>NC_000007.14:55493182-58119653 GCF_000001405.40 Homo sapiens
TCCTCACTTGCACCATACTTTTTGTTTCTAGAAAAAGAGGAGAGTCACTTTGAGAAGAACTAGTAGTAGACAAAACTGGCAAACTGGCAAACTCTTGCCCATCTCTGAACTGAAATTATGAGGGGACCCATGGAACTGTCCAGAAGCCATGCAGACACCCACACGGTGAGGGCACCTGCTGCCCTGTGAGGATGGGCACACAGCAGAGCGGGTCGCAGTCAGTGGCACTGGTCCACATATAAAAGAAGCTCTTAAGAGCGTACGATAAAGCCTTTGAGAATATTAATGTGATGTCAAGGCCTTCAGCCAGTCCAAAAGTATTTACTGGATAATCTTGGAAGGCTGAGCAGGGAGAAAAGCCAGAGGCACGAGACAGGAATGACTCAGGAAAGACTGAAACTGTGGCCTTTGTCATCTGCCGTCTAATTCATTATTCATTCAGCAAGTCATCTTCAGGTGCCTGCTATGCCCTGTCACCATACTGATCACAGCAATGAGTAGACAGGTGAGGGGCCCCCCGACCCCGCCAACACTGAGCTTACAGAGGAGGGAGACAGATACCAACTTTTACAATTATTTATCTACAACCTGGTAAGTGCTAAAAAAGAAAAATGAGCGATGCAAGAAGAATACTGTGTGTGTGATTGGGTAAAATATACATAAATATAATTTACTATTTTAATCATTTTTAAGTGTATAATTCAGTGCACCAAGAGGTTTGAACAAGGGTATCTGTGGTGGTGAGCAAGACTGGGAACACTGCATTTCTTTTAGTGACAGCTGGGCTGGGCTCTGAAGAATGAGAAGAGACAAGCTGAAGGGGAAGAAGGGGCATTCTGGGTGGAAAGAACACAGAGCAGGTACTGGGGCCGGAGAAGGTGGGAGCAGGAGGCCTGGAGGCTCAGTCCCCATGATGGGCGGAGGGAGCGGCCATGGGGAGCCCGGAGACCCAAACCGTTCAGGAGTGTGGTGATGTAAGGCTTAATGTGCTCGGCATCAAGAACACTCACTAAGTTCCCAAAGGGAACGGCTTCCTCTCCTAAAACCGATTTCCCTCAGGTGGGCTCAGTGACAGTCTTACACTCAGCACTGAGTCCTGCTGTTAGTATCTGGGTAGAAATATACAAAGCACAGAGAGGCTGGATGTGTACAGGGTTTACTTTCTCAGAGCCACTGGCCACTTCCAAGAGACCAGGCTCGCTGGATTGAAAAATGCAGAAGGCACCTGAGATCTTAGTCTTGTCTAAAAAATAAGCTAAAATGTCGGTTCCACTGCCAACAGTAGTAAGAACATTTTGTTTTTCTACACAAAAGGAAATGACATTGCAGCTCCCACCTTAGACTAATGGTGAGCAAGCATAAGGCGAGGCTGGAATGGAGTTACACGGGATCCACTTCATCCCTTACTGAAATCATAGTCTGATAACTTATTCTGTTCATTTATGTTTATTTTAAAAATTTATTTAAAATAATTTTTGGTAGAGACGGAGTCTCACTATGTTGCCGAGTGATCTCAAATTCCTGGCTTCAGTGATCCTCCCACCTTGGCCTCCCAAAGTGCACCATTGTGCTAGGCCAAGAACTTATTTTAAAAGAGAGAAACTAACAAAGGGGCAGGAGAAAGCGCTTCTAAAAACAAGGAAAGAGACGAAGCAGGGTGTTGGCTGGGAGAGAGGAGTAGTAGTAAGAAAGGCAGTTCTTGCAGTGCTGGGGGTACGGGCTGGCTGTTCCCTAGATGTCCTCTTTGGTTGCTCAGCAGGTTTTGGAAGCTTTCAAAGGGATTAAGAGAGGAAGGTTTGTGCCTTTTTTTTAACATTAGAAGTTACCTGGTTACTTTAATTCAATTTGTTTTTTGATTCCTCCCCCCGACCCCCCAGCCCCGAGTGTAGCAGTTCTCAATTCTGCAGTCCCAAGGACTGGTGCAGCTACTGTGCAAGCCCTGCCCAGACCCCACTCAGGACTCCGCATGGGACCCTGCTGTGGACTCACCCACAGTGCCACCTAGGCTAGTTCTCACTCGGGCCCACTGTGCTTTCTGAGTCCACTCAAGGGTGCCATCGGTCCACCTTCTCTACTCTTGATTCCATCCAGACCTCCTTGGTGAAAAGATCCTCAAGATCTTGGAGTTGGCAGGAACTCTGAAGGCATTCTCTTTCAAAACCTTTGTTTTATGGTCAGGAGACACCTTCAAACGTTGTGGGGCCCAGGCAGCAGAGCAGCCCCTCCCTCCCATCCTGCCGCCACTCCTGTCCACCAAATGCTCATCCTCACCACAGAAGCTTCCCATCACCTTTTAACACATCCACTCTTCTTACACTCTGGCCCTGCAAGGTGCTGTCCCTCTGCCCCAAACGCCCTCTCTGACGACCCAGTCAAAAGCTTTGTAGCTTTCTCCAACTTTTCTGGCTTCAGAAGTTCTGTGCTCTGGCTTGAAAGTATCCACACCTCATTATCTGCTTAGACATCATCTTCTTCAGGAGTCTGCCTGCCTAAAGCCTCTCCATAAAACCCCAGCACAATGCCTGGTGTATATCAGACCCGATGTTGATTGAGAGAGAAAATGCATGGGGTGAACCCAGGTGCCCTTTGTATTTCGGGTGGGGCACTGTAAGCTCACACCCCCAGGTGCTCCCTGGCTACAACGCCAGCTTGGAACCCTGTGTCGGAATCTCAACATTAATGACTCAGCCCCATCTTCTGGCATCTGGCACTCAGATCTTCCAACAGCCTGACCTTATGCAATGGGACTTGTGGGAGCTTCTCCAAATGGGGCCCACCAAGTCGTCGTGTGCTGCCTCGCCAAGGTGTCCTGCCTCTGACAGGTGACCCTGGCCAGCAGCTAGGAAGCACCTGGCTGCCAGTGCAGCTACAGCTTCTGGGCAGCTCCACAGAAGCTGCCAGGCCCTAAAAGTTCAGCTGGACTTTCTCAAACTTCTCTTCTTTTTGATCATCCAATGCCTGAACGCTGACCAGCTTTTTCATTTTTTACAAGCATTCTCACGCCCTCATCATCATTCATCTAGTGCTTTAGACCAACCCAAAATCCTTACAAGCCCGTTCACAGTTCAGGGTTTCACACTCCAGACGGTCCGCCTCCTTCCACTCCAAGGTCCCAGGAGGAGGCTCCGGAGCAAGGCCTGCCCTGAAGCTGGGTCTTGCCCCTGACACTGGGCCCTCCCCGTCTCTGGTACTGGCCCCCTCAATCTGGAGATGCACACAGAGCCGTTAACCTTTGAACAGTCTTAGGCTACAACAATTATTCTTCTGTTACAGAGTTTTAGGAAATGGCACCTCTGCAGTGTGGGGACCTGACACCAGCTCCCTTGTTAGGGGGGTACACCTAGGTGGGGCTTACCGGGCTGGTCCTAAGGGAGGCCTGGCCAGCAGCTGTAAGGTCAGGTGAGGCCAAGGAGGTGGTGAGGTGATGATGAAAGAAGGCATCACTATTAAAGAACATCCTCGTCACCCAACACGTGGAGTCCCCACTCCCTATAGGCTTCCCTAATCAAACCCTGGGCACAGGTGTTAAGGGAGAAAGATAAAACCGCATAAAAATTCAGGTGGCTGCTGTCACATGCTCAGTAAGGTCTTAAAGCCTCAAAAGGTCAGTAAAGTCAAAATCTTAACATCATAAAAAAGCTTGCATCATGCAGAGAGCAAACTCTAAACTTTTTTGAAGTTCACTGAAGGGCATCACCACTGCATGGGAGAAGAAGAGCAGGTGGGTACAAGAAATGCTGCTTTGGTTTATAAATCCTTTCCCACACGTGCTCTGCCACCCTCTCATCTGAAGCAATACCTGTCATCTCCAGAGTCTAACAGATGCTCGGGGCACTCCAGCAGGCGTCCTGAGGCTCCCGCCCACAGGAGGCTCCCCCCATGGAATGTGCTCCCACCCTTCCAGGATGCTGCAGGCATGGAACCAGTTCCTACTCAAGGAGCAGACTTTGGACTGCTCCGTATGCGCCCCAGAGGAGCTGGAGGCAGCTGGGTGCAGGCTGCCTATCTTGAAAGCGAAGAGTCAGCCAACACAAGATGGATGGGGAAGAGTCTGGACAATGAAAACTCGATCGCCTGCCAGTCTCAGTTGGGTGATTTTCTGATTCTTCAAGACAATCAGCCTTGGCTCCATTTCAGAAACTGGCCGAGGAGCTGCTGAAGGATGAGGCTGTTGTCCAGCCACCTTACCAGAAGCAGAGCTCTTCTTCCCACTCCAAAATCCGTGAAAACAAAAACAGGCTTCCCACAAACCCCATGCGTGCAACTGCCGGTCATGAAGCCAACCCAAACATACCCATTTTCCTGACCAAGGCTGTCCTTGAGGCCACCACCCAAGTGAAGGTGTCGCATCCAAGGCTGTGACAACACTGATGGGGGGGGGGGGGGGGCAGAGCTCTCGGGGTAGGGAACAAGGAGGAGTTGTGACCTACCAGAAGTACCACAGCCTCTGTATGGAGAGGGCCCGCACACAGCACCTGGAGCCACAGCAGTCCTCGTAGGAGCGGCATCTGTGGAGAGAGGCACAGGCTGGTCAGCACTGAATTGGAAGCAGCCACCGGACCAGCCATGCGGCCCAGGCTGGGCTTCAATGTAATCATTCTTGAAGGAAGAAATCAGTAAGAGCAAAAAGGACAGAACTGCCTCCACTGCATTTCACAGAACCAGCAGAGCAGAATGACATCAGCCTGTGGCCCAAAGCAAGGTGCTGAGGTGGGCACAGTCAGGGTGATGCAAAGCCCTGCATTTAACAAGCATCCTGTGTGCCAAATCCAATGGATTCCTTCCGGGAGGTGGCACAACCAAAGACAGACATTAAGCCTACCAGGACTGCTGCTGGGAGGAGGCTCCACAGGAGCCCAGCACCCACGTGGTGCTCATCCCTGCTGTCTTCAGTCCCCGACTACGGGGAAAAGATGGAAATACCCCACCACATCCACTGAGGCTAAAAGCAGAGGCTGTGGAGTTAGATAAATTGCAGGTGTGGTCCTGGTCCTGCCACTTACTAGTTGTGGGGACTTCTGGCGAGTCTCAGTTTCTCCATCAGCAAAATGAGTGGAACTGCAGGGGCCCTGCACAGTACTGACTTAAGTTTTAAGGCCTTTCTCACCATATAAAGTGCTGATGGCACTATCACTGCTCACGCTGCCTCCCTCCCCTCATCCCCCAACGTGTCTGAGGTTTCCGGGCCCCTGGCAGGCCACAGCTCTCAGGGGTGTGCTCAGAAGCTGTTCCCAGAGAGCTGCCTGAGCATGGGCAGGTGAGGCACTCAGGTGAGGCACTCGGTGCCCTCGACATCCCTGCCCTGCCCCAACCCCACGTCCTCCTTGAAGAGAGAAGATGCCATGAAAGTGCAAACCCTTCCGTTTTACAGAGAAGTTTTCACTAGAGCGTTTCGAGCCCAAGCAGCAATGGATTGGCAGGGATGTGGGGAGGGCCACTTCTCTACAATATTAAACCATTACCTAATTGTGATCTAGGTTCCTGCCAGTTTTTTTCCTTTAAAAAAAAGTACCTGGGAGAAATATACAATTCAGCCTAAGGTCTTGGGCACTGAATGTGTAGATTATTGCAGTACAAATAGGCTTGTTTTATGTAGAAGTATGTGTAGAAAACTAGTTAAGATGCAAAGTGAGATAACAGCGGCCTGGAACTCAGCAGACCCAAGCTCCAAAGCTGCTCTTCCCTGGTTGTGCACCCAGTAGGCCCAAAGCTCCTGGAGGTGGTGCTGCCTCTTTGTAAACACCCCGCACCCAACGGCAGCTAAATCCTCTATTGTTTCAAGGACAAACTGGGCTGAGAGACACTCCCTCCCCACTCCACCCCCACGCCATTCCACAGACAATATGGCAGCATTCATGTACAGTCTTCCCCTGGCCCATGAACATGAATCCCTACCCAGTACCCAAAGTGTTGTGATTTCCATGAAATGCTCCCATTGGCTCCCACTGAGAGTTACCTAAATGAGTGCTCAAGAATGTTGCTGGTCCTGGCCGGGTGCAGTGGCTCACACCTGTAATCTCAGCACTTTGGGAGGCCAAGGCAGGTGGACCACTTGAGGTCAGGAGTTCGAGACCAGCCTGGCCAACATGGTGAAACCCTGTCTCTACTAAAAATACAAAAATTAGCTGGGCATAGTGTGTGCACCTGTAGTCCCGGCTACTCAGGGAACTGAGGTAGAAGAACTGCTTGAACCCAGGAGGCAGAGGTTGCAGTGAGCCAAGATCGTGCCACTTGCACTCCTGACACTCCATGCATCCACCAAGGGGCTACTAGGAGCCTGCTCTGTGCTTTCCTGAGGGTGGAGCAGGGAAAACCCAGAGGAAACCCCTGCTGGGGAGGAGCTTTCTCTCTAGAAGGGGGAGAAAATAGTAAACGAGAAAACATAAACTGTGTTAGACAGTAATAAGTTCTTCTGTGGTGAAAAATGGAGCCGGCACCGGCAGGTTGAGAGCACGAGGCAGCAGGGTGCTCAGGGAGGACATGTGCAGGAGGTGACGTCTGAAAAGAGAGCACGCAGGAATCCAGTCTGCCAATGAGGGAAGCTGACACAGGGTCTCAGTGCTCGGGACGGGGGAATGCTGGTACCCCTGGTTCCACGGCTGCATGCTGGAGATGAGTGCAGGAGCACAGGGTGTGAGGGGGAGTGAGACACCTGGTCTGGCTGTTTCTGCAGGCCAGCGCCCTGCACAAACAGTACCTTCTGCAATTCTCCGAGGCCTTCCCCTAGAATCTCACTGGTGTCGGTTGATCAATGTGTGTGTGCCTGTGTGTGTGGAAGAGAAGGGAGCAGTCGAGGGAGATGAAGGACTTCTTGCTTTTAGGGTGGATGGAGTTCAGACAATTAACTGTAAACTAAAAGAGGTGGGACCGTTTCCTCTCACGAATGTGCAAAGACAGGCGTCCTCAGCACTCCAGTGAGGTTCATGGTGAGTTTAGGAGTGTGGAAGGCAGAATGCAACCATGGCCCGAAGAATTGCACCCCTCAGAGAACCCACCCTGCATAATCCCCTCCTCTTCAGTGGGCAGGACCCTGTGAATACCAGATGGCCACTCCCACAATCACAGAACATTCAACGAGATGGTGTGTTATCTAAGTCTCTGCCCTTGCAGACTGGAGATTCTCCTGCTGGCTTTGAAATAGTATTAATAGCAGCCACGTGAGAGGGCCATGTAGCCAGGACTGAGTGTGGTCTGCAGGCACCAACAGCAATCCCAGCAGGACCTCAATCCTACAACCACAAGAAACCGAATTCTGCCAACAACCCAAATCAATTCGGAGGACTCCAAGCTCCAGGTGAGAATGCAGTGCAGCCCACTGCTTAATCTCAGCCTTGTGAGGTGGCCCTGAGCCCAGAACCCAAATGTGCTTTCCCAGACTTGAGATCTACAGAGCTCTGCAGTAATAAGGGTGTGCTGTTTCAGTCTGCTACGTTTATAGTGATTTACTACACAGCCACAGAGTCAAGAAGAACACAGCTTACAGGTTATGAGCACTTCTTATCTTACACCAGGCTAAATGCTTCACAAACGTCTTGTTAATTTTCAAAACATCCACATACAAGATAAAGTATTATTAGTGCCATGTTTGAAATAAGCTTAGAAGCAAGACGTTAGAGATGTTGCACCTCCAGCCCAGGTCACTGTCTGCAGAAGCGAAGAGTGGACTTGGCCAGCATTTCAGGAAAGCATTTTGCACAGATGCTGCCTCTCCAGTAACATGGAGCCTTTCATGACCAAAGGGTCACCTTCTCTATCCCCACTTGATTTTCCTATTCTTCTTTGGCCCTGCTTTTATAACCTGCTGTGGAAATTTCAAAGACCATGGTAACAGAGACAATGTGAAAAAAACAGACCCTTGGGCAAATGACAGGAGGTCCCTGAGACAGGACCCACAGACAGGAACTCAGCAACCACTCTTTAATGGTGCTTGCATGGTTCTTTGTTCAGCTTGGAACTGCATACTGACCAGAAAGATTTCCAGAAAAACCTGTATCATATGATGTCAGCAATGCGCTACAATTAGCAGGTAACTTAATCATAGAGACATATAATAAAGATGCGATATGAGGTGAAAGGACGGCGTCGATTTGTAGTGAATGGCGGATGCCCCCACAACATTAGCTGTTTTCAGCAGACATCCACACACATGCACAAAAATCTATGTGTGCCAGGCTGTGACATAAGGCACACTTCTTCACAGCTGCTGCCAGGGAAGCCCCAAGTTAAAAGTGGACAGGCTCAGTCTTCTGGTGTGTCCAGGACTGGCTCCATTCATCCTCGTGGAAGATTCTGGGTGGCCCTCAGGCTCAGGTCTCCCTGACTGTAAGGTCACTTTCTGCTGTTAACAGTGCTGGGCTAAGGTCTTTCGGTCCTTGTCTTCTGTCTAGGTGGCAATGGCTTTAGTCAAATGGCTCTTACCATTTTTACGCCTAATTCTACTATATATTGTCCTCAAGTGATCAAATTCTAGAAGATACAACACTCATGAATACCCTCTCAAATTGGACACTCAGCTCACTGCCTAGCCATGAACAGCCTCCTCTGCACGTGCTGATGGTGAGGGAGGGGAATAAGGGGGGTGCAGAACAGAGACGACATACACCTGCAGCTTAGGGGGAACTGGCCATGATCCTCTGAGCTCCTGCTAGTTCCCTCCCATTGCTCCACCACCCTCTGCCACCAAGATGCTCCTGTGTGTCTCTCTCTCGGGTTTTACTCCAGACTGTAACAGCTCTTATATCTGTGCTCTAGCTCTGAGCACAGCCAATGCTTAAGAGGTATTAATACTTGGGTCCCTCCAATGCTGGCAGCCATGCACTTGATATAAAAGAGGAAAGCAGGTATACACTAATAAATTTAGTGACTGAATCATTTTTCATGAGCTGAATTTGCTAAAATGCTTCCCTTTCAGCTTTACACTTGTAAGGAAGCATTTGCTGCCTGGAAACCTAAGCCCTATGGCATTCTATTTCCCATGCTGGAGAGAGCAGACTACCAGCTTTCAGACATATGTAGAGCCCTCGTCCAGAATTAACACACATACACCCCTCAGCCTGAGAACATACCCGTCCTAGAATATTTGGAGTATAACGGATTACAAGTTCCTCTTTGTTGGCAAGATACAACATCTATGTGCTCTAGCTCACTTTTCAGAATCCAAATTTGGAACACCAGCAGCAAATACACGCTGTCAACTGATTATCTCTTTCTTCTCTCAAAACACAGGAACCCTTTATGCTCCTTCCATGAGCTGAAGACCCATTCACTCTCCGCATTCTTGCGGCTCATCTGCGGCGCTGGCCCGGCTCCCATTGTGGATGCTGGCAGGCCCCAGCTACTCGAAGGAGCACACAATTACCCAGGTGCTGACACTGTTACCCCTTTTCTGTCTGCTGCTTTCTTCCTTTTGAAGCTGCTGGTAAATTGGGGCCCTAAGCACACACACCTGCTGATGTTCCAAAGAGCTGCAATTACAAAGAGATATTCACTGCAACACTGAGCTTAATTAAAGTAGTAAACATTACCAGGCAGTCGAGCACACTGAAGATGCCTATCATGGATGCATCAAGTCAAATACTCCTACTGCCCTAAGCCTCAGAATGGCAATGCTGCTCCCAAGGACGTCGCAAGACTACACCTTTGCAGAACAGATCAGGATGGAGAAAACAGCAAGGGTTTTTCATCTCGTTCTTCTCTGTGTGCCAGATGTATAAACTGTCAGACTTGCCATAGAAAGGAAGAAACATTACTCTTAACTAAATCCGCTCCACAGCATATCTAATTATAGTCCTGAGACTCTGAAATACACATGATACTTCAAAAGAATGAAAAGATCACGTATAGCAGCAGACATGGGCCCCTGGACTTACTGCCTGTTAGCCAAGTATTCCTTACTGTACCCCTGGATACAAATGTAGATTTCTGCTGAGGTCAGAGAATGGGTAGTCCACTCTGAGCAGCTGCTGACAGGTAATTAGGTATATTATAGAGATAAAAGGGTGCCTGCCTTTTATCTCAATGATAGGACCTGCGGTCCCTGGGATTCGTCATGTAAAAGGAAATGTATGTCTGAGAGTCTACGGGCCACGATTTAGACAGGTGTCAGAGCAACAAACAAATGCAAACAACAGGTGGTCGCTGTGGGAGTTTTTGGAGCCTAAGAAGGAAGCATGTGTTATGCTTAGTCCTGCACAGGAGGAAAGAGGGTATGGCCACTGGACACATTTAATTCTTAGCCTTTGGGTTACATAAATCTCACGAGAAGGAAAGGATAACATACTAGGTCAAGGAATGTTCAGTGTTAGTAAAGTCACAAAATCTTTCTATGTAAAAAAGAAAAAAAGCCAAAAGTCAGTTTGTAAACCTTTCCATGTGTTGTTGCTATGGATGGAAAGTGTCTCCCCTAGACCGGTGTGTTGAAAGGCTACCCCGCAATGGGATGGTGTTAAAAGGTGGGGCTTTTGGAAGGTGATCCGGTTACCAAGGTGAAGCCCTCGTGACAGGGTTGGGGGTCTCTGTAAGAAGAGCCATGAAGAGGGCTTGCTGCTTGCTCCACTCCCCACCACGTGAGGATGGAACAAGACAGTGCCTACGAACCACGGACAGAGCCCTCAACAGACACCAGAGCTGACGGAACCTTGGTCTTGGACTTCCAGCCTCCAGAGCTGTGAGAAATAAACACACATTGTTTAAGCCCCACAGCCTCTGGTATTGCTGTTACAGCAGCCTGAACTTAAGCACCACTTTAGCAGTAATTGTATTTAAAAGGATTTATAGAAAAATCATCTCTGCATCTGGTGGAGCAGCTAAAGTCGGAGTAAAATATTCAGGGTGCGGGTCTGGAGATAGAGTTGGTGGGGACTGTAACTTTTTTGGGGAGTTCGAGAATCCAATCCTTTCTCCTGCCTGCAGGATTAACCCTCAGCAAACCTTTCTCTTCACTAAGCACTTGCTGGTACAACAGCTCCTTTCTCCCATCCAGTCCCAGTCTCTCAATTTGACAGCTGGTCTGTTCTCCTCAATCACACTGCCCCTGCCAGCTAACCCTGCTTTTTACACTACTCATTATTACCTGCATTCTCCACAGAGCTGAGCCCGCAGCACATACTTGAAGGAGGCTTCCCAATTTAGAAGCAGGAAGTACATTCAGGCTTATCACTGGCCTTCGAATTAGCTACCTATGAGAAATTGGGCTCTCCAGAGAAACTAAACACAGAACCCTATAAAGTTTCAGCAGAAAACTCCAAAGGATACATGAGCCTCTGGGGGAGCAGAGGAAGACTCGGTCCTTAGCCACCCAGTGCCCCAGCAAATCTCCTTGTAAGGACTGCAGAGCTCTGTGCCTCACCTGGATCAAGGAATCCACCCGACCATTCAGTGACTGACCTTCCCCTCCAACCTGCCCAGGCAGACGCTGCCACTCCCTGCAGCAAGGCCCCAGGGCAAGTGCCTTCCATGACCATGGGCACTGTTCCTTGTGCAGAATCCAAGGCAGGCCCCACTAGGCTGATTCATGACTCACACAGCCAGTCTTTCTTTCCAATGTCCAAAAGGACTCGCATATTTTCCCAAGCCTTCTCTTCTCCAGGAAACAATGCCTAGCTTGGGCAAAATTATGGTTTCTCTTTATTAGGAAGAATCCCAGTTTACTCTCATTTCCACACTTATTGGAGCTTCAGGCAGGATTAACCTTTTTAACAACTGTGACACAGCCAAATCCTAATAAACCTTCCATCAAAACTTCCAAGTTCTTCTCAGTAAGTTCTGTCTTCTCATGCTGTACGGATGCAGTACAGTCTGGGACCCAAATATAGGACCTTATGCTTATCCATAAAAAGGGTAAACTTATGCAATCTGGCCCATTACTTTTATCCTGTCAAGAGCCTTTGGATCCTCATTCTGTCACTCAAGGCATTCACTATTCCTTCCAGTTTTCTGTCACTGACATGAAGGATATGAGTCAAGTTTTGCTGGGACCCAGGACTGCTGAAGGCCACCCAGGCAACTTTGCTCCTCCTCTCTGTGACAATCACACACATGACTTAGAATGGCCACGTGCAATAATCCACAGTCGGGTCAGGGAGAGACGAGACTGGGGCCTGAAAATGAAGAGGAATCTTTCCATGCCCTGAAGCTGAAATCCAAAACCTGAGACCTTCCCAAAGTCCAGCAGTCTGCCTGCAGAAAGAAAACCAAAGGGAAAGAAAGAAGGTTGCACCACGAAGTGAGTCCTGGCTTAGCTGCAAGGACTCTAGGAGTGCGCAGAAAAGGAGGGTGACGTGGTAAGACGGAAAGGTGACAGCCCATGAGCTCAGCCCAACTCACAGCCAGATGCTCTCTACTCAGATGGAGCAGATCGGTTTCAGCATCGGGATTAAAAAAATGGGCACGTGCATTTTATGGTAGGTGAATTGTACCTTAATTTAGAAAGAGAGAGGGGGAAGGAAAGAAGGAAAAAAGGAAGGAAGGAAGGGAGGGAGGGAGGGAGGGAGGGAGGGAGGGAGGGAGGGAGGGAGGGAGGGAAGGAACTTGTACATATGATCAACATTGCAAGCCTTCCCTATTTTCATTCAAGTCAATGCTAAAGTATTGATGATTAAGTCAATGGTGAATTCCATTAGAGACATTTCTTCTATGTTGAGATTTTACTAATCATAATTTTATAAATACAGCTATTATAACAGTTACAAATCCACCTAACTGGACTATTACTGATCTCAGCAGAGATGCTATCAAACATCTCTATTAAAACAGGACAGTGTCAGATCACTGATGCCCCGTCTCACGGTCCCATAAAAGACCAACCCAATAGGACCTTAGACAGGCAAACCCAAATTAATTTCAATCGAGCACAAAACACCCTTTTAATAATTTCCTGACGCCTTCGAGAGGTCCCCATTGCTCTGGCGACTGTCCTGACAAGCCCACCTCCCATCTCTCACCCAGGTCCTTCTAAAAATCTCAGCCTGGTGGGCTGTTTGTCTCTGGGCACACTGGTGCCCAGGGCATTCCTGCCTCTTCCCTCCTAGACAAGTCATCTGTGATCATCAGGACATTCTCCCACTAACTCTTGCAAGCTCACTTCCCTTTCAGATGACATCACTGCCTCACACTCATCTCTCCCAATGATAAGTCTATTACGCAAAAATGTATTACTCATCACCATTTTTTGAGATGGAGTTTTGCTCTTGTGGCCCAGGCTGGAGTGCAGTGGCACGATCTCGGCTCACTGCAACCTCCACCTCTTGGGTTCAAGTGATTTTCCTGCCTCAGCCTCTCGAGAAGCTGGGATTACAGGTGTGCGCCCCCACGCCCAGCTAATTTTTTATATTTTTGGTAGAGACGGGGTTTCGCCATGTTGGCCAGGCTGGTCTCAAACTCCTGACCTCAGGTGATCCGCCTGTCTTGGCCTCCTAAAGTGCTGGGATTACATGCATGAGCCACTGCACCCAGCCACAAGCTTCTTTTTTTTTTGAGATGGAGCTTCGCTCTTGTTGCCCAGGCTGAAGTTCAATGGTGCGATCTTGGTTCACTGCAGCCTCTGCCTCCCAGGTTCAAGAGATTCTCCTGCCTCAGCCTCCCAAGTAGCTGGGATTACAGGTGTGCGCCGCCATGCCTGGCTAATTTTTGTATTTTTAGTAGAGACGGGGTTTACCCATGTTGGTCAGGCTGGTCTAGAACTCCCAAACTCAGGTGATCTGCCCACCTCAGCTTCTCAAACTGCTGGGATCACAGGCACTTTGAGCCACTGTGCCCGGCCCCACAAGCTTCTTTATAATATTACTTAATACACTTATGCATTTCCAGCCTTAATATGGCATAACCTCCTGGGTCATATCCTGGCTTTGCCTTTAGGAATCCAACCTACCCCAGGAAAGCTCTCTCATTTGAATGAGGCAGCAGAAGTCCCAGCCCATACATGTGGATAAAACTCAAACCAGGAGGTGGTTCAGGCAGAACTCCAGCAGCCTCAAGAAACACCTGTGAGGAGTGCTGTGGAAAGTAGTGGCTCTCAGCACAGGCTCACGTCAGAACTGTCCAGCAGCTTTAAAAACACCCGTGCCTGCTGGCTGGGACACACTCCTCAGGAGATTTCAGTACACGGCAGGGCTGAGAACCAAAGACCTAAATCTGGAGCCCTCTTGCCTGTGACTCTTTTCTTGGTGCTGGGAAGGAACATGTGGTGGGTGAGCTGGTGGGTGGGGGGTGTTGTTCTGGCTTTTCTGAGCAGGTATATTTTTTTTTAACAGCTTTATTGATATATACTTGATATACAAAGAGCTGTGTACAATCTGATGAGTTTGGTCATATGCAAACACCCAAGATACCACCACAATGAAAGTCTAGGCATAATCTGATTACTTGTAATATTGTACGTCTGCGAGAAAATAACATTTTTAATAGAACTTTCATCTTTCCAAACACAAGATTTTAGACCATTTTATCTGTCTTGCTTTCAAGTCAAAAACTTCACAGACCTGACTATGAACTCATGGTTCTTTCTTTCCTGTCAACCTCAGTTGGTAATCCACATGATGTCAGAATTGTCCTCCTGGCCTGACATGGTTTCCCTGACGGGCAGGGAGGTGCCTGTGTGTTGAGACGTGTGGTCCCATTTTGATGATGTTTCAACTTTTATTTGGTCAACACATCCCATGGCGAAGTCAAACATCTCTGGGTTCTAAGGAGGGGGCCATCACTGCTTTGATGAGGCCTGAGCCCGAGACGTTGAGGGTGGGAAGATGGCTGCCCTGTCAATCATTCCTTCAGAGACACAGTTATCACCAGAAAATACCTTCTCTGACTTGTATAAACCCAAACTAGTTGCATTCAGGGTGGCATACAGGATTTACCTAGGGAAATTTTACTTGTATTTCTACCATGGGAGAAAGCATTACAAATACTTACTAAAATCACTAATATTAGCAGACCAAATGGGGTAAAAAGTGCTCATTTCTTTGCCATTTTAACCCTTGAGGAGCTGCTGCCTTGGAGCCCAGATGCACCCAGAGTTAAAGTGAAGAGGTGAGGTAAGATGGACCAAGAAGCTCTTAAATTACTGCTGAACTTTGGTAACTACGGAGTTTTTTGTTTTGTTTGTTTTGACACAAGGTCTCACTGTGTCACCCAGGCTGGAGTGCAATGCTGCAATCATAGCTCACTGCAGCCTCAAATTCCTTGGCTTAAGTGATCCCTTCACATCAGCCTCCCAAGTAGCTAAAAATACAGGTGCACACCACCACGCCCAGCTAATTACAAAAATTTTTTCTACAGATGAGGTTTCACTATGTTGCCAGGCTGGTCTCTAACTCCTGGCCATAGTGATCTTCTTGCCTTAGCCCAAAAGTGTTGGGATTACAGGTGTGAGCCACTGCACCTGGCCCAGAGTTTTTGAAACTCCACCTTTGTGTTTCTGGGGTAGAGGTTTTCCCTCTTTCTCCTTTCAGTAAACTGCTGATCATTTAAAATTAGTTCTATTCAAGCCTATCCTGAAAAACAATCCTCCTAGTTTCTGGTTGACTAAATATAAGGTTAAAAAAATAAATTCTGGCCATATGTCTCTTTCAGAAACAGTTATTACCAGAAACCACCTTCTCTGGAAGGTGTTTTTCATTTTCCATACTAAAGTGAAAAACAGAAGTCTGCCTATGAGCTCAGAAGTCTGCCTATGAGTTCATAGTGAGATCCTGTCTCTATAAAAAAATCTTTAAAATTAGCCAGACGTGGTAGCATATGCCTATAGTCCTAGCGACTCAGAGGCTGAGGTGAGAGGATCGCTTGAGTCAAGGGGTTTGAGGCTGCAGTGAGCTAGTACTGCACCACTGTGTTCCAGCCTAGGTGACAGAGCAAGACCCTGTCTCAAATTTATTATCAATTTTAATTTTATAATAAATTTCCTATCATTGAAATCACACAGGCATGATAAATACTAAAGTAATGAGCTGAGTTTGGCAATGAGATCAGGAAGGGAGATGAGATTCTAGTACCTAAAAAATCTGGAAACCTACACTGAGGTTCACACCTGGCTTACTTTCTCAGCTCTATTTTTACTTGAGTTGGTCTTAGTCCATTCAGGCTGTTATAATAAAATACCACAGCTTGGGTAATTTATAAACAACAGAAATTGATTGCTCATAGTTCTGGAGGCTGGGATGCCCAGGATCAAGGCCCAGCAGATTCAGTATCTAGTCAGGGCTCCCTGCTTCATAAATGATGTCTTGCTGCTGTGTCCTCACAGGGCAAAAGAGGGCAGGGGAGCTCCCTGCAACCTCTTTTGTAATCCCATTCACGAGGACAGAGCCCTCATGACTTAAGTCACTTCCCCAAAGGCCCCACCTCTTAATACTAATACATTGGGTGTTAGGTTCCAACATAGGAATTTTGTAAGGACACACATATTCAGACTATAGCAGCTGGTTAGCTGTTATAAGCAAATGCTCAGAACTCTTAAGTCTACATTCCAGCTCTGGACTACATCCTGCCCTCTTCCACCTCTGCTGCAAAAGTGAATTCCTCACTGGCTCCATTTCCTGGGTATTCTGCAAGAACTCCAAACTCCACATGCATATATGACATTCTCTGCTCAGTCTTCTATTGAATCTTTCCCGGAACCTATTCTTTTCATGGTCTCTCTCTGTCTTCCCAACCAGAAACCTCTGATTTATTTGACTCCCTTTACCTCTATATCGACTCTTCTGTGAGATGCTTTTCATGCCCACCGCCTGTTCCTCTGCCCTATTTCTACAGGAGTTGGACTCTGTCTTGCCTTTACTACAAACACAACCTCCTCCCCTTTAGACCAGAGGACCGTGTCGTCATACTGTTCCTAGACCAAAATGAGGGTCAGGCTGCTATTTCTTGTGGCCCAATAATAAGATGCAGATGAACTGGGGAGGAAGAGAATTTTTATTTCTGCAACCAGTTACTGGTAGAAGGCCTGGAAATTATGGCCAGACCAACTCAAAATTACAAAGTTTTCCAGAGCTTATATACCTTCTAAGCTATATGTCTACCTGTAAGTGTGCATCATCTAAAGACATAAGTGATTAACTTCTTTTACATTATAACTAATGTCTGAGTCCTCAAGGCCTTCTTCTGGAGCCTCAGTAAATTCACTTAATCTAAATGGGTCCAGGTGCTGGGGTGATTACCCTTATCTTGTCTCCTACTAAATCACAAGAGGTTTGGGGAGTTCATTCAGACCGCAATAAACTTGTTTGTGGAGGCCTGGGGAGTTTCTTCAGACACCAAATAAAACTTATTTAATCCTAAATGGGTCATGTTAAGAATTCCTTCATTATTTTGTCATGCTTTAAGGCCCAGGAAAGGCCTAGGCAAAACTCCTGGTGGGCTTTTGTTACATCCCAGACTTTATATAAGGGCACTGGCTTTTTTTTTTTTTTTTTTTTAGCTTTTAATATTTAACTTAACCACTCAGTCAGTACTGAAACACTTGTTATGGAGGCCTGTGTTGGTGAGACCTGGCCTGCCACAATGCTGCATGCAGGAGGGAGTCTCAGCCCCTCAGACGGCGTTTGAGACTCTTCTTGCTAGGCTTCTCCCTCTTTTTCCCATCTCATCTCCTGCCATCCACCAGGCACCCTGAACTCCAGCCCCATGGTCCCCACTGCACCCTGCACCTTCATGCTCCCATGCCTGCACTCCTCCCAAAGTCTCTGCTCCACCCCGCTTCAAAGATCAGCCCTGTGAGGTCTCTCCCAACACCATCCCCTGCCCTCCCCAATCTGTCCTGCTCCTCCCTTGGCAGGACCCCCATTTCTACAGTTCTCACCATGTGCAATATTGTGGTTAACTGTTAGAGGCCTCTGTCTTCTACACCAGACATGACCTTGAGAGCAACCCCATCTCATTCCTCTATGCATAGTCCAGGTATCCACCTTGGTTTCAGAACCTTGTAAAGGTTTTGACTTAAACAGAAGGGATGTTGCAGCAGAAAGGGAAATCAGCAAAGATGGAAACAATATGAACTCAAAGCATACAAAGGAAACTGATTAAAATGTTAACACAGTGCTGGCGGGGACAGTTTGAAACAGGTGCTCCCAGGCAATGATAGCCTATTATCATGATGACCCTCAGGGAGAGCAGTCGGACGGTATTTAGTAGAATATAAGTATAAGCTTTGATTCAGCAATTCAATTTCTGCAAATTCACTCCATGTAATACAGCCAGCATTAAAATATATGAAACATCATACCAAACGGAACTTTTAAAGACTATAAATAGCCTCATGTCTGCTCAAATATGTTCTTGCTACCAAGTGAATTATTAAAAATTTGTTTAGGAGCACAGCTTAAAATTTTAGAATGTGAAAGAAAAATATCTTGAATCCCCAAATCACTAAGCTAAAAGGAAAATTCAAGCTGAAACTCCTCAGGGCAAACCTGCCTCCCATTCCATTCAAAGTCATCCTCTGCTCACTGAGATAGATGCATATTCTGATTGCCTCCTTTGGAAAGGCTTATCAGAAACTCAAAAGAATGCAACCACTTGTCCCTCACCTACCTGTGACCTGGAAGCCCTCTCCCTGCTTCCAGTTGTCCCTGCCTTTCCGGATGAACCAATGTACTTCTTACATATATTGATGATATCTCATGTCTGCCTAAAATATATAAAACCAAGCAGTGCCCCAACTGCCTTGGGCACGTGTTGTTAGGACTTCCTGGGGTTGTGACACTGGTGCACATCTTCAACCTTAGTAAAATAAACTTTCTAAATTAACTGACACCCGTCTCAGATTTACTGGGTTTATAAGAATTACAGACAAGGAACTGAGAACCTTCAATAGTTAAACAAAACAAAAACTCCTAAATATAGACACTACCTGTATAAATGAATGATGAGGCATCCCCAGGAAATATTCTGCTACTATCAAAAAGCATGAGGGGCTTTGTATACTGATTTAGAAGCATAGTCACAATGTACAGTTAAAAGGAATCAAGCTCAGCTGGGAGCAGTGGCTCACACCTGTATCGCAGCACTTTGGGAGGCCGAGGCAGGCGGATCACTTGAGGTCAGGAGTTCGAGACCAGCCTGGCCAACATGGTGAAGCCCCATCTCTACTAAAAATACAAAAATTAGCTAGGTGTCGTGGCACGTGCCTGTAATCCCAGCTACCCAGGAGGCTGAGACAGGAGAGTCGCCTGGACCTGGAAGGCGGAGGTTGCAGTGAGCCGAGATCGTGCCACTGCATTCCAGCCTGGGCAAGAGTGAGATTCCGTTTCAAAAAAAAAAGGAAAAGAAAAATAAATCAAGGTCACATTTTAGGGGTCTAAAGTTCTTAAGCAGAAGATCACCAGTGAAAATTTCTCCCTGTTATAGAGACGGTGTCTTCAACTTACACCAGGAATCTTCATTGATAAATCCAACAAGAACTGAGAGAAAAGAAATTCTGCTCTTGAATATCTGCCCCCTCCAGGCTGCAACCCGAAGGCTGTGCTCCATCTCCTGACGGCAAAATAGTGAGGGTCTGCAGCAGGCGTATGGAGCACTCAGCTAGGGAAGCGCCCCCGCCCCCATTGCCCTCTTCCACGCATCCTGGAAGGCCCCAGTGCTGCAGGAGAGCTCAGCGAAGGAGTCCAGCTGACTTCTGCACAGAGGGGCCTCCCCATCAGGCTCAGAGTCTGTCCACAGAGCCATAAAGGGCACCTGCTGGTGAGAGGTGACCTTGTGTCCAGGGAGCCTGGGACTGACTCTGGCACCTGCGCCCCTAGCAGGCAGGTAAAGTGGCCCAGCGGTGCTGGCTCTGCCAACCTTGTCTCTGGATCTTGATTTGACACCTGTGAACAGCACTTCATCCACTCACAGCATTAATTATTCACAGCAGAGAAATGAACCCAGAGGCAGCCAACAACACAGGGTAATATAAGCACTTTAAAAAGAAGCTTCACGCTCCAACAGGAAACTTGGGAATAGGGCCTGAAAGCAGCCTGGTCAAAATCGATAGTGCTGGCAGGAATGGGCTCTGCCTCCTGCTGGATAAGCCCTGGACCCTGGGCTCCTCCAGGACAGGCCCTGCCTCCCTCATCGCTAACTTCCCATCATCCCTACACACTGGCTCCCTCCCACTTGAGTGGTGCTCTGGAAATTACAGGTACTAGGTAAGCCATGACACTGATGATCGTATTCCTTAATTCTGTTTCATGGATCCTATCTTCCCCTTATCCAGCGGTTTGACAACATGCAGCCATCCATTTTTTCCCTTCCATGCTCTCCTTTGAGCTTGGCAGTGTGTGAATTCCCTATCGTCTCAGTGGAGTTGACTTCCGAGAAGCTTCCCCACATTCTTTCCTTCAGTGGTACCTAGATCTGAAGGAAAAACTAAAATAAGTGAGCAAACAGAACACCCAGAACCCAAATGCCCTGCAGCTCTGCCCCATCCATGTGACAGCCAGAGATGTGACCTAGTCATGCAAAAGACCTCTAAAGATGCTGCAGGCCCAGGGAGACTTAGCATCTCCTGGTGTCAGCTGCCAAGTCAGTAAAACTAGATGAGGATGGTCTTAGGGTTTCCCGGCATTCTGAGAATGGAGGTAAGTAAAGAACCACCTTTGGGGCCAAATCTTTTCCTCTTCCCAGCTCTTCAAAGGGCCACAGGGCTATTTTCACTTTTAAATCATTGGTGTCAAGAATACTCAACCATTTCTAACCCACCCTCAATTTTCTGGGGGACAGAGATTCATTTCAATTCACAGTAACAAGAAATTTGCACATCTAAATAGCCAGCTCTCTCTGGCTTATTAAAGTCACATGAAACAGTCATCGTCTGAAGTCTGGGTAACTGTCAGAAAGCACCTGATTATGTCTAAGGAGCCACAAGATCTGGTCCAGTGAAGCCAGGCTCCCAGATCCACCCCAGCGTCTGACTGGGAGCGGCGCCCTTTCTCACATCATCATGTCAGTACCAAGACCTGCAGAAGAAAAAAGACTCACTAGCTTGGAAGGAGAGATGAGGTGGTTGCTTTGTACTTGGCAAGCAGGCTGGACCCTTAATGAGCTAAAATCCATCTCCCATTTGTCGCTTGTCTCTGCTACAACACACATGCCTGCTCAGTCATTCATCTTTTATTTTCTAGGCTATAAATTATTCCCAGCAGCCAGCCAGGGTGTTGTGGAATAAGCGGGATGAGACCCTTGAAGGTGATCTAGCACAGGAAACGGGGGCCCAGAGAGGTTGGACATTTGCCCAAGATCACACTACAACCTGATGGCATAGCAGGTCTAGAGACGATCTCTTGAACTCCAGCCCCTTAAATATTTTCCATCCCCAAAGAATGCTTTCAGAATCACTCCGTCTCCAACCCTCCTTAGGCCACCATTTGTCTCCGTTACTAAAGGTATACTGAGTGCCTTCTATGGGCCAGGCCCTGAAGGGCACAGAAGGTATAAAAATCAGCAAGACAGGCTCCCAGTCTAGGGAGGAGACACACAGATGTTTTATTTCAGCAACAGTAAGTCCAGGGAAGGAGCATGGTACCCATGCACCAAAGAGGGGTATGGGCCACAGAGAGGGACACTCATCCCCAGCTCTCTGGAGATGACACCGCAGAGTGCTTAGGCAAGCACTCCACAAATGTCAGCCATTGCATTCCCAGGCTGTGTATCTGGCAGACTCTGTGTCTCAGCTAGTCTAGGACAACTTGGGGCCATCCTCTGCTCTGTCCTGCTGCAAAGGTAGATGCAAAGAAGTGGGCAGTCTCAGCTGTCCTTGTAGTGAGCTGGGGCCGTGCAGTGCTGCTGGAATGGGTTCTGCCTCCTGCTGGATAAGCCCTGGACCCTGTGTAACACACTTGCACCTCTGTCAGCTGTGGAGGAGCCTCCCGAGGTCTCTGTCCACACCCTGGCATACAGGCACGCCCTGTCACCTCCAGCCTGCTGCTGCCTCCCAAGCCACCGCCCTCTCTCTGCTCTTCCGCACACCCAAGTCCTCTCAGGGGTGGTGGCTGTAAGCTGGGTGGCCTCTGGGGGGCTGAGGAGCACCTGGGCTGGAAATCTCAATGGAGATGGTGACATTTCTTATAGTCACTGCTCCTGACCCAAGAGGCCTCCCACTACCCACAAAGAGGTGGTGGTGTCCATTCAGGCACCGAGGAAGGCCCAGGTAACCTCTGGCAGATATCAAAGATGGGCTGGGAAAGGCTGCCTCCCACAGCGTCCCCAAGAGCATGACTGGCAGCGAGGTGAGTTTGTCCCCTGCAGCAGAGGTCCCCAGGTAAAATCAGCGGACCCATCAGCCACCTCTGGGCACAGAACCCCCGGTCTTCTCCAAGCTCAGTGTTAAAATGTGCCAAAGGAAACTGCAAATATTAGGGAGAATACAGGCATCCCAAATAGTGACTGAGTCCTTACTCTGTATCTCACATGCACAGTAGTATTTATACTGCACAGCAACCCAGTGCAGCAGGCACCACGACCACACCTTTTTTAAGAAAACTGAAGCCGCAGGCTGAATAGCATCTGGAGCTACCTCCTCCCATGCCACTCCACTTCCCCTCTGTGCCACAGGAGCAGCAGGCACAGCCTCTGTGACAGACAGGAGCTCCCTGTCACCTGATGAGGAGGATTCAATGCTCCCTGCAGACACCTGAACATCGGACTGAGTTCCCGCATGTGGACCTGCGTCTAGGCTCTTCTCTGACAAACGCCACCTTAGTCGGCAGCACTTTCTGGACTGACAGGGAAGTGTGCTGTTTGCTGCTTTGGATCCTGCAGGACATGCTCCTCGGTCAGTTCCTACCTTTATCTTCTCATCTCTGGGCTCCAGGAAGCTCACACGGTGGCCCCTGTTTCAGGCCGTGCTGGCAAAGGAGCTGAGGAAGCGAGGCCCAAGCAGAAGCTCAACTCGAGGAGAGAATGCAAGCCAAGGGGCGGGAGCTGCTGAGGCCACACAGCCACTTGCTATTTTTAAATCACATGTTACTAAGAGCAGACACCTAGTAAGCCCTGAACCAAAGCACAGAAAGGCACATTTTAATCAGAGCTCTTGGAAGGGCAGCTTGCAACAGGAAAGGCAGGTAGTGAAGGGAAGTGAAGGGGGAAAGAAACATTACTGGAGGGAACAGGAATGTGTTGCTTTTCTGTTCAGATCCCAAAGGGTCTTTTTCTTCAAAAATAAGAATATCTTGTTTATACATGTAATACACAGTCTTCCAGACCAATAATGGAAAAATATCAAATTAAGGAAATGAAATAAACCTTGAAGCAGGACAGGGTAGAAAGAGAGAGATCATTTAGCACAAAGAAATCAGAAGAGGTGAGAGTAATTTTGTATGTCTAGGTAGCTACAGTAGAAAACCTACATTTCATTAAAAGAGCTCAGTCTCTGTTAGCTTACTAACTGGCACGCTGAAATGAAATGCAGGGACAGGCAGAGTAGGGAGAAGGCGGCTGCCACCTGGGATTTCCGGTGAGACAAAATGAAATCAGATTATCAAATATAGGAGTAAAATCTCTACAACAAGTTTGCAACCTAGATGTTCCCTCCTCAATGCATTCCGCATGGTGAGTTACACTCACAAAACAGAGGTGTTGTTTGAAATATATTTTCTGCAGGGGAAGGAAAGAAAACAACCTCTAACAAAATAGGACACCACCTTGAGTCAACATATTTGTAAGGAATATCTGTTTTGGAGAATCTTAGCACTTTACCCAGGTGAAATGAAATGTAGAATATACTAGAAATGTACTTTTTAGATGAGATCCATTACATATATATATATATATATATATATATATTTTTTTTTTTTTTTTTTTTTTTTTTTTTTTGAGACGGAGTCTCACTGTGTAGCCCAAGCTGGAGTACAGTGGTGTGGCTCACTGCAACCTCTGTCTCTGGGGCTCAAGCGATTCTCATGCCTCAGCCTCCCAAGTAGCTGGGACTACAGGCTTGTGCTACCATGTCCAGCTAATATATATATATTTTTTTATTTTAGTAGAGACGGGGTTTCACCATGTTGCCCAGGGTGGTCTCGAACTCCTGAGCTCAGGAGATCAGCCCGACTCGGCCTCCCAGAGTGCTGGGATTACCAGCATGAGCAACCGTGCCCGGCCTAATTTAAGTTTTTTTTTAATGTGATGTTGAAGATGCTTCAGAAATGACTAGTCACTCTCACATGACTATACCACTGCTGCATGAGGCATAGGTACCTTCCCTGTCCTGCACACCACAACGCACCACAACTGACACGTCGTGGGCCCTCCACAGACACCTGTGGATGGAATGAATGAAGTGCAGCCATCACCATCCCCGGGACAGCACCCTGCACACTGGCCATGTGTCCAGAGGCCAGGCCGGCAGCAGTGTGCAATGGCAGCCCGCCAGCCTCTCCTGCATCCCCACCGCCTGAGGCCCCCAGCAGCAGGGCGAGCTGGGCTGGATGTGAGTCTCCTGTACCTGCACTGCCTTCTCCACCAAGGCAGCAGAAACCACAGTGGGCTTCAGAGATCAAAAATAACGTACCCCTCAAGGTTAACTCTAGGGCAGCTGTGCCTCCTGCAGGTCAAGCACTTCCAGTAGGGGTGTAGCCGCCGTCTCTTGCTTGCAGCAGACCTCTCCTTGAGCAAGACTGGATGGAGTAGAATATAGCTAAGCAATTTCTACTCATTCCCCTTTAAGAAAAATGCTTCATGACCCCAACTTGATGGACAGTGGAGAAGACAGCTTTGGAGAAGACAGTTTTTGAGTATTAAATATCTGGACCGGTGAGGGTATTGGACAAGCCACCCCATGTGTGCTGGCTGGCCCCAAAAAAACAACTTTCTCCTTGGCACCACACTGGGTTCACTGCTGTGTCAGGACACTGTCGTCCCTCGCATGTGCAGGGAAGTGGCACACTGAGTCTATAGCACTAATCTCATGAGCATATGTAACAGAGAGGTGAGCTGGCCTTGGGTAGGTTATGTTCTTATGGGACTTCTGCACTGGCCGTGTGCAAGTCCTGTGCCTCAAACCTGGCAGGTCAGAATTCGCAGTCACGTCTTACAGAGGAAGCAGCTGACAATGTCACAGAGCTGGTAAACAACAGAGTGGAGGGATGGGAAGGCTGGTGCTAGGCAGAGGTGGGGACCGCACATGCAGGGAAAGTGCTTCATGCTACTGCACGGGTCACTTTAAAACGGTTAATTCTGTTCTTTGAATTTCACCTCAATTAAATAAAAAAGTAACAGAGCAAATATGTGAACTCTGCACGAACATGATTGCAAACATCAGGTGCTACACACTGGGCCAGGCAGCAGGGTTATGGAATGCACAGGCCACGGCCCCATACTGAAGCACTCGCCGCGTGGTGGTTTGCTGGTGTTGTCAGCATTCTCTCACAGCCAAAACAGCAGGGGAGGAACAAACTTTTATGGGGACAGGGAACTGAGTCAGAAGAGGCTGAGAGAACTGGGGAATGATCAAAGGTCCCCTACATGGGTTGGCGCTGCTGACTGCATGGTGGGAACTGCAAGGAAATGCATCCACTCAACATCAAGGATGGCCGCTGTGTGCCAGGCACTATCCTACGCTTGTTGGGAAGCCAAGTATTTATAACTTGTTGCCCTCATGAGATTCACAATAAAGAAGGAAGATAAAGCCAGACGCTCTCTTGAAAGTCTACTGTTAAAAGGCATTGTTCCTGATGGTTTTAAGCAAAAAAGTGACATGGAAATTTACAAAGACGTGAGAACTGGACAGGAGAAGAGGCTGAAAGGAGACTAGCTAGAAAGTTTCGGCAATGGTTCAGAGGGACATTCACAGATGTGGATTCGGGTGAGGACACTGGGAACAGAGGGGAGAAACAGAAAGACCAGAGGCAGAACAGAGAAGACTAGTGGGTGGGGCTGGGGTTTCCTGGCATCATGAGATCCGAAGACCTTAATTTACGTACAGGGCACAGGACAATGCCGGGGCCTGGAGTAAGTACTCAATAACTGTTACCTGCTGGTACTCTCACGCTGAACTTCGTGTTCTCATGGTGACTTCACTTTTCCATTTTTCTGGACAGTGCACCTAGGGAGCTCTGGATCCTTCTCCCCACCATTGGAAGAGAAAAGCGCGAAAGGAAACTGGGCCACAGGACTGAGTGACAAAAGCAGGGCTTGTCTTTTGTATCCCCTGTCTCCAGTTCAATGCAATGCAAAACACTTTCAAAATATGCAGGGAACAAGTGAATGGATAAAGAACAAATGAACAAGTCAATACAAGAACAGCAATGACCTCTGACGCCCAAGCTCTGACAAAGCTGATCTATAAAACAATTGGAGAAATAGGGTTTTAAGGAAGAGCACACAGGAGGAGGCGAAAGGTCCACATTTGCGCAAAAAGCTAAACAAGGAAATAGGCGTACTGATGAAAATTCATTATGCTGAGAAGAACCAAAATATTTTCTCTTCCTGTTATCCCACAACCACTTCTCTTCAACCTGACAACTCTGTAATTAGAGCCCAAGTCCTTATGCTGCTGTTTTATTTTCCAAGTGGGGTCTGTCTTTCTGCAGCTGCAGAGGCTTCCTTCCAGGGCCCCCACGCCATGGGGCACACTGACTCCTGCTTGTCAGTATGAAACCAAGATGACGAACATGGCCAGCTTCCGTGTGCTTTACCCGCACTCACAGATACACAGCCCTTCCCTCCTACACTGGGCTCCTCAAGAATGACAGGTAAGAGGCTGGGCGAGGTGACTCACGCCTCTAATCCCAGCACTTTGGGAGGCCAAGGCAGGCAGATTGCTTGAGGATAGGAGTTCGAGACCAGCCTGGCCAACATGGTGAAACCCCATATCTACTAGAAATAGAAAAATTAGCTGGGCGTGGTGGCACACGCCTGTAATCTCAGCTACTAGGGAGGCTGAGGCACAAGAATTGCTTGAACTCAGGAGGCAGGGACTGCAGTGAGCCGAGATTGCACCACTGCACTCCAGCCTGGTGATACAGCAGGACTCCACCTCAAATAATAATAATAATAATGACAGGTAAGAAAAATGTATGTTCTGGCAGATTAAAAAAATAACGCGTTTTCCTATTATTATATATCTCCTATCCAATTACCCTATATGCTAGAATATATAGTGTTTCTGCTAGACTACAATATATATGCCTGAGGAATCTCAGGTTTTACAAAATTCAATACTAAAAATAATAGAGCTTTCGGGAAAATTTGGTTAGGGCATTCGACTCAATACCTAAGGAACTTCAAAACAGAATCAAAAACAGTGACTGATAACCTGGAGAGTTAATGTGGTCACTGAGGCAGGTGGCTCCACAGGGCTGGTGGCTACCACAGCAGATATTACAAACACACGAAAACGACAGGAAGAAAATGCAGCAATGCCCTCATTACAGAAAGACTGGCAGACACTGAGGGGGCACTGGAAGGATTATAACCCATTCTGAGCCAAGAGCCATGAGAGGCTGTGACAGCAGCTCTCTGGCGAGGAGGCCTCAGAGACAGGCGATCATTGTGATTTCCTACACATACGCACAGACACACACACACTGTCACAGTGGCTCCGCTGAGGACTGTTTCTTGTCCTGCTCAAGCTCATAAGTCTGCTCCTATGATCCTTTCTCTCTTTGACTAGGAAAATGTGTATAAGCCAACATAACTTTTGCCTTCCACAGACATCTCGCCCCCTTTAAACCCTCACATGTGAGCTCACCTGCATCACAGAACAGGGCACAGAATTTCAGGCTGTCCTCAACGTAACTGGTCTGAGTGGGCCAGACACCACGGTGAGGTCACCTGCTCATCCCCCAGTGAGGCAAGCCTGGCACCGCAGCAGAGGCTGGGCCACGCCGGGCTTTCCCCATCCCACACCCAGAACTTTAGCAAGACAATTCCCAGAGAAAGGTATGGCCACAGAATGAAACCACAGAAAGGTGCAAATACTTACATATAATAGGTTGGATAGAGTCCTTCGAAATACCAGCAATGCTTTTTGGCTTCTGTGCACTGCAAATAGAAGCAAGAAAAAGTTTGTCAGTACTCAGGAATCTGCATGTTGTTGAGAAGCTCTCACAAAGGCAGAAAGAAGGATGAGAAGACACAGCTTAACCCATGAAAAGCTGGGATATCGGGGCAGACAATGCATTACAGGGAGAGCCGCCCCCTTTCTCATGACTTTCTATTTCTTTAAAACATCTATTTTTCTATTTTTTCATAGCCTTTCATATCTCTATATACACTGAGTGTCAGCATTTTATTAAAAAGGTAAATTAAAGACAATCCACTGTTTAAAATGTACTTGGTATGATACTTCAGATTACAAAAGAATGCTAGAAATAAAGCACTGCAAAGATTGCCACTGCCCCCCAATTTCTGTTTTAGAGAGACATCTCCAATAGATTTAGCATTTCTAGAGCTGTATATTTCAGAATATGCTAAAGCCGCATTCCGACCTACGTCTGCAAGATGCTGCGAGTCACGGTTCACTCGTTGCCCTCTCACGTGCAGGAAGAGAAAGAAGGAACAAGGAAAGACAATGGGAGCCTCTCCTGGGCTTTCCAGGTAAGTCCAGCTCCTAACATCCCGGAGGCAGGGCCCAGCCCCACAGGGCAGGGCAGGGCAGGGCAGGGCAGGGTGGGTGAGTGCACACAGGCATCGGAGCAGGGGCCAGATGCCACCTGGAGGCTCTCACAAACCTCCAGCAAGTGAGGCAGGCCAGCATCCCCACTGCTCAGGGAGCTCTCTATGCAGAGATGCTCTTCCCATCTGAACAAGGCTTTTCTAAAATTA
Organism: Homo sapiens; assembly: GCF_000001405.40. Lineage (NCBI taxonomy): Eukaryota > Metazoa > Chordata > Mammalia > Primates > Hominidae > Homo > Homo sapiens. The sequence continues at coordinate 55,521,914 of NC_000007.14, forward strand.
TTCCATTCGTGCTGTCATTTTTGTTTTACATTCACAACGTCCTACTTCCATGATCTAGTTTATTGGCCCCCATGTGTAAATAAAACCTTCAAAACATTATGGTGCAAAGCTCCCAGCAGCAGGAACACTGGCAAAGGGACGGCAAACAAAGCTTTCTTTGGGTGAGGCAGGGCCGTCCTGCCCAAAGCCCCTCCTCCGGTGGGAGGGTGGCTGGATCAGCTCCCTCCTAGCCTGTCCGCAGCCCCAGCAGGTGTACAGCAATGCCCTCCTGCCACGATTGCCCTGCAGCTGGAATGGAGTTAGAGACAGGCCCCACATCTACAGTGGCATGCCATGGGAGAGGTGAGTGCCAACGTCACGCCAGTGACATTCGATGGGTTATGAAAATGACATGAACCCCTGGATTTTGGAGAATGTGCTTTAAGACACTCAGAAGCATACTCAGGCAGCCTGGAGTGACCTAGTTTTATTAACGGAAAATGAGTTTTATTTAGACTAGGTTAGCTCCTGTCCAGTTTAAGAAATGAAGCTCAGACAGCTGACGAAATCAATTTATTTTGGCACAGAAGAGCAATTTCAGGTCTCTGCCCCAAATTATAATTCATTTCACTAGAGTCTTCTGTGATAAACAGAGAAACCAGGTCTGCCTTCCATGTGTCACTTTAAACAGGTCTCCCTTATTCTCCATCACCGCCACCGACAGCCAAACATTCCTGGAACCTGACACTTAAGTTCCACACAATCAAGAGGTGAGGCCAGGGAACATCAGAACACAAGCCTGAAGCTCCCCACCTGCCTGGGGCCTGGCTGCTCCAGGGCTGCTCCGCAGAGACAGGCCACAGCCACGCAGCGAGAGCCAGGTGCAAAGGGCTGGCACTGGAAATAAGGACAGGCTCTGGCCTCCATAGCGCCCTTTTCTGCAATTCCTCTTGGTCTAAAGCATTCCCAGATCCAAAGCAGCCACTTGATACTCTGGCAGCACATCTCCATCACTAATGCACTGCATTTCAGAAAGGACTTTTTCTTCCAATCAGACAAAATAATGCCACACTTCTGAATGAACATTGTCTCTGGGATACAGGTATATGAGGAATACCACTTCACAAATTAAGGCACCAGGGCCCTTGGTGGGTGTCTTCTTCTGGGTCACACAGCTTCTTTGTGGTGGCAAAACAGAGAGCCCCCAGCACAGTGTCTTCTGGACTCACGAGAGCTCCCCTGAGGAACCCACTCTGCCCACCTCCAGCAAGAACAAAGGCCTCTGAAAACTGGTGTGAGATGATCCCCAAGATACAGTGTTAGTGAAAAAGCATAGGCAAAAACAAAAACATACGTCCAGTATGCCATCCTTGATGCAAAAGGAAACGTGTACATTTGGCCTGCTTTACACAAAAAGAATCACAGTTTGCACACATCAAAACATCACAGGTATCCCATAAATATGTACAATTATTACATACCAATACATTTTTTTTTCCAAAAAAAAAATCACAGGAAGGACAGAGTATGTGAAAGTTGATCATAAGAACTGGGTCATTCTTGTCATACCCAACTAACAGAGTCGAGGCCAGAGGGGCAAAGCACTCAGGTCATTCTCGGCAAGCCTGGCTGCTGAAACTGCCTGCCCTGACTCTCAGACTAGCTTACCCAGCCCCATCACATACCAGTGAGAGCTTGCACACCAATGAGAGCTTGCCAGCTCCCCAAAACTTTACTTAGTGCCAATGAACAACTCTCTTTCAAAACAATCCCTTACATTTCTCCTTTTTATAAAACTTCCAAACTTCTCTTTGTTCTTCACACATACTGAAGACCACCCAGTACATGGCCCAGACTGCAATGCTCACTTCCTAAACAAAATGTTTTAAATTTAGAGATCTGTCTCTGTAAAAGCTAATGAAAATGCTTACCCGTGGAGGGTGGGTGGGGTGAAGTGGAAAAGACAAGGACAAGAGCAAAATTCTTCTGAGTATATCTTTTTATGTAGTTTGACTTTTGAAATGTTTTTTCAGATAATAAAGTAGAAAGTATTTTTTAAAACCACTTCTCAGACTGAAAAGATTATAAAAGACTATCATGACATGATCACACATGTCCCCTTTAGGCCAGGGGCAACTAAGCAGGGTAGATGCCTGTGAGGTCAGTGCTCACAGGAGACTCACACAGACACTCACTCTTCTGGGAGCCCTTCCTGGGGCCCTCCCAGGTGAAGGGCACCATTTCCATCCTACTCTTCTTCCCGCATTTTTCTGGCATATTCCCTAACTTCAGAGCTGCCTACTTGTTGGTTACCCTTGCTCAGTTACTTGCTAATAACCTTTTATCATTTCTCACTAAGCTACCCAAATGAATCATATTTTGAAAAATTTAACCCGTTTGTTCCTTTACAAAAACTATTCTTAAGAAAATATTAAGGCTACATTTCTTGAAACAGAAAGCACCTTTAAACAGAGTTACCTTGCATTAAAGTGTAGCTCCATTTTGTTGCTGCTGAAATTAGTGTGTTTGAAATTTGCTAATATCCTGGAAACTGCTTCACTGTTTTTGGTAGCTGGACTTTTGTAGCAGCTTTCTCCTGAGGAATGCCAACATCGTAATACTACACACATGTACTAACTCACTACAGTTAATGCATGGCATGATTCCATTTGACAGCCAGATAATATGAAGAATGCAAAGTCACAGGTCTCATTATTCAACTGAAAAACGCCAAAATGAGGACACAGAAGTCCTGATAATTGTTGTTGTTGAGGCTTTCCTTCAATAAATGCTTGCTAACTGAACACCAGGTGTCAGAGTCAGCTTGCCCAATTGAGGAGGACGCAGCCTCGTGATGGGAATGGAGACCAGGAGGTGGAGAGGCACACGCCTGCCTGAGGAGCCCAGGGTTGAGAGCCGGGTGCTGCCAAGTCGAAGTCTGATGAGAAAGGCAGTCTCTGCCTACCAAGTCCAAGCTCCAAATCCAGCACCAGCACCAGGACTCAGGACAAAGCCAGACAGCTAGAGCTGTGGTCAAAGGGGAGTTTGCCAGGGACAAATAAGAGGGATCTTCAGAGTACTCCCAATCACCAGCAGGCACGCAGATATGGCCTCACAAGCAAGCGGGAAGAGGCAGAAAGAAGGCCCCGTGCTGGGTCACGTGGAAGCACCAGAGTCGACGGGCAAAGGGGAACCCACAGGGAAAGGAGGAGCCAAAGAACCAGAGCTCTGTGTTCTGACCCTGACTGCAACCTGCCAGCCACACCGCCAGCCAGTCTGGGTCTCACTCTCCTCGTTTGTAAGAGTACAGACTCTCGGCCGGGCGCGGTGGCTCAAGCCTGTAATCCCAGCACTTTGGGAGGCCGAGGTGGGTGGATCACGAGTCAGGAGATCGAGACTATCCTGCCTAACACAGTGAAACCCGTCTGTACTAAAAGTACAAAAAAATTAGCCGGGCGTGGTGGTGGGCGCCTGTAGTCCCAGCTACTCAGGAGACTGAGTCAGGAGAATGGCGTGAACTCGGGAGGCGGAGCTTGCAGTGAGCCGAGATTGCGCCACTGAACTCCAGCCTGGGCGACAGAGCGAGACTCCGTCTCCAAAAAAAAAAAAAAAGAGTACAGACTCTCTTCCCTGCTTTATGAAGAAAATGAGATTGCATCAAAATGCCTGGCCAAACTAGGGCATCGTTTCCTGATCCCACACCAGCTAGCACCTCTGTCCCTAATTGTGTCTTCTCTGGAACAAACAACTTCCAAGGTTCATCTTACGTGGTACTCGATCATCTAGGCAGAAGCAATGCTACCAAACCTCTCGAGAACAAAGGTTCTAAATATGTAATCCTTACATGTGTACGGTATTTAGTTTTCCAAAATCTCCCTAAAAGGAAAAAACCTCTCTAAAAAAAAAAAAAAAAAAAAAAAAAAACCTTAAAATGTATGGAAACTAAGGGGGAAAAAAGTGAATTTCCAGGTTTTATGCCCACTCTGAAAAGTCAGTCTACCCACATTTTGCGAAGATACTACTACCATGATTTCTTAAGGATCAACCATCTCTGGAAACAGAAATTATGTGTGTGAGGAGAGGTCAACTGCTTTCTGTTACCTAGCAGGCATCCTCAGTTTTCAGGATGTTGTCCTGGGCTCTGGGAAAACAGCAGCCCTGCATGAGCACCTGTGGGATATTCCCTCTGTGTGCAGAGCAGAGACAATACGCAGAGCCACATGCTTCTTGAAGAGCTCATGAAAACAGTAACATACAACTTACAAACTATGAACACGGCAGAGGGTGTGGGCTCACAAGGAAACCTTCAGGAGCAACTCCCTTGAGGGGATCAACAGTTCACACTGGAGAGGCCTGAAAGACGTCTCTGCTCAAGGAGGACTCTGGACGCCCGTGGTTCAAGGACTAGGGTATCTATATATGTAGTTAAGCCATCCCAAATATAGTTATCCCTATTTAGGCAGGATCTAAATAAGCCCCAGAGAATAAACCCTTGCTGATCTCCACTAGTAATCCTCATAGTGACATAAATTACTCCTCCATGTGCGCTGAGTGAGGAAGGACGCAGGACAACACTGATGTTGAGTGCTTCTCCCTTTTCTATCCCAGGCTAAAACAGAGCCGCACCACAGGCAGGCACAGCTGACTTGGCAGGAACTGAAGCTCGTGACTCTGGGACATGAGGGAGTGGACAGCAGGGTCAAGGATCCAAAACAACATGGATTTTACCTAAATTCCACCTGTTCTGCTTTTCTTAAGTTCAGGGGATAAGGTGAGATCTTTAGATAAATAGCAGACAAACTTGCAAACCAGCAGCTCACTGACAGGACTTGTCTCACTGACCTCTGGAAAGTAAGGATCCTTATGTTACTTATCACGGCAACGGCTTTGGCCAACAGTCTGTCCCGGGCCAGAAGTCCAGGGTTTGCTTCAGGATGGTGGGACGGCCCCAAAGAAGATCAGCCCAAGGACTCCATCTTTTTCAAAAGGGAGGGGCCCCCTGCTGTGCCTCACACTGCTTCTGCATTCATCAAAAGCAGAACTTGACACACAGGCAATGAGATCCCAGCTGCTTTCAGCTTGAGCCCAATTAGAGTGGGCTCGTTACACTCCGCACAGGCTGAGAACAAAGGGAGCCTCATGGGTGCTGGCAGGCTTGATGCTCAGGACCAGGGACAGAAGCAGAGGGCAGGGGGTAGCCTGCTCAATGCAGAGAGAAAATCTATGCAGGGAATGACAAGCAATTATCTCAAGGTCTCTGAATTTCAATTAATAAATAGGACCGACCATGCTTTAAATTCCTGTACTGGAATTTCAATCAGTTCCCTAAATGCTAATTACTTAATCCCCAGGTTTATGGACATTTTGTTTCTCAGGAATGTCTTATCTCCAAGAAACCTTGATTTTTTTAGAGATGAGAGTATGAGGCTTCTCACAAGCACCATTTCTTAGAGGGAAGAAAGCAGATAAACCCTTAAGAAAATAACAGAAATAAAAGATACCCCTGTCTTATAGAAGAAACCACACCTGAAATTCACACACAGCCAGCAAATAACGATCAGAGATGAGATCCGGGGATGCAGGCTGTAAACCTTAAACGAAGCCCAACCACAGATCCCCAGGGAAATTCTGTCAACTCTCCTAGACTCTGAACAGCTGGTCTGCTTTACCTGCTTTCGTGTTCAGCAGAAGGACAGGGGAGGAGACCTCCTCATGGACCCTCATTCCAGTAGGTAAAAAGCCTCATCCCCAGCAGGTGACAATTAATCAGTAACCAAACTTAAAAGGTAGAAGCAGAGGAAACTACCCAAATAGGGCTGATATCTTTATCAATAAAGACTTACATGATTCAATGAGAAAAAGAAAAATTCCAACAGGAAAAATAAAGTGATAGATATGAGAATTTTTCAAAGAAACACAAAAGGCCAATAAACCTATTTTAAGAGACAATATTCATTAATAACCAAATATAAATTACAATAGTATGGTTTTTAACCCATCAAATTAGTAATAAAAAAATCCCAGAGTACCCTTTGCAGACAAGAGCATAAGGGAAAAAAAAAATCACATAATTGTTGGGAAAATAAAATGCCTCAAGAAGACAATTTTTCAATATATATCAAAAATCTTTAAAATGTATGTAATTTCAGCAAGTTTAAACAATTGAGAACAAATGTTATTTAAAAAACTAGAAATAACCAACATTTTCAAAATGGGTTTTGCTAACAAAATTATAAGACATCCAAAAGATGTATTTGTAGGTATTTACTATCAGAATGTAGACAAACATAATGAGGAATATTTTGCTAAGAAAAAAAGGTCAATAAAATAGTACATCTAGAATTGTATTTTTTGTTATACATTATAGGAAACAGAAAATAATATGGAAAGCCATGTACCGAAATACTGACAACTAATTATGTTTCAGTTGGTACTAGAGATGATTGTTTTCCACTATACATTTTGTTAGTCTCCAAGTTTCCTGTATGGAACCTGTACATTTTATTTTTAAATCTCTATTCAATTTTACTTTAAAATGCAGACCACTTAGTACCCAAAAAAGAAGTGAAAACTGGATATGAAAAGATATTTAAACCAGCCTGGTCAACATGGTAAAACCCCATCTGTACTAAAAATACAAAAATTAGCTGGGCGTGGTGGCGCATGCCTGTAATCCCAGCTACTCGGGAGGCTGAGGCAGGAAAAATCACTTGAACCCGGGAGGCGGAGGTTGCAGTGAGCTGAGATCGCACTACTGCACTCCGGCCTGGGCAACAGAGCAAGCTCTGTCTCAAAAAAAAAAAAGAAAAATATTTAAAATAAGAAAATATAACTGTTAACAAGAAAGAACATTCTCCAGCTAGGAATGAAATAAAAATAATAAAGTTTGTGAAATAATATACAAGGCTAGAAAGGGTGTACTCAAACAAATACAGAGTCAGCAATTAAAGCTGTATTCATAGAAAGTTTATCATGGAAAATGTTTATGTCATAGTTAATTTAAGACACATTATATATATTTAATTTCAACAATGTAAAAATAAACATATTCATAGGAGAAAGAATGTAACAGCATAAGCCTAAATTCACAGTGTTATATTTGGATGGTGTGATTTCTTTTTAAAATATCTCCCTACTGAAGCCTTCAATTCTGATGATAGAGGCTGTTGTGGCAAGAGACAAGGGACACATAAGAGTCCTCAATGGGCCGGGCACAGTGGCTCATGCCTGTAATCCCAGCACTTTGGGAGGCCAAGGCTGGCGGATCACAAGGTCAGGAGATGGAGACCATCCTGGCTAACACAGTGAAAACCCACCTCTACTAAAAATGGGCGTGGTGGCGCTCGCCTGTAGTCTCAGCTACTTGGGAGGCTGAGGCAGGAGAATCGCTTGAACCTGGGAGGCGGAGGTTACAGTGAGCTGAGATGGCGCCACTGCACTCCATCCTGGGTGACAGAGCAAGATTCCGTCTCAAAAAAAAAAAAAAAAAAAAAAAAAGAGTCCTCAATGAGTGCAAAAGACTGGATTCGCTGCAAGACCCAACACACATGTGCACCCAGGAGCTCCTACTCATGCCTGCTGAACAAAAGCGTTCTGAAAACTATGCTATCTTTTAAAACATAATTATCAATATAAATCACAATTCATGATACTTGAAGGATCAGGTGATCCAAGTTCTAGCTCAATTTACTTAGGTTTAGTTTATACACTATAAAATCACCCATTTTCAAGATATAGTTTGATGAGTTTTAGGAAATGTATACAGCTGTGCCTCCAACACCCCAATCCAGCTTCAGAACCTTTCCTTCACTTCAGAGAGTTCCCTCATGTTGTTCTGCAGTCAATTCCAACTCCTACCCCAGCGCCCCAAGCAATACTGATCTGCTTTCTATCTTTATCCATAGTCTTGCCTTTGCTATAAGGTTCAATTAAAGAAAATCATACAACTTACAGTCTCTTACGTCTGGATTGTATGTTGCTGCATATATCAGCAATTCATTCCTTTCTAGTGTTGAACAATATTCCATTCTATGAAGACACCACATTTTGTTTATCCATTCACCAGCCTATGGACATCTGGGTTGATACTGCATTTTGGCTGTTATCAATAATGCTGCCATATCCATTTGCACACAGGTCCTTGCATGGACAGATATCTTAATTTCTTGGGTACATACTAAGAAAAGTGGAATGGGTACGTACATTCCACTCCAAGACCTGGAGTGGAACTTCCAGGTCACACAGTAACTCCTTACCTAACTTGTTGAGAGACTGTCAAACTATTTTCCAAGGCAGCTGCACTACTTTACATTCCCATCAACAATGTAAGAGGGCTCCAGTCTCTCCACATCATCACTAACACTTATTATCTGTTTTTTGATATTAGCCATCTAGTACTGTACTGGTATCTCATCGTGATTTTAATTGGAATTTCCCTAATGACCAATGATGTAAGACTCTTTTCATTCCAGCTCAATCAGAAGGCAAAAAACAGTAGCTGCCATACATGGAATGCCTGTGATCCACTAGGTGCTTTTCATGTGAAATCTCACTTAACATTGTAACAACCCTGAGAGTTAGGTGGTTTACAAAAGAGCAAACTAAGGTCTCGAAGAGGTGAATTGACTTGCAAAGGTGACACAGGAGCAAGCTGAAAGTCGGCATTTGACTTCAGGTCTGTTGGTTTCCAAAGTCTGTGTGCTTTCTGTGGCAATGTCTACAAGCTGAAGTTTTCTGTGTCATCATAATCCACGACCCACCCTTTGGAATGTCTGTCACATCGTGTGCATGGAACAGGAATGAGATTTATTGTAGGCATTATTTTGCTGTATAGAAGAAAACTAAAATGACTGAATCCACATGAAAGACCCGATCTCCATGCCCCCAAAATAACCTTTTATGAGTTATTAGGAATTCTACCTTTCAGCATTCCTCACCTCTCAACACTGTCAATTACTGCATCTCCAGGAGCAGAAATCAAACACAAGTGTGTCCAGCAGCTTTGCTAAGGAAACTGTCTCTGCAATCAGCATGGCCAGCCCACCAGGAACAAACCACAAGAGAAAGGAAAGGAGCAAAGTCAAGGAGCCCAAAGCCCACCAGGGTGCAAACCATGAAGCATCCTTTCACTCTCAGAAATCACTTTTTAGATGCCAAAAATACTTAGAGGTGCCATTTTAGGCACAGAACTATATAAAATGAATATAAGGCCTGCAGCCAAAAGGGTTCATGTGACAAATTTTCCAAATGCCACAAAACATCATTCATTCAAAAAACTCATGAGTGGGAGACTTCATTAGAATAGCCTGAAAGCAGCGATAACAGATAGAAATATCAGTGCTACTGTTATCTGCTGGCAATAAATGAATATGATAAACCTTTGTTATCAGCTCAGTTCCAACAAAAGCAATGAACAGGACCAAACCTTTGAATGCTCTCCTTAAAGGCCTAATCCAGAATTTTTTTTTTTTTTTTTGAGAGGGAGTCTCGCTGTGTCGCCCATGCTGGAGTGCAGTGGTGCGATCTTGGCTCACTGCAACCTCTGCCTCCTGGGTTCAAGCGATTCTCTTGCCCCAGCCTCCCAAGTAGCTGGGATTACAGGCACGCGCCACCACACCCAACTAATTTTTTTGTATTTTTAGTAGAGATGGGGTTGCACCCTGTTGGCCAGGCTGGTCTCAAACCCCTGACCTCAGGGGATCCGCCCACCTCGGCCTCCCAAAGTGCTAGGATTACAGGCATGAGCCATCGCGCCCAGAAAAAGTCATCTTTTTTTGATGTAATTGCAGAGTGCAAGAGTAACATTATGAAAAAAAAGTCAACAGATCAGCTCTGCCACCTCCTAGTCTATGATTTGGGCACCCGGCTTTGATGATCTCATACATGTCTGAGAAGAGTAACAGGCTTGTTGTTTCCAACTACTATGCCCCCAAAATGAAATAACTGAGATATGTACCAAAAGACTACTCTCCTCCAGTTGGGCCTAAATCTTGGCCAGCAGATCCAAAACTCAACCACCACACTTAAGAGAAAATATCAACTTCTTACCTTTTGCAGACAGAAATGCCCAGAAAGATTAATAAGTGGAGCAGCTTCAAGGGCAAAATGCCAAAAAATGCATAAGGATTTTTGCATTTGGGTTGTGTACTACCCTACCTATTTGACTTCTATTTTAGAAGAAAAGTGTGTTGGATTCTCTGATGACATATATTTCTGTAAGTCTAGATTCTAACTGTAAAGAGCACAAGAAATTGAAAAGCTGAGATGTGACTAAAGTCTGACTAAAGGCTGAATAAATGATGGTGCCACCCACATTTAAAGACAATGTGACTTACTAGAATAAACACACACAGCACCTGCCGCATGCCTGCTTCTGTGCCTGAACAGTGACCCAACCATGGTCAGGTCACCGAAGGTCTCTAAGCTTTGGTTCTTTGTCTACAGACTGGAGAGAGGTATTTCTGTCTTGCCTTGAGGTTTACATGAAACAGTGTATGCGAACCACCTGGCGCATGCCCACTATTCTAAGAGCCTCCTGCTAAGTCGTTACATTGTGTGCTGTGTCGGTTTATTCTTGAGAATCATGGTCAAGTAAAGCTCAACCTAAAGATGCAGTTAACATTCTCTACAACGTACTTTTGTGTCTCTATGGAGAGTGAGAATATGGAACCTGTGATCCAAAATGAACCAGAAAAACAAACAAACAAAAAACAGAAGTTTAGAAACTACACTAGTTACAACCACCAGCTTGGAAATGATACCCTGGTGTGGAAAAATACAGCTCAAAGCAATCTGAGGGAGGCTCCTCCCCTTTCCATGGAAGTTTTCATGGCTTCTGGCACACCCTGTCAGCATTCTCTTCCCAGGAAGGTACTGGGAAGCACTGCCACGTGTACTCCTCTCATTCCTTTTCACTACTACCAAATTTCACACCCCCTCAATTCTAGTAATATGCATTTTCATTAAATCTGGTAATATTTAACCTGGAGTCAAAAAGCAATTTCTTGTGCTTAGAAGACTTTCTATTTCTTGTCATGAATTGATTGGTTATAAATGTTAAGGGACTAAGCTGTTACAGCAAATTTGGGGAGAAAGAGAGTCAGTTCCACGTGCTGCCCCAAAGCAGCATCTGTGTATCAGAAAATCTTCAGGGAGTCTCTGGCAGTGTGGAGGCCTAAGCTAAAACCAGGAGGACTGAGAACATATGTGCCAGGAAGGTGATTTTGATGCCAGTTCTGTCTCTCTCCTGAACCCAATCAACTCAATCATTTCTGTTTAACACAAACTCACATGAGTGCCTCCTAAAAGCTGGTTCAGTCAGCTGCCTCCAGGTCAGACCAGTGAGGATGGAGGCCGGTCACTCAGTGTTGTCTGTGGGTGCATGCAAGGGGCAGTGTGGTGCTCTTGAAAGGCAGTGCCCAAGGACAGCAGCAGAAATGCCCCTGCCTTCCCCACTCAGGAAGGGCATCACTGTCCACCCACAAGCAGCTTCCAGAGCCATCACTTATAAATATTTCTTCTCTCATTTAGATTTCCCTGTGCCAAGAAAAAAAAACAAAAACAAAAAAACACCTGCCTGCTCTGAGTCAGCCTCAGAGATGACCGTGGTTGACTGTGCTGTCTGCCATCTGCTTTTAACCACGAAAGAGGAAGCAGCTATGTGGGACACCACATCAGGGAACCTTCCGGACCTAGGGTCTCACTGCCTGGAAACTCCCCTGAGCCTCAGCTTCTTCAGATGGAAGGGACTCTGCTAACTCAAAGAACCCCTCATACTACCCACCAAAGGAAAGTCCCCATCAGGGAGACTAGCAAGGGAGGCTGAATGTAGAACAGCACTCAGGTTAATCCTAAATCCCTACCTGGCTTTCCCTCCTCAGTCATCAACATAGTGATGGGGTGAACTTCGATGATGTTGTCTGGGGACTGACCTTCATATCCTCTGATCCTCCCAGTCTTTTCTTCTTACCTTTTCTCGTACCCAGTGTGTGGTGGGTGGGTAGGGAGGTAGATGAGTGAAAACACCCACAGGAAGGAGGATGGCAAAACTCAGATCCAAAAGCAACAACTCTGCCTCAGTGTTGTAAATAAGCAACAGCTTTTCCACCCAAAACAACTCATTTGTGCAAGGTCACCAGCAAACTGTACAGCTGTCTCCCAGCCCTGTCAGCTATAATTTCTAATAGCTGTCACTGTGTCCTGGCTTGTTAAAATCCGTGAAGGAAATCATTTCATGTAGCTTTTTTTTTTTTTTTACGAGATGGAGAGAGAAAAGAATGGTAGCAGAGTAAAACAGCAAGTGCAAGCAGATGACAGAAATTTCTACAGACACTTAATAGACAGACATTCCTTAGGCCTAGTTCAAATATCTAAATTCCATCTGGGGACTTGGCTGTCAAAAGATAATCATCTCTTGCTTCATTTCTCATATAATTTCCTAAACCCTCGGGTCTCAGCTAGTGCAAGGTCCTGTCATGGTCACCTGTGGCTTGGGCCAATTCTCACTTCCCCTGAAGGGCAGCTGCGTGTAGGGAGCGGGGGCTGCCCAAAGTTTCACTCTGACTGGAGGTAAACTTAACATCATTTCTGCATTAGTCATTTAGAGCCCTGGGCTCAGTACTTTCCCCCAACTGGGTTTCTGCTTTTGAGCTCGCTCTGCAATTTCCCCAATTCTGACTCAATTCTCTCTGGGCCCAGGGAGCTGTCAACAGCCACTCCTCCCCACCCATTTCTCCAGCTGTAGCCCTCTTGCAGGTGTCCTGCCCACAAAAGAACACCAGCATACAACGCCATGCAGGGCCCACTCTGAGCTGGGGACCTTCTGCCAGTTGCCACCTGGGATCTCTGCCAGGTGCCCAGAAGAACCTCACACCAGACATCCCTACAGCTGAGCGCTGCTCCCACCCAGTGCTCTGGACTTTGGGGAAAGTACCACCGCCCACTAGCTCACCCCAGCCACATGCTGTCCCCAGTGCCTCCTGTCTTCCCACTCCATCCACGTGGTCAAGCCTTGTCTCTTCCCAGGACATTCCTGCCACACCACAAAGGAGGCTGGCATCAAAAGCCAGGGGGTGAGCTTGCTGATGGGAGAAGAGGAGAACAGGAAGACACAGTTGAAGAGTGGTAGAGCCTGCAGCACCTGCCCCAAGACCACTGCCACATCCAAGTCTGGCCGCATGGCCTCTAGTGCCAGGGCCTGGCTGGGGGACTCCTGACACTGCACCTGCCCCTAAACCTCTCAGCAGCCTTGACAAAGCTCAGGGGGCTACGCAGGGCTCTGTCATAGAGAATAGGAAAGGAGGGCACACAGCACACCAACTCCTGCTAGAAAATCTCCAGGGGCTCCCCATTCACTGTGGGTTTCTCTTTGCTTCCCCTTGAGGTCATAATTTTCTTTCTTCTGAATGCAATTTTATCTTCAGTGGGCTTCATTACACAAACAAGCAAAAAGAGTGGGGCTGACTGATCAGGGCAAAGCTCAGTGAGCTCAGAGGGCACTGGGGCAGGCTCCCCCTGGAAACCCTGCTGCCTCACTGAGGGTGAAGTACAGACCCCAGGGAGTGTCCTTCTGGCCTGGCCGCCCCCACATGCCATTGGCTCTTCCTGTCTCTGCCGCTCCTCCCAGTCCCCCGCCCCGCAGCCATTTCCATCCATGCACCTCTAGAGAACCCTAGGTCTATTCACTTCCATCTGGAAAACACTTCTTCAGAGTTTCCACCAACGGAGCCTCAGCCTCAGTGTCACTTGGATGAAAATTTTCGAGACTTCCAGAAGGTGAGTTGTTAGTTTTCCCCCTTGGGGCTCTGATTAAATTTAACTCTCAGCACTTCAGCTTACAAGGAATCTTCCCTTCCGTGAACTTATTTGGTCCTAATGAGACCATGGGAAGGAGTGGGCTGCCCTCAACCAGCAGACATGCTCAGCACTGTGTCTGCCATCCCAGGATGCAGTTGGGGCACTGTCCCTCTGTGCAGAGGCTGGGCAGGCAGACATCAACTTACCGCAGGTCTGAGACTATCTCCAAAGACAGTGTTCTTTCCTTGATGACGACCGACTCTTTCCTACACCTGACCCACACTCTGTGCCAAGCAAGGATCATGCACTCAGGGCCCTGGCTCCTCCTGCAGGGTTGGGTCTTCAGGAGCTCCTGAGGAGTAAGGGCCCTGCCTCGGCCACCCTGTTGGCCCCAGTGCCTGACCCAGGCCAAGCGTTCAGGAAACCTTTGGTGGAAACGCTCACATATCCACTTCCTTCTCTGCCTGCTCAAAAGTTGTACTTGGATTTGACTATACACCCTGAAGTATGGAGACTGGCCCTGACTGCCAGGATACATAGGCTGATTAAAACTCAAGCAAGGCCGGGCGTGGTGGCTCACGCCTGTAATCCCAGCACTTCGGGAGGCCAAGGCAGGCAGATCACCTGAGGTCAGGAGTCTAAGACCAACCTGGCCAACATGGTGAAACCCCGTCTCTACTAAAAATACAAAAATTAGCCCGGTGTGGTGGCGGGCGCCTGTAGTCCCAGCTACTCGGGAGGTTGAGGCAGGGGAATTGCTTGAACCCTGGAGGCAGAGGTTGCAGTGAGCCGAGATTGCACCACTGCTCTGCAGCCTGGGTGAGAGTGACACTCTGTCTCAAACAAAAAAACAAACTCAGGCAAGATTTACCACCATGAGGATAGAGAACTTAGGAGCACAATATGCTGATGGGGACAAAGAGAACTTCATTGTGTCTCTCAAAACATTTTCCAAGAGGAAGACGGGAGAGAATGAGGGCAGAGCACATGGCACGTGGCAGGACTGAACAATGACACTGATATAAAAACAACTCGTGTTCACACCAAGGAGCACTGGCCCAGGCACGGAGCGTGACCACAGGGGCGGCGTGCTGATCCTGGCTCAGGCAGCGCATCTGCCACACGGAAGGGCGCACCGTACCCAGTCTGGTTGAGGTGGGCACCCAGCCTCACTCAACAGGGCATTCAATGTAAGTGCCCACAAATGCAAGAGACAGTGAACAGAATGGCAGCCAGACCGCATGAAACGCAGAGCTCTTGAGGCACCACCAGGGGAAGGTGGGGCCTCCCTGGCCACAAAACCTGAGACTTCAAGTCATGTCTGAGAGGCTGAGAGGATTAAGGAAGGGGCTTTGGGGAGGGGCCAGACATTTTCTGACGAGAAACGCAATGCAGATGGTGAGTCCAAGATCTCTCGGCCTGACCTGTCTAATTCCCTGACCCTGGACTGTGCCTGCGTGGAAGGCTCTGCCCCTCCGTCCCGGCAGCACTGACCCTGCCCTGTCCCAACCAGGCCTGCATACCCTTCCTTCAGCTGAACACACATATTTTGTACCCCGAACACCCACAGCGTGCAGCAACATCTGGGAAGCCAAGCAGGAATCTCACTGACGTCTCTCACACACCTCAGCTGGCACTCTGCCCCCACTGCTGGCTCTGGAGCAAGCAGAGGCCAACAAGTCAGACCACTGATTTCGTGCTCCAGCCTTCTGGAGGTAACACATAACTGCCCACCATGCTCTTCTTTCCCAGAACTGAAGCCCAAACTCTGGGCCAGGCTTCACAGCAAACTGAACCACCAGCCGAGCAAGCACCTGAGCATGTGAGCCCGTCCTTCGCATTCTGTTAGGCGCAAGGATGCAGGCAGCGCACCTCCTCGCCAGCCAGTCGCCCACGGTCCTGTCACTGCTGGGTCACACGCAGCCCTCCAATACGGAGCACACATAAATAAAGCTCTGGCGCCCGCAGACCCTGCAGTATCCTCCTCTGTTGAGTGGTGAGAACATCTACCATGGAGGACGCTACAAGGATTCAAGAAGCCAGCGCTTGTGACAGTGTGAAAAGCAGGTCCGGCCCCCAGGCCCAGGCCACCAAGGAACATGCACTTCCCACAGCCCCCACTTCCCCTCCAACTTCCACTACTTCAAACCCATGAAAGGGGGAACTGCCCACAAAAGTTCATTCTCCCCCAAACCACTTACTAAGTGCCAAGTGGCCCCACCAGGCAGAGATGGAGGCCAGCGTGAATCTGGGCTGTCTCCTGCCCACCTGCCATTCCTCTCCACCAGCCAGCAAGGAGGCCCCAGGAGCCCCCATTCAGCTCACACACCCAGATCCAAACACTGCCTCCAGCCTGGCCCGACCACACTAAGCTGCCCTCTGCCTCTCCCACTTTAGGGCTTCGAGACACCTCTTTCACCAGCTGAACTGGTGGAAAACTTTTCCTGCTGATCCCCTCTAGAGACCGCTCTCATTGCAGAAGTGTTTCTGGAACACGAAGTATTGCAAAGTCAGTCTATTTTGCTACAAACCACTCTGAGTAGCGATTTGCAAACACCATCCCTTATGCAGTCCGCACTTAGGAACTCTCTTCTCCAACTGAGCTACACTCTCTGGTCCTTCTCTAGGTCCAGGTAAAGATGTAGCCAGTCCTTCCAGTCTGCAAAGCATTATGAAGCTGCAAAGAATATATCCAACATCTTATTCAGACTTATTCTTGAAATGAACAATGTTTCGTTCTTTGCTAACTTGATGCTCAAATACCCTCTCAAAATCTAAACACAAGCCCTTCCTGCCAGGCTACACAAACCACACAAAAAGAACAACCCTATGGTCCAAAGACTGAGGATTCCACAGTCCAACTGAGGATCACTGTAAACTGCTTTACATGGTTTAATAACAAACATAATAATCCATCTATACAAACCTGCAAGAGCACAGAAGACAGATACCCAAGAGTTTCGCTGAGCATTGTGTGTAATGACAAAAACAGCTACAAACTACTTAGCTGTTCATCAAGAGAGGGCGGATTAAAATGAGTCATGGCCATTCCTATAAAGGAACGCTTTCTAAGGGGAATGCTGTGGGTTTGAGCTGCTGATGAGGAAACATCTCCAAGCAACATTTCTTAAAAAAAAAAAAAAAAAGGAGAAACAAGATGCAGAACACTGTCTATAATATGATCCCATCTGTGTACTTTTAACCAAATATTTGGGTATACAATCTTAAAAAAAAAAGTTGCACAAGAAACTTATCAGAGAGGTATGCCTCTTTCTCTGTAGAGGGTCTAGGGTTGAGAAGGTATTGGGGAGGGAAAGGTTTCATTCCTTTTTGTTTCATTCCTTTAAAAAAAAAGGGGGGGGGGGAGGGGCGGGGTGCCGGGTGTGATGGCTCACGCCTGTAATCCCAGCACTTTGGGAGGCCGAGGCAAGCGGATCACCTGAGGTCAGGAGTTCAAGACCAGCCTGGGCAACATGGTGAAACCCCCTCCTCCACTAAAAATACAAAAATTAGCCGGGCATGGTGGCACACGTCTGTAATCCCAGCTACTCGGGAGGCTGAGGCAGGAGAATCGCTTGGACCCGGGAGGCGGAGGTTGCAGTGAGCTAAGATCACACCATTGCACTCCAGCCTGGGCGACATGAGCGAAACTTGATCCCCCCAACAATAACAAAAAAAGTACGTGTATTTATTGTATTTAAAAACTTAAAACCACCAAATCAATTATCTATGAGAAAAAGGAACAAGATCAACACATGAAATCCCCAGATGATTTAAGAATTCCATTCCACTTGGTACTCACCCCTTCATCCCAAAGATTCAACCAAACTGAATTCAGCTTCTCCCCATTGCTCTCTCCCTGCCTGTCCTTAAAACAAAACTAATGAGCTGTTAAAGGGCCACATGTGAGGCTGAAAGGGAAGGAAACAAAGCATGTGAATAATTCACAACTGGATCATCAGCCCCGCTGTGAGCTCAACAGCCCCTGACACGGATGGAGTTGAGTCCCTCTGGAGGTGGCATGCTGAAGGGAGACTGCCTTCCTGCGTGGACCTGGGACAGAGGTGGCCACAGGCAGGCTCAGTAAGTGGTTGCTGAACCAACTATATGGACAGGAACCAGGACTCAATGGAGAAACATGTTATATATACACACATACACGCATATTTGTCATACACACAACATAACAAACGGGCGCATAACATAAGCGCTGCACACACACACACACACACACACACACACACACACACACACAGCCTCCCAAATAAGGAAACAGCAGGAACACTCATGAATTAAGACAGATAATCCCCAACTTAGGGATGGTTTAAAATTTAGGGCTCATTTTCTCACGGAAATGATGGTATAAATGTTGGCGAACTTCCCTGGCTAGGTAACACATGTCTGTTTAGCTCATAAAATAAATGAACTCCCAGCCAGGCGCAGTGGCTCACGCCTGTAATCCCAGCACTTTGGGAGGCCGAGGAGGGTGGATCACGAGGTCAAGAGATCGAGACCATCCTGGCCAACACAGTGAAACCCTGTCTCCGCTAAAAATACAAAAATTAGCTGGGCATGGTGGTGCGTGCCTGTAGTCCCAGCTACCCGGGAGACTGAGGCAGGAGAATCACTTTAACCCTGGAGATGGATGTTGCAGTGAGCCGAGATCGCGCTACTGCACTCCAGCCTGGCGACAGAGTGAGACTCTGTCTCAAAAATAAATAAATAAATAAATAAATAAATAAATAAATAAATAAATAAAAATAAATGAACTCCCATTCCGTCCTTGTGTTTGATTGCCCCAGACTGTCTGCTGAGGAGACCCCATGTGCCCTCAGGGAGGCTGCCTGTTTAGACCTCTGGCCGTCACCAACATTGCTGTGCTTCTGTTCTCAGCAGCTTCAAGGGCTGACCTCCACCTGGTGCCCAGCCGAGTAAACACGTGGAGCATAAGTTCCATGTGTATGGACTCAGGGCTCCTCCAGACACCACGGGCGCTGCCCTCACAGAGCACTCACCTGCAGGCTGCTTCCCCTAAGTGTCAGGTCTTCACCTCCGCTGCGGCCTCAACGCAGGGAATTTACTATTGAATTCACCGCCAAGACAACACTGAGACAGAGTCGATGCCACAATTTTACGGCGTAGTTTATTTTTATGTCTGGCTTAGATCTCAAAAAGGGTCTGAGAAGGCTTACATAAATACCATTTTAAAATACAAGGAAAAAAACAACACCAAAAGCAAAAGTAATGAGAAAAAAATACATAAAGTGGACTACATTGAAACTTAAAATTCTTGGGCTGCAAACAATACCATAAAGTAAAACGACAACCCGCAGAAACGGGAAAAAAATACTTGCCCATTATCTAGCTGATAAGGAACGTATTTAAAGTCTTACCGCTCAATATCAAAAACAGAAGCCATTAAAAATGGGCAAAGGAGTGACTGCTAGTGGGTACAGGGTTTCTTTGTGAGGTGATGAAAATATTCTTGATTGTGGCAATACTTGCATAACTCTGTGAATATATGAAAAACTTCAGAATTGTACACTTTAAGTGGATGAATTATATGATACTTAAATTCTATCTTAATAAACATGTTATTTTTTAAATGGGCAAAGGATTTGGATACACATTTCTCCAAGGAAGATAATGCAAACAGCCAATAAACAAATGAAAAGAAGCTCAACAACATTAGTCATTAGGGAATTACAAGTAAAAATCACTGTGAAATACCACTTCACACCCACTAATATGACTATAATAAAAAAGACAGACAATAACAAGTATTGGCGAAAATGTGGAACATTTGACCCCTCATACATTGCTGTTGGGAACAGAATGGTGCAGCAGCTTTGAAAATCAGTCTAGCAGTTCCTCAAAAGGCTAAACAGTCATCACATAACCTAGCAATTCCACTTGTAGATATTTATCCAAGAGAAATGAAAACATATGCCCACAAAGACCTGTACACAAATGTTCACAGCAGCATTATTCACAATAGCCAAAAAGTGGAGACAATCCAAATGTCCATCAACTGCTGAATGGATAACCAAATGTGGTGTATCCGGTTATTTAGCAATGAAAATGAAGTACTGATTCATGCTATAACACAAGAGAAGCCCGTCCTAAGGGACCACGTTACATGATTCCATTTATATGACATGTCCAGAAAGAGTAAATTTAGAGACAGAGAGTAGATTAATGGTTGCTCAGGGCTTGGGTAGGGTGGGCCAGAATCAGGAGTGACTGCTAAAGGTACAAGATTTCTTCTAGGAGGAACAAAATATTCCAAAATTGGATTGTGATGATGGATGAAAAACCCTGTGACTCTATCAAAAATTAAATCATACAATATAGATGGGCGAGATGATGGCATGTGAACGACATCTCAACAAAGCTGTTTAAAAACATAAGACAAATCCAGCATGTATTTTTTTTAACAAATTTTATGGATTCCTAATAGTTGTACATATTTATGGGCTACACATGACATTTTGATACAAGCATACAATGTGTAATGATCAAATCAGAGTAACAGAAATATCTACCACCTCAAATATTTATCACTTCCTGTGTTGGGAACATTCCAAATTTTCTCTTCCAGCTATTTTGAAATATATAATTAATTTTTGTTAACTACAGTTGCTCTACTGTGCTACCGAACACCACATCTTATTCCTTCTAACTGTATTTTCATCCCCAACAATTAACTCCTCTCCATCCCCGTCTCCCCACTACCCTTTCCAGCCTCTGGTAACCACTCTTCTTTTCATTACCTTCATGAGATCAAATATTTTAGCTTCCACATATGATTAAGAACAGGCAGGCTGGCATGGTGGCTCATGCCTGTGATCCCAGCACTTTGGGAGGCCGAGGCGGGCAGATCACTTGAGGTCAGGAGTTCAAGACCAGCCTGGCCAACATGGTGAAGGCCCGTCTCTACTAAAAATACAAAGTTAGCCGGTCGTGGTGGTGCATGCCTACAATCCCAGCTACTTGGGAAGCTTTAGGCAGGAGAATCACTTGAACCCTAGAAGCAGAGGTTGCAGTGAACCGAGATCGTGCCATTGTACTCCAGCCTGGGAGACAGAGCGAGACTCCATCTCCAAGAAAAAAAAAAAAATACAGAACAGGCAATATTTGTTTTTCTGTGCCTGGCTTATTTCACTTAATGTTCTCCATATTGATCCACATTACTGCAACTAGCAGGATTTCATTCTTCTTTTTTGTTTTTTTATTTTTATTTTTTTGGAGACGAGTCTCGCTCTGTTGTCCAGGCTGGAGTGCAGTGGCGTGATCTTGGCTCACTGCAAGCTCCACCTCCCGGGTTCACACCATTCTCCTGCTTCAGCCTCTCGAGTAGCTGGGAATACAGGCACCTGCCACCACGCCCGGCTAATTTTTTGTGTTTTTAGTAGAGACAGGGTTTCACCGTGTTAGCCAGGATGGTCTCGATCTCCTGACCTCATGATCCGCCCATCTCAGCCTCCCAAAGTGCTGGGATTACAGGCATGAGCCACCGCACCCAGCCTAGGATTTTATTCTTTATTATGGCTTTATAATATTCCATTGTGTATATAAAACCACATTTTCCTTATCCATGTGTCCACTGATGGGCACTTAGGTGGATTCCTTATCTTGGCTATTAACAGTGCTGTAACAAACATGGGAGTACAAATATCTCTTCAATATGCTCATGTTCTTCCTTGGAGAAATGTGTGTCCAAATCCTTTGTCCATTTAAAATACCTGGCAATGAGATTGCTAGATCATAAGGTAGTTCCATATTCTTAGTTTTCTGAAGAGCCTCCATACTGCTCTCCATAGTACTAACTTACATTCCCACCACTAGTGTTTGAGAGGTCCCCTTTCGCCATATCCTCACCATTTATTTTCAGTCTTTTTGATAATAGCCATTTTAACTGAGATGAGGTGATATCTCATGGTTTTGATTTGCATTTCCCTAATGATTAGCGGTGTTGAGTATTTTTTCATATACCTGTTGGCCATTTACATGGTTTTTTTTTTTTGAGAAATGTCTATTCAAATAATTTGCCCATTTTTAAATCAGATTATTTGGTTTTTGGCTACTGAGTTGTTTGAGCTCTTTATATATTCTGGTTATTAATCCCATGTCAGATGAATAGCCTACAAATATTTTCTCTCATTCTGTGGGTTGTCTTTTCACTTTGTTGATTGTTTTCTTTGCTGTGCAGAAACTTTTTAGCTTGATGTAATCGTATTTGTCAATTTTTGCTTTGGTTGCCTGTGCTTTTGAGGCTTTACTCAAGAAATCTTTGCCCAAAACAATGTCCTGAAGCATTTCCCCAAAGTTTTATTTTAGCATAATACTTTCATAGTTCCAGGTCTTACATTTAAGTCTTTGATTTTGAGTTGATTTTTGTACATGGCGAGAGACAGAAGTCTACTTTCATTCTTCTTCATATGGATGTACAGTTTTCCCAGCACCATTTATTGAAGAGACAATGTCCTTTGCCCAATGGATGTTCTCAGCCCCTTTGTCAAAAATCAACTGGCTGTAAATGTGTGGCCCAGCATGCTTCTGTGTTAATCTGTAAAACACATTCTTAAAAGATTTTAGCTGACCAAAAGCGACACAAGAAGAAGAAAATATGATGAAATTGGAACAAAATAAATGCACACAATGGCATGGTTTTTATGGTTTGGGGCAGTAGGGCTGGTGGGGGAAGGAGATGGCCCCACACTTAGCTCCAGGCTCCTGAGGGCCAAGGCAGAACGGGGAACGCTGTTAGTCACAACATCATGGTGTCCATCGGATGAAAAAAACTTGCGAGAAAAGATAGTGTTTCTTGAAAAGAAAACAGTCTTTCTGATACTGGAATGTGCTGAAAACTTCTTTTTGGGTCTTCCCAAAAAGAACACAGCTCCAACTGGTGTGGAAGAGTGGGGGTTTCAGGGAGGACCTCACCAGAGGGGAAACTGAAACTGACGAATGTAATCTAACATTTAACTCTGGAGAGTGTTGTTGAAGGCTTCCGCAGAGTTGGTGGAGAGCAGAGTTGGTGGAGACCGTGGAACTCAAGCAAACATCTGAAATAAACTAAGCTAATGAAACCACGAGGCCATTTTGAACTCAAGGAAAATAAAAAAAGTTGTCCAATAAAAGCGCAATTTTAGTGTTCTACACTGGCTCAACAGTCAGCAAAACGTAGTCAAAATAATGATGATACTAAATGTGGATTTAACCAGATATTTTAAATACATTTTACTTTCGTGTAATCGGTACTGATATAAACATATATACTGAGAGGATAGAGGAAGAGAGATTAAATAATGTCTAGCACTGTTAAATCAAGAGCTAGAAGGTATGTGTATTATTTTAAAATGTGGAGGCAAATAGTAGAAGAACCAGCTAAATAAGAGTTGAAAGTAGTTCTTCTGAGAAGCAGACCACAACGGTGGGGCATGGGGAAGACTGTGTTAAGCTGTGACATTATTAAACTTTCCATTTATATACATATATTACTTTATTTAAAAATGAAATAAACTTGTTAAATACAGGAAAAGTCACCTATGGTCAATGTTCCCTGTGATCACTATTTCTTTAAAGGGGCACAGGTGAGACCACGCTAGGAGAAGAAAACTCTTTCATCAGGAGGGGCATCCCACTGAGTCACTGAAGCCCCCAGTGCTGTGAGGTCCAAGAACGTGCTGCTCTCCCCTGGGAGGCCTGTCTTGATGTCAAGATCCCACCAGCCCCAGACAAAGCAGCACACAACTGACCCATGGCAGGAGGGAGGCACTCAGAGGCGCAGCCAGGAGGGAAGAAGCCTGCTCTCCCCATCCTCTTTCTGGCCCAGTATGCATGGCTGAATTCACCTTAGGATAAACACAGGTATGACTACACTCCAGTATGACTAGAAAAATAACACAGGCGTGACTGCAGTTGGAATCACAGCTTGCGGGCCACACTGGTTACACATCCACCGGGACTCAAGAGGGATCCACTGAGCTGAACACTGCCTGCTCGTGCTCTGTGCCTAAGGCTCCCTGTCTGGCAAGCCCCATGGAAGCTCACAGATCTGTCATTTGTGGAGAGCTGCAGCTCTTGTGTTTAAAAAGGAATGATTTGGCTGGGTGCAGTGACTCACACCAGCACTCTGGGAGGCTGAGGTAGGCGGATCCCTTGAGCCCAGGAGTTTGAGACCAGCCCGGGCCACACAGCAAGACCCCAACTCTACAAAAAAAAATACAAAAATTAGCATGGTGGCACATGCCTGTAATACCAGCTATTCAGGAAGCTGAGGTGGGAGGACCACCTGAGCCTGAGAGGTCAAGGTTGCGATGAGCCGTGATTGCACCACTGCACTCCAGTCTGGGTGACAGAATGAGACCCTGTCTCAATTAAAAAAAATAAAATAAAGAAAAGAAAAAGTGAAAAAACGGAAGGATTTACTAAGCCCAGCTGTTCAATCAGCTCACAGATACTCACTAAGCACTCCACAGCTCTGGCCTGTGCTAGAAGACAAGGACTCAGTCATGAGGAGGGCACAGGTGGTGCCATCTCCTGAGTTACAAGACAGTCGAGGGAGATGTAGACAGGATCTGACCCATGAATGAAGATATAATTCCCAGGTAGCTCACTAAGTTGAGAATAGTTGTACAAAGAGAACACTTAAGGGAAAGGCGGAATTATATGCTCTATGGACCGTGAGGTGGTAGGATGCAAGAAGTTTTGGCAAAACTGAAATGAGCCTAAATCAATACGCCATGATGAACTGAATCTCCCAACAGAAAAAGGGACATTAATGGAAAAACTGGAGAGATCCAAATAAAGCAATTTTAATTAATAGCAATATACCAATGTTGGTTTCCTTTTTAGGCAAATGCAGCATGGCAATGTAAGTTATTAAATTAGTGGAAACTGGGTTATACAGCAACTCTGTATTTGCTCTGCAAATGTGCTTTGCAAATTTTCTATAAATCTAAACTTATTCCAAAATTAAAAGTTGATTTAAAAAATATACAAATATATTGTGCTCCCCCGCCAAGAAATAAGTGATACCACCACGACCACCACCACCCCTGAATTAAGGCTCCAGCTTTGAAGCACAGAGCCCAAAGGGAGGGGCGATGGAGCAGAGGCCAGCAGGCCGAGAGCTCAGGCCATGCAGAGCCTGGGAGGCTAAGCCATGGGATCAGGTCTGCATCCTAAAACCAACAGGAAGCACCTCCACAAATGGGAGCTACAGGCCTTGTCCCCAGTGCCCCTGAACATGGAGAAGGACAGCCTTCATTTCACTGATGAGCGAGTCAGAGCAGAGATGACTCAGCAACACAGCTCTCTCGACCCACATTCTGCCAACCGCCCAGACTGGCAGAAGGCCATGCAATTTGTAATCCCTCTGACCTGGATTTTAGCAGCCCCAGGTCAGCTGTTAAGACTTGGGAGAAGCCGACAGAGCTGTAGGAGGGAGTGGTGGGTTGGGTCTTGATTCCACTGTTCTCACCTAATGCCAGCTAACATCCAGATCCAACCCTGTCCCACCTCTGAGGCTGGGGACGGGGGACAAAGGGGCTCCAGGGGTTCCACAGATAACAGGACCCCAACAGGACTGAGGCTACCTTCCCCCTGGGGCTACATGCATTCATGTAGAAATGAATAGGAAGAGTGGCAGGCAAGGTGGGCTCCAAGGCTTTCTAAGGTTGATGCCATACGCACACCAAGGCTGGGAGTGAAATTTGGGCTAATTAACAGTGACATGTAAGTACAGGAATCTTTAATTTAAACGTAAGCCTCTGCATACCAATAAACCTTGCCAACTTTTTGGGAGTTACAGAACCTCATGTAAACTTGAGAAACAACAGGAATACACCTTTACAGAGAGCTCTGGAGCACGGAACTAAGTATGCCCATCATGCAACCCTTTACTTGACTAACAAACCAGTTGAGTTGGGAATGATCGTCTCCTACTAGCTACCAATAGACATGTTTTGTTTGGCCCATGATAGCTTTGAGATAAAGAAACTTTACACAAAATCTAGATATTCAATTTTTCCTGAAAAATCCAAAGACTCATTAACCATCAGCTAGACCTGAGTGGTGCCTGGTTCCCTCTTCCCCGCCATATCTTTCACACAGCAAGATCTTTTCCATTTTACCACACTTCCCATCACTCCCTAGTAGATGTGGCTGGGCAGGCTGTGCCCTGAGCCTGCAGGCATGTGCATTTACTACCCTGTGCACAGAGAATGTCTCTTCTTCCAACTTCTCTTAAAAGCACACCAGCAGTTTCAGTCACCTGTTTGATTCCCCTCCAAGGGCTTTCTAAAAATTTCCACCAAAATACCCCGACAGCCACCTAAGACCGTGACCGCAGATTCTGGGAATGGGAGGCAGGTGAATGGAGATGTGGTCTTAAATGACACTCAGTGGGATGCAAAATTTGTCTGACATCCCAAGCTTTACCTTAGAAGTTCACGCCCTTGCATTCTATTTCGTTTACACATGTTGTATTCTACTCCATTATATATTTGCATTAAATTTCACACATAATGTTTTCAATTATCAATTAAAAGGTTGCCTTTAACCCCCAACCCCTAAACATGTCAAGTAAAATGGGGGCTCCAGGAAGATCTGCCAGGTTTATGCTGCCTGTGTCTTCCCCTCCTCCCAGCAGACCCCAATGACTAATTTGAGAAGAGCAGTGGCTGACCGCCTGGTCCTCAGAGGCTCCGCCCTCTGCCCCTCCGGACTCGGGGATACCCCGGGGGATCCCTGGCTTACCTTCCTGTTTTCTCACATTAGAGCTGGGATGCATATCTGTCCTCACTTACAGGGACCTGCATTCGTTCCATGAGAGGCAAAGCTACTCCTTACTTAGCATTCAGATGAGTCCCACACTCCCAAACATGCTGTCTGCTCTATGCAGGCCATCCAGCAAGATGCATGGGTGTGGGTGAACACGCCTGCTACTGGGGAGTACAAAGCTCTCTTTCATGCACACTTTCTAAGGGACTCTAACCATCTTTACTTTTACTAGCCTTGTGCTTGGGTTTACCACATTCCTCTTGGCCCAGGACTACATTCAGAAATCTGGGAAATATAGTCCATAATCACCAGCACTCTTGCTCTGTAGATTATAAGTAGACGAAAGATGAAAGAAAACTGGCAAGCAACTGGGTTCTATAACAGGCATTGCAGGATCATGAGATCCCAGCATTTCCCAAACCCAACAAAATCCACCCTGGGGGGATGTTGTTTTATCATCATTTATATCTAGGAAGAGCCCAGGGTGACCACAGTGAGACTGGCCATCTGGAGGCACGGGGCCTGAGGGCAGACCCACCTATGAGGCATGGAAGTTGGGAGATTTAAACACAGGGGAAAAACAGGTAGGGGCGTGTCTAGCAGTGAAAACAACACTCCAAGAGGCTTGCCAACAGACAATGGGCAGTCCAGGCAGCTAGAGACCAGGTACTCCAAATGCGCCTAAATTACCTAAAGGTTCGACAGGGGAGATAGGACCAGTTAATCATAAACCACTCCAAAACACTGAAAGCATCCAAGGGCCATTTACATAGACAGTCATGGGGCAAAAAGATGAACAAGGGGTCTAAGCTTCCCAATAATCTGCCCTTCTCTCAGGGCAAGTGGCCCTCACGATCAGGCATACAGACTCCCTTGAACTAGGCAGACTGATGGCACATGCACGGGCCCATGGCTTAATTTCTCCTAAGACCCCCAAATCCGTAGCCAGTCTGGAGTCTGGACAAAAGCTGAAGAACCAAGTGAACCTGAAACACTGCTTCTGCGACTGAGACTGAACCAGACCTCAATCTTTCACAGAGACCTTTTCCCTTTCTCCACTGTCAAAAAAAGGCTCTGCTCCACATTCAGCCATCTGCTGCAGGTGGCCGGCAGGAGCAGGACACACTGGCGGACACTCTGCAGTGCGACCAGCCGTGTACCTTGGGCCCTGGGCAGTTACCCTGGGAACAGAAACAAGCGGAGGAAGCACCTGCAATGAGCAGAAGCTCATCTAAGCTCATCTACATCCTTTCCCCAAACAGTACGTTCTAGGCACACATCCACTTAGACAAAGAACACCTCCTTCTTTCCATACAAGAGAGTATGCACACATTCTACAAGAGATCCCCCTTTACAAAAATCTCACATATTAAAATGCCATTGCTCCCCTCCTCCATGAGCGGTGCTCTCAAATCTTGCTTGGAAAAAGACTTTTTCCCACCCCCATCCCCATCATGGTCACTGCAGAGACTGCCTACCCGGACCAGGAAAACCAACAGTCCCTGGTCATCCACTTCATGAGCCAGGCCTCTCCTCAGCATGATAGCCTGAGTGCCACCACAGGCCGGGCCAAGGGGACTGCACAGCCGTGCACAGGCGCTACTCCCCAGAACAAGGGAGGGTCCTGGAAATGCCAGCGCCTGGGAAAAGGAACAGCATTTCCTTCACTGCATCAGTCCAAGGACTCCTGGCAGAATCCACTTCCTGGAATAGCAATAAAGCCGCCATAAAAGCCGAAGGTGCGACACCAGCCCAACAGCAGCCACTAGGTGCCGCAGTCTGGCAGGTGCCACCCTCTGGAGAGAAAATCTGCCAACACAGATTGTAAACAAACGTACCTAAGTGTACATAAATAAGGGCGAAGATCCAAACCTTGTAACACAGGCAACACTTATTTTTGCCCTAAGAAACAATGATAGAATATTTAACTCCATGGTCTCGTACACTGCTGGAGGGAATATAAATTTGGTTTGAAAAAAGCTTTCTGAAAGTTTGCAGTCTGGAAATATATATCAGATGTCTTTAAATCTGTCAGTAAGCTCCGGTCTAGGCATTCTATTTCTAGAAATCCATCCTTTAAAAAAGTCCAAAATGTACAAAGATGTTCATTTCAGCATTCTTACAATATATAAAAACGGGAACAAATTAAATACTCAATGTCAGGGGCACTCGCGAGTCCACCATTAGCCCTATCGCGAAGGATTATACAGCCGCTAACAGGCTGATGGGTAATTTTTAACGGAATGGAAATGCTCGTGACAGAAGGATGCACTATTGAGTATATGTTAACGACCAGTGTATGAAAATTGCGCAGAAAATGGCTGGAAGGAAAACATGACCTATTTTCGTGTCTGTATATTTTTCTACTTTCCAATTATTCCACAATTAGAATGCATTAGGCTTATTTTCATAATAAAGCAATTAAATTTTAGAGTCAGAGGCTACACTGGCTTGAAGGAATCAGGGCAGGCTTCCTGGAGAAGGCTGTATCTAAAATGAGAACTAAGAGACACACAGGACAGCCCGAGAAGAGGGAAGGGCATGGTGACAGGCGAAGGGGCACATGACAGCATGAAGACACTGAGTGCTCTGGTTGGGTTGGCAAATTATCTCCCTGTTATGCAGAGAAAACAACAAACCATGAGCCCTACCATCCCGCAGACATAACTTCCCTCATCAGCCATAGCATTCTTCCAGACTTCTCTACAGCAAGGCACTCCAGGCTGTCGCTACCAAGAAGACAAGCAAGGCTTCATGTGAAATAAACCTATTTGCCATGCTTGCTGCTGTTTCATCACTCCTAGAGTCAATGGAAGTTTTCACTGACATCAAAGCAATGTCCTGGAATGTTAGGGCGTGGAGCACCAGAACCCCACGTGCACACCGTACACCTGTGCTGGCAAATACGTCCAGCAGGGCTGAAACAGCACAAAATGCTTTCCCTTCAAAATCGGGTTCTGAGTGCTCCCCAAAGCATGCCTCGAAAGTCAATTCTCCCATCAGACGCAAATAATTAAATGCACAAACACTTGGTGTTTCTTTCCCTCAGGAAATCTGTCAATAAGCTCTGGTCTAGTTTTTCCATTTCTAGAAATGGAAAAGGTCACCTTGTTTTTCCCCCTTCCCTTAGGAAAAAGGGAAAGAAACTCCAAGTGGGGAAGGGTTCAACACGGTCAGGGCTGAGGTGGAGGAAGAGGGCCTCTCTTTCATCTTACACGCAGTGGGAGGGAAAGCAGAAAAAATCTGAAGGAGGAAATTATCAAATACAAAATACATGTTGAAGGCTGGGCGGGGTGGCTCACGCCTGTAATCCCAGCACTTTGGGAGGCCCAGGAGCGTGGATCACTTGAGATCAGCAGTTTGAGACCAGCCGGGCCAACATGGTGAATCCCCGTCTCTACTAAAAATACAAAAATTAGCCACACATGGTGGCGCATGCCTATAGTTGCAGCTACTTGGGGGTCTGAGGCATGAGAATCGCTTGAACCTAGGAGGCAGAGGTTGCAGTGACCCTGCAGCCTGGGCAACAAGAGTGAGACTGTGTCCAAAAAAAAAAAAAAAAAAAAAAAAAAGGTGTTGACAAGGTGTGGAGGTGGAGGGAAAGCCCTGGGAGCCAGGTTAGCCAGGTCAGGGACCAGTGACCCTGTGGAAAAGGAAGCAGTGGGCCTACAAGGGTTGAGGTCTGTGCCTCTGCTAGTTATTAACATGCACTGCATGGGCAAGGCAGTCCACTGAGGGACTGGGTAAGATGGACAAATATAAGCACCTTTTGGATTTAGAAATAGCAATGACAGAAAGAAGGTAATTTAGCTGATTTTAAAACCTCCGTACAAAATGCCTCTCCTCCCAAGAAGCTCAGACTATCGCAAAATGCTGTTCTCTTCATAGGAATGGGGTGGGAAATAGTTTCCCATTTCTGTCTTAAATCAAATGGCTGCCTCTATCAGAAAGCAGATGACACATATTAAGGATGCCAGCTACCCCTTATTAGACACCCATTATTTTTCAGACCTACACACTCACACAGGATGGATCTCCATGCTTACACATGCCCAGCAACACAAGCATGATTTTCCCAGGGTGACAAATGAAGTCTAGGAAAACGCTAAGTGATTGATGCCTCAAAAGAAAGTGCTGGAACCAGGTCTGTGTGGCTCCAAAGTTGCCCTTTTCCTACCATATGACACCGCCTTCCAACAATGGGGGGCACTCAGGTCCTGGAGCCCCAGCCCCTCCGAAGGCAGGAGTCTGGTCGCCAGGTTGCCGGCACACGGAGTTCACGCAGAGAGGCAGCAAGTGGAGCCTGTTCTCCTAGGAAACCTCCCATGGGCTGAGTCACTCAGCCATGCTCAACCCAGAAAGGTGACGGAGCACTATGGCAACACAACAGGATTTCCTCCTAGACTAAACTCCTGAACCCGAAGAAAAAATTATACGTGCTGCTAGCTGCAAATTGCTGACAAATGCTAAGGCGCTGTAGGAAAAGACATGCAACCGAAATCTGTCTGCTGCACCATTCCAATCAAAGTCAGGTGGGAGCTTTTTGTCTGAGTTTCAGTGTTATTGCTACAGCAAAAATGACAAATGCTTGACAATATAATTATGACTGTCAATCTTCCTAAAATAAACTTGGAAACATTCAAAGAGTAACAGTATAGGCAGACAAGTTAATTATATCTCATAATCTCATTTCCAATATATGTGTTGCCCTAGCAGGAGGCATTGTTGGAAAGGAGCTGCAGTTCCTCTGTTATACAGGCTATTTTTATATTTTAGATTCATATTTTAGTTCCAACACCTAACAGGATTTTATTGGGGAGAAATTTTCATTTCTACTTTTGCAGTACTTGGGAGGAGTCACCAGTAAAAACCTCTTTAAGGGGACTGCTTCCCAGAGTGAGGAAAATAAAAAGACTAGCCTGGGGAGCAACGGGCTGTTTTCCCATGTTGCAGACCCAAAGGTCACTAGGCTTGGCTGTAAACTCCAATTCATTTACCATAAAATAAATATTATTTAGATGATAGATCTAGGCCTAACATTTCTGGTTTTCATTTAAATATATCCCTTAACGAAACCAATGATACAAATTAGGGGTCAAAAGTAAATACTTTTCTCAACCCTTCCAGAAGCCCCCACTCCCTGACCTCAATCCCTGCAACCCCACCCCACCCCTACCACACAAACACCACGACTGCTTCCTTCCATCACATCCCAGATAAAGAGCTCCGTCCTCAAGACCTGGTTCCCCTGATATCTCTGTGCTCCCTTCCCCTGCACTCTACACACACACACACACACACACACACACACACACACACACACACACACACTCACCCTCTTCCTAGGCCTAGCAACGAGGCATCATTTCCTTTCAGATTGCAGCCGCACAGCAGGGCTGCTCCCAAGTCTCTCCTGTTCAGCTGCACAGGCTTGCACTGCACAACTCAGGGGACAACATTTACAAAGACCATGCTGAGGAAGGCATGTCCTGGAGGGATCCATCATGGCAACCGTAGCTGCTACCTGCCCTGCTCAAGACTTACGATATTAGACCTCTTTACTTACCATCCTTCATGGTTGCCAAAATGCAAAAGCTTATCCAAAATTGTGATTACTGGTAAAGAAGAGAGACAGAGAGGTATGCCAGTAAGAGTTTTATCTCTTATTGAGAGATAGTCCCTAAAACTTTCCAAGTGGCTGGTCAATCCTAAAATGAAACAAGGTTACACATGTGTGATGCCTGCTGCCTCCTTATCTAATACAGCACCTGGTTCAGGGCAAGGGCTGTGGAGTTGCCAAGGTCAGGAGAGGGCAGGTCTATCTCGTTCCATCCAGGATCTCACAGGGCACTGAAGAGCACTGGGAACTAACTTGAGGGTGGCTGGAATTTTTCCCATAGGCCAATAGGGTACCATTAGTGGATTTCAAGAAGAAAAGTAACAGATCAGACAAAGGTTTCAAAAGCTCACATGGGCAGAATGGAGAAGAAACATCCCAAGGACTGTACACGAGGAAAATGGCCTGGACTGAGTCAGGAATAGAGAAAACGGGGCCTGGGAGAGGCACATTCTAGAAACTTTGAGTAAAAAATTGCAGAACTTGGGTTGCCGAGGATGTAGGGATGGTGAGGTTTCTGGAGCACTGTCCTGGATGGGAGGCAGTGCCATGGACTGACACAGAACCAATGGGCGGAGCTTTGGGGAAAGGGTGAGCTCTGCTTCAGATACACTGTCTGAGGCCTCTGGGCCACCCTGGAGGAGGTCTCTGTTAGACAACTGGGTCGATAGGGGCTGGAGCTCAGCAGGGAATTCTTGGACCAGAAATATAGATTTTGGAGACATTCACATAAACAACTGTCATTGAAGATTTAGATGTAGATGAGATTCCCCAGGATTTTTCGCAGAATGAGGAGAGGAGGAAGACCTCACCCAAGCGCAGGAGACATCAGCATCTGAGGCTGAGATGAGGGTCTGGGAATGGAGAAGGAAAGCTTCCAAGGTGGCTGCTTTTTGCCGCATCTCCCGAAGGAGAAAATCAGGTGAAAGGTGCTGTTTACAAATTAAACCACTACAATGAATCATGCCTCTAGGCCACAAGAAAAATCCATCAGAAACTTAAGTTACATAGAGAAATATACTTTTTAAAAAGGAACCAGTCTTAAAATAAATTTCCAATCTGCCTGTAGAACTTGGAGAAGTAGTGGAGGGAAAAGGAGAGATGGAAGCAAAGCATAGGACAGGGACCAAAGCCTGAAGGGGGAAGCGACAGGAGAGGGAGGGTGCTCTGCATGGACAGCTTGCCCTCCCGACCACCCCCCAGCTCAATCGCTGGCCCCAGGGAAGCAGACTGCATGACAATCGCTCACTTTCAGCACTACCATTTCCGCACATGTGAAAGCTGGAAAGAACAACTACTGCCTCTTTTCACCGCACAGATGACCTTTGCTAAATCCCTTAACTTCTCAACCTCACTTTGTGAATCTGTAAAATGAGCGGCAACATGTAGCTTCCAGGGCTACCATGAGGGACACAGTGGGGGTAACCACTAGGACACTGCCCAGCACCTTTTAGGTGCCAGATAAGATCCAGCTCTTAGTGGTCATGCCATTTGGGTCCAGGGTATTGTTCTAAGCAGCCCTTCTCCTTTTCCTAAGTATCAAGAGCTCCTCAGGCATGGGCTCCTCTTCATTTCGCTAGTGCATACCTCATTATTATTGAAAACGGTAGTAGTCATCAATTACCACTGACACAGCAGGAGGCTCTGCTGGGAACATAATTCTTTATGAGAATTTTGAAACAATAAACTAAATTTTGCTCACATAGTTCCTGCTTACAAAAACCTTTCGGGGACTGCAGTATCATAGAGACTGCTTATGCTGGACTCCCTTCAGTGAGCTCTGCTGATGAACACAGCACAAAGCAAATAAATATAAACGAATGAATAACCCCAATAGCCATCAGCAAAACTCACTTGTTTTCTTTTCCATGTGTTCTAAGATGTTTCCCCGTAGATTTCGCCTCTCTAATAACCTGTATATGATAATGAGAACATGGGTATGTGCTGGAAGCCCCTCTGCTGCTTACCTATGAGGGGCCCCAAGCACTCAATGTATGAAACAGAAAGCTGCTGCACTCACCTAGTGTCCCTAAGGGCAGCCTCTGCTCTCTCCCAGCCACCTGCTGAGCTTCCTCTGAGACCTTCTGAGCCCAGCCTGCCACAAAGGACTGGGTGAGTGCAGGCTACCTAGCAAGGCAGGAGGAGGTGGGAGAGACAGGGGTTCAGCCCAGCAGGACAATGACCCTGACTCATTCCACCAGGTCTCAAGGCCACAGTGAGCCTTGCCAGTTCCTTTCTAAGCCATCCTCCAGTTCGCAAACCTGTTCATCCACTTCTGGATTCCATGAGCCAAAATTCTCATCTTCCAAATTTCCACATTCTATTTATAATAAAGACACATTACTTAGGATAACATGATGGAGTTTCTCAGTCTCTTAATAACCAAAATGCATAACGTGAACCAGCAACAGGAACTCCCTCCACGACAGGCCATGATGGAACCTCAAAGAGAAAAATGCTATGATTATATAAACTTCACACATTGGGGCTTTAAGAACATACTCTGAAGTCTGTGAAAACAAATAAACCTAAAAGCTGTTGGAACCCCCCCCCAAAACACTTCAAGCTTTGAGAGAAATGTGACTGTGATCTGAGTCACATATGGTTACAATTTATGTTTCTCAGATTATAGATAACTCATTTTCTTCTTTTTCTTGCTCTGTACATTGACTAAAGGGAAACCATGTCAGGGTCAAAAGCCTCCCGCCCTCTGAATTAATGACCCTTGTTGTAGATTAACTCCCCCTTCATTGCCCTGCTTCGCTTAGACCAGGTGAAAGAAAACCCAGGACTATTACACCCTCTGTTAAGAAAATGTTAAATATCCCCTCCCCAAAAAGAAACATCACCTAGAGCCAATCAAATTGCTATAACATACACACCAACCTTGTATGAATAATGTTGTAATCCTGCTAAAAACTCCACTGTCTCAGCCCACATAAATGAAGCCTTCACTTCCTACTTCGGAAAACTGACTCCATTTCTTCGGAGTTGGTGTTTCTGGGTGGCCTACCTCACACTTTGTACTTATTTAAATGCTCTTTAAATCATATTCTGACCCCTTTCATTATTTTAGGTTGGCAAGTCAATCTGCTGAGGTTTGAATGCTAGGTCCGACTGCAGAAAATCTTGAGAAAGCCCCAGTCTCCTGAGCCACAGTCCACTCATCTGCAAAATGGACAGGAGGGCAGCACGGAGCCTGGGGCAGGGGTGGGAAGGCTGCACAGATGAAACACCATGTGCTTACTTAAAACAATGCTGCCACACAACAAGCACCTGCTAAGTGCTGGTTATCACATTGCCACCATCATCTGGAGAAATAAAATAAGGTTGGAAAGTTTTAAAAAAATACTCAAACATAAGA
Organism: Homo sapiens; assembly: GCF_000001405.40. Taxonomy (NCBI): domain Eukaryota; kingdom Metazoa; phylum Chordata; class Mammalia; order Primates; family Hominidae; genus Homo; species Homo sapiens. The sequence goes on from NC_000007.14 coordinate 55,557,457, forward strand.
TGTTTCAAAAAAAAAAAAAGGACTTAAAAAAACCCCATATGCTAGCAAGAAGGCTCTTATGTCTGTTTATATTTCAATCGTTGGCTTGACTTCCAATCTGAAAATTCCGATTCTTCAGGACCCATCTAACACCAACCCCACCCAAAATGAGTGCCCCATTAGAAAATACTGGAATATTGTGGGGATGGGAAAAGGAAGGGGCCAAGTAACTCTGCCCAGCCACAACAGAACAAAACACATACATAAGAAAGACATGCTGGATGCTGACTGATTTGCATTTTGTAAGGAGCTGCTGCAACCTACACACAACCACAAGGGCAGGACCGTCCGCAGAGAATGGCAGAATGGAAGGTGGAGCAAATGAGAGGGTGTGTAGAGCCTCTGAACAACTCAGGCCCGGGGCCTCCAACAGGAGGACTCCTAACCATGCCAGATAATGAACTTCCTCCAAGTCTGCACTACTTGAATTGGGTTTCCTATCACTGAGGGCCAAAGACGTTCTAATCAATATGCGGTTTAGTAAGTACTCTGTGGGGCATTGCAAGTACAGACAGACAAGAAAACCCTTCAACAGAGGGTGGAATGGCGTTGCGTGGGGTTGGGAGGAGGGGAAATTAGGTATTTGTCAAAAAGTACAAAGTTTCAGTTATGCAAATCAGTGAGTCCTAGAGGGCTGCTGTGCCACAGAGGTCCTGCAGTTAACACTACTCTACTGTGTACTTAGAAATCTGCTAAGGGGTAGACCTTATGACACACAATAATAATAATAATAATAACCAGACAGCAGGAGGAAACTTTTAGAGGCTTATGGCATAAATTGTGGAGGTGGTTTCATAGGTGCATGCTTATCTCCAAACTCATCAAGCTGTATACATTAATTATGTTCAGCTTGTTGTATGTCAAAAAAAATTAAATACAAAAGAATGAATTTTAAGAAAAAGAATATCCTTCATATTTTTAATATGTTCCTTAAACTTCCATCAGACAACTAAATGAAAACTCATACAAATAATGTGTTTCTCACCTGCTAACCTGTTCAGGTGTGCACACCTGCAGGGGTGACAGATGATGCTTTAATCGGGGAGAGGACCCTGCCACCCCAGAGACACCCTGCTAATGCCAATTCCAATCATCTCTGCTCAGCCTCCAGAGAGCCCAGGCATCCCTGTCCAGAGGCTACTGTGCTGTGTCAGGTGCTGTAAAGTCTCTTCACTTCCCAGATCCACCCACCCATCCATCCATGTCCAACCCCAGGCTCCTTGCAGACAAAGACCCAAAAGACAGAGTAAAAACTTCAGACTACATACAGCCTCAAACACAGCATGGCTACAGGGTGAACACCAAACCCTGGCATCATTATCATTAGTAAAGCTGACTGACAAAGAGCTATTTTAGTGTTCTGAGCCCTCTTCAGCAATAATAACGCAGAGTTGCTAAAAACCAAAGAAGAAAGCAAAGGAAAGGTCAGTGTTCAAGGTTAGCGACAAGATAGCCTCACTGAAAAGTTTAATACCATCCTGCATTTCCTTCTGAAGACCTAATTATATTAATTTTATTTGTGCCCAAAGCTTTGCAAACAACTTGAGCTATATATAAGTCACTAAGTATCCAGTGGATAGTAACGGTTTTTTAGTCTGCTCCCTCATCATCAGAGGGAGCCTCTGATGGCTTCAATGGGAGCCTGAGCCATCCATCAAAACAAGAACCATACACACAACTGAATTCAGATAAACAGGGTGGAGTTTAAAAAGGTACTGATTCTAGTGGTGACAATCATCACTAAATAAATCCACTTCCACTCTTGGCAGCTTCTCTGAATACATCACTAGGTCATGCTGACACTCAGAAAGGGACCAGAGACTCCTAATTAGGATGCCTACCCTTCCCATCTTATGGAGGAAGGTGAGCACTGCCCATTAGCAAGCCCCTGAGAGCAGCCGCTGACCGTGCCATTGGGCCGACCAACAGGCCACCACAGTGGAAGGACTCTAATGCCTGGCTCAGCTGACCAGGGCCCAGATGTCGTGATTTTGAAGTCCAGCTCCTTTTCTGCCAGGAAGTGATAAAAGCATCAATTGTATCAAGTAACCTGTGATCTCAATTTGTCCAAGGCTCTCATTATGAGAGAAAGCCTTCTCCCTATCTGCGATTTAACTTCTCATGCAATTCAGAAAGTCAGAGATGAATCTCAGCTTCCACTGGGGTGACTAGCTATTAATAAAACCAATACATATTTTTCCTGAGTCATTCCACCAAGAACTCAAAGCATAAAACAGACCTACAACCTATGTTAATGACTCCATCCCAACCCAGGGCACATGCAGTGGAACCGGCAAGTTCTCATTCACTCCACTGCCCATGTCAGCCCCACAGAAGAACCTCAGAACGTGGCAATGGAGTATAAAAACCTTTACTGGCCAGGCGCAGTGTCTCATGCCTGTAATCCCAGCACCGCACGAGGCCGTGGCAGGCGATCACCTGAGGTCAGGAGTTCCAGACCAGCCTGGCCAACATGGTGAAACCCCATCTCCACTAAAAATACAAAAATTAGCTGGGGATGGTGGCGCACGCCTGTAGTCCCCGCTACTTGGGAGGCTGAGGCGGGAGAATCACTTGAACCTGGGAGGCAGAGGTTGTAGTGAGCCAAGATCATGCCACTGCACTCCGGCCTGGGGAAAAGAGTGAGGCTCTGTCTCAAACAACAAACGAAAACAAAAAAAACCTTTACAACAGTGATTTCACTAAAATATCCATTTTAAGCAACATTTTTTTTCAACCTTGTGGCAAGCAAAGTAATGCCACCTCCTGCCCACAAAGATGTCATCGTCCTAATCCACAGAACTGGGAATGTCACCTTAGGTGGCAAAAGGGGCTTTGCAGACGTGATTAAGTTAAGGATCTTACAATGAGGAGATTATGCTGGGTAATTCAGGTGGGCCCAATGTAATCTCAAGGGTCTTTACAGTGACAGAGAGAGAGAAGCATGAGAGAAATTAGAAGACACAGAATCGCTGGCTTTGAAGGGGAGGAAGGGACCACCAGCCAAGAAACACAGGCAGTCCCTAGATGCTGGGACAGGCCAGGAAATGAATCCTCCCTGGAGCCTCCAGAAGAAACATGGTCCTGCTGACATTCTTGAATTGAGCCCACTGAGAGCCATTTAGGACTTCTGACCTCCAGAGAGGGAAGATAATAAATCTGGATCGGTTTAAGCCACCAAGTTTGTAGTCACTTGTTATAGCAACAACAGGTAATGAACACAGAGGTCACAGCAAGTTCTTCTCTAGTAGGCCAGTAGCCTCACTCTCCCTTCTCTGCACCTGTCCCATACCCTCACCTCACTCCCATGTCAACCTCTACTTTTTTACCAAATGCCTTGTTCATTTTCCAATCCATCAACCATCTTCTAATTTTACACACTCAAGAAATGACCCTAACATAGCCATCATAACAATAATTCCCCAAAATCCTCTCACTCATGATGCACTGCCATCCCGCGTCAATCCCCAGTCTGGCAGCCACCCTTCTACCTCCCTGCTTCCATGCTGCTTAGGGGGCCAGTCAGGGCAGCTGGCTGTATCCAAGACTGCCCGAAATGCTCACTCTGCACCCCGACCATGGATGCTCTGAGATGCACATGCACAGCTTCCCAGGACCCTCACCACAACCGCTGTGCGACCTTCACCATGACCTGGAGGCCCAGGTCCTTCCCAGCTTATCTCTGTGGCTTACTTCAACGCAAAGTTCCTGACATCCCACCCAGGTCACCAACCTTTCCCCACTGAACTTCAACTCTATGTGCACCTTCCCTCTTGATGACCTCCTTCCTCATCTCCTTCCTCACATCCCCACTCCCCTTCCAAAGCCTAACCTCTACACCCAAGCTCCCAAGCCCATCCCCCTCACTGTGCCAAACCCTTCTGGAACAAACAGGTCCTCTAGGAGCTTAAGGTCTAAAGAATTTACAGACCAGGCCGGGCACGGTGACTCATACCTGTAGTCCCAGCTCTCTGGGAGGCCAAGGCGGGCAGATCACAAGGTTAGGAGTTCAAGACCAGCCTAGCCAATATGGTGAAACCCCGTCTCTACTAAAAATACAAAAATTAAGTGGGCGTGCTGGTGGGCACCTTATGTCCAGCTACTCAGGAGGCCAAGGCAGGAGAGGGGGAGGCGGAGGTTGCAGTGAGCCAAGATCATGCCACTGCACTCCAGCCTGGGTGACAGAGCAAAACTCTGTCTGGAAAAAAAAAAAAAAAAAAAGAAGAAGAATTCACAGACTGCTCCCCTCTTCCAAAAAAAAAAAAAAACAAACAAGCAATTACAGTATCTGAGCTCAGAGCACGTGGGAGTAGCTTGCCTAGGGAGTAGCTTGCCCAAGTCGGGGACTTAACTCATACCCAAGTGGACAATGAGAGTAGCCTTCCATGACACCACCTGAGGGTCTTCAAGTATGGTGGGAGTTGAAACGGCAGTCAAAGGAATGGGAAAACAGGAAGTGAAAGTATGGTGCCTTCAGGACCCACAGTAGTCGGTTCAGTCTGCTGTACTGGATGAAGACTTCTGATCCTCATCTATGCATCAGAAGCAATGTGCATCTGTTAAAAAATAAAGATGACTAGGCTCCAGGTGCAGGTAATTGTTCGAAACTCCCTACCTCATTCTAATGTACAGCCAACGCTGAGAATGGCAAGGAGGTCTCTGTAGATACTGAAAGCTTTCCAAGGGCGCTCCTCCATACTGCTAAAGGACTCGAATTCCAAACCTTCAACCTCCATGGGTCTGCTTTCCTAAAGCTGACTGCCTGAGACACAGGCCCTGGTCCGGATGCTGGTCAAGTGACAGTGCTAATTCCCCGTTTACAGTCACCCTTCTCTCCCTTTACAAAGAAAGGCACACCTCCCTCCCATTTCTAGTCTTACTGGGATGTGCTGGTCCAGAACTAAAAAACTCTCTCAAGTACCAATCTAAGGCCACTGAAAATACTGGTAGTGACACTGTTAAAGAGAAATTGTTCTGACACTTGTCAAAAATGGTAAGGCTTTATTCAAGACTATTGCAATAGGGGTCAATCTATCACAACAGCAAGACAGACTGACCTCAACTCCAAATACAACCAAAATCAGTGTGAATTCACAGCCAAGGAGCAGAGTGAGGGGGTCAACGGATACAAAATTGCTAAGAGGAGAGGCATGATGGGTAGAAGTAAGGAGGAATTCTTGCTGAAGACAGCCTAAGGTGATCAGATATTAAGCGTGAGGGGATGACTTGGCAGGACTCTTGCTGAAACTGAGCTCCACTGAGGACAGACACAGAGGGCAAGGTGGAGGCCTAGTGAGAAGAGGGCTCAGAGGATCCCAACCAAAGTTTGGTCAAGGGGAGAGTTTTTGTCAACGCACGCCTTGCATCTCAACTGGTTTCAAATTCTTTGCTTTCAATTAAATTGAAAGATGACCTAATTGTAGATTACTATGCGGTCTGGGCACATCACTCGGAAGTTCAACATGAAACTTTTTCCATTTCCATCAGTTATACATGCCCTAACTTGAAATATCCTCGTCCATCTCACTCAGAAATTTATTTCCAGTAAATTTTACTGTTTATGTTTAATAATATTCAATTGGTAATACATGTATAGTGTCAATCAAATGTGCAATAAAAATGATAAATCAATTAGTCTTTTTAAATTTTTTGGAGGTATATCTGAGGAAATGTTTTAAAAATTAATTTCGATACAGATTTTGTTACAAAAAACGACAGATCAAAACTAGACTTTCAAGCATAAATATATATTATTAGAAGAAAATTCTATAAAGTAGAAATTCAAAAAAGGAATGCTATATTTGCAACCATTAGAGAAGATTATTTGCGTTTTTTAAAAAAATCAGTATCAAATTGCTAATGGTATTTAGATTCCACTGAATACATTAAAAGAGTGATATTATAGTTGAATTTTTAACAATGTTTACAATACATGAGAAATCAAATCTATTGTAACCATTTAAAATCTATGATAAACAAGATCACACAGGTTGAGTATCCTTTACCTGAGATGCTTGGGACCAGAAGTGTTTTTGGATTTTGCATCTCTTTGGATTTTGGAACATTTGCATATACACAGTGAAGTATCTTGGGGATGGGACCCAAGTCTAAAGATGAAATTCATTTATGTTCATATATATCTTACACATATAGCCTGAAGGTAATTTTATACAATATTTTTAATAATTGTGTGCACAAAACAATGTTTTGGCTGTGATCTGTCACACAAGGTCAGGTGTGAAATTTTCCACCTGTAACATCACACTGGCACTCAAAAAGTTTCAGATTTTGCAACACTTAGGATTTTTGATTTTCAGATTAGGGTTGCTTAACCTGTATGTTCCACTTAAAATTATGTGAGAGGGTATATAGCTTTTGAAAATTCCCTAAAAGAGTATAAGAGCCAAAATTTTGACAACCTTTGAGCTAGAGAAAGCTGCTCAATTTGGGAGGAAAGAAATGAGAAGGAAAGAAAGGAGAATTCCTGAAGAAATTCTAAGGAGGAAAAACAGTGTTTGGAATTTATCTTGAGGGCAGCAGAGAAGAACAGAGGTTGCAGAGATTTAATCTAAGGGAACCCCACGTTGTTTTACACAGCTGCCCTTAGGCTATAGGAACCTGGCTTCACAGCTTCACTCACCGCAGGCCTGGCTGCTTTTCTCTCCAACTAAAGGGAAGGAGGGGGAACTAGGAACTAGGAGCTTCTTCAATAATAATCTCATCAACACACTCTTTCTCTCTGTCTCTGTCTCTCTCTCTCTCTCTCTCTCTCGCTCGCTTGCTCTCTCTCACTCTCCTCTTCTCCCCACTCCCCATAAGGGTTTAGGATCTGTCCCCACCCTCTCCATAATGCCATGTTTTGGCCCTTGATGACACTCAGATCACAAAACACCAAGAGAATGAGGCCAACTAAAGAGCTAAAGAGTTTCACTCATCTTTCCTCTCAGTATTAAAAGTCAAGCTGTCACCTGAGTAGCTGCTCAACCATCCTAGCAAAAGAGATGGCTATGGACCCTTTTTTTGTCTTACCTAGGGCAGAAATTAAGAGCCAACTATGATCACAATCACAATCTTGCTTTCCCTTGCTATGGACGCTTATGACAAAGTTTCTTCTTAATCTAGTCACAGATAATAACAAGCAAGCCCACTTTTTAATCGACAGGATAAGGAAACCCTCCCTCCTGTCCGCAGGTGTGCAGCCACCTGGGCACAGGAAACTTGCTTGGGAATGACTGACAATATAAATACTCTGTTAATCCACCCTGGGCCACAAGTTCCAGACCAAGTAGGGAATCTTCCAAAGGGCCTCCAGCAACACTGAGGGATTTCTCTTTACAGGTGTATGTCAGTGGGAGCTTAGGTTTACTCAAAGACTCCCAGGCAACTCCGAAGGAGTTGAGATTCTGTAATACATGGTCATGGCACCATCCAAATGTGACTCCTAACGACCACCAGATATGCCCTATGCTTGAAGCAAGCAATTGATCGATTTCAAACCTAATTTACCGGATAATATCTCTTTGTTCTGGTCTGAGGACATTGTTCTCTTGTTGACAGTTTTGAAGTATATAGCTGTACTTCCTGAAATTTTATATATATATGTATTAGTCACTGCCTCCCTGTCTTCATTGACCATTTGATTCTTTAACCCTGACAAGGGAAGGTCACTGTTTGCCAATTATCGAATCCGATGGCCTTCTGCAAGGCCTCTTCTCTACTGTTCTACGGTATCTGAATGCAGATCACCTTCGCGTTTAGACACCCTCCTCCCGCATTCTAGACTCTCATTTGTTGGATCTCTTTTCACCAAGGACAGATCATCAAACACTTCAAAACCAGCATTTAAAATTAAACTCTGACTTTTTAAAATTAAGGATATCCTTACTCTCCAAGTCAAAATCTCAGTCATCCAACTCCACCCAGAATCTCTGTAATTGACTCTGCTCTATTCAACATGTTTGTTAATCAGTTGGATAAAACCAACAGGAGTATAATCAAATCGGTCCATGGTACAAAACAATATGGGACACTGGATTTTAAAAAATAGTGTTCAGACATATGTTGATAGGCTTAAGTAGATGAGATGAATGATTAATGTGAAATTGGAAACAATGTAAAGTCCTCAATTTAGGTTTTTAAAAAATAATAAACAGCTCTACAACTATTGTGAGGTGTGGTGGATTAGCAGCAGCACATGTTAAAAAGATTTCGGTCTCACTGCAAACTCAGGGTGAATCTCCTGGCTGCAGGGGTGGAGGTGGGAGGACGCACTAGTATAAACTAGTATAATTTTATCTGCTTAATGACAAGGGCCAAAGGTTTTGATGCTGCCAGTCAGACCACACCCACAGAACAGAGCTTCCTATTGTTCAATAAGTGCCAGTGGGGAGGACCTGGAGGGGAACCAAAGGTTTCAGCACAAACCACAAGAAACACTGGATTCACCCCAGCCCACTTAACACTGGCAGATCCAAAACCAATCTCCGATCCCAAGATCACAGGAGAGTGCAACCCAAATACCACACACAGACAGCAAACAGGCCCTGCAGACCTCACAAAGGTGCAGCAGCTCATGAAGCCAATGAAAGTGACAAAAGATCTAGCAGTCAAGCCATTTAATATGAACCAAAAGGTGGCCAAAGGAGAATGATATGAATAAAAAGGACAAAGAGAAGCTGGAGGTGGGGGTGGTGGGAGTTTCCAGACCAGCGCAACTAATTCTGGGGAAAAAACTTTCACTATGATCATGCCACTGAAGTCCAACATCAAGTGAAGACTGTCTTATGTGCATTATAGAATTTTGTCAGGAAAATTACACTGTCCCCCCAAAATGGACTCATCATTCTAAAATGAGTACTCAGAGCCTGACCAATATGGTGAAACCCCGTCTCTACTAAAGAAAAAAAAATACAAAAATTAGCTGGGCTGTGGTAGCGTGTACCTGTAATCCCAGCTACTCAGGAGGCTGAGGCAGGAGAATCACTTGAACCCAAAAGGAAGAGGTTGCAGTGAGCCGAGATCATGCCACTGCACTCCAGCCTAGGCGACAGAGGGAGACCATATCTCTAAATAAATAAATAGATTTAAAATAAAATAAAATGAGTACTCAGGATGAAATTAACTTTTATGTTTACAATTTGATATTTGTTTTTCCAAAATAAAGTCCCAACCGAACTTTTTTTCCACTTTGACTAGGAAATGTTGATCCCTGATTCACATGGATTAATGGCTAAGTGGCCTTTTTCTAGGACCAATTATTTTCAGATATTGAGGACATCCTCATCACCATCCAGTCCAAAATTTTCAAACTGCAGCTATGAGGATGGTGAGATGATTTAAAACCATGTTTTGAAACAACAGAAGGTGAGGCCTGGAAAAGAACACACACACAAAATGGGACCACACAGCTGTGTTAGAAGACTGAGGGCCTGTCATTGTGATATTTCTGAAAAGCCCATGAGTGCAGACCTAGGACCAGGCTGAAAATACTGTCATTTCCCCTCAATATTACAGAAAACTTTAACAACTGAAGTTGCCCCAAAAGTTGATACTTTGTCTTAAGGCACAGTGGGTTTCCATCACTAGAGGTGCTCTGCTGCCCTCCAGCCCCTGATCAACTGCCTCTTCTTTTCCCACTGCCCATCTACTCAGCTCCTGCCCACAGGGCTCTTACCACTGACGGCTTTACTCATTCAAGTCTCCATCGAGTCCCTGCTCTGTGCCAGGCATGGTTCCAGCAACTAAGGATATGTCAATCAATAAATCAGAGCAAAACCTTTGCCCCTAAATTGCTTACATGGTAGAAAGTAAATTCTGTCATATTTTAAAGATAGTTATGGGAAAAGGAGGATATTGGTCAGAGTTAAGGTAGACTAGGGAAAGAACTGAGAAGAAATTTTAAATAGGGTGGTCAAGACAGACCTCACTGAGAAGGTGAAATCTGAAAAGCTTCATCAAGAGGACATGATAGAGTGAGTTCTAGGAAATGTCCTTGCCCTGCAGAGCTAATCAAGTGAGCACTAGCCTAATCCTATCCTTGCCATGTATTTCTAAGTCATTTACCCTCCGTTAGCCTTTATAGCTGTGCCCAAAGTAAAAGAAAGCAAAAACCAAGGAAAGCCCCAGGTCTGGGCCCAACGCCCACAGGCCTCCTCAGACACCTGGACCCAGGCTTTCCCCACTTCAGAGCAGAGCTCTTGCCAGCCGGTTCATTTATTGCTGCCACTTCTCACCCATGACCACCTGGCCTCCCGTGGAGTTTCCAGAGACAGCAAACTCCCTGCAGGATTCTTTTTCATTCAAATTGCATGTTGCCTGGTTTCTAAAAACTCTTAAGAGTGGGTGGGCTGAAAGGTTTATTTCAGGAAATTGGCAGCCAGGGACTGCCACATTTGTTGGAATTCCAGGGCACAAAAGACATTTGGCAAGAGACAAAAAACACTCTTAAACATAACTCAGTTCTAATTTCCAGACTCCCAGGCATCAAAATACACAGAACTTCAGAAAAATACTCAGTGATCTTATTATTTTTCCCTAGTTCAAAGATAATGTCCACTTTGCAACCCTCTCTAAGAGACAACTATTCCTTTTTTTTTTTTTTTTTTGAGACAGTCTCACTCTGTTGCTCAGGCTGGAGTGCAGTGGCACAATCTCCGCTCACTGCAAGCTCCGCCTCCCGGGTTCACGCCATTCTCCAGGCTCAGCCTCCCGAGTAGCTGGGACTACAGGCGCCCGCCACCACGCCCAGCTAATTTTTTGTATTTTTAGTAGAGATGGGCTTTCACCGTGTTAGCCAGGATGGTCTCGATCTCCTGAGCTCGTGATCCACCCGCCTCGCCCAAAGTGCCGGGATTACAGGCATGAGCCACCGCACCCAGCCTGACAACTGTTCCTTTTTCTAGTCCAAGAAGATCTGTTCTTTTGCCCAACAGCATTGAAGCACAAAGCAACGTGGCTTAAGCGTTTCCAGCTCTTGGTTCCTGGGAAAGATCAGAAAGATAATGAGTAGTCCCTTAACTAAAATAAGTCTATCTCCTTGGAAGCAGAGGCACTGGTATTGGTGAGTTTTACACTAAATAGCATACTATACATTTCTGGGCTCACTTCAGTAAGAACAGAGCCCTTCAAACAAATACTAAGTAGATTTCAAAAGTGTAACCAACCAAACCTCTAGAAAGAGAATGCAGTGACAATATCTAGAAAACAATGCACACAACAAAAAGCCCCAGGGAGGTGCATATGCTTAGGGCCTCATTACTCTCGGGATTCAACTGAAGTGTAGTCAGTTTTAAAACCTTTTTTTTTCCTTTTAGTTTCTAAGGAGTTACTGTGTGAAGGCCACTGAGAATAACTTCAGCAGGGCTACTAGGAGACAGCTTAGTACTTTCACTCTTCCTGTAAGGATTGTTTGCAGGACCTCACTTCAGCCAGCTGGCGGAACAAAGGCATAGAACCTTAGCATTTTATGAACCAAAAAGGCCTCTGAGGTTCCCTACTCTTAGCCACCCTTAGAATCTGCCACATTCGTGGCCTGGGTCCCTGGATCATAACCAGCTGGCACAGAGCAACAGGGGAGAGGGAGATAAAATCAGGGCCCTCACTGGCTGTGCATGTAATTCACAGGAAACTCTGAGTTAATAGAAAAGAAAGGTCAGTCCAGTAATGAGCTTCCAAGAAGCCTCCCTAGGAGAGGGATGGTGCTGTCAGCTGCTGCCGGTTCCTCCCTGAAGCCCTACCTGGGCTTCAGGAGGGGAACACAACCAGGGTTTCTCAGGAGAGTCCTGGTGATGCCCACTGTCCAGGCACAGCTCTTAACAACATCCTATTTCACTCTTCAAAGTGCCACCGTTTGTAGGCTAAATCACATGGTCTTTCTAAGGAAGGGTGACTGAGTTTCTAAGGGGAATACACTTTCCAGGGCCACCACTGCCCTCGCGATGTAGAGCATGCAAATTCCTAACATGTTCCTGTGTGCGCAGACGGCAGAGGAAGCAGAGCATCGAGGTGGGGTACACACTGGAACCAGACTGCCTGGGTTAGCATCTTAAGCCCTCACACTTAACAGCAGTGTTAAGTGTTCACTTCCCATTTGAAACAAAAATGAAGATAAAAGTAATTGCTAGCAGGATTAATGAGATAACGTGTAACATTTATAGAACAGTGCCTGGCAGTTACCCTGGAGCACTCTATGAATGTTTAGTAAGCAAACATAAATATGCAGTTCTATGTCTAACAGGTAAGTAAATTTCTACAAAGGGATGGTGAGGCAGGGGAGGAAAGCACTTCTCAAAACAGTCTTTGGATTGCCCTTCCTACTCAAGGACCTCTCACTAACACAGAAACCCCTGCGCATGTGAGATTCTGGATGGTGCTAGATAGGGCCAGGGTGCTGGGGGTGGGAACAGAGTCACCACTGCCACAAGGCCACCCCTTAATTTCAGGTGGTTTATGATCAACCACGTGGCAAATTTATACACTGAAACCAGCTCAGGCAGAACAAAGGAACAAAGACAAATTTCCCAGGTTGCAGCCGGCAGTCAGAAGCCAGAAGCCACCAAATAGCTCCCTGGGTTGCTTTTATGCACTCAACCTGAAGAGAGCCATTTGCCATGGCACATGCTCCACACCTACGACTGCACATCCATGTATGTGATTCAGGACTTCAGAAGCATCACAGGTATTCATCAGAGCACCCCACCAGAGATGAAAAAATCTCAAATATAAATCTCATACATAAAATTTCATGTGATAAATGATGAAGAAATCTCCTTAACTCCTCAGAGAGACGCCTCTCCAGCACAAAGTGGTGGTACTTAGGATAATCATCATGTCAAAGTGGGTGACATCACACTGTCCCCTCTGAAACAATCATCTAATATTTGACTGTGAAAGTATCATCTTAGGCATTTAGGTTTCAGTTTTACATCACACTTCTGCCTTTAAGGTCGTTTCAACTTTGCAGACATGATCTGAACTCCTATTAAGAGGATACATTCCTATGCAACGAAACAGCTATTTTGGAAAGAATGGAGTCACTGAGGCCGTCTAGGCTACATATAGGGCACAGAACCACTCAGACAGAAGGCTTGGGAGACATGGGTGGCACAAACTAGAATGAAAGAAACGCTAAATAATTTCATCAAGTGCCGATTAAAAAAGATTGCAGGGCCGGGCGCGGTGGCTCACCTTGTAATCCTAGCACTTTGGGAGGCCGAGGCGGGCGGATCACCTGAGGTCAGGAGTTCGAGACCAGCCTGACCAACATGACGAAACCCCGACTCTACTAAAAATGCAAAAATTAGCCGGGCATAGTGGTGGGCGCCTGTAGTCCCCGCTACTGGGGAGGCTGAAGCAGGAGAATAGCTTGAACCCAGGAGGCGGAGATTGCAGTGAGCCAAGATCGCGCCACAGCACTCAAGCCTGGGCCACAGAACGAGACTCCATCTCAAAACTAAAGAAATAAATAAATAAAAATAAAAAATAAAGATTGCAAGTATAGGTACACACATTAAGGTACAAGCACATCTGTTTTCATGCGATTACTGGTCTCTGATTCACTTCTTTGTTCTCTATGGTGAGTCACTCAGAGAATGTGATTCCTAAGGTTCTAAAATTCTGAATAAATGGAAAGAATGCAAGCAGAGGCACTCCACAAAAACATTAAATACCAAGCTACGGGGATATTTCCGAACAGAAACAGGAAGTCTCGGCTATGGCAGAGCCTGGAGCAAGGAGAAATTTGTCCACCAGCCTTCCTTTCAGGAAACACTTTTCCTCCAACATTTTGTAATAATTACTTTTTAATAAAGGGCGAAGACAAACTAGTAATTTCCAGCACCAATCACTAACTATTAAGGAAGATAGTTTCACAACTTCCTAAAACAGAGGCATGGGATTCATTACCTATTTCTTTTGACTTCATTAATTTAACGCAAATTTCCTTCAGAATAATGAAACTAAGGAGAAAGTTGAACAAGCCCTGATTCAGACTGGACACCCCAGAATTCCTCTAGTTCGCATTTTAAGGAACCTGCTTTAGTGAGAAGTATGTGGCCCCATCCGAGGATGCAATTTCACAGCCAGGAGCAGCCGCGGTCCCCGCCAGGGATGCGGTCACGGGCGCTCGCACCCGGAAGCCGCTCAACAAGTTCCCCGCCGGCTTCGGCTCCGCACCCCCACCCAGCCAGGCTCTCCGCAGAATTTCCTCCCCGCACCTAAAGGCTGCACTTCATTTTCACACGCGGGAACGCCTCCTCCCGCTGCTCACCTCCACAACTCCCGGCACTCCCGCGACACTTCCCCACAGTCCCCTCCGCCCGCTCCCCTCACCCCGGCTCGGCACCCATCCTTTCCTAACCCCAAACTGCCCGGCGCCCCGGGCTCTCCGCGCCTGCGCCGCGCCCGAGGACCACCCCCGCCCAACCCCGGGTCCATCCGATCCTCGGCCCTCTGCGGCGGGGAGAGGGGGCGGACGGTGCACAAAGGTCACCCCGAGCTAACGGAGGCGGTCGGCGCGGGAAACGCGCTCACCCGCAGGGTGGGGGCGGGGTGCGAAAACCGAAGGAACGACGGAAGGCGCGGACCGGGGCGGGAGCCTCCCCGTCACCAGGGTCCCGCACCTCCCAGCTCCGGGAGGCGCGCAGGGCTGTGGCTCCCCGTCGCTCCACCGTCTGCGCTCCCAGGCAAGGTCCTCTGGGGCGCCTCGGAACTGCGCGCCCCCAGCCGCCAGCATGGTGGGCGCCGCGCCTCCGGCAGCACCCGGTCCCCGGCCCCTACCTCCAAGAGCAGCCCGAGCAGCAGCGCCGCCACCTTCGCAGGCTGGCGCCTCATGGCTCCTCGCGTCCTCTCCAGCGCGCCCGGACGCCGGGTCGCAGGCGCGCTTCGCGACTCGGCCCCCGCGCGGGGCGGGCGGGCAGACTGCAGCCGGGAGCCGTCCCGCCGACCGCTGGGGGGCCCGGCTGGGAGCGGGCGGGAGCCGGGGCGCGCCGCGCAGCCCTGGCTGCGCTCCGCCCCCGGCCGCCGCGCGCTCCCGACACGCCCGGCCGGGCGCGCGCCTGCGGGCTCCCGGAACCCGAGGCCCGGCCTGGGGCGCGGCTGCTGGGCGCTAGGCCCGCGACGCTGAGGTGCGCGCGCCCCGGGCGGGAGGAGGGGCTGCACCGCCTGGCGAATGGGAGGGGGACTGGCAGGCTCTCCCTTCCCAAGGGAGGTCGTCCTGTCGCCCTAGACTAAACCCAGGAAGGCTTTTAAAAGAAGCAGAGTCTCCGCGGGGGGAAGCTTGTTCCCTGAGAGGTGGCCGCAGACGAACCCACTGCTCAGTCTGGCATCCCGAAGCCGCTCCGCTCCTGGCTCTCCCCGCTGTTCCTGCGCGCAGCGGGGGCAGTGCCCCCACACCCACGCGTGATGGGAAGGCCGGCCTGGGGGTGGGAAGGCCCACCGAAATAGATGGTCCCCACACCTCACTGCTTCCTTGGATGTGGCTATTTTTTATGCCAGTGTTCTCCTGCTCTGACCCTACTTGAACTTGACCGCAACCGGCCCCGCCTTGCAGGCCACCCTCCCGCAGCAGAAAACTGTGCGGAGCTCGCGCTGTCCTCGCCTCCGCTGACCCCACCTCCATGTCCTCACAGACACTATTTTTTCACAACACAGCTCAGATCCCACCTTCTTCATGAGGTTATTCAACAAACACTATTAAACTTGTAAGATGTACCAGATCCTGAGTTGGAGGCTGAGAGGAGGACAAGAAAACTGCTCCCGTAGCCTAGAGGGAGGGAGAGTCGCTTAAACCACCTGATGCAGAATGCTGAGTGCGGAGACCAGGAGGTGGGTGCATCACAGAGGGTCATAAAGGACATGAGCTGCGCAGTACAGGAGGTGGAAGGAGGGGGTCACACGAACAGATGTCACCCGAGGCAAGTCCCCAACTCTTTCCCAGCTTTCAAAGCCTAATTTGATTAATATAGAGCATGCACCACCTGACTATACCTGTCAGAGCCAGAACTTACAAGTAAGACAGAAACAATGCCTATGGCCTTCAGTCATGCTAAGGCACCTATCTGACAAGCCTGCCAAACGCCATTGAACTCTAGTAGTTTTACTATTTACAATGAGGACATTTTACAACTCTTTTTAATGGAAAAGTTAACTTGTAGAAAACTAAGCTGAAAGCTTATTGTGTGTTAGCAAGACAAATGTTTTTCCAGTGGGGATAGAAGTGATCTCGTCCTGTAAAAATGCAAATGGGCCAGGCAGGGTGGCTCATGCCTATCATCCCAGCAGTCTGGGAAGCTGAGGTGTGAGAATTGCTTGAGCCCAGGAGTTCACCAACCCCAACCTGGGCAACACAGCAAGAACCTGTCTCCATTAAAACGTGTGTGTGTGTGTGTGTGTGTGTGTGTATAAGACAAATGACCCCTGCTTAAGGTGAGAATCATAACCAGCTTCCTATCTGATTGAGCCACTTCATTCCCAGCGTTTCCTTTCTCTTTTCTCCCCGCTTTTGACTGTGTGTGTAGGTCACTTGCCTGCATTCTCCTTTGAAGCACCTTTGTCATCCCACTGTTTCCATCATTAATGGGTTAAAATGGAACTTTGACTTGTGTCCACGATGTATTCGTGTGCAAATTGTGGTTCTGTTGCATTGTGAGCAACCTACTAGTGTCTGACATAACCTCCCTTCTGCATCTCTCTCTGCCTGGAAGATTGTTTTGCTGAGCTCGACTTCCTGTAATTTGTGCAAGTTTTTTTCCAAGAATAAAATTAGAACTGTGACTCTGCTTTCACCTCAGTCTGATACCTCTCCTGTGTGCTCTCTGTTTGGTCCTGAATGATGTGGTGGTTGCTTGGCATGGTTGGAGGATGGGGTGTAGGCTAACCAGCCAGGCTGTTTCCTTGAGCACAAATTATAAGGGCATCAGATACCACTGAAAAAGTTACAAGATAAAGCTGCATTCACTAGAACAACTGTTAAAGTTGGACTTGGGGTTAGAAGAAAGTTCTTGATGAGTTGTTTGGGGCAGGACTGGACATGTCCTGGTCTGCTCAGCTGCCCCTGAGGAGTAAGGACCCAGAGCCTGGAGCATGTGTGTTGCCAAAGGAAACAAATAAGAGAGAGACTGGGCTTGACCTGTAGCTTCCCTGCAAAACTGTGGAGTCTACATGAATGATGAACATGTATTTCATTTATTCAATAAATATTTATCTGCATCTGTTTTGGGCCAGGCACTATTCTGGACATTTCGGATACAGCCCTGAGTAAAATAGACAAAGCAGTGGCATAAAAGGCAGAGTGGCTGCTGTCATGCAGATTTCAATCTAGTGAGGGGTAACAGAGAATAGAATAAATAAATAAATATGTATATAAGTGCCAGAAAGAAAAATAAATTGAGTGAAACATTTGGAAGGTAAGACTGAGTGTAATTAAAAATACAAGGGTCGGCCGGACACAGTGGCTCATGCCTGTAATCCCAGTACTTTGGGAGGCCGAGGAGGGCAGATCACCTGAGGTCGGGAGGTCGAGACCAGCCTGACCAACATGGAGAAACCCTGTCTCTACTAAAAATACAAAATTAGCCGGGCATGGTAGTGCATATGTCTGTAATTCCAGCTACTCGGGAGGCTGAGGCAGGAGAATCGTTTGAACCCGGGAGGCAGAGGTTTTGGTGAGCCGAGATCGCACCATTGCACCCCAGCCTGGGCAACAAGAGCTAAACTCCGTCTCAAAAAAAAAAAAAAATAGGAGGGCCAGGCCAGGCCCCTATGGCAAATTGCCAGGAGCAGAGACCCAAAGGTAGGAAAGGGGGCAAAACAAGACTATTAATCAAAGCTTTGAGGCAGGAAAAACGGGCCTGAGGAATTTCCTGACAGGATCGGTGAGGCTGGAGCTCTGTGCTCCCTTAGCAGGGGTAGAATCTGAATTCAAAGAAGAAATGGACGCTCAGATTTGTAGTCCATTATAAGGATCTTGGATTTAGTTCTGAAAGAAATGGGATATCATTTGAGGATTTTGAGCTGAAAAGTAATGTAATCTGGCTTAAGCCTTCAAAGCATCAGCCCTAGTGCTGTGTAGAAAACAGACTAGGGCAGGGTTGGGAAGGGTGGAGGGAAGGGTGGAGGCTGGAAGAGCAGTGAGGAGATGGATGTGATGTTGATACCAGTGGGCTAGGGGAGGTCCCCCAAATGCCAAGGGGATCTTGACCTCCGCCGGTGTCCAGCCTCTTGACACCATCACAAGAAGGAATTCAAGGATGAGTCGAAAATAGTGAAAGTATGATTTATTGCAAAGCAAAAAGCACTCAAGAAAGCGATTGCTGGCATACTCAAGAGAGAGTTGTGCAAATGGAGTTTGGGGCTGCTACTACCTTTATGGGTTTCTTTAATCAAGAGGTGGAATATTCATGAAAATTTCTGGGAAAAGGTGGAGAGTTCTTGGAACTGTGATGCAACCCATTTGTACACCAAATGTGGGTGTTCTTGGAACTGTTATGGCACTGGTAAGTGTGTGATTTAGTATGTTAATGAGTGTATAATGAAGTCCTAGGTGAAACCTGGGTCAAGCCCAGTGCTATGTTGGATCCAGTCAGTCTTAGCCAGCTTGGTCCACACCTTCGTTTTTCGGGGTCTTAACAGCCCACAGCCTCTAGTCATGTGAAACTGCTCCCTGGAATTTTTTATTCTCCTGTGATCACCCTGTTTTATTCTTGTGTCAATGTGGTCCTTGTGCCAACAAAAAAGAGTCAACCTTTGTAAAATATTTGAAGAGATTTATTCTGAGGTAAATATGAGTGGCCAAAGCCCAAGTCAGTCTCAAGAGGTTCGAGAACATGTGCCTAAGGTAGTTGGGTTGCAACTTGATTTTATACATTTTAGGAGAACAGAAGTTACAGGCAGACATCAATCAATACACGTAAGGTGTACATTGGTTTGGTCTGGAAAGGCAGGAAAACTTGAACTGGGGATTAAGGGGCCTTCCAGGACATAGATATTTTCAAAGATTTTCTGTTTGCCAATTGGTTGAAGAAGTTAAGTTATTATCTAAAGACCTGGAAACAACAGAAAGTCGTGTCTGGGTTAAGATGAGGCTTGTCCCACCTCCTGTCCCATCATTGCCTGAACTAGTTTTTTAGGTTTCCTTTGGGATTCCCTTGGCTGAGAGGAGGGATCCATTCAGTTAGTTGGAGTCTTAGAATTTTATTTTTGGTTTACACTCACACTCCCTGGTGTCTGCATTCAGCCCTCTGTATCATAGTTGTTTAAGTGGCTATTTCTCCATTTAGATTCCAGGCAAGGGATGAGGTGACTTGTTGTGTTAAATCAAGTTTAGCCTAAAGTTCATACATGTTTAAGTTCAACCTAAAGATTTTTCTGTTCATGGTGAACTATAACAAGTGGAGGTGGAAACAAACCATAGCCTACACTTGTGCCAATCAACAAGTTTTGGCCAATCAAATGTAGCCAAGTGTTCAAACTGTGTTCAAATAAGGCAAACGCTGAGTTGCAACCAATCCAGCAGTTTCTGTGCCTCACTTCTGTTTTCTGTAGATGACTTTCCTTTTTCTATCCATAAATCTTCCACCATGTGGCTGCGCTGGAGTCTCTGGGCCTACCCTGGCTCAGAGGGCCGCCTGATTCATGAATCGTTCATTGCTCAATTAAAGTCATTTAAATTTAATTTGACTTCAGTTTTTGTTTTTGTTTTATTTATTATTATCATACTTTAAGTTCTAGGGTACATATACACAATGTGCAGGTTTGTTACATATGTATACATGTGCCACGTTGGTGTGCTGTGCCCATTAAATCGTCATTTACATTACATATATCTCCTAATGCTATCCCTCCCCGCTCCCCCCACCCCACGACAGGCCCCAATGTGTGATGTTCCCCACCCTGTGTCCAAGTGTTCTCATTGTTCAATTTCCACCTGTGAGTGAGAACATTTGGTTTTCTGTCCTTGCGATAGTTTGCTGAGAATGATGGTTTCCAGCTTCATCCATGTCCCTAAAAAGGACATGAACTCATCCTTTTTTATGGCTGCATAGTATTCCATGGTGTATATGTGCCACATTTTCTTAATCCAGTCTATCATTGATGGACATTTGGGTTGGTTGCAAGTCTTTGCTATTGTGAATAGTGCTGCAGTAAACATACGTGTGCATGTGTCTTTATAGCAGCATGATTTATAATCCTTTGGGTATATGCCCAGTAATGGGATGGCTGGGTGAAATGGTTTTTCTAGTTCTAGATCCTTGAGGAATCGCCACACTGTCTTCCACAATGGTTTAACTAGTTTACACTCCCACCAACAGTGTAAAAGTGTTCCTATTTCTCCACATCCTCTCAAGCACCTGTTGTTTCCTGACTTTTTAATGATCGCCATTCTAACTGGTGTGAGATGGTATCTCATTGTGGTTCTGATTTGCATTTCTCTGATGGCCAGTGATGACGAGCATTTTTTCATGTGTCTGTTGACTGCATAAATGTCTTCTTTTGAGAAGTGTCTGTTCATATCCTTTGCCCACTTTTTGATGGGGTTGTTTGATTTTTTCTTGTAAATTTGTTTAAGTCCTTTGTAGATTCTGGATATTAGCCCTTTGTCAGATGGGTAGATTGTAAAAATTCTCTCCCATTCTGTAGGTTGACTGTTCACCCTGATGGTAGTTTCTTTTGCTGTGCAGAAGCTCTTTAGTTTAATTAGATCCCATTTGTCAATTTCGGCTTTTGTTGCCATTGTTTTTGGTGTTTTAGTCATTAAGTCCTTGCCCATGCCTGTGGCCTGAATGGTATTGCTTAGCTTTTCTTCTAGGGTTTTTATGGTTTTAGGTCTTACGTTTAAGTCTTTAATCCATCTTGAATTAATTTTTGTATAAGGTGTAAGGAAGGGATCCAGTTTCAGCTTTCTACATATGGCTAGCCAGTTTTCCCAGCACCATTTATTAAATAGGGAATCCTTTCCCCATTTCTTGTTTTTGTCAGGTTTGTCAAAGATCAGATGGTTGTAGATGTGTGGTATTATTTCCGAGGGCTCTGTTCTGTTCCATTGGTCTATATCTCTGTTTTGGTACTAGTATCAAGCTGTTTTGATTACTGTAGCCTTGTAGTATAGTTTGAAGTCAGGTAGCGTGATGCCTCCAGCTTTGTTCTTTTGGCTTAAGATTGTCTTGGCAATGTGGGCTCTTTTTTGGTTCCATATGAACTTTAAAGTAGTTTTTTCCAATTCTGTGAAGAGTCATTGGTAGCTTGACAGGGATGTCATTGAACTTATAAATTACCTTGGGTAGTATGGCCATTTTCACGATATTGATTCTTCCTATCCATGAGCATGGAATGTTCTTCCATTTGTTTGTATCCTCTTTTATTTCATTGAGCAGTGGTTTGTAGTTCTCCTTGAAGAGGTCCTTCACATCCCTTGTAAATTGGATTCCTAGGTATTTTATTCTCTGAAGCAATTGTGAATGGGAGTTCACTCATGATTTGGCTCTCTGTTTGTCTGTTATTGGTGTATAGGAATGCTTGTTATTTTTGCACATTGATTGTATCCTGAGACTTTGCTGAAGTTGCTTATCAACTTAAGGAGATTTTGGGCTGAGACGATGGGGTTTTCTAAATATACAATCATGTCATCTGCAAACAGGGACAATTTGACTTCTTCTTTTCCTAATTGAATACCCTTTATTTCTTTCTCTTGCCTGATTGCCCTGGCCAGAACTTCCAATACTATGTTGAATAGGAGTGGTGAGAGAGGGCATCCCTGTCTTGTGCCAGTTTTCAAAGGGAATGCTTCCAGTTTTTGTCCATTCAGTATGATATTGGCTGTGGGTTTGTCATAAATAGAGCTTATTATTTTGAGATACGTCCCATCAATACCTAGTTTATTGAGTTTTTAGCATGAAGGGCTGTTGAATTTTGTCAAAGGCCTTTTCTGCATCTATTGAGATAATCATGTGGTTTTTGTCTTTGGTTCTGTTTATATGATGGATTACATTTATTGATTTGTGTATGTTGAACCAGCCTTGCATCCCAGGGATGAAGCCAACTTGACTGTGGTGGATAAGCTTTTTGATGTGCTGCTGGATTCTGTTTGCCAGTATTTTATTGAGGATTTTTGCATCGATGTTCATCAGGGATATTGGTCTAAAATTCTCTTTTTCTGTTGTGTCTCTGCCAGGCTTTGGTATCAGGATGATGCTGGCCTCATAAAATGAATTAGGGAGGATTCCCTCTTTTTCTATTGATTGGAATAGTTTCAGAAGGAATGGTACCAGCTCCTCCTTGTACCTCTGGTAGAATTCGGCTGTGAATCCATCTGGTCCTGGACTTTTTTTGGTTGGTAGGCTATTAATTATGCCTCAATTTCAGAATCTGTTATTGGTCTATTCAGGGATTCAACTTCTTCTTGGGTTTAGTCTTGGGAGGGTGTATGTGTCCAGGAATTTATCCATTTATTCTAGATTTTCTAGTTTATTTGCATAGAGGTGTTTATAGTATTCTCTGATGGTAGTTTGTATTTCTGTGGGATCGGTGGTGATACTGCCTTTATCATTTTTTATCACATATATTTGATTCTTCTCTCTTTTCTTCTTTATTAGTCTTGCTAGTGGTCTATCAATTTTGTTGATCTTTTAAAAAAACCAGCTCTTGGATTCATTGATTTTTTGAAGGGTTTTTTGTGTCTCTATCTCCTTCAGTTCTGCTCTGATCTTAGTTATTTCTTGCCTTCTGCTAGCTTTTGAATGTGTTTCCTCTTGCTTCTCTAGTTCTTTTAATTGTGATGTTAGGGTGTCAATTTTAGATCTTTCCTGCTTTCTTTTTTGGCAGTTAGTGCTAAAAATTTCCCTCTACACACTGTTTAAATGTGTCTCAGAGATTCTGGTATGTTGTATCTTTTTTCTCATTGGTTTCAAATAACATCTTTATTTCTGCCTTCATTTCATTATGTACCCAGTAGTCATTCAGGAGCAGGTTGTTCAGTTTCCATGTAGTTGAGCAGTTTTGAGTGAGTTTCTTAATCCTGAGTTCTAGTTTGATTGTACTGTGGTCTGAGAGACAGTTTGTTATAATTTCTGTTCTTTTACATTTGCTGAGGAGTGCTTTACTTCCAACTATGTGGTCAATTTTGGAATAAGTGTGATGTGGTGCTGAGAAGAATGTATATTCTGTTGATTTGGGGTGCAGAGTTCTGTAGATGTCTATTAGGTCTGCTTGGTGCAGAGCTGAGTTCAATTCCTGGATATCCTTTTTAACTTTCTGTCTTGTTGATCTGTCTAATGGTGACAGTGGGGTGTTAAAGTCTCCCATTATTATTGTGTGGGAATCTAAGTCTCTTTGTAGGTCTCTAAGGACTTGCTTTATGAATCTGGGTTCTCCTGTATTGGGTGCATATATATTTAGGATAGTTAGCTCTTCTTGTTGAATTGATCCCTTTACCATTATGTAATGGCCTTCTTTGTCTCTTTTGATCTTTGTTGGTTTAAAGTATGTTTTAAACCATACTTTAAACCTAGGATGCCTAGGATGGCAACCCCTGCTTTTTTTTGTTTTCCATTTGCTTGGTAGATCTTCCTCCATCCCTTTATTTTGAGCCTATGTGTGTCTCTGCACGTGAGATGGGTCTCCTGAATACAGAACACTGATGGGTCTTGACTCTTTATCCAATTTGCCAGTCTGTGTGTTTTAATTGGAGCATTTAGCCCATATACATTTAAAGTTAATATTGTTATGTGTGAATTCGATCCTGTCATTATGATGTTAGCTGGTTATTTTGCTCATTAGTTGATGCAGTTTCTTCCTAGCACTGATGGTCTTTATAATTTGGCATGTTTTTGCAGTGGCTGGTACCAGTTGTTCCTTTCTATGTTTAGTGCTTCCTTCAGGAGCTCTTGTAAGGCAGGCCTGGTAGTGACAAAATCTCTCAGCATTTGTTTGTCTGTAAAGGATTTTATTTCTCCTTCACTTCTGAAACTTAGTTTGGCTGGATATGAAATTCTGGGTTGAAAATTCTTTTCTTTAAGAATGTTGAATATTGGCCCCCACTCTCTTCTGGATTAGAGGGTTTCTGCAGAGAGATCCTCTGTTAGTCTGATGGGCTTTCCTTTGTGGGTAACCTGACCTTTCTCTCTGGCTGCCCTTAATATTTTTTCCTTCATTTCAACTTTGGTGAATCTGACAATTATGTGTCTTGGGGTTGCTCTTCTCAAGGAGTATCTCTGTGGTGTTCTCTGTATTTCCTGAATTTGAAGATTGGCCTGCCTCGCTAGGTTGGGGAAATTCTTCTGGATAATATCCTGCAGAGTGTTTTCCAACTTGGTTCCATTCTCCCCGTCACCTTCAGGTACACCAATCAGACGTAAATTTGGTCTTTTCACATAGTCCCATATTTCTTGGAGGCTTTATTCGTTTCTTTTTACTCTCTCTTCTCTAAACTTCTCTTCTCATTTCATTCATTTGATCTTCAATCACTGATACCCTTTCTTCCAGTTGATCAAATCGGCTACTGAAGCTTGTGCATGCGTCACATAGTTCTCGTGCCATGGTTTTCAGCTCCATCAGGTCATTTAAGGACTTCTCTACACTGTTTATTCTAATTAGCCATTCGTCTAATCTTTTTTCAAGGTTTTGAGCTTCTTTGCAATCGGTTCGAACATCGTCCTTTAGCTTGGAGAAATTTGTTATTACTGATCACCTGAAGCCTTCTTCTCACAACTTGTCTAAGTCATTCTCCGTCCAGCTTTGTTCCGTTGCTGGCGAGGAGCTGCATTCCTTTGGAGCAGGAGAGGCTCTCTGATTTTTAGAATTTTCAGCTTTTCTGCTCTGGTTTCTCCCCATCTTTGTGGTTTTATCTACTTTGGTCTTTGGTGATGGTGACGTACAGATGGGGTTTTGTGTGGATGTCCTTTCTGTTTGTTAGTTTTCCTTCTAACAGTCAGGACCCTCAGCTGCAGGTCTGTTGCAGTTTGCTGGAGTTCCACTCCAGACCCTGTTTGCCTGGGTATCAACAGCAGAGGCTGCAGAACAGTAAATATTGCAGAATGGCAAATGTTGCTGCCTGATCCTTCCTCTGGAAGCTTTGTCTCTGAGGGACACCTGGCTGTATGAGGTGTCAGTCGGCCCCTACTGGGAGGTATCTCCCAGTTAGGCTACTCGGGGGTCAGGGACCCATTTGAGGAGGCAGTCTGTCCATTCTCAGATCTCAAACTCCATGCTGGGAGAACCACTACTCTCTTCAAAGCTGTCAGACAGGGACGTTTAAGTCTGCAGAAGTTTCTGCTGCCCTTTGTTCAACTATGCCCTGCCCCCAGAGGTGAAGTCTACAGAGGCAGGCAGGCCTCCTTGAGCTGCGGTGTGCTCCACCCAGTTCGAGCTTCCCGGACGCTTTATTTACCTACTCAAGCCTCAGCAATGGCGGATGCCCCTCCTGCAGCCTCACTGCCACCTTGCAGTTCGATCTCAGACTGCTGTGCTAGTAGTGAGCGAGGCTCTGTGGGTGTGGGACCCTCTGAGCCATGCGCAGTATATAATCTCCTGGTGTGCCATTTGCTAAGGCCTTTGGAAAAGCACAATATTAGGGTGGGAGTGACCCAATTTTCCAGGTACCATCTGTCTTGGCTTCCCTTTGCTAGGAAAGGGAAATCCCTGACCTCTTGCGCTTCCTGGGTGAGACAATGCCCCACTCTGTTCCACTCCATGGGCTGCACCCACTGTCTGACAAGCCCCAGTGAGATGAACCTGGTACCTCAGTTGGAAATGCAGAAATCACCTGTCTTCTGCATCGCTCACTCTGGGAGCTGCAGACTGGAGCTGTTCCTATTTGGCCATCTTCGACTTCAGTTTTTTAAATATCACTTGTAATAGGTGACAATCAAAATGAGTGACTGAGGCAAAAGTCTTAATCATCAAGGTTTATTCAGCCCTAGCCTTAGGGCATATCTGGGAAAAGCATAAGCCATAGACACGTCTGTGGCTGTTTTTCCAAAAAGGTATTCAGGAGGTTTTATAGTTACACATTTCCTTAAAGTGGGAACGGTGTGTCGGGAGAAAGGCACCTAGGTGGTAAGGTGAATGTATGGTTACATTCCTGTGAGACGTTAGTTGGTGCCCAATAACTCTACATTACATAAGATAAGGTGAACTCATGAAGAGAAAAAGAGAGTAAAGGAAGAGTTGGTTATGCAGATGTCTCTGAGTAGATGGAGGAACTACTGATCTCATCTTAACTTTGTTCTGCACCTGGGAAGATAAGCTTATAATCAACATGATCACTGTGGAATCCAACAGACTTTAGTTTTAGGAGGTAGACTTAGACTGCATACCTAACAGTTGTTACAATTGGCACATTCTTGTTAGTGGAAGACAGGCAAATGGTTTGCTCATGAATGGTTTGTGGGGGCAGCCCTGTGCAGGCACCTCACCTTTCCGTGAGGACCTGGCTGATGCATAAAGCTAGTCACACCTATTCCTTTGGAAGGGGGTGTTGCATGACTCAGCTTCCAGGCTTAACCTTCCCTTTCTCATAAGAAGTTTGGGGGTCCTGATTTTTTTTTCCTTTATATGGTAGTAGAAGTGGAGAGAAGTAGTTAGATTCTGGCTGTATCTCAAGACTGATTCTGATGATGAGTATGGGAAGCTGACACATGGCTGTTTTGATTTTTTTTTCTTTAATTACTAAAACCTTGAGTGAGATATCCAGCACAATGCACCTGAAGGATGTTGCCCAAAGTGTTCACAGGAATCAGATTTCAGGAATCCTGCCAGGTATATTGCAAGAAAGGCCTGACCCATTCAGATCAACAAAGTTACAAGCTTAGAAGAGCTTGTAAAAATAAGTAATAGCTGGGCACAGTGGTTCATGTCTGTAATCCCAGCACTTTGGGAGGCTGAGGTGGGTGGATCACTTGAGCTCAGGAGTTTGAGAGCAGCCTTGGACCACAGGACAAAACCCCATCTGTAATTTTTCCTTTTTTTTTTTTTGAGACGGAATTTTGCTCTTGTTGCTTAGGCCCCAGGCTGGAGTTCAATGGCACGGCTTCTGCTCCCTGCAACCTCCGCCTCCCAGGTTCAAGCAATTCTGCTGCCTCAGCCTCCCAAGTAACTAGGATTACAGGTGCATGCCACCATGACCAGCTAATTTTTTGTGTTTCTAGTAGAGACAGGGTTTTCCCATGTTGGCCAGGCTGTTCTCGAACTCCTGACCTCAGGTGATCCACCCGCCTCAGCCTCCCAAAGTGTTTGGATTACAGGCATGAACCACCGCACATGGCCCATCTCTACTTTAAAAAATATCTGTCTCTCTCTCTCTCTCTCTATATATATATATACATATATATATATATATTTTTTTTTTTTTTTCTGAAATGGAGTTTCACTCAGTCACCTGGCTGGAGTGCAGCGGCACGATTTCTGCTCACTGCAACCTCTGCCTCCTGGGTTCAAGCAATTCTTCTGCCTCAGCCTCCTGAGTAGCTGGGATTACAGGCAACCACCACCACGTCCAGCTAATTTTTTGTATTTTTAGTAGAGACGGGGTTTCACCATGTTGGCCAGGCTGGTGTCAAACTCCTGACCTTGGGCAATCCACCCACCTCAGCCTCCCAAAGTGCTGGGATTAAAGGCGTGAGCCACTGCACCTGGCCTAAAAAATTTTTTAAATAAGTAATGGCTGTCTGGACAGGATTTGTGAGGATCATCATCTTAAATAACGTTTTAAAAGTGTGTGTGTGTGTGTGTGTGTGTGTGTGTGTGTGTGTGTGTGTGTGTATGGAGGCTGGGGTGGGGGATGGGACAGTGGAGGGAACCAGCCAGGCATTATTTCCGATTTCAAGAGATGCAGAAAGAAGCCTCAGAGCTTCCCTTATCTGATTAAAAGCAGCAACTGCTGAGAAATGAGGCTGCCATAAATTCTCTTTTGGCAGGTCTACTCCCAGAAAGAAAAGCAAGAATACACCTGTTATAAATCCCCTCTCTGGTATAGTTTCATGGCCATGAAGAAGAGGGAAAGAACACTGCACTTGCAGAAACATATATCATTATGAAATTTTGTATCTTCTTTTTGTTCCCCTAAAAATCCACTTATTCTTCTTCCCTTAAGAAATCTATTTGCGGCCAGGTCTGGTGGCTCACACCTATAATCCCAGCAATTTGGGAGGCCGAGGTGGGCAGGTCATTTGAGGTCAGGAGTTCAAGGCCAGCCTGGCCAACATGATGAAACCCCTTCTCTACTAAAAAATACAAAAATTAGCCGGGCGTGGTGGCACGTGCCTGTAATCCCAGGTACTTTGGAGGCTGAGGCAGGAGAATCACTTGAACCCAGGAGGTGAAGGTTGCAGTGGGCCGAGATCACACCACTGCAACTCCAGCCTGGGCGACAAAGCAAGACTCCATCTCAAAAAAAAAAAGAAAGAAAGAAACCTATTTGCTCCTGTCTTAGAATAAATTTCTTCCCCCTCCCTTTCCTCCACTCGTTAGGTATGCTGTATAAGCCTCAAACTTTATACAATTAGAGAGCTGAATTCTTACATTAACTTGTCTTTTGTCATTTTAATCTACAGCCCCCCCCCCACAATGAACCTAAAAGGATAGAGAAAAATATTTTCTTTCCTGATAAATCTGGTGTAAGAATTGTTGAATGAAGAAATACAAAGATTGAGTGAGGCATGGGGAGGTTCTGAGATAATGATTTAGTTAATGATGCTTCTAAGATATGAATAATTGAAACAGTGGTGGTAGCTTTGACACTCCATTGCAAGTCTAGCCAAGCCAATTAAAAAACAAGAGTCTTAAATTTTTCTTCCACTAAATTTAAACAAATCACAGCTCTACTTAATGCTTTTAATGTTATTTTTTATTAAGACAACATAATTTATTAAATACTAGTGGCAAGGGAGGGAATTTTCAGTAGTAGGTCACATACTATAAGAACCCTTTGAATATGATAGAACCATTCAGCAACTCAGGAAAATAGATACTATTATGACTTTTTCACACATTAGTCACTACTATTCAGAGCAAGAAGTAACCTTCCCAAACCTGTCAACTAGCAGGAAATGAAGCTCCAAAGCCCATCCATCCTTCTCACACAGATAGAAAAGTTCCCTTGAGAGCAGTAAGCCGGGAAAGCTTTCCACACTCATGAAGTCCTCTATAAATTCACTGTAATACTGATGGTTTTTCAATCAGAAAAAACCAAACATCTAGATTTGTTAATGCTTCACTTTGCTTCATCATTTGGGTAGGTTTTACATCTCTTCCGTTCAACACACTGGAAAGGACAATCAAAATCTGCCATGCCCTTCACCCCGAGAAAGTCTCCACCCAGACCCTGGAGCCTGAAAGTTCTTGGGATTTTCTTGTCTCATCATTCACATGGCTGTGACAATATTCTACACTCCTGTGATGCCCTGTAGCCCTACCCAGACTCCAGCGTTTTTACTTCCATTACTCCCACCCCGGAGCCCCCACAGTGAGTGCTCTAAGACCCATTTATAAATGCCTCTTTCTTCCAGGGTCCATCTGAACCTCAGGGTCCTCTAGGATACCCAGGACCTCGAGGGTTAAGGTAACCGACCTCCTGGCTGGGGATAAAGGAATGTGTTCAGGGGAGCAAGATGGGGTCTCAAGAGTTTGGTCTTTTTAACCCACCTCTATCCCCTCACCACTCTACCTCTGTTCACCTCTAAGTCCAGGGTAGAGATGGAATTCGGAGTCTGAAGGGCCATGAGGGTGCAAAGGTGAGCACCGTGCCCCCAGCTTCCCAGCACCTCACTCCTGCCTGCCCCATGCTACCCTCTAGCTCCTGAGCCCACCCTTCCAGCCATGTTCTCAGAATCCTACATTAGAACCCCCAGCCCTCTCTCATCTGTGGGGTCCTCTCACCTCCGTCTTTCTCAAGGGAGAACGACTGTCTTGGATTCAAAGGTGACATGTGTGAAGGATATCAGGTTGAGTGAAGACCTCACGCTGGCCCCTACTCCGTGTCCTAATGATGCACTCTGGAGCCCCCAAGCACCAGTTCATTCCCTGGAGGCCCTGGGCTCCCCAGTGCTGTGCATCCTTGGGGGCCTGATCCCTGCAGGACTGTAACCCCATGGTCTGCAACACGCTGGCCATGGATGACGACACTATTCATACCCTTCAGCGTTCCCTGTCCCGCAATAGCTCCTGGGATCTACCAGCCCCACTCAGCCTCTCTGGTGACTGCTTCTCCTCTGGGCTCAGACCTCATCCCCAGACCCCAACGCTCACCTCTCCCACCCTCTCCCTCCCTGACTGTGCTTCCTCCACAGGGAACATCGGGTGGTGATGGCCTCCATGATCCCCCAGAGAAAGGGTGTGACTTGAGTGCCTTCTTCCTCTGTGCTCCCCAGGGAGCAGCAGCATCAGAGTGCTCCCAGGGTGCCAAAGGGACACACTGGACCAACTGGAGACCCTGGGCCCCCTGGATTCACAGGTGAGGAGGTGATAGGAGAGGGATCTGTGCCTGGGCACTCTAGGGATGAGGGCACATGAGGTCAGGGTGGGTGTGGGGGTGCCTGCAGCTACTGTCAGCCAGTCAATTAAAGATGGCTATGCATTCATTATGCTCCTCTCTCTGTATATGGCACCTCCTAGCTGACAATGGATTGAGGTGGGTATAGAAGAAGTCAAGGAAAAGCCCCTGTCATGAAGAGTTGGATGGAGACAGGCACAGAGTGGCCGCAGGTCCAAGCAGAGTGAACATGCGTCCAAACTGGCAGTGGCAGCCCCTAGAAGGGAGACACCAACAGCACCGAGATCTGTGGTCTCCAGAGCTGACATCTCCTGCACTTGCCACGTGCAGGCGCTGTGCGGGACCTCCTCTCCATCCTGTGAGGTGGGTGTGGACAGTCCTATTTTGCAGGTGAGGCTTTGCAGAGGCACAAGCAGGCCAAGTCATCACAGGGTCATCAAATGGCAGGGCAGGAACTGAGCCACAGTGGTTGAGCTGCAGAATCACTGCTCCCAACCCCCTGCTCCACAGCTGCCTGGGCTGGATGAGCCCTGGAGCAGCAGGAGGCATACAGGGGAGCTGGGTGCTGCACCGCATGGGCAAAGGGCCGGAGACGTGTGGGGAAACTAGTCCTGGTGAAGCAAGAGTGGGTGCTGGGGCAGATGGAGCTGAGGGTGGCAGATGGGCAGCAACTGGATCACAGCAACCTTGAAGGACTTGACGGAGCTGCAGGCACAGGGATGTCAGATCCCAGCACTAGAGTTGGAGAAAATTCACTCTTAGGAAGAAGGAGACTGGGTGTGCTGGCTCCTTCCTCACCCCAGGGAGGAAGCTGAGTTCCCCTGCCCAGCACCTGCCCCATTCTCCTGACTCTGTCTACCTCTGTCTCTAGGGTCTCCCTGAACTCAGGGTCCCAATGGATTTCCTGGCCCCAAAGAGCCCCTGGTGAGTTGTCACCCGAGCTCTGACCCACCCCTGGTTCTCTGAGTCCTTCCCTGCCTCCTTCCAGCCCAGAGTTCACCTGACATCTGGACTCCTTCCAGGGCACCCTGGGAATGACAAGCTGCCGGGACACTCAGGCCAGAGAGGAAAGGTGGTGAGGGAGACCCCTGGCCACCAATTCTCAGGAGGCCCCTCAAATGCCAAAGCTGTCTGGGAGGCCCACAGAGACATTTTCTGAGCAGAACAGAGCCTGCCCTAATGCTGTCCACAC
Organism: Homo sapiens; assembly: GCF_000001405.40. Taxonomy (NCBI): domain Eukaryota; kingdom Metazoa; phylum Chordata; class Mammalia; order Primates; family Hominidae; genus Homo; species Homo sapiens. Next base: position 55,589,166 of record NC_000007.14, read on the forward strand.
CCACGGGCCGAGGCTTGATGTGACCTTGTTCCTCTTCTGGAGCCCAGGCATCTACCCTACAGCACCCACTGCACTCCCCCCTTTTCCTCTCAGGGTTTCCAAGGGGAGAGCAGCCCCCGTGGCCCCCCATATGTGGTGGGACCTCAGCTAGGTCTGTTCCCAGGAGAGAACGGCTCCCAGACCCTGGAGTTAAGTCTGTCTGGCTCTCTTCTCTCAGTCACACACCCCTGCCTCTGGCTCGCATGTCTGGAACAGGTAGCTGGGGACTTGAGGGGGCTCAGAAATCTCTCTTTTTAATTTGGCAGCACGGATGGCTGTCGCTCCTCACCTCTCCTTTTCTTTTAGGGTGTCCATGGGGTTCAAGGGAAGGATGTTCCTGGTCTGAGGGGCTTCCCAGGAGAGAGAGGCCTCCTAGGCACTGCTGTGAGTGTGACTCCCAGAGCCCTGCCTGGACCAAGGACCAAGTGACCTGAACCCCTCCCTGACCCTGACCCTGCTCCATGCCACTCCCCACTCCCATCTCTCTGAACCTATCTCCTCTCGCCAGCCCTCACCCTTCTCTTTTCTGTGAAGCTCCACCTTCCCCAAATCTCTGCTTCAGAGTGTGGACCCAGCTTGAAGAGGAATGAGGTCCAGTTGGCCCCCTTACCCTGCAGGGAGCCTGGGGTTCCTGGGGAGTGGGAGGAGGGAACTAGGAAAGGGGGTGTTGAGGCAGGGTGGAGGTGGCATCCAGATCTACGCAGGTGCTGTGGGACTGGGCAGAGGGAATCTAGAGTCAGCCAGAATGCAGCTGATTTGGGGCTCTTCTCCTGGGAATTGTGCTCTGAGGGCCCTGGTATGAGTGGGCTTGGGTCTTCCTCCCTGGGGATCTCACTCATCTCAACTTTCAGGGTTCCCCCCTAGGGAGTGAGGTGCAGCAGGATCAAGGGACCCATTGCCCCCCGCCAGGGTGCCCAGGCCCTCAGGAACCCCCTGGATCAGCAGGAGAGACAGGTGTCCCAGTGAGAGTGGGGACCTTGGGAGTGGTTCTTGGGGAGGGGTCTGTGGGCTGAGGGGTGATGGGCTATGAAAGGTTTCCTGTGGGTGTTTGAGGGTGAGGGTCACCTCCAGGCCATGACTCCTCCTTCCTGCCCCACAGGGTGAAAAGGGCCCCATTTGTCTGCCTGGCTGTGATAGGGTGCAGAGTCCTGTGTGACTTCCTGGTCCTGCTGGGCCTCCAGGTGTGGCTGGAGAAGATGGAGACCAAGAGGAGAACCCCAGAGAACCCGACCAATCTTCTCTCCACATGAGAGGGCTGAGGTGGGCTTGACTCCTGAGCTCTATCATTTCCTCCCTCTGGTATCTCCTGTGCCTTCTCCTCCAGGATGAGGTGGGGGACCCCAGGAAGAAGGGCATCAAAGTGTCCATGACCTTGACGCCCTGGCCTTTAACCTCATTCCCTCCTGGTTCCTCCCTGCCTTGGTGTTTCTGACTCTCGTCTCTCCCCCAGGGCCCTCCTGGACCCCCTGGACTCACTGGTCCATGGAACAGCCTGTAGCAGTGGTGAGTGAACCCTCGGCCCCCACGCAAGGCCCTGGCAGCCTCTGCTCTGCCTTCAACTCCCCTTTGCCCCTGAGGCTGGGTTTGGGAGTGGGGTCTCTGGGCCTGGTACCCAGCTATGTATGGGGTTCGTGAATAGAGAATGCCTGACCCATGACCCATGTCTATGTCCTTGTCCCTGCTTCTCTCCTTCCCCAGGGAGCAGATTGGGAGCCCAGAGCTCAGGGACCCCAGGGACACTTTGGAGCCAGAGTGTGGGGAGCCAAAGGCAATAAAGGTAGAACAGGATTCATGAATCTATAGGTGAGATGCGGCTGGGGACGGGCTGAGAGGCAGTGTCAGGATGGGGTGATGTGTGTCCCAGACCCTGCCAGCAACATGCTTTAAGGACTGGGTTGGTGGGGGCAGAAGCCTGGGGGCCATGTGGGGTCTGAGTGGAGGGGCTGTGGGACCCATCAGTCTAGGGCTGTGCTTTGGGTGGGTGGTCACCTGGGTCCATGCTTTCTGCACCTGCATAGCGTGTGCCAGGTCCCTCTGGGGAGAAGGGAGAAACAGGAGATGTGGGTCCTATGGTGAATGTGACCCCTACTGACCCCAGACCCCAAATGGTCACCCCTGCCTGGCCAGCCCCCACCCCACTGCTGCCTCCCTGCCCTGACTGCTCTTCCTCCCTCCACACTCCTTCATTGTGCCATTTCACTTCCCTTCCCCACCTCTGGTGTATCTGTTCCCCTGCAGGGACTACCTGGACCCAGTGGCACTGGTGTGAGTCATCCCAGCCCCTGCCACTTCAGAGCAATGAGTCTGATCCTCTGCGTCCCTTTCCTCAGATCATAAACTCTTCGCCCCTGAGAAGCCCCTTCCCCTGGGAGGCCCCCACTGTCCCACTGCCATAACCTTGGGATGCTCATCTGGGCCTCTGCCCCTGCAATAACCCCACCTCCTGAAGCGATGTCACCTATTTCTCTTCCTCTTTCAGGGTCCACAAGATCCCCTGGGAGGTGTTGGGGCCCTGGGTCCCCCTGGAGAGAAGGTAATTGGGAAAGGGATGAAGGGGACCAGTCTTGTGGATGAGGAATGACAGTTGGATTTCTGCCAATTTTTTGTTGAGGAGACAAAAGAGAATAAAATGTGAGAAATACCAGGATTTTGTGAGGGGGCAATGAGGTTTTTGACCCCAATCTCTTTGCTCCTGGAGCCAGGAGAGTCAGGATCTCCAGGAATCCAGGGTGAGCCGGGTGTCAGGTGAGTGACAGCTCCAGGGCCCTGCTTCAGAATTCCCTTCACCCCTCTCAGCTGCACCCCCCCTCTTTTCCTGTGACTTCCTTGAGTTGTAGCTCCTCTGCGGCCAGGAGTCTCTGCTCCCAACCATCCTTGGAGTGAGGCTTTCCACCCTGTCCTTGAACGGAAGGGGACCAGGGGACTCCCCTTATAGGCTAGACTTTCTATGTGTATCCCATTGTCCTCAAGGGCAGTAGGGAGTGACTAAAGGTGTCTTGGAAGCAGGGGCTGCATCCCTGTTCTTCAAGACCCTCTGTGCCCTCCACTTGTTCTGCAGGGTACACATGGGGAGTGTGGGGGGAAAGGAGAGTCAGGGCAGCCAAGTTTCTGGGAATATGGGTATCTGTGAGTAAGGATCTTGGACTGTGGGGAGCCTGGGAATGGGGGGATGCCTGGGAGGGAGGCTCTGGGAATGGGGTATCCTGGGAGGATGCATGGGATCTGGAGTCCAGAGAGAAAGTGAGAGATACCCTGTGGCTAATACCATAAGGCATTAGACAGCATGAAGTGCTCGAGGTGGGGATAGGGGTGCAGAGACCTTCTTCCTAGGGAGGTGCCAACAGATGAGCCTGTAGGGAGGAAGAGGGTCTCATATGCCTGTGGGAGTCTGTGTTGGGTGGGCTTATGGGGCTGTGACCCTGACTCTTGTTCTCCCTCTGGATTAGGGTCTTGGTTTTCCTGGAGACCCTGGCCCCCCAGGAGAAGGTGGCTCATGTGAGTCTTACTGACAGAGGGGAAAGGATGAAGAGGTTGGGGCTTCTGTGGGGTGCCTCTGTGCAACTGATGGGCTTAGATGTTGGGAAGCTGGAGATATGGCAGGGCAAGCAGGGGAATGCAAGGCTTAGCAGTTTTAGGGGTGATGCCAGCTGGGTCTGGCCTTGCTTCATCCCTGCAGGACCAGGACAGTGTTAACGGTGACTATGGCAAGGATGGTGAGCCAGTACAGCCCGTGAGTGACCAATGTCCCTGCCACCCCCACTGAGCTCCAGCCTTCAGCCCCTTACCCCTCTTTTCTGTGCCCTACTCCTGAGGGGTCCCTTAGCTGGAGGCCAACACTCACCCACCCCAATTCCTCTCATTCTGTGGATCCTCTGGTCCCACTGGGGAGAATGGACTACCTGGACCACATGGAAAGCAGGTAAGTGAGGTAGAAGACCCTGGGACCTTGGGAGGTAGTCGCTGGGAAATGTGGGTAGAGGCTGGGTGGTGACAGGTGGCACTGACAGGGAGATGCCTGGTGTCTGTGCTGTCCCTGGATGTGGTGTGTTGCATGAGCACATGGGTTTATGAGTGTGTTGTGTCTCGGGCATGTTGCTCCTGGGTTTTTGTGAGCATGTTCTCACCAGGGCTGGTTACATGTACTGGCCAATCAGAATGGACACTGGAGGAGGGGCTGGCCGGCTTCTCTGCTGGGTCAGGGATTAACCTGGGCCACTGGGTGGGGCGTGGTTAAGGGGTTCTTCCCCAAGCATCCATGCTCCTCAGCATTTTCACAACGGACACAGCTCCATCTGTTCTGAACTCACACTCTGCTTCTGTGCCTGTGTGTGCAGTGTGTGCATGCAGTGTGTGCATGCAGGGTGTGCATGTGTGTGTGTGTGGAGTATGTGTGCATGTGTAGCACAGGAAGGGGAAGAGTGGAGCCTGGCTGTTCAGGACCTCAAGTTTTCTCCCTTCCTGTCCCATCTGCAGGGTCAGCTAAGAATAGCCATGACTCAAGGGTCAGCTAAGAATAGTCATGACTCAAGGGTCATTTAGGACACAGGAAGATACCAGATGAGGAAACTCTCCCCAAGTCCTAAACTCATTCACAAATTAGAACACATAGGTCCAGCCCAGGCACAGTGGCTGAAGCCTGGAATCCTCCCGCTTCCTGCTTCGGGAGACCAAGGCAAGAGGATCTCTCGAAGTGTGAGTTGGAGGCCAGCTTGGGCGACACAATCAGGAAAAGCAAGTGGCCACCAGGTGGCGCCCAAGAACTGGGCCCGAGTTCCCTGGGAGGAATCTGCACGCAGCCCTGGGATGGCACAGGGATGCCTCACGGGACACCTGGCCTCGTCCTGGTAGCCCCTTGCTTGCATTTCCCGGCCCTGGGGTGTCCTCCCCGACTGCACATGCATGTAGAGACCATTCCTCCTTCTCCAAAGAGGGATTTGGAACAATTCTCACATGACCTGACGAGGGACAGTGGCTGTGCTCAGGGTCCCTCTTTTGTCCTCAGAGCATGACCAGGCCTGTGGCTCTTGCTCATTGCCCAAGAGCATGGGAGGTTGCCCGTGGCAAGGCCCTGGAGGACCCTGCTGTGCTGCCTGGGACCAGGAGGCCCGGCTGCCTTCTCCCAGCACCTCTCCCAGTTAGGGTACTGTGCAGGAAATGGGTGCAGAGGCCATAGTGGTGGCTGCTCCTGGGGTCCCAGCAGCTCTAGCTGAGGCAGGAGGAACCAGGGAGCCCAGGAGGCTGAGGCCCCTGTCCTACTGCTCTGGTCGTGCTGCAGTCTCTGTCACCACCAACAACTGCAGTGAGGTGAGCCACTGGGCTGCAGGCTCTAGCCTCCAGCCTGTGACAGATGCCTCCTCTTTCTGACTCCTCCTGTAGCAGGGCACGGAGAAGCTCTCGCTCATCGCTGCCTCCTACCACTCCGAACATGCTGCAGTCTCGTTGACCACGCTGCAGTCTTGGTGGCCACCACCAACTGCAGGGAGCCTGGCCAGGTGCCGCAAGTTGCAGCCTCCACCTCCTCCTCTAAGTCGGGCTTGGAGCAGCAGCGGGAGCAGTCACAGAAGAGGCTGGAATGGTGGAATGCACCCTCAGTATGCATTATATATAGAGGTTTCGGCAATGAGGGCCTGGACTTTGTGTTCTGATTGGATGGGGGAAACCTCTAGGCTTTATCTTCATGCCCTGATTGGTTATCCTAAGAGTTGCTCTCATCCAGTCTTCTTTATAAGTGGTCATCTTTGTAAGTTCATGCCCACTGGGAGTTACTGAAGTTGTGAATGATTACATTTAAACTTATCCTGTAATTTTAGTCTGATTTATTAATTCCACCTATCTCCTTAAGCAAATTATTCTCTATAGTGATGACCCAAGCAAATTCCTGTCCCAAGATGGTATCAAGATGATACCCAAGTTCCTCTCCAGAATGGTATCTGGATATATGTGGAGGGAAATATTTTTTCTAGGCCTGTATTAAATATGGCACTAAAGCTTAGTGGCTTAAAACAATACACTGTTATTATCTCACAGCTTCTGTGAATAAGTAGTTCAGGAGAGTGTAGCTGGGTGATTCTTGCCAAGAGTCTCATAAGGTTGCAGTCAATCTGTTGGTGAGAATTGTAGTTACTTGAAGACTTGGAGTTGAAGAATTTATATCAAAGATGGCTTACTTATGGCAATTGGATGGAAGCCCCAGTTTCAGAATGGCTGCTGGCAACAGGTCTTTTTACTTGCCACATGGACCTCTCCATAGGCTGACTGAATGTCCTCCCAATGTGTCATCTGGCTTTCTCCAGTGCAAAAGATCAAAGAAGAGAGTATGAAGGAACCCGTAATGCTCTTTATAATTTTGTCACAGACCGTCACTTCTGCCATACTCTATTGTTTAGAAGTTAGTCATTAAGTCCAGCCCACACTCAAAAGAACGAGAATTAACCTCCACCTTTGGAAGAGAGGCTAGTCAAAGCACTTGTGGACATGTTTTGAAACCACAAAGGGGTATGGCTGCCAGTCTCCAAGATGGCCGCCAGTGATTCTCATCAGCTGTTATTAATACATTTGTATAGTCCCTTCCCACAAGAAAAAAGAGTTGATCTGTTTAATTAGTATTATTTTGTTGAAATGACAGAGTCTGACTTGCAAGTTTAGGTCATAAGAAGAATTTTGACTTCTGCCTTATTCTCTATTGGATCAATATCCCTAGGGGAAGCTAGATGCAATGTCATGAAATCATTCAAACAGTCCCATGGAACAATCCATCTAGCAAGGAACTGATATCTCCTAGCAATAGCTGGCATTAACTTACAAGTCGTATGAGTGGGCCATCTTAGAATTGGATTCTTCAGTCCAAATCAAGTCTTCAGATAACTGTAGCCCTGGCTGACATCTTGATTACATCCTCAAGAGAGACCCTGAGCCAGAATCACTCAGTTAAGCCACTGAGTTCTTTTTGCCAAAAACTTTTTTTTTACCAAGTTCTTTTTGCCACCAACTTTATTGAGGTATAATTGACAATTAAGATTGTATATATTTAAGGAATACAACTTGATGATTTGATATACACATACATTGTGAAATAATCGTGATAATTAGGTTAACATATTCATTACTTCACATAAGTACCATTTTCGTGTGTGTGTGTGTGTGTGTGTGTGTGTGTGTGTGTGTGTGTGGTGAGAACACATGAGATGTATCCTCTTAGAAAATTTCAAGTATACAATATATTATTGTTAACTACAGTCATATTATTGTATACTATGTCTCCAGAACTTATTCACCTTGCGTAACTGAGATGCTGTACCCTTGACCAATGTCTCCCCCTTTTCTTCTCCCTCCAGCCCCTGGTAACTACCCTTCTACTTTCCAGTTCTATACATTTGACTCTTTTAGATTCCACACATAAGTCAAATTTTTGACCCTTAGGAGCTGGGTGAATAATAAATATTTATTGTTATTTTCAGCCTTATGATTTTAAGTTAATTTGTTATGCAGTAATAGAAGTTGCCACATGAAGCTATGACACTGGTTAACTCATTTATTCAGTAAACATTTGCTAAGAGCAGACTAAGTGCCAGGATCAATTTTATAATTGGGGGTACAGGGTTAAGTCAAAATGGCAGACTAGAAGCAGATCATGTGCACTGCTGTCATGGAGAGGAAACAAAATGGCTAGTGAACACTGATCTTGCCATGTGATCCCCTAAGAAACCACATCAGCATCCATGAAGGCAGCAAGGGGACACAGAGAGGAGAGAGGAGTGAAGCTGAGCAGCCCATCTGTGATCAGCATGGAGCTAGAAGAAGCTCCCAAACATAGGGAAAGAGTAAGTGATTGAGAGCCCCTGGGGGATTCACAGTCTTCACAGGGACCTGTGCAAGCCTTGGAACAGGAGAATCTCTTTGACCCACTCCCTGCACCTCTAAGCCAATGCAGAGAGCCACCCAGAGTTTTGTGGAGGCAACTCTCAAGTCCCTAGGGACTGCTGGAAGCCTTGGACCCTGGAACAGACCAGCACCAGTGCCATAGCCCCAACAGAGGCTGCAGTCATGGTACCCGAGGGCAGTAAGATTGCTCCACCCCAAATCACTAGACAAAGTTCAGCACCAGCCTCTGGCCCAATGGTCCTGCTTCTGTTTTCACTTCACCAACAGGTTCAGCCTCCTGTTCCTCCAGGAAACACCCAAACAACAGGATAGGCAACTTCACCCAATCCCTGCCAGTTGTAGCCAGGCAGGCCATACCTGCTAGAGCTTCCAGCCCCGTGGTACCACTTCTGTCTGAATTCTGCTGACAAGCACAGTCTCTTGTTCTCCTAGGAAACACCTTAATGGCATGGTGAGTGACTCCACCCACTGCCACTGCTCAAGGCCAGCAGCCCACACCTGCTAGAGTTTCCAGCCCAACAGTCCTGCTTTTATATGAACTCTGCAGGTGGGGGCAACTCCATGTTCCCCTGGGAAGCAGCTGGACAGCAGATTAGGTGACCCCACTCATCCCTGCAACTCCTAGCCAAGCAGTTCTTGCTGGCTTGGGTGGTGCCCAAGCAGTGGGGGAGTCCTCACTCTTGCATCACTAAAAGAAGTGAGATGCCCAAGTTCACAGGTCAGTGGAGGAGTGGGTTGTGCCTCCCTCTGTACAGCCATTCCGGAAAGGATATGACCTGTTTGCCAACTGTGGCCCCTGCATGAGGAAGCCCCATGGACGAGAACACCTAATAAAAGAAATACAGGCATGGAGTCAGTGATCAGAGGGGGCTCTTCCAAGGCTTAGGGGTGGACAAGGTGAGGGGGTCATCTCTACCCCACCCCCTAAAAAGCACTATGCTAACTTGAGGAAAACACAAAAGAGCTGTGCAGCTGAGAAAAGCCTATCTGCCTGTCCGCTGGCTAACACTTTTAAGTGCCACCTACTGGATCACAGCAGAAAATACAATACAAAAATATTTTGCCAGTACACAGCACCTGTGAAAACTAAGGCAAAGATTAAGCAACAAATAAACATTCTGTACATACTCGTGACCCTCTGAAAACACCCTAAAAAGAAGCCAACTGACTGTACTCAACTTACATCACAGTTAAAGGAACACTAACCCTTACACATGAAAAAGAATCGATGCAAAAACTCTGGCAACTCAAAAAGCCAGTGTGCCCCCTTACCTACAAACAAACACACTAGTCCCCCAGAAATGGTTCTTAGCCAGATTGAGATGACTGAAATGATGGAAATAAAATTCAAGATCTGGATGGCAAGGAAGATCGATGGGATCAAAGAGAAAGTTGAATCCAAGGAACCCAGTAAAACAATCCAGGAGCTGAAGGATTAAACAGCCATTTTAAGAAAGAACCAGCTGGGTGTGATGGCTCACGCCTGTAATCCCAGCACTTTGGGAGGCCAAGGCGAGTGGACTACTTGAGGTTAGGAGTTTGAGACCAGCCTGGCCAACATGATGAAACCCTGTCTCTACTAAAATACAAAAATTAGCTGGGCGTGGTGGCACACATCTGTAATCTCAGCTACTTGGGAGGCTGAGGCAGGAGAATCACTTGAACCCGGGAGGTGGAGGTTGCACAGGCTGGAGTGCAGTGGCACGATCTCGGCTCACTGCAAGCTCTGCCTCCCAGGTTCCCACCATTCTCCTGCCTCAGCCTCCCGAGTAGCTGGGACTACAGGTGCCCGCCACCACGCCCAGCAAATTTTTTGTATTTTTAGTAGAGACGGAGTTTCACCATGTAAGCTATGATAGTCTCCATCTCCCGACCTCGTGATCCGCCTGCCTTGGCCTCCGAAAGTGCTGGGATTACAGGTGTGATGGCTCACGCCCAGCATTTTTTTTTTTTTTTTTTGAGACAAAGTCTCGCTCTGTTGCCCAGGCTGGAGTGTAATGGCACAATCTCGGCTCACTGCAACCTCCCCCTCCCAGGTTCAAGCAATTATCCTGCCTCAGCCTCCTGAGTGGCTGGGATTATAGGCACCCACCACCATGCCCAGCTAATTGTTGTAATTTTAGTAGAGATGAGGTCTCACCATCTTGGTTCGGCTGGTCTCAAACTCCTGACCTCAGGTGATCCACCCACTTCAGCTTCCCAAAGTACTGGGATTACAGGAGTGAGCCACCATGCCCAGCCCCACAAAAATTTTTAAAAAAGAATTAAAAAGTGAATAAAATCTTTTGAGAAATATAGGACTATGTAAAAAGACCAAACCTACATTTCATTGGCATTCCCAAAAGAGAAGTAACTTGGAGAATATATTTGAAGACATAGTCCATGAAAAATTTCCCAAACTTGATAGAGAGGGGAACATACAAATTCAAAAAATACAGACAACCCTACAGATACTACACAAGATGACCATCCCCAAGGCACATAGTCATCAGATTCACCAAAGTCAAAGTAAAAGAAAGACATCTTAAAGGCAGCTAGAGAGAAAGGTCAGGTCATCTGTAAAGGGAACCCCATCAGGCTAGCAGTAGACGTTGCAACAGAAACTTTACAAGACAGAGGAGAATCAAGGTTTATTTTCAGCATTCTTAAAGAAAATAATTTCCAAGCAAGAATATTGTGTCCCACCAAACTAAGCTTCATAAGTGAAGGAGAAATAAAATACTTTTCAGATAAGCAAGTACTTAAAGGAGTGCTAAACATGAAAACAAAGAACTGAAACATGCTCCTTCAAAAACACACTCAAGGACATAGCCTACAGAGAATGTAAAGCCACCACACCACTAAGTCTACAAAATAAACAGCCAACAACATAATGACAAGATCAAAATCTCATATATCAATACTAACCCAGAATGTAAATGGTCTAAATGCCCGACTTAAAAGGGATAGCATGTCAAGTTGGACAAAAAGACAAGCCCCGATAGTCTGCTGTCTTCAAGACACCCATCTCTCGTGTGAAGATACTCACACGTTCAAAGTAAAAGTATAGAGTAGATCTACCAAGCAAACAGAAAACAAAAAAGAGCAGGAGTCATTATTTTTATAGCAGATAAAACAGATTTTAAACCAACAACAATCAGGAAGGATAAAGAAGAGCAGTACATGATGATAAAAGGTTTAATTCAACAAGAAGACCTGACCATTCTAAACATACACGTACCCAATATAGGAGCACCCAGATTCATAAAACAAATTTTTCTTGACTAACAAAAAGACTTAGACAGTCACACAATAATAGTGGGGGACCTTAACACCCCACTGGCAGTGTTAGATCATCAAGGCTGAAAACTAACAAAGAAAATCTGGGCTTAAACTCGACATGTGACCAATTGAACCTAATAGATATCTACAGAGTACTCCATCTAACAATAATAGAATATACATATGTTTCATTCATACTATTCTAAGATTGACTACATGCCATCCTGGCTAACATGGTGAAACCCTGTCTCTACTAAAAATACAAAAAATTAGCCAGGTGCAGTGGCACGTGCCTGTAGTCCCAGCTACTCAGAAGGCTATGGCAGGAGAATCGTTTGAACCCGGGAGACGGAGGCTGCAGTGAGCCAAGATCACTCTACTGCACTCCAGCCTGGGTGACAGAGTGAGAATCTGTCTTTAAAAAATTATACGGCTAAATGCCTTTAACAAGAGGTTATAAAGATCTGACATGAATGACCTAACGGTGCAACTGGAGGAAATAGATAAAATGAAAAATCCAACCCAGAGCTGGTAGAATAAAACAAAGGACTAAAATCAGAGAAGAACGGAAGGAAATTTTGACCCAAAAGTCCATACAAAAGATAAATGAAACCAAGAGTTGGTTCTTCAAAAGAATAAATAAGATCGATGGTTGTTAGCAAGATTAACGAAGAAAAAAATGAGATAATCCAAATAAGCACAATAAGAAATGACAAAGACGACATTATTACCGATCCCACAGAAATACAAAAGATTCTCAGAGACTATTATGAACATCTTTATGCACACAAATTAGGAAATCTAGAGGAAACCTGTAAGTTCCTAGAAACACACAACCTCCCAAGATTCTTTCAGGAAGAAAGTGAAAACTTGGATAGACCAATAACAAGTTTGGAAATTGAATCAGCAATAAAAATCCTACCAACCAAAAAGAGCTCTGGACCAGGTGGATTCACATCTGAATTCTTTTTTTTTTTTTTTTTTAGACGGATTTTCGCTCTTGTCGGCCGGGCTGGAGTGCAATGGCGTGATCTCGATTCACTGCAACTTCCGCCTCCTGGGTTCAAGTGATTCTCCTGCATCAGCCTCCCAAGTACCTGGGATTACAGGCATGTGCCACTATGCCCGGCTAATTATTTTTGTATTTTCAGTGGAGATGGGGTTTCACTATGTTGGTCAGGCTGGTCTTCAACTCCTGACCTCAAGTGATCCACCTGCCTCGGCCTCCCAAAGTGCTCACAGGCGTCAGCCACTGCACCCGGCCCCACACATCCGAATTCTACCAGATGTACAAAGAAGAACTGATACCAATTCTATTGAAACTTTTCCAGAAAATCGAGGAGGAGGGGCTTCTCCTTAACTCATTCTAAGAAGCCAGCATCATCCTGATACAAAAATCTGGCAGAGACACAATGAAAATGAAAAACTTCAGGCCAATATCCTTGATAAACATAGATGTAAAAATCCTCAACAAAATACTAGCAAACCAAATCCAGCAGCACATCAAAAAGTTAAACCACAATGATCAAGCATACTTTATTTCTAGGATACAAGGTTGGTTCAAAATATGCAAATCAACAAATGTGATTCATCACTAAGCAGAACTAAAGACAAAAACCATAAGGTCATCTCAATAGATGCAGAAAAAAGCCTTTGGTAAAATCCAACGTCCCTTCATGATAAAAACTCTCAACATATTATGCTGAGAGTTCAACATATAATATTGAAGGAATATACCTCAAAATTATAAGAGCCATCTATGACAAACCCACAACCAACATCATACCGAATGGGCAAAAGCTGGAACCATTCCCTTTGAAAATTGGAACAAGACAAGGATTCCCACTCTCACCACTCCTATTCAACATAGTATTGGAAGTCCTGGTCAGATAAATCAGGCAAGAGAAGGAAAGAAAATGCATATGAACAGGAAAAGAAGGAGTCCAAACTCTCTCTTTGCCAATATTATTCTACACCAAGAAAACCCTAAAGACTCTGCCAAAAGGCTTCTGGAAATGATAAACAAATTCAGTAAAGTTTCAGGGTACAAAATCAATATACAAAAATCAATAGCATTTTTATACATCAATAACATTCTACCTGAGAACCAAATCAAGAACACAATCCCATTTACAATAGCCACAAAGGAAATGAAATACCTATGAATTCATCTAACCAAGGAAGTGAAAGATCTCTACAAGGAGAACTACAAAGCACTGCTGAAAGAAATCAGAGACTATACAAATAAATAAATGGAAAAATGTTCCATGCTCATGGATTAGAATGATCAATATAGTTAAAATGGCCATACTGCCCAAAGCAATTTACAAGTTCAATGCAATTCTTATTAAAATACCAACATCATTTTTCACAGAATAAGAAAAACCTATTCTAAAATTCATTTGGAACCAAAAACAGAGCCCGAATAGCCAAAGCAATTATAAGAAAAAAGAAAAAAAAGCCATAGGCATCATATTGCTTGACTTCAAACTCTACTACAGTATACAGCTACCGTAATCAAAACAGCATGATACTGGTACAAAAACAGACAGTGGAACAGAATGGAAAACCCAGAAATCTACCTGCACACCTACAACCATCTGACAAAATCAACACAAATAAGCAGCAGGGAAAGGAGTCTCTATTCAAAGAATGGTGGTGGAATATCTGCCTAGGCATATGCAGAAAAATAAAACTGGACCCCTAACTCTCACCATACTCAAAAATGAACTCAAGATGGATTAAAGATTTAAATCTAAGATTACAAACTATAAAAATCCTAGAAGAAAACCTAGGAAATACCCTTCTAGACATGGGCTTTGGCAAATGATTTATGCTAAGTCCCCCAGAGCAATTACGACAAAACCAAAAATTGATAATTGGGGCCTAATTAAACTAAAGAGCTTTTGCACAGCAAAAGAAATTACCAACAGAGTAAACAGACAGCCTACAAAATGGGAGAAAATACTTGCAAACTATGCATCTAAGGTCTAATATCCAGAATTTACAAGGAACTTAAATCAATGAGAAAAAAAAACCAATTAAGGAATGAGCAAAGGACATGAACACTTTTCAAAAGGAGACATACACATGGCCAAAACAAACATAAAAACATGCTCAACATTACTAATCATCAGAGACATACAAATCAAAACCAAGATGAGGTACTATCTCACACCAGTTAGAATGGCAATTATTTAAAAAGTCAAAAAATAACAGCCGTCGGCGAGGCTGCAGAGAAAAGAGAATGCTTATCTACTTTTGGTGGAAATGCAAGCTAGTTCAGCCACTGTGCAAAGCTGTTTGGAGATTTCCCAAATACCTTAAAACAGAACCACCATTCAGTGCTGCAATCCCGCTACTGGGTATATACCCAAAGGAAAATAATTCATTCTATCATCAAGACAAATGCACCTGTATGTTCATTGCAGCACTACTCACAATAGTAAGGACATAGAAACAACCTAAGTGTCCATCAACAGTGGACTGGATAAAGGATATGTGGTACACATACACCATGGAATACTACACAGCCATAAAAAGGAATGGAATCATGCATGTCCTTTGCAGCAACATGGATGGAGCTGGCGGCCATTATCCTAAGTGACCTAAAAGAAGAACGGAAAATCAAATAACACATGTTCTCACTTACAGGTGGGAGCTAAACACTGAAGACACATGATCGTAAAGGTGGTAACAATAGACACTAGGGATCACTAGATGAGGGAAGGAGGGAGGGAAGCATGTGCTGAAGAACCACCTGTTGGGTACTGAGCTTATGGCCTGGGAGATGGGATCACTGGGACCCCAAACCTCAGTGTCACATAATCTACCCATGCAACAAACCTGCACATGTACCCTTTAATCTACAATAAAAGTTGAAATTTAAAAAGGACTTAATATCTGAAATAAAAAGGCAAAAAACTAAAAAAAAGTAATAAAACCAGCTTTTGTAAACAGAATATGAAAATAGACATGTCTCCTGAAAGTTTCATCTGACTCTATGAATTGAGTTCACATTCAAATGTCTGAGACACCAACTAAGTGAAGTAGCAAGGTGAAGTGCATAGAGAGGGCGACCTCTTTTCTGGAGGCCAGCGTTTCTCATCTCCAGCTGATTGTCAATATATAGAAATGGAAATTCAGTATTGTCTGATCATGAAATTTTTCATAAAATGTTGGAAATTTTAATTTTTATCTGAAAGCTTCCAATGACTAAGTGATGACAATTACTTGAAAATGTTTCAAAACCCTCTCTAAAACTTGCTGTACTTCAACCAGATGTCTATTATCTTGCTGCATCCAATCTCAGCTCTAAAGGTTTGCCTTATACTTTATGAATTCCACCTTCGCCTTTCATTTCTACTCACATTGTGTTCTCAAAAGCATATTACTGGAATAAAATTACATGCTTGTATACATGCTTGTATATTGACATTTATCTCCAAACACAAATAACCTAGGAAGACAGTTTGCCAATGAGATGTTTTTTGAGACTGACATTTTTTTTTCCGAGACGTAGTCTTGCTCTGTCACCCAGACTGGATGGAGTGCAGTGGTGCGAACTTGGCTCACTGAGACCTCTGCCTCCCGGATTCTTCCGCCTCAGCCTCCTGAGTAGCTGGGACTACAGGCACGTGCCACCACGCCTGGCTAATTTTTGTATTTTTAGTAGAGATGGGGTTTCACCATATTGGCCAGGCTGGTCTTGACCGCCTGACCTCATGATCCACCCGCCTCGGCCTCCCAAAGTGCTGGGATTACAGGCATGAGCCACCGTGCCCGACTGAGATTGACTTGTATGCTCAGAAGTGCATTTGCTTTTAAAAACTTGACATTCAGTATACTTAAATATCTAGGTTTTTTTTGTACTTTTTGTGTGTGTGTGAGACAGGGCCTTGCTTGGTCACCCAGGCTGAGTGCAGTGGCTCAACCATGTTTCACTGCAGCCTTGACCTCCTTGGCCCAAGTGATCCTCCCACCTCAGACTCCCAAATAGCTGGGACTACAGGTATGCACCATCATGCCAAGCTAAATTTTAAAATTATTTCCCTTTCAATTCAAGGGGGGATGGGGTATGTTTTAGAGACACGGTCTTGTTACGTTGCACAGGCTGGTTATGAACTCCTGGGCTCAAGAAATTCTCCCACCTCGGCCTCCCAAAGTACTGGAATTATAGGCATGAGTCACCCTGCCTGGCCTTCTTTGTACTTCTAAATTTAGTTTTAAAAATTCATATTCTATTTTTGTATTTCAATAAAAGATTTTAAGGGGACTTTACTATATGATCTCAGTTTAAAACTTAATTAAACTCTAATATTTTATATTGGATTTATAATATATTTGACTTCCTTTTAAAATACTGTTTTGCAATTGTCTAATATAACAAATATTCCCAAGTAGATAAGCATTTTTATAAATTGAGTAAATTAAGCTTATAGATATGATAAATTTAAGTTCTTACATATTATAATATTAAATATAAATGTCATAATCTTTCAGCTTAAAATTCTAAATCTTTATCAGCTACTAAAATTTCAGTTTTTAATTTGGATTATAGTACTAATACATTAATATATATGAAATACTGATATATAGTTACAATGTTAGGTCAAAATATAGATTTTTTTAACAAAAATTATTAATTCCATGATTCAGATTTTCTTAAACACTTATGTGCCTAATACTAAATCTTGAGGTTAAAAAGATACTTCACAATGAAAGATATTATTATGTTAGCTAAACAATTGTTTGTAACCTGGGATGACTGAGATTTTTATATACAACCAGAGCTATAGACCATGGTACTTACTGCAGTGCTGTCTGAGATGTCAAAAGAATACCAAGCCCTATTAATTATTTAGAATATAGAGGCGATATCCTACTTCTTAGGGCATGTATACTTCACATCGCCTGGTTCAAATCACTACTATTGCTGTGCTGGAGCTGGTCTATTCAGGTTCATAAGAAGTGATTGTTAAAATTTCAGGAATTGTGCAAGCCAATTGTTAAATCTGGCCATTATATAATTATATAAACATACAATTAAATAAATTGTATTAAAAACAAAAAAATAAGTTGGAGATACAGACATGAACAAAACATATGCACATAAACAAAGCAATTCCTGTCCTTTCATTTCAGAGGGGATGGGATATGTTGGTCTCAAATCTGAGCCAAGATTTCTGAACCATTACCATCTCTGTTATAGAGTGACTGGTCCATGGTGGCCCTGGACTGGTTACTATGGGGTATGGTTACTATGAGGTATGTATGGTTCTTCTTGTGTCCTTAAAAGGACAAGTGAGAGCTTCTGGAACCCCAGTACACCACACACAAGACACAGGAATAGGAAACTCTCTTTAGGCTCATGAGGTTGAACACTTTCTACTGCTGCTGGTCCATCATTATTCCACACTATTGCAGAAATGGCTGCATCTAGAATTTTCTTAGCTTTTTGTGCCCTTCATATTCAAGAAAAATTATTCAGACACTGTTAAAAATGGTAAGTGAGATTTATTCAAAACTATTGTAAGAGGGGTCATGACTTAGCAATAAAGAAGAGAAATTGAGCTCAACTCCAAATACAATAAAGACAGGAGTTGGAAGTTACAGCCAACAAGCACAATGAAGGCATCAGTGGATGCAAAACTACTAAAAGGAGAGGGCAGAGGGATTCTTGCTAAAGGCAGGCTAAGGATTTAGACATCAAGGGTGAGAAGTGAAGAACTTGATCAGATATCAAGGGTGAAGGATTCTCACTAAACTGAATTAGCAGGATTCTTATTAAAGACAGACCAAAGTAGAGGCTTAGTCAAGAAGGCTCAGAGGAGCCTAACTAAAATTTGGTCAAGGAGGAAATCTTTGTCACTCGTGCACCCAAGAAAGACAGCCATTAGCCCTGGAGTTCTTGAACTCTCCCATTCTCATCAGGATGTTTCTAGAATCTTTAACAACCACAATAGAAGAGGATAAATGAGAACCCTGGTGCCTAACCTCTTTGCTCTCATTCTGACCTCTTTATAACCCCTTATTCTAGAAAATATGGGATTCATTTTCTTCTTTCATGTCATAACTTCTTTTACCATGGGGCAGCAAGCCTCCTTGGAGAGCCGTCAGAATGGATGAGGGATTTTTTGTTTCGTTATAGAAGAAACTCTCTTTCTGATATCACTTAATATCTGTGAGTTGTGGGAACGATTTGGAACTAATAATTTCTGAAGTAAAAAATGCATTACTTTAAAATCACCCAAAATTATTCTGAATACATATGCATTATGTCTTTAATGCCCACAATAATGATAATATTATTTTGACTAAGGAAACCACAGCTGGAAGAAGTTAAATATCTATCTGGCTTCTGCTTCAAACATAGTTTTTTCTCTTTAGTATAGTATTTTAGAGAATCATTGACACAGTTTCTATTGACTTCAGTATATTGACTAAAAGGCCTTAGCATGTTCATCTTGTAGAAATGTATTTGTAGAAATTTGAAGCTGAAAGTGGTAGTAGTTTCATTTACGGAAAGGCTAGATGGAATGGGAAGGACTTTTGCTAATACTTCAGTGGCAGGATAACTTTCTGAGATATTAATTTGGGTTTTTTTCCCTCGATGTCATGAGGATTGAAACCAACGTAATTCTGTGTCTTTATGTTAAACAATTCTGAGATTAGGCATACTTTCCTGGCTTAAACAATACTGAAAACAAGTAAAAATAACTTAGCTATTTGCTCTAGGAATCACTGCTTTCAGAAATAATATTGTAAACCGACTAAAACAGCTTACCTACCACCCCAAACAGCTTATTTGTAAGACTAATTTCATGACCCTGGCTTTGCTGTACCAATACATTTCAGTCTTGAAATATCCATCACAAAATCACACAACTCAGACCCTAAAACACTATGAATAAATGTCTTCTCCTGGCTTTCCGCTCCTCATAATAGGTTAAGGTGGAGTTCTCTCTTACAGCATTAAGTTTAATAAACTTAGTTCTGGTGACCTTTGGGGGCAGTCAACAATCCAAAGCTGTTAACATACTAGAAAGGGAACAAAGTGTTTATTTTCTGAGTCTGACTCCCTTTACTCTGGGGGTTATAGTTGACCTTTATGTTTATGTAGAATAAAACATGTTTCCAAGGACTGGTAGATACCGTTCCCCTAGGCTTGCACACATTTTTCTTTAGGAATCTAAGCTCTCAGTGGTGAGGGAGACAGGAAATGAATTTGGGGAGAGCAACTGGAGGAATGTGGAAGAAAAGTGGAGTGGGCTAGACTTAAGCTCATTCTCCTGCAGCATCTAATACTGACACTGACATGAGATGTTGAACAATAGGCCCTAGGGCCTTCAGTCTGAGAAAATATCTTTGTACCTTGGCTGGGAGGGAGCAGAGGCACCCCATTCCTGGGTAATTTTTCAATAGCTATCATAAGGAAAATGTCCTGCCCTAATTTTGGAAATTCACTCCAGGGTGTGGGGAGGGCTGTCCCAGGGCAAAACAGATTTTATTTCCCATGAACATGCAAAGAGGAGATTCACAGCTAGATTGAATTTTCTCTCTACTCCTAATGGAAAGTCTTTTCTCTGCCAGGACAGGAGAGTCTGTTTCACTTTACTAGTAAATATTTCCTTGCCTCTGTCTTTCTGTAAGAAACTTGATTCTCCTTAGATGAATCCACTTGGCAAGCATTAGAACTTCTCTCGTCCTCAGTTTCCTCCAAGACTCTGTGGATGACGAATTAGGAAATAGCTTATGTGGGTGGTTCTGGCTTGGCATCTCTCATGAAGTTTCTTCTTCTGATAAACAGATATATAAAAGATGTTTTAAGAGAATGCAAGTAGTTCAGGTGATTCAGAATAGTGTTATTTTAGTGAACAGAAATTTTCAGCACTCTATGCAATGTATTCTTTTTTTTTTTCTTTTTTTGAGACGGAGTCTCACTCTGTCGCCCAGGCTGGAGTGCAGTGGTGTGATCTTGGCTCACTACAAGCTCCACCTCCTGGGTTCACGCCATTCTCCTGCCTCAGCCTCCCGAGTAGCTGGGACCACAGGCGCCTGCCACCACGCCCAGCTAATTTTTTGTATTTTTAGTAGAGACGTGGTTTCGTCATGTTAGCCAGGATGGTCTCAATCTCTTGACCTCGTGATCCACCCGCCTCAGCCTCCCAAAGTGCTGGGATTACAGGCATGAGCCACGGCACCTGGCCCATGCAATGTATTCTGTTGACACATGTATAAAAAAGGTTTCTGATGCAGGTGCACCCCAAAATTAGGGCTTAGCCTGGGAAGGTCCTTGGCTTTGCTCAGGAAAGAATTCAAGAGCACACTAACAACGAAAGAAAGCAAATGTATTAGAGCAATAGTGTACAGCAAAGTGACCTCTCATAGGCACAGCAGCCCAGAGCAGCAGCCACAGCCACAGCCCCCATGGGCTGCCAGCTAGCTATATTTATACCCACTCTTAATTAGATGCTAATTAAGGGGTGGGTTATTCAGAATTTTTTAGAAAAGGGACAGGGGAGTACCCAGAGCCATACAGAGTAAGTTCTGGGTTGTTGCCCATGCTAATGAGCATGGTCATTAGCCCATGCTAATGAGCATGGTGAGGACAATGAGTGGTCACTTTTGTCACCAGGTACCGGTTTTTTCTCTCTCTCTCTTTTCTTCTCTTTTTTTTTTTTTTTTACTGCATCCTGTTTTAATCAGTAGGGTCATTACCAGTGCTCAGAAAACAAGTCCTGTTGATCTACCTCATTTGTAAGAATATAAGTTGTCCAGTGATTCAGAACAATGATGTTCACTGTTCTTAATCTTGTAAACAGTTATGACACATGTATAAAAGATATGTCTAACAGTGTTAGTTGCATACATGATTCAACGGTTATTTTGGTGAATGGAAGTGTGCACCACTCTCCATCTAATACATTCTATTGTATAGCACTTATATTTTATTTTTGAAACATTTTCATTGTATATATTTAAAGTGGACAACATGTTTTGATATACATATACACAGTGAAATGATTACTGCAGTCAAGTCTATTAACATATCTATGATTTCATGTAGTTACCATTTTTTGTGGTTAAGAGCACATACAATCTACTCTCTTCACGAATTTCCAGTAAACAATATTAACTGTAGTCCTCATGCTGTATTTTACATCTGTAGATTTATTCATCCCACATAACTGTTACTTTATACCTTTTAACTTAATCTCCCCATTTCCCTTTCCCCGCCTCTGATAATCACAGTACTACACTCTGCTTCTGTGTATTCAACTTTTATTATTATTTTTTTAGATTCCACATACAAGAGAGGTTATGTAGTGTTTTTCTTTCTGTGCCTAGCTTATTTCACTCAGTACAATGTCCTTTAGGTTTATCCGTGTTGTCAAAAATGGCTGGATCTCCTTTTCTAAGGCTGAATAATATTCAATTTTGTATATAGATATACACACAACCTCTGCAATTTTTCATCTATTTATTTCTCGGCAATTAGATTATTTACATATCTGGGCTATTACAAATAATTCTGAAATGAACATTGGAGTGCAGATCTCTCTACAAGGTGTTGATTTCATTTCCTCTGGGTATATACCCAGAAGAGGGATTGCTGGGTCATATGGTAGTTTAATTTTTTTCAGCAATCTTTGTATTGTTTTCCATAATGGTTACACCAATTTACATTCTCATTAACAGTGCAAAAGGGTTTTTGTTTCTCTATACCTTGCCAATTTGTTATCTATTGTCTTTTTGATAATAGGCTTTGCATTTGCCTGATGATTAATGATATCGAACACATTTTCATATACCTGTTGGCCACTTTTTATGTCTTCTTTTGGGAAATGTTTGTTTATTCTGGTACTTTGCCTATTTTTTAATTGGGTTTTTGTTTTTTTCTTTTTGCTATTGATTTTCTTAAATATTTTGGATAGTAACCTGTTATCAGATATGTGGTTCACAAATATTTTCTCCTAATCTGTAGATTGCCTTTTCATTTTATCGATTATTTCCTTTGCTCTGTAGAAGCTTTTCGGTGTGATGTAGTCATACTTGTTTGTTCTTGCTTTCATTGCCTGTCCTATCAGAAAAATCATTGCCAAGGCCAATATGTATCAGCTTCTTTCCTATGTTTTCTCCTAGGTGTTTTACAGATTCAAGTCTTATGTTTAGGCCTTTAATCTGTTTTGAGTTGACTTTTGTCTTGGTGTAAGATAAGCGTCCAATTTCATCCTTTTGCATGTGGATATCCAGTTTTCCCAACACTAGATATGAAAGAGACTAAACTTGCCCCATTGTGTCTTCTTGGTGTCTTTGTCTAAGACACTTCTATGACAGTTTTTTCTCAGACGGGTACTTGTTTACGTGACTCACAACAGTGAATGGAAATGTTCACCACTCATCACGCCATCTAACACACTGTGTTAAGACACATGTAAAGACTGTTCTAATAGTACCAGTTGCAACTATAACTGAAAATAGTATTATTTTAGTAAATGGAAGGGTGCACTACTCTTAACTTCATCTAAAACACTCTTAAAACAATGTATTGAAGCTATTTCTAAGAATGTAAGTTGCACAGGTGATTGAGAAGAGTGTTATTTCAGTCACTGGGTGTGTTCAACACTCTTAACACCATATAATAAAAGATGTTTCTAAAAAGTGCTGGTTGAGTGTATCTTTCAGAACAGTGTTATTTCAGTAAATGGAGTGTTTACCCACAATTCTAATACACTCTGTTAAGATCCATGTATGAAATATGTTTGTAAGAGTGATTTTTGCAAGCTCAATTCACAACAGTATTTCAGTAAATGGAAGTGTTCAATATTTTTAATTCAATATTTATTACATTTAATTAATCAACTTGTATAAAAAAGTTTCTTTATATTATTTATTTATTTTTCATAGAGACCGGGTCTCACTAAATTGCCCAGCTGGTCTCGAACTCCTGGGTTCAAGCGATCCTCCCACATTAGCCTCCCAAAGTGCTGGAATTACAGGAGTGAGCCACCATCTCTGGCCGAAAAAAGTTTCTAGGAGTGGTAGTCATGCATGTGATTCAAAACAACCTTATTTCAGTGAACGAAAGTTTTCAGCCCTCTTAACTTCACTTAATGCACTCTGAGAAGATACCTACAAAAGATGTTTTTTAGGACGGAAGTTGAACATCTGATTCAGAACATCATTATTTCAGTGAACAGAGTTTAGCCCTTCAATGGCCAACACTCTGTTAATGCACATATATAAAAGGTGTTTCTAGGAGTGCTGGTTGTTTCCATGATTCAGACAGGTTTTTTTTTTCTTATTATTTCATCATTTTTAACTCCATTTGTATACTTTGTTCAAACATAAGTATAAATGATATTCTCAGAATGCAAGTTGCACAGTTGATTCAGAATAGTGTGATTTCAGTGAATGGAGCAGTTCACCACTCGTAACACCATTTATAAAATCTCTCAGGTCACATGTATAAAAGACGTTTCCAAGGGTTCATGCATGTGACTCAAAAAAGTATTATTTCAGTTAATGGAAGTTCTTCATTCTTAACTTCACCTAATATGTGTATACTCCTTTAAGACAAGTGTGTAAAAATGTTTCTACAATTGATAGTTGTGCTTGCTACTCCAATCAGTATTTCAGTTAATGGAAGCGCTCACCACTTTTATGCCCATGTAATACACTTTCATAGAGCACATATAAAGATCTTTATAGGAGTGCTAGCTTCACATGTGCTCCAGTATTATTTCAATGAAAGTGTTCACTGCTCAACTCCATTTAATACACTGTAGTGAGACACATGTACAAAATATGTTTGTAAAGGAGCTATTTGTGTGGCGTTTGAGAATTGTTATTACCACTCTTAACTTCATTTTTTATACCTTGCCAAAACACATGTATACAAGATGTTTCTATAATTGTTAATTGGATGCATGAATCGGAACAATTTTGAGTGAATGAAAGTGTTCACCACTCTTAACTCCATCTGAAATTCCCCATTAAGACACATGTATGAAAGATGTTTCTAAGATTGCTAATTTATGCATGATAGATGAAAGTGTCATTTCAGTGAATGGTTTAGTTTGCTGCTCATCTCTTTCTAATACATCCTGGCAGACACATGTATAAAGGCATTTCTGGGAGTACTCATTATGTGCATGGTTCAGAACAGTATCAATCCAATGAATGAACATATTCAACTCTGTTGACTCCATCTAACACACTCTATTAAGATTCACGTGTAAAAGCTATTTGTAAGAGCACTACTTGTGTAAATGATTAAGAACAATGTTAATTCAATGGATAGATGTTTTCATCACTCAACTGTATTTAATACACTCTGTGAAGACATTAGATGTTTCTAAGAATTCTATTTTATATATTATTTAGGACAATGTTATTTTGTGTGAATGGAAGGTCTCTCCACTTTTATGTCATCTAATATACTCTGCTAGGCACATGTGCAAAATACACTTCTAAGACTGCTAGTTGCATGACTGATTCAGGACACTGTTATTTTAGGAAATGAAATGCTCATCAATTCTGTATAAATGTGCTCTGTTAAGGCATATCCACAAACTATATTTCTAAGAATGCGAGTTGCACAAGTGATTCAGCACACTTTGATTTCAATGTATTCACCACTCTTAAACCTTAAAATTTATTATATATGTTAAATCACATATATGAAAAGTACTCTCGTGAGTTCTAGTTGCACATGTGATTCTGAAAGTGTTATTTCAATGAATGTGTTAATCACTCTTAACTCCATGTAAAACACTTAGTAACACTAATATGTAAAGGACTTTACTAGGAGTGTTGCATGTATGATTGAGAACAGCGTTGCTTCAGTGAATGGGAATATTTACCATTTTTATATCGTAATATGCTCTTATGACAAATGTATAAAATATATCTCCAAGAGTGTTAGTTGTATTCAATTCAGAATATTTTTATTTTATGGAAGTGTTCACTTTTATGTCTATCTAATACTCTTTTAAGATAAGTATACAAAAGATGTTTCTAAGTTTCTAGCTGTGTAGTGATTCAGAATAACATGGTCACTGAAAAGAAGCGCTCAACACTCAAAACTCAATCTATTACATTCCATTATGACACATGTAAACTTTCTTCTAGGAGTGCTGGTTGTGCACGTGATTAAGAACTGTGTAATTTCAGCTTAAAGATGTGTTTGAGGCACTTAATACTACTGTGGTATGACACATGTACAAAATAAGTTTCTAACACAAGTCCTTGCCTGCATGACTCAACATTTTTTTCATTGATTAAAAGTGTTCACCATTCTTAAGTTCATTTAATACATTCTTTTAAGACACACTTACCAGACTGTTTCTAAGGGTATGAATTATATGCTTGATTTACAACAGTTTTATTTCAGTAAATAGAAGTGTTCATCACTCAAACTCCATCTAGTAGACTTAAAACACATATATTAAACACATGTTGAACTTGGTAAGTTGTGCAAGTAATTCAGAATGTGTGAATTCAGGGAAGGGATATGTTAACTACTCTTAGCTATTGTAATACATTCTGTTAGGACACATGTATAAAAGATGTTTCTAAGAGTGCTGGTGTGCAGCTTATCTAGAAAAGTTTTATTTATTTATTGACTTATTTTTTTCTTTTTAGCATCAGGTTGGTGAAAATATTTTTTTATTTTAATTGACAGATAAATGCTTATTTTAATTGACATATATTTATTTATTTTTAATTGACAGATAAAAATATTTATTTATGTTTTTATTTTTTAGTTTTTTTGAGACGGACTCTTGCTCTGTCGCCCAGGCTGGAGTGCAGTGGCGCGATCTCAGCTCACTGCAAGCTCCGCCTCCCGGGTTCACGCCATTCTCCTGCCTTAGCCTCCTGAGTGGCTGGGACTACAGGTGCCTGCCACCACACCCAACTAATTTTTTTTGTATTTTTAGTAGAGATGGGGTTTCACCGTGTTCGCCAGGATGGTCTCAATCTCCTGACCTTGTGATCTGCCCGCCTCATCCTCCCAAAGTGCTGGGATTACAGGCGTGAGCCACCGTGCCCGGCCAAAAATATTTATTTTTAACTGACAATTTTTAATTGACAGATGACATTGTATGTTTTTATCATGTACAGTATTGTTTTGGAGTACACACATATTGTGAAATGGGTATATCTAGCTTATGATTATTATGAATTTTGAGAAAGAGTGTAGCTCTGTTGCCCAGGCTGGAGTGCAATGGCCTGATCTTGGCTCACTGCAACCTCCGCCCCTGGATTCAAGCAATTCTTGTGCCTCAGCCTCCTGAGTAGCTGGGATTACAGACATGCACCACTATGCCCAGCTAATTTTGGTATTTTTAGTGGAGACGGGTTTCATCATGTTGGCCAGGCTGGTCTCAAACTCCTGACCTCAGGTGATTCGCCTGCCTCAGCCTCCCAAAGTGCTGGGATTACAGGCATGAGCCACTGTGCCCACCCAAATCCAGCTAATTAAATGCATCAACTAACATAGTTATTATTTTTGTGGTAAGAACATGTAACAGTAGCTCTCTTTACATTTTTTCAAGAATATAATATATTGGCTGGGCAGGGCAACTCATGCCTGTAATCCTTGCACTTTGGGAGGCCAAGGCAGGAGATCCCTTGAGGCCAGGAGTTCAAGGGCAACCTAGACTCCATCTCTACAAAAAAATTTTTAAAAATTATTTGGGCATGGTGGCACATACCTGTAATCCCAGCAACTCGTGAGGCTGTGGTGGGAGGATCACTTGAGCCCAGGAGGTTGAGGCTTCAATGAGCTGTGATTGAGCCACTGCACTCCAGCCTGGGTGACAGAGTGAGAACCTGTCTCAAAAAAACAAATGAAAGAATACAATATATCATTATTGTATTAACTGTAGTTAATCATTAACTAAACTGTATCATCTTGCTGTACAGTAGACCTCTTGAAATTTATTCCTTTTATCTAATTGTAATTGTATATCTTTTTACCAACATCCCCCTATCCTCTCTTCCCCACTGAACACTCCAGCTTCTAGTAACTACCATTCTACTCTCTACTTTTATGAGATCAACTTTTTTAGATTCCACATGTAAGTGATATAATGTGGTATTCGTTTTTCTGTGCCTGGCTTATACCATTTAACATAACGTTCTCTAGGTTTATCCATGTTGTCAAAATGGAAGGGTTTCATTATTTTTTGTAACTAAATGGTATTACATTATGCACATAGACTGCATTTTGAAAATTTGTTCCTCCATTTATTGACACTTGGGTTGATTTCATATCTTTGCCCTCGTGAACAGTGCTGCAATAAATATGGGAGTGCAGGTGTCTCTTTGACATGTCGATTTAATTTCCTTTTGATATAGACCTAGTAGTGGGATGGCTGAATCATATGGTAGTTCTATTTTAATTAAATAATTATTTATAATTCATACAAAAAGTATATGTATTTATGGAGTACAATGTGACGTTTCAGTGCATGAATACATTGTATAATGATCAAATCAGGGTAGTTACTATATCCATCACTTTCAACAATTATCACTTCTTTTTGGTGATAACATTCGAAATAATCCTTTCTTGAAATACACACTAAATTGTTTTTAGTCATCCTACTGTGAAATAGAACACCAGAACTTATTATTCCTGTCTAACCTTTTGCCAGTTGACTAACCTGTTCTAGTCCTTCCTCCATCCTTCCAAGGATCTAGTAACCACTATTCTACTCTATACTTTTATGAAATCAACTTATTTCTATTCCTTATGTAAGTGTGATCATATGGTGTTTGTCTTTTTGTGCCTGGATTGTTTCACTTAAGATAATGGCCTCCTGTTCCACCTATGTTGCTGCAAAAAACATGATTTCATTCTTTCTTATGGCTGTATAGTATACCATTGTATAAATATACCACATTTTATTTATTGATTTATCTTGTTCATGAACACTTAGGCTGATTCCCTATATTTGCTATTGTGAATAGTGTGATAAATACACAAGTACAGGTTTTTGATACCTGTACTTGTACACTTAGGTTGACTTCATATCTTTGCCATAAATTTATCACAACACTATTCACAACAGCAAATATAAGGAATCAACATAACCTCTATCGAAAAGGTACTTGTACTTGTATATTTTTGATACAAGTACAGGTCTTAAAAAATACCTGTAAAAAATACCTGTACAAATAAAAAATCTTTTTGATTTTTTTAAATTAAGAGGTGGATACCTAGTAGTAGGATTGCTATAGTACATGGTAATTTTATTTTCATTTCTTTGAGAAATTGCCATACTGTTTTTCATAGAAGTTGTACTAATTTACATTCCCATCAAAAGTATGTAAGAATTCCCTTTTCTCTGCATTCTCACAAACACCTGTTATTTTTTCTCTTTCAATAGTAGCCATTCTGACAAGGGTAAGATGATATCTCATTGGGGTTTTAATTCACATTTCTCTGATAATTAGTGATGTTGATAATTTTTTCACATGAAGAACATAAAACAGAACTACCATCTGACCCAGCAATCCCATAACTGGGTATACACTCTAAGGAAATAAAATTATTCTACCAAAAAGACACCTGTACTCGTGTGTTTATTGCAGCAGTATTCACAATAGTGAAGACATGGAATCAATCTAGGTGCTCAACAATGGTGGACTGGATAAAGAAAATGTGATATAAATATATTCTGGAATACTATGCAGCCAGAAAAAATAAAATCATATTGATATGGTTTGGCTTTGTGTCCCCACCCAAATCTCATCTTGAATTGTAATCCCATAATCCCCACATGTCACAGGAGGGACCCAGTGGGAGGTAACTGAATCATGGGGGCAGTTTTTCTCCATGCTATTCTCATGACAGTGAGTGAGTTCTCATGAGATCTGATAGTTTTATAAGGGGCTTTCCCCTTCACTTGGCATTCATTCTCTCTACAGCCACCCCATGAAGAGGTGCCTTCTGCCATTATTGTAAGTTTCCTGAGGCCTCACCAGCCATTAAAAACTATGAGTCAATTAAACTTCTTTTCTTTACAAATTACTCAATCTCAGGTATTTCTTCATAGCAGCATGAAAATGATCTAATATAGTAAATTGACACCACAGAGAGTGTGGTGCTGCAGTAAAGATACCTGAAAATGTGGAAGCGACTTTGGAACTGGGTAACAGGCAGAAGTTGGAATAGTTTGGAGGGCTCAGAAAAAGACAGGAAAATGTGGGAAAGTTTGGAACTTCCTAGAGAATTGGAGGGGTCAGAAGACAGGAAGATGTGGGAAAGTTTGGAACTTCCTAGAGACTTGTTGAATGGCTTTGACAAAAGTGTGGATAGTGATATGGACAATGAAGTCCAGGCTGAGGTGGTCTCAGATGGAGATGAGGAACTTGTTGGGAACTGGAGTAAAGGTGACTCTGTGACTGGTGGCATTTTGTCCCTGCCCTAGAGATCTGTGGGACTTTGAACTTGAGAGAGATAATTTAGGGTGTCTAGTGGAAGAAATTTCTAAGGGGCAAAGCATTCAAGAGGAAGCAGAGCATAAAAGTTTGGAAAATTTGCAGCCTGACAATGCCATAGAAAAGAAAGCCCCATTTTCTGGGGAGAAATTCAAGCCAGCTGCAGAAATTTGCATAGTAATGAGGATTTAAATATTAATCACCAAGATAATGAGGAAAATTATCTCCAGGGCATCTCGGAAACCTTCACAGCAGACCCTCCCATCACAGGCCTGGAGGCCTAGGAGGGAAAAATGGTTTTGTAGGGACCTAGGGCCCCCCTGCTCCATGCAGCCTTGGGACAGGGGCTCTGCATCCCAGCTGCTTCAGCTCTAGCCATGGCTAAAAGGAGCCAAAGTACAGCTCAGGCCATTGCTTCAGAGCGTGCGAGCCCCAAAGCCTTCACAGCTTCTATGTGGTGTTTGTCCTGTGGGTGCAAAGATGACAAGAATTGAGGTTGGGGAACCTCCACCTAGATTTCAGAGGATGTATGGAAATCCCTGGATGTTCACGCAGAAGCCTGCTGCAGGGGCAGAGCCTTCACAGAGAACCTCTGCTAGGGCAGTGAAGAAGGTAAGTTTGGGGCTGGTAGCCCCATCAGAGTCCCCAATGGAGCACTGCCTAGTGAAGGTGTGAGAACAGGGCCATCATCCTCCAGACCCCAGAATGGTAGATATATTGTCCGCTTGCACCATGTGCCTGGAAAAGCCACAGGCACTCAACATCAGCCCATGAAAGCAGCCAGGAGAGAGGCTGTAAACTGCAAAGCCCTGGGAGTGGAGCTGCTAAGGCTGTGGGAGCCCACCTCATGCATCGGCATGACATGGATGTGCGACATGGAGTCAAAGGAGATTATTTTGGAATTTTAAGCTTTGACTGCCCTATTGGATTTTGGGTTTGCATAGGTCCTGTAGCCCCTTTATTTTGGCCACTTTCTCTTATTTGGAACAGGTGTATGTACCCAATGCCTGTACCTCCATTTTATCTAGGATGTAACTAACTTGCTTTTAATTTTACAGGCTCATAGGTGGAAGGGGCTTGTCTTGTCTCAGATGAGACTTTGGACTTGCTTTTTTGGGTTAATGCTGGAATGAGCTTAGACTTTGGGGTACTGTTGGAAAGGGCATGATTGTGTTTTGAAATGTGAAGACATGAGATTTGGGAGGGGCCAGGAGAAGAAGGATATGGGTTTTTTGTGTCCCCACCCAAATCTCCACTTGAGCTGTAATCCCATAATCCCCACATGTCATGGGAGGGACCCAGTGGGAAGTAATTAAATCATGAGGGCAGTTCCCCTCCATGCTGTTCTTGTGATACTGAGTTCTCACGAGATCTGATTGTTTTATAAGGGGCTTCCCTCTTAGCTTGGCACTCATTCTCTCTCCTGCCACCCTGTGAAGAGGCGCCTCTGCCATAATTGTAAGTTTCCTGAGTCCTCCCCAGCCATTTGGAACTGTGAGTCAATTAAATCTCTTCTCTTTATAAATTACCCAGTCTCAGGTATTTCTTCATAGCAGCGTGAAAACTGACTAATGCTCATGTCTTGTGCAGTAAGATGGATACAGCTGGAGCCATTATCCGAACTAATCCAGGAACAGAAAATCAAATACCACATATCCTCTCTTATACATGGAAGCTAAACATTGGGTACACATGGACAAGATGGGAATAATAGACACTGGGGGGTTACTTGGTTGGGGGCAAAGGCTAAAAATCTACCTACTGGATACTATGCTCACTACCTGGGTGATGGGATCATTCATGCTCTAAACCTCAGCATCACACCATGTAACAAACATGTTACCCATGTAACAAACTTGCACATGTACCTCCAACTCTAAAATGAGATGAAATTATAAAATAAATTGTAGACACATTTGAAACCGGATTCTAAGACTGTTACTCTTAAGCTTATTTGTTAGTGTTAATTCTGTGATTTTAAGTTGTTACTATTGAGAAAAGAAAAAGAATAGCTCAGAACAGTCTGAGCTATGCAAAATTTACTAGGCCCAGAGAGACATGAGTATGGGGCTTCAGTTCTACCCCTAACACCCATGCCCAGGGACAACTGTTTAAAGTCATTTTTGTTCCTTAATAGCTGACCCACCCATTATACTCATGTTTCTGAAATTTTTGATACAAAGAACAATGTACAGCCAATCAATAAATTATGTTATGTTTGGTAAACAATTTGCATGGTGGCTTACACCTGTAATCCCAGCACTTTGGGAGGCCGAGATGGGCGGATCATGAGGTCAGGAGTTCGAGATCAGCCTTGCCAATATGGTGAAACCCCGTCTCTATTAATAATACAAAAATTAGCCAGGTGTGGTGGTGTGTGCCTGCAGTCCCGGGTACTTGGGAGGCTGAAGCAGAAGAATCACCTGAACCTGGGAGGTGGAGGTTACAGTGAGCCGAGATCACACCACTGCACTCCAGCCTGGGCGACAGAGAGAGGCTCTGTTTCAAAAATAAATAAATAATAAATAAAAATAAATTTAAAAATTTGGGAGCTGCCTCTTCTTTTTTCCTCAAAAATTCCCTTGTAACTATTGCTAATTGGAGTGTGTAATTTATATCATACAAATTATGATTTGAATTTGAAATCATTCAATCAACTTGAATCTATACTCCAGGGTAGATATCCTTAAGCTTTGTGCTTGAATAAACTCTCTTGAAAAAGCAACTTGAATAAAATAAACATTCCTGATTATTTTAGGTTAACATTTTGGTAACCACAAAAGGGTCCAAAGTGAACTTCCAGAGATTCCTCCATTTCACCAGCAATCAAGACCTTGGTACCAGCACAAACACATTTTGATTCACCCTGCCTTGCTGAGCCTCCACTGGTCTCTTTTAAGGAGTCTCTTCTTGGAGTGTGAGCCTCTCTGATTTTTGGGTTGAGATCCAGACTTTATTCAAATCCAATTCCACACTTGATGGGGCTGAAATTGAAGATCTATTTTAAGGCTTTAAGGTAGAAGTTTTGTTTATTATTCTCTAGAGATTCTCTGGACTGAAGATTTGTAATTTTCACTTTTCTCTGAGGTTAAGGTTTTGTTTGCCTTACTTGTTAGAGCTTGCAATCTTTTGTTTAGAATTTGGCCAAGGAGAAAACACATTTTTTCCAAAGGAGAAAGTGAAATCTTTGTAGCTTAACCAAAACCAAACATGCAAACAAGAACAAAAGCAAACAAACAAACAAAACAAAACCCAAAAAGTAATCTTTAAAACTGGCCAGATTCTGAAACTCAGTTTGTTACTAGTGGAAGGTGTCCAAGTTATTGGCAGCAAATCCATACAGGTCTGCAGCAATTCAATTCTTGCCTCCTCAAAAGAAAGAATTCAACCGAGGGGCATGAGGCAGAAGAGACTGAGGTGAGTTTCAGAGGAGTGGAAGTTTATTTAAAAAGGCTTTTAGAACAGGAAAGGAAAGAAGGAACACTTGAAAGAGACCCAAGCGGGTGACTTGAAGAACAAGTGCTGTGTTTATCCTTGATCCTACGACTTTATAGGCTCACCTCTTTCCTGTGATTCTTCCCTTAAGGTAGGCTGCCACATGCAGTGCCCTCCTTACCCTTGGGAACTGAGCATGCGCAGTGTGTTTACGAAGTTGTACGCATGCTCATCTGAGGACTTCATCCCTTTTCTGGTGGAGCTTCCCCAGAAGGTCATATTGTCTTCACCATTTTGTCTCTTAATGCACATGCCTAGGAAGTTGCTTCTCCCTGGCATCTGTATTCAATTAATACTTTAAAGTTAACAGCTGTGGATCATCAAGAGATTGACTCTCCCTGGCACCATCTGCTGAGCTATCATTTTCAGAGAGGCAGTGTGATGATTGTTGAACCATAACATGACATTTCCACTGGGTAGGGGGAAAAGAGCCTTCTCCTGCCCCACTCATGCCTGCCTAACTATCTGTAACAAGTTCAACTGACAAATCAAAACTGTCTTCTTGAGTGACCAAAATTCCTCCCCCCACTAGGCTTTTTTGGTCATTCAAAAGGAAAATCAAAATTACAGGGAAATGTATTTCTAAAGGAGTGATTCACCTTTAAAAACTCCAGCTGGATTCACAGACAATGGTGGCTCTTCATGTATATATTTAGAAAAAACTCTCCTGCATAACTCACGGAGAACCCAAGTTACAATGGCCAGAATAGGGTACCTTTGAAATGCCTAAACTGATTTGTTGGTATGTTCAGTTAGAAAAAGCTGGCTAAAATAAAACAGAATAACCAAGAGAGCTATTTTCAATGTACTTAGAAGCTTCTAACAAGAAGGTTCTAAAAAAGTAATTTTTTTTGCAAAAGGATAACAAAAGATTATTAATATCATTTTGTCAGTTGGTTTTTTCAGCATAAACTTCAGAGGGTAAGGGGATGCATCTCTTGGCTGCTACAGCTTGGCACTGTGAGCAGGATGCCAAAGCTGCTCTGCTTGAATTCATAGTGAATAAAACCCAGAATGTGACAAGCCAGCAGAAAGGGTAAGAATTTCTCAGCAGTCAGGTTCCCAGTCTCTCTGTGGAATCCAATAGAATGGACAAGGAAAAATCATTGTTCATCTCTTTTTCCTTGCAAAATTCCTATTAATATGAAAAAAGGACTTGTGTGACTCATCTTGGATGTAGTGACTCTGGTGTACTTTCTTGGTGAGAATAGGGTATTAAGTTGCTATTGGACTAAATACACCATTAGAAATTCTAATATCAGTGACCAAGAAATGGATCCTTTAAACTAGAATGACTCCTAAATTAGGACAAGATTTTAGACATCTCATTCTAAACAATCACCTTATTTGTATTTAGGGAAGATCAAATTAAAAGAAAGACATAATAGTGCCATGGCTAGCCTTAGAAATTCTCTCGACAAAATTAAAGAGCAAAAATCTAATCTAAAAAAGTTAGTCCTTTAAAAGCTCAAACTGCCTGCTTTGGATCCCTGTTGAGTTTACACACCACCCTGTGGTACAGCGGCAAAGATGCTGTGCTTTTGTGACTTCAGCCAGGGTTCGATTCCTGGTCAGCGGATCAATGCCACTTGTCTTATATTATACGTATGACTCTTTACCCCTTGGGGGCTGAACACAGGAAATCTGCGACGGGTCTCAGTTAATGTAGAAAGTTTATTTTGCCAAGGTTGAAGATGTGCCCGTGACACAGTCTGAGGAAGTCCTGACAACATGTGCCCAAGGTGGTGGGGACACAGATTGTGGCTTTTTTTTTCTTTGAGATGGAGTCTTGCTCTGTCACCCAGGCCGGAGTACAGTGGTGTGGTCTGGGCTAACTGCAACCTCCTCCCGGGTTCAAGCAATTCTCCTGCCTCAGCCTCCCAAGTAGCTGAGATTACAGACTTGTGCCACCACGCCCAGCTAATTTTTGTATTTTTAGGTGAAACCCTGTTTCTACTAAAACAGGCTGGTCTTAAACTCCTGACCTCAAGTGCTCTGACCGCCTCAACCTCCCAAAGTGTTGGGATTACAGGTGTAAGCCACCGTGCCCAGCCACATCTTGCTTCTTTATACATTTTAAGGAGACATGAGGTGTTAATCAATATATGTAAGAAGTACATTATTTGTGTCCAGAAAGTGGGGGACAACTCAAAGCAAGCCCCCCACCCCAGAGGCTTCCAGGTCACAGGTAGGTGAGAGACAAATGGTGGCATTCTTTTGAGTTTCTGATATGTCTATCCAAAGGAGCCCAACAGAATATGCATCTTTATTGTCTCCATAAGTCAAGTTTGATTCCTTAAAGGAAAGCACATCATTTCAGTGAAGGCCTTGGTAAAATAACCAGTTTCTCCAATTGTGTCCTGTTACAAATGAAAACAGATTCTTACTGCACTTATGCAAATAACTGTATTGCCATAAGTTAAAAATACTCACAAATCATTTCCAAATTCTGGAGAAATCAGGTAGACAGAAAGAAATATGCTTCAAATTGTGTTCATAGGAGTATACTGAATTGTTAAAAGATGTCAATAGCTCAAAAGACAAGTTTTAAGACACTGAAAAACAAAACAAAGGGTCAGCAAATATTTTAAGCAAAA
Organism: Homo sapiens; assembly: GCF_000001405.40. Taxonomy (NCBI): domain Eukaryota; kingdom Metazoa; phylum Chordata; class Mammalia; order Primates; family Hominidae; genus Homo; species Homo sapiens. Next base: position 55,624,895 of record NC_000007.14, read on the forward strand.
AGTCAAGATTAGTTCAGTCCATGCAGTTAATTCCTGTTCTGCTTGATACTCATGAACGTTTTAGCATTCCATGAGTCCTGAAAGTTTTTCCTCTATTCTGACGTCACATTCTCCAAGGTTATCAGAAACTTGCATTCAAGAGTACCTGTTAAAATTTTATCGTTGATTACAAAACCATCTTCTAAAGAGGACCAAAACAAGACAATTGTTCATGGATGACAAAAGTTTTAGGGCAGCCATAGTCAAAGACACAATTGATAAGGAAATTTGTTACCTCTGTGGCACACAACAATGTTAACATAACAATTATTACAATTACTGATAATGTACACTAAGATATCAGAATTATGAGTTTCCCATAATTTTGGAACAGATACCAATAACATATTTATACAAATAAAGCCCAAAGAAAACCCAACACCATTTCATATTTGACAATGCTTCCTGTATAATTTTTGTACCAAATAAGCCAAACTATGTTATTTTTTGGAATTTAGGGAACCTAATATCTTAAATGATTAATTAGGTCAGAAAAAGACATAATTTATAAGCTGATGTTGGAAATTTTGTCAAATATCAAAGGTTTTAAACACTTGATATCACAAAACAAGACAACAGTTCTTTGTAAAATAAGTCATTTATTTAACCAAAGTGATAACTCAAGGATTTTTTTTAAAAAGGTGAAAACCTTTATTCTTTGAGAGAGGAGACTTAATTGTCCAAACAAGCCCTAATAATAATAACAATCCAGTTAAATTTGTTTTTCAAAATTTTGTGAACAATCTATAAAATTTTAATCTTGGCCGGGCACGACGGCTTACGCCTGTAATCCCAGCACTTTGGGAGGCCAAGGCAGGCGCATCACGAGGTTGGGAGATCAAGACCATCCTGGCTAACACAGTGAAACCTCGTCTCTACTAAGAATACAAAAAATTAACCAGGTGTGGTCATGGGTTCTTGTAGTCCCAGCTACTCGGGAGGCTGAGACAGGAGAATGGCGTGAACTCGGGAGGCAGAGCTTGCAGTGAGCCGAGATCACACCACTGCACTCCAGCCTGGGTGACAGAGCGGGACTCCATCTCAAAAAAAAAAAAGAAAGAAATTTAATCTTGATCATAAGATACAGCTTCCATAAGAATTTTTTTTTTTTTTGAGACAGAGCCTCACTCTGTCGCCCAGGCTGGAGTGCAGTGGCGCGATCTTGGCTCACTGCAACTTCCGCCTCTCACGTTCATGCGATTCTCCTGCCTCAGCCTCCTGAGTAGCTGGGATTATAGAAGCATGCCACTACGCCTGGCTAATTTTTTTATTTCTAGTAGAGACGGATTTTCACCATGTTGGTCAGGCTGGTCTCAAACTCCTGACCTCGTGATCCACCCGCCTTGGCCTCCCAAAGTGCCGGGATTACAGGCATGAGCCACCATGCCTGGCCCCATAAGACTTTTATAAGCTTTATTTAGGAGTTGGTTAGTGCTTCAGAAAAACCTTGTTAATCCCACACAGGGGCCCATATGCTGGTCTTGTATCAGTGTGCCTTTGAAATTAATAATTAATTTATAGAGAAACTGAACTTATTTTATCTTTTAAAACTGACCCTTACAATCTTACATGCCCGCCTCTTCTGCAATAGTCCCTGGGCCTTGAGGAGTTGAACAGCTTTAATTTCTTGCCCTGTGTCTCAAGAATGCAGTTTATTTTGATTGGCATCTTCTATAGCGCCTGAAGATGAGGCTTTGATTGGTGTCAATGTTTAAGATTTAGCAGGACTTGATGTCCCTTTTAGACCTAGGAATCAAAGCCCTGCAACTTAATGTCACAAGGACTTTAAAAGCACATACAATACATGGATGTAATAACCTTTATTAAAAAATTTTTTTCTCTCTTTTTCTAAGCAAACCAAAACTTAAATATGACAATTTGATCATACCAAAGCTTTTTTTTTTCTTTCTTTCTTTTTGGTTTTTCGAGACAGAGTATCACTCTGTTGCCCACGCTGGAGTGCAGTGGCTTGATCTTGGCTCACCGCAAGCTCTGCCTCCTAGGTTCACACCCTTCTCCTGCCTCAGCCTCCCGAATAGCTGGGACTACAGGCGCCTACCACCACACCTGGCTAATTTTGTTTTTGTATTTTTAGTAGAGACGGGGTTTCACCGTGTTAGCCAGGATGGTCTCGATCTCCTGACCTCGCGATCCACCTGCCTCGGCCTCCCAAAGTGCTGGGATTACAGGCGTGAGCCACCACGCCCAGCCCCCAAAATTTTTTTTTTTAATATAAATCCTCTTACTGTGACTTGCACCAACTGTTGATGACATGCTTGGACTTTTTGGTTTGTCCTGAACATTCCTCCTTCTTAAACAAGTGGTCATTTTATTTTAGGACTAAATTTACCATACAAGATTGTTTTTCATATAAAATTACTTCTCTTAAAGCTTTCTTACCACAAAATACTTCTTTATTTTTATAACTTTCTTTACATTTCTTTTTTTTCTGGTTCCTTTTGTTTTACACATAACCTTTAAATGAGCTTTGAATTAGACAAAATTTGTTCACATTTTTTTAAAAGGATGCACTTTTTTTTTTTGAAGAATGTTTTCCTACAGTATATATTTATTGGGAAATACCCAAATAATGAAATATCTATTAATTAATTCAATATAGCTTTATATTCCAAATTATGACTGGTTTGGCTATAAGTATTTATCCCATTACATTTACATAATTATTTAATTTTAATTGTTTATGTAGATTATTTATGAAAACTGTGATAGTCGTGATTCAAAGTTATGAAACCACCATTGCAAAATTATAACTGAGACAGTGAAAAAAGATTTGACCTAACTGACTCCATCTTGCTCTTAACCTTCAAGCTGTCCTTGTTCATTCCTGGGCATCAGCTGAACTAACTTTGGGAGGAACTTAGTATATAGCTTTCAAACAAAGATGGTAGCAGTCCTTTCCCAAAACACACCTCCTTATTGCCTGTGGACTAGACTGCCTAAAGCCACAAGATTAGAAGTTACGGTAATCTTACTAAATTTAAGATGCAGCTATTTTCATTAAACCCATATTGATGTCTTATTTATTAAAAATTACACAAGCAATCAAGATCATCCTGGCTAACACGGTGAAACCCCATCTCTACTAAAAATACAAAAAATTAGCCGGGTGTGGTGGCGGGCACTTGTAGTCCCATCTACTTGGGAGGCTGAGGCAGGAGAATTGCTTGAACCCAGGAGGCAGAGGTTGCAGTGAGCCAAGATCGCACCACTGCACTCCAGCCTGGGCAACAGAGTGAGACTCTATCTCGAAAAAAAAAAAAAGAAATTACACAAGCAAAGATCATTCTCTTTTGGGCCAGGTTTATAGTTTTGTAACCCCTATGCCACATTTTGATACCTTATAGTATTTCGCTGGGATAAGTATGAAATTGCTTGATTAATAAATGCAAACAAAAATGTATGCTGGCAATTCTTAGGACACTTCTAATATTACTTTACCAATAATTTTACAGCTAGCTTATTTATTAAAGATTTTAATTAAGTTACATGAACTTGAAAAAGCATTTTCTTTTTTAGTATCTAAGTGCTTTTATTTTTTGTAAGCCAATTAGAGCTCTTTTATATATTTTTAGTAGTGAAACATTGTGTACACAACACATAAATACATACGTTAGGCATGTTAATGTTATTATAGATTCATAAAAACCATTTTCTCCTATGTTAGACTTTTAGATTCTTGATAACCTGTTTTACAACCCTGGGCAATTTTCAGCTAAACAGCCTTAAATTTGCATATTAAAGGAAGCAACTCAGGTGAAAGTCAAATAGCAACATTTACATTATAAAATACAAAAAGAAAAAGGTTGGATTATAGAAATTATAAAGTCCTTTAAAATACACACACACGCGCGCGCGCACACACACACACACACACACACACACACACACACAAAGATCCTATAGCTTTTACTTCAGAACTTTTAGCCATGAAGTAAATACAAACTTACTGGCTTGCAAAAAAAAAACTTGTTGGATCTAAACAGTGGTTTTTATCTCAATAGAAAAATAACAGCAGATTTAGAGTGGCAGAAAAGAAGAAATAGAGAACAGGGGGACTTAGGAACGCTCTAGTTTGCAGGCTGACTTTAGGGCTATTTTTCCTTAATGTAAATGTGCACAAAGACCATATTATTTCCATAAAGTTTGGCAAACAGAGGTGCCATTAAATCTACAGAGTGCTCAAAAGGGGGTCATTCTCCTTGTTTTCTCCTCACTCTTGTTTCTTACTTTTTTTTCTTAAAAGGAGGAACTGAGCTGTGGTCTAAGGTTTTTGTGTGGTGGATTCATATGTGCTGCTTGCGGGCAGCACTCTACAGTGTGTCACCACTGAGCCGTTTCCACCCTTTTCTGTGCCTCAGTTTCTCTCTCCAAAGGTCTGTGACCTCAGAGAGGGCTCAAAATGCCAGGTGATCAGCCCTTGTATGTGTTTCCTGGATAAGCCATTTTTAAAATTAAGTTTTTTGGGGGATTGCCCTGCAGGGCCACTGCATGTCATGGGGGATCAACCCCTCAGACACTCCCATGAGGCCCAGGGGTGCCTTTTGGCTGGGAGGGGCAAAATGCCCTTTCTCTTCACAGCTGAGAAAACTCAGTTTCATTAATATATGAAAACAACAATTCAGTTCCTCATGCAAATGCACACAGAAAAACCAAATTAAGATTAAATTTGGGAGAAAAAGCAACAGAGAGGACCCTTTAGAATGCATCTCAGAACTAGAATTAGGATCCTTAAACAACAACTTCAGAGGGGAACAAACAACAAAGAAACCCAACAATTGATCACTGAGCGCTCTAATGGTAAGGAGAAATTCAGACCAGCTGGTTGTTAATCTTAACTTTGGCCAAGACAAACCCCAATTCACTTACTCACCTAGGGATGGATCTCAGGCTGAAGACTGCTCTCTACCATCCCAGAAGCAGAAAAAAACAAAACAAAACAAAACAAAACTCATCTTCCCTGTTGGAAGTGAGCTCAAACTCCATAAAGGAGTTACCTGCCTTTCATCATTATGGAAGCAGGAAAAACTTGCCTTCCTTATGTTGGAAGCAAGTAAAACTCCAAGAAAAAGAGGAGTTGTACAGCAAAATAAACTTTAGATCTTGACCAAATTTTGGGAGATCAGGACTTCTCTGGAGGGGGTGCTCTCAGACTTCAGCAAATTGTCCTTTTGGTGTGAGCCATAATGTTAGCTCATGCTGGTACCAAGCACCGATAGGAGATTTGTCAAAAGTCAGGGGCATCTCCATTCACAATTCCCCCATGGTTACCAAAATGTGAACCCTGAAAATCTGAGACATGTCTCAGTTAATTTAGAAAGTTTATTTTGCTAAGGTTGAGGATAAGCCCATGACATAGTCTCAGGAGGTCTTGACAACATGTGCCCAAGGTGGTCAGGGCAAAGCTTGGTTTTAAACATTTTAGGGAGACATGGGACATCAATCAATACATGTAAGAAGTATTGGTTCCCTCCAGAAAGGCAGGGAGAGTTCAAAGCAAGGACCCCCCAACCCTGGGGGCTTCCAGGTCACAGGTAGGTGAGAAACAAATGGTTGCATTCTTTTGGGTTTCTGATAAGTCTTTCCAAAGGAGCTAATCAGAATATGCATCTATCTCTGTGAGTAGAGGGATGACTTTGAATAGAATGGGAGGCAGATTATCCTGAAGAGTTCCCAGTTTGAAGGGGACCAAGATATTTTCCTTTCACAGGGGTACCCATTTGTTGATTCTCTTTTCTTCCTTGGACATCCTGTGATTTCCTCTCTTTCCATCAAGGGGCACACCAGGCTTTTGGGTCTTCAGGTATAAGCACTCAGCTGGGAAGCTGAGATCCTAGAAAACACAGCTGGAAAGAAATACAGGTCACACTGCATTTGTAGCTAGTGAGACTTTTCTTTCTTCTAGCTGCCTCTGGTTTGATTGTGGATCTTGAGAGGATTGCTTTTCACCTCTTTGGAGATTTCTAGTTCATCCTTGCTTCGCTAAGTCACAACATCAGGTAAGGTTTATTGCTTTTGATGAGTTACTAGAAAAGTTACCTTAAAAAAAAAAGCTGGTTATAGTGTTTATAAAAGATAATTTCACAAGTAAAGTAGGCTAGCTGCTTTTTCAGAGTCAAATATGCTGAGTCCAGGCATAGGGCATGCTTTTGTTGCCTTACTCATTAAGGGGATCCACCCTGAAATCAACAATCAATCAAGAAACAGGTTAAGTTGAAAAGACCACATCTCTAACTATATTGGTCTCCAAAATATGACTGTCTGGAGTTTACCTAGTTATTTTGAAACTCTTTGTAAAGAAAATTTACATCTATAAAGAAAATTTCTATTTGCAAAGGCATCTTTCTCCTGCATTTAAACCACTAGAAACTTTTAAGATAGGAAAGACATTTGCTTAATGTTTACATAGCAAACCTTACCTATGTTTAAGATACTTTCCCTGTCAATCTTTATTTTGACAGAGCCTTTACGTATGTTCTTCTTGTCTCACAAATAATGCTGCTTAGATTTAGGTTGTGTGCCTTTGGGATGTAAATTTTTACTTAAGGAACCATCCTTTTAGAAGTGCAAATTTAGGACTGCCTAGCTAAGAATTGTTTAGGGCTTGACAGTTTAAAGTGGGGAGAGAAATCATTTGAAAACTGGAAAATGAGTAACCTAATAAAGCTATAAAATCTCCTGTCTGTGAGTCTGTATGTCTGTATGTGTCATGTTTATGTTATGTTTTATCACTAAAATATATGAAAGAACTCTAATTAATTGGCTTAAAGAAAAATTAAGTGCTTAAATATCTTTTTTTTTTTTTTTTGAGACAGAGTCTCGCTCTGTCGCCCAGGCTGGAGTGCAGTGGCGTGATCTCAGCTCACTGCAAGCTCCACCTCCCGGGTTGATGCCATTCTCCTGCCTCAGCCTCCCGAGTAGCTGGGACTTACAGGCGCCCGCCACAACACCCGGCTAATTGTTTCTATTTTTAGTAGAGACGGGGTTTCACCGTGTTAGCCACGATGGTCTCGATCTTCTGACCTTGTGATCCACCCACCTCGGCCTCCCAAAGTGCTGGGATTACAGGCGTGAGCCACTGCTCCTGGCCTAAATTAAATATCTCCTCAGAAAAATAAAAAGTAACTCAAATGCCTCTTAGTATACATGACTTGAGTACGTTTTTGGTAAATAAGATGTTTTGTTTCCTAGAGTCAATTTTTTTTTCTTTTGGGCAATTTATAGCTCACGAAAATTGAGTAAAGCATACTTTTGTCAGCAAAATTGAAACATTTATATTTCTCTTTACCTGGTTTTTCCAGAATTTGGAAACTAAATATTTTTAATTTATAACATTATTTGCATTAAGTTTATCAATAGTATGTTTTCTTTTATAAGAGGACACATCGGAGACACTGATAATTTTACCAAAGCTTGGACTGGAAAGGCATATTTTCAAGATACGACAGATTGCTTTAAGGAGTTGAGGTTGGTTTCATAAAAGGACCCTTGGAAAGACTGGCCCAATACTTTGTACAGTTCCCTTACAAAGTTTGTGACCTCATGGTAAGTAAAAATGTCACCTTCTGACAGGTCCATGAACCTCAAAATACTTTGGGACATTGAGAAGAGTTTACCCAATTCATACAGGCATTGCAGGCACAGTCTAACGGTGAATCCTTGGCTTGGCCTTCTAGCCCCAAGAGGCTTTTAAAAGTCTAACCTGGGCCAGGCACGGTGGCTCACGCCTATAATCCCAGCACTCCGGGAGGCCGAGGTGGGCAGATCACCTGAAGTCAAAAGTTCAAGACCAGCCTGGCCATAGTGAAACCCCATCTCTACTAAAAATACAAAAAAATTAGCCGGGCGTGGTGGTGCGTGCCTGTAATTCTAACTACTCAGGAGGCTGAGGCAGGAGAATCGCTTGAACCCGGGAGGCGGAGGTTGCAGTAAGTCGAGATCGTGCCATTGCCTTCCAGCCTGGGCAACAAGAGCAAAACTCCGTAGAAAAAAAAAAAAAAAGTCTAATCTGATATTCCTTATGAAAAAGTACCAGCAAAGCCAACTTAAGAGAGCCTTTATGGTGGATCACTATTCTTGCTGTACTTTATGCAAATAATCAGACCAAGTATAATAAGACTATAAAACTTATATTACAAATAACTTGGTACTACTAAGATTTATCTTTGGTAGAAATGGAGAACTTGGGAGAGCAAAATTATGTTTCAGAAGAAAATTGTAGAACACTTGTTTTGAGATTCTAGCCCTAATCATTATTTTTGTAGAGATGGGGTCTCACTATGTTGCAAGGGCTGGTTATGAACTCCTGGCCTCAAGCAATCCTCTCACCTTGGCCTCTCAATGTAGTGGGGTTATAGGCATGAACGACCACACCAAGCCTGCCACTTCTTTTTTTTTTCTTTTTCTTTTTTTTGGAGACAGAGTCTCACTGTGTCGCCAGGCTGGAGTGCAGTGGTGCAATCTCGGCTCACTGCAACCTCAGCCTCCCAGGTTCAAGCGATTCTCCTGCCTCAGCCTCACAAGTAGCTGCGACTATAGGCATGCGCCACCATGCCCAGCTAATTTTTGTATTTTTAGTAGAGATGGGGTTTCACCATGTTGGCTAGGATGGTCTCGATCTCTTGACTTCACGATCCGCCTACCTCGCCTCCCAAAGTGCTGGGACTACATGTGTGAGTCACCGTGCCCGGCCGCCTGCCACTTCTTAAAAAAAAATCCACTTGTAAGGACTGTTAATCAGAATGTATATTCAGGGCAACTTGAATCTATGCTCCTGGGTGGCCATCTTTAATCTTTTTTTTTGAGACAGGGTCTTACTCTGTCACACAGGCTGGAGTGCAGTGGCATGACCTGCCTCCCAGGCTTAAGTGATCCTCCCACCTCAGTCTTCCAAGTATCTCTGGCCACAGGCCTGAGCCACTATGCCAGGATAATTATTGTATTTTTTGTTGAGATAGGGTCTTGCTATGTTGCCCAGGTTGGTCTTGAACTCCTGAGCTCAGGAAATCCACCCACCTTGGCCTCTCAAAGTGCTGGGATTTATAGGCATGAGCGACCATGCTTGGCTGATCCTTAATCTTTATACTTGAATAAGTTCTCTTTTAACTAGACTCTGAACTTTTTGATTATTTTAGTTTGACACTATACTCTGATGTATGTAATAAAGTGTTTAAAGTTATTTGTTTGAAAGATGTTTTTTACTATGTAAGGCTTCACTGTAAGTGGTATTATATTCGTGAATACATGTATGTACATAGTAAAGATTTTATAGACACATTTAATAAATCTAACAATATTACTTATTAGCTGTATTGTTAACAGTGTTAATTCACTCATTGTAAGTGGTTACCAAGTTATAACATCTGCAGTGACATCTAAAACACTTCTTTCAAAAATATTTTGTAGCATGTGGCTTACAGGCTTTGTAACCATCATTTTCAGCAAACTAACACAAAATCAGAAAACCAAACACTGTATGCTCTCACTCGTAAGCGAGAGTTGAATAATGAGAACACACGTACACAGGGAGGGGAACACCACACACCGGGGCCTGTCACGGGGTGGGGGCCAGGGCAAGGGATAGCATTAGGAGAAATACCTAATGTAGATGACAGGTTGATGGGTGCAGCAAACCACCACGGCACCTGTATACCTATGTAACAAACCTGCACGTGTATACCTATGTAACAAATCTGCATGTTCTGCACATGTATCCCAGAACTTAAAGTATAATAATAAAAAAAGAGTGTTACTTCAATGAATCAATGTAATATATGAAGTGTGACTACATCTATGTTTATAAGATAATTTTAAGAATGTTACTTATAAGTTGCATTAATAGTATTAATTCAGTCAATGAAAGAGTTTACCAAGGTCTAAAGTATGTATGTGTTTAAACATACTTCCTTAATAAAAACTTTTTCTTATATATGTTACATGCTTTTTTGTGAAGAAGGTTATGTTAGTTAACACATATTATGTATGTAATGAAGTGTCTGTAGATACATTTAAAATATGATTCTAATAATTTTCCTAAAAACTGATGTTAACAATGTGAATTCAGTGAGTGTAAGTGGCAAGTAAACCATAATGTATGTAATAAAGTGTTTAAAGATACTCGTTTAAAATATTTTTAAAAACCATCTGCCTGCCTCGACTTCCCAAAGTGCTGGGATTATAGGCGTGAGCCACCACGCCCAGCCCATTTCTTTTTAAGAGTACTCACTGTTGCATATATAAATGCTACTGATTTTTATATGTTGATTTTGTATCCCTATCTTTACTGAATTCATTTATCAGTTCTAACCCATTTTTGGTAGAATATTTAGGGCTTTCTAAATACAAGATCATGTTGTTTGAGAACAAGGATAATTTGACTTCTTGCTCTCCTATTTAGATGCCCTTTATTTCTTTTTCTTTTGCTTGATTGGTCTGGATAGGACTTCTAATATTATACTGAATAAAAGTGGTAAAAGTGGGCCTCCTCATTTTGTTCCAAAGCTTAGAGAAAACAGTTTCAATTTTTCTCATTTGCAGTTAGATGTGGGTTTGTCATATTTAGTTTTTATTTCATTGAAGTACATTTCTTCTCTACACAGTTTGTCGAATGTTTTACTATAAAGTTAGATTTTAATTATACTATATTTACTATATACTATATTTATTTTACTATGAAGTTGAATGCTTTTTAACCATTGATTGAAATAATAATATGGTTTTTGTTTTGGTTCTGTTAATGTGATGTATGAGATTTTATTGATTCATATATGTTGAATCATGCTTGCATCCCTGGGATGAATCCCATTTAATCATGGTGAATGATCTTTTCAATATGGATTGAGTGAGGATTTTCTAGTATTTTTTTGAGCACATTTTTGTCTATGCTCATTGAAGATATTGTCCTGCCTGTAGTTTGCTGTTGTTATATCCTTATCTGGGTTTAGTATCAGGCAAATGCTATCTCATAGAATGTGTTTGGAAGTATTCTCTTCTTTTTAATTTATTTTATATATATATATTTTGAGACAGAGTCTCGCTCTGTCACCCAGGCTGGAGTGCAGTGGCACGATCTCAGCTCACTGCAAGCTCTGCCTCATGGGTTCAAGCCATTCTCCTGCCTCAACCTCCTGAGTAGCTGGTACTACAGGCACCTGCCACCACTCCCAGCTAATTTTTTGTATTTTTTTTTAGTAGAGACGGGGTTTCACCATGTTAGCCAGTATGGTCTCGATCTCCTGACCTCGTGATCCGCCCGCCTCAGCCTCCCAAAGTGCTGGGATTACAGGTGTGAGCCACTGCCCCTGGCATCTTTTTAATTTTTTAAAGAATTTGAATAGAATTGGTATCAGTTCCTTTTTAAGCATTTGGTAGAATTCATCACTGAAGCCAAATCCTTGCCTTTTTGTTGATGGGGGACTTTTTATTATGCCTTAAATCTCATTACTCTTACTGTTTTTTTCATATTTTCTATTTCTTCATGGATCAATCTTGGTAGGTTGTTTGTGTCCAGGAATTTACGCACTTCTTCCAGGTTTTCCAATTTGTGGGTATACAGTTGTTCATAATAGTTTCTAATAATTATTTGCATTTTTGTGGTATCAGTTGTTATGTCTCCTTTTTCATTTCTGATTTTATTTCTTTGGGTCTTCTATCTTTTTTTAGTCTAGCTAAAGATTTGTCTATTTTGTTTATCTGTTCAAATCCTCAACTTTTTGTTTCATTGGTCATTTGTACACCTTCTTAGTCTCAGTTTTACTGATTTTTCCTCTTATCTTTATTATTTCTTTCCTTCTACTAAATTTGGATTTAATTTTTGCTTTTCTAGTTACTTTAGTATATTGTTACATTGTTTATATAAAACTTTTCTTTTTTTTTAAATGTAGGCACTTATTGCTATAAACTTCCCTCTTATCACTTGCTTGTGTTGTATTCTTCAGTTTTTTTGTATATTGTGTTTCTATTTTTGTTTCCAAAAATTTTTTAATTTAATGAACCACTGAATATTCAGAAGCATGTTTTTAATTTCCATGTGTTTGTGTAGTTTCCAAGGTTCCTCTTGTTATTGTTGTCAAGTTCTTTTCTCTTGTGGTTAAAAAAAAACTTGATATAATTTTGACTTTTTTTTGCATTTGTTAAGGATTATTTTGTATCCTATTATATAGGCCTGGAGAATGTTTCACATGCTGATGAGAATTATATGTACTCTGAAGCAATTGAGTGACATGTTCTGTAAATGTCAGACTCATTTGGTCAAGTGTGTAGCTTAACTCCAATTTTGTGGTTGTTGCTGATTTTCTGTCAGAATAATCTGTTCCTTCCTCAAGAGTGTTGAAGTACCCTACCATTGATATATTGCAGTTTTTCTCTCTGTTTAGATATATTAATGTTTGCTTTATGTACTTGGGTGCTCTTGCTTTGAATATATATTTATAACTGTTATATCTTCTTGGTAAATTGACCCCCTTTTTTTGACAGGGAAAAACTTTTTTAAATTACAAACTCAATTCATTTGGTGTATTTCAAAGGTGCAATACTTTTCTTCATTTATCAGTGAAAGAAGTTAGAAATTAACTTCCCCCAAAAATCAGCAAATGGCAAACAAATGTCCTTGAAAGTCACAATCACATATAGTGTGTCCTAGAAAAGAGGCGGGACTAGACAGGCTCCACCCACTTTCATGAGTTTCATCAAATACTGGACCTACTCCAGGGTGGAGAGAACGGGCAACTTTCAAAAAGGAGTATGTTATTAAATGAGGCATTTACTATACTCCTTCCTAAGAGCACCAGATGGGGAATATGTTTTCTAAACTAGATCTAGAAAGTGGAAGGGGGAATCAATCCATCCTCCTCCCCTTAAGGGCTATCCACTGGTTAATTAAGTAAAAAAAACAAGACTAAAAAACCCCACATACAGTCCTTGAAAAGAAGAGGAGAAAAAAAAACCCCAAACACTAAGATGTCCCAGATTACTCTCCAGAGTGGAACCAGGGAGCAGCTTCAACAATTCCAATTAGTCTGTATGTCTTGCTTTTAAACAAACAAAAAATTTTTTTCAAACTACAAAACAAAAACTAGTACTAATCACTTTTCTGACAATACACAATTACTCAAAATTAACTAGTACTCGGAGGGGGAAGGGGGCATACTAGATGGCACCTTAATACCTATGGGCCTTGTCTCACACGAGTGCATGTGGGTAGGTGCAGGGCATTTGTCATTATTGCAAAAAATTTTTTTAATTTTTAATCTTTAGTTTGATTTAAACATTACTTTTAGTATGATGCCAACACCAGCTGTGCAGAAAGGGTTCTGGAGAGATGTTCATAGCAGCACACACCTGCGGCTCTTCTTTCTGGAGGCTCCAGGGCAGCCAATATTGCTTAGTCAAATACGTTCCTTAGGCCTTTCTGCGTGAGTGCAGAACACTCCACATACCTGACAGCCTTCAGGTCACGGACCAGCTTTTCAGCAGGCTCTGGAGTGATAGGCTTCTGTTTGTTCTTGGCAAGTTTCTCAATAGAGGAGTCATCTCTGAGATCAGTTTGGGTCCCAGCAAGCAAGAGAGGAGTCTTTGGACAGTGGCAAATTATCTCAGGCACCCACTTTTCTTTCACATTTTCAAATGAAGATGGAGAGACCACTGAAAAACAGACTAGACATACATCTGTCTGTGGATAACTCAGTAGTAGTAATCTGTCATAATCCTCTTGCCCTGCAGTATCAAAAAGCCCAAGAGTATATGGTTCTCCAGCAATCATAACTGTGACTGCATAGTTGTCAAAAACAGTCAGCATATGTTCTGATGGAAATTTGTTTGTTGTGTAGGATATCAGGAGACTTGTTTTACCAATAGCACCATCGCCCACAACACCACACTTAATTGTCTGCATTGCTGAAATAGTTTTGTATCCACCTTAAATATTTCAAATCTGATGTTGACCTCAGCTTCTCCACTGGGGTGTTCGAAATTGACCCCTTTATCATCATATAGTGACCTTCTTTATCTCTGTTTACATTTTACTTGTGGTCTATTTTATATGATATAAATATTGCTACTCCTGCTCTTTTTTGGTTTCCATTCGCATGGAATTTTTTCTCATCCTTTCATTTTCAGTTTATACATGTCTTTATTGATGAAATCGGTTCGTTGTAGGTAGTGTATATATGAATCTCGTTTCTTTATTCATTCATCCACTCAATGTCTTTCAATTGAAAAAATGAGTTCATTCTTTTGATAAATAAGTACTGATAAATAAGTACTATTGTCGTTTTGTGATTTGTATCTTTGTTGTTTTGTAACTCCTCTCTTTCTCACTGTCTCTTCTTCGTGGTTAATTTTCTATGGTACTGTGTTTTAATTTGTTGCTTTTTTATTTTCAGTGTATTTATTAGAAAATTTTGCTCTGTGATTATGAAGATTACAAAAATATCTTAAAGTGATGACTTTGATCACAAAGAAAATAATATAAACTAAGAAAGCTCTACACTTCATCTTCTCCCCATTTTGAATTTCATTGTGTCACTTTATGTATCTTTGTATTTCTTCTCTCTTAACAGGTTTCTGTAGATACTTTTGTTTTTCATAGATTTGTCTTTTAGTCATCACACTAAAGTGATAAGTGGACTGCATACTACAGTTACAAAATTTTGAGTTTGTCTGTTGGCTTATTTTTACCAATGAGTTTTATAACTTTAGATGTTTTCTTTTTTGCACATTTGCGTTTTTCTCTTTTCAGACTGAAGAAATTTCTTTGGCATTTCTTGTGAGATGGGTCTGATGAGATGCATTCTCTTAACTTTTGTTTGTCTGAGAAACACTATCTCCCCTTCATGTTTGAAGGATAGCTTTGCTGGTTACAGTATTCACAGTTGACAATTTTAGTCTTTCAGCACTTTACATGTACTCCCACTTTCTCCTGGGTTGGACAGTTGCCATTTAGAAGTCTGCTGCCAGTCAGATTGGAGCTCCTTTATATTATTCACTTATTTTCCCTTGCTGCTTTTAGTAGTTTATTTGTCTTAGGCCTTTGAGGGTTTTATTATCCTATGCCCTAGGGTAATCTTATTTGGCTTTACTCTGTCTGGTGATCTCTGACCTTCTTATACTTGGAGATTTATGTCTTTCTCAAGTTTTGGAAAGTTTTCTGTTATTATTTCTTTGAATAGACTTTCTTTTTTTCCCTTTTTCTTTTCTGAGAAGGAGTCTCACTCTGTCACCCAGGCTGGAATGCAGTGGCATGATCTCAGCTCACTGCAACCTCTGACTCCCAAGTTCAAGCAATTATTTTGCTTCAGCCTCCCAGGTATCTGGGATTACAGCTGCGTACCACCACATCCGGTGAATTTTTGTATTTTTAATAGAGACAAGGTTTCACCATGTTGGTCAGGCTGGTCTGGAACTCCTGACCTTCAGTGATCCACCTGTCTCAGCCTCCCAAAGTGCTGGGATTACAGGCATGAGCCACTGCACCCTGCCTCTTTGAATAAACTTTCCATTCCTTGCTTTTGCTCAGCTTCCTCTTGAACACCAGTAATTCTTAGATTTACTATTTCAATGTGATTGTCTATATCTTATAGGCATGCTTTATTACTTTTCATTCTTTTATCTCGTCTGTGTATTTTCCATTAGCCTGTCTTTAAGCTCACTGATTTCTTTCTCTGCTTGATGCATCTGCCATTGAGAGCCTCTCATGAATTTTTGTTCAGCAGATGTACTTCTTAGTTTTAGGATTTCCGTTTGATGTTTTTAAAAAATCATTTCAATCTTTTTCCTTAAATTTATCTGATAAATTTCTTAATTGCTTTTCTGTATTATTTTGTATATCACTGAATTTCCTTAAAAATACTACTTTGGGGCTGGGTGCAGTGGCTCACGCCTGTAATCCCAGCACTTTGGGAGACTGAGGCGGGCAGATCACGAGGTCAGGAGTTCGAGACCAGCCTTGCTAACATGGTGAAACTCCGTCTCTACTAAAAAAATACAAAAGTTAGCAGGGTATGGTGGCGGGCACCTGTAATCCCAGCTACTCGGGAGGCTGAGGGAGGAGAATCACTTGAACCTGGGAGGCAGAGGTTGCAGTGAGCCGAGATCGTGCCATTGCACTCCAGTCTGGGTGACAAGAGCAAGACTCTGTCTCAAAAAAAAAAATACTATTTTGGATTCTTGATCAGAGAGCCCACCTATCACTGTTTAGTTAGTGTTGGCCAGTGGCTTCTTGCTTTGTCCACTCGGGAAGATTATGGTTTTTTTGTTTGCTGTTTTTTCTTATGAATGTACATCTACGTCTCTGCATTAAAGGATTAGTTATTCATTCGAATCTTCTCTGTCTGGCTTGTTTAATTTTCTATCGGGTGTGTTAGAGATTGTTTGCAATTTACCTTGAATATCCTTTTTGCTATGTCACTACCTCCTTTATGGCACTAGATGGCACCTTAATCCCAGGTTTGCCTCAGCTCTAGCAACCATTCAGAGCACTTCTTGTGCCAGATGAGGGAAGTCCTAAAGGGAATACCAGGGAAGCTTGGCAAGGCTAGCTAGGGATTTATGGTCTGAGAACCTATGAAACATAGCTCCTACAGCATGGTGTTACTGAACAGCCACTGTGATTTGGCATCTCCTTTGGCTAAATAACTAAATTTCCCAGGCTGGGGATACTAGTTGCAACCTAATCTCTTTGTTTCTGGGTGTCCTCAGGAGTTTTTCTCCCTTAAGGCACTGGCTATACTTCTTGTGGGTGTCTTCTGCCTGGAATCCCAAGATGATGGGAAAGCTGGTTGTCTTCCTTAATCTTCTTCTTCATCTTTTTTTTTTTTTTTTTTTTGGTCTAGTAAGATTTAATAGTGAAAAATTATCTGCACACTTGGTGTCTGGCAGATTTGTGCTAGGATGTCAGGAATATAAAAGTCTTACTCTTTTATGTCTGCATGGATTTTTTCACTTCTCCATTATTTCAGTAACTATCTTATTCACATATTTGAGTTCTGTGATATTGCTGATGATAATCTTGGTGCTGTGCATTTGTTTAAGATTTCCTGTGGGTCAGGAAGTGGAAACCAGCTTGCTTCTACTCAGCCTTTTTGGTGATGTCACTGCCCTTATGAATTTTGAAAGCTTTACTGTGAAGGGTGTTAAATGAGTAACATGTAGTAAGGTATTTGTAGACACATACTTAAAAGATATTTCTAAGATGTTGCTGGAAAAATGAATTTGTAAATGTATTAATTTAGTGATTTCAAGTGTTTACCAATTGCAAATATATAATAAAATGTTTAAATATGTTTATTTAAAGAATACCTTTAAATAAACCTCTTAAAATCTTTGTTGTGAAGACTGTTCTTTTAGTAAGTGGATATGTGTGTGAGGTTGTAGACACTTACATTAAAGATAATTCTAATAATGTTATTTATTAGATGAGTTGGTTACTATGTTAACTCATTGAATGCAAGTGCTTACCACATTATAAAGTATGCAATAATGTGTTTAAACATGTTTTAAAAGATGCTTTTGTTATTCATTTTAAGAGCTTTGTAATGAAGAGTGTTATTTCAGTGAGTGGATGTAATACTATGTAGGGAATAGTTAGTAGACACATGGCTAAAAGATGATCTAAGTGTGTCATTGATAAAATGAGTTGGTGACTATGTTAATTCAGTGAATGCAAGTATTATCAAACTGGAATGTATGTAATAAAGTGTTTAAACATGGTTCTTTAAAGATTTTTCTTACCACGCATTTTATTTTATTTATATATATATTTTTTGAGATGGAGTCTCACTCTGCCACCCAGGCAGGAGTGCAATGGTGCAATCTTGGCTCACTTCAACTTCCTGTGCCCCCCAGGTTCAAGTGATTCTCCTGCCTCGGCCTCCCAAGTAGCCGGGACTACAGGTGGATGCCACCAGGCTCGGCTAATTTTCTTTGTACTTTTAGTAGAGACAGGGTTTCACCATATTGGCCAGGCTAGTCTCGAACTTCTGACCTCAGGTGATCTTCCCGCCTCAGCCTCCCCAAGTGCTGGGATTACAGGTGTGAGCCACCGCGCCCAGCCTCTTTCCATGCATTTTAAAAGCTTTGTTCTGAAAATTGTTACATCAGTGAGTGAACGTGGCTCACTGTAAAGTGTTTATAAGCACATGCTTAAAAGATGATTCTAAAAATGTTACTGATGAGTTGATAATAGTGTTAATTCAGTGAATGTAAGTATTAATTAAATGCAAGTGTTTACCAAATTGTAAAGTATGTAATGAAGTCCTTAAACATGCTTATTTATAGATTTTTTAAATTATGCATTTAAAAATCTTTCTTGTTAAGAGTGTTATGTTAGAGAGTACGTCTAATATTTCACTACATACACCTCACTAGGTTTGCAGGCACATGTTAAGAAGATAAAACGGATAATGTCACTTAAAATATATGTTGTTAACTGGATTAATTCCGGGAATTTAAGTGTTTAATAAGCTATCATACATGTGTAAAGTGTTTAAGCATTTTTTTTTTTTTTTTTTACACAGAGTCTCACTCTGTCACCCAGGCTGGAGTGGTGTGCGATCTCGGCTAGCTGTAGCCTCTGCCTTCTGGGTTCAAGCAATTCTCCTGCCTCAGCCTCCTATAGCTGGGACTATAGGTGCCCGCCACCACACCTCGCTAATTTTTGTATTTTCAGTAGAGATGGGGTTTCACCATGTTGGCCAGGCTGGTCTCAAATTTCTGACCTCAGGTGATCTGCCCCACCTCAGTCTCCCAAAATGTTGGGATTACAAGCGTGAGCCACCCTACCATGGCCAACCAAGCATATTTTTTTAAAGATGTTTCTTACCATTGCATTTTGGGTAAGAAACATTCTATGGCAAAAAGCTTTTATTTTAATGAGTGGATCTAACGTACGTAATGTATGTAGTGAAGTGTTTATATGATGAAAGATAAATCTAAGAATGCTACTTAAAAGATGTGTTGTTAACTGTATTAATTCAGTAAATTAAAGTGTTTACCAAGCTGTATAGTATACAATAATGTGTTTAAATATGCTTCTTTAAAGATATTTGTTACCAGAGAGGGTAATGTCAGCAAGTTGTTAGAATAGAAACTATCTCACTCTACTTACTTCCACAGAAATTCAACTAACAATTTTCCACAGTTTAGAGTATCTTTGTAAATATCCCAGAACTTGAGAGTGAATCTGAGACATCTTCTTGAACTACAGACCGAGAGAAGCCATGCATAAAGCGTAAGAGGAATGATTTCACTTTGACCAAGTTGCTCTTCTCCCAAAACTGCACAGTGCCACACACAGTGTTTTCCAGTAACCATGTTATTTTTTCAGAGGGAGAAAAAAATTGGAGGTGAATATTTAGCTTTCCTATTATTCTGGGGCCATTCACAGGAGATACCATCTTGTCTCACCTCATGGGACATATTGGAGGGTATCAGAGGAGCTGGTCCTACCCTAGCCTACGTGTTTTTCCAGCCCAGTACCATTTCATCTCACCAATACTCACACTGACCCCAGGACATCCTGAAGGCTCAGATCTAGCCTTTCTTCCTCTTTGCAAAAAGACCTTTCTCTACCCAGACATACAGGGACACCATTTTATACACCCACCTTAGGTGTTCTAAGGAAAAGCGCTTATCCTGATTGACATATCTGTGAAAAGTAAACAACTTTCCCAGTGGAAGGTGACAGAATTTGGGCTGCTCTGATTAAAATTATCTGGCTTAGTGCTTGCTACAGGTGTAGGGTCAGATAGAAATTGCAGGGAAAGATTACTGTTGCCGTTTCGGTTCCCTCCCCTGCCAGTAGGTGAAAAGCTAGCCCTATGGCCTGTAGTATAAATATAAGTGCATCTGTGTGTGTTTGGTGTGTGTGTTTGCATTATGTTTATTACATGCACATTTATACAAATATGTATTTATATATTTATGTATGCATAAATGTATATTTTTATGTTATTACATATAAGATCTTTATTTTATTATTTATAATATATATGAATTTTTTCCTGCTTGCATGCAAAGGCACCACCACAAACTGGCAGACAGTGCTACAATGTCGTATGTATAAATATTTATATTTTAATTTCTATTTATTTATATGTTGATGATATATTTGTAAATGTTTCCTATTTCATTTAAAATGTATGCATTTATATGTGTGTAGATACTAATTTCCAGTTATGGTTTTACTTGTGCCCTGTATGCTTAAACATTCCAGGCTGATCAATTGTGCTACATTGTTTACTCAGACTACAGATTCCAAAACGCCAAGACCCGGCTGAGGCTTCTTCTGGTCTAAGCGGGAAGATGCGGCTATACACTGGACTTTACGTGTCTGGGCCATCTCTTCCCTTGGCATTTGGGAAAAGTTCACTTCTCCTATAGGAGGGAGCAGAGAAACTTGGCTGACTGTTTCAGGGCAAATGAAGGAACCAAATGTCTACGGAACCTGGTAATATTAGGCAGTCTTCCATTCAAGTCCTATTTGGACACTGTCTCTCTGAAATTTTAAGAACAGAAAAGCTCTCAGAACCTTCCTGCCACCATGTTCGCACCTCACTGCTCCAGCCTCTGGGGCACATTCTATCCTTTCAGCCTGCGACTAGCAGCAAAAAAAATTACATATTTTCTTGCTCCATACATACCTTGAGGTGAGCAAAAAAATTAAATTTTAACCATGAAGGAAATTGTGCACATCCAAGCCAGTCACTGTGGCAACCAGATCAGTGCCAAGTTCTGGGAGGTGATCAGTGATGAACATGGCATCAACCCACCGGCACCTACCACAGGGACAGCGCCCTGCAGCTGGACCGCATCTCCGTGTACTACTATGAAGCCACAGGTGGCAAATATGTTCCTCATGCGATCCTGGTGGATCTAGAACCTGGGACCATGGACTCTGTTCACTCAGGTCCTTTTGGCCAGATCTTTAGACCAGACAACTTTGCTTCTGATCAGTCTGGGGCAGGCAACAACTGGGCCAAATGCCACTACACAGAGGGGGCTGAGCTGGTTTATTCGGTCCTGGATTTGGTATGGAAGGAGGCGGAGAGCTGTGACTGCCTTCAGGGCTTCCAGCTGACCCACTCACTTGACTGGGACACAGGCTCTGGAATCGGCACTCTCCTTATGAGCAAGATCCAAGAAGAGTACCCTGATTGCTTCATGAATACCTTCAGTGTGGTACCTTCACACAAGGTATCTGACACCGTGGTTGAGCCCTACAATGCCACCCTCTCCGTCCATCAGTTGGTAGAGAACACTGATGAGACCTATTGTATTGACAATGAGGCCCTCTAGGATATCTGCTTCCGCAATCTGAAGCTGACCACACCAACCTACTGGGATCTGAACTACCTCGTCTTAGCCACCATGAGTGGTGTCACCACCTGCCTCCACTTCCTGGCCAGCTCAGTGCTGACCTCTGCAAGTTGGCAGTCAACATGGTTCCCTTCCCATATCTCCATTTCTTTATGCCTGGCTTTGCCCCTTTCACCAGCCGTGGAAGCCAGTAGTATCAAGCTCTCACCGTGCCCCAACTTACCCAGCAGGTCTTCGATGCCAAAAACCTGATGGCTGCTTGTGACCCCCGCCACGGCCAATACCTCACCATGGCTGCTGTCTCCAGTGGTCGAATGTCCATGAAAGCGGTCAATGAGCAGATGCTCAAAGTGCAGAACAAGAACAGCAGCTACTTTGTGGAATGGATCCCCAACAACATCAAGACAGCTGTCTGTGACATCCACCTCATGGCCTCAAGATGGCTGTCACCTTCATCGGAAACAGCACTGGCATCCAGTAGCTCTTCAAGCGCATCTCGGAGCAGTTCACTGCCATGTTCTACCAGAAGGCCTTCCTCCACTGCTACACAGGCGAGGGCATGGACGAGATGGAGTTCACTGAGGCTGAGAGCAACATGAACAACTTCATCTCTGAGGATCAGCAGTACCAGGATGCTACCACAGAAGAGGAAGAGGATTTCAGTAAGGAGGCTGAAGAGGAGGCCTAAGGCAGAGCCCCCCATCACCTCAGGCTTCTCAGTTGCCCTTAGCTGTCTCACTCAACTGCCCCTTTCCTCTCCCTCAGAATTGGTGTTTGCTGCCTCTTTTTTTTTTTCTGGGGGGGTCCAGAATGGTGCCTAGCACATAGTAAGTGCTCAATAAACACTTGTTTGTTGAAAAAAAAAGAACAGAAAAGATGCAGAAGTTTTTTGGCTTGCATGGCCATACACTTCTCAGAATACCCTTGGTGACCCAAAGGTTGGCTGGACACTGACCAGTGCTTCTGGACCAGGGCTACATGCCTGGCTTAGAAACTCCAGGCCCTCCGTAGCTTGCTGGCTCGTGCATGCGCAGTTCTTATCTGCCATCAGGGACTCATCTCACCTACTCTGGTTTGAGCACAGGCATCATTCATTCACCTGGGGTGGCAGGGTCCAACAGTCTGCCTCTAACCTAGTTTTCTTTTTCTAACACCTGCTTTGGCATCCAGAAGTGTTTGTCAAGCCAGACATCTGTATTACATGCTTCTCAAACTTGTGGAGGAGGCCTCAGATACCTGGCTTTTCGGGTGTCGCCAATTCAGAGATTCTTTAGTACTGCCCTGTAGGGTTCTCAAAATCAGCTGGAAACAGCCAGAATAGAATTACTCAAGACTGTATAGCCTTTGGCTTCTGGGGCCATTTTCCTGGCTCCGAAAAGCTCTCAGTGTCTCGCATTGCAGTTCAACCCTGGCCTGGTGTTGCTCTGGCCTGATACCATCTTAGCCCAACACATCCTCAGGTCTCGACCTAGCCTTTCCAACTCTCTGTGAAAAGCTTTTCCTTCACAGAGTGAAGTGTCATACTGGGACACCATTGTACGCACCCACCTCAGGTGTTCCAAAGAAGGGCCCCTATCCTGATCAAGAGGTTGTCTAGAAGTGGACAGTTTTCCCACTGTTGGGTGATGCTGCTTGGGCTGGATCTGGTTTAAGCCTCTGGCCTGGTGTTTGCCATTAGTGTAGGGTCACATGAAACCTGCATGGAAAGACTTCTGTGGCCTTTTCAGCTTCTTTTATTGAGACAATCTTATGGCATCTAGTTTAGATGTAAGTGCATCTGTGTGCATTTCAGTGTGTTTGTGTATTTCTCTGCACTATGTGTATTTTATACATATATTTTATATACACATATACATTTATTATATATACATCTGTCATTATAGGTAATATCTATGTTTATTTTTAAATATATATTTATGAAAAAATATGTTTTTATTTCTCTTGTATGCAGAAATACCACCACCAACTGGCAGACAACTCTACAACACTGTATGTATAAATACCTCTTTTAATTTTATTCATTTATGTGTTGATGTGTATATTCATATATGGTACCTATTTCTTCATACACAAAAATATAGGCATTTATGTGTGTGTATATATATATTTATTTGTCATTTTATCTTTGCTTGTGTGCCATGTATGGGTGAAACACTTTAGACTGACCGATTATGCTATACCGTTTCTTGAGATCAGTGACTTCAAAACACTGAGATCTCACTGAGTGTTGTTTTCTCAGTCGTGTAAAAGATGCAGCTGTTTATTTGACTTCAGGTGTGAAGGACATTTTTCATTCTTTGCCATGTGAGAGAAATCCTCCTCCTGCCCTAGGAGAGCAGAGAGAATTGACCGGCTGTTTCATGTCAAATAGGAAAGCCAAAGGCCTGTGGGACGTGGTAGTTCTTTTATTTCAAGTCCTATTTGGTCACTACCTCTCTGAGCTTCTAAGAACAAGAGAGATGGGGTATTTTTTGGCTTACTTGGCCATTCACTTTGTAGCCTAGCCTTAGTGATCCCATGGCTAGATAGAAAGCTAACATTGCTTTTGGCCCAAGACCACATGCATGGTCTAGGGCCTCAGAGCTTTCCTTAGGTTCCTGAATTACACACAAGCACAATTCACATAACCATGACGGACCTACTTTACTCCACAAACTGGGCCCTATATTGGGGACAAGCATCATTCATTTATCTGGTGTGGCAGGGTCCAAGAGTCTGCCTCCCCTTCACTACTGATGTTTACTGTTTGTCATTCTCCATCCACTGTACCCACCCCCCACTCCTTAATGGCAGCTATCAATTTCCAACTGCCCATGCTGAATTTGGAGAGAGCCCAGTCTCTCTTCCCCATTGCAAGACTCACATAGAGTGATCCCTGTACCTATCAAAATGGCTCTGAATAAAGTCTTCCTTGCCACGTGTTAAAAAGGGTCATAGAATCATTTTTTAACACATGGTAAACTTTATGGGATTTTTTGTCTTTGTTTTTTTTTTAAACCACAGGAAAAACTCTGTGAAATTCTTAAAGAAGTCACAATGATAGAGACAGAAAGAAAAATAGTGGCTGCCACGGAGTGGGTCGGGGCAAGGTGGAGAGTTGGAAGAATGGGGCGTTGTTATTCAATGCTTACAATTTTTTGGTTTTACAAGATGAAAAGAGGAATGCAGGTGGTGGTTATGGTTGCGTAACATTGTAATTGAAGACAGTGCATTTTATGTGTATTTTACCACAATTTTATAAAATTAAAAATAAATAATTACTAACACTAGTACCTAAAAATACATAAACCAAGATACTTCTTGCAGCAATAGGTGTATGACAAAATAACTGGCAACCCTAAAAATGTTTAAAAACAGAATAATAATTGAATAGACTCTGGTGCATCTATACTAAAGTAGAACAAAAGTACTGGGGCCTTAGAAGTCACAGAACTTTCTTAGAATAAAGTAAGCTTTCTCATGGAGAAAGGGTGTATATCCCCAAATGACCAAAGCAGAGGTTCTCCCACCATCAACCCTTCCCTGTCCCCCTCTCAGGTCAGAGTCAGGGGAGAAAGACCCATAAGGAAGAGGTATGTGAGAAGGTACTTCCAGAACAAGTCTCATCTCTTCCCTACATAACCTTGCCACTGTGACCATTTGCCCAAAATACCAAATTATGCTTCTCCTCTGAAAGATTTTCTGTGGAATGGGGCCTAGCTCACCAAGTAAGAGAAAACTCCTAGCCTAGGCTCCCAAATTGATTTGCTTCAGCAAATCTGTTCAGATGCACCCCATTTTGTTGCTTTATTCAAATGCAGAAAACTCTCATCTTGTCAGAGCTGATGACATGTATAGTCTAGGGCTTAAAAACTTCATTTCACAATCCCTCCAATACGCTGAGGCTTTCACACTGCAGAGAACAGGAGAGGAGTGTGTGCGTAAGAAACTCCGTCTGTCTGGGGCAAAATATCACTCCCCTACTTTTCCTAACTCAGGAAACGCCACTAAGCCCTTTGAGAACCATTACTGTGGAGGTTAACATCTTACTCTACGTCCTCCTGAGGTGGCTCAGTGAAAGGGGGATACTAAATTGACTTTCGTGGTGTCAAACACAGGAATGGAGTGATAGAGACCCAGCCCTAGCAGGGTTTAGTTTTGAACCATACACCCTTTGTTTTAGGTTTAACATACTCCCTACTGCAACACTCTGTTCTGGGTGCATGTTTTTATCATTCATCTTGAGGATTCTTGATGTATTCTCACTCTCCCATGCACTTCGCATGGGTAGTCCTCAGCTGCATTTCACTCATGCATGGCAGTAGCCTGCTGGAGTGATTTCATAGGCCTCTTCACCACCAAAAAGAGGCAGATGGACAAACATGAACAAACCCAATAGAAGGCACCCTGGAATGACGAGTTGTTTTGGCAAAATAAGTGGTGAAGGGATAGACAGGCTGTCAAATTGTGACAAATTATGGCAAATTGTGACTCTAGATTGTGATCCACGCTTAATTCTTAAGAAATCAGAATACAGTGAGAGGGGCCAAGATGGCTGACTAGAAACAGCTGCAGTTGGAGGCTCCCAGGAAGAATGAAAACAGCAAGTGAATCCTGCACCAGCAACTGAGGTATCCAGGTTGTCTCATTGGGACTGACTAGGCGGCTGGCATGACACATGGAGAGTGAGAAAAAGCAAGGTGGTGCAACGGTGCACCTGGGAGCCACATGGGGCAAGGGGATCTTCCACCCACGGCCAAGGGAGACGGTTAGTGATCATGATACCCTGCCCGGGAAACCACACTTTTTCCACAGATCTGTGTAACCTGTGGATCAGGAGATCCCTCCTGTGAGTCCACGTCACCAGGGCCTTGGATTCCAAACACAGAGCTGTGCAGATGCTCAGAGGCCACTTAGCTGGAGACTGCTAGAAACTACCCAGTGTCCTGGGGAACGGGTGGTCATTATCACTGCAGCTGCCTGCTACTTAAGATGACTGAGCTTCCTTGGGGGAGGGGTGACAGCCATCACTGCAGCTCCAGTCTGCCATTTTCCCCTGCTGGTGCTGGGGAGATGGGGTAAAGTTTGGACCCAGGAGGAATTCCCCACAGTGCAGCACAGCAGCTGTGGCAGATTGTGGCCAGACTGCCTCTTTAGGCCAGACCCTGACCCATCCCTCCTTACTGAGTGGGGCCTCCCTGCAGGAATTTTAGCAACTCCAGCCAGGGGTTTAGGGACAGAACTCTGATCTCCCTGGGACTGAGCCCCTGCGGGGAGGGGCAGCCATGATCTCCATGGATCAGCAGACTTAGTATTTCCCCCTGCTGGCTCTGAAGAATCTGGGCAGTACAGATGAGTGGGATTCTCCCCAGTGTAATGCAGCCCTCCAACAAGGGGCAGCCAGAGTGCTTCCTTAAGCAGGTCCCTGGTCCCATGCCTCTTCACTGGGTGAGACCCCCAACAGGGGTTGCCAGACACCTTATACAAGAGCATTCCCACTGGCATCAGGTAGGTTCATCTCTGGGCCAGAGATACCAGAGGAAGGGGCAGGTAGTTATCTTTGTTGTTCTGCAGTCTCCACTGGTGACACCTCCAGGTGTGGGAGGGACCCAGGTGAATAGGTCTGGATTGGATCCCCAGCAAACTGCAGCAGCCCTATGGAAGAGGGGCCTGACTGTTAAAAGAAAACAGCAACAACAACAGCAACAGCATCAACAAAAAAATCCCCCAAAAAACTCCATCTGAAGGTCAGCAGCCACAAAGATCAAAGCTAGATAAACTCATCAAGTTAAAAAAGAATCAACAAAAAAAATGTTAAAAACTCAAAAAGCCAGAATGCCTCTTCTCCTCCAAATGATTGCAACACCTCTCCAACAAGGGCACAGAACTGGGTAGAGGTTGAGATGGATGAATTGACATAAGTAAGCTTCCGAAAGTGGTTAATAATGAACTTCACTGAGCTACAAGAGCCATGTTCTAACCTAATGCAAAAATGCTAAGAACCATGATAAAACATTACAGGAGCTGCTAACCAGAATACCCAGTTTGGAGAGGAACGTAAATAACCTGATGGAGCTGAAAAACACAACATGAGAACTTCACAACGCAACCACAAGTATCAATAATGGAATAGAATAGACCAAGCAGAGGAAAGAATTTGAGAGCTTGAAGACTATCTTGCTGAAATAGGACAGGCAGACAAAATTGGAGAAAAAAGAATGTTAAGGAACAAACAAGACCTCTGAGAACTATGGGATTATGTAAAAAGACCAAACCTACCACTGATTGGAATACCTGAAAGAGACAGGGAAAATGGAACCAAGTTGTAAAACATACTTCAGGATATCATCCAGGAGAATTTCCCCAACCTAGCAAGTGAGGCCAACATTCAAATTCAGGAAATCCAGAGAACCCCAGTAAGACACTCCATGAGAAGATCAACCCCAAAACACATAATCGTCAGATTCTCCAAGGTTGAAATAGAAGAAAAAAATGTTAAGAGCAGCCAGAGAGAAAGGCCAGGTCAACTACAAAGGGAAGCCCATCAGACTAACAGCAGATCTCTCAGCAGAAACCTACAAGCCAGGAGGGATTGGGGTCCGGCCAGGGGCAATTGCTCAAGCCTGTAATCCCAGCACTTTGGGAGGCTGAGGCAGGCAGATCACAAGGTCAGGAGATCGAGACCATCCTGGCCAACATGGTGAAATCCCGTCTCTACTAAAATACAAAAAATTAGCTGGGCGTGGTGGTGCACGCCTGTAGTCCCAGCTACTTGGGAGGCTGAGGCAGGAGAATCGCTTGAACCCAGGAGGCAGAGGTTGCAGTGAGCTGAGATTGTGCCACTGCACTCCAGCCTGGCAACAGAGCAAGACTCCATCTCCAAAAAAAAAAAAAAAAAATTAGGGGCCAATATTCAACATTCTTAAAGAAAAAAATCTCCAACCCAGAATTTCATATCTGGCCAAACTAAGCTTCATAAGTGAAGGATAAATAAAACCTTTTTCATACAAGCAAATGCTGAGGGAATTTGTCACCACCAGGTTTGCCTTGCAAGAGCTCCTGAAGGAAGCACTAAGTATGGAAAGGAAAAACCAGTAGCAGCCACTGTAAAAACACACTGAAGCACAAGGACCAATGACACTATGAAGCAATAACACCAACAAGTCTGCAAAATTACCATTTAGCATCATGATGACAGAATCAAATTCACACATAACAATATTAACTTTAAATGTAAATAGGTTAAATGCTCCAATTAAAAGACACAGAATGGCAACCTAGATGAAGTGTCAAGACCCATCAGTGTGCTGTATTCAAGAGATAGATCTCATGCAAAGACACACTAGGCTCAAAATAAAGAAATGGAGAAAAATTTACAAAGTGAATAAAAAGCATAGAAAAGCAGAGGTTGCAATCCTAGTTTCTCATGTAACAGACTTTAAACCAACAAGATCAAAAAAAAGACAAAGCAGGGCATTACATAATGGTTAAAGGATCAATTCAACAAGAGGAGCTAACTATCCTAAATACATATGTACCCAATACAGGAGAATCCAGATTCATATTAGAGGCCTACAAGGAGACTTAGACTCTCACACAACAATAGTGGGAGACTTTAATACCTCAATGTCAGTATTAGACGGATCATCAAGACAAAATTAACAAGAATATTCAGGACTTTAACTCAGCTCTGGAACAAGTGAACCTGATAGGTATTGACAGAACTCTCCACCCAAGAGCAACAGAATATATATTCTTCTCGGCACCACATGGCACTTATTGTGAAATGGATAATATAATTGAAACTAAAACACTCCTTAGCAAATTCAAAAGAACTGAAATCATAACAAACAGTCTCTCAGACTGCAGCACAATCAAATTAGAACTCACATAAGAAACCCACTCAAAATCACATAACTACATATAAATCAAATAGCCTGCTCCTGAACGACTCCAGGGTAAATAATGAAATTAAGGCAGAGATCAAGAAGTTCTTTGAAACCAATGAGAACAAAGAGACAGTATACCAGAATCTCTGGGACACAGCTAAAACAGTGTTAAGAGGGAAATTTATAGAACTAAATGCCCACCATTAGAAAGGTAGAAAGATCTCAAATTGACACCCTAGCATCACAATTAAAAGAACTAGAGAACCAAGAGCAAACAAACCTCAAAGCTAGCAGAAGACAAGAAATAACCAAGATCAGAGCAGAACTGAAAGAGACAGTGAAACAAAAAATCCTTTAAAAAAGTATTGAATCCAGGAGCTGGTGTTTTGAAAAAATTAATAAAATAGACCACTAGCTTGATTAACAAAGAAGAAAAGAGAGAAGAATCAAATAAGCACAATAAAAAAGATAAAGGGGATGTCACCACTGAGCCAACAGGAAAACAAGCAACCGTCAGAGAATACTATAAACACATCTATGCAAATAAACTAGAAAATTTAGAAGAAATGGATAAATTCCTGGAGACGTACACTGTCCCAAGACTAAACCAGGAAGAAATAAAATTCCTGAACAGAATTTTATTCTATTCACAACAAAAACTTGTCCTGTTCAGAACAACAACAAGTTCTGAAATTGAGGCGGAAATAAGTAGCCTACCAACAAAAAGAAGCCCAGAACCAAATGGATTAACAGCTGAATTCTACCAGAGGCACAAAAAAGAGCTGGTACCATCTCTATGGAAACTATTCTAAAAAATTGAAAAGGAGGGACTCCTCCCTAAGTCATTCTATGAGGCAGTATCATCCTGATATCAAAACTTGGCAGAGATACAACAACAACAAAAACTTCAGGCAAATACCCCTGATAAACAGCAATGCCAAAATTCTCAATAAAATACTGGCAAACCGAATCCAGCAGCACATCAAAAAGCTTATCCACCACAAACAAGTCAGCTTCATCCCTGGGATGCAAGGCTGGTTTAACATATGCAAATGAATAAATGTAAACATAATTCATTACATAAACAGAACTAAAGACAAAAACCACATTATTATCTCAATAGATACAGAAAAGACAAATTGGATAAAGAGTCAAGACCCATTGGTGTGCTGTATTCAGGAGACCCATCTCACGTGCAAAGACACACATAGGCTCAAAATAAAGGGATGGAGGAATATTTACCAAGCAAATGGAAAGCAAAAAAAAAAAAAAAAAAAAAGGTAGAGGTTCCAATCCCAGTCTCTGATAAAACAGACTTTAAACTAACAAAGATCAAAAAAGACAAGGCCATTACATAATGGTAAAGGGATCAATGCAACAAGAAGAGCTAACTATACTAAATATATATGCACCCCATACAGGAGCACCCAGATTCATAAAGCAAGTTCTTAGAGACCTACAAAGAGACTTAGACTCCCACACAATAATAGTGGGAGACTTTAACACCCCACTGTCAATATTAGACAGATTAGTGAGACAGAAAACTAGCAAGGATATTCAGAACTTAAACTCAGCTCTGGACCAAGTGTACCTAATAGACATCTACAGAACTCTCCACCCCAAATCAACAGAATATATTCTTCTCAGCACCACACTGCACTTATTCTAAAATTGACCACATAATTGGAAGTAAAATGTTGTAAATACAATAGCAATTAAGGATGCACTTGTAAGAAAATCACAAAACTTAACTTAAAAAAAACAGAATTAATCTTTTTCAGTAATATAGGTTAATGCAATTCATAAAAATATTATCTTGGATTCCTTTAAATAATGAACATTGCATGTGGTTAAATTTTGGATACTATTCATTCACATTTTTGAGGTAGAAAACTTGAGATGGTGCAGGAAAACTTTAAAGGTGTTATTAACCCCAAACAAACTAAAATCAACTACAAAGTAAGCATCCCAAAGTATAACTTTAGCTGTTAAGCAATAATGTTCCATTTCTAAAATGTAACTTAAATGGAGTTTTTAACACAAATTAAAACGTGTCAGTTCAGTTACAATTATTAAATAAAGTTAAATGGGTATCTATGGAAAATGACAGTTCCATGGACTTAAATATAACTGTAAAATTTCTGTTTCTGGCCGGGTGCTCTGGCTCATGCCTGTAATCCCAGCACTTTGGGAGGCCAAGGCGGGCAGATCACGAGGTCAGGAGTTCGAGACCATCCTGGCTAATACGTTGAAACTCTGTCTCTTTTAAAAATACAAAAAAAAATTAGCTGGGCATGGTGGTGGGCGCCTGTAATCCCAGCTACTCAGGAGGCTGAGGCAGGAGAATCGTTTGAACCCTAGAGGCAGACGTTGCAGTGAGCCGAGATCGCGCCACTGCACTCCAGCCTGGGCGACAGAGCAAGATTTCGTCTCAAAAAAAAGAAAAAAAAATTGTTTCCTCTTTCTATTAACACAGATAATTATGACCTCTACTTCGACGCATAAGACAAACAGCTCTCCAAATAAAATGCAAGAATTGTATCAGAAATTTGAAAGCCAAAGGATAAAAGATAATATAACTGACCTTCAACAAACAGTTCTCTATGTTGTGAGCTTGAGGAAGAGATCCTTAAGTTTTCTCTTGGAATATGGCTTTTGTTGAGACCTAAACTGTCATTAAGATTTCTGGTGCACGGTGATTCTAAGACTGGCCTTCTATTATGAGGAGTGAATAAAGATCTGGTCTGCTTTTTCTCCACAGGAAGTAGGGTGCTGACGTCTGCTAGCATGTCATTAGTTCTGTGAAGATTGTAAAAGACAAATGCTTAGTATCTCATTTTTTTCCTAAATGACTTGCAGCATTTTAAAAGTTGCCGTAAGAGTAGGTGGAATACACCGTAAGTCATGTTTTAACTCCAAAAATGTGTTAGAGCATGCCTACTGCATGCAATTATAGTTTTTAAATTCTTCTGAAGAAGTACGTGTATTTCTAGGGGGATTTATAGCAAACAAGTAAGTCAAAATAGGGAGGGGAGGGAAAAGGTTTTCAATAATGTATGGCTTAACAGGTAACACTTCCTGCTTTCTGGAATGGCTCTACTTATGAGATTCTTAGGGATGCCATTAAAAATACTTGCATTTAAAGGGTAACTATGTGAAGTGATGAATATGTTCATTTTCTTGACTGTAATAACCATTTCACTGTGCATATAAACATATCAAAACATCATGTTGTACTCCTTAAATATATACAATAAAAAAAGTTTAAAAAGCTAGAAATACTTGTATTTAGTAAACCAGTGAAAAGATTTTAGAAAACTATCCCTCAAAGACATTCCTGAAAAATCATATTCACCAGCCTTTTACATTTAACCCATTGTCTGGGAAAAATTAAGTGTTTGCCACTGAGGAATTATTCAGAGTTTATTACTCCATTTTCATGCTGCTATGAAGAAATACCCAAGACTGGGTAATTTATAAAGAAAAGAAGTTTAATTGACTCACAGTTCTGCATGGCTCGGGAGGCCTCAGGAAACTTACAGTCATGGTGGAAGGCACTGATTCACAGGGCAGTAGGAGAGAGAAGTGCCGAGCAAAGTGGCAAAAGCCCCTTACAAAACCATCAGATCTCAGGGGAATTCACTCACTATCAGGAGAACAGCTGGGGCTGGGGGAACCGCTCTCATGATTCAGTTACCTCCCACTGGGTCCCTCCCATGACATATGGGGATTACAGGAACTATAGAGATTTTGGTGGGGACACAGCCAAACCATATCACAGAGCAACAACTCCCGGGGGAGAATGAGATAGCTGAGATCAAAGACAACTAAAGCAGCTCCAAAGGCAATTAGCGCCTAACATTGTGGCCCAGGCATCAGAGGTGGGGCCTGCCCTTTCTGTCTTCCACACACCCCCTCAGGCTGACCAAGGTGTTATTTTTCACCACTTTGTGGATTATACTTCCCTTCAACCTAATGTTGAAGTATGCCTTTATGTGGAGTGGAAAAACTATACAGGATTTGTTGTCTCAAGGCACCCTCTAATGATAATATCCAAGATAGATCACAATCAAGGAAAGTAAATTTACTGAGTGCCAGAATGTGCCCAGAATAGTGGTACTTGACTCTTGCTTTGTCATCTTCCAGAAAATAATTACATTTGTTGATATTTCTATTTAGGGGAATGACGACTAACAATTTTATGATAGTATCACTGTCTAAATTATAAAGATAAAAAATATTTAGCTGAAAACCTAATAGATCAGGTTAACTACATGAGAATATGAAGGAAAAAATGCCACATAAAACTTCAAAACAGGGGAGACACACGAACTGTCCCGGACGAACATTTTAAAGGTAAATTCATTTACTAACATCACTTTTGTAAATTGTCGAATCTAGTTAGCTTTGACTTCCCACGAATCTCAGAAACCTGTCTCACTAAAAATTATGTTTTGAAGGCAAATTAATGAGCTTAATTTATTTTCAGTGATTCTGTGTCTTGATTTACTTATTTAGTTCACCTGACAGGGATCCTCTGTTTTTTTTTTTTTTTTTTTTTTTTTTTTTTTTTTTTTTTTTTTTTGAGATGGAGTCTGGCACTGTTGCCCAGGTGGACTGCAGTGGCGTGATCTCAGCTCACAGCAACCTCTGCCTCCCGGCTTCAAGCAGTTCTCCTGCCTCAACCCCCCAAGTAGCTGGGATTACAGGGGCCCGCCACCACGCCCCGCTAATTTTTTGTATTTTTAGTAGAGACGGGGTTTCACTATGTTGGCCAGGCTGGTCTCAAACGTCATGATCCACCTGCCTCGGCCTCCCGAAGTGCTGGGACTACAGGCGTGAGCCACCGCGCCTGGCTGGATCCTCTAATTTATAATTCCTCCAGATAGAGCTGCTTATAGTTTACCAATTCACTGTTATTAAAGTCTGCTTGTGAAGTTTTCATTTTGGAGAGTTTGGCTTCCAGTTCTTTAATTCTGAGTTTCATCTGACTTTTTAGTGAGGTAATATTGTCTTCTCTTAACTGCTCTAACTCTTCTTGAGACGCTGCTCATGTCTAAAATGAGCATTTAAAAGAGACATTTTAATAGTAATTATCACTTGAATAATTATTGTGTATTTGTTTCATTTAGTTTTCAGTCAGTGGTTCAGAGAGTGATTTTAGGTATTTTTTAAAAAGAAGCTGAAGTTTAATATATTTATCATGAGTATCAACTGAATTCACAACTTAATCTGAATTGTAAAAAAACTGAGTCATTCTTATGGTAGTACTCATGTAATGTGATACTCCAAAGCATAATAGAATCAATTTTAAATTTTAAAATTTGAACAATGTAACTTAAGAACAATCCAAGAATATGGTTTAATTTGTAAATCACAAACGTTTTATTTCTCTCTTCATCTTGTTTTATGCCAACTGGTCTTAGTAATCAAAGGATTTTCTAATAAGAATCATTATTATGGAGGATCAACTTAGTTATAATAATGATGGGAACTAAAATATTTAAAGGAAGAAACAGCTACTACCATCCTTCTAGAAATCTACCAAACAAATTGCTATAAAGTAGGGAAAACACATACAATGTCTATATCCAAAATATAATTTGCAGTGAAATGAATGAAAGCACATTACAGGTAAATACAACAACCTGCAAGAAGAGATTGACTTAATTTTTCTACAATCTCTTGTCTTGCTCTTTCTTTCATCTCTCATTTATATTGTTCAGCTTCACCATGTTCTAACATATTTCTTTCCATATAACTTTTGAGGTTTAATACTACCTGTGCTAAGTGCCTATTGTTCTTCTGCAGTGTTACACATTTCTTCTGTATTGTTTTCATATTTCTCCTGCATTGTTTTCATATTCTGTATTGTCTTATTTCTTCTATATTGTTTAATGTCTGTTGAAGAACTTCATTCTCTGCATCCAGATGTAGACATTTTGAAGATGTGGTTTCCCATGCTTCTGTAAGATCAACCTGCATGAGTAAAATAAAATAGTTTGGTAATGAAGGAGGAAGGCCAAGAATGGTCTAACATGAAACCAATAACAACTTTTGAAAGAAATTCAGCTGCAATAAAATGTTATATATACTGTAGTAGATTCATAATATTTGGACCCTTGAGTTATTCACAAAATCAAAAAGAAAGTTAAAACCACTAGGAGTCACAAAAATATATTCTTTACTATCATCATTTGTGCCATACAACATTTACTTGTTTATTTTTCTATTATAATGCCTCTATGCCACCCCTTACTACAAAGACTTTCACTCGTTCCCCTACATTGTCATTCCCCATAATTTCTAAAGAGGTTTCAGGGAAAACATATTGAATTATTTAGGTCTCAGTCAGTACATGGCTCCCAAAATAAAACTTTGAAAATAAGACTCTAATTTGTAAATCTTGTAAATGTGGATTCCAATGCTATAAGCCTTTTTCTGAACTATAAATGTTTTATGCTAATTTGAATTACATTTCAAGGGGTAATGATTCTTGGGGTTAAGAAGCAATTATATCTCCTAGTATAAAAGTTCAGCAACATGATGATCCATACAATTTTCCTGAACAAAAATGTCTGAATTCAATAGCACAATCTTATAATCCTCTGTTAGTTTACACAAAGTAAGGGTGCATACTAAACAATGATAACAAAAGATCTTGCTAAAATTTCAGTGCTACTGAGTTGGAAAGAATAATTTTCCTTTAGATGGAATGATTATTTTATTTTAAAAAGGTAAGTGGAGTGGCACCACTACTAATTGTTTGACATTTCTCCCATGAAATTCCCTCTCCTGAATACAAGCTGGCATTGGTAATTGGTTACTAGTGAACATCATATGGCAGAACTGGGTGCGACTTCTTGTTTTTTTTTTTTTTAGACAGAGTCTCGCTCTGTTGCCCAGGCTGGAGTGCAGTGGCGCTATCTTGGCTCTCTGCAAGCTCCACCTCCAGGGTTCACACCATTCTCCTGCCTCAGCCTCCCGAGTAGCTGGGACTACAGGCGCCCACCACCACGCCCAGCTAATTTTTTTTTATTTTTAGTAGAGACAGGGTTTCATCATGTTAACCAGGATGGTCTCGATCTCCTGACCTCATGATCCACCAGCCTCGGCCTCCCAAAGTGCTGGGATTACAGGCGTGAGCCACCGCACCCAGCCAGAACTGTGTGTGACTTCTAACGTTGGATAAGAAAATGTATTATAATACAGCTTCCACCTGACTTTCTCTCTAGGGAAGCTTGTTCTTAGAATCCAGCCACCACAATGTAAGGAAGACTGAGCCAAATGATGAATCCTCATGTAGGTGTTCCAGCTGACTGCCCCAGCTTCACTTCCCAGCCAAAAGCCAGCTTCATCTGCCACACAGGCAAATCAACAGGACTTTAATATTTTCAATGATTCTAGTCTAAGTTTCAAGTCACTTCATCTGATACCATAGAAAGTGAGATAGCCCCACTGAGCCTTGCCTAAAACTGCAAATTGTGAACAAAATAGATACTGTCTTGAGACAATGAATTTTGAGGTGGTGTATTACACAGCAATAGATAACTGATACAGATACTGACACTAAATATGGGCTACTGCCATTAAAAGATACTACTAAAACCTGGCAGGATACCATTGGGCCAGGAGCTAGGTAGAGGCTGAAAAGACCTAGAGAAGAATAATGAACACTGAAAGGGCTTCAAAGAAACTGTTAGTGGAAGCCTGTCCCACTCACCCTGAGACTGAAGCTGTGGCACCTAAATCAGCATCAGTTTAAGAGCCCAAACCGCCCCCTACTACCAGACTACATCCTGCCCAGAGACCCAACAGCCCCTGCATCTCCACATTCAGTGGAGCACCGCTGACATTTCACAACATTCACAGAGAGGACTTGCGGCATCATGCACCAGCTGGACCCACAACACCTGATGTGGCTGGGTCCCCAAAACCCTAACCTTGCAGCACCCTACACCCTTGGAAATAGTTGGTCCGGCCCACCAGAAAAGGTACTCTAGGACAAAGGAATCCTAAGTATGTGCTCCTAGAGCCTGAGAGCCACCTGACTGAGGCCATGACCACCAACGCAACCCTGTCCCCTCCAGCGGCAGCACTGCTGCACACCTGTGCACACCTTCAGGAGGCCTGAGGACTGACTCACGCATGTGCACCATCCTAAATCCTGAAAGCCAGCCTGCCCAACCCACCAGGGGCAGTGCCTGTGTGAGCCATATGGGAGCCTGAAGACAAGGTCACCTTGCTTGCCACTGCCACTATTGCTGCCAGTGCCTACATATGCCGTCCAGGGCCTGAAGGAGGAGCCCATCCCACCCAGGCCTATATGTGCATTCTGGGGCCTGAAGACAAGTCTGCCCCATCCACCACTATCACCACAAGTACCTGTATTCTGGGAGCCTGAGGATTGGCATCCCTATTTCTATAAGTGTCCATACACACTGTCAAGGGCCTGAGAACAATTCCATTGCCCCACTGGCACCCACACATGTCCTCCAGGGCCTGAGGACAGGGCTGCCCCACCAGCCACTGACAAAGGCTCCTGCATGTGCACTCAGTGAACCCATAAACAAGCTTGCCCCACCCATGGCTATAGAAACCCACCCAAATGTGCCACACAAGGGCCCAGGAAAATGCCCAGCCAGACTGCTGTCACCATTACTAGTGCCCGTTCATGCAACCCAGGGTCTGGCCCCTCACTGCTATTGTCATTGTAGGTACCACAAGTTCCACCCAGGGTCCTTAGGACTGTCATGCCACTGCCACCTCTGATCCCAGCACACACTACCTGGAGGCCCAAGCACCAGCCCACCCAGGCAACCCACTGCCTCCCAAGTAGCTGAGATTACAGGCACCCGCCACCACGCCCAGCTAATTTTTGTATTTTTAGTAGAGACGGGGTTTTGCCACGTTGGCCAGGCTGGTCATGAACTCCTGACCTCAGGCAATCCACCCGCCTCGGCCTCCCAAAGTGCTTGGATTACGGGCATGAGCCACTACACCCAGCTGAAAGAAAAATCTTAAAGGCAGGTAGAGAAAGGGTCAGATGACATACCATGGGAACTCCATTAGGCTAACAGTGGATTTTTCAACAAAAATCTTACACATCAGAACAAAGTGAGAACCTATTTTCAGCATCCTAAAAGAAAAGTCATTTCAACCAAGAATCTCATATCCTGCCAATCCAAGCTTCATTAGTAAAGGAGAAAAACAAAACTTTTTCAGAAAAGCAAATTCTAAGAAAATTCATTACTGCTAGAAGTGTTATAAAAAATTCTTAAGGGAGGCTGGGCACGGTGGCTCACACCTGTAATCCCAGTACTTTGGGAGGCCAAAGTGGGTGGGTCACAAGGTCAGGAGATAGAGACCATCCTGGCTAACATGGTGAAACCCCGTCTCTACTAAAAATACAAAAAAAATTAGCCGGGTATGGTGGTGGGCGCCTGTAGTCCCAGCTACTCGGGAGGCTGAGGCAGGAGAATGGTGTGAACCCTGGAGGCAGAGCTTGCAGTGAGCGGAGATCGTGCCACTGCACTCCAGCCTGGGCGACAGAGCGAGACTCCGTTTCAAAAAAAAAAAAAAAAAAAATTCTTAAGGGAGTTACAAACACAAAAATGAAGGAAACAATAGCTGCTATCACAAAACCAGAT
Source organism: Homo sapiens (assembly GCF_000001405.40). NCBI lineage: Eukaryota > Metazoa > Chordata > Mammalia > Primates > Hominidae > Homo > Homo sapiens. Next base: position 55,663,782 of record NC_000007.14, read on the forward strand.
TTAAGTCCATAGCCCACAGATCCTACACAGCAATTACACAATGGAGAACACAGAGCAACCAGCTAACAATATCGCGACAGGATCAAAATCTCATATACCAGTGTTAATCTCAAATTAAATGGTCTCAATGCTCCACTCAGAAGTCAGGGTGGTAAGTTGAATACAAAAACGAAAACCAGCCACTGCTTGTCTTCAAAACCCATCTCACATGTAATACCATGCAAAGGCTCAGTGTAAAGGAATGAAGAAGGATCCATCATGCAAATAAAATGGAAAAGAAGAGTAAAGGTTGCCATTCTTTTCTTCTTTCTTTCTTTCCTTTTTTTTGAGATGCAGTCTTGCTCTGTCGCCCAGGCTGGAGTGCAGTGGCGTGATCTCGGCTCACTGTAAGCTCTGCCTCCGGGTTCAAGTGATTCTCCTGTCTCAGCCTCCCAAATAGCCAATTTTTGTATTTTTAGTAGAGACGGGGTTTCTCCGTGTTATCCAGGATGGTCTCAATCTCCTGACCTCATGATCCACCCGCCTCGGCCTCCCAAAGTGCTGGGATTACAGGCGTGAGCCACCGAGCCCAGCCGCTATTCTTATATCAGATAAAACAGACTTTAAATCAACAACAGTAAAAAAAGACAAAGACGAGCATTACATAATGATAAAAGGCTCAATTCAACAGGAAGACTTCATTATCTTAAATATATAGACACCCAACATTGGAGCACTCAGATTCATAAAACAGTACTTCTAGACCGATGAAAAAGTTTAGACAGCCACATAATAATAGGCGACTTCAACACCTCGCTGACAGCATTAGACAAACCACTGAGACAAAACCTACAAAGAAATTCTGGACTTAAATTTGACTCTTGATCAATCAGGCCTAATAGACATCTATAGAATACTCTATCCCAAAATCACAGAACATACTTTCTTCTCATGTGCACATGGAACATACTCTAAGGTCAACCACATGCTTGGCCATAAGCAAGTCTCCATAAATTTAAAAATAAAATAAAATCATACCAAGCACACTCTTGGATTACACTGCAATAAAAACATATCAATACTGAGATATCTCAAAACTACAGAATTACATGGTAGTTAAAAAACGTGCTCCTGAATGACTTTTGGGTAAACAATGAAATTAAATCAGAAACAAAAAATCTTCAAAATAAATAAAAACAGAGACACAACATATCAAAACCTCTGGGATATTGCAAAAGCAGTGTTAAGAGCAAAGTTTACAGTGCTAAATGCACATGCCAATAAGTTAGAACAATCTGAAATTAACAATCCAACATTACACTTGGAGGAACCAAAAAACAAGAAAATAACCCCAAAGCTAGCAGAGGAAAAGAATTAACTAAAATCGGAGCAGAACTGAATGACATTGAAACCCCAAAACCCACACAAAGGATAAACAAAAATTGATTCCTTGAAAGAAAAAAAAGATAGACTTTTAATTGGATTAACCAAAAGTGAGAATATTTAAATAAGCACCATCAGATATGACACAGATGACATTACAACCGATCCAACAGAAATAAAATAGATCCTCAGAGACTATTATGAACACCTCCATGCATACAAATTAGAATTTCTACAGGAAAACAGATAAATTCCTGGAAACACAAAAATTTTCAAGACTGAACCAGGAAGAAACTGAAATCATGAACAGACCAGTAACAAGTTCTGAAATTGAAGCAATAATAAAAAAACCTACTAACCAAAATAAGGCCTGGACCAGATGGATTCACAGCTGAATCAGAACCAAAGCTGTTCTCAATCCTACTGAAACTCTTCCAAAATATTGACGAGGAGGGACCCCTCCCTAATTCAGGAGTTTGAGACCACCTGGACAAAATTGCAAAACCCCGTCTCTACAAAAAATACAAAAATTAGCTAGGCGTGCTGGCATACACATGTTGTCCCAGCTACTTGGGGGCTGAGGCAGGAGGATCACTTGAGCCCAAGAGGTTGAGGCTGCAGTGAGCTGTGTTTGCACCACTGCACTCTAGCCTGAGAAACAAAGTAAGACCCTGTCTCAAAAAACAAAACAAAACACAAAGCTAAAATTGACAAATGGAACTTAATTAAAGAGCTTCTGTACATCAAAAGAAACTATCAACAGAATAAAAAGACAACCTACAGAATGGGAGATTTTTGCAAACTATGCATCTGACAAAGGACTAATATCCAACATCTATAAGGAACAAACAAATTTACAAGAAAAAAACAACCCCATAAAACAGTGGGCCAAGGACATGAACAGATATTCCTCAAAAGAAGACATACATGCATCCAGTAAGCACATTTTTAAAAAAGATTCCTATCATTACTCATTAGAGAAATGCAAATCAAAACCACGAGAGACTAACCCACACCAGTTGGAATGGCAATTAGTCAAAAATATTTAATAACAGATGCTGGTGAGGTTGTACAGAAAAGGGAACACTTTTACACTGCTGGTGGGAATGTAAATTAGTTCAGCCATTGTGAAAAGACGTTTGGTGATTTCCCAAACAACTTAAAACTGAACTACCATTCTACCCAGAAATCCCAATATTGGGTATATACCCAAAGGAATATAAATCATTCTACCAAAAAGACACATGCACTTGTATGTTTATCGCCACACTATTCACAATAGCAAAGACATGGAATCAACCAGGAGCCCATCAAAGGTGGATTGGATAAAGGAAACATGGTACATTCACACCATGTTACACTATATAGCCATAAAAAGAACAAAATCACGTACTTCGCAGCAACATGGATTTAGCTGGAAGCCATTATCCTAAGCAAACTAATGCAGGAACAGAAAACCAAATACTACACGTTCTCACTTAGAACTGGGAGCCAACCACTGGGTACACATGGACATAAAGATGAGAACAGCAGACACTGAAGACTACAAGAAGGGGAAGGATGGGAGGCGAACCAGTGTCAAAAATGACCTATTGAGTAGTAAATACTCACTACCTGGGTGACAGGATCAATCATACCCCAAACCTCAGCATTATGCAATATACCTTTGTAAAAACATCTGCACATGTACCCCCTGAATTTAAAATAAAAGAAAGAAAAAGAATAAACAAAATGCTTTTTAAAACTTGCCAAAGAAGCCGGGCGCAGTGGCTTACTCCTGTAATCCCAGCACTTTGGGAGGCGGGGTGGGCGGATCACGAGGTCAGGACATTGAGGCCATCCTGGCTAACACGGTGAAACCCTGTCTCTATTAAAAATACAAAAAAGTTAGCCAGGAGTGGTGGCGGGCGCCTGTAGTCCCAACTACTCGGGAGGCTGAGGCAGGAGAATGGCGTGAACCCGGGAAGTGGAGCTTGCAGTGAGCGGAGATCGCGCCACTGCACTCCAGCCTAGGCAACACAGAGAGGCTCTGTTTCCAAAACAAAACAAAACAAACAAACAAAAAAAACTTGCCAAAAAATAGAAAAACAATCCTAAAATTCACATGGAAGCAAAAAAAAAAAAAAAAAAAAAAGCCAGACTAGTCCGCCTATTCATGAGGAAAAAGAGCAAAGCTGGAGGCATCACTTCTACCTGACTTCAAAATACATTACAAGGGGCCGGGCGCGGTGACTCACACCTGTAATCCCAGTACTGTGGGAGGCCGAGGCAGGCAGATCACGAGGTCAGGAGATCGAGGCCATTTTGGCTAACACGGTGAAACCCTGTCTCTATTAAAATACAAAAAAATTAGCCGGGCGTGGTGGCGGGCGCCCGTAGTCCCAGCTACTGGGGAGTCTGAGGCAGGAAAATGGCATGAACCCGGGAGGGGGAGCTTGCAGTCAGTGAGCAGAGATCGCGCCACTGCACTCCAGCCCGGGTGACAGAGCGAGACTCCCTCTCAATAACAACAACAACAAATTACAAGGTACAGTGACTAAAACATGGATTGTTATAAAAACAGATACATAGACCAATGGAACAGAATAGAGAACCCAGAAATAAATCTACATATTTACAGGCACATGATTTTTGACAAAGGTGTCAAAGGTGTCAACAACATAACATTGGCAAAGAACACTCTCTTCAACAAATTGGGCTGGGGAAACTGGATATCAGTAGGATGAAGAATGAAAGCAGATCCTTATCTTTCACCATAAAATCAACTCAAAATCCATTAAAGACTTAAACATAAGACCCCAAATTATGAAACTACTAGAAGAAAATATAGGGAAAATACTTCAAGACATTGGTCTAGGCAATGATTTTATGGCTAAGACATAAAAAAGACAGGTAAAAAATAAAAACAAAGATCAAAAATAGATAAATGAGACTATATTAAAAGTTTCATTACAGCAAGGAAAACAACCAATAGAGTGAAGAAAATCCATAGAATGAGAGAAAATACTTGCAAGCTGTTCACCTGACAAAGGTCTAAATCCAGAATATATGGGAAAGCAAACACCTTAACAGTGAAAAAGTTAGTAGTCCAACTAATAAGTAGGTAAAGGCTCTGAGTAGATTATTTCTCAAAGGAAGACATACAAATGGCCAATATATGAAAAAGTACTCAATATCATCTCACCACAGTTAGAATGGCTACTATCAGGAAGACAAAAAGTAAAAAATGCTGGTGAGGTTGGGGAGAAAAAGGGAATTCTTATGCACTGGTGTAGGAAATAGCAAATTACTATAACCGTTATGAAAAACAGTGTGGAGGCTTCTGTAAAAACTAAAAATAGAACTGTGGTGTGATCCAGCAATCCTACTATTGAGTATTTATCCAAAAGAAAGAAAATCAATGTATCAAAAGACACCAGCACCCCCATGTTTATTGCAGCACTATTCACAATAACGAAGATGTGGAATTAACCTCAATGTTTATCAACAGATGACTGTGGTTGATGAATAAAGAAAATAGGGCACACATACACAATGGAATACTATTTAGCCAAAAAATAAATTCATGTCATTTGCAACAACATGAATGAGCCTGGAAGACATTATGTTAAGTGAAATAAGGCACAAAACCGTAAGTACTGCATGTTCTCACTCATGGGAACTAAAGTAAACAATCTGAGGTCATGGAAGTAGAGAGTAGAGCTGTGGGTATTACAGGGTGGGAAAGGTAGGGGGAGTGGAGGATGGGGAGAGGTTGGTTAATGGATACAAAATTATAGCTACATAGGAGGAATTAACTCTAGTGTTCTGTGGCATTGTAGGGACACTATGATTATGATTTATAGTGTTATTTTTAAAAAGGTAGAGGAGAGGATTTTCAATGTTCAAAGCACAAAGAAATAGTAAATGTTTGAGGTGATGGCTTTGCTAATAGCCTGATTTGACCATTATACACTGGCTACACTTATCAAAATATCACTGTGAATCCCATAAATATGTACAATTATACATGTCCACAAAAATAAAAAGGAAATTGGGTATGATGTAATACACCTGTAGTCCCAGCTATTCACGAGGCTGAGGCAGGAGGACCCCTTGAGCCCAGGAGTACAAGGCCAGCGTGGGCAATGTAGTGAGTGAGACACTATCAATCAATCAAAAATAAATAAATAAATAAACAAACAAACAATTCATCCTATAAACAGACTACGGGCCACACTTAGTGACTTGCTTCTAATGAATAGAATGTGGTACAAGTGATACCGTGTGGCCTCCAACATTAGGTTAGAAGACGCTCTCTACCTCAGACTGCTTGCCCTTAGAACCGAGCCCCCACGTTGTGAGGAAGCTCAGGTCACAAAAAGCACACAGGAGTTCCAGTGCAAGTATTTGGGCTGCCTGCCCCAACTAAAGTTCCAATCAACAGCCACTGTCAACAACCAGACATATCAGTGACCAGACCTTCAGATGATTCCAGTCCCCCAATATTTGATTGACTGCAAGTGAAGCTGAGGGGAGCAGAGAAGGTTGTCCTGGACAAGGATTTTCCAAACCACAGATTGGTGAACTAAATACATGTTGCTGTTAAGCCACTCACCTTTGGGTAGCTTGTTAGGGAAAAATAAACAGGAAAATGGACTTAAACAAAAAGACAGTAAGAAATATAATAGCTTACACAGTAGTAATTAGTCTCCTTTAAAGTAGGATCTACTAAATGTTGAGGTTAATTTGTTAATGACAAACAATGCTAATGAGAAGCAGCAGACAACCAGGAGACAGATGTATGAACTATTGAGGAGGACGTTTAGAAAAAGTTCCCTTCAGTTACAAATTCTCATAACTAAGCAAATGAGGCCCTTTAGCATTTGCCCCTCAAGTTATGGGATAAGGAAGATGAGGAAGGAAGGATATATAATTTGAAGTATGAAAGTTGAAAAAAAACAGAAGTATTTGATATAATAACCCAAATCAGACATTTTACCTGATTTCAATGAACTGAAATTCTAAAAGTGATAAGCAGCTGAGTAATTATTAATCAATCTAGTATTTGATCTTCATTTTCATTTCCTCAATGAGAAAATAAAGAGAATACTACGGAATCAGTTTTAACCTTCTCTGTAGTAAAACAAATGTAGTGTCCTTTACATGTTAAAAAATTAAATACAATTTCCCTTCAAGCTGAGAAGGTAAGACCATCTCATCTTTACATTGTACCAAAATGCTGCTCCATATCATACAAATTGGCTCTGAAATTTTGAAATTCATACAACTAATTTGACTATTTGTCTCTGATAAATACCTGGACATCACCTGATTTTTAGGTGCTGCATGCCTGAAAATTTTTATTTGAATGGGTTGAACTACTAATTTGATTATGTACTGAGCTATAAAGCATAGCTAGGCACCTCTGTTAAGTAAAAGCAGTTAAATACAGAAAACTGTAATTTCTGAGGATGTAGGATCTGTGCCAAGAAAAGGATCAGCTCCAGTGTTATACAAAGAACCAGGCACCAGGTCAACAGAGGATCTATTTGTGAGCTGTAAGATGATGAATTAGCTCAATTTCCAAAGAGGAAAGCAACAGCCCAGACTTAATCTTCTCCTTCCTACATGGCAAAAATCTACACAATTCTATGACTTATTATGAGTTAGTAAATATAATGCAGTAAATAGTAGACTGAGTCAGCAGATCCTCTAACCAAGATTTGATGAAAATGGGAGTGAAGAGGTTAGGGACTGAGTGAGAGAAAAACGGTTTGAACGGAGAAAAAGAAATGAATACGCTCTGTCTTTGTAAGCCTGACTTCCCATTGTGTCACAGGAGTCAGCAAGGTATTAATATAAGCTGGCCACATGTTCCTTCAAGAAGCAAACAGTGAAATTAAAGGCATCCTACTACTTGAATTTCTATTCTTACTTAGGACAATTGGGAATAATAAGCAACATGACTGAAAAATAATTATCCTAAAATTAGATTCGGTACTGGCATGATGATAGACATAGATCAACATATTAGAATTGAGAATCCCAAAATAAACCCACATATTTATGGTCAATTGATTTTCAACAAGGGTAAAAAAACAACAAATGAGACTATTAATTTGTTAAAAAGAATAGCCTTTTCAACAAATGGTAATGGGGCCACTGGATATCCATATGCAAAAGAATAAAGATGGACTCCTAACATACGCCACATCTAAAATTAACTCAAAATAGAACTGCTAAATATAAGAGCTAAAACTATAAAATTCTTTATCAAAATTTGAAATGTCTGCACTTGAACAGACATCATCAAAAAAGTAAAAATAAAAGCCATTGAGTGAAATAAAATATTTGAAAATCATATCTGTTAAGGGCTCTTACACATAAGATCTATAAAAAACTTAAAATTCAGAAAAAAAAGGGAAGGTGATTTTAAAACGGGCATAGCATTTAAATAGACATTTTCCCAAAGATACACAAGTGGCTCATAAGCACATAAAAAGATGCTTAACATCATTACTCATTAGGGAAACGCAAATCAAAACAAAAATGAGGTATCGCTTTGCGGGGCGCGGTGGCTCACGCCTGCAATCCCAGCACTTTGGGAGGCCAAGGCGGGTGGATCACGAGGTCAGGAGATCAAGACCACCCTGGCTAACACGGTGAAACCCCGTCTCTATAAAGACACAAAAAATTAGTCGAGCATGGTGGTGGGTGCCTGTAATCCCAGCTACCTGGGAGGCTGAGGCACGAGAATGGCTTGAACCTGGTGCAGGGGAGGTTGCAGTGAGCCGAGATTGTGCCACTGCACTCCAGCCTGGGCGACAGAGCAAGACTCCAACTCAAAAAAAAAAAAAAAAAACAATGAGGTATCACTTCACACCACTAGGATAGAATCTTCAATCAAAAATGTGAAAAATGTTGGGAAGATACAGAGAAATTAGAATCCCCATACAATTCTGATGGAAATGTAAAATGGTGCAGCCACTTTGGAAAACAGACTGGCAGCTCCTCAAATTCCACTTGTAAGTATACACCAGCAATTCCACTTCTAAGTATACACCCATGAGAAATGAAAACATATGCAAACACAAAAACTTGTACATAAAACTTCATAGGAGTATGATTAATAGCCAAAACATGGAAACAACCCAAAGTCCATAACTGATGAATGGGTAAATAAAATGACTGGTATATCCACAGAGTGGAATGTTACTCAGCAATTAGAGGAAGTTGAGTACTGATACATGTTACAATGCGGATGAGCCTTAAAAATGTTATGCTAAGTGAAAGAAGCCAATCACAAAAGACCACCACATGTTTTGTGATTCAATTGATATGAAATGTCCAGAATGGGCAACTCTATAGAAACAAAGTAGACTGGTGGTTCCCTAGAGTTGAGGAAGGGCAAACTGGTGGATGATGGCTAAATGATGCAGGGTTTCTTTTCAGGGTCGAGAAAATGTTCTCAAACTGATGTTGCTGATGACTACACAACTCCATGAATATACTAAGAGACTTGTACGTTTTCAATGGGTGAACTGTATGTTATGCAAATTATATACCAACACAGTTGCTTTAAAAAATCCAGTGGCAGGATCTAGATACATTTCTTAATTCTCTACTTTGGATGTATATACTCTACACGATCTGAGTATTTCCATGCTTTTACAATATACTTAAAATGAAATGAAAATGAAGGAAATGCCTAACATTTCAAGTACTTTGTAAATTAATCTAAAACATTTGCATTTTGGAGAAAAGTTTAATGGCCTTTCCATACAAGTTATCCTGAAATTCATGCAACAAACAGACACACACTCTATACCCATTCATGAAAGACAAGAAATAAGACACTTCTTTGGAACACTATATTAAACATTATCCTCTGATTTAATCTGGCTTGCCTTACCATGACAGTAGAGAAATAGCTAAAAAATAATGGTTTGCAGAAAAAACTCTCTCAACTGCTGTGAGGAATGAGGTATAATTTCCAACTTTCATGAGGGTAAATATTATTTTTAAAATGTATATACTTATGAGAAAAACATGACAGAATGAAAGTCAGAGGTTAAGAAATAACTGCATGATAAAGTTAATAAAGTTAATTATAATAAAAATAAAACCTATCCAATGCAATTAGTATCCTAAAACATTAGATATTATTCCACTACCTATAGATTAACCATTGACATGTTATGTTTCATATATACTTGACTTCTGATTTTACCTAATTCCTTCTTTGAATCTTGGGTCTCTTCTAAATTAATATGATAATGTGGTGTAGCCTCCAGGTAAGGCTCTGACATAGGTTGTGTTTTTAGGGTATCAGCCAGTTCTTGTTGAAGTTGTCTCATAACTACCTGTTCAGATATTTTTGTTACTGATTTGACATGTTACCTTATTAGTAAATCATGTAATAAGATTTAACATGTACTTTGAAAAATAGCACCACATACATGAATTTACCTTCTTTTCCTATGTGTATACATGCTTATTACTGAATTCAGTTAAGGACACAGAAGGTATTATTTTCCTGCCAAGTCAGTATTCTGCTTAGATTCAGTTCACTATTCACTCACCCCTGATACATTTGCAATGCTTAACTTCCTACTTAAGTCACAAAAACAAATCCATATGTGGGTGGGACTGGTGGTAGAAAATGCAACATTGTAAAATGTTTTTCCTCTTTTTTATTAGAAGCTCAAAGAAACCCCACCACTCCTGACATCCTCAATTGCCTGCTCAGATCCTTCCAATAGATTTCTATCTCAGAATACAAGTAAAATTCCAATTGCCTTCCAGGCCCTAGGTAACCACCCGGCCTTCACCTCCCTCCTTGACCTCAGCTCATACAAATCTCTTCCCTACTCACTGCTTTCTCACTGTATGTGAATCCTACCACCTCCCATTAGATTGAAAATGGGGACCTAACGTCAAACAAAGCAATCGCAGATAGCCACAATTATCTTTGTGTGGGACAAAGTCATATCCAAATGATAGCCATTGAGCCTTGAAATAAAAATTGTGGGCAAATTATTTTTAAGAACATTCAAAGTATAAATACCAGTGGTAAGATTAATCAAATATGGTTTTGCTGGAAATTCACATCTGTCCCAAATTATGATTTAATAAAAAGTAAATGCTTTTAAATAATCGAGATGTCATAACAATACTGATATTGAAATAGTCTCAGATTAAAGTCAAATTGATACAAATAAAAATAAAATTATACAAACGTAAATACATAAAAAGCCCCTGAAGGAAAAGTATTATGAGATACAACAGTATACTTCAGTTCACCTGGGAAATCTTGAATTAACAGTCAAAGTAACCCACCTAATAGAATCTTAATTTCAAAAGACTTATTTCAGATATAAGGCATTTCTGTTTATCTGCTTCATCATGGTCTTAAAATGTGGCCACATACAAATATTAAAATTATTTTAGCAGTATGTCTACATCATAAATATTAGTCTATATCTACTAACAACTTGTAACTTAACCTCTTAAAATTTCAAAGGTGATATAATTTCTTTACTCAAAGTAAAGTGTACTTCAGGTCTTTCTTTTGCTGGTATGTTTCTAGGCTAACACAGCAAATACACTTTTATTCTAAGTATATTTGTACATACTTTTTTATTTTTTTTGAGACGGAGTTTAGCTTTTGTTGCCCAAGCTGGAGTGTAATGGCGCGATCTCGGCTCAATGCAACCTCCGCCTCCCGGGTTCAAGTGATTCTCCTGCCTCAGCCTCCTGAGTAGCTGGGATTACAGGTACCCGCCACTGCGCCCGGCTGATTTTGTATTTTTAGTTGAGATGGGGTTTCTCCATGTTGGTCAGGCTGGTCTCGAACTCCCGACCTCAGGTGATCCGCCCACCTTGGCCTCCCAAAGTGCTGGGATTACAGGCATGAGCCACTGCACCCAGCCTATTCTACATACTTTTATATGCAACTATATATAACATTTAGCATAACCAAATATTACTTTAAATTTTCTTTCTTTGAGTTTGAAAAATATCTTTCTTGGTACTTACTTTTTTTTCTTTCTCTTTTTCACATTGATATATTCTTTCTTTCAAATTATTACATACATTGATTAAGTCTTTGTTTTTCTCTTCTAGCGGAAGACTCTGCATTTCACTCCCAGCTAGATTTTTTTACTACAGCATGGATTTGGTCTTGGATAGTACTGATTGTCTTTTCTTGATTGTCAGCTTTCTTGTGGGCATCATCCAGTTGCTGTCGAAGCAACCTATTTTCACTTTGTAGTTGAGCACATCTCTACTCTATAGATTCCTGCTTCTTCGGCGTATTTATTTACTTTGCTTTGTTCATTTTTATACATTCGTTCAATTTCTTTCTTTTGACACCGTGTTTGGCCTAGGTCTCTTTGGAAATATTCTAAAACTGACGTCTTTTCTCTGAGTGTTTCCCTTGCATGATGAAACTTAATTTTTAGGCTGTTAATTTTACTGTCAGCATTAGAGAGTTTTTCAGAAAGAATCTGTTATCTTTTAGGTCAGACATATCAGAATTCATTTTCTCCTGTAAATGAACCCATTCATGTCCTGTTCTCTGGAAAGCAAGTTCTAGGTTTTCTTATGCTGTCTGACTTTGATCACAATCATGTACAGCAGCAGCCAGCCTGCATCGATATGACTGAATTTCCATTTCCAGTCTTTCCATGTTGTGTTTTACATTCTCAAGTTGAGAACTGAGAGTTTCATTCTCAGCTGTCAAAATGCTAAGCTGTCCACTGTACTGAAATACTATTTTTGTTGATGTTTCCTCATTCAGTTTTATCATATTTTGAAGGTTGTCATTCTTTTCTTTCACACTTTCAACATCCTTCAAATATTTCTTTTCTTTCAGCTGGTTCTGATGTTTTATTGTGTCTAGTTCCAGTCTTAGCATGGCAATTTCTTCCTGCAACATACTATTTTTATGCAACAGGTCTTTTTCTTTCTTATGGCTTTAAGAAATCTAAGTAAACAAAGGAAACTTAGCACTCAACAGAATGACATATCATGGTTTCTTCTGAAATTAAAGAATAACCTGTATACTTGTACAATGAAAGGATTCCCATAAGTGGATATTTAACTGGAAAAAATGTTAAATCAAAATTTCAAACCTCAGAGTGTAAATTCCCAAAAGTTAAAAAAATCTATTTGAAGACAATGAATCAATAGAAGTAAAAAATAAACCACTAGAGGATTTTTAAGACTCTCAGAATTGACAAAGCCTTTCTCTGAATTACAAAAAACCCAGCGGCATAAAATATGAGATTGATACATTTGACTACATTTTTAAAATTTAAAAATTTTAAAATCTGGTATCTAACCTATACACCACCCCATTGTAAGACTCTTAGTTCTGCATTTATTTGGACTGAAGAAATTTCTCAAAGTTCTCTAAGTTCCTTTTTCCTGATAATGTTCTATAGATATTCTACTTTTCTAACAATTTTATTGTAAGTTATAAAGATTACACTTATTCATAAATGTTAAATCTAAGCATTGTACATTTCTACATTTTACACTTCTACATCTAAGCATTGCACTTTTACATACATTACTGAACTCATTTAAGGTCGCAATTCTGAAGAGGAGAGATTGAAATATATGCAAGATGCAGGATTTTCCCCAGGTCTTCTGATTCTACTTCTAGTCCTCCTCCATCAAATTGCAGTTACTTCTGTGGTGTAAATATATAAATACAAAAGAAGCCTCTTATTTAAAAATACCAACGGTAAAATTTATAAAGATCTTCTTAAAAAATCATGAGATTATTTGCTATTGTAATAACTTTTATTTCCTCTTTATAATGTTTGAAACAATAATAAGTGTGAAATAGGGGGAAATACACTGAACTATTTTTCTAGAAACAAAACACTTACCAATAAATTATCACTAAATGTATATTATTCTACGTCATTGTTTTCAAAGCCCTTTGCATTGAAATTAGATACTACTTGGAGAAAACTTTGAAGTTCTTCAAAAGTAAGAATGACATCCACAATATGGCCTCTAAACTGGCTATACATTTCCTCCTTATCTATCAGTGAAAATAATAAACTGACTTCTCCATTAATATTTTGAGAAGATAAAACAATGTCCGAAAACTAGAACGTCTGTTGTTAGTACCAAAAATTTTGAGATTATGGAAAGATCATCAATTCTTATAAAAAATATCAAATGTTTCTTCTTTGGATTGAGGCCATTGTGAATGTCACTACTTGACTGCTGCAGACTAATGGAGCTGAATTAAGAATATGGCTTTATCCTACACACACACACACACACACACACACACGCATATTCTATATATAGATACACAAACACATAGGATGTGTGTGTGTGTGTGTGTGTGTGTGTGTGTGTATATATATAATTTAAAAATCCTTTATATTTTCCAAGGTACATAGAGTTGGTTTTTCAAATATATACACATACAAAAACATATTTGAAAATGACTAAAGAAAATACCTCAGAATTCATTTTCTTTTGAGCCCCTTCGACCTCCTTTTGCTTACTGGTCAGAGTCTCATCTTCTAATATTCTGGCATTCTGCTCTTCAGAAAGTTGCTTGTGGGTATCGCTTCGCTTCTGCACAACCTAGACATACATTACATTTTTGGTCTAATAGCATTGAAAAAGAAAATCTAAAGGAACAGAACCTTTTTTGTAAAACTGTTAAAAAAAAAAAAAGTAGCCTATTGAAACACAAGGACTTTTATCCCTCAGGAATTACTCAAACTTTAATTGCATACATGACAGCTAAATTTCCCAAAGAGGAAAAACAGTTCTTACCTACAGAAAAATACAGTATTGTGTAATAAAATTTCTTTCAAAACATGTAACTAGCTTTGTTATAGTCTCAAAGCTATAGAGCCTGTATTTTAACATAAAAATACACAAATATTTATGTGATTAAACTCAATTTATCCTCCATTCCTTCATTCAGAAAACATAAGAGATAGTTTGAGCATCTAAGACTGAACATCACAGGCAGAGATGCCAAGGTTTACAATAAATAGCTATAAATGTCATACTTCCTTTTTAAGATTAAATAACAGTCTTGGTATGTTTTGAAACTAAATTATGTACATTACATCAAAGGAATATTATAAGTAATATTGATGAACTATAAAGTTAGAAATATAAAGTTTTCACCAAAAATTAATTTACCTGATCCAAATTCTTTCCTAATGTCCTCAATTCTGTGACCAGTGATTTCAGAGTCTGAGTTGCTGTTTCAACTTCTTTCCCACATTCCTTTTCTTTTCTTTTTAACTGTTCACTATCTTTTTTAGGCAACATATCAGCATTTCTTCCCTTTTCTTCTTCTTTTAAGGTCATTCTACAGTAAAACATATTAAAATTTGTCTTCTTAGAAAATAAAAAGTTTATTTTGTTATCTGGCTCTTCCTACCCAGTGTTTATTATTCAAATAAAATTTCTATGTTCTTGACTACTTTTCCTTTCTAGTTCTCATGTTTTTAATTTCTCACTTCAGTCTCTTCCAAGGGATAAATATACTTGAAAGGTAGTGAAGAAAAAACATCCTGCTAATTGGTGAGTTTCTGTTACTAGCAATTCTGATAAATGTTATGAAAAAGAATATTAGAAATTATTTAGTATAGTTACACGTTGAAAATTACTTCTTTTTGGCAGGGCGCCGTGGCTCACACCTGTAATCCCAGCACTTTGGGAGGCTGAGGCGGGCGGATCACAGGGTCAGGAGATCGGGACCATCCTGGCTAACACCGTGAAACCTCATCTCTACTAAAAATACAAAAAAAAATTAGCTGGGTGTGGTGGAGGGTGCCTGTGATCCCAGCTACTCGGCAGGCTGAGGCAGGAGAATGGCGTGAACCTGGGAGGCGGAGCTTGCAGTGAGCTGAGATCGCACCAATGCACTCCAGCCTGGACGACAGAGCGAGACTCCCTCTCAAAAAAAAAGAAAAAGAAAATTACCTCTTTTTCACACAGTCATAAGAACTCAATTAGGACAGATCATTTCAAATTAACTAATTAAAAAGAACATACTACTTACAAACAACTTTGTAAATTCACTAGAAATAAATTTTAATTTTCATGAAATACTGCAGGTATCCCTAAAATGATTTACAGTGCAAGATGGCTCCATCGGGCCGGGCGCGGTGGCTCAAGCCTGTAATCCCAGCACTTTGGGAAGCCAAGGCGGGTAGATCACCCAAGGTCAGGAGTTTGAGACCAGCCTGACCAACAAGGTGAAACCCCATCATTACTAAAAATACAAAAATTAGCCAGGCCTGGTGGCAGGCATCTGTAGTCACAGTTACTTGGGAGGCTGAGACAGGTGAATTGCTTGAACCTGGGAGGTGGAGGTTGCAGTGAGCCGAGATCAGGCTGCTGCACTCAGGCAGCCTGGGTGACTGAGCGAGACTCCGTCTCAAAAAAAAAAAAAAAAAAAGATGGCACCATCGGATGTCAGTCACACAATATATATCTGCAGATTACTATAATCCAATACAAGGCAATGGGGTCTAATATCTGTTAATCCAGCTGTCCCTGGTCTTTTTGGCACCAGGGATTGATTTTGTGGAAGACAATTTTTCCATGGACCTGGGGGAGAGGGGGCTGGTTTAGGGATGATTCAAGCACATTACATTTATTGTGCACTTTATTTATATTATTATTACATTGTAATATATAATGAAATAATTATATAACTCACATGATGTAGAATCAGTGAAAGTCCTGAGCTTGTTTTCCTTCAACTAGACAGCTCCATCTGGGGGTGATGGGAGACAGGGACATATCATCAGGCATTAGATTCTCATAAGGAGAGCACAACCTAGATCTCCAATGTGTGCAGCTTACAGTAGGATGTGGTTCACGCTCCTATGAGAATCTAATGGTGCTGTTGACCTAACAGGAGGCAGAGGTCAGGTGGTAATGTAAGTGATGGGGGGCGGCTGTAAATACAGATGAAGCTTTGCTTGCTCACTTGCCGCTCACCTCCTGCTGTGTGCTCTGGTTCCTAATAGGCCATGGACTGGTACCGGTCCATGGCCTGGGGGTTGGGGACCCTTGTGTTAACCAATACTTTTTATGTTTATTTTTTGGTAACACTTTCCACTTATCTTCTTGATTCTTGGATCAAATGATCCACCCACCTCAGCCTCCCAAAGTGCTGGGATTACAGACATGAGCCACTGCACATGGCCAACATTTGCTTTTTAACAGCAACTGTATGTATATATAATACATTTATTTTATGTATATTAATATATATTAAAATAATTGCTTTTAAATATATAATTGCACTACACACACACACAGTTTCTCTATACATGTGCCAGTAATTCTCCATTTGCTCCCACCCACCCCATCCCTACCTCAGATTCATTCTCCACCTTTCTCTGCACCCAAGAGGCTGACCTCTGAGAACTCCAGTCTCTGAGCTCCTCTTACCCTCTGGCTTCCAACATGGTTCCACTAATGGGAGCCAGTGGCAGGCATCAGAGAATGGGGGCACAGAGGGGATGGGGCATTTGTCCCTCGCTCTGCTGCAGTGTCAGCCGTACTGTCAGATGCAGCTGGCTGCATCCCTCTGTGACGCCTCCAGGTAGCCCTTCCTGTGCTGCTCCCACTGCCTCCTCTTGAGCTCTCAGGCCCTGGTGGTAGCAGCCTCCTGCGGTGGCCAACACTGCTGTCACTGGCACTCAACAGCCTCAGTTCCCCCAGCCTCGCCCACACCCCTCTAAACAGTCCCTTCTTTAGCTGCTCTTCAGGAGTCCCAGAGGAGGGCCAGGACCCTGACTGACACTCCCTATAAGTAGAGTGTGCTCCCTCAGTAACTGCAGTGAAGTCCTGCTGTTTTCATCAAGGGGATTCTGACTGCATGGTGCATTCTCATAAGTCTTCAGCCTTCCAATAAAACATCAGAAAACCAGATAATATAATTCAACATTTTATATCAGAAAAGATCAGCTTTCCAACATTTATTCCATGGAATGAGTGCACAGCATTTTCATGAACTACCTCAGGGCTACATCAGTACAAAATAGTTTAAATTAGTAAAATAAAGTAGTTTCAAAGGGAAATCATTGATGACTTCAGGATAAGTGCCACCACCATTTGGGAACAGAGGATAGAAGGTAGCCATGTGGTTATTCCATGATGCAGGAATCAGGCCGGCAGGTGGACTGTCATTGCTGTCTTGCAGCAGCTGGCCTCTGCCTTCAGGGTACCACCGTCTCCAGGACACAAATGGGCAGCAGAAAAATGTCACCTTGTTGATGCTCAGCAGCTCATCTATTGGGACAAAACTTCCATCTCGGCCAAGGGAAATACTCTGTTGAGTGACCAGCGGGGCCCAGCCCCCAGCCCTATTTATCTCATCAATATGGTTCAGGGAAGATAAAAAAGAGTGTTCTATGGGATAGAAAGGTGGGAATGACAAAAAACTAAGTGGCTAGGCATGGTGATTCATGCCTGTAATCCCAACACTTTGGGAGGCCGAGGTGGGCGGATCACGAGGTCGAGATTGAGACCATCCTGGCCAACACGGTGAAACCCCGTCTCTACCAAAAATACAAAAATTAGCGGGGCGTGGTGGTGCACACCTGTAGTCCTAGCTACTCAGGAGGCTGAGACAGGAGAATCGCTTGAATACGGGAGGCGGAGGCTGCAGTGAGCCGAGACAGTGCTGCAGTGAGCCGAGATGGCACCACTGCACTCCAGCCTGGCGACAAACGGAGACTCTGCCTCCAAAAAAAAAAAAAAAAAAAAAAGAAAGGAAAAGCTAAGCAGATGACTTATGTGGCAAATGAGGAATCAAATTCTCTATTTGTGGTCTGAGATGCCTTTTCCTGGCCCAGTTTTCTGTCCAAAAGGCTCTTTTAACCTCCAAGATATACACTATTAATGGTAGGCCCATAGTGGGGCGGGGTGTGATGAGCTGGAAAAGCATGATGTGCGTGTGCGTGTGCGGGGGTGGGGTCATCATCAGAATTTGCACAGGCTGCTGGGAAGAGCCATGGCTGTCTGCTGGGAACTCTGCTGGGGCAAGCAAGCCCTTTGACTCTCCTGCCCATCTCAAGAATATTTCTAAAATGTTTTAACCAGCAAGTTAAAAAAAAATTTAACCCTCTTTATATAGATACCCTGGACACTTTTTCTTATGGTTCCTCCAAGATGATTATAACTTCCGTCTGACACTATATATTCTTTTAATAACAAAATTTCCCAGAAGGTTCACAAATCATGGTTGGCAGTGCAGCCTTTTCAATACTGGACACATCCCATGCTAAGGCCCTCTGCACAGATTTTGTTTACTATCACTGGCGATCAGCCTAAACTTCTCACCCCATATATCAACCCACCCCGATGTGTACACCAGGTACTATGTGACCCACCTACTACTGGCTAATGATGCAACTTCTGAAAGACCCTTGCACCCTCACTGCACGTTCTGCCACACAGTTGGCTTGGTGTCACGTACTCCCTGGCACCATCTGGTTCGTGCCAGGTTTAGAGTTCATCCTGTTTGGCTTCCTGGTCTTTGAGTTTAAATTCCTCAGCTGTGACCTTCCCATCTCCATTCCGGTCCTGGTTGGTGAACATATTCTTCACAATCAGCTCAGCATCAAAGCCAGGAGCGAGTTTCCCTTTGCCAGATGCCACCTGGGCGTGAATGTACTCTGAGAACTGGAAAAGAAGGGGACAGGAAAGACCATGAGTTCAGCTGCCATGAACGCCAGGCCTGGGGCCAGAAACAGAGCAGTCTGGGGGTGACAGGGCTGGAACTTGAGTCTGGGCTACCAACACAGACAAGATCTTTTTGGCAGCTATATGACCTACGATCTGTGTTTTGTTTTGTTTTTTTCTCTAAATGCAGGTGAAAAACCCTTGTACTAAATGACTCCCAGAGCCCTTATTACTCAGGTAGCCAATACCCAGCAGCCGTCAGAGCTATCCCTTCTCCCAACTCGGTTCCCCACCAAAGGCTGACCCCCATGACCACCCAAGACTGTAAGAACATTCTTGGATGCATGCATTCATTCATATGATCAAAACATATGGTCTACTATGTGCTGAGCACACTGTTCTAGATCTTGAAATATATCAATACACAAACAAACAAACACCCTGCCCCTGTGATGCTTGCATTCTAGTGGAAACAGACAATTAGACATGAACATAAGAATAGGTAAATTACACATTAAGTTACAAAGTGAAATGCTCCAGAAAAAAATCAAAAAGCGGAGCTCAGTAAGGAAGGGAGAAAGGGATGAAGTGTTGAATTCAGTGGTCAGGATAAAACTTTAAGGAGAAGGGAAGATTTGTGCAAAGGCTTGAAAGATGAGAAGGAAAGGGCCGAACAAGTTATCTGGGGTAGATGTCTCCTGAGCAGAGATGGCAGCCGGTGCCAGGGCTCAAGGTGGACGCATGCCTGGGTGGTCACAGACAGCACTGGAGGTTGGTGTGGCCGGGTAAAGTGGGCAGAGGGAGACAGCCGGCAAAGAGGTTACAGCGAGCAGAAAGTGCAGGGTCTTCACAGGCCACTGTGAGGCCCTGTAGACAGGGGCCTCTGCAGGTCTGACCCAGCTTCTGTGTGAGAACGGCCACTGTGAGGGCAGGAGGAGCTTCATGAACACCACTGCTGTGATGTGACCCGGGAAAGGGATGACAGGCCCCGGGCTAAGATGCTACAGGGTGGGGGTGGTAAGAAGTGTCAGGTTCTGCGTGTGCTCTCAAGGTAGAGCTGGAATGATTTCCTGAGGACCATTACGGCCTACGAGAGAAAGAGGAGTGAGAGATCACCGAGTGCTCTCGCCTGAGCCACTGGAGGCCAGTGATGCCACTGACTGCGACGGGAAAGGCTTTGGGTAAAGCAGGCCCCAAGCGGGGTGTGCGGGTGGATAGCAGGGGTTCCGTAAATGAGGACATCAAGCAGGCAGCTGAACACATGAGTGTGAAGTGGAGAGAGAAGACTGGACTGGAGCTACAAATCCAGACGCCATCAGGATATGGACCCGATAAGACCACGGAGCGAGTGACTTAAAGACAGAGAAAAGAACAGAGGTCAAGACTTAGCCCGGGGTACTCCAACATGAAGCGATCAGGGACAAGAGGCCTGAGAGGGACGTACCAGGGAGGTAGAAGGAACACCATGAAGTGTGGTGTCCTGGAAGCCAGAGAAAGATGCATCCTGTAGGGGAATCAGCTGTGTTGAAGTTAAGAGGAGCGTGAGAGCTGACCACTGGATTCCGCGATACGGAAGACATTGGCCACCCTGGCAAGGTCAGGCTCAGAGGCATAGAGGGACAAATGCCAGAAAGGAGTGGGTTTAGGAGAGAATGGGAGGAGAGGAATTGGAGGCAGAAAGGACACACAATTCTTTTGAAGTTTTTGCTGTAAAGGAAGGAAAGCAATGAAAGAAACAGACACATCCAGGGAAGGGAAAATAATAGCACATTTGTATGCAAATGAGAAAGATCCAGAAGTGCTGATGATGTGGAGAGAGAGAGGAAAAGGCTGGAGGATGCGCTTCAATAGCAGATGTGGAAGAGGCAGGGAGCTGGAATTCCCCAGGGGTGGGACAGAACAGACGGTTCTATTGCCCAGCTTCACAAAGAGGAGTGTGGTCCTGGCTCAAACAACTGAGTAGCTGTGTGACCCTGGACAAGTCATTTACCTTCTCTGTGCAGTTTCTTCTAAAAAACAGCTGCTGTGAGGGCCAAATCAGAGAATACACTCAGCACATACAGGCAGTCGTTGAGCACCCAGTAACGAGAACTAAATGCAGACTGTGTGCGCTGGAATCAAGCCCTACACCTCTTAGGGAATCGGTTTCTTCAGAGAGGAATGGTGAGCTTCCATCAAGAGGGTGTGTGTAAAAGCGCTTGGCACACAAGTGTGCTGGTCATCTCACAAGCCCTCCAGCCAGCTGGCCTCACCCTTAGAAGGCCTCACCTTCAGAACCGGCCCCACAGCCTCACCAGGCTCCCTGAGCTCTTCGGTCCCACCTTCCTACAGAGGCCAGTTAGTTACCTCTTCCAGGAGGACTTCTCCGTTGCCATCCTTGTCAATTTCTTCAAAAAGGTTGGGTGACACCTCACCATTCCATATGAACATGTACCCCTCGGGAAGGCCAGCCACCAGCTCCAGCAGCTCAATGTCAAACACTAATACGGCACTGCCGGGCACTTCTCCATCTGTCCAGGTGACAGGAGCGGGAGGCGGTGTCAGCCGGCAGGCAGCAGTCAAGCCCAACAACCAGCACCCACCCCGACCTCCAGCAGCCTCACTCAGGGTGGGACTTCTGACCAAAGCAAGAAAGCGGAGCAGAGGCTAGTCACCTTCTCACTGTAGGCAGTGGCCCGTTAATGACTCACGAAATCAGTTTAGAGGGTGGTGACCAGCGTTTAGTTATTTTTTAAATTAAGGAATAGAATAGAGGCCAGGCATGGTGGCTCACGCCTATAATTCCAGCACTTTGGGAGGCCGACTCGGGCGGATCACTTGAGATTAGGAGTTCAAGACCAGCCTGGCCAACATGGTGAAACTCCATCTCTACGAAAAATACAAAAATTAGCTGGTGTGGTGGTGGGCACCTGTAGTCCCAGCTACTCGGGAAGCTGAGGCATGAGAATTGCTTGAACCAGGGAGGCAAACATCGCAGTGAGCCGAGATCACGCCATTGCACTTCAGCCTGGGTGACCGAGTGAGACTCCATCTCAAAAAAAAAAAAAAAAAAAAAAAGGAACAGAATAAACAGAATACTTTGTACCTGTGGAAAAGATAGGTATTGTGTCATGAAACTTGAGTTTAAATTTTATATATAAAACTAAAAGTAATGCTCACTTTAGCAACACATACTAAAATTGGAACCATACTGAGAAGAATAGCATGACCTCCATGCAAACAGGACATGCAAATTTGTGATGTGTTGATTAAAAAGAAAGAAAGAAATGTGTATATGTGTAACTTGTATGTTTATGTAGGATACAGATTGGGAAATAAAATGTATTTCTTACTGTGTGTCTTGTGGAAAAAAGTTTGAAAGCTGCTTGTAGAGACTACAATACAATGGTAAAACTTTTAAGTAAATCTAACAGCAGAACTTTTAGAATCTGAACAATATGCCTGAAGATGATGATCCAAGATTTGACTGTAAGCACAAATTCAAGAATAGTGTATACAGTATAGGCCCAAAGAAGTTATCTAAGTATGGACTATATAAAGGTAATGTGCATTATTCCAAATTATTATATTTTATCTAGATTATATGTTATATATAATATGCTATGTATTATAATTATTAATAATACATCACAGAAAAAGTCTTAAAGAATGTACAACAATTTTTTTTTTTTCTGAGATGGAGTCTTGCCCTGTCGCCAGGCTGCAGTACAGTGGCATGATCTCGGCTCACTGCAAGCTCCACCTCCCGGGTTCACACGATTCTCCTGCCTCAGCCTCCCAAGTAGCTGGGATTATAGGTGCCCACCACCATGCCCAGCTAATTTTTTGTACTTTTAGTAGAGACGGGGTTTCACCGTGTTAACCAGGATGGTCTCCATCTCCTGACCTCGTGATCTGCCCACCTCGGCATCCCAAAGTGCTGGGATTACAGGCATGAGCCACCGCACCCGGCCAGAATATACAACAATTTTTAAAGGGTTTCTTCTGGGATTGGTAGGAAGAACAATGTACTTTACAATTCTTTTATGGGGAAAAAATATCAATCCACAGTGCCTATCATTGTTACCAGTTAGCTCTTCCTAGCTCCTCCATGTCCAGATATCAGCAGTGTGAAAACACTGAAAAGAAGCGGTTCCTGGGGCCAGGCGCAGTGGCTCACACTGATAACCCCAGTGCTTTGGGAGGCCTAAGCAGGAGCATCGCTTGAGCCCAGGAGTTAAGACCAGCATGGGAAAGATAGCGAGACTCTGTCTCTAAAAAATAAAAAATTAGCCAGGCGAGGTGGTGCATGCCTGTAGTCCCAGCTACTCGGGAGACTGAGGTGGGAAGATTGCTTGAGCCCAGGAGTTCAAGGCTGCAGTTAGCCATGATGGTGCCACTGCACTCCAGCCTGGGTGACAGAGTGAGACCCTGTCTCTGAAAAAAAAAAAGTTATTGAATCCCCATGTGGAGGACACATTGTGGCTGAAATGATGGAGTAAAACATAACCACTGTGAGGATGAGGTAAAGCCAGTATTTCAAGAACTTGCAACTAATCTCTCCCAAAGGAAACTGTCTTGGACAGCCTACAGGCTCAGAAGTGAAAAGCAACGGCCTACAGCATTCCACCTGTCCCAGGAAACAGTTCCAGAAGGACGTGCTCAGTCTGACCCCAGAGAAACCTCCCGGACAGCTCCCCTGGGGACACCTCCCACACATGGGTCTGAAGATCCAAGATTTATTTCACTCAAACTGGTTCTTTCTCAAGAGGGTAATGGAGCATTGACGTGGCTCACTGAATTCACAGGCGTCTCCAAACAAAAATACTAAATAATTTTTAAAAAATAGAAACCACACACTCTGGGTATTACATGTAAGAAGCATGCTGTGATTCTAACTATGGCACCCCAAAAAGCACAAAATTCAGATAGTAAGCGGGCCCCCAACACCCTTGAATAGCGTTGCTTACTCACCCACGCCAGCTTCCCCATAGCCCAGGTGAGGCGGAATGATCACTGTCCGTTTCTCGCCAACGCACATCTCTCTGAGACCCATGTCCATCCCCAACACAACTTGCCCAGATCCCAGAACAATACTGTAAGTTTTGCCTAAATTCCACCTAAAATGAAACAGAAGAGCCTCATGTTAGGTCACCAACCCACTGGCACTGAGAGTGTTCCTATGAGAAGAACACATCACTCCTAGGGTATTTCTACCAAAGAAATGCAAATCCCTATCTAATCATGAGGAAACATCAGACAAAAACAAATTGGGGCACATGCTGAAAAATGTCTGGCTGTCATCTTCAAAACTGTCAAGGCCATGAAAATCCAGGCAAGACTGTGGAAGTTCCAGAGTGGAGAAGCATAGTGGAATGGGGTCCTTTTTGCTTGAGCCCAGGAGGTGGAGGCTGCAGTGAGCCAAGATCGTGCCCCTGCACTCCAGCCTGGGAGACAGAGTGAGACCCTGTCTCAAAAACAAAAAACAAAACAAAAAACCCTGGCTTTTGGATTCAGCAAGACCTGAGATGGATTCCTGGTTCTGCCACTTAATTTGACCCTGAGAAATGTAATCTCTCAGTTACTTTATCTATGAAACGGAGACAACAAATATAGCTATCTCACAGGGACATTTTAAGTCGCAAATAACATGTTATGCTTGGCACAGTGGAGAGGAAGTAAAAAGGGCTCAATAAATGTTTGGCCTTGAGGTGTAAAGTGTTTATGTCTGTAACAGTCTAAGACTAAAAAAAAAAAAAAAAGACCACCAAGAGTTTAATTATCCTTGATGGCCATGGGCCTCAGGAAGCCAGTTAAAAAAAAGTTTGCTCTATCACTTCGGTCACTACTAAAAATAAATCTACTCCAAAATCTATGCCATTCCTATCACTTCCTAAAGGCAAACAGTGTTTATGTTCTTTACTCCAAGGAGAAAAGCCCCCTGACCCCCCTTGATGCCCATGAGCACTGGGGACAACATGGACGGGTGCCCCTTTGGGTCATATCCTCTTCTCAGGCTTCCCGACCTCCCCTGGGCCCAGGGCAGCCGCTTCTTTCCCTCCTCCAGCTGATTACCAGCAAACCAAGACAGGGTTTGTGTTTTCCCACCTGGGAGGAACCCAAAACAAAGCCAACTCAGGGATGGCTTTGGGGAGGGAGCCAACTCCCACTGCCTGCCTTTTTCTGGGGCTACTCCAGTTGCAAAGTCTTATGACAGAATATTCCAGAACTCAGTCATCCAGGAACGCATGTTTCTTCTTCCTCCTTGAGGCCAGTTTAAACACGCACGCGTAAGAAAATCCTCCAAGCAAACAATTTGTTGTCATGTGTCATCTCTGAACACACCACTCATTCTTTTTCCTCGGGTCCTGTGATTTTCTTTCTTCTCTCTTGGGCAGTGTTTCTCTCATACACGGTCCTCACTCCCCCTGCATGCTTCCTGGCCCCATCCACCGCCGGCCTGCAGCTTCCTGCCTGCTTCACCCTCTCCGGCTCACTCCCACTCCTCTCCTCCCTTCTAGGCAGCAGCTGCTGCCTTAGTCCTGATGAATGGGGCCCAGCCCACACGGGGCTCTAGCTGGGACCAGATAGGCAGGTGCTGGCCAAGCTTTCCATTAGCCCACTATTCTGAAGCTCACACCAGGAAGACACCAGCAGGGACGCCAGCCGCTACTCTTCTGCTGCAGATTTACATGTAATACAGAGGCTCTCAGAGTACAAAATGCACTTCCTGATAAGGAGCTCTGGCTCATGTGGCTCCTCAGTGCTCTGCCAGGATGTTATGAGTCCTCCAAACACAAGCAGGAGGCAGGGAGACTGACTCTCCCCGCCCCACGTGAGAAGCAGATCCTGGAGCCTCTGAGAAGGAATTCCTTTGTTCATTCCCCACACCCACTTCCCCTTTCCTCAGCCTCAGGATCAGCGGACAGGAATATGAACATCAGCAGGAGCAGTGACAGCAGCCACGGACCTTACAGACCCTTCTAACCTCATGGACCATTTTCACTCTTAGGAGCTCACTTGATCCACAAAAGCACTACAAGCCATGCCCCTTCCCTGCTGCCCTGCCTCCCGCTAGCTTCCAATAGTCAGTGGTTGGGATTTCTTTGCAAGGTCTGTTGTAAGCCAGGTCCCTGTACATCTGGGCCCTGGAAGCCTAGCACATATTTCACTGATTCTAAAATGCTTATTTTTTCACAGTTTAACCTTTGTATAATTAGGATACATTTTATGACCGACAGTATGTCATCAATTAGCGTTTTTACTTGGTCAGAGATACATGAAATGTTTCCATCACGCCCTTTAGAGTTGTTGAAATACATTAAATGCATTAGCATACAGGATCCCATACCGAGAGGGAGAGCTCTGAAGAGTATATCCATAGGGTCTTTTCTTTTTCTTTCTTTTTGGAGACAGAGTCTCACTCTGTTG
The DNA here is from genome assembly GCF_000001405.40 of Homo sapiens. Classification (NCBI taxonomy): domain Eukaryota; kingdom Metazoa; phylum Chordata; class Mammalia; order Primates; family Hominidae; genus Homo; species Homo sapiens. Next base: position 55,690,236 of record NC_000007.14, read on the forward strand.
CTCAGGCTGCAGTGCAGCAGCGCTATCTCGGCTCACTACAACCTCTACCTCCCAGATTCAAGCGATTCTCCTGCCTCAGCCTCATGAGTAGCTGGTATTACATTTGCCCGCCACTATACCCGGCTAATTTTTGTATTTTTAGTAGAGACGGGGTTTCACCAAGTTAGCCAGGATGGTCTTGATCTCTTGACCTCGTGATCTGCCCACCTTGGCCTGCCAAAGTGCTAGGATTACAGGCATGAGCCACTGCACCCAGCCTCTGTGCATCAATTTTTAAAGAAAGCAGTTCGGCTGGGCATGATGGCTCAAATCTGTAACTCCAGCACTTTGGGAGGCCAAGAGGGGAGGATCATTTGAGGTCAGGAGTTCGAGACCAGCCTGGGCAACATAGTGAGACCCCCATCTCTAAAAAAATTTAAAAAATTAGCCTGGGTCAGGTGCAGTGACTTACACCTCTAATCCTACCACTTTGGGAAACTGAGGCAGGAGGATCACCTGAACCCAGGAGTTTGAGACCAGCCAGGGCAACATGGCAAAACCTTCTCTCTGCTAAAAAGTAAACAAAATTAGCCAAGTATAGTGGTGCGTGCCTGCAATCCCAGCTACTTGGGAGGCTGAGGCGGGAGGATCACTTGAACCTGGAAGGCAGAGGTTGCAGTGAGCCGAGATAGCACCACTGCACTCCAGCCTGGGTGAAAGAGTGAGACTTTGTCAAAAAAAAAGAAAAAAAAAGAAAGAAAGGAAGGAAAAAAAAGAGAAAGAAAGAGAAAGAAAGGAAAGAGGAAGGGAGGGAGGGAGCAAGGAAGGAAGGAAGGAAGGAAAGATAGCAGTTATACGATGAGATCTGCTTTTCAGAAAGACAATTTCATGGGGTGAAAAATGACCTGGAGCAGGGCAAGACCATCAATAGGAAACTCTTAACACAATGCACCTGAGCAGTGATGCAGCCACGAGCTATGCAGTGGGGCAGCATGGAGATAAAAGCTCTCAACCAGCATCTACCCAAGAGAGGAGGATGGTGGGAGCATGCAACTGTCACCCTCCAGGCTCACTCCCACACTATTCTGGTTGCCCTTACGTGGAGTCCAGCAGGGTCCCATCCAGAAGTGAGGCATTGTAGTGATATTTGAGGTAATCTCCCTTCTTACTCAGCACTGAGCAGTCGGGGGGTTTGTAGTGGGAGGTGATGCTGATGGAGTCCGAAGGGTTGTGGAAGTCGATCACATGGATGTCAAACACCAGCACAGCCAAGCTGGGGATATTCCCTAAAGGACAGACACAGGGAGTGAATGAATGACCCCTGCAGGCTGCAGCACATGGGCCTCCCCAGTATCACCAGGTATGTCCTCAAGGCCCTCCAAGTGAGGAAAACGGGCACCCAGATACAGAACCCTAGGAGGACTCCAAGACTGACGCTGAAAGGGCTGTTAGATGTAACCTCATCCTCATTTTACAGGTGGATAAATGGAGGCACAGATTTGCCCTGGGTCTCACAGCCTGTAATGAGCACAGTTTGGACTAAAATTCAAGACTATGGACTATTGCCCCATGGAATCGTTGAGCCTGAAAGATGAGTGGCTAAGTTGATCACAGATGAGGAAACTCAAACCCAGCCAAATTAATACTTGCCCCTCACCCACTGGAAGTAAGAGGTGGGGTGAGAAAATCAGCCGTAGAGTGAAATCACTCCAATGTCCTACCACTGCTCAAGAAAAACATAACATAAACTTCGTAAAGAAAAAGACATCTCTCCCCCAAAATTGGCCCCTTATGATCATACACCTAACAGTCACAAGGTGCTTTTAGAATACATCCTATTTGTTCTATACTAAATTATTTATTAACTTTTCCATAATTTCCACTTTTGAAGACAGTAGCTCACATCTGAATAATGTTTTACAGTTTGCCAAAGTATTTTTCACCTACATTTTCCCTTTAAATCCCTGCAGCAACCTTATGGGGTAGGCGTGGCCATAACCCCAGGAATTTAACGACAGCTTCCCAGGGGCGTGGGGGACACTTAAACATATGCATCAGTTGTAATACATCCCCCAGCCCAAATCATTTCAGAGAAGTTTAAATGTAAAATATTTTAAAATCATGTTACCTAGAGTCAAGGACATATTTTATTATCATCAGCATTTTACACATAAAAAAACCAACTCAGGTTAGGTATGGTGGTGGCTCATGCCTATAATCTCAACTCTGGGAGGCCAAGGTGGCAGGATCACTTGAGGCCAGGGGTTTGAGACCAGCCTAGGCAACACAGCCAAATGTCTCTACAAAAAAATTAGCTGGGCGTGGTGGTGAGCACTTGTAGTCCCAGATACTCGGGAGGTTGAGGCAGGAGGATTGCTTGAGGCCAGGAGGTCAAGGCTACAGTGAGTTAGGATTGCACCACTGTACTCTAGCCTGGGCAACAGAGTGAGACTCCGTCCTCAAAAAAGAAAGAAAGAAAGAAAAGAAAAATTCAGACACGATATTACTTATTCAAGAGAATAACACAGCTAATGACAAAATTCAGATAGAGATACACAAACTCCAACAGTCCCTCCTTACCTCCCGTCCGTCCCCACACGTACTTTTCTGTGTCTGCTTCTTGATTGGTCTCTCTCCTATCTCTCTCTAATAGAAACACACTCACGCTCATATTTAATAGGCGTTTATTGAGTACCAGGCATTCTTCTAAATTAAACATGTATTGTTTAATTCTCATTAAAATCCTGAGAAAATGGAGGTACAAATTTTGGGGCTGGCCAAAGTTAAAGGTAATAATTTGAGAAGCGTGTGCTTTAATAGCAGAACACAGGTGCCTGCTACTCACTCAAAACAGGGGCTGCTGGTGTGGGTGGAGTGGGGTGCAGGCTCCTTCCCACAGGAACCAGGAAGTACAGCCTGCCATTGGCCAGAAGGCTGCTCAAAGCCAGGCCACGGATGGCTCTGTGTGGGAAGCTAACACACATGGACAGGGTGGGTGTCTGCAGAGGCAGATCTATGGTTTCTCAACCTTGGTAACCTGTTAAAAATCACCTGGGAATGAACCCGAAAACATTATGCTAAGTGAAAGAAGCCAGACACAAAAGGCCACATACTGTAGGATTCCAGGGATATGGAAACCTCCGGCATAAGCAAATCCATACAGACAAGAAATAGACTACCTGTTGCCAGCGTGGGGGCAGTGGATGGATGAGGACAGGGTACGGAGAGTGACCGCTGATAGTTATGGGTTACTTTTTGGAGTGATGAAACTGTGCTGGAATTAGGTAGAGGTAATGGTTATGTTACCTGGTTAATATACTAAAAACAACTAAATTGTAAACTTTAACATGATTACTTTTATAGGATGTGAATTATATTTCAAGAAAACATTAAATAAAAATATCTTTCTTGGGTATATATACAAAAGAATTGAAGCTGGAGATGCGAACAGATATTTGTACACTCATATTCACAGAAGCATTAAGCATTATTCACAATAGACAAAAAGCACAAACAGCCTCAGTGTTCATCACCAGACGATCTGATCAACAAAATGTAGTATATACATCCAATGGAATATTCATTCAGCAATAAAAAGGAATGAAATTTATTAGCCAGAAAAGAGGAATTATTATTTTTTTTTTGAGATGATGTCTTGCTCTGTCATCCAGGCTAGAGTGCATTGGCGTGTTCTCAGCTCACTGCAACCTCTGTCCCCCGGGTTCAAGCGATTTCCCTGCCTCAGCTGAGATTACAGATGCGTACCACCACACCTGGCTAATTTTTGTGTTTTTAGTAGAGACAAGGTTTCACCATGTTGGCCAGGCTGATCTTGAACTCCTGACCTCAGATTATCCACCTGCTTCAGCCTCCCAAAGTGCTGGGATTACAGGCGTGAGCCACCGCGCCCAGCTTGAAATTTTGATAAATGCTAAAATACAAATAGACCTTGAAAACATTATGCTAAGTAAAATAAGACAGACACAGAGAGAGAAATATTGTATGATTCCACTCAAGTGAGGCACTTAGAATAGGCAAGTTGGTAGAGACAGAAAGAAAGGTGGTTGCCAGAGGTTGATAGGAGGGAGGAATCGGGAGTTATTGTGTAATGGGTTTATGTTGGGGATGATGAAAGAGTTCTGAGTGTAGATGATAGTAATGGTTATACAACATTGTGAATATATTTGATGCCACTAAACTGTACACTTAAAATGGTTAACAAGGTAAAGATGTTAAGTATATTTTACCACAAATTTTAAAAACTTCTAACACTGAGCTAAGCAGTCACCAAATTTTGTCAATTCAAATATAATCTCCCCTCCAAGATGCATTCAGGTGCAGGGCCTTCTCCAGGGCAAAAAGGAATGCATCTGGAACCACCCACATCCCTGGAATCTGATGTCAGCAGTCAAATGAACTCAGCCTCTCAGGCCCCGAGGATTCCAGGAACAAGAATTCCAACCAGTGTAGAGGTCGATTCACACCCAGTCAAGGAACCATGTAGCATCAGGTGAGTATGTCAGCTTCTAGGAAGTTAACGTGAGTCAGTCTCCCAGGTGCCTGATAACCTCTGGGGCACACACATTATTGAGGGCGTCAACAAGGAAACACTCTCTGTGTGCGTAGGAAGTTTTGTTTGTGTTTCTTTCTGCTGAATCCCTAACACTGTGAGCAGGGCCTGGTCATGAAGAAACTCAATAAATCTTTGACGGATGGATAGATGGAGTTTCTCGGCCTGCAAAAATGAAGATCAGAGCCTTGAACCATAGACCCCACCTACCCCAGGCAGCACCAAGGCCTCGAACCTCTATCCCTCTATCTTGCTCTGACTTCCACAAAGCTATTTGTAGATTAAGTATAGAAATGAGTGCTGACCAGCAAATGGGCAGAAATAGTCCAACGTGGCTCCAACACCAACCTCCTCTCTGTATAAACCCTTAACCAATGCAGAAGTCATCATTCTGTTCTCACCATGAGGATGCCTCCCTCAGAAGAGATACAGATGAGGAAAACTTAAAAGCGGCCAATAGCCCACCCAAGAAACTCTGCAGCTCCTGCTGGGGGTGGGTTTCCTCTGCTGGGGGTGGGTTTCCTCTGCGGGGGGTGGGTTTCCTCTGCGGAGAGTCAGTTTCCTCTGAAGGGGGTGGGTTTCCTCTGAAGGGGGTGGGTTTCCTCTGAGGGGGTGGGTTTCTTCTGAGGGGAGTGGGTTTCCTCTGAGGAAGGTGGGTTTCCTCTGAGCGGGTGTGTTTCCTCTGAGAGCTCTAGGACTTCTAGTTTGAGGTCTCGGTTCTCCACATATGGGTATCAACAAGTCACTACCTAATGGGGACTCATTCTTTCTGTCTGTCTAGGACACATATGGGTCAGAGAGCCCTGGGTCCAATTCCAGCTCCATCATGGATTAGCTATTGTGGCCTTGGACACACGGGTGGAACTCTCTGGGCCTCATTATATTTCTAAACAATGAGGGTAATGATGCCTCAGAAGACTGTTTCCAGGTTTGAATGAGTTCATGTGCAAGAAGTCCCAGACACACAGTGGGTAAAATGTAATTTATTAACTTTCCTCTCTTTCCTAAAAGGGTGCTCAAAAGGTAATCTGGAAGTTGAGTAACAGCAAACCATCGATGAAGTGATGCTTACACATCCTCGCAGGCAGAATCCATTCCCCACTTTGAGGCTGCAAACCCATCCAAGTGCCCTAATTTCAGGGCTGACCCATGGAACAAAGCAGATGGCAGAAAGATCCAGAACCTCTCCCAGGAGGCCTACCCTTTCCCCTCCACCAATCTTGCAGGGGAAAATGGCTGTGACAGAATGAAATGCTGATAGAGGCTGAGAGCACACGGTCAGCCCACAATTCATTCCTTCCACAAATATTTGCCAAACATTCACAATGTGCCTGGCCCTGTGGTATGCAGTGAAGAAGCCACTAAGCAGACAGCTTCAGCATCCTGACCCCTCTCGGGTCAGCCCCTCAGGGATCAGCATGAGCTCCTATGTAACCCCCACAAAGAGGCCAAGGGTGCTGATCAGGAGAGGACAGAGGTAGACTCCACTCAAGAGCACTTGGGGTTTATACCTCAGGGTCACTCAGGGTGCCCTCCTCCCACAGCAACGTGATTCAGGATGAAGCAGTCTCATTGCCCAGAAAATTTATGAGCCTTCGGCTGCTTCCCAGAGGCTTATATAATTCTTTGCAGAGCTCTGTCTCATACTTGATAGAAAGCCAAGAGGAAAAAAAGTAATTTAAGCAAATGTTTTCCATCAATGCATTATTTTCAAAGAAAGGAAAGATTAGTCCTCAGGCCATAAAGAAACAAGAACACTCAGAAAGTATTTATCTGTTTCTGTTTATATTTGACTAGAAGTAGAAATCCACACGATAAAAAGCAATAGAGCATCAAGACACTAGACAAGCAGGATGTGTGAAGAAAGGCCTGTCGAATGGATCTTAAGCTGTGATCTGTTGTGGTTTCATCAATCAGAAATTTAAGTCAGGGAGAAAAAAACATTTCTCCATTGTACAACCTACCTTCCAACCAACTTGACGTTTCTTGGATCCTCTGGGATGAACACTACTGGGAAAACTCTCAAGATACATATGATGTATCAACAAAAAAACAGAACAGAACTAACAAAATAAATGTACAGCCAGCAAGGCCAGCCTCCATCAGCAAAAGAATACGAAAACAAAATAAATACTGCATCAACTATTCCTAAGCGAGGGAGCAGCCATTAAAATACATAGCATAGAAAGTTGTTCACAACGTATCTGTTGTTCACCACAAATTGGATGAAGAGAGAAATCACAAAGTAATACGCATAGACAATCCCGTGTTTGTCCGTATTGATTAGTGTAGGTGGGCATTTTTTTTTTAAACCTATACATACACTCAAAGGTACAGAAGGACATTCACTTCATGGCTGCATTTGTTTCCTACTGTTGCTGCAGCAAAATACCACAAACCTGTTGGCTTAAAACAACGCAAACGGATTCCCCTAATTCTGGAAGGCAGAAGCATAAATTCAAGGTATTGTTAGGGATATGTGTTCCTTTTGGAGGCTGCCGGGGAGAATGTGTTTCCATCTTTTCCAGCCTCTCGGGGCCACCTTCATTCCCTGACAGGGTCCTCCTTCTGTATCTTCTAAGTCAGCAGTTTAGCACTTTTTCCCCGGTCTGACCGCCTGCCTCCCTTTTACAAAGACTGTTGCAAGTATTTTGAGGCCACCTGGATAATCTAGGATACTATTCCTATCTCAAGATCCTTTATCAAATCTGTAAAGTCCCTTTTATTAAGGTAACAGGAGGCTAGGCATGGTGGCTCACACCTGTCATCCCAGCACTTCAGAAGGCCAAGGTGGGAGGATTGCTTGAGCTCAGGAGTTCCAGACAGGCCTGGGAAACATAGCAAGACCATGTCTGTCTTTACAAAAAAAAAAAAAAAATTGCTTTTGAATTAGCCGTGCATGGTAGCACACACATGTAGTCCTAGCTACTCAGGAGGCTGATGCAGGAGGATCACTTTAACACAGAAGCTGGAGGCTGCAGTGAGTTAGGAGCTTATCTTACCACCGCACTCCAGCCTGGGCAACAGAACAAGACTTTGTCTCAAAACAAAATAAAGTAAGGTAACATACTCACAGGTTCTGGGGATTAGAACATAGATACTTGGAGGGGCTGAATATTCTGCCTACCAGATTAAGATTAACAATATTTATTTCTGGCATGGCATGGCGCTCACATCTATAATCCCAGCACTTTGGGAAGCCAAGGTGGGCAGATCACTTGAGGCCAGGAGTTTGAAACTAGCCTGGCCAACACAGTGAAACCCCGTCTCCACTGAAAATTTAAAAAAAAATTAGCCAGGCGTGGTGGCACATGCCTGTAGTCCCAGCTACTTGGGAGGCTAAGGCATGAGACTCACCTGAACCCAGGAGGCAGAGGTTGCAGTGAGCCAAGATCGTGCCACTGTACTCCAGACTGGGTGACAGAATGAGACTCAAAAAAAAAAAAAAAAAAAGAAAAAAAGGAAAAAAAATATTTATTTCTGGGTGGCAGGATTTCTTTGCTTAACTGTATTTTCTTTTCCTAAGTCAACATGTATGATTTGTGTAACTTTTAAAAGGAAGTGTGGTATGAGGGTGACAAAAATGTTCTAAAACAGGATTATAGTGATGGCTACATAACCCACTAAATGTTCTAAAAGTCACTAAATTGTATACTTAAATGGGTGAATTCTATAATACATAAAACAAAAACCAAAGAGGGGCTTTTGCACTTACTTTCAATGGCTCAGCCTAAAATAAATAAATAAATATAAAAAGAGATCAAATATAGCAAAATGTTAACAATTGGCAACACAAAGTGGAATTCACTGTAACGTGCTTTCGACTTTGGTGTAGGATTTAACATTTTCAAAAGGTAAAGGAAAATGGGCAGAGAAACAAGGAGAAATAACAGGACAACTCTAGAAACTAAACCTATTTGGGGATTCCAGTCTTAAGCTGGACTTTAGCTTCAATATTTTGGCTCTCAAGAAGCTCTGTGCAGGGTGCGGTTGTGCGTGCCTGTAGTGCCAGCTACTCCGAAGGCTGAGGCAAGAGGATCACTTGAGGCCAAGAGTTCAGGCCATAGTACAAGATGATCACACACTACACTTTCCAGCCTGTTCGACAGAGGGAGACCCTATCTCAAAAAGAAAGAAGAAAAAGAAAAAGAAGCCCTGTTCCAAGCAATGTGGAAGCAGCCACAGTTAGTGAGGAAGGCAGGTGAGGCTGATGCTCACCTCTTCCTTCCTCTCCATACCCCAGGTGAGGGGGGACCACAATCCTTCGCTTCTCTCCAATGCAAACACCAAGTAGACCTTCATCCATCCCAGGAATCACGTAGCCCTGCCCAATGTACGTGTCAAACGTGCGGTTCTGAGAGTAGCTAGAAAAGAAGAAAGGAAAGAAAGAGGTCATTCATGAGGGCCTCCACAGCAGCTGTGCAAATTAGTTGGGAAAGAGATGCAAAGGCACACAGAGGCCTCCAGACTCCGGAACAGCGTAAACCACAGTATCTGATGACACAGCCAGGAAACATGCTCCCCTGGAAGGGTAAATAGGAACCCCCACACAGCATGTGAACAGCCACCTGTAGAGACACGCCGTGTGGCCCTCCAGTTTCGTCAGGTTATGAATGCAGTGTGGGTTATGAGAAGCACCACACAGAAATGGAGCTAATGTAAATTGAACGCTATACTTTCTTTTTCTGAGGCAAGGTCTCACTCTGTCACCCAGGCTGGTGTGCAGTGGCACCATCATAGACAGCTCACTGCAGCCTCAACCTCCCAGGCTCAAGCAATCCTCCCACCTCAGCCTCCCAAGTAGCTGAGACTACAAGCACATGCTACCACACCTAGGTAATAAATTTTTTTTTTTGTAGAGATGGGGTCCCACTATGTTGCTCAGCCTGGTCTTGAGCTCCTGGATCACGTGATCCTCCTGCCTCGGCCTCCCAAAGTGCTGGGTTGACAGGCATGAGCCACCGTGCCCAGCCTGTACACTCTATAACCACGTCAAGTTAATGAAAACAATCAAGCTCTCAACCAGCCTGGGCAACATGGCAAAACTCTGTCACTACAAAATTACAAAACTTAGCTGGATGTGGTGGCACACACCTATAGTCCCAGCTACTCAGGAGGCTGAAGTCAGAGGACTGCTTGTGCCGGAGAGGTTGAGGTTGCAGTGAGCCAAGATCACAAGACTGCACTCCAGCGTGGGTGACAGAGTGAGACCCTATCTTGAAAACAAAAAACAGAATCGAACGTAGCCCTTATCAGAAACTACGAATGTGTCACAAGGATAATGTCTCCAATATCTAAAGAGAAAATATCTGCATATGTGGGACATGAATATTCTGTTTTTATTTTCTAATTACTTTTTAATTTTTTTTTTTTTTTGAGACAGGGTCTTGCTCTGTCTCCCAGGCTGGAGTGAAGTGGTCTGGTCTCAGCTCACTGCAGCCTCAACCTCCTGGGCTCAAGTGATCCTTCCACCTCAGCCCCTCAAGTGGCTGGGGCTACAGCATTCAATACCATGCCTGGCTCATTTTTGTATTTTTAGTAGAGACAGGGTTTCACCACATTGCCCAGGTTGGTCTCGAACTCCTGGGCTCAAGCGATCTGCCTGCGCTGGCCTCCGAAAGTGTGGAATTACAGGCCTGAGCCATAGCACCCAGCCTGACATGAAGATTCCGATCGCCAGGAAAGCAGCATACACACTGAGAGTAATGAATTCCGCACTCTCCACCACAGCCCGACAAAAGGCCCCCACTATCATCCCTGCTCACCCCGCCACCCTGGTGAATACTTGGGTTTTCCAAGTGCTCCTGGCAGGAGCCCCAAGTCCACTCAGTGGAGAGATCCAGCCTGTGTGTAAACTGCCGAGTGAGTCTATTACCATGAGTTTGGTAAAAAGAGGAATCAATTCCCCACAGCATAATGATTCCAGAATAAAATAATAAAACTTCATATGCCACAAGTCCACTATCAAACTGGACCACGTGACCTGCACCCCTTCCCCACACCACCTGGTGCCGATGAGGCAGAAAGCCTGTCCTGAAAGAGCCAATCGGTCCTGCCCTTCCCTCACCTCAAAGCCAGGGCATGATGCCCTGGAGAAGAGGGACCGCCAAGCGGGGCCAGGCTGATACACAGGCAGAGCTGTGGGGGTTCTCCCTTCTCAATACCCCTCAGAGACCACAAAGTCATGGGGCACAAAGAAAGAATCACAACAGATGTCTCTCCTCACCCAGGAAGCAGGAGATTGTCCACATAAACTCCCAGACGAGGCTGTGAGTCCCCCTTCCCACCCACTGAGAACAGCACCCCACGCTGAGCAGCTCCAGGCCTCCTCCTGGTGCACTGGCCAGGAAGGCCTGGAGGGGAACACAGCAGGGAAGAGGAGGACCGTGTCGGCTCCCAGCATGCTTCAGCCAGAGCAGGGCTCACCCTCCCGAGGTTCCCACCTGCAGGACCCTGGGGATCACCAGCAATGTGCAGCCACTGCCAGACATTCAGGGAAGAGAAGGATACCTACGTGGTGGGCTCCCGACAAAGGGACACCAAGTAGTGAGAGAGATGGCAGGTACCCACAGCGGGGATTGCTGCCCACTGGAATAGTTGCAAAGATTCCATGGCAGAGGGGAGATAGCAGACACCGAAGGCTGTGGGATCTGCCTAAGGGAAGAGCAATGGTCTGGCAGCAAGGGCCAAGCCGAGAGGCAGGATATAAGAGCCTCAGAAGGAGAGACGGAATGGCGGGGTGGGCTTGAATTGTAGTGAATGCTGAATAAAAGTTAAAAACAAGTAAATGCAAAACCATCCTGTTCCCCAATAGAAAAGCAAAGTCGTCAGTCCTCCCCTAAACTAACTTATAAGTTCTTTTATCTTTTCTTTTTTTTGAGACACAGTCTCACTCTGTCGCTGAGGCTGGAATGCAATGGTAAGATCTTGGCTCACTGCAACCTCCGTCTCCCGGGTTCAAGCGATTCTCCTGCCTCAGCCTCCCAAGTAGTTGGGGTTACAGGCATGCACCACCACACTCAGCTAATTTTTGTATTTTTGGTAGAGACGGGGTTTCACCATGTTGGCCAGGCTGGTCTTGAACTCCTGTCTTCAAGTGATCCACCTGCCTTGGCCTCCCAAAGTGCTGGGATTACAGGTGTAAGCCATCATGCCTGGCCTAAGCCACCACGGCTGGCCCAAACTAACTTACAAATTTTAAAGCAATTCCAATCAAAATCCTGGGGGTGTGTATCTGGTGGTGGTAGGGAGCTCAGTAAAGTAATGCTAAAATTCATCTGAAAAAAGAAATAATTAAGAATGCTGTTTTTAAGGTGCAGTATATAGCAAGCTATCATTCTTGTAAAAAATTAAGAAGGAAATATATACATATATGTACTTCATTATATATGTATGGAACACCTATGAAATTAATAACACTGGGCCAGGGGCAGTGGGTTACACCTATAATCCCAGCACTTTGGGAGGCCGAGGTGGGTGATCACTTGAGGTCAGGAGTTCATGACCAGTCCGGCCTAACATGTTGAAACCCTATCTCTACTAAAAATACTAAAAAAATTAGCCGGGCCTGGTGGCATGTGCCTGTAATCCCAGCTACTCGGGAGGCTGAGGGCAGAAGAATCGCTTGAACCTGGGAGGCAGAGGTTGCAGTGAGCCGAGATCGTACCATTGCACTCCAGCCTGGGCAAAGAAGCGAGGCTCCGTCTCAGAAAAAAAAAAAGAAAGAAAGAAAGAAAAAGAAATTAATAACACTGGTTCCCTACGAAGAGGGGAGGTGGGACAAGGATAGGAGGGAAATTTGTCATTGTATACCTTTTCATACTTCCAGGGTTTTAAATCATGTCAATGCATCACTTAGTAGAAAAAAAAGTTATTTTTTAAAAAAGAAAAAGAATGCCCTCTACTATACAAATTAAAAAGCTAACACTAGTTAATCATAGTTAAAGGTGTGATGCTGCCCTAGGAATAGATAGAAGGTAAAAGATAAAAATTCTACACAAAGACTCAAAAGTACATATAAGAATTTAGTTCATAACAAAAATCACCTTTTAGGGCAGTGAGGAAATGATAGAGTCATTCATGACGGATGTTGGAAAAACTAGCTAACCATATGGAAAAAAATAAAGTTAAATCCTTCCTGTCACAGTGATACCACAATAAATTCCAGATGGATTAAAGACTTAAATATGAAAGCATTTATGAGCATAGAGAGAAACTGCAGAACGTTGTTAACACTGGTTATCTCATGGTAGTGAGAATGGAAGGGGCTGACAGGAAATTTACATTTTTTGCTATACATTTTTGCATTGTTTCCATTATGCAATTAGGACATATTATCTCTGGCCTGGCACGGTGGCTCATGCCTGTAATCCCAGCACTTTGAGAGGCCCAGGCGAGTGGATCACTTGAGGCCGGGAGTTTGATACCAGCCAGGCCGACATGGTGAAACCTCATCTCTACTAAAAATACAAAAAAATTAGTCGGGCAAATTTTTTTGCATCACTACAGGTGATGGTGCACACCTGTAGTCCCAGCTACTCTGGAGGCTGAGGCAGAAGAATTGCTTGAACCTGGGAGGTGGAGGTTGCAGTGGGCTGCAATCACATCACTGCACTCCAGCCTGGGCAGCAGAGTGAGACTCTGTCTCAAAAAAAAAGAACATATTACTTTTGAAAATAAAAATTCTAATAAAGAATATCTTAAAGAATAGAAAAAAAAAACCATTAAAAGGCTTGAGGGAAATACAAGCAAACATTTATATACTCTAGGAAGAGGACAGACTTTGTAACAAGTCACCAAAGCCAGGAACCATAATGAGGAAGTCTAATGTATTTAACAACATAAAAGGTTTACAGTTAAATGGGCCAAAAATCAACATAACCAAAATTAACAAACAAATAAATTGAGGAAAATGAGGAAAATGTTTTTAATAATATGCAGCCATAAAATAATTAATATTTTTAATGTGTAGAGCTCTTCAAATCAACAAGAAACAGACAAATGCCAATGCCCTAAATAGAAAAATAGGCAAAGGACCCGAACAGGTAGTTCACAAAAGAAGGTACTCAAATAAACACCCAAAGGAATTTCAATCCCAATAGCAATAGAAAATTCAGATTAAAACCACAGGTATCATTGTTTTCTCCTATAAATTAGCCAAGATTATTTTTAAATGATACCCAGTGTTACTGAATTTGTAGGGAATGGGATACTCTTAAACTGTGATGCTGAGTAAAACCTTCCTTGAGGGCAACTTGGTAGTATGTATCAAAAGGTATAAAAATACACATAACCACTGGGCACAGTGGCTCATGCCTGTAATCCCAGCACTTTGGGAGGCCGAGGCGGGCAGATCACTTGAGGTCAGGAGTTTGACACCAGCCTGGCCAACGTGGCAAAACCCTGTCTCTATCAAAAATACAAAAATTAGCCTGGTGTGGTGACAGGTGCCTGTAATCCTAGCTACTCGGGAGGCTGAGGCAGGAGAATCACTTGAACCCAGCAGGTGGAGGTTGCAGTGAGCCGAGGTCACACCACTGCACTCCAGCCTGGGTGACAAAGCAAGATACTGTCTCAAAAAAAAAGGCAGGGCGCGGTGGCTCACACCTATAATCTCAACACTTTGGGAGGCCGAGGCGGGCAGATCACCTGAGGTCAGGAGTTCAAGACCAGCCTGGCCAATATGATGGAACCCCTATCTCTACTAAAAATACAAAATTAGCTGGGAGTGGTGGCTCATACCTGTAATCCCAGCTATTCAGGAGGCTGAGACACGAGAATCGCTTGAACCCACGAGATGGAGGTTGCAGTGTACTGAGATCACGCCATTGCACTCCAGCCTGGGCAAGAAGAGCGAAACTCCGTCTCAAAACACACACACACACACACACACACACACACACACACATAACCTTTGACCCAGAGATTCTTCTAGCGATGTATCCCAGGGAAACAATTAATCATATATTTTAAGATTTCCCTACAAAAATAATTACTGCAGCCTTAAGTGTCAAAATACAGGAAACATACAGGACAAACAACAAGGATTGATTACTAAATATAGGCAAATCTATACAATGAAATATATGCAGCTGTTAGAATGGGCTAGATCCCACTGTATTAAAATGGAAAGCTCTTGAAACCTAAGAAAACTGTGGTTCCATTATATGAACAGAAATCTGGTGTACACAGAAAAGTGGTCTTTCAATTGGAAATATAATTCCAGGGAATAAAGAACAGAACCACACTGGAATGTAACAAAGAATAATACACATATGCACTAAATGATTTTTTTTTGGTAACAGAAAAAGATAAAAACAACTCAAATATTCATCAATAGGGGAATGGTTATCTAAATACAATATACTCACCCAATGGGACACCCATGTAGATGTAAAAAATAAAGGATTTCTCTCTATGTATTAGTATGGAAAAATCCCAGAGAAACAAAAATCAAGGAGAACACCACCTTGTTCCCTAGTAATACTATATTCTGAAAGCCATATAATTTAAAGAGAAGAAAATAACATTTGTGTTTGCTTATATTTGCATTTTAAAAAGTCCACACATTAGGCTGGGCACAGTGGCTCACGACTATAATCCCAGCACTTTGGGAGGCTGCATTGGGTGGATCACCTGAGGTCAGGAGTTCAAGACCAGCCTGGCCAATATGGTGAAACCCCATTTCTACTAAAAATACAAAAATTAGCCAGGCGTGGTGGTGTGTGCCTGTAACCCCAGCTACTTGGGAGGCTGAGGCAGGGGAATCACTTGAACCTGTGAGGTGGAGGTTGCAGTGAGCCAAGATTGTGCCACTGCACTGCAGCCTGGGTGACAGAGTGAGACTCTGCCTCAAAAAAAAAAAAAATCCAGACACTGGAAAAATTAAAAATAGAAACCAATAAAGATGGTTAACTCTAAGGGGTAGGGGAGACAGGGAGGTTAGGCAGACAGGAACAGGTATACAACATATCTTTTCTTTTTTTTTTTTTTGAGACAGAGTCTCGCACTGTTGCCCAGGCTGGAGTGCAGTGGTGTGATCTCAGCTCACTGCAACCTCCGCCTCCTGGGTTCAAGTCATTCCCCTGACTCAGCCTCCTGAGTAGCTGGGATTACAGGCACCCGCCACCATGCCTGGCTAATTTACAACATATCTTAATGCATACTTTGTTTTGGTTTTGAGCTATGTAACTATTTCTCTTTTCCAAAAAATTTAAATGACAAATTTAAAAGAGATCCAAGGAACAAGAATGAATTATTCAAATGAAATAATGCCATATACAAATTCTTCTGTAATGGTTTTGGATGACTACATTAACTAGAAGTCTATCACCTCAGAGACAGGGAGGTTGCTGTCACTACTTGTTTGCTCTACTGGAAGCTAAAGGAGTAGTTTCAAACAACACATGCCACTAGAATGAGCAAAACAGGCCAAACACAAGCCATCTCTACAACTGCAGGCCATGCCTGATAAACAAAAGAAAACTTTGAACAACAAAAGAGGCCAGTAATTAGCCTCTATGGCACCCAGCATCGAGAAGGGAGCTGAATGCATCCAACCAGTGCCGTCCAGCTGATCAGCCTCTGAAATTTGTAAAGCACTGTGACACATATCTTATCTCTTTAATCTAACCATCTACTTGACAAAGTTGCTGGAATAGGGAAAAATGAAGTCCAAGGCAGTCAAACACTATCCAAAGTCATACAGCTAGTGCACCACAGACAGGGGCTAGAGCCCAGCTCTCTTGGCATTAAGCCCATTCTCTGCCCACTGTACCTCCTTGACATCACTTCTGGCCACTCCTCATCTTGGGCCCCATAATGAGGTTTATAACTGGATAGCTAAGCACAGTATAGGGGGATGGTGGGAGTCGAGGGTGAGTCTCTCCTGTCTTCCTGCAGAACCATCTAAAACAGCCCCCAAGAAAGAAATGGTTACAAGAGCCTATGAAGAAACTTAAGCCCATCTCTATAAAAAATAAAACATTAGCCAAGCATGGTGGCACACGCCTATCGTCCTAGCTACTAAGGAGGCTGAGATGAGAGAATTGCTTGAGCCCAGGAGTTCAAGGCTGCAGAAAGCCACGATCATGCAGCTGCACTGCACTCCAGACTGGATAACAGAACGAGACCCTGTCTCAAAAAAAAAGAAAGAAAGGAAGGAAGGAAGGAAGGAAGGAAGGAAGGAAGGAAGGAAGGGAGGAAGGAAGGAAGGAAGGAAGGGAGGAAAGAACTAAGTATCAGAAAACAGAAACCTGTATTAGAGATGAAAATGCCAACTATAAATCAGCATGGACAGAGTATTTAAATCATGGTCCAGCCAATGGCAGACTTTATTTAATACAATGTTCTGGCAGTTGAAGACTTTAATCATTTCCTTACCTGGAATCAAAGAGGGTGCCATCCAGAAGCGTGCCATTGTAATGATACCTGAGAAAGTCCCCACTTTGACTTAACCGCTCACAGTTTTCAGGTACTGCCTTGTTCTCAATGGAAATGCTGTCCTTGGGGTTATGGAGGTCCAATAATGCAACATCAAACACCAGAGATGCCTGACCGGGAATGTCTTTCCCTAGAATGGAATGGGAGAAGATGATTAAACGGGACACAGGATTTAGGAAGTACTTTACAACTCAACAGGCTTGGGGTTGGTGTTATTCATTTCTTGAGGTTTTGAAGCCAAGGAAACAAATGTTCTTCCAGGTCTTGAATGGGCCCCCATGGTGTCCAACCATGGGCTGATGGTATAATCTAAAACCTGACTCAGCAAAAGGAGAAAATTGGTATTAATGACATAAGAGACTACCATGACCATATTTTCTGGACTCATGCTGGAAGATCAAGGCTCTATGTAGGAGGGCAGGCACCCACAGGCAAACCCAAATACGTACCTCTGTGGGTTTCTGTTTGTGAATAAATGCAAACCACAGACATTTAAAGGAGAAAATTCCAAATCTCTGGTCTGGTTCTGGAGAACTGTACACAGACTTGTTCTTTGAAACGAACGGCCA
Organism: Homo sapiens; assembly: GCF_000001405.40. NCBI lineage: Eukaryota > Metazoa > Chordata > Mammalia > Primates > Hominidae > Homo > Homo sapiens. The sequence goes on from NC_000007.14 coordinate 55,707,795, forward strand.
ATTTTTTAGAGGCAAAAAGTAAAACTCAATGCTTTAAGTATATCCAAAGCAAGATATAAATAAGATGAAAGCAGAATAACAGAGAAAAAAATGGCACCCACAATCCAAAATATAAATAAATAGTCCTCAAATCACTTCTATCTCACTTCTGGGTAGTACTGCTTCTCTTGGATGTTCCTGCCAGTGGGAGTATTTTGAATATCTGCAAAATGAAATCCACATGAAGAGATTACAGGACACTAGTTCTTCCTGCAAAGATCAACATCAACCAATAAATAACTCAAAATCCAGTAATTTGGGATAGTAGAAAGTTAACCAACAAACCAATCCCTCAGTTTTACTTGCCGTTTGTTATACCATGCAAAGGAGCAGGCCCAGACAAGCAAACCAGATGCCGCCAAGCCTGAGCTCCTTCCAGTGGCCTTTGGCAAAGCCCACCCTGCATCTCCTTCCCCTCCAAGGAATGATGAAATCTGCTGAAAGCCGGCTGCTGAGTCAGCCCCTGGAAAGCGAGGTGTGGTCAATCCCTAAATCGCATGCGTGGGAGATAGAATATTAATCTTTTGTGCCTTACTGTATCTTTTCATTTAAGAGAAAAATGAAAGTCTTAAAAGTAACCATGGGGTTTAAATTTTTCTTTTCTTTTTTTTTTTTTGAGATGGAGTCTCGCTCTGTTGCCCAGGCTGGAGTGTAATAGCACAATCTTGGCTCACTGCAACCTTCGCCTCCCGGGTTCAAGCGATTCTCCTGCCTCAGCTTCCCGAGTAGCTGGGATTACAGGCACCTGCCACCACGCCTGGCTAAATTTTGTATTTTTAGTAGAGACGGGGTTTCCCCATGCTGGCCAGGCTGGTCTTGAACTCCCGACCTCAGGCGATCCACCCAAATCAGCCTCCCAAAGTGCTGGGATTACAGGCGGGAGCCACTGCGCCCGGCCTGGGGTTTCAATTTTTCTAGCATTAATGTGTACTAAATGAATAATGTTTTCTATAGCAACTTTGCAGAGATATAATTCACATACCATACAGTTACACTTGGATAGCCAAGCATAGTATTCAAGTATAAAGTATTAAAAAATAACTACTCTAAATAAGCTATTATTTATTTAAAGTAAATAAATAATATTTCTCATATTAGGCTCACATCTGGTTTTGTTATGTGGCTGATGACAAAAGGATCTGGGAGCCAATGTGAATGAACTTTTTGGGGCCAAGGACAAGACCATTTGAACATCAATAAGAAAACAGTAACTGCCAGGCACAGTGGCTCCCACCCGTAATCCCAGCGCTTTGGGAGGCTGAGGTGGGAGGATCGCTTGAGTCCAGGATTTCAAGGTAAGCCTGGGTAACGTAGCGAGACACTGTCTCTAAAAAAACTTTTTTAACTAGCCAAGCATGGTGGCACATGCCTGTAGTCCTAACTATTCGGGAGGCTGAGGCAGGAGGATCACCCAGGAGTTTGAGGTTACAGTGAGCTATGATGGTGTCACTCCAGTCTGGGTGACAGAGTGAGACCCTGTCTCTAAAAATAATAACAACAATATCTTATATCTCATTGGGGGGGAGAATTAAGACATATTTATGGCACTGCTTTAAACTTTATTTTTCTTTTAGTAGGGAATTCCACCCCTAATACTCTGTTTAAGAAACCATCTGCAGATCCCCAGCATGTAAAATATATAAAAGTGGGCCAGGCACAGTGGTTCACACCTGTAATCCCAGCACTTTGGGAGGCCGAGGTGGATGGATGGCTTGACCTCAGCAGTTTGAGACAAGTCTGGCCAACATGGCGAAATGCTGTCTATACTAAAAATACAAAAATTTGCCAGGCATGGTGGCATACGCCTGTAGTCCAAGCTACCCAGGAGGCTGAGGCAGAAGAATCTCTTGAACCCAGGAGGTAGAGGCTGCAGTGAGCCGAGATCGCACCACTGCACTCCAGCCTGGGCAACAGAGTGAGACTCTGTCTCAAAAAAAAAAAGTGTATATATATATGAGTATATATATATATGAGTGTATATATATATATATGAGCGTATATATATATATGAGTACATATACATATGAGTATATATATATGAGTATATATATATGAGTGTATATATATATGAGTATATATATATGAGTATATATATGTGTATATATATGTATATATGTATATATATGTGTATATATATGTATATATATATGTGTATATATATGTATATATGTATATATATATGTATATATGTATATATATATATATGAGTATATATATATGGAGGTAGAAAGGAGAGAAGGCCGAGCCCCATCACCTCAGGCTCCCTTCTCCTCCTGCTCCGCTCCACAGAGCCAGGAAAAAACGTGAAAACATATTGGCTATTGTAAGTTGGCTATCACTATCAGTAAACTTCTTAAGAAGCATCATGTTCTCATTTATATCCTTAACTACAAAGTCATGTGCTGCACAATGAAGTTTTGGTCAACAACAGACCACATATATGAGAGTGGTCCCATGAGATTATCATATCATGTCTTTACTGTAACTTTTCTATGTTTAGATACACAAATTCTTACCATTGTGTTACAGTAGCTCACAGGATTCAGTACAGATGCTGTGCAGGTTTGTAGCCTAGAGGAAACAGGTTACACCACACAGCCTAAGTGTGCAGCAGGCTGTAGCACCTAGGATTGTGTAAGTGCACTCTATGGCATTTGCACAACAATGCAATTGCCTAATGATGCCTTTCGCAGAACATATCCCCATTATGAATCAACACATCACTGTATCCATCTGCTGTTTAAATGCCTACAGGTCTCTATGTTGTGCCAGCATGTCAATATGACTAAACGCACCTGAAATTCAAACATGAGTACCTGAGACATTCCATTTATCAGTCCATATTATGTGTTTTCCTTCACAGTAAAACTACAAACAGGACACTAGTTGTAATTAATGTGTTTTCTAACATTACACTTTGCTTTTGTCCATATGGAGTTAATGCCATAGGTAAAACTCATTGTAGAGGTGCAAACGGGGAAATCTGGCAATTCTGACACTGTATGGCTAAATTTCTACCTGCATATCTGCAACTTTTATAGTGTCTAATTCAAGTCTCATTTCACAAATGTTAAAGCCAGAGAGGTTGGTGGCCAAGGCCATGGCAGGTACAACAGGGGCAGAGGGGGTTACTTATGAATGCCAATGACTATAAGTAAGTGGAAATTTCTGCAACTCAATCATCACACAGCAGACAATCCAGACTAGCACTGTCAAATAGAACTTTCTGAGTGATGGAAATGATCTGGGTCTGTATCTGCACTGTCCACTATGGTGGTCCTCAGCAACGTGAGGCTATTGGGTACCTAAAATGTAGCAGTGTGACCAAGGAACTGAATTTTAAATTTTAGCTAATTTTAACTTGTTTCCATTTCAATATAAATAGCCACATGTAGCTAGTGGTTACCATATTGGCCAGCGTAGGTCTAGACCAAAAGGTCTAGTGAGTTTCATGTGGTGACAATTGAATTAACCACTGCAATAAAAATAAGGGTAGGAGAGAGTGGCTCCAAGAAGGAGAAGGACTTACCATCTCCATCCTCTCCATAGGCCAGAAAAGGAGGAATGGTGATGATGCGCTTCTCACCCACACACATCCCCAGCAGCCCTTTATCCATTCCAGGAATCAGCCAGCCAATTCCCACATACGTGTCCTATGTTTTCATGCGATTGTGACTGAAAGGTAATGAGAAAAGGAAAAAGTTCCACACCATGAGGATATTTCCAACTCATCTCTCTGTACGGTTTTTCTTACCCAAATATCAGCTAAACGATGATCCCATACCCATCCTAGAGATAGACATTTATGGATCTTTGCCCCCAAACACAGGGCAGATGTCCTCAAGTTTAGAAAGAAATAAAAAGCATGCATTTATACTAGTGATAGACAAAAACAGGTCAGCTATTCCACTAATCAAACACACTCTAATGAGAAGAAATTGCGAAGGGTTCCCTGATCTCCCGTGTAGCCCCATGCCTCTCCATAGCTTCACATACATTCATCTTTTCCCTCTTGCTTCCATGGGAAAACTACAAAAATGAACCAAAACGTGCATAAGCCTCCTTAGAAATAGAGACTTACACGGCCAGGTGCAGTGGCTCACGCCTGTAATCCCAGCACTTTGGGAGGCCAAGGCAGGCAGATCATGAGGTCAGGAGATCGAGAACACCCTGGCTAATACGCTGAAACGCCGTCTCTACTAAAAATACAAAAAATTAGCTTAGCGTGGTGGCATGCACCTGTAGTCCCAGCTACTTGGGAGGCTGAGGCAGGAGAATCGCTTGAACCCAGGAGGCAGAGGTTGCAGTGAGCCAAGATCGTGCCACTGTACTCCAGCCTGGGTGACAGGGCGAGAATCCATCTCAAAAAAAAAAAAAAAAAAAAAGAAATAGAACCTTTCACTTAATGATGAGATCTCAAAATACTGTTAAGTTAGATAAACACTGCTCTTCAATGTTTCTAAGATGTATTAAAATTTCGACTCTGGCACCAGAGAAGATGCAACACTGACCAAAAGTCTTAAGCAGATGAGTTCAGTACTGATTACAGTTGAGAAGAGTCCTTATTCTAGTATCCCCATCAGCATAAAAAGCAAGTAAGACAGAAGGAAAGAACTATGCATGGAACATTTCACTGATACTGCCATGAATGACAGGACTTACCTCGAATCAAACAGAGTTCCGTCCAGGAACGTCCCGTTGTAGTGGTACCTCACAAAATCAGACACCTGGATGGTCTGAGGGCAACTCAGGGGCTTGAAATAGGTGTGAATCTGAACCCGGTCTTCAGAATTCCAAATATCCATCAGAAGTACATCAAAATGAAGCACTGAATTGGGGGGGATCACACCAGCTAGAAATTAAAGATTTCACACTGAGTTCACAGTTGCTGCCTTTCAGGCCAGATAAATAAACACCTAGGATGCTCCCAAGGTGAATGTGGGCCAAAAGGGTTCAAGCAGTCACTGCTATACAATCCCAAAATGACCCATTCTTCCTCCCTCTTTCCTCCAAATGAAATTGAAAGAAAAGAGAAAAAACAGTTTTCTTCTCATTGAGGGTATCATTCAATACATCTGTGTTAATGACACTTTCTTTCACATCTAGAAGAAATAAACCTAAGATGGAAATTTTAGCTGTGTATGAGTTCACTGCTTTTCATTTTCCCCCAATCTAAAGCTTCCAAGATTCTCCAGTCTGTTTGACTTAACATCCTAAAAGTGTTCTCATTGTTTCTGCTGATGTGTTTATAAACGAGGAAGAAAAGCTTACAAACTCCTTCACTTCCGTAGGCAAGCTTTGGGGGAATCTTCACGAAATGTCTCTCGTTTACGCACATCCCAACAAGAGCCTGGTCCATCCCTGTGATCAGCTGTCCTTTTCCCACAAACACGTTGAAAGTGGAGTCTCTGTCATAGCTGAAGGCCCAAAGGGTAGGGAAAGAGAAAGAAAAGTATAAATAGTCCCTTCCTCAGTAAAAACCAACCTGTAAAAATGTGCCCACAGATGTAATGGGGCCACAGCAAAGCAAAAACCCTGCCTAGGAGTTACTGATACAGGAACATCTCCACTGGACAGTACTTGTAGGGTTGGAAATTTTAGACTACCTTGAATATTGCCAGCAAATCTAGTTCAATAAGAATCAGCATAACTCTCTCCAGAAAAACAAAAATGTGTTAAACTGATTTTGCAAAATAGTTACCTATTCTTTCACACACACAAAAAAGAAAGAGTTGGCTGTGGTCATGCCAGGGCTTTGGAAGGCCAAGGCAAGAGGAGTTAACTTGAAGTTAGGAGTTCGAGACCAGCCGGGGCAACAAAGTGAGGCCCCCCCCTCTCTACTAAATAAATAAATACATATAATTAGCCAGGTGTGGTGGTGCATGCCTATAGTCCCAGCTACTTTGGAAGCTGAGGTAGGAGGATCGCTTGAGCCCAAGAGTTTGAGGCTGCAGTGAGCTATGATTGCACCACTGCACTCCAGCCTGGGCGACAGAGTCTCAAAAAATAAAATAAAATAAAATAAAAAAGACTTTACAGCCAGGTGCAGTGGCTCACGCCTGTAATCCCAACACTTTGGGAGGTCGAGGAGAGTGGATCACCTGAGGTCAGCAGTTTGAAACCAGCCTGGCCAACACGGTGAAACCCCATCTCTACTAAAAATACAAAAAATTAGCCAGGCGTGGTGGCACATGCCTGTAGTCCCAGCAACTCGGGAGGCTGAGGCAGGAGAATTGCTTGAACCTGGGAGGTGGAGATTGCAGTGAGCCGAGATAACGCCACTGCACTCCAGCCTAGGTGACAGAGCAAGACTCTGTGTCAAAAAAAAAAAAAAAACTTCATTTCATTTTCTATATGATTGGTACCTAAAAGCAACATCATAGGTACTAATGGCCAAAGTTAACACACACACACACACACACACACACACACACACACTTGATTTTTTTTAAAAGTCATCCAGCTAAGTTAAACACAGAGGCAGCATGGTAACAGCATAAAACATACTTAAACTCTCTTAACCTCAGTTTCCTCCACTGCAAAATGCAAGAAATAATAACAGCCTCCCCAGGATCTGTGTAACAACGTGAAAAATGCTCTGAAACCCTAAGTGTTATGCCAATATTGCTATAATTATCACAGGTAATAGAAAGTATGATGTAGTCTTAGGATCACTAATATACGTGTTTTAAAGGCTGATAGGCAACAGCCTTAGATCAAAAGATAAATAAGGAAATCATGGCTGTGACTCACACCTTTATCTTCTTCAGTGTCAAATTTAGCAATCAACAGGGGTTTGCCTATTAGGGGACTGTGCCAGGTGCTTTGGGGGATATAAAGTACAAGGCATGGACTTTGCCTACAAGTACCTTATATACTGATAGAGACCCACAGGGTTTCAGAAGACATAAAATAAAATGCTCTATGGCATTTTATAATAACAGATTTTTACTCACTGACTCGGAGGGATATATACAATAAGAGTAAAGGGCAGGTTACAATGCCAGGCGTGGTGGCTCATGCCTGTAATCTCAGCACTTTGGGAGGCCAAGGACGGTGGATCACTTGAGATCAGGAGTTCAAGACCAGCCTGGCCAACATGGTGAAACCCCATCTCTACTAAAAATACAAAATTAGCCAGGCGTGGTGGTGTGCACCTGTAGTGCCAGCTACTTGGGAGCCTGAGGTACAAGCATTGCTTGAACCTGGGAGGTGAAGGTTGCAGTGAGCTGAGATGGTGCCACTGCACTGTCATCCAGCCTGGGTGACAGAGTGAAACTTTGTCTCAAAAAGGGTGGGGGGGAACAGGTTAACACGTATAAAATCACTCCATTTTCAACTTACATATATAGATGCATATGAAAAAATCCACAAGGCAATACATGAAATATTATCTATCATCTACAGGTAGAGGACTTCAGGTGACTGAATTTGTTTTCTCTTTAATTATCCTACTTTTCAAAATGATCATGTAATTAATTATGTAATAAAATGTTAAGAGCTGCTGGGATTTACTTCTTGAGAATGTGTCACCCTTCATTTTTCACTTTCACTTTTTCCTCTTTTTCCCTAATGAACAGTTTGGGTGAGCAACAGAGTCCACCTCACCACTCCCCTCAGGGCAGCTTCCTGAGACCTGGCCCTCTTCTCTTTCTCCTCCTAGTTTTACAGCCTATTTTAATAAGTTTCCTTTCTTCAAGGTCAGTGAACAGAAAGCAAGATTTCAAGTACAGGCCAACAAGCCAGAGGACAAAAGCACATGGCCAGTTGTGTGCCCAAGTCAGCTTTACACCTCCACCCTCTACCTCCGGGGCCCCAATCCCCACCCCCTGGAATGCCTGCTCTTGAATTACACTTGGCTGGGGACTCGCCCTGCCACTAAGCCATCATCAAACTGGCAGATTTATTATAATAATGGGCCAGAAAGCAAGACTTCAAAGACTCCCAAGCACAGAACACACGCAAGCAGCAACAATGCACCGGCAAGAAACTACTTTAAAAATATTTTTTTCATTCACAGAACCCGAATATACTTCCTAAATTTAACAAAACTTTTTAATACTAACTGCCATTTACAGAGTATCTATTATTTGTTGGGCACAGTAGCAAACTAAGCTCTTCAATATATACTACACCATTTAATCCTCATACAATACTTTAAGGTGGGTGCTATGATACTCAGGCTCTTTGGAGGTTACAAAATTTCCCAAGCTCATGAAATTAAACATGAGGAGGGAAAAAAGCAAGAATCTAGGACCATCTCAATCTCACACTCCAGGGTCAGGGCCTCCCTAGAGGTGTATAGAAACAGTTGTTGCCCAGCTTGGGCAACATTGTGAAATCCCATCTCTACTAAAAATACAAAAAATTAGCTGAGCATGGTGGTATGTGCATGTGGTCCCAGCTACTTGGGAGACTGAGGTGGGAGAATCGCTTGAACCTGGGAGGCAGAGGCTGCAGTGAGCCAAGATCATACCCCGGCACTCCATTCTGGGTGACAGAGTGAGATCCTGGAAAGAAAGAAAGGAAAGAAAGAAAGGAAGAAAGGAAGAAAGAAACAGTTGTTGCCTCACAGTATTAACTTCTTCATTTGATGTTGCCTAAGCACTGTGAACAATTAAGCACCAAAGTGCTAAAAACCAAAAAACCTTTCTGAAAGAAAATGTATACATTTATACATTAATAATGTATACATTTATAGAAGAGGCTAACAATGCAAGACCAGTCTTATCTACTGCTTAAAATTCTGACCATCTGGAAAAATAAAGTTGTTCTGAACAAATTTATTCTGATCAGCACAACTGGCACAAACTCATGGGCAGCATCAAGCCCAGAACTGGTCATGAAAATTACTTCTGCACACTCTGGAGTAAGCATTTATACAACCTGTCCTGGGATCTGGCTTATTTACACCTTTTACAGGCATCTCATTCAGGGGCCTGCAGGAAACAGATGACACACCCAAACGAAGCTGTTCCAGGAAAGTTTAATAATGGGGTTGTGCACAGCTGAGATCATAATCAATGGTGAAAAACTGAAAGGTGTTCCCCTGTGATTGGGAACAAGGAAAAGATGCTTGGTTTCAACACTTCTATTCAGCATGGTCCTGGAACTCCTAGCTAGAGCAATTAAGCAAGAAAAAGAAATACATGGCACAGAAATTGGAAAGGAAGAAGTAAAAATATCTCTTTTAACTGACGAAATAACTTTATATATAGAAAACCCTGTAAGAGTCCATAAAAAAAGCTGTTAAAACTAATAAACATTGGACTTGATGGTTCTGTGGGGGAAAAAAACAACTAATAAACAAATTTGGCAAAGTTGCAGGATACAAAATCAACACCCCAAAATCAGTTGCATTTCTATACACTAATAATGAACAATCTTAAAAAAGGAAATGAACAAAATAATTCTATTTACAATAGCATCAAGAAGAATGAAATACTTAGGATTAAACCTAACCAAGGAGGCAAAAGACTACAATGGAAACTAGAAAAACATTGCTGTAAGAAATTAAAGAGGGCCAGGTGCAGTGGCTCATGCATGTAATCCCTGCACTTTGGGAGGCCAAGGCGGGCGGATCACCTGAAGTCAGGAGTTTGAGACCAGCCTGGCCAACATGGTGAAACCTGTCTCTACTAAAAATACAAAAATTAGACAGGCATGGTGGCATATGCCTGTAATCCCAGCTACTCGGGAGGCTGAGACAGGAGAATCGCTTGAACTTGGGAGGTGGAGATTGTGGTGAGCCGAAATTGCACCACTTCACTCCAGTCTGGGCGACAGAGCAAGACTCTGTCTCTAAAAAAAGAAAGAAAGAAAGAAATTAAAGAGGACACAAATAAATGGAAAGACATTTCTCGTTCATGGATGGGAAGACTTAATATGGCTAAGATGTCCACACTAACCAAAGCAATCTATTGATTCAATGCGATTCCTACCAAAATCCTGATGGCATTTTTTGCAGAAATAGAAAAAAAAAAAACTAAACTAAAATTCATACGGATTTTTTTTTTTTTTTGAGATAGAGTCTCACTCTGTCACCCAGGCTAGAGTGCAGTGGTGCAATCTCGGCTCACTGCAACTTCTGCTTCCCGGGTTCAAGCAATTCTGCCTCAGCCTCCTGAGTAGCTGGGATTACAGGGGCCCGCCACCATGCCTGGCTAATTTTTGTATTTTTAGTAGAGACAGGGCTTCACCATGTTTGCCAGGCTGGTCTTGAACTCCTGACCTCAGGTGATCAGACTGCCTCGGCCTCCCAAAGTGCTGGGATTACAGGTGTGAGCCATGGTGCCTGGCCTTGGAATCTTGAAGGACTCTAAAGAGCCAAAACAATCCTGAGAAAGAAGAACAAAGCTGGAGGCCTCACACTTCCTGATTTTGAAACATATTATGAAGCTATCATAATCAAGGCAGCATGGTACTGACCCAAATACAGACACATAGACCAATAGATCAAAATAGCCCAGAAATAAACTTTTGCCTATATGGTCAAATGATCTTTGACAAGGGCTAAGGCTACACAGTGGGTAAGGATGGTCTCTTCAATAAACGGTGCAGGGAAAATTGGATCTCCACATGCAAAAGAATAAAGTTGGAGATTCTTACTTTATACCATAGGAAACAATCAATTCAAAATGGATTAAATGCATAAATATAAGATCCAAAACTATAAAACTAGGAAAAAAACACAAGGGAAAAGCATCATGACATTGGATTGGATATGACACCAAAAGCACAGGTAACAAAAACAAAAACAGACAAAGGGGACTTTGTCAAACTTTAAAACTCTGAACAGCAAAGAAAACAATCAACAGAGTAAAAAGGCAACCTAAAAAATGGGAGAAAATGTTTGCAAACCTCATATATGATAAGGGATTAATATCTAGAATATATAAAGAACTCCTAAAACTCAACGACCACAAAATAATCCAATTTTAAAATGAGCAAAGGGATTGAATGAATATTTCTCCAAAGAAGATATACAAATGGCCAACAAGCATATGAAAAGATGCTACACATCACTAAACAGCAGAGAAATGCAAATCAAAAACCACAATGCAGGCCAGGCATGGTGGCTCACGCCTGCAATCCCAGCACTTTGGGAGGCTGAGGTGGGTGGATCACCTGAGGTCAGGAGTTCAAGACCAGCCTGGCCAACATGGCAAAACCCCGTCTCTACTAAAAATACAAAAATTAGCCAGGCATGGTGGCATATGCCTGTAATCCCAGCTACTCGGGGGGCTGAGGCAAAACCCCGTCTCTACTAAAAATACAAAAATTAGCCAGGCATGGTGGCATATGCCTGTAGTCCCAGTTACTCGGGGGACTGAGGCAGGAGAATTGCTTGAACCTAGGAGGCAGAGGTTGCAGTGAGCTAAGATCACGCCATTGCACTCCTGCCTGGGTGACAAAAGTGAAACTCTGTCTCAAAAAAAAAAAAAGAAGGAAAAAGAAAACCGCAATGCAATATTACCTCACACACACTTGTTAGAATGGCCACTATCAAAAAACTGGAAAATAAAAAGTGATGGAGAGGATATGGAGAAATTGGAATCTTTGTGCACTTTGATGGGAATGCAAAATGTACTTGCTCTAGAAAATGGTCTGTAGGCTCCTCAAAAAATTAAAAATAGAAGTACTGTATGATCTAGCAATCCTATCTCTTGGTGTATACCCAAAAGAACTGAAAACAGAATCAGGCCGAACGCAGTGGCTCATGCCTGTAATCCAAGGTTGAAGCTTGAGTCCAAGAGTTCAAGACCAGCCTAGGCAACCTGGTGAAACACCATCTTTACAAAAACACAAAAATTAGCCATGTGTGGTGGTGCACAGGTACTGTAGTCCCAGGTACTCGGGAGGTTGAAGTGAGAGGATCACTTGAGCTCAGGAGGTCAAGGCTGCAGTAAGCTGTGATCATGCCACTGCACTCGACCCTGGGCAACAGAACAAAAGACTCTGTCTAAGCCGGGCGCGGTGGCTCACGCCTGTAATCCCAACACTTTGGGAGGCTGAGGCGGGCGGATCACCTGAGGTCGGGAGTTAGAAACCAGCCTGACCAACACGGAGAAACCCTGTCTCTACTAAAAATACAAAAATCAGCTGGGCATAGTGCTGGGTGCCTGTAATCCCAGCTACTCAGGAGGCTGAGGCAGGAGAATCACTTGAACCTGGGAGGCGGAGGTTGCGATGAGCTGAGATCGCACTACTGTACTCCAGCCCAGGCACTAAGAGCGACACTCTATCCCAAAAAACAAAACAAAACAAAAAAACCACTCTGTCTAAACTAAAACAAAAACAAAACCACAACAACTCAGATATTTGCACACACATGTTCAACTCAGCACGATTTACAATAGCCAAAAGCTAGAAGCAATCTAAATGTCCATAGACAAATAAATGGATAAAAAATATGTGGTATACACACACAATGAAATATTATTCCGCCTTAAAAAGGAAGGAAATCCTATCACATGCTACAATATGGATGAACCTTGAGGACATTACGTAAAGTGAAATAAGCCAGTCACAGAAAGACAAATACTGCATGATTCCACGAATTATATGAGGTATCTAAAGTAGTTAAACTCATAGAAACAGAAAGTGGAATGTTGTTATCAGCGGACAAGGAAGAGGGAAAAATGAAGAGAAGTTGTTCAGTGGGCATAAAGTTTCAATTTTGCAGGATGGAAAAATTCTAGAGATATATTGCACAACAGTGTGAATATAGCTAACACTATTATACAGTTCAAAGTGGTTACAATGGTAAATTTGATGGTTTTTTTAAAGTAATAACAGAGTGGGTGTGTGCAAAGGTGTGTACAGAACACAGCAAAACACAAGGGATAGTACCTCTGTGGCTGGGTGGGGAATGCTGCTATCACACCTGAGCTTGAATGACAGAGACAGAGAGGGCAGCTAGGGGCTACCTGACAGAACTGGGCCCTTTAGTTTAGGGCCACAATCCATGGTGACCCTACAGACAGGAAGCCAGAGGAATACATACCTTCACCTCACTCTCTTCCCTCGCTTTGAACATCTGATGCCTGATAGGGTTTGGATCTGTGTCCATGCCAAATCTCATGTTGAAATGTAATCCCCAGTGTTGGAGGTGGGGCCTGGTGGGAGGGCTTAGCGCCATCCCCTCGGTGATGAATGAGTTCAGAGATCTGCTTGTTTAAAAGTGTGTGGCACCTCCCACCCTCTCTCTCTTGCTCCTGCTCTTGCCATGTGAGATGTCTGCTCCCCTTTTCCCTTCCACCATGACTATAAATCTCCTGAGGTCCTCACCAGAAGCTGACGACAGCATGCAATGCTTCCTGTACAGCCTGCAGAACTGTGAGCCAATTAAACCTCTTTTCTTATAAATTACCCAGCCTTGGGTATTTCTCTCCAGTGATGCAGGAATGGCTTATCACAATGTCCCAATGGCTGAACCCAACCAAAGCCAGAAGACAAAGGGTCATTAATGTAACCCATACTATGCACATGTAGTCCATACATGTCAGCCTCCCAGAGCAAAAAGCAAATGGAACAGGTGAAGGGTGGACCTAGAAAGGCAAATGGAAACCACCTAGCACATCCAACACCCTCCTTTCCTCTCCACCAGCTTGTTTTTGTCCCCTTCCATCACTGCCCCAGGGGAGTGATGGGAAAGTTGTCTGTAGCACCCTCTGATGATGCTCTTTAAAATTATTAACCCAAGGACCACTAAGACAAGAGACATCATAGTCAACACACTAAACTGCCTACACAAAAGCTCACATTATATTGGCAACACATTACTTGAGATAAATAACTATCCTCATGGCTATATTCTTTTTTTTTTTTTTTTGAGATGGCGTCTCACTGTCACCAAGGCTGGAGTGCAGTGGCACGATCTTGGCTCACTGCAACCTCTGCCTCTCATGTTCAAGCAATTCTCCTGCCTCAGCCTCCCTAGAAGCTGGGATTACAGGCACACACTACCACGCCCAGCTAATTTTTGTATTTTTAGTAAAGATTCGGTTTCACCATGTTGTCCAGGCTGGTCTTGAACTCCTGACCTCAGGTGATCCACCTGCCTTGGCCTCCCAAAGTGCTGGGATTAGAAGCATGAGCCACCTCGCCCAGCCCCCCAGGGCTATATATATATGTATATATATACACATATATATACATATATATATAAATATATATATGTATATATATATACATATATATAAATATATATATGTATATATATATACATATATATATAAATATATATATGTATATATATATACATATATATAAATATATATATATATATATTTTTTTTTTTTTTTAGATGGAGTCTCGCTCTGTCGCCCAGGCTGGAGTGCAGTGGTGCAATCTCGGTTCACTGCAACCTCCATCTCCCCGGTTCAAGCAATTCTCCTGTCTCAGCCTCCTGAGTAGCTGGGATTACAGGTGCATGTCACCACGCCCAGCTAATTTTTGTAATTTTAGTAGAGATGGGGTTTCACCATGTTGGTCAGGCTGACTTGAACTCCTGACCTCATGATCCACCTGCCTCGGCCTCCCAAAGTGCCGGGATCACAGGCATGAGCCACCGTGCCTGGCCCCCATGGCTATATTCTTAAGGCAGAATGGGGCTTCTAAATGTAGGTTTAAATCTGCAATAAGAACGAGCTTTTAAAAGGACAAATGACAGGCTGGGCATGGTGGCTCAAGCGGTAATCCCAGCAGTTTGGGAGGCCCAGGTGGGTGGATCACTTGAGCTCAGGAGTTCAAGACCAGCCTGGGCAACATGGCAAAACCTTGTCTCCACCAAAAATACAAAAATTAGCCAGGTGTGGTAGCACACACCTGTGATCCTAGCTACTCGGGTGGCTGAGGCATGAGAATTGCTTGAACCCAGGAGGCAGAGGTTGCAGTGAGCACCACTGCACTCCAGCCTGGGAAACAGAGTGAGACCCTGTCTCAAAAAGAAAGAAATAAAAAAAAAAGACTGCCATATTTTGAGAACCCATAACAGAAGGGAGGCAAAGTAAGGAAGAACAAGTCCACTGGGCACGGGAACTACCCTTTGGGGCCCTCAAAGTTGGTCCTGTCTCGCTTGGGCCAACTCAGATGGCTGACTCACAGGGGACCTGCTTGACGTTTGGACTGTGGTCCTGCCACCACCCTTCACGAATGGGACTGAAACTCACCTCCCCACTGGCCGCCTAGCTCCCAGCTGAGACTCACCCCCTCTGCTGGCTGAGTTTCACCACTGAGACTGATCTTACTGCAGACTTGAAAGCAGGGAGGCAGAGTTTGGCTTTTCTGCCTCCCACCTCCCTCTGCACACATTCACTCCCAAAGGGGACTCTGGGCTTTCTGGACCCTTTGCCTAAGACTATTTCCCTCAAACAGCCATCTCTACCAGTAGCTAATGAGACATGCCAGGGAGAAAAGAAAAGCAGTTAATGAACCGGCAAACTACCCAGATGGGAAAGTGTGAGAACGCTGCAGAGGAGGAAGGTTAGAGGAGGTGAGGGAGGAGAGAGGGAGCAAAAGGGAACAGAGAAGAAATGAGAGAGAACGCCTCCATTCATAGCTCCTCAGAGAATCAGACCCTGAAACATGAGCTGTTGGCTTGGATGGGCTTTGACCCATTAAAATATCATTAAATGAAAAACTTTGCAAAGCAAAGCAAAATCCATTGCTGTTATGGATTTTTGTTTTTAAGCAACTGCACAAGTTAAAATGTCAGATCCCTATAGATGATTCCCATTTTTCACAGGGCTTAGCCCAGTAAAATACCATACAGCCAAATTAAATTGTTAATATAAATGTGTAATTGCTGGCAATGACCCACAAATGAAAATTCAAGGCCCCGCTAAGAAGTCTTCACCAGGGGTGCTTGGCCAGCTGCCAATGGCCTCAGGAGACCGCAGTGAGAAGCAGCTAGGATCTTCCCCTAGTTAGCAGAAACGCACAGGGCTAATGCACGGTAGCAGCCTCCGTTTCAGCACTCCCCTTCTCCATAAAAAGAGCTGCGATGTGGAGTCACACTCTAAACAACTCCTAAGTTAGCATGTCCTGACCTGGCCAGTCGCTCTGACACCACTGCCCCTGTCAGGCCCCCCTGACTCCATCCTGGCTGCTGCCCAGCCCACTGGCTCTTCCCTGAGGACCAGTCCTGCTGAAAGGGTGAGCCTGGGCCCCCACTTAGGACCATGTGACTTAACACCCAATAGGGTGGACACCTGCCCCAAGCAGGACCCATCAGATTATTTCCTGGAAACCTAGAAGTGAGAAAGTCCAGTTTGTCGGCGTTGGTGCTGGATCCCAGAGGTCATGTGTGCAGCATGGGGAGCTTATTGGAGCACTCTTTTTCTAGTGGGAGAGAATGAAGCCCCGTTTGCAACCCCTTGGGGAGAGGCAGAAAGTCACCTCAGACCATGATTCTGGACCCTCACAAGGAATTGGAGATCCTTCCAACAAATTCCCACTCTTTTCTGCTTAAGTCTGCAGGACGGGCTTGTGTTCACCCCAACCCTGACTTGAGGGCAGGGACTTTTGTCAGCTTTATCCTCTGCTGTATCCCAGTACCTGGAATGTTAGAAGCTGGATGAATGCCTGTGTAAAATGAAGCCCCAATGAGGCTGATCTCTAGAATTTCTGCTTACACTATCAGTCCGTCCACTGAGCACCTCAATCCCCTTACTCCTCTGAACAAAAACCTTCCCTTCACAAGATTCTGAACAGAAGCATATATTCAGGGCAACTTGAATCCATGGGATGAAAAAAAAAAAATACCAAAGTCCACAACACCTAGCTCAGCCACCCAGGCCTCCCAAGGACTGGTTCTCCCACACCCTTCCAGTGCCAGGTCCTCTGCCTCCTGACCCAAATATTGGAGCCTCTCACTGTTCCTTGAGCATGCACTACTCAGGCCCAGACTCTGGTCCACCCCATCCACTCTCTTAAACACACTCCCCACTTCAAGGAATGAAATCCCATCCATGCTCAAGGCCCAACTCAAGCATCAGCTCCTCCTCAAAGCCTTTCATATGGCTTCAGCAAGAAGAAATCCTTCCCTCCCTGGAACGGGTAGAGGTATCTGTGCATAATACTCACAAGGCACTCACTGCATGCTGGCTGCTTTGTGTGAGGCATGAGAGCTCCCCAGTCCAGAATCTGAAGGTCAGTTATATTAGCTGGGTGGCCACTGTCCTCTCACCTTTCTGGGCCTGTCGCCCCACCCTCCCAACCCTCACTCCTACTGCTTTTTCTCCATAGTCCTCACCAACTTCTACTTTACCATATAACTTAAGAGTACGCCTGTCCTCTCACTAGTATGTAAGCTCCATGAGGGCAGAGATTTCTGTTTTATTCACTGTTACATCCTTGGCACCTGCAAGAGTTGGTACTCAGTAAATACCTGTTGGATGAATAAATGAATTCCAGCCTGGCCAAGGTGGCGAAACCCCATCTCTACTAAACATACAAAAATTAGCCAGGTGTGGTGTTGCAGACCTGTAATCCCAGCTACTCAGGGGGCTGAGGCACAAGAATTGCTTGAACCCAGGAAGCAGAGGCTGCAGTGATGTGAGACTGCATCACTGCACACCAGCCTGGGCAACAAAGTGAGACGCTGTCTCAAAAAAAAAAAAAAAGAATGAATAAATGAATGAATATACAAAATGAAGTTGACCCCTATTATTGAGTTCATGATTCTTTTATTTAGTTAGGTAGTTTTTGAGACGGAGTTTAGCTCTCGTTGCCCAGGCTGTAGTGCAATGGCGCGATCTCGACTCACCGCAACCTCCACCTCCCAGGTTCAAGCGATTCTCCTGCCTCAGCCTCCCGAGTAGCTGGGATTACAGGCATGCGCCACCACACCCGGCTAATTTTTTGTATTTTTAGTAGAGACGGGGTTTCTCCATGTTGGTCAGGCTGGTCTCCAACTCCCTCAGGTGATCTGCCCGCCTTGGCCTCCCAAAGTGCTGGGATTACAGGCATGAGCCACCGTGCCTGGCCGAGTCTGTGATTCTTTTAGAGCAGTGGTCCCCAACCTTTTTGGCCCCAAGGACCAGTTTCATGAAAGGAATTCACTTTTTCCGTGACCGGGGTGGGGGGATGGTTTTGGGATTATTCAGATACATT
Source organism: Homo sapiens (assembly GCF_000001405.40). Classification (NCBI taxonomy): domain Eukaryota; kingdom Metazoa; phylum Chordata; class Mammalia; order Primates; family Hominidae; genus Homo; species Homo sapiens. The sequence continues at coordinate 55,725,951 of NC_000007.14, forward strand.
AAATTTATTGTGCACTTTATTTCCATTATTATTACACCGTAATATATAATGAAATAATTATACAACTCACCATAACGTAGAATCAGTGGGAGCCCTGAGCTTGTTTTCCTGCAACCAGGTGGTCCCATCTAGGGGTGATGGGAGACAGTGACAGATCATCACGCATTAGATTCTCATAAGGAGCACATAACCTAGATCCCTCCCATGTGCAGTACACAATAGGGTTCATGTGCCTATGAGAATCTAATGCCCCTGCTGATCTGACAGGAGGCCGAGCTCAAGCAGTGATGTGAGCAATGCGGAGACACTGTAAATACAGATGAAGCTTTGCTTGCTCACCTGCTGCTCACCTCCGGCTGTGCAGCCCGGTTCCTAACAGGCCACAGACCACAACAGGTCCATGGCTCAGGGGTTAGGGACCCCTGTTTTATTTATTTATTTACTATTTATTTATTTTTGTAAATTGATATCCCATTTCAGTACCCCTGTTTTAGAGCAATGGTTGTCAAAGTGTGGTCCTCAGACCAGTAGCATCAGCTGGGAACTTGTCAGAAAAGCAAATTCCTAGGCCCTATCCCAGAGCTACTGAATCGGAAACTGTAAAACAAGCTCTCTACATGATTCAGAAGTATATGTAGTTTAAACACTACTGTGCTAGAGCATCTAGAACTCTGTATACCCAAAAAGGTATGTGGTAGGCACATAATAATATTTATCAAAAGACAAGCCTGGACCTGGGGGTCTGCAGACACACCCCTGAGCTCCTCCCCAGTGAATTTTCGTCATCCTTGGGTCTTATCCCTGCCATCCCAGGATTCCATCCTAACCTCCCCCACACACAGACACAAAAACATATAGTTAAACCTTCTCTGTGCTTTCATAGCTACTTACCTTTCTTCTATCATATACATGGGTGGACTACAGACCATAGATTATGGCCATGAACTACCTGGGTTCAAATCTCCACTCAACCACTTAGTAGTTATGTTCCTTGGGCAAATCATTTGAACTTTCTGAGCCTCAGTTTCTTCATTTGTAATGAGGTACCTACCTCACTGTCTTGTGAAGTTAAACAAATTATTCTAAGATTAAATGAGTTAACATATGTGAAGGCACATGGTAAGGACTGTGTGTGAACTCTATGAGAGACAGAGTGTGTGCTACTGTCTTACTGTACTTATCGCACTATGTTGTAATAGCCTAGGCTGTAAGTGGTAGGGATGGGGAAGAAGCATACTAGACTAGGACTAGTCTCTGTCTTGAGGGATAGATGCTGAAAAATGTTTGATGAAGGGATGGTAGATCCTCCATGCTCTTTCAACTGCCCTACACTGCCTCACAGTGGCTGCCAGCCCTAGAGATGCTCTAGATAGTAGGACAACTTGTTCTACTGGAATTAATTACCATCAGCTCAAGCAAGAAATTCTTCCCTATGAAAGAAGCACATGAAAGAAGATACACAAATGGTCAATACGCACATGATGCTCAACATCATTAGCCATTAGAGAAATGCAGATCAAAACCACAATGAGATATCATTTCACACCCACTAAATGGTTATAATCAAAGACACAGGCCAGGCGTGGTGGCTCACGCCTGTAATCCCAGCACTTTGGGAGGCCAAGGGGGGCAGATTGCTTGATCTCAGGAGTTTGAGACCAGCCTGGGCAACCTGGTGAAACCCTGTCTCTACTAAAAGTACAAAAATTAGCCAGGTGTGGTGTTGCATGCCTATAATCCCAGCTACTCCGGTGGCTGAGGCAGGAGAATCGCTTGAACCCCAGAGGCAGAGGTTGCACTGAGCCAAGATTGCACAATTGCACTCCAGCCTGGGTGACAGAGCAAAACTCTATCTCAAAAAAAAAAGAAAAAACTTTCTGATTGTAGTCTATTAAGTCTATTAATGGCACTGACCACCAAAAAGTACTTTTGCATGTCATCTTTGTGTTGTCAAACAATACCTTGATTTTGAAGTATATAATCATTGATAATAAAAATTGTTATATATTTTATTGACATGAATTCAGACATTCAGTTCATTCACTACACATATACTTTGGTCCAGTCTTTGCTTCACTTATGTCTCTGTGGCTTCAGGCAAGTCAGGTAACTTCTTACTTCCACCCTTGACTGTAAAACAGATGATACTTATCTTGCCTACTGACCTCTTACGGCAATTTGGGGAAATACCTTGGTGCTGAATTAGTTTCTAGGCTCAGACGCTAAACATACAATACATATTAATTGGTAAAGACTTGGGATTTGAAACTTGATCTTTTGAACTAGATGCCAAGAAGTCCAATCTTCATGACAACTCTGTATAAGGTCATAGGTATAATCACTACTTTACAGAAAAAATAAACTCCAGCCTGGGCAACTGAGTGATACCCTGTCTCAAAAGAAAAACAAAAACCAAACAAAAATTAGCCAGATGTGGTGGTGTGTGCCTGTAGTCCCAGCTATTTGGGAAGCTGATGTTGGAGGATCGCTTGAGCCCTGGATGTTGAGGCTGCATGAGCCATGATTGCACCACTGCATAATTGGCCTGGGTGACAGAGAGAGACCTTGTCTCAAAAAAAAAAAAAAAAGGTAGAGCAGGGCGGCCTGCACCTGTAGTCCCGGTTCAGCTACTTCGGAGGCTGAGGTGGGAAGATCATCTTCAACCTAGAAGATGGAGGCTGCAATGAATTGTGATCACACCACTGCACTCCAGCCTAGGTGACAGAGTGAAAGCCTGTCTAAAAATATATATAAAATAAAATAAAAACGAATGTCTGCTCGTGGTGGCAGGATCTAGGAGCCTGTAGTCCTAACTACTTGAGAGCCTGAGGTGGGAGGATCTCTTGAGCCCAGAAGTTCAAGTCCAGCCTGGGCAACATACCACGACTCTGTCTCAAAAAAGAAAAAAAAATCTTGCTATTAAAAAATGTCACAAATTTTTTAAAGACAAATGATAAATTAAAAAAATACTTGGCCAGGCGCTGTGGCTCACGCCTGTAATCCCAACACTTTGGGAGGCCAAGGCGGGCGGATCTCGAGGACAGGAGATCGAGACCATCCTGGCTAACACGGTGAAACCCCATCTCTACTAAAAATACAAAAATTAGCTGGGCGTGGTAGCGGGCACCTGTAGTCCCAGCTACTCAGGAGGCTGAGGCAGGAGAATGGCGTGAACCCGGGAGGGGGAGCTTGCAGTGAGTTGAGATCGCACCACTGCACTCCAGCCTGGCGACAGAGCAAGACTCCATCTCAAAAAAAAAAAAAAAAAAATACTTACGGCCAGGCATGGTGGCTCACACCTGTAATCCCAGCACTTTGGGAGGCTGAGGCGGGTGGATCATGAGGTCAGGAGTTCAAGACCAGCCTGGCCAAGATGATGAAACCCCGTCTCTACTAAAAATACAAAAATTAGCTGGGCGTGGTGGCAGGCACCTGTAATCCCAGCTACTCGGGAGGCTGAGGCAGGAGAATCACTTGAACCTGGGAGGTGGAGGCGACAGTGAGTCCAGATCACACCACTGCACTCAAGCCTGGGTGACAGAGCAAGACTCTGTCTCAAAAATAAAAAAGAAAAGAAAATAGAGAGTGTACTTTCACTTGGACCAAAGGCTGCACCTCCCCAATCTATAGATTGTTTCTCAGAAAATAGAAGGTCTCAATTTTCCTCAAAAAAAGAAAAGAAAATTAAGACAATGAAGTACATTGTTACAGCATTTAAAGAGATGCATGATTTTGTTTTGTTTTGTTGTTGTTTTGGTTTAGTTTTTTTTGTTTGTTTTTTATTTTGAGACGGAGTCTCGCTCTGTCACCCTGGCTGGAGTGCAGTGGCGTGATCTCGGCTCACTGTGAGCTCCGCCTCCCGGGTTTACGCCATTCTCCTGCCACAGCCTCCCGAGTAGCTGGGACTACAGGAGCCCGCCACCACGCCCGGCTAATTTTTTTGTGTGTTTAGTAGAGACGGGGTTTCACCGTGTTAGGCAGGATGGTCTCGATCTCCTGACCTCGTGATCCACCCGCCTCGGCCTCCCAAAGTGCTGGGATTACAGGCGTGAGCCACTGCGCCCTGCCAAGTTTTTTGATACCAAGTAACAGAACTCCAAATTTCACATAGGGAATTAAAAAAAAATCATCTGAGGAATACCAGAGGTTTTCACTCAATTGAGGGGTTGTATCCAATTCAGAGAAGTGGCCAGGTTTCCCCTGCTAGGAGGAGTGCAAGAATCACTAGAACCAATATGGCTGTTTGCTGACATGCTCTGTCTCCATTTCTTGTTTCTGCAGGTTTGTATATGGGCTTTGTTCTAAGATGCAGGTTGTCTTCTGCCACATATCAAAAAACAACGCCCTTGACATCTCTTAACTTGAACATCTGGCAGCTCCATTATCAGAAACTAGGTCTTTCCCAGCATCAGTGTTTTACGTCACTGGCTTGGGACTGCAGCCCTGCCCACCAATCAGCTATGAGCAGACCAGTGCTTTGTAGTGCAGACTTAACTACCAGAGCCCACCCCTGTGGTTTGGAAATCATTCCCCAGAAGGGGAAACCACAAAGAGTTAAGAGTAACTTGTAGAAGAATTTGACCATATGTAACAAAAGCTCTATGAATGGGTATAAGCTTGACCCAGCAATAGCATTTCTACCAATTTACCCCAAGGAAGTAATTAAGAATACATGCAGAGACTCAGCTGTAAGAATATGCTTTACAGTATCATCAATAATGGAGAGAAATAATCCAATATGAAACTTTCAATTAATTATCATACATCTACACAGCCATCAAAGTAGTGTTATAAAAATATACTTATTGATATTGGAAACTGTTTATTTTTAAAAAGCATATTAAAAAACGGTCAGCCGGGCGCGGTGGCTCACGCCTGTAATCCCAGCACTTTGGGAGGCTGAGGCGGGCGGATCACGAGGTCAGGAGATCGAAACCATCCTGGCTAACACGGTGAAACCCCATCTCTACTAAAAATACAAAAAATTAGCCGGGCGTGGTAGCAGCTGCCTGTAGTCCCAGCTACTCGGGAGGCTGAGGCAGGAGAATGGCGTGAACCCGGGAGGCGGAGCTTGCAGTGAGCCGAGATTGCGCCACTGCACTCCAGCCTGGGTGACAGAGCAAGACTCCGTCTCAAAACAAAAACAAAGGCCGGGCGCGGTGGCTCAGGCCTGTAATCCCAGCACTTTGGAAGGCTGAGGCGGGCGGATCACGAGGTCAGGAGATCGAGACCATCCTGGCTAACAGGGTGAAACCCCGTCTCTACTAAAAATACAAAAATTTAGCCTGGCATGGTAGCGGGCACCTGTAGTCCCAGCTACTCGGGAGGCTGAGGCAGGAGAATGACGTGAACCGGTGAACCCAGCTAATTTTTTGTATTTTTAGTAGAGACGGGGTTTCACCGTGTTAGCCAGGATGGTTTCGATCTCCTGACCTCGTGATCCACTCGCCTCGGCCTCCCAAAGTGCTGGGATTACAGGCGCCAGCCGGCCAATAAACTGTCTTTAAACAGAAACACACATAAAACAAGATTATGTATTGATCAGTTGAGGGAATATTGTGACCAAAGCCTTGCAGAAACCTAACCCAGAATTTCTCCTAAAAGCAATGGTTCAGTGTTTGCTAGTTCAGTATTTGCTGGGACTTTATAACAAAATTACTACATATAATGAGAACCGACAGTATGGGGCCGGGCGCAGCGGCTCACACCTGTAATCCCAGCACTTTGGGAGGCTGAAGCAGGTGGATCTCCTGAGATCAGGAGTTAAAGACCAGCCTGGCCAACATGGCGAAACCCCTTCTCTACTAAAAATACAAAAATTAGACGGCTGTGGTGGCACACACCTGCAGTCTCAGCTACTTGGGAGGCTGAGGCAGAAGAATTGCTAGAACCTGAGAGGCGAGGTTACCGTGAGCTAAGATCCCGCCACTGCACTCCAGCCTGAGCAACAGAGCTAGACTCCATCTCAAAAAAAAAAAAAAAAAAAAAAAAAAAAAAAAAAAAAAAAAAACTGACACTATCCTGACACTATCTAGGAATGGAATTTCTGGATCATATGAAACCCGACTGGTAGCTCTATCCTCGCCCACCACTGCCGCCTCCTTCTGCCGCTCCTGGTGCTGCTTGTGTGCTCGTTTGGTGCGGACCTGGTACCTCTTTTGTGAAGTGGCAGCTGAGGAGACCGGCGCTCGCCATGGCCGACGAAAAGCCCAACCAAGGAGTCAAGTCGGAGAACAACGATCATACTAATTTGAAGGTGGCGGGGCAGGATGGTTCTGTGGTGCAGTTTAAGATTAAGAGGCATACACCACTTAGTAAACTAATGAAAGCCTATTGTAAGCAACAGGGATTGTCAATGAGGCAGATCAGATTCCGATTCGACGGGCAACCAATCAAGGAAACAGACACACCTGCACAGTTGGAAATGGAGAATGAAGATACAATTGATGTGTTCCAACAGCAGACGGGAGGTGTCTACTGAAAAGGGAACCTGCTTCTTTACTCCAGAACTCTGTTCCTTAAAGACCAAGATTACATTCTCAATTAGAAAACTGCAATTTGGTTCCACCACATCCTGACTACTACCATATGGTTTTCTCTGTTCTTTCATTTCCCCCTTCCCCATTCCTTTATTGTACATAACTGGTATATGTGCACAAGCATATTGCATTTTTTTTAACTAAACAGCCAATGGTATGTTTTGATTGACATCAAGTGGAGACGGGATGGGGAAAAAGTACTGATTCTGTGAAAATACCCCCTTTCTCCATTAGTGGCATGCTCATTCAGCTCTTTATATTCCAGTAAGTTATTTTGCTCTCACTGTTTTAACAACAAAAAAAACACACAAAAATCCTTGCATACCTTGTTCAATTGCAGAATTTTAATGTTTTTCACTTATCATTGTAAAACCAAGGACAATTTTATAACTTTTTTGTACATAGCTGTTACATGTAGGGCAATCTGTCTTTAAGTAGGGACAAATTAAAACAAAAAAAGAAACCTAGATAGTTTTCCCTTCAAGTCAAGCGTCTTGTTGTTTAAATAAACTTCTTGTTTAAAAAAAAAAAAAGAAAGAAAGAAAAGAAACTCCACTGGTAACTTTCTGAGGAACTGCCAAAACTTCACTTTATAGTTTTGTAGGTTGCAAAAAAATAATCTGATGTCCAAGATCACCAGAGGAACAACACCTGTTCCCCCCTCCTATCCAATGGTCTCTCTCCTGAGTGCACTGACTTACTTGCAGAGGAGGAATAAACACAAAAGAAGAAGAAAAAAGCAAGTCAAAGGACATAAATATGGCTCCCTGTGACTTCTCTTATGGAGGTGTGCCCTACTTCACAGTCTTTTATACACAGACAGAAGATAGTCACCATTTTGGACTTTCTCTTTGTTCTGCTTTTTTGGTTTTTTTACTTTTTCTTACTTTCTTACTTCTTTGTACTGACTCATACGTCTCCACATTACAAATGTAATAAATTAACTAGATGCAACAAGAAACAGACTAAACAAGGCTGAAAGCAAATTAATGGCATGGAAGAAAGTATGATCTGAAGCCAGGTGTGGTGGCTTAGGCCTGTAATCCCTGAGTAATCTCAAAAAAAAAAAAAAAAAAAAAACAGAAAAGAAAAAAAGAAAAGAAAGTTTGTGATCTGAGAGACCAAAATAGACACCACTTTATCGACTAAGTTGCACTCAAAGCTTCAGGAAATGAAGTTACCTACGGGCAGAGGGTTCAGGGCCTGGCTGGCATGGCAAATGTCTAAATTCCTTTGGCTAAACTCCCTAACAATAGGAGCTATCAATTCTGATTTACAACCCAGACCACTACAACTCTGATTGGACAGGGGACGGGCCTCACAAACATTCTTTTCTGATAAGCTACTGCAGGCTTTTGGCCAGTTTCAGCAGCTTATAGAGGATTTGCACGAACTGTCTGTGTATCCTGTAGTTCACTTTTTGTTGTAAAGAGCCAAATTCCATCTCGTTTTAATGCTAAAACTCAGTCTCAAAGTAAATGTGGGATGTGTGTGACATATGTGTTTACCCAATTCCCTTATAAATATGTATAGCATTTCCCTCAAAGCTGCTGAATATGATATGGTTTGGTGATATACTTTGGCTGTGTCCCCACCCAAATCTCATCTTGAATTGTAGTTCCCATAATCCCGACGTGTGGTGGGAGGGACCTGGTGGGAGGTAATTGAATCATGAGGGTTGTTATCTCCATGCTGTTCTGGTGATAGTGAGTTCTCACCAGATCTGATGGTTTTATAAGGGGCTTTCCCCTCATTGCTCAGCACTTCTCCTTGCTGCTGCCATGTGAAGAAGGACGTGTTTGCTTCCCCTTCTCCCATGATTGTAAGTTTCCTGAGGCCTCCCTAGCCCTGTGGAACTGTGAGCCAATTAAACTTCTTTCTTTTATAAATTGCCCAGTCTCAGGTATTTCTTCATAGCAGCATGAGAATAGACTAATACAATATGTATGATACTGGCCTTATGAGACTTAACTAACTCTCAAGCTATCCTTCTCCTCTTCTAAGAGAGTGCACCTTCCAGCCACATCAGAGCCATAAGCCAAAAAAGAAAAAGAATTCTAAGCAATAATAAAAAAGAGGTGAGCAAAAGGGAGTAGTGGGAGAGAGTGTAACAGTGATGAAGTCCTCACAGACCTTCTTGGAATTGGATATCTGCAGCAGTCTATCAAAGAGAAAGTTTTACCATGTACCAGGATATCAATGGATGCTTTAAAAGTGGAAATATGTGGTTAAAACTGAAAGAAACCAATATTCTTCTGTAATATACTAGGGATTGTAGAGCTGAAGAAGATTAAAGGGCAGAGGACACTCTACCCTTCCCTCCGCTTGCCTGATGGCAGGACGGCAATTTACAAAGACAAAAGGTTTTCCTGCCTCCTCTCTGCCTTTCCCACCTAAAGATAGGATTTGAAGGGTTTGCTTATAAGCTCATAGACAAAAGCGCCAGAGACTTTTCTCTTCCCATAGATTATTAACCTTCCGACATTTTCCCACCTTTTGGAAACCTGAAGATGCTCTCTTGTCACTATAGGATTTATGAGTCTTTGTTAAAATACTATTTAAGCAAGGCCCCTAAGCCACTGCCTTGAGAAAGAAATCCACTTGAACTGAGAAGCCTTTCCTGTATGATGGGTACAGCAATGACTCAATAAACTTTTTTTTTTTTTTGACATGGAGTCTTGCTCTGTTGCCCAGTCTGGAGTGCAGAGGCACGATCTTGGCTCACTGCAACCTCTGCCTCCCAGGTCCAAGCGATTCTCCTGCCTCAGCCTCTTGAGTAGCTGGGATTACAGGCGCCTGCCACCACACCTGGCTACTTTCTGTATTTTTAGTAGAGATGGGGTTTCACCATGTTGTCCAGTCTGGTCTCAAACTCCTGACCTCAGGTGATTCACCCGTCTCAGCCTCCCAAATTGCCAGGATTACAGGCATGAGCCACAGTGCCCAGCCAAACTTCTGCTGACTTTTATTTTTAGGAGGCTATTTCACCTAAGAACCTATGAGGGCAAGAAAATAAAATATATTTTCTCCCCTAGAAAACACAGAATCACTCTTAAGAGTTGTGTGTGTGTGGCTGTCTGTGTATGTCTGTATGTGTGCTGTGAAACATGCCCATTTAGTAGTTTTTATAAACATAATCATTTTTCTTCATGTTAAATGACTCTTTTGGGAATTAATATCTCTAGTAGTAAAAAAAACTTCTTTAATTTCACAAATATGTCATTTTCTGTTAACTTTAAGTAAAATAAAATTTAGTAATTTCTATTTTAAGAAGCATGTGTGAATACTCTCCCTTTCATCTCTGTATTACTCTAGCTACCTATGTCTTTAAAAAATAAATAAAAAAATAAAAAATAAAAAACAGGGTCTCACACTGTTGTTCAGGCTGGAGTGCAGTGGTGCGATCATGGCTCACTGCAGCTGTGACTTCCCGGGCTCAAGTGATCCTCCCACCTCAGCATCCCAAGTAGCTGGGACTACAGGTGCGTGCCACCATGCTCAGCTAATTTTTGCATTTTTTGTAGAGATGGTGTCTCATTATGTTACCCAGGCTGGTCTTGAACTCCTGGGCTCAAGCGATCCTGAAACCTTGGCCTCCCAGAGTGCTGGGATTATAGGCATGAGCCACCACTAGGTCTACTTTAAAAGAAATGCTTAACGGAGTTTTTCAAGTAAAAATGAAAGAAAGCAGCTGGGTATGGTGGCTCATGCCTGTAATCCCAGCATTTTGGGAGGCCGAGGAGGGTGGATCACTTGAGGTCAGGAGGTCAAGACCAGCCAGGCCAACGTGGCAAAAACCCACGCCTTCTGAAAATACAAAAAATTAGCCAGGTGTGGTGGCGGGTGCCTGTAATCCCAACTACTCAGGGGGCTGAGGCAGGAGAATCAATTAAACCATGAGGCGGAGGTTGCAGTGAGCCGAGATCACACCACTGCCCTCCAGCCTGGGTGACAGAGCAACACTCTGTCTCAAAAAGGAAAAAAAAAAGAATGCTAATTAATCACATGAAAGCATAAGAAAATATATAATATTCAGCAGTAAATGTGCATATACTTGGGAGGCTGAGGCCGGAGAATTGCTTGAACCCAGGAAGTGGAGGTTTCAGTGAGCTGAGATCGCACCACTGCACTCCAGCCTGCCAAACTGCATCTCAAAAAAAAAAAAACAAAAAACTTGAGGCCTGGCCTCGTGCTCCCCTCCCATCCCCCATTCCGTGGGTCCAAGCTGCCTTGGCTGAGGAGGGAGCTGAGGAGGTGTGAGCCCCTGCCAGGAACCCCCTGCCCAGACCATGTACTTGGCCCACAGGCCCCTGATGTCTGCGTCCAGCGAGGCGTCCGGTGGCGTCAGCATGTTTGTGTGGAGGAATGTGGAACCTTGTTCTGTGGCTGTGTTCTCCTGGTACTCTGTCCCCTTCCTGACCCCTCCCTGCAGCCGCGTGAGGCCCAGCAACCTGCCAGTCACTCAGTGGCCTCCAACCAGAGCAAAGAACCTGCCAAGTTGGCAGCTGTTGCTCACGAGTGTCCACCAGGTGGGACAGGGAGTGCTGACCCTGGGCGGCCCCCTGAAGCCACCTGCCCTGAAAGCCCAGGGCCCAGAACCCCACACACTTTGGGGGTGGTGGAACCTGGTAAAAGCCCACCTCCTACCATGGAGGAGGAGCCCTGGGCCCCTCAGGGGAGTCCCTGCTGGACAGTGAGACAGAGAATGACCACAATGTTGCTTTCCTCTCTGTCATGTCTCCTGACACCCAGTTGCCTCCACCACTCAGATGATGTCAGGCCCAGTCCCTCAGTGCACTGCGCAAGGAACAGGACTCATCTTCTGAGAAGGATGGACGCAGCCCCAACAAATGGGACAAGGACCATATCCGGTGGCCCATGAGTGGCGTTCATGATCTTCAGCAAGCGGCACTAGGCCCTGGCAGGGCGCACCAGGGTCACCCCAACCAGGATAACCGGACCGTCAGCCAGATCCTGAGCGAGCGGTGGTACACCCTGGGGCCCAATGAGATGCAGAAGTACCAGACCTGGCCTTCCAGGTGAAGGTGGCCCACTTGCAACAAGGACCGAAAGAAGTCCAGCTCAGAGGCCAAGCCCACAAGCCAGGGGCTAGCAGGAGTGTACAAGGGCTCATGGGAGCAGAGCATATCAGAGACGGGCACTGCCACTGCCCCTGGGGTGTCCTCTGAACGCCTGTCAGTTGTGGCCCAGACATTCCAGAGCTCGGATACCAAGGAGCAGCTTCTGTGGGGCAGGACGGCTGCACACAGTCAGGGAACCTGGCTCAGCCTGGCCCAAGCCTTCTCCCACAGCGGGGTACTCAGCCTGGACGGCAGGGAAATAGACCGTCAGGCACTACAGGAACTGACACAGGTGGTGTCTGGCACTGCATCATACTCTGGCCCAAAGCCTTCTACTCAGCATGGAGCTCCAGGCCACTTTGCAGCCCCTGGTGAGGGAGGTGACCAGTGGGCAGCCCTGCTGCTGCCCACCTGAGCTGCTCATTCCCAGCACATGGCCAGTGAGGACACAGCGAGTGACGAGGAGCCCATGGTCATCCATGAGGAGGAGGGGGTGATGATGTCATTGCTGATGACGGCTTTAGCACCACTGACACTGATCTCAAGTTCAAGGAGTGGGTGACCGACTGAGAGTGGGGACGACTCTGGGGAGGAGCCAGAGGGCAACAAGGGCTTTGGTGGGAAGGTATTGGCACCTGTCATTCCTTCTTCCTTTACTCCTGCCACCCCTTGCTCGATCCTGAGCCCCCAGGGTCCCCCGATCCACCTGCAGTTTTTGGCAAAGTCTATGGTCCCACCCCGTCCTCCTCCTACACACTCCTATGCTTCCTCCTCAACCTTGGCACCCACCTCCTTACTGGGCCCAGGAGCCTTCAAAGCCCAGGAATCTGGTCAGGGCAGCAGAGCGGGCCCCCTATGGCCCCTACCCCTGGGGATGGGGGCCCAGGGATGCCTTCCAAGGCGACCTGTTTCCTCCCAATGGATCCTGCCACCTTCTGGTGCAAGAGACCTGAAAGTGTGGGCGACCTGGAGCTACCAGGCCCCTCAGTCATCACGGTCCCTCCCAACACTAAGGCTTTCCTAGGCAGGAGCTGGGCTGAGCCACCCGGGGGGCAGAGCCTGAAGAGGAGAAACTGACTGGGCTTTGGGGGTCGGGGCAGAGGGAACCCCACGGACATGGATCCCGCACTGGAGGACCCCACCACGCTCAAATGCAAGATGAGAAGATGCTCCAGCTGCAGCCCAAAGCCCAACACCCCCAAGTGTGCCATGTGTGATGGGGACAGCTTCCCCTTTGCCTGTACAGGTGGGAGAAGCCGAGGACGGGCTCAGGGAACCGGAGACCGAGAAGGCGGTGTCCTCTTCACTGCACGTGCCCTGGACCAGTGCCGGCCCTGATCATGCAGCTCTTCCAGGCCCACTGCTTCTTCCTGTCCACTAGGCCACAGCCGCCCTCCAGGCCCACTATGCACACATCCTCCCCTCCAAGGTTTCTTCTGCCCCTGCCCTGACTCCCAGCCCTGTGGGGGTCCTGACCCCACCTCACCTGGCTAGACTCTGACGCTGCCCTGGCTGCCCCACCACTGCCTCTGCCCAAGAGTCACGTGAGGCTGAGAGTAGGGGCAGGGGCAGCAGTGGTGCCAGTTGGGGGGCGGTCCAGTGGGAGGAGCCTCAGCCTCGGGGGCTGCTCCGTGGGACTGATGACTGCATGATCTTCTGGGCACCTCACGGATCTTCAACTGCAGGTGAAACGGATGCTGGTGGTGGGTGCAGGGCCGCTGGGAGCCGCTGCATGGGTCCCAGAGGCTGGACTGCGGCAGGTGCCAACTGAAGCTGCTGGGGAAGCATGAGCAGGATGTTCTGCACACAAACCTTGGAGAAGACGTGTGCATAGCGGGTCCACTGCTGCTGCCCCTGCCCTGACTCCCAGCCCTGTCTGACCCCACCTCACCCTGCTCAGGCTCTGGCGCAACCCTGGCTGCCCTGCCACTGCCTCTGCCCCAGAGGTGGGACCTTGACAGCCTGGCTGGAAGGGGACACCCTAGCCCTGCTTCAACACCTGGGTCCCTCCATAACTACCACAGGCAGGTGGGCGACCCCAAAGAAGATCCCAGGACTCACAGTACCCCCTGAGAACATGGACAGTATGTGGGGGTAGCAATGGAGGGCAGGATGGTTATCTTCTCCTGGGTAAAGCCATTTAATCCTTTCAGTTTGGGACGGAATAAGGCCTGCCTCTCTTTTTTCTTTTGAGACGGAGTCTTGCTCTGTCGCCCAGGCTGGAGTGCAGTGGTGCAATCTTGGCTCACTGCAACCTATTCCTGCCGGGTTCACGCCATTCTCCTGCCTCAGCCTTCCAGGTAGCTGGGATTACAGGTGCATGCTACCACGTCCGGCTAATTTTTGTATTTTTAGTACAGACAGGGCTTCATCATCTTGGCCAGGCTGATTTCGATCTCCTGACATCGTGATCCACCTGCCTCCACCTCCCAAAGTGCTGGGATTACAGGTGTGAGCCACCACACCTGGCCAAGGCCTGCTCCTCTTATATATACCCCCTAGCCCTGCAGCTGTGCCGGGGGAAAGCTGGGCAGTTTCCCTCCTCCAAACCCCTGTACATACCATGAAGTGTGGGACCTTCAGAGCTTTTCACTTTTCGGAAAATAGCTCCTGCTGGGGCTACAAGATGGAGTGTGAAGAGGGCCTTGGGCCACAGGGAGGCGCCTGTGGACTAGGGGGAGTTCATGCACCCCTTCTTTCCCCAGAGGGGCTGGACTCAGGTGAGTATGGGGGCGGGGGCTCCTGCACTTCGACAAAGGCAGCGGGAGGGTTTTCTCCCCATTCCCTCTGCACTCCCAACTTGAGCTGTACTTTTTAAGAAAGTGATTCACCCTGCCTTTGCCCCCTTCCCCAGAACAGAACACGTTGATCATGGGCGGTATTTTTCATTGTGCCAAAAAGTTGCCATGACTGTCATTAAACCTGTTTAACACCAAATAATAAGGAAAATAAAATAAAAAATTCGGGCTTGGTGCAGAAACTCACTCCAAATACATTACCTTTAAAAATATTTATATAATGGTAGAAATATTCCAAAATTCCATATTTTGAGATTTATACACAAAAGATAAACAAATTAGAGGCCAAGAAAAACGGGGCCTGGAAAGGCCGTTGTGAGGAATGAGCTGGGCCTAAAGAGGCCACTGGCAGGCAGGAGCTGGGACTGCCAAAGCGGCCGAAAGGCAGGAGCTTTGGACTGGGGAGGCCGCAGTGAGGCGAGAGCTAGCTGGGCGTGGAGAGTCCACTGTGAGGCTGAGGCTGGGCCTGTGCAGGCCTTCGAGAGGCAGGAAGCCAGGCCTGCAAAGGCCGACTGGAGGTCAAGTTCTGGGCCTGAAGAGGCCACCAAAAGTCAAAAGCGGGGCCTGGGAAGGCCACTGAGAGCCACGAGCTGGGCTGGGCCGAAAGAGGCCACTGGGAGGCAGGAGAAGCTGGGCCTGGAGAGGCTGACTCGAGGAAGTTTTGCACCGGGAGAGGCCGCCGAGAGGACGGAGCTGGGCCCGGGGAGGCCAACTTGCAGCTCTTCCAGGCCCACTTCCAGGCCAACTTAAGGACGACTTAGGCCTGCAGAGGCCGCCGGGAGGCTGGAGCTGGGCCTGGAGAGGCCGACTTCAGCACGATTTAGGCCTGCAGAGGTCGCCGGGAGGCCCAAGCTGGGCCTAGAGGAGCCCACCGACCGGAGGCCGTTTGGGGCCTGGAGATGCCGTCGGAGGGCAGGAGCTGAGCCTGGCGAGGCCACCGTGAGGCCTGACCTGGGCCTGGGGAGCTTGGCTTCAGGAAGTTGTGGGCCTACCAGGGCCACTGGGAGCTGGGCGGGAGCTGAGTCCAAAGACATTGTTGGGAGGCCGGAGTCGGGCCTGGAGATGCAGCCGGGAGGAAGAGCTGGGCCCGGAGAGGACGCCGGGAGGCTGCAAGTGGGTCTGGAGAGGCTGACTTGAGGAGGCCCGGCCTCTGCCTCCCTCATGGCGGCCTCTGCAGGCCCAGCTGTTCCTCCTGGCTGCATCTCTCGGCCCAGCTCCTGCCTCCCAGCAAGCAAGCTCTTTTGGCTCAGCTCCCGCCGGCGTTTGTAGACCCCGAAGTTTCTGCAGCCAAGCTCTTCAGGCCCACATCCTGCCTCCCAGTGGCCTGTAGAGTCCCAGCTCTGGCAGCAGAAGAGCATCTGCAGGCCCCGCTGTTGCCTCCCAGGGGCGTCTCCAGGCCCAGCTCTCGCCCCACCGCGGCTTCCCGGGGCCAAGTCCCTGCCTGCTCCCGGCAGCCTGCGTGCAGTCCTGCTCCTCCCTCACAGTGGCCTGTTGAGGCAGGGGCTCACGCTGACCTCTCTCTGCGTGGGAGGGGCCGGTGTGAGGCAAGGGGTCAGTGTGGGAGGGGCCAGTGTGAGGCAAGGGGCTCACGCCCACCTCTCAGCGTGGGAGGGGCCGGTGTGAGGCAAGGGGTCACGCTGACCTCTCTCTGCGTGGGAGGGGCCAGTGTGAAGCAAGGGGCTCACACCGACCTCTGTCAGCGTGGGAGGGGCCAGTGTGAGGCAAGGGGCTCATGCGGACCTCTCTCAGCGTGGGAGGGGCCGGTGTGAGGCAAGGGCTCACGCTGACCTCTCTCGGCATGGGAGGGGCCGGTGTGAGGCAAGGGGTCAGCGTGGGAGGGGCCAGTGTGAGGCAAGGGGCTCATGCGGACCTCTCTCAGCGTGGGAGGGGCCGGTGGGAGGCAAGGGCTCATGCTGACCTCTCTCGGCGTGGGAGGGGCCGGTGTGAGGCAAGGGGCTCACGCTGACCTCTCTCTGCGTGGGAGGGGTCGGTGTGAGGCAGGGACTCACGCTTCTGGGCAGGGTGCCAGAGGCATGAGTTGGGCATCAACAGGCCACCGTGAGGGGGGAACTGGGCCGCACGCGGGCTGCCGGGAGGCAGGCAGGGACTTGGCCCCGGGAGGCTGCCGTGGGGGCGAGAGCTGGGCCTGGAGAGGCCCCTGGGAGGCAAGAGCGGGGCCTGCAGAGGCTGTTCTACAGCCAGAGCTGGGCCTGTACAGGCCACCGGGAGGCAGTAGGTGGGCCCGAAGAGCTTGGCTCGAGAAAGTTCGGGGCCTACAAAGGCGGCTGGGAGCTGGGCAGGAGTTGAGCCAAAAGAGCTTGCTTACTTGCTGGGAGGCAGGGCCGGGAGACGCCGACTTCAGGACGACTTGGGCCTGCAGAGGTCGCCAGGAGGCCCAAGCTGGGCGTGGAGGAGCCCACCGACCGGAGACCATTTGGGGCCTGGAGACGCCATTGGAGGGCAGGAGCTGATCCTGGAGAGGCCACCGTGAGGCCTGACCTGGGCCTGGGGAGCTTGGCTTCAGGAAGCTGTGGGCCGACCAAGGCCGCCAGGAGATGGGCAGGCGCTGAGTCCAAAAAGGTTGTTGGGAGGCAGCAGTCGGGCCTGGAGACGCAGCCGGGAGGAAGAGCTGGGCCCGGAGAGGATGCCGGGAGGCTGCAAGTGAGTCTGGAGAGGCCGACTTGAGGAGGCCCGGCCTCTGCCTCCCGCATGGTGGCCTCTGCAGGCCCAGCTGTTCCTCCTGGCTGCATCTCTCGGCCCAGCTCCTGCCTCCCAGCAAGCAAGCTCTTTTGGCTCAGCTCCCGCCGGTGTTTGTAGACCCCGAAGTTTCTGCAGCCAAGCTCTTCAGGCCCACATACTGCCTCCCAGTGGCCTGTAGAGTCCCAGCTCTGGCAGCAGAAGAGCATCTGCAGGCCCCGCTGTTGCCTCCCAGGGGCGTCTCCAGGCCCAGCTCTCGCCCCACCGCAGCCTCTCGGGGCCAAGTCCCTGCCTGCTCCCGGCAGCCTGCGTGCAGTCCTGCTCCTCCCTCACGGTGGCCTGTTGAGGCAGGGGCTCACGCTGACCTCTCTCCGCGTGGGAGGGGCCAGTGTGAGGCAAGGGGTCAGCGTGGGAGGGGCCCGTGTGAGGCAAGGGGTCAGCGTGGGAGGGGCCCGTGTGAGGCAAGGGGTCAGCATGGGAGGGGCTGGTGTGAGGCAAGGGGTCAGCGTGGGAGGGGCCGGTGTGAGGCAAGGGGTCAGCGTGGGAGGGGCCGGTGTGAGGCAAGGGGTCAGCGTGGGAGGGGCCGGTGTGAGGCAAGGGGTCAGCATGGGAGGGGCCGGTGTGAGGCAAGGGGTCAGCATGGGAGGGGCCGGTGTGAGGCAAGGGGCTCACGCCGACCTCTCTCAGCGTGGGAGGGGCCGGTGTGAGGCAAGGGGCTCATGCCGACCTTCCTCAGCGTGGGAGGGGTCGGTGTGAGGCAGGGACTCACGCCTCTGGGCAGGGTGCCAGAGGCATGAGTTGGGCATCAACAGGCCACCGTGAGGGAGGAGCTGGGCCGCACGCGGGCTGCTGGGAGGCAGGCAGGGACTTGTCCCCGGGAGGCTGCCGTGGGGGCGAGAGCTGGGCCTGGAGAGGCCCCTGGGAGGCAAGAGCGGGACCTGCAGAGGCTGTTCTACAGCCAAAGCTGGGCCTGTACAGGCCACCGAGAGGCAGTAGGTGGGCCCGAAGAGCTTGGCTGGAGAAAGTTCGGGGCCTACAAAGGCGGCTGGGAGCTGGGCAGGAGTTGAGCCAAAAGGGCTTGCTTACTTGCTGGGAGGCAGGGCCGGGAGACGCCGACTTCAGGACGACTTGGGCCTGCAGAGGTCACCGGGAGGCCCAAGCTGGGCGTGGAGGAGCCCACCGACCGGAGACCATTTGGGGCCTGGAGACGCCATCGGAGGGCAGGAGCTGATCCTGGAGAGGCCACCGTGAGGCCTGACCTGGGCCTGGGGAGCTTGGCTTGAGGAAGCTGTGGGCCGACCAAGGCCGCCAGGAGATGGGCAGGCGCTGAGTCCAAAGAGGTTGTTGGGAGGCAGCAGTCGGGCCTGGAGACGCAGCCGGGAGGAAGAGCTGGGCCCGGAGAGGACGCCGGGAGGCTGCAAGTGGGTCTGGAGAGGCCGACTTGAGGAGGTTCTGGGCCCGGAGAGGCCGCCGGAAGGGAAAAACTGGGCCTAGAAAGGCCGTTGTGAGGAATGAGCCCCATGGGCCTGAAGAGGCCACTGGCAGGCGGGAGCTGGGCCTGCCGAAGCGGCCGAGAGGCAGGAGCTTTGGACTCAGGAGGCTGTAGTGAGGCGAGAGCTAGCTGGGCGTGGAGAGTCCGCTGTGAGGCTGAGGCTGGGCCTGTGCAGGCCTTCAGGAGGCAGGAGGCCGGGAAGGCCGCCGGGAGGCATGAGCTGGGCTGGGCCAAAAGAGGCCACTGGGAGGCAGGAGGAGCTGGGCCTGGAGAGGCTGACTCGAGGAACTTTTGCACCCGGAGCGGCCGCCGAGAGGCCGGAGCTGGGCCTGGGGAGGCCGACTTGAGGACGACTTGGGCCTGCAGAGGGCGCCGGGAGGCTGGAGCTGGCCCTGGACAGGCCGACTTGACGACAGTCTGGGCCTGCAGAGGCCGCCGAGAGGAAGAGCTGGGCCTGGAGAGGCCGACTGGAGGAAGTCCAGAGCCTGGAGAGGATGCAAAGCAGCAAACGCTAGGCCTGGAAAGGCTGCCCTGAGGCACGGGCTTGGCCTACAGAGGCCACTGGGAGGCAGGAGCTGGGCCCGCAGAGGCTCCCGAGAGCGGGGAGCATTGCCCCAGGAGGCCACGGTGAGAAAGAGGTGGGCCTGGAGAGCCCACTGTGAGGTAGAGGCCGGGCCTGTAGAGGCCGCTGACAGGCAGGGGCTGGGCCCGTTGAGGCCACCAGAGGCATGAGCTGAGCCTCAACAGGCCAGTGTGAGGCAGGAGCTGACACTTGGGCAGGTTGCAAGAGGCATGAGTTGGGCGAAAAGAGGCCACCGTGAGGGAGGAGCTGGGCCTGTACAAGTTGCCGAAAGGCAGGAGCAGCTTTGGACTGGAGAGGCAGCAGACAGGGAAGAGCTGGGCGTGGAGTGTCTGCTGTGAGGCAGAGGCTGGGCCTGTACATGCCCTTGGGAAGCAGGAGGCTGGGCCTGGAGAGGCCGACTTGAGGAAGTTTTGCTCCTGGAGAGGCCACTTAGAGGCAAGAGCTGGGTGTGAAGAGGCTGACTTGAGGTCGATTTTGGCCTGCAGAAGCCACCGGTAGCTAGGAGTTGGCCCTGGAGAGGCTGACTTGAGGACAGTTTTGGCCTGTAGAGGCCACTGGGAGGGAGAGCTTGGTCTGGAGAGGCCAACTGGAGTAAGTTCAGGGCTTGGAGAGGATGCACAAAAGGAAACGCTCAGCCTGGAAGTGTGCTGTGAGGCATTAGCTTGGCCTACACAGCACTTGGAGGCAGGAGCTAGGCCTGCAGAGGGTGACTTCAGGACGATTTTGGCCTGCAGAAGCCGTTGGGAGGAAGAGCTTGGCCTGGACCGGCTGACTGGAGGAAGTTTTGGGACTGGAGTATGTGTCAAAAAGCAAAAGTTAGGCTAGGAAAGGCCACTTCGCGGCATGATCTTGGCCTACAAAGGCAATTGCGAGGCAGGAGCTGGGCCTGTAGAAGCTGCCAAAAGGCAGGAGCTTGGCCTTAGGAGGCTATGCTCAGGCAAGTGGTGGGCCTGGAGGGTCTACTGTGTGGTAAGAGTCTGGGCCTGTGTAAGCCGACATGAGGCAGGAGCTGAGTTAGGAGAGGCCAACTTTTGGAGAATTTGGGCCTGCAGAGCCTGCCAGGAGGCAAGAGCTGTGCCTGGAGAGTCCGTCTTTTAGCATGACTTGGGCCTAAAGAGACCATTGTGAGGCAGCAGCTGCCTGGGAGGCAGGCAGATTCATGGCCTGGGGAGGCCACCGTGAGGCAAATGCTCAGTTTTCGGAGGATGCCGTGAGGCAGGGAGAAACTTGGCTTTCGGTGGCCGCAGTGAGGGAATAGTTTGATTGCTGAGGCTGCTGGGAGGCCGAAGGTGGGCCTGGAAAGCTTTACTTTAAGAACTCTGTGGCCTACAGAGACTGCCAAGCAGCTCAGCAGGAGTTGGGCCAAAGGAGGTTGTTGTGAGGCAGGAGACGGGCCTGTAGACGCACTGGGAGGATGAGCTCGTCCCGGAGATGCCGAGTTAAGGACATTCTGGGCCTGGACAGGCTGCAAAAGGCAAAAGCTGTGCCTGGAAAAGTCGCCGTGGGGCATGAGCTTGGCCTAAAGAGGCCATTGCAAGGCAGGAGCTGGGCCCGTAGAGGCTGCCGAAAGGCAGGAGCTTCGCCTGAGGATGCCACAGTGAGACACCATCTGGGTCTGGAGGGTCCACTGTGAGGCAGAGGCTGGCCTGTAGAGTCCGACAGTAGACAGAAGTTGGGCAAAAGGCTGATTTGAGGAAGTTTTGGGCTTCAAGAGTCAGCCAGGAGGCAGGCACTAGGCCTGGAAATGGCCCGACAGTCATGAGTTGGGCCTAAATGGGCCACTGTGAGGGAGGAGCTGTGCCTGTTGAGGCTGCTGGCAGGCAGGCAGAAACTTGGCCTGGGGCAGCCGCCATGAGGCAAGAGCTGGGCCTGGAGAAGCCCCTGGGAGGCAAGAGCACGGCCTGCAGAGGCTGTTCTCAAGTCAAAGCTGGGCCTGTTCATGCCACCGCGAAGCGGAAGGCGGGCCTGGAGAGTTTGACTTGAGGAAGTTTTGGGCCTACATTGGCCGCTGTGAGCTGGACAGGAACTGGGCCAAAAAAGGCTGTTGTGAGGCAGCAGTTGTGCCTGTAGACTCAGCCCAGAGGAAGAGCTGGGCCTGGAGAAGCCCCCATGAGGCAGAGGTTGGGCCTGTAGATGCTGACAGGAGGCAGGAGCTGGGCCTGGAGAGGTCAACTTGAGGAGATTTTGGGCCTTCATAGGCCACCAGGAGGCAGCAGTTGGGACTAGAGAGGCTGACTTGAGGAAGTTTTGGGCCTGGAGATGACGTCCTGGGACAGGAGCTGGGCCTGGAGAGGCCACCGTGAGGCAAGAGCTGGATGTAGACAGGCCAGTGTGAGGCAAGACCTGGGCCTGTCTAGGCTGCTGGGAGACAGGCAGGAATCTGGCCAGGGAAGGTTGCCATGAGACAAAAGTTGGGCCTGGAAAGGCCCTTGTGAGGCATGAGCTTGGCCTAAAGAGGCCACTGGGTGGCAGGAGCTGGGTGTGTAGAAGCTGCTGAAAGGTTGGGAGCTTGGCTTGGGTGGTCCACAGTGAGGCAGATGCTGGGCCTGAAGAATCTGCTGTGAGACAGATGTTGGGACTGTAGAGGCTGACAGGAGGCAGAGGCTGGGCCTGGAGAGGCTGCCAAGATGCAGGAGCTGGGCCTGGAGAGGCTGCCAAGAAGCATGAGCTGGGCCTGGTGAGGTCGACTTGAGGAAGTTCAGGGCCTGGAGAGAAGGCTGGGAGGCAGGAGCTGGGTCTAAAGAGGCCATTGTAACGGTGGAGCTGTGCCTGTGGAGGCTGTTGTGAGGCAGTAGCCTCATCTGCGGAGACTGCCGTGAGGTAGGGTATGGGCCTAAATAGGCCATTGTGAGTCATGAGCTTGGTCTGTGGAGGCTGACTGGAGAAAGTTCTGGGCCTGGAGAGGCTGCCGGGAGGTAGGAGTTGGGCCAAAAGATTTAAGCACATTACATTTATTAGGCACTTTATTTCCATTATTACACTGTAATATATAATAAAATAATTATACAACTCACCATAATGTAGAATCAGTGGGCGTGTTAAGCTTGTTTTCCTGCAACTGGATGGTCCCACCTGAGCGTGATGGGAGAAAGTGACAGATCAATAGGTATTAGATTCTCATAAGGACAGCGCAACCTAGATCCCTCACATGCACGGTTCACAACAGGGTGCGTTCTCCTATGAGAATCTAATGCTGCTGCTCATCTGAGAAGGTGGAGCTCAGGCGGGAATGTGAGCAAAGGGGAGTGGCTGTAAATACAGACGAAGCTTCCCTCACTCCCTCACTCGACACCACTCACCTCCTGCTGTGTGGCTCCTTACGGCTCCATGGCTCAGGGTTTGGGGATCCCTGCTCAAGTGCATCCAAAACGACCCTTCCCACACCAGTCTTCACAGTGGTCAAGTGCAGCAACCACTTAGCTCCCAAGGCATGTGCCTCAGCTGGCATTTCGTCACAATCAACAGTAAGTGGTAGCTTGAGTCATTGTGAGGTCACTTCCTGGAAATCACCAGCATCCCATTTCCCACTGGCAAAGAGCTCAGCACTGCCCCCTGGGAAACCAAACCTATGCCCAAATCCCATCTGTGTGGGTTTATCTCCTGGGACCCTTCCTAACATATTAGTCAGAGTCCAATCAGGAAGCATAAACCGCTCAAAAGTTTAAAGTGGTAAAATTTAATACAGAGAATTATTCATTATAACAGGTGAATAGCATAATGAGAGACTGGCTAGCACAAAGTAAAGAGAACTCTAGAGAATATAGGACTAGCCCAGGCCAGGCATGGTGGCTCATGCCTGAAATTCCAGCAATTTGAGAAGCTAATGCAGGAGGATTGCTTAAGGCCAGGAGCTAGAGACCGGTCTGGGCAACACAGTGAGACCCTGTCTCTATCCAAAAAAAGAAAAAAATTAGCTGGGAGTGGTGGTGCACACTTGTAGTCCCAGCTACTCGGAATGCTGAAGTTTGAGCCTGGGAGGTCAAGGCTGCGGTGAGGCATGATTATGCCACTACAGTCCAGCCTGGTGACAGAGCAAGACCCTGTCTCAAAGAACAAAACAACAACAACCATTTACAGACAGAAAAGAAATAGAGCTAATAAGCTAAGGGAAGATGTTGAAATGTGACAAGTAAAGTAATATGAGGTCTTTTATCTATTTAAAATAATCAAACAAAAAATGACTTACTAAATTATAATACCCTGTGCTGGCAAAGGTGCAGTGAAATGGGCACTTTCTTATACTATGAGGGGTGTTTAAATTGTGTATAAGCCTTCCAGGGTAAAGCTTGTCAATTTTTTAAAATAATAGAGACAGGGTCTCACCATACTGCCATACTGCCTCCTCCAACTCTTGGCCTCAAGCAATCCTCCTCTCTTAGCCTCCCAAAGTGCTAAGATTATAGCTGGGAGGCACCCAAAACCTTGTCCATTTACATCAAGGGTAAGGAGAATGTCCA
Source organism: Homo sapiens (assembly GCF_000001405.40). Classification (NCBI taxonomy): domain Eukaryota; kingdom Metazoa; phylum Chordata; class Mammalia; order Primates; family Hominidae; genus Homo; species Homo sapiens. Next base: position 55,749,598 of record NC_000007.14, read on the forward strand.
TTCACCATGACTCACAGTAATCTTACTTCTGGGGAGACAATTCAATCTCAACAAAAGGTCATCTGTACAAACACAGTAAAAATCTGGGGAGTAACTGAAGACAGAGTTGGTAAGTGAAATAAGAAACAGCTATAAGAAATTAAACTATGGTATCAATAGGCACCTGGTAAAAGGTCAGTTGATGTTAGCTGCTACTTTTTTGTTGTTCTGAGACAGGGTCTCACTCTGTCACTGAGGCTGGAGTGCAGAGGCCTGATCATGACTCACTGCAGTCTCAGCCTCCCTGGGCTCAAGTGATCCTCCCAGCTCAGCCTCCCAAGTAGCTGGGACTACAGGAACATGCCACCACACTAGGCTAATTCATGTATTTTTCTTTTTTTTTTTTTTTTTTTTTTTTTTTTTTGAGACGGAGTCTCGCTCTGTCGCCCAGGCTGGAGTGCAGTGGCGCGATCCCGGCTCACTGCAAGCTCCGCCTCCCGGGTCCACGCCATTCTCCTGCCTCAGCCTCCCAAGTAGCTGGGACTACAGGCGCCCGCCACCACGCCCGGCTAATTTTTTGTATTTTTAGTAGAGACGGGGTTTCACCATGTTAGCCAGGATGGTCTCGATCTCCTGACCTCGTGATCCGCCCGCCTCGGCCTCCCAAAGTGCTGGGACTACAGGCGTGAGCCACCGCGCCCGGCCAATTCATGTATTTTTCTGTAGGGATGGTGACTCCCTTTGTTTCCAAGGCCTATCGCAAACTCTTGGCCTCAAGCCATCCTCCTGCCTCAGCCTCCCAAAGTGTTGCGATTACCAGTGTGAGCCACCACACCTGGCCAGCTGCTACTTTTATCAATATTATTATTATTCCACTCAATTAAAAATTATTATTTTCAAGGCTATGCAACAGTATGTATCCTACAGCGTAATTGTAAAAACATATACAGTCGTCCCTCAGTATACAGAATTAGTTCCAGCCCCCCATCTCTGCATATACCAAAATCCATGCTTACTCACGTTTCGCTGTCACCCCTCTGGAATCCACATATAGGAAAATTCCAAATATTAGTTGGGCATAGTGGCAAGCACCTATAGTCTCAGCCACGTGGGAAGTTGAGATGGGAGGATCGCTTCAGCCTGGAAGGTTGAGGCTGCAGTCAGCTGTGATAGCACTACTACACTCCAGCCTTGGACAAGAGAGGGAGACCCTGTCTCAGAAAAAAAAAATAGGTTAGAAATTGTAATGAGGTCTGTTGGGCAAAATTCCATATAAGCAAAGTATAAATTAATAAAGCAAATGGTGATAAATTAGTACGATTGACTTTCTGGAGTTTCTGACAATAAAAGTAAGGAAAATGCAAAACACAAAGACAGAAAGTAAAAAGAGAAATTAGGAAAGCATTCTACATGTTTAATAGGAAGACACTGGCCATGTTCGTGCAGCGGCAGTATGTCATGATATGACATACCTTGAAGAGAAGTTAACAGATGAGGAAGTTGATAAAAATGATCAGAGAAGCAAAATACTGGCAGCGACACTCAAGTAAACCACGAAATTTCCATAACTTATGTCAGCAAAGTGGGAATATTGTACAGTGTGTGTTGAAGTTCCTATACAACATTGTTTATCTGCCTTTTGTTTGTAAGGAATGTATATACTAAAAGTTCTTCTTGCTGTCAAAAGAGTATGTGTGAATAAGTCATTTTAACTTATTCTTCTGTTTTTCTTTTATCTTCCTGCCATCATCCCACAGCCTTACTTTAGAAATTTTTTTTTAGAAAATTGAACAAGTGCTCCTTGTGGTGGCACATACCTCTAGGATGGGAGGCAGGGGTGGAAGGGTCATTTGAGGCCATGAGTTTGACACCAGCCTGGCCAACAAAGTAAGACCCCATGTCTACAAAACAATTTAAAAATTAGCCAAGTATCGTCATGTATACCTACAGTCCCAGCTACTCAGGAGGCTCAGGTAGGAGGATCCTTAGCCCAGGAGTTCAAGGCTGCAGTGAGCTGTGATAGCACTACTGTACTCAAGCCTGGGTGACAGGGTGAGACCCCATCTCCTAAAATAAAACACAAAGAAAAAAAATAGTTCAAGTAGCAAGTTGTATGTGGCTTACTCTGAATATTTCTAAACTAGAAATTCTCAATCTTTTGGGGTCTAACATCCCTTTACATTTTTTAACTTTATTGAAGATCTCTAGGACTATTTCTTTCTGTAAATAATTAAAACTAGAAAATAAGACAAAAAATTTTAAATATTATTCATTACATATTAATAAAGCCGTTACATGTTGATATAATACAAGATTTTAAAAATATTTAATATTCATTACATATTAGTGATAAAACCATTACATGTTGATATAATACTTTTTTTTTTCTTTGAGACAAAGTCTTGTTCTTTTGCCCAGGCTGGAGTGAAGTGGCGCAATCTCAGCTCATTGCAACCTCCGTCCCGCAGGTTCAAGCGATTCTCCTACCTCAGCCTCCCAAGTAGCTGGGATTACAGGCGCCCACTACCATGTCCGGCTAATTATTGTATTTTCTTAGAATTCAAGACCAGAGAAGGCTGGTCTTGAATTCTTGACCTCAGGTGACCCACCCGCCTGGGTCTCTCTAAGTGCTGGGATTACAGGTGTGAGCCACCACGCCCACCCCGATTAATATATGTTTTAAAACAATGATTAGTCAGGCAACAACACCGGGCAGGGGTCTCCTCATTCCCAGAGACGCAAACCCCACTGCACGGCTGAGGGGTTGCAAGGGCTGCAGAGCCAAAAGGCTCTGACTTGAGATGTCATTATTTTACTTGTATTTTTATTTGTATTGTGAGACAGGTCCTGCTCTGTCACCCAGACTGGAGTGCAGCTGTGCACTTACAGCTCACTGCAGCCTCGACCTCGGGCTCAAGCCATCTTCCTGCCTCAGCTCCCCAGTAGCTGGTAGTACAGTTGAGTGCCACCATGCCTGGTTATTTTTTTAATTTTTTTGTAGAGTGAGGGGTCTTGCTATGTTGCCCAAGCTGGCCTCAAACTCCTGACCTCAAGAGATCTGCCCACTTCAGCCTCCTGAGTAGCTGAAACTACAAATACACATCACCATGCCTAGCTACATTTATTTCATTTTGAAAAATATTTTTGTAAAGAGCAGATCTTGCTGTGTTGTCCAGGCTGGTCTTGAACACCTGCCCTTAAAAGATACTCCCACCTCTGCTTATCAAACAGCTGGGACTACAGGCATGAGCCACTGCAATGAGCCTGAAGAGATTTCTTTAATCTAGCATCCCATACTTGGTAGGATTGGGAAAGGCAGTAGTGTTTTTTAAAATTACTTAATAATTTCAGTAACAATCAAACTCAACCTTGACCCCTGCCTTCTCTCACACCCCATATCCAGTCTGTCAGGAAATCCTGTTGACTGTCTTCGACATGTACTAAAGATCCCCACCCAGCAACTCCCTGGCCTCCTCCCCTACTTCTCCCCTCTGACCATCTCTCAACACCACCATGGCCCTGGTCAGGACAACCATCATCTCCCGCCTGGATGTTGCCAAAGCTTGGCCCCCATGCTTCTACCCACATCTTCCCATAGTCTTTTCTCAACTCAGCAGCCAGAGAACGCTTTTAAAATGGGAGACAGATCATGTCGCCTCTCTGCTCAGAACCTTCTCGCAGTTCCCATCTGAGTCAGACTAAAAGCCAAAGCCCCAGCAATAACCTCCCAGGGCTTATGTGATCTGTACTGATCCCCACCCAGCAACTCCCTGGCCCCCTCCCCGAATTCTCTCCCTCTCTCCGTCTGCTCCATGGGCCTCCTTCCAGAGCCTCAGACACACCTCAGACACTTTATTCTATTGTTTCTGTCTACGAGCCTCTTCCCTCAGCACCTTGGCCAGCTCCTTCCCCTCCTTCAAGTCTTTACTCAATTTTCACTTAGGAGGCCACCCCTGACCATTCTATTTAACATTGCCATCTGTCCCCATGCCCACCATGCTCATTTCTTCTTTCTTTACTTTCTTCTTTCTTTTTTTCAAGATCTCACTGTCACCAAGGCTGGAGTGCAGTGGTGCAATCAAAGCTCACTGCAACCTCAAATTTCCAGGCTCAAGCGATCCTCCCACCTCAGTCTCCCGAGTAGCTGGGACTCCAGGTTCACACCATCATGCTTGGCTAAATTCTTTAGTATTTTATTTTATTTTATTTTATTTTGAGACAGAGTTTCACTCTTCTTGCCCAGGCTGTAGTGTAATGGTGCGATCCCAGCTCACTACAAACTCCACTTCCCAGATTCAAGTGATTCTCCTGCCTCAGCCTTCCAAGTGGCTGGGATTACAGGTGCGTGCCACCACGCCCAGCTAATTTTTCTATTTTTAGTAGAGCCGGGGTTTCGCAATGTTGGCCAGGCTGGTCTCGAACTCCTGACCTCAGGTAATCTGCCCGCTTCGGCCTCCCAAAGTGCTGGAATTACAGGCGTGAGCCATCATGCCTGGCCAGTTTTTTCATTTTTTGTAGAGACAAGGTCTTACTATGTTGCCCAGACTGGTCTTAAACTCCTGGCCTCAAGTGATCCTCCTGCCTAAATTCCTAAAGTGCTGGGATTACCGGCATGAGCCATCATGCCTGGCTTCATGTTCATTTCTTCTTGCTGCTGCAACATAGTTTGCAGTTTCCTACATTTAGTGGCTTAAAACACCACAAATCTACCATCTTACAGTTCTAGGCGCCAGAAACCCAAACTAGGTCCATTAAGGCTAAAGTCAAGGTGCCAGCAGGGCTGCATTCCTTCTGGAGACTCTAAAGTGTTCCCTTGGCTTTTCTAGCTTCTAGGAGCCACCCCCATTCTTTGGATCATGGCCCCTGACTCCATCTTCAAAGCCAGAAGTGAAGCATCTTCAAATCTCCCTCTCTTACCTCTGCTTTCATCACCACATCTCCTGCTTCAATTCTGAATCTCCTACTCTCTTTCTTTTATAAAGACCCTTGTGACTGCTGAGCATGGTGGCTCCCACCCAGAAGCCCAACACTTTGGGAGGTCAAGGCAGGAGGAACACTTGAGGCCCGAAGTTTGAAACTAGCATGAACAACATAGTGAGACCCCCACCTCCAGAAAAAAATAAAAATAAATATTAGCCTGACATGGTGGTATGCGCCTGTAGTCCCAGCTACTTGAGAGGCTGAGGTGAGACAATCGATTTAGCCCAGGAGGTTGAGATCAGCCTGGACGACATAACTAAATCTCATCTCTACAAGGATGAGGTGGGAGGATCACTTGAGCCCAGGAATTTGTGGCCAGCCTGGGCAACAAAAGAAGACCCCATCTGGCCAACATGGTGCAACTCCGACTCTACAAAAATGAGCTGGGCATGGGTGACATGCATGTGTAGTCCTAGCTACTTGGGAGGTTGAGATGGGAGGATCGCTTGATCTCAGAAGGCCAAAGCTATAGTGAGCTATGATCACATCACTGCACTCCAGCCTGGATGACACAGGGAGATTCTGTCTCAAAAAAAAGAAAAGAAATATATATTTCATCTCTGTCCCTGGTTCCTGGCACAGAGCTTCTAAAGCTCTTACAAAGACCTCAGTGATAGATGTGACAGGAACATCTTTTGTTTTAATATTTTGTTGTTGAGATGACGTGGTGACTGCAAGCTCCTAGATTTCTTCAGGAGGAGGGCTGATTGCCAATGGAAGCAACCACATGATTAGACGCTTGGAACTTTCAGCCTCATGCACTGAACTCCAGGAGGAAGAGGGGCTGGAGACTGCCTTAATCACCAACGGCCAAAGATTTTATCAATCATGCTTGCATAATAAAGCCTCCATAAACACCCTGAACAGGGTTTGCGGAGCTTCTGGGGTTGCTGAACACAGGAGATGCTGGGAGGGTGGCATGTTCAACAGAGGGCATGGGAGCTCTGTGCCCCTCCTAACTTACCTTGCCCTGGGCATCTTTCTTTTTTTTGAGATAGGGTCTGGCTCTTTAGTCCAAGCTAGAGTGGAGTGGCACAATCTCAGCTCACTGTAACCTAAGCCTCCCCAGTCCCCAGCTCAAGGTGTCCTCTCACCTCAGCATCCCTAGTAGTTGGAACTCTAGGTGCACACCACCACACCCGGTTATTATTATTTTTTTATTTTTTATAGAGACAGGTTTTCACCATGTTGCCCAGGCTGGTCTCAAACTCCTCAGTTTCAGCGATGCTCCCACCTCGGCCTCCCAAAGTTCTGAGATTACAGGCGTGAGCCACTGCATCCAGCATGTACGTCTCTTTCATTGGCTGTTTCTGAAATGTATCTTTTGCAATGAACCAGTAATAGGAAATGAACTGGCCAGATGCAGTGGCTCACATCTGTAATCCTAGCACTTTAAGAGGCAGAAGTGGAAGGATCACTTGAGACCAGGAATTTGTGGCCAGCCTGGGCAACACAACAAGACCCCATCTATACAAAAAATAAATTAGCCAGATGTGGTGGTGCAGGCATGTAGTCTCAGCTACTAGGGAGGATGAGGTGGGAGAACCACTGGAGCCCAGGCAGTCAAGCCTGCAGTGAGCTATGACTGCACCATTGCACACCAGCCTGGGCAAAAAAATAAGACCCTCTCTCTCAGAAAAAAAGAAAATAAACTGTTTTTCTGAGTTCTGTAAACTGTTCTAGCAAATAATTAAACCCAAGAATGGAGTTATGGGAACCCCCGATTTGTAACAGGTTGGTCAAAAGTACAGGTGACAACCTAGGACTTGCCATTGGCATCTGAAGTGAGGATGGTCTCATGGGACTGAGCCCCTAACTTGTGGGGTCTGCGCTAACTCCAGGCAGTGTCAGAATAAAATCATGGGATACCCAGTTAATATCCAGAGCACTGGAGAATTTGGTGTAGAAACTCCATACATACATTCAGTCGGAAGTGTGTGAGCAGAGACAGACACAGGCTTTTCTTTCACCTGTCTACCTGCTTAACTGCATAGGAGAGGCAATACGTGGTGCTCATGAACAAAGCAAGCATTAAAGTCAGACCAGACCCAACATTCGACTCAGTCTTAATATCCAGGTGAGCTTGGGCAAATCACTCATTATTGCTAAGTCTTCATCACTTCATTCGTAAAATGGGGATAACTGTGGCACCTACCTGTGATTCTGTGAGAATTAACGAAATATTATGCTTGGTGTTACTGTGATCATTATACCTATTCCAAACTATTTGACAAGGACAGTGATGGATGACAACATCAAAAAATTAGAAACTGTAGTGATCAGGCAAAATTCCATACAAGCAAATTACTGTCTCCACAAAGCATTCCTGCCACACTTAATTCACCATTCCCTGAACAAGATGTGCCATCTTCATTGTCCAGGTCTGTGCAGTGCTGGTTTCCCTGCCTGGGCAGCTCACTCCATCCCATTCCAGCCCATTCCCCATCCCTCCACCTCCCCCTTCCCTCCCCACTCTCATACAACTCTTCCTCATTTTTCAGGACTTAGCTTCAATGTCACCTTAACTGGAAACTTCTTTCAGCCTCCAAAAGAGCTTCCCATTGCATTTGATGCATGCACTATTATTTGACCATTTTTGAGTTATAGTCCAAGTCTTTTTGTACCTGAATAACATGTTACCCAGTCAGTCTCTTTTCCTGGATTCAGAAGTCTTTCATGGTAGATCCAGCTGGAAGTGACAAATACATTCTTTTGAAATAAAGGGATGACACAAACAGACATAAGTTCTTAAACGTCTTAAATGGTATGTGAAAATTAAACAAAATTCAAAGACTTGTGGGAACACTTAGAAGGAAAGTTACTGGGAATGTCATAAAGGGTTAATTTGTATTTTATTTTTTGAGACATTATTTTTATTTGATTTTTTATTTTCTGTCACCTAGGCTGCAGTGCAGTGGTGCAATCAGGGCTCACTGCAGCCTCGACCACCTGGGCTCAAGTAATCTCACTTAATTTTTATTTGGTTTAAGAAACAGTCTTGGTTGAGGGTGGTGGCTTATGCCTGTAATCTCGGCACTTTGGGAGGCTCAGAGAGGTATATTACTTGAGGCCAGGAGTTTGAGATCAGTCTGGGCAATATATTAAGACCTTGTCTCTACCAAAAAACAGAGTGAATGTGTGGAAGACAATTTTTCCACAGACTGGGAGTGGAGGGAATAATTTCAGGATGATTCAAGTGCATTACAAATATTGTGCACTTTATTTCCATTATTATTACGTTGTAATATATAATGAAGTAATTCTACAACTCACTATAATGTAGAATCAGTGGGATCTCTGAGCTTGTTTTCCTGCAACTAGACTGTCCATCTGGGGTGATGAGAGACAGTGACAGAACATCAGGCATCAGATTCTCGTAAGGAGCGCACAACCTAGATCCCTCGCATGCACACTTCACAACAGGGTTCGTGCTCCTATGAGAATCTAATGCTGCTGCTGATCTGACAGGATGTGGAGCTCAGGTGGTCATGCAAGCGATGGGAGGGGCTAGAAATACAGATGAAGTTTCCCTTCACTCACCTGCTGCTCACCTCTGGCTCTGTGGCCCTGTGGTTGGAGACTGCTGCTCAAGTGCATTCGAAAGGATCCATCCCATGCTATTCTTCAGTCATCTTTACTGCTACAGTGGTCAACTGTAGCACCCCTAAGCTTGCAGGGCATATGCTTCACCTGGTATTTCTTTTTTTTGTTTTTGAGACGGAGTCTCACTCTGTCGCCCAGGCTGGAGGGCAGTGACAGGATCTCGGCTCGCTGCAAGCTCCGCCTCCCAGGTTCCCACCATTCTCCTGCCTCAGCCTCCCGAGTAGCTGGGACTATAGGTGCCCGCCACCATGCCCAGCTAATTTTGTGTATTTTTAGTAGAGACGGGGTTTCACCGTGTTAGCCAGGATGGTCTCGATCTTCTGACCTAGTGATCCGCCCGCCTTGGCCTCCCAAAGTGCTGGGATTACAGGGGTGAGCTGCCGCACCCGGCCTTCACCTGGTATTTCATCACAATCAACAGTAAGTGGTAGCTTGAGTCATTGTGAGGTCACTTCCTGGAAATCACCAGCATCCCATATCCCATTAGCAAGGAGCTCAGCACTGCTCCTTGGATAACCAAACTTATTCCCAAATCCCATCTGTGTGGGTCTATCTCCTGGTACCCTTCCTACCATCAATTCTGTATTTGTAGGAGTCCAATCAGGAGACACAAACCACTCAAAAGTTTAAACTAGAATGAGCAAGGTGGCTCACACCTGTAATCCCAGCACTTTGGGAGGCCAAGGTGGGTGAATTGCTTTGAGCTCAGGAGTTTGAGACCAGTCTGGGAAACATGGCGAAACCCCATCTCTACAAAAAACACAAAAATTAGCTCGGTGTGGCGGCACTTACCTGTAATCCCAGCTACTCAGGAGGCTAAGTCAGAAGAATTGCTTGAGCCTGGCAGGTGGAGGCTGCAGTGAGCAGAGGTTGTGCCACTGTACTCCAGCCTAAGTGACAGCGTGAGACCTGGTATCAAAAACAAAAAAATATATATATATGTAAATTTAATATAGAAAGTATTAATTTTGGCCAGGCACCATGGCTCATGCCTGTAATCCCAGCACCTTGGGAGGCCAAGGCAGGCGGATCACCTGAGGTCAGGAGTTCAAGACCAGCCTGACCAACATGGAGAAACCCCATCTCTACTAAAAATACAAAATTAGCTGGGCATGGTGGCACATGCCTGTAATCACAGCTACTCGGGAGGCTGAGGCAGGAGAATTGCTTGAACCTGGAAGGCGGAGGTTGCGGTGAGCCAAGATAGCGCCACTGCACTCCAGCCTGGGCAATCCAGCCTGGGCAACAAGAGTGAAACTCCATCTCAAAAAGAAAAAAGTATTAATTTTAGCAGAGGATCAGCATAACGAGGGACATACTAGCACAAAGTAAAGACAACTCTAGAGAATACACAACTAGCAGAGGCCAGGCACTGTGGCTCATGCCTGTAATCCCAGCAATTTGGGAAGCCTAGGCAGGAGGATCACTTGAGGCCAGGAGTTGGAGACCTGTCAGCACAACACAGTGAGACTATATGTCTACCAAAAAAAAAGAAAAATATTAGCCAGGCGTGGTGGTAGTGCACACCTGTAATTCCAGCTACTTGGGAGTCTGGGGTGGGAGGATCCCTTGAGGCTGGGAAGTCTACACTACAGTGAGCCAAGATCATGCCACTGCACTCCAGCCTGGGCGACAGAGTGAGACCCTGTCTTAGAAAGAAAAAGAAAAGAAAGTGTTAATCCCCCTAAGGGAATCTCCTCTTCTCCTGCCCTCTCTGGAACCTCACTTGTCAGTTCTTCCTCCCACTTTCCTGTATCTTTAACCTATCCCCCACTTTTAGCACCTTCCCACCATCATTTAAATTACTCCAACTTCTTCTGTTTTAAAAACCTCTCCCTCAACTCAGTGAGAGGTCTCCTGCACACCCACTGAACCACCTGCTCCCCCCGGTGACTTCTCTACAGAAGCCTGAGCCATGTCTCTAATCCATGAATCTCATCATGTTACTTCCCCATTTACATCACTTCTCCTTGCCTCGGGGATTAAGTCCAAACTCCTTAACAGCCCCCGCTCTGCCCTGCCTTGCAAGGCAGCCTCACTGCTTGCCCCTCTCCATTTCACCTGCTATGGAGTCCAACTGAGCCTCATCTGCCCCCTGAATGCACACTCTTTCTCCTCTGGGAGTCTCTGAAGTGGGTGATATCCTCTGCTTATAATACGCTTCCCCTTAAACCTCTACTCTCTTCCTGGCTAGCTTCAGCTCCTCTGTCACTTGTCCGCGTTGGCATCACCTCCTCATGGAAGACTTCCTTGACTCCCCAGATTCTCAGGAGCATGGCAGGTGAGGTGCTCCTCCCATGAATGGATGGAGATTACAGAGTGTGTGTTATTCATGCTTAATTCACCAGTGCTTAGCTCAGTACCTGGCACAAGTTACTGTGGTGGACAAAGTAATAACCCCCCACCCTGCCAACTAATTGCTCATGTCCTATGTTACACAGCACAATTACATAGGAAGGGGGAATTAAGAGTGCAGATAAAATTAATGTTGCTCATCAGCTGACCTTAAAACAAGATTATCCTGGAGTATCTAGGAGAGCCCATGTAATTACAAGCATTCTTTAAAAGTGGAAGAGGGAGGTAGAAGGTTAAGAACCAGAGACAGTGGGCACAATGACTCATGCCTGTAATACCAATATTTTGGGAGGCCAAGGCAGGAAAATCCCTTGAGTGCAGGAGTTCAAGGTCAGCCATGGCAACATAGTGCGGCCCCATCTCTACAAAAAAATAAAAACAAAATTCACTGAGTGTCATGGTGCTTACCAGCTACTGGGAAGGCTGACGTGGTAGGATTGCTTGAGCCTGGGAGTTTGAGGCTACAGTGAGCCATGATTGGACCACTGAACTCCATCCTGAGTGACAGGGCAAGGTCCTGTTTCTAAAGAAAAAAAGGACATTGGAATCAGGGTCCCCTCCATCCTAAGGTGGCTACAAGGCATCTCTCTCTGCAAATGAGTAAACATCATCCTCCAACTCCTCACGGAGTGGAGCAGAAGGAAAACTCCCTCACCTCATTTCTGTGCTGCTTGGGAGGCCTGGACAGCCCAATAACCAGCTCCTTGCTGATGAAGCAATCGGGAAACGGCTTGAGTTGAGCTAAGGAGAATTTGGATCATTCTTCTGGTTCTCAATAGGCAGGGTAGGGGCCAGGCATGGTGGCTCACAGGTGTAATCCTTGCATTTTTGGAGGCCAAGGTGAGAGGATCACTCGAGGCCAGGAGCTCAAGACCAGCCTGGGCAACATAGCGAGACCCAGGTGGCATGCACCTGTGGTCCCCACTACTTGGTAGAATGAGGTGGGAGGGTTGATCACTTGATCCCAGGAGTTTCAGGCTGCAGTGAGCCATAATCACACCACTGCACTCTAGCCTGGGTGACAGAGCCAGACCATGTCTCAAAAAGTAAAAAAATACAATAAATAAATAAATAAAATACAGAGAGAGACTATAGGCAGCCACCACCACATCTGGCTAATTTTTAAATATTCTGTAGAGACGAGGTCTTGCTAGGTTGCCCAGGCTGGTCTAAAACTCCTGGCATCAGGCCAGGCGTGGTGGCTCATGCCTGCAATCCCAGCACTTTGGGAGGCCAAGGCAGGCAAATCACCCGAGGTCAGGAGTTCCAGACCAGCCTGGCCAATGTGGCGAAACCCCATCTCTACTAAAAATACAAAAATTGGCCAGGCAGTAGTGGCATGGGCCTGTAATCCCAGGTACTTGGGAGGTTGAGGCAGGAGAACCACTTGAACCTGGGAGGCGGAGGTTGCAGTGAGCCAAGATCGCGTCACTGCATGCATTCCACCCTGGGTGACAAAGTGAGACTGCCTCAAAACAAACAAACAACAAACAAACAAAGAAACAAAAAAACTCCTGGCATCAAAAGATCTTCCTATCTCACCCTCCCACCCTCCCAATGCCCTGGGATTATATTTTTTGTTTAATATAATTGAAGACACTTGTTCTTATACTGCTTTAAGATATAAAGAAAAAAAAACAGATAATAACAAATGTTGGTGAAGGCTGGGCACAGTGGCTTAGCCTGTAATTCCAGAACTTTGGGAGGCTGAGGTGGGCAGATCACTTGAGGCCAGGAGTAAGAGACCAGCCTGGGCAACATGGTAAAACCCCATCACTACAAAAAAAATATAAAAATTAGCCAGGCATGGTGGCATGCACCTGTAATTATCAGCTACTCAGGAGGCTGAGATGAGAAAATCACTTGTGCCTGGGAGGTCAAGGCTCCAGTGAACTGTGATGGCGTCACTGTGCTGCAGCCTGAGAGACAGAGCAAGCCCGTCTAGAAAAAAAAAAAAAAAAAAAAAAAAGTCAGCAAAGATGTGTAGGAATTGGAACCCACATACATTACTGGTGGGAACATAAAATCGTGTAACCACGCTTTTCTTGTCATTTTAATTGGATTTTTTTTTAATCAAGACAGAGTCTTGCTATCTTGCCCAGGCTGATCTTGAACTTGTGGGCTCAAGCCATCCTCCCAACTGAGCCTCCTGAGTAGCTGGGACTACAGGTGTGAGCCATCACACTCAACTGGTGTAGCTATTTTAGAAGACAAACTGGCAGTTTCTCAAAAGGCTAAACATACAGTCATCATATAATGCAACAATTTCACTCCTAGGCATATATCCCAGAGAAATAGAAATATATGTCCACACAAAAACTTGTACAGCAATCTTCATAGCAGCATTGTTCGTAATAGCCAATACGTGGAAACAACCCAAATGTCCATCAACTGATGAACAGATAAACAAAATGCAGTGTGTCTCTACCATGGAATATTATTCAGCCACAGAAGAAATGAAATACTGATACACACTATGACATAAAGGAACTTTGAAAACATTGTGCTAAGAGGGAAAAAAAAGCCAGTGCGTCTACAGGTGAATGCCACCGTGCCCAGCTAATTAAAGAATTTTTTTTCTGAAAGTCTTGCTTTGTCACCCAGGCTGGAGTGCAGTGGCATGAACACAGCTCACTGCAGCATCAATCTTCTGGGCTCAAGGGATCCTCCTGCCTCTGCTTCCTAAGTAGCTGGGACTACAGACATAGGCCACCATGCCAATTTTTTTTTTTTTTTTTGAGATGGAGTCTCGCTCTGTTGCCCAGGCTGGAGTGCAGTGGCGCCATCTTGGCTCACTGCAAGCTCCACCTCCTGGGTTCACGCCATTCTCTTCCCTCAGCCTCCCGAGTAGCTGGGACTACAGGCGCCTGCCACCACACCTGACTAATTTTTTGTATTTTTAATAGAGACGGGGTTTCACCATGTTAGCCAGGATGGTCTCAATCTCCTGACCTTGTGATCCACCTGCCTCAGCCTCTCAAAGTGCTGGGATTACAGGCATGAGTCACCGCGCCTGGCCCACCATGCCTAATTTTAAAAAAAAAAATTTTTTTATAGACATAGCATCTCACTACGTTGCCCAGGCTGGTCTTGAACTTGTGGGCTTAAGTGACCAATTTTCACAACTCAGCCTCCCAAAGTGTTGGAATTATAGGTTTGAGACACTATACCCAGCCTTTAAGAATCTTCTTGTAGAGATGGAATCTTGCTGTGTTGCCCAGGCTGTTCTCAAGCTCCTTGCCTCAAGTGATTTTCTACCTTGGCCTCCCAAAGTGCTGGAATTAAAGGCATGGACTGTGTGGTTCTTCTGGCACTTACACGTGGTCTTGTCTGGCCGGTTGTCTGGTCCTGTCTGTTTCTGCCTTTCCTCTTTCTCCAGGGAAAACCTAAGCTTTCCTTTTTGTCCTCATCTTGTGTTTTTCTGGGTCCATGGGCAGAGTAGAGTTCTAGAATGGTTTCCTAAAGCAGCCAAGCCCTACCCATTGATTTCTAAGTACATTTAGAAAAACACATATAAGGCTGGGCATGGTGGCTCACGCCTGTAATCCCAGCACTTTGGGAGGCCGAAGTGGATGGATCACCAGGTCAGGAGTTCGAGACCAGGCTAACCAACATGATGAAACCCTGTCTCTACTAAAAATACAAAAATTAAGCCGGGCACGGTAGCTCACGTCTGTAATCCCAGCACTTTGGGAGGCCAAGATGGGTGTATCACCTGAGGTCAGGAGTTCGAGACCAGCCTGGCCAACATGGTGAAACCCAGTCTCTACTAAAAATACAAAAAAAGTAGCTGGGCGTGGTGATAGGCGCCTGTAATCCCAGCTACCCAGGAGGCTGAGGGAGGAAAATCACTGGAACCCGGGAGGCAGAGGTTGCTGTGAGCCGAGATCATGCCAGTGCACTCCAGCTAGGGCAACAGAGCAAGATTCCATCTCAAAAAAAAAAAAAAAAAAAAATTAGCCGGGCATTGTGGCATGGGCCTATAATACTCAGGAGGCTGAGGCAGGAGAAGCGCTTGAACCCGGGAGGTAGAGGTTGCAGTGAGCCAAGATTGCAGCCTTGCACTCCAGCCTGGGTGACAAGAGTGAAACTCTGTCTCAAAAAATAAAGAGAAAAACATATAGAAAACATTAACACCCCAGGCAGTATACCTTGTCAAACATACCTCAGGCAAATGCATTCAGGAGAAGAAAATACATCTTATTTCCCTCTTCATGTTTCGTTTTTTTTTTTTGTTTTCTTTTGTATTACTCAGTGTTGGGTATTTTGTATTTTATTTTGCAGGGAGCTGGTAAGTCGCCTACAGGAGCGAAATGTTCAGGTTTTCCTAATATCTGGTGGCTTTAGGAGTATTATAGAGCATGTTGCTTCAAAGCTCAATATCCCAGCAACCAATGTATTTGCCAGTAGGCTGAAATTCTACCTTAATGGTAAGATGTTAACGGTAACATGTTCCCTTTCTTAGCAGTTCCATTATTCAGTATTCTGGGTAATGTCTTTTGGAATGCAACTTGAACAGTCACATCAGAGTTAAATATTGAGATGAATGGTTCTCTTTTTTTTTTTTTTTTTTTTTTTTGAGACGGAGTCTCGCTCTGTCGCCCAGGCTGGAGTGCAGTGGCGCGATCTCGGCTCACTGCAAGCTCCGCCTCCCGGGTTCACGCCATTCTCCTGCCTCAGCCTCCCGAGTAGCTGGGACTACAGGCGCCCGCTACCATGCCCGGCTAATTTTTTGTATTTTTAGTAGAGACGGGGTTTCACCGTGTTAGCCAGGATGGTCTCGATCTCCTGACCTCGTGATCCGCCCGCCTCGGCCTCCCAAAGTGCTGGGATTACAGGCGTGAGCCACCGCGCCCGGCCGAGATGAATGGTTCTCTTAATTGATGTCTTTTGCCCTTTGGTACCCTTTGCTCAGCAAAACAGACTTAGATCATCACCTGTCTTAGCTTTATTATCTATAACATCACCTGTCTGTACATAAATGTCTGCATTTCGTGAAACATTAATTCCTACATAGCCCCTATGACTTACTTTGCTATGTGTTGTATTTCAATTTTATGGGAGCTTCTATGCATTTGAAGCAATTTAGACTCAAGAAGGAGACTTTTGGCTGGGCACGGTGGCTCACGCCTGTAATCCCAGCACTTTGGGAGCCTAAGGCAGGAGGATCACTTGAGGTCAGGAGTTCGAGACCACCCTGGCCAAAGTGGTGAAGCCCCAACTCTGCTAAAAAAAAAAAAAAAAAAAAAATAGGAAAATTAGCTGGGCATGGTGGCACATGCCTGTAGTCCCAGCTACTTGGGAGGCTGAGGCAGGAGAATCACTTGAAGCTGGGAGGCGGAGGTTGCAGTGCGCCGAGATCGCGCCACTGCACTTAACAGCCTGGGTGACAGAGCGATACTCTGTCTTTAAAAAAAAAAGACAGAGACTTTAGAAGGGAGACTTTTGTTAACAGATTACTGAACTACAGCTGCCCTTGGGGAAGCCTCCTATCCCCTCTGTGGTCCATAGCGGTGCCACAGCTGTTATATTATCTCAGATCTCCAGTTATATCAAGGAGTGACTGAGAGTGATATTCTTTTTTTTTTTTTTTTTTTTTGAGACAGGGTCTCACTCTGTTGCTCCTGCTGGAGTGCAGTGGCTTGATCTCGGCTCACTGCAACCTCTGCCGCCTGGGTTCAAGTGATTCTCCTGCCTCAGCCTCCCAAGTAGCTGCGATTACAGGTGCCCATCACCACGCCTGGCTAATTTTTGTACAGTGCCCAACCGTACTTTTGTTTTAGACAGCTGGTTTGTCCTATAATCCCAGCACTTTGGGAGGCTGAGGTAGGAAGATCGCTTGAGCACAGGAGTTTGAGACCAGCCTGGGCAATATAGTAAGACCCCATCTCTACAAAATAAATAAATAAAATAAAATAAAAACAGCTGATTTAGAACTATATAAGATTTAAAACAGGAGTTAAACAAAAACAACTCTCATTACAAGATAAAAACGAAATAATAAAAACAAATTCAATCTTGTTATGTCAACTGACTTTGTGCAAACCCAAGAAAAGTTATGAATAAGGAACTAAAAACCTTTTAAAACTTTTAACAATGCCTTATCCCTGTAGCATGGGCACCACCTTTTAGCCTAGGTGTGTGCTCAATAAGAGTTGATTTCATTTCCCCAAATAATACCATCAACAACTCATAACCGAGATTTTAACATCTTTTTATACTTTATATACTAGTTCCTCATATGTTACCTCATTTAATCCTCATAACAGCCCTGTGAAGTCAAATATTATGTTTGGTTTTGGTTTTTTTAGAAAGAGTCTCACTCTGTCACCCAGGCCGGAGTTCAGTTGTGCGATCGTAGCTTATCATAGCCCTGAACTTCTGGGCTCAAACGATCCTCCCACCTCAGCCTCCTGGGTAGCTGGGATTACAGGTGTGTGCCACTGCATCCCACACCACCACAGCATTTTATTTCTCTGAACTAACGTCATTTTCTGAGACTAGCAGAGGTTTTATTTACTTTTTTATTTTATTTTATTTTTGAGACGGAGTCTCGCTCTGTCACCCAGGCTGGAGTGCAGTGGCGTGATCTTGGCTCACTGCACCCTCCGCTTCCCGGGTTCAAGCGATTCTTCTGCCTCTGCCTCTCAAGTAGCTAGGACTACAAGTGCACACCACGACGCCTGGCTAATTTTTGTATTTTTAGTAGAGACGGGGTTTCACCATATTGGCCAGGCTGGTCTCGAACTCCTGACCTTGTGATCTGCCCGCCGTGGCCTCCCAAAGTGCTGGGATTACAGGCATGAGCCACCACGCCCAGCCCTGGTTTTATTTATTTTTTGAGACGGAGTCTCGCTCTGTCACCCAGGCTGGAGTGCAGTGGCGCGGTCTCAGCTCACTGCAGCCTCGACCTCCCGGACTCAAGCGATCTTCCCATCTCAGCCTCCTGAGTAGCTGGGACTGCTGGCACATGCCACCACACCTATCTAATTTTGTTTATTTTTTGTAGAGATGAGGTCTCACTATGTTGCCCAGGCTAATTTTGAACTCCTGGCTCAAGTGATCCTCCTACCTTTGCCTGCCAGAGTGCTGGGATTATAGGTGTGAGCCAACATGCCCAGCTGGGGATTTTATTTCTAAGCATTTTAAAATCAATGCAGGAAACAAATGCTATATAGCAGGTGTCGTAATATCAAATGTGTCCATTTCACGTAGGGCTTAGCCTTTATCATGTTATTCTAACATAAGAAAAACTACGCCAAAAATATAGTGTAGCCAGGTGCAGTGGCTCACACCTGTAATCCCAGCACTTTGAGAGGCCAAGGCGGGCGGATC
Organism: Homo sapiens; assembly: GCF_000001405.40. Taxonomy (NCBI): domain Eukaryota; kingdom Metazoa; phylum Chordata; class Mammalia; order Primates; family Hominidae; genus Homo; species Homo sapiens. Next base: position 55,767,850 of record NC_000007.14, read on the forward strand.
ACCTGAGGCCAGGAGTTTGAGACCTGCCTGGGCAACATGGTGAAACCTCATATCTACAAAAAATACAAAAAAATTAGCTGGAAGTGGTGATGGGTGCCTATCATTGCAGCTACTTAGGAGGCTGAGGCATGAGAATCAGTCAAACCCAGGAGGTGGAGGTTGCAGTGAGTCAAGATCACGTCACTGTATTCCAGCCTGGGTAACAGAACAAGACTGCATCTCAAAACATATATGAAGTTTTTACCACCTAGTTTCCTGAGATCTAAAAATAGGGATTGTCTAAAAAATAAAAATAAAAAAATGATAGTCTTTGTGAATGATGAATGAAAAAGAGTTAAAAGGAACCTTTTTGGCTGGATGCGAAGGTGACTATTGCCTGTAATCCCAGCACTTTGGGAGGCAGAGACAGGAGGATCACCTGTGGTCAGGAGTTTGAGACCAGCCTGGTCAAAAAGGTTTGAGAACCTATGGTCAGGAGTTTGAGACCAAACTGGAGTTTGAGATCAGCCCCGTCTCTACTGAAAATACAAAAATTATCCAGGTGTGGTAGCAGGTGCCTGTAATCCCAGATACTTGGGAGGCTGAGGCAGGAGAATCACTTGAACCCAGGAGGCAGGAGGTTGCAGTGAGCCGAGATCACGCCACTGCACTCCAGCCTGGGCATGATGGAGCAAGACTCCATCTCAAAAAAGAAAAAGGTTCTAGCCAGGCTGGTCTCAAACTCCCAACCTCAGGTAATCTGCCTGCCTTGGCCTCCCAAAGTGCTGGGGTTACAGGCATGAGCCACCGTGCCCAGCTTTTGAATCTTTTCTTTTTTTGACAGAGTCTCACTCTGTCACCCAGGCTGGAGTGCAATGGTGCAATCTCAGCTCACTGCAACCTCCGCCTCCCAGGTTCAAGCAATTCTCTTGCCTCAGCCTCCCAAGTAGCTGGGATTACAGGTGCCCGCCACCACGCCCAGCTAATTTTTTGTATTTTTAGTAGAGATGGGGTTTTGCCATGTTGGCCAGGCTGGTCTCGAACTCCTGACCTCAGGTGATCCACCCACCTCAGCCTCCCAAAGTGCTAGGATTACAGGCATGAGCCACCACACTGGCTGCTTTTGAATTGTTAGCTTAGATAATTTATAACCAGTGTTGGGGTTGGCTAAGCAATGAACATTGGCCTAGCTTAATGAGAAATACATAAAAGTAAAATGAAGAGTTTTCTCAGAGCTCCCAATCTCATTTTCAAGAAATGACAAAATCAGCCAGGAGCGGTGGCTCACACCTGTGATCCCAGCACTTTCGGAGGCCGAGGCGGGAGGATTGCTTAAGCACAGAGGTTCAAGACCAGCTGAGCAACGTAGCAAAACTCTGTCTCTAAAAAATTATTCAGGGATTGTGGTGTGCACCTGTCATCCTGGCTACTCAGGAGGCTGAGGCAGGATGATCACTTGAGCCCAGAAGTTCAAGGCTGCAGTGAGCCATGACTGTGCCACTGCACTCCAGCCTGGGTGACAGGGTGAGACCCTGTCTCATAAAACCAAAAAGGAATGACAAGATTGGTTGGGTGCAGTGGGACATACCTGTAATCCCAGCACTTCGGAAGCTGAGGCAGGAGGAGTTTGAGAGCAGGCTGGCAACATAGCAAGACCCTACAAAAAATTTAAAAAGTAGCCAGGTGAGGTGGGGCACACCTGTAGTCTCAGCTACTCGAGAGGCTGAGGCACGAGAATCACTTGAACCCAGGAGGCAGAGGTTGCAGTGAGCTGAGATTGTGCCACTGCACTCCAGCCTGGGTGACAGAGCGAGACTGTCTTTTTCTTTCTTTCTTTTTTTTTTTTTTTTTTTTTTGTCTCGCTCTGATGGAGTCCCGCTCTGTCACCCAGACTGGAGTGCAGTGGGGCAATCTGTGTTCACTGCAAGCTCTGCCTCCTGGGTTCACGCCATTCTCCTGCCTCAGCCTCCCGAGTAGCTGGGACTACAGATGCCCACCACCACGCCCGGCTAATTTTTTGTATTTTTAGTAGAGACGGGGTTTCACCGTGTTAGTCAGGATGGTCTCAATCTCTTGACCTCGTGATCCACCCGCCTTGGCCTCCCAAAGTGCTGGGATTACATGCGTGAGCCACCGCACCTGGCCAAGACTGTCTTAAAAAAAAAAAAAAGTGAAGGGAAAAGACAAGTAACAGAATTTTGTACTTTCAAATGAGTATATGCAGTATTGTGTCTATATCCTGCCAGAAAAAAGGAAATACTATTTTAAAAAATCATGCACAAAAGGAGGGTATCAGTTAGTACAACTAATGAAATAATAATAACTATAAACAATTTTTATTTATTTATTTTTTTCTTGAGACAGGGTCTTACTCTGTCACCCAGGCTAGAGGGCAGTGGCACAATCACAGCTCACTGCAACCTCGAACTCCCAGGCTCAAGTGATCCTTCTGCCTCAGCGTCCTGAGTAGCTAGGACTATAGGCATGAGCCACTACCCCCAGATAGTTTTTAATTTTTTTTATAGAGATGGGGTCTCACTATATTGCCCATGCTGGTCTCAAACTCTGGCCTCAAGCCATCCTCCCTCCTCAGCCTCCCAACGTGCTGGGATTAGAGGAATAAGCTACTGCGCATGGCCTATAAACAATTTTAACTATGAAAAAGTAGAGTGTTTCAATCAATCACATGAATCAATCAATCAAAAAAAAAAAAAAGGTGTAGATTGGGGGCAGTGGCTCACACCTGTAATCCCAGCACTTTGGGAGGCCGAGGTGGGCAGATCACCTGAGCTCAGGAGTTCAGACCAGTCTAGTCAACATAGCGAAACCCCATCTCTACAAAAAACTACAAGAATTAGCTGGGTACGGTGGCATATGCCTGTAGTCCCAGCTACTTGGGAGGCTGAGGTGGGAGGATGGCTTGAGACTAGGAGGTGGAGGTTGCAGTGAGCCGAGATTGCACCACTGCACTCCAGCCTGGGTGACAGAGCCAGACCCTGTCTCAAAAAAAAAAAAAAAAAAACGTAGAGCACTACCAACAGTTCTCCCTCATCCCAGAATAGAAAATCCCCCACCATTTCTTATGCACACACTGCGACTCTTGGCCTCCCAGGCAGGGCGGTGCCTGTTCTGGACCAGATCCCAGGTCCAAGGGGATTTCCTCTACACCGCAGACTTCTCTTTGATCTTCCCTTCTTTGAAATTACAGGGCAGGGATGCGATTTCCATCCAGGTAGTTTTGTTTGTTTGTTTGTTTGTTTGTTTGTTTGTTTGATGCGGTTTCGCTCTGTTGCCCAGGCTGGAGTGCAGTGACGCGATCTATACTCACTGCAACCTCCACCTCCCAGGTTCAAGCGATTCTCCTGCCTCAGCCTCCCGAGTAGCTGGGACTACAAGTGCATGCCACTGCACTCGGCTAATTTTTTTTGTATTTTTAGTAGAGACAGGGTTTCACCACGTTAGCCAGGATGGTCTCGATCTCCTAACCTCGTGATCTGCCCGCCTCGGCCTCCCAAAGTGCTGGAATTACAGGCATCAGCCACCATGCCCAGCCTAATTTTTGTATTTTTAGTAGATACAGGGTTTCACCATGTTGCCCAGGCTAGTCTTGAACTCCTGCGCTCAGGTGATTTGCCCACCTCGGCCTCCCAAAGTACTGGGATTACAGGCATGAGCCAACATGCCTGGCCTGCCATATAGTTTATTTCTTATTTATTTTATTTTTTGAGACAGAGTCTCACTCTCTCACCCAGGCTGGAGTGCAGTGGCATAATCACTGTTCACTGCAACCTCCGCCTCCCGGTACAAGCAGTTCTGCTGCCTCAGCCTCCTGAGTAGCTGGGATTACAGGCACCTGCCACCACGCCCAGCTATTTTTTGTATTTTTAGTAGAGACAGGGTTTCACCATGTTGGCCAGGCTGGTCTCGATCTCTTGACCTCAGATGATCCTCCCGCCTCAGCCTCCCAAAGTACTGGGAATACAGGTGTGAGCCACCATGCTCAGCTCCTGCCATCTAGTTTAGAACTCAAACATTTACCTACTGATGTGATTTTTATTTTTGTAGGCATTTGTCTTGGTTATAAGAGGGCAGGGACCACATCTTACTCTCCAGAAGCCCTGACATTGTCCAGCTGAATGGGTCCCCAGCAGTGGTGCATGTACTGATGCAGGAGAGTGCAGTGAGGGATAGGAGGAAGCCAGGAGGCGAAGACGGGAGGATGTAAGGAGGAAGGTGCTGTGTACTCAGCAAAGGCACCCTGGGGGAGGCCAGGCTTACCTCTCTTTGCAGGAATAGTTTATGTTTGAAACACCTGGCTGGGTGCGGTGGCTCACACCTGTAATCCCAGCACTTTGGGAGCCCGAGGTGGGCGAATCACCTGAGGTCAGGAGTTTGAGACCAGCCTGGCCAACATGGTGAAACCCCATCTCTACTAAAAATACAAAAATTGGCCGGGCGCGGTGGCTCACGCCTGTAATCCCAGCACTTTGGGAGGCCGAGGCGGGTGGATCATGAGGTCAGGAGATCGAGACCATCCTGGCTAACAAGGTGAAACCCCATCTCTACTAAAAATACAAAAAATTAGCCGGGCGCGGTGGCGGGCGCCTGTAGTCCCAGCTACTGGGGAGGCTGAGGCAGGAGAATGGCGTGAACCCGGGAAGCGGAGCTTGCAGTGAGCCGAGATTGCGCCACTGCAGTCCGCAGTCCGGCCTGGGCGACAGAGCGAGACTCCGTCTCAAAAAAATAAAAAAAATAAAAATAAAAATAAAAAAAATAAAAATACAAAAATTAGCCAGGTGTGGTGGCAGGCACCTGTAATCCCAGCTACTCGGGAGGCTGAGGCAGGAGAATCATTTGAACCCAGGAGGCGGAGGTTGCAGTGGGCAGAGATCACGCCATTGCACTGCAGCCTGGGCAACAGAGTGAGACTCCGTCTCAAAAAAAAAAAAAAAAAAAGTTTGAAACACTTACTGCTCTCTATTGCTCCTGCAACCTTTGTTTTCTGATTTTCTAAAAATCATTTCTCCTCCGGGTGCTGTGGCTCATACCTATAATCCCAGCACCTTGGGAGGCCGAAGTGGGCAAATCACCAGAGGTCAGGAGTTCAAGACCAGCCTGGCCCAATATAGTGAAACCCCATCTCTACTAAAAACACAAAAATTAGCCAGGCGTGGTGGCAGGTGCCTGTAATCCCAGCTACTTGGGAGGCTGAGGCAGGAGAACCACTTGAACCCGGGAGGCGGAGGTTGCAGAGAGCAGAGATCACACCACTGCGCTCCAGCCTGGGCAACAGAGCCTCCAAAAAAATAAATAAAAATAAAAATCATTTATCTCTCTTTTCTTACTTCTTAGGATGCTTTCATTGGATTTGGAGGAAATGTGATCAGGCAACAAGTCAAGGATAACGCCAAATGGTATATCACTGATTTTGTAGAGCTGCTGGGAGAACCGGAAGAATAACATCCATTGTCATACAGCTCCAAACAACTTCAGATGAATTTTTACAAGTTACACAGATTGATACTGTTTGCTTACAATTGCCTATTACAACTTGCTATAGAAAGTTGGTACAGATGATCTGCACTGTCAAGTAAACTACAGTTAGGAATCCTCAAAGATTGGTTTGTTTGTTTTTAACTGTAGTTCCAGTATTATATGATCACTATCGATTTCCTGGAGAGTTTTGTAATCTGAATTCTTTATGTATATTCCTAGCTATATTTCATACAAAGTGTTTTAAGAGTGGAGAGTCAATTAAACACCTTTACTCTTAGGAATATAGATTCGGCAGCCTTCAGTGAATATTGGTTTTTTTCCCTTTGGTATGTCAATAAAAGTTTATCCATGTGTCAGAACAGATTTGTGGAATTTGCAGTTCTGCCTCTTGGATATTGGAATATCCAATATTTCAGGTACTGTGTTGAAGCATAAACATCCCCCAGGCAAGAAACAGGCTTAAGACTTTGCTTAGTGCTGGGCACAATGTCCTCACCCCATGAGCCCACTCCCACTTCCTAAAGCCCTGGGACCTGGAAAGTCCTTTTTTTACCTCTTGGGATTTGTCATATATGAAATGTTACAGAGATTGGTTTTTTTTTTTCGCCTCCAATATAACAATAGAGTCTTAAACAAAAGTACTGATTGAAAAATGGATATTCGGGCTCACGCCTGTAATCTCAGCACTCTGGGAGGACAAGGTAAGAGGATCAACTTGAGGCCTGGAGTTTGAGACCAGCCTGGGCAACACAGCAAGACCCTGTCTCTACAAAAAATAAAAACATTAGCTGGATGTGGTGGCACCCACCTGTAGTCCCAGCTACTTGGTGGGCTGAGATGGGAGGATCCCTTGAACTCAGGAGTTCAAGGCTGCAGTGAGCTGTGACTCCACCATTGTAATCCAGCCTGGGTGACAGAGTGAGACCCTGTCTCTTAAAAAGAAAAAAGGATATTTGAAAATCACATAAAGTAAAAGAAATAAAAACAAGTTTAATCACAAAGGCCAGCATTTTCCCCTAAATGAATTAAATATTAATAACTCCTAACAGCCTATATAAACACATTTCTTTTTTATAAATGACGTGGAAATACTTGAAAGCCAGGTTTGTGTTTGTTTTGAGCAGAGCCAAGCAAGGGAAATTTCAGAACACGCTTTGAACGTGTGAGATTCTATACCCTCCCTGGAGGTATGGGGGAGGGGAAAGCCACGGGGTTAGGAAGTGGATACTGTTGGATAATTCAGTAGAAAAAGCCATAAGGTTTTTAATATTGAGAATTAGTTGAAAAACTTACTTAACCAAATTTGGCTATATAATTAAATAAATAATTATTCAGCCACATAAGCAAATCAAATTAATCAAATTTCCTTCCAAATCAGTTTCTGAAGGAGAGACATGAAATAGGTTTGGCACCATTTAAATGAGATTCCAAACAATGAGGCCGTTGTTCCCAACTGTGAATGCCTCCTGGTCGCTCTCCTAGAAACCGTTTTGTGGTGTTTGCACTTTTCAGTAGTGCCAAGCTCTGGGCAGGACCAGGCATGCCAGGACCTTGAAAAGTGCTGCAAACGGCATCAGCCTCTATGCTGCCCGGTGTGCATGGCAGGAGCAGGCCATTGGTGGGCGGGTGGGAGGACCGATCCCCCACTGGTTTTCACTGTCTGACCGTCACAGCTGCTACTGCCCCACTAGTTCTTGCCCGCGGCACAGATAGAGCCCATTTCTCAAGATGGGAATTGCAATAGAGAGCTTAATTCGTGCAGAACCGGCCAAACAGGAGGCCGGAGCTTTATTCTTACATCAATCTCCCCAAAAATTCGGAGGCTAGACTTCTTCAAGGATACTTTGGCAGGCCAGGGGATTCGCTTCTGGGTGGAGCCACAGAATTGGCCATGGGGTGGGGTCGGGTGGGGGCGGGGGCGGGGTTAGTTAGGTCCGGGTGGAGCCACTGATGGTCAGAAACACAAAAACCTGAGCCAGGCACGGTGGCTCACGCCTGTAATCCCAGCATTTGGGAGGCCAAGATGGGCAGATCACTTGAAGTCAGGAGTTGGAGACCCACCTGGCCAACATGATGAAACCCCATCTCTACTAAAAATACAAAATGTGGTGGGGCACGCCTGTCATCCCAGCTACTCGGGTGGCTGAGGCAGGAGAATTGCTTGAATCCAGGAGGCAGAGGTTGCAGTGAGCAGAGATTGTGCCACTGCACTCCAGCCTGGGTGACAGAGTGAAACTGCCTCAAAACAAAACAAAAAAAGAAAAGAAAAAAGAAATGCAAAAACCTGAAAAGACATCTCAAAAGGCCAATCTTAGGTTCTACAGTCGTGATGTAACCTGCAGGAGTAACGGGGATTTACAAATCTTGTGCCTGCCCTCTAGAATAATAACTAGAAACGGTGTTTATGTGTACACCTTGGCGGAATTTAGGCTTCTCTCATCCTCCTAGCCTGGTGGTCTCTCACTAGCTTTATGAAGGTGGTTGAGTTTTGGGGAAGGGCTATTATTATTTTATTTATTTATTTATTTATTTATTTATTTATTTATTGAGATGGAGTCTGGCTCTGTCACCCAGGCTGGAGTGCAGTGGCACGATCTTGGCTCACTGCAACCGCCACTTCCCGGGTTCAAGTGATTCTCCTGCCTCAGCCTCCTGAGTAGCTAGGATTACAGGCGCACGCCACCACGCCCAGCTATTTCTTTTTTTTTTTTTTTTTTTGTATTTTTAGTAGAGATGGGGTTTCACCATGTTAGTCAGGCTGGTCTCAAACTCCTGACCTTGTGATCCTCAAGCCTCAGCCTCCCAAAGTGCTGGGATTACAGGTGCCCGCTGCCACGCCTGGCTAATTTTTGTATTTTTTGTAGAGACTGGGTTTCACTATGTTGCCCAGGCTGGTCTCGAACTCCTGACCTCAGGTGATCCTCCTGCCTCGTCCTCCCAAAGTGCTGAGATTACAGGTGTGAGCCACAGTGCGTGGCCAGCTCACTCACTCTTGACACTGTTTCCACTTCTACTCCCCGACCCCCCAGTTCCTCAGTGTGGTGGATCCAGAAGTCTGCTTTACACAACTGCTCCCTGTGGCCACCTTCCCATGGGACAGTTCCATGCAGCCTGTTCAGCTGGCCCCGCTGACCCTCACACCCCACACAGACTACGCAGATATGCTGCAGTGCATTCAGTCACTGCAAGACCTCCTGGAACGCGTGACTGCTTGCTTTATATTTTGTTTGTTTTTTTGAGACAGGGTCTCACTCTGTTGCCCAGGCTGGGGTGCAGTGGTGCAATCTCAGCATACTACAACCTCCATCTCCCAGGCTCAAGCGATTCTCCTGCCTCAGCCTCCTAAGTAGCTGGGACTACAGGCGCCCACGACCACGCCCAGCTAATTTTTGTATTTTTAGTGGAGACGGGTTTCACCATGCTGGCCAGGCTGGTTTCAAGCTCCTGACCTCAGGTGATCCACCCACCTCAGCCTCCCAAAGTGCTGGAATTGCGGGCATGAGCCACAACGGGCATGTGTCACAACAGGCTGGCTAATTTTTGTATTTTTAGTAGACACAAGGTTTTGCCATATTATCAGGCTGGTCTCGAACTCCCGACCTCAGTTGATCCACCCACGTTGGCCTCCTAAAGTGCTGGGATTTCAGGTGTTAGCCACCTGTAAAAAGTTGAATTTTTTTTTTTTTTTTTTTTGAGAGGGAGTCTCACTCTGTCACCCAGGCTGGAGTGCAGTGCAGCAGTGCAGTGGCGCAATCTTGGCTCACTGCAACCTCCACTCCCGGGATTCAAGTGATTCTCCTGACTCAGCCTCCCGAGTAGCTGGGATTACAGGCACCTGCCACCGCACCCGGCCAGTTTAACTTTTTAATAAATAAAACTGAAAAAATGTTTGATCTATTTAGGGGGTACAGGTACAGGATTTCTACGTGCATATGTTGTGGAATGCTGAGGTCTTGGCTTTGAGTGTAGCCATGATTCAAATAGTGAACATTGTACTCAATAGGAAAATTTTCACCCCTCACCCTCTTCCCATCCTCCCATCTTTTGGAGTCTCCAATATCTGTTGTTCCCCATGTCTACCTATTGTTTAACTCCTATGCATGAGAACATTCAGTATTTGACTTTGTTTCTGAATTATTTCACTGAGGATAATGGCCTCCAGTTCTATCCACAGTGCTGCAAAAGATATGATTTCATTCTATTTGTGGCTGAGTCATGTTCCATGGTGTACATGTACCACATTTTCTTTACCCAGTCATCTGCTGATGGACACTTAGGTTGATTCCATATCTTTGCTACCATGAATAGTGCTGTGATACACATATGAGTACAGGTACTTTTTTTTTTTTAACTTTTTGAGATGGAGTTTCGCTCTTGTTGCCCAGGCCAGAGTGCAATGGCGCGATCTCAGCTCACTGCAACCTCCACCTCCCAGGTTCAAGTGGTTCTCCTGTCTCAGCCTCCCGAGTAGCTGGGACTACAGGTGCACACCTCCACACCCGGCTAATTTTTGTAATTTCTGTAGAGATGGGGTTTCATCATATTGGTCAGGCGAGTTTCATCATATTGGTCAGGCTGGTCTTGAACTCCTGACCTCAGGTGATCTGCCTGCCTCAGCCCCACAAAGTGCTGGGATTACAGGTAAGTACAGGTACTTTTTGATATATAGATTTCTTTCCCTTTGGGTAGGTACCTAGTAGTGAGATTGCTGGTTGAACGGCAGTTCTATTTTTAGTTCTTTGATAAATCTCCATACTGTTTTCTGTAAGGGTTGTAATAATTTACATTCCCACCAACAGTGTATAAGTGTTCCCTTTTCTCTGCATCATCACCAATATCTGTTGTTTTCTGACTTTTAATTTTATACTTATTTTTATAGAGATGGGGTCTCATGTTGTCCAGGCTGGTCTCAAACTCCTGACCTCAAGTGATCTGCCCACCTCGGTCTCCCAAAGTGTGGGATTACAGGCATAAACCACCACACCTGACTGTTTTCTGACTTTTTACTAAATAGCATGTGCTTGGGTGCGGTGGCTCATGCCTGTAATCCCAGCACTTTGGGAGGCCAAGGCGGGAGGATAACTTGAGATCAGGAGTTTGAGACCAGCCTGGCCAACATGGTGAAACCCCACCTCCACTAAAAGTACAAAAATTAGCTGGGCGTGGTGGCAGGTGCCTGTAATCCCAGCTACTCGGGAGGCTGAGGCAGGAGAATCTCTTGAATCTGGGAGGTGGAAGTTGCAGTGAGTCGAGATTGAATTACTGCTCTCCAGCCTGGGTGACAGAGCAAGGCTCCCTCATAATAACAATAGTAGTAGTAATAATAATAATAATGGCATGTGTCCTTCTTCAGCATGACCTTAACATTGCTCCCATGGTGAGGTCGGGTCTGTGCTCCTCCCCCTTGAATTCAAGAAGGTCTGTGACTGGCAGAAGTGATTCAAGCTAGGTCATAAAAGGTGACACCATTTCTCCGTGGTCTTCCCAGGATGCTTGCTCTTTGAACTCAGCCATCATGCTGTGAGGAAGCCCAGATCACAAGGAGAGGCCACATTTTGATGTTCCAGTCAACAGTCCCAGCACAGGTTTCAGATGACAGCCAACATCAGTTGCCAGACATGAGACTGAAGAAGGCTTTGTGAAGACTCCAGCCCCAGCCACTACAACAGCATGAGAGACCCCAAGTGAAAATCACCTGCCTGAACCCATCAACTCCCAGAACCATGAAAATAAAAAACTTTTTTTTTTCCAGATGGAGTTTCACTCTTGTTGCCCAGGCTGGAGTGCAATGGCATAATCTCAGCTCACTGCAACCTCCACCTCCCAGGTTCAAGCAATTCTCCCGCCTCAGCCCCCCGAATAGCTGCGATTACAGGTGTGCGCCACCACACCCGGCTAATTTTGTATTTTTAATAGAGACGGGGTTTCTCCATGTTGGTCAGGCTTGTCTCGAACTCCTAACCTCAGGTGATCTGCCCGCCGTGGCCTCCCAAATTGCTGGGATTACAGGTGTGAGCCAACATGCCCCACAAGATTGTTATTTTAAGCACCTAAAGTTTTGGGGTTATATATTACACAGTAAGAGTAAGTTAAATATCCTCCTGTCCTTCTAGCTTTTCAAATCTCTTACTCACCCAAACCTAGTCTCTCTCTGAACACCTGCTCTGCTTTAATCAATGTTTTCCCCATAGACCCAGCGAGAGGTAGGTTGGGTTATCTTCCTACTCTTCATGGCTGCTGAGAGACCATTTCTTCTTCTTCTTCTTTTCTTCTTTCTTCTTCTTCTTCTTTCCTTCTTTCTGCCTCCTCCTCCTTCTTCTCCTTCTTTTTCTACCTCTTCCTCTTCCTCCTCCTCCTTCTTCTTCCTCCTCCTTCTTCTTCTTCCTCTTCCTCCTCCTCCTCCTCTTCCTCCTCAACAGGGTCTCACCTCCTCAGGCTCAAGTGATTCTCCCACCTCAACCTCCTGAGTAGCTGAGACCACAGGCACATGTCACTGTACCCGATTGGTTTCTTTTTATTTTTTGTAGAGATGGGGTCTCACTATGTCACTCAGGCCAGCCTCAACCTCCTGGGCTCAAGTGATCCTCCTGCCTTGGCCTCCCAGAGTGTTGGGATTACAGGTATGAAGAACTGTGCCCAGCCTCATTTTTCATCTTCTTTAGCTAACCTAACTGTCTCTGTGTTCTCCAGCATTCTATTCCCTTGAATACTCAATCTCCTGTGTGGCTGCTGCAAGTCCTGGGATCTTTTTAGGATTCCCTCTCTAAGGGCCATTTATTTATTTATTTATCTATTTATCTATCTATTTATTTATTTATTTATTTGAGACGGAGTCTCGCTCTGTCGCCCAGGCTAGAGTGCAGTGGCGTGATCTCGGCTCACTGCAAGCTCTGCCTCCCGGGTTCATGCCATTCTGCCTCAGCCTCCCGAGTAGCTGGGAATACAGGCGCCCACCACCACGCCCGGCTAATTTTTTGTATTTTTAGTAGAGACAGGGTTTCACTGTGTTAGCCAGGATGGTCTCAATCTCCTGACCTCTCCCACCTGCCTCGGCCCCCCAAAGTGCTGGGATTACAAGCAGAAGCCACCGCGCCCGGCCGGGCCATTCATAAAGTGGTGCGTTAATTTGCCCACAGTCCGCAGTCCACATTGCAGCCAACAGCAAAGCCAAACGCCAGCTGTGCCTGGATCTCCCTACATACCACATTCACCCTTATCTCGCATACATTTCCTTCACTATGCTAGGACAAGAACACTTTTGACCTAATCAATGCACATGTTCTCAGTTCAAAGTAAAACACATAATAAATAACCCCCTCCATGATGCTCACCTCCTGGTGAGTCTCTGTGTTAAAAGCAATTGTCTTCAAATCTAACTCCTGTGAATGTTTATACTTCTGTTTATTCTAAAACTCCCTAATTAGAGACTTCCCAGTATCTTGCAATTCCTCAACAAGTCATAGGGAGCCCAGGAATAAATTATTAAAAAATAATTAGCAATAGGCTTTACCTTGTTTTATCATTTAGTTGGTGATCTTTTCCAATTTAATTAGTCTTGCTGATATAGAAAACATTTTTAGAAGAGGCCTGTTGGGTTAAGAACAAGGCTCTTTCTAGCTGTTCTACAGAAGAAGGAGGAGGAGGAGGAGGAAGGAGAAGGAGAAGAAAGAAAAAGAAAAAGAAACAAGGCCCATTTTAGGAAACTTTTAGCCATGAGTAGAACACAGCCGAGGAAAACTCTGTTTTACATAAGAAATATATTTTGGCTAGGCACGGTGGCTCCTGCCTGTAATCCTAGCACTTTGGGAGGACAAGGCAGGCAGATCACCTGAGGTCAGGAGTTTGAGATCAGCCTGGCCAACATGGTGAAACCCTGTCTCTACTAAAAATACAAAAATTAGCGGGCGTGGTGGTGGGTGCCTGTAATCGCAGCTACTTGGGAGGCTGAGGCAGGAGAATTGCTTGAACCCGGGAGGTGGAGGTTGTGCCACTGCACTCCAGCCTGGGTGACAGAGCGAGACTCCATCTCAAAAAAGAAAAAAGAAACAGATTTCACGAAAGCACATTTAATGCAGGCAAATTTTGAGCATCAGAGAAATTGGTCTGGATTAAGTCCAGAGATACAGCATTGCTTTGGTTACAAGAATGGTTTGGAATCCCAGCTCTACTGCTTTAATAACTGCCTGTGCCTAGCAAGGTACTTAACCCCTCAGTATCTTCTCCAAAAAATGGGGATGGCAGTAGTACAGTGGTCCATGCCTCAGAGTGTTTGACGAGAATCAATTACATGGTGGCGGGCACATAATTAGTGCTCAATAAATGCTGTAGCTATTATCTTCATTCTTGTCTCTATGGGTGAAAGAAAAATGGCCGGGCGCAGTGGCTCATGCCTGTAATCCCAGCACTTTGGGAGGCTGAGGTGGGTGGATCATGAGGTCAGGAGATCAAGACCATCCTGGCTAACATGGTGAAACCCTGTCTCTACTAAAAATACAAAAAAAATTAGTTGGGCGTGGTGGCGGACGCCTGCAGTCCCAGCTACTTGGGAGGCTGAGGCAGGAGGCAGGAGAATGGCGTGAACCCGGGAGGTGGAGCTTGCACTGAGCTGAGATCGCGCCACTGCACTACAGCCTGGGCGACAGAGCAAGACTCCGTCTCAAAAAAAAAAAAAAAAGAAAAGAAAAAAGAAAAAAAGAAAAATGCAATACTGGATCAGATTAAATTCTTCCAGAAGCTGGCCGGGTGTGGTGGCTCACACTTCTAATCCCAGAACTTTGGGAGGCCAAGGGGGGCGGATCACCTGAGTTCAGGAGTTCAATACCAGCCTGGCCAGCGTGGTGAAACCCTGTCTCTACTATAAATACAAAAATTAACTGGGCATGTTGGCGGGTACCTGTAATCTCAGCTACTCAGGAGGCTGAGGCCAGTGAATTGCTTGAACCAGGGAGGCGCATGTTGCAGTAAGCTGAGATCACGCCACTGCATTCCAGCCTGGGCGACAGAGAGAGACCCTATCTCAAGAAAAGCAAAACATATAAAAAATTTTTTAAATACAGATTTTTGGGCTTTGTTTCATAGGTGATTCCCACCAGCAGAGAGACCTAAGAATGTGTATTTTTATCAAGCCCTCTAGTGACCTTTATGATCAGGCAAACTCAGGTAATAACATTGATTGTAGGGTTGGTGAGTGCTTATTTTCCAGGTTAAAATGATACTGGACATAGAGCAGCAGTTCTCAAATTTTAATGTGCTTAAGAATCACCAGGAAAGTTGTTAAAAATTAGATATCCAGAGATTTAGACATCCAGAGATTTAGATTCAGAGCTCTGGGAGACACTCAAAAATTTGCATTTTTAACCAGTTTCTTCTCTCTAGGGTAAGTCATTCAGAGGCACTTGTCTTCATCCATTCTGTGCTGCTATAACAGGTAATTTATAATGAACAGAAATTTATTTGGTTCAGGGTTCTGGAGGTTGATGAAGTCCAAGTAGAGGGGCTACATCTGCTGAGGGCCTTCTTGCTGTGGCAGACAATGGCAGAAAGTATCATATCATGAGAGAGAGCAGAAAGGGGACCGAGCTCATCCTTCATAAGGAACCCACTCACATCATAATGAACCCCACTCCCACAATAACGGCATTCATCCATTCCTGAAGGCAGAGTCTTCATGACCCAATCACCTCTTAAAGGTCCTACCTGTCAACATTATTGCATTGGGGATTAGGTTTCCAACACGTGAACTTTGGGGGATACATTCAAGCAATAGCATTCTGCCCCTGACCACCCAAATTCATGTACTGCTCACATGCAAAATACATTCATTCTATCCCAATAGCTCCAAAAGTCTTAACTTGTTTCAGGAGGACCACCTCAAAAGTTTAAAGTTCAGAGTCTCATCTAAATCAGATATGGGTGAGAACCAGGGCACAATTCATCCTGAGGCAAATTTTCCTCCAGCTGTGAGCATGTGAAATTAAAAAAAAAAAAAAAAGTGATGTGCTTCCAAAATACAATGGTAGGACAGATATAGGGTAGACGTTTTTTCTTTTCTCTTCTCTTCTCTTTTCTTTTCTTTTCTTTTCTTTTCTTTTTGAGATGGAGTTTGCTCTTGTTGCCCAGGCTGGAGTGCAATGGCGCGATCTTGGCTCACTGCAACCTCCACCTCCCAGGTTCAAGTGATTCTCCTGCCTCACCCTCCTGAGTAGCTGGGATTACAGGCATGAGCCACCGTGCCCAGCAGACGTTTTCATTTCAAAAAGGAGAAATAGGCCCAAAGAAGTAACAGGCCCAAAGTAAGTCCAAACCCAACACGGCAGACAAATTAAATCTTAAGACTCCAGAATAATCTTTTATTTCCTGCACTGCTACCTGGATACATCAGGAGGGTTGAGTCCCCAAAGCCTAGAGCAGCCCTGCCCCTCCAGAGCTAGCACTATAGGGCTACTATACTGCTGTGGCCACTGGGCTCAGTTCACACAGCAGCTCTCATGGGTTGAAGTATCATGCCTTCAGCTCTCCCAGGCTGGAGTTGCACATTATTCACTCTGTAGGTCAGCCAGGTGCAGTGGCTCACACCTGTAATCCCAGCACTTTGGGAGGCCGAGGCAGACGGATCACCTGAGGTCAGGAGTTTGAGACCAGCCTGGCCAACATGGTGAAACCCCATCTCTACTAAAAATACAAAAATTAGCTGGGCATGGTGGCGCACACCTGTAATCCCAGCTACTCGGGAGGCTGAGGCAGGAGAATCGCTTGAACCCAGGAGGTGGGGGTTGCAGTGAGCCAAGATTGTGCCACTTCATTCCAGCCTGGGTGACAGAGCAAGACTCTGTCTCAAAAAACAAGCAAACAAACAAAAAACTCTACAGTTCTTGGATCTCAGAGGTGGCCCCACTCTCACAGCTCCATTAGGCATTGCCCTGGTGGGGGCTCTCTGCAGTAGCTCCACCTCTGTGTCAAACTTCTGCCTGGGGCTCCCGACTGCTCAATACATGTTTTGAAATCTAGGTGGAGGCCACCATAGCCCCACAGCTTATACTCTGCACATATGCTGAGTTAGCACCATGTGGATGCCACCATGGTTTATAATCCTTCATCTTCTGGAGTGGTGGCTGGACCCACTTAGGCCATTGAAGTTCGTTGTATTCGTCCATTCTCACACTGCTAATAAAGACATACCTGAGACTACGTAATCTATAAAGGAAAGAGGTTTAATGGACACTGTTCAGCATGGCTGGGGAGGCCTCACAGTCGTGACGGAAGGCAAAGGAAGGCTGAAGGCACATCTTACATGGCAGCAGGCAAGAAAGCGTGTACAGAGGAACTGACCTTTTATAAAACCATCAGATGTCATGAGACTTATTCACTACAGCATGGGAAACACCTGCTCCCATGATTCAATTACCTCCTACTGGGTCCCTGCCACAACACCTGGGGATTATGGGAGCTAAAATTCAAAATGAGATTTGGGTGGGGACACAGCCAAACCATATCACTGATTTTTCCCCAGGTTCCCCCATATAAGTCAGTGGATGCAGATGGATACTTGTGACAAAGGGCACCATTGAAGTCCAGACACTAAATATGCTGAAGTCCCAGCTCCTGCCCTGCCAGGATACCCTGTCCCACCTGCCAGGACCTCCCCTCAACCACCTCCCTGTTCAGGTCAGGAGATGCCCATATATTCAAGAGAGAGTTTTCATAATTTTCTTTTCTTTTCTTTTCTTTTTTTAGACAGAGTCTTGCTCTGTTGCCCAGCCTGGAGTGTAGTTGCATGATCTCAGCTCACTGCAACCTCCATCTCACGGGTTCAAGCGATTCTCATGCCTGAGCCTCCTCAGTAGCTGGGATTACAGGCACACACCACCATGCCCAGTTCATTTTTTGTATTTTTAGTAAAGGCAGGGTTTTGCCATGTTCTCCAGGCTGGTCTCGAACTCCTGACCTCGAGTGATCTGCCCCCCTTGGCCTCCCAAAGTGCTGGGATTACAGGCGTGAGCAGCCCAGCCAGTTTTCATAATTTTCTTTACTTCCACTGTGGTGGGAGAACTGGCTTCAGAGAAAGCCATCCTTTACAGATGAGGTGGCCCCACCAGGAACAGGTTTCAATCAGGTGTTTTGGAGGCAGTGATGCCTGTGAACCCTGGTGAGAAGGAGCGTGGCATGAACATCAGGAACCAGACTTCACCCTGGAGAAGGAGAGGCCACAGGTGGGGCTGAAGGAGCAGTTCTCACAAGCAATCCTGTGGGCACTGGGGCCACACCACGCACCTTTGTGCACAAGTGTCAATGTGGCTCAGAGTGGGGTGGAGGACTCAGGGTATTAAAAGCATCAAGGAATCCAGGGGAGAGCCACCGCACCCAACTTTACTTTCACCCGCAGGCTGATGCAGCCTGAGGAAATGTTACTCCACAACGACCTCAATTCTACACACAGAACCTGTTCGCCAGGCCCTTGCCACAGGCTGTCATCTCAAAATGGGGGCCGTCAAGGCTTGTTAGAATACCTGGTACTGAGAGGAAAATTATATATATATATATATATATATATATATATATATATATATATATATATATATATATATATATTTTTTTTTTTTTTTTTTTTTTTTTTTTGAGATGGAGTCTTGCTCTGTAGCCCAGGCTGGAGTGCAGTGGTGTGATCTCGGCTCACTGCAAGCTCTGCCTCCCGGGTTCACGCCATTCATTCTCCTGTCTCAGCCTCCCGAGTAGCTACAGGTGCCCGCCACTATGCTCGGCTAATTTTTTTATATTTTTAGTAGAGACGGGGTTTCACCGTGTTAGCCAGGATGGTCTTGCTCTCCTGACCTCGTGATCTGCCCGTCTCGGCCTCCCAAAGTGCTGGGATTACAGGTATGCGCCACCAGGCCTGGCTAATTTTTGTATTTTTAGTAGAGACAGGATTTCACCATGTTGGCTAGGCTGATCTCGAACTCCTGGTCTCAGGTAATCCTCCCGCCTCGGCCTCCCAAAGTGCTAAGATTACAGGCGTGAGCCACTGCGCCCAGCCTAATTTGAACATTTTAAAATCTTGTTTTAATGTTGAAATAAAATCTCAAGTTGGTTTTTAAAAAGCTCTGTCTGAGTTGTGATGACTCACATCTGTAATTTCAGTACTTTGGGAGGCTGATGTGGGAGGAACCCCCAGGAGTTCAAGACCAGCCTGGGCAACATAGGGATACCCAGTATCTCTATAATAATAATAATAATAATAATAATAATACAAAAATTAACCAGGTCTGGTGGTGGGCACCTGTGATCCCAGCTACTTGGGAGGCTGAGGCAGAAGGATCGCTTGAGCCTGGGAGGTCAGGGTTGCAGTGAGCTGAGACTGCACAACTGCACTCCAGCCTGGGCAACAGAGTGAGACCCTGACTCAAAAAAAAAAAAAAATAGTGCTTAGTGCCACATGCCAGGAACCACGATGACAACAAGTCAGAAGGGTGTTAAGTCAGGGACCACCAAGAGCTGGCGGGGAGTCTGACTGCGGGGACCCTGCCCTTTTCCAGAAGGTGAAGGTGCAGAGAAGCTCGAAAGGATCACGACTTCTCACCCTGGCCCTGAACCCACTCACATCAGCAGCTCTCAGCATAGCCAACTGGACAGCTCGCACCAATAAATTAAACCTTATTTCTTGCCGGCACAGTGGCTCATGCCTGCAATCCCAGCACTTTGGGAGGACCAAGTGAGAAGATCACTTGAGTCCAGAAGTTCAAGACCAGCCTAGGCAACATAGTGAGACCCTGCCTCTAAAGAAAATTACGTGGGAGCTGTGGCATGTGCCTGTGATCCCAGTTACTCGGGAGGCTGAGGCAGGAGGATCTCTTGAGCTCAGGCGGTTGAGGCTGCAGTGAACTACCGCACAGCGGCACTCCAGCCTGGAGAACAAAGCAAGACCTTGTCTTATAACAAAATAAAAAAGAAGCAAGCCAGCAGGTCTAATCCATACTTAAGAGGAGGGTATCAGCCAGGCTGATATCCTCCCAAGCTACCTGGGAGACTGACACATGAGAATCACTTGAACCTGGGAGGTGGAGGTGGCAGTGAGCTGAGATCACGTCACTGCACTCCAGCCTGGGCGACAGAGCAAGACTCCACCTCAAAAAAAAAAAAAAAGAAAGAAAGAAAAGAAAAGCCCCTTCGGACTGAGTCATCTGCACAATGCCTGAATTCCTGCTATAGCCCCGGCTGATTGGCTTTTCGTTCTACGTCTGCATAGTAACATGGTTAGAAAAGATATCCTAGTTATGTTGCAATGAAAAATGTCTACCTGTAACACTCACTATTTCTTGCAGGTACCTATAACCTGTGGAAAGGGTGAAAAGCTCAGAGAATTCTATTGTCTATTTTATTTTATTTATTTTTGAGGCAGGGTCTTGCTCTGTCATCCCAGTTGGAGTGCAGTGGCATGATCATAGCTCACTGCAGCCTCAAACTCTTGGGCTCAAACAGTTCTGCCTTAGCCTCCCAAGTAGCTAGGACTACAGATTTGCACCACCACACCCGGCTATTTGTTTGTTTGTTTGGTAGATATGGGGGTCTCACTATGTTAGCCAGTCTGGTCTCAAACTCTTGGACTAGAGTGATCCTCCCACCCTGGCCTCCCAAACAGATGATGGGATTACAGGCCTGAGCCACCATGCCTGGCCATCTACTCTAAATGTTAGTTAACTGCTTTGATGGGCTGGGCGCGGTGGTTCATGCCTGTAATCCCAGCACTTTGGGAGGCTTGAGTCGAGCGGATCACGAGGTCAGGAGTTTGAGACCAGCCTGGTTAACATAGTGACACCCCATCTCCACTAAAAATACAAAAAACTAGCTGGGTATGGTGGTGGGTGCCTGTAATTCCAGCTACTTGGGAGGCTGAGGCAGGAGAATTGCTCGAACCCGGAGGTTGCAGTAAGCCGGGATCGCACCACTGCACTCCAACTCGGGCAACAGTGAGAGACTCCGTCTCAAAAAAAAAAAAACACCCCAAAAACTGCTTTGATGAAAGCTAAAGAGTAAACTGTAAATAAAAATTAGGCCTAATTTTTTGTTTGTTTTTTGTTTTTGTTTTTGAGACCAAGTCTCACTCTGTCGCCCAGGCTGGAGTGCAGTGGCATGATCTCGGCTCATTGCAGCCTCTACCTTTCAGGTTTAAGTGATTCTCATGCCTCAGCCTCCCAAGTAGCTGGGATTACAGATGCCTGCCACCATGCCCGGCTAATTTTTGTATTTTTAGTAGAGACAGGCTTTCACCATGTTGGCCAGGCTGGTCTCGAGCTCCCGACCTCAAACAATCCACCCACCTCGGCCTCCTAAAGTGCTGGGATTATAGGTGTGAGCCACCATGCCCAGCCAAGATTAGGTCTAATTTTTAAAGTCACCTGGAGCATAGAAAATGTTTCTGCAATTATTAATCTACTTTTTTTTTTTTTTTTGAGACAGGGTCTCACTCTGTCACCCAAGCTGGAGTGCAGTGGTATGATCATGGGTCACTAAAGCCTCACCCTCTTGGGCTCAAGCAAGATCTTCCTGCCTCAGCCTTCCAAGAGCTGGGATTACATGTATGCACCACCACGCCCAGCTAATTTTTAGTTCTTGTAGAGACAGAGGTCTCACTATGTTGCCCAGACTGGTTCTGAACTCTTGGGCTTGAGAGATCCTCCCACCTTGGCTTCCCCAAATGCTGGGATTACAGGCATGAGCCACCACACCTGGCCTCACATATTTTGACGTCTAAAACACCAAAGATATTTTTAAGGAGCTGAACAAACCAGTAATTTTTAAAGAAAAAAGTAGTGGGAGCATCTAGTACAACCAAAACCAGGCATCAAAGTCAGCAGTTAAACATTCCAGGCTGGGCACAGTGGCTCATGCCTGTAATCTCAACACTTTGGGAGGCCCAGGTGGGAGGATTGCTTGAGCCCTGGAAAGCGGAGGTTGCAGTAAGCCATGATCATGCCACTGTATTCCAGCCTGGAAGACACAGTGAAGCCCTGTCTCAAAAATAAAAGAACCAATAAATAAATCCAGAACCAGTGCTCACTTCGGCAGCACATATACTAAAATTGGCATGACATGGAGAAGATGAGCATGGTACCTGGGAAAGTATGACACACAAATTCATTAAGCATTTCATATTTTTAAAAAACATTTCGGAACCAAGAAAATAAATGAATCAAAAGAAAGGGAAGACCCTGGTGATTCCTTTGATATTAGAAAAAATCAGCCAGGCGTGGTGGCTCATGCCTGTAATCCCAGCAATTTGGGAGGCCGAAGCGGGCGGATCACTTTAGGTCAGGAGTTCAAGACCAGCCTGGCCAACATGGTGAAACTCCGTATCTACTAAAAGTACAAAAATTAGGCTGGGTGTGGTGGCTCACACCTGTAATCCCAGCACTTTGGGAGGCCGAGGGGGGTGGATCACCTGAGGTGAGGAGTCCAAGACCAGCCTGGCCAACATGGCACCACTGCACTCCAGCCTGGGCAACAGAGTGAGACTCTGCCTTGAAAATAATAATAATAATAAAAATAATCAATTGCAGATAGACCATAGACCTAAATGTGAAGAGGTAAAAACAATAAATCTTTTAGAATTGCTCTGTTCATGTATGGCTATTGAGCACTTGAGATGTGCTATTAAGTGTAAAATTTGCACTGGATTTTAAGCACTTAGTAGGAAAAAAAACTAAAAATATCTCAATTTTAACATTACAATTTTGAAATAATAATTTGGATATACTGAGTTAAACACTACTAAAATTAGTTTTATCTGATTATTTTTGTTCTTTTAATGTGGATACTAGATCATTTTAAATTGCATATGTGGCTTACTTCCTATTTCTATTGGACAGCACTAATGTAGAAGGTAATAAAAGATATATACTTTCAGGACGTCAAATTAGGAAAAGGTGTGTTAAATTGTATTTCAAAAGCATGAATCAGGCCAGGCGTGGTGGCTCACACCTATAATCCCAGCACTTTGAGAGGCTGAGGCAGGCAGATCACTTGAGGTTGGGAGTTCGAGATCACCCTGACCAACATAGTGAAACCCTGTCTCTACTAAAAATACAAAATTATTTGGGCATGGTGGCGCATGCCTGTAATCCCAGCTATTCAGAAGGCTGAGGCAGGAGAATCGCTTGAACCCAGGAGACAGAGGTTGCCGTGAGCCGAGATCCCAGCCTGGGCAACAAGAGTGAAACTCCATCTCAAAAAAAAAAAAATCCATGAATCATAAAGGAAAAGACTAATAGATTAATATTTGACCACACTGAAATTTTGCTGTCAAAAAGACGTAATTGAAAGACTAAAAAGCCACAGACAGGAAAATACATTTGTAGCGCCTACAAGTCTCAAAGCACTTATGCCAATAATATATAAACTCCAGCCAACTGATAAAGAAAAGACAACCCAATAGAAACATAGGAAAACATCCGGAAAAGATGCTTCACAAAAGAGAATCGTTAAATGACCAGTAAACATAAAAAAGTGTTCAGCCTCATTAATAAATCAGAAAATGCACATTAAAACCATAATGAGATACCACTACAAACCCACCAGAATTACTATAATTAAAAGAGTCGACAAGACTGTGGAGCAACAAAGATATATATTTATTCTTGTTTTTAGATGTCTCTCTCTCTATATAAATGTGCACCCAGAGACATCTAAAAACAATGGTCATGACAGTATTATTTGTAATAGCCCAGGTTGAAACAACCCAGTGTCCATTAGCAGTTGAAGGAC
The DNA here is from genome assembly GCF_000001405.40 of Homo sapiens. Taxonomy (NCBI): domain Eukaryota; kingdom Metazoa; phylum Chordata; class Mammalia; order Primates; family Hominidae; genus Homo; species Homo sapiens. The sequence goes on from NC_000007.14 coordinate 55,791,079, forward strand.
TAAATAAATGGTGGTATATCACAGAAGGGCACAGTACATAGTAATGAAAAAAAAGAAACCACAGCTATATATAATAGCATAAATGAATTTCACAAGCATAATGTTGAGCAAAAGAAGCCAAACACAAAAGCATGCAAACTGCATAATTCCATTTATATAAGGTAAAAACAAAAACAAACCCAGCTAAGGTGATCTACAGTTTTAGAAGTCAGGATGGGGGTTCCCTTGAGGAGGAAAGAGAAGACAATGTTGGCCGGGCACAGTGGCTCACACCTGTAATCCCAGCACTTTGGGAGGCCGAGGCGGATGGATTACGAGGTCAGGAGATCGAGACCAGCCTGGCTAACACAGTGAAACCCTGTCTCTACTAAAAATGCAAAAAATTAGCTGGAAGTGGTGGCGGGCACCTGTAGTCCCAGCTACTCAGGAGGCTGAGGCAGGAGAATGGCATGAACCCAGGAGGCGCAGCTTGCAGTGAGCCGAGATCGCCACTGCTCTCCAGCCTGGGTGACAGAGCAATAATCCATCTCAAAAAAAAAGAGAAGACAATGTTTGGGAAGGGGTATGGGGGGATTCTGGGGTGCTGTTAATGTTCTATTTCATGACTTGTGTGTTAAAAATGTGTATTTTGGGCTGGGCGCAGTGGCTCACACCTGTAACCCCAGCACTTTGGGAGGCCAAGGCAGGTAGATCACCTGAGGTTAGGAGTTCAAAACCAGCCTGGCCAACATGGTGAAACCCTGTCTCTACTAAAAATACAAAAAATTAGCTGGGCATGGTGGCAGTGCCTGTAATCCCAGCTACTCGGGAGGCTGAGGCAGGAAAATCACTTGAACCCAAGGGTGGGAGGTTGCAGTGAGCCGAGATCACACCACTGCACTCTAACCTGGGCAACAAGAGCAAAACTCTGTCTCAAAAAAAGTGTATTTTGTGATGAATTTGTATGATCTATATATTTTTGAGGAAAGCGCCTTCCTGTGATGCACAATAAAAAGGTTTTGTTTTTATTTTGTATTATTTCAAAATATTTTTAAAATTTAATATCTAAATATACTATTTTAGATATTCAAAATTTCTGATGATGGCTTCACTTTTGCATCATAACATCTTTGCAATTAAATCAATTAATGTGATTAAATCAATCCATTTTTGTAGTTGGGTTGGTTCTGTGATTGCGTCATTGTGTGCCCCGACAGTCTTTAAGAGTGCCAATAAGTATATATATGTGTAATTTTTAAAAACAATTTTATAATTTCAACTTTTATTTTAGATTCAGAGAGTACATGTGCAGGTTTGTTACGTGAGTATTTCGCATGATGCTGAGGTTGGGGGTATGAACGATCCCATCCCCAGATAGTGAGCATGGTACCCAATAGGTGGCTTTTCTGCCCTTGCCTTCCCCCTCTCTTCCCTCTACCCCCTCTAGTAGCACCCTGTGTCTGCTGCCCCATCTTTATGTCCATATGTACCCAAAGTATGTCCATATGTCCCACTTGTAAGTAAGAACATGCAGCATTTGGTTTTCTGTTTCTATGTTAATTCTCTTAGGATCAGGGCCTCTGGTTGCATCCATGTTGCTGCAAAAGACATGATCTCATTCTTTTTTATGGCTGTGTAGTATTTTACAGTGTATATGTACCACATTTTCTTTATCCAGTCCACCACTGATGGGCATATAAGTTGACTTCATGTCTTTACCATTGTGAATAGTGCTGCGATAAACATACAAGTGCATGTGCCTTTTTGGTAGAATGATTTATTTTCTTTTGGGTCTATACCAAGTAATGAGATTGCTGGGTAAATGGTAGTCCTGAGCAGACTGTTTGAGGCCAGGAGTTTGTGACCAGCCTGGGCAACATGGCAAAACCCCATCTCTACTAAAAATACAAAGAAATTAGCTGGGCATAGTGGCACATGCCTGTAGCCCCAGCTACTTGGGAGGCTGAGATGGGAGAATCACTTGAACCCAAGAGACGGAGGTTTCAGTGAGCTGAGATCACACCACTGCACTCCAGCCTGGGTGACAGAGCAGGACTCTGTCTCAAAAAACAAAAAAAAGACAATGTGAGAATCTTAAAAGCTCAGAGAGAAGAGTAACTCTCACAGACAAGGGATCCGGTTAACATTAGCAGCTGATTTCTCAGCAGAAAACTTGGAAGGCCAGTAGATAGTGGATTATATATTTAAAATAATGAAGAAACATGTCAATTGAGAAGTCTATAGCTGGAAAACCTGTCCTTCAAAAATGAGGGAGAAATTAAGACATTTCCAGCTTTTTTTTAAAAGCTGAGAAATCCATTTATCTCTAAATTTGCCATACAAGAAGTGTTAAAGTCCTTCAGGTTGAAATAAATGAACTCTAGGCAGTAATTATATAAGTAAATAAGCAAGTTATATGAATATATAAAGCCCTCTGGTAAAGGTAAATACATAAACAAACATAAAAACAGTATTATTGTAATTTTGGTTTGTAACTCCGCTTTTTATTTTCTACAGGATTTAAAAGACAAATGCATAAAATGTAATTATAAATCTGTTAGGTGGTGTACAATGAATAAAGATACAATTTGTTACATCAATAACCTAAAAAGAGTAGACCTATATAGCAGTAGAATTTTGGTATGTGATTGAAGTTAAGTTGAAATAAATTCAAATCAGAATGTTATAACTCCAGGATGTTATATGTAATTTTCATAGTAACCAAAAACGAAATCTACATAGAATATACACAAAAGGAAATGAGAATAGAAACAAAACTTGTCACTACAAAAAAAATCAACTAAAGATAAAAGAAGTAAATAATTGAGAAAATGACTGGCAAAAATCAGTAACTGACGTATTAAAACTTTCCATGCTACATAAATCTGGAAACTCTATTTCACATGAAACTGGAGCTGAAAGAGACAAATATTTACTTATAAAGTTAAAAGTTATATGGAAAACCAACACTAATTTTTTTTAGAAAAAATTATGGAAAATAAAAATATGCCTTATAGTATCATATAATATCATGTTTTATAGCTCTTGGAAAATAGAAAATAAAATGTTCTGTTAGCATGAATCCTTCTGTGCCCTCAAAAACCCTATGGATTATACCATTATTACCTAAAAAGTCTATTCTCAAATGCAGCACAATGATAATTTTTATAAGGTAGATGTTATTTTTAAATATGGAATAATATTGGTGATTTCAGTTTCAGTTTTAATAACATTGGATTAAGATGAAAGAATGAGAAGATAAAGGTCCCTCAGCAATATAACTCACAAACATGTTCAGAAGCAGTAAGAAGTTACATTAATTATCTTTTGAAAGTCAATAATCTACATTTTTAATGTATGCATATGGCATAGCTAATGTACTATTGCTGGGTCCATTTATTCAATGAATAATTGCTGCTATGCGTCAGACATTTTTCTAGGCCTAGGAATGGATACATAAGTGAACAAAGCAAAGATTCTGGTTCTTGTAGAGTTTCCATTAAAAGATCATTTAGTAAAATTTTTCTTCCCCCAAATTATAAAATCTGTAAGATGATTTAACAATATGTATAAAAGTCATTGTGGGTCAGGCACAGTGGCTTATACCAGGTGTGGTGACTCAGCGCTCTGTCACCCAGGCTGGAGTGCAGTGGCGCAATCTCTGCTCACTACAACCTCTGCCTCCTGGCTACAAGCGATTCTCCTGCCTCAGCTTTCCGAGTAGCAGGGACTACAGGTGCACAACACCACACCCGGCTAACTTTTGTATTATTAGTAGAGATGGGGTTTCGTCATGTTGGCCGGGCTGTTCTCAAGCTCCTGACCGCAAGTGATCCGCCCACCTCGGCCTCCCAAAGTGCTGGGATTACAGGTGTGAGCCACCACACCTGGCCTTATTTTCTACAACTTTGATAACTTTGGCATATACCCCAAATCTGTAACACATAATATTATCATTCAAATGCAACTCTTTCTCTAGCTTTTGAATTCTTTATTCTAATATCAGTTTTAAGTCTGACACAAAAGCATGGGAGTTCTTATCAAATTCCAACCTTTTATCATAAAAACTGTCAAGAAATTATCAGTAGTAGAACTTAAAAAGGAAAATAGGCCTATTAATTAGATTTGTATAACTTAACATTTTATGCCTATGAGTCCCCAACAAAGCCTCCAGCTTCTATTTGGATATAAAAGTTAAAAGTCACTACTGGATCCAAAAGCAGGACTATGGTAAATAAATTTCTCCACCTAACCAGCTCCTTTTACATGATGCTACGTGTTTCTTTTGTTTTTTCATTTTGGCAAATATTGATTGAAAGTCATATTTGTGTTAGTGTACGTCCTAAGTGCCAAGATACAGAATCTGAAAAGAGGGACACAGGATCTGCCTTCTGGGAGTTCATACTTTTTTTTTTTTTTTTTTTTTTGAGGCGGAGTTTTGCTCTTGTCACCCAGGCTGGAGTACAATGGTGAGATCTTGGCTCACTGCAACCTCCACCTCCGGGGTTCAAGTGATTCTCCTGCCTCAGCCTCCCAAGTGGCTGGGATTACAGGTACCGGCCACCAAACCCAGCTAATTTTTGTATTTTTAGTAGAGGCAGGGTTTCATCATTTTGGTCAGGCTGGTTTTGAACTCCTGACCTCAGGTGGTCCACCCGCCTCAGCCTCCCAAAGTGCTGGGATTACAGGCATGAGCCACCACACCCCGCTAGGAGTTCACACTTTAGTTGGGGAAAATATACAATAAGCAAGCCAATTTTTAAAATGAGAACTTCAGAGTTAAATGCTACAAAGACAATCTCACAGGAAGTTGCGATGTAGAATGATAGGGCTCTCAGAATAGTAAGAGAAACTATTATTTCTTACGATGTTTGTCTTTCTTTGTATCGGTGCTCAGCTGAGTCTGCAGTGCTTCGGAGGCAGCTTTCATTTTATAAAAATCTATGATTTCTCCTTCCAGTTGTTTTTTCTCTTCCTCGAGCTTCCTTATCTCCTCCTGTTGAATCATTTTAAGATGCTCGAACTTGTCCTGCAGCTGTGAAACCAATGTGCAGTTGTGACACCAAAGCACAGTGTGGCTGAACACCCAAAAGAATATGCTTTTTTCTAAATATCAAACAAACCCAAATCATCACAGTAGAGCATGATCTTAATAACAACCTCAAAAACTCAGGAGTAAACACTGAGATATGGAATTTTTCTTTTCTTTCTTTTTTCCTTTTTTGAGATGGAGTCTCACTCTGCTGCCCAGGCTGGAGTGCAGTGGCGCGATCTCAGCTCACTGCAACCTCCATCTCCTGGTTCGAGTGATTCTCCTGCCTTAGCCTCCCGAGAAGCTGGGACTACAGGCATGCACCACCATGCCCAGCTAATTTTTGTATTTTTAGTAGAGACGGGGTTTCACCATGTTGGCCAGGCTGGTCTTGAACTCCTAACCTCAGGTGATCCTCCCGCTTTGGCCTCCCAAAGACTTTTTTTTAATATAGAAGCAAGGTCTCACTATGTTGCCCAGGCTGGTCTCAAACTCCTGAGCTCAAGTGATCCTCCCACCTCAGCTTCCCAAAGTGCTGGGACTGACTGGATGCAGTGGCTCATGCTTGTAAACTCAGCACTCTGGGAGGCCAAGGCAGAAGGATCGCTTGAGTCCAGGAGTTCAAGACCAGCCTGGGCAATGTAACACAATAGTAAACTTCAACAGGAGAGAGCATCTGTAAAATTGAATATAGATCATCTGAAATTATCCAGTGAGAGGACAAAGAAAAAAAGAATAAAAAAGAGAAAAGAAGGCTGGGCGTGGTGGCTCACACCTGTAATCCCAGCACTTTGGTAGGCCGAGGCAGGCAGATCACAAGGTCAGGAGTTCAAGACCAGCCTGGCCAACATAGTGAAACCCCGTCTCTACTAAAAATACAAAAAGTAGCTGGGTGTGGTGGTACATGCCTGTAGTCCAAGCTATTTGGGAGGCTGAGGCAGGAGAATCACTTGAACCCAGGAGGCGGAGGTTGCAGTAAGCCGAGACCGTGCCATTGCACTCTAGCCTGGGCAACAGAGAGAGACTCCATCTCAAAAAAAGAAAAAAAAAGAGAGAGAGAAAAGAAAGCCAATGAGACACCATTAGGCAAACCACTGTCAGGTTATGGGAGTCTGAGAAGGAAAGTAGAGAAAGGAGAAGAAAGCTTATATAAAGAAAGAATGGCTGAAAACTCTCTAAATCATGGGAAAGATTTAGACATCCAAATCCATGAAGCTTAAAGATTCCTAAAGAGGTTCAAACCAAATAGATACTCACCAAGTCACAATATAATCAAATAGTCAAAAGTCAAAGATTTTTTAAAATGTTGAAGAGGCAAGAGAAAAGTGGCATGACATAGACAAGAGAATCTTCATTAGACTATCAGCAGATTTCTCAGAAGGAACTTTGCAAGTCAGGAGAGAATCAAATAATACATTCAAAGTGCTGAAAGAAAAAACTGCCAGCAACTAATACTATGTCTGACAAAGCTAACCTTCAGAAAGAAAGAAGAAATAACATGTTTCCTCGACAAACAAAGCTGAGGGAATTCAGGACCACTAGGTGTACCTTAAAAGAAATGCTTAAGGGAGTTTTTCAAGTAAAAATGAAAGAATGCAGCTGGGCATGGTGGCTCATGCCTGTAATCCCAGCATTTTGGGAGGCCGAGGTGGGTGGATCACCTGAGGTCAGGAGGTCAAGACCAGCCTGGCCAACATGGCGAAACCCTATCTCTACTAAAAATACAAAAAATTAGCCAGGTGTGGTGGCAGCTGCTGAGATTGCACCACTGCACTCCAGCCTGGGTGACAAGAGCCAAACTGCATCTCAAACAACAACAACAACAAAAAACTTGAGGCCTGGCCTCCTACTCCCCTCCCACTCCCCTTCTCCAGGCCCAAGCCACCTTGGCTGAGGAGGGGGCTGAGGAAGTGTGAGCCCCTGCCAGGAACCCCTGCCCAGACCATGTACTCGGCCCACAGGCCCCTGATGCTTGCATTCAGCAAGGCCTCCCGTGGCCTCGGCATGTTCAGGTAGAGGAACGTGGAACCTCGCTCTTTGGCTGTGTTCCCCTGGTACTCCATCTCCTTCCTGACCCCTCCCTGCAGCCACGCAAAGCCCAGCAACCTGCCAGACACTCAGTGGCCTCCAACTAGACAAAAGAACCTGCTGAGTTGGCAGCTGTTGCTCATGAGCGTCCACCAGGTGGGACAGGGAGTGCTGACCCTGGGCGGCCCCCTGAAGCCACCTGCCCTGAAAGCCCAGGGCCCAGAACCCCACACACTTTGGGGGTGGTGGAACCTGGTAAGGGCCCACCTTCCACCATGGAGGAGGAGCCCTGGGCCCCTCAGGGGAGCCCCTGCTGGACAGTGAGACAGAGAATGACCACAATGATGCTTTCCTCTCCGTCATGTCTCCTGACACCCAGTTGCCTCTACCACCCAAATGATGTCAGGCCCAGTCTCTCAGTGCCCTGCCCAAGGAACAGAACTCATCTTCTGAGAAGGATGGACGCAGCCCCAACAAATGGGACAAGGACCACATCCGGCAGCCCGTGAGTGGCACTCATGATCTTCAGCAAGCGGCACCAGGCTCTGGCAGGGCCCACCAGTGTCACCCCAACCAGGACAACTGGACCGTCAGCCAGATCCTGGGCGAGTGGTGGTACACTCTGGGGCCCAATGAGAGGCAGAAGTACCATGACCTGACCTCCCAGGTGAAGGTGGCCCACTTGCAACAAGGACCGAAAGAAGTCCAGGCCCGGAGACTCACACCTGTAATCCCAGCACTTTGGGAGGCTGGGGCGGGCGGATCACCTGAGGTCAGAAGTTGGCCTGGCCAACATGGTGAAATCCCGTCTCTACTAAAAATACAAAAATTAGCCGGGAGTGGTGTTGGGCAACAAATCACAAAGGAAGACAGAAAGAGAGGAACAAAGAAACTACAAAACAGTCAGAAAACAATTAATAAAATGATAATAGTAAGTCCTTACCTATAAAAATTACTTTAAAAGTAAATAGATTAAGCCCACTAATCACAAGACACAAAGTAGCAGAATGAATAAAGAAACAATTCTCAATAATATGTGGCTTACAAGAGACTCACTTTTGCCTTAAGGACACACTTAGACTAAAAGTGAAGGAATAGAAAAACATGGCTGGGCGCAGTGGCTCATGCCTGTAATCCCAGCACTTTGGGAGGCCAAGGCAAATGGATCACTTGAGGTCAGGAGTTCAAGACCAGTCTGGCCAACATGGTGAAACGCCATCTCTACTAAAAATACAAAAAAAAAAAAAAAAATTAGCCACGCCTTGTAGTGGGCACCTGTAGTCCCAGCTACTCAGGAGGCTGAGGCAGGAGAATCTCTTGAGTCCAGGAGGTAGAGGTTGCAGTGAGCTGAGATCGTGCCACTGTACTCCAGCCTAGGTGACAGAGCAAGACTCTTGTCTCAAAAAAAAAAAAAAAAAAAAAAAAGGAAAAAGAAAAAGATATTCCATGCAAATTATAGGCAAAAGAGGACAGGGCAGGTATACTTATTGCAGACAATTAGACTTTTGGTCAAATGTTGTCATAAGAGACAATATCACTATATAATAATAAAGAAATCAATTTATAAAGAGGTTATAACAATCATCAAATATATGACAACATTGGAGCACCTAATATATAAAGCAAATATTAACAGAAATGAAGGAAGAAACTTACAGCAATATGAGAACAGTAGGGGACTACTGTATCCCACTTTCAGCACCAGATAGTCCATCCAAACAGAAAGTAAGTAGGGAAAGAGTAGATGTGAATAACTATAGACCCAATAGACCAAATAGGCATAGATAGATTATTTCACTGAACAGTAGAAGAATACATTCTTCTCAAGGGCACAGGAACATTCTCCAACATAGATCATATATTGGGCCACAAAATGACTCTTAACAAATTTTAAAAGTTTGAAATCATATTATGTATCTTTTTATCATAATAGTATAATATTAGAAATCAATAACAGAAAGATTTTATTATTGAAGCACTATTCATAATAGCCAAAATTTGGAAGCAACCTAACTGTCCACAACAGATGAGTGGATGAAAAAAAATGTCACATATACACAGTGGACTACTATTCAGCCATAAAAAAGAATGAGATCCTGTCACTTGCAACAACATGGATGGAACTGGAGGACCTCACGTTAAGTGAAATAAGCCAGGCACAGAATGATAAACTTCACACGTTCTCACTTACTTGTGGGAGCTAAAAATTAAAATAATTGAACTCAGTCAGGCGCAGTAGCTCACACCTGTAATCCCAGCACTTCAGGAGGCTGAGGCAGGTGGATCACCTGAGGTCAGGAGTTTGAGACCAGCCTGGCCAACATGGTAAAACTCCATCTCTACTAAAAATACAAAAATTAGCTGGGTGTGGTGGCACATGCCTGTAATCCCAACCACTTGGGAGGCTGAGGCAGGAGAATCGCTTGAACCCAGGAGGCAGAGGTTGCAGTGAGCTGAGATCCCACAGCCGCACACCAGCCTGGGTGACAGAGCGAGACTTTGTCTCAAAAAAAAAAAAAATTAAACTCATGGAGATAGAGAATGAAATGATGATTACCAGAGGCTGGGAAGGGTGGTAGGGGTGGGGGGAAGTGAGGACATTTCTTGGTACAAAAATATAGTTAGAAAGAATAAATAAGACGCAGTATTTGATAGCACAACAGGGTCACTATACACAATAATAATTTAATTGTACCTTTTAAAATAACTGAGTATCATTGGATTTCTTGTAACACAAAGGACAAATGCTTGAAGGGATAGATATCCCATTTAACTTGATGTGATTATTACACATTGTATGCCTATATCAAAATATCTATCGTACCCCATAAATATGTATACCTACTAGGTACCCATAGAAATTAAAAATTAAAAAATATACATCTCTTGACACAAATGAAGATAAAAAACAACATATCAATAGTTATGGGATACAGCAAAAGCAGTTTAAGAGTGAAGTTTATTGCAATAAATGCCTATATTAAGAAAAAATAGATTAAATAATGTAATTTCACACCTCAAAAGAAAAAGAAAAACAAACCAAGCGCAAAGTCAGTAAAAGCAAGAAAATAGTAAAAATCACAGCAGAAATAAATAAGATATAGACTAGAGAAACAATAGAAGAAAATCAATGAACTAAGTGTTTTTTAAAAAGATAAATAAATGAACAACCCTTAGAAAAACTAAGAAAAAAAGAGAGAAAACTCAAACAAATAAAATCAGAAATGAAAGGTGACACATAACCACTGACACCAAAGAAATACAAATGATCATGAGACTACTATGAAAAATTATAAGCCAACAAAATTTGATAACCTAAAAAAGAAATTGGATATCCTTGGTTAATAAATTCTTATAACCACACGATCTACGAAGACTGGATCATGAAGAAACTGAAAATCTGAAAAGACTACTAATAGGTAAGGAGATTTAATCAGTAACAAAAAATGCTACCAAAGAAAAGGCCGTACTAGGTGACTTTACTGGGGAAGGCTACAAAACATTTAAAATGGAAATAATAGGCCAGGTGCAGTGGCTCATGCCTGCAATCCCAGCAGTTTAGGAGGCTGAGGTGGGCAGATCACTTGAACTCAGGAGTTCGAGACCAGCCTGGGCAGCATAGTGAGACCCCATCTCTACTAAAAGTACAAAAAAATAGCCAGGCACGGTGGTACATGCCTGCGGTCCCAGCTACTCGAGAAGCTGAGGTGGGAGGATCACTTGAGCCTGGGAGGTGGAAGTTGCAATGAGCTGAGATCGTGCCACTTCACTCCAGCCTGGGTGACACAGCGAGATCTTGTCTTAAATAGATAAATAAAATGGAAAAATACAAAAATACTTCCCAAAGTCTTCCAAAGAATGGAAGAGGAGAGTATGGTTTCTTTTTTTTTTTTTTTCTATGAGACGGAGTCTTGCTCTGTCTCCAAGGCTGGAGTGCAGTGCAGTGGTGCGATCTCAGCTCACTGCAACCTTCACCTCCTGGGTTCAAGCGATTCTCCTGCCTCAGCCTCCTGAGTAGCCAGGATTACAGCCGCACACCACCACGCCCGGCTAATTTTTATATTTTTAGTAGAGATGGGGTTTCGCCAAGTTGGCCAGGCTGGTCTTGAACTCCTGACCTGACGTGATCTGCCTGCCTCGGCCTCCCAGAGTGCTGGGATTACAGGCATGAGCCACCTCGCCTGGCCAGGAGAATACACTTCTAAATGCATTCGAAGAAGACATTATTACTCTGATACTACAGCCAGAAGAGGACACTATGAGAAAAAAAAATTATAGGCCAACATTTGTGATGAGCCAACTAGGAAATCCTCAACAAAATACTAGCAAACTGAATTAGATCGCACATTAAATATCAGATGGCCAAGTGGAATTTATTCTTGGAATGCAAGGATGATTCAAATACACAAATCAATAAATGTGACCACATGCAGAAAAAAAAATTAGATCTTTATCTCAAAACATATGTAAATCTCAACTCAAAATGGATGAAAGACTTAACCGCTATAAGATCTAAAGCTGTACAACTACTTTAAAAAATTAGGGATAAGTTCCTTAACTTGGGTCTGACAATGATTTTTTTGGATACAAACTCCAAAGCATAGACAACATAGGCAAAAATGGACAAATAAAATTATATCAAACTAAAAAGCTCCTGCACAGCCAAAAAAAAAAATCAACAGACTAAAGAAACAAACTATGAAATGTGAGAAAATATTTGCAAACTGTACATCTGATAAGGGGTTAATGCCCCAAATATACAAGAACTCAAATAATTCAATAGTATGAAAACCTCATTCCGAAAATGGGCAATGAAACTGAACTTTTTTTTTTTTTTTGAGATGGAGTCTCACTCTGCTGCCCAGGCTAGAGTGCAGTGGTGCAATCTGGGCTCACTGTAACCTCTACCTCCCGGGTTCAAGTGATTCTCCTACCTCAGCCTCCCGATTAGCTGGGACTACAGGCGTGTGCCACCACATCTGGCTAATTTTTGTATTTTTAATAGAGACAAGGTTTCACCATGTTGGTCAGGCTGGTCTTTAACTCCTCACCTCAAATGATCCGCCCACCTCCACCTCCCAAAGTGCTGGGATTATAGGCGAGAGCCACTGCACCCGGCTGAACCTGAACATTTTTTAAAAGAAGACATAAAAGGCAAATAGGGATATGAAAAAAATATTCAACCTCATTAATCATCAGAGAAATGCCAATTTAAACCACAATTAGATGGCACCTCATATCTGTTAGAAAAACAGAAAGATAAGTGTTTACAAGAATGATTTTATAGAAAGATAAGTATTTACAAAAAAAGGTAAGTGTTTATAAGAATAATTTTATAAAACAATGATAAAAAAGTAAATCAGTACAGCTATTATGAAAAATATGGGTATTCATTAAGCAACTGAAAATAGAATAACCATATGGTTCAGCAACCCCACTAATAGTTATGTGTTCAAAGGAAATAAAATCAGTATGTCAAAGAGATATCTACACTTTCATGTTTATTGCAGCATTAATTGACAATAATCAAGACATGTAATCAACCCTAAGAGAACACATAGTTGAGATATGGAAAAGAAACTAATCTCCAGAGAGAAAGAAAAAAGAAGCAGACGTACAGGAATAAGGTTCATAACTAAGGGAAGTGAGGTGGGAGAGAAAGAGAAAATTTAAATGGTTGCTTCGGTTTCTGGTCACTTCCTAGTTTTGGTTTAAGTCTTCATGAGGCCAGGCGCGATGGCTCATGTCTGTAATCCCAGCACTTTGGGAGGCCGAGGCAGGCGGATCACGAGGTCAGGAGATCGAGATCATCCTGGCTAACACGGTGAAACCCCATCTCTACTAAAAATACAAAAAAAAAAAAAAAAATTTAGTTGGGCACGGTGGTGAGCGCCTGTAGACCCAGCTACTCGGGAGGCTGGGGCAGGAGAATGGCGTGAACCCAGGAGGCGGAGCTTGCGGTGAGCCCAGATCGCGCCACTGCACTCCAACCTGGGTAACAGAGCAAGACTCTGTCTAAAAAAAAAAAAAAAAAAAAAAAAAGTCTTCATGAGATCCAGCTATGTCTCTTGTCCTTAGATGTCATGACGTACCCTTGTATACATCCAAACTTTTTCCTTTATACCTAAGCTAATGGTTTGGTTTTTTTTGTTTTTTTTTTTTGAGACGGAGTCTCACTCTCGCCCAGGCTGGAGGCAGTGGCACCATCTCGGCTCACTGCAACCTCCACCTACTGGGTTCAAGCGATTCTCCTACCTCAGCCTCCCGAGTAGCTGGAATTATAGGCATGCAGCACCATGCCCAGCTAATTTTTATATTTTTAGTTGAGACGGGGTTTCACCACGTTGGCCAGGCTGGTCTTGAACTCCTGGCTTTAGGGGATCCGCCCGCCTCCATCTCCCAAAGTGCTGGGATTATAGGTGTGAGCCACCGCACCCGGCTGGAATTTTTATTACTTATAATTCAACTGTCTTTGAATGAGACATCTGGCCTATAGCACCTAATTACTACTATTCTGTTCTTATGAAAAAGGAAGTTTATGTTCCAATTTACCTAATTAAACTAAATGTTCTTAAACTAAAGCCACCTACACTTGAGAGAAAGAAATTATGGTTTCAAAAATATGTCTTCACCAAAAACGTATTTGTGGCAAATAATTAAAACGATATTAATAGCTTTTTTCCCCATTTTATTAGAAATGGCATGGAATAACATAATTTACCAACTTAAAATTTTCTCATTAATCAAGGCCAGCATTAGTCAACATTTGCTTTTTATAAAAGTGAAGACAATTTTCTAGTGCATTAATAGCATTAGACAGTACAAGACTCTTCTCAGAGTAAATAGCTTGGGTTTGTCACAAATTAAACTTTATGCATGAAAATTTAAATTATAAATAAAACATAATTTTTATAAAATTATCTTCAGGGTTATTTAAATGGGAAAATTAAGTTCTCTAGAAAAAACACTACAGACTATAATTTTGTAAAGGCTATATTCAAGTCTACATGGTAAAAAGCTACTTTTTGAAAAATAGCAAGTATCCTCCAAAAACATCAAGTAAACTCTTGAGATTAAAACCCCCAAATTAATAGGGCACCTAAAAATTAATACAAATTATATCAAACTGTCAGTACTAACCTCTTTTTCAGCTTCTTTAAATGTTGCTTCTTTCTCCTTGACTCGCTGCATAAATCTCTGTTTCAACTCTTCTTCTTCCCTCTGACATTGATCATAGAACTCTTGTCTTTTGGCTTCAAAGATTTCTTGAAAACTAAAGAGAAATGTTTTCTTAGTCTTATATTAAAATGAGGTAGGAGGATCGCTTGAACCCAGGAGGCGGAGTTTGCAGAGAATCAAAATCGTGCCACTGCACGTCAGCCTGGGAGACAGAGTAAGACTCCATCATAAAAAAATAAAATAAAATGAAAAATAAAAACACACTAGTATAAACATGTAAAAAATATATATTGTATGTTACATCCTATATAAGGAAATTTACCAACATTCTCTCATGTTTAGCAGCACAAAATGGAAATTTCCATATCATAAGATGTAAAAACCAAGGCACAATACTTAAGATCAGAGTATATAGACAGTATATGTAAAGAATACTAGAATTTTCCAACACTTATATGAGTGAATTCTTATCCCCACCACTTTCCAGGATATCATACATTTTCATATCTTTTGACAATAACATTCAGGGAAACCTCTAATGTATGAGACGATTTTCAAAAATCCTCTAAAATAAAGCAAAAAGTCTTTCAAAATATCATCATTCATTTAAGATAGTTAAATTTTGGGTGTCTACAAAGAACAATGAATGATATAACTAGATTATATACACTACAGTGCCATGTTTTTGCAACACAAGTCCTATTCTTCTTTTTTTTTTGAGACAGAGTCTCTCTTTGTCGCCCAGACTGGAGTGCAGTGGCACGATCTCAGCTCACTGCAATCTCTGCTGCCCAGGTTCAAGCGATTCTCCTGCCTCAGCCTCCCGAGTTAACTGGGATTACGGGCACCCGCCACCACGCCCAGCTAATTTTTTTTGTATTTTTAGTAGGGACGGAGCTTTACCATGTTGGCCAGGCTGATCTTAAACTCCTGACCTCAGGTAATCTGCCTGTCTCGGTTTCCCAAAGTGCTGGGATTACAGGCGGGAGCCACTGCACCCGGCTCTATTCTTCAAGTTAGAGCAAACACCTGCTCTCAAACTTTTCTCATTTAACTTCCAGGATGCTGCACTACTGCTTTTCAGCTGGTTCCTCCATCAAACTCTTCTTAATGTCTTTTGTCAAACTTTGCTAATATTTTTCCATCTTTTTCTTTATCCTTTCTTTTTTTTTCTTTTTTTTTTTAAGATGGAGTCTTGCTCAGTCCGCCACGCTGGAAGTGCAGTGAGGTGATCTCAGCTCACTGCAACCTCCGCCTCCAGGGTTCAAGCGATTCTCCTGCCTCAGCCTCCCAAGTGGCTGGGATACAGGCGTGTGCCACCATGCCCGGCTACTTTTTGTATTTTTAGTAGACACAGGGTTTTACCATGTTGGCCAGGCTGCTCTCAAATACCTGACCTTAGATGATCCGCCCGCCTCAGCCTCCCAAAGTGCTGGGATTACAGGCATGAGCCACAGCGCCCGGCCTATCCTTTCTTTCACATAATACAGATACATTTCATATAAATACAAAAAATGGAACAAAATACTGGGTTTTTTCATCAATATACATTTCAGCATATATACATATTGAATACACATATTTCAGCATAAAAATGAGATCTCGCATTATATTGTTCCTACTATCTCTACCTTCGTCAAAAGATCATAAAAACACCTAACATTCAGGTGTTTTCTTTATGATGGCTCAAGATGGGAGAAGTATAATTATTCTCATATCCAAATTATCATACCTTGTGTTTGTAGGGACTCCTAAATTATCCATTTGGTTGTGCTAGCAATATTTTTACTCACCTAACTGGCTGGTTGTTTGGACCCACATCTGTAAAGCCCATTTTCTGCAGTTTTTGGTACCTATAACATTCATAGTGCTGAGTGTGGGTTTTTTCTTTTAGATTTTCCATATTGGTACAAAGAAGCATATCTCGGAGCTTAACGAAGTCACAGTGATTTTCATTTTCCACTAGTAAAAAAATAATAATGAATCAACAACATTCAGTATCAATCCCTGACAATCAGTAAGTGTTCATGAATGAATACATGAATAAAAAACACATTTAAAATAACACACAACTGAACAATTTGATTAATAGCTATAATTCTTTTAAGCATGTAAGTGTGGTTGTACTATACATACCAACCATAGGCAGAGATTATTTATAGGTTAGCAAATTTGCTTTAAACTTATTACCTGAAGAATAAGCAGGAAATAGTGAAATAATATTTTATGTGCATATATGCCATAGGTTTTTATTAACAATTGTGTAGTATGTTATAAACTACCTCTGGGTATTTTGGAGTGCTAACAGAATATGTAATATAACATCACTAGTGTAAATAATTTTATCAGAGTAAATTCTGCTAGCAAAAAGGCCTTACAATTGAAAATACTTTAGTTACATATTTCCATTTATATATCATATTTAGGAGACACCGTTAGTCAATATTCAAAATCAATCAACAAATTCACATAGCTGTTTTAATGATACATACAGACTGACAGTGAAGACACGGAAAGATATTTCATGCAATTAGAAACTAAAAGAGAAGGCACGGAAAGCTATACTCCTATCACAGAAGATAGACTTTAAGTCAAAAACTGTAAAATGATATAAAGAAGGTCATCATATCATGATGAAGAGGTCAGTTCATTAAAAAAATAACAATTGTAAATATATATGCACCCAATATCACAACTTCTAAATATATAAGGCAAATATTAGCAGACCTGAGGGGGAGATAGACTGTATTACAATAATAGTAAGGGACTTAGATACCCTACTTTCAGCAATGGATAGATTATCCAGACAGAATATCAGTAAGAAAATATCAGATTTAAACTACACTTTAGACCAAATAGACCTAATGGACATATGTGGAATATTTCATCCAACAGCAAAGTAATACCCATTTTTCTCAAACAAACACAAGACATTCTTCAGGATAGATCATATGTTAGGCCACAAAATAAGTCTTAACATATTTTAAAAGACTGAAATAAAAATGTGAGTGCACATGTCTTTTGACAGATCAATTTCATTCCACTAGGGTACATACCCAGTAGTGGTACTGCTGGATCATACAGTAATACTATTTTTAGTTTTTGAGGAACCTTCATATTATTTCCCAAAATGGCTGTACCAACTTAAATTCCCACCAATGATGTTTAAGAATTCCCTTTTTTCTTAGAAATATATATACACTGCTGGTGGGAATATAAATTAGTTCAGCCATTGTGAAAAGTAGTTTGATAATTTCTTTTTTTCTTTTTTTGAGACAGAGTTTCGCTTTTGTCACCCAGGCTGGAGTGCAGCAGTGCGACCTCAGCTCACTGCAACCTCCGCCTCCTGGGTTCAAGTGATTCTCCAACCTCAGCCTCTCAAGTAGCTGGGATTACAGAAGTCCACCACCAGGCCCAGCTAATTTTTGTATTTTTAGTAAAGATGGAGTTTCACCATGTTGACCAAGATGGTTTCGAACTCCTGACCTCAGGTGATCCACTCTCCTCAGCCTCCCAAAGTGCTGGGATTACAGGCATGAGCCACCACGCTCGGCCTGACAATTTCTTAAAGAAGTTAAAACAGAACTACCATTTGACCCAGTAATCCCATTACCAGGTTTATATCCAAAGGAATATATATTGTTCTATCATAAAGACACAGGCACGTGTATGTTCATTGCAGCACTATTCACAATAACAAAGACATAGAATCAATCTAAATGCCCATCAATGGTAGACTGGATAGAGAAAATGAACATATACACTATGGAATACTACACAGCCATAAAAAAAGAACAAGATCGTGTCCTTTGCAGCAACATGAATGGAGCTGAAGCCATTATCCTAAGTGATGTAATGCAGGAACAGAAAACCAAATACCACATACTCTCATTTATAAGTAGGAGATAAATATTGAGAACACATAGACACAAAGGGGAGAACAACAGACACTGGGGCCTCCTTGAGGGTGGAGGGTGGGAGGAGAGTGAGGACAGAAAAGCTACTATGCTTACTTTTTTTTTTTTTTTTTTTTTTGGTTAGTATATGTGCTGCTAAAGTGAGCAATTTTTTTTTTTTGAGATGGAATCTCGCTCTGTTGCTGAGGCTGGAGTGCAATGGCACGATCTCGGCTCACTGCAACCTGCACTTCCTGGGTTCAAGTGATTCTCCTGCTTCAGCCTCTTAAGTAGCTGGGATTACAGGAGCGCGCCACCACACCTGGCTAATTTTTGTATTTTTTAGTAGAGACGGGGTTTTGCCATGTTGGTCAGGCTAGTCTTGAACTCCTGAACTCAGGTGATCCACGTGCCTCAGCCTGCCAAAGTGCTGGGATTACAGACTCAAGCCACTGCTCCAGCCAGTACTATGCTAATTATCTCTGTGATGAAATAATCTTTTACACCAAACCCCCATGACATGCAATTTATCTATATAACAAATTTGCACATGTACCCCTGAACCTAAAATAAAAATTAAAAAAAAAAAAAAAAGAATTCTCTCTTCTCCATATGCTTGCCAGCACTTGTAATGGCTTGTCTTTTTTTTTTTTTTTTTGAGACAGAGTCTCACTCTGTTGCCCAGGCTGGAGTGCAGTGGCGCAATCTCGGCTCACTGCAAGCTCTGCCTCCTGGGTTCACGCCATTCTCCTGCCCCAGCCTCCCAAGTAGCTGGGACTACAGGCGCCCGTCACTACGCCAGGCTGATTTTGTGTATTTTTAGTAGAGACAGGGTTTCACCGCGTTAGCCAGGATGGTCTCCATCTCCTGACCTCGTGATCCACCTGCCTCAGCCTCCCAAAGTGCTGGGATTACAGGTGTGAGCCACTGCGCCCGGCCTGTCTTTTTGATAATAGTCATTCTAAAAGACATGAAGTGATACTTCATCATGTGTTTAATTCGCATTTTCCTGATGTTTTAGAGATGCTATTTTTTTCATATTTCTTTTGCCATTTGTATTTCTTCTTTTGAGAAATGCCTGTTCAGATCCTTTGCCCATTTTTCCTTGTGTTATTTGTTTTCTTGCTATTGAGTTGTTAGAGTAATATCAAAAATATTATATATTTTGGACATTTGCCCCTTATCAGATGTATAAGTTGCAAATATTTTTTCCAATCTCTAGGTTGTATCTTTATGCTATTAAATTGTTTCTTTTGGTTTTGTTGCTGGTGTTTTTGAAGTTCTTTTTTTTTTTTTTTTTGAGGCAGAGTCTTGCTCTGTCACCCAGGCTGGAGTTCAATGGCACGATCTTGGCTCACTGCAACCTCTGCCTCCCGGGTTTAAGCAATTCTCCTGCCTCAGCCTCCCTCCCGAGTAGCTGGGATTACTGGCACCCACCAACATGCCCAGCTAATTTTTGTATTTTTAGTAGAGACAGGGTTTCACCATGTTGGTCAGGCTGGTCTGAAACTCCTGACCTCAGGTGATCACCCGCCTCAGCCTCCCAAAGTGCTGGGATTACAGGTGTGAGTCACTGCACCCTGCCAGCTTTTGTTATAAATCCGCTCTCCTGTGGCAGGAGTGCACAGACCAGGGATCATGAAGACCCTCGAGTCAAACCTGGGTGTCAGGCCTGGAGTTGGCTTCACTATGGACACATCCAATAAGCCCAAAACTAGGGTAACAGTGATAGCACAGCTTGACCTTTCCCTTCTGCCTTTTCCTTGTACAGACTGAGTTCTGTTCTTGGATGCAGGACATCTTTTGACTGTTGCAATTTGAAGATTCTTATGTTTATTTTCTTCTTCTTCCTCTTCCACTATCATTTCATCTACTTGTATCACCTTTCGTGTTTCAGCAGATGTCAGGGGTGTTTGAATAGCTCCCGCGGTGATATCCAGGTCAGCTGTTGCTGCCTCTTCCAAGCCCTGTTTGTTTCCTCCAAGGGAGAAGTAGTTGAGCCATTCATGCCATTCATCTTTGCGCAGTGCCTTGGGGAGCCGCAGGATCTGGATGTTGTAGAGTTTATCCACCTCCTTGAAGAGGTTCTGCCTGTCAGACTCAATTGGCTTGATTCGTATTTCCACTTTGCAGTCGAAGTCTTTAAGAAAGGAGGCGAGCTTCCACCTCCCTAAGGAGTTGGTCTTGGCCACCCAACTACTGCCCTTTCTAGGAGCCATGGTGTTGGGTGGAGGCTGCAGGGAGCGATGGAGATGGGGAAGGAAGGCAAACTCTTCTCCAATTTTAAATCAAGTTTTACAGTTCTTTTTTTTTTTTTTTTTTTTTTTGAGATGGAGTCTTGCTCTGTTGCCCAGGCTGGAGTGTAGTGGTGTGATCTCAGCTCACTGCAACCTCCGCCTCCCAGGTTCAAGTGATTCTCCTGCCTCAGCCCCCCAGGTAGCTGAGACTATAGGCATGCACCACCACGCCTGGTTTTTCTGTTTTTTAGTAGAGAAGGGGTTTCACCATGTTGGCCAGGCTGGTCTTGAACTCCTGACTTCAGGTGATCTGCCCACCTCAGCCTCCTAAAGCACTGGGATTACAGGTGTGAGCCACCGCACCCAGCATTTTTTTTTTTTTGAGACAGAGTCTCGCTCTGTCACTCAGGCTGGAGTGCAGTGGTGCAATCTCGGCTCACTGCCACCTCCGCCTCCCAGGTTCAAGTGATTCTCCTGCCTCAGCCTCCTGAGAAGCTGGGATTACAGGCGCCCGCCACCACACATGGCTAAGTTTTTGCATTTTTAGTAGAAATGGGGTTTTGCCATGTGGGCCACGCTGGTCTCAAGCTCCTGGCCTCAAGTGATCCACCCGCCTCAGCCTCCCAAAGTGCTGGGATTACAGGCATGAGCCACCGTGTCTGGCCAAGTTTTACAGTTCTTAGTGTGCAGGTATTTTACTTCCTTGTTTAGATTTATTCCTAAGCATTTTATTTTTCAGCATTATTCACAATAGCTAAGATATGGAAGCAATCTAATCTAAATGCCCATCAACAAGATACACAATAAAATACTATAGAGCTTTTAAAAAGAATGAAATCCTGTCATGTGTAAAACCTGAATGAAACTGTAGGACATTATGCTAAGAGAAATAAACCAGGCACAGAAGGACAAATACTGCATAATCTCACTTATATGTGGTAACTAAAAATGTCAATCTCACAGAAATAGAGAGTAGACAGGTGGTGACTGGAGGAAAGTGGGGAGACTGAGGGATGAGGAAATGGAAAATATTGATCAAACGGTACGAAGTTTTAGTTAGACTGGAGGAATAAGCTTCAGTGATCTACGGCACTGTATGGTGACTACAGTTAATAATAAGCTACTGTATATTTCAAAATTGCTAAAATGGGGAGTGGGGTGGAGCAAGGTAGCTGAATAGAACCTCTCATCAGTCATCCCCCTACATAAACACCAAATTGAACAAATATCCATGCAAGAAAACACCTTCATAAGGATGAAAAATCAGGTGAGCAATCATAGTACCTGATTTTAATATTATATCAAGAAAAGAGGCACTGACGATTATAGTAAAGAGAGTCTTGCATAGCCTATGCCATCTGACATTCATCCCCCAGCAGCACCATACTAAACAGAGAGAGAATCTGTGTGTTTTGGGGAGGGAGAGTGAAGTGATTGTGGGACTTTGCATTGGAACTCAGTGACTGCCCTGCCACAGTGCTACACAACATAGGGCAGAATTCTGCTAGTGCCCACGACAGGAGCCTTTTTTTTTTTTTTAGATGGAGTCTCGCTCTTTCACGCAGGCTGGAGTGCAGTGGCGCAATCTCGGCTTACTGCAACCTCCACTTCGCAGGTTCAAGTGATTCTCCGGCCTCAGCCTCCCAAGTAGCTGGGACTACAGCTGCACACCACTATGCCCAGCTAATTTTTGTATTTTTAGTAGAGACAGGGTTTCACCATATTGGTCAGGCTGGTCTTGAACTCCTGACCTCAGGTGATCCACCCGCCTTGGCCTCCTAAAGTGCTGGGACTATAGGTGTAAGCCACCACTCCTGGCCAAAGGGAGCATTTAACCTAGCTCCCACTAAAGAGGAATACCCCATGCCAGAGATAGATAGGAACTTAAGTTCCAGCTACCTCCACCACTAGTTAATTAAAGTGCCCTGGGGTCCTGAATAAATCTGAAAGGCAATCAGGCCCCAAGGTCTGCAGTCCTTGGGCAAGTCCAGTTACTGAGCTTGCTCAGAGCCAGTGGAATAGGAATGCGTGTGACCCAGCAAGACACCAGTTTTGGTGGCCAAGGAGTGCTTGTATCACACCTCCCCCAACTCCAGGCAGTGCAGCCCGAAAAGAGACTCCTTCCACTTGTGGGAAAGAAAAGGAAGATTAGAAGAGAACTTTATCTTACAACTTGAGTAGCAGCTCAGCCACAGTAAAACACACAAGAGAGTCCTTCCACTTGTGGGAAAGAAAAGGAAGATTAGAAGAGAACTTTATCTTACAACTTGAGTAGCAGCTCAGCCACAGTAAAACACACCACTAAGCCCATTCCTGAAGCCCCCAATTCCAGGCCCTACTTCCTGGACATTTCTAGACCTACTCTGGGACAGAAGGGAACTTGCTGCACTGAAGAGATGGACCCAGCCCAGCAGGACTCACCACCTGCTGACTAAAGAGCCCTTGGGCCTTAAACATCAGTAGTAGCAAGGCAGTAGTTGCCATGGGCCTTGGGCAGGACCCAGTAATTTGCTGGTTTCATATGTGACCCAGCACAGTACCAGCTGTGATGGCCACAGGAGTGATGATGTCACCCTTCCCTCAACTCCAAGCAACCTAGCACAGACAGAGAGACTCCTTCTGTTTGGGAGAAAGTGAGAAAAGAGTTTGAGAGATTCTGCCTCATAATCCAGGGAATTCTCCCAGATATTATCCAAGACCACTGAGGCAGTACGAGTCTGCTGGCGTCACAGTGTTACTGGGCTTGGGGTACCACCTAATACATTCCCTTTGAATACTTAGAAAACCTTCTCAAATAGAATAGGCACAATTGAGCCCAGACTGCAAAGATTACAATAAATATCTAACTCTTCAATGCCCAGACATAGATGAACATTGACAAGCATCAAGACCATCCCAGAAAACATGACCTCACCAAATGAACCAAATGAGGCACTAATGACAAATCCCAATCACATATCTCAGGACAGATATATGTAACCTTTCAGAGATCTCAAAATAGCTGTTTTAAAAGAGCTCAGTGAAATTCAAGATAACACAGAGAAGAAATTCAGAATTCTATTAGCATTATTATATGCCAACAGTGAACAATCTGAAAAAGAAATAAAAACTAATCCAATTTATGACAGCTATAAAATAAAATACCTAGAAATAAACATAACCAAAGAAATGAAAAATCTCTACAATGAAAACTATAAAATACTGATGAAAGAAATTGAAAAGAATGCAAAACAATGGAAACACAGTTCATGTTCATGGATTGGAAGAATCAATAATATTGTTAAAATGTTCATACTGCTCAAAGCAATCTAAAGATTCAATGCGATCCCTATCAAAATACCAATGACATTCTTCATAGAAAAAGAAAAAGCAATTCTAAGATGTATATGGAACCACAAAAATACTTAAAGCAATTCTGGGCAAAAATAACACTGGAGGAATCGCATTACCTGACTTCGAATTATACTACAAAGCTATAGTAAGTGAAACAGCATGGTACCGGCATAAAAACAGACACAAAGACCAATGGAACAGAATAGCGAACCCAGAAATAAATCCACACAGCCACAGAGAACTCATTTTCAACAAAGGTGCCAAGCACATACATTGGGGAAAGGATAAGCGCTTCAATAAATGGTGTTGTGAAAACTGGATATCCATTTGCAGAAGAAAGAAACTAGACTTTTATCTCTCAACACATATAAAAATCAAATCAAAATGGATTAAAGACTTAAATCTAAGACCTCAAATTATGAAACGACTACAAAAAACATTGGGGAAGCTCTTTAGGACATTTAGTGAGTAATACCCCACAAGCACAGGCAACCAAAGCAAAAATAGACAAATGGGATCACCTCAAGTTAAAAAGCTTCTGCAAAACAAACGAAACAACAAAGTGAAGAAACAATACACACAATGAGAAAATATTTGCAAACTATTTATCTGACAAAAGATTAATAGCCAGAATATATTTAAGAAGCTCAAACAACTCAATAGGAAAAAAATCTAATAATTTAATTTAAAGTGGGCAAAAGATCCGAATAGACATTTCTCCAAAGAAGACATACAAATGTCTTCTTTTGTCTTATTGATAATAACTGTTTTAACATGTGTGAAGTAACTGCTCATTGTGGGTTTTTTTAAATGCCAAACAAGCAAATGAAAAGGTGCTCAATATCACTGATTACCAGAGAAAGGCAAATAAAAACTACAATGAGATATAATCTCACCCCAGTTAAAAAAGCTTTTATCCAAAAGACAGGCAATAACAAATGCTGGTGAGGATGTGGAGAAAAAGGAATCCTTGTACACTGTTGATAGGAATGTCAATCAGTACAGTATCTATGGAAAACAGTATGGAGTTTCCTCAAAAAACTAAAAATAGAACTACCATATGATCCAGCAATCCCACTAGTAGGTGTATACCCAGAAGAAAGGAAAGTAGTATATCAAAGAGATAGCTCCACTCCCATGTTTGTTACAGCACTATTCACAATAGTCAAGATTTGGAAGCAACCTAAGTATCCATCATCAGAGGAATGAATAAAGTAAATGTGGTACATATACATGATGGAGTACTATTCAGCCATAAAAAATAATGAGATCCTGTCATTTGCAACAACATGGATGGAACTGAGGACATTCTGTTAAGTGAAATAAGCAAGACACAGGAAGACAAACTTCACATATTCTCACTCATTTGTGGAGCTAAAAATTAAAACAATTGAACCCATGGGGATAAAGAGTGGAATGTTGATTACCAGAAGCTAGGAAAGGATTGGGGAGGGAGAGAAGTGGGGATAGTTGATGGGTACGAATATATAGTTACATAGAATGAATAAGATCTAGTATTTGATAGCACAAAAGGGTGACTACAGTCAACAATAATTTATTGTACATTTTAGAATAACTAAAAGAGTATAGTTGGATTGTTTGTGACACAAAGAAAGGATAAATGCTTGAGTTGATGGGTACTCTATCCTGATGTGATTACTACACACTGAATGCCAGTATCAAATATCTCATGTGCCCTATAAATATACACACCTACTAGGTATCCACAAAAATTAAAAATTAAAAAACACAGGCCCAGTGTGGTGGCTCATGCCTGTAATCCTAGCATTTTGGGAGGCTGAGGCAGGCAGATCACCTGAGGTCAGGAGTTTGAGACTATCCTGACCAACAAGCCAAAACCCTGTCTCTACTAAAAATACAAAAAAAAAAAAAAATTACCCAGGCTTGGTGGCGCATGCCTGTAATCCCAGCTACTGAGGAAGGAGAATTGCTTGAACCCAGGAGGCAAAGGTTGCAGTGAGCCAAGATCACACCATTGCACTCCAGCCTGGGCAACAAGAGCTAAACTCCATCTCAAAAAAAAAATTAAAAACACAACAAGCTGTAACTTCACCCATGCTAAAATGGCTATTATCAATAAGACAAACAAGTGCTGGTAAGGATGTGGAAAAAAGGGAACCCTTGTACACTGTTGGTGGCAATGTAAATTAGGATAACCATTATGAAAAACGGTATGGAGTTTCTTCAAAAAATTAAAAATAAAACAACTACCATATGATCCAGCCATCTCACTACTGGATACATTACCTCCCAAAAATGAAGTCAGTATGTCAGAGAGATACTTACACTACCATTATTCACAAGAACCAAGATATGGAAGCAATCTAAGTGTCCATGAATAGATGCATGAAGAAAAAAAGTGTGGCATATATACGCAATGGAATTCAGCCTTAAAAATCAGGAAATTCTATCATTTGCAGCAACATGGATGGAACTGGATGACTTTACACTAAGTGAATACGCCAAACACAGAAAGACAAATGGTAAATGATCTCACTAATAGATCAAATTTTTAAAAGTTAAACTTGTAGAAACAGAGAGTAGAATGGTGGTTACGTGAGTTAGGTAGAGGGTATGTAGGAGAGATGTTGGTCAAAGGATACAAAATTTTAGTTAGGTAAGAACAAGTTAAAGAGATCTATTGTACAACATAGTGACCATGTTAATAACAATATTTTATATATATATATATATTTTTTTTTTTTGAAAAGGAGTCTCGCTCTGTTGCCCAGCTGGAGTGCAGTGGCGTGATCTCAGCTCACTGCAAGCTCCACCTCCCGGGTTCACATCATTCTCCTGCCTCAGCCTCCCAAGTAGCTGGGACTACAGGTGCCCGCCACCATGCCTGGCTAATTTTTTTGTATTTTTAGTAGAGATTGGGTTTCACTGTGTTAGCCAGGCTGGTCTCAATCTCCTGACCTCATGATCCGCCCGCTTCAGCCTCCCAAAGTGCTGGGATTACAGGCGTGAGCCACTGCGCCCGGCCAATATTTTATATTCTTGAAAATTGCTAAGATAGATGTTAAGTTTTCATCACAAAAATAATTGAGATAACACATATGTTAATTATATCAATTTAGCCATCCCACAATGTATATGTATTTCAAAACATCATGTTGTACATAAGTACATAAAATTTTATTTGTCAATTAAGATTAATTAATGAAAAATAATTTGTATGGCTCTCTCCTGTGTTTGTCATGTCCAGAAGATTGACCACAATATATGGTTTATTGTGATTAATACTGTGACCAAATTTTATGTATCAACATATAGTATAGATATATATTTTATAACATATACTAACATGTAATACAACATAATAAATATTAAAACATTAAGTTTTAAGTATGCTTAACAAATTTTAAATTTTCTAATATGTCAATTTTTTAACAACATCATTTGAGGCTGGACACGGTGGCTCATGCCTGTAATCCCAGCACTTTGGGAGGCCGAGGCAGGTGGATCACCGGAGGTCAGGAGTTCAAGATCAGCCTCACTAATATGGTGAAACCCCATCTCTACTAAAAATACAAAAATTAGCCCGGTGTGGCGGCAAGCGCATGTAATCCCAGCTACTCGGAAGGCTTAGGCAGGAGAATAGCTGGAACCTGGGAGACAGAGGTTGCAGTGAGCCAAGATCATGCCACTGCACTCCAGCCTGGGCAACACGAGTGAAACTCTGTCTCAAAAAAAAAAAAAAAAAAAAAATCATTTGGAAACCAGTACAAGTAGAAATCTTCCATTCCCCAATAATTATATGAACCACAAGTATATGAACCAGACAATAAATTACTGCTTACTACACTATTCTAACTCATTATGATGCTAAATAATAATATAAATGTCAAAGGTATAATCTCTAGCCAAAGGTAAATTGTACTTTCTTGTTTTAAAAAGTTTATAACTCTTTTTTCTAGTGACCAGTTTAAAATGGTTTCTACATTAGGTAGTAATGAGTTTATGTAACATGTCTACACACTAGTATTTTTGCTTCCATTTTGTTGAAAGTGCTTTCCAGCACTCTCAGTGTCATGATTTATACAGAGAGATAATATGTACATGGCACATTGGGAGCGTTGGGATAGACAAAGAGGTTCTTCCCAGCCTCTGTAGATTTTGGCTTAAAGCAGCGTTCAGCAAACTTCTATGAGAATGAATCATAGTCAAAGTAAGCATTAGTTTAAATAAAACAGAGTTTGTGTTCCCCATTAGTAACTGTTAACTTACAGATTAGCAAGAGTTACCAATATTAGTTCAAGTTAAAATGTTATTTTGAGACTATGAGTGATACACATATATTTAACTTAATCATTCCAAAGCCTGCCCTCTGTCATTTTTACCTTGCAAAACTCCCCAAGGGTAGTGACGGCCTCTGACCATCCTTTTTCCAACTTTCACTTCATCTGTACTCCCTACCACAGCAAAGGGTAACAGCCCCTAGAAAACAAGAATGACATGAATTGAATTCTCTAGCACCATTAGAGCTTACTCTATTACTCTCATTCCTGTTATAAAAATGACAGGCCAGCGCGGTGGCTCATGCCTGTAATCCCAGCACTTTGGGAGGCCGAGGTGGGCGGATCATGAGGTCAGGAGATCGAGACCATCCTGGCTATCATGGCGGAACCCCATCTCTACTAAATATACAAAAAATTAGCCGGGCATGGTGGCGGGCGCCTGTAGTCCCAGCTACTCGGGAGGCTGAGGCAGGAGAATGGCGTGAACCCGGAAGGTGGAGCTTGCAGTGAGCCGAGATCATACCACTGCACCCCAGCCTGGGCAACAGAGCAAGACTCCGCCACACACACACAAAAATGACAGAGATGATGATATTGTAATAAATTTAATTAGACAGGGATCTACCCTGCATCTCATTTTAAGACTTGACAGTATGCACTAATTGGTTTCTGTCAGCATAAGTCTCAGGCTGTGCACACAATTGGAAACTGTCTACTGAGCCAGAGCCTAAAGCAAGGTATCCTGCTGTGGGAAACACATAGAAAAAAGATTTTCAGTAGGCATCATTTTTCTCACACTATGTTTACCCTGAACCATCTTTAACCTGAATGTTGAAGAAATAACATGCAAATAACTTTTAACTCTGGTATAAAAGTTAAAAGACAAAAATATTAAAAACAACTACAACTATTATAATAATTAATGGATACACAATATAAAATACTTTAATAAGCAATACTGTATATGTCTCAATAAATTATGTTTGTTTTTTTGAGACAGAGCCTGGCTCTGTCACCCAGGCTGTAGTGCAGTGGCATGATTTTGGCTCACTGCAACCTCCACCTTCCAGGTTCAAGCAATTCTCCTGCCTCAGCCTCCCGAGTAGCTGGGATTACAGGTGCCTGCCACCATGCCTGGCTAATTTTTGTATTGTTTAGTAGAGACGGAGTTTCACCATGTTGGCCACGCTGGTCTTGAACTCCTGACCTCAGGTGTTCTGTCCACCTCAGCCTCCCAAAGTGCTGAGATTACGGGCGTGAGCCACCACGCCCATCCCAAATAATTTTTTACATTTTACATTACTTAGCATTTCAATTCAGAAATCTATTAGTGTTTGAGGTATCTTAAAATAAAGGAGGTGTAAATTATAAGAAAAGAGAAATGGAAGACATGGAATTAACAGTTATCAGTTACAGTTACCTGTTACATTCTAGACTCTGTGTTTCAGATCCTTCACAAAGATTTTGGCACTTACACCTCAGAAAAAAAGCCTTAATAGAAGTGTCATTGATCCCATAGCATAGATAACAGTCTCAGGGAAGATGAGTGAATTGTGCAGGATCTTTTGGCTTTTAAGTAGAGAAGCTAGGATGGAAATCTAAATCTGTATACTTTCAAAATGTATCATCTTTCGGCTGGGCATGGTGGCTCATGCCTATAATCCTAGCACTTTGGGAGGCCGAGGTGGGCGGATCACCTGAGGTCAGGAGTTCGAGACCAGCCTTGCCAACATGGTAAAACCCCGTCTCTACTAAAAATACAGAAATTAGCGGGGCATGGTGGCAGGCACATGTAATCCCAGCTACTTGGGAGGCTGAGGCAGGAGAATTGCTTGAATCCAGGAGGTGGAGGTTGCAGTGAGCTGAGATCGCGCCATTACATCTCGGTCTGAGAAACAAGAGTGAGACTCTGTCTCAAAAGAAAAAAAGAAAAGAAAATTATCATCTTTCAAATTTAAGCTAATATTTTAGGTATTTACTAGCCTAAAATATTTACACAGATAAAGAGTTTCATCATCTTTATTACTGCCCTGATTCCAGAACCAGAGACAACACAGCATTCGCATCCAACCCCCATCTACCTGTTTTTGAGGCTAAGTCCTTGGCAAGTCTATTTGAGAGTTGGAGGCTCCCTTTTACCACTCAAGACCTACTTGTGAAATAGGGGCCCTGCCTTGGATGCAGCAAACAGAGAAGATGGGGGCCCTGACCATCCTTGCCTGGTTCATGAGGCAGTGGCTCATTGTGTGGGGAAGTAATCCAAAGAACCTCAGACTGGTGCTCCTCCTCACTGAGCTCTCAGTTACCAGTGGGTGCCTGAAGCTTCAGGGCAGGGTGGGTAACCTGCCATTGTTTCCACCCACAATTCCAGAACCCTGCCTCAGAGATTTTACCTTGGAGGAGAAACAGGCCATGAAATGGAGAAAACCCATTCAAAAAATTATATGTAATCCCAAGGGACCTGAATAGCCAAAAAAATATTGAAAAGAAAGACCAAAGTTAGAGGTCTCACACTTCTAGAATTCAAAACATATTACAAAGCTACAGTAATCAAAATAGTTTGGAAGTAGCATAAAGACAGACATGTAGACCAATGGAATCAAATACAGAGTCCAGGGTTAATCCCTCCTTACCTATTCTTCTGTTGATGGATATTTGGGTTGCTTCCATCTCTCAGCTACTGTGGATAATAATGCAATTTATATGGCTTTACAAATATCTAAGTAAGACCCTGCTTTCAATTCTTTCAGAGAAAGAGGATTGTTAGATCATATGGTAATTTTATTTTCAACTTTGGAGAAACCACCTATATTAGTCTGTTTTAACGCTACTGATAAAAGATATACCCAAGACTGGGAAGAAAAAGAGGCTTAATTGGACTTACAGTTCCACATGGCAGGGGAGGCCTTAGAAGCATGGTGGGAAGTGAAAGGCACTTCCTACATGGCAGCGGCAAGAGAAAATTAGGAAGAAGCAAAAGCAGAAACCCCTGATAAACCTGTCAGATCTCGTGAGACTTATTCACTATCACAAGAATAGCACAGGAAAGACCAGCCCCCATAATTCAATTACCTTCCCCTGGGTCCCTCCCGAAACATGTGGGAATTCTGGGAGATATGATTCAAGTTGAGATTTGGGTGGAGACACAGCCAAACCATATAACCACCATACTGTTTTTCATAGTGGTTCTAGATGAGAAAAAGATAAAACTCTATTGAAAAAATCAGGGACTATCTAAATAAATGGAGAGACATTCCATGTACATGGATAGAAAGACTCAATATTGTCAAGATGTCAATGTTCCATAACTTAACCTATGTATTCACCACAACCCCAATCAAAATTTCACCAAATTATTTTGTGAATAATAACAAATTAACTCCAAAATTTATATGAAAAGGCAAAAGAACTAGAATAGCCAATGCAATATTGAAGAAGAACAAAATTGGAAGACATACTATTCAACCTCAGGATTCACTGCAAAGCCATAGTAATCAAAACAGCGTGGCATGGGCAAAATAATAGACAAACAGATCAATAGAGCAGAGCAGAGAGCCCAGAAATATGCCTACACAAATAAAGTTAACTAATATTTGACAAAGAAGCAATGGGAATTTAATGGAGACAAGATATTCTTTTCAATAAACAGTGCTGGAACTGAATACTCACATGTAAAAATAAGAATCTACAAACAGACCTTACATATTTCACAAAATTAACTCAAATTGGATCATAGGCCTAAATGTAAAGCATAAAACAATAAAATTCCTAGAAGATAATGTAGAGTCCTAATTAGAGAAAGGGAGTCAGGCTGGTGGGAGCAGGGGAAAGCAAAAAAAAAAAAAAAAAAAATCAGATAAGCTACAAGTCTGCCTTTCTTCACCATCCAGAACACACGGCCCTCCTGCACAAATAACTCACAATCTTCCTGTGCCTAGCTATCAGCAGACCCTCGGCTGATACAAAAAATTGCAAGTTAGCTCACTGCCACTGATAGTGGCAGGAGGCGGACAAATGCCTAGGCAGATAGGGGCAAGTCCCCAGGGAAACCCCACTTCCAACCCAAGGATAGTTTAAAGCCTGAAAGCCAAGTTACAAGTCAAATCCATGGACTGGATTGAGAACCTGTCTTCCTGCTTGGTGCACTTTCCTCTGGCTGATCTCCACCCTTCACCTGTTTTACATATACCTACACTTCCTAATTGTTTTTTTCACATTGTTGTGCCCACCTTTGGGTGGTGCCTTTGTTTTAACCTTTTTGCATACTCACAAACCAATCAGCATGCACTCGCCTATTCTGAGCCCATAAAAGCCCTGGGCTTAGCCACACAAGGAGAGAAACAGCCCCCAGGTCCCCTCTCCACTGAGAGCTGTTCCATCACTCAATAAAATTCTTCTGTCTTCCTCATCCTTCAATTGTCAGGGTATCCTCATTCTTCTTGGTTGTGGGACAAGAGCTCATGAACTGCTGATCTCAGATAGAAGCTTTAACACAGGCAGGCTGGGGCATGCTGGCCCAGCCACAGGCTGAGCCACTGTGCAAGCCAGAATGGGCCAAATGGATGGGGCTACCTGTGTGGCAGGTAGCGCGCCCAAGCAAGGCCCAGGTGGGGGTGTCACTGGCTGGAGGTCCCTGGCTGGCAAAATGATTGAGAGGAATCCTGCATCACAACCTTGGCATTATCAGCACTACACAAAGCCCTCTTCAGCATACAGCCTAAGAACTAGCCTATAAAATCTGCAGCAATCCTTTGTTTGTTTGCAGTCAGCTTCTTTCTTGCAAGCTGCCTGTTGCCTCCCTAGCAATGTATTTTCCTACTTTCTGTAATAAATCTACCTTCCTTACCTACAGCAAGGTAAATTCTTTTTTTTTTTTTTTTGAGAGAGAGAGTGTCTCACTCTGTCACCCAGGCTGGAGTGCAGTGGTGCAATCCTGGCTCACTGCAACCTCTGCCTCAACAAGGTAAATTCTTTTATGCCTGCACCACCAGGCCAGATAGTCATCACTCCCTTGCAACAGATAACATAAAAGGAAATGCAGGTGACTTTGAATTTAGCAATGACTTCATCGATATAACACTGAAAACATCATTGATGAATGGAAAGAATCAATGAGTTGAACTTCATTAAAACTAAAACTTCTGCTAGCAAAAGACACTGTTAAAGATAACAAGATAAGCCACCGACTGAGAGAAAATCTTTGCAAAACACACACTTGATAAAGGACTGATGTCCAAAATATACAAAGAACTCTTAAAACCCAACAAAAAAATGAACAACTCAATTAAAAATGGGCACAAGATCCAAATAGCCACCTCAACAAAAAAGATATTCAGATAACAAATTAGCATGTAAAAAAGATGATCAACATCATACATCCTCAGGGAATTGCAAATTAAAAGAAAAATACATGGTACTACACATTTATTAAATTTCCACCCACTGAATCTAAAATAAAACTCAGTAATTTTTTTTAGGCCAAGCACAGTGGCTCACATCTGTAATCCCAGCACTTTGGAAGGCTGAGGTAGGCGGATCACCTGAGGTCAGGAGTTCAAGACTAGCCTGGCCAACATGGTGAAACCCCATCTCTACTAAAAATACAAAAAAAAAAAATAGCCAGGCGTGGTGGTGCATGCCTGTAATCCCAGATACTTGGGAGGCTGAGGCAGGAGAATCGCTTGAACCCAGGAGGTGGAGGTTGCAGTGAGCCAAGATCACGCCACTGCACTCCAGCCTGGGTGACAAGAATGAGACTCCATCTCAAAAAAACAAACAAACAATTTTTTTTTTTAATTTCCAAAATCCCAAACACTGACAACACCAAATCCTGGCAAAGATACAGAGCAGCAGGAACTATCACTCATTGCCAGTGGGAATGCAAAATGGCAGTAACCACATCGTAAGACTGGTAGTTTCTTTCGAAACTAAACGTACTTTTACCATATGATCAAGAAGTGCACTCATCAGTATTTATCCAAATAAGTTGAAAACTTGCGTCCATACAAAAGCCTGCACACAAATGTTTATAGCAACTTTACTCATAATTGCTAAAACTTGAAAGCATCCAAGATGTCCTTTAATCAGTGAGTGGATAAACAAACTGTGGCATACCTAAACATGAAATATTATTTAATAATGAGAAATCAGCTATCAAGCCACAAAAAAAGACACAGAGAAACCTTAAATACATATTTCTAAGTGGATGAAGCCAATCCAAAAGTTCTACATGAACTATAATTCCAACTATGTGATATTCCCAAAATAAAAAATTACGGAGAGTAAAAAGATCAATAGTTGCCAAGGGTAAAGGGAAAAGAGGGAGACAAATGAATAGGTCAAGTACAGGTGA
Organism: Homo sapiens; assembly: GCF_000001405.40. Lineage (NCBI taxonomy): Eukaryota > Metazoa > Chordata > Mammalia > Primates > Hominidae > Homo > Homo sapiens. The sequence continues at coordinate 55,825,377 of NC_000007.14, forward strand.
TATTTAGGGCAGTGAAACTATGGTGAATGTTACTGCAGTATGGGATAGAGGTCATTAGACATTTGTTGAAACCCATACAATGTTCAACACAAACAATGAAGACTGTTGTCAGATACGAACTTTAGTTTATAACTTACCAATATTGCCTCATCAAGTGTAACAAATGCACCACACTTAATGCAGGATGTTAATAATAGAAGAAAATCAAGGGAGGGCATTAAGATCTCTGTTCTTTCCACTCAATTTTTCTACAACCATAAAACTACTAAAAAAACATAAAAGTATTTTACATTTAAAAAGAAGGATGGGGCCGGGCGTGGTGACTCACACCTGTAATCCCAGCACTTTGGGAGGCCGAGGCGGTTGGATCATTTGAGGTCAGGAGTTTGAGACCAGCTTGGCCACCGTAGTGAGACCCCCACCTCTACTAAAAATACAAAAATTGGCCGGGCATGGTGGCTCACTCCTGTAATCCCAGCACTTTGGGAGGCCGAGGCGGGTGGATCACGAGGTCAGGAGATCGAGACCATCCTGGCTAACACAGTGAAACCCCATCTCTAATCAAAATACAAAAAATTAGCTGGGCGTGGTGGCAGGCGCCTGTAGTCCCAGCTACTCAGGAGGCTGAGGCAGGAGAATGGCGTGAACCCGGGAGGCGGAGCTTGCAGTGAGCCGAGATCGAGCCACTGCACTCCAGCCTGGCGACAGAGTGAGACTCCGTCTCAAAAAAAAAAAAAAGTCACAATTATTTATCATATTTATTACCTCAAATAATTATTATTTTCTTTGCTTTTTGGGGGGTGAGAACATGTAGATCTACTCTTTTACCAAATTTCAAGTATACAATGTTGTATATTGTTAACTATATTCACACTGCCATACATTAGATTTTCAGAACTTACTGATTTTGCAAACTGAATCTTTGCATACCCTGACCTATATCACAAAGAGAATTTTGAAAGCAGCAAGAGAAAAACATCTTGTCCCATATAAGGGAGGCTGCGTAAGACTATCAATGGATTTCTCAAAAGAATCTTGCAGATCAAGAAACAGTGGGATGATTCAATGTACTGGAAGAAAGAGAAAGACCAAAAGGAATACTTTACCCCAGAAAAGCTGTCCTTTAAGAATAAAGGATGGGCTGGGCCAGGTGGCTCACGCCTGTAATCCCAGCACTTTGGGAGGCTGAGGCAGGCAGATCACCTGAGGTCAGGAGTTCAAGACCAGCCTGGCCAACATGGCAAAACCCTGTCTCTACTAAAAATACAAAAATTAGCCAATGTGATATAGGGTGCCTGTAATCCCAGCTACTCAGGAGGCTGAGGCAGGAGAATTGCTTGAACCCAGGAGGTAGAGGTTGCAGTGAGCCGAGGCCATGCCATTGTACTCCAGCCTGGGCAACAAGAGTAAAACACTGTCCCAGAAAAAAAAAAAAAAAAGAATAAAGAACAATGCTGCCATCTGATCTTTTCAGCTGTGGCCTGGCACCCTTCTGAGAGCCCGGCTCCCAGATACTTGCAGTCTGCCCTGGCACTGCTGTCACTTTAGCATTCTGCAGTTGCCTGAGCATTCTTCCTGCCCCTGCCTAAGTTTTCTGCCAGCTGTGTGGGGGCCAGCCTGCCCCTCTCTATCACAGCCAGCACCTGAACCCTGGGTACCTGAGGACACATATGCCAGCCTGCTTCTGATCCAGTCCCTCCAGTACTTATGCATGCCATCCAGAGCACCATATAGGGATCTGAGAATCAAGAAAATGGCTAGCCCAGTACACCATTGGCACATGATCGCTCTCTCTGGAGACTAAGGCTGTGCTGACCCAGCTAGCCAACACTGCAACAGCTGAAATCCACCCTCATGTGCTGAAAGGTGAAGCTGCTTCCCCTTTGTACACAAAGGAGCAGCGTTCCTGCATGAGAGAACAGGCAAGCCACAGGGCTGTCTGTATTGGCCTGAGGGAAGAGGTCCTACCCTGAGGTTGCTCCTGTGAAGAGCCACAAGACAGGCATTTTCAATGGCTCTTGGCTACGTTATGACCTAGAGATAGATGACTGGGTCTGTATGAACTGAGAGTCATGAACTCTGGGACAGGGGTAGGATAGGGAAACACATCATGTTCCTACCTACACAGGAGGTAGAGCTGGTACAGCTCCTCCCTCCCTACAGAGACCTGTGAGCATTTCACCAGGAGCTGCACCAGCCACCCTCTAAAGGCTACTGTTCACGTTCATCATTGAGATGTTGGTGGGTAAGCTTTGTGGTCCAGCTCTGCCCAGCTGTGTCTTCCCCTCTGGGCTGAACAGGCAACTCAGAGTCTAGGCATTACATAGACCAGCCTATCACCTGAAACAACAGACAGGAAATCACAGTAAACAAAGATCAAACACACACCATCTGCTTCTGCCATAGCTGGCTCTTACTCATAAGTGCCACTTACTGGCATGGAGGTTAAACTACACAAATCAATAAAAAGTCTACTGACAGAAGGGCACAGGGCTAAAGAAACAAAGCCAAAGCCCCCTACCCAATATATGCTGTAGTTACACCCACAAGGAGGAAAAACCCCATCTAAATTAAAGTAAATTCAAAAATAAGAAGTGACAACTTTCCCAGATGAGAAGAAACCATCATAAGAAGTTTGGCATCATGAAGAAAAAAAAAAAAGCAGAATGTTTTGACACTACCAAAGGACACACTAGCTCTCTCGCAATGGATCCTAACCAAAATGAAAATTCTGAAATGAAAGATAATGAATTCAAAATATGGATTATAAGGAAGTTCAATGAGATCCAAGACAAAGCTGAAAATCAACACAAAGATACCAGAACAATGCAGAATGTGAATGAAGTACAGATATCTTAAAAAAAAAACAATTGAATTTCTAGAAATGAAAAACACACTGAAGGGTTGGGTTACAGATGAAAGCTTTTTTTTTTTTTTTTTCTTTTTGAGACAGAGTCTTGCTCTGTCGCCCAGGCTGCAGTGCAGTGGCGCCATCTCAGCTCACTGCAAGCTCCACCTCCCGGGTTCACACCATTCTCCTGCCTCAGCCTCCTGAGTAGCTGGGACTACAGGCACCCACTACCACGCCCGGCTAATTTTTTGTATTTTTAGTAGAGGTGGGGTTTCACCGTGTTAGCCAGGATGGTCTCGATCTCCTGACCTCGTGATCCGCCCATCTCGGCCTCCCAAAGTGCTGGGATTACAGGCGTGAGCCACTGCACCCGGCCAGATGAAAGCTTTAACAATAGGCTAGACTAAGCAGAAGACAGACAGAAAATAGGATCCCAGTGCCTTTTGGCTTGTAAACTTTCTTCTGAGAAGTCGGCTGTTAGTCTAATGTGATTTCCTTTATAGGTGATTTGAAAATTGTCTCTTGCTTCTTTCAGAGTATTTTCCTTCAAGTTGCCTTTGGATAGTCTGGTGAAGTTCATCTTGCAAAATATTTTCAGGTATTTTCCGAGCTTCTCGTATCTGGATGTGTACCTCTCTAGCAAGGCCAAGACAATTTTTCTGATTATTCCCTCAAATATGTTTCCAATCTTTTTACCTTTTCCTCTTCTCTCTCAGAAATGCCTACAACTCATAAGTTTGGTTGCTTTACATAATTTCCGATTTATTGAACTCTTGATTATTTATTTAAATTTACTTTTTTTTTTGTCTGTGTTAGTTCAAAAAACCTGTTTTGTTTTTTGAAAAGATAAGAAAATTGATATGGTGCTAGGCCGGGCACGGTGGCTCACGCCTATAATCCTAGCACTTTGGGAGGCCAAGACAGGTGGATTGCCTGAGCTCAGGAGTTCCAGATCAGCCTGGGCAAGATGGTGAAACCCCGTATCTACTAAAATACAAAAAATCAGCTGTGCATGGTGGCAGGTGCTTGTAATCTCAGCTACTCAGGAGGCTGAGGCATGAGAATTGCTTGAACCTGGGAGGCAGAGGTTGCAGTGAGCCAAGATCGTGCCACTGAACCCCAGCCTGGACAACAAAGCAAAACTCTGTCTCAAAAAAAAAAAAGAAAGAAAGAAAAGAAAGAAAATTGATATGGTGCTAGCTAGATTAACCAAGAAAAAAGACAGAAGATTCAAGTAAGCACAAGCACAATCAGAAGTGATAAAAGTGACATTACAACTGATACCACAGAAAACAAAAGATCATCAGAGACTAATATGAATATCTCTATGCATACAAACTAGAAAACCTAGATAAAATGGTTAAATTCATCCCTCCCTGCTCGGATGTGGCTGGAGCTGGAGGTGCAGAGGGCCAGAGATGCTGCAGACCTTCCACCCAGAGCAGCTTGGAGGCAGTGAATAACAGCTCTTCAAGTCTGCAACAAAAAATGGCCTCTTCCAGAGAATTGTTTGAACCTGGGAGGCAGAGGTTGCAGTGAGCCGAGATAGCGCCACTGTGCTCCAGCCTGGGTGACAGAACGAGACTCCATCTCAAAAAAAAAAAAAAAAAAAAAAAAGCCTCTTCATAGCTTAAATTACAAAAGTAAACTAAAAGACTTACATGCTTTTGGCCAGGCGCGGTGGCTCACGCCTGTAATCCCAGCACTTTGGGAGGCCGAGGCGGGCGGATCACGAGGTCAGGAGATCGAGACTATCCTGGCTAACACGGTGAAACCCCGTCTCTACTGAAAATACAAAAAATTAGCCGGGCGTGGTGGCGGGCGCCTATAGTCCCAGCTACTCAGGAGGCTGAGGCAGGAGAATGGCGTGAACCCGGGAGGCGGAGCTTGCAGTGAGCAGAGATCGCACCGCTGCACTCCAGCCTGGGCGACAGAGCGAGACTCTGTCTCAAAAAAAAAAAAAGGACTTGCATGTTTTTTTCTTTACTCCAACTCATTCCTTACATGTAGGCTCAATCTTTTCAGTATTTGCTTTACTGGTTCAGCAAAAGCCAGGAAATACAACTTTGTGGTAATCAGAATGTTATCCAACTGTATATATATATATATATATATATATATATTTTTTTTTTTTTTTGAGACGGAGTCTCGCTCTGTCTACCAGGCTGGAGTGCAGTGGCGCGATCTCCGCTCACTGCAAGCTCCGCCTCTCGGGTTCACGCCATTCTGCCTCAGCCTCCCGAGTTGCTGGGACTGGAGGCGCCTGCCACCACACCTGGCTAATTTTTTGTATTTTTAGTACAGAAGGGGTTTCATGGTGTTGGCCAGGATAGTCTCGATTTCCTGACCTCATGATCCGCCCGCCTTGGCCTCCCAAAGTGCTGAGATTACAGGGGTGAGCCACCACGCCAGGCCCCAACTGTATATTGTTTACCTTATTGTAAATATTGGTGAACAGTGGTCAATAATAGTTTTATATTCCTTTAAAAAAAAAGAAAATGGGTAAATACCTGGAAACATACAACCTCCTAAGACTAAACCAGGAAAAAATAGATATCCTAAATAGACCAATAACAAGTAATGAAATTGACTCACTAATAAAATAATTTCAAACAAATAAAAACAAGAACAGATAGGTTTACAGCCAAATTTTGCCACAAGTATAATGAAGAGCTGGTACCAGTCTTACTGAAACTATTCCAAAAATTTATGGAATTTTTGGATTGGAAGAATCAACATCATTACAAAGACCACACTAACTAAAGCAATGTACAAATTAAATGCAATTCCTATCAAATTACCAATATCATTTTTTCACAGAATTAGAAAAAACGATCCTAAATATCATATGGAACCAAAAAAGCATTCAAATAGCCAAAGTACTCCTAAGCAAAAAGAACTAAGTCAGAGGCATCATGTGTCTGACTTCAAATTATACTATAATGCTATACTAAAAAAAACAGTATGGCATTGGTACAAAAACAGACAGATTAATGGAATGGAATAAAGAGTCCATTGCTAGGAAGGATACAGCTTAAAAAGGGAGAAAAAAATTGTGAAAGAAAAGAGAATAAAGAACCAGTAATAAAATCACATGCCTACAACCAAGTGATGTTTGACAAAGTTGGCAAAAATAAACAGTGGGGAAAGAGCATTCTATTCAATAAATGGTGCTGGGAAAATTGGCTACCCATAGGCAAAAGAATGAAACTGAATTCCCATTTCTCATCATATACAAACTTTAACTCAAGACGTATTAATGACTTAAATGAAAGACCAGAAGCTATAAAAATCCTAGAAGAAAATTTAGGAAAAACTCTTCTAGATATTGGCCTAGGAAAATAATTCATAACTTAGACCTGAAAAGGAAATGCAACAAAACCAAATATACACAAATGAGACTTAAACTAAAGAGCACAGCAAAAGAAATAATCAACAGAGTAAACAGACAACCTACACAATAAGAACAAAATATTTGCAAACTTTGCATCTGACAAAGAACTAATATCCAGAATCTAAAAAGAACACAAACAACTCAACAACAACAAAGAATAAACAACCTCATTAAAAAAGACTGCAAAGGATATGAACAGACATTTCTCAAAAGAAGACATACAAGTGGCCACCAAACACATGAAAAATTGCTCAACATCACCAATCATCAGAGAAATGCAAATTAAAACCACAATAAAGGCAGGGCGCAGTGGCTCACACCTGTAATCCCAGCACTTTGGGAGGCCAAGGCGGGTGGATCACCTGAGGTCAGGAGTTCAAGACCAGCCTGACCAATATGGTTAAACCCCATCTCTACCAAAAATACAAAAATTAGCTGGGCATGGTGGCAGGCACCTGTAATCCCAGCTACTCGGAGGCTGAGGCAGGGGAATCTCTTGAACCCAGGAGGCAGAGGTTGCAGTGAGATGAGATCATACCACTGAACTCCAGCCTGAGTGACAGGGCGAGACTCTGTCTCAAACACACACACACACACACACACACACACACACACACACACACAAAATAAGATATAAACACAACAGATGTTGGTGTGAATGCAGAGAATAATGAATGCTTATTCACTGTTGGTGGGACCATAACAACCTCTATGAAAAACAGCATAGAGATTTCTCGAAGCACTAAAAATAGAGCTACCATTTGGCCCAGTGATTATACTACTAGGCATCTGAAAGAAAAGAAATAATTATATAAAAAAGTCACTTTCACTCATGTGTATTACATTCCTACTCATAATAGTAAAGTCATGGAATTAACCTAAATGTCCATTAACAGTGGACTGGATTTATTTTAATATGGTATATATACACCATGGAATACTATGCAGCCATAAAAATGAAATCATGCTCTGTGCAGTAACATGGATGGAGCTGGGGGCCATTATCCTAAGTGAAATAACTCAGAAACAGAAAATCAAATACCACATGTTCTCATAAGCAGGAGCTAAACAATGAGTACACAAGGACATAAAAATGGAAACAATAGATAGTGAGACTCCAAAAGGGAGAGACTGGGAGGAGGCCGATGGTCAAAATATTATCTATTGGTAGTGAGATGTGATCACGCCACTGCACACCAGCCAGGGCAACAGAGTGAGATCATGTCTCAAAAAAAAAATGATCTGTTGGGTACAATATTTACTATTTCAGGATAGTTACACTAGAAGCCAAACCTCACCATTATGCAATATATCTATTTGACAAATATGCACTTATACCCTCTGAATCTAAAATAAAAAACAAAGGAATTCTATAGTAGTAAACACCTACATCTTTTTTTAAAAAAAGATCTCGCCTGTGTGGTGGCTCACGCCTGTAATCCCAGCACTTTGTGAGGCCGAGGCAGGCAGATTGCCCAAGGTCAGGAGTTCGAGAAAGCCTGGCTAACATGGTGAAACCCCATCCTACTAAAAATACAAACAAATTAGCCGGATGTGGTGGCGCACGCCTGTAGTCCCAGCTACTCGGGAGGCTGAGGGAGGAGAATCACTTGAACCTGGGAGGCAGAGGTTGCAGTGAGCTGAGATTGCGCCACTGCACTCCAGCCTGGGCAACAGAGAGAGACTCCGTCTCAAAAAAAAAAGATCTCAAATAAACAACCTAACTTTACACACACACAAACACACACACACAAATAGCAGAAGGAAAGAAATAACAAAGATTAGAGCATAAATAAATGAAATAGAGAATAAAAAAAATTTTAATCGGCCAGGCACGGTGGCTCACACCTGTAATCCCAGCAGATCTCTTGAGGCCAGGAGTTTGAGACCAGCCTGGCCAACATGGTGAAACCCTGTCTGTACTAAAAACACAAAAATTAGCCAAGTGTGGTGGCATGCTCCTGTAATCCCAGCTACTTGGGAGGCTGAGGCAGGAGAATCACTTGAAGCCGGGAGATAGATCTTACAGTGAGCCGAGATTGTGCCACTGCACTCCAGCTTGGGCAACAGAGTGAGACTCTGTCTCAAAAAAGAAAACAAAACAAAAAATTAATCAATGAAGCTAAGAGTTGATTTGGGGAAAAAAACTCAAAATCAAAGCCCTTACTTAGACTAAGAACAAAAAGAGAGAATATGTTAATAAAATAAGAAATGAAAGAGAAGACATTACAACTTATTACAGAAGTTTATTTCTTACAGAAATAAACAGAATTATAAGGGACTACTATGAACAATTATACACCAACCAACTTGACAACTTAGAAGAAATGGTGAAATTACTAGAAACATATAAACTACCAAGATGGAATGAAGAATAAATAGAGAGCTTAAAGAGACCAATAACAAATAGAGAAACTAAAGAAGTAATTTTTCAAAACTCCAAAATATAGCCTAGGACCAGATTACTTCATGGGTAAATTCTACCAAACTTTCAAAGAAAATTTAATATAAAACATCCTCAAATTCTTTGAAAAAATAGAAAAAAGAGGTAACACCTTCAGAGTCATTTTATGAGGCAGCATCCCCTTGATATCAAAGCAAGAAAACACACTTTCAAGAAGAAAATTATAGGCCAATATCCTTGAGGAACATGCTGTATGAATTAAATCTAAATAAATCTGTTTACAAAGAATCGATTCTCAGCAGAAGCTTTACAAAATTAAAAAAATTAAAAATTCTCACACTGGATTCTGGATAAACACTCATTTCTAGCCTCTTTGTCAGATATGTTACTGAAACTTACACTAACTGAGGAGTTCGCTTGAGCAGCAGTTTCTTCATCTGTTGGGAGCTGATATATCTGGATGCCATTGCTAATCAATTCACTCATTATCTTATTCTTAAACGTCTGTAAATCATTTTTAGAAATAGTGTCTGCTTTGGCAATCAGTGGTATAATATTCACCTATGAAGAAAGAAGACAAACAAAATCTCATCATTGTTCATCTCACAGTTTTTTTGTTTTTTGTTTTTTGTTTTGAGACGGAGTCTCGCTTTGTCGCCCAGGCTGGAGTGCAGGGGCACGATCTCGGCTCACTGCAAGCTCCGCCTCCTGGGTTCACGCCACTCTCCTGCCTCAGCCTCCCGAGTAGCTGGGACCACAGGCACCCGCCACCACGCCCGGCTAATTTCTTTTTGTGTTTTTAGTAAAGACGGGGTTTCACCGTGTTAGCCAGGATGGTCTCAATCTCCTGACCTCGTGATCCGCCTGCCCCGGCCTCCCAAAGTGCTGGGATTACAGGCGTGAGCCACTGCGCCCAGCCATCCTATAGTTTTTATAGTAAAGCCTTCACAATCTCTGACAACAAATTGCATAACTAGGTAATCACTGGCTGTCATGCTTTTCTTAAAAATTATTTTCCAAAATTATCAATACTTTTGAAGATTGATCTTTTATCCAAATTCAGGTTTAGAAGTCTCAACCTTGTTTCTCTTCTAAAAATCCCTTATACCTCTACACATATGGAGTTAGTAAAATGTAAATAGTAGGACAATGTAAATTATTTTATTTATTTATTTATTTATTTATTTATTTTTCAGACAGAGTCTGGCTCTGTTGCCCAGGCTCTGGAGTGCAGTAGCGCGATCTTGGCTCACTGCAAGCTCCGCCTCCCAGGTTCATGCCATTCTCCTGCCTCAGCCTCCCGAGTAGCTGGGACTACAGGCGCCCACCACCATGCCCGGCTACTTTTTGGTATTTTTAGTAGAGACGGGGTTTCACCGTGTTAGCCAGGATATTCTCGATCTCCTGACCTCGTGATCCGCTCGCCTCAGCCTCCCAAAGTGCTGGGATTACAGGCCTGAGCCACCGTGCCTGGTCTATTTAATTTATTTTCAATTTTATTTCTTATTAAGCTGAGTGATAAAAGACAAATTCAAAGAACTTTCCTCAAAATTGTGGAAGGGATTTTGTCCTTCTACTTTTTACATCACTTTTTCCATCAATCAATCTTAATTAATGTCCCATTTTCACTCTCTTGCCCCGCCTAGATGTGTTTGCAGATAGATTTGCTATTGTTTTTCAAAGACCACCTAAAAAGAATATAGATGTTTTTGATTACCATATTCTTTCTTTTTTTGAGGCGGAATCTTGCTCTGTCGCCCAGGCTGGAGTGCAATGGCGCAATCTAGGCTCAGGGCAACGTCTGCCTCCCGGGTTCAAGCAAGTCTCCTGCTTCAGCCTCCTGAGTAGCTGGGATTACAGGTGCCCGCCACCATACCCGGTTGATTTTTGCATTTTTAGTAGAGACAGGGTTTCACCATGTTGGCCAGGCTAGTCTCGAACTCCTGACCTCAGGATACAACCACTTCAGCCTCCCAAAGTGTTGGGATTATAGGCATGAGCCACCACACCTGGCCTGGTTACCATATTCTAAAGGCCGTGTGTGTATGTATGTGTGTGTGTGCGCGTGTGTGTGTATAAGAACACCTTGCAAACAAATATGTTCATTTTTCTTTTGTAAAAAGACATAATTTCCACATTGAAAGTTAAATATTTGCATATTTGAGGTTGAATTTTTACCCACAAAGTTTTTTCCTAGTGCTTCAATATGAGCACTCCTGCCTTTTGCATTTGCACTTAAATAACTAAACTTTTTAGGAAATAACAATATACAAAATTATATAATGTTTTATTACTGTTAAAATATCTTATTAAATTATAGCTCCACAAAATCAATATCTGTAATATAGTAGAAATACATAAATATAAATTTTAGGCAGACTGCTTTTGTTTTAGATTGCTCAAAACACGTTTTTTAAAAAATCCATGGACAGACCGGGCGCAGTGGCTCACGCCTGTAATCCCAGCACTTTGGGAGGCCAAGACTGGCAGATCACCTGGGGCCAGGAGTTCAAGACCAGCCTGACCAACATGAACAAACCCCGTCTCTACTAAAAATGCAAAATTAGCCAGGCGTGTTGGCTCATGCCTGTAATCCCAGCTACTCAGGAGGCTGAGGCAGGAGAATCGCTTGAACCCAGGAGGCAGAGGTTGCAGTGAGCCGAGATTGCGCCATTGCACTCCAGCCTGGGCAACAAGAGCGAAACTCCGTCTCAACAACAACAACAACAACAAAAAGAGTGTATATTCCTGACTATTGAAGGTACTACTAATTAAGAACTTGAAGCAGCTCTTAATTTAACTAGAAATCTAATTTATTTCAACTACTTAATGACATCTGAGATTAAGTACAAAGTCTCTTTTCAGTTTGAACAATATATAGTAAAAGTTGAGATTCCTCGGATAAAAGGAACCCAACTTAGAACTTTTTCTCTCTTCAACTAAATAAAGATGTCTTCAACTAATTTAAGTTGAAGACAGCATGTTTTGTTAGGGCTGAGTGCAGAAAAGAATCTGATAATATGACAATTTCCTTTATATGTATATTGCTTTTCTATATTTAAAAAAGAAAATATACTTTTAACCTTTTTTTTTTTTTTGAGAGAGAGAGAGAGAGGGTCTTGATCTGTGGCCCTGTCTGCAGTGCGGTGGCATGATCACAGCTCACTGCAGCCTCAACCTCCCGGGCTGAAGCGATCCTCCCACCTCAGCCTCCTGAGTAGCTGGAACTACAGGCACGTGCTGCCATGCCTGGCTATTTTTTTGTATTTTTTGTAGAGACAGGGTCTCACTATGTTGTTCTAGCTGGTCTCAAACTTCCAGGCTCAGGCAATCCTCCCTCCTCAGCCTCCCAAAGTGCTGGGATTACAGGCGTGAGCCACCATGTCTGGCCCTTCTAAATTTTTTATGAAAAATGATTTTAGACTTATGGAAGAGTTGCATGAATATTACAGAGAAAGAAATTGAGGCATCATAATTTTCCCAAAGCCACACAGTGAGCAAGTAACAGGGTCAGGTTTGTGAAAGCAGGCAGCTTGAACCCACTACCCATGCTTTTTTATTTATTTTTTTTTTTGGAGACAGAGTTTCACTCTTGTTGCCCAGGCTGAAGTGCAATGGCGTGATCTCGGCTCACCGCAACCTCTGCCTGCGGGTTCAAGCAATTATCCTGCCTCAGCCTCCCGAGTAGCTGGGATTACAGGCATGTGCCACCACGCCCAGCTAATTTTGTATTTTTTAGTAGAGACAGGGTTTCACCATGTTGGTCAGGCTGTTCTCAAACTCCTGACCTCAGGTGATCTACCTGTCTCGGCCTCCCAGAGTGCCGGGATTACAGGGTGAGCCCTGGCTCCCAGCCCTCCCCATGTTTTTAATCACAGAAAGCGCTAGACATTTTTCCCAAGGTCACAGACACCTAGCAAGTGATAAAGCAAATATTCAAAAGCTGCTTCCACTGACAAGTCCTGTGACCTTTACATATTCAAAAATTAAAATTCCTTCTGTATGGATAAATCTGAGCTTCATAAACATTCAACGGACTGATTTTCTGTACAATAAAACCAAACTACAAAAAACTGCTGAATAATTAGAAAAATTAATCAAATGAACAGAGTCTCATATCGATTTTGAGATTTTGCTGAAGCCATGGGGCTTAAGCAGCCTATTGAAAGGAAGTCCTCGTGTGTCCCAGGTTTTTGCTGGAAAGAATTATGCTTTTCTTAGCTGTTTCTATATAACAAGCAGTAGCTGCCTGCAGGCTCTTGTATCTGAATCCTGTCTGATATGATCTGTAACCAGGATCACAAAAGCTTTCTGTTTCACACCATCAGTGGTACTAGTCAAACATCAGTGGGATTATTTCACAGTATCATATAGTAAATTTTATTTTAAAAATACAGGCATCCCCCATTTTCCACAGTTTCTCTTTCTTCCTTTTCTTTCCTTCTTTTTTACTTCCTTCCCTCCTTCTTTCTTTTCTTCCTTCCCTCCCTCCCTCCCTCCCCCCTCCCTTCCTCCCTCCCTTCCTTCCTTTCTTTCTTTCTCTCTTTCTCTCTTTCGCTCTCTTTTCTTTCAACGGGGACTTGCTCTATTGCCCAGGCTGGAATTGCAGTGACATGATCTTGGCTCACAGCAGCCTGGAACTCCTGGGCTCAAGCAATCCCACAGGTGCACACCACCATGCCTGGCTAATTTTTCTATTTTTTTGTAGAGATGGGGTCTCACTACATTGCCCAGGCTGGTCTTGAGCTCCTGAGCTCAAGCGATGCTCCTGCGTTAGCCTCCCAAAGTGCTGAGATTACAGGCTTGAGCCACAGAGCCCAGCCCAGTTTCACTTTCCACAATTTCCCGTAATCAACAGCAGTCCAAATATATTAAATGAAAAATTCTAGAAATACACAATGTAGAAGTTTTAAATTGCATGCAATTCTAAATACTGTGATGAAATGTCATGTTGACCCACTCCTTCTCACCCTGGATATGAATTATCTCACTATTCACCTCATTTTATCTCAACATGTAGGCATTGTATTATCTCACATCATCATAAGAAGAGTGAGTACAGTATAATAAGATATTTTGAGGCCAGGCGTGGTGGCTCACACTTGTAATCCCAGCACTTTGGGAGGCTGAGGCAGGCGGATCACCTGAGGTTAGGAGTTTGAGAACAGCCTGGCCAACATGGGGAAACCCCATCTCTACTAAAAGTACAAAAAATTAGCCGGGCGTGGTAGCGGGCACCTGTGATCCCAGCTACTCGGGAGGCTGAGGCAGGAGAATCACTTGAACCCGAGAGGCAGAGGTTGCAGTGAGCCGAGATTGTGCCACTGCACTCCAGCCTGGACAACAAGAGCAAAACTCCGTCTCAGAAAAAAAAAAAAAAAAAAGATATTTTGAGAGACGCAGGTAACTTTCACATAACTTTTAGTACAGTGTATTGTTATAATTGTTCTATTTTATTATTAGTTACTATTGTTAGCTTCGGTCTGCATCTAAGAAACTAACAATAATAACTAATAATAAAAGAGAACTGCATCTCATTTATAAATAAATCTTTATGATAGGTATGTATGCATAGAAAAAAACAGTATATATCAGGCTCTGTACCATGCATGCTTTCAGGCGTCCACTGGGGATCTTGTAACTTACTCCCAAGGGTGCTACTCTATAGGCAAATGGCCATGATCTGGGAGGTAAGTCAAGGTTGAAATCTATCAAATGTGAGTTGTCTCCCCCAGCAACCAAAAAATTTGTATGTTGAAGCCTCAACCCCCCAGTACCTCAGAATGTGACCTCAACTGAGATAAAGCCTTCAAAGAGGTGATTAAAAAGTGAGACTGGGTCAGGTGCGATGGCTCACGCCTGTAATCCCAGCACTTTGGGAGGCCGAGGTGGGCAGATCACCTGAGATTAGGAGTTCGAGACCAGCCTGGCCAACATGGTGAAACCTTGTCTCTACTAAAAATACAAAAATTAGCTGGGTGTAGTGGTGCATGCCTGTAATCCCAGCTACCCAGGAGGCTGAGGCAGGAGAATCCCTTGAACCTGGGAGACGGAGGTTGCAGTGAGCCAAGATCACACCACGGCACTCCAGCCTGGGCATTAAAAAAAAAAAAAAAGTGAGACTGTTACAGTGGGGCCCAACCTAAACTGACTGGCACCCTTATAAGAAGATAAAATGTGAGGCCGGGCACAGTGACTCACGCCTGTAATCCCAACACTTTGGGAGGCCGAGGTGGGTGGATCACCTGAGGTCAAGAGTTCAAGACCAGCCTGGCCAACATGGTGAAACTCATCTCTACTAAAAATACAAAAAATTAGCCGGGTGTGGTGGTGGGCGCCTGTAATCCCAGCTACTCAGGAGGCTAAGATAGGAGAACTGCTTGAACCCAGGAGGCAGAGGCTACAGTGAGCTGAGATTGCACCACTGTACTCCAGCCTGGGCAACAAAAGCGAAACTCCGTCTCGAAAAAAAAAGACAAAATGTGGACACCCCGGAGACACTAGGAAAAACACCATGTGAGAACACAGAGATAAGGTGGTCATCTGCCAGACAAGGACAGAGATTTCAGAAGAAAGCACATCTTCTGACACCTTGATCTTGGACTTCTGTCCTCCAAGACTGTAGGAAAATACATTTTCATTGTTTAAACCACCCAGTCTATGGCATTTTGATATCCCAGCCCTAACACACTGATGCAAATGCCTCAAATATTAACAGAAAAAGATAATTAGGATATATACATATATTACAAAATGACAGGTACAGTCGTGCACCACATAATGGCATTTCAGTAAATGATGGGCCACACATATGATGTTGTTCCCATAATATTATAATACTGTACCTTTGCTTTTTGTTGTTGTTATTATTTATTTATTATTTATTTATTTATTTACTGACTCTTGCTCTGTCGCCCAGGCTGGAGTGCAGTGGCGCAATCTCGGCTCACTGCAACCTCCGCCTCCCTGGTTCAAGCGATTCTCCTGCCTCAGTCTCATGAGCAGCTGGGATTACAGGCGCCTGCTACAACGCCCAGCTAATTTGCTAATTTTCTGTATTTTTAGTAGAGACAGGGTTTCATGATATTGGCCAGGCTGGTCTTGAACTCCTGATCTCAGGTGATCTGCCCACCTCAGCCTCCCAAAGTGACGGGATTACAGGCGTGAGCCTCCGCACCTGGCTATTTAGAGATCTATTTATTGAATTTCTGGATTCAGGGGATATATGTGCAGGTTTGTTACTTACATATATTGAATATTAGTGAGGTTTTGGTCTCTCGTGTGCCCATCACCCAAATAGTGAGCATTGTACCCAATAGGTAATTTTTCAAATCTCAACCTCCTCCCACCCTTCCCCTTTATAAAGGGCCCAGCGTCTATTATTTGTCTAATACTGAAACTTTTTTTATGTTTAGATACACAGACAAGGCTGGGCGCAGTGGTTCACGCTTTGGGAGGCTGAGGCGGGCAGATCACTCGAGGTCAGGAGTTCAAGACCAGCCTGGCCAACATGGCAAGACTCCGTCTCTATTAAAAATACAAAAATTAGGCCGAGCACAGTGGCTCACGCCTGTAATCTCAGCATTTTGAGAGGCTGAGGTGGGTGGATCACCCGAGGTCGGGAGTTCGAGACCAGCTTGACCAACATGGAGAAACCCCATCTCCACTAAAAATACAAAATTAGCCAGGCATGGTGGCACATGCCTGTAATCTCATCTACTCAGAAGGCTGAGGCAGGAGAATCGCTTGAACCCAGGAGGTGGAGGTTGCAGTGAGCCCAGATCACGCCATTGCACTCTGGCCTGGGCAACAAGAATGAAACTCCGCCAAAAAAAAAAAAAAAAAAAAAAATTAGCCGGGCATGGTGGCACAGGCCTGTCAGGCCTATAGTCCCAGCTACTTGGGAGGCTGAGGCCAGAGAATCACTTGAACCCAGGAGGCAGAGGTTGCAGTGAGCCAAGATTGTGCCACTGCACTCCAGCCTGGGAGACAGTAAGACTCCATCTCAAAATAAAATAAAATAAAATAGATACACAGATACTTACCATTGTGTTATAATTCTACAGTATTCCGTACAGTACCATGCTGTCCAGGTTTGTAGCCTAGGAGCAATAGGCCATACCATAAAAGGCTATAGCCTAGATGTGTAGTAGGCTATATCATGTAGGTATGTGTAGATACACTCTAAGATGTTTGCATAATGATGAAATCACCTAAAGATATGTAACTACACTTGCATGCAAGTGCCTTCAAGATGTCTTATTATCTCAAAATTAATATTACATCATGAAAGGTTGAGACCAGGAACAATGGCTCATGCCTGTAATCCCAACAACTCTGGGAGGGCAAGGTGGGTGGATCACTTGAGCCAGAAGTTCAAGTTCAGCCTGGGCAACATAGTGACACCCTGTCTCTACAAAAAATACAAAAATTAGCCAATCTTGGTAGCACACTCCTGTCCCAGTTGCTCGGATGGCTAAGGTGGGAAGATTGCTTGAGCCCAGGAGGTTGAGGCTGCAGTGAGCTATGATGACGCCACTGCACTCTAGCCTGGGTGACAGAGCAAGACCCTGCCTCAAATACAAAAAAAAAAAAAGAAAAAGAAGGCTGGGCACGGTGGCTCACACCTGTAATCCCAGCACTCTGGGAGGCCAAGGCGGGAGGATCACGAGGTCAGGAGATCGAGACCATCCTGGCTAACATGGTGAAACCCCATCTCTACTAAAAATACAAAAAAATTAGCCGGGCGTGGTGGCAGGTGCCTGTAGTCCCAGCTACTCGGGAGGCTGAAGCTGGAGAATGGCGTGAACCTGGGAGGCGGAGCTTGCGGTGAGATCGCACCACTGCACTCCAGCCTGGGCGACAGAGGGAGACTCCGTCTCAAAAAAAAAAAGATGGTAGATTTACCAAACATACCTTACTGTCAAGGTTCTTCATTGTTAATAGATCAAGAGACTTCAGGGAATGTCCTGTAGGTGAAATGAAGTAAAGACACACGTGGACGCGAGAATCATGGTACTCAAACAAGGAACGTTTAATCTTCAGTTCTTCTTGAAGATAGGCCTCAAATTGGGCATCTATGTAGTCAACTATTGGTTGGTAGCTAAAAAAAAATTTATACATTTAGCATAACAGACTAATAAAATCTAAAGCCTGCTTTTTGACCACTTAATGAGCAGTTAACATGTATGTAAGCAGTTTGCTATAGTGATGAAGAAAAAGTTCATAACATGTCCATACAAAGATATTAATTCTAAACCAATAATAAGGCTCATGCTTTACTCTATGGTTATGTAAAATGTAAACATAGAGGAAAGCTGGGTGCATCCGACAGGGGACTAGTATCCAGAATATACAAAGAATGCAAGCAACTAAACAACAACAACAAGAAGAACAAATAATCCCATTAAAAAGTGGGCAAAGGACATGAATAGACATTTTTCAGAACACCAAAATACAAGGCAAAACCACAATGAGATATCATCTTATCTCAGTCAGAATGGCTATTGTTAAAAAGATAAAAAATGGCCGGGCGCGGTGGCTCACGCCTGTAATCACAGCACTTTGGGAGGCCAAGGTGGGTGGATCACGAGGTCAGGAGTTCAAGACCATCCTGGCTAACACGGTGAAACCCTGTCTCTGCTAAAAATACAAAAATTATCTGGGTGTGGTGGCAGGCGCCTGTAGTCCCAGGTACTCAGGAGGCTGAGGTAGGAGAATAGCATGAACCCAGGAGACAAAGCTTACAGTGAGCCGAGATCGCGCCACTGCGCTCTAGCCTGGGCAACAGAGCAAGACTCCATCTCAAAAAAAGACAAAAAATAACAGGCCAAGTAGAGTGGCTCATGTCTATAATCCCAGCACTTTGGAAGGCCAAGGTAGGAGGATCACTTGAGGCCAGGAGTTTGACACCAGCCTGGGCAACATAGCAAGACCCCATCTATACAAACAATTTTTAAAATTAGCCAGGCATGGTGGCATGTGCCTGTAGTCTCAGTTACTCAAGAGGCTGAGGTGGAAGGATTCACTTGAGCCTGGGAGGTCGAAGCTGCAGTGAGCCAAGCTTGTGCCACTGCACTCCAGCCTGGGTGATGGAATGAAAAACTGTCTCAAAAAATAATAATAAAAATAATTAAATAACATAATTTGGCAAGGGTACACAGAAATGGGAACCCTTAGACACTGTTGGTGGGAATGTAAATTAGTACAACGTCTACGGAAAATTTGTACAAATAAAGTTAAATAAAGAAATAAGGAAATAAGCTAAAACTAATAGAAGCTATATTTAAAATTTTTTGCTATAACTGGCTAAATAAAAATCTTGTAAGAAAGTCAATTATATACAAAAGTATTAATCTTATAAGAAAAGAACATTACTTAGGAAAATATTAAAATCTGGAAGAAAAGGTATTACTTACACAAATTAGTCTATGGCAAAGGAAGTCAAATTCCTTGAAATAAGAAAACCTTTTTTAATTTAAATAAGAAAACACTCACCTGGCTTCTTTGTCTATTTGATCACCATACCCTACTGTCTCCACAACAGTCAATTTCAACTGAACATTGCTTTCCTGAAGTTCATATGTCTGAATTTGAAGTCCAACATTTGAGTAAAAATGTGAGGATTTGTTATCTTTCAAGTTAGTATTAAACAATGTGTCTATCAGTGTCGATTTTCCAATTCCAGTCTCCCCTGTAATAGACATAGAGTCATTGTCATAGGGACATAAAGGGGCTAAGAAAAAGCAACACTTTGAATTCCTACGGTGGTTTTTAAAATCTTAGAAAGTTGAACTCATAGAAGTAGAGAGTAGTATTCTGGCTACCAGAGGCTGGGGGAGCAGGAGAAAGGAAAGGTGGAGTAGTTGGTCAAAGGTACAAAGTTTCTTTTTTTTTTTTTACTTTTATTTTAGGTTGGGAGTACACGTGCAGGTTTGTTGTATCAGTAAACTCATGACATGAGGGTTTGTTGTACAGATTATTTCATCACCCAGGTACTAAGCATGGTAACCAATAGTTATTTTATCTGATCCTCTCCCTCCTCCAAACCTCCACCCTCAAGTAGACACCAGTGTCTGTTATTCCCCTTTTTGTGTCCATGTGTTCTCATCATTTAGCTCCCACTTACAAGTGAGAACATGGCACATGTTCTCAGCCATAAAAAAGAAGGAGATCATGTCCTTTGCAGGAACATGGATGGAGCTGGAGGCCATCATCCTTAGCAAACCATCAGAGCTCATTGTAGCGCTATTCACAGTAGCAAAGACATGGAATCAACCTAAATGTTCATCAATGGTAGACTGGATAAAGAAAATATGGTACATATACACCATGGAATACTACACAGCCATGAAAAAGAATGAGATCATGTCCTTTGCAGGAACATGGATGGAGCTAGAGGCCATCATCCTTAGCAAACAGTTTCAAACAGGAGTAGAAATAAGTTTTGAGATCTATTGCACAGCAGAGTGACTATAGTCAATGTATTGTATATTTCAAAATAATCAAGAGAGTTAATTTCAAATGTCTCATCATAAAAAAATGATAAGTAAACCGGGTAATAGATACATTAATTCACTTGATTGAATCATTCCAAATTGTAAACATATAGCAAAACCTCACATTGTATCCATACATGTAAATAACTATGATTTTTCAATTAAAAATAATATTAATTTTAAAAATAAATAAAGGGTCTCAAATACTTCAAAGACTGGGATGGCCTTGAAAATATACATGCTAGGCCGGGTGCGGTGGCTCACGCCTGTAATCCCAGCACTTTGGGAGGCTGAGGCGGGCGGATCACGAGGTCAGGAGATCGAGACCATCCTGGCTAACATGGTGAAACCCCGTCTGTACTAAAAATACAAAAAATTAGCCGGGTGTATTGGCGGGCGCCTGTAGTCCCAGTTACTTGGGAGGCTGAGGCAGGAGAATGGCATGAACCTGGGAGGCGGAGCTTGCAGTGAACCGAGATTGCACCACTGCACTCCAGCATGGGCAACAGAGCAAGACTCCGTCTCAGAAAAAAAAAAAAAAGTATATATATATATATATATATATATATGTATACATGCTAGCCCTGATTCTCTCAGTCATTAACATAATGGAAAAAGAAAGTATATACTAAGCTACATCAGACTTTTAAGAGCACAGGAATGTGTCAATTTT
Organism: Homo sapiens; assembly: GCF_000001405.40. NCBI lineage: Eukaryota > Metazoa > Chordata > Mammalia > Primates > Hominidae > Homo > Homo sapiens. Next base: position 55,846,197 of record NC_000007.14, read on the forward strand.
TAACAATCACTACAGGTCGAGTGTGGTGTCTCATGCCTGTAATCCCAGCACTTTGGGAAGCTGAGGTGGGCAGATTGCTTGAGCCCAGGCGGCTGAGGCTACAGTGAGCCATAATCACACCATTGCACTCCAGCCTGGGCAACAAAGTGAGAACCTGTCTCAAAAAATAAAAGGATTACATAATATGGCTAAGATGAGAATCACTGTAAACATGAAGATATATTTGAATTAATAGCATCAATGTTACACTGCTTAAGATAAGTTGAAATGAACATTGGGAAAAATGAAGGAATAATTCAAATGAGGTGTTTGACACTTACCCACACAGAGAATATTAAAAGTGAATCCTTGTCGGATAGATCTGCTCACCAACTGATTGGGCAAACATTCAAAACCAAAATGTCCAATCGTAGTTAAACAACGAATATTATTTTCTTTTTGCTTAAATAAAACAAAAATTTAGAGTTTTGTGTTAGAATAAAAAATGAAGTCATTTGAAAGGAAAATGATTATAGTACATCAAATAAATTAGAATTGATTATCATTTGCTTATCATACCTCAGACAAGATGCAAATATATTAAGTAAATTTGTGAAAATAGAAGTCTGTGTTCAAACACATAGATTTGGCTATTATTTTTATAAATAAAGTGAATCTATCTCTCAGCACACTCAAAGAGGCTCTGTTTCTAAATTTTAAAAGAGACAGGGGACAGGCACGGTGGCTCATGCCTGTAATCCCAGCACTTTGGGAGGCTGAGGCAGGCGGATCATGAGGTCAGGAGTTCGAGACCAGCCTGGCCAACATTGTGAAACCCCATCTCTACTAAAAATACAAAATTAGCCGGGCATGCTTGTACTAAAAATACAAAATTGGTGGTGCATGCTTGTAATCCCAGTTACTCAGGAGGCTGAGGCAGGAGAATCACTTCAACCCGGGAGGGGGAGGTTGCAGTGAGGCAAGAGCACACCACTGCACTCCAGCCTGGGTGACAGAGTGAAACTCTGTCTCAAAAAATTAATTAATTAATTAAATAGGGAATTAAGGAAATACTACAAGAAACTCTAATGTATTACTGTAACATAATAAATTATTTCTTCCATAAGAAAAAAGAAAAAAACTTTAACATCCTTTCATTCTGCTGCAGCGTATTAATATATTGAGAAAATCCCACACATGTTAATCCAGATGCTTCTCAACTTATGATGAGGCTATGTCCCAAGAAACCCCTCCTAAATTGAACATATTGTAAGTCAAAACTGCATTTAACACACATAACAAAACTGAACATTATAGCTCAGCTTTGCCTGCCTTAGACATGCTCAGAACACTTACATTAGCCTACAGTTGGGCAAAATCAACTAACACAAAGCTTATGTTATAATAAAGTATTAAATATCTCATGTAATTTATCAAACAAAGTGAAAAACAGCACTATTATAGAGTCAACAATTTAAGTTGAATGATTGTAAGCTGGAGATCCTCTACATATGTGAGGAAACCAAAATCAATTTGAAATTTTTAAAAAATCAAATGATGTATACTTCAGATTTGTTATATACCCTCTGAGGACTTGTGTTATATCGAAGAAATCTACTACTAATAACACCATTCTAGAAAATTAGAAATCCATCAGTATTACACACAAAGTTACCAACTGATCATTTTTAAAAGGTTAAAAGATCATTCATTTTTTATTTTTAAGTACTTCTATTTTAAAAATGGGAATTATACAACCCCCTGCACAACTATAAACACATTAAATACCACTTTGCAATGACAGCTCAGCATACTTCACAGTTCTTAACACTATTTTATGAGGAATACAAAATACCTTTTTATTTAAATTAACCCGCTTTAAAAATGTTTTAGTATATGTGAGAATAAAGGAATTATAAATCAGTAGGAAAGATTTTAAGGTAGAAGCATCAACAATCAGCTCAGTAGATGTTGTCTACATTTATTTTGTACCTTTATAAAACAAGAACATGCTAATCGGCCTGGGAGGCAGAGGTTGCAGTAAGCTGAGATCTCGACTCACTGCAACCTCCATCACCCGGGCTCCAGCAATTTTCCAGCCTCGGCCTCTAGAAAAGCTGGGACTACATGCATGCGCCACCATGCCCAGCCAATTTTTGTATTTTTTGTAGAGAAGGGGTTTCACCATGTTGGCCAGGCTGGTCTCGAACTCCTGACCTCAGGTGATGCGCCTGCCTCGGCCTTCCAAAGTGCTGGGATTACAGGTGTGATCCACTGCACCTGGCTAATTTTTGTATTTTTGATAGAGACGGGGTCGCACCATGTTGCTTGGGCTGGTCTTGAATTCCTGAGCTCAAACAATCCTCCTGCCTTAGCCTCCAAAGGGCTGGGATTACAAGCTTGAGTCACTGAGCCCGATCTACTAACAGAGATTTTTTTTTTTTTTTTTTTTTGAGACGGAGTCTCGCTCTGTCGCCCAGGCTGCAGTGCAGTGGCACGATGGCTCACTGCAAGCTCCGCTTCCCGGGTTCACGCCATTCTCCTGCCTCAGCCTCCCGAGTAGCTGGGACTACAGGCACCTGCCACTACGCCCGGCTAATTTTTTGTATTTTTAGTAGAGATGGGGTTTCACCGTGTTAGCCAGGATGGTCTCGATCTCCTGACCTCGTGATCCGCCCGCCTCGGCCTCCCAAAGTGCTGGGATTACAGGCATGAGCCACCGCGCCTGGCCTACTAATAGAGATTTTAAAACAGCTATTATAAATGTGCAGAGACATAAAGGAAAGTGTGCATACACAATGAGTAAAAAGACAAAAATCCCAGGAGAAAAACAAAAATTATAAAATTAAGATAAAAGCAGAAAGCATGGCCAGGCACGTTGGCTCACGCCTGAAATCCCAGCAGTTTGAGAGGCTGAGGCAGAAGGATCACTTGAGGTTAGGAGTTCGAGACCAGCCTGGCCAACATAGTGAAACCCTGTCTCTACTAAATATACAAAAATGAACCCGGCATGGTGGCAGGAGCCTGTAATCCCAGCTACTCGGGAGGCTGAGGCAGGCGAATCCCTTGAGCCAGGGAGGCAGAGGTTGCAGTGAACTGAAATCGGACCACTGCATTCCAGCCTGGGCAACAGAGGGAGACTACATCTCAAAAATAAATAAATAAAAGCAGAAAGCAAAGAAATAGGAAATAGGTCTTAGAAAAAATTAAATAAGCAAAAATTTGCTGCTTTGAAAAGATTGATAAGATTGATAAACACCTAGCTGGACTAATAAAAACACCCAAAACAGCCAGGCATGGTGGCTCATGCCTGTAATCCCAGCACTTTGGGAGGCTGAGGCAGGGAGATCACCTGAGGTCAGGAGTTTGAGACCAGCCTGACCAACATGGAAAAACCCCGTCTCTACTAAAAATACAAAAATTAGCCGGGCATGGTGGCACACGCCTGTAATACCAGCTACTCAGGAGGCTGAGGTAGGAGAATCACTTGAACCTGGGAGGCAGAGGTTGCGGTGAGCCGAGATCGCACCACTGCACTCCAGCCTGGGCAACAGAGCAAGACTCCATCTCAAAAAAACAAAAAACAAACAAACAAAAAACACCCAAAACACAAATTGCTCATAGCAGAAGTGGGAGAATATTACTACAGACCACACAGATAACAAAATTAGACTACTGTGAACACATTGATGAACACATTTTGCCAATGATTTTGAAATAACTCTTTTGCCAACAAACTTGAAAATAAATAAATTTCATTGGGAAAAAAAACAAATTATAAAAATGACACAATGGGAAATAGGAAATCTAAATAGTCATATATCTATTGAAGAAATTATAGCCAAAAACCTTTCCACAAAGAAATCTTCAGGCCCTGCTGATTTCACTATTGAATTCTATCAACAAGCAGTTAAAAGAAAAATTCACACAAACTCTCTACAAAACAGAAGAGGGGGTAGTTTTTTCCAATGTATTTTATGAAACCAGATATAATGGCAATATAAACACCTGACAGGCCAGGGGCGGTGGCTCATGCCTGTATCCTAGCATTCTGTGAGGTTGAGGTGGGTTGGATCACCTGAGGTCAGGAGTTCAAGACAACCTGACCAACATGGTGAAACTCCATCTCTACTAAACACAAAAAATTAGCCGGGCATGGTGGCACGTGCCTGTAATCCCAGCTACCTGGGAGGCTAATGCAGGAGAATCCCTTGAACCCAGGAGGCAGAGGTTGCAGTGAGCTGAGATTACACCATGCACTCCAGCCTGGGCAACAGAGTGAGACTCCATCTCAAAAAAACAAACAAACGAACAAAAAACACCTGGCAAAGACATCACAAAAAGAGAAAATTATACATTAATTTCTGTCATGTGCATAGCTGCAAAAATTCTTTTTTACTACTATAATTTTAATTGTACAACTAGTAAGTGTGCAAATAAATTTTTCTTAACAACTGAAATATTGAAATGGAAGATAATATTCCATTTAACTATTCCCCACATCCTATCTCCTTCCTCTTTTCCCTATTTTTATGATTTTTAGGATTCTAGACATTAAAAAATACTTTTATATACACAAATATAGAGGTATTAAATTTTAAAAACACATACATGGCCAGGTACAGTGGCTCACGCCTGTAATCGCAGCACTTTGGGAGGTTGAGGTGGGCAGATCACCAGAGGTCAGGAGTTCAAGACCAGTCTGGCCAGCGTGGTGAAACCCGGTCTCTACTAAAAATACAAAAAAAAAAATTAGCCAGTCATGGTGGCGGAGGCCTGTAACCCCAGCTACTCAGGAGGCTAAGAGAGGAGAATTGATTGAACCCGGGAGGCAGAAGTTGCAGTAAGCCAAGATCGCGCCATTGCACGCCAGCCTGGGCCACAAGAGTGAAACTCTTGTCTCACAAAAAAAAAGCAAACATTCTGCAACTTGCTTTTTTCTACTAAAATTCTATACATGTTAATCAGCTAGCTTTATTGAGGAATAATTTATATGTAATAAAATTCACCAACTTTATGTGCACAATTTGATAAATTTTAACAAATGTGTATAGTAATGTAATCACCATCATGATCACCATATAGAACATTTCTGACATCCCTAAAACTTTCCCTATTAGCCCCTATTCAGTCAATTTGTAACCCTCATCCCTCAGCCCTGGCAACCTCTCATCTGTTTTCAGTTGCTATAGTTTTACTTTTTCTAGAATTTCATTTAGAAGAAATCATACTGCATGGAGTTTTTTTTTTTATCTTAACAAAACATTACCAATCAATTCACTTGTATATAAAAAAGATTATAGATTAAAACAATTGGCATTTATTCTAGAAATGCAAGGTTAATTCAGCACTCAAAAATCAATAAATGATAAACTATAAAATACTGATGCAAGAAATTGAAAAGGACACAAAAAAATGAAAAGATATTCCACGTGTATGGACTGAAAGAATCAATATCATTAAAATGTTCATACCACCGAAAGCAATCTACATATTTAACTCAATCCCTATCAAAATACCAATGACATTCTCCACAGAAATAGAAAAAATAGGCCGGGCGCGGTGGCTCACACCTGTAATCCCAGCACTTTGGGAGGCCGAGGTGGGTGGATCATGAGGTCAGGAGATCAAGACCAACCTGGCTAACACGGTGAAACCCTGTCTCTACTAAAAATACAAAAAAGAGGCTGGGCGCAGTGGCTCACGCCTGTAATCCCAGCACTTTGGGAGGCTGAGGCGGGTGGATCATGAGGTCAGGAGATCGAGACCATCCTGGCTAACACAGTGAAACCCCGTCTCTACTAAAAATACAAAAAATTAGCCAGGTGTGGTGGTGGGTGCCTGTAGTCCCAGCTACTCGGGAGGCTGAGGCAGGAGAATGACGTGAACCTGAGAGGCAGAGGTTGCAGTGAGCCGAGATTGCGCCACTGCACTCCAGCCTGGGCAACAGAGTGAGACTCTGTCAAAAAAAAAAAAAAGAAGAAGAAAAGAAAAAAGAAATAGAAAAAATAATCCTAAAATTTATACGTACCCACAAAAGACACAGAATATTCAAAGCAATGCTGAGTACTCTGGGTACACTGAAGGAATCACATTACTTGACTTCAAATTATAATACAGAACTACAATAACCAAAACAGCATGGTACTGGCATGAAAACAGACATATAGACCAATGGAACAGAATACAGAACTCAGAAATAAATTCAGACATGTACAGTGAACTCATTTTTGACGAAGGTGCTAATAGCATACAGTGGGGAAAGAAGAGTCTCTTCAATAAATTGTGCTGGGAAAATTGGATATCCATATGTAAAAGAATGAAAACAGACTCCTATCTCTTATCATATATAAAAATCAAATAAAAATGAATTAAAGACATAAATCTAAGCTGTGAAACTATGAACCTACTAAAAGAAAAGATTGGGGAAACTTTCCAGGACATTGACCTGGGCAAATATTTCTTGGATAATGCCCCACAAGCACAGGAAACCAAAGCAAAAATGGACAAATGGGATCATATGAAATTAAAAAGCTTCTACACAGCAAAGAAAGTGATCAACAAAGTGAGGAGACAACCCACTGAATGGGAGAAAATATTTGCAAACTATCCCCCGATAAGGGATTAATAACCAGAATATGTAAGAAGCTCAAATAACTCAATAGGAAAAAATCTAATAATCCAATTTAAAAAGTGGCAAGTGATTGGAATACACTTGTCTCAAAAGAAGACATACAAATGGCAAACAGGTATATAAAAAGGTGCTCAACATCATTGACCATCAGAGAAATTCCAATCAAACCTACAATGATATATCATCTCACCTGAGTTAAAGTGGTTTTTACCCAAAAGACTGGCAATAACAAATGCTGGCGAAAATGTGGAAAAAAAGAGAACCCTCTTACACTGTTGGTGCAAATGTGAATTAGTATGGAGAACGTATGGAGGTACCTCAAAAAACTAAAAATAGAACTACCTATGATCCAGCAATCCCACTGCTAGGTATATACCCAAAAGAAAGAAATTAGTACATTGAAGAGATATCTACACTCCCATGCTTATTGCAGCACTATTCACACTAGGCAAGATTTGGAAGCAACCTAAGTGTCCATCAACAGATGAATGGACCAAGAAAATGTGGTACATATACACAATGGAAAACTATTCAATCATCAAAAAGAATGAGATCTTGTTATTTCCAACAACATGGATGGAACCTAACATTATGTTAAGTGAAATAAGCAAGTCATGGAAAGACAAACTTCACATGTTCTCACTTACTTGTGGGAGCTAAAAATTAAAACAATTGAACTCATAGAGATAGAGAGTGGAAGGATGGTTACCAGAGGCTAAGAAGGGTAGTGGGGGTGGTGAGGGGATGGTTAATGGGTACAAGGATATAGTTAGATAGAATGAATAGGGCCCAGTATTTGGTAGCACAACAGGGCGACTATAGTCAACAATAAATTGTACATTTTAGAAGAATGAAGAGTACAATTGAAATGTTTCTAACACAAAGAAATGAAAAATACTTAAGGTAGTGGATACTCCATTTATCCTGATATGATTATTACACATTGTGCGCCTATAACAAAATATCTCATATGCCCCATAAATATATAGACCTGCTATGTACCCATAAAAATTAAAAAGTAAGGGCTGAGCGTGGTGGCTCATGCCTGTAATCCCAGAATTTTGGGAGGCTGAGGCTGGAAGATCGCGTGAGCTCAGGAGTTCGAGACCAATCTGGGCAACATAGTGAAACCCTGTCTCTACTGAAAATAAAAACTAAAAAAATAGCAGAGTATGGTGGTACATGCTCGTCGTCCCAGCTACTCTGGAGGCTGAGGCGGGAGAATCACTTAAGCCCAGGAGTTAGAGTTTGCAGTGAGCTATGATTGTGCCACTGCGCTGCAGCCTGGGTAACCGAGTAAAACCCTGTCTCAAAAAAAAAAAATTTAAAAATCAATAAACATATTTCACCATATTAATAGTATAAAGTAAAATCACCATATGACTGACTCAATAAGTGAAAAATATTATATTTGATGAATTGAATTGAATACCCATTTGTGATTTTTAAAGTCTATTAGTAAAATAAGAATTAAAGAGAACTTCATCAATCTGATAAAAACTGTATTAGAAAAAAATTTAAATCTAACATCATACTTAATAGTAAACATCTGAGTGCTTTCTTCACAAGATTGAAAATAAAGCAGAGATGTCAGCTGTTGCCATTTTATACATTGTACTGGAGGTTCTTTTTTTTTTTGAGACGGAGTCTCGCTCTGTCGCCCAGGTTGGAGTGCAGTAGTGCGATCTCGGCTCACTGCAAGCTCCGCCTCCCGGGTTCACGCTATTCTCCTGCCTCAGCCTCCTGAGCAGCTGGGACCATAGGCACCCGCCACCACGCCCGGCTAATTTTTTGTATTTTTAGTAGAGATGGGTTTCACCATGTTAGCCAGGATGGTCTCAATCTCCTGACCTTGTGATCCGCCCACCTCGGCCTCCCAAAGTGCTGGGATTACAGGCGTGAGCTACCACACCCGGCCTGTACTGGAGGTTCTTACCAGTCAATAAGGCAAACAAAAAGCATAAATATTCAAAAGAGTTTGTCATTTTATATTGAAAAAAGGTAGAAAATATACAAGAATCTACAGAGCATCTACCAGAACTACTAAGAGAACATATCAAAATTACAAGATACAAAGTCAATATACAAAAATCAGTTATATTCATTTCTAGCTTCTGCTCAGAGATGTGGAGAGCAGAAAAAAGACATCACTACTAATACTATAGGAATAAAATAATGAACTAAGGCAAGATCACAACTTTTTTTTTTTTTTTTTTTGAGACAGAGTCTCGCTCTTTCGCCCAGGCCGGAGTGCAGTGGCACTATCTCGGCTCACTGCAAGCTCTGCCTCCCAGGTTCACGCTATTCTCCTCTCTCAGCCTCCCAAGTAGCTGGGACTACAGGCGCCCGCCACCGTGCCCAGCTAATTTTTTGTATTTTTAGTAGAGGTGGGGTTTCACCGTGTTAGCCAGGATGGTCTCGAGCTCCTGACCTCATGATCCACCCGCTTCGGCCTCCCAAAGTGCTGGGATTACAGGCGTGAGCCACGGCGCCCGGTCAGATCACAACTTTTTAAAAACTCATCCTAGTACTGACGTTTCAGGTCGACCAATTGTTCCAGAATCGAAGGAGAGACAGAAACCCACAGGAAAAGACAAGATGGGAGCATCAACTTTTCTAGGCAAGAAAGACGCAGACATCAGTGAGAAGAGTTCTAAAGCAAGGAGCAAATTGCTAGAACATGCCTTGCCTGACAAGTAAAAAGTATGAGCCATAAAGAGGAATCATCTGTAGGTGCTTTTTTCTTTTCTTTTCTTTTCTTTTTGAGACAGAGTGTCGCTCTATTGACCAGGCTGGAGTGCAGTGGTGCGATCTCGGCTCACTGCAACTTCCGCCTCCCTGGTTCAAGCAATTCTCCTGACTCAACGTCCTGAGTAGCTGGGGTTATAGCCGTGCCACCACGCCCAACTAATTTTTGTATTTTTAGTAGAGACGGAGTTTCACTATGTTGGCCAGGTTGGTCTTGAACGCCTCACCTCGTGATCCACCCACCTCGCCCTCCCAAAGTGCTGGGATTACAGGCGTGAACTACCACGCCCAGGCCTGTAGCTGCTTTTTTTTGTTTGTTTTCTGGTTTGGTTTTTATTTGTCCTTATTTGGAAATCTGTCATTCTAAGTAGAGAATACAAGGTATATTAATTATATTTTTTAATTTATTAAGGTTTGATTTAATGTATGTATTTAATTTTTATTTGTAATTTCAACTTTTAGATTCAGAGAGTACATTTGCAGGTTTGTTATGAGGAAATACTGAATGTGCTGAGTTGGGGGTGTGAATGATCCCATCACCCAGGTACTGAGCATAGTACTCAATAGGTAGATTTTCTGCCCTCACCCCCTCCCTCCCTCACCCTCTAGTAGTCCTCAGTGTCCATTGTTGCCATCTATGGCATGAGTCTCATACTCATATGTCTATGAGTACCCAATGTTTACCCCCACTTATAAATGAGAACATGTGGTATTTGGTTTTCTGTTCATGTATTAATTAACTTAGGATAATGGCCTCCAGCAGCACCCATGTTGCTGCAAAGGACACATTTCATTTTTTATAGCTGCATAGTATTCCATGGTGTATATGTACCACTTTTTCGTTTTTTTTTTGATATGGAATCTTGCTCTGTCACCCAGGCTGGAGTGCAGTGGTGTGATTTCAGCTCACTGCAATCTCCGCCTCCCAGGTTCAAGCGATTCTCCTGCCTCAGCCTCCCGAATAGCTGAGATCACAGGTGCCCACCACCACACCTGGCTAATTTTTTGTATTTTTAGTAGAGACAAGATTTCACCATGTTGGCCAGCCTGGTCTCAAACTCCTGACCTCAGGTGATCCGCCTGTCTTGGCCTCCGAAAGTGCTGGGGTTACAGGCATGAGCCACCGCGCTTGGCCATGTACCACATTTTTTAATCCAATCTGCCACTGATGGACACCTAGGTTGATTCCATGTCTCAGCTATTGTGAATAGCGCTGAGATGAAAACAAGTGCAGGCCAGGTGTGGTGGCTCACACCCATAATCCCAACACTTCAGGAGGCTGAGGCAGGCAGATCACTTGAGGTCAGGAGTTTGAGAGCAGCTTGGCCAACATGGTGAAACCCCATCCCTACTAAAATTACAAACATTAGCTGGGCGTGGTGCATGCCTGTAATCTCAGCTACTCAGGAGGCTGAGGCACGAGAATCGGTTGAACCCGGGAAGTGGAGGTTCCAGTAAGCCAAGATTGTGCCACTGCACTCCCGCCTGGGTGACAGAGCGAGACTCTATCTCAAATTTAAAAAAAAGAAAACAGGATGGGCGTGGTGGCTTACACCTGTATTCCCAGCACTTTGAGAGGCTGAGGCAGGCGGATCACCTGAGGTCGGGAGTTTGAGACCAGCCTGACCAACATGGTGAAACCCCGTCTCTAATAAAAATACAAAATTAGCCAGGTGTGGTGGCGCATGCCTGTAATCCCAGCTACTCAGGAGGCTGAGGCAGGAGAATCACTTGAACCCAGGAGGCAGAGGCTGCAGTGAGCCAAGATTGAGCCATTGAACTCCAGCCTGGGCAACAAGAGGAAAACTCTGTCTCGAAAAGAAAAGAAAAGGAAAAAAGAGAAGAGAAGAGAAGAGAAAGAAGAGAGAGAAGAGAAGAGAGAAAAGGAAAGGAAGGGAAGGGGAGGGGAGGGGAGAGGAAGGGAGGGGAGGGGAGGGAAGGGAAGGGAAGGGAAGGGAAGGGAAAGGAAAGGAAAGGAAAGGAAGAGAGGAGGGGAGGGGAGGGGAGGGGAGGGGAGCCTGTGTCTTTTTTTTTTTTTTTTTTTTTTTTTGAGACGGAGTCTCGCTGTCGCCCAGGCTGGAGTGCAGTGGCACGATCTCGGCTCACTGCAAGCTCCGCCTCCCGGGTTCACGCCATTCTCCTGCCTCAGCCTCCCGAGCAGCTGGGACTACAGGCGCCCGCCACCACGCCCGGCTAATTTTTTGCATTTTTAGTAGAGACGGGGTTTCACCGTGTTAGCCAGGATGGTCTCGATCTCCTGACCTCGTGATCCGCCCGCCTCGGCCTCCCAAAGTGCTGGGATTACAGGCGCGAGCCACCGCGCCCGGCCACCTGTGTCTTTTTTGTAGAACAAAAAATAATCTGTAGCTCCTTGAAAACTTTTTCTCCTTGAACTCAACTAGACATTCAGTGAAAGATTGATAGGACTCTGAAAAAAAAATATCTCTCTCAAGTTACAGAACTGGGACATGCAACAGCAGCAATGCTGGCAAGAAGCTCCACTCACAACTTTCTCCTCTACAGAATAAAAAAGCCTTCATCTATGGGTGAAGAGCCAGGAAGCACTCTCTTAGGGCGCTGGTGAAAGCACATTGCTGCTGAAAGTAGGGAACACAAAGAAAGCTTGAAGCCCTAGAAGATGTGCAGAAATTCACAATGGATTCAGAACCATGTCAGAAGAAGAGAAAGAGAAGGTCAAATCCCTGGGGCCCAGAGGGAGAGTGTTTGCCTAAGACTGGCAATCAAATAAAAAAGTATTCTCACGTACCTTCATCACCAGGCTAACTGCTGTCAAGATACATATTCTTTGCAAGAGATATTGCAAGAGACATACTCTTTCTGAGGCATAGCACAAAAGGAAGACTTAAGGTTGAGGGTGAAATCATCATCAGAAAAACATCCTCTGGCAAACCAACCCCACCCTCAACACAAGGTATCACCAGAGGCATTCAAAGCCCATAGGGTAGGCCAGGCGCAGTGGCTCATGCCTGTAATCCCAGCACTTTGGGAGGCAGAGGCGAGCAGATCACCTGAGGTTGAGAGTTTGAGACCAGTCTGACCAACATGGAGAAACTCCCTCTCCACTAAAAATACAAAATTAGTCGGGCGTGGTGGCGCATGCCTATAATCCCAGCTACTCAGGAGGCTGAGGCAGGAGAATCGCTTGAACTCAGGAGGCAGAGGTTGCAATGAGCAGAGATTGTGCCACTGCACTCCAGCCTGGGCAACAAGAGTGAAACTCTATCCCCCGCCAAAAAAAGCCCATAGGGTAGTAAGAATCACACTATAGCAACATCAAATCTCAAGCCCAGCTTTACTCAGAGAAACACAAACCTCTGTACTAAAGGCCTGGTAAAAGAAAAGGCATGTCAGTTTCAGACATAAAATCTACTTATCTCAGTTTCTATGGTTCTACATAAGATGTCCAGTTTTCAGCCTCCAAAATTAGCTGGGCATGGTGGTGGGCTCCTATAATCCCAGCTACTTGGGAGGCTGAGGCAGGAGAATTGCTTGAACCTGGGAGGTGGAGGTTGCAGTGAGCAGAGATAGCGCCATTGCACTCCAGCCTGGTTAACAAGAGCGAAACTCCATCTCAAAAAAAAAAAAAAAGTATTGTCAAGACCAATGTCCAGGACATTTTCCCCTATGTTATCTTCTCAGAGTTTTATGATTTCAGGTCTTACTTTTAGGTCTTTTATCTATTTTGAGTTGGTTTTTTGGTATAGTATAAGATAATGGTCCAATATCATTCTTTTGCATATAGAAATTCAGTTTTCCTGGAACCATTTAGTGAAGAGATGATTTTTTTCCTCATTATGTCCTCTTGGTGCCCTTTTCAAAAATTAGCTAACCATGAATGTTTGGATTTATTTCTGGGAGCTCTATTGTGTTTCACTGGTCTATGTTTCTGTTTCTATGATGGTACCATACTATACTGATTACTATAGCTTTGTAATATAATTTTAAATCAGGATGTGTGATGCTCTGTGTTCATTGCAGTATTTTTTTAATAGCTAAGATATGGAAACTTAAGTTCTATTATGATCCTAGTCACTCTTTTTTCAATCCCTCCCTTCACTTCTTTTATCCCTCTCTCCCTTCCTCCCTCTCTTTCTCTCATTCTTTGTTTCCACTATAAATGGAACTACCGTATGATCTAGCAATCCCACTACTGGGTATATACCCAAAGGAAAAAAAATCAGTATATAGAAGAGATCTCTGCATCCCTGTGTTTATTGAACCTGTATTCACCACAGCAAAAATATGGAATCAACCTAAGTGTCCATCAACAGACATATGGATTAAAAAGTTGTATATATACACATTTAAATACTATTTGGGGCCAGACGTGATGGCTCACGCCTGTAATCCCAGCACTTTGGGAGGCTGAGGCGGGTGGATCACCAGAGGTCAGGAGTTTGAAACCAACCTGGCCAATATGTTGAAACCCCATCTCTACTAAAAATACAAAATTATCCAGGCATGGTGGCGCATGCCTGTAATCCCAGCTACTTGGGAGGCTGCGGCAGGAGAATCAATTGAACCTGGGAGGCAGAGGTTGCAGTGAGCTGAGATCATGCCATTGCACTCCAGCCTGGGCAACAAGAGTGAAACTCCATCTCAAAAAAAAAAAAAAATACAATTTGGCCACACAAAAAAATGAAAACCTGTCATTTGCATTAACATGGATGGAACTAGAGGTCATTATGTTAAGTGAAGTAAGTCAGACACAGAAAGACAAATATGTCACTCATATGCATCAGCTTAAAAAGTTGACCTCATAGAGGTAGAGTAGAATGATAGCTACCAGAGGCTGGGAAGGGTGTGTGAGTAGTGGGGGGATGAACAGAGGTTGGCTGGTGGGTTCAAACATTCAGTTAGGCAGAAGAAATAAGTTCTGATGTTCTATAGCAGAGTAGGGAGACTATAGTTTATAACAATGTATTGTATATTTCAAAATAGCTAAAAGAGGGGATTTGAAATGTTCCCAAAACATAGAAATAATAAATATTCCAGGTAATAGATACATGAAGCACCCTGACTTGATTATTATGTATTCTATGCATATAATAAAATATCACATGTACCCCATCAATATGTATTAATATTACATATCATTTAAATTTTTTAAAAAACAGAGGGGTCCTTGGAGAGGTAATTAGGTCATATGGCTCCACCCACATGAATAGGACTAGTGCTTTTATAACAGAAGCTTGAGGGACACTGTTTGCTTCTCCTGCCATGTGAGGACACAGCTAGAAGCCATTTTTGAAGCAGAGAGTAAGCCCCCACCTGACACCAAACCTGCTGGTGCTTTGATCTTGGACTTCCCATCCTCTAGAACTGTGAACAATGCATTTCTATTGTATATAAATTACCAAGTCTGAGGTATTTTGTTATAGCTGCCCAAACAGACTAAGACACTTGCTAAAGATTTGTTGCTAGCATTTGCATATCAGCATTTGCATAATGTTTGACTAATTGGCTTTTGGGATCCCTTCTAATCCTAAAATTTTATGTTTTAGAGTCATGTGAACAAAGGAGTATTAACCATGATTTGTTAAACAAGAAAGCCCAAAGATAAAATGGAATGAGCATAGGCCAATGTTTCAGTCCCTGAGAAATTCCTCTGATGGTTATTCATGAAAAGCAATGACAGGCCAGGCGCAGTGGCTCATGCCTATAATCCCAATACTTTGGGAGACTGAGGCGGGTAGATCACCTGAGGTCAGGAGTTCGAGACCAGCCTGGCCCACATGGTGAAACCCTGTTTCTACTAAAAAAAAATCCAAAAGTTAGCCAGGCATGAAGGCAGGTGCCTGTAATCCCAGCTACTTGGGAGGCTGAGGCAGGAGAATCACTTGAACCCAGGAGGCAGAGGTTGCAGTGAGCTGAGATCACGCCACTGCACTCCAGCCTGAGCAACAGAGCCAGACTCAGTCTCAAAAAAAAAAAAAAAACTTGCTCTAACCTCACACTCAGTAAAGCAATCAGCAAGCAGCCATCCAACCATTTGCTAAAATAACTTCATTAAAAAATTATTTATTGTCAGTGCATACATTCTGCAAATATATCCATCAAAACAGCACTGTTCTTCTCATTTATTGGGCGATTCAGAAGTTTTACTTTGAATTTCTTTGGTGTTAAGTAGAAATAGTCTGTTGCACTGCTAACAAGGTCATCGGACTCAAAAAACATGTAACAATTATCTAAATCACCATTGATACTTAAAACTCCAATTAGTATAAAAGCTAATTCATGCCCAAACATAACAAACAAGACTTTATCTTCTATGCCTACATCAGTTTTCCAAGTCAATATTTTTAGGCTATATAATCTTATTGAAGTACAAAATGCAGAGTTATATTTGAAAGATATACTTAACTGTATCTCCATCAGCAGGTATTTGTGTGGGCATAGCCATTGTTCTTTCTGCCATGCTACACTAAAAGAGCTGGAAATTTAAAAAAATAAACATTTTTAAAAATTTCTTACAAAGGCTATATTCTTACTATATAATTTAGATAATTAGGGGGCATAATATGGGTATTTTTGCAAGCTTTAGTTTTTAGTTCACACTATTCATCTGTTTTAAACTGTGGCTGTCTTGCTAGATGGGCTTCTACATGATGAATAATATGTAATATTCAACTTATAATGTAGAGTAATACATTTAACCATAAGCACACAAAAAGCATCTTAAAGTTAAACTCCCTTTGGAAATCAAGAGGATAAGAGCATTCTTCTTCTTTAAATGACTCCATGGTCGTAAGAAAGGAAAGTAGAAAATTTTGCTTTAAAAAATGGTTAAAAAAAAAACAAAACAAGACACTCACAAGCACTTAACTTTCCAGAGTAGCATACCAGAGGAGGCTTAGGCATTTGAATTTACCCATTGAAAGAGAATTGTGAAAGCAGACCTTAAAAAACCTAAACAAGTTCTTTAGACACTGAACTAAAATAATGATAATTCTCATTTATGAAGCATCTATTATACAGCTAGCATTGTGCTAAGGGTTTATGTGCTTTATTTACCTCTGTTAGTCCTCATAGTAGATCTGAGATGTATGTATTTTCATTGCCATATGCCAGGTGAAAAAATTCAGACTCAGAAAGATTAAATAACTTACTTTCCCAGGGATTCAGCTGTGCAGCAGACACAGGTCCGAACTGATTCCAAGCTGGTGTCCTTTCTACTGTCCCCAGTTGTGGACCAAATAAATATTCACTGTGTTTGTAACAGTTGGGAACAGGGAGGAGAGGTACAAGAGAGCGTGCTGTGCTCATCTCCAAGCAGAACTGCCTGAGAAGGCCATGCTACCCTACTTTTGAACACAGCACAGAGATACTAAGAATATGAGACATGTTTCAAAAGGAAATATTATATATTTATAAAGCAAGTATTTGAAATATTTGAGAAGCAAACAGAATCAAAGAATGGTTCTGTGCCATAATCTCTTCACTTGCTCTATCCTGAGGATTATTGCACTTTAGTATACAAACGTATATCATTTTCCCTAAAATTAAGCAATGTTTTCTGATATAGATAGAGTTCTGTTTTGTGGTGTGGTTTAATCTAGACCAGTATGTATGAAGGTTTTTAAAATTTATTTATTTATCAGAAACTTAATGGTGGACATTGCAGTAATTTTGAGCCTTTTTTTTTTTTTGCTCTACCTCCTGGGTTCACACCATTCTCCTGCCTCAGCCTCCCTAGTAGCTGGGACTACAGGCACCCGCCACCACGCCCAGCTAATTTTTTGTATTTTTAGTAAAGATGAGGTTTCACTGTGTTAGCCAGGATAGTCTCAATCTCCTGACCTTGTGATCCACCTGCCTCAGCCTCCCAAAGTGCTGGGATTACAGGTGTGAGCCACCGCACCTGGCCAGTAATTTCTAGCCTTTAATGGAAATCAGCAACAAACATTGTTGATTTAAGTCAACAATGTTTGGCCAGGCACAGTGGCTAACACCTATAATCCCAGCACTTTGGGAGGCCGAGGCAGGCGGATTACTTGAGGCCAAGAGTTTCAGACCAGACTGGCCAACATGGCAAAATCCCATCTCTACTAAAAATACAAAACTTAGCTGGGCATAGCGGTGCAGGCCTGTAATCCCAGCAA
The DNA here is from genome assembly GCF_000001405.40 of Homo sapiens. Taxonomy (NCBI): domain Eukaryota; kingdom Metazoa; phylum Chordata; class Mammalia; order Primates; family Hominidae; genus Homo; species Homo sapiens. The sequence continues at coordinate 55,863,681 of NC_000007.14, forward strand.
CTCAGGAGGCTGAGGCACGAGAATTGCTTGAACCCAGAAGGTGGAGGTTGCAGTGAGCCAAGATCCCGCCACTGCATTCCAGCCTGGGAGACAGAACAAGACTCTGACTCAAAAAATAAATAACAATGTTTATTTAAATCAACAATAAATATTGTTTTTGAAATACTGTAGTAATTTGAAGTAAACTACTACAAAATTCAAGAGTCTCTATCTCTGTATAATGACTGAATTTTTGGCAAATCTGCCAAAAATTATTTGAGAACTAGAGATGCAACTTATCTTGTATTTAAAAGCCTAATTAAGTGTCTTAAACAAAGAGGGGTTTATTTCTTTCACATAAGTCTAGAGCAGAAGTTTTTCAAAGTACGATCACTGGGCCCTGAGGATTCCTGAGATTCTTTTGCGGGGGGCCTATGGGTTCAATTTTTTTCTAATAATACTAGGGTTTTTTGTTTTTTGTTTTTGTTTTGAGATAGGTTCTCACTCTGTCACCAAGGCTGGAGCGCAATGGCGCAGTCGCAACTCACTGTAGCCTCAACCTCCCAAACTCAAGCGATCCTCCACACCTCAGCCTCCCAAATAGCTGGGATTACAGGCACCTGCCATCATGCCCTGCTAATTTTTGTACTTTTTTGTAGAGACAGGGTTTTGCCATGTTGCCCAGGCTGATCTTGAACTCCTGAACTCAAGCAATTCTTCTGCCTGGCCTCCCAAAGTCCTGGGATTACAGGTGTGAGTAGTATGGCCACTGCACTTAGCCAATAGTAGGGTTTAATTTGCCTTTCTACTGTGTTGATGTTTACACTGATGGTTCAAAAGCAATGGTGGTTGAAACTACTGCTACCTTCAGCCGGGCACGGTGGCTCACACCTGTAATCCTAACACTTTGGGAGGCCAAGGTGGGTGTATCACCTGAGGTCAGGAGTTCGAGACCAGCCTGGCCAACATGGCAAAACCCTGTCTCTACTAAAAATACAAAAAATGGCTTGGCGTAGTCGCTGGCACCTGTAATCCCATCTACTCGGGAGGTTGAGGCAGGAGAATTGCTTGAGCCCAGGAGGCAGAGGTTGCAGTGAGCAGAGGTCATGCCACTGCACTCCAGCCTGAGCAACAAGAGCAAGACGCCATCTCAAAACAAAACAAAACAAAACACAAAAAACTGCTACCTGCACCAAAAAAATGCCTCCAAATTGTATTATTAGTTATTGAACTATTCACTTCACATATTCACAACAATAAAAACCAATGAATACACGTAAAGCATTTATACTGTATACAAGTATGATGGTTGCCTTGAGGAAAACAAGTTCTGTGATTGATTGAGTTTTGAGAAATAGGAACTCCTTTTTTTACGGAACGTTATTAATTTCAAGTGCAACTGACAAACACTGATGATTTAAGCTTGGGGATTTCTCTTTTTTTGAGACTGAGTCTCACTCTGTCACCCAGGTTGGAGTGCAGTGGAGCGATCTCAGCTCACTGCAAGCTCCGCCTCCTGGGTTCACGGCATTCTCCTGCCTCAGCCTCCCGAGTAGCTGGGACTACAGGCGCCCACCACCACGCCCAGCTAATTTTTTTGTATTTTTAGTAGAGACGGGGTTTCACCGTGTTAGCCAGGATGGTCTCCATCTCCTGACCTCGTGATCTACCCGCCTCGGCCTCCCAAAGTGCTGGGATTACAGGCGTGAGCCACCGCGCCGGGCCAAGCTTGGGGATTTCTAAGACAGATTCTTGAAAATGAATGAAGCATGGTTTGTAACATCAAGAAAAATAACTAAGCCAGGCGAGGTGGATCGTGCAATACCAGCACTTGGGAATCTGAAGCAGGAGAACTGCTTGAGCCCAGAAGTCTGAAACTAGCCTGGTCAGCATAGTGAGACCCAGTCTCTACAAAAGAAAAATTTAAAAATTAGTCAGGCATGGTGGTGCGTGCCTGTAGTCCCAGCTACTCCGGAGACTGAGACAGAAAGATTGCTGGAGCGCCAGAGTTTGAGGCTACAGTGAGCTATGATCACGCCATTGCACTCCAGCCAGGGCAACAGAGTGAGATCCTGTCTAAAGAAACAAACAAACAAAAAATAATGAATGAAAAGAAAAGATTAGAAAACTAAGTGAAAATGTACTTTTTAAATGATAAAATTTACACTTTTGTAAATTTTGTAATATGAGCTTTACAGCTAAAATTAGAGTTTTTGGAGAAATTCTATCAACCATCATGATCTTGATAGCTTCCCAACATTTAAAAACTTTTCTAAAAACATTGGTAGAGATATTAACAATACAAATGTTTGATTTTTTTTTTTTTTGAGACAGAGTCTCACTCTGTCGCCCAGACTGGAGTGCAGTGGCACAATCTCGGCTCACTGCAACCTCTGCCTCCTGGGTCCAAGTGATTCTCCTGCCTCAGCCTCCCAAGTAGCTGGGACTACAGGCACGTGCCACTGTACTTGGCTAATTTTTTGTATTTTTAGTAGAGATGGGGTTTCACCATGTTAGCCAGGATGGTCTTGATCTCCTGACCTTGTGACTGGCCCGCCTCGGCCTCCCGAAGTGCTAGGATTACAGGCATGAGCCCCTGCGCCTGACCAACAGATGTTTTTCAAATAACCAATGCCTGGCCGGGCGCGGTGGCTCACGCCTGTAATCCCAGCACTTTGGGAGGCCGAGGCGGGCGGATCACGAGGTCAGGAGATCGAGACCATCCCGGCTAAAAAAACGGTGAAACCCCGTCTTTACTAAAAATACAAAAAATTAGCCGGGCGTAGTGGCGGGCGCCTGTAGTCCCAGCTACTTGGGAGGCTGAGGCAGGAGAATGGCGTGAACCCGGGAGGCGGAGCTTGCAGTGAGCCGAGATCCCGCCACTGCACTCCAGCCTGGGCCACAGAGCGAGACTCCGTCTCAAAAAAAAAAAAAAAAAAAAAAAATGACCAATGCCTGACATTACAAAGATACACGTGAGTTTACGATCCATTTGAAGAGTCAGACAGACCAGATTTTTTTAAATTTTATTATACATCGACAAATTATCATTATATATAGTTATGGGTACAAAGTGATGTCATAAATTTTTAGTACAATATGAAATAACTAATCAAATTGACATACTCATAACCTGAAATATTTAGTTTTTTTGTGGTGAGAACATTTGAAATTTACCGTCTTAGTAATTTTGAAATGGACAGTGCACAAGTATTTTCTTTTTTCTTTTTTTATTTTTTTGAGACAGAGTTTCACTCTTGTTGCCCAGGCTGGAGTGCAATGGTGCTATCTCGGCTCACTGCAACCTCTGCCTCCCGAGTTCAAGCGATTCTCCTTCCTCAGCCTCCCGAGTAGCTGAGATTACAGGCATGCACCACCACGCCCTGCTAATTTTTTGTATTTTTAGTAGAAATGGGGTTTCACCATGTTAAGCAGGCTGGTCTCGAACTCCTGACCTCAGGTGATCCGCCCACCTCAGCCTCCCAAAGTGCTGGGATTACAGGCGTAAGCCACCACACCTGGCCAACAGTGCACAATTACTAAGTATATTCACCAACCTGTGCAATAGCTCTCAAAAAATCCAAATCTTCCCAAACTAAAACTTTATATCCATAAAACAATAACTATCCTTTCTCCCCTATTTCTGGGACTCACAATTGTATTTTCTGTGTCTATGAATTTGACTACTTTAGGTACCTCATACAAATGGGATTCTGTAACATTTGTCCCTTTGTGACTGAATTATTTCATTTAGCATAATGTCTTCAAGGTTCATCTCTGTTTTAACATGTGTCAGAATTTCCTTCCTTTTTAGGGCTAAATGATATTCCATTGTACATACATACCATATATTGCTTATCCATTCATTTATCAGTGGACATTTCAGTTGCTTCCACCTGTTGGCTATTGTGAATAATGCTGCTGTGAATATAAATGTGCAAATATCTTTTCTGGACCCTGCTTTCTATTCTTTTGGGCATACACCCTGAGGTGGAATTGTTGAATCGTATGGTAATTCTATGCTTAATGCTGTTGTTGTTGTTGCTGTTGTTTGAGACTAAGCCTCACTCTGTCACCCAGGCTGGAGTATAATGGCGTGATCTCGGCTCACTGCAACCTCTGCCTCCCGGGTTCAAGCGATTCTCCTCCCTCAGCCTCCCGAGTAGCTGGGCTTACAGGCGCACGCCACTGTGCCTGGCTACTTTTTGTCTTTTTAGTAGAGACAGGGTTTTGCCATGTTGGCCAGGCTGTTCTCAAACTCCTGATCTCAGGTGATCCGCCTGCCTCAGCCTCCCAAAGTGCTCAGATTACAGGCGTGAGCCACTGTGCCCAGCATCTATGTTTAATTTTTAAAGAAAACCCAAACACAGCAGCCACACCATTTTACATTCCCAGCAACATGCACAGGGTGCGAACTTCTCCATGACTTCACCAGCACATGTTACTGTGGTTTTGGATAGCAGCCATCCTAATGGGTGTGTGTACCTAAAAGTATCTGAGACAGGTCTCAATCAATTTAGAAAGTTTAGGCCGGGTGCGGTGGCTCACGCCTGTAATTCCAGCACTTTGGGAGGCCAAGGTGGGTGGATTGCCTGAGGTCAGGATTTGAGACCAGCCTGGCTAACATGGTGAAACCCCGTCTACTAAAAATACAAAAATTAGCCGGGCATGGTGGCAGGCACCTATAGGCTGAGGCAGGAGAATTGCTGGAACCCAGGAGGTGGAGGTTGCAGCGAACCAAGATCATGCCCACTGCACTCCAGCCTGGGTGACAGAGCAAGACTCCATCTCCAAAAAAAGAGAAAAAGAAAGTTTATTTTGCCAAGGTTAAGGACACTCCTGTGACACAGCATCAGGAGGTCCCGATGACATGTGCCCAAAGTGGTCAGGGGTACAGTTTGCTTTTACACATCAGGGAGACATAATATACATCAATCAATATGTGTAAAATTTACATTGGTTTGATCTGGAAGGGTGAGACAACTTGAAGTTGTGTGGGGAGGGGAGGTTCAAGGTCATAAGTAGATTTTTAAATGTTGTGATTGGCAATTGGTTGAAAGAATTGTTATCAATAGAAAGGAATGTCTGGGTAACAATAAAGGGTTCTGGAAACCAATGTTTTATTATGCAGATGAAGCCTCCAAGTAGCAAGATTCAGGGAGAACAGATTGTAAATGTTTCTTATCAGACTTAAAGTCTGTTGATGTTAATGCTGGTCAGTTTTGTAAATACACCAATCAGCACTCTGTGTCTAGCTCAAGGTTTGTAAACACACCAATCAGCACCCTGTGTCTAGCTCAGGGTTTGTGAATGCACCAATTGACACTCTGTATCTAGCTACTCTGGTGGGGCCTTGGAGAACCTTTATGTCTAGCTCAGGGATTGTAAATACACCAATCGGCACTCTGTATCTAGCTCAAGGTTTGTAAACACACCAATCAGCACCCTGTGTCTAGCTCAAGGTTTGTGAATGCACCAATCGACACTCTGTATCTAGCTACTCTGGTGGGGACGTGGAGAACCTTTGTGTCTAGCTCAGGGATTGTAAACGCACCACTCAGCGCCCTGTCAAAACAGACCACTCAGCTCTACCAATCAGCAGGACGTGGGTGGGCCCAGATAAGAGAATAAAAGCAGGCTGCCCGAGCCAGCAGTGGCAACCCAGCTCAGGTCCCCTTCCACACTGTGGAAGCTTTGTTCTTTGCTCTTTGCAATAAATCTTGCTACTGCTCACTCTTTGGGTCCACACTTCTTTTATGAGCTGTAACACTCACCACAAAGGTCTGCAGCTTCACTCCTGAAGCCAGCGAGACCACGAGCCCACCGGGAGGAACAAACAACTCCAGAAGCGCTGCCTTAAGAGCTGTAACACTCACCACGAAGGTCTGCAGCTTCACTCCTGAGCCAGGGAGACCACAAACCCACCAGAAGGAAGAAACTCCGAACACATCCGAACATCAGAAGGAACAAACTCCAGACACGCCACCTTAAGAGCTGTAACACTCACCGCGAGGGTCCGCGGCTTCATTCTTGAAGTCAGTGAGACCAAGAACCCACCAATTCCAGACACAATTTTATTTATTTATTTTTTTTTTTTTTAGATGGAGTCTCACTGTCACCTAGGCTGGAGTGCAGTGGTGCAATCTTGGCTCACTGCAACCTCCGCCTCTCAGGTTCAAATGATTCTCCTGCTTCAGCCTCCCAAGTAGCTGGGACTACAGGCACGTACCACCACACCCAACTAATTGTTGTGTTTTCTTAGTAGAGATGGAGTTTCACCATGTTGGCCAGGGTGGTCTTGAACTCCTGACCTCAGGCGATCCACCCGCCTTGGCCTCCTAAAGTGCTGGGATTACAGGCGTGAGCCACCATGCCCAGCCAATTTTTGTATTTTTAGTAAAGATGGGGTTTCACCATGTTGGCCAGGCTGGTCTCAAACTCCTGGCCTCAAGTGATCACCTTGAGTGCTAGGATTCCAGGTGTGAGCCACTGCACTTGGCCCCTATAAAAGTTTGGAAAAAAGGAGAAAAATTTCAGGACCTGGCGCTGGTGAAAAATTCTTAGACTTGACAACAAAGACAATACATAAAAGAAAAAACTGGTAAATTATCATCAAAATTTAAAAATTAAAAATATTTGCACTGTGAAAATTCTATGTAAAGGATAAAAAGACAGGCTACAGACTAGGGGAAAATATTTTCATACCACACATTTAACACTGAACTTGAATCTAGAATACATAAATAACTTTTTTAAAACTCAAAAGCAGCCTGGGATTTGAGGTTGCAGTGAGCTAGGATTGTGCCACTGCACTCCAGTCTTGGCAACAGAGCAAGACCCTGTCTCTAAAAAATTACAGAGATGCTGGGAGAACTGGCTAACCATATACAGAAAATTGAAATTGGACATCTTCCTTACATCATACACAAAAATCAATGCAAGATAGATTACAGACTTAAATGTGCAACTCAAAGCTATAAAAACCCTAGAAGAAAACCTAGGCAACACCATTCAGGACATGGGCACGGGCAAAGATTTCACAACAAAGAGGACAGAACAATTGCAACAAAAGCAAAAATTGACAAATGGGATCTAATTAAAGAGCTTCTGCACAGCAAAAGAAACAATCAACAGAGTAAACAGACAACCTACAGAATGGAAGAAAATTTTTGCAATCCATCCATCTGATAAATGTCTGATATCCACCATCTATAAGGAACTTAAACGATTGTACAAGAAAAAAACACCACCATTAAAAAGTGGGCAAAGGACATGAACGGACACTTGTCAAAAGAAGACATACATACATGCACTCAAAAAGCTCAAGATCACTGATCATTAGAGAAATGCAAATCAAAACCACAATGAGATACCGTCTCACACCAGTCAGAATAGTGATTATTAAAAAGTCAAAAAACAACAGATGCTGGTGAGGTTGTGGAGAAAAAGGAACACTTTTACACTGTTGGTGGGAGAGTAAATTAGTTCAGCCATTGTGGAATACAGTGTAGCGATTCCTCAAAGACCCAGAGGCAGAAATACCATTTGACTCAGCAATCCCATTACTGGGTGTATACCCAGAGGAATATAAATGATTCTATTATAAAGATACATGTACTTGTATGATCACTGCAGCACTATTCACAATAAAAAGACATGGAATTAGCCTCAATCGCCATCAATAATAGATTGGATAAAGAAAATCTGGTATAGATATACCATGGAATACTATGCAGCCATAAAAAGGAACAAGAAAGATCATGTCCTTTGCAGGGACATGGATGGAGCTGGAAGCCATTATCTTCATCAGACTAATGCAGTAACAGAAAACCAAATACCACGTGTTCTCATCATTCGGCTCGCGCTCACAAGTGCGAGCCGAATGATGAGAACTCATGGACACATGGTGGGGAACAACACACACCGGCGCCTGTCGGAGGGTAGGAGGTAGGAGGAGGGAAAGCATCAGGAAGAACAACTAATGGATGCTGGCCTGAATACCTAGGTAATGGGATGATCTGCGCAGCAAACCACTGTAGCACACATTTACCTATGTAACAAACCTGCACATCCTGCGCATGTACTTAAAATAAAAGTTGGAAATAGAAAAAAAAGTACAGAGCTAATCATGAATGCAAATGGCTTTGGGAGGGCTCACGTGTCCACTTAAAAACCTGCGGCAACACCACAAAGCCAAAAATGGATAATTACCACACAGAAAGAATTGCTGGAGAGATTGACATACCTGAGATGTCTGGGGATGGCAAGGAACAAAGAAGGGCAGAAGCTATCAGTATCAGCCACAGAGTAGGTGTCATCATGGTCCCCAGTGGCCTGTTCTGCAGAGGACACCAGCATTGCCACTTAAGTAACTAAAAGCCATTGCCACCGCATACCTCCTGGAGAGAAAGCTGCTACTGTGCCCGCTAGAAAGCCACTGTTGTACCATCCCGGCTGGAGCCACCAATCCCCACAACCCTAAGCATCCCCATACTAGAGTCAAAGCTGCCCCATGTGTGTCCATACTCCAGTCCCAAGCTCTGTGGCTGCACCGTGCATACCTACATTCGAGGCACCAAAACCACCACCACAGCTGGTTAACCCCACCCCAGGTCATGAAAGTGTGGTCATTCTGCACATCTGTGCTCCAGAGTTCAGTTCCACCACTGCTCCATGAGTGCCCACGTCTCAGACATCAGAACCACCTCCACAGTGAGCTAGCCTGCACTGAGGACCCTGGACTCATTGTCATTCCATGCATGCCTGTTTTATTTTTTGGTTTTATTTATTTATTTTTTTGAGACGGAGTCTCGCTCTGTCACCCAGCTGGAGTGCAGTGGTGTGATCTCAGCTCACTGCAAGCTCCGCCTCGCTGGTTCACGCCATTCTCCTGCCTCAGCCTCCGGAGTAGCTGGGACTACAGGCGCCTGCCACCACACCTGGCTAATTTTTTGTATTTTCAGTAGAGACGGGGTTTCACCGTGTTAGCCAGGATGGTCTCGATCTCCTGACCTCGTGATCCGCCCGCCTCGGCCTCCCAAAGTCCTGGGATTACAGGCGTAAGCCACCGCGCCTGGCCTATTTTTTTGTTTTTGTTTGTTTGTTTCTTGAGACAGAGTCTCACTCTGTCACCCAGGCTAGAGTGCAGTGGTGCAATCTTGGCTCACCACAACCTCCACCTCCCGGGTTCAAGAGATTCTTGTGCCTCAGGCCAGGCATCTTGGGCACTGATGCCACTGCTATTATTACATATAGGTATAAGTTAACCGCAGCCATTTTTAGTCTCTTGTAGTCTACCAGTAGCTTTTTGTCTTACCCTAATGATTGCCTGAAAGCACTTGCCATCACCTACAGGCTATGGTATTTCATCTTAAAAAAAGAAGCACTACAGGCTGGGCGCCATGGCCCATGCCTGTAATCTTAGCAGTTTGGGAGGCCGAAATGGGATGCATCACCTGAGGCCAGGAGTTTGAGACCAACCTGGCCAACATGGTGAAACCCTGTCTCTACTAAAAATACAAAAATTAGCCAGGCGTGGTGGCATACGCCTGTAATTCCAGCTACTTGGGAGGCTGAGACAGGAGAATTGCTTGAGCCCAGGAGGCAGAGGTTGAAGTGAGCCGAGATTGTGCCATTGCACTCCAGCCTGGGTGACAGAGCGAGACTCCATCTCCAAAAAAAAAAAAAAAAAAAAAAAAAAAAAAAAAAAAAAAAAAGCAGCAGCGCTATCTCAGATCTCAACTGAAAAGGATTGCACCAGGTACTTTGGGGTACCAGCTTCTGATGGCATCACTTAAATTTGAGACTCTACCAGTAAACAGAGTCACAAATTCCGGAATTCTAGTTAAGAAGCGGATGAGTCCTGGAGACTACTAAATTCAAGATAGAGCATAACAAGAATTAATTACACAGAAATGAGTGAGCTGATGAGTAATGACTTTGTTATTTGGACTCTTGCTGATGTTCCAATGTTCTACTTTTTGCATATATAAGAAACCTCTTTTTTCTCTTAAGATATCTATAACATAAAAATTTAATAGTCTATGCTTTTGTAAACGGAAGTGAAACGTTTATATATATGTCTTATTTTCCCTGCCTGGCTCCTCCAGAATTTGAAAACCCTTATGTTGGGGTGATCAGACCCAACGCCAGGTAATGGGGCCGATGAAGTCCGGCAGAGTCAAAGGAATGAGAAAAAGACAGTTTGAGAGAGTAAGTGGGACCAGGGGGCCCTCAGGAGTGTGGAGAATGAGAAGGCCCTGAGCCCTGGAAGCCCATGCTATTTGTTGGTGCTCAAACAAACAGGTAGTGAGGATGTGGGGGTTGAAAGCAAACAGTGTATCAAGTGAATGATACATATGACTGCTTGAGATAATGGGAGTGCTAGAAGCAAGGAGCCAGCAAGTCTAGCAGACTTGCAAGCCCTGCCTCAGCTTTTCTCCCAACACCCTTATTTTCTTATTTTCATGGCCTTACAATTATTTGCATAGGTTCAATAAGAATCTATACTCATTGTTACCAGAGCGTAATTGGAACTTCAGTTATTCCTAAATTTGACTTTATGGAGCCAATGCTTACTAGCCCAGTTTCTGGGTTATAGGATTCAGAGCTGGGCAGACAGAATAATGCCCATCACCCCCAAAGATGATCACATCTAAATCCCTAGAACCTGTAAGTATCTTATCTTACGGGGCAAAAGACAGTTTGCAGATATGATTAACGTTAAAGATCTTGAGCTGGGGAGATTATGATTAAGGTTAAAGATCTTGACTTGGGTAGCCTACACGGATGCCATTGTTAGCAGATCCAGGCAAGCCAATTCTTGGCCCACAGGTGGCTTGCTTCAGCACAGGCAGTGGCAGTGGTAGGCCAAGCAGATGGGCAGGTTCTCGGGCCCCTGAGCAGCATGCATGATGTTGGCAGTGGCAATAGAGGGGGCAAGCCAACCCTTGAGCTCCCTGGCAGCAATCACTGGTGTTAGCTGCAGTGACGATGGGGTGGACGGGCCACTCCCTAGGCCCCCAGGTGGCATGTGAGGGTGAGTGCCCGCAATGGGAGTGGTGGCAGGGTAGGCAGGTCTGTCTTCAGTCCCCTGATAGGAATGCACAGATGCCAGAGGGGGTAGGCACGGCAAGGCAATCCCCAGACCCTTGGAAAGTGCATTTGGCACTGGGGCGATGGCATCAGCTGTGGCATGCCCTTCCTCAGCCCCCCCCCCCCATGGTGCCCATGGGTGCAGGCTGTGTTGCATGGGGCGGTGTGATCCCTGGGCCCTGGGACTGCATGCTCCTGCACCATCAGCAGGCCAGCTGGGTCTTTTGTCAGACCTACTGATGGTGTGCACGTGTGCCCAGGGCAACAGATGGGTGAGCAAACCCTACGTGATCCCCAAGGTGGTCTCCAGGTGGTGTGCTTGGGTGGCAACAGCTGCAGTAACAGTGGGCAAATAAAGCCTATCTTCTGAGCCTGGGATGGCATCTGTACCTGCTGGTCCCCAGGCTGTATGCTGTATGCTCTATGCAGTATGCAGCAGTTCTGTTGCAGGGGGTCGGGGAGCAGGGTTGCTGTCAGTGGCGGCAGTCCTAGGCAGGTAACTCGGAGCACGTGCTTTAGCTGCCTGTGTCCCAAAGGCAGCCTCCCCCATTCCCTGAAGTATATAAGACACTGTGTGGGCTACAGTGCTGGGGACCTGGCCGCAGGGTTGGGTCCAGCTGGTGTTACATCACTGCAGCCGTCCAGGAGGACATGAGGGGGATGTCAGTGGAGCTCCAGGAATGTGGAGACGCAGGAGTTTTTGGGCCCCAGGGCAGGATGCAGTCCGGCAGGTGCTTGCTCTCAAAATGGTGTCCTTGGAGGCTAGACGCAGTGGCCCACGCCTGTAATCCCAGCACTTTGGGAGGCCAAGGCGGGTGGATCACTTGAGGTCAGGAGTTCGAGACCAGCCTGTCCAACATGGTGAAACTCTGTCTCTACTAAAAAAAAAATACAAAATTAGCCAGGCATGGTGGCAGGAGCCTGTAATCCCAGCTACTCAAGAGGCTAAGGCAGGAGAATCGCTTAAACCGAGTAGGTGGAGATTAGAGTGAGCCAAGATTGTACCACTGCACTTCAAGCCCAGGTGACAGAGTGAGACTCTGTCTCAAAAAAACAAAAAAATACTGCTCAGTAGTTTTGGGTTTCTTTGGGGGAGTGTTGGGGGGTTTGAGACAAGTCTTACTGAGATTATAGGCACAGGCCACCATGCCCAGCTAATTTTTGTATTTTTAGTAGCAACAGGGTCTCATCATGTTGGCCAGGGCTGGTTTCAAACTCCTGGTCTAAGGCAATCCTCCTGCCTTGGCCTCCCATAGTGCTGAAATTACAGGCATGAGCCACTACATCTGGCCTCTGTTTAGTACTTGTAATTAACATGCAATTACTGTATAACCCAGAAATTATATTCCTAGCCATCCATTTAATGTAAATGAAAGCATATGTCTACAAAAAGACTTATATAAGAATGTTAATAGCACCTTTATCAAAATAGCCTAAAACTATAAACAACATGTCCAAGAAGAGGGTGATAAACAATCTGTAGTGTATTTATTCAAAGAATACTAGTCAGCAATGGAGAAGGAGTTACTTATATATGAAACAAAGTGGATGAATCTGAAAGTCAAGATACTGAGTAGAAAAAGCCAGACACAAAATTGTCTGTACTATTTGATTTCATTCATGTGAAACTTCAGAAAAGGCAAAGCTATTCCACGGCAAGAGGAATTTGAACACCGTTTGCCATTAAGATGAGAAGGCTGACTTGAAAGGGGCCTGAAGAAACTTTCTGGATTTAAATGCTGGTAAAAGCTCATTAAATGTTGATTTTAAAAATAATGTCACACAAAGATAAAGCAAAAGTTGCCTAACAAATTACTTCTCAGAAACCCAACAGTGCTTTTTGTAATCGGTTTCTTTTTTTTCTTTTTTTTTTGAGATGGAGTTTCACTCTTTTTGCCCAGGCTGGAGTGCAGTGGCACAATCTCTGCTCACTGCAACCTCCACCTCCTGGGTTCAAGCAATTCTCCTGCCTTAACCTCTCAGGTTTTTCTTTCACATTTTCAAATGAAGATGGAGAGACCACTGAAAAACAGACTAGAAATACATCTGTCTGTGGATAACTCAGTGGTAGTAATCTGTCATAATCCTCCTGCCCTGCAGTATCAAAAAGCCCAAGAGTATATGGTTCTCCACCAATCATAACTGTGACTGCATAATTGTCAAAAACAGTCGGAACATATTCCGATGGAAATTTGTTTGTTGTGTAGGATATCTGGAGACATGTTTTACCAACAGCACCATCGCCCACAACAACACACTAATTGTCTGCATTGCTGAAATAGTTTTGTATCCACTTTAAATATTTCAAATCTGATGTTGACCTCAGCTTCTCCACGAGGGCGTTGGCAGCACTCCCTAATTTTAAAGCTTTCTACAAAGCTACAGTAATCAAAACTATGTGGCAGTGGCATATCAAAGGACAATATCAAGAAGGTGAAAAGGCAACTTACAGAATGGGTGAAAATATTTTCAAATTGTATATGCAATAAAGGTATGATATCCAAAATGTATAAATAACTCCTACAACTCAACAGCAAAAAGGAAAAATAACTAAAATGGATGAAGGACTTGAACAGACATTTTTCCAAAGAAAATATACAAACGGGAAATAAGATGCAAAGATATTCAATATTATTAGGAAACTCAAGTCAAAACCACAACTTTGTACTTACTAGGATGGCTACTGAAAAACCAAAAACAGAATATAAGTTGTGGCAAGGTGGTGAAACTGGAACACATACATTGCTGGCGGGGGTTGCGGCTGCTCTGAAAAACAGTGTGGCCATTCCTCAAAAGGCAAACAGGCCGGTTGCAGTGGTTCAAACCTGTCATCCCAGCATTTTGGGAAGCCGAGGTGAAAAAGTTAATTTTATTAAAGATTGTCCCCATTTTAAATAACACACAAAGTTTCAAAGTAAGAAACTAAACTCGTTATGGTTCATCTAGATATTAGTTTTTATAAAAATCATTTTAATTTTTCTATTACAGTCCTGCAGCAGAACAGTTCTTCCCTGAATACGAGAACCCAGAAAGGTACATTTTTATTTTCAACGTTCTGATATTAGTACAATTTGGACCCAAAAGTAATATGGTTATTCTGAACTTTTCACAACATAAATAACAAAATCATTGTAGAGAACATGTGTTTATTTTTCATGTGTGTAATCTTGCTTGCTGGGACCCAAACTGATCTCAAGAGATGATCCCTCTACTATTGAGAAACTTTCCAAGAACAAACAGAAGCCTATCACTCCAGAGACTGCTGAAAAGCTGGCCCATGACCTGAAGATTGTCAAGTATGTGGAGTGTTCTGCACTCACACAGAAAGGCCTAAAGAATGTATTTGACGAAGCAACATTGGCTGCGCTGGAGCCTCCAGAATCGAAGAAGAGCCACAGGTGTGTGCTGCTATGAACATCTCTCCAGAGCCCTTTCTGCATAGCTGGTGTCAGCATCACACTAAAAGCAATGTTTAAATCAAACTGAAGATTAAAAATTAAAATTCATTTTTGCAATAATGACAAATGCCCTGCACCTACGCAAATGCACTCATGTGAGACAGGCCCATAGGTATGGCCCCCCTTCCCCCTCCCAGGACTAGTTAATTTTGAGTAATAGTGTATTGTCAGAAAAGTGATTAGTACTAGTTTTTGTTTTGTTTCAAAAAATTTTTTTGTTATTGTTTAAAAGCAAGGCATGGGCCGGGCGCAGTGGCTCACACCTGTAATCCCAGCAGTTTGGGAAGCTGAGGCGGGCAGATCATGAAGTCAGGAGGTTGAGACCATTCTGGCTAACACGGTGAAACCCCGTCTCTGCTAAAAATACAAAAAATTAGCTGGGCTTGGTGGCGGGCACCTATAGTCCCGCTACTCGGGAGACTGAGGCAGGAGAATCACTTGAACCCTGGAGGTGGAGGTTGCAGTGAGCCGAGATTGCACCATTGCACTCCAGCCTAGGTGACAGAGCAAGACTGTTTCAAATTTAAAAAAACAGCAAGGCATGCTTGTGGATGACTCTGTAACAAACTAATTGCAATTGTTGAAGCCGCTCCCTGGTTCCACTCTGGAGAGTAATCTGGCACATCTTAGTGTTGTTGGTTTTTTTCTCCTCTTTTGGGGGGAGTGTGTGTGGGGTTTGTTTCTCAGTCTTGTTTTTTTAATTCATTAACCAGTGGTTAGCCCTTAAGCGGAGGAGGATGGATTGATTCCACATTCCACTTCCTAGATCTAGTTGAGAAAACATGTTCCCCATCTGGCGCTCCTAGGAAGGAGTATAGTAAATGCCTCATTTAATAACATACTCCTTTTTGAAAGTTGCCTTTTCTCTCCACCCTAGAGTAGATCCAGTATTTGATGAAACTCATGAAAGTGGGTGGAGCCTGTCTTGCCCCTCCTCTTTTCTAGGACGCACTGTATGTGACTGACTTTCAAGGACATTTGTTTGCCACTTGCTGATTTTTTGGGGAAGTTAATTTCTAACTTCTTTCACTAATAAATGAAGAAAAGTATTGCACCTTTGAAATACACCGAATGAATTGAGTTTGTAATTAAAAATTTTTTTCCTGTCAGTCATTGTCTTATATGCTTAGCATAGATTTGCAACTCAGTAGTATATGGTGTTCCTAGAACGCAGCTGAAGAACTGGTATGTAGAGGAAATATGAGGGGTGGGTGGTGCTAGAAGACAGACATCTGTGGAATGATTCACATCCTCTCAGGTTAGGAGGATGGAGGCCTGCTTCATTAAGAAGCTGGGCGTAGGGTGGGGGTGGGGAGAACACTTAACAACATGGGGGCCAGTCAGGGGAATCCTCTTATTTCTGTTTTGCATATGAGGAACCCTAGAGCAGCCAGATGAGGCTCTCTAGTTTAATAAAAATCATGGAAAGCCTCTTTTTTTTTTTTGACACGGAGTCTTGCACTGTCGCCCAGGCTGGAGTGCAGTGGCACGATCTCAGCTCACTGCAACCTCTGCCGACTGGGTTCACACTATTCTCCTGCCTCAACCTCCCGAGTAGCTGGGACTACAGGTGCCCACCACCACGCCCGGCTAATTTTTTGTGTTTTTAGTAGAGATGGGGTTTCACCGTGTTAACCAGGATGGTCTCGATCTCCTGACCTCGTGATCCGCCTGCCTCGGCCTCCCAAAGTGCTGGGATTACAGGTGTGAGCCACTGCGCCTGGCTTTTTTTTTTGAGACAGAGTTTCACTCTTGTTGCCCAGGCTGGAGTGCAGTGGCGCGATGTCACCTCACCGCAACCTCTGCCTCCCGGGTTCAAGCAATCCTCCTGCCTCAGCCTCCCGAGTAGCTGGGACTACAGGTGCCCACCACCACGCCCGCCTAATTTTTTGTGTTTTTAGTAGAGATGGGGTTTCACCGTGTTAACCAGGATGGTCTCGATCTCCTGACCTTGTGATCCGCCTGCCTCGGCCTCCCAAAGTGCTGGGATTACAGGTGTGAGCCACCGCGCCTGGCTTTTTTTTTTGAGACAGAGTTTCACTGTTGTTGCCCAGGCTGGAGTGCAGTGGCGCGATGTCACCTCACCGCAACCTCTGCCTCCTGGGTTCAAGCAATCCTCCTGCCTCAGCCTCCCGAGTAGCTGGGATTACAGGCATGCACCACCACGCCCGACTAATTTTGTATTTTTACTAGAGACGGGGTTTCTCCACGTTGGTCAGGATGGTCTCAAACTCCTGACCTCAGGTGATCCACCCACCTCGGCCTCCCAGAAGTGCTGGGATTACAGGCATGAGCCACCGCGCCCAGCCGGAAAGAGTCTTATGAAGACTCTCCATAAGTGTTAATAGGGATTTTAGCAGCTTATTTTGGTTGCAGTTTCTAATTTTTAAAAATGTTGAAGTAATCTTTTCCACCTTCCCAATCCTAATTCTTGTAGATTCATTATTGTTGAACCAATGCTTTCTCATGTCTCAATTCTTTGTGTATGCATTATTTTCAGATGTATTAAACAAACAAAAACCCTTCAAAAAAAAAAGCAAGCTTTGAAATGGGAAGTGTGATTCCTCTGACTTTGTAATTCTTTACAAGCTTTTGGCTATTTGGAGCCCTTTATAATTATTCCATATGGATGTAGGCATTGTCTTATTTATTCCTGCCTAAAAGGCTGTTGGGATATTGATTGGAATTATGTTGAATCTATAGATCACTTTGAGTAATCTTGACATGTTAACAATACTGAGTCTTCCTACCCATGACATGATGTCTTTGTTTATTTAGTCCTTCTTTAATTTATTTTAGCCACGTTGTGTTCTTTTTAGTGTATAAGCCATTCACCTCAGATTTATCCTATGTATTTTATTTTGTTTATTTTTATTTATTTATTTATTTATTTTTGAGACGGAGTCTCACTCTGTCACCTAGGCTGGAGTGCAGTGGCGCCATCCTGGCTCACTGCAACCTCTGCCTCCGAGGTTCAAGCTATTCTCCTGCCTCACTCTCTGAAGTAGCTGGGACTACAAGCACGCACCACCACGCTCGGCTGATTTTTGTATTTTTAGTGGACACGGGGTTTCACCATGTTGACCAGGCTGGTCTTGAACTCCTGACGTCAGGTGATCTGCCCGCTTCAGCCTCCTGAAGTGCTGGGATTACAGGGGTGAGCCACCGCTCCCAGTCTGTATTTTACTTTTTAGATGCTATGGTAAATGGAATTACTTTCTTAACTTTTTTGTTTATTTATTTCAATTGTATGGAAACATAATGGATTTTTGTGCATATGTTAATCTTGCATCCTGCAACTTTGCTGAATTCATTTATTAGCTCTAGTAGCCTTTTTCATGGATTCTTTTGGATTTGCTATATATTTGGGATATGTATTCTCATCTGCAAATAAATATAGTTTGACTACTTCCTCTCCAGTGTTGATACTTTTCATTTTTTTAAATTGTCTAATTGTTCTTGTTGGAAGTTCTAGTAGAATATTGAATAGCAGTAGTAAAACAGGGCATTAAAAACCTTCCAACAAAGTCAAGTCCATGAAAAAATGGCTTCACTGGTGAATTCTACCAAACATTTCAAAAAGAATTAACAGCAATCCTTCTCACACTCTCCAAAAGGGAAAGAGGAAAAAACAATTCCTAACTCATTCTGTGAGGCCAGTATTATCCAAATATTAAAGCCAAATAAAAACATCATAAGAGGCTAGGCATGGTGGCTCACACCTGTAATCCCAGCACTTTGAGAGGCTGAGGTGGAAGGATTGCTTGAGCCCGGGAGTTTGACCAGTCTGGGCAACACAGTGAGACTGCATCTCTACAAAAAATAAAAAATTAGCTCGGTGTGGTGATATATGCCTGTAGACCCAGCTACTCAGGAGGCTAAGATGGGAGAATAGCTTGAGCCCAGGAGGTTGAGGCTTCAGTGAGCCGTGATCGTGCCATTGCGCTCCAGCCTGGGTGACAGAGCAAGACCCTGTCCTCTGCTACCAAAAAAATAGTGTTTTGTTTTTAATTTTTTTAATGTTTTAATTGTATATATTTGCAAATTTTTCAGTTTTCTTATGCTTATTGATATCTGGCATCACTCCATTGTGATCACAAAAGATGCTTTGTATAATTCAGTATTTTTAAAATGTATTAAGGTGTGTTTTATGACCCAACATACGGTCTATTCTGAAGAATGTCACCCTTTCCCCCAAATTTTTGTTTGTTTAGTTGTTGTTGTTGTTGTTTTGAGAGACTGAGTCTCACTCTGTCGCCCAGGCTGAAGTACAGTGGTGCAGTCTCAGCTCACTGCAACCTCCGCCTCGTGGGTTCAAATGATTCTCCTGCCTCAGCCTCCCGAGTAGCTCGGATTACAGGCGCATGCTGCCACGCTAATTTTTGTATATGTTTTAGGAGAGACAGGGTTTCTCCATGTTGGCCAGGCTGGTCTCGAACTCCTGACCTCGTGATCCACCCGCCTCGGCCTCCCAAAGTGCTGGGATTACAGGCATGAGACACTGCGTCCAACCTTTTATTTTTTTGAGACAAGAGTCTCATCTCACTCTGTTGCCTAGGCTGGAGTGTAGTGGCTCGATCTTGGCTCACTGCAACCTCCTCCTCCCAGCTTCAAGCGATTCTCTTGCCTCAGCCTTCTGAGTAGCTGGGACTACAGGCACGCGTCACCATGCCCAGCTACTTTTTGTATTTTTGTAGAGATAGGGTTTCACTATATGTTGGCCAGGCTGGTCTTGAACTCATGACTTCAGGTGATCCGCTCACCTCAGCCTCCCAAAGTGTTGGGATTACAGGTGTGAGCCACTGAACCCAGCTTCAATACCTATTTGGCAGTGGCCAGGCCAGAACCTATCACTCCCAAGCCCAAGAATGCTCACTGACTCTTCCCTGTGAAGAAGCAAACCCTGGCTCTTGGATGTGGTGCTCTGGGTCTGACACCTCAGCTCTCTTGTGATGCCCCTGTCACTCACCCTCCCAGGATCACCTGCTATGCTCTTTGGTCACTTGCAAGGTCCTATATGGTAAGTTTACCTCTCCCTCTATCCCCCAAACAGAACACTCACCTTTGCTTGCTGAAATCCCAGTCAAATAGAGCACAGGCATAGATTGGAAGTCCTTCTTTCCAGGAAACCTTTCCTAACTCCTGTTAATTCATACTTAGTCTTCTTTCTTTTTTTTTTCTTCTTTTTTTGGAGACAGGGTCTCACTCTGACACCCAGGCTGGAGTGCAATGATGCGATCTCAGCTCACTGCACCCTCTGCCTTCCAGGTTCAAGCGATTCTCCCACCTCAGCCTCCCAAGTAGCTGGGATTACAGGCATGTGCCACCACGCCCTACTTTTTTATTTTTAGTAGAATTGGGGTTTCGCCACGTTGGCCAGGCTGGTCTCAACTCCTGACCTCAGGTGATCCGCCCGCCTCGGCCTCCAAAAGTGCTGGGATTACAGGTGTGAGCCACCATGCCCAGCCCGGTCTTCCTTCTTCCTGCTGCAATGAAACTTGATTTATGCTGATGCACCACCCTCAAGGCCCACAGAGCTGCACCTCGGTGTGTGTATGCTGCACGATGTGGAAAAGGCAGGGGCCCACGAGAGAATGGTCACCCTTTACACACCACACACACACATTGACTGATACATAAATACAAACAGCACACCACTGATGATGCACATTCCCCCAATGCACCACACAACCATACACCCCCCCACACACTCACACGCTTAGTGCACATGCTCCTCTCCACACAGACCATACACACCATCAGTCACACATTCCACCCCGCCACACACAAACACATGCATGTGCACATGCACACACTTACCACAGAGGACAGATACCACACAGCGACTCACACCACCCGACGTGCACACGAAAACAGACAAATCACACATCACTGTGGGCATGGGTTGCCTCAATACACTACACGATCACACTAACCATCCCCCAAATACAGACAGATACACACACGGAGAGCAGATGTTTGTCACACACAGACCACTACTGACACACACAAACACACCCACCCTGCTGAGGGCAGATGCCCCAACACACTCACACACACGCATACAGAGTGGGCTCTGGGCACTTCCTCAGCCTTGGCCTCTCCAAACCCACAAAGGTTGTCTTTGCATCCTGTGTCCTCCAACCCAGGTTCTGGCCCAGGCAGGGCTCTTCAGGCCACTTTAGCCTGTCTCACCTCCAAAACCCAAATTCTGGCCTGAGTCATGTCCCACTAAGCTCAGGCAACTGGATTGGGCTGTATTCACAAAGTCAGTCTAGGAACTAAATTTCCAGATGGTAGTCTGTTTTGCTGAGTAAGATATTCATGGTTGCCAGAACTAAAACTTTTCCTCACAATAGATAGTGATGCCCTCCTTCTCCACCCTCCTCCCTAGCAATGAGCAGCAGCTCATCGAAAGAGAAGCTAAGGGGCCGGGCACGGTGGCTTACTCCTATAATCCCAGCACTTTAAGAGCCCAAGGCAGGAGGATCATTTGAGGCTAGGAGTTTGAGACCAGCCTGGGCAACATAGCAAGGCTCCATCTCTACAAAAAATTTAAAAATTAACCAGGTGTGGTGCATGCCTCCAGCTACTCAGGAAAATGAGGAGGGAGGATTGTTTGAGCCAAGGAAGTCAAGGCGGCAGTGAGCTATGATGACACCACTGCACTTCAGCCTGGGCGACAGAGGGAGAGCCTGTCTCAAAAAAAAACTGTCATTTTTTTCTGGGAGACTGAACAGTTTCTGGTCACACACCACATGAGTCCTAAGATGAGGTACAAGGGGAGCCAAGAACCGCCTTCCAACGTATCCCACAATGAGTCTCCCCCTCCATCTCACTTATCCTGGTGGATCTTTGGCAAGGAATAAGAGCAATGAACTTCAAGTTACTTGAGTGAGCAAAATCCCATGGAAGTTAAAATATAATTCATTTTGTCTTTCATTAAAAAGTATCATGTCAATTTGGGTATGTGTGTGTGTGCATGTGTGTGTGTGTGTGTGTGTGTGTGACTTTTTTGAAGATGGAGTTTTCTCTTGTTGCCCAGGCTAGAGTGCAGTAGCGCAATCTCGGCTCACTGCGACATCTGCCTCCTGGGTTCAAGCAACTCTTGTGCCTCAGCAGCCTCCTGAGTAGCTGGGATTACAGGCACCCACCACCATGCCAAGGTAATTTTTGTATTTTTAGTAGAGATGAGGTTTCACCATGTTGGCCAGGCTGGTCTTGAACTCCTGAGCTCAAGCAATTTGCCCACCTTAGCCTCCCAAAGTGCTAGGATTACAGGTGTGGGTCACCACACCTGGTCAGGCAAGAATATTTTTAAAGAAGTTAAGAAAACCCTAATTTAGTATTAGGTTGGTACAAAAGTAATTGTGGTTTTTGCCATTACTTTTAATGCCAAAAACTACAGTTGCTTTTACATCAACCTTATATAACCTTATCTTAGTTGGTTTGCAGAAATTTGCAGTGGCTATATTTTCCAAGCTCAATCTATAGTTCTGGTAGTTCTGGTAGCATTTTTGGACCTCTATGCAAATGCAAAGCACATTTCTATATTTCAATATCCCTGTAACTGTGCAGTTGAGGAGTTCTCACCTAACCTTCAATTGGAAGTGATTAATCTGCCATATAATGACATGCTAAAATGCAAATTTCAAGAGAATATAACAGAACTCTATTCTTCCAAGCAATGAATATGCTCAAGTTAAATCATATGTTCATGGACGGTATCAGTGTTTGGCAGTACGTATCTATCTTAAAAACATTTTCAAAGATGAAATATGTAAAATCTCATTATAACCGGTAGAAACAGATGTACACAATTTTGATGCTGAAGAACACTAACTCTGGGGCCTAGCACAGTGCTGATGCCTGTAATCCCAGCACCTTGGGGGGCCTGAGGAGTAAGAATCCCTTGAGCCCAGGAGTTCAAGACCAGCCTGGACAACATAGTGAGATCCCCATCTCTACAAAAAAGTTTTAAAAATTAGCAGGGCGCAGTGGCTCAGGGCTGCTGTAATCCTGGCTACTGGGGAGGCTGAGGCGGGAGGATGCTTGAGCCCAGGAGTTTGAAGCTGCACTGAGCCATGATGGCACCATTGCCCTCCAGCCTGGGTGACAGAACAAGGCCCTGTCTGAAAAACAAAACAAAATAAAACAAAAAAAACTAACTAACTCCGAACTCCAATTAAGCAAAATGTTACGCCTAAAAAAATTCCATTCTTTGGCCAGGCGCGATGGCTGAAGCCTGTAAACCCAGCACTTTGGGAGGCCGAGGCAGGGGGATCACGAGGTCAGGAGATCAAGACCATCCTGGCTAACACGGTGAAACCCCATCTCTACTAAAAATAAAAATAAAAAAAAAATTAGCTGGGCGTGGTGGTGGCCGCCTGTAGTCCCAGCTACTTGGGAGGCTGAGGCAGGAGAATGGCATGAACCCGGGAGGCGGAGCTTGCAGTAAGCGGAGATCTCACCACTGCACTCCAGCCTGGGCCACAGAGCAAGACTCCGTCTCAAAAAATAAATAAATAAATAAATAAAATAAAATTCCATTCTTCGCATCAGTAGCATATACTATATAATGATATAATGATATCATTATTGTATTTTTTTTTGAGATGGAGTCTTACTCTGCTGCCCAGGCTGGAGTGCAATGATGTGATCTCTGCTCACTGCAACCTCCCCGTCCCGAATTTAAGCGATTCTCCTGCCTCAGCCTCCGGAATAGCTGGGATTACAGGCGCCCGTCACCACGCCCAGCTAATATTTGTACGTTTATTAGAGACGGGGGTTTCACCATATTGGCCAGGCTGGTCTCGAACTCCTGACCTCAGGTGATCCACCAGCCTCAAGCTCCCAAAGTGCTGGGATTACACGCGTGAGCCACCGCGCCCGGCCAATAACATCATCATCATTATATTTTGAGTTTCATCAATATGAAATTGATGGGAAGGAGGGGTGATTCCAGGACTGAAAGGAAGGCTTGTGTCGTCACCATGGAGATGGACAGTCCAACGCTTCTAATTGGCAGGGACGAAGGGACGGGTCCTCGGCCCGTCCCCCTCGTTCCTCTAGGACCGGAAAATTCTGGGAAGGCTCGAGGCCGCGGTCCCCGGGGTCCGCATAGTCCCGATGAAAAACAGACCCGGGAAAGCTGGTGGGAGTCAGGAGCCCCGGCGATGAGGATTGCGATGAAGGAAGCAGGCTCGGAGCGCCGCCAGCGCATGCGTATTGGGGATCTGAGGCCAGCGTCTTGCGCCGCCATTGCGGGGAGGCTGTCCTCAGAGCAGGTCTGGCGCGCCGGTGGCTGGACCGGCCCCAGGAGCCCAGTCACCGGGCGTCATTGGCTCAGGCTGCGGGGCCCTCGGCACCTTCTCCCTCCCGGGTCCACCGCGGCGGCGGCGGCGGCGGCGGCGGCGGCGGCGGCGGCGTCAGGGGGCGGAGCCTGCCGAAGCGCCCTTTGTCTGCGGAGGTGAGTGCGCGCCGGGAGGAGGCGGAGGCGGGAGGCGGAGGCGGGGGGCGGAGGCGGGGGGCGGAGGCGGGGGGCGGAGGCGGGGGGCGGAGGCGGGGGGCGGAGGCGGGGGGCGGAGGCGGGGGGCGGCGGGCGGCGGGCGGCGGGCGGCGGGCGGCGGGCGGCGGCGGCGGCGGGCGGCGGGCGGCGGCGGCGGCGGCGGCGGCGGGCGGCGGCGGCGGCGGGAGGCGGCAGGTGGCGGGAGGGGCGGCCGCTGTCCCCGCTGTCCCCATTCCTGTCACCCGCCCCGTGTCCCTTTCAGATTTTTGGTCTTTTATAGGAAGGTCTTACCCGTTCCAATATTATAAACACATTGTCTTCTACTATCTGGGAATGACTCTGAGGCTGAAGAAAAACTTGCAGTTTATTTTTGGGCAAGCGTCCATAGGTGTCATTTTGGGGGAAAGTTTTTCCTCATCTCAGGATTATGCAAACGTTCGGCTTTATTTTCTTATAATACGTTTAAAGAATTTTTAAAATATTTTCTTTTTCTCCTTTTTATCTGTATTTCATTGAGTATGATATTTGTGGTAAGGGGTTAGGTAGAGATTACCTTTTTCTCTCATTGCCTTGCTGTTATCCGTTGAGTCACTTTTCCACGGAATTGCAGTGACACTTTTATTACATTTTGCAGGCGTGTGTATGCTCAGATGTGTTTCTGTTTATTTATGTTTTTGTTTTGAGACAGGATCTCACTTTATCACCCAGGCTGCAGTGCAGTGGCACCATCATGGCACACTGCAGCCTCAAACGCCTGGGCTCAAGAGCTCCTCCTTCCTCAGCCTCCTCAGTAGCTGGGACCACAGGTGTGCACCACCACGTGCGGCTTTTTGTTGTTGTTGTTGTTGTTAGCGACCAGGTCTCACCATGTTTCCCAGGCTGGTCTCTGAGCGCAAGTGATCCTCCCGCCTTGGCCTCTCAAAGTGCTGGGATTACAGGCATGAGCCACGGCGTTCGGCCAGCTGTTTCTAGATTCTGTCACTGCCCTGACAGTTTCTGCACTGAATACATATACGTACATACATACATAGATTTTTTTCATTTAAAATGTTTAGGCCGGTTGCGGTCCTGTAATCGCAGCACTTTGGGAGGCAGAGGCAGGAGGATCACTTGAGCTCATGAGTTCGAGACCAGCCTGGGAAACATGGCAAGACCCTGTTGCTACAAAAAAAACTAGAAAAATTAACCGGACTTGGTGGTGTGTGCCTGTAGTCCCCAGCCACTCAGGAGGCTGAGGTGGGAAGATGGCTTTGGCCCAGGAGATGAAGGTTGCAGTGAGCCAGTCACTGCACTCCAGCCTGGGCGACAGAATCAGACCTTGTCTCAAAAAATAAAATAAATGTTTTAAGCAAATCCCCCTTAATTGTGTCCTTTCATATAATGATTTTTTTTTTTTTTTGAGATGGAGTTTCGCTCCTGTTGCCCAGGCTGGAGTGCAATGGTGTGATCTCCGCTCACCGCAACCTCTGCCTCCTGGGTTCAAATGATTCTCCTGTCTCAGCTTCCCGATTAGCTGGGATTACAGGCACATGCCACCACACCTGGCTCATTTTTGTATTTTTAGTAGAGACGGAGTTTCATCATATTGGTCAGGCTGATCTCAAACTCCTGACCTCAGGTGATCCGCCCACCTCGGCCTCCCAAGTGCTGGGATTACAGGCGTGAGCCACTGCGCCCGGCCTGATCTATTTCTTTTAACTTAAATTGTGAGGCATTTAAAAGATACAGAAAAGTTTAAAAAAAAATAATTTTTTAAAAGGCAGGTTGGAACACTTAGTAGGTTGTAGCAATTAGTACGTTCTAAATAGATAGTTATTCGGTGATGAATGTTGGTGGAAAGTCACTCTGTTGCTGAAAACTTGCGGCTCCCTGCCGCCATCAGGAAAATGTTCTAGTTCCTTAGTGATGCCCTCAAAGCCCTTTATGATCTTGATATTGCATCTGGCTTTGTCTTACACCCATGCACTTTTTTTTTACCCCCAAAAAAGCAGTTTAATTTGAGTGCAGATTTGTATGTGAATTTCATTAGAAAAGAGGACTATATAAATCTTATGAGTTATAGTTCTTGTAACACGTTGGTGTCATTTTCAACTGATTGGAAATGTCAGCTGTGAAGACCATGCTTTTAATTTTACCTTAGAGTATGCATCTTTGGTGACTGTCATAGCCTGCTCAGTCTGCTGTACAATACTGCAGACTGAGTGCAAACAACAGAAATGTGGTATCTCACAGTTCTAGAGGTGGGAAGTTCAAAATCAAAGTGCCTGCCCTGTTGGTTTCCAGTGAACCTCTCTTCCTGGCTTGCAGAAGGGACTGGCATCTCTCTGTGTCCTCTTCTGCTGGCCTTTGCACTGGGTGCATGCATTCCTGTGCCTCTTCTTCTTATGAGGACACTACTGCTATTGGATTAAGACCCCACCTTTATGACCTCATTTAACTTTAATTACAGGCCCGGCGCAGTGGCTCATGCCTGTAATCCCAGCACTTTGGAAGGCCGAGGCAGGTGGATCACCTGAGGTCAGGAGTTCAAGACCAACTTGGCCAACATGGTGAAACCCCATCTCTAGTAAAAATACAAAAATTAGCCGGGTGTGGTGGTGGGTGCCTGTAATCCCAGCAACTTGGGAAGCTGAGGCAGGAGAATTGCTTGAACCCGGGAGGCAGAGGTTTCAGTGAGCCGAGATCACGCCATTGCACTCCAGTCTGGGCAAGAGAGCGAGACTCTGTCTCCAAAAAAAAAAAAAAAAAATGACAACCTTTAAGGCCCTATTTCCAAATAAAGTCACATTGCGGGTTAGGACTTCAACATACTAATTTGTGGGTGTGGAATATAATTTAGTCCATAACAGTTACAACATCAAAATGAGTTGAAAATTCTAATCTGCTGTAAGATTAAAACTGCCTCAATTAAATCATTATTACAAGAAAAAATGTATCCCTTAAGAGAATTCTAAATAAAGATATAAGAAGAATTATCCTGGTATCACAGATACACAGGAGAATCAAATATTAAGGAGAGGCTGGACGTGGTGGCTTATGCCTGTAATCCCAGCACTTTGGGAGGCCGAGGTGGATGGATCATCTGAGGTCAGGAGTTTGAGACCAGCCTGGGCAACATGGTGAAACCCCATCTCCTAAAAATACAAATATTAGCTGGGCGTGGTGGCACGTGCCTGAGGTAGGAGAATTGTGCTTGAACCCAGGAGGTGGAGGTTGCAGTGAGCCTGGATTGTGCCACGGCACTCTAGCCTGGACGACAGAGTGAGACTCTGTCTCAAAAAAAAAAAAAAGAAAAAAAAATTAAGGAGTGTGCCTACTCCCACACATGCTTGGAACAATTCCTAGCATAGATTAAGGTTTTAAACTATTAAGTTTTGAATGAACACTAAATGAAAAAGTTACTATTTGATTAGTTCATCAGCAAATAAATGTGGACAATTAGAAGTTTATATACAGGAACTAAGAAATAATTCAGTTTCAACATTCTAATATAAATATGAACGAAATTAAAGCTCAGTCTAAATACCTTTCCAAAGTCACATGGTTATTTAATAGAAGAATTGTGTCTCCATTTACGCCTGCAAAATGTAATTTTTATTTCACCCACACTAGTTCATGATATATAATGGTTTGCAGGAACAAAAGTATAATGTGACTTGCAAGGCAAAGTATGAAAATAGAAATCAGGAGAGAAAAGATTAAGAGAAATGATGTCCACTTATTTAATAGAAAAAAAATTAAATCATAGAAATTGTGTCTAGACCAGCCTGGGAAACATGGTGAGACCTGGTCGCTAATAACAACAACAACAACAACAACAACAAAAAGCCACACGTGGTGGTGCGCACCTGTGGTCCCAGCTACTGGGAAGGCTGAGGAAGGAGGAGCTCTTGAGCCCAGGCGTTTGAGGCTGCAGTGTGCCATGATGGTGCCACTGCACTGCAGCCTGGGTGATAAAGTGAGATCCTGTCTCAAAACAAAAACATAAATAAACAGAAACACATCTGAGTATATAAACGCCTGCAAAATGTAATTTTTATTTCACCCACACTAGTTCATGATATATAATGGTTTGCAGGAACAAAAGTATAATGTGACTTGCAAGGCAAAGTATGAAAATAGAAATCAGGAGAGAAAAAAGATTAAGAGAAATGATGTCCACTTATTTAATAGAAAAAAATTAAATCATAGAAAAAAAGTAAATCTCAACTAAGATAGACTGTCATCTATGAATCTAAAGTGGGAAGTAGTAAACCCTTGTTTATAAAAATCACAAGTGGCTGGGTGCAATGGCTTATGCCTGTAATCCCAGCACTTTGAGAGGCCTAGGCAGGCGGATCACGAGGTCAGGAGATCGAGACCATCCTGGCTAACACAGTGAAACCCCGTCTCTACTAAAACTACAAAAAAATTAGCTGGGCCTGGTGGCGGGCGCCTGTAGTCCCAGCTACAGGAGGCTGAGGCTGGAGAATGGCGTGAACCCGGGAGGCGGAGTTTGCAGTGAGCCGAGATCGCGCCGCTGCACTCCAGCCTGGGCGACAGAGTGAGACTCCATCTCAAAAAAAAAAAAAAAAAAAAAAAAAAACCCCAGGAACAACGTGTGAGAGATTTGTGTTCGTGCCATACAGAACCAGGGAAGCTCACTCAAGCTTGGTGTTCAGGGTTTTAATTGGGGACTGGTGTAGGGGTGATCCCTTTTCTCCCTATCATAAGGGTCATGACAGAAAACCCTATAACAAAACACAGGTTAACAAGAGAAAAGCATAACAAGTTTATTTGGTAATAGTTTTATAACTTCCCCTTTGCCCTCTGAAGGTTTGCTGAAAAGCACTGACCAAAAAAAAAAAAAAAAAAAAAAACAAAGCAGAATAGGCTGGGCGCGGTGGCTCACGCCTGTAATCCCAGCACTTTAGGAGACCAAGGCGATTGGATCACATGAGGTCGGGAGTTTGAGACCAGCCTGACCAACATAGAGAAACCCCGTCTCTACTGAAGATACAAAATTAGCCGGGCGTGGTGGCGGAAGCCTATAATCCCAGCTACTCGGGAGGCTGAAGCAGGAGAATTACTTGAACCTGGGAGGTGAGGTTGCAGTGAACCGAGATCATGCCATTGCACTCCATTCTGGGCAACAAGAGTGAAATTGTTTGGGAAAAAAAAAAAAAAAAAGGCGGAGTAATAGGAGACAAGGCATACAAATTTACCCAGGCTGGAGTGCAGTGGTGTGATCTCTGCTCACTGCAAGCTCCGTCTCCCGGGTTCACGCCATTCTCTTGCCTCAGCCTCCCGAGTAGCTGGGACTACAGGCGGCCGCCACCACGCCCGGCTAATTTTTTTGTAGTTTTAGTAGAGACGGGGTTTCACCGTGTTAGCCAGGATGGTCTTGATCTCCTGACTTCATGATCTGCCCGCCTCAGCCTCCCAAAGTGCTGGGATTACAGGCGTGAGCTACCGCGCCCGGACTAATTTGATCATAGTTTTATGTGACATGGGAGCCTTCAGACTGAAGACCCAAAGATACAGGGAAACATAAACATAAACATACAGTTTATGCTTAGGAATGGACATCCATGTATAAATATGATTGGACAAAAAGAGTATGATCTCATGCTATAGATTGAATGGGGAAATGCAGCCAGGCCTGGGTGTTCAGATTCTCCTTGTTCTCTTTGGGAAGTATTCCTTCCTACCCAGTGTGGGGTAAGACCACTCTAGAATGAGGATCTTATGACCTACAATGAAACAAGGTAGGTCATATAATGTATTTATGGCCAGTTATTATACAGAAGGCAGGGAATTAGGGTAATATTTTTAGGTTTTATGACTGGCTTTGGAGAAAAAGCATTCCTGTTTTTTGTTGTTTTGTTTTTGTTTGTTTTGAGACTGAGTTTTGCTGGTTGCCAAGGCTGGAGTACAGTGTCGCGATCTTGGCTCACTGCAACCTCCGCCTCCCGGGTTCAAGCCATTCTTGTGCCTCAGCCTCCCGAGTAGCTGGGATTACAGGCACCCGCCACCACACCAGGCTAATTTTTATATTTTTAGTAGAGACAGCATTTCACTATGTTGGCCAGGCTGGTCTCAAACTCCTGACCTCAAATGATCCGTCCACCTTGGCTTCCCAAATTGCTGGGATTACAGGCATGAGCCACCACACCTGGCCAAGGGTTGTTGTTTCTATGACCTGCCTTGGGGAAGGGGTATTTTAGTTTCTAAGCCTACTCTAAGGGGAGAATGAGGGGTGAGAGAAAGGAGGGCAGGAGAAGGCCAGAGAGAAACTTGTGCTTTTGAGGCCTTTAATTTGCAGTATCATTTTCTGAGCCCCAACACCAGTCATGTGGGCTTGGCTTGACCACCCTTGTGGCTGACCTTCACTCTCCAGCCCTTTCAGAGGAGGAGCTACCACATGGCCTGCAGTTCTCAACATAACAGGGTCCCTTTATTAGCATTAACATCTGAACATGTCCCATGGCCTCAGGCAAACAAAGACACTCTTAACTGGCAGGATATTCCAGGGGTTTAGAGGTTGTCTCCCAAGGAGGCAGGCCAGGGTACCTTTCCTTGAAATGTTCAGGGTTTGGATCATCCAGTTCTGCTGAGTTAATCCCTTTACTTTATACTACCTTCTGTCTAAAGACCTCTTGCAAATCAAGAAATCACTATTGTCAAGAAAAACACAATAGTGGAAAAATGGACAGATGACACGAAAGGGTAATTTATTTAAAAAATAAAGCTAAAATATAAATACTTCTGTCCCATATATCTAAGAAGTGCATGTTAAAGCAATGATTAAATATGTTTATGTATTTCAAAAGAACAAAGCCTGACATTGGTTAATGGTCTCATGTATTGGTGATGAATATATAAATTGATACAACCTTCCTGGACAGTGTTTTGCCTTTTCTTTGACCCTGCAATTACACTTTTCCTAAGGAACTAATCAGGCAAAATCATTCAAAAACTGTATGTCTAACAGTGTTTGCTGTTGTCTATAAAAGCAAGCAAGCAAGAAAGAAAACAACCTAAAGGTCTATTAATAATGAAATAAGTTTTGGTTATTGCATGCAAAGGAATATATTATGAATCTATTAAGAAAATGAATGTTTTGACTTTTGTTTTCTGTCATGAAGTGAGATCTACAATATTGTCAATTAAAATGTAGATTTCTGAAAAGAAAATTATACATTTAATAATATGTGCATGTGTATGCCTGTGTGTGTATACATGGAAAAAGCCTGAAAGGATAAATCCCAAAAATAAGGTAACTAGTTATCTCCAGGTGATATTATAAGTGATTTTCATTTTTTATATATTTACTAAAATTTGTGTTTTAATATTTGCCAAAAAGTAAAATGAGGGTATTTCCATGGTAGAGAGGGGTATAGGAAAGATCACTCTGGCTGCAGTATGAAGAAAAGGTTAGACTAAAGTCAAGGAGATAAGTTAGAAGGGAATGGCAGTAATCAAAGTGAGAGCTGATGGTGGCTGAACCAATGTACTAGACATGAAGATGAAGACCAGAAACATTCATGAGATACTGAAGGGAATACGTATACCAGAATGTGACATTGATTAGATAGAGAGCCTAAGGGAGAACGAGGGAGCTCAGGATGCCATTCGGGTTTCAGGCTTGGTGTTGCTATTCATTGAGATCGGGAATATGATAGAAGAGTTAGAATTAAGATATATCTATCTATCTACTGCTTATTATATGCTGTTATATTCTGTTATACTCTTTTTTTTTTTTTTTTTTTTTTTTTTTTTTTTTTGAGACAGAGTTTCACTCTTATTGCCCAGGCTGGAGTGCAATGGCATGATCTCGGCTCACTGTAACCTCCATCTCCTGGTTTCAAGCGATTCTCCTGCCTCAGCCTCCCGAGTAGCTGGGATTACAGGCACGCGCCACCATGCCTGGCTAATTTTGTATTTTTAGTAGAGGTGGAGTTTCTCCATGTTAGTCAGGCTGGTCTCGAACTCCCGACCTCAGGCAATCTGCCCGCCTTGGCCTCCCAAAGTGCTGGGATTACAGGTGTGAGCCACTGCGCCTGGCTTGTGCTGTTATATTCTAAATATTTACAAATTTTCACTTTTCCTTAATCCTCACAACAAACCCACAGGTAGATACTATTATTATTCCTAGTTTTATAGATGAGGAAGTGGAAGCCTGGAAAGGTTGAGTCATTTACCCAACCAGATTCATACAGCTAAAGTCATGGAGCTGGGAATCCAACCCATATGGTTTGGCTGTGGAGTCACCATTCTGACCTACCTTACTGTATGGAAAATTAATGGCAAGAGACGAGAGAGAATGAGTTTTGGATATGTTAGGCTTCAGAAATATGAGGGACATCTACCTGGGGGTGTCCAGGAGGGTGGTTACATTTGTATGTTTTTCTGTAGCTCAGAAAGGACGAGCAGTGAAACCAAGACAATGAGAGAAGCCACCTGAGAATAAATACAATAAAAAATAGAGGAGAGTGAATATAAACACTAATAAATTGGACCTAACTACATTACAAAGGAAGGATGTAACCACATTGAAAGAGGTGAGGAAGAAAATAACCTTAAATAACTTTAGGAAACAGTATCTTAACTGGATACTGTAAGGCTAAAGATGAAAAGAATTCCACATAAATGCTGTAATCAAGTCAGTAATTGTGTTTCTCACAAGGGTATGAGTTAGGAACTCTATTATAAAGCTGTGTTATATGTATGTCACAATTGAACAAATAAGTAGATAATAAGAGCCACCAATTTTTTACTGTTGAAGAAGGAAGTTACCGGTAAGGAAAAAGGGAAGACTAAAATGAACCTTGTGGTATTAGATTGGAATCAGATATCAGTATGAACTCATGATATTTAATATATATGTGTGTGTGTGTGTGTATATATATATACACACACATAAACACACATAATTGATGTGTGTATATACATGGTTAGTGTGTATATATATATAAATATTATATATTTCCTAGTTATGTCTGCTAAGAGGGCCTAGAAGCAATGATACCCCAGTAGCAATAAGCATACCTAGCACCCAAATCTTTGTTTCTAAATCCTGTTCTCCAGTAAAAGGAACCAGGGCACTTTGGAGAAACGGTTGATTCCAGGGCTGGGCAGGAAAAATGCTAGAGCCTGAAACATCTTATATTGCCAAGAAGTGAGAAAGTGCTTAAGAAAGGAGAAAGCCTGGTTGAAATAACACAGGAGTCTCGTAATGGCCAAAGCTGAAACAATTTGTGCAATAAAATAAATAAGAAAAGTATTTGACTTTTAACTCATAGAATAAAATAAGTATCCATGAGTCTCTATAGATATAAGCAAATAATCTAATAAATAAATGAATAGGGGATAAGAAGCAGTTTTTCCTTATGGAAAAATTCCAATACTAAATTAGTAAGAGGGAAATAGAAGAACACCATTAGGCAAACACCACGTTAATAATTGTTGCAGATGAGATGAGATACACTGATGATGCTAAAATTAATGGGTTTGAGAAGCAAGATATGTACATAGTCTTTTTTCTTTCTTTTTTTTTTTTCTTTTTTTGAGACAGGGTCTCACTCTTTCACCTAGGGTGGAGTGCAGTGGCGTGATCATGGCTCGCTGGAGTGCAGTGGCATGATCACAGCTCACTGCAGCCTCGACCTTCCAGGCTCAAGCAACCCTCTCACCTCAGCCTCCCGAATAGCTGGGACTACAGGCACTCGCCACCACACCCAGCTAATTTTTTCTTTTTTTTTCATAGTGAAGGTCTCACTATGTTGCCTAGGTTGGTCTCAAACTCCTGGGCTCAAGCCATCCTCCCACCTCCACCTCCCAAAGCGTTAGGATTACAAGCATACAAGCATGAGCCACTGCGTCCATCTGTCCTGTAGGTAGCCTTAAAGTATCTTCCCCCAGGATATTTATTAGCAACAAAAGGAAAGATAGTAACTTTTACCATAGAGCAACCTGGTAGACACCACCTTGACCAAGTGATAATGGTAAATATTACCGTCAATGAAACATATTGCCATTAATGAGACATATTACCATTAATGAGACATATTGACATCGTGAACATATTGACGTCATAAACATAGTAGACATATTGACATTGTATAGAGTAGATCTTCATGTCCAGTTCCTGCCGCAGAGCTCCTAAAACCCTCGTCATTTTCTGAGTGATAGGGATGATAGAAGCGTCTTTTGCTATTCATAACCAATGAGATGACTGGTGACTCCAAGTTCCTACATAGCTTCAGGATGGAGGCTAGTGGCTAAAGGAACCTACCATGTAATTAGAGGGTTGAACTTTAAACCCCAACCCCAAACCCCACCCCACCTCTGAGGAGAAGAGAGGGGTTGAAGATAGAGTTAATCACCAATGGACAATCAACTCAAAATGGATTAAGGACTTAAACAGAAGACCTGAAGCTATAAAACTCAGAAAGGAAAATGTTCCATGACGTTTGTCTAGACAAAAATTTCTTGGATATGACCACAAATGCAAAAGTAAACAAATAGGGTTGCGTCAATCTAAAAAGCTTTTACACGGCAAAGGAAACAATCAATAAATGAAGAGAAAAACCAAGGATTGGGAGAAAATGTTTGCAAACGATACATCTGATATGGGACTGTATTAGTCTGTTCTCACTGCTACTGAAGAACTACCTGAGACTGAGTAATTTATGAAGAAAAGAGGTTTAATTGACTCACGATTCCTGTACAGGCTGTACAGGAAGCATGACTGGGAGGCCTCAGGAAACTTACAAGCATGGCAGAAGGCCAAGGGGAAGCAAGGACCTTCTTCATATGGCAGGAGGAGAGAGTGCAAAGTGCCACATGCTTTTAAGCCATCAGATCTCGTGAGAATTCACTCATTATCGTGAGAACAGCAAGAGGGAAATCCACCCTGTGATCCAATCACCTTCCAATTCAACATGAAATTTCAGTAGGGACACAAATCCAAACCATATCAAGGACTAATATCCAAAATATATAAGGAACTCAGTAGCGAGAAAACAAGTAACCCAATTTTAAGATGGACAAATGTCCTGAATAGACATTCTCATTCACAAAAAATTAAATTCAAAATTTCCCATTTACCTCTAAAAAAAAAGACAACATACAAATGGCCATCAGAGATAATGAAAAAATGCTTATCACTGATCTTGATGGATATGCAGATTAAAACCACAATAAGAGAGCACTCACCCCTGTTAGAATGGCTTATTATCAAAAAGACAAAAGATAACAAGTATTGGTGAGAGTGTGGAGAAAAGGGAACGCTTATGCACTGTTTGTGGGAATGTAAATTAATACAGCCATCACAGCAAACTACAGGAGTTCCTCAAAAAACAAAAAATCGGCCAGGCACGGTGGTTCATGCCTGTAATCCCAGCACTTTGGGAGGCCGAGGCGGGCAGATCACAGGGTCAGGAGATGGAGACCATCCTGGCTAATACGGTGAAACCCCGTCTCTACTAAAACTACAAAAAATTAGCTGGGCATGGTGGCGGGCACCTGTAGTCCCAGCTACTTGGGAGGCTGAGGCAGGAGAATGGCGTGAACCCGGGAGGTGGAGCTTGCAGTGAGCCGAGATCGTGCCACTGTACTCCATCCAGCCTAGGTGACAGAGCGAGATTCCATCTCAAAAAAAAAAAAAAAAAAAAAAATCAAGCCAGGCACGGTGGTTTATGCCTGTAATCCCAGCACTTTGGGAGGCCGAGGGGGGGGGGGGGGTTGATCACAAGGTCAGGAGTTCAAGACCAGCCTGGCCAAGATGGCGAGACCCCATCTCTACTAAAAATACAAAAAAATTTGCCGGGTGTGGTGGCAGGCACCTGTAATCCCAGCTACTCAGGAGGCTGAGATGGAGAAATGCTTGAACCCAGGAGGCAGAGGTTGCAGTGAGCTGAGATGGCACCACTGCACTCCAGCCTGGGCAACAGAGCGAGACTCCATCTCAAAAAAATAAAAAATAAAAAAATCGAACTACCATATGATCCAGCAGTCCCACTTCTGAGTATATATTCTTTTTTTGTTTGTTTGTTTTGAGACAGAGTCTCATTCCATCAGCCAGGCTGGAGTGCAGTGGCACGATCTCAGCTCACTGCAACCTCTGTCTCCCAGGTTCAAGTGATTCTTGTGCCTCAGCCTCTTGAGCAGCTGGAATTGCAGACATGCCCCACACCACACCCGGCCAATTTTTGTATGTATAATAGAGACAGGGCTTCACCATGTTGGCCAGGCTGGTCTTGATCTCCTGATCTCAGATGATCCACCCACCTCAGCCTCCCAAAGTGCAGGGATTACAGGTGTGAGCCACCACACCAGGACCTGAGTATATATTCAAAGGAATTGAAATGGGTATGCCAAAGCGATATCTGTACTCCTATGTTTATTGCAACATTATTCACTGTAGTCAAGATATGGAAGTGACCTAGATGTCCATTGGATGAATGGATTTTAAAAATGTGGTGGCCGGGCGTGGTGGCTCACCCCTGTAATCGCAGCACTTTCTGGGAGGCCGAGGCAGGCGGATCACGAGGTCAGGAGTTTGAGATCAGCCTGACCAACATGGTGAAACCCTGTCTCTACTAAAAATACAAAAATTAGCCAGGCATGGCGGCACGTGTCTGTAATCCCATTTACTCAGAGGGCTGAGGCAGGAGAAGTGCTCGAACCCGGGAGGTGGAAGTTGCAGTGAGCCGAGATTGCACCACTGCACTCCAGCCTGGGCAACAGAGCGAGACTCCATTTCAAAAAAAAAAAATGTGGTATATATACACAATGGAATACTATTCAGCCTTCAAAAAGAGGGAAATTATATTATTCGTGACAACATAGATGAACCTGGAGGACATTGTATTAAGTGAAATAAGCCAAGCACAGAAAAACAGAAACTCTATGATCTCACTTAAAACGTGGACTCTAAAAATGTTGAACTTGTAGAGAGTAGAATGGTTGTTACTAGAATCTGGGGCTGTGTGGGAGGGGGCTAAAGAGATGTTGACCAAAGGGTACAAAGTTTTAGTGAGACAGGAGGGGTAAGCTTTAGTGATCTATTACACAGAATGATGACTAAAATAATAAAATAACAATGCATTGTTTTCTTTCTGTCTCTCTGTCTCTTTCTTTTTTTCTTTTAGAGATGGGGTTTCAACATGTTGCCCAGGCTGGTCTCGAACTCCTGACCTCAAGTGATCCACCCACCTTGGCCTCCCAAAGTGCTGGGATTACAGGCATGAGCCACTGCGTCTTGCTGATAATGCATTGTATATTTCAAAATTACTAAAAGAGTAGATTTTAAATGTTTTCACCACAAATAATTTAAAAGTATGTGAGGTGACAGATATGATAATTGGCTATTCCACAATGTGTATTAGTCTGTTTTCACGCTGCTGATAAAGACATACCCAAGACTGGGCAATTTACAAAAGAAAGAGGTTTAATGGATTTACAGTTCTGAGTGGCTGGGGAGGACTCACAATCATGGTGGAAGGCAAGGAGGAGCAAGTCACATCTTACATGGATGGCAGCAGGCAGTGAGAGAGAGAGAGAGAGCTTATGCAGAGAAACTCTAGCTTATAAAGCCATCAGTTCTCATGAGACTTATTCACTATCATGAGAACAGCATGGAAGAGACCTGCCCCCATGATTCAGTTACCTCCCACTGGGTCCCTCCCACAACATGTGGGAATTCAAGATGAGATATGGGGTGGAGACACAGCCAAACCACATCAACTATGTAAATATATATTAATGCATCACATTGTACTCTATAAATATATATAATTATTTGTCAATTAGAAATTTAAACAAATTTTTAAGTTACCAGTGTCTAGTAGTTTAATCAATCTTGACTGTATAATGCAACCTCCATAGAAACACTAAAAAAAGGAGTCTGGAGAACTTCCAGATTGGTGAACACATACAGGTGCTGGAGGTTGCCATGCCCAGAGAGGGCATGGAAGCTCTGCACCCACCAACCCTCCACCCCTTGCCCAATTTACCTCTTACATTTGGCTGTTCCTGAGTTAAGTGAACACAAAGGATTTAACCTTCATTAAACAGATCACGTGTATGATTTCACTGCAGCCATAGTGCAGCTTATTAACTCTACAGAGCAAACCTTTGTATCACTTACTAACATGACATGTAGTTTGCTGTATCAACTTATATGACAGTTACACATGTCAATATGACTGAGCACAGTGGCTCACGCCTGTAATCCCAACACTTTGGGAGGCCAAGGCAGGCAGATCACCTGAGGTAAGGAGTTCGAGACCGGCCAGTCAACATGGCAAAACCTCGTCTCTACTAAAAATACAAAAATTAGCCAGGCTTGGTGACGTGTGCCTATAATCCCAGCTGCTCAGGAGGCTGAGGCAGGAAAATCACTCAAACCTGGGAGGCAGAGGTTGCAGTGAGCTGAGGTTGCGCCACTGCACTCCAGCCTGGGTGACAGAGTGAGACTCCATCTCCAAAAAATAAAAATAAAATAAGAATGTCAATATATAAGAAGGAATAGAAAACTGATAGGATTTTACTCTTTTGCTAAAATACATTATATTGTATCTTTGAGATTGTACTAGTACAAAGTGTAATAAAACTAGATGTTTATTAAACCATTTAAATCATTGGTAAGTATACAAGAGCACTAAAGCATTTAATAGACAAAGTAATGTTAATCTATTGGTTACTTGCTCCTGCATTGTCATGCTGTTATAATTTACTTCATCACCTTGCTATTTGATACATAGTGTGAATTTCTCTTGTCATCTTAACTATTGTAAAGACGAATTTTCATCTTACTACACAATCAAAATGGCGTTGATGGTAATGAACTCCAGAGCCTGGGCCTGAACAGGGAGGTGGTCTCTCAGGCTTGATGCTCAGGCCTATATCTCTCCATTTTTGCCCTATCTCTTAAATATATGTAATGTCATAAAATGCTTTTGAATCTTTTTAAAAAGTGTCAAGCTCATGAAAGACAGCCTAAGAAACTATTACAGATTGGAGGAAACTAAGGAAAAATAAAACTGAATGCAGTGTGTATCCTAGATCAGAGAAAGAACATTAGTGGAGAAAGAACATTAGTGAAATGTGAATAATTTGAGCTAATAATATTGTACCAGTAGCCGGATATGGTGGTGGGTGCCTATAATCCCAGCTACTTGGAAGGCTGAGGCAGGAGAAGCTCTTGAACCGGGGAGATAAAGGTTACAGTGAGCCGAGACCTCACCATTGCACTCCAGCCTGGACAACAAGAGCAAAACTCCGTCTCAAAAAAAAAAAAAAAAAAAAAAGAGTGTTAATTTCTTGGTTTTGAGCATTGTACTGTGGTTTTGTAAACTGTTAACATTAGGACAAGTAGAGTGAGTGGTATACAGGAGCTCCACTATTTTGCAACTTTCCTGTAAGTCTAAAATGGGTTTAAAATTAAAAATTTAAAAAAAATTAAAAGCAAACACCAAAATCCTTTCATTTACAAATTTAGCAAATATTTATTAAGTGCCTTCTATGTGCCAGGCACTGGACATTGAAAATATTAATAGAATAGTTAACCAGATAGACCAGGTTCCTACCGTCATGGAGATTAACATAACACAATGGTGAGGTATGAAGATGGGTTACTAGACAAATAATTACAGTGATTTAAAAAAAAAAATGCTGCCCATGGCCGGGTGTGGTGGCTCACACCTGTAATCCTAGCACTTTGGGAGGACAAGGCGGGAAGATCACTTGAGGTCAGGAGTTCAAGACCAGACTGACCAATATGGTGAAACCCCATCTCTGCTAAAAATACAAAAATTAGCCAGGTGTGGCACACTCCTGTAATCCCAGCCACTTGGGAGGCTGAGGCGGGAGAATCGCTTGAACCTAGGAGGCAGAGATTGCAGTCAGCCGAGATCGTGCCCCTGCACTCCAGCCTGGGCAACAGAGCCAGACTGTGTCTTAAAAAAAAAAAACAAAAAAAAACCTACCTGGAAAAGGAAGATGTAAATGAGCAACCTCACCTGGTCTGTGATGTCAAAATCTTCCCTGAGACCTGAAAAAGGAGTAGATATCATGGGGGTGGATGGAGGGCACATGGCACGTTTCAGCACCTAACAGCAGGTCCGTGTGAATGAAGCCTCGAGCAAACAGGAGAGTAACTGCAGAGAGCAGAAAGCAGTCAGTCGTAGGATTCTTTATGGCTTTCTACTCCAACCTAAGAGTGGCAGGATGCCCTGAATAATTTTAAGTGTGGGACTGATATGATCAGGTTTTTGTCTTTTTAAGATCCCTGTAAGTCAACTACAGAGGAAAAAGAGTAGATCTTGGGAAAACCTAAGAAGCAGCAACACATAAAAGGCAGGCAAAGGAAAAAGAGACTAGATCACAGCTCCCTGAGAGAGACGGTGGAAGTAAAGCAAGAGTCACCAGTCACCAGTCACCCGTATCAGATACTGTCTTGGAAGAAGTAATGAGGTCAGGCCAGGCCTGATGGCTCACACCTGCAATCCCAGCACCAGGCCGAGGCGGGTGGATCACTTGAGCTAAGGAGTTTGAAACCAGCCTCGGCAACGTGGTGAAACCTCACTTCTACTAAAAATACAAAAATTAGCCAGGCATGGTAGTGTACACCTGTAATTCCCAGCTACTTGGGAGGCTGAAGTGGGAGGACAGCTTGGGTCCAGGAGGCAGAGGTTGCAGTGAGCTAAGATCACACCACTGCACCCTAGCCAGGACAACAGAGCCAGACTGTATCTTTAAAAAAAAAAAAAAAAAAAAAAAAAGTAATGAGGTCCATTGCATGAACAACAACATAAAGGTTTTTGGTGGTCATAACCAGAGCAGTTTCAGCAGAGTACTGAGGGCAGAACAAAAGCCAGACTATAGAGAACTGAGAAATGGGCGATGAGGAAGTAGAGAAAGTATTGACAATTTTTTGAAGAGTTGTGGCCTTGAAAAAAAGAGAGGATGGTAGTTGCAAAAGGGGTGTGTGGCCAGTGAGAGTTTTTAATGTTGGAGAGACATTAAATTATTATTATTTTGAGACGGTCTCACTCTGTCACCCAGGCTGGAGTGCAGTGGCTTGATCTCTGCTCACTGCAATCTCCACCCCCTCGGCTCAAGCATTTCTTGTGCCTCAGCCTCCCAAGTAGCTGGGATTACAGGCATGCACCACCACACCCGGCTAATTTTTGTACTTTTAGTAGGGACGGGGTTTCACCATGTTGATCAGGCTGGTCTCGAACTCCTGACCTCAATGATCCACCCACCTCATCCTCCCAAAGTGCTGGATTACAGGTGTGAGCCACCATGCCCAGCCTAATTTCTTTCCTTTTAAGCCACTCTTCTCTTCACTTTCTTCCCTATCCAGTCTAGATCCCACTGTCTAGTGTTTTCTAAGGTAAGAAAGATTTCAGAAGGGGCGTGGCCTCCGAAGTGGGTGACTGAAGTAGAAAGATAGTGAAAAACATTGAGGTTGAAGAAGTCAAGGAAATGAAAGGTTCCAGTAGTTGTTCCGAACTCTGGCTCGGATCAAAATCACTTGTGGGGCATTTAAAAAATATGTAGATGGCAGATTTTCACCTCTCAGATTCTGACCTAGGAGCTCTCTGGTGGAACCTGGATGTCTATGTATTTATATCTGTGTATTTTAAAATCACTACATTAGACTCATTACTACACTAGTGTGTCTAATGCACAGCTCAGACAGAACCACTACACAGGCAGTGAGCTTCACTGGTATTCCTTAGGCATGGATTTTGGTATCCATGGGGGTTCTGGAACCAGTGTAACAGACATAAAATACTAATTTAGCACACTTTGGGAAAACTACAATTAGGTAATCTCTGGAGCCCTCTTCAGTTTGTACTGAAAAGAAAAATGGATCAGTCTGAGCTGTTCTGCACCCTGGGTGCAGAACATCACCCCACTGCACCCATTGCAGGGCGCACATGTTTAGAGTCATTTTGTTCCAGACTGACCCATTATCTTCACGTTCCTGGAATTTATGATACAAAGAATAATGTATAGCCAATCAATACCTTATGTGATTTTGATGTAGATTTTTGGTAAACAGCTCAGGAACTGCTCCTTATTTTCCTTTAAAAATCCACTTATGGCTGGGCGCGGTGGCTCATGCCTGTAATCCCAGCACTTTGGGAGACCGAGACGGGCGCATCACCACATCAGGAGTTCGAGACCATCCTGGCCAACATGATGAAACCCCGTCTCTACTAAAAATACAAAAATTAGCTAGGTGTGGTGGTACACGCCTGTAGTCCCAGCTATTTGGGAGGCTGAGGCAGAAAAATCACTTGAACCTGGGAGGCAGAGGTTGCAGTGAGCTGAGATCGCACCACTGCATTCCAGCCCAGGCGACAGTGCGAGACTCTGACTCAAAAAAAAAAAAAAAAATCCACTTATAACTGCTGTTAATCAGAGTGTATTTTCATGGCAACTTGAATCTATGCTCCCAAGTTGCAGTCCTCAAGCTTGGCCCAAATAAGCTCTCCGCTTAGATTAACTTTGCCTCAACTTCTTCCTTTTAGGTCAACATACCTGGCCTAAGGAGGCAGGATTGAGTGACTCTCACTCACCACTGGTGTTGCTCTTTGAAAGTGGCGCTTGGCACCAGCATGAACTCCCCATCCTCAGCAATCCCATCAGGTGTTTTGGGTAAGTTCTCCTGAATTCAGACCTCCCATTATTTGGGTGAAGGTGTAGACATTATTTGGGCTGTTTTTCAAACCTTCCCTTTTCCTTAAGAGTGAGGGCTTCAATCTCTGTCTTTGCACAGGAGATTCAGGTCAAGATATCTGCAGAGAACTGCCTTTTTTTTTCTGCCTCTGTCACAGCGGAAAGTTCAGGTCAAGGTTTTTCTGCTTCTGCCTCAGGACGGGAGGTTAGGGTAAGGGATTGGCAGTGTGGCACCTATGGTCTCATTTTATACAGCATGCTTTTAAGATTGCAGCTGTGTTTTATTTTTGGGAATTGGGGCTTGGTTTTTCATTTGTGACCATCACCAGCTGGGTTTGTGTATGACACTTATGGGGCGTCCTCTCGTAAATATCTAGGAAAGTGGACCCACCTAACACATGGTGGTCGTAA
The DNA here is from genome assembly GCF_000001405.40 of Homo sapiens. Lineage (NCBI taxonomy): Eukaryota > Metazoa > Chordata > Mammalia > Primates > Hominidae > Homo > Homo sapiens. The sequence continues at coordinate 55,906,812 of NC_000007.14, forward strand.
GCAGCAGTAGCCAAAAATGGGATCCTTTGAAATGTAAAGTAATTCATTTGCATACACAATTAAGGGGGAAAAGCTGGTTTTAGAACCAGACAACCTGAAGAGGAGACCTACTTTAGGTTTGTCCCAGCTGAAATCTGATAAGAAATTTGGAAAGACTTTTTATGTTACAGCTCTGTGGTCAGAAATCAGCTTAATTAAAAGCCTATATTTAGGTTATAACGTTTTCTGGAGCAAGGAAGGCCTCTCCACTTTTTTCTCTTTTAGATCCTGTTTCTGGGAATTTTTTTAGCCAGCTGAAGTCCCTTTTTAAATGTGTTCCTTCCCTGTTTGCTTCCTATGTTGGCATTTTTGCTGAGAAAAATGTAAAACTTCATTGGCCTTTTTGAAAGCTTTTGTAGAAGGAGCACTGTGGACGCATTGCATAGCCTGGTATTATGGTGTTTCCTTCTTTTGGGGCACTGGGGATTAAATATAAAAGTGAGATTTTTGATTTTTAAATATCTAGGTGCACTGCCTTCCAGTTGTGCCTGCCTTTCATGTATTTAAATATTAGGCCCTGGAAACTGCAGATACTTTCTTTGTCCTGTATTCATTAAAGGGCTTCATCCTGAAGTTAGTTCGTTCATGTTTCTGCAGAAGACATGATTTCATTCTTTTTTGTGGCTGCATGGTATTCCACGTGCAGGTTTGTTACATAGACATGTTGCGTAGCAATGTGGTCTGGGTTTCTGATGTATGCATCACTCTAATAGTGAACATTGCACCTAGTAGGTAATCTTTCAACCCTAACCCTTGTCCCACCCTCCCTCCTTTTGGAGTCTCCAGTGTCTGTTGTTCCCCTCTGTATGTCTACATGCACCCATTGTTTAGCTCCCACTTACAAGTGGGAATGTGAAGTCTTTGATTTTCAGTTTCTGAGTTATTTCACTTAGGATAATGGCCTCCAGCTCCATCCATGTTGCTGCAAAAGGCATGATTTCATTCTTTTTTATGGCTGCCTAGTATTCCATGTTGTATATATGTTACATTTTCTTTATCGAATCATCGGTTGATGGACACTGAGGTTGATTCCATGACTTTGCTGTTGTGAATGGTGCTGTGATAAACATACAAGTGCAGGTGTCTTTTTATATATAATAATTTATTTATCTCTGGATAGGTACCCAGTAGTGGGATTGCTGGGTCGAAAGGTAATTCTATTTTTAGTTCTTTGAGAAATTTCTATGCTGTTTTTCATTGAGGTTGTACTAATACTAATTTACATTCCCACCAGCAGTGTATACATGTTTCCACTTCTCTCCATCCTCACCAACATCCGTTGTTGTTTTTTTTTTTTTTTTTTTTTTTTTGAGATGGAGTCTTGCCATGTCGCCCAGGCTGGAGTGCAGTGGTGTGATCTTGGCTCAGTGCAACCTCCGTCTCCCAGGCTTAAGCGATTCTCCTGCCTCAGCCTTCTGAATAGCTGGGATTACAGGCATGCACCGCCGTACCCGGCTAATTTTTGTATTTTTAGTAGAGACGGGGTTTCACCATGTTGGTCAGGCTGGTCTCGAACTCCTGACCACATGATCCGCCTGCCTTGGCCTCCCAAAGTGCTAGGATTACAGGCATGAGCCACTGCACCTGGCCAACATCCGTTGTTTTTTGACTTTTTAATCATAGCCATTCTGACTGGTGTGAGATGGTATCTCCTTGTGGTTTGAATTTGCATTTCACTGTTGATGAATGATGTTAAGCATTGTTTCATATGTTCGTTGGCTGCTCGTATGTCCCACTTTTTGATGGGTTTTTTTTTTTCTTGTTGAGTTCCTTGTAGATTCTAGATATTAGTCCTTTGTCAGATGCATGGTTTGCAAATATTTTGTCCTGTTGTCTGTTTACTGTGTTGAAAATTTCTTTTGCAGTGCAGAAACTTCTTAAGTCCCAGTTCTTTATCTTTGCTTTTGTTGCATTTGCTTTTGAAGTCTTAGTCGTAAATTCTTTGCCTGGGCCAATGTCCAGAAGAGTTTTTCCTAGGTTTTCTTCCAGGTTTCTTATAGTTTCAGGTCTTATGCTTAGGTCTTAATGTAATACATCTTGAGTTAATTTTTGTAGATGGTTAAAGATAGGGGTCCAGGCCGGGTGCGGTGGCTCATGCCTGTAATCCTAGCACTTTGGGAGGGTGAGGTGAGGTCAGGAGATCGAGACCATCCTGGCCAACATGGTGAAACCCTGTCTCTACTAAAAAATACAAAAAATTAGCTGGGCGTGGTGGCACGTGCCTGTAATCCCAGCTACTTGGGAGGCTGAGGCAGGAGAAATCGCTTGAACCAGGGAGTCGGAGGTTGCAGTGAGCCGAGATCACGCCACTGCACTCCAGCCTGGTCAACAGAGCAAGACTCCGTCAAAAAAAAAAAAAAAAAAAAAAAAGATAGGAGTCCGGTATCATTCTTCTACATGTTGGCTATCCAAGTTTTCCCGCACCATTTATTGAATAGGATGTCCTTTCCCCATGTATATTTTTGTTAACTTTGTCAAAGACCAGTTGATTGTAGGTAAGTGGCTTTACTCATATATGGATTAGCTATTCTGTTCCATTGATCTATGTGTCTGTTTTTGTACCAGTACCATGCTACTTTGTTTCCTGTAGCCTTTTAGTATAATTTGAAGTCACATAATGTGATGCCTCCAGCTTTGTTCTTTTTGCTTAGGATTGCTTTGGTTATTCAGGCTCTTTTTTGGTTCCCTAGGAATTTTAGGATTGTTGTTTCTAATTCTGTGAAAAATGACATTGGTAATTTGATAGGAATTGTGCTGAATCTGTGGATTGCTTTGAACAGTATGGCCATTTTAATGATATTGATTCTTCAAATCCATGAGCATAGGATGTTTTTTCATTTGTTTGTGTCATCTACCATTTCTTTCATCAGTGTTTTGTAATTCTCCTTATAGAGATCTTTCACATCTTTGGTTAAATGTATTCCTAGGTAATTTTGTGTGGCTATTGTAAATGGGATTGCCTTTTGTAAATGGGAATGCTATTGTAAATGGGATTTGCCTTGGTTTGGTTCTCAGCTTGAACGTTAAAAGTATATTGAAATATTACTGATTCTTTTACTTTTTTTCTTATTTTTGAATATATGTATGTGTGTATATATATGTGTGTGTATATATACGTTTATGTGTGTGTGTGTGTGTGTGTATATACGTTTATGTGTGTGTGTGTGTGTATATATATATATGTATTTTTTTAAGAGACAGGGTGTCATCATGTTGCCCAAGCTGGTCTTGAACTCGCAGGCTCAAGCTATCCTCCCACCTCAGCCTCCCAAAATGCTGGGATTATAGGCATGAGCCACTGTACACTAATTTGTATCTTGAAACTTTTACTGAAGTCATTTATCAAATCTTTGGGGTTTTCTAGGTATAAGATCATGTCATTAGCAAACAGAGATCATTTGACTTACTGTTTTCCAGTGTGAATATCCTTTATTTCTTTCTCTTGCCTGATTGCTGTGGCCAGGACTTCTGGTACTATGTTGAATAGTAGTGGTGAGAGTGTGCATCCTTGTCTTGTTGTAGTTCTTAGGGGAATGCTTTCAACTTTTCCCCATTCGATATGATGTTGGCTGTGGGTTTGTCATATATGGCTTTTATTATTTTGAGGTATATTCCTTTGATGCTTGGTTTGTTGAGGGTTTTTTGGTTTTGTTTTTGTTTTTTAAGACAGGGTCTTACTCTGTCACCCAGGCTTCAGTGCAGTGGTGTGATCTTGGCTCACTGCAACCTCTGCCTCCCAGGCTGAAGCGATCCTCCCACCTCAGCCTCCCAAGTAGTTGGGACTACAGGCACAAGCCACCACACCCAGCTAATTTTTGTATTTTTTGTAGAGACAGGGCCTCATCATGTTGCCCTAGCTGGTCTCAAACTCCTGGCCTCACGTGATCTGCCTGCCTCAGCCTCCCAAAGTGCTGGGATTACAGGCATGAGCCACCGTGCCTGGCTCCACTGCGCCCCAGCTTCTACCCATGGGTTCTGTGACAGGTTCCAGTACTCTTCCCTCAGCCTTCCCCTCCAGCCACGGTCATTCTCACCTGTAACCTTGGTTCTTTCTGCAGACAACTGGCTCTGCCATCTCTAGTTGCCCATCTTGGGGAAAAACCCGTCTGCTTCTCCTGACTGTGGGGCTTCTTCCAAGCTTATGCTTAGGGAATGAAGAACCTATTTCTTAAAGTGTTTTTAAATCACTCCTGAAAGGTCTGACTGTTAATGAAGGACTTTTGAAATGTTAGATTCCTGCCATGCTTGGAATGGCTGCCTTATCTCACAGGACCATTTCACTGGAACTGCAGTTTTCTCTTTTAAAAAATTGCTCCTCAGAATGGCTTCTTTCTTTATTTCCATCACTCACATTTTAAAATAGATTTCTCAGGTCAACCTTTGTGAACAGAAAAAGATGTATTCCTTCATGATTATTAGCAAATAATAATACAATCTTACTTTGTTGTTGAAACATGTGTTTTTCCATCTTTCTAAAGAAAACAGTCATTGTTTCTCGAGGCAGAGAGCATGTGTTCTCTGTTCTGGAAAAGGTAAGAAAAGGACTGAGGCTGAATTTGTTGTTATTGACACATGTACACCTCTGCCTTTTGTAATGTGTGAATCTGAGAAATTCTAAAAGTGCTTTTTGATTCAAGAATGCCACACCTTACTGTGCTCTGTCTGTGTGAAGAATAGTTTGTATGTCTCCTTACAGACTCTGTAAGCCCCTAGGTGGCTGAGACTGCTGGATTTCTTCTGCTGACCCTGGTGCATCTCATTACAGGTCTTCAACCTAAAATTCTATCTTACAAGATCCTTGCCAGGATGCAGATTTGAATACTATAGTGAAGTCTGTACATGAAGAAATGATGCTTTTAGGGAGGAAAAAAAAAGGTAATAACAACCTTCAAGAGCCCCTTCATCTCAACTCGGCATAAACAAGGCAAGATTCTGAGAGTGGCCGCCCCTGGAAGCAGAAATTATTCTTGTGGCTATCCATTGGCTCCTGAGGCTCTAATCAGAGATGGGGCACCTTTAGTACCAGGGGAGTGACTGTTGCCCATAAGGTACTGGACATCAACTTTCAAGAGCAGCCCCAGCTCCTTAAGCTGCTGGTCCTGGTGCATCTGCTGACTTTCATGTAGAAGATAGCAGAGCTTTGGCGACATTACAACATAAGAACTGCAGAGAGGTGTAATCCCAGTGGAAGACTGAATCGAGAGACTCAAAAAGGAAGGTAAACACTTGGAAAAATCAGAATAGTGACATCTCCTTTGCATATTGGAAGGATCACCTTAGGGGAGAGGAGAGGCAGATCTCTGGAGTATTCACTTTGGGGTGAATTCATTCCTTGTGGGGATAAAGAGTAAGAATGGACCCTCACCCATGTGCTCTCCATCGCCTCATCCCAGTAGTTCTCATCTACACTTAGAGTCACTTGGAGACTTTACAATTTAAAATGCTGTTGCTCAGACCCATGCCAGATCAATTAAATCCAAATCTCTGAGTGTAGGGGCTGAACACTGGCTTCTTTTTAAATTGCCATCAGTATTTAGCCAGGGCTGAAAGCCCCTGAGCTCCCCTATGCCACAACAAGGGGAGTTGCACCCCCGAAGACAGACAGTTCTGCATTGAATTCCCGAACTCCTGAACATCATAGAAGAGTAGAGACGTCACAACCTTTAGGCTTATGTCTTAGAGGGCTTCTCAGTACTGTCTGCCATACCTACACAAAGCAGAATCTCCAGGATTTAAATTTAACCTTCGTGTCATATATTAACAAGATGCTTCTCTTTTTCCTAGTTATGCCTTCTCAGAATGCTGTTTTTTCTCAGGAGGGGAACATGGAGGAGGAAGAAATGAATGATGGCTCACAGATGGTGAGATCTCAGGTAAGTTCAGTTTTCCTCTCCTCTGAAATGCCAGTGTTCTCAGAATGTGGGCACTTTTACTTTTTCATTTCTCAGAAGTGCTGAGTCACAAAAATCCAGAGCCCAGGAGATTCATGTGACAGATGATATACTCTCCACAGCATGTTTTCCATTCACCTATGTAGCTCTTTCTAGCTCTTCCCTCCTTCCAGCATTTTCACCAGACTCAATTTCATGGATTCCTGCCTGTTCTGGACGCTGTGAAGAAAACAAAACAATGGACTGTCTTTTAATCGTCCTTAAATAGCTCAGTAAAATTTAAACAATGCTTGCATTCTCTGTGTAAACACAGTGACTGATGCCGAGGCCCCTAGGACTGCTTGGAGCTAATGGGATTAATAAGAATGCCTGAGGGTAACATCTATCACAAATTAATGTTTCCCAAGCATCTGTTGTATCTCTTCCAAAACCTGTTTAAATCTGTTTTGATTCCTTTTTTTTTTTTTTTTTTTTTTTTGAGACAAAGTCTCGCTCTGTTGCCCAGGCTGGAGTGCAGTGGCACGATCTCGGTTCACTGCAACCTCCGCCTCCTGGGTTCAAGTGATTCTCCTGCCTCAGCCTCCCGAGTAGCTGAGACTACAGGTGCCCACCACCACGCCCGGCCAATTTTTTGTATTTTTAGTAGAGATGAGCTTTCACTGAGTTAGCCAGGATGGTCTCGATCTTCTGTCCTCGTGATGCACCCACCTCAGCCTCCCAAAGTGCTGGGATTACAGGTGTGAGCCACCACGCCCGGCCTAAGTCTGTTACGATTCTATAATCTGATTCGGTATTATGTAAACTGGTGAGTATGAATGCAACAAGAGTTGTTTCTATGAAAACTAGTCGAATGCTTTGGAAGGAGTTGATAAATGCTGTCACTTTTTAAAAATTGCTATCAAATTAGGTGTTAGCAATACTACCTCACTGAAGAAAAATCATAAAACTCTCAGGATTCCTCCACAAATATTTGCCACGTGTCAGTTGCTTGTGTAATTGACTTGTGAAACTGCTTCATGAAACAGAAACTGTTGCATTATAGGTATGAGCACCCATTCTTTAAAATCACTCATAGAAAAGGCTTAGCTGGCTGAGTGCAGGGGCTCATGCCTGTAATCCCAGCACTTTGGGAGGCTGAGGTGGGCAGATCACAAGGTCAGGAGTTCCAAGACCAGCTTGACTAATATGGTGAAACCCTGTCTCTACTAAAAATACAAAAATTAGCCAGGCGTGGTGGCAGGTTCCTGTAGTCCCAGCTACTCGGGAGGCTAAGGCAGGAGAACCACTTGAACCTGGTAGGCAGAGGTTGCAGTAAGCCAAGATCGTGCCACTGCACTCCAGCCTGGGCAACAGAGCGAGACTCCATCTCAAAAAAAAAAAAAAAAAGAGGCTTAGCTTTATTTCCAAAGATGAGAAAATGAATGCACATTTATATATTTTAAATTAAAATAAAATATTTAAGATCTCTTTTATGGATCGCTAGTTTAGCCATCTTTTTTGCTTAACACATCAGATACCGGTCTCAATTGCTTCAGATAGGATTTCTATCATTCCAATTATATGTGATAATCATTATCCTTATGTAGCCAATAAACTCATTGAAGGGGATTTTTTTGGTTTGTTTTTTGTTTTTTGTAGAGACAAGGTTTCACTATGTTGCCCAAGCTGTTCTCAAACTCCTGGGCTCAAGCCATCCTCCCACCTCTCCCTGCCGAAGTGCTGGGATTGCAGGTGTGAGCCACCACACACAGCGTGGGGGGCTTGTTAAAATCCACATCACACAACTAATATTCAGAAATGCATAATGTTGGATGCTGCTGTGAATGCAAAAGACAACAAATACAACAGGTGCTGGGAGAAGGGAGAAGTCTGATTGAGACTGTAGGGATGAGGGAAGACTTCATGAAAAAGGCAGAGTTTGAATTTGTGTTGATACCAGCAGGTAGGGTTTGGAGATTAGAGAAAACGGGGGACCATTGCAGACAGGAAATAAAACTTGAGCAAGAGCAGGGACAATAAGGAGACTGTCAGCTAGAGCTGAGCTTTTATTTGGTGTATATTAGTGCTTTGGGATCTTTGGGTTTCAAGGGATAGATTCATTTGGTTTATTTTATTTTATTTTATTTTTTTTGAGACAGAGACTTACTGTGTCACCCAGGCTGGAGTGCAGTGGCACAATCTCGGCTCACTACAACCTCCGCCTCCCGGGTTCAAGTGATTCTCCTGCCTCAGCCTCCCAAGTAGCTGGGACTACAGGCATGCGCCACCACGCCCAGCTAATTTTTGTATTTTTAGTAGAGACGGGGTTTCACCATGTTGGCCAGGCTAGTCCGCCCCCATCAGCCTCCCAAAGTATTGGGATTATAGGCGTGAGCCGCCGCACCTGGCCCATTTGGTTTATTCTTAATTAACTGTAAGACTCCCCAAAGACAGGAATAGAAAGACATCTAGAAATAAGTGGCATGTCTGCTTTTCCACATTCTAGCCCAAGGAGTTAGTTTTAATTTTCTGGAACCATTTATTATGTTTAGAAGGAAGATGATTCATTCACTCAATAAATATTTTTTGAGTAGCTAGTATGTGACAAGTTTTTTTTCTTTTCCTTTTTTCTTCTTATGGTCTACTGGTCATTTCATATGTGACAAAAATTATGCTTTTTATCAGCTAGACATCACTGAGAAAAATAGACATGACCCCAAACCCAAGGAGCTTATTGAAAGACATTTAGCAACTATACTAATAAATTGCAAAAGAGATGTGTTTTAAACAAAATGAAAACAGGGTGCTATGAATACACATTAGGGAATCAGGGAGAAACTGTGGGGAAGTGAAATTTAAGATGAGAAAGAAAAGATAAGTAGAACCTACGAAAAGTAAGTGGAAAAGAGCATTTTGGACATGTGCTAAAAATCATCTGCAAAAATCACGGGTATATTTGAGAAATTAAAAGAAGACCACTGTGGTTGGTGTGGAAGGAGGGAGAGAATGACTTGAAGTGAGCTTGGAGAAGTGAGCAGGTCTTAAATACACAAAGCCTGTGGCCATGAAAACAGGTCTGACTTTTACTCTGAGTGCAGTGGAAAGCCTTTGGGGGAATTTAAGCAGAAAGATAACATAATAAGTAATCCAATTCTACATTAAAAATCATCCTGGTGCTATATACTAACTGAATTTGTGAGAGGCAGAGGTTGAAAGGAGAAAAACCAGTTAAGCTACTGTAGCATTCTCAGTGATAGAAAATAGCATAAAACTAGTCATTGGAGGAAAGGAGGGAGATTTGAGTGCTTTCCTTTGGAAACAGCAGAGATTAGCTAAGGGGTAAAAGCAAAGGAAGAAAAAAGATGACTTCAAAGAGTGGAACCCAGGAAATGGCACTATTGGTAATGGTAAATCAGATCATGTCATTCCTCTGCTCAAAGCGCATGGCTCCCATTTCACTCAGAGTAAAACCCAAAGTCCTTAAGATGGCCTAAACAGTCCTATAGAATCTGGCCTGTTACCTGTCGAATTTCATCATTTACTTTTCTTCCCCTTATTCCATTCTAGCCATCCTGGCCTCATTCTTCTTCCTTAAACATGGCCCTGGGGCCTTTGCACTGTTAACCTGTCAAGCTTCTTTCTCAAATGTCACCTCTCCAGTGCCATCTTTCCTGACCACGCTATTTAAATTTGTAACTGCCCCACACCCATATTCTTGAACCCTTACACTACTTTACTTTTATCTTCTGACATACTATATAATTTACCCAGTTATGCTGTTTGTTGTCTACTTTCTTTCCTAGAATATAAGCTTCATAAAGGCAGGGAGTTTTTGTCTCTTTTATTCACTGGTACATCCCAAGCACCATGCCTGGCATATATATAGGAAGCACTGAATAACCATTCATTAAACACATGGGGAATTTAGCATATGATAAAGGTAACATCTCAAACCAGTGATAAAAAGCTGCTTTGTTCAATAATTGATGTTGGGATTTCTGGGAAACCATCTGGAAAAAGATAAAGTTGGATCTGTACCTCATACTTCACATCAGAATAGTCTTCAAATGGATCAAATATTTAAATATGAAAAATGAAACCACAAAAAGTTATGCAAGAAAAAAATGGGAGAATTCCTTTATAACTTTCACCAAAGAAAAACTTTCTAATCACAGTGATTGATGGGTTCAACTCATTAAAAACACCAAAAGCGGCCGGGCGCAGTGGCTCACACCTGTAATCCCAGCACTTTGGGAGGCCTAGGTGGGCAGATCACAAGGTCAGGAGATTGAGACCATCCTGGCTAACACGGTGAAACCCCGTCTCTACTAAAAATATAAAAAATTAGCCAGGCATAGTGGTGGGCGCCTGTAGTCCCAGCTTCTTGGGAGGCTGAGGCAGGAGAATGGCGTGAACCCGGGAGGCGGAGCTTGCAGTGAGCCGAGATTGCGCCACTGCACTCCAGCCTGGGCGACAGAGCAAGACTCTGCCTCAAAACAAACAAACAAACAAACAAAAAACACCAAAAGCATCTGCATGGAAAAAAAAAAACAACAAACTATAAGCAAAGTAAAAAGACATGTCAAGTTGAAAAAAATATTTTGCCACTCGAATTACAGTGGTCTCATCTTTCTAATATATAAAATACTTCTCTAAATCAGCAAGAGATTAGGAGTCCAACAGAAAAAGGTACAAAAGGCCAGGGACAGTGGCTCATGCCTGTAATCCCAGCACTTTGGGAGGCTGAGGCAGGCTGATCACTTGAGGTCAGGAGTTTGAGACAAGTGTGACCAACTTGGTGCAACTTCATCTCTACCAAAAATACAAAAATTAGCTGGGGGACTAGTGGTGGTGTGCACCTGTAGTCCCAGCTATACAGTAGGCTGAGGTCAGAGGATCACTTGAGCCCAGAAGGTGAAGATTGCAGTAAGCCATGTTTGCACCACTGCACTCCAGCCTGGGTGACAGAGTGAGACCCTGTCTCAAAAAAAAAAAAAGAAAAAAAATTTTAAAGACAGTTCACAGCAAATAAAGTTCAAATGGATCTTAAACACAGGAAAAGTGTTCATCTGTACTGCAAACAAGAGGAAATTTGTGTTAAAACTAGAGAAAGCTGGATATTTTATCACCAAGCTTGATATTTGCCATGAGTTTGATATTTTCCACAAGTATAACATATTCTGTTGGCAAAGCTGTGGGGAAACAGACACTCTTACACTGCTGGTGTGAATGTGACAGATTGCATTTTCAGAAAAATGGCCAAAATACCTCCCATCCCAAATGCTTTCTTGCAAGTGACTTTGACACTCATCCCATTATAGATGTGGAGATCTGTGTGCTCTCCATTGGATCTCGGCAAGGCTGTGACTGGAGGATGCAAAGCTTTGTGACTTTCAAGGCAGATCATAAATGGCAGTAAGACTTCTACCTCATTCTGTTGGGATGCTTACTCTAAACCCGACCACCTTGTCAGGAGGAAACCCAGACAGCCCATGGAGAAGCCCATATGGAGAGGAGCCAAGGCCCACAGCCCTAGCCGAGCTCCCAGCTGAAAGCCAGTACCAATTTGCCAGCCTTGTGAGTAAGCCATCTTGAAAGTGAATCCTCCAATCCCCAGTCAAACCTTCCCACCTAGTCCTGCCCAAATTGCAGATTTATGAGCAAAGTAAATGATACTTGCTATTTTAATCCCCCAAGTTTTGGGATGGTTTGTTATGCAGCAAGATAATTGTTAGGGATTTTAGTACCTGAAAGTGGAGTGTTGCAAAAACAGAAACCTAAACCACAGGGCACTGACTTTGGAACTGAGCACTGGGGATAAGATAGAAAACGAGTGAAATAATAAAGGGCCTCAAGGCGAGTTAATGGAAAACTAAAGGGCCTTTGTCAAAACTCAAAGGATAGTAAGGAGAATGTTATTAGAAGCTGGAGGATAGAGGACCCTCGAAGAAGAAATGTTGGATAACATTGTTACCTTCAGTAACAAGGAAAATAGAGGCCAGGCATGGTGGCTAATGCCTGTAATCCCAGCACTTTGGGAGGCCAAGGCCTCACTCGAGGTCAGGAGTTTGAGACTAGCCTGGCCAACACGGTGAAACCTCGTCTCTACTAAAAATACAAAAATTAGCCAGGGCATGGTGGTTTGCGCCCGTAATCCCAGGTACTCAAGAGGCTGAGACAGGAGAATCGCCTGAACCCGGGAGGCGGAGGTTGCAGTGAGCCCAGATTGCACCACTGCACTCCAGCCTGGGTGACAGAGAGAAATTCTGCCTCAAAAGAAAGAAAAAAAAAAAGGAAAATAGAGAATATATTTAATGAACTCAACGATCTACTAAAGAGATTCTCAAGTAGAAAATTGAAAGTGCCAACTGGCAGTTTCTGGCTGCCTAAAGTAAAATGTGAGGGAAAAAGATAAACTAACTGAAGAACTGTTAAATATAAGTGAACAATGAATTCCTGAGTTTGAAAAGAAAACTTTCTCATTCACATCTGTCCAAGCAGCAAATGATAACCAAATTCAGAAAGGGATTCACACCAAAGATCTAACCCAGGGTGGACTATAATATGCTGTGTAACAACTTCAGAAGGATCCAGGGCAATGCCTCAGAGGACCTGTCCTCTCTTAAACGCAAGGTTTCTAAGAATGGTTAAGGTGATGTGCCAATGCAGTCTCACAGGGAACCCAAAGGAGAGAATGGCTGATCTCAAAGAGATTTATGGGTGTGGCATTTGTATTGTAGTGTAGCTGGATAAATTGGTAAACACTCCAGTTTTTTTTTTTTTTTTTTTTTTTTTTTTTTTTTGAGATGAAGTCTTGCTCTGTTGCCTAGGCTAGAGTGCAGTGGCACGATCCTGGCTCACTGCAACCTCCACCTCCCGGGTTCAAGCAATTCTCCTGCCCCAGCCTCCCGAGTAGCTGGGACTACAGGCATGTGCCACCACACCTGGCTAATTTTTTAAATTTTTTTACACTTTTTATTGAAGTAAAGGAACATACAAAAATACACATACTATAAATGTTAAAAGCTCAATTAATCACCAAATGAATTCATTCGTGCAATCTTCATCCAGATCAAGAAACAGAACATTACCAGTATCCCAGAAGATCCTTCTGTGTGTTCTCTCCTACTCTCTACCTCAAGTGTATTTTTTTTTTTATTATACTTCAAGTTCTGGGGTATGTGTACAGAACGTGCAAGTTTGTTACAAGGGTATACATGCTATGAACAGCACTCATGTAAAACAGCAACCTTAATTGATAAATGTTGTGTGTTCTGACTGCTCCACCATCTGGCTGTTCCTCCATCTCCCTCTCCCCCGGCTTCCCTATTTGCTGAGACACAGCAATATTGAAATTAGGCCAAGTAATAACCCTACAATGGCCTCTGAGCATTCAAGTGAAAGGAAGAGTCACATTCTTCACTAAAAGGAACCAGGGATTTTTTGCCACTCATGGATGAGCAAAGAAAGTGGTTTCTTGAGATGGAATCTACTCCTGGTGAAGATGCTTTGAAACTGATTAAGATTAAATGAGAAGAGCATGTCGAATGCATTTGAAATAGGCCAAAAGCTTGGCCTCTTGGGCCAAACAGCCAAGTCATGTGTACAAAGGAAAAGCTATTGAAGAAAATTAAAATTGCTACTCCAGTGAACACATGAATGATAAGAAAGCAAAACAGCTGTGTTGCAGATATGGAGAAAGTTTTAATGGATTGGATAGAAGATCAAACCAGCCACAACATTCCCTTAAGCCAAAGCCTAATCCAGAGCAAGGCCCTACCTACCTCTCTTCAATTCTCTGAAGGCTGAAAGAGGTGAGGAAGCTGCAGAAGAAAAGTTGGAAGCTATAAGAGGTTTAAGGAAAGAAGCTGTCTCGATAACATAAAAGTGCTAAGTGAAGCAGCAAATGCTGATATAGTAGCTGCGGCAAGTTATCCAGAAGACCTAGCTAGGATCACTGATGAAGGTGACTGTACTAAACACATTTTCAGTGCAGATGAAACAGCCTTATATTGGAAGAAGATGCCATCTAGGACTTTATTTATTTATTTATTTATTTATTTATTTATTTATTTTTATTAGTAGAGACGGGGTTTCACCATGTTGGCCAGGCTGGTCTCGAGCTCCTGACCTCAAGTGATCCTCCTGCCTGTGCCTCCCAAAGTGCTGGGATTACAGGCGTGAGCCACCATGCCCAACCCAATCTAGGACTTTAATAGCTAGAAGAAGTCAACTCATGGCTTCAGAAGACAGGCTGACTTCTTTTGTTAAGGGATAATGCACCTGGTGACTTTAAGCTGGAGCCAATGTTCATATTATTCTAGAAATCCAAGGTTCCTTAAGAATTATGCTAAGTCTACTTTGCCTGTGCGCTAGAAATGGATCAACAAAGCCTGCATGACAGCATACCTGTTTACGCATGGTTTACTGAATATTTTAAACCCACTGTTAAGAACCACTGCTCAGGAAAAAAAAAAAATCCCTTTAAAAATTACTGCTCATTGACAATGCACCTGGTTACCCAGGAGCTCTGATGGAGATGTACAAGAAGACTAATGCTGTTTTCGTGCCCACTAACACAACAACCATTCTGCAGCCCACGGATCAAGGAGTAATTTTGACTTTCAAGTCTTATTATTTAAGACATGCATTTCATAAGGCTCTAGCTGCCGTAGATAGTGATTCCTCTGATGGATCTGGCCAATGTAAATTGAAAGCCTCCTGGAAAAAAATCACCATTCCGATGCCATTAAGAACATTTGTGGTTCGTGAGAGGAGGTCAAATATCAACATTAACAAGAGTTTGGAAGAAGTTGATTCCAACCCTCATGAATGACTGAGGCTTTCAAGATTTCTGTGGAGGAACAAACTGCAGGCATGGTGGAAATAGCAAGAGAACTAGAATTAGAAGTGCAGCCTGAAGATGTGGTGGAATTGCTGCTTAAGGATGAGGAAAAAAAGTGGTTTCTTGAGATGGAATCAGTTCCTGGTGAAGATGCTTTGAATAATGTGGAAATGACAATAGTGGATTTAGAATATTCCATAAACTTATTAGATAAAGCAGCAGGAGGATTTGAAAAGACTGACTCCAATTTTGAAAGAAGTTCTACTGTGGTAAAAATGCTATAAAACAGCATCACATGCTACAGAGAACTCTTCCGTAAAATGAAGATTCAGTGCAGCAAACTTTATTGCTGTCTTTTGTTTGTTTGTTTGTTTGTTTGAAACAGAGTCTCGCTGTGTCGCCCAGGCTGAAGTGCAGTGGTGCAGTCTTGGCTCGTTACAACCTCCACCTCCCGGGTTCAAGCAATTCTTCTGCCTCAGGCTCCTGAGTAGCTGGGATTACAGGCACGTGCCACCATGCCTGGCTATTTTTTTGTATTTTCAGTAGAGACGGGGTTTCACCATGTTGGCCAGGCTGGTCTCAAACTCCTGACCTTAAGTGATCCACCCACCTCGGCCTCCCAAAGTGTTGGGATTATAGGCATGAGCCACCACGCCTGGCCTTATTGCTGTCTTATATTAAGAAGTTGCCTTGGCCGGGCACAGTGGCTTAACGCCTGTAATCCCAGCACTTTGGGAGGCTGA
Organism: Homo sapiens; assembly: GCF_000001405.40. Classification (NCBI taxonomy): domain Eukaryota; kingdom Metazoa; phylum Chordata; class Mammalia; order Primates; family Hominidae; genus Homo; species Homo sapiens. The sequence goes on from NC_000007.14 coordinate 55,922,309, forward strand.
GGCGGGCAGATCATAAGGTCAAGAGATTGAGACCATCCTGGTCAACCAACATGGTGAAACCCTGTCTCCACCAAAAATATATAGCTGGGCGTAGTGGTGCACACCTGTAGTCCCAGCTACTCAGGAGGCTGAGGCAGGACAATTGCTTGAACCTGGGAAGCGGAGGTTGCAGTGAGCCGAGATTGCGGCACTGCACTCCAGCCTGGGCAACAGAGTGAGACTCTGTCTCAAAAAAAAAAAAAAAAAGAAGTTGCCACAGCCACCCCAACCTTCAGCAACCACCTCCCTGATCAGTCAGCAGCCATCAGCATCAAGGCAAGACCCTCCACTATCAAAAAGATTACAACTTGCTGAAGGCTCAGATGATCATTACCATTTTTTAGCAATTGAATGTTTTAAATTAAGGTATGCACATTATTTATTTAGATGTAATGCCATTACACACTTAATAGACCAAATATAGAGTAAATTTAACTTTTATAGGCACTGGGAAACCAACAAATTCATGTGACTCACTTTATTGCAATATTATTGTGGTGTCTGAACTGAACCCACAATATCTCTGAGGTGTCCTTGTAGTTTTTTAATCATTTGGATGAAATGAGAGTCATTTTTCCCGTGCAGCAAACTGTAAACACTTAAACGCAGAAATTATTTCATGTATGTTTTTGTCTTGAAAGATGATAGAAAGGTACTAATTTTTTTAAAAGAAAAGTTTGACCTGAACAACTCAGAGTCCTGAAGACTATCAGCACAATGGCTTAGATAACCTGGTGCTACACTTTCATTCCCTCCCTTGAGGGTCCCTGTAAGAACCGTTTTTGCCTGAGCAGGGATGTGCTTGATGTTTCAGGAATCACTGACGTTTCAGGATGTGGCCGTGGACTTCACCAGAGAGGAGTGGGACCAGCTGTACCCTGCCCAAAAGAACCTCTATCGAGACGTGATGCTGGAGAACTACAGGAATCTAGTTGCACTGGGTGAGGATGGCATCCCTGTGAAACCGGAAGCCGTTCACGTGGGTTTATTTCCTGAACTAGTAGAAGCCTGCAAAGTTTTTGTGAATATAGTTTGGGCTGGGATAGAAGAATGCTAATCAGTTTTGGAGTCAAAGACCTTTGTTTTCTGCTCTTTCTCCTCCAATGGAATGTCTTGATTGAGTTTGAGATGAGTGGCTTTATTTTGCTGCCTCTGAAGTCTCCCCTCCAGAGGCTCTAAAGATTGAAAAGGTTGGGAGTGTGTCTGAGAATTTTGTTCCCAGTACAAACTCCTAAGATGTATGTTACTCCTGTGAATAGGGTATCAGCTTTGTAAGCCAGAGGTAATCGCGCAGTTGGAGCTAGAGGAAGAATGGGTGATAGAAAGAGACAGCCTGCTGGATACTCATCCAGGTAAGTGCACACTCTTGGGCACTGCTACTTAATGAGGGAAAACAGCCACTTCTGAACCACTCAGTGGAGTGTTCCAAAAATCTCCCTCTGGGATATAAGGAATACTAAGCCTTTTGAAAAAAATCAGTTCATATTTTATATTTTTCTGAATTTGAAATGGCTGTCTTATTTTTTCTCATTGAACAGATAATATACACTTATATTGTTTTAAAAATGCACACAAACCAAAGGTTATTTTGAAGGTATCCATTTAAACACCCATAAATATCTTGATATTACAGATATCCACACAGCACTTTCTTTGTATTTTTTATTTACACATCCCTTATCAGTATTCTTTAAATCTTTCTTTTCCATGAGAGGTGATCCGAGAAGAAATTTTTTAAAAAGCTTTCTTTTCCATATCAAAAATCTTCTGCCATTTTAATCTATTTTTCATCTTTTCTTTTTCCTTTTATCATCAAACTCTTGACACTTGTATACAACCCACAGCCTAATTTCTAATTCTCTTGCTCTCCTTTGTGATATGTCCCCAATTCCTACCTCTACTACTAACATTGTTTTCTTGGAGATTACCACTAATTTCCTTCCAGTCAAATCCAGTGGCTACAAAGCCAGTTAGGATTGTGTTGACTTTCCCTTCTTGAAATGTTCTTCCACCCTGGCTTGTGATGCACACGATTCTTGTCCCTTCCAGCCTCTCTCTGTATCTCCCTCTGTCCCTTTCCTGCATTTTCTTTCTCCTTATTCTCCTAAAAATATGTATCCCTATGGACTGGCTGTTCCACTCTGCAGTAAAGTGCTTTTAAGTAGTCCTTCTGTATCATTTTCCCATTTCTCCATTTCTAGTCCCAGTATTTCACCCACATTCTCCTGTCAGAATTGAGATTATGGCTGGTCATGGTGGCTCACGCCTGTAATCCTAGCACTTTAGGAGGCCGAGGCAGATGGATCACCTGAGGTCAGGAGTACGAGACCAGCCTGGCCAACATGGTGAAACCCAGTCTCTACTAAAAATACAAAAAATTAGCCAGGCATGCTGGCACTCGCCTGTAGGCCCAGCTACTTGGGAGGCTGAGGCAAGAGAATTGCTTAAACCTGGGAGCGGAGGTTGCAGTGAGCCAAGATCGCGCCACTGCACTCCAGCCTGGGTAACAGAGCGAAACTCCATCTCAAAAATAAAAAAACAATTTAGATTATATTTTTGTTTATTAGTGTCATGCTGTCATTTTACTTAAATATTTCAAAACCTGGATCTGTTGGCTTTATACTCTCTTCTTTAAAGCATTCCCTTAAATATGGGATTTCTTGACCAAAAAAAAAAAAAATCCCAACCACCTTAGTTTCCTATTTCTGGCATACCACCTACGATGTTCTGCCTGGCTGTTTTAACAAGGAGTGGACTGCTGACTGTACACCAGATGCTGAGTTAGGTAGTTTCTACTCTGGTCCATGACACCAGGTGAACCTACCCCATCTCTGTGAGTTCCCACTCTGGCTCTTTGCTCTGGTACCTGGCTTCATCGTTTGGACTTGGTTTTCTGTCATTCAAACTCTTCGGCTTTTTCAAGTTGACTTTGACTTGGCTATCCTTCTTGCTTTTAATGCTCTAAGTGATCTTAGGTAGAAAACCTTGTTCCTGGCCGGGCACAGTGGCTTACGCCTGTAATCTCAACACTTTGGGAGGCCGAGGCGGGCAGATCACGAGGTCAAGAGATCGAGACCATCCTGGCCAACATGGTGAAACCCTGTCTCTACTAAAAATACAAAAATTAGCCAGGCGTGGTGACGTGCGCCTGTAGTCCTAGCTACCTGGGAGGCTGAAGCAAGATAATCGCTTGAACCTGGGAGGCAGAGGTTGCAGTGAGCCGAGATTGCACCACTGCACTTCAGCCTGGCAACAGAGCAAGACTCCATCTCAAAAAAGAAAAGGGAAGAAAAGAAAACCTTGTTCCTGTTTTAGCCTCACTGAGATCTCTTAGCCTCACTGAACCAGAATTTTCACCTAACCAGTGCTCACATTCCATGAATAGAGTTGGTAATTAAGACATTTTGTCAAGAAGCCTGGGCACCTTCCCTGACAATGCTGGGACATATTTCTACAGCCTTCCACATCCCCAAACCTGGGGAGTAGGAAACTAAAGGAACAAATTAGAGAACTCCCTTTTCAGGTAAATTTCCAGGGCAGGGACCTACAGCAGAGAGCAGAGCTATTCCTTCCCCCAGGCACCTATGCTGCCATCTGTAGGACCCACACTATCTCCTATTGTGTCCCTCTACACAGACCCCCAACTCGAAAAAATAACTGCTAATTTAGGAAAACTTCCAGATTTTGACCGGGCTCAGTGGCTCATGGCTGTAATCCCAGCACTTTGGGAGGCTGAGGTGGACAATCACTTGAGATCAGGAGTTCAAGCCTGGCCAACATGGTGAAACCCCATCTCTACTAAAAATACAAAAATTAGCCAGGCATGGTGGCGGATGCCTGGAATCCCAGCTACTCGGGAGGCGGAGGCAGGAAAATCGTTTGAATCTGGGATGCAGAGGTTGCAGTGAGCCAAGATTGTGCCACTGCACTCCAGCCTGGGCAACAGAGCGAGACTCTGTCTCCAAAAAAATAAAAAGAAAACTTCCAAATTTCATTGTGCATCTATATGTGGATGCCCAAGGCTCTTGGTTCACATATAAGCTTGAGCAAGTGGTTTTTTTCACATCTCTTATCAGGGACAGGCAGCCTAACCGTCTTCCCTAAGGTGACTGTTTGCATTTCTTCAATATCCTGTGAGACAGAATCAGGGGTTCCCCTGAGAGGATGTAGTAAAACATTTCTGTTTGTCAGGAGGCTAAGAGAATGATAGAGCTTATGCAGTCTAATTCTGCACGCCCACTAGGGTACTGCATGCCTCATTGTTATTGACATTTGCTGGTCCTTATTTATCTAAAATCTTTCTTAAGCTAAGCTGAGACCTGGAAAATACCCAGTAGATTTAGCAGCAAGAAAATTGGCAATTATATTATTGAGAGAAGTGACAGGGGGATGATTGGAAGAACAGTCAGTTTGTACATTGTTGCATGAACAACGGGGAGGTTTAAAATGAAAAAATTAGAGCTAGCAAGTGTGTAATATTCTTATAAGCAGCTAGACTGAGGGCCGGGCACAGTGGCTCATGGCTCATGCCTATAATCCCAGCACTTTGGGAAGCCAAAGCAGATGGATCACAAGGTCAGGAGTTTGAGACCAGCCTGGGGTTCACCAACATGGTGAAACTCCATCTCTACTAAAAATACAAAACTTAGCCAGGCATGGTTGTGGGCGCTTGTAATCACAGCTACGTGGCAGGCTGAGGCTGGAGAATCACTTGAACCTGGGAGGTAGAGGTTGCAGTGAGCCAAGACTGCACCACTGCACTCCAGCCTGGGTGACAGAGTTAGACTCCATCTCAAACAAACAAAAAAAGAAGCAGCAGCTAGCTAGAGTGAGGAGTGGGAAGGGGAAATAATAAAGAGGATATTAGCAGCCAGAATAAAAGGTAGTGTCAAAACAGGATTGTTCTAGGCCAGGCTCAGTGGCTCACGCCTAGCACTTTCGGAGACCGTGGAAGGATCCCTTGAGCCCGGGAGTTCAAGACCAGCCTGGGCAACATAGTGAGACCCCCATCTCTACAAAAAAATTAAAAGCCGGATGTGGAGGTATGAGCCTGTAGTCTCTGCTACTTGGGAGGCTGAGCTGGGAGGATCACTTGAGCCTAGGTGGTCGAGGCTGCAGTGAGTTACGATGGCACCACTGCACTCCAGCCTGGGCAATAGAGCGAGACCTTGTCTGAAAAAAGCAAAAGAATTGTTCTAAGCAGGAACGATTTTACTTGTTTATAATGCTGAAGGGAAGGAACCAGTAGAGAGGACAAGTAAAAAAATAGATACAGCTGGGTGCTCGCGCCTGCAATCCCAGCACTTTGGGAGGCCGAGATGGACGGATCACTTGAGGTCAGGAGTTCAGGACCAGCCTGGCCAACATGGTAAAACCCCGTCTCTACTACAAATACAAAAATTAGCTGGGCTTGGTGGCGTGCACCTGTAATCCCAGCTACTCGGGAAGCTGAGGCATGAGAATCGCTTGAACCCCGGAGACGGAGGTTGCAGTGAGCCAAGATTGCACCACTGCACTCTAGCCTGGGTGACAGAGCAAGACTCTGTCTCAAAAAAAAAAAAAAAAAAAAAAAAGCCACAAGAGATGGAGCAAGGTTCTAGAAGAGATGGGAGTGGGATTAGAGGGAAGGACATTAGGGTGACTGTATATGTCAGTAAATATGTCAGTGGAAGATTTGGGGGAGTTCACACATCATGACTTCTGTTTTCTTGGCAAATTAGGAAGCAATTTCCTTTGTTGAGTGTAAGGGAATTGGGAAGGCAGGTAGAGGACTCATGGTACATTTGCTGAAGCTTACAAGAGTCAGTGGAAGCTGACCAAAGACGAGCAGAGGCAGCACTGAGCAGTGATGAGGGCCCCCGTGAGACTCTGCCCCATACAGCTGTGGTTTCTAATTTGCATGAGTATGCTCTTCCTCCTGTTATATTTAACACTGGAAAGGGTTTATAGGACAGGGGTTGAGGGTGTTAGATTTTAGGGACTGAAGGAGGAAAACTGTGTGAAACTGTATGAGAGTTAATTCAAGTGATTTGACAAGTCTAGGAAGTGACAGGAAGTAGAATGAGGCCTGACGAGGACTTAAAACTAAAAGACCAAGGGAGAGTCAAAGAAATGGAGGTGTAGAAGAGGTCAGAAAGAGACAGAATGTGAGTAAGGCAGGAGAGTGTTACAATGAGTTGGAGATTTCTTAACGTGGAGCAGGCAAGGTCCAGAATATGAATGTATTGCCATGTAAGTAGACTGTTGAAGGTGGAACAAAGGTGAAGGCACAAACAACTACCAGTTGGATTACAAGATGGAAGAGAAGCACCCATGTAATAGCAACTGAACTGAAAAAAATAAAACACCTAGGAATAAACTTCAACAAGAGATATGCAATACCTTCATAGGAGAAACTTTAAACACTTCCGACAGACACAAAAATAAACCTGAATAAATAGACATGCCAAGATGGCAATGTCCCTACTATACATGTAATACAATTCCATAAAAAGTGCCTGCAGGCCGGGTGCCAGGGCTCACACCTGTAATCCCAGCACTGTGTGAGACTGAGGCAGGTGGATTACTTGAGTCCAGGAGTTTGAGACCAGCCTGGGCAACAGGTTGAGAGCCCATTTCTACCAAAAAAAAAAAAAAAAAAAATAGCCAGGTGTGGTAACACACGCCTGTAGTCCCAGCCACTCAAAAGGCTGAAGCAGGAGGATCAATTGAGCCCTGGATGTCGAGGCTGCAGTGAGCTATGATTGCACCACTGCACACCAGCCTGGGCTACAATGTGAGTCCATCTCAAAAATAAAAAACGTGCCTACAAGAGTTTGAGGGGAAAGCTAGGTAAGCTTATCTAAAGTTCATATGGAAAATCCAAAGCACAAAAATTATCAAGAAAATTCTGAAAAGGAAAATCGATGAGGGAGATTATTCCTACTAGATATTTAAAATATACAGTAAAATTTTATTAATGAAGTCAGACCAACTGAACAGAATAGACAAGTCAGAAGTAAACCCAAATACATGTGGGCATTTAATATAAAGGCATTATTTTAAATAATGGCATCATTTCAAATTAGGAGGTGAAAAGTGGGAATTGTAGTAAAGTGTTGAGACAACTGGTGCTTTTGAAATGTGCACCTCCTCATATATGGTAGATAGCCATCTGGAGAGAGACAGAATTGGATCTATAGCTTACCCCTTGAGCCAAGATAAACTCCAAAGGAAACAGATTTTACACGTAAAACATGAAACTATAAGAGATCTGGAAGAGGCTGGGTGCAGTGGCGCACACCTGTAGTCCCAGCTACTCAGGAGGCTGAGGCATGAGAACCGCCTGAGCCTGGAAGGTGGAGGTTGCAGTGAACTGAGACTGCGCCACTGCACTCCAGCCTGGGTGACAGAGCAAGACTCAAAAAAAAAAAACTGGAGAGAGAGACCTGGAAGAAAACATGGGAGACATCTTTTATAACCTTGAAATGGGGGAGTTTTTTCTGACTATAATTTAAAATCCAGAAGCCATTAAAGAGGAGATTCATATATTCAATACACACAAATCCAAAAATTCTGCATGGTATAAAATAATAATTCTGCTTGATGTAAAATAAGTGAAAAGATAACAATGGAGGAAAATATTTTCAACTTAGGTCAAAAGAGCTGATCATCCATGAATATTATAAAATGCTCCTCTTAATAAGAGGCCAACAGCCCAATAAAAATAATATGAACAGTTCTTTTTTTTTTGAAATAGAGTCTTGCTCTGTTGCCCAGGCTGGAGTGCAGTGACACGATCTCCGCTCACTGCAACCTCTGCCTCCCAGGTTATGAACAGTTCTTAAAGGAATCCAGATACATTTAACATATGAAAAAATGTTCAATCTCAGTCATAATAAGAGAAATACAAATTAAAGCTGCACAAATTATATTTTCTTGCCTACCATATTAGCAAAAGTTGAAAAGTTTGGCAGTATACACCGCTGGGTCCATGAGGAGGAAAGCATTTTCATACATTACTGGGATCAGGTGAACTGGAAGTCAGCACAAAGATGTCCTAGACCAGTCATGGGGCTTCCTTTCCACATACCTTGTTTGGTGTTGTAGGCTCTTTGGATGAAAAATAATGTAGTCTAGAGTAACATGTTTTTGTAAATAAAGTTTTATGGGAACACAACCACACTCATTCTTTTACATAAGAGGCGGGAGGATTGCTTGAGCTCAGGAGTTCAGGACCATCTTGGGCAACATGAAGAAACCCATAGCCACAAAACACAAAAATTAGCTAAGCGTGGTGGTGCACACCTGTAGTCCCAGCTATTCGGGAGGCTGAGTGTTGAGCCAAGAGGATCACTTGAGCCTAGGAGGTGGAGGTTGCAGTAAGCCGAGATCGTGCTACTCGCCTCCAGCCTGGGCAACAGAGACTGTCTCAAAAATAAAACAACCAAAAAACCATTGTCTGTGGATTCTTTCACCCTGCAACAGCAGAGCTGAGTGCGACAGAGACCATATGGCCCACAAAACTTAAAATATTTACTATCTGGCCCTTTACAGAAAAAAAACTTGTCAACCTTGCCAAAGCAATAGTTGTAAATTATTGTTAACCACCACTTTCATTAAAAAATGCATTTTTCTTGCCATCCATAAGATCTATATAATCTATAAAATTGAAATTGAGGCCTAGCGCAGTGGTGCATGCTTGTAATCCCAGCACTTGGGAGACGAGGTGGGTGGATCACGTGAGGTCAGGAGTTCGAAACCAGCCTGACCAACCTGATGAAACCCTGTCTCTACTAAAGATACAAAAATTAGCCAGGCATGGTGGCGGGCGCCTGTAATCCCAGCTACTCGGGAGGCTGAGGCAGGAGAATCTCTTGAACCTGGGAGTTGGAGGTTGCGGTGAGCCGAGATCACGTCATTGCTCTCCAGCCTGGGCAACAAGAGCAAAACTGTCTCAAAAAAAAAAAATTGAAACAGAAGTGTTACCCAACAATATTTATCGTTATCACTGTGTCTGATGAACTCTGACATTTTCTGTCTTTTTTTAGCATATTCTGTTTGTTTCTAATTTGAATTAACTACTGAATTAAAGTCATAACCCACTATAAATTGACGCATTTTTAAATTAATAAGAGAACCAAAAATATGATGATGCTTTACATGTAGAAAGGATTAATATTTTTTCAAAAAAATTGTTTTCCCCCTTCCCTTTCTCCCTAATTCTCTCCCTCCTTTCCCTCTCTTCTTCTCTCCCTCCTTCTTTCCCTCTCTCCTCTCCCTCCTTCTTTCCCTCTCTCCTCTCCCTCCTTCTTTCCCTCTCTCCCTTCTTTCTTACTTCCTTGTTTCCTTCCTTCCTGTTTCCTAAACAATGTAGTTCAAAAGCCATGGATGGGCCTGAGCAGGGGAAACATCTGCTTGGCAAGGCATGCCCTGGTGCGGAGGCCCTGCAAGATGTTCTTCAGGTTGCCCAGTGGCATCACAGCATGCTCATACTAAGCTAGAGCTTAGGCAATGAATGCCTTGAACTCCAGACTCCTGTGTAGTAGGAGCCTAGAGGACCATACCTCCCTGTGGGTTCAGGAACCAGGTCCACAGGCTGCAGATTCAGTGCTAAGAGACGTGAGAGGCAGTCTGTAGAGCTCCAGCCAATCATTTCAAACACTCTGGAGTCAAAGTCCACGTGCAACAGAAGCCTTTTGGCTGAAAAGAAAGTGTTCCAGTTGATAGTTTGGTTGAAATAATACATCGGTTTAAAATTAATCTTCTCAATCAGGTATAACTGTAATCACATATACTTTTAATTTTTCCATGTGTAATTTAATCTTAGACCATAGTCATTTGTATATATTTTGTACATCTATTGATCTATTTTCCATAACTTTTTGACTTGGACTTTTTTTTTTCTCTTAAAAATTTGTGGCCAGGCGTGGTGGCTTACGCCTGTAATTCCAGCACTTTGGGAAGCCAAGGCGGAAGGATCACTTGAGCCCAGGAATTTGAGACCAGCCTAGGCAATGTAGGGAGACTTCGTCTCTACCAAAAAAAAAAAGGCAGGGTATCGTGGCACGTGCCTGTGGTCCCACCTACTCTGGAGGCTGAGGCAAAAGGATCACTTGAGCCCAGGAGGTCAAAGCTGATGTGAGCTATGATCACACCACTGCACTCCAGCCTAGGTGACAAAGCAAGACCCTGTCTCAAAAAAAAAAAAAAAAAAATCTAATATATGTTTGGCCAACTAACTACTCTTGCTGTGCTATTTCTAATAAGAAGCTACAGCTGGGCGCGGTGGCTCACGCCTGTAATCCCAGCACTTTGGGAGGCCGAGGCGGGTGGATCATGAGGTCAGGAGATCGAGACCATCCTGGCTAACAAGGTGAAACCCCGTCTCTACTAAAAATACAAAAAATTAGCCGGGCGCAGTGGCGGGCGCCTGTAGTCCCAGCTACTCGGGAGGCTGAGGTGGGAGAATGGCGTGAACCCGGGAAGCGGAGCTTGCAGTGAGCCGAGATTGCGCCACTGCAGTCCGCAGTCCGGCCTGGGCGACAGAGCGAGACTCCGTCTCAAAAAAAAAAAAAAAAAAAAGAAGCTACAACCTAAATGTGAATTGGTTAAAAATACTTTGGTACTGACTGGGTGCGGTGGCTCACACCTACAATCCCAGCACTTTGGGAGGTTGAGGAGGGCGAATCACAAGGTCAGGAGTTCAAGACCAGCCTGACTAACATGGTGAAACCCCATCTCTATTAAAAATACAAAAAATTAGCTGGGCGTGGTGGCAGGCGCCTGTGATCCCAGCTACTTGGGAGGCTGAGGCAGGAGAATAATTTAAACCCAGGAGGCAGAGGTTGCAATGAGCCGAGATCACACCACTGCACTCCAGCCTGGGTGAAAAAGTGAGACCCTGCCTCAAAAATAATAATAATAATAATTTCATACATAAGGTCTTAAGGCCTACTTTTACTCCTGTAATTTTTGTTTGTTTGTTTGTGACGGAGTTTCACTCTTGTTGCCCAGGCTGGAGTGCAATGGCACAATCTCGACTCTGCAACCTCCACCTCCTGAGTTCGAGTGATTCTCCTGCCTCAGCCTCCCGAGTAGCTGGGATTACAGGCATGTGCCACCACGCCTGGCTAATTTTTTGTATTTTTAGTAGAGATGGGGTTTCACTATGTTGGCCAGGCTGATCTCGAACTCCTGACCTCAGGTGATCCACCCAACTCGGCCTCCCAAAGTGCTTGGGATTACAGGTGTGAGCTACTGTGCCCGGCTTCCTCCTATAATTTTATGCTTGAATTTACTTATTTGAATGTACTGTATTAAATGAGTAGGAATAGCTTGTTGGCCATGCATAAACTAATTTTTGTTTTGTTTTGTTTTTGTCGTTGTTGTTTGCGAGACAGGGTCTGGCTCTTGTCACCCAGGCTGAAGTGCAGTGGCACAATCTCAGCTCACGGCAACCTCTGCCTCCCGGGCCCAAGCAGTTCTCCCACCTCATCCTCTCCAGTAACTGGGACTATAGGTGCGCACCATCACACCCAGATAATTTTTGCATCTTTTTGTAGAGACAGGGTTTTGCCATGTTGCCCAGGCTGGTCTTGAGCTCCTGGGCTCAAGCATTTGCCCACCTTGGCCTCCCAAAGTGCTGGGATTACAGGCAAGAGCCACCATACCGAGCCTAATTTTTTGTTAAGGATAATTTAAAAGGGTTGGGGCTACCAGATTTTGTGTGGGTGAACATGATGAAATCAGTGACTTAGGAAGAATAATTTAGTTTTATTATGCTGAATAATAAAATGGGAGGAAAGATTGTTGGCAAAGAGACTAGTTAGGATCTCCTTAAAACAGAGGCTCTTAAACTTTTTTTGAATCTTGGACCCCTTTGAAAATCTAATGAAAGTTATGGTTCTCGCTCCAGAAAAAAATATATATGTACTTGCGCACAAAACTTCGTGTTCAATTTTAGCAGGTCTACAGATCCCCAGTACCACCAAAATATTCACAAAAGAAATAAAACAGCCCATAAATATATGGGGAAATGCTCAAGCTAAACATAATGAAATAAATAAAAATTAAAATGGATGAGGTACCATTTTTCACCCATCAAATTGGCAAAATCAAAATGTTATCACATCTTGTATGGGGAATGGTGTGGGTGAAATGAGTTACATTTCACACTGTTAGGTGCATTTGGTAGAGCCTTATGTGTGTTTGGTCTCCCAGGCTTAGGTACAGTGGCACAATCATGGCTGACTGCAGCCCCAGCCTCCCTGGGCTGAGGTGACCCTCTCACCTCAGCCTCCCTAATAGCTAGGATGGCAAGCACATGCCACCACACCTGGCTGTGTTTTTTGTATTTTTTATAGACAGGATTTCACTTTGTTGTCCAGGTTGATCTTGAACTCCTGGGCTCAAGCAGTCTGCCTGCCTTGGCCTCCCAAAATGCTAAGATTACAAGTGTGAGCCACTGTGCCCAGCCATGGTAGAGCCTTTTAAGAGAACAATTTGACAGAATTTATCAAAATGTGTAGTGTGCAAACCCTATGATCTGGCATTGCCTTTTTTTTTTTTTTTTTTTCCTGAGACGGAGTCTTGCTCTGTTGCCTAGACTGGAGTGCAGTGGCACGATCTTGGCTCACTGCAACCTCCGCCTCCTGGGTTCAAGTGATTCTCCTGCCTCAGCCTCCTGAGTAGCTGGGATTACAGACATGCACCACCACGCCCAGCTAATCTTTGTATTTTTTTAGTAGAGATGGGGTTTCACCGTGTTGGCCAGGCTGGTCTTGAACTCCTGACCTCACGATCCGCCCACCTTGACCTCCCAAAGTGCTGGGATTACAGGTGTGAGCCACCGTGCCTGGACTGGCATTGCATATTGTCTGTCATATTGAAATACTAGCTTAGGTCCATAAGATGTTTGTATAAGGATGTTCATTGCATTATTGTATGAAATAGCAAAGAAAATTGGAAACCTAAAATTTAACAGCAGGAGAAAAGATTTTTTAAAAGTAGGATATGCCCTTTAAAAAGAATGAAGTAGACCTATATATATATATACTCATTTAGAAAGAATATTGTTAAGTAATGAAATTACATGGGCAATACATACATTATCCTGTTTTGGTTTAAAAATAAATTAAAACTATATATGTATAAATACATACACATAGTTACTCATATATACGTGTGTGTTAGAAGGGACTCTTCCTCCCTGAGAGTTGACAGAAGATACCTGCATATCAAAGTAGGTGTAGGAACCCTCACCCACATCTCCATGAGCATAGGAAATGGCCTCATGAACCTCATCCCTTGGCCAGCCAGAGCAAGGCTATAAGAAAGATCTAACGGCCAGGCGCGGTGGCTCACGCCTGTAATCCCAGCACTTTGGGAGGCCGAGGCAGGCGGATCATGAGGTCAGGAGATCGAGACCATCCTGGCTAACACGGTGAAACCCCGTCTCTACTAAAAATACAAAAAAAATTAGCCGAGTGTGGTGGCGGGCACCTATAGTCCCAGCTACTCAGGAGGCTGAGGCAGGAGAATGGCGTGAACCTGGGAGGCAGCGCTTGCAATGAGCCGAGATCACGCCACGGCACTCCAGCCTGGGCAACAGAGTGAGACTCTGTCTCAAGAAAAAAAAGAGAAAGATCTGAGAGAGGCCAGGCATGATGGCTCACACTTGTAATCCCAGCACTTTTGGAGGCGGAGGCAGGTGGATCATTTGAGGTCAAGAGTTCAAGACCAACTTGGCCAACATGGTGAAACCCCGTCTCTACTAAAAATATAAAAATTAGCCAGGCATGATAGTGTGCACCTGTAGTCCCAGCTACTCGGGAGGCTGAGGTGGGAGAATCACTTGAACCCAGGAGGCGGAGGTTGCAGTGAGCTGAGATTACACCACTGCACTCCAGCCTGGGCAACAGAATGAGACTCTGTCCCAAAAAAAAAAAAAAAAATCTGAGAGGGACTTCCGTGAGGAGATTGGGTAAAGAGCAGAAAACCATGTTGTGAGGTCCTAACCCCCTTTTGAGGGAAGAGGTAGAAGGATGCATATTAAGGGTTGAGCCAAGGTGGAATGGTCAGAATTCTCCCCACCCAGTTTCCCATGACAGTTCCTGGCAGAATTAGTGATGATACTGCCTTTTACCATCAAGTGTCCCAATTAAGACAATAATTATCTGGTTACCCAACTTCAAGGGGACCACTCTGGCACCTGTAATATCTGTTCCCTGTGGTTGGAAGGTGAAGACTGATGTGGACCTCATGTCTAAGAATGCTGAAGCTGACCCACTCAGAAAGTCCAAGACCAGGAAGAGATGACTTAAATGGCCTTTGTGGGTCAGCCAGGAGAAGCTGCTGAGTTGGGATGAGTCTGCATTGCCCCGCTTTGTTGGGGCAAGGTATCATCGGTGTTTCCTGTGGGTCAGCCAGCATGGTCTTGGATCTTGTCAAGTAGGATGCGTGCCCAAAGTAGAGATATATCTATCTAGATTATGGAAATGACAAGGGGTGAGGGGGAGGTGTCTAGCAAGAGCCTCCCAAAAGTGGTAAAAGTTCTCCAAAATGAAGCCATTTTAACCATCTGCTAAGCTGAGTGAAGCCACTCCGCCATACAAAAACGAGCCTTTCTCTCCTCCCTCCACACAGTCCCTAATCCCTAACTCTTGTTAGAAACTAAACTGCAGTGAGTGGGCTGGGTGCGGTGGCTCATGCTTGTAATCCCAGCACTTGGGGAGGCCAAGGCGGGCGGATTGCCTGAGCTTGGGAATTCGAGACCAGCCTGACCAACATGGCAAAACCCTGTCTCTACTAAAAATACAAAAGATTAACCAGGTGTAGTGGTGCATGCCTGTGGTCCCAGCTGCTCAGGAGTCTGAGGCACAAGAATCGCTTGAACCCACAAGACAAGAGGTTGCAGGGAGCCAAGAGCACGCCACTGCACTCCAGCCTGGCCACAGAGCAAGACTCTGTCTCCAGATAAAATTAAAATTAAAATTAAAATTAAAAAAAACTACAGTGAGTGAGTGAGGGCAGGGGCGAGCAGGGAAGTAGTTAAGCGGGGAAAGAAGCAAGAGAGTAGAGGCAGAGAGACTCATTGGGAGAGGGTAGAGTCGGGGAGCGGCTCAGGCAGGGAGAAAGATAGAACATGACCCTTTCTGTAACCCATCCAGGGGAAGGGAAAGGAATTACTTTGGGGTTCTATTACCCAGGACTGAGCATTTTAATTATTGAGTAGATACTGTGTTTGTGACAATGTAACAGTAGGAACATCTGTTACCTAAGAATTAAGGGGAGGCTGGCAGCAGTGGCTCACACCTGTAATCCCAGCAACTTTGGGAAGCCAAGGCAGGAGGATTGCTTCAGGCCAAGAGTTCCAGACCAGCCTGGGAAACGTAGTGAGACCCCGTCTCTAAAAAAAAAAAATCAAAATATTAGTCAGGCATGGTGGCACACACCTGTAGTCCTAGCTACTTGGGAAGCTGAGGTGGGAGGATTGCTTGAGCCCAGGAGGTGGCTACAGGGAGCTATGATCATGCCACTACACTCCAGCCTGGGTGACAGAGTGAGACACTTTCTCAAAAAATAAGAATTAAGAGGCCGGGCACGGTGGCTCATGCCTATAATCTCAGCACTTTGGGAGGCTGAGGCAATCAGATCACCTGAGGTCAGGAGTTTGAGATCAGCCTGGCCAACATGGTGAAACCCTGTCTCTACTAAAAATACAAAAATTAGCTGGGTGTGATGGTACATACCTGTAATCCCAGCTCCTCGGGAGGCTGAAGCAGGAGAGTTGCTTGAACCCGGGAGGTGGAGGTTGCGGTGAGCCAAGATCACACCACTGCACTCCAGCCTGGGCGATAGAGTGATAGAGCGAGACTCCATCTCAAAAAAACAAAAAAAAGAGGAAAGCCATGGGACCTGTTCAAGTCTTCATCTAGAAGCAGAGGAAGAATACCTCCACTAAGTAAAGTTTAAAGAAGTTGTGGGAAACTAAAATGAAATTTAAAAATCATAATCCATAAGTCATGCTTGTCCAAAATATGTTTTTCATATATACCTGTGTGTACATAGGGAAAATCTGACAAGACAGGCTCTAAACTATTAACAAGGATTTCCTTTAATGGGTGGGATTCTTTCTTTACACATTCTCACATTATTTGAATACATTTCTATCAGCAAGTATTAGTTTTATCATTTTAAACAAAAGATAAAAATAGGAAGAAATACTTTTTAAATGAACAAGTAGCTGGCATTACAATCAAGTCATTGGCGTATGAGATTTATAAAGGCCTGGCCTTAGACCAGCCTTCTCTAATTAATCATTCCCCTGTCTCCCACCACTGATCAGAGACTTTTCCCTGATATGTCTTATTCTCCTGTCCATCTGCTTTCAAGCATGGATACTCCTGGATGAGCTCTTCTTTCTATGATTACTGCACATGTTTAAAAATTTCCCCCTGCTCCTTGCTTCTTGTGACTTCTCATAATCTTTCCCTTTGTGACGTGGCCACATTGAAAAACTTTCAATGCCGTGTATGCCTTGTACACATTACTGTCAGTTTTATTTGGTAATTCGCTGTGCAACAATTTCTTTTTCAAATCATAGATAACATGAGAATATTGGAAAGTATTTGTATGTTCTGAATTTCTTTTAGATGGAGAAAACAGACCCGAAATCAAAAAGTCAACCACAAGCCAGAATATTTCTGATGAAAATCAAACCCATGAGATGATAATGGAGAGACTCGCAGGAGACAGCTTCTGGTACTCCATCCTAGGAGGACTCTGGGATTTTGATTACCATCCAGAGTTTAACCAAGAAAACCACAAGAGATATTTAGGACAAGTAACTTTGACCCACAAAAAGATCACACAGGAGAGAAGCCTTGAGTGTAATAAATTTGCAGAAAACTGTAATCTGAACTCAAACCTTATGCAGCAGAGAATTCCTTCCATTAAAATACCCCTGAATTCTGACACACAGGGAAACAGCATCAAACATAATTCAGACTTGATTTACTATCAGGGAAATTATGTAAGAGAGACTCCCTATGAATATAGTGAGTGTGGAAAAATCTTCAATCAACATATTCTTCTTACTGATCATATTCATACTGCAGAGAAACCCAGTGAGTGTGGGAAGGCCTTCAGCCACACCTCATCTCTTAGCCAGCCTCAGATGTTGCTTACAGGAGAGAAGCCCTATAAGTGTGATGAATGTGGAAAAAGATTCAGCCAGAGGATACATCTCATTCAACATCAGAGAATTCACACAGGAGAAAAGCCTTTTATATGCAATGGATGTGGGAAAGCCTTCCGTCAGCATTCATCCTTTACTCAACATCTGAGGATTCATACTGGAGAAAAGCCCTATAAATGTAATCAATGTGGTAAAGCTTTTAGCCGCATCACATCCCTTACTGAACATCATAGACTTCATACCGGAGAGAAACCTTACGAATGTGGTTTCTGTGGCAAAGCCTTCAGTCAGAGGACACATCTGAATCAACATGAAAGAACTCATACAGGAGAGAAACCCTATAAATGTAATGAATGCGGGAAAGCCTTTAGCCAGAGTGCACACCTTAATCAACACAGGAAAATCCATACTCGGGAGAAATTATGTGAATATAAATGTGAGCAAACTGTTCGCCACAGTCCTTCATTTAGCAGCACATAACTTATGGTGGGGGAAATCAGATAAATATATAAATGTAGGAGATTTTTTGGTCAGACCTTTTTATCCCATTCAATATCAAATTATTCATAGTGGAGAGAAAGCTTATACATAAATTTTTGTTTTGTTTTGTTTTTGAGACTGAGTCTCACTCTGTCACCCAGGCTGAAGTGCAGTGGTACAATCTTGGCTCACTGCAACCTCTGCCACCTGGGTTCAAGCGATTCTCCTGCCTCAGCCTCCTGAGTAGCTGGGACCACAGGTATGCACCACCACGCCCAGCTAATTTTTTGTATTTTTAGTAGAGACGGGGTTTCACCATGTTGGCCAGGCTGGTCTCGAACTCCTAACCTCAGGTGATCCGCCCACCTCGGCCTCCCAAAGTGCTGGGATTACAGGCGTGGGCCACTGCGCCTGGCCATAAACTTTCAATGCGTAGAAACCAAATTAATTTAGACCTTAAACTAGCAGCATATTACATTCCCAGGAGGGGTTATAAAAAGAAAAAATAATTTATTTTACAAATGAGATTATATTTGGAGTCATGTTCCAAATCTGATATAAAACTTTTTAAAAAATCAGAAGTCCTTATCCAGGCATGGTGGTGCACACCTGCAATCCCAGCTACTCTGGAGACTGAGGCATGAGAATGACTTGAACATGGGAGGTGGAGGTTGCTGTGAGCTGAGATCATGCCACTGTACTCCAGCCTGGGCAACAGAGCAAGACTCTGTCTCAAAAAAAAAAAAGAAAGAAAGCCTATAGGCAACAACTTGTAATTACTCACCTGTAAGTTTTATGGTATAAAACTTTTTTTTTTTTTTTTTTTTGAGGCAGAGTCTCGCTCTGCCACCCAGGCTGGAGTGCAATGGCGCGATCTCGGCTCACAGCAACCTCCACCTCCTGGGTTCCAGCGATTCTTCTGCTTCAGCCTCCCGAGTAGCTGGGACTACAGGTGCGTACCACCACGCCTGGCTAACTTTTTTTTTGTATTTTTTAGTAGAGACACGGTTTCACCATATTGACTAGGCTGGTCTCGAACTCCTGACCTTGTGATCTGCCCGCCTCGGCCTCCCAAAGTGCTGGGATTATAGGCGTGAGCAACTGCACCTGGCAGGTTATGGTATAAAACTTTTAAATCAGAAATTTTGATTAATTAAAGACAATGCTGGCTGGGGGCGGTGGTTCACGCCTATAATCCCAGCACTTTGGGAGGCCGAGGTGGGGTGATCATCTGAGGCCAGGAGTTTGAGACCAGCCTGGCCAACATGGTAAAACCCCATCTCTACTAAAAATACAAAAATTAGCTGGGTATGGTGGTGCACGCCTGTAGTCTCAGCAGCTTGGGAGGCTGAGGCAGAAGAATTGCTTGAACCCGGTAGGTGGAGGTTGCAGTGAGCCAAGATCACGCCACTGTACTCCAGCCTGGGCAACAGAGTGAGACTGTCTCAAAAAAAAAAAAAAGTAAAATTTAAAAATAAAGGCGATGCTGTAGTGCAGCCAGTCACATTAACTTGAAATAAACATAAAAGAGGAATATTTCACGAACGTCAGTTATTTGTATGCTTTCTTTACAGTTTTTACCATATCTAGTATTTACTTAATATTCTTTATAAAGGGATGCAAGATTTTTAGCCTTCTCCTAGGAAATACTATTTAGCATATAAAATAAGTTATATGCTAGTTTTATATGCTAATTAAATTTATTCTACTCTTCATCAAAATAGATACATAACCTTGAAATTAAAAATATTCGTTGATGTCCCCCCAAAAATCTTGTGTGCCGTTGTTTGAGAAACAGTGTGATAGTTTGTGGCAATATCCTGTGATGATTCTTTTTGCAATCTTGACATTATTTTCATCAAATGAATCCTAGGATCACTTTGAGAAGAGCCTTGAAGAAGACTTGAGGGTCCTATTGATGAACTTTGAAATATTGATTCAGAGAAGTCTGCTTTTCTATTTTGTTTTAGCTTTAAATTTCCCTGTGGCAAGTCTAGATTTTTTTTCAGTTAAAATTATTTCTGCTGTATTTGTAGAACAGAAGTTTTGGGATTTTGTAAAATAATGACCAGAGACTAAGAATTCCCATGCCACCCCGTATCACTGTGGAAGATGGAGAAGTGAGGAACTGTACCTGCGGGTGAGCCCTGGTGCCATGTTGAGGGTGGGAATCAGGAGAGCTGCAGTGGCTTATATAAACACCTGACGAAGTAGTCTAATTGGCTTAATCATTTATTTTATTTATTGAAATATATATCTGGGCTGGGCACGGTGGCTCACATCTGTAATCCCAGCACTTTGGGAGGGCAAGGCAGGTGGATCACTTGAGGTTAGGAGTTCAAGACCAGCCTGGCCAATATGGTAAAACTGCGTCTCTACTAAAAATACAAAAATTAGCTGGGCATGATGGTGTGCACCTGTAACCCCAGCTACTCAGGAGGCTGAGGCAGAAGAATTGCTTGAACCTGGGAGGCGGAGGTTGCAGTGAGCCGAGACTGCACCACTGCACTCCAGCCTGGGCAATAGAGCGAGACTCCATCTCAAAAAAAAAAAAAAAAAAAGAGAGAAAGAAAAAAGAAATATATATCTGTAACACTTTTTTCCAAAAAGAATTCATATTAGTTTGTTTGCATTGCTATAAAGGAATACCTGAAACTGGGTAGTTTATAAAGAAAAGAAGCTTTATTTGGCTCACAGTTCTGCAGGCTGTGCAGGAAATACGGTGCTGGTGTCTGCTTCTGTTGATGGCCTCAGAACGCTTCCAATTATGGCGGAAGGTCAATGGGAGCCAGCATATTACATGACAATAGAGGGGTCAAGAGAGATGGGGGAGGTTGCAACCTCTTAAACACTCAGCTCTCACATGAACTACCAGAGTGAGAACTTGAAGGGGTGGCCTTCCCCTCCACACCCGTGAGTATTTCTAGTCAGGTGAGATGAGAGACTGAGAAAGGAAAGAAGACACAGAGACAAAGTATAGAGAAACAACAGTGGGTCCAGGGGACCGGCGCTCAGCATACCAAGGATCTGCACCGGCACTAGTCTCTGAGTTCCCTCAGTTTTTATTGATTATTATCTTCATTATTGCAGCAAAAAGGAATGTAGGAGGGCATGGTGATAATAAGGAGAAAAACATGTGAGCAATAGAATCTATGTCATAATTAAGTTCAAGGGAAGGTACTATGACTGGACGTGCACGTAAGCCAGATTTGTTTCTCTCCACCGAAACATCACAGTGGTGTAAAGAATAACAAGGCAGCATTGCTGCAAACATGTCTCGCCTCCCACCATCGGGCGGTTTTTCTCCTATCTCAGAATTGAACAAATGTACAATCCGGTTTTATACCGAGACATTCAGTTCCCAGGGGCAGGCAGGAGACAGTGGCCTTCCTCTATCTCAGCTGCAAGAGGCTCCCTCTTTTACTAATTCACCTCAGCACAGACCCTTTACGGGTGTCGGGCTGGGGGACGGTCAGGTCTTTCTCATCCCACGAGGCCGTATTTCAGACTATCACATGGGGAGAAACCTTGGACAATACCCCGCTTTCAAGGGCAGAGGTCCCTGTGGCTTTCTGCAGTGCATTGTACCCCTGGTTTATTGAGACTAGAGAATGGCAATGACTTTTACCAAGTATACTGCTTGTAAACATTTTGTTAACAAAGCACGTCCTGCACAGCACTAGATCCCTTAAACCTTGATTTCATACAACACGTTTTTGTGAGCTCCAGATTGGATCAAAGTGGTTGGGTCAAAGTGGCTGGGGCAAAGCTACAAATTAACAACATCTCAGCAAAGCAATTATTCAAAGTACAGGTCTTTTTCAAAATGGAGTCTCTTATGTCTTCCCTTTCTACATAGACACAGTAACAGTCTGATCTCTCTTTCTTTTCCCTACAAGAACTCATTCAATAACACAGGAGGACACCAAGCCATTCATGAGGGATCCACCCCCATGGCCCAAACACCTCCCACCAGGCCCCACCTCCAACATTGGGGATCACATTTCAACCTGAGATTGGAAGAGACAAATATCCAAAGTATAATATATCAGAATTTAAGGTGATTTCATTTGATTTTTATGATTGCTGCCTTGTTTGACAGAAGTCACATTTGATGTTTTTTTCTGTTTTTTGTTTGTTTTTTTGAGACAGAGTCTCGCTCTGTCACCCAGGCTGAGGTGCAGTGGCTTGATCTTGGCTTACTGCAACCTCCGCCTCCCAGGTTCAAGCAATTCTCCTGTCTCAGTCTCCCGAGTATCTGGGATTACAGGTGCGCGCCACCACGCCTGGCTAATTTTTGTATTTATAATAGAGACAGTGTTTCACTCTATTGGTCAGGCTGGTCTCGAACACCTAACCTCAGGTGATCCACCCGCCTCAGCCTCCCAAAGAGTTGAGATTACAGGTGTGAGCCACCGTGCCCGGCCCCACATTTGATGTTTTAAAGCATTCAAAATGTAAACGGTCATAAACCAGGAATAGCTGCAAGCATAGGGACACTTCAGTTTCTTGGTTTTCAGGTTTCCTCTGTCTTCTCAGGCATGGCTGAAGAAAACATAAGGTTAAGGTAGGAGTGCAGCCCACTTGCTTTCTCATCTTTCTTCTAACTTGAGCCTGGCTCAAGACTTCCCTGATTTATTCTCCCCGAGAAAGGACTAGATTTTGTAGGCCCTGAGTCAAAGCTGAAATGATTTAAGGACTTTAAAAAACAAAAACAATAAAACCCCCCCAAAAAAACTCATTTCATTGTAGAAATTAAACTTTTCAAAAGCATTTTTGTCCCATGCAACAGTAGGTATGAAATAGTTAATAAAACCTTGAGTTACTGTAATCAGGGAGGATTTCTAATAGTATTTTGTCCAAACGTGTGCAGTGGCGATGCATTTTCAGGGCAAATCAATTCTGGAAGCATCCTCACCCAAAAAAAGCCACATTTAACATTCATTTGCCATAATGAGGCAGGATATAGGGCACTCAGATTTCAGGAGGGGAGAGAGTGAGCGAAGGTGACGTCTCAGCAGAGGTATGTACTTTTTTGTTTGTTTGTTTTTTGAGACGGAGTCTCGCACTGTTGCCTGAGCTGGAATGCAATGGCACTATCTTGGCTCATTGCAATCTCCGCCTCCTGGGTTCAAGCTATTCCCCTGCCTCAGCCTCCTGATTAGCTGGGATTACAGGCGCCTGTCACCACGCCCGGCTAATTTTTTGTATTTTTAGTAGAGGGGGGGGTTTCACTATGTTGGCCAGGCTGGTCTCAAACTCCTGACCTCGTGATCTGCCTGCCCTCGGCTTCCCAAAGTGCTGGGATTATAGGCGTGAGCCACCGCACCCAGCCAAGTATGTACTTTTTAAAAGTAATGGTTAATTACACTTGGTAAAATCTTTGATCAAAGCTTAATTTTGTGGCTGGGCGCAGTGGCTCATGCCTGTAATCCCAGCACTTTGGGAGGCTGAGGCGGGCAGATCATGAGGTGAGGAGTTCGAGACCAGCCTTGCCAATATGGTGAAACTCCGTCTCTACTAAAAATACAAAAATTAGCCGGGCATGGTGGTGCGCACCTGTAGTCCCAGCTACTCGGGAGGCTGAGGCAGAAGAACTGCTTGAACCCAGGAGGCAGAGGTTGCAGTGAGCCGAGATTGTGCCACTGCACTCCAGCTTGGGTGACAGAGTGAGACTCCGTCTCAAAAAAAAAAAAAAAAAAAAAAAAGCTTACTTTTGCAACCAGGAAAAAAAAAGTATTTTGCAAAGAGTTCTAAAGGCTCCAGCACAAGGCAGTGTATCTGTATCACAGCACAGGTGAAAAACAAGAACAAGATGGAATTCTCAGAAGAGGATGAGCAGAACTTGGACATCCCAGAAAAAAGGTGTCTGGACTGAACCCGACCACAGTTGGCCAAGGACTTTCACCAATTCTTCATACATAGGAATGGTACATTAGAATCCTATTATATATTCCTTAGGGTCACAGATGATTCTGTTTATGTTAATTGTACAGTAAAATTGGTGCGGATTCATTCTCATGTTGTCCTTTGTTCTCTTCAAAATGTTCCAAGTTAAGGAGTGAAGCCTAAATATGTTCATTACATCAAAATACTGGTACCCCCAGTGTACGGGAGCCAGAGGTGTACACATTCCAGTACTTATTTGTTATGACTTGTTTCTATCTAGGAGAGCAATATATTACCCTTTCACTGTATCAGTTTCTTTGGTCCATCCAACCAGGTGTTGTTGTCCTTCTATAAGAAGAAATACTTAAGCTACACATAGTAGTAGATGACTTATTATTCAGGGTTTCTCTGACTGAAATGTCACTATAACATCAGTCATTTGACTCCTAATCCAGTAGATATAAACAGTGCCTGGAACAGTCTATTATAACACTCTGAAAACATTTGGTAAATATATGAATTTTAATAAAAGGAAAGATTGCTGCTCAACACCAAAATCTGTGTGACTATTTCTCATAACCTCAAAGTATTAGTAAACAATCGTCCTGTTCATTGGTTCTTTTATGTCCAAAGAGCTTGTTAGCATGGAGAAAAATACTGATATGATTTGGCTTTGTGTCCCCACCCAAATATCATCTCAAATTGTAATCCCCATGTGTCAAGGGAGAAACCTAATGGGAAGTGATTGAATCATTGGGGCATTTCCCCCATGCTGTTCTTGTGATAGTGAGTGAGTTCTCTTGAGATCTGATGGTTTTATAAGGGACTTCCGCTTCGCTCACTCACACTCTGTCTTGCCTGCCGCCATGTAAGACATGCCTGCTTCCCCTTTTGCCATGATTGTAAGTTTCCCGAGGCCTCCCCAGCCGTGTGTAACTGTGAGTCAAACCTCTTTCCTTTATAAATTACTCAATCTTGGGTATTTATAGCAGTGAGAAAACAGACTAATACAAATACTCATTAGAATTTGTATTTTGATTAATGTTCAGTGTATTTTTTTTTTAGACGGAGTCTCACTCTGTCGCCCAGGCTGGAGTGCAGTGGCACGATCTCGGCTCACTGCAACTTCTACCTCCCAGGTTCAAGCAATTCTCTTGCCTCAGCCTCCTGAGTAGCTGGGACTACAGGCACCCACCACCACGCCTGGCTAATTTTTTGTATTTTTAATAGAGACAGGGTTTCACCATGTTAGCCAGGATGGTCTCGATCTCCTGACCTTGGGATCCGCCCATCTCAGCCTCCCAAAGTGCTGGGATTACAGGCATGAGGTACGACACCTAACTCTGTGTATTTATTTAAGAAAACAATTGATGTTCTTTAAACAGTCAGCATTCCTCTACTTATTTGGACATTTGCAACTAATAAATAAAAAATTAAGAATTTCTAAAATTAGATATGCCTACTCTTTTAAACATTAACTTCAGATGTAAACAGATCTTAATGTTTCATTATATCCAAACCTAAACTGTCAGATTCTATTAAATGCTTTAAACACTTCAAGAAACAGAAAAGATACACCCAGATGTCACAATCATTATACCAAAACCAGTTGAAAAATGTTAACTGCGTGGATTTAATTTTTTTCTTATCCTTATTTGAACACTTTTCCAATTGGAACAGGGTTCCAATTTTCCATATGTTTCTAGGTTTATGTTTTTTTTTTTTGACAGAGTCTCACTCTGTCACCCAGGCTGGAGTGCAATGGCACAATCTCAGCTCACTGCAACCTCTACCTCCCAGGTTCAAGCAATTCTCTTGCCTCAGCCTCCCAAGGAGCTGGGATTACAGGTGCCCACTACCACGCCCAGCTACTTTTGTGTATTTTTAGTAGAGACGGGGTTTCGCCATATTGGCCAGGCTGGTCTCGAACTCCGACCTCAGGTGATCCACCTGCCTTGGCCTCCCAAAGTGCTGGGATTTCAGGCCTGAGCCACACTGCACCCGACCTTTTTTTTTTTTTTTTTTTTTTGAGACAGAGTCTTGCTCTGTTGTCCAGGCTGGAGTGCAGTGGCATGATCTCAGCTCACTGCAATCTCCGTCTCCTGGGTTCAAGCAATTCTTCTGCTTCAGTCTCCCTAGTAGCTGGGATTACAGGCATGCACCACCACGCCCGGCTATTTTTTTTTTTTTTTTGTATTTTTAAGAGAGATGAGGTTTCACCATATTGGCCAGGCTGGTCTCCAACTCCCGACCTTGTGATCCGCCTGCCAATCTTACCAGACCCAAAATAATAATACTGTCTCAAACTAAATTGTAGCATATGCATTAGCAATGCCTCATCCTTGGTCACGTCATCCATAAGACCTTGCATCAATGAAATAACTCTTATTTGGTCTTTTATAACAAAATATCACTTGTAGTGTTGTGGGACATTTTAAGACCTTTTGTATAAACTTTAAATTTTTGAGACTTGAACTTTCCCAAAAGTATCTAGCCATTGTCTGGTCATTTTTTTGACAGGACATAATGATCTTTTTAGCTAGCATTATTCCAAAGCCTTTATATTCCTTATTTGTATAATCAAAAGGCCATCCAGCTCCTTCTTCGTGAAGAGTGCAGTTTTTGTAGTCAGCTTTTCATTGTAGAACATTTGGCTGCTTAATCATTTTGAAACACACTGTTGAATCCTGCTTCTCCTTGGTTATTATTGTATGTAATCATTAGAGCCAATTAACTGTTAGACCGTCTTTCTACTTTGTTGAAGTAACTATTTTAACTGTTAGACCATCTTTCTACTTTGTTGAAGTAACTTTTTCCAAGATTACTTGGCTTGCCTAGCACCCCAATGTTTATTATTTCTTGATTAAACAGGAACAAATCTATATACACATACATATATATGTGTGTGTGTACATATGCTCGTACCTAGTAAGAAAAAAATATATATTTTTAGGTCAATAATGAATAAGGCTGGGTGCAGTGGCTCACGCCTGTAATCCCAGCACTTTGGGAGGTCAGGGCAGGTGGATCATTTGAGGTCGGGAGTTCAAGAGCAGCCTGGCCAACAAGATGAAACCCTGTCTCTACTAACAATACAAAAATTAGCCGGGTATGGTGACGAGTGCCTGTGATCCCAGCTACTCGGGAGGCTGAGGGAGGAGAATCACCTGAACCCAGGATGCAGAGGTTGCAGTGAGCGAAGATCACCCCACTGCACTCCAGCCTCAGTGACAGAGTGAGACTCTGTCTCAAAAAAAAAAAAAAAAGACTATTGTACATTCACATAGTAAAGTTCTGTGCAACTGAAAAGAAAGATCAGCATGTTCAGTACACTCCAGAAGCTGATTTGGAGCGATTCTTCCAGGATATGTTAAGTGAAAAGGGCAAATACAAAGCAGTCTACATAGAATGTTACTTTTGTAAGAGAATATATACAATCTTTGCAAAAAGAAATATAAGCAGGCCAAACCAGAAACTAATAAATTAGTTACCTATGGGAAACAAGAACAAGATCAAAAAGATTGGGAATGGAATGAAATTTCTCTGCTTGTATCTTTTTAAAGTTTTAGTCCTTCCTTCTCCCCTCCCCTCCCCTCCCCTTCCCTTCCCCCCTCCCTTCCCGTCCCTTTTTTTTTTTTTTTTTTTTTTTTTTTTTGAGACAGAGTCTCACTCCCTCACCCAGGCTGGAGTGCACTGGCACCATCTCCGCTCACTGCAACCTCCACCTTCCAGGTTCAAGCGATTCTCCTGCCTTAGCCTCCTGAGTAGGTGGGATTACAGGCGTGTGTCACTATGCCCAGCTAATTTTTGTATTTTTAGTAGGGATGGAGTTTCACCATGTTGCCACAGGCTGATCTCGAACTCCTGGCCTCAGGTGATCCGCATGCCTCGGCCTCCCAAAGGGCTGGGATTATAGGCGTGAGCCACTGCGCCCAGCCTTAAAGTTTTAATTTTTGAACCATTTTAATGATTTACACATTCAAAAAATAAGATTAAAAGGATATGGTTTTTCCTATCCTCGAATACAAAATTGTATACAAACATATAAAAATGAAGGCCAGGCACGGTGGCTCACGCCTGTAATCCCAACACTTTGGGAGGCCGAGGCGGGCGGATCATTAGGTCACAAGATGGAGACCATCCTGGCTAACGCGGTGAAACTCCATCTCTACTAAAAATACAAGAAAAATTAGCCGGGCGTGGTGGCGGGTGCCTGTAGTCCCAGCCACCCGGGATGCTGAGGCAGGAGAATGGCGTAAACCCAGGAGGCAGAGCTTGCAGTGAGCCGAGATTGTGAGCGAGACTCCGTCTGAAAAAAAAAAAAAAATCTAATTGTATAGAATATTGTTACAACCACACAGAAGAAAAAAAAAGAATCCCAAGAAATGTTGAACACAGTGCTGTCATTGTACACTCTAAGGACAAAAAGAACCACAAAAAATAATCTCACGCATCACTTAGAAAGTTTGTTTTTAGTCGGGATATTGTTAGTACAACTCCAAAAGCATATAGTGTATACTATAGGATTTAGCATTAATCATTGATGTTGTCGGGGTAGGGACCAGAGTTCTAACTGTGGAAGAAAGGAGATAAAAATACGGAACTGGTGAAGCAAAAGAAGAAACCCACTGGTGGCTCATGCCTGTAATCCCAGCACTTTGGGAAGCCGAGACGGGCGGATCACGAGGTCAGGAGATCGAGACCATCCTGGCTTACACGGTGAAACCCCGTCTCCACTAAAAAAAATACAAAAAATTAGCCGGCCTGGTGGCAGGCGCCTGTAGTCCCAGCTACTCGGAAGGCTGAGGCAGGAGAATGGCGTGAACCCGGGAGGCGGAGCTTGCAGTGAGCCGAGATCGCGCCAGTGCACTCCAGCCTGGGCGACAGAGACAGCCTCCGTCCCAAAAAAGAAAGAAACCCACTGCTGTTTAAAGGTAGGTGTGTGTGTGCGTGTGTGTATGTTTCAATGTATCGATAGCTACATCTGCTGAAATAGCCTACAGGCAGGAAAATCCCAGTAGCAAGTTGCTCACCTAGCACTCAGAGCTTTGTTGCTAAGTACCACTCCCCACTGATATTTTTCGTTTGAAAAACTTCTGATACAATAACTGGTCAGGGAAAGTATAGGTAAATCTGGACCAGCCAGGCACAGTGGCTCATGCCTGTAATCCCAGAACTTTGGGAGTCCGAAATAGGTGGATCACTTGAGGCCAAGAGTTCAAGAACAGCCTGGCCAACATGGTGAAATCCCGTCTCTACTAAAAATAAAAAAAATTAGCTGGACGTGGTGCCAGATGCCTGTAGTCCCAGCTACTCAGGAGGCTGAGGCAGGAGAATCCCTTAAACCCAGGAGGCAGAGGTTGCAGTGAGTCAAGATCATGCCACTGCACTCCAGCCTGGGCAACAAGAGTGAGACCCTGTCTCAAAAAAAAAAAAAAAAAAAACACTTTTAGGCCAGGCACGGTGGCTCACGCCTGTAATTCCAACACTTTGAAAGGCCAAAGTGGTTGGATCACTTAAGGCCAGGAGTTCGAGACCAGCCTGGCCAACATGTGAAACCCTGTCTCTACTAAAAATACAAAAATTAGCTGGGCATGGTGGTGCACGCCTGTAATCCCAGCTACTTGGGAGGTTGAGGCAGAAGAATCGCTTGAACCCGGGAGGCAGAGGTTGCAGTGAGCAGAGATCGCGCCACTGCACACCAGCCTGGGCGACAGAGCGAGACTCCGTCTCAAAAAAAAAAAAAAAAAAAAGAAACAAAACAAAAGAATGAAAGAAAAGTCCGAAACCTCCTGCGCCACTGTCCACTAGCTGCGCGCGTTAGGAAACCAGAGGTCAGCGCCCCCGACCCCGCCACCGCCGCGGGTCCCTTTAAGGGAGAGTGGGCGGGGTCCTGCCTTTAACTCCGCCCACGGCTAAGGAGATGCACGGCCTACGAGAGGGGTAGTGTGGGACTGAGCCAATGCGTACGGCGTGACGCCATCCCGCTGCGACCGGCGCTCCCCGGGGCAGGTGGCTGCATAGTCTTGGCGGAGGTGAGTCTCGTGGTGGAGGTGAGGGCAGGCTCCGGGGTATTGCTGCCGGGGGAGGATTTGCTGGGGACCCAAGGCACCCTCGCGTGAGAGCCCTGAGAGCGAATCGCTTCGTCTGACCTCGGGGTTGTCTGGGGCGAGGGCACGAATCACCCCAACCTTTCCGAAGCCTGGTGGAATGGCTTGTGAACTGATCTCAAAAGCAGCCCAAGTCATCCGTCGCTGGGCCGGGGAGGGGGACACCGCGGCGGCCCCGCCGAGTGCTACCTGGGCACTGAGCCTGTGGGGAGAGGCGACCCAGCGGGGTGGAGAGAGATAAGGGACCAGTAACGTCCAGCGTTTGTCCGTGGTATTGAGCGTTCTGTGGGTCAAATTCTCAAAGCACTCCTGCGAAATAGGCCTGCCCATTTTGCAGAAGGGGAACGTGAGGCTTGGCGAAGTTAAAGTTACCGCTTTGTAAGCGCTGTAAAGATGAGAGGTTGGGTAGTGGGGAACGTGTAAGCATCTCTGAAATGGTGATTCAAGCCGGGCGCGGTGGCTCACGCCTCTTAATCCCAGCACTTTGGGAGGCTTGAGGCGGGCGGATCACCTGAGGTCAGGAGTTCGAGACCAGTCTGGCCAACATGGTGAAACTCTGTCTTTACTAAAAATACAAAAATTAGCTCGGCGTGGTGGTGCGGGCCTGTAGTCCCGGCTACTCGGGAGGCTGAGGGAGAAGAATCGCTTGAACCCGGGAGGCGGAGGTTGCAGTGAGCCGAGATCGCGCCACTTCACTCCAGACTGGGCGAAAGAACTAAACTTCATCTAAAGAAAAATACATATGGCCGGGCGCGGTGGCTCACGCCTGTAATCCTAGCACTCTGGGAGGCCGAGGCGGGCGGATCACGAGGTCAGGAGATCAAGACCATCCTGGCTAACACGGTGAAACTCCATCTCTACTAAAAATACAAAAAAATTAGCCGGGCGTTGTGGCGGGCGCCTGTAGTCCCAGCTGCTCGGGAGGCTGAGGCAGGAGAATGGCGTGAACCCAGGAGGCGGCGTTTGCAGTGAGCCAAGATCGCACCACCGCACTCCAGCCTGGGCGACAGAGAGAGACTACATCTAAAAAAAAACAAAACAAAACTGTTTCTGGGTGGAGGGGGGAACGAAAAAGAAAAAAACTGTTTCTGGACTAACCTGGACAGTTCTTGTGACAAAATTCATGTGGCATCATAACCACCAGAATATGAGACTTTGGAATTTGCTTTTCAGGTGACCAAAGCCACGTAATGTCCGTAGTTCGCTCATCCGTCCATGCCAGATGGATTGTGGGGAAGGTGATTGGGACAAAAATGCAAAAGACTGCTAAAGTGAGAGTGACCAGGCTTGTTCTGGATCCCTATTTATTAAAGGTGAGAAACATTCTTGTTTCCGGGTGGCTTTGGTAAATCACCACCATGTCCTGGGTCCTAAGCAAAAAAACATTTATCTCTCAGTAAAGATGTCTTGTCTCTCATCTGCTTTGAGCCAGGCATTTTGCTGGTCTGTAGGTATAACACGGTTTACACATTCCAAGAAAACAGTTAATGTCAATCCACTCTAACTGCTGTAGTCATTCTGTATGCAAAGTACTGGCCGGATGAGGTGGCTCACACCTGTAATCCCAGCACTTTGGGAGGCCGATGCGGTTGGATCACCTGAGATCAGGAGTTCGAGACCAGTCTGGCCAACGTGGTGAAACCCCGTCTCTACTAAAAATACAAAAATTAGCTGGGCATAGTGGTGCGCACCTGTAATCCTAGCTACTCTGGAGGCTGAGGCAGGAGAATCTCTTGAAGCCGGGAGGCGGAGGTTGCAATGAGCCACAATTGTACCATTGCACTCCATCCTGGACAAGAGCAAAACTCTGCCTACCATGCACAATTCACAATAGGGTTTGTGCTCCTATAGGAATCTAATGCCGCTGCTGATCTGACAGGAGGTGGAGCGCAGGCGGTAATACTCATGCTGGCTCAACGCCACTCACCTCCTGCTGTGCGGCCCTGTTCCTAACAGGCCACTGAATGGTATCAGTCTGCTGCCCTGGGGGTTGGGGATCCCTGCTTGAACCCAAAGACAGGCTTGGAAACACGGGTAGGGATGAAGACTGGAGGTAAGGGAATGGGCAAAGAGGCTGCTGCAAAAGTCTAGGATGGAAATAAGGACCTGAACTAAAGTTGATGTAGTGGGGATGGAGTGGAAAAAATATTTCAGGAAGGACAGAGTCATTGATTTGTTTGCTGTGCCCAGGGGACGGATAGGTGCCAAGGATGGTTTCACATCCAAAGTTCAGCACACAGGTGGGTACCAATGCTGGTCATTATCAAGGATTAGAAACACAGGAGCAAGCTGAAGAGTGACTGCATGATCCTTGACCTTTGGGAGACCTTAGTTTGAATACTGACTCTTGTTTACCAGCTACACACATGGCTTAACCTCCCTGAACTTTTCTCATATGTACCTGCTGCAACAGGGTTGTTATAAAGAATAGGTGATTCTAGGCTGGGCGCGGTGGCTCATGCCTGTAATCCCAGCACTTTGGGAGGCCGAGGCAGGTGGATCACCTGACGTCAGGAGTTCAGGACCAGCCTGGCCAACATGGTGAAACCCCATCTCTACTAAAAAAACATACAAAAAATTAGCCGGGCATGGTGGCAGGCACCTGTAATTCCAGCTACTTGGGAGGCTGAGGCAGGAGAATCTCATGAATCTGGGAGGCGGAGGTTGCAGTGAGCTGAGATCGTGCCATTGCACTCCAGCCTGGGCAACAGAGCGAGAATCCATCTCACTGGATTGTCTCACTATATCACTCAGGCTCTAATTTTTGTACTAGAAGCCTCCTTAGTATCTTATCTTTTCCTAAGTCCTGGCTTGTTTTCCATACGTTACTTTTTCATATTACATATTACATTACCAGGTCACAGATGGGAACTACTGATTTGCTTCTCTCCCTCTCTCAACAGTATTTTAATAAGCGGAAAACCTACTTTGCTCACGATGCCCTTCAGCAGTGCACAGTTGGGGATATTGTGCTTCTCAGAGCTTTACCTGTTCCACGAGCAAAGCATGTGAAACATGAACTGGCTGAGATCGTTTTCAAAGTTGGAAAAGTCATAGATCCAGTGACAGGAAAGCCCTGTGCTGGAACTACCTACCTGGAGAGTCCGTTGAGTTCGGAAACCACCCAGCTAAGCAAAAATCTGGAAGAACTCAATATCTCTTCAGCACAGTGAAGCGGGAGTGGAAGAAGGATCTAAAGGGAAAAACTGACATGTTTATGTTATGGAAAAAGAAATTTTTCTAAGTTTCATCACAAACTGTGTCCAGTTTCTCTGTGGTGTTTATGAAATAGCTAAAAGCAAATGAAGTAAAGGGCATACTATGGTTTTTCACAAAGGTTTATGGTCGTGTTTCAAATTTTCATCATTTCAGTGAACATACTTCCACGTTACATTAAGTGTGCCTAGCAGTCTGTTGCATTTTGTAAGCTCACAGTTTTTTGTTTTGAGATGGAATCTCACTCTGTCACCCAGGCTGGAGTGCAGTGGTGCAATCTTGGCTCACTGCAAGCTCCGCCTCCCGGGTTCACGCCGTTCTCCTGCCTCAGCCTCCCGAGTAGCTGGGACTACAGGCGCCTGCCACCATGCCCAGCTAATTTTTTTTTTTTTTTTTTTGGTATTTTTAGTAGAGACGGGGTTTCACCGTGTTAGCCAGGATGGTCTTGATCTCCTGACCTCGTGATCTGCCTGCCTTGGCCTCTCAGAGTGCTGGGATTACAGGCGTGAGCCACTGTGCTTAGCAAGCTCACTGTTTTAGAAGGTTTTATTTTTGTCTTTTGAGACAGGGTTTTGCTTTGTTGTGGGGGCTGGAGTGCAGTGGTATGATCTTGGCTCACTGCAGCCTTGACCTCCCTGGCTCTAGCATCTTTCCACCCCAGCCTTCTGAGTAGCTGGGAACACAGGAGCGTACCACTACACTTGGCTGATTTTTTGTAAATTTTGTAGAGACAGGGTCTCCCTGTGTTGCCCAGGTTGGTCTCGGACTCCTGGGAGCAATCTGCCCATCTTGGCCTAACAGTGCTGGGATTACAGGCCTGAGCCACTGTGCCCAGCCGGTTTCCTTTATTTCATTCAAAGGAATTTTGAATTTATCTTAGAACCTTTATTTTGAAGGAAGAAAGTCTTTTTTTTTTTTGAGCTGGAGTTTCACTCTTGTTGCCCAGGCTGGAGTGCAATGGCATGATCTCAGCCCACCACGACCTCCGCCTCCCAGGTTCAAGTGATTCTGCTTCAGCCTCCTGAGTAGCTAGGATTACAGGCATGTGCCACCACGCCCAGCTAATTTTGTATTTTTAGTAGGGATGGGGTTTCTCCATGTTTGTCAGGCTAGTCTTGAACTCCGGACCTCAGGTGATCCGCCCGCCTGGGCCTCTCAAAGTGCTTGGATTACAGGCATGAGCCACTGCATGTAATGACCAGCCACTGGTCAGAATTCTTTCAATCAAGCTGTGTTAATAAGAATATTGATGTGTGGAAAATAAAATTTTACAATTCTGTGCCACTTTTCTTACATCCTAGGCTAGATTAAATAGGTGTAAGTTCCTAAAATCTGACACATTAAGTTGTAGGACTTCTCCCACATGCATTTGGGATGGAGAGTGAGTTTTGTTGCTATTCATTAATATACCACGATAATTTAGATTTTGACTTAAGGAAGCATTGAGCAGTATATTTCCGTTTTCTGGCCCCTAGAAAGAGAATAGGGGACTTTTTTTTTGAGATCGAATCTCCCTCTGTTGCCCAGGTTGGAGTGCAGTGGCACAATCTTGGCTCACTGCAGCCTCCGCCTCCTGGGTTCAAGCAATTCTGCCTCAGCCTCCTCGAGTAGCTGGGGCTACAGGAGTGTACCACCACGCCCAGCTAATTTTTTTTTGTATTTTTAGTAGAGACGAGATTTCACCATGTTGGCCAGGCTGGTCTCGAACGCTTGATCTCAGGTGATTTGCCCACCTCAGCCTCCCAAAGTGCTGGGATTACAGGCGTGAGCCACTGCGACTGGCCAAAAGGGGAATATTTCAATCATAGCTGATACATATTTGTTTGTTTGTTTGTTTTGAGATGGAGTCTCGCTCTGTTGCCCAGGCTGGAGCACAATGGTGTGATCTCAGCTCACTGCAACCTCTGCCTCCTGGGTTCAAGCAATTCTCCTGGCTCCCAAGTAGCTGGGATTACAGCTGCCTGCCACCATGTCCAGCTAATTTTTTTTAATTTTATTATTATTTTTTGTATTTTTAGTAGAGACTGAGTTTCACCATGTTGGACAGCCTGGTCTTGAACTCCTGACCTCAGGTGATCCCATCCGCCTCAGCCTGACAAAGTGCTGGGATTACAGCGTTGAGCCACCGTGCCCAGCCTTGATACATGTATTGTGTAAGCACAGGGTTTCCAGGATGATCACAGGCCTTGCCGGCCTCAGGGATCAATCTAGTTGGGGAGGTATGCACAGGTGCCTCCATGGCAAACAGGATATGGGTGAGGGTGAATTGAAGGTCACTTCTCAGGAGAGATGAGATGGTGCTAGAAGTAAGCATTGAAGCAAGAGTCTCCAGGACAGTAGATGATGGGGTGGAAAGGGCATTTGAGGCAGAGGAAAGGGAATGTAAAATCCACAAAGTGAATGAAAGTATAACCAGGGCTTCCGGAAGCAGATGAGGATTGCTGCAACATTTTCAGCAGTGGTGGAACTCAGAAATAGGTGAAAGTAACTATAAGTGATAGTGGCTGAACGTTTTAAAGAGTGACACAATTGCATTTGCATTTTAATAAAAGTGATTGCGTGATTGTAGAGAACAGACTGGAAGCGGACATGTTAGATAGAGGTGGGGAGACCACAGTTCAAAGACTGGTCCTAAGACCCAAACTGAGTTGTGCAGGGAAGGACTGAGTAACAGCAGTGAGGGACTGAATAACAGGTTCCAAGGCAGAACTGGTGCCAGGGTAGGTGAAGGAAACGGAAGCATCTTAGACTGTCCAGGTCTCTGGCAGGTGGGGCTGTGGGACTGCTTAGCCTGGAAGGGTACATGAAAGTATCAGGCATCTCCCACAAAAAAGAATGAGTTCGGCTGGGTGCAGTGGCTCATGCCTGTAGTCCCAGCACTTTGGGAGGCCAAGGCGAGCAGATCATAAGGTCAGGAGTTAGAGACCAGCCTGACCAACATGGTGAAATCCCGTCTCTACTAAAAATACAAAAATTAGCCGGGCGTGATGGCAGGTGCCTGTAATCCCAGCTACTCTGGAGGCTGAGGCAGGAGAATCGCTTGAACCTGGGAGGCGAAGGTTGCAGTGAGCATTGCACTCCAGCCTGGGCAACAAGAGTGAAACTCCGTCTCAAAAAAAATAAAAAATAAGGCCAGGCGTGGTGGCTCACGCCTGTAATCCCAGCACTTTGGGAGGCCGAGGTGGGTGGATGATGAGGTCAGGAGATGGAGACCATCCTGGCTAACACGGTGAAACCCTGTCTCTACTAAAAATACAAAAAAAAAAAAAAAAATTAGCCTGGTGTGGTGGCGGGCGCCTGTAGTCCCAGCTACTCAGGAGGCTGAGGCAGGAGAATGGCGTGAACCTGGGAGGCGGAGCTTGAAGTGAGTGGAGATTGTGCAACTGCACTCCAGCCTGGGCGACAGAGTGAGACTCCGTCTCAAAAAAAAAAAAAAAAAAAAAGAATGAGTTCATGACCTTTGCAGGGACATGGATGAAGCTGGCCATAATTCTCAGCAAACTAACACAGGAACAGAAAACCAAACACCACATATTCTCATAAGTGGGAGTTGAACAATGAGAACACATGGACACAGGGAGGGGAACATCACACACGTGGACACAGGGAGGGAACCATCATATGTGCCATAAGATTTGCAAGAAATCAAAAAGCATTTAAATATCCACATGGAAGTGAGGCAAGACTGATATCGTAGAAAAGTCAAATCAGCCGGGTGCGGTGGCTCACGCCTGTAATCCCAGCACTCTGGGAGGCCGAGGTGGGCAGATCACGAGGTCAGGAGTTCGAGACCAGCCTGGCCAAAATGGTGAAACCCCGTCTCTACTAAAAATACAAAAATTAGCCGGGTATGAGGGCGCGCGCCTGTAATCCCAGCTACTCAGGAGACTAAGGCAGGAGAATCGCTTGAACCTGGGAAGCGGAGGTTGCAGTGAGCCAAGATCACCCCGCTGCACTCCAGCCGGGGCAACAGAGCGAGACTCTGTCTCAAAAAAAAAAAGAAAAGAAAAGTCAAATCAGTGATAGTAAGAATACGCTTCAGAAGTTCTCTAAGAATGTAGAGGAAAAGGATAAAGAAATGAAAGTAACGAGAATGATAGTTCTGTGAGACTGAATTTTAAAACTCCAATATAAATATAATACATTTTTCAGAATAGAGTAGAACAAAAACAACAAACTAATGAAAAAAAGAAATAGAAAACATTTTTTCTTGACCTTTAGAAAAATCATGTTCTATAAAAAGAGATCCTCACATAGACATATCCTGGCAAAATATGTATTGAAATGCTGGAAAACTTCAAACCATTCCAGGATCTGAGAAAAGTACTTAGAACTGAATGAAAATCAGACTGACCCTGGCTTTTTCTCTGTGATAGAAAGTTCAAGAAAACACCAGAATACCATCTACACAGTTGAGGGGAAGGGTTAGAAACCCAAGGAGTAACCAGAGATTTTGAAAACACACTTGTGTAGTCTGATATCTGTGAAAATAACATGCTTGGCTGTTTTTGCTTTGAGAGTACATATCACTAATAAGCAGCTTAAAAAAAAAGATCACCTTAGTTCAACCATTGTGGAAGACAGTGTGGCGATTCCTCAAGAATCTAGAACCAGAAATACCATTTGATCCAGCAATCCCATTACTGGGTATGTACTCAAAGGATTATAAATCATTCTACTATAAATACACATGCACACATATGTTTATTGCAGCGCTACTTACAATAGCAAAGACCTGGAACCAACCCAAATGCCCATCAATGATAGACTGGATAAAGAAAATGTGACACATATACACCATGGAATACTATGCAGCCATTAAAAAGAATGAGTTCATGTCCTTTACAGGGACATGGATGAAGCTGGAAACCATCATTCTCAGCAAACTAACACAGGAACAGAAAACCAAACACTGCATGTTCTCACTCAAGTGGGAGTTGAACAATGAGAACACATCGACACAGGGCGAGGAACATCACACACCGGGGCCTGTTGGGGCAAGGGAAGGGAGACCATTAGGACAAATACCTAATGCATATGGGGCTTAAAACATAGATGATGGGTTGATAGGTGCAGCAAACCACCATGGCACATGTATACCTATGTAACAAACCTGCATGTTCTACACATGTATCCCAGAACTTAAAATTAAAAAAAAAATTAAAAATAAAGCATCAGACGTCTCCAAGTGGTGCTCCTAGCATATGGTGACACATGTGTCACCAGCTCTGGGATGGAGTCCAAGCCGTCTCTAAAATATTTTAAAGGTTTAAATATTTAAACATTTATAAATAAGCATCATTTATAAATATGTTAAAATATAAATGATGCTTAAGTACCAATGAAGTATTAAAGTATAAATATAAAATTAAAAGCATGTGAAAATATAAATAGTACCTAAGTACCATCAAAGGATTAAAATATAAATGATGATGGCCAGGCGTGGTGGCTCACGCCTGTAATCCCAGCACTTTGGGAGGCTGAGGCAGGCGGATCATGAGATCAGGAGTTGGAGACCAGCCTGACCAACACGGTGAAACCCCATTTCTACTAAAAATACAAAAGTTAGCCGGGGCGTGGTGGTGCACACATGTAATCCCAGCTACTCAGGAGACTGAGGCAGATTCTCAAGGAGAATCGCTTGAACCTGGGAGGCGGAGGTTGCAGTCAGCCAAGATCGTGCCACTGCACTCCAGTCTGGGTGACAAGAGTGAGACTCCATCTCAAAAAAATAAAAAATAAAATAAAATATAAATGATGTATAAGTACCATTGAAGTATTAAAATATGAATGATACCTAAGTACCATTGAAGCATTAAAATATAAGTGATACCTAAGTATCATTCAAGTATTAAAATAGAAATGATACTTAAGTACCATCGAAGTATTAAAATATAAATTATACCTAAGTACCACTGAAATGTTAACATATAAATGATACTTGTTTATATTTTAACACATACTTTTTCCTGAGAGTCTTTGTATAAAACTTATGCTCCAGGAAGACTTGCTATGTTTATTCTATGGCTTCAAATATCTGAAGCCACACAGCTGTGAAATCAGAGTACCCTCTTTTTCCCCAGTAAAAAGTCCTGAGTGAATGGAACTCCACAACAAAATGATAGTGGAGAAAAGCAATGCAGGCTAAGCAGGCTAATACTAAACACAAAAGCAAGGTCAGCAAAGAAGTGTCTAGCTACAGTTTATATTTCAGAATAAATTTAAAAGCAGGTGTCTCATGAAACAGAGCTGAGAAATTGGGGGCATTTGTGACAGTCACAGGAGCTCATCCACCCTTAAAGAGGCCTGGCCTCCTGCTCTGTAGGGCTGGGCCAAGTCCTTGATACCCTGGAGAGAGCTCACTTCTGCCTCTCTTTGGAGTGTGAGAAACACACTCACCCATTCAAACCCAAAGAATGGACTTAGAGGCATGAAGAACAGTGAAAGTGAGACTTTTTTTTTTTTTTGAGAGTCTGTCTTGATCTGTCACTGAGGCTGGAGTGCAGCAGTGCGATCTCAGCTCATTGCTGAGCTGAGATCACCTCCCAGGTGAATCTCCATCTCCCAGGTTCAAGTGATTTTCCTGCCTCAGCCTCCCGAGTAGCTAGGATTACAGGCATGCGCCACCACACCCGGCTAATTTTTGTATTTTTAGTAGAGATGGGGTTTCACCATGTTGGCCAGGCTGGTCTTGAACTCCTGACCTCAGGTGATCCACCAGCCTCAGCCCCCCAAAATGCTGGGATTATAGGCATGAGCCACCGCACCCGGACAAAAGTAAGACTTTTTAATAATGGTTTTGCAAGATCGGATGTGTGATGGGCAGGCACACCCAGTGCAGTTTCAACAATTTATCCCCTAGAGCACAGGTCCCTCCCCAGTTCCTCACAGGCTGAGTAATATGGGGTTGCAGTCTTCCTGGACATCACCTAAGTTCCATTATCCCCTTATTAGGTTACATCTTGTCCTCTTCCCTACTTGAAGTTTCGATTTCCCAATGGCTAAGCTTTCTTTCCTTTTATGGATTAGACACCCCTGCCACTTTTCTCCCTCCCCTCTGACTTCTGTGAGTTTTATCACTCTTCCCAGATGTCTGTACCCGTGCATCTTGTCACATCCACAAGGGAACTGCCCAGACTTGTCTGTTTTCTGAAAATGGACCA
This sequence comes from Homo sapiens, assembly GCF_000001405.40. Lineage (NCBI taxonomy): Eukaryota > Metazoa > Chordata > Mammalia > Primates > Hominidae > Homo > Homo sapiens. The sequence goes on from NC_000007.14 coordinate 55,962,385, forward strand.
CTTAAAAAGTACTTCTTACAGGGTTCTCCACAGCTTTACTAAGCATACACTAGTTGAGGCCAGGAGGTCCTCAGCCACACAGCCTCTGGCCTCCTATCCTTGTGTCCCTTGGCCTCCATCCCACTGGCCTCCAAGGGACAGGTGCCTTTCCCTGCTCTGGGGCAAAGCCCTCCTCCATCCACAGGGTCCACCTCTGTCCTCCCTGGTGGCTCCTTGCCATATTAACGTGTTCAAATTCTACCCCAGTCAGAAAACTGCACCCCTTGAGCCCTGATGCTCCCTTGGCCCCCAAGATTACCAGCTTCAGGGAACCTCCCAGTTTTTGTCCACCTTATGACCTCCAAGCAACCCAGTCCTGAGGGCACTTTCCTCTCTGCCTCTGCAGCCCCGCACTGGCCTGGAAATGCTCCCTTTGGTGGCCAGAGCCCCTACTTCTCCCAGGTTCTCCCCCACCCCCAGGGTCCAGCTTCCTTCCTCCTGCCCTCACCTTGGTTGCAGTTTTCATGGTTATATTTGTGGCTTTTTTCTTTTTCTTTTCTTTTTTTTTTTGAGATGGAGTCTCACTCTGTTGCCCAGGCTGGAGTGCAGAGGCACAATCTCGGCTCACTGCACCCTCCACCTCCCAGGTTCAAGCAATTCTCCCACTTCAGCCTCTCGAGTAGCTGGGATTACAGGCACCCGACAACATGCCTGCCTAATTTTTGTATTTTTGTAGAGATGGGATTTCACCATATTGGCCAGGCTGGTCTCGGACTCCTGACCTCAGGTGATCCGCCCGCCTCGGCCACCCGAAGTGCTGGGATTACAGACGTGAGCCACCGTGCCTGGCTCATTTGTGGCTTTTTAAAAAATCTTCCTGGAGGACACATTTTTCCCTCTATAGCGCCAGCCACCCAGATCCACGCCTTTGCTTAAGTTATTTCCTCAAGACAGGGATGCCCTCCCTTCTTCCCCTGGGACTGATATGTCCTGCCAGCTCCTTGGAGAACTTTCTCCCCATCTATCCTCTAATTCACAGCCACCCCCGGTTACATGCTCTCTTTCCGTGCCTCTTTCGTGTCTCATGAACCTGTCCATTTTGACACTTAACACACTCGGTCCAATCATCATTGTACATTCTGTCCCCACTAGACCCAGACGGCCTTGAGGGTAAGGTACCAAGGACTCCCCATGGCCAGTGCCCACCGGTGCTGAAATGAATGGGAACGATGCAGTCCCAAGACCTCAAGAGAACCTTCCCAGTCCTTTCTCCTTAATTTTTTTTGTGTGTGTATGGTGTTTTTTAATTTTTTCCTCACTTGCTTTCTTTTCTTTTCCTTTCTCTCTTTCTTTCTTTCTCCTGCCTCCCTCCCTTCCTTTCTTTCTCCTTCCTTCCCTCCTTTCTTTCTCCTGCCTCCCTTCCTTCCTCCTTTCTTTCTCCTTCCTTCCTTCCTTTCCCTCCCTTTCTTTCTCTCTCTTTCTCTCTTTCTTTCTTTCGCTACAGGACGTCGTGTGTTTGCCCAGGCTGGAGTGCAGTGGCACGATCATAGTTCACTACAGCCTCCACCTCCTGAACTCAAGCGATCCTTCTGCCTCAGTCTCCAGTGTAGCTGGCATCACAGACGTGCTCCTCCATGCCCGGCTAATTTAAAAATGTTTTTGCACAGTGAGGGCTCGCTATGTTGCCCAGGTTGGTCTCGAACTCCTGGCCTCAAGAGATCTCCGGCCTCAGCCTCCCAAAGTGCTGGGATGACAGGCGTGAGCTATTGCGTCCGGCCCCAGAATGCACTTGTTAAAGCGTTGTGGGGCTTTTTGAAATGACAATATATTCATATACTACAAAATTTAAAAGACATTGGCGGGGTGGGGTGGGGGTAAACCCACTGCCACTGCCCCGCCCCAGGCCCTGGATTCCCCTAGGCACAGTGTTACTCTTTCCTTTTGGAGTTTTCCCTGATCATTGAAGTTATGCCCTTGTCCCTTCTGCACCCGCGCTTCTGGGCACCGAGCTCCTCCCGCTGAAGTGATCGGCTTGCACTGACTGCGCTTGGGCTTCGCGCTTTCCCGCAGCGGCCGGGCCTTGGCGCCTGGACGCCCCGCCGACCCCCGCGGCCGCGCGCCCTGCTCCCCCTGGCGGCCGCGCCCCGCACTGCAGTGGCCGCGTTGGGGCCCGGCCGGGGGAGGGGTCGCGCGGCGGCGGCGTCAGCGGCGGCGCCCGGGCGGTGGGAGCCGAGGCGCCGAGCAAGATGGCGGCGCGAGTGCTGCGCGCCCGCGGAGCGGCCTGGGCCGGCGGCCTCCTGCAGCGGGCGGCCCCCTGCAGCCTCCTGCCCAGGCTCCGGTGAGCAGCGCCGCCCTTCCCGGGAGGTGCCGGGGAGGGGCCGCCGCGAGGCGGAGGGCGCGGGTTTCCCGGCGCCGGTCTCCGCCCCGGCCCTGTCCCCAGCGCGGGTGGCTGCCCGGCCTCGGGGCAGTGGGGCCGGAGCTGGGGTGGGGCCGGAGCTGGGGCGGGGTCGGGGCGTCCTCGGGCTCAAGGTCACGGAGGGGACGGGCCGCTCTGCGGCTCCACCCTCGCCCGGGAAGGCCCCCGAGGCTTGGCCCGGAGGCCACATCCTCCCCGCGGCGCTGGCCCGGCCTGCAGGGCCCTGACCGGCGCGACCCGTGGCCAGGGACAGGGACAGCGCGCGCCTGAGGCCGCAGGCCCCGGACGCCGTCTGCTGGGTCCTCGCCGGAGGCTGTTCCAAGCCTGAGTGGCTGCGTCTGCCGAGGACGTTGGTGACCCTGGTCTCTGAGGTGCCGGGAGTAGGGAATAAAAGAGTAAAGCATTGTCCCGGGCCAGCTCTCCGCGGAGCGTAGGGGAAGTTAGAGCTTGGAGGAGGTCAAATCACTTAACGTCTTGGAGTTGAAATTTAAAGCCGGCCGTGGATCTAAAAGTACTTAGAGTTATCAGCACTAAGTTCAGGCGTGGGGCTCTTGTTTAAACTTTTTTTTTTTTCTAACTTCAGTGGATTGGACGTTTGGTTGTCCAAATTCATCACCTTGATATTTGCATGTGCTGTTTTCCACATTCAAACAGCAAAGCCTATCCTGACTTACCCAGAGTTGCTTTCTCGTATTCATTGCTTTGGGTAGTTTAAATTACCTAAGGAACTGTGTGTTAAACTCGCCATGGGCCAGGGAGGTTTCAGTAACATGGTTTATTATTATTATTATTGTTGTTGTTTATTTATTTATATTTTTGAGACGGAGTTTTGCTCTCGTTGCCCCGGCTGAAGTGCAACGGCACGATCTTGTCTCACTGCAACCTCCGCCTCCCGGGTTCAAGTAATTCTCCTGCCTCATCCTCCCAAGTAGCTGGGATTACAGGCATGCACCACCACACCCGGCTAATTTTTGTATTTTTAGTAGAGACGGGGTTTCACCATGTTGGTCAGGCTGATCTCGAACTCCTGACCTCAGGTGATCCACCTGCCGCGGCCTCCCAAAGTGCAGGGATTACAGTCGTGAATCACCAGGCGCGGCCTGATCTTTTTAAAAAGATGAGTCTGACTTGGGAGAGGGGGCAGAATTAAGGGTAGTGGCCAGCTGAGTGGACCCTGGCACTGAGAGTTGAGAGTTTGCAGAGAGCTGTTCTGCCAAAATGTGAGTGCCTACCACGTGCCAGGCACTGTTGACTGTTGAGAGACATCAGTGAATAAGGCGTCCAAGGCCATCCGGAGCTTACCAGTAATTCAGGAGGGCTGGGGAAGAAGAATTCAGAGCAGTTTAGGACCTGGTAAAGTTTGTGAAGGCTGTGTGCTATTCAAGTGGAAACGCAAACAGACAGTTGGCAGTATGACTCCTCAAAGGAGGTGTCTGGGCTACAGGTAACATTTAGGAGTTGTCAGTATATAGGAATGCTAAATGTTAATAGACACATGGATTTCATTATACTGTTTCGTATTTGATTTACGTTTTTCATAATAAAGCCTGGACGCAGTGACTCACACTTGTAATCCCTGCACTTTGGAAGGTTGCGGCAGGAGGATTGCTTGAGCCCAGGAGTTTGAGACCAGCCTGGGCAACATAGTGGAACTCTGTCCCTAATAATAAATAAGTACATAAATAAAAATTTGTATAATGAAACTTTTTTTAAACCATAGGAAGCCGGGTGCAGTGGCTCAGGCTGTAATCCCAGCACTTTGGGAGGCCGAGCTGGGCTGATCGCTTGAGCTCAGGAGTTCGAGACCATCCCAGGCAACATGACAAAACACATCTCTACAAAAAATACAAAAATTAGCCCGGCATGGTGGCACACGCCTGTAGTCCCAGCTACTTGGTAGGCTGAGGTGGGAGTATGGCTTGAACCTGGGAGGTGGAGGTTGCAGTGAGCCGAGATCATGCCACTGCGTTCCAGCCTAGGTGACAGAGCCAGACCCTGTCTCCAAAATAAAACAAACAAAAAAATATAGGAATGTGTGAGATTGCTTGAGGCGAGAGTGTGGAGAGAGAAGGGGCTGCAAAGCAAGTCCTGGGATGTGCAGCGTATATAGGCTGAATGTAGGAGGGGGAGCTGGCAAGCTCATTGTTATGTGGCAGTGGCCAGGAGGAGGGAGGGAGTGCCATCCGCTGCCAAAGTGTTAGGTAAAATGACAGAAGAAAACAGGATTTGCTGAATCAGTTTCAGCAAGGGAGAAGGGCGTCCTCCCGGGAGCCTCATCCCTGCCTGTACATTAGCCAGCGTATTTCACTTAGTGCTGCTCAGCAGCAAGCTTGGAATTCCCAGCCGCTTCCTGGACATTGCATAAGTGTCTCACAGGTGCTTAAAACACTGCTGTACCCAGGATTTAACTCCTCTTCCTTCTGTGAAGCCTGCTTTTCTTTGGTTGTTCTTCTCCAGTCATGAAACATTTTCCATGTGGTGGCCCAGGCCAGACACCAGATGGTCTTCCCCAAGCCCATCCCTCTTTTTCCCGCCATCTATCATTTACCAAATCTGTCAGTTCTGCCTCTAGTATGTCTTGAATCCACCCTCTCCATCTTCACTGCCCTAGCTCAACCCTCAGCAATACTCGTCTGGATTCCTACGAAGAGTGTGGGCTCGAACCTGTTAGTGAAGGGGATGACTAAAGAATTTTTTTTTTTCCTTGGAGATAGTCTTGCCCTGTTGCCCAGGCTGGAGTTTAATGGCATGACCACGGCTCACTGCAGCCTTGACCTTCCGGACTTAAGGGATCTTCCCACCTCAGCCTCCCAAGTAGCTGGGACTACAGGCCCACACCACCATGCCCAGCTATTATTTATTTATTTATTTATTTATTTATTTATTTGAGACAGAGTGTCACTCTGTTGCCCAGGCTGGAGTTCAGTGGCGTGATCTCGGCTCCCTGCAACCTCCACCTCCTGGGTTCAAGCAGTTCTCCTGTCTCAGCTACCTGAACAGCTGGGACTTACAGGCGTGCACCACCACGCCTGGATAATTTTTGTATTTTTAGTAGAGATGGGGTTTCTCCATGTTGCCCAGGCTGGTCTCAAACTCCTGGCCTCAAGTGATCCTCCCACCACGGCCTCCCAAAGTGCTGGCATTACAGGGATGAATCACCACACCCGGCTGCTAATTTTTAATTTTTTTGTAGAGAGGGGGGTCTTGCTATGTTCCCCAGGCTAGTCTCAAACTCCTGGCCTCAAGCAGTCCTCCCACCCTCCGCCTCCCAAAGTTCTAGGATTATAGGTGTGAGCCATTGTGCCCAGCCACACGTCTAAAGAATTCTAAGCGGACATTTTCCTAGTAGAAAGATCTCTATGACACAAACCTTGACTGGTTCCTAATCCCTCCTCCCTGTCTGCCCCCATTCCCCTACCCACAAGAGCAATGAAAGACATTTTGGGGAGAACTGGGGATATTTTAATAGGGAGTGGATATTAGATATGATGGAATAATTGTTTTTCTCAGATGTGATGATAGCATTGTAGTTCTGTCATTGTGTTTTGGAGGTACATGCTGAAGGATTTACGGGAGAAGTATCATTATGTCCAAACTCTACTTTCTTTTTTTTTTTTTTTTCCTGAGACAGAGTCTCGCTCTGTCACCCAGGCCGGAGTGCAGTGGGGTGATCTCGGCTCGCTGCAACCTCTGCCTCCCGGGTTCAAGTGATTCTCCTGTCTCAGCCTCCCGATTAGCTGGGACTACAGGCGTGCGCCACCACAACCAGCTAATTTTTTTGTATTTTTAATAGAGATGGGGTTTCACCATTTGGCCAGGATGGTCTCGATCTCCTGACCTCGTGATCTGCCCGCCTTGGCCTGCTTTGGTCTCCCAAAGTGGTGGGATTATAGGCGTGAGCCACTGCCCCCAGCCCAAAACTCTACTTTCAAATGGTTCAGTAGAAATTAAAAAGCAAATATAGGGCCGGGTGTGGTGGTTCACACCTGTAATCCTAGCACTGTAGGAGGCCAAGGCTCACGGATCACATGAGGCCAGAAGCTCAAGACCAGCGTGGACAACATGATGAAACCCTGTCTCTACTAAAACTACAACATTTAGCAGGGTAACTACAACATTTAGCAGGGTGTGGTGGTGCAGGGCTGTAGTCCCAGCTATACAGGTGGCTGAAGCAAGGTAATTGCTCGAGCGCAGGAGGTGGAGGCTGAAGTGAGCCGAGATCGCGCCACTGCCCTCCAGCTGACATGAGAGAACAAGGCCCTGTCTGAAAAAAAAAAGAAAAAAAGAAATTAAAAAGCAAATATATATAGAGAAAAACTTTTAATGGTAAAATGTTCATTTTTAAAATCTAGATGCAGGGCAGAAAAGTCTTGTCATGTTTAAACTCCTCTGGGTTTGAAGTTTCTGGAAATGAAAGGTGTGGGAACAGGTCTCTGGAGCAGCAGTGTGGAAGACGGGGTACTGGGGCTGGATGGAGTGTGGTGGTGGGGAGGGGAGTCAGGGAGCTGCTGCTTTAAGGCAGGAGTCTTCTTGGCATGGGTCTGTCAACCTCTTCTCTCCCCCGGGTCTGTGCTTCCAAATGCTGGTGCTGTTTGCACACTTGTGTCTTTGGCCTTCACTGGTTCTGCTTAGAATCTCCCTTCCATGGGTATCTACCTGACCATCTGCTCCTCTTCTTTCCAGTCTTCCACTCAACAGGTACTTCGTTAGAGCAGGCCCCCAGGCTGCCCTTACCCATGCCACAACAGCTACCTACTTCCTTGTGTCATCATTGAAGAGCTTGTCTGTTTGAGTTGTGATCGTGTTTGTCTGTCTGCCCTCACCAGCAAACTGAGCTCCCGTGAAGTCAGGGCCAGGTTCATCTGTGCATCGTCAGTGGCTGACAGGTGTAGTGCACAGTCTGTAAATAACAGTGATCATATTGCCGGGCGCGGTGGCTCACGCCTGTAATCCCAGAACTTTGGGAGGCCAAGGTGGGCGAATCACGAGGTCAGGAGATCGAGACCATCCTGGCTAACATGGTGAAACCCTGTCTCTACTAAAAATACAAAAAATTAGCCGGGCGTGGTGGTGGGCGCCTGTAGTCCCAGCTACTCAGGAGGCTGAGGCAGGAGAATGGCGTGAACCCGGGAGGCGGAACTTGCAGTGAGCCGAGATCCCACCACTGCACTCCAGCCTGGGCGACGGAGCGAGACTCTGTCTCAAAAAAAAAAAAAAAAAAAAGATCATATGAATGAAGCACGGTGTGCTCCTGCTGCCTCATCCTGTGGTCTCAGCGTTAAGTCCTTTCCCTTCTTCAGTTTCCTCTTCCCCGCCTGATCAGCACTCACAAGCTTCTTCTGAATGCACTCCTTTCTCTTCATCCCCACTGCCATCTTAACCCCAGACCATCTAGTGAGTATTTATTGAGTGCCTTCTGCATACCTGGTGCTGCTGGGCATGGCAGCCAGGGTGCCCAGGAAGCATGTTCCTGGCCTTTGTTGCTGCAGCCATATACCACGCTCCTGCCAGGCTGCTTTTGACACTTAGATTTTTTTTTTTTTTTTTGAAACGGAGTCTTGCACTCTTGCCCAGGCTGGAGAGCAGTGGCGTGATCTTGGCTCACTGCAACGTCCGCCTCCCAGGTTCAAGTGATTCTCCTGCCTCAGCCTCCCGAGTAGCTGGGACTACAGGCGTCCACCACCACACCTGGCCATTTTTTTGGTATTTTTTAGTAGAGACAGGGTTTGGCCATGTTGCCCAGGCTGGTCTTGAATTCCTGACCCCAGATGATCCGCCCACCTCGGCCTCTCAAAGTGCTGGGATTACAGGCATGAGGCACTGCGCTTGTCCGACACTTATATTTTTTTTGAAAACTTGACAGCATCTCACCCTACACAGAATAAAGTCGCCCTCGCCTCGCCCTCACGGTCCTCCCACATGCTCTTCTGCCTTGCTAAACAGCTTGCCATTCCAGACATATGCCATTCAGTGTCATGACTCCATGTCCCTGTACATGTTGTTCCCATTGACTGGAATTAGCACCTGCCTTCTCCACCTGTCTTGCTTGCCCTCCAAAACAGAGCCAGAGTGCCCCTACTGGAGTCCCTCCTGCACCTCCCAGGCCAAGCTGATGGTGGGTTCACTTGAGCTCTTGCAGTGTATGTCTAAGTTTACAGCATCTGTGGCCACTCTGGCTGTTTACTGATAGGTTTTTCCTGTGAGACTGAATAGGCTTGGCATCTGGTTTATCTTTGTATCCATAGAGCCCGGCATAGAATGCTGACTTGATTTCAAGTCTAGTGTTTTGTATAGTGCACCCTTCCTTATCCTCTGGAAAGTGCCCCCTACCATCTTGGCGATTGTCACTGTCAGTTAAGAACCCAGGCCCAAGCCAGATCTTATCATTTGGGCAGCCGTTGGCATAGCTGCGACTCGAATGACTAGATAGGTTGGGCATGTTAGGCAGCTTTGGTCACCTGACACTCAAAGATTTCAGTTTGACGGTTGGGGGTAGTACTGGCCGGCTTGTTTTTCATTTGTCAAGACGATTGCTGCCCAAGTTCACAAGCAAATGCCACTCAGGTTCTTTTGTGTGTGCTGTGTTGATTTAGTCTCACCCCCTGCTCTGCATTTTTCGATTACTAGCATTGTCACATCCCTTACCTCATTGTACCCACCCAAAGGGGAATCCCTTTGGTATTATTATTTGTTTGTTTGTTTTAGAGGTGGTCTTGCTCTGTTGCCCGGGCTGGAGTACAGTGCATGATCATAGCTCACTACAGCATTGAACTTGTGGGCTCAAGCGATCCTCCTGCCTCAGGTTCCTGGGTAGCTAGGACCATAAGCACGAGCCACCATGCCCAGCTACTCTTTTTATTTTTTTTTGTAGAGACAGGGTCTTCCTATGCTGCCCAGGCTGACTTTGGTGTTTCTGAGATATGAAATAAATGCTCAGTTGGGGTGATTTTTATTTCAAAGGCATCCTTTATCAGTGAAAATATTATCTGTCTATAAATATACATAATATATGTTTGCCTCTGTATTTCTGGAAGGATATACATAAAACTATTAGTAGTCATTGCTTTAGTATTTCTTATTTTAAGTGAAACTCCCTAGTCAGTATTTTTAGACACTTTTTATTATATCCCTTTCTTAATTGTTCATAATTGTTATTCCTAAGCTTTTACAATTTATTTAACAAAAAAAATTGTAGACACAATTTCTGTTTAATGAACTTAAAATCTAAAATAAACACAGAAATTGGCTGGGCACAGTGGCTCACACCTATAATTCCAGCACTTTGGGAGGCCGAGGCAGGTGGATCACCTGAGGTCAGGGGTTCAAGACCAGCCTGGCCAACATGGTGAAAACCCACCTCTACTAAAAATACAAAAATTAGATGGGTGTGGTGGTGGGTGCCGCTAGTCTCAACTGCTTAGGAGGCTGAGGCAGGAGAATCACTTGAACCCAGGAGGCGGAGGTTGCAGTGAGCTGAGATTGTGCCACTATTGCCCTCCAGCCTGGGCAACAGAGCAAGACTCTGTCTCAAAAAAAAAAAAGAACATACAGAAATTACATAGTCCCATAAACAAATCTTAAAACTTTCTACTTTGTGTATCACTAATTTTATATGGTTGCCTTAAAGTAATGCGTAAGTTTCTTTTTTCTTTTTCTTTTTTTTTTTTTTTGAGACAGAGTTTCACTCTTGTTGCCCAGGCTGGAGTGTAGTGGCGTGATCTCGGCCCACTACACCCTGCACCTCCCGGGTTCAAGCGATTCTCCTGCCTCAGCCTCCTGAGTAGCTGGGATTACAGGCATGCGCCACCATGCCTGGCTAATTTTATATTTTTAGTAGAGACGGGGTTTCTGCATGTTGGTCAGTCTGGTTTCCCGACCTCAGGTGATCCACCCGCCTCCTTGGCCTCCCAAAGTGCTGGGATTACAAGCATGAGCCACTGTGCCCAGCCCATGATATTATTAAACAGATATCCCTAAATGTAGTGTACGTAAAACACTTCAAACTAATTGACAAAATGTGCTTTCATTTTTATTGGAATATGGCTGGGTGTGGTGGTTCACGCCTATAATCCCAGGACTTTGGGAAGCTGAGGCAGGCAGGTCACTTGAGCTCAGAAATTCAAGACCAACCTGGGCAGCATGGTGAAACCCTGTCTCTACAAAAAAATACAAAAATTAGTTGGATGTGGTGCTGGGCACCTGTAGTCCCAGCTACTTGGGAGGGGTTGAGACAGGAGGATAGCTTGAACCCGGGAGGTCGAGGCTACAGTGAGCCAAGATCACGCCACTGCACTCCAGCCTGAGTGACAAAGTGAGACCCTGTCTCAAAGAAAAAAAAAATACAGAAGAGAAAAGCACAATATAGACATTATATGGAGAAAGCTGTGTGTCTTTCCCCTCTATCCCTTTAAACCATTTTCTCAGGGAAACCACCATTAATGCTTTCTTAATTTTTAGGAATTTTTATATATAGTAAACACAAATTGGAAGCATCTTCAACTTACATCTGCAAATGCCACTTAATACTATATGTTTTTATCTTTCAAGAAAAATTGCATTTACTGGTATTGTTATTTTGCTTGTTTAAAGTGAGTTTGCTTCTTTTTAATCTTTGAAGGATGTGAAAACGTGCTTTTATATTTCTTTATAATTATTTATAGAGCACATTTTATTTTTAATTTATTTTATTTTATTTTATTATTATTACTTTTTTTGAGATTGAGTCTTGCTGTGTAGCCCAGGCTGGAGTGCAGTGGCACGACTTGGCTCACTGCAATCTCCACCTCCTGGGTTCAAGCGATTCTCCTACCTCAGCCTCCTGAGTAGCTGGGATCACAGGCGTGTGCCACCACACCCAGCTATTTTTTTTTTTTTTTGTAGTGTTAGTAGAGACAAGATTTCACCATGTTGGCCAGGCTGGTCTTGAACTCCTGACCTCAGGTGATCCACCTGCCTCGGCCTCCCAGAGAGCTGGGATTTAGAAGCGTGAGCCACCACTCCCGGCCAATATATTTGTATTTGTAAGTTCACATCATTCAAAAATCTTTATATCTGGTTTCTACCTATTTGAGACAATATCCTATGAATTGGTTTTTAAATTAAAAGAACATCATATTGGGGAGAAGATTGCTCTGTAATGTTTGTTCAAGAAAGCAGCAAACTAGGCTGAGTGCGGCAGCTCACCCTTGCAATCTCAGCACTCTGGGAGGCTGAGGCTGGCGGATCACTTAAGGCCAGGAATTCGAGACCAACCTGGCCAACATGATGAAACCCTGTCCCTACTAAAAATACAAAGATTAGCCGGATGTGGTGGCATGCACCTGTAGTCCCAGATAGTCAGGAGGCTGAGGTGGGAGAATTGCTGGAACCTGGGAGGCAGAGGTTGCAGTGAGCCGAGATTGCACTACTGCACTCCAGCAAGTGCAATGAGACCCTGCCTCAAAAATAAATAAATAAAGCAGCAAACTGATTTTTTAAGCAAAAAAAAAGAAAGAAAGAAAGAAAGAAAAAGGCTGCCAGTATCATGTGAAATTTAGAGCCCTACTTCTAAAATACCGTTGCTGCATAAGAATAGGAATTTCTATTATTGTAGTATGAAATCCATGTGTTCATTTCATGAAGTACTGGGGAATTTGCTCTCATGAGAGTTTTTCTTGTCCCTTGTTTAAATTCCTGGTCCCCCTTTTTAATACCTGGAGTTGCTCTTTCTTTTCCTCTTAATGTTTACCTGGTGGTATCTGGGTGCTTAAGCAAGTCTACCAAGCAGATTAGAAATACTATTGTAGAAGGCTGGGCGCAGTGGCTCACGCCTGTAATCCCAGCACTTTGGGAGGCCGAGGCAGGCGGATCATGAGGTCAGGAGATCGAGACCATCCTGGCTAACACGGTGAAACCCCATCTCTACTAAAAATACAAAAAATTAGCCGGGTGTGGCGGCGGGCGCCTGTAGTCTCAGCTACTCAGGAGGGTGAGGCAGGAGAATGGCGTGAACCTGGGAGGCGGAGCTTGCAGTGAGCCAAGATCATGCCGCTGTACTCCAGCCTGGGCAACAGAGCGCGACTCTGTCTTAAAAAAAAAAAAAAAAAAAAGAAATACTGTTGTAGAAAATCATCTAGTGTTTCTAAAGAGATCCCCAAGAAGAGGTTCACACTGGCCCATCAGCATCTGGACTTTTATGTCCAGAAGCACTAAGATTCTGGACATTTATGCTGGCCCTTTGGAATCCCAGTACATTACTGATCTAGGAAAAGGCAGAAAAGATCTATGTGTAGGTCAGTTGGAGAGCAAAAGTAGCTGGGCATGGTGGCTCATGCTCGAAATCTCAACACTTCAGGAGGCCAAGGCAGGAGGATCGCTTGAGGCCAGGAGTTCAAGGCCAGCCTGGGCAACCTGGCAAAACCCATTCTCTATAGAAAATACAAAAATTAACCAGGCATGGTGGTGTGCATATGTTGTCCCAGCTAATCTGGAGGCTGAGGTGGGGGAATCGTTTGAGCTCTGGGGGTCAAGGCTGCAGTGAGCCGTGATCACACCAGTGCACTCCAGCCTGGGCAACAGAGTAAGAGCCTGTCTCAAAAATAAAAAGAGAACAAAAGTATAAAGGGTATGCTGTGATAGACCTGGCCAGAGGTAAGATCACCAATTATAAAAGGGATTGTGCAGAAAGAAGGGGCAGGAATTCAGAAGGCTACCCTTCTGTATGATTCCATACATACGATGTTCTAGAAAAGGCAAAACTGAGGGACAAGGAACACAGCAGTGGTTGCTAGAGATGGGGAGAGGGGTTGATTATAAAAGGATTAACTTCAAGGGGTGAAGAAGCTGTTGTGATGCTGGTTACATTACTTTAGGCATTTGTCAAAACTCAGTACTGTCTGCCAAAAAAGTACATTTTATTGTACATAGATGTGAAAAACCAAGAAGATGAGGGAAACGCTGTTTGTCATTTGATCATGGTTACATAAAGTTCAGAAGAGGGCTGAGCGCAGTGGCTCACACCTATAATCCCAGCACTTTGGGAGGCCGAGGTGGGCAGATCACTTGAGGTCAGGGGTTGAAGACCAGCCTGGCTAACATGGCAAAACCCTGTTTCTACTAAAAATACAAAAATTAGCCGTGCACGGTGGCACACCATGTAGTCCCAGCTACTCAGGAGGCTGAGGCGGGAGAATCGCTTGAACCTGGGAGGTGGAGGTTGCAGTCAGCTGAAATGGTGCCACTGCACTCCAGCCTGGCAACAGAGCGAGATTCTCTCAAAAAAGTGTGTGTGTGTGTGTGTGTGTGTGTGTGTGTAGAAATTGTTCAGATAGTTCAGAAGGTTATACAATGAAAAGAAAAAACCTTTACTCCCACCCCAGGCCCAGTCATGTTCCCCAGATGTCATCACCCTTTAACAGCTCACTCTGTATGTGTATATATAGTGCTGTTCTGTGCCGGCTTTTTTACAGAATTTATCTTGGAGATGTCAGCACATCAGTGCACATAAATCTACCTCATTCTTTTTATCGAGTGCATATTTTCTGACGGGGAGTATTTCCTAATTTACGTGACCAGTCTGCATTAATGGCTATTCAAATGGCCTATGCCAGGAGATAACTGGAAACAAGACAGCAATGAATATTTGTATGCATTCAACTTTGTGCACCTGTCTAAATATAGCTGGCCGTAGGACATAACCGCAAGTGTCATTATTGGGCTGAAGTCATACACAGTTTCCATTTTGATATGGATGATGCCACACTGCCCTCTTGGGAGGTCAACAAATTTGTATTCCTATTAGCTGGCATATGGGAGTTCAACATGCACATAGATATTTGTGAAGTAGGGCCAATTGCAGTGGCTTACACCTATAATCCCAGCACTTTGAGAGGCTGAAGTGGGAGCATTGCTTGAGGCCAGGAGTTTGAGAACAACTTGGGCAACATAGCAAGACCCCATCTCTACAAAAAATTTAAAAAAATTAACCATGCAAGATGACGTATGCCTCTAGTCCCAGCTTCTCAGGAGGCTGAGGTGGGACGATCACTTGAGCCCAGGAATTTGAGGCTACAGTGAACTACAGTGAGCTATCGCACCACCACACACCAGCCTGGGTGACAGGGCAAGACCCAGTCTCAAAAAAAGAAAGAAAAAATCCATGAGTAAAGTATAGTTTGTGACTTGAGTCAAATTTATCCTCACTTTCTGAAAGCATTCACAATAGAAATTTAATTATGAGATGAAAATTAGCAAATTATGTGTTAATAAAGTTGGTATTCTGAGGTTTGTGGGGGCAGTTAAAAAATTTTTGATTTTTAAAGTTAATTTTTACAAATCTTGATTTTTTTTTTGGCCAGGCTCGGTAGCTCCTGCCTGTAATCCTAGCACTTTGGGAGGCTGAGGCAGGTGGATTGCCTGAGCTCAGGAGTTCATGACCAGCCTGGGCAACACAGTGAAACCCCATCTCTACTAAAATACAAAAAATTAGCTGGGTGTGGTGGTGTGTGTCTGTAATCCCAGTTACCCTAGAGGGTGAGGCAGGAGAATCGCTTGAACCTGGGAGGCGGAGGTTGCAGTGAGCCCAGATCGTGCCACTGCACTCCAGCTTGGGCGATAGAGCGAGACTCCATCTAAAAAAAAATTTTTTTTTGATTTTTAAGTTACTTGAGGGGTAAATTTTTTTTAAAGAAAGAATGTATTTCATTTTCCTTGTATTTTTAAAATATTTTTATTGTGGTAAAACATATATACATAAAATTTGCCATTTAAACCATCTTAAGTGCATAATTCAGTGGCATTACTTATATTCACATTGTTGTACAATCATCACCACTATCTGTTTCCAAATCAAATAATATTTTTTAAATTGTGGCAAAATGTACGTAATGTAAAATTCACCATTTTAACCATTTTAAGCATACAGTTCAGTGGCATTAAGTAGATTCACATTTTGGGGAAACATCACTACCATTCATCTTGAGAATTTCTTCATCTTCCTAAACTGAAACTCCTTACCCCAACCTCCCCTTTCCTCACCTCCTGGCAACCTCCGTTCTGCTTTCTGTCTCTGTGGGTTTATCTACTCTAGGTATCCATGTATATTTTTTCTGTGTCAAAAATTGCTTTGAAAAACACATAGTGCAAATTGCAAAGATAAATGTGGGCTCTCTTATAGGAGTGCCACACATTTTACATTTTTCTTTGCTTCTGCTTCTTGGAGTGCATGCTGTTGTCATGGAAAGCAGGCATTCTTTGGTAGCCCAGGTTCTGGAACGGTGCCTAGAATAGCTGCTCACTGTGTTTGCCAGATTAACTGATGGATATATGAAAACAGTATACTGCGTGACAACACCTTTGTTATTCCATAGGACATGGACATCTTCCAGCAACAGATCTCGAGAAGACAGCTGGCTAAAATCCTTATTTGTCCGGAAAGTTGATCCAAGAAAAGATGCCCACTCCAATCTCCTAGCCAAAAAGGAAACAAGCAATCTATACAAATTACAGTGTGAGTGACAGGTTTGCTATCTTCATAGTTGACTTTTTTTCCCCTTTGTTCCTAAGTTTATCGTTGAATTTTCTTTTGTTTCAGTTCACAATGTTAAACCGGAATGCCTAGAAGCATACAACAAAATTTGGTGTGTATACCAAACTATCCTTTACTTGGGGAAAAATAATGACTTTATTTGTTAGTTAATTCCACTAACACTTGATAGCATAGAGAGAGATCTTTCATCCCTCTCTTTTGAAGCTGAACATTCAGAGGCTCTTAAACTGAGCTTCATGTGGGATTGCCGAAGGCGTTTTGATTTTAAGCACTCACACAGCTAAATCATCATATAGGCTATCAGACTTTAGAATGTTACCAGACTCTTGTGTTTGGAGGAACTTTGCCAGGCTGTCTAGTCCATCTACTTATCCAGTGCTGGAGTCCTTTCCACAGACCTTCCTGACTGCCTGTCCTGAAGTAAGTTCCATCTCTGGACAGCTCTGAGTGTTAGGAATAAGAATTCACATCTCTGAGTCCTTCATTGATTCCCCTAAGTAAAACTGCCCTGTGAGAGTCCTGTATGTATTTGAACATAGCTGCCATTTCTTCCCAACTCCTCTGTTCTCCAGGATCCAAGTCCCTTCCGCTGATTCTCCTATGATTTGCGATCTAAACCTGCTTACAGAATTTGTAAACTTTAAGACGAAAGGGGAGAACTAAGCTTACCAGCTTTTAAGTTAACAGAAATAGTATTTTAATGACCCATGGTGAGCAAATGTGAAGAAAAAGGTTTTTAGTTTTGTTTTGTTTTTACCTTTAATATCTACTACGTTCTTAAGAAAGCAAACAATTTTGTCCCTATAATCAGCATACTTTTTAGAAGAAAAACCTTTTGTTTTTTATTGTTTTGTTTTTGAAGATAGCTTATGAAATGTAACAATAGCATTGAATTTCTTGCTCATTCCAGCACATTTCTCTTTATTAAAAAATGCCCTTAAAACAAAGCAGATGTTTATTTCTAAGTCTTTTCTCATAAAAATGGAATTTTTCCCTATGCCGATGTTGTCCTGGATTACCTTTTTTGTCCTGTCTTATCACTTCGTCTCCTGTCTCGGGTTTCTGGCTGTCTGTTCCTATTTCTATTTGATGTTGTGCTCTCACTTCACACCCAGCATGTAGAATCACCTTGCTCTTCCAACTTCCCTGTCTGTGCCACTCACCTTGTTTTACTCAGCCCGTTCCTTAGTTCTCTGTGGTGAATCTGTCACCTAAGCTGTGCATTCTTCATCGGACATGTATTTTGGTTCTCTTGTTTCCTTCTCCATCTCTCTCTCCAAGCCTCTCGAGCCCCATTCCCAAGTAGCTTTTTTTCTGACTACCTTTCTGGGCTCCAAGCTATACCTGTGTCTCCTTCCTGCCCTGCAATACATTACCCCAAAGTTTGTCAGATTGATCTGCTTGAGTTCTGTTTTCTTTTTTCATCACGTTTTTTCTTTTCTCTGAAACTTTCAGCAGCTCCCTGTTTGCAGAACATAAAGACTTAACTCCTGCCTGGTTTTTAGGGGTCCCAATAATGGGATTCTGCCCAACCCATCCAGTTCTGGGTACAAGTACTGCCTGCCTTACAATCTCCATTCAGGTAAGGCCAGGGCTCCTAAGAGCAGGTTTGGGGTCCCCAGCAAAGAGGAGTGGCTACAAATCCATGCGTGACTTTGTGTTGGTGAAAAACCTGGGCCCCGTTGCCAGGCCCCTTTCTGGACCCCACCTGAATCATGTGTACTGGGCTTCCTCCTGGGCACTGCCTCCAATGCAGGGTTGTCTATTCCTGCTCATGTCATGCGACGAAAAGGAAATGTTGGACATACATTTCCCTAGCAGAATCCCTCTTTCCCTGTCCTCGATTTTCATTGATCCCATGTTATTTCTGAACATTCATGAGTCACGCATCAGATACATTTAATATCAGATCCTAATTTAAAAAGTAAATGCTACTCTTCCAAAAGTACACATGATGTGGTCACTATACTGGGTCATAAAGATGTATGGGTTTTCAGTTAGTTAGACTTAGACCGTTTTGGAACTTTTCTCTGTTAACCATTTATGTATCCCTGGTCGTATGGAGCTCCAGTGGTGCAGTCGGTTAGCACATGGTACTTACATACCCTTGGTCCTGTAGCCCCAGCATCTGGTGGTGATCACTAGCTAAATATCAGAGTCAGCAAATAGTGTGAACAGGTTCCATTTCTTGCCCTTGATCCCCTTTTGCATCCATTGTTGAATCTGTATGATACTTTTTCATCATAATTTTTCTATTCAAAAAGTGTGCAGGTTTTAGCTTTTCTCTTGGTGTAAAACAGTTACACTCTTCCCTTTGCCTTTCCCTGTACATTAGAATCTATACCATAGGAAAGCTTCCATGGAACCAAGCTCCACTCTGACACCCCTGTTAAATTCATACACTGCCGTGACCTGTCATGGCTTTGTCCCTGTCCCTGCACAATGCGCGGGAATGAATTGGTTGGTGTGTTCGGTGCGAGACTACGTGACACCCCTCCCATCCCCTTGGCCCATTGAATTGAGTAGAACATAATTTATGCTTCGCATTGTATCTTTAATTTTTATTCTTCTGCCATGTTGATGCCCTTGGGGAGTATTGGAGGTTGGAGTCGCTTCCAGACTATGTTGTGTTCCAGCTGTCTTCTTGCTCCTTCCTGAAGGCCAGCTTGTTCTCTGCTCCTGTTACCTCTGCCTGCTGGTACTGCTTGTGTTGTCTGCCTCTGTCTTGAACATTACTTTCCTCCCTTTCCATCTTCCTTATTTCTTCTGTGTTCTTTTCTACTATTCCCCGTCTCTCATTCTTCTGTCTTTGGAACCAACAGAATGTTTTTTGGTGATGTCGTTTTTTTTCCCCTCAAATGGAAAATAGTAGACCCATAGCTCCCAAAATCCTGGGACCTTTGGTTTTTCTTTATCATCATTATACTGATTGAACAACTCTTCTAGATAGTTGGGGTATCAGAAACCTAAGCTTCTGATCAGCAGGGTGTTGGAATACAACATAATTCAGCTAAAAGGTTAACTCCACATGCCGTTTTATCATGATGTTCTAAGGTCAGTTGTTAGAACACAGAGTAGGTGGTCTTTTTCCTGTTACTGATCAGGTGCTGTCCACCTGGTCAAATTTTGCTGGTTGTTTAATTAGTGTTGCTGTTTCTTCTCTTTAAGTCAAGAGGTGTTGCCAAAGATTCACGAAGATAAACACTACCCTTGTACTTTGGTGGGGACTTGGAACACGTGGTATGGCGAGCAGGACCAAGCTGGTAGGAAGCGAAGTCTTTGGAATAAACACTTCTTCCTTAAGCCTTATGTAACACTTAAGTAATTTTCTAATTTAATGCTTGTTCTTATCATCAAAGCTTTCCAAGTCTCAGTCTAATTTTATGATTAAAGTAGTTTCTTCAACAATTCATTGCGAAAATGGTTTTAAAATTGTTTTTAATGTTTGAATCTATTATTGAACCATTATGATGTAACTCATAGGCCAAAACATGGGGCATTACAGTTTTTTTGTTTTTTGAGACAGAGTCTTGCTCTGTTGCCCAGGCTGGAGTGCAGTGATGAGTATCTAGGCTCACTGCGACCTCTGCCTCCCGGGTTTAAGCGATTCTTCTGCTTTAGCCTCCCAAGTAGCTGGAAATACAGGTGCCCACCACCACACCCAGGTAATTTTTGTATTTTTAGTAGAGACAGGGTTTCACCATGTTGGCCAGGCTGGTCTGGAACTCCTGACCTCAAGTGATCCGCCTGTCTCAGCCTCCCAAAGTGCTGGGATTACAGGCATGAGCCACCACACACCCAGCCTACAGTTTTGTGCTGTGTTAACGTTATACCTATCTAGAACATTTTCAAGTAGTAGTATCATGAAATTCTAAACGTATACTGTCTTTTAAAATGCATTTCAGTCCACCTCTGGAGGTATGAAGGAGGCTATCCAGCCCTCACAGAAGTCATGAATAAACTCAGAGAAAATAAGGTAATGATATTGAAAAATGTTTACTTAGACTAATGATATATAGATGTTAGTACAGAATTAAATGACTTTTCTGTCTTCAGTTTTTGTTAATAAACTTCATTTTTTTGTAACAGAAATTTTATTGTTTGGACTCCTGAAGTTGTATTTAAACATAAACAGTTGTAATACTATTCAAACAACAATTCTGACCGGGCGCGGTGGCTCACGCCTGTAATCCCAGCACTTTGGGAGGCCAAGGCAGGCGGATCACAAGGTCAGGAGATTGAGACCATCCTGGCTTACACAGTGAAACACTGTCTCTACTAAAAAAAATACAAAAAAATTAGCCGGGCTTGGTGGCAGGCACCTGTAGTCCCAGCTACTCGGGAGGCTGAAGCAGGAGAATGGCGTGAACCCGGGAGGTGGAGCTTGCAGTGAGCTGAGATTGCGCCACTGTACTCCAGCCTGGGCGACAGAGCAAGACTCTGTCTCAAAAAAAAAAAAAAAATTCTTATTGTTCTTATTATAAAAGTCAATTATGCTTTGAAACTGATAAGGTGGTACTTTGAAACCGGTGACTGGGCTGGGTGCGGTAACTCATGCTTGTAATCCCAGCACTTTGGGAGGCCAAGGCAGGCATATCAGTTGAGGCCAGGAGTTTGAGACCAGCGTGGCCAACATGGCAAAACCTCATCTCTACTAAAAATACAAAAATTAGCCGAGCATGGTGGTGCACAACTGTAATCCCAGCCACTCGGGAGGCTGAGGCACGAGAATTGCTTGAACCCAGAAGGCAGAGGTTGCAGTGTGCCGAGACTACACCGCTGCACTACAGCCTGGGCAGCAGAGTGAGACTCTGCCTCAAAAAAACAACACAAAAAAAACCCCCAAAAGACTGGTGACTGGTGTATCAATCAGCATGGCAGGCACAATTAGCTCTGGATGACCTAAAACTGTCTAATTCAGGAACTGTTTGTCACACACATAGAGTTTATCTTGGGCTGACTTTGCTTTCCACCCTCCCTTCACTAGCAGGTGTTTGTCAATAGGGAGAAATTTAAAAGCCACACATCATTAAGAAAGAAATTCTTTTGTATAGATTCCCAGACAAATATAAATAGGTTTTGAATTATCTGCTCTTTTGTAGTCTGCATGCTACTTCTATTGATGTGCCATCAAACACTGTTAGAAGAATCTAAAAATATAGCAAATTAAATTTGTTTGCATTGCCACCTAAATAATTAGGATGACCAAGTAATTTGTCATCTAAACCTGGACACTTTTGAGAATGAAAAGGAATGCTGTTAATGATTATGCAAGCTCAACAGATGTAAACTGGGACTGTCTCAGGCCAACTGGGACCTGTTGATTACCCTATTATAGTATTCTGTAGGAACATCAATGTTACTGAAATGGGCTTATATGTAAGTATCAGAAGATTTCATGAGCACATTTTTTTCACTCAAAGGAATTTTTGGAATTTCGTAAGGCAAGAAGTGACATGCTTCTCTCCAGGAAGAATCAGCTCCTGTTGGAGTTCAGTTTCTGGAATGAGCCTGTGCCAAGATCCGGACCTAATATATATGAACTCAGGTCTTACCAACTCCGAGTAAGTACAGAAATATAAGTTATTCCTTTTACTCCTCTGTGAAAAAGCACAAGCATTTTGTAAGGCTGACAACAGAACTTGTGTGTACATTCTGTGATGTATGTCTAGCATTATATGTATATATATGTATTTTTTTAAGACTGGGTCTCACACTGTCACCAAGGCTAAGCTCTTTTGCTTTTTATGGCCTTACACATAATGCTTATTATTTGATATTTTTCTAAATAACATATTTGTTTTTAAGAAGAAAGACCTAAAGTGCAGGATAAGGTACAATATGTAACATCTGTTGTGGTTAAAGGAGAGCAGCTAATAAACACTGTGACTGTTGAACAAATTATATAACATGATAAGAGTAAAAGGCAATAATATAACACTTTCTAGAAATTTTCCTACTGAGGACTAGAAAGAAAGCCCCACATAGCAGCATTATTAAAGTGGCTAATGCCTGTAATCCCAGCACTTTGGGAGGCCAAGGTTGGAGGATTGCTTGAGCCAGGAAGCTTGAGACCAGCCTGAACAACATAGTGAGACCCTGTCTCTATTAAATTAAAAAGTAAAGTTTTGGCTGGGTGTGGTGGCTCATGCCTGTAATCCCAGCTTTTTGGGAAGTCAAGGCAGGTGGGTGACCTGAGGTCAGGAGTTTGAGACCAGCTTGGCCAACATGGTGAAACCCCATCTCTTACTAAAAATATAAAAAATTAGCCAGGCATGGTGGCGGGCGCCGGTAATCCCAGCTACTCAGGAGGCTGAGGCAGGAGAATTGCTTGAACCCAGGAGGCGGAGGTTTCAGGAGCTGAGATTGAGCCACTGCACTCCAGCCTGGGTGACGGAGCAAGATTCTGTCTCAAAAAAAAAAAAAAAAAAGGTTTTTTGAAGTTAGTTTTGTCACTTAATGTTTTTTCTACTGCTGTTTGCTATTTCTGTATTTTTTTTTTCACAGAAGAACTAACAAACCAAATCTAAATCTGTTTTCAGCCAGGAACCATGATTGAATGGGGCAATTACTGGTGAGTATATTACTGAATGGTGATTTTTTAAGTCTTGTGAATAGATTAGTTTAGGCCATAGTGTTAATTCTAGGGAAAAAAATCTGAGGATAGTACTGTGACTTAACACTGCACTAATGTTTCGTTTGATGTTTTTATTATGAGATTTTTCAAACATACAAAACTAGAGAGAATAATGGGGCTCCCCTTCCACATCCATCTCTTAGCTTCAATAATTAACACATGGCCAATCTTGTTTAGGCCTAACTCCTTCAACCCAGATTGTTTGGAATTAAATCCCAGACAGCATTCTATTTCATTCATAAATATTTCAGTACTATATATATTTCTAAAAGATAAGCACCTTTTTTTTAAAAGCAAAACCAATATTGCATAAGGTTAGTTTACATACTTCTTGGATATCATCTTTTCTGAAACGTTACTTTTGTCATATATACACACCATGTCAATAATGGTTTCTTCTTTTTTTCCTTGCTAGTTTGAGTAGAAAAATAACAATTTTTCCACAAGTTGATATGTAGATTCAGCAGAATCCCTATCAAACTCCCAGCAGGCTTTAGAAGTGCAAAAGACTAGCCAGGTGCACTGTGGCTCATGCCTGTAATCCCAGCACTTTGGGAAGCCAAGGCAGGAGAATCACTCAAGTCCAGGAGTTCAAGACCAGCCTGGGCAACATAGTAAGACCCCCAACCTCTACCAAAATAAATAAATAAATAAAACTAGCCAGGTGTGATGCCACATGCCTGAGGTCCCAGGTATTTGAGAGGCTGAGTAAGAGAATTGCTTAAGCCCAGAAGATGGAGTTTGCAGTGAGCCAAGATTGCACCACTGCACTCCAGCCTGGGCAACAGAGTGAGACCCTGTCTCAAAAAAAAAAAAAAAAAAAAGTCCGGGCATGTTGGCTCACACCTGTAATCTCAACACATTGGGAGGCTGAGGTGGGCAGATCACCTGAAGTTAGGAGTTCGAGACCAGCCTCGCTAACATGGCAAAACCCCATCTCTACTGAAAATATAAAGATTAGCCGAGCGTGGTGGTGCACTCCTGTAATCCCAGCTACTTGGGAGGCTGAGGCAGGAGAATTGCTTGAACCCAGGAGGCAGAGGTTGCAGTGAGCTGAGATCACACCACTGTGCTCTAGCCTAGGTGACAGAGTGAGACTCCTTTTCAAAAAAATAAAATAAAAATAAAAATAAAGACTGGGCATGATGGCTCATGCCTGTAATTCCAGCACTTTGGGGAGGCTGAAGGAGGAGAATTGCTTCAGCCCAGACGTTTGAGACTTTGAGACCAGCCTGGGCAACATGACGAAACCCCAACTCTACAAAAAAATACAAAAATTAACCGGGCATGGTGGCACACACTTGTAGTCCCAGCTCCTCGGGAGGCTGAGGTGGGAGGATCACCTGAGCCTTAAAGGTGGAGGCTGCAGTGAGCCATGATTGTACTACTATTCAGCCTGGGAGAGAATAAGACCCTGTCTCAAAAAAATAAAAAATTAGGGCGGGGATGGTGGCTCACACCTGTTATCCCAGCACTTTGGGAGGCCAAGGTGGGAAGATCACTTGAGGTCAGGAGATTGAGACCAGCCTGACCAACTTGGTGAAACCCTGTCTCTACTAAAAATACAAAAATTAGCCACGTATGGCGGTGTGCACCTGTAGTTCCAGCTACTCAGGAGGCTGAGGCAGGAGAATCACTTGAACCTGGGAGACAGAGGTTGTAGTGAGCCAAGATCACCCCATTGCACTATAGCCTGGGTGACAGCAGACTGTTTCAAAACAAAACAAAAAATTGCCTTACTTTCAGTGATACTAAAAAAAAAAATTTAATTAAAAAGACAAGTCATATACTGGAATAAAATATTTGCAAATCATATGTCTGATAAGCAAATTGAATTCAGAATAGATAAATAATTCTTACAACTCAATAATAAGAATACAGATAACTCAATTAAAAAATGGGTAAAGAATTTGAAAAGACAGCAGCTGGGTGTGGTGGCTCACACCCGTAATCCTAGCACTTTGGGAGGCCAAGGCAGGAGGATCGCTTGATGCTAGGAGTTGGTGACCAGCCTGGGCAACATGGTGAAACCCTGTCTCTATAAAAAAAAAAAAAAAAAAAAAAAAAAACTTGCCAGGCGTGGTGGTGGCACATGCCTGTAGTCTCAGCTATTCAGGAGGCTGAGGTGGGAGGATTGCTTGAGCCTGGGGAGGTGGAGACTGCAGTGAGCCATGATCATGCCACTGCACTCCCAGTGAGACCCTGTCTCACAAAAATAAAAAATAAATTGAAAATGGAATTAGTGTGATTCAGCAGTCCCACTTCTGGATATATATCCAACAGAATTCAAAGCAGATCTCAAAAAGATTCGCATACCCATGTTTATCATAGCTTTATTTGCAGTAGCCAAGAGGTAGAAACAACCCACATATCCATCAATAGATAAATGGATAAAGAAATTGTGGGCTGGGTGCGGTGGCTCACACCTGTAATCCCAGCACTTTGGGAGGCCAAGGCAGGCTGGTCACCCGAGCTCAGGAGTTTGAGACCAGCCTGGCCAACATGGCAAAACCCCGTCTCTACTAAAAATACAAAAATTAGCTGGGCGTGGTAGCGTGCACCTGTAGCCCCAGCTACTCAGCAGGCTGAGGCAGGAGAATCACTTGAACCCGGGAGGTGGAGGTTGCAGTGAGCTGAGATCGCGCCACTGCCCTCCAGCCTGGCAACAGAGCGAGACTTCATCCCCCGCCTCCAAAAAAGAAGGAAGTCTTGTCTTATACTGCAATATGGTGAACATTGAGGAGGATGTAATGCTAAGTGAAATAAGAGGACAAATAGTGTATCATTCTCCTTATGTGAAGTATCCAGTGTTGCCAAAATCATAGAAACAGAAAGTGGAAAGGTGGTTGCCGGGAGCTGGGCAGAGAGGGAATACGGAATTGGTGTTTATTGAGTATAGAGTTTCAGTTTTACAAAATGAAAATGTTTTGGAGATCTGTGGCATAACAGTGTAAATATACTGGACACTGCATAAAAATGGGTAAGATGGTAAATTCAATGTTAACGTGTTTTTTTTACCACAATAAAAAATACGTTTAAAAAATGTTTAGGCCAGGTGCAGTGGCTCACAGCTACTTTGGGAGGCTAAGGTGGGCAGATCACCTGAGATCAGGAGTTTGAGACCAGCCTGGGCAACATGGTGAAACCCCATCTCTACAAAAAATACAAAAATTAACCAGGTGTGGTAGCACATGCCTGTAATCTCAGCTGCTTGGGAGGCTGAGGCACGAGAATCACTTGAACCTGGAAGGCAGAGGTTGCAGTGAGCTGAGATTGTGCCACTGCACTTCAGCCTGGGCTACAGACCCTGTATCAAAAAAAAAATTTTTTTTTAAATAAATTTTAAAACTTTTTAACGGACAAAGGATTTGAATAGGATTTCACCAAAGAAAATACATGAATGCCCATAAGCTTATGGAAAGGGACTCAACCTTCTTAGTCATTATGGAAATGCAAAGTGAAACTATAATGGGATACCAGTTCCTGCACACTGGGACAGCTGTAACTTAAAAGAGATAGATAATAACGTGTTAGTGAGGTGAGGAGAAAGTGGACCCTTCCGATATTGCTGATGGGAATGTAAAATGGTGCAGCCACTTTGGAAATAGTCTAGTAGTCCCTCAGAAATTACATGTGGGCTGGACGCAGTGGTTCACGCCTGTAATCCCAGCACTTAACGAGGCTGAGGGCGCGGATCACCTGAGGTCAAGAATTCGAGACCGACCTGGCCAACGTGACAAGACCCCATCTGTGCTAAAAATAAATACCAAAAACGTAGCCGGGCATGTTGGTGTGCACCTGTAATCCCAGCTACTCAGGAGGCTGAGGCAGGAGAATCGCTTGAACCCAGGAGGTGGAGGTTGCAGTGAGCCAAGGTCACGCCTCTGCACTCCAGCCTGGGTGACAGAGCAAGACTCCATCTCAAAAAAAAGAAAAAAAAAATTACATATGACCCAGCAATTTCATTCCTGGGTGTCTACCCAAAAGATACCATCCATATAAACACTTATATATATGTGTATAAGTGTTTCTTATACAAGAATCTTTCCTCCTTGGATCATCAAAGGCTAAATAATGCAAGTTAGAAAGCAAACATCCATGTAAACACTTAAGTGACCATAGCAGCATGTTTTATAATAGCCAACAAGTAGAAACAACCTAAATGCCCATCAGCAGAGGGTGGGATTAGCCAGAGGGCCAGTTTACTAGCCCTGCTTTAAATGATAAAGCTGTCCACGTCCTCCCAGGAGCTACCTTAAATTCAAAACACAAGAAACACAAGAAGCATGCTGATTACAATTGTAACAAAATACCAGCTTTCACCATTATGATTTAATACCGTTTTTAGAAATCCTGACTATTATAATATGAGAAAAGACAGAGACATACAAAGCCTCAATAGGCCGGGTGCTATGGCTCACACCTCTAATTCCAACACTTCGGGCGGCTGAGGTGGGAGGATCCCTTGAGCCCAGGAGGTCAAGACCAGCCTTGGCAACATGGTGAAACCTCATCTCTACAAAAAATACTAAATTAGCCAGGTGCAGTGGTGCACTTGCCTGTAGTCCCAGCTACTCTGGAGGCTGAGCAGGAAGATCACTTGAGCCCTTGCTGTTGAGGCTGCAGCAAGCCATGATCATGCCATTCCACTCCAGCCTGGGCAACAGAGCAAGATCCTGTCCCAAAAAAGCCTCAATAATTAAGAGGGATGCAAGAATAAATTATTGACCATTGGTTAGCTGAAGTCAGTGCCTAGGACAGGAAATGGAAAGAAAAACACTAGTGACATTTAGGGTTCTGTGATGGTGAGATTGTTGGTGTTTTCTTTTTACCAGTCTCCATACTTACTTCATTATGGGATTTCTTTGGAAGCTAAAAATACTGCCTGGGCATGGTGGCTCACGCCTGTAATCCCAGCACTTTGGGAGGCTGAGGCAGACAGATCACTTGAGGTCAGGAGTTTGACACCAGCCTGGCCAACATGGTGAAACCCTGTCTACTAAAAATCCAAAAAAAAAAAAAAAAAATTAGCTGGGTGTGGTGGCGAGCACCTGTAGTCCCAGCTACTCAGGAGATGGAGGCTGCAGTGAGCCAAAATGGCACTACTGCACTCCAGCCTGGGCGACAGAGTGAGACTCCATCTCAGAATATATATATAATTTTGAAACATTGGGATAGTTTCCTAAAATAATCTGAAGCATACATCTATATCTAATTCAACAAAAGATTTATAGCATTTTTTTTCTTTGAAACTTAACATATTTCTGTACCTTAATTTTTGTTTCTTTTCTTTTTTTTTTTTTTTGAGACGGAGTCTTGCTCTGTTGCCCAGGCTGGAGTGCAGTGGTGCGAACTCGGCTCACTGCAAGCTCCGCCTCCCAGGTTCACGCCATTCTCCTGCCTCAGCCTCCTGAGTAGCTGGGACTACAGGCACCAGCCATCACACCCGGCTAATTTTTTGTGTGTTTTTTAGTAGAGACGGG
Organism: Homo sapiens; assembly: GCF_000001405.40. Lineage (NCBI taxonomy): Eukaryota > Metazoa > Chordata > Mammalia > Primates > Hominidae > Homo > Homo sapiens. The sequence goes on from NC_000007.14 coordinate 55,990,425, forward strand.
GTTTCACTGTGTTAGCCAGGATGGCCTCGATCTCCTGACCTCATGATCCGCCTGCCTCGGCCTCCCGAAGTGCTGGGATTACAGGCATGAGCCACCGTGCCTAGCCTGTTTTTTGTTTTTAGGGGGAGATGTGTGTGTTTATTTCTTTGAAGTAATTATGTTAACTCTTACTTTTCTTTGGCAGCTTGCTATTTCTGTTTCCTAAGCTGGCATTTCATAACTATTTACCCACAAAGGGGGAGGCCACATGGTGCTGAGAAAAAGCTCTGGGTTTGAGTTACTTGACAGCTCTCACCTTGAAAAGAGAACTTGTACCTTTTTGCCTTTTTTTTTAACTTCAACTTATATCTTTTCTTTTTTCTTTTTCTTTTTTTTTTTTTTGAGACGGAGTCTTGCTCTGTTGCCCAGGCTGGAGTGCAGTGGCGCAGTCTCGGCTCACTCCAATCTCTGCCTCCTGGGTTCAAGCGATTAGCCTGCCTCAGCCTCCCAAGTAGTTGGGATTACAGGCGTGCACCGCCACACCTGGCTAATATGTTTTGTATTTTTAGTAGAGACAGAGTTTCGCCATGTTGGCCAGGCTGATCTCGAACTTCTGACTTCAAGTGATCTGCCTGCCTCAGCATCCCAAAGTGCTGGGATTACAGGTGTGAGCCACCGCGCTCGGCCCCAGTTTTTCTCTTTTTTCGGTTATGAAATTTCCTGCTGTGCATGAAATAATTTCTAAGATCCCTTCTGTCTCCAACAAATAGTTCTGTGATCTTTATTTCTAATGAACCTTTCCTCCTTAGATCATCAAAGGCTAAATAATGGAAGTTAGAATTTCTTTTCATTTGAAAACTAAGAAATACATATTTGGTTGTATGCTACTATTATATACAATTTTTGTTCTTTTGTTTTTGGACTATTGTTGTTAATCATGTAGCTACTCACGGAATAGGATTACTCACTAGTTCAATTTTTGCCCATTACTGATCAAGACTCGCTCGCCGTGGAATCCACAGGGACATACTGGGGTTATTCAGTTATTTAAAAAATTATTTGACCAGGCGCGGTGGCTCACACCTGTAATCCCAGCACATTGGAAGGCCAAGATGGGCAGATCACCTGAGGTCAGAAGTTCGAGACCAGCCTGACCAACATGGAGAAACCCTGTCTGTACTAAAAATAACAAAAATTAGCCAAGTGTGGTGGTGCATGCCTGTAATCCCAGCTACTCGGAAGGCTGAGGCAAGAGAATTACTTGAACCCATGAGGCAGAGGTTGTGGCAAGCCAAGATCGCACCATTGTACTCCACCGTGGGCAACAAGAGTGAAACTCTGTCTCAAAAAAAAAAAAAAAAAATATATATATATATATAATTTATAAAGCCAGTTTAGCATTCAATTTATATTTTGGCACATAGGTAACTAAGATGGTGACCACCTCGTCTGTACAGGCTTCTGATTGTTACCAGGCTAAGGCAAGTATGTTTTGTTTGCCTACCATAACTAAATTACAAAAATTCAGAATGAAATGAATAATCTGGAATATTTATCACTATCAATGAAAGCCAGGTTTTTTTCTTCTGAATAGAGTTAGAATGCACATTGAAGTGATTTGCTTAATTTCAATAATCAGATTTATAATTTCTGTGAAGATATTGATCACTTAATTCTCAATGTAAAGATTAAAGATGTCATCTTATTTGTGGATAATCCATGGGGGCAATAGCAAGAAGTCCCTTTTTCACCATAAAGGAACCCAAGCGCTTGGGTAAGGTTCCCATCATGGCACTGAGCCCATGGTGGATTAGAGCAGAGGTGTAGAGTGATTTTAAGGAGACTGGATTGCTTGAGCCCAGGAGTTCGAGACCAGCCCAAGCAACATAGCAAGGCCCCATCTCAACAACAACAAAAACATAATAAAAAATAAAAAATTGGCTGTGCTTAGTGGTGCAAGCCTGTAGTTCCAGCTACTCAGGAGGCCGGGGCAGGAGGCTCCCTCGAGCCCAAGAGTTCCAGACTGCAGTCAGCTAAGATCATGCCACTGTACTCCGGCCTGGGTGACAGAGTGAGTCTCTGTCTTAAAAAAGGAGATTGGCTTAGTCACTCACAGGAAATCACTCTTGGATTTTTTTCCCCCTTTTGAGATGTTATCATTCAGTATATATGAAGTTTGCCTCCAGGAAGAGAATGCTCAGCCAAGCCAACTCAAGCATCTTGTGCCTTGAGAGTGACATCTTTCACTGTCATTGTTAGTAGGTTGCTATCCTTGTTTATATGCTGCCAGCTCTTTTGAATGAATTAGAGTGAATCTGTCTTCCCAAGTCTTGTCACCTGTGGGACCCTGATATGACTGAGACTTCAGGCCAGAGCCTGGGCAGTGTGGTATGGATTTACTGGGTAATGCATGGTGTGTCATCTCCTGATAGACCTTAACCATGTGTCTTCTGGTGACCTCCCTATGTCATTTGAAGCCCCTTCCTTTTCACCTTTGATTCTAGAAGACTGCTTTTGAAAAAATGGGCACATTTTAAAACATTTTTAGGAATTCAGATGCATCACTAAATATTTTTTTTTTAAGTGGTGCAAGTATGAAAGGAAAGGGCTCTGAGCCAGGCGCAGTGGCTCACACCTGTAATCCAAGCACTTAGGGAGGCTGGGGTGGACAGATCACTTGAGGTCAGGAGTTCAAGACCAGCCTGGCCAATGTGGTGAAATCCCATCTCTACTAAAAATACAAAAATTAGCCAGGCGTGGTGGTGCACACCTGTAATCCCAGCTACACAGGAAGCTGAGGCAGGAGAATAGCTTAAACCTGGGAGGCAGAGGTTGCAGTGAGCCGAGATCCCGCCACTGCACTCCTGAGTGGCAGAGTAAGACTCCGTCTAAAAAAAAAAAAGGGCTGTAGGCTGGCCTGGTGGCTCATGCCTGTAATCCCAGCAGTTTGGGAGGCCGAAGCGGGGCAGATCGAGACCAGCCTGGCCAACATGGCGAAACCTCATGCCTACCAAAAATACAAAAAATTAGCCAGACGTGGTGGTGGGCGCCTGTAATCCCAGCTACTCGGGAGGTTGAGGCAGGAAAATCGCTTGAACCCAGAAGGTGGAGGTTGCAGTGAGCCAAGATCGTACCATTGCATTCCAGCCTGGGCAACAGCGAGACTCCATCTAAAAAAAAAAAAAAAAAAGCCGAGCGTGATGTCATGTGCCCATAACCCCAACTACTCAGGAGGCTGAGACACGAGAATAACTTGAACCCAGGAGATGGAGATTGCAGTAAGCTGAGATCACGCCGCTGCACTCCAGCCTGGGAGACAGAGGAAGACTGTTTCAAAAAAAATTAAAGAGCTGATACCTTTTGCAGTGGGAAATTCTTAAAGTTTTAAGCCAAGTGCCTATTTTTAACTGATCATAGTGTGATGTCCACAGAGGCACAATGTATATTAGTACTTTCTTCCATATTTGGTACATAATGAATGCCTTTGGTACTCATTTTCTGAATGGTTTGCTCTAGTAGGAAAGAAAAAAAAAAAAAGCAAGAGGCAGCTTTGCCTGCACTACTGAGGCTGTACCACCAGAAAGCTTCATTCCCATGGTTCCTCTGTATGGCATCCAAGAAGTTGCAGAGTCCCTTGTGTAGTTCAGAGAGCAGGGGTGTTTCTCAGGATTTCAGAGTCATCAGCTGCTTTGAAGGTGTGCTTCCTTCACCTGTGTTTTAACGCCCTGCCCCAGGGGTGGTCCCTGTCTCCCTTGGGTACAGTGCCCTGTGGCACCTTGGGTGCTCTAGTTCCAGGTTTGCCTCGCTTCCCCTCTGAGGGTGTTCTGGAGAAGCAGTGCTTTTTAAATTGACGGGTCCCATCCTCTGCCAGTTCTAGACTTTATTTCAAGAATCACCAGTGCAACTATATATACATCTTCAGGTTGCTGTTTTTATTTTTAATAATTATTAAATACATTTTCTCAAAAAAATTAGTATAGCTACAGAAAAGTATGCTTACATTTCATATACATTAAAATGACTTTTAGACCAGGTGTGGTGGCTCACGCCTATAATCCCAGCACTTTGGGAGGCTGAGGCGGGCGGATTACTTGAGGTCAGGAGTTTGAGACAAGCCTGGCCAACATAGGGAAATCTTGTCTCTACTAAAAATACAAAAATTAGCCGAGCATGGTGGCGGGTGCCTGTAATCCCAGCTACTCAGGAGGTTGAGGCAGGAGGATGGCTCGAACCCAGGAGGTGGAGGTTGCAGTGAGCTGAGATTGTGTCACTGCACTCCAGCCTGGGTGACAGAATGAGACTCCGTCTCAAATAATAATAAAGTAAATAAAATAACTTTTGATTTGCCTTAGATAACTTGATACCAGTTTGATAAACCATTAGTCTTCATTTTAAACAGCCTGCCCTGAGTATGGTGAAGGTTTAGTCTACCGATTCTCGTTAGCGTATCTAATTCAGTGTCTTAAACAAACATCATCTCATTCTTACAGGGCTCGTGCAATCCGCTTCAGACAGGATGGTAACGAAGCCGTCGGAGGATTCTTCTCTCAGATTGGGCAGCTGTACATGGTGCACCATCTTTGGGGTATCTGTTTTTCCCTTTTCGAGTTACTGGGATTTAAGAGTTCATTACTAAGTTGTACTGGGAAGTAGAGCACATCTTGAGTCAGTAACCTTAACCACTACAGCAAATCCGACGTCACAGAGGGACAGTCTGTACGGGGCTGTCTGGAACTAGCGAGGTCAACAGTGAAAGTCCATAGATTGATGGCATTAGTGAGCTGAAAGTGAGTAGGGATGATGGGGAAAGGAATAAGGGGTAAAGCAAGCAGCCATGGAAGAAGGAGGCCAGGGAAGTCAAGAGTGCCTTCCACAGAGTGGTCCCAGCCTTTCTTTGTAGACTGACTGCTTACTTCCTCGACAGAGGCAGGCCTGCATTTTACCCAGAGCAGCAGCTTCCTGCACATACTCACTGCCTGCCTTTGTAGACGTGGTTCCACTGTCTCATGACATTGACCCCCTCACCATTTCCATCCCCACACACTTTTGTTTGGCACCATCTTTGGTATTTTTCCAGGCCTGCCCCAGATGTCACCCTTCCCCAGTAGTGAACATCATCACTCCTCCTGAGCCCCCAGAGCCTTGTGTGGTGCTGGTTATTACCGTTGCGGCTGTATATGGTGTGCAACCCTCCCAGGCATGTGAATAAGCACAGGTGCTAGAAGGGCAGGATTGGATGGAGGAAGGTTCCATCCCTTTGGCTGTTGGGCAGAGGTCAAGCCAGGTGCATGCTCCATTCACATCAGCACCTGTAGCTGCCCGGAGAGGGCCTCCCAGATGCAGGATCCTGGAATGGCAAACAGGCAGGCACCAGAGTGTGAATGGCGGAGCTCTCATAGAGGCTGTGGGGAATGCAGGACAGACCTCTTGTCTCTGCCCTGTCGGGAGGACTCAAGGCTTCACAGAGCAACAGCAAGTTGAAGATGATTGCTTGAGGCCAGGAGTTTGAGGCTGCAGTGAGCTATGACTGTGCCACTGCACTCCAGTCTGGGCAAATAGAGCAAGACCCTGTCTCAAAAAAAAATGTAATTAACAAGATATTGGCTGGGCACAGTGGTTCACGCCTATAATCCCAGCACTTTGGGAGGCCGAGGCAGGTGGATCATCTGAGGTCAGGAGTTAAGAGACCAGCCTGACCAACATGGTGAAACCTCATCTGTACTAAAAATACAGAAAATTAGGCATGGAGGCGCATGCCTGTAATCCCAGGTACACAAGATGCTGAGGCAGAAGAATCGATTGAACTCAAGAGGCGGAGGTTGCAGTGAGCCGAGATCGCACCACTGCATTCCAACTTGGGCAACAGAGCAAGACTCCGTCTCAAAAAAAAAAAAAAAAGAAAAGAAACCAAGGCATCTGGATGAGATACCTGTGAATTGTACCATGACACAGGTGATCCCCCTCCACCTGAAGCGCCTTTCTTCCTATTCCTACGTCAGTGATGTCCTTTTCAACTTCAACACCCACCTGGTCAGCTTGCACCTTTCCCACAGCTCTCCCATTGCTTGCCCTGCTCCCCTATACACTGTGTCCTTGTATGGGCCACGGCACTCTCCACAACTGACCTCGCCTGCCTCATATCCTGGGGCTTCACCGCTGGAACACGCTCCCTGCCCAGATCAGTGTAGTGCGAGATAAATGTTGAGTAAAATTGATCTGACATTGCTCATCTGTGGTCTCACAGTTTCTGGTCATGAATTTAACATGTTATTGGAGAATTTCACTTGGTTTATAAAGGTATATCTTAGATTCACTAGATTGTAAAGCTTAAGAGGGAATTGTGTCTGGATGTGGTGGCTCACGCCTCGATTCCCAGCAGTTTTGGAGGCTGAGTCGGGAGGATCACTTGAGTCCAGGTGTTTGAGACCAGCTCGGGCAACATAGTGAGACCCCATCTCAAACAAACAAACAAATAATTTTTTTAACTTAAGAATGGGCCAGGCGTGGTGGCTCACCCCTGTAATTCTAGCACTTTGGGAGACTGAGGCGTTTTGATGATTTGAGCCCAGGAGTTTGACATCTGACTGGGCACAAAAAAATACAAAAATTAGCCAATGTGGTAGCACATTCCTGTAGTCCCAGCTATTCAGCAGGCTGAGGTGGGAGGATCACTTGAGCCTAGGAGGTCAAGGCCGTGGTGAAACATCATCGTGCCATTGCGCTCCAGGCTGGTTGACAGAGTGACCTTGTCTCAGAAAAAAAAAAAAAAAAGACTGAAAGTTTGCTTTTCCCACGTGGCCTAATATAATTTTGCTCAGAATTTCCCCAGCCCAGTATATTACACACCTGAAGTAGTCCCTGAGAAAACTAGATGTCCAGGTGAAGCAAGACTTTAACGGATGTATGGGTGGAATGCAGTGTATGTGTTTTAAGTCTTACTTCTCTGTGTGGTTATTTTTAAGCTTACAGGGATCTTCAGACCAGGGAAGACATACGGAATGCAGCATGGCACAAACATGGCTGGGAGGAATTGGTATATTACACAGGTAATCTCTTAACAGCCATGAAATATGCTTTTTGTCTTACTGTTTCAATCATGTTCTTTCACCCTGACACTAATAGGTGGGTTTTGTAATAGTATGTTGCTAGGATAGTGAGTTATCAGGTTGTGGGGGGAAGGGAGATAGTCAATTTTTCTCTAATACTTACATGACTTTTTTTCAATAAAGTAGAATATCCATGCTTTCAAATAGGTATATCATCTGTTACAGTTTTCAGACCCTTGGATGTTGTAAATTTTACATCATTACCTGTTTTTGTAGATTTCTATATTCTCTGAAAACTTATTACACAAATAAAATTTTTTTCTAAGCTTTCCTTTTCCATCAGAATTGTTAGTATCCCAAATCAGAACTTAATACATCAATTAAAGAGTGATTTTGAAATTAGATAAATTAAACTTCCTGTATGTACAGTATGTATCTGGGTACATAATACATGCATGTGCACATACATAAGTATATTATGAAACCCTGTTTGCTTGATTTTTAAAAGAAAACAGTTGGCTGAATGTAACCCAGTGGCATTGGTAGAGGTAATCAGTACCAGCCATGTTGCATGGCAAGTATATTTCAGGCCGGGCGCAGTGGCTCACGCCTGTAATCCCAGCACTTTGGGAGGCTGAGGTGGGCAGATCACCTGAGGTCGGGAGTTCGAGACCAGCCTGACGAACATGATGAAACCTGTCTCCATTTGAGAGACTGAGGCAGGAGAATCGCTTGAACCTGGGAGGTGGAGATTGTGCCACTGCACTCCAGCCTGGGTGACAGAGCAAGAATCCGTCTCAAAAAAAAAAAAGTGTATCTCAGCCCCTATACTACCAAGAAAATAAAAGAGTAATTTGTCCTAGAAAGTAGGTGTTACCTTGTCTTTCAGTTCAAGAGATTATATAACATATAATTACATGTTATAATTATATAATTGTATTTGATTTTGCTGCTTACGCGAACGTTTGAGAAATCACCATTTCTCCTCACAGTATGGACTTTTCCTACCTCCCACAAATAAAACAAATATCCAGGTAGGATCTGTTTTTTTTTTTTTTTTTTTTTTTTTTGAGACGGAGTCTTGTTCTGTCGCCAGGCTGGAGTGCAGTGACGCGATCTCGGCTCACTGCAACCTCCGCCTCCCGGTTTCAAGCGATTCTCCCGCCTCAGCCTCCTGAGTAGCTGGGATTACAGGCAGGCGCCACCACACCCAGCTAAGTTTTGTATTTTTACTAGAGACAGGGTTTCACCCTGTTGGCCAGGATGGTCTCGATTTCCTGACCTCGTGATCCACCTGCCTCAGCCTCCCAAAGTGCTGGGATTACAGGTGATCTGCGCCCAGCTGATCTGTTGTAATTTTAATAGCATCTTGTAGGATGGCAGCTGATACAGGGTCCGCTTGTATATTTCTGCCCTTGAGGTTAGTCCTGTATATTATGATATTCTCTTGTTTTCAAGCAGCACATCTGTGAACATTCTCGGCAATCTGTCTGTTAGTGTCATTTACCATAATGTGTTTAGAAAGTAACAAGTGCAGTAACCCTGATCTTGTTTTCAGTTCCACTTATTCAGGAAATGGAATCCAGAATCATGATCCCACTGAAGACCTCGCCCCTCCAGTAAAGCTGTAGAGTTTCTATGTGCCTACATACATTTCTGTGACAAGTATTTGTCGTAAATTAATTTTAATTGTGTATCAAGTGAAAAAGAAACACTGAGGTTTTAAGCTGCTGTATATAGCTTGTGAGAAACCTCTTTTCTTTAAAATTTACATAATCACAAGAAAGGAAAGAATTACAGTTGGACTGATTGTGACAGTGCCTTGTCGTCCTCTTTGAAACACCCCGTGTTGTCCAGTATACCTTATAACACTGAGCCACTTCTCCCCACCCTCCAGAAGGGGTCCACGTTGAATTCTGAATCATCTTGAAAATAAGATTCCAACCACAAAAAAAATTTAGCCATTTCTTTACTAAAAAAAACCAAAAAACAAATCTGTTTTATAATCACAGATTTTTAGACAAATTTCTTGTATCAGGAAGAAATACAAATTTTGTCATGTTTCTCAAGCAGTTTTTCTGAGTAGTTTCTGAGGAGGAACAAATTACAAGTGTACCCAATAACTGAAAATGTTTTAACTCACTCTCATTTGTAAGCAGTCCACATAGTAGACAATGGGTTTTCCAAGCTGGGCAAGGTACATTTAATCAGTAAATCAGTTTCACATCATGTATTGTGATGTTTCAATGTGAGACACAAAAACAATGGCTTGAAACTTGTGTATCATATGTGATTTTGAAATGAACACCTTGAATAGCACTAATTTTTATTTGTGGTATTTTTCTATAACAAAACAAGTAGCTCTAGGAAAAGAGGTTTTATTTTGTAAACGATCATTTGTGACCTCAGACACTCTCTGGCTAATATTTTAATAAGCTCACAGCAGATAATTCTGAGATCATGGGTGAGGGGTGGTGCATGTTGAGATTTAAATTGGCATAAAGCTGCATACTTTTTGTCTAGCTGTTTGATTTCATTTTTTAATATAGTATGCCAATTTTGTGACTGTTACCATGTGAAAGTCCTGTTGAAATGAACAATTGTCTGCCCCACAATCAAGAATGTATGTGTAAAGTGTGAATAAATCTCATATCAAATGTCAAACTTTTACATGTGAATGATTTTCTCAAAGAACATAGAAAAGTCAATAAAATCCTCTTAATTTCCACATATCACGTTTGGATTTTCTTTTTTAATTTGTTCTGAGATTGACAAACATTGCTGTGAATGACCTTGTCACTCTTGCAAAATAGCTTGTCACAAAAGATTGAAGGAAGTGAGGAAGTCAGCTGGCTTCTGGGGAAAATCCCTCCATAGGAACAAATTACGAGGCCCTGGGCAAGGTCATGCCTGGTATGTGCTGAGGGCAGCAGAAGCCAGTGGCAGAAGCAGACATGAGGGAGAGTGTGGTGGGACACGAGCTCAGAGGTCACAGGGCTGGATCCCTTGAGTGTTGGAGGCCATTAGAAAGACCCTAGTGGCCGGGCCCAGTGGCTCACACCAGTAATTCCAACACTTTGGGAGGCCGAGGCCAGAGGATCCCTTGAACGCAGGAGTTTGAGACCAGCCTGGGCAACATGAATGAAACCTCATCTCTACAAAAAATCGAAAAATTAGTTGGGCATGGTAGCATGTGCCTGTAGTCCCAGCTACTCAGGAGGCTGAGGCAGGAGGATTGCTTGAGCCCAGGAGGTCGAGGCTGTAATGAGCTGTGATTGCACCACTGCACTACAGCCTGGGCAACAGAGCTAGATCCTGTCTCAAAAATAATAACAAGGCTGGGCACAGTGGCTCACACCTGTAATCCCAGCACTTTGGGAGGCCAAGGCAGGAGGATCACCTGAGGTCAGGAGTTCGAGATGAACCTGGCCAACATGGTGAAACCCTGTCTCTACTAAAAACACAGAAATTAGCTGGGCATGGGGGTGGGCACCTGTAATCCCAGCTACTTGGGAGGCTGAGGCAGGAGAATCGCTTGAACCCAGGAGGTGGAGGTTGCAGTGAGCTGAGAGCGCACCACTGCACTCCAGCCTGGGTGACAGCGAGAGCCCGTCTCAAAAAAAGTGAGACTAGAGGAGCTCACCAAGGGAGTGACTGTAGTCAGAGGAGAGGATCAAGATGAGGAGGAACCTGCAAAAGAGACTAAGAAACCACCAGGGAACTCAGCAGACACTCAAGCAAGTGAGGCGTCATGAGAGCCAAGTGAAAGTCCATCAGAGATCACCTCTGTCAAATGCTGTCAAGTGGCTGGGCCAGATGTGGTCCCCAAACTGTTCACAGTTGGGTGCAGTGGCTCACACCTGTAATCCCAGCACTCTGGGAGGCCGAGGCGGGCGGGTCACCTGAGGTCAGGAGTTCGAGAGCAGCCTGGCCAACATGGTGAAACCCCATCTCTACAAATAATACAAAAATTAGCTTGGCATGGAGGCATACGCCTGTAATCCCAGCTATTGGGGAAGCTGAGGCAAGACAATCACTTGAACTTGGGAGGCGGAGGTTGCATTCCAGCCTTGGTGACAGAGCAAGACACCATCTAGGAAAAAAAAAAAAAATTCATGAATTTAGCAACATGATGGTCACTAAGTGACCTTTGATAAGGGCATTCTATTCTTGAGCTATTTTATGAAATTATCACTTTATTTTAGCAATTCCTGCTCAGTTTGACAAGTCATTTTACTGAATTTCTATAGCACAATGAATCATTATTTTGTCCCACTATTAATTTTCTTTTTTCTTTTTTGAGACAGGGTCTGGCTCTGTCGCCAGGCTGGAGTGCAGTGGAACGATCTTGGGTCACTGCAGTCTCCACCTCCCAGGCTAAAGCCATCCTCCCACCTCAGCTTCCCGAATAGCTGGGACCACAGGTGTGCACCACCATGCTCAGATAATTTCTGTATTTTTTTGTAGAGACAGGGTTTTGTCGTGTTGCCCAGGCTGGTCTCGAACTCCTGGGCTCAAGTTACCCACCTGGGCCTTCCGAAGTGCTGGGATTACAGGTGTGAGCCACTGTCCTCAGCCACACTATTACTTTTCATTGGCAGTATTCAAAACTTCCAAACTCATTTTCAATTTATTGGTTATAAGTCTGAGGAATATTACTTATAAAAGCCAACTCATTTTTCGTTATCACACGTGAGGTTTTTAAGTCTGTTTCAAAAAGCAAGTGTGCCATATTATCAGCATCCCTACCACCTTTTTTGTTCTTTGGAGACAGTGTCACTCTGTCGCCCAGGCTAGAGTGCAGTGGTGCGACCACAGCTCACTGTAACCCTAAACTCCTGGGCTCAAGCAATCCTACCACCTCAGTCTCCCAAAGAGCTAGGACTACAGGTGTGCCACTATGCCTGGCTTTTTAAAATTATTACTGTTATTTTGTAGAGATGGCATCTCACCATATTGCCCAGGCTAGTCTCAAATTCCTCGGTTCAAGCAATCCTCCCACCTCAGCCTCCCAAAGCACTGAGACTGCAAGCGTGAGACACCGCACCCAGCCCTTACCACTTGTTAAAAGCCTTTTTAGAACCACTTTGCTCTCCTCCAAACTAGCCATTGATAGAACCGTCTTTTATTTTCACAACTGCCTGTGAAAGACCCTTTTTGCAGTTCCCCATCATAATTTTGCTTTAGTTTGGGATCTTTAGGATGGAGGGCATCCCTCCAGTGATTAGGAGACACCCAAGATGGAAATAAAGATTTTATTACTTACAGGTCCTGGGGGTAAACACCATGCCTGGAGGTCACACACATGGAGTCAGGGAGCACAGACGGGGAGAAAAAGAGACGCATGGGCCAGTGCCTTTAGTGGGGTACAGAGCATTGCTCAAACAGATTTCCCTATGAGGAGTTTTAATTAGTAGATTTAAAGCAAGCATGGTTGGGCACAGTGGTTGACACCTATAATCCCAGCTCTTCTGGAAGGCCAACTCAGGAGGATCTCTTGAGACCAGAAGTTCCAGACCAGCCTGGGCGACATAGCAAGATCCTGTCTCTACAAAAAAAAAAAAAAAAAAAAATCAAAAAATTTGCCAGTGTGGTGGTACACACCTGTGGCCCCAGCTACTCAGGAGACTAAGGTAGGAGGATCGTTTGAGCCCAGGAGGTGGAGGCTGTGTCACAATCTGTGGTTAGTGAGGCCTAGGAGAGTGCGTGCCCCCAGCCTGGCCTCTTAACCCTTGGGATGGGAGCCACATCAAAAATGTGTTAATATAGGCCAGGTGCAGTGGCTCACACCTGTAATCCCAGAACTTTGGGAGGCCAAGGAGGGCGGATCACCTGAGGTCAGGAAGTCGAGACCAGCCAGGCCAACAAAGCAAAACCCTGTCTCTACTGAAAATACAAAAATTAGGTGTGGTGACATGCACCTGTAACCCTAGCCACTTGGGATTCTGAGGCAAGAGAATCGCTTGAACCTGGGAGGCAGAGGTTGCAGTTAGCCGAGATCATGCCACTACACTCCAGCCTGGGGGACAGAGTGCGATTTCATCTCAAAAAAAAAAAAGAGGAAGATTTTTAACTCAATGTCCCTAGGCAGTAGCCTCCCTCTGGGACAGCCCATACCACAAGATAATCAGTTACTTTCTCGCCCTTTTAGTGTTCTGTAAGTAAAATCTTTAGAATGGCTTGTATTTCTAGGTGACTAAAACAATATATATATATTTTTTTTCTTCTTTTTCTTTGGACGTTTACCTGACAAGCTTCCGCTGATATCAAGTAGTTGTTTTGTTTTGTTTTTGAGACAGTCTTGCTTTGTCACTCAGGCTGGAGTGCAATGGCGTGACCTCAGCTCACTGCAGCCTCGACCTCCTAGGCTCAAGTGACCCTCCCACCTCAGCCTCTTGAGTAGCTGCGACTACAGTGCATGCACCATGCCTGGCTAATTTTTAAATTTTCTGTAGACACAGGGTTTCATTATGTTGCCCAAGCTGGTCTCCAACTCCTGGGCTCAAGCAATCCTCCTGCCTGGGCCTCCCAAAGTGTTGAGATTACAGGCATTAGCCACTGCGCTTGGCTGCCCATTGCTTTAATGTAGGGCCTTTAAGATGGACAGCACCCCTCCAGTGATTAGGAGAGGCCCAAGATGGAAATAGTTTATCACTTGGCCAGGCACAGTGGCTGATGCCTGTCCCAGCATTTTGGGAGGCCGAGGCAGGAGAATCTCTTGAGTACAGGAGTTGGAGACCAGCCTGGGCAATTTCTGTAGACCCTGTGTCTACAAAAAATTTAAAAATTAGCCAGGTGTGATGGTACCTGTGTGATGGTACCCAGCTACCTGTGAGGCTGAGGCAAGAGGATCACTTGAGCCTGGAATGTCAAGGCTGCAGTGGGCTGTGTTCGTGTCACTGTACATCAGCCTGGGTGACAAAGTGAGAGCCTGTCAAAAAACCAAACCAAACAAACAGTTTATCACTTAAAGATCCTAGGGATACACAACACTCCTGGAGGTCATACACAGGAGGTCAGAAAGAGACTTGGGGGCCAGTGCCTTTAGTGGGGTCCTGGGTGTCACCCAAGCAGGTTTCACGTGGGGATTTTAACTGGTGGGTTTAACGCAAGCAAGTGGCCGGGTGAGGTGACTCACGCCGGCAATCCCAGCACTTTGGGAGGCTGAGGCAGATGGATCACCTGAGGTCAGGAGTTTGAAACCAGCCTGGCCAGCATGGTGAAACCCCTGTCTCCACTAAAAATACAAAAATTAGCTGGGCGTGGTGGTGGGCGCCTGTAGTCCCAGCTTACTTGGGAGGCTGAGGTAGGAGGATCACTTGAGCCTGGGAGATCAAGGCTGCAGTAAGCTGAGATTGCACCACTGCACCCCAGCCTGGGCAACAGAGACACACCCTGTCTCAAAAAACAAACAAAAAATAAAGCAAGCAGTCACGAGTTCCAGGAGGTCTTGCAGTGACTGAATGGTGGTCACTGCAGCATATCTGCACAGTCCGTGTCGGTGTGAGGGTCAGTGGGGCCTGCTGAACAGGCTGCATGTAACTGTCCCACGGGAAGGTGGCCACCAGGGGGCAGTTGTGTAAGGCAGACTTCTGGATCCACCACATTGAGGGACTGTGGGGGTCAGGGAGTAGAACTGGAAACAGTGTCAAGAGTGACTGAGTTGGCCCGGTGCTGTGGCGGCTCACGCCTGTAATCCCAGCACTTTGGGAGGCTGAGGCAGGCGGATCACCTGAGATCAGGAGTTCGAGACCAGCCCAGCCAATATAGTGAAACCCCATCTCTACTAAAAATACAAAAATTAGCCGGCATGGTGGTACATGCCTGTAATCCCAGCTACTCGGGAGGCTGAGGCAGGAGAATTGCTTGAACCTGGGAGGAGGAGGTTGCAGTGAGCCGAGATCACAGCACTGCACTCCAGCCTGGGCAACAGAGCGACACCTTGTCTCAAAAAAAAGAATGACTGAGCCCTGCTTCTGGTAGTAGAAAGTCCAACTTAAATTTCAAAAGGTTGCTGATGCAATATAAAGTTATAAGAATTCACTACAAATTTTTATTTTTTTTTTATTTTTTGAGACAGGGTGTCACTCTGTCACCCAGGCTGGAGTGCAGTGGCAGGATCTTGGCTCACTGCAACCTCCACCTCCCGGGTTCAAGCAATTCTCCTGCCTCAGCCTCCCAAGTAGCTGGGATTACAGGTGTGCGCCAAGCACAGCTAATTTTTGTATTTTTAGTAGAGATGGGGTTTCACCATGTTGGGCAGGCTGGTCTTGAACTCCAGGCCTCATTTGATCTGCTTGCCTTGGCCTCCCAAAGTGCTGGGATTATAGACTTGAGCCCACCATCATGGCCTACAAATGTATTTCTTTTTCTTTTTTTTTTTTTTTTGAGGTGAAGTCTCGCTCTGTTGCCCAGGCTGGAGTGAAGTGGCGTGATCTCAGCTCACCACAACTTCCGCCTCCCAGGTTCAAGCGATTCTCCTGCCTCAGCCTCCGGAGTAGCTGGGACTGGAGGAGTGCACCACCACGTCTGGCTAATTTTTGTATTTTTAGTAGAAACGAGGTTTCACTATGTTGGCCAGGCTGGTCTCGCACTCCTGACTTCGTGATCTGCCCACCTCGGCCTCCCAAAGTGCTGGGGTTACAGGCATGAGCCACCGCACCCTGCTCTATAAATGTATTTCTTATTAAATTTATACTTTCAGTTTATTTCTGGGGCATCATAGATGGTCAATAATAAGATGAATCAACAAAAAGAAAGGAGGGAAGAAGTAAAAGGAGAGAGGGAGAGAGAAGAGAATGAAGGAGAAGAAAAAGTATAGAGACTGTCAGTTTTGGGGTTTTTTGTTTTTCTGTGGAGACGGGGTCTCACTCTGTCGCCCAGGCTGGAGTGCAGTGGTGTAATTATGGCTCACTGCAGCCTCATCCTCCTGGGCTCAAGCCATCCTCCTGCCTCAGCCTCCTGAGTAGCTGGGACGGCAGGCATGAGCCACAACATCTGTCTACTTTTTGTGTTTTTTGTAGAGATGAGTCTTGCTACATTGTAAAGCTGATCTTGAGTTCCTGAGCCTAACATAATGAGACCCCCATCTCTACAAAAAAATTTAAAAAATAGATGAAAACCACTTGAAGTTTTTGCAAAACAGGCCTTCCATCTCAGGGAGTAAAATTTCTCCATTGTATTCATATGTCAGCACTTGTGACCACAGTGTTAAGTATTCACTTGGGGTGGATAATCCTGGCCTGCTAAATTGTTAACTCTCTAGGAATGCTTACAAGATAAAGAATGGTGTGGAAATCATTGCCTCGGGTTCCAGCTCTGAATGTAATCTCACAGCTGTCATGAACTCTGGTAGGGTATTTCCCAGCTGTTAAAGAGGACAGCAGGGCCGGGCGCGGTGGCTCACACCTGTAATCCCAGCACTTTGGGAGGCTGAGGTGGGTGGATCTCTTGAGGCCAAGAGTTTGAGACCAGCCTGGGCAACATAGCAAAACCCAGTCTCTACAAAAAATACAAAAATTAGCTAGGCATGGTGCCTGTAATCCCAGCTATTTGGGAGGCTGAGGCAAGAGAATCACTTGAACCTGGGAGGCAGAGGTCGCAGAGCTCAGATCGTACCACTGTACTCCAGCCCCTAGTGACAGAGCGAGACACCATCTCAAAAAAAAAAAAAAAAAAAAAAAGGACAGCAGTTTCTATACTGCTGACCTTAGGACTGTGAGAATCACATGAGGAGACATGAAAACACCTTGCAAAATGTGAAAATAAGCACTGTGACTCATGGTTAGCTTTTCTGAAGCTGCTCATAAAGATTCTGAGGGTCGTAGGGTCAAAAGCCATCAGGTTCATGTTACCGCTTCCTGAGGCCAATCTCTGAAATCTGCCGCTCTCTTGTGGCCTTGCCCTTGGGAGCAGCAGCCCCAGTGGGCCTCCCTGGGTACCATGGAGACAGACACACTTGTCTCCAGTAGAAGAGAGAGAAATGGAAGAATCATTAAACCAGCAGTTAGGCCTGCATGCAGTGGCTCACACTTACAATCCCAACACTTTTGGAGGCTGAGAACAGAGGATCGTTTGAGGCCAGGAGTTCAAGACCAGCCTGGACAACACAGCAAGACCCCCATCTCCACAAAAAATTTAAATATTAGCCAGGTGTGGTGGTGTGCACCTGTGGTCCCAGTTAGGAGGTCAAAGCAGGAGGTCCGCTTGAGCCCAGGAGTTCCAGGCTGCAATGAGCTATAATCTTACCACTGTACTCCTGCCTGACCGACAGAGTGAGACCCTGTCTCAACAAAAAAATAAAAATAAAAAATAAGCAGCAGTTAAACCAGGAGAGAATGGAGTGGGTGGGGGCATAAAGTCATTTTTTTAAAGCATATAAAAGCTTTAAAGGACTTTTATTGTTTCAACTTAATACCCTGAAAAATTTCTGCTCTTGGCTTCATGATCCCAATTCTTAGCTCTTTCTGTTTACGTAAGCGGTGTTCATAATCAGAATGAACAATGGCGTCACACGGACAATCAGCCATGCCTTTCTGAGTCCATCCTAGTGTAGGCATGTGCGTAACTCCTGGGAGAGCTGTTCCGTAGCTGTTTCCAGTGAGTCCAGAATTCAAAACGTATGAAAGGCAGTTCTTGTATCATTTCAAACTCACTCCTCTAACACAACAAAGCAGGGATTGTCTGAGACGGCAGCTTTTGGGCAGTTTGCTGAGAGCTGGGCAGCCTGTGGGACCAGCCCCTCTTATAAAGGGTCCCATGTGGCCATCAGTATTTCTCGGAGGATCAGATCCCTCTGAGCCAAATTCATGTCCACCTTATGTTCAGGCCACAGCCCCATGGATGGGCTCTGAAACCACCTTTGCATGCTTGTGAAAGATGGACCAGCAAAGAAAAATGAGAACCCAGGAGGCGGAGGTTGCAGTGAGCCGAGATCGTGCCACTGCACTTCAGCCTGGATGACAGAGCGAGACTGTGTCTCAAAAAACAACAACAACAAAAAAAACAAAACCCCCAGACACACACACACAAATGAAACCACATTTGCAAAAACTCTAACAAGTGAGATGTAATTTAACCACCCCCCAATCTTGCCTTTAGCCTTCAAACTGCCCTTAATCATAGCTGGGCTTGGACCAAGCAAAACTGGGAGACATTTAGTTTATAGCTTAAATGATAATAGCTTGGCCGGGTGTGGTGTCTCACACTTGTAATCCCAGCACTTTGGGAGGCCGAGGCGGGAGGATCACGAGGTCAGGAGTTCGAGACCAGCTTGACCAACATGGTGAAACTCCGTCTCTACTAAAAATACAGAAAAAAATTAGCTGGGCGTGGTGGCACATGCCTGTAATCCCAGCTACTCAGGAGGCTGTGGCAGGAGAATCACTTGAACCCAGGAGGCGGAGGTTGCAGTGAGGCAAGATTGCGCCACTCCACTCCACCCTGGGTGACAGAGTGAGACTCGTCTCAAAAAAAAAAAGAAAAAAAAGATAACAGCCCTTCCCCAAAACTCAACCACCTTAATAAAGCTAATGAGAGACCACCAGGCAAGGAGGATGAGAGAAGCCTAAATTCTGCCAAGGTGTACACATCAACACCATTTCCAGTTATTATTCCAGAGGGCAGGCACAAGATTTGCAATTCCCCGTTACTCCTGCGGGTTACATCACCACTGTAGAACCTAAGATTGGCCTTTTGAGATGTCTTTTCAGATTTTCGCATTTCTTTTTTTCTTTTTTTTTGAGACAGTTTCACTCTGTCGCCCAGGCTGGAGTGCAGTGGTGTGATCTCTCCGCTCACTGCAGCCTCTGCCCCCTGGAGTTTTTCAAGTGATTCTCCTGCCTCAGCCACCCAAGTACCTGGGATAACAGGTGTGCTCCACCACGCCCCACTAATTTTTGTATTTTTAGTAGAGATGGAGTTTCACCGTGTTGGCCAGGCTGGTCTTCAACTCCTGATCTCAAGTGATCTGCTCGCCTCGGCCTCCCAAAGTGCTGGGATTACAGGCGTGAGCCACCGTGCCTGGCCCAGGTTTTTGCATTTCTGACCATCAGTAGCTCCACCTGGATCCGATGACCTCCCCACCCCTGCCGCCCCACCACCTCACCCCACCCCACCCCATGGCCCCAGCCAGAAGCGAATCCCCTGGCCTGCCAAAGTATCCTTGAAAAAGTCTAGCCTCCGAATTTTTGGGGTGATTGATGTAAGAATAAAGCTCCGGCCTCCTGTTCGGCTGGTTCTGCATGAATTAATCTCTGTCTCTATTGCAATTCCCCTGTATTGAGAAATGGGCTCTCTCTGGGCCGCAGGCAAGAAGAACCCGTGTGGCAATAGCAGCTGTGACGGTCAGACAGTGAAAACCAGTGGGGGATTGGTCCTCCCACCTGTCCACCCATGGCCTGCTCCTGCCATGCACACCAGGCGGTGCAGAGGCTGATGCCGTTTGCAGCACTTTTCAAGGTCCTGGCATGCCTGGTCCTGCCCAGAGCTTGGCACTACTGAAAAGTGCAAACACCACAAAACAGTTTCTAGGAGAGCGGCCAGGAGGTATTCACAGTTGGGAACAACGGCCTCATTGTTTGGAATCTCATTTAAATGGTGCCAAACTTATTTCATGTCTCTCCTTCAGAAACTGATTTGGAGGAAATTTGATTCATCTGATTTGCTTATGTGGCTGAATAATTATTTAATTATTTGGCCAAATTTGGTTAAATGATACATTTTTCAACTAATTCTCAATGTTAACCCCGTAGCTTTCCCTCCCCCCATTTTTCCTCCAGGGAGGGTATAGCATCTCACACATTCAAAGCATGTTCTGAAATTTCCCTTGCTTGGCTCTGCTCAAAACAAACATAAACCTGGCTTTCGAGTATTTCCAAGTCATTTATAAAAAAGAAATGGTTTATATAGGCTGTTAGGAGTTATTAATATTTAATTCATTTAGGGGAAAATGCTGGCCTTTGTGATTAGTAAAACTTGTTTTTATTTCTTTTACTTTATGTGATTTTCGAATATCTTTTTTTTTTTTTTTTTTTTAAGAGACGGGGTCTCACTGTCACCCAGGCTGGAGTACAATGGCAGAGTCACAGCTCACTGCAGCCTTGAACTACTGAGTTCAAGGGATCCTCCCATCTCAGCCCACCAAGTAGCTGGGACTACAGGTGCGTGCCGCCACATCCAGCTAATGTTTTTATTTTTTGTAGAGACAGGGTCTTGCTCTGTTGTCCAGGCTGGTCTCGAATTCCTGTCCTCAAGTGATCCTCTTAACTTGTCCTCCCACAGTGCTGAGATTACAGGCCTGAGCCCAAATATCCATTTTTAATCAGTACTTTTGTTTAAGACTCTATTGTTATATTGGAGGAAAACAAAAAACAAAAAACTTTTGTAACATTTCATATATGACAAATCCCAAGAAGTAAAAAAAAGGACTTTCCAGGTCCCAGGGCTTCAGGAAGTGGGAGTGGGCTCATGGGGTGAGGACATTGTACCCAGCACTAAGCAAAGTAGAGTCTTAAGCCTGTTTCTTGCCTGGGGGCTATTTATGCTTCAACACGGTACCTGAAATATTGGGTATTCCAATATGCAAGAGGCAGAACTGAAAATTCCACAAATCCGTTCTGACATACGGATAAACTTTTATTGACATACCAAAGAGAAACCAATATTCACTGAAGGCTGCCGAATCCGTATTTCTAAGAGTAAAGGTGTTTAATTGACTCTCCACACTTAAAGCACTTTGTATGAAATATAGCTACAAATATACATAAAGAATTCAGATCACAAAACTCTCTAGGACATTGGCTGGGCGCGGTGGCCCAAGCCTGTAATCCCAGCACTTTGGGAGGCTGAGGCAGGCGGATCACAAGGTCAGGAGATCAAGACCATCCTGGCTAACACGGTCAAACCCCGTCTCTACTAAAAATACAAAAAATTAGCCGGATGTGGTGGCGGGTGCCTGTAGTCCCAGCTACTCGGGAGGCTGAGGCAGGAGAATGGCGTGAACCTGGGAGGCAGAGCTTGCAGTGAGCCGAGACCGCGCCACTGCACTCCAGCCTGGGCAACAGAGCAAGATTCTGTCTCAAAAAAAAAAAAAACCTCTCCAGGAAATCAATAGTCATCATATAATACTGGAACTACAGTTAAAAAAAAAAAAAAAGCAATCTTCTAGGATTCCTAACTGTAGTTTAAAGTACAGATCATTTGTACCAACTTTCTATAGCAAGTTGTAATAGGCAACTGTAAGCAAACAGTATCAATCTGTATAACTTGTAAAAATTCATCTGAAGTTGTTTGGAGCTGTACGACAATGGATGTTATTCTTCCAGTTCTCCCAGCAGCTCTACAAAATCAGTGATATACCATTTGGCGTTATCCTTGACTTGTTGCCTGATCACATTTCCTCCAAATCCAATGAAAGCATCCTAAGAAGGAAGAAAAGAGAGAGAAATGATTTTTATTTTTATTTATTTATTTATTTTTTGGAGTCTCGCTCTGTCACCCAGGCTGGAGTGCAGTGACACAATCTCCACTCACTGCAACCTCTGCCTCCTGGGTTCAAGTGATTCTCATGCCTCAGCCTCCTGAGTAGCTGTGACTCCAGGTATGCCCCACCTCGCCTGGCTACTTTTTTTTATTTTTTGTAGGGTCTTGCTATGTTGCCAGGCTGCTCTCAACCTCCTCCTGCGTCAGCTTCCAAAGTGCTGGGATTACAGGTATGCTCCACTGCACCCATCTAATTTTGTCATTCCTTTTTTGTTTCTTGAGACAGAGTCTCACCCTGTCACCCAGGCTGGAGTGCAGTGGCACCGTCATGGCTCACTGCAGCCTTGAACTTCTGGGCTCAAGTGATCATCCTGCCTCAGCCTCCTGAGTAGCCGGGATGACAGGTGCACACCACAATCCCTGAATAAATTTTTAGAGACAGAGTTTTGCCACGTTGCTCAGCTGGTCTTGAACCTCTGTGCTTAAGCAATCCTCCCGCCTCAGCCTCCCAAAGTGCTGGGATCACAGGCGTGAGCCACCGCTCCTGGCTGATTTTGTCATTTCTTGAAAATGAGATTGGGAGCTCCCTGAGAAATCTCTTCATTTTACTTTTATGCATTCCTCATTAAACTAGTAGCCCAATGTTCACTACTTAGACAACCCCAACATTGGTTATAAATTATCTAAGCTAACAGTAAAAAGACTCAAAGGCGGCTGGGTGTGGTAGCTCATGCCTGTAATCCAGCACTTTGGGAGGCTGAGGTGGGTGGATCACCTGAGGTCAGGAGTTTGACACTAGCCTCGCCAACATGGTGAAACCCTGTCTCTAATTTTTTTGTATTTTTGTAGAGACGGGGTTTCACCGTGTTGCCCAGGCCGGTCTCAAACTCCTGGCCTCAGGTGATCCACCTGCCTCAGCCTCCCAAAGTGCTGGGATTACAGGCGTGAGCCACTGCGCCTGGCCACACTATATTTTTGGTGTAGTTTTTCTTACGTTAGAATGACATGGCAAAGGCAAAGCCCTATGTGAAATGGACACATTTGATATTTATGACACTTGCTATATAGCATTTGATTATATATATACACACATATACTATATATGTATATATATACACACATATATGTATATGTGTATGTATATATTTATATACACACATATATATACATATGTGTGTATATATTTATATACACACACATATATATACGTATATGTGTATGTGTATACACACACACACACACACACACACACACACACACACATATATATAGCATTGATTTTAAAATGCTTAGAAATAAAATCCCTGGCCGGGCATGTTGGCTCACACCTGTAATCCCAGCACTCTGGCAGGCCAAGGCAGGAAGATCACTTAAGCCAGGAGTTCAAGATTAGCCTGGGCAACATAGTGAGACCTCATCTCTACAAAACATAAACAAAATTAGATAGGTGTGGTGGCATGCGCCTGCAGTCCCAGCTACTCAGGAGGCTGAGATGGGAAGATCGCTTGGTCTGGGACGTTGAGGCTGCAATGAGCTGAGATTGCACCACTGCACTCCGGCCTAGGTGACAGAGCAAGAACCTGTCTCAAAAAATAAAACCTCTGCTAGTCTCAGAAAATGACATTAATTCAGAGGAATAAAATGCTGTTGTGGTGTGGGATGCAGTGGCACACACCTGTAATCCCAGCTACCAAGGAGGCTGAGGCGGGAGGATCATTTGAGCCCAGAAGTTCAGGGCTGTGATAAGCTATGATCGCAACACTGCACTCCAGCCTGGGCAACATAGCAAGACCCTGTCTCCAAAAAATAAAAATAAATAAATAAATAAAAACAAAATGCTCTGATATGTTACAGGTAAATCATATAATCTCTGCAAGCCTCAGTTCCCCTATCAGTAAGAAGAACACAACATTTGGCCAGGCATGGTGGTTCATACCTGTGATACCAGCACTTTGGGAGGCCAAAGCAGGGGAGATCGCTTGAGCTCAGGAATTTGAGACCAGCCTGGGAAATATAGCATAACTCTGCCTCTACCAAAAACACAAAATCTTAGCTGGGTGTGGTGGAATGCGTCTGTGGTCCCAGCTACTTGGGAGGCTAAGGTGGGAGAATCACTTGAGCCCAGAGGGCGGAGGTTGCAGTGAGCTGAGAGCACACCACTGCACTCCAGCCTGGGTGACAGAGTGAGACTCTATCTAAGAAAAACAAAACAAAACATAATATTTGACTTCACAGGGCTGTTATGAAGATTAAATGAGGTAATGTATGAGGAGCTAGTATATAAAGCATAAAATGACATTAAAATCTTGGTTATGAGTTGTTGATGGTATTATTTGGGGAAATGAAATCAACTTATTGAGCACACACCTAGGCTAAAAGGTGGTGCCCATCCTACGGGGATAAGGCATTGTTAAAAGTTTTAAAAGGTTTTTAGTTCCTTATTCACAACTTTTCTTGGGTTTGCACAAAGTTGACAAAACAAGATTGAATGTGTTTTTATTACTTCATTTTTATCTTGTAATGAGAGTTGTTTTTGTTAACTCCTGTTTTAAATCTTATGTAGTTCGAAATCAGCTGTTTTTATTTTATTTTATTTATTTATTTTGTAGAGATGGGGTCTCACTATGTTGACCAGGCTGGTCTCAAACTCCTGTGCTCAAGCCATCTTCCTGCCTCGACCTCCCAAAGTGTTGGGAATATAGGATGCATCAGCTGTCTAAAACAAAAGTACGGCCGGGCACGGTGGCTCATGCCTGTAATCCCAGCACTTTGGGAGGCTGAAGCAGGCAGATCACCTGAGGTCAGGAGTTCGAGACCAGCATGGCCAACGTGGCGAAACATTGTCTCTACTAAAAATACAAAACTTAGCTGGCATGGTGGCGTGTGCCTGTAATCCCAGCTACTTGGGAGGCTGAGACACAAGAATGGTTTGAACCCAGGAGGCGGATATTGCAGTAAGCTGAGATCACGCCACTGCACTCCAACCTGGGCAACAAGAGTGAAACTCCGTCTCAAAAAAAATAAAGAAATAATAAATAAATAAATAAAACAAAAGTACAACCTGAAAAAAAATTAGCACCCTTAATACATACAGCAGGAGGACAGGCTTCCATATCTGTGGCACCATCTCCAATCATGATTATTTTCTTAAAATGAAATTTTTCCTTTAAAAGTTTAATCACTTTTCCTTTTCCACCAGATTCAGCTGTTGGCTGCGTCTCATCAAAACCTGCATATTCACCTTAAAAGAGAAATAAAAATAGGGTTAAAGACCCAGAGAAGTATCTGACCAATGCCAGCTTTCTGCATAGATGATATCTTCACTTAAATGTCACTGAGAAGGCTAAAAATGGCCGTCGGTAAAGTCACACAGCCTGGAGCTCCACACCTGTTCCTGGGAATAAACAAGCTTTGCTTTGCTTTTATTTCCTTTTATGATTATGATTATGATTATAGAAATGGGGTCTTGGTATGTTGCCCAGGTTGGTCTGGAACTCCTAGGCTCATGTGATCCTCCTGCCTCAGCCTCCCAAAGTGCTGGGATTACAGGTGTGAGCCATCACACCTAGCCAACCTTTGCTTTTAAATTATAACTATCAATTGTAGAGATGGCTCTATTAGGTCATAAATAAATTGGGTGAATTTTGTTGTATCCTTTAAGCTTCCAGTAATTCTCAAACCTTGTTGAGGTGGCAGAACACCATAAAATAGTAGTATCAAATTAATTAATTAATTAATTTATTTTTGAGACAGTGTCTCACTCTGTTGCCCAGGCTGGAGTGCAGTGGTGTGATCTCGGCTCACTGCAATATCCGCCTCCCAGGTTCAAACCATTCTCGTGTCTCAGCCTCCCAAGTAGCTGGGATTATAGGCGCATGCCACCACACCAGCTAAGTTTTGTATTTTTAGTAGAGATGGGGTTTTGCCACATTGGCCAGGCTGGTCTCAAACTCCTGACCGCAGGTGATCAGACTTGCCTCGGCCTCCCAAAGTTCTGGGATTACAGGCGTGAGCCACCACACCCAGCCTTAATATATTAAATTTAAAATGTTAATATATTATGTCACCCAAGAGGAAATTCCAGCTTATTTTTTATCAATTATTTCTATTTTTACAGTAATTACCACACTCATTCTTGACTTCTTTTTTCAATGATCTCTATCTCTAGATCATTCAAGAATGTTCTGTTAACATACAGTGGCTCACGCCTGTAATCCCAACACTTTGGGAGGCCAAGGCAGGTGGATCATCTCAGGCCAGGAGTTTGAGACCAGCGTGACCAACATGATGAAACCCCGACTCTACTAAAAAAAAAATACAAAAATTAGCCAGGTGTGGTGGTGGGCACCTGTAATCCCAGCTACTTGGGAGGCTGAGGCAGGAGAATCGCTTGCACCCAGGAGGCAGAGGTTGCAGTGAGCCGAGATGGAGCCACTGCACTTCAGCCAGAGCAATAGAGTGAGACCCTGTCTCAAAAAAAAAAAAAAAAAAAAATCACTATCAGTCACTCCTTGATGTAACTGGCGATCTGAGATAATATAACAGCTGTGGCACCGCTATGGACCAGAGAGGGGACAGGAGGCTTCCCCAAGGGCTGTAGTTCAGTAATCCATTAACAAAAGTCTCCCTTCTAAAGTCTCTGTCTTGTTTTTTTTTAAAGACAGGGTCTCGCTCTGTCACCCAGGCTGGAAGTGCAGTGGCGAGATCTCAGCTCACTGCAGCCTCCGCCTCCCAGCTTCAAGTGATTCTCCTCCCTCAGCCTCCCAAGTAGCTGGGACTATAGGCATGTGCCACCATGCCCAGCTAATTTTTGTATTTTTTTTTTTAGCAGAGTTGGGGTTCCACCATGTTGGCCAGGCTGGTCTTGAACTCCTGACCTCAAGTGATCCTCCCGCCTCAGGCTCCCAAAGTTCTGAGATTACAGGCGTGAGCCACCGTGCCCAGCCAAAAGTCTCCTTCTTGAGTCTAAATTGCTTCAAATGCATAGAAGCTCCCATAAAGTTGAAATATAACATATAGCAAAGTAAGTCATAGGGGGCTTCGTAGGAGTTAATGTTTCACGAAATGCAGACATTTATGTACAGACAGGTGATGTTATAGATACCAAAGCTAGGACAGGTGATGACCTAAGTCTATTTTGCTGAGCAAAGGGTACCAAAGGGCAAAAGACATCAATTAAGAGAACCATTCATCTCAATATTTAACTCTGATGTGACTGTTCAAGTTGCATTCCAAAGACATTACCCAGAATACTGAACAATGGAACTGCTAAGAAAGGGAACATGTTACTGTTAACATCTTACCGTTAAAGTAGAATTTCAGCCTATTGGCAAATACATTGGTTGCTGGGATATTGAGCTTTGAAGCAACATGCTCTACAATACTCCTAAAGCCACCAGATATTAGGAAAACCTGAACATTTCGCTCCTGTAGGCGACTTACCAGCTCCCTGCAAAATAAAATACAAAATACCCAACACTGAGTAATACAAAAGAAAAAAAAAAAAAAAACGAAACATGAAGAGGGAAATAAGATACATTTTCTTCTCCTGAATGCATTTGCCTGAGGTATGTTTGACAAGGTATACTGCCTGGGGTGTTAATGTTTTATATATGTTTTTCTTTTTCTTTTTTTTTTGAGATGGAGTCTCGCTCTGTCGCCCAGGCTGGAGTGCAGTGGTGCGATCTCGGCTCACTGCAACCTCTGCCTCCAGGGTTCCAGCGATTCTCCTCCTTCAGCCTCACAGGTAGCTGGGATTACAGGCACCTGCCACCACACCCAGTTACTTTTTTTTTTTTTTTTTTTGAGATGGAGTCTCCCTCTGTCTCTGTCATCAGGCTGGAGTGCAGTGGTGCGATCTCAGCTCACTGCAACCTCCTCCTACAGGGTTCAAGCGATTCTCTTGTGTCAGCCTCCCGAGTAGCTGGGACAACAGATGCGCACCACCACGCCCAGCTAACTTTTGTATTTTTAGTAGACATGGGGTTTCACCATGTTGGCCAGGCTGGTCTTGAACTCCTGACCTCAGGTGATCTGCCTGTCTTGGCCTCCCAAAGTGCTGGGATTACATGCATGAGCCACCATGCCCAGCCTTATATGTTTTTCTAAATGCACTTAGAAATCAATGGGTAGGGGCTGGGCGTGGTGGCTCACGCCTGTAATCCCAGCATTTTGGGAGGCCGAGGCAGGTGGATCACGAGCTCAGGCATTCGAGACCAGCCTGACCAAAATAGTGAAACTCCATCTCTACTAAAAATACAAAAATTAGCTGGGCATGTTGGCACATGCCTGTAATCCCAGCTACCTGGGAGGCTGAGGCAGGAGAATTGCTTCAACCTGGGAGGTGGAGGTTGCAGTGAGCCGAGACTGCACCACTGCACACCAGCTTGGCAACAGTGCGAGACTCTGTCTCAAAAAACAACAACAACAAAAAAAAAACAATGGGTAGGGTTTGTCTGCTTTAGGAAACCGTTCCAGAACTCTACTCTGCCCATGGACCCAGAAAAACACAAGATGAGGACAAACAAGGAAAGCTTAGGTTTTCCCTGGAGAAAGAGGAAAGGCAGAAACCGACAGGACCAGACAACTGGCCAGACAAGACCACGTGTAAGTGCCAAAAGCACCACACAGGCCACGCCTTTAAATCCAGCAGTTTGGGAGGCCAAGGTAGAAAATCACTTGAGGCCAGGAGCTTGAGAACAGCCTGGGCAACATAGCAAGACCCCCATCTCTACAAAAAATATTTTAAAGGCTGGGTATAGTGGCTCAAACCTATAATTCCAACACTTTGGGAGGCTGAGGTGGGAAAATTGATCATTTGAGCCCACAAGTTCAAGACCAGCCTGGGCAACATAGTGAGACCCTGTGTCTACAGAAAATTAAAAAAAAAAAAAATTAGGCATGGTGGCCTACGTCTGTAGTCCCAGCTACTTAGGAAGCTGAGGCAGGAGGATCCCTTGAGCCCAGAAGGCTGATGCTGCAGTGAGCTCTATTCATGCCACTGCACTCCAGCCTGGGTGACAAAGTGAGACCCTGTCTCTCAAAAAAAATTTTTTTTTAAAAATTAGCTGGGCATGGTGGCATGCACCTGTAGTCCCCACTATTAAGGAGGCTAAGGAGGGAGGGCCACTTGACCCCAGGAGTTCAACGCTGTAGTAAGCCATGATTATACTACTGTACTCCAACATGGGCAACAGAATGAGACGCTGACTCTAAAAAAAATAATAATAGGCCGGGTGCAGTGGCTCACAGCTATAATCCCAGCACTTTGGGAGGCCCAGGCAGGCAGATCATTTGAGGTCAAGAGTTCAAGCAGTGTGGTCAACATGGCGAAACCCATCTCTACTAAAAATACAAAAATTACCTAGGTGTGCTGGTGGGCACCTGTAATCCCATCTACTCGGGAGGCTGAGGCAGGAGAATTGCATGAACTTGGGAGGCAGAAGCTGCAGTGAGCTGACATTTCACCACTGCACTCCAGCCTGAGTGACAGAGTGAGACTTCATCTCGAAAAAATACAATTTAAAAAAATAATTAAAAAATTAAAAAATGAAAATGAAAATAAATAAACCACCCAGAGGGCACTCTAAAGGAATAGTTAGATGCTCTTGGGAGGATGTGCCCCCCAACACTGGTGCTGAAATACACCTGGAGCCGGGGTTCCTCTTACCTTATGCCGGGGGTCAGGTGTGGGGGTTGCTCTGCTATGAGTCTCTGCACCTGCTCCCTGGAGGGCTGGATGAGGGCTAAGCGCTCTGTGAGAGCAGCTTTGAAAGGCACTGCCCCGCCCATGGCTCGCCGTGTCCTAGGAGGGAGACCCAACAGTCAGGCCAGCCAGGTCCGATGTCCTCAAGGTTAACATGCCTTACTGCCCCGGGTCTGCACGACATCCACCAAAAGGAAGATGCTACCAAGAGCCCAGTGTGCAACAGACAGGCTTTGCTACTAGGAGAGCAAGGCCTTGGAATAAACTTTTGAAGGATTGCTTGAAAATAACATTAACAGGCTGGGTGCAGTGACTCATGCCCATAATCCCAAACACTTTGGGAAGCTGAGGTGGGCAGATCACCTGAAGCCAGGAGTCTGAGACCAGCCTGGTCAACATGACAAAACCCCATCTTTACTAAAAAAATGCAAAAATTAGCCAGGTGTGGTGGTGCACGCCTGTAATCCCAGCTACTTAGGAGGCTGAGGCAGGAGAATTGCTGGAACCCGGGAGGCAGAGGTTGCAGTGAGCCAAGATCTCACCACTGCACCCCAGCCTGGATGACAGAGTTAAGATTCCATCTAAAAAAAAAAAAAGGCACACAGCCTATCCATAGGTATTTTTCTTGCAAGCTGTGAGCTGTCATAAATCAAGAAAGAGACCAAAGGTTAAGCATTCTTCCATGAAAGGCAGTTGAAAATGAAATAGTGTCCGGGTGCAGCAGCTCATGCCTGTAATCCCAGCACTTTGGTAGCCCAAGGTGGGCGGATCACGAGGTCAGGAGTTCGAGACTACCCTGGCCAACATGGTGAAACCCCATCTCTACTAAAAATACAAAAATTAGCCGAGCGTGGTGGCATGCGCCTGTAATCCCAGCTACTCAAAAGGCTGAGGCAGGAGAATTGCTTGAATCTGGGAGGCAGAGGTTGCAGTGAGCTGAGATTGGGTCACTGCACTCCAGCCTGGGTGACAAAATGAGACTCCGTCTCGAAAAAAAAAAAAAGAAAATGACATGGTGCATGACTGGGGGACTGGGACTGCAGAGGGAGGTCCCCAGCTGCAGGGCGGGAGGGCAGGAGGGAGAGAGGGGATCTGACCCAGGATCCACCAAGAGACTCTGAACCTTTCCAGGGAACCACTAAGGTCACACTTTCAACCATGACACAAAGCCACTGGACACTTGGACCTCGCCCCCCAGGCCATCTTCTTTAGTTAGTGACGGTTGTCATTCCCCGATCAAGCTAAGAACATGTCTTATCCATGTTTGTTTGCCATAAATATTTATATAAATGAATGAATATGTCAAATTCAGCTCTAAGGAATGAAAGAAAAAGCCTAGTGCAAATGTTCCATAGCCAGGGTCTAGCACTTCATCCAAAACAGTCACTCTTTAGAAAGTCTTTATCATTTCATAAAGTGAATAAATGCTATCCCTACATTTCTGACACCGCGTCCTCAACGCCACAGATTTTGGCTAGCTCATCGATTCCTTCTTCTCTGATGACCGTGCTGTCAACATCAAAACACACAGCATCTGCTGAGTAGAAAAGCTTCCTCAGCTCTGAGTGGGAGACCATCGCTGGAAGAATTTTCCTCCTACAAGAAAAAAGATAAATGTATTTAAAGACATCAAATAAAATTATGAAAAGATCCCACCTTGCCTACTAAGCCAATCTAATTTGTGTCAAAGTCAGTGCAGGCCACATAAGAGTGTTCTCACAGATTCATTTTTTTTTCCTTTTCTTTTTGTTTACTTCCCACACTACACCAGTTTCTTCTTTCTTTCTTTCTTTTTTTTTTTTAGGTGGAGTCTTACTCTGTTGCCCAGGCTGGAGGGCAGTGGTACGATCTTGGCTTACTGCAACCTCCACCACTCAGGTTCAAGTGATTCTCCTGCCTCAGCCTCCTGAGTAGCTCAAATACCTGTGCCTCCTTGAAGCCATCTTTCTTTTCTTTTAGATATATATATAGTTGTTTTTTTTTTTTCTACCTAATTGTAGTGAGGAAGCAAGCATTAAAGCGGAGGTGTGAGGCCGGGCGCGGTGGCTCAGGCCTGTAATCCCAGGACTTTGGGAGGCTGAGGCGGGCGGATCACGAGGTCAGGAGATCCGAGAACATCCTGGCTAACACAGTGAAACCCTGTCTCTACTAAAAATATAAAAAAATTAGCCGGGCGTGGTGGCAGGCGCCTGTAGTCCCACCCACTCGGGAGGCTGAGGCAGGAGAATGGCGTGAACCTGGGAGGTGGAGCTTGCGGTGAGCCAAGATCGCGCCACTGCACTCCAGCCTGGGCGACAAAGCGAGACTCCGTCTCAAAAAAAAAAAAAAAAAAAAAAGCAGAGGTGTGCATAAGGCTCTGTGGGAACACAGGAAAAATGTTTAGCCTTATCTATGAAACAGGGCTTCAGACTGGGCACAGTGGCTCATCCCTGTAATCCCAGCACTTTGGGAGGCTAAGGCAGGAGGAGGATTGCTTGAGGCCAGGAGTTCAAGACCAGCGTGGGCAACATAGAGAGACCAAGTCTCTACTAAAAATAATAATACAAAAAATTAGCTGAGCATAGTGGTGCACGCCTGTAATCCCAGCTACTTGGGAGACTGAAGCAGGAGAATTACTTGAACCCAGGAGGTAGAGCTGCAGTGAGCTGAGATCGTGCCACTGCACTCCAGCCTGGGCAACAGAGCAAGACCCTGACTCTAACTAAAAGAAAAAAAAAGAAGGCTTCAAGGAGGCACAAGTATTTGAGCTGAATCTGACAGGTAAGTGGCCCTCTGAGTGGGTTGTCAAAGGGCAGGGCATCGATTTGGCATGTGCTGGGAGGAGAGGGAGCGGGGGTGGAGACAAGGAGGGAGGCTTGTGATGGCAGAGCGAGGAGTGTGAGCAAAGACAAGGAGAAGGAAGCAGATGACCTGCTGGAAGCTACCCTATGGCTTGGCCCAGGGGCCTGGCTGTGCATCAGGAATTCACACTAAGCAGGTCCTAGGGCCAGGCTAAGGAGTTTAGACTTTAACTTCCAGATACTGGGAAAGGCTTTAAGCCTCAGAAAAAAGGTCAGAGCTAAATATGAGGGCTAAACATACACAATGTCGCCAATGTACAGGGGCTAGTTGAAGACATGGTCTGATTAAAGTCCAGGAAGAGGCTGGGCGCGGTGGCTCACGCCTGTAATCCCAGCACTCTGGGAGGCTGAGGCGGGAGCATCACTTGAAGCCAGGAGTTCAAGACCATCCTGGCCAACATGGCAAAACCCCATCTCTACTAAAAAACTAAAAATTAGCCGGGCAGGATGGCGTGCACCTGTAGTCCCAGCTTCTCAGAAGGCTGAGGCAGGAGACTCTCTTGAACCTGGGAGGCGGAGATTGCAGTGAGCCAAGATCACGCCACTGCACTCCAGCATGGGGCCACAGAATGAGACCCTGTCTGAAGAAAAGAAAAAATCATAAAAATAAAGTCCAGGGAGAATAGAGAGAGGGAG
Organism: Homo sapiens; assembly: GCF_000001405.40. NCBI lineage: Eukaryota > Metazoa > Chordata > Mammalia > Primates > Hominidae > Homo > Homo sapiens. The sequence goes on from NC_000007.14 coordinate 56,023,112, forward strand.
AAGAAAAGAGTGCTAAGGACAGAGCCTGCAGGACCACCACCTTTATGTCCTGACTTGAGCCTGGGAAGGAGAACGAAAATGGTGAAGGTACAGGAAGAAACTCTGGAAGCCACACTGCTACAGAAGCTGCAGAGGACAGAGAGTCAAAACAAATTTTTTTTTTTTTAGACAAGTTCTCACTCTGTCACCCATGCTGGAGTGCAGTGGTACAATCATGACTCACTGCAGCCTCCAAATCCAGGGCTCAAGTGATCCTCCTGCCTCAGTCTCCCAAGTAGCTGGGACTACAGGTGCGCACCACTATGCTTGGCTAATTTATAAATTTTTTTTTGAAGAGATGGGGGTCTTGCTATGTTGCCCAGAATGGTCTTCAACTCCTGGACTCAAGCAATCCTCCCACCTAGGTCTCCCAAATTGCTGGGATTACAGGCATGAGCCCCCATGCCTGGCCTTTATTTTTTAGAAAATCTTTGGACTAGAATTAGGATGAAAGGGACCCTCAAGATTGCCTAGACCAGCCTCCTATCAGAGACTAATATGTCATATACAAGGCTACACAGATGATGTAAGTAATCTATATTTAGAATAGACTGCAGTTAAAAACAGACTCAAAGCAGTTGAACAACCCACTGCTCAACTGATTTCCAACCAATGCAGTTGGCAGAATAAGGCCATTTTAAGTTGACCTGGAAAAAAAAATATTTTAAGTCAGGGGTCAGCAAACTATAGCTTGTAGGCCAAATCCACCCTGCCACCTGGTTTGGTATGGCTCACAAGTAAGAATGATTTTTACATTTATTTTATTTTACTTTTTTTTTTTGTTTTTTTTGTTTGAGACAGAGTCTGGCTCTGTCGCCCAGGCTGGAGTGCAGTGGCGCGATCTCCGCTCACTGCAAGCTCCACCTCCCGGGTTCACGCCATTCTCCTGCCTCAGCCTCTCTAAGTAGCTGGGACTACAGGTGCCTGCCACCACGCCCGGCTAATTTTTTGTATTTTTAGTAGAGACGGGGTTTCACCGTGGTCTCGATCTCCTGACCTCGTGATCCGCCCGCCTCGGCCTCTCAAAGTGCTGGGATTACAAGCGTGAGCCACCGCGCCCGGCCTACTTTACTTTTTTTGAGACAGGATCTCATTCTGTCACCTAGGCTGGAGTGCAGTGGTGCCATCATAGCTCACTGTAGCCTCAAACTCCTGGGCTCAAGTGAACCTTCCATCATGGCCTCTTGAGTAGCTGGGACTACAGGTGTGAGCCACCACGACTGGCTGATTTTTACATTTTAAACAGTTGAAAAAAAAATCAAAAGAAGAATAATATTTTTTGACATGTAAAAACTAATGAAATTCAAATTTCAGGCTGGCTGCAGTGGCTCACACCTGTAATTCTAGCACTTTGGGAGGCTGAGGTGGGAGGATTACTTGAAGCCAGGAGTTCAACACCTATCTGGGCAACATACCAAGACTTCATCTCTACAAAAGTATTTTTAAAATTAGCCAGGTGTAGTGGCACACACCTATAGACCTAGCTACTCAGGAGGGTGAGGCAGAAGGATTGCTTGAGCACAGGAGTTTGAGGCTGCAGTGAGCTATGACCATGACACTGCACTGCAGCCTGGGTGACAGAGTGAGACCCTGTCTCAAAAGTAATAATAATAAATAAAAATGAAATTCAAATTTCAGTGTCTATTAATAAATCTTTTTTTTTTTTTTTTTGAGAAGGAGTCTCGCTCTGTCACCCAGGCTGGAGTGCAGTGGCACAATCTTGACTCACTGCAACCTCTGCCTCCCAGGTTCAAGTGATTCTCCTGCCTCAGCCTCCCAAGTAGCTAGGATTATAGGTGCATGCCACCACGCCCAGCTAATTTTTGCATTTTTAGTAGAGATGGGGTTTCACCATGTTGGCCTGTCTGGTCTCGAACTCCTGACCTCAAATGATCCTCCTGCCTCAGCCTCCCAAAGAGCTGGGATTACAGGTGTGAGCCACCGTGCCCTACCAGAGCCACAGTACCCAGCCATTAACATAATGTCTTTATTACATAATTTATGCCCATCACGATCTGGCTCCTATGCCTGTGGATTTTACCAACCTCAGTCCGCACAAATACACATACACACACATTTTTACACACACACATTATTCACATGCACATGCACACACATACACACACACACATTTTTTTTTATTTTGAGTTAGGGCCTCACTCTGTCACCCAGGCTGGAGTGCAGTGGTGCAATCTCAGCTCACTGCAACCTCTGCCTCCCTGGCTCAGCCTCCTGAGCAGCTGGGACTACAGGCAGGCATGATATCTGGCTAATTTTTTGTATTTTTAGTAGAGATGGTGTTTTACCATGTTGCCCAAGGGTGGTCTCAAACTTTTGGGCTAAAATGATCCATGCGACTCAGCCTCCCAAAGTGCTGGAACTACAGGCGTGAGCAACTGCGCCTGGTGACACACACAATTTATGGCTCAAGGAATACTAAGGACTTTTTTTTTTTTGAGACGGAGTCTTGCTCTGTCACCCAGGCTGGAGTGTAGTGCAGTGGTGCAATCTCGACTCACTGCAACCTCCCCATCCCGGGTTCAAGCAATTCTCCTCCCTCAGCGTTCTGAGTAGTTGAGACTATAGGCACGTGCCACCACATCCAGCTAATTTTTGTATTTTGAGTAGAGACAAGGTTTCACCATGTTGCCCAGGCTGGTCTCGAATTCCTGACCTCAGGCAATCCACCTGCCTTGGCCTCCCAAAAGTGCTGGGATTATAGGCATGAGCCACCGCACCCGGCCTATGTCATGTGTTTTTTTATTCCTCTACACCATTTCAAATGCTGCTCCTCTGCCTGGAATCACCATATCCCCCATGTCATGAAGAAAGTCCTACTTCTTCACCGTGCAGATCAAGTGGCCTCCCTTATACCACATTATTTCCTCCCCATCAACCCAGAAAATCAGTCAATCACTCCAGTTGAATTATCTTCTATCTCTGCACCCAGCACCCAATAGGTGTTAGTTAAATGTTTCATGAATTAAATATTTTATGAATTAAATAGAGTTGAACCTAAGCAGTTATTAAGAACTCAACAAGGGGCCGGCTGCAGTGGCTCACACTTGTAATCTCAGCACTTTGGGAGGCTGAAGCAGGAGGATCACTTGAGGTCAGGAGTTCGAGACCCGCCTGGCCAACATGGTGAAACCCCATCTCTACTAAAAATACAAAAATTAGCCGGGCATGGTGGCAGGCACCTGTAATCCCAGCTACTTGGGACGGAGAGGCGGGAGAACCGCTTGAATCTGGGAGGTGGAGACATGGAGATTGCAGTAAGCCGAGATTGCACCACTGCACTGCACTGCAGCCTGGGTGACAGAGCGAGACTCCATCTCAAAAAAAAAAAAAAAAAAAAAAGAACTCAACAAGGGCCAGCATGGTGGCTGATGCCTGTTCCCAGGACTTTGGGCAGCCAAGACAGGTGATTGCTTAAGGCTAGGAGTTTGAGACCAGCCTGGCCAACATGGTGAAACCCTGTCTCTATTAAAAAAAAAAAGATAAAAAATAAAAAGAAACCAGTCATTTGGCTTTGGTCCAGCAGAAATCAAGCTAATTCATACTACATGCCCAGGCAGGCTCACTGTAAAGACCTTGAAGTCAGCAGGTCTATCAGCAGAGTAGCAGCACTTACTGTAGTGCAAGTCCACTAAGAATGGAGAATGAACCATAGGTGAGTGAAGAGGAAGCCAGAAACAGACAAATGGTGTAAGAGGAGCTAAAATGAGGTAAGTGGGATAAGCTAAAGAACTTTTTAAGAAGGTACATGAGAAGGCCCGGCACGGTGGCTCATGCCTGTAATCCCAGCACTTTGGGAGGCTGAAGCGGGTGGATCACCTGAGGTTGGGAGTTCGAGACCAGCCTGACCAACATGGTGAAACCCCGTCTCTACTAAAAATACAAAATTAGCTGGGCATGGTGCTACATGCCTGTCATCCCAGCTACTCAGGAGGCTGAGGCAAGAGAATCGCTTGAACCCGGGAGGCAGAAGTTGCGGCGAGCCGAGATTGCGCTATTGCACCCCAGCCTGGGCAACAAGAGCAAAACTCTGTCTCAAAAACAAAAAAAAAAAAAAAAAGAAGATGCATGAGGCAACATAACATAACTAAGAATGGGCAATGCTCCTGAGAATGACTGATGGACACCAGAATCTCAAAGCCAGTCCCCAGGGACCCTGACACAAGACCCAAAGAGGAATGCATAATGCATGGGTGCCATCTTCAAGAGGTTTCCAGTCTTGTCGAAATGATTAGACAAATAATTACTGGCCATGTTTGAAAAACCAGTTACTTTGGCCGGGAGCGGTGGCTCACGCCTGTAATCCCAGCACTTTGGGAGGCCAAGGCAGGCGAATCACAAGGTCAGGAGTTCGAGACCACCCTGGCCAAAAGTACAAAAATTAGTCAGGTGCCTGTAATCCCAGCTACTCAGGATGCTGAGGCAGGAGAATTGCTTGAACGCGGGAGGTGGAGTTTGCAGTGAGCCGAGATCCCACCACTGCACTCCAGCCTGGATGACAAGAGCAAGACTCCATCTCAAAAAAAAAAAAAAAAAGGCCAACCAGGTACTTGAACCTCTTTCCAACCACTGACACTAGCAATAGTTTCAATGAGATTGGCCGAGTGCAGTGGCTCACACTTGTAATAATCCCAGCACTTTGGGAGGCTAAGACAGCAGGATCACTTGAGCCCAGGAGTTTGAGATCAGTTCTCGAGAACACAGTAAGATTCTTTCTCTAAAAAAAAAAAAAAAAAAAAAAAAAGTGGGGCATGGTGGTGCATGCCTGTGGTCCCAGATAGTCAAGAGCCTGTGGTGGGAGGATGGCTTGAGTCCAGGAGTTCAAGGGTGCAGTGAGGCCACAGCACTCCAGCCTGGGTGACAGAGTGAGACCCTGCCTCAAAAAAAAAAAAAAGCAAGACCATCAGCCTTGAGTTTGAAAGGAAAGGTACATTTCCTCCACTAAAAGTGAGAACTGATTTACACATCCCCAGCTGAACATTAGGCCTGACTTACAGCTCAGAATTGTTGACACCTGCCTCCTGGGTTGTAATGTGGTCCCAAGGAGAAAACAGAATATTTTTGGCTTTTTTTAGAGACAAGGTCTCACTCTGTTGCCCACACTGGAGTGCCAATGGTATAATCATAGCTCACTGTGGCCTCAACCTCCTAGGTGAAGTGATCCTCCTGCCTCAGCCTCCTGAGTAGCAGAGACCACAGGCACGCACCACCACACCCAGCTAAGTTACTATTATTATTATTTTTGTAGAGATGAGGTCTCACTATGTTACCCAGGCCGGTCTTGAATTCCTGGCCTCAAATGATCCTCCCATCTCAGCCTCCCAAAGTGCTGGGATTATAAGTGTAAGCCACCATGCTGGCCAAAATAGAATGTTAGAGACTCACTTTACATTGAATTTACTTGGAAGGCTGATTCTTTTTCCACACCCTCCCTAGGAGACTGAGCTGGATTTTAGGACCTTAACTCTGCCCATGAAACGGTCAGGCCAGGGGAGATGGCCTTCACCCATTGGGTTACAAGAGTATCAACTCCCTCCCTGCTTGATTGGGCAGCAGAGCAAACTCGGCCACAGCTCCTTTTAGCTCTTCCCATCCTGCTCTGCAAAATGGTGCACCTCCCTGTACACTTTTGATTTCCTCCTTCTTAATTTTTATTTTTACTTTTTTTGAGATGGGGTCTCACTCTGTTGCCCAGGATGGAGTGCAGTGATGTGATCTTGGCTCACTGCAACCTCCGCCTCCCAGGTTCAAGCGATTCTCCTGCCTCCTGAGTAGCTGGAATTACAGGCGCCTGCCACCACGCCTGGCTAATTCTTCTGTATTTTTAGTAGAGATGGGGTTTCACCATATTGGCCAGGCTGGTCTCAAACTCCTGACCTCAAGTGATTCACCTGCCTCGGCCTCCCAAAGTGCTGGGATGACAGGTGTGAGCCACCAAGCCTGGCCAATTTCCTCCTCTTTTCATTGTCTCCACCAGGAGTGACTCACAATCTATGCGTATTTAAAATTCTCGTGGCTATAGGGGGAAAAAGTCTGCTGAGTAAGGTCAGTTGCTTCAAAGTAAATTGTGTACATTAGAATTCCACACACAGAAAAATCATTGCCAGAGAATGGACTCTGGATTCTTCGTATTTGGCTCTAACAGGGAGGGAGAGGGCAGGGCCAGGGTAGAAGACATGCCGGTGGGAAGGTCTATTCTCAGATTCTCAGACACAGCAGCTCCCAGGTCCCATCCGGACCACTGCCTTCTGCAGCTCAGAACAGAACTTCTGCCTGGCTGGCCCCAGCTAGTTCATCTCTTGGCAAGCAAAGGACCAACTGATTAAAAAAAAAAAAAAAAAAAAAGCCACTGCTGACAAGGCCTTCTCATCCCTAGTTCCAAAGTACAAAAGCAAGCTTTCCTCCAGGGCCAGCCTTCGGAGGTCTGATTTTGGATAAGAGGAAAAATTTCCTTGCCCAAAGAAATGCTTTCCCAACTTCTCAATCTCTGTATCTTTCAAGAGGCTTCTAAGATCACCTTACTTCCTTCACCTTGTTAGGACTGACCTCTTATCTTCACCTGTGTAAGAAAAAATAAAAGCCTGTACAGAGTTGTGAAGGTCATGCATAGTTGCGAGAACCAAGCTTATTTGCTTTGGTAGTAGGGATAAATTTGTTCAGGTCCCCGGGCATTGAAAGAGTACAAAGTATAGCCGGGCGTGGGGAGGCTGAGGCAGGAGAATTGCTTGGACCTGGGAGGCAGAGGTTGCAGTGAGCCGAGATTGTGCCACACTGCAGTCTAGCCTGGGCGACAGAGCGAGACTCCATCTCAAAAAAAAAAAAAGAAAAAAAAAAAAAAGAATACACAGTAGATTCTGAAAAGGTTCTGAATCAGAGGAGAGTCAAAGAGGTTCCCTGTAACAAGGGCTGGGATCCCCAGCACATGCACTTACACTATATTTTATTTTATCTTTTGTTTAGAGATGGAGTCCTGCTCTGTCACTCAGGCCGGAGTGCAGTGGTATGATTTTGGCTCACTGCAATCTCTGCTTCCTGGGTTCAAGTGATTCTCATGCCTCAGCCTCCCGAATAGCTGGGATCAGAAGTGTGCGCCACCACACCCAGGTAATTTTTGTATTTTTAGTGGAGATGGGGTTTCACCATGTTGGACAGGCTAGTCTTGAACTCCTGACCTCAGGAGTTCTGCTCACCTCGGCCTCCCAAAGTGCTGGGAGCTCACCTCGGCCTCCCAAGGTGTGAGCCACCATGCCCGGCCTAAAAAAAAAAGCCAGCACAGCCATAAAAAAGAATGAAAACATGTCCTTTGCTGCAACACAGATGCAGCTGGAGGCCGTTATCCTAAGTGAATTAGCGCAGGAACAGAAAACCAAATACCACATGTTCTCACTTATAAGTGGGAGCTAAACTGGGTACATGAGGATACAAAGACGGGAAAAACACACAGTGATGGCCAGGTGCGGTGGCTCACAGCTGTAATCCCAGCACTTTGGGAGGCCAAGGCGGGCAACTCACTTGAGATCAAGAGTTCAAGACCAGCCTGGCCAACATGGTGAAATGCTGTCCCTATTAAATATACAAAAATTAGCCAGGCATGGTGGTGGGCACCTGTAATCCCAGCTACTCAGGAGGCTGAGGCAGGAGAATCACTTGAACCTTGGAGGTGGAGGTTGCAGTGAGCCGAGATCACACCATTGTACTCCAGCCTGGGTGACAGAGCGAGACTCTGTGAAAACAAAAAACAACAACAACAAAAAACTGAGGGGCCGGGCGCGGTGGCTCACGCCTGTAATCCCAGCACTTTGGGAGGCTGAGGCGGGTGGATCATGAGGTCAGGAGATCGAGACCATCCTGGCTAACAAGGTGAAACCCCGTCTCTACTAAAAATATAAAAAATTAGCCGGGCGCGGTGGCGGGCGCCTGTAGTCCCAGCTACTCGGGAGGCTGAGGCAGGAGAATGGCGTGAACCCGGGAAGCGGAGCTTGCAGTGAGCCGAGATTCCGCCACTGCAGTCCGCAGTCTGGCCTGGGCGACAGAGCGAGACTCCGTCTCAAAAAAAAAAAAAACAAACAAAACAAACAAACAAAAAAAACTGAGGACTACAAGAAGGCAGGGGAAGGAGGGCAAGGACTGAGAAACTACCTACTGGGTACTGCGCTCAAACCCTGGGTGATGGGATCAATTGTACCCCAAACTTCAGCATCATGTGATATACCCATGTAACAAACCTGCACATGTACTCCTTAAAGCTAAAATAAAAGTTGAAATGATATGTAATATAACCAGCTATTCTGGGAAGCTGAGATCTTCTGCATGCCACATAGTTGACATCAATTTTTAAAATTCAGGTGAGGAGTAAACTGCTGGCCGGGTGCAGTGGCTCACGCCTGTAATCCCAGTACTTTGGGAGGCCGAGGTGGATGGATGACCTGAGGTCAGGAGTTCGAGACCAGCCTGGCTAACATGGCAAAACCCTGTCTCTACTAAACATACGAAAATTAGCCAGGTGTGGTGGCCCACACCTGTAATCCCAACTACTCAGGAGGCTGAGACAGGAGATATCACTTGAACCCAGGAGGTGGAGGTTGCAGTAAGCCAAGATTGCGCCACTGCACTCCAGCCTAGGCGACAAAGCAAGACTCTGTCTCAAAAAAGAGTAAACTGCTAGCAGATAGACAAACGTGTAACAGTTCAATGCGTAAAAAACATTACAATGACAGCAAAAAACCAAAACAAAACCAAGAAAAGGCAAATCAGACTCACGTTTCTCCAGTGCTAGATTTCTAGGAGACGACACTCTTCTGTTCCTTCCCTAGATAAAAACGCAGCACAAAGTTCTGTCTACAGATTTCCTCAAGAAAGACCTGTGGATTCTGCAAGAGCAAGAGCCTAGAAAGAGAGAATGAGGAAATGAACATCGAAGTCCATACACAAAACAGGAAAGAGGGAGACTGGCTTCACTCTCTCTCCTGGCGGGACTGGCACAAAAATGGGTCAGAGGCAAAATTTCCTAAGACTGCTTCCTCTGGGAAATGCTTTACTCCTACCCACCTTCAAGCACTGTAGAGTCAACATACTCTTCTATGGCTTCAATTCTGCAAGGTTCAAGTCTGATAGGAAATCATGTACACCTGATTAGCAGGGTACAAAGACAAGGGAGAGGGAAAGAGAATCTCTTAGGAGAACTAAATGCAGAGACAAGGAAGCAGACTTGGGCGGGCATGATGGCTCACACCTGTAATCCCAGCACTTTGGGAGGCTAAGGCGGGCGGATCACGAGGTCAGATCAGGACCATCCTGGCTAACATGGCGAAACCACGTCTCTACCAAAAATACAAAAAAAATTTAGCCAGGCATGCTACTGGGCACCTGTAGTCCCAGCTACTCGGGAGGCTGAGGCAGGAGAATGGCATGAACCCAGGAGGCAGAGCTTGCAGTGAGCTGAGATCGTGCCACTGCACTTCAGCCTGGGTGACAGAGCGAGTCTCAAAAAAAAAAAAAAAGGCCGGGCATGGGGACTCACACCTGTAATCCCAGCACTTCGGGAGGCCGAGGAGGGAGGACTGCTTGAGCCCAGGAGTTCAAGATAAGCCTGGGCAACATAGTGAAATGCCATCTCCACAAAAAATAAAATAAATGAGCCAGGCATGGTGGTGCGTATTTGTAGTCCCAGCTACTTGGGAGGCTGAGGCAGGAGTTTGGGCTCAGGAGTTTGAGATTCCAATGAGCTATGATTGCACCGCTGCACTCTAGCCTGGGTGACCAAGTGAGACCCTGTCTCTTAAAAAAAAAAAAAAGAAGGAAGGAAAGGAGGGTAGGTATCAGGCATATATTAAATCATTTGAAAATTTTAAAAGTCCTGACTACTTTGTTTCACCGACATGAAAGTGACAGGGCTATATGGTCATGATATTGAAAACCTACCCGGCACGGTAATACAGAAATCTTGGATTTTATTATTTTCCTCCCTGATCCTCATTCCAATATCAGTCATCAAATATTTAAAAAGTAATAATATGCAAATCATACATAAAGAAAATATAGTGACCAGGTACAGTGGTCATGCCTGTAATCCCAGCACTTTGGGAGGCAGAGGTGGAGGCAGGTGGATCGCTTGAGGCCAGGAGTTTGAGACCAGCCTGGCTAACATGGTGAAACCCTGTCTCTACTAAAAATACAAAAATTAAAAAATTAGTTAGGCATGATGGTGGGTACCCAGATACTCAGGAGGCTGAGGCAGGAGAATCCCTTGAACCCTGTAGGCGGAGGTTGAAGTGAGCCGAGATCACACCACTGCACTCCAGCCTGGGCGACAGAACGAGACTCTGTCTGAAAAAAAAAAAAATAAATAAAAATAAAAAAAGAAAAGAAAATATAATAAATATATTTAATGAATGAAAGCATGATTTATTTAATTCCCAACTTAAGGCTGTATCGTTATAACAATGTATCTGGTAAGTACTTATTTTAAAATTCTAATTCTAATGGGAAAGAAGACAAAGTCGGACACTTCAACTCTGAGTTTGGGGATTGTTCCAATCTTGCACTAAGGGTGCTCCTGTGTAGGATTGCATCATTCATTCATGCTGTTTGGCAACAGGCAGCTGCTGTAAGATTAGACAAGTGAAGCTACCCAAAAAATAAATCAATGAAAAGAAAGCCTGGAGATTTTAGGAAATGATCTGCCTACGCGATTAAGAAGAAATGTAGACTCAGAGAGGAAGCCTGGAAGAGGAAAAGGAAAGTCGGCAAAATCTGAAAGTTGGGCGCAGGGAAGGCACAAGCCGGGACTTACCCTGTGTCCTGGGCCTCCGGGGCTCCTGCGGCTGCAACCTTCCGGCTGCAGGGGGCCAGCGCCGGCTCCGACGCTCGGGCGAGCAGTTCCCAGGGAGGTGAGCTGTGCAGACCCAGGGCCTCCACCGAACGCTCTCTTGAGATCTGCTGATAAGCGGGGTGGCTTCTGATGAGTTCTGCAAGTGCTTCTGTAAACTGGAGACACCAGATCTGTCTGCTCTGCAAAGCCGGGCTGGGAGGACGATTTGGCCCCGCCCCAGGGGAGGGGCTCCCTGAACCAGCCCCCTCCTCCTCCGGGGGCTCAGCCCCTGCAGTCTGAGAGGTGCACGGTGCCTGTGGCACCTCCGCTTTGCAGAGGAAAAGAGCTCCCGGACCTTCAGAAGCTGCTCCGCGCTGCCGCCACCACCACTTAGGATAAGGATAGGTGAGGGAAGCAAGGGACTGCTGCACTGATTTAGCAATTAGTGAAATCTCCGTCGGGGGGCCTCTTTTGAAATCCACGTTTGGCATTATACGCTTGCAGCAGTGTAGGTCCCAAAAGAACTTCAAAGACTACTTATATTCTTTTTTTTTTGAGACGGAGTCTCGCTCTGTCGCCTGGGCTGGAGTGCAGTGGCACGATCTCGGCTCACTGCAAGCTCCGCCTCCTGGATTCACGGTATTCTCCTGCCTCAGCCACCCAAGTAGCCGGGACTACGGGCGCCCGCCACCACGCCCGGCTAATTTTTTGTATTTTTTAATAGAGACGGGGTTTCACCGTGTTAGCCAGGATGGTCTCGATTTCCTGACCTCGTGATCCGCCCGCCTTGGCCTCCCAAAGTGCTGGGATTACAGGCGTGAGCCACCACGCCCGGCCAAGACTACTTATATTCTTAATTAAAATGCAACCATGAGTAACAAAATGAGAGTCTTTGCACCTTACTTTTATTTTTAATTTTTATTTATGTTTTTAAATAGAGATGGGGGGGGGTCTCACTGTGTTTCCCAGGCTGGGCTCAAACACCTGGGCTCAAGCGATCCTTCCTCCTTGGCCTCCCAAAGTGTTGGGATTACAGATGTGAGATACCGCGCCCGGCCTATTTCTTTTTAAAAATTTTCTGGCCAGGCGCGGTGGCTCAAGCATGTAATCCCAGCACTTTGGGAGGCTGAGGCAAGCGGATCACCTGAGGTCAGGAGTTCGAGACCAGCCTGGCCAACATGGCAAAACTCCATCTCCAGCAAAAATACAAAAATTAGCGGGGCATGGTGGTGCATGCCTGTAGTCCCGGCTACTTGGTAGGCTGAGGCAGGAGAATTGCTTGAACCCGGGTGGGGGGAGGAGGTTGCAGTGAACCAAGATCGTGCCACTGCACTACAGCCTGAGCAACAGAGTGAAACTCCGTTTAAAAAAAAAATTATTCCATGTGTCACTTGCCCAGCTCCTTGTATGTTAACTACAACAAATAAGGGGTGTTTCCCCCAAACATTTACCACTGGAGTTAGCTGGCTGGAGCTGGGCATTGAGATCCACTCAAAAACATAACCTGAAACCTCAAAGGCTGACAGTCTGCACTCCAGGCTCACTCTAAGATGCTCACCCACGCAGAGGATGCAATCCCTGGGGCAGGACACTTGGTCACAGCATCTCTACCCTTAGCTACAGGACCCTCCCCACCAAAACACAATTTTTTTTTCCCCCGAGACTGAGTCTCACTCTGTTGCCCAGGCTGGAGTGCAGTGGTGCTATCTCAGCTCATTGCAACCTCCGCCTCCTGGGTTCAAGCGATTCTCCTGCCTCAACCTCCCCAGTAGCTGGGATTACAAGCGCACACTACCGTGCCCAGCTAATTTTTGTATTTTTAGTAGAGATGGGGTTTCACCATGTTGGCCAGGCTGGTCTCAAACTCCTGACCTCAAATGATCTGCCCACCTCGGCCTCCCAAAGTGCTGGGATTACAGGCATGAGCCACCACGCCCAGCCTGCAGTAGTTTTTTAAAAAGCATAATAGGCCGGGCACCTTGGCTCACGCCTGTAATCTCAGCACTTTGGGAGGCCGAGGTGGGTGTATCATCTGAGGCCAGGAGTTCAAGACTAGCCTGGCTAACAAGTTGAAACCCCATCTCTACTACAAATATAAACATTAGCCTGGCATGGTGGTGCATGGATAATCCCAGCTACTCGGGAGGCTGAGGCAGAAGAATCGTTTGAACCTGGGAGGCAGAGGTTGCAGTGAGCTGAGATCATGCCACTGCACTCCAGCCTGGGCAACAGAGCGAGAATCCATCTCAAAAAAACCCACAAATAAACAAATAAAAAGCATAATAAAAGAAACAAAATGTTAAACACCAAATGTTTGTATCTAAGTGGTAACAGAATTTATTTTGTTTGAGGTGAAAAGAAACTCAAGTAAGTAAATGTGGAAGGCTAGAAGAGTTAACTTATGCTATTATTTGTATTTCATAAATGTTTAATATTAAGTATTCTTTAAAATATTAAATATTCTTAAAAATTTCAGATAAAATATTTATATTTACTAAAATCTGGCTGGGTGTGGTGGTGCATGCCTATAGTCCCAGCTACTTGGGAGGCTGAGGCGGGAGGATCATTTGAGCCCAGGATTTCGAGGTTACAGTGAGCCGTGATCATGCCACTGTACTCCAGTCTGGGTAACAGAGCAAGCCCTTGTCTCTGAAAAATTAATTAGTTAATTAATTAAAATCTGCCACCTCTTCATGGTCCTGGAATCCACCTCATACTCACACCTATATTGATACTTGTGAGCATGAGATGGCTGTATTGTAGACATTGTTTTGCTAGAGCACATCACATTAAAATATATATATATAGTTGCCTAGAAGACACTAATGAGTGGTCACATACAAGTGTAACAACCAGGAGGTAATCTTGCCAGACAAGGCAAAACTGTGAAACAGATTAAAATATGCTTCATCAGGCCGGGCACAGTGGCTCATGCCTGTAATCCCAGCACTTAGGGAGGCTGAGGCGGGAGGATCACCTGAGGTCAGGAGTTTGAGACCAGCCTGGCCAACATGGCGAAACCCCATCTCAACTAAAAATACAAAAAGTAGCCAGGCCTGATGGCAGGCGCCTGTAATCTCAGCTACTGAGGAGGCTGAAGCAGGAGAATCACTTGAACCCGGGAGGCAGAGGTTGCAGTGAACCGAGATTACACCACTGCACTCCAGCCTGTGTGACAAAGCCAGACTCTGTCTCAAAAAAAAAAAAAAAAAGCTTCATAGCTGTTCTTAGTGGAATGATAGGACATGTGAACCAAATACAATATAGCATAATGAAGACAAAGGCATAATTACTGGAATAATAGCACATAAGAACCAAATACAATACAGCATAATGAAGGTGTAATAAAAATATTAGCAAATTATTTTGCAAAGTTTTAATCACAATTGGTTAGTCAAAAGTAATACAGGTCATACTACTGTTCCGGAAAGGTTTTCTTTCCTTTTTTTTTTTTTCTTTTGAGGCAGGGTCTCACTGTAACCCAGGCTGAAGTGCAGTGGCACGATCATAGCTCACTGAAGCTTCGAACTCCTGGGCTCAAGCAATCTTCCTGCCTCAGCCTTCCGAGTAGGTTGGACCACAGGTGTGTGCCACCACACCAGGCTGGTTTTTGTTTAGTAGAGTCTGGGTCTCATTGGTCTCCAACTCCTGGGCTCAAGCCCAAGTGTGATCCACTTTACCCAGCTCTGAAAGGTTTTCTATAGATCACATTTTTGTAAGCTAACAAATTTTTTTTTTTTTTTTTTTTTTTTGAGATGGAGTCTTGCTCTGTCACCCAGGCTGGAGTGCAGTAGCGTGATCTTGGCTCTCTGCAACCTCTGCCTCCTGGGTTCAAGTGATTCTCCTGCCTCAGCCTCCCAAGTAGGTGGGATTACAAGCATGCACCACCATGCCCGGCTAATTTTTGTATTTTTAGTACAGACGGGGTTTCACCATGTTGGATAGGCTGGTCTTGAACCCCTGGCCTCAGGTGATCCACTCGCCTTGGCCTCCCAAAGTGCTGGGATTACAAGAGTGAGCCACCGTGCCCAGCCACAAATTTTCTCATGGCTAATTATATTAGAATCATGTACTCTTTTTATAAGTCATTCAGTGCTAATAGCCTTCTAAAGTATAGTAAATTGGAACAAGCCCTCCGGAAAACAATATGGTGTTATTCAGTAACATTGAACACATGCGGCCAGGTGCGGTGGCTCACACCTGTAATCCCAGCACTTTGGGAGGCCGAGGAGGGCAGATCACAAAGTCAGGAGATGGAAACCATCCTGGCTAACACGGTGAAACCCCGTCTCTACTAAAAATACAAAAAATACAAAAAAAAAAAAAAAAAATTAGCCGGGCGTAGTGGTGGGCGCCTGCAGTCCCAGCTACTTGGGAGGCTGAGGGAGGAGAATGGCATGAACCCAAGAGGCGGAGCTTGCAGTGAGCGGAGATCGCGCCACTGCACTCTAGCCTGGGCGATAAAGCGAGACTCCGTCTAAAAAACAAACAGACAAAAAACACTGAACACGTGCAATTTCTATGACCCAGCAATCCCACCTGAGGAAGACACTCAGGAGAAACTTGCATGAGTAAGCTGGGTGTGGTGCCTCATGCTTCTAATCCTAGCACTTTGGGAGGCCTAGGTGGGAGGATCGCTTGAGCCCAGGAGTTCAAGACCACCCTGGGCAACATACTAAGACCTAATCTGTACAAAAAATAAACAAAATTAGCTGGACGTGCACACACCTCGAGGCACACACCTCGAATCCCAGGTACTTGGGAGGCTGAGGTGGGAGGATGGCTTGAGCCTGGGAGGTTGAGGCTGTGCTAAGATCACGCCACTGCACTCCAGCCTGGGTGACAGAGTGAGACTCCGTCCCCCAAAAAAAAGAAAAAAATGAGGCTGGGTGCAGTGGCTCACACCTGTAATCACAGCACTTTGAGAGGCTGAGGCGGGCAGATCACCTGAGGTCAGGAGTTCAAGACCAGCCTGACCAACATGGAGAAACCCCGTCTCCACTAAAAATACAAAATTAGCTGGGTGTAGTGGTGCATACCTGTAATCCTAGTTACTCAGGAGGCCAAGGCAAGATAATCGCTTGAACCCGGGAGGCGGAACCCGGGAGGCGGAGACCTGTGATCATGCCATTGCATACCCGCCCGGGAAACAAGAACAAAACTCTGTCTCAAAAAAAAAAAAAAAAAAAATGACACATATATAAGAATTCTCACAGCAGTACTGTGAACATTCTCAGTTACTGTGATGCTCCAATAGCCACTGGAAACTTTAAAAAGAGACTATCATTTAATGTCATAAATGATAATTTACAACATAAAATTCAGGACAGTAGTTACTTCTGAAAGTAAGAAAGGAAATGAGATTGAGAAAAGGTATGTAGTTAATCAATGATATTATAATAATTTTCCTTTAAGTAGGATGGTAGGTATACGGATGCTTTTTATATCTGTGTGTATAAAATATTTGCTAACAATTGTAATATTTCTTATCAATACGTTAAATACCAATACATTGCTGGCCGGGCACGGTGGCTCACACCTGTAATCCCAGCACTTTGGGAGGCCAAGGCAGGCAGATCACGATGTCAGGAGATCGAGACCATCCTGGCCAACATGGTGAAAGCCCATCTCTACTAAAATACAAAAAATTAGCTGGGCATGGTAGTACGTGCCTGTAGTCCCACCTACTTGTGAGGCTGAAGCAGGGAAATCGCTTGAACCCAGGAAGTGGAGGTTGCAGTAAGCCGAGATTGCACCACTGCACTCCACCCTGGTGACAGAGAAAGACTCTGTCTCAAAAAAAAAAAAAAAAAAATTAAAAAAAAAAAAACAATATATGGCTGGGCGCAGTAGCTCACGCCTGTAATCCCAGCACTTTGGGAGGCCGAGGTGGGCGGATCACGAGGTCAGGAGATCGAGACCATCCTCGCTAACATGGTGAAACCCCGTATCTACTAAAAATACAAAAAAATTAGCTGGGCGTGGTGGCGGGCGCCTGTAGTCCCAGCTACTTGGGAGGCTGAGGCAGGAGAATGGCGTGAACCTGGGAGGCAGAGCTTGCAGTGAGCTGAGATCGTGCCACTGCACTCCAGCCTGGGTGACAGAGCAAGACTCCATCAAAAAAAAAAAAATACCAATACATTAAAATAATATAAATGTCTTGAAAGAACACAGTGAACACAGTTTGAAATGTGATTTAATATAAACATTGGCATTCAAAATAAGTCATACCATGGAAATATGCCCATGATATGTTCACATGAATAAAGGAAGTTGAAGAACGTATATATCGTTTGAGCCATTTTTGAACAAAGAAATCTCTATGTGTGTCTATATCCAGGTATGATATATGGTTATATATCTATGTCTATATATCTATATAAAAAAGGAAACATTATTCATTTATTTACTTATTTATTTTTATTTTTTTGGGACAGGGTCTGGCTCTGTCTCTGTCCAGGCTGGAGTTCCGTGGTGTAATCTCAACACACTACAATCTCTGCCTTCTGGGTTCAAGCGATGGGATTTTGGTGTGAGCTATTTTTAATCTTATAATGGAAAAAGTGGGAGAAATTTATATTACAAAGCGATATGATTATAGTATAAGAACTGTGGCAATATTTGACTGAATTGTCCCCTTCCTCCTCCTAGAAATTATGCAAAGTGATAGGGAGATATGGTGGTGAGGGGGGGAATGAGGCAGAAATCCCATATTCAACGAAACTAGAAGACAAAAAGTCACTGGAAACTCCAAGACCTGCACAAGGCCTACCAAAGTTACATGGGAAGAGGCACATGCAGATCCCGGAAAACACCAGCAAAAACAGACTCTCTGAAGATGAGCTGTTCATGACACAGTGCAAAAATGTGTTGTTTGAAACAAGCAGAGCAGAGCAGGGATACAAAGAACTGAGGGCAAGCCTCAATCAAGCAGAAAGGGAGTGGAAACCCTTGTAACCCAAGGGGTAAAGGGCATCTCTCCTGGCCTGAACATCTTATGGGCAGAGTTAAGGTCCCAACACCCAGCTCACCCTCCTAGGGAGGGCGTGGGAAAACAATCAGCCTTCCAAGTAAATTCAGTGTGTGTCTCCAACATTCTGTTTTGGCCAGCACAGAAGCTCACGCCTGTAATCCAAACACTTTGGGAGGCCAAGGCGAGAGGATTGCTTGAGCCCAGGAATGCAAGACCAGCTTGATTATCATAGCAAGACTCTATCTCTCTCTCTCTCTCTTTTTTTTTTTTTTTTTTTTTGAGACAGAATCTCGCTCTGTGGCCTAGGCTGGAGTGCAGTGGCACAATCTCAGCTCACTGCAACCTCTGCCTCCCAGGTTCAAGCGATTCTTCTGCCTCAGCCTCCCAAATAGCTGGGACCACAGGTGCCTGCCACCATGCCCAGCTAATTTTTGTATTTTTAGTAGAGATGGGGTTTCACCATGTTGGCCAGGATGGTCTCGATCTCTTGACCTTGTGATCTGCCCGCCTAGGCCTCCCGAAGTGCTGGGATTACAGGCATGAGCCACCTAGTCTGGCCTGGAGACAAGGTCTTTAAAGAGGCGATTATGTTAAAATGAGGTGTTCAGAGTGAGCCCTAATCTAATGTGACCGGTGTCCTTGTAAGAAGAGAAAATTTGGACATGGAGAGACATTAGAAACGTGTGAGTGCGCCGGGCACGGTGGCTCACACTTGTAATCCCAGCACTTTGGGAGGCCGAGGTGGGCAGATCACTTGAGACCAGGAGTTCAAGACCAGCTGGGGCAACATGGCAAAACCCTGTCTCTAATAAAAATACAAAAATTAGCCCGGTGTGGTAGTGCATGCCTGCAATCCCAGCTATTCGTGAGGCTGAGGCAGGAGAACTGCTTGAACTGGGAGGCAGAGGTTGCAGTCAGCTGAGATTGTGCCACTGGCACTCTAGCCTGGGCAACAGAGCGAGACTCTGTCTCAAAAAAAAAAAGATCTGGACCGGGCGCAGTGGCTCATGCCTGTAATCCCAGCACTTTGGGTGGCCGAGGCTGGTGGATCACCTGAGGTCAGGAGTTCGAGACCAGCCTGGCCAACAGGGTGAAACCTCGTCTCTACTAAAACTACAAAAATTACCAGGGTGTGGTGTCGTGCACCTGTAATCCCAGCTACTTGGGAGGCTGAAGCAGGAGAATCGCTTGAATCCGGGAGGCGGAGGTTTACAGTGAGCCAAGATCCCTACACTCCAGCCTGGGCGACAGAGCGAGATTCTGTCTCAAAAAAAAAAAAAAAAAAATCTGTCTGAAAAAAAACTTAATGAATTATTTCCAAGAAGGACAAACAAAAATACAAATATAGAGATTCATGGAAAACATGACAAAATAAGGCAAGACAAAACTGACAAAATCCAGGAAAGAAGCAGAAGGGAGCCGGGCACAGTGACTCACACCTGTAATCTCAGCAATCTGGGAGGCCAAAGCAGAAGGATTGCTTGAGGCCAGGAGTTCAAGACCAGCACAGGCAACAAACTGAAGCACTGTCTCTACAAAACATCAAAAAATTATCCAGGTGTGGTGACGAGTGCTTGTGGTCCCAGCTACACAGGAGGCTGAGGCAGGAGGAAAGCTTGAGCCCAGGAGGTTGAGGCTGCAGTGAGACATGTTCGTGCCACTGCACTCCAGCTTCGGCAACAGAGTGGGACCCTGTCTCAGAAGGAAAAAAAAAAAAAAAAGGATGTAGAAGGAAAACACATAACTATCACACTGGGCATGGTGGCACATGCCTATAATGCCAACTACTCAGGAGGCTGAGGCAGGAGGATCACTTGAGCCTAGGCGTTCAGATCCAACCTAGGAAACATATTGAGACACCATCTCCAAAAAACAGGTAAAATAACCATCACAGAAGTGAATATGAAGCTAAAAAGAGGACAAATAAAAGTGGACACTATGAAAAATATATTAACCAATATGGATGATAAAAATGAGAAAAGCAAATCATATAAACAAAAGGAATTAAATGAAATTAGAGAAAAAATGATAGTTGGCGGGGTGCAGTGGCTCACGCTTGTAATCCCAGCACTTTGGGAGGCCAAGGTTGGTGGATCACCTGAGGTCGGGAGTTCAAGACCACCCTGGCCAACATGGTGAAACCTGTCTCTACTAAAAATACAAAAATTAGAATTTGTGAGGCGAGGTGGTGCATACCTGTAATCCCAGCTAGGAGGCTGCGGCATGAAAATTGCTTGAACTTGGGAAGGGGAGGTTGCAGTGAGCTGAGATGGCACCATTGCACTCCAGCCTGGGCGATAGAGTGAGACTCTATCTCAAAAAAAAAAAGACAGCTGTAGAGGACAGACCAAAGAAAGCCAACATGCACAATTGAAATTTTCAACGAAGATAACCCAAACATTAGAACAAATAAGTATTTAACTGGGTGTGGTGACTTGAACCTGTAATCCCAGCTACTAGGTAGGCTGAGGTAGGAGGATCACATGAGGCCAGGAGTTCAAGGCTAGCCTCAGCAACAGAGTAAGACCCCATATCTCTAAAAATAAATAAATAAATAAATAAATAAATATTTAAAGATATAGAGGCTGGGCGTGGTGGCTCATGCCTGTAATCCTAGCACTTTGGGAGGCCAAGGTAGGAGGATCACTGGAGGTCAGGAGTTCGAGACCAGCCTGGGCAACATGAGACCACCCCTCCCCCCACCCACCCCAACCCCTGTCTCTACAATAAAACAAAAAAAATTCACTGGGCGTGGTGGCGCACACCTGTTGGGAGGCTAAGGTGGGAGGATAGCTTGAGCCCCAGGGTGGAAGCTGCAGTGAGCTGTGATCATGCCACTGCACTCCAGCCTGAGCAACAGAGCAAGACCCTGTCTCAAAAAAACAAATGAATAAAGTTATGAGCCAGCGATTTTTTTGTTTTAAAACAAGCCAAGCCATCATTCACACACAAAGGCTACAAACGATAGTTTTGAACATACAGGAATTCTGGGGATATTTTTCCCATGAGAATATTTTTTTTTTGAGATGGAGTTTCGTCTTGTTGCCCAGGCTGAAGTGCAATGGCGCGATCTTGGTGCACCGCAACTGTCGCCTCGTAGGTTCAAGTGATTCTCCTGCCTCAGCCTCCCGTGTAGCTGGGAATACACGCCTGGCTAATTTTGTATTTTTAGTAGAGACGGGGTTTCTCCATGTTGGTAAGGCTGGTCTTGAACTCCTGACCTCAGGTGGTCTGTCCACCTTGGCCTCACAAAGTGCTGGGATTACAGGCATGAGCCACTGTGCCTGGTCTTGCATGGGAATATTTTTCTTGAGGACACTGCTAATGAATAAACATTACTCACCAATGGATAGCAAAGGGAACTTCAGCAAAGGGACAAGCAAGAGCATTGAGTGTACATCATTGCAAAACTAAGACTAAATAAACCCAGGTTTGGGGGAGAAAAAACAGAATGTAAACGTTACCTACTCTGACAATACAGAAATGATGCAATAGAAAAATTAGGAGGACAAAGATTATGGAATAAATGAAGTAGGGTGAGTTTTTGCAGGCTGTTTCATCTATAATAACCGAGAGTTAAAAGATTATTTAAATCACATTTAATTAACAGTGTAAGAATAATATTAAGAAAAACAATATTGCTGGCTGAAATCAGATAATAGGTCAATCATGGTGGCTGACACCTGTAATCCCAGCACTTTGGGAGGCTGAGGCAGGAGGATCGCTTGAGGCTAGCTACTTGGGAGGCTGAGGTGGGAGGATCACTTGAGCCCAGGAGTTAAAAGCTGCAGTGAGCTAATGATTGTGCCGCTGCACTTTATTTAGCCTAGGTGACACAGTGAGACTGGAAAAAAAAAGGGCCAGGTGTGGTGGCTCATGCTTGTAATCCAGGCAGGCAGATCACTTGAGGTTAGGAGTTTGAGACCAGCCTGACCAACATGGAGAAACCCCATCTCTACTAAAATACAAAATTAGCTGGGCATGCTGGTGCATGCCTGTAATCCCAGCTACTCGGGAGGCTGAGGCAGGACAATCGCTTGAACTCGGGAGGTGGAGATTGCAGTGAGCTGAGATCGTGCCATTGCACTCCAGCCTGGGCAACAAGAGTGAAACTCTGCCTCAAAAAAAAAAAAAAAAAAATAGAATTCTTGAATCCATACTGATACAAATTCATTCATTCAGTCAGTCATTCATGGAGGAGAAGGGAAAGTTCTTCCTTACAGCAGAATTTCAACCAATAAATGTATAATGAATGATGAAAGCAGAAAATTGGCCAGGTGCAGTGGCTCACTCCTGTAATCCTAGCAATTTGGTAGGCCAAAGTGGGAGGATCACTTGAGGCCAGGAGTTCAAGACCAGCCTGAGCAACATAGCTTTTCAGAGAACTTGTCTCTGCAAAAAAATTAGCCAGGCATGATGGTGGATCACTTGAGCCCAGAAGGTCGAGGTTGCAGTAAGCAGTGATTGCGCCACTGCACTCCAGCCTGGGCACCAGAGTGAGACTCTATCTCTTAAAAATATATAAAAGAAAAAATTAATAGAAAATTACCACTTGCAAATGGTTAGGTCTGAGATTTGACTTTACCCTACTTACAAACTAATACGTTAGTCTCTTGCTTGTTTTATGGATGTGGCCTAAGAAAGAAGACTCCTGGCCAGGCGCGGTGGCTCCAGGCCTGTAATCCCAGGACTTTGGGAGGCCGAGGCAGGTGGATCATGAGGTCAGGATATCGAGACCATCCTGGCCAACATGGTGAAACCCCACCTCTACTAAAAATACAAAAATTAGCTGGGTGTGGTGGTGCATGCCTATAGTCCCAGCTACTCAGGAGGTTGAGGCAAGGAGAATCGCTTAAACCCAGGAAGCAGAAGCTGCAATGAGCCAAGATCATGCCACTGCACTCTAGCCTGGGTGACAGAGCAAGACTTTGTCTCAAAAAAAAAAAAAAAAAAGAAAGAAACAAGTCTCCTGTGTCAGAGACAAAGAACTTTATTGCTTACAGCACAGCAAGCAGTGTGGGCAGTAGGATATTTGCATCAGTTCCCCTTTCCCTCCAACTTCCATGGGGTAACACAATGTGGCCCAGATGGATGCCTCAAAGATGGTGGGTTTGGATCACAGCTAAGGAACACTCAGCTCGGGGAATCTATTGCTTTTGTTGTTGTTGTTTTATTGGTTTTTATTATTTATTTATTATTTTTTAGAGATAAAGTTTCACTCGTCGCCCAGGCTGGAGTGCAATGGCGCTATTTTGGCCCACTGCAACCTCTGCTTCCTGGGTTCAAGCTATTCTCCTGCCTCAGCCTCCTGAGTAGCTGGGATTACAGGAATGCACCATCATGCCTGGCTAATTGTGTATTTTTTTAGTAGAGACGGGGTTTCTCCATGATGGTCAGGCTGGTCTCGAACTCCTGACCTCAGGTGATCTGCCCACCTCGGTGTTTTATTGTTTTATTTTTGTAGAGATGGGGTCTCACCATGTTGTCTAGGCTGGTCTTGAACTCCTGGCCTCAAAGGATCCTCCCACGTTGGCCTTCCAAAGTGCTGGGATGGCTTTGCACGGTGGCTTACACCTGTAATCCCAGGACTTTGGGAGGCCGAGGGGGCAAATCACCTGAAGTCAAGGGTTCGAGACCAGCCTGGCCAACATGGTGAAGCCCTGTCTCTACAAACATACACAAATTAGCTGGGCATGGTGGCGGGAGCCTGTAGTCCCAGCTACTCAAGAGGTTGAGGCAGGAGAATCACTTGAACCCAGAAGGTGGAGGTTGCAGTGAGCCGGTATCGCACCACTACACTCCAGCCTGGGCAACAGAGTGAGAATGAGCAGAGTGAGACTCCACCTCAAAAAAAAAAAAAAAAAAAGGGCTAGGATTATAGACATCAGCCACTACACCCAGCTGAAATCTATTGTTTTCATACCAAGTAGTGAGTGGGCAAGCCTGCTCTTTGTCCAGGAAGAAACATTAACTTGTCTCTGAAGATTAGCAACTGTATAAACAACCCTGAGAAAAGCCCCAGATAAAGAGCATTCTTGGGCCTTGCATTCTTGGCACACACAGCAAGACATGTAAGCACACAACAGATCCATGGAGGACTTTCAATACAAAGATCACAGTAATAATTGTTTCAGGCAAAAATTATTGATGGGCTGGGTACAGTGGCTCACGCCTGTAACCCCAGCACTTTGGGAGGCTGAGGCAGGAGGACTGCTTGAGCCCAGAAGTTTGAAACTCACCCAGACAACATAGCATGACCTTCTCTCTACAAAAAAAAAAAAAAGTTTTAAATTAGCCAGCCATAGTGGTGCACGTCTGTAGTCTCAGCTACTCAGGAGGCTGAGATAGGAAGCTGAGCCCAGGAGGTTCAGGCTGCAGTAAGCTGTGTGATTGAGCTACTGCACTCCAGCCTGGGCGACAGGGTGAGACCCTGTCTCAAAAAAAAAAAAAGAAAAAATGGATGCTTAAATTAGTAGGCATTGTTATGATGAAAAACAGAACAGTCACATATTTTCCCATAAGATGCTTATTAAATGCTTATTAAATACAAAGAAAAACTACTAACTTTAAAGTAGAGCAATCTGGCAAATATTAACCAAGTGAACAAAGTTAACATCACCAGGAATGAGAAAAACTGACATCATGTGACTCTTCCTATAATGCCTTGAAAAGGACACGTTAATTTCTCTGGTGTTCTTGCCAAAAATGAATAACCTGCTTTTTTTTTTTTTTTTGATAAGAGCCTCGCTCTGTCACCCAGGCTGGAGTGCAGTGGCGTGATCTTGACTCACTGCAATCTCCACCTCCTGGGTTCAAGTGATTCTCCTGCCTCAGCCTACTGAGTAACTGGGATTACAGGCGTGCACCACCATGCCCAGTTAATTTTTTGTATTTTTAGTAGAGACGGTGTTGCACCATGTTGGCCAGGATGGTCTTGATCTCTTGACCTCACGATCCGCCGGCCTTGGCCTCCCAAAGTGCTGGGATTACAGTTGTGAGCCACTGTGCCCGGCCATAATCTGTATTTAAACATAAGGAAACATCAGGCCAGGCGTGGTGGCTCATGCCTGTAATCCCGGCACTTTGGGAGGCCAAGGCAGGCAGATCACCTGAGGTCAGGAGTTCAAAACCAGCCTGGCTAACATGGTGAAACCCCATTTCTACTAAAAGTACAAAAATTAGCCCGGCATGGTGGTGGGTGCCTGTAATCCCAGCTACTCTGGAGGCTGAGGCAGGAGAATCACTTGAACCCGAGGAGGCGGAGGCTGCAGTGAGCAGAGATCATGCCACTGCACTCCAGCCTGGGCAAAAGAGCAACACTCTGTCTTTAAAAAATTTGAAAAAAAAAAAAAAAATCATAAGGAAACATCAAATAACCCTAAAGTAAGGGACAGTCTGTAAAATAACTGGCCAGTATTCAAAAAAATGCCAAGATCATTAAAGACTGAAAAATTGCAGAACTGTTCCAGACTGAAGAACATGACAACTAAATGTGAAATGTAATTTTGGATAAATAGAATCCTGGGCCAGAGATAGAAGATTCATGACATAATTAGCAAAATTTGAATGAAATCTATAGATTGGATCCGGCATCACTGTAATTTCTTATTCCTGGGTTAAATGTGATGTTTACACTGGGGGATCTGTGGGTAGAGTATGGGAATTCTTCTTACTGTTTTTTACAAATTCCTTCCATTTTTGAGACAAGGTCTCACTCTGTCGCCGAGACTGGGAGTGCAGTGCTGTGATTCTGGCTCACTGCAACCTCCGCCTCCTGGGTTCAAGCAATTCCACCTCAGCCACACAAGTAGCTGGGATTACAGGCGTGTGCCACCACACCTGGCTTTTTTTTTTTTTTTTGCTTTAAGTTCAGGGATATATGTGCAGAATGAGCAGTTTTGTTAGATAGGTATACATATCCCATGGTGGTTTGCTGCACCCTTCAACCCATCCTCTAGGGTTTTTTTGGTGGTTGTTTTTTTCTTTGAGACAGAGTCTCACTGTGTCACCCAGGCTGGAGTGCAGTGGCTCCATCTCGGCTCACTGCAAGCTCCGCCTCTTGGATTCATGCCATTCTCTCACCTCAGCCTTCCCAGTAGCTGGAACTACACGCACCCGCCACCATGCCCAGCTAATTTTTTTTTTTGTATTTTTAGTAGAGACGAGGTTTCACCGTGTTAGCCAGGATAGTGTCGATCTCCTGACCTTGTGATCTGCCCGCCTCGGCCTCCCAAAGTGCTGGGATTACAGGCATAAGCCACTGCGTCCAGCCCCCATCCTCTAAGTTTTAAACCCTGCTTGCATTAGGTATTTGTCTTAATGCTCTCCCTCCCCTTGCTCCCACCCCCTGACAGGTCCCAGTGTGTGATGTTCCCCTCCCTGTACAGACCCATGGGAAATGTTTCAAAAGTGAGAACTTCTTATACATGTTATTTAAATTGTTTTTTCCCCTTATCAAGAACACCTATTTATGTATTTAATATGCTTCCATCAGATGTCGCCTGGGAGACAAGTCTCGCTGTTGTTGCCCAGGCTGGAGTGCAGTAATGCAGTCTCCGCTCACTGCAATCTCCAACTCCCAGGTTTAAGTGATTCTCCCGCCTCAGCCTCCCGAGGAACTGGGATTACAGGCAGCCGCCACCATGCCCAGCTAATTTTTGTATTTTTAGTAGAGACGGGTTTCACTATGTTGGCCAGGCTGGTCTCGAACTCCTGACCTCAGGTGATCCACCCGCTTCTGCCTCCCAAAGTGCTGGGATTACAGGTGTGAATCACTGTACCTGGCCTTTATTATTATTATTATTTTTTTTGAGGAATCTCGCTCTGTTGCCCAGGCTGGAGTGCAGTGACATGATCTCGGCTCACTGCAACCTCTGCTTCCTGAGTTCAAGCAATTCTCATGCCTCAGCCTCCCAAGTAGCTTGGATCACAGATGCACACCACCAGGCCAGGCTGATGTATTTTTACAGAGACGGGGTTTCACCATGTTGGCCAGGATGGTCTTGAACTCCTGACCTCAAGTGATCCGCCCACCTCGGCTTCCCAAAGTACTGGGATTACAAGCGTGCGCCACCATGCTTGGCCTCCTCATAACATTTTTAACAGCAGTTATAATAAATCCGCATGCACACCGTGTAATGCCTATGGAACTAATAACTAGTCTTCTATCGTGCAGTGCTACTAGTCACATATATAGATGTTTTTGTGATTCTCAAATACACAAACCCACCTAAGAGCATCATATACCCAGATATTCACTGCAGTCTGAATAGCAGACTGTGAACAACTTAAACATCAGTCAGTAGGTGACCGGTTAGTTGTGTCATTCTTTTTGAGAAAGGGTCAGCTCCGTAGCCCAGGCTGAAGTGCAGTGGCAAGATCATAGCTGACTGCAACCTCCACCTCCCAGATTCCAGCAATCCTCCCACCTCAGCCTCCCAAGTAGCTGGGATCACAGACGTGCACCACCACGCCTGGCTAATTTTTGTATTTGTTGTATAGATGGAGTCTCGCTATGTTACCCAGACTGGTCTTGAACTCCCGGGCACAAGTGATGCCCCCGCCTCATCCTCCCAAAGTGCTGGGATTACAGGCGTGAGCCACCCAGCCCTGGCCCCTAGTTGAGTCATTCTTACAAAGAACATCACGCTGCTGTTACCGAGGACTTCCCATTAGTCTTGATATGGCACAATCTCCAAGACACTTAAAGTATAACACACCCTGCAGTGTGTATTATGAATTGCCATTTGTGTGGGGAAATGATTATATTCATATGTAAGTTTATAAATTCAGAAAGCATTCCGAAAATTCATAGAGTACCCAGGGGTAACTTTGCTTGTCTCTAGTGTTGAACTAGAAGTGGGAGGAAGATTTAATTTTCACTACATGCCCTTTGGTGCCTTTTGAATTCAGAACAATTTCCGTTATTTATTAAAAATAAAATACAGCCGGGCGCGGTGGCTCACGCCTGTAATCCCAACACTTTGGAAGGCCGAGGCGGGAGGATCACTTGAACTCAGGAGTATCACTTGAGCTCAGGAGTTTGAGACCACCCTGGGCAACATAGTGAGACCCTATGTTTACAAAAAGAAAATAAATAAAGTAAAATACCACGTGTTACTGAATCCCTGGTATTTGGCGGGACACTGGATACTGGAAACAATTGTGGAGCTCTTTGGAAATTTACCTTAAAAGGGAGTCCGCTCAAAGGCAGGAATGACTCTACAAGGGTGAATTTTCAAATCTGCCATAGGGGCCTCGGGCCTCAGCAGCATCCAGAGCCCTACGGACGGGCAGGTTCTTACGTCTCAACTCCCATCGCACCAGTCCTGCAGCTTTCTAAAGGTATCCAGCACTTTCTACCTTGCATTCTATCTTCATCTTCGCTAGGCCTCACAGCACCGCATGATTCCGGGGGAGGGTGCTTATCAGACTCGCGTGTGGCCCCACGGCACCTAGGGCACCGTCGAGCACACGGTCCGGGAAGCTCCAATGAAACGGAACAAACCGCGAGATCAGGGGAGGTAGGAGGCCCACCCTACGCCCTGCCCCCGCGGAGCACAAGCCCCGCCTGCGTCCCGAGCTCCCGGGTCCGCAAAGCTGGGCCCCAAAGAGCTCCAACGCCGGAACCAAGGAGCACGGAATGCCGGGAACAAGCTCCTCCCGTGCGCGATGACGACAAGGCCGAGGCGCGAAGGGTGGGACCGCAGGAGCCGTGCAGCCGCGGACCAATGAGCGGGCGCCGGACGACCTGTGGCCCAATGGCGGCGGCGCGCGGGCACGCTGGGGGCCGGCCAGACGGGCCGACTTTTCCAGAAGACCCGGATAGTTCCTCCCGGCCACGCCGCGCCGGCTCTGGGCACTCAGCATCGTTTCCTTTTCCTCCGCTGGAGCAGCTATGGCGGCGGTGAAGACCCTGAACCCCAAGGCCGAGGTGGCCCGAGCGCAGGCGGCGCTGGCGGTCAACATCAGCGCAGCGCGGGGTCTGCAGGACGTGCTAAGGACCAACCTGGGGCCCAAGGGCACCATGAAGATGTAAGGCGGGGCTGAACCGGAGGGCCGGGCGGGCACCGCGCGCCGCCGCGCTCCTGGCGGGCCCGGGACCGCGGACTGGAGCCCGCCGCCTCGGGGCTGCGCAGCCGTCCTTCTCGGCGTCCTCCGGGGTCGGTCCTGTGTCCCTCCTAAGCCCCACCGTCCCGGCCATTTCTTCCCGCATCGATGCAGTCTCCGCGGAGAACAAAGCGGCTCTAGAGCGCGGCGTTCCCCGCCCTCTGGGGCTTCCAGGCACCCTGAGGACTCGGCACAATCTCTGCGGGGACGGGGTGGGCACTACACCTGTCCTCCATCCTGCTGGACATAACTAGCCCCACATCCCTGGCTCCCTAAAATCTGGGAAAAGCCCGTTTTCTAATGGGACTTTTAGTTATCGTTGAAAAAGTCATAGTCTGGTTCATTTCTGTCCTTTAAACAGGCTCGTTTCTGGCGCTGGAGACATCAAACTTACTAAAGACGGCAATGTGCTGCTTCACGAAATGGTGAGAGGTGCTCTGGGCTAGGTCAGAAAGGTCTTGATTTTCCGTAGAATGTTTTCTTTGTAGAAAGATTTGCAGTGTCCATTTTCAAGGTAGGAGAACATTCAGAAGTGGCGTGTAATCAGTAATAGTCCTGAGTGCCTGGAGTCTGACAGCCCTGCCTTTGAATCCCTGCTTTTTTGCCATTCACAGTCCGGGCTAAAGGGCTGTAATTGTATATTAAAGTTAATTATTTTAAAACTTGAAAAATTAAGAGAGGTTGACACAATCACATGGGCAAAATGCATGAGGATGATTTTTCTTTTCTTTTCTTTTTTTTTTTTTTTAATTAGACGAAGTCTCGCTCTGTCGACCAGCCTGGAGTCCGGTGGCACAATCTCAACTCACTGCAACCTCTCCCTCCCGGGTTCAAGCGATTCTTCTGTCTCAGTCTCCCAAGTAGCTAGGATTACAGGCTCGCGCCACTACGCCCAGTTGATTTTTGTATTTTTAGTAGAGACAGGATTTCACCGTGTTGGCCAGGCTGGTCTTGAACGCCTGACTTCAGGCGATCCCCCCGCATCAGCCTCCCAAAGTGCTGGGATTACCAGGCCCGTGCCCAGCTGGGTTTTCTCTTTTTAAAACAGCAGTTTCTCTGTTAGGTCTCATCTCTATCTCCAACTGGAGGGGAGATAAATCTGTCTCTTTGCAAGTCTTAGGGATGGAGAATATTAGATTATTGAGGGGAGTATGCTTTTTACTCATCCCTAAATTCCCAAAACTTAGCAGTTCAAATCCAAGAAAAGGAAATTATTTCCTGCTGATTTGAGTTCAGAATAATATGTAGGGTTTTGCTAGTGGTATACCATGCCATCAACATCCAGATGAAATATCTTTAGTAAGGACTTGCTAACCTAGGAGGTGTAGTTTTTGTTTTTAGTGGGCTCAGTGGTGGCCCGTGTTTGAAAAGTGGAGCCACAGTTAAACTTGACTTCAGAATTGTTTGGGGGCTAGGTGTGGTGGCTTATGCTTGTAATCGCAGCACTTTGGCAGGCCAAGGTAGGTGGATCATTTGAGGCCAGGAGTTCACGACCAGCCCTGGCCAACATGGTTAAAACTCCGACTCAGCTAAAAATACAAAAATTAGCCGGGTGTGGTCCTGCACGCCTGTAGTCCCAGCTGCTTCAGAGGCTGAGGCAGGAGAATCGATCGCTTAAACCTGGGAGACTGAGGTTTCGGTGAGCCAAGATTGTGCCACTGCATTCCAGTGTAGGAGACAGAGTGAGGGTATCTCCAAAACAAAACAAAAAATTATTTGGGTTTTAGTGTGTGAGAAATACAGCGTAGGTAGAGAGAAGCACATTGAACATTTACAATTTAAGAAATAATTATAAAATGGACACACACAACCACCACTGTAGCTAATAAATTGTTGCTACCACCTCAGAAGTCTCGTCCCATTGGAACCTCTCTCCAATCTCCAGAAGTCTGTTTTTCAGTTTTCTTTGAAAAAATTACAAACCTACAAAAATAATTATAATGTGTGTGCCCTTTAGGAGATACCTGGCTTATTCTCACTAGAGCTCTACACTTGCCATAAAGAGGCAAGGATGTACAATTATGTGTTACTGTTAACTGGTAGCTCTGTCATCTTGAGTAAACTTCTACTGAGCCTCAAGCTTCCTCATCTGTAAAGTAGAGATAACCTGGGAAATAAATTACACATGAAGACGTTTCAATCATTATAATTGCATGTGCATGATAGTTAATCGAAGTAATTTGTAGCCAACATTTGGGTAGCTTTTTCAAGTAGATAGCACTCAAAGAGGCCCTTCCTGCATTTTGTCTGTGGTATATTTAGACTGCTTCATATTGTTTTAAGTGATTCATTCTTTTTCTACTTACAGCAAATTCAACACCCAACAGCTTCCTTAATAGCAAAGGTAGCAACAGCCCAGGATGATATAACTGGTGATGGTACGACTTCTAATGTCCTAATCATTGGAGAGCTGCTGAAACAGGCGGATCTCTACATTTCTGAAGTATGCACAACTCTTGTTTCTGTAATTTTTTTTTGTATATAGGAAGTGTCTGATATTTATACAAATTGATGTGCTGTTAATAGTAGCTGAGGTCATACAGTAGAATTAGGGGGCTTAAATCTGGGTCTTTATCCTGGTCTAAAACAAATTGTGACCTTGGACAGGTTATAGAACCTTTCTTGGCCTGAAAATAATTTTGTAATCAAGTTGCATTGCCTATGTGATTTGCATCTGTCTTTAGTGTAGATTAATAATTGAGATCTAAAAATGGAATGTTTAGGACTAGGCATATTTGTTAGGAAAAAGGCAACCAAAAGCTTATATTTGGATAAATTCCACTTTTTTAGCCCTGACTAGTTCCAAGGTTAAAGCAAACCTCAGTGAATATGAATGTATTGTCAGAATTTCCTGGAGAAAGAGAACAGTCTTTATTTTTATTAGTAAATGATGTGAGTTAGTTTGAGATTACCTATAGAAAGGATAGAATAGTCCAGGCGCAGTGGCTCACGCCCATAATCCCAGCACTTTGAGAGGCCGAGGTGGGCGGATCACCTGAGGTTGGGAGTTCGAGACCAGTCTGACCAACATGGAGAAACCCCGTGTCTACTAAAAATACAAAAATTAGCCAGGCGTGGTGGTGCATGCCTGTAATCCCAGCTACTTGGGAAGCTGAGGCAGGAGAATTGCTTGAACCCAGGAGGTGGAGGTTGTGGTGAGTCGAGATTGTGCCATTGTACTCCAGCCTGGGTAACAAGTGCGAAACTCCATCTCAAAAAAAATGAAAGAAAATAAAGATAGGATAATGCTACCATCTGTGAGTTGTTGGGACACAGTGTTGGTTTTGAAATGATTCAGAGTGGTTTGCACAGTGAACACCCAAGTGTGCTTTATAGTTCCCTTGGCTTTGACCCTGTGCTAGAGCATTCATTACCTGTTCATCTGCTCTGCATTGAAAGGAATATTTGTCCTTTTAAATGTATTCAGAAAGCCAGCACATTATATTACCTCGTGTTCAAAGGTATGATGATCCAGAACACTCCTTCAATAATTACCTGAACTTTATCATGAACTATGGTTGCACCTAATTGAAGATGCAAGTGTTAATGTGTGTTTATTTTAGGGCCTTCATCCTAGAATAATCACTGAAGGATTTGAAGCTGCAAAGGAAAAGGCCCTTCAGTTTTTGGAAGAAGTCAAAGTAAGCAGAGAGATGGACAGGGAAACACTTATAGATGTGGCCAGAACATCTCTTCGTACTAAAGTTCATGCTGAACTTGCAGATGTCTTAACAGAGGTATGTATTAAATTTTGTCTATGTCTGGTATAGTATACCTATATAGAAAATCTCTGATAGTAGAAACATGAATATGATTACCAATTTCAATTACAAGGTGCTGTGTAGGTTCATTTTTGTGGCAATGATACCTAATCTGTGTCTCTAAAAATGAGGAAATTAAAATAATAGTATACCTAACCAGGTTATAAAAGTAAAATTGAAGCTTTCATTAAAAGGTTTATAAAGTGGAGATTTTTTTATTAGAAAGCTTCCAGTTACCAGTATTTTTAATAAAACGAGGAATGTTAATGTTAATTAATGTTAATGTTTGGGAATTATAGATGGAGATTTCAGAAATGTAAATGACTTCAGCTGTTGCCTTTTACATATAATGTATTCTATTTGCTGATAGAAAAAGACTTAAATCAGTGTAGAATTGTAAAATGAAACTGCCTACTTTAGCCTTCTGAAAAGCAACATGTTTCTGCTGCAAATTGAATTTACTTAACGGTTATGCTCCTCCAATTGCAGGCTGTAGTGGACTCCATTTTGGCCATTAAAAAGCAAGATGAACCTATTGATCTCTTCATGATTGAGATCATGGAGATGAAACATAAATCTGAAACTGATACAAGGTAGGTGGTAGAAGACTGTGAAATACTAATGGGCATGGAGGCTCACACCTGTAATCCCAGCACTTTGGGAGGCTGTGGTGGGCAAATCACCTCAGGTCAGGAGTTCCAGACCAGCCTGGCCAACATGGGGAAACCCCGTCTCTATTAAAATTACAAAAATTAACCAGGCGTGCCGGGCATGACTGTAATCCCAGCTACTCGGGAGGCTGAGGCAGCAGAATAGCTTGAACCTGGGAGGCGGAGGTTGCAGTGAGCTGAGACCACACCATTGCACTCCAGCCTGGGTGACAAGAGCGAAACCCCGTCCCATTAAAAAAAAAACAAAAACAAAAAATAAACTGTGTTTAGAAATTTAGGGGTGCTTTGTACAATATAGATAGTTGGCTTTTTTTTTTTTTGAGATGGAGTCTTGCTCTGTCGCCCAGCCTGGAGTGTACAGTGGCATGATCTCGGCTCACTGCAAGCTCTGCCTCCCGGGTTCACACCATTCTCCTGCCTCAGCCTCCCGAGTAGCTGGGACTACAGGCGCCCGCCACCATGCCCGGATAATTTTTGTATTTTTAGTAGAGACGGGGTTTCACCATGTTAACCAGGATGATCTCGATCTCCTGACCTCGTGATCCGCCCACCTCGGCCTCCCAAAGTGCTGGGATTACAGGCGTGAGATGGCAATTTTAAAAATATCTTTGGATATAAAATGTTATATATTTACCTGAAGATATAAGTTGGATAAACTGCTAGGAGAATATTGTTTTTAGTAATATTTTCTCCTGAAATAAGGTGAATGTTATGTTTATGGTTAGAATGATTCTGAAAAGTGAACAACATCAGTCATTTGGCATTTATTGAATTGCTAGGTACAAAGCATAATGAGAAGTAGTAGAGGAATTTAAAAAAATATTTTTTTCAAAGAGTTAGTTAGAAAACATGTTTGTTTTCCCTTTGGGGTGTGTGTGTGTGTGTGTCTGTGTGGAGAATGGAGTCTCCCTATGTTGCCCAGGCTGGTTTTAAATTCCTGGGATTAAGGTGTCCTCTCACTTCTGCCTCCGTAAGTGCTGGGATTACAGGTGCTTGGTAGAAAACATGTTTTTAAAGGACGTCATCACAGTTTGACAGCCTACCAGTGAGACCATCTCTGCAGACTTTTCTGTACAGCGTAGGATCTTCAGGTAATTTAAGAAATAGGCCGGGCGCAGTGGCTCATGCCTGTAATCCCAGCACTTTGGGAGGCCAAGGCGGGCGGATCACGAGATCAGGAGATCGAAACCATCCTGGCTAACACGGTGAAACCCCGTCTCTACTAAAAATACAAAAGAATTAGCTGGGCATGGTTGTGGGTGCCTGTAGTCCCAGCTGCTTGAGAGGCTGAGGTAGGAGAATGGTGTGAACCCAGGAGGTGGAGCTTGCGGTGAGCCAAGATGGCACCACTACACTCCATCCTGGGCAACAGAGCGAGACTTCATCTCAAAAAAGAAAAATGTGACTGCGTGAAATATCAATACCTTCTCATTTCAGTGTTTAATATATTAAATACCCATCTGAAAATCAATAACCATAATTTTGTGTGTGTTTAAACAGCTTAATCAGAGGGCTTGTTTTGGACCACGGAGCACGGCATCCTGATATGAAGAAAAGGGTGGAGGATGCATACATCCTCACTTGTAACGTGTCATTAGAGTATGAGAAAACGTAAGTTTATAGCCCCTTAACAGTGAAATGGAGAAGCTTCGTATTTTAGGCGAGTTACTTTTTTGTGAAACTTTGTTTCCCACTGTAAGGACAATAATGCTCAAATTGGTTTGGGGGAGCTATAGGAAACAGTCTCTGAAGATGCATAAGGGGCAGGATTGGAGCTCAGTGAACTGTTAAATCTTAGGACTAATCCAGTTTCAGAAGCTGCTTTCTTAATGTTTCCCTGCTTTCTGTAACTTTTTTTTTTCTTAATAGAGAAGTGAATTCTGGCTTTTTTTACAAGAGTGCAGAAGAGAGAGAAAAACTCGTGAAAGCTGAAAGAAAATTCATTGAAGATAGGGTTAAAAAAATAATAGAACTGAAAAGGAAAGTCTGTGGCGATTCAGATAAAGGATTTGTTGTTATTAATCAAAAGGTGAGAATGAAAACTCAATGTATAAACTAAATAGTACGTATCATCCTTTTTACTTTTAAGGTGAAAGATGTTGAAATTAATTTTTATTTTTGTTACAGGGAATTGACCCCTTTTCCTTAGATGCTCTTTCAAAAGAAGGCATAGTTGCTCTGCGCAGAGCTAAAAGGAGAAATATGGAGAGGTATCCGAGTAATTTGACTTTTACTCATTTTGCAAGTGAATTGGGATTATTTCTTTTTCCTTATACTTTATTTTTGGGTTTTTCAACTGTATAGTTAATTGGCATTAACTATATTCACATTGTGCACCCCGTCAGCACTGTCCATCTCTAGGACTTTTTTCATCATCACAAACTGAAACTGTATACCCATTAAATAGTTACTCCCCATTTCTCCCTCCCCCTTGCCCCTTGTAAACATTATTTTACTTTTTGTTTCTGAATTCAATATACTTTTTTCCAAAGAGCTCCCCACAATAAAAAGCTTTTTTTAAAAATTTTTTATTATTATTTTTTGAGACAGTCTTGCTCTTTCGTGCAGTGGCATGATCTTGGTTCATTGCGACTACCACTTCCTGGGTTCATAGGATTCTCAGCCTCCCGAGTAGTTGGGATTACGGGTGTCTGCCACCATGCCCACTGAATTGCTTTGTGTTTTTTTAGTAGAGATGGGGTTTTGCCATGTTAGCTAGGCTGGTCTCAAACTCCTGGCCTCAAGTGATCCACCCACCTCAACCTCCCAAAGTGTTGGGATTACAGGTGTGAGCCACCATGCCTGGCTAATAAAGAGCTCTTGTCCACCTTTTAGATTTCATTTGCTAACTTGGGGAGAGTGGTTTAAATGGAGGGTTAAGAGAAAAGACTAGTTTTTAGCTGGTTGATGGCAAATGGAAAGGCTTAAAGTACATTTTAAAATTTAATTTTGTGTGTAATTCTGAAAAATTCCTTCCTAAAAATTACTGGTCTTATCTTTGAAATTCACTGGTAACGTTGCTTATCCATCTCCCTTAAAATGCTATTTCAGGCTGACTCTTGCTTGTGGTGGGGTAGCCCTGAATTCTTTTGACGACCTAAGTCCTGACTGCTTGGGACATGCAGGACTTGTATATGAGTATACATTGGTAAGTGTATTTTTTTCTTAAAGGTAATAGAACCTTTTAGCTCGTGAATTATTTTTGTTTGTTTGTTTGAGGTGGGGTCTCACTCCTGCCCGGGCTGGAGTGCAGTGGTGTGATCACAGTTCACTACAGCCTCATCTTCCTGGGTTCAAGTGATCCTCCCGCCTCAGGCTTCTGAGCAGGTGGGACCACAGACGTGTGTGCTACCATGACTGGCTAATTTTTTTTTTTCTTGGTAATTTTTGTAGAAACAGGTTCATAATTGTGTTGCCCAGGCTGGTCTTAAACTCCCGGGCTCAGGCTGTCCTTCACCCTCAGCCTCCCAAAGTGCTGAGATTACAGGCATGAGCCACCGTGCCTGGTTCATGAAGTCTTTAGCAGAAAAATTAATTGAAATTCAGGATCAGATTTTTGTTTATATACATTTTGAAGGTTTATGTGTAGTAATGGGAAGCCATTGATGGGGAAAATCACATTTCTTTTATGTGATTTTTCAAAAGGAGATAATTTGCTTTAATGTGATCAAGTTTGTTCCTTATTAATATGCTACTTGTCATTCTCTGTAAGTCCCTCTTCTCTCTTCACTCTGCACAAATCCTGTTTTTGAAAATCATATTTTTTCTACACATAGGGAGAAGAGAAGTTTACCTTTATTGAGAAATGTAACAACCCTCGTTCTGTCACATTATTGATCAAAGGACCAAATAAGCACACACTCACTCAGATCAAAGATGCAGTGAGGGACGGCTTGAGGGCTGTCAAAAATGCTATTGATGATGGTAAGATCCTCACTGTATTTCAATTCTTTTATATTGTTTTGCTGGTCTGAAAGGCATGGCCGAATACTGTGTTTTTATCAGTAGTTTACACAGCCAGACACCATGCAAAAGCAGTCTTCCCTTTAGAATGACTGATGGTATGCTAAGGTTTTTCATAGCATATCATTATTAAAGGTGAATACAAATAAATGAACTAATACTGATCTGTTGAAAGCTGCCAGTGGCTAGTGAAGCCATTCTGGTTGAACCATTCTCCTATTTGGTATGTTAGTCACTTGTATTTTGTCATAGTAAATTTGTAAGAAATTAATGGCTTTCATATGTATATTTTGTTATTCATAATTAGTTCTGCAGTTTTCTTAGCATTTTTCCTTTTCCCCCATCCAACAGGCTGTGTGGTTCCAGGTGCTGGTGCCGTGGAAGTGGCAATGGCAGAAGCCCTGATTAAACATAAGCCCAGTGTAAAGGGCAGGGCACAGCTTGGAGTCCAAGCATTTGCTGATGCATTGCTCATTATTCCCAAGGTGTGCATGCTTTTAACAGTCAATCTTCCAAAAGATTCAGCTGATCAAACCTTTCTGATAATGTAGGATTTATTCATAAAGTGGATTTTGGATAAGCAAGTTTGATCAGTTTTCTTTCTGACTCTAGAACAGGTATTCCTCATCATCCAGATATATTTGGTTTCTCTGGGAAGCCTGAATAGCTGACATTGCAGATGGCAAGAGATAACCTGTAGTTTAATATTTGCAGTATTAGGGGTTATACTTGAGTACAAACTTGCTTTTTGCTTTTGTTTTAAACTGATATCATTGTTTTCTATTATATACCAGTTTTGATATATAATTTATGACTGGTGTATTGCTGCTGGGTTTGGGGTAGTTGAGAGAGTTGATCAGTAACTTGTGTCTGGTATTCTCTGAAGGGAACATAAATGTTCTGTCTTTATGCAATGAGTTTTTTTTTTTTTTTTTTTTTGAGACAGTTTTGTTCTTGTTTCCCAGGCTGGAGTGTAATGGTGCGATCTCAGCTCACTGCAGCCTCAGCCTCTCGAGTAGCTGGGATTACAGGCACCTGCCACCACACCCGGCCAGGTTTTTTTTTATTTTTAGTAGAGATGGGGTTTCACCATGTTGGCCAGGCTGGTCTCGAACTCCTGACCTCAGGTGATCCACCTTCCACGGCCTCCCAAAGTCCTGGGATTACAGGCGTGAGCCACTGCACCAGGCCGAGATTTTCTTTTTCTTTTTTCTTTTTTTTTTTTTTTTTTTTTTTTTTACTATCAGTTATTAGTTCCTGTTTTCTCAAGAATTAAATTTGTTTACTTTAGGTTCTTGCTCAGAACTCTGGTTTTGACCTTCAGGAAACATTAGTTAAAATTCAAGCAGAACATTCAGAATCAGGTCAGCTTGTGGGTGTGGACCTGAACACAGGTAAGAGAATGCAACTGTTGTAGAGGGAAAACTAGATGTAATACGTGTGAGTTGAAGCCAGGAAAGATTAAAAATGTTTTGCTTTGCAATTTGACACCAGTGCTGTTAGGGAACTCTGGGTTCTAAAATGGGATAAAATAGGATATTAATAAAAAATGGAATGACTAGGTATAATTAAGGGACGAGTAGACATGAGTAATTTGGGGATACAATTTTGGAGATGTTGAGTGGTGGTAGATGGTTCAGATTAATGTTGAAGGATTTTCATATTGCATTTGCCTTACTCAGTTTTTAATCAAGTACTATGATAAGAAAATAGATGTGGTGATTATATTCATGGGTGAAAACCAGCTAAAGATAGCAATTAATGCCAGAAAAGGGGATGTAGAAATCTAGTGAAATGGTGACAGCCCTGATCTTAGGTTCCTGTAACAAAACAACACAAATTAAGTACAAAGTAGGAGATAACAGGTACCTCCATGCAGTATGTGCAAGACCTATTGTCAACATTAATAGAAAAGGTTTCTGGAATGAGGGAAATGATCAGTCCATTTTAGTCAGATTATAGTTGAAGTGCTATACTTCAGTATGAGTAAACAGAAATGTATCCAGAAGAAGAGAGGGGTGTTCAGGACTTCTAAGTATAAGTCAGACATTCATCAAATATTGTGGACGGGGGTCATGGTTTAGAGTAGAAAATTGGGCTAACAGAGAAGCTTTGAATTCTCATAGTTAATACTGGAGGAAATGAGTCATCAGTGATAAGCAAAGCTGCACACAATATTGTTGGTTCTTACTGACTGAACTTATTTTAAGATTTGG
Source organism: Homo sapiens (assembly GCF_000001405.40). Lineage (NCBI taxonomy): Eukaryota > Metazoa > Chordata > Mammalia > Primates > Hominidae > Homo > Homo sapiens. Next base: position 56,062,672 of record NC_000007.14, read on the forward strand.
TTGCCTTTTAGGTGAGCCAATGGTGGCAGCAGAAGTAGGCGTATGGGATAACTATTGTGTAAAGAAACAGCTTCTTCACTCCTGGTAAGTTTGGGAAAATGAAAACTAAACTGTTAGAGAATCATACTTTTTTCATTTGGTGTTCTCTGTTTAGTTGCTCCTTTCCCCCATGAATAATGTGATCAGCTGGAAGTATGGAAACTGAACTAGCCCTCTGATGTGTAGAGGGGAAGGGGGAAATTTAATTGGATGTAATGTGTGCAGCTTGGTTGGAAGTGGGAAGTTGAGTCGAATTAGGGCTCCTAATCATCTGAGCCATCTTATTTTTGTCCCCCTTTCAGCACTGTGATTGCCACCAACATTCTCTTGGTTGATGAGATCATGCGAGCTGGAATGTCTTCTCTGAAAGGTTGAATTGAAGCTTCCTCTGTATCTGAATCTTGAAGACTGCAAAGTGATCCTGAGGATTACAGCTGTGGAATTTTTGTCCAAGCTTCAAATAATTTTGAAAGAAATTTTCCCATATGAAAAAAGGAGAGAACACTGGCATCTGTTGAAATTTGGAAGTTCTGAAATTATAGTATTTTTAAAAATTGCACTGAAGTGTATACACATAAAGCAGGTCTTTTATCCAGTGAACAGGATGTTTTGCTTTAGCAGCAGTGACATAAAATTCCATGTTAGATAAGCATATGTTACTTACCTTGTTATTAAATATTTCTTGAAAAGCAAATTTTAATGGTTTAATTTTATGTGGACGTATGTTAAATTATCCAACTACCCTATTGTTAAGCATTTGGTTTTAAAATTTTTATGCTAATATAAATGCTCAAGTAATTTAAAATATTGAAAGCATCCCTGTTGGTATAAATTTCTGAGTAAATGCATTGGATCAGTTGGACTTTGAACGCCTTTGAAATGGCTTTGCTAAAATGCTCCCGCCACAAAGTTGTAGGAAATGGGAAGAGGAGTCAACTAGAGGCAAGGGAGTTGAGAGAGCTGCAACTGTAAAGGGCAAGAACAGGCAGAGGTAAAAAGATGATGGAAGGTGTGGTGACTAAGGGCCACGGTTATTGGGTGAAATTTGAGATTGTAGGCCAACTGTATTTTCAAGCTTCTGAACTTAGGCAAAATATTCATCGCAAAGTCTCTAGCGTCATATTTTTCTCACCCAAATTACGTTTCCACGAGATTATTTATATATAGTTGGTCTATCTCTGCAGTCCTTGAAGGTGAAGTTGTGTGTTACTAGGCTGTGTTTTGGGATGTCAGCAGTGGCCTGAAGTGAGTTGTGCAATAAATGTTAAGTTGAAACCTCCTTTCTGTTCTTGCAATGGTATGACGCACAAAAGCAATCTTAAGGGGAATGAAAACTGTCCAAAGGTTCAGAAAAGTAGTGAAGGGGCCTCTGGAACGGCCGGGACCCTCAACGTGGTTTTCCTTAATTCCCTGGGCGGTCCTGAAGGTGGTGTGGCCAGTCCTCCGCCTCGCTCCGTCAGTTTCCCCCTGCTGAACTATTGGGTGCGGGGCGGGTGGTGGCGCAGCCTGCGCATGTGCATAGGGGTCGACTGCCGCTGCGGTGCATGAGGGCGCATGCGCAGCGGGGCCGTGGGTGTACGCGGCGCAGCGCGGCAGTCCTGATGGCCCGGCATGGGTTACCGCTGCTGCCCCTGCTGTCGCTCCTGGTCGGCGCGTGGCTCAAGCTAGGTCAGTGAACCGGCCGTCCATCCTGGGGGCGCTGGGAAGGGGATGGGGCGCTCCGCCCTGACGGGAGAGAGCCTTAGGCCCTTCTGCCGGCTTCCGGGATGCGGCTGCAGCGGCAGGCTGGGGAGGTAGCTCTCGGTGCGCGTGGCGCCTCACCGCCTTATACTTTTCAACTTCTTGTTGTGGAATCTTTCAAACCTAAAAAAGGGAAAGAGAGGCCGGGCGCGGTGGCTCGAGCCTGTAATCCCAGCACTTTGGGAGGCCGAGGCGGGTGGATCACTTGAGGTCAGGAGTTGGAGACCAGCCTGGCCAACGTGAAACCCTGTCTCTACAAAAATACAAAAACAAAAAAACACAACTATCCGGGCGTGGCGGCGGGTGCCTGTAATCCCAGCTACTCGGGAGGCTGAGACAGGAGACTCGCTTGAACCCAGGAGGCGGAGGTTGCAGTGAGCCGAGATCGTGCCATTGCATTCCAGCCTGGGCGACAGATCGATACTTTATCTCAAAAAAAAAAAAAAAAAAAAAAAAAAAAGGCCGGACGCGGTGGCTCACGCCTGTAATCCCAGCACTTTGGGAGGCCGAGGCGGGCGGATCACGAGGTCAGGAAATCGAGACCATCCTGGCTAACACAGTGAAACCCCGTCTCTACTAAAAATTCAAAAAATTAGCCGGGCGTGATGGCGGGCGCTTGTAGTCCCAGCTACTAGGGAGGCTGAGGCAGGAGAATGGCGTGAACCCCGGGGGGTGGAGCCTGCAGTGAGCGGAGATAGCGCCACTGCACTCCAGCCTGGGCGACAGCGAGACTCCGTCTCAAAAAAAAAAAAAAAAAAAAAAGGAAAAAGGAGAATATAACGAGGAACGACCCCCGCCCCCACGTACTCGGCCAGCTTAAATAGCTGCCAGTTTGTGGCCAGTCCTGCTCCTGCGGAATCGCACACTCCCCCTCTCCTGGAGCCATTTGGAAGTGGGTCCAGACATTATCCCATTTTATTCTAGGGATTTATTAAGCTTGAATAGTCAAACCGTTTCTCACCTAAAAAATTGACAGTGCTTCTTAATAATATATTCAGTCTGTTCAGATTCATCTATTATCTCATAAATGGTTTTTAACGTTTGCTGGCTGAATTAGGGACAAAATAAAGCTCATACATTGCAATTGTATGTTATTTCTTAATTCCGATTCAATCTGAGATTTCCCTACTTACTCCTTTTATTTATTTATTTATTTATTTTTGGTGGGGCGGGGGGCAAGGTCTCGACGTGTTGCCCAGGCTGGAGTGAATGGTTCCATCATAGCTGACTGCAGCCTCAAGCAATCCCTGCCTCAGTTTCCCAAAGTGCTGGGATTACAGGCGTAAGCCACCACGCCAGGATGATCCGTTTTTTCCCTTTGCAATATATTTGTGAAAGAAACTGAAAATGGGCCAGGTGAGGTGGCTCACGCTTGAAATCCCAGCACTTTAAGAGCCTGAGGCGGGCGGATCACGAGGTCAGGAGTTCGAGCAGCCTGCCCAACATGGTGAAACCCCGTCTCTACTAAAAATACAAAAAAATTAGCCGGGCGTGGTGGCGGGCGCCTGTAGTCCCAGCTATTCAGGAGGCTGAGGCGGGAGAATCGCTTGAACCCAGGAGGCGGAGGTTGCAGTTTTCCGAGATCGGGCCACTGCACTCTGACCGGGACAACAGAGCAAGGCTCCGCCTCACAAAAAAAAAAAAAAAAAAAAAAATCAAAAACAAAACAAAACAAAAAAAACGAAAAACTGAAAATGGATGAAATCACTGAGAGTGTGTCAGAATAAGAGATCCAAAGATAGGATCTTGAGGAACATCAAAAGACAAGGACTCTGCCTTGAAAGAAGTTGTAGTGCTTAGACATCCTTTCTTGGAAAGACACTGTGAAGTGGTGCATCAGCTGAAGCAGTATGGCTTATTGGAAACAGCACCGTAAAGAGACCTAAATCTAGTCCTGTCTCCTGCTAACCAGCTCTTTAAGTCATATTTCTTTTTTGGATCTTGGTTTGCTCCTGTGGAATAAGGAGGTTGAAGCAAAGATCCTTTTTTATTTTTTATTTATTTATTTATTTTGAGACAGAGTCTTGCTGTGTCCCTCCAGGCTGGAGTGCAGTGGCGCGATCTTGGTTCACTGCAACCTCCGCCCCCCCAGGTTCAAGTGATTCTCCTGCCTCAGCTTCCGGAGTAGTTGGGATTACAGGTGTACACCATCATACCTGGCTTATTTTTGGTTTTGTTTGTTTCTTTGAGACGGAGTCTCGCTCCTGTCGCCCAGGCCGGAGTGCAGTGGCGTGATCTCGGCTCACTGCAACCTCCGCCTCCCGGGTGCAAGCGATTCTCCTGCCTCAGCCTCCTGAGAGCTGGGATTACAGGCACCTGACACCACGCCTGGCTGATTTTTGTATTTTTAGTAGAGATGGGGTTTCGCCATGTTGGCCAGACTGGTCTCCAACTCCTGACCTCAGGTAATCTGCCCGCCTCGGCCTCCCAAAGTGCTGGGATTCCAGGTGTGAGCCATCGCACCTGGCCAGTCCTTTTTAATTCTATGATTTTCTGAGGCATTCATACAAGTCTAAAGGTGCTCATTCAACTATTTGGCAATAATTATGCACTTATGGCAGAGGCCAGGGATATACTGTCATATATGTATTATATGCTTCTCTTCTGGCTCATATAATGGTGAGAATCACTAAGAACTGATAAGAGTTCAGTAAGTGGAGAGGAAGAGGCAGAGAAACAGCATGAGCAGAAGGATGGAAAGAAAGTGCTAGATGTATTTTAGGATAGAGTGTCTAAATTCACCTAGCTGGGACAAGGGCTTGTGTAGAGGAAGAAAAGGACTTGTGTAGAGGAAGAAAGAGGTAAGTGCAAATCTACCATGTGTTCAACATTTCACCCATGCTATCTTATTGTTATTATTATCTTTTTATTTTTTATTTTTTGAGACAGGGTCTCACTCTGTCACCCAGGCTGGAGTGCAGTGACACAATGATAGCTCACTACAACCTTGAACTCCTGGGCTCAAGCAATCCTCCTGCCTTAGCCTCTGCACCCTGTCTCTGAGCCATTGCTCCTGGTTCCATGTTATTTTAATTGATACAGCTGCTACCTAAGAGATAGTGAGATATTATCCCTATTTTTCATACTTATTTTTTCTTTTATTAATAAGCTATGGTCGTCCATAGATATCCCCATTTTTCAGATGAAGAAATTGAATCTCAGCTGGGCGTGCTGGCTCACACCTATAATCCCAGCACTTTGGGAGGCTGAGGTGGAAGGATCATTTGAGCTCAGGAGTTTGAGACCAGCCTGGGCGACATAACAAAACCCCATCTCTACAAAAAATACAAAAATTAGCCAGGTGTGGTGGTGCACACTTGTGGTCCCAGCTACTCAGGAGGCTGAGGTGGGAGGATTGCTTGAGCTGACGGGGGCAGAGGTTGCAGTGAACCCAGAGTGCACCACTGCACTCCAGTCTGGGTGACACAGCGAGATCCTGTCACGAAAAAAAAAAAAAAAAAGACAAGAAATTGAATCTCAGATTAAGTAATTTGCCTAAGGTTTCCCAGCAAATTAAGTGGCAGAACAAGAATGTGAAGCCAAACAAACAAAACGCAAAAGGAATTTTCTTTTTTTCTTTCTTTTTTTTTTTTTTTTTTTTTGAGACAGAGTCTCGCTCTGTTGCCCAGGTGGAGTGCAGTGGCACACTCTCGGCTCACTGCAAGCTCCGCCTCCCGGGTTTACACCATTCTCCTGCCTCAGCCTCCCAAGTAGCTGGGACTACAGGCGACTGCCACCACGCCCGGCTAATTTTTTTTTTTGTATTTTTAGTAGAGAAGGGGTTTCACCGTGTTAGCCAGGATGGTCTTGATCTGACCTCGTCATCTACCCGCCTCGGCCTCTCAAAGTGCTGGGATTACAGGTGTGAGCCACCGTGCCCAGCCCAAAAGGAATTTAAAGCCAGATTTTTAAGCCTCCACATTTTTTGTTGTGTTTTGTTATACCATCATGAGTATTGCATATGATCCAAATATTACCACTTGTTTTATATATATGCATGTATTACTGGTAACTCTCTTTTTTCTCTGCAGGAAATGGACAGGCTACTAGCATGGTCCAACTGCAGGGTGGGAGATTCCTGATGGGAACAAATTCTCCAGACAGCAGAGATGGTGACGGGCCTGTGCGGGAGGCGACAGTGAAACCCTTTGCCATCGACATATTTCCTGTCACCAACAAAGATTTCAGGTACATCAGGTATTCTTCCAGGAGGAATGAAGACCCTCTCTAATCTCATTCTTTTTTCTTTCTTTTTTTTTTTTTTGTTTTTTGAGACTGACTCCCTCTGTCACCCAGGTGCTGGAGTGCAGTGGCGCAATCTCGCTCACTGCAACCTCCACCTCCCGGGTTCAAGCAATTCTCCTGCCTTCGCCTGCCGAGCAGCTGGAATTACAGGTGTTCACCACCACGCCCGGCTAATTTTTTTTTTTTTGTATTTTTTTAGTAGAGACGGGGTTTCTCCATGTTGGCCAGGCTGGGCTCGAACTCCTGACCTCAACTATCTGCCCACCTCAGCCTCCCAAAGTGCTGGGATTACAGGCATGAGCCACTGCACTTGGCCTCATTCTTAATATCTAAAGGAAAACTAACTTGTTCACTGTCACGTGTCATCTTTGCAGTGTACTATGGGATATGTTATTCAGATGAAGAACCTGAAATCCAAAGAGGTTTGACTGACTCTCTCAGTTAGTGGATGAGCTTGGCCTGGAACTCAAATCCCTGGGCTCTTGAGCCAGTGCATTTTCCATTACACTGGGCATAGCACTGAGAAATATAAGCAAACGCCAGTCACTCAACAGAAACCTCTTCTACATGGGGAAGGGATTGGGAGAAGGGACATCATAGTAGAGAGTCCTTTAAATTCCCCTTATAGGCCAGGTGTGCTGGCTCACACCTGCAATGTGAGCACTTTGGGAGGCCGAGGTGGGAGGATTGCTTGAGCTCAGGAGTCTGAGACCAGGCTGGTAACATAGGGAGACCCTATCTCTGCTAAAATAAATAAATAAGTAAATAAGTATATAAATATACATACACACACATATATATATAAATACATATATATAACAATCCATCTTACCCTGACAGTCTGCCCCCTGAAACTTACTAAACCATACCAAAGTATATGAAAATTCATTTTATTATTATTATTGTTATTGTTATTATTTTTTTGAGACAGGGTCTGGCTCTGTCACCCAGGCTGAAGTTCAGTGGTATGATCTCAGCTCGCTGCAGCCTCTGCGTCCCAGGCTCAAACCATCACCTGGGACTACAGGTGCGCACTATCACACCCAGCTTATTTTGTTTTGTATTTTTGGTAGAGACAGGGTTTTGCCCTGTTGCCCAGGCTGGTCTCGAACTCCTGGGCTCAAATGATCCTTCTGCCGTGGCCTCCCAAAATGCTGGGATTATAGGTGTGACCCACCATGCCTGGCCTTGAAAATCCATTTTATTTATTTGTATTTATTTATTTATTTAGAGACACAGTTTTCCTCTTGTTGCCTAGGCTGGAGTGCAATGGTGCGATCTCAGCTCACCACAACCTCCACCTCCTGGGTTCAAGCGATTCTCCTACCTCAGCCTCCTGAGTAGCTGGGATTACAGGCATGCACCACCACGCCCAGCTATTTTTTGTATTTTTAGTAGAGACAGGGTTTCTCCATGTTGGTCAGGCTGGTCTTGAACTCTTGACCTCAGGTGATCCACCTGCCTTGGCCTCCTGAAGTGTTGGGATTACAGCTGTGAGCCACCACGCCCGGCCAAAAATCCATTTTAAAAGCCCAATTTTTCACTTCTATTTGGTTCAGTGTTTTTCACCTCTTAAATGGAGTTAATAACAATAACACCTGTTACATCTATCTCTGATGGTTGTTGTGAGATGAGATATGTGATGAAGGGCTGGATGCAGTGGCTCACGTCTGTAATCCCAACAATTTGGGAGGCTGAGGTGGGAGGATCACTTGAGCCCAGGAGTTCGAGACCATCCTGGGCAACACAGACCCCCATCTCTACTAAAAATTAAAAAAAAAAAAATTAGCCCTTCATGGTAGCACACACTTGTAGTCTCAGCTATTAGGGAGGTTGAGGCAGGAGGATCACTTGAGTGTGGAAGGTTGAGGCTGTAGTGAGCCATGATTGCACCACTGCACTCCAGCCTGGGCAACAGAGAGACATCCTTTCTCAAAAAAAAGAAAAAAAAAAAAGATGTGCTGGAGACCTTTCAGAAAAGAGACACATTCCCCACCCTTAAATCTCCTGCTCCAGTGGCTTTATTCATGATCTCCAAAAACAGGAGATAACTCACATGATCTTCAGCTGGTAAGTGTATGAACAAAATATGGTATGTCCATACAATAAGATACTACTCATCGATAAAAAGGGACAGACTACTAATGGCAACAACATGGATGAATCTCAGAAGCCTTTTGCTAAGTGAAGGAAACCTCCGCCAGACCCAGAAGACTACATACTGTATGATTCAAGTTATATGGTGTTCTGGGAAAGGCAAAACTATAGGGACAAAAAAACCTGGTCCGTGGTTGGTGAGTTGCAGGGAAATTTTTTTGGAGGTGACCGATGGAACTATTCTGTATCTTGATTATTGTAGTGACTATATGCTTTGTCAAACTCACAGAACTGCTGAGCACAGTGGCTCATGCCTGTAGTCCCAACACTTTGGGAGTCCGAGGTGTGTGGATCACTTGAGCTCAGAATTTTTAGACCAGCCTGGGCAACATAGTGAGACCCCATCTCTACAAAATTAGCTAGGCATGGTGGCATGCACCTGTAGTCACAGCTACTTGGGAGGCTGAGGAGGGAAAATTGCTTGGGCCCAGGAGGTCAAGGCTGCAGTGAGCTGTGATTATGCCACTGCACTGCAGTCTGGGTGACAGAGTGAGACCCAGTCTCAAAATATAAATAATTAAAATAAATCAGGAGGCTGAGGCACGAGAATCTCTTGAACCCAGGAGGTCGATGCTACAGTAAGCCATGATTGTGCCACTGCACTCCAGCCTGGGTGACAGAGTGAGACCTGGTGTCAAAAAAATAAATGATTGGTTGGGCGCAGTGGCTCACACCTGTAATCCCAGCACTTTGGGAGGCTGAGGCAGGCAGATCACAAGGTCAGGAGTTCAAGACCAACCTGACCAACATGGTGAAACCCCATCACTACTAAAAATACAAAAATTAGCCGGGTGTGCTGGCATACACCTGTAATCCCAGCTACTCAGGAGGCTGAGGCAAGATTATCGCTTGAACCCAGGAGGTAGAGGTTGCAGTGAGCTGAGTTCATGCCACTGCACTCAAGCCTGGGCCATAGAGTGAGACTCCGTCTAAAAATAAATAAATAAATAAATAAATAAATAATTAAATAAAAAATAATTTGGGCACAGTGGCTCATGCCTGCAATCCCAGCACTTTGGGAGGCCGAGGCGGGCAGATCATGAAGTCAGGAGTTTGAGACCAGCCTGGCCAACATGGTGAAACCCGTCTCTACTAAAAAGACAAAAATTAGTGGGCATGGTGGTGTGCACCTGTAATCCCAGCTACTGGGGAAGCTGAGGCAAGAGAATCGCTTGAACCCAGGAGGTGGAGGTTGCAGTGAGCTGAGATTGCACCACTGCACTCCAGCCTGGGCAACAGTCTTTTTGAGACAGAGCAAGACTCTGTCTCAAAAAAAAAAAAAAAAAATATTGGCCAAGTGTTGTGCCTCACACCTGTAATCCCAACACTTTGGGAGGCCACTTTGGGTGGATCACCTGAAGTTAGGAGTTCGAGACCAGCCTGGCTAACATTGCGAAACCCTATCTTTACAAAAAATACAAAAATTAGCTGGGCGTGGTGGTATACGTCTGTAATCCCAGCTACTTAAGAGACTGAGGCTAGAGAATCACTTGAACCTGGGAGGTGGAGGTTGCAGTGAGCTGAGATTGTGTCACTGCACTCCAGCCTGGGCAACAGAGTGAGACTTTGTCTCAAAAAAATAAATAAATAGGACAGGTGTGGTGGCTCACGCCTGTAATCTCAGCCCTTTGGGAGGCCGAGGCAGGTGGATCACTAGGTCAGGAGTTCGAGACCAGCCTGGCCAACATGGTGAAACCCTGTCACTACTAAAAATACAAAAATTACCTGGGCGTGGTGGCAGACGCCTGTAATCCCAGCTACTTGGGAGGCTGAGGCAGGAGAATGGCGTGAAACCGGGAGGCGGAGCTTGCAGTGAGCCGAGATCACACCATTGCACTCCAGCCTGGGCGACAGAGTGAGACTCCATCTCTAAATAAATACACAAATAAACAAACAAATAAAATAAAAAATTAATTAACCTCACAGAACTAAACACTGAAGAGAGTGAATTTTACTGTATGTGAATTCGTTGTATTCTAATTTAAAAGAAAATCACTCAGGCTTCAGGTTAATTCCTTGGCAATCATGAACACTCTGTGGTGTATAACTTACAGGACAGGGATATCTGAAGTTTCCTGGAGCAGGAGAAGATGGGGTGGGCACAGAACCTCACCAGCTGAACCAGCTGAACTATGTCTTTATAGGGATTTTGTCAGGGAGAAAAAGTATCGGACAGAAGCTGAGATGTTTGGATGGAGCTTTGTCTTTGAGGACTTTGTCTCTGATGAGCTGAGAAACAAAGCCACCCAGCCAATGAAGGTGAGAGAACCTGGTCTTGCAGCTGAGGGGATAGGAGTGGGACCTGGACAGGGAATCCTGTGGGACATGGGTTACCTGGGACACAGTGGAGAATCAGACCTGAGAGGTGGAGGCAGAGGGGAAGCAAGAGAAACTCACCATGGAGCGTCAGATCAGTACACACTCCCAGGAAGTTAACCCTGAACCCAAGTTAGCTCTTGCCTAAATGTCCAAGTCAGGATAGGATCCAAGGAACTTGAATCAAGAGATCACCTTGGTGGGCCGAGCGTGGTGTCTCATGCCTATAATCTCAGCACTTTGAGAGGCTGAGGTGAGTGGATCACCTGAGGTCAGGAGTTCAAGACCAACATGGCGAAACCCCGTCTATACTAAAAATACAAAAATTAGACAGGCATGGTGGCACGCTCCTGTAATCTGAGCTACTCAGGAGGCTGAGGCATGAGAATCGCTTGAACCTGGAAGGCAGAGGTTGCAGTGAGCCGAGATGGCGCCACTGCACTCCAGCCTGGGTGACAGAGTGAGACTGTGTCTCAAAAGAAAAAAAAAAAGAGAGATCACCTTGGCAAGCCAACCTCTAATAAGGGTGGTAAGATGGGCTCTATAAAGATTCCAGTCTCAGCTGGGCGCAGCAGCTCACGCCTGTAACCCCAGCACTTTGGGAGGCCGAGGTGGGACAATTGCTTGAGCCCAAGAATTCAAGACCAGCCTGGGCAACATAGATCCCATATCTACAAAAAAAAGAAAAAAAAGAAAATTAGCTGGGCATGGTCATGCACACCTGTAGTCCCAGCTACTCAGGAGGTTGAGGTGGGAGGATTACCTGAGTCCAGGAGGTTGAGACTGCAGTGAGCTCTGATGGTGCCACTGCACTCTAGCCTGAGTGACAGAGCAAGATCTTGTCTCAAAAAAAAAAAAAAAAAAAAAAAAAAAAAATCAGCCACAACCTCACTTAGACCACCTGAGTCTCAGCCTGACGTCTCTGTTCTGCGTCCTGTGGCTCAGTCGGGGAGGTGCCTTTGCTGGGCCGGAGCATCTTGCAGTCGGTCTCCTTCTTTTTCGCAGTCTGTACTCTGGTGGCTTCCAGTGGAAAAGGCATTTTGGAGGCAGGTAAGGGCTGATTCCGCTACCTCATTTTCTACCCCTGCTTGACTCTTATTCTCCAGGCCCAGCCTCCTCTCTACCCCTCGTACATCCAGGAACACTGAGTTTCAAAGAAGGATAGGGGAATATCAGGGAAAGCGCTCAGCAGGCCTGTTTCACCTGCCCGAATCCTGTTTCCTGTTACCCATCCATTTCTCCCTTCAGCCTCCTGTAGTCTCTTTTTTCTGACTCCGACCACTGGTCACTCACCCGGCTCTCTTCCAGCTCTCTTGCTCCATCTAGTGGTAAAAGCTGAACGCGGGCGCCCTAAACCTAGCCTGCCTCCGACTTAATGCGCTCCCGGAAGCCTGTCTCACTTAATCCTGGCTGTCAGCCTGCAGGTCCTGGCTCTGGCATCCGAGAGAGACTGGAGCACCCAGTGTTACACGTGAGCTGGAATGACGCCCGTGCCTACTGTGCTTGGCGGGGAAAACGACTGCCCACGGAGGAAGAGTGGGAGTTTGCCGCCCGAGGGGGCTTGAAGGGTATCCAGATGATAAGGCGATTTTCCTTTATTCTTCTCCCCATCCTGCCCAGCATGAGGGGCTTTAAAGGGTGGAAAGGGGCTGGGCGCAGTGGCTTATGCCTGTAATCCCAACACTTTGGGAGGCTGGGGCAGGAGGATCGCTTGAGGCCAGGAGTAAAAGACTAGCCTGGGCAATATAGGGAGACCCTGTCTCTCCGAAAAATACAAAAATGAGCTGGGCCTGGTGGCATGTGCCTGTAGTCCCAGCTACTCAGGAGGCTGAGGTGGGAAGATCCTTTGAGCCTAGGAGTTCAAAGCTGCGGCGAGCTATGATCGCACCACTGCTGTCTGGCCTGAGTGACAGAACAAGACCCTGTCTCAAAAGAAAAAGCGGGGGGATGGGGCAGGAAGGGTCTGTGTTCCCTAGAGCAGTGCTTCTTAAGCTATCTGTGGTGGAGGACCAGTGTTTTTTTTTTTTTTTAATTTCTAGTCCATCTCAGACTGATATAAAATACCATAAAAATTAATAACTGGAAAATTGAAAGAACAGACATAAAATATTTTATTGGAAATTCCACAGACATGTTACATTTCAATAAATATAACTAGAGCAACATAGCATAAGGAAAAAGAATTACCAAGACTACACACTTCTGCCTCTGGGGTACAGAGATTAATGTTAAGAGTCACTGTTTGCGGCCGGGCGCAGTGGCTCACGCCTGTAATCAAAGCACTTTGGGAGGCCGAGGTGGGTGGATCACGAGGTCAGGAGGTTGAGACCATCCTGGCTAACACAGTGAAACCCCGTCTCTACTAAAAATACAAAAAAAAATTAGCTGGGCTTGGTGGCGGGCGCCTGTAGTCCCAGCTACTTGGGAGGCTGAGGCAGGGGAATGGCGTGAACCTGGCAGGTGGAGGTTGCAGTGAGCCGAGATCACGCCACTGCACTCCAGCCTGGGCGACAGAGTAAGACTCCGTCTCAAAAAAAAAAAAAAAGAATCACTGTTTGCTCCTAACTCGGTCATTTGTCATTCTGCAATCCTAATTACACAAAAAGTTAGGACAGCAAAAAGCAACTCCGCACATTAAACCCCTCTACACAATCTTTCAGTGAACACCAGGTACATCAGTGATCAAAGTTTTTTGTTTTTTGTTTTTTGTTTTGAGACAGTCTAGCTCTGTCGCCCAAGGCTGGAGTACAGTGGCACGATCTCAGCTCCCTGCAACCTCCGCCTCCCGGGTTCAAGGGATTCTCCTGCCTCAGCCTCCCTAGTACCTGGGATTACAGGCACCTGCCACCATGCCCGGCTATTTTTTTTTTTTTTTTGAGACAGAGTGTCGCTGTGTCGCCCAGGCTGGAGTATGGTGGCGCGATCGCGGCTCACTGCAAGCTCCGCCTCCCGGGTTCACGCCATTCTCCTGCCTCAGCCTCCCAAGTAGCTGGGACTACAGGCGCCCGCCACCTCGCCCGGCTAATTTTTTGTATTTTTAGTAGAGACGGGGTTTCACCGTGTTAGCCAGGATGATCTCGATCTCCTGACCTCCTGATCCGTCTGCCTTGGCCTCCCAAAGTGCTGGGATTACAGGCGTGAGCCACCATGCCCTGCATAATTTTTGTATTTTTAGTAGAGACAGGATTTCACTGTGTTGGCCAGGCTGGTCTCGAACTCCTGACCTCGTGATCCATCTGCCTCGGTCTCCCAAAGTGCTGGGATTACAAGTGTGAGCCACCGCGACCAGCCAGTGATCGAAGTTTTTAATATGACCTGTGAGGTTGCCTCTGGCTCATTCATTTATGCAATCTAAGTCCAATTTCAAGTTTCTCGATTTCTGTACTTTTCTCAACATGAACTGATAACAGATGCTTTATAAACTGGCTCAGGTCCCAGAACCATGCTTAGGATTACATTGCCCTGGAGCACATGAGGAGGCCAGGGCCCTCTAATGCAGTTCAGCGAGTGGAGAGGATGGGCATGGCAAATAAAAGCAGGTCATTCACTCTTTTTTCTCATCACCCTCTAACTTCCTTTTGATTCCCTCACTCTTTCTGTGTTCTTTTTTCCTTCCCTAATTCTTCACCTCCCCCTCCTCTGCTGCCTCCTTGCTCTCCTCGCAGGTCAAGTTTACCCATGGGGGAACTGGTTCCAGCCAAACCGCACCAACCTGTGGCAGGTAAGACCTACGTTCCTCCTTTCACCAAGCATTGACAGAGACCTGCTGGAGGCTGGGCACTGTGTTGTTAGGCCGCGGCATCCAGAAGGCTTGGGTTCTAATGCAACTGATGACTCATAAGCTGGTAAAGCAAAAGACAATGGGTCATAAGTGCTTTCTTTTTTTTTTTTTTTTTGAGACAGAGTCTCTCTCTGTTGCCCACGCTGGAGTGCAGTGGTGCGATCTTGGCTCACTGCAACCTCCGCCTCCCAGGTTCAAGCGATTCTCCTGCCCCAGTCTCCCAAGTAGTTGGGATTACAGGTGCCTGCCACCATGCCCAGCTAATTTTTTTGTATTTTTAGTAGAGATGGGGTTTTGCCATGTTGGCCAGGCTGGTCTCAAACTCCTGACCTCAGGTGATCCACCCGCCTTGGCCTCCTAAAGTGCTGGGATTACAGGCATGAGCCACCGTGCCCAGCCAGCGTAAGTACTTTCTATTAAAGAGTTGTAGGGCTGGGTGCAGTGGCTCACGCCTGTAATCCCAGCACTTTGGGAGGCCGAGGCGGGTGGATCACCTGAGGTCAGGAGTTCAAGACCAGCCTGGCCAATATGGTGAAACCCTGCTTCTACAAAAAATAAAAGATGAGCTGGGCATGGTGGCATGCACCTGTAATCCCAGCTGCTTGGGGCTTGGGCAGGAGAATCACTTGAACCCAGGAGGCGGAGGTTGCAGTGAGCTACCACTGTACTCTAGCCTTGGCGACAGAACGAGACCCTGCCTCAAAAAAAAAAAAGTGAATAAAAAATAAAACTAAAATAAGCAAATAAAAAAGCACTGTCCTGAGAAGGCCAGCAGGAATAGGCTGCAGTGCTCAGGCATGAGACATGGGGGCAGGATGCAGAGGATCCTGTCTTCTTGAGGCACTGTGGCATGTGGGGTTCCAGGCAGAGGGCAGGATGTTGCTGAGAGTGGAGAAGTCAGGTGTGGGCTGGGCTTGACCTGGAGCCCTGTGGGTACAGGGGAAACACTCTTCCTAATCCAGCAGTGGGGGTCACCCTGGGGATGTAAGGTGATGGGTTTGGGAGCTCTAGATAGGAATCTTAGGTCACCGCCCCGTGCCCTTCCCCTTCCCCAGATGCAACAGCAAGACGACCTTGGTTTTCCTCTGGATAGGCATGAGGACCTGCTTTGGGACAGGTGGTAAATCCTTTACCCTTCCTTTCTCCCATCAGGGAAAGTTCCCCAAGGGAGACAAAGCTGAGGATGGCTTCCATGGAGTCTCCCCAGTGAATGCTTTCCCCGCCCAGAACAACTACGGTAAGAGCTGTCTTGGGCTTGCGGCTGTGCCCATGAACTGGCTGTTGGGACCATCATGTCTGAGAGAGGAGGCAGAGGGAAGCACCTCCCTTCTGCCATTTGGCCCCCAGGACCTCAGAGGGTAGGCGGGGTGGTCGGCGGGTCCCAGCCTGGCCTGACCCGCCGGTGGGGCTGCAGGGCTCTATGACCTCCTGGGGAACGTGTGGGAGTGGACAGCATCACCGTACCAGGCTGCTGAGCAGGACATGCGCGTCCTCCGGGGGGCATCCTGGATCGACACAGCTGATGGCTCTGCCAATCACCGGGCCCGGGTCACCACCAGGTAAGGGGCTTGGTCCCAGGCAACACGGGGCCTTGTAGCTGGGGGCTGATGTCTGAATCCCGGTCCCAGAGTGTCCCTACCTTCACACCACCAACCGTCTGTGTGTGATGAGCTGGTCCCAGCACCTCCCTGAGCCTGTGCCCAGTTGTGGGTACAAAAAAGAAAGCCAGCAGCACTTGCTATGAAAAGCAAAGGGACCCAGGACACCTTGTGACTCTCCTGCCAGCTCTTGGTACCCAGGGAGACTGTGTGTGGCATCTTAATTATGGGGTTTCTCCTCTTGTCCTTACCACTAGGTGGGCAAAGGGAGGGAAGTAGAATGACCACACCAGTAGGTCATTACTGGTGGTCATGGACTTACTGACTCTTCAAACTGGTGGGCACACGAAAAATCTTTTTTTTTTTTGAGACAGAGTCTTGCTCTGTTGTCCAGGCTGGAGTGCAGTGGCACAGTCTCAGCTCACTACAGCCTCAAACTGCCAGGCTCTAGCGATTCTTCCACCTCAGCTCCTCAAGTATCTGGGACTACAGGTGCGGCTAATTTTTGTAGAGATGAGTTTTTGCCATGCTGCCTAGGTTTGTCTCATACTCCTGGACTCAAGCAATCAGCCCGCCTTGGCCTCCCAGAATGCTAGGATTACAGGTGTGAGCCACTGCACCCGGCCGTGATATTCTCATTGCTTGTGGACAGGTTTTCTCTACTGAGCTGTTGTCAACTGCTAACATAGAAGTTAGTCACTGTCTTTTCTGCTCTTCAGTGCTGTCTCTTGGGGCCACTGTCCCTCCCCCTACTCTTGCAAGACTCCTTTTGTCCCAAAGCCCCTTCTTGTCCCCTTTCTCCCAGGACTGGCACAGGCTCAGGACCTGTCCTCACACCAGGCTTCTTTCCAGACCATGCTCTCCCCAGCCCTCATGCTCCCTGATCATGGCCGGCCCTGCGGATGAGGCAGGCAAGATGGGTAAGCCCTAGGCCTTTTTCTCAGGACGTGTCTGTCCTCTCTCCCCTTCTCTGCTGGCAGGATGGGCAACACTCCAGATTCAGCCTCAGACAACCTCGGTTTCCGCTGTGCTGCAGACGCAGGCCGGCCGCCAGGGGAGCTGTAAGCAGCCGGGTGGTGACAAGGAGAAAAGCCTTCTAGGGTCACTGTCATTCCCTGGCCATGTTGCAAACAGCGCAATTCCAAGCTCGAGAGCTTCAGCCTCAGGAAAGAACTTCCCCTTCCCTGTCTCCCATCCCTCTGTGGCAGGCGCCTCTCACCAGGGCAGGAGAGGACTCAGCCTCCTGTGTTTTGGAGAAGGGGCCCAATGTGTGTTGACGATGGCTGGGGGCCAGGTGTTTCTGTTAGAGGCCAAGTATTATTGACACAGGATTGCAAACACACAAACAATTGGAACAGAGCACTCTGAAAGGCCATTTTTTAAGCATTTTAAAATCTATTCTCTCCCCCTTTCTCCCTGGATGATTCAGGAAGCTGACATTGTTTCCTCAAGGCAGAATTTTCCTGGTTCTGTTTTCTCAGCCAGTTGCTGTGGAAGGAGAATGCTTTCTTTGTGGCCTCATCTGTGGTTTCGTGTCCCTCTGAAGGAAACTAGTTTCCACTGTGTAACAGGCAGACATGTAACTATTTAAAGCACAGTTCAGTCCTAAAAGGGTCTGGGAGAACCAGATGATGTACTAGGTGAAGCATTGCATTGTGGGAATCACAAAGCAAATAGTACTCCAGAAAGACAAATATCAGAAGCTTCCTATTCTTTTTTTTTTTTTTTTTTTTTTTGAGACAGGGTCTTTCTCTGTTGCCCAGGCTAGAGTGCACTGGTGATCACGGCTCACTCTAGCCTTGAATTCCTGGGCCCAAGCAATTCTCCCACCTCAGCCTCCTGAGTAGCTGGGACTACAAGTGTGCACCACCATGCCTGGCTAATTTTTTGAATTTTTGTAGTGATGGGATCTCGCTCTGTTGCCCAGGGTGGTCTCGAACTCCTGGCCTCAAGCGATCCTCCCACCTCGACCTCCCAAAGTGCTGGGATTACAGGTGTGAGCCACCTCGCCTGGGCCCCCTTCTCCATATGCCTCCAAAAACATGTCCCTGGAGAGTAGCCTGCTCCCACACTGTCACTGGATGTCATGGGGCCAATAAAATCTCCTGCAATTGTGTATCTCAGACATTTGTGTCTTTGATCCTCACCCTGTGACCCTAAGGGAAGAAAGCCTGAGTGTCAGTAACTCTGGGCCTCCCCTAAAGAGAAATGGAGATGGTGGCTCATCTAGGAAGTAGAGGAGCAGGGGGTTCCTGGTTCTCAGGCCACGTGTGATCTCTGCCCACCCAGGGCCTGCCCCAGCCTGCAGGTATTGCTGTGTGGTGGGAACACCCACTTCCCTTGTGCACAGCCTTTGAGAGGGGATCGTGGCCTCAGTTCCAGGGGTTCCTGGCCAGGGCCAAGTGCTCCTTCTGCAGAGGCCTGCACGCATCTCACCCCTTTGACTTGTATTTCCATGGCTTCCCCTCCCCACCTGCCCCCTAGCCCTCCCTGACTGGCCAGCCCCTCAGTAGTCCTCCTCGGCCAGGGAGAGGAGCACGGCCTTGGGTGTGTTCTCGAAAAGGGCTGCCCGGTTCTGCTGCTGCCCCTTCTTCACCCAGTGGCCATAGATTCGGAAAGCGTAGGCGTCGATGAGCCGGCGCAGAGGCCGGAGGGCATAGGGGTCTCGGATGACGATCTCCCGGGTCACAGGCTTCACCCGGCGGTACTGGTAGTAGATCCGCACTGAAGCCAGCACGGTCAGAGCGATCACCTGCAGGGCCAGGCGGAGAAGCTGGGCTGCAGCCCCCGCCCTGCCAGGCCCTGCCCCTCCAGCACAGGGACGCTCTGGGCTCGTTTGCCACGAAGCCTTGGGTGGCTTCTGCGGGGCCTTCCTAGTGTCCCCCACTTCCCACTTGGCCAGCATCCTCAGGGACCGAGCCAGTGGGCTGACACCTGCCGTCTTTGAAGCCATCACAGGGCAGCTGGGAGGGGAGGGATGGGTACTCTGGAAATTCACGGGGTGTAAGGACTCCTGGGAGAGGAGGGGGCTTAGAGGTTTGCACTTAGGGAGCTGGCGGGCCTGGATCAGGACGCTTAGTACCTTGAACTTCCCCCGGGGGCTGAAGTGCCGCACTTCCTCCACCAAGTACTGCTGGAAGAAGGGGTGTGCCAAGGCCTCTTCCGCTGTGTAGCGGTTCTGGGGTTGCACCACCAGGAATCGGGAGACCTGTGAGAGGAGGAGAGGGGAACCGAGAATGTCAAGGCAGGTCCCCTCCAGCATGTCAGGAAAGGCAGGGCCTCCCCGGGCAGGGGCGCCTGGCATCGCAGCCCTGAGCCCAGGAGCCAGTTGGCCTGGCCTCTCACCAGGTCCTTCACGGTGTCCGAGTAATCATCCCACTCGGGCGAGCCAAACTGGTAGTTGCCGCTCATGATCATCCTCAGCATCAGCATCTGCTTCCGGTGCCAGAAGGGCGGGGAGCCGGCCAGCAGCGTGTACATGATGACGCCAGTGCTCCACCTGGACATGCGAGGGCCCAGGGCCACTTACCCAGCGCCAGGGGCACCGGCCCAGCCCTGCCTACTTCCTCCCTTGCCCAGCCTAGCTGGGTGCTCCTCCTTTCCCGGCGCACTCACATGTCCACCTCTTTCCCGTAGCCCGGGTGGTCCTCATTCATGGAGCACTCGATAATCTCAGGGGCCAGGTAACTGGGGGTCCCGCAGACCTCTGCAGGAACAGTCATCATCAGGGCAGGTCAGCAGGGCACTCAGAAGAGGAAGTCCAGGCTGGCCGCAGTGGCTCATTTCTATAATCCTAGCACTTTGGGAGGCCGAGGCAGGTGGCTCATCTGAGGCCAGGAGTTCGAGACCAGCCTGGCCAACATGGCGAAACTCCATCTCTACTAAAAATACAAAAATTAGCTGGGCGTGGTGGCATGTGCCTGTAGTCCCAGCTACTCAGGAGGCTGAGACAGGAGAATCGCTTGAACCTGGGAGGTGGAGTTTGCAGTGAGCTGAGATCGCCCCACTTCACTCCAGCCTGGTGACAGAGTGAGACTCTGTTTCAAAAAAAAAAGAGAGGAAGTCCAAAGAGACAATGGAGATGATGGAACAGAAATGGCGCTCGGGCTGGGACTCCCCCAACATCCACCAACTTCAGGGCCCAGGGCAGGGCGGGATACTGCCCACAGGGCCACCAGCTCATGGCCCATTGCTTCCCTGGTCACTTCTAGCCATCCTGGCCTGGAACAAGGGTAATGGGAACCTGGGAGAGGACTTACCTGAAGAAATGCCTAGCCCTGCTGGGCATGGTGGCTCACGCCTGTAATCACAGCACTTTGGGAGGCCGAGGCGGGCGGATCGTAAGGTCAGGAGTTCGAGACCAGCCTGACCAACATGGTGAAACCCTGTCTCTACTAAAAATACAAAAATTAGCCGAGCGTTGTGGCGCGTGCCTGCAATCACAGCTACTCAGGAGGTTGAGGCAGGAGAATCACTTGAACTCGGGAGGTGGAAGTTGCAGTGAGCCGAGATTGTGCCACTGCACTCCAGCCTGGGCGACAGAGTGAGACTCCATCTCAAAAAAAAAAAAAAAGAAAGAAAAAGAAAAAAAAATCCCTAGCCCTTGAAATGGTGGAATTTTTATTCCAGGGAACAATTAAGTTAGGGGAGAAACCCAGACCATCTCTATTCTGCAGATGGTTGATTGAGCACCCGAGGCCTGGACGTGGGCCAAGGCCATGTTACCAGACCTCGCAGCCTCTCTCCCGGCTCCAGCTGGCAGGAAAAGCCAAAGTCTGTGAGCTTGATGTTCATGTTGTCATCCAAGAGAATGTTCTCGGGCTTCAGGTCCCGGTGCACGATGTTGAGTTTGTGCAAGGTGCAGATCACCTCCAGCAGAGCTCGCATGATCTTTCTAGGGTGGGGCACACACTTGTTACTCTTCCTCTGCTCAGGGTCAGGTAACAGGCAGGGAGACACAGCTCACATTTCAGCCACACTGCAAGGGAGCAGCACACACGCCCAGCCCAGACATGTGCACGCCCTGCCTCCCCTGAGACCCCAGTGCCTGTGGCCCTAAGCCACGTGGGAGGGAGCGGAGAGAAGGGCAAAGGGACCCTCACCTGGTTTCCTTCTCACTCAAGGTGACCTTCTCAGTGAGGTAGTCAAAGAGCTCCCCTCTCTTCATCCTGTGGAAACAGAGGGTTGATAGCTGGATCGGTCCCAAGACCACCACTGCCCTTACCCTGCTCCCAGAGAGCTGCCTTCCACCCTGATACCTCTAGAAGCTAAGTGGGCCACTCTCCGTGGAGAACCACAGTCTGGGGAGAGGAGCCGGGGAAGTGAGAAGTGTTCTGGAAGAACTGGGAGAAAAGCAGAGGAGGCTGGAGAGGTGGCCCACATCAGGGGCTCAGGCTCTCATCAACCCTCCGAGGAATAGGCCTAGGTTTCTCCCCTGACTGAATTTTTCCCCTGGAAAAATTTTTCCCACCATTTCATGAGGTAGGCATTTCTTCAGCTAAGTCCCCTCCCCAGGTTCCCATTACCCTAGTTCCAGGCCAGGATGGCTAGAAGTGACCAGGGAAGCAATGGGCCCCGAGCTGGTGGCCCTGTGAGCAGTACCTTGCCCTGCCCTGGGCCCTGAAGTTGGTGGACTTGGGAGAGTCCCAGCCCAAGCACCATTTCTGTTCCATCTCCATTGTATCAGTGTCTTCCCATCTGTGGAAGTGACAGTGTGGACTGGGATGTATCGGGGCCTAAATGATGGCTGGAGGCTGAAAGAGGGGACTATGAACCACTGGCCCAGGACCCCAGACCCAGATCAGAAGGACGTGAGTATCCCGATTTTTTTTTTTTTTTTTTTTTGAGATGGAGTTTTTGCTCATCACCCAGGCTGGAGTGCAATGATGCAATCTCGGCTCACTGCAACCTCTGCCTCCCAGGTTCAAGCAATTCTCCTACCTCAGCCTCCCGAGTAGCTGGGATTACAGGTGCCCACTACCACACCCAGCTAATTTTTGTATTTTTAGTAGAGACAGCGTTTCATCATGTTGCCCAGGCTGGTCTTCAACTCCTGACCTCAGGTGATCACCCGTCTCAGCCTCCCAAAGTGTTGGGATTACAGGCGTGAGCCACCACGCCTGGCCGAGTATCCCGATTTTTTCCCAGGAAACAAATGGGAAGAATCGGCTGTGCAAGAGTTGCAGGAGCAAAGTTTGCCAATTACAGGATTAAGAATTGAGGTTCAATCTTCTTACCTCCTGGGATGATCTAGAAAGGACTCTGCTAGAACAATCTAGTTATACCCTGGAGGGCTCCTCAGGGCAGCATTAAAAATAGCTTCCCCCAGCAACTTCTTCAAAGGTTAAAGACATTTGAGCTGTCCCCAAGGGCTATACAGGACAGTGCCACAGAGCAGTCGAGACAGCTGCAGCTGGTGAGTCTGGAGGGGTCCGAGAAAGTCTTCCTCTGTTGCCCAGGCTGGAGTGCAGTGGCACGATCTCAGCTAACTGCAACCTCTGCTTCCTGGGTTCATGCCATTCTTGTGCCTCATCCTCCTGAGTGACTGGGATTACAGATATCTGTCACCATCCTGGGCTAACTTTTGTATTTTTTGTAGAGATGGGGTTTTGCCATGTTGCCCAGGCTGGTCTCGAACTCCCGGCTTCATCTGATCCGCCTGCCTCAGCCTCCCAAAGTACTGGGATTACAGGGGTGAACCACCATGCCTGGCCTTAATTTTATATTTTTTTGTAGAGATGGGGTCTCACTTTGTTGCCCAGGCTGGTCTCAAACTCCTGGCCTCAAGCAATCCTCCCACCACAGCCTCCCAAAGTGTTGAGATTACAGGTGTGAGGCACTGTGCCTGGCCCATGATAAGTCTGGAATTTGCATTTCACAGAGCACTTTGTATTGTTCACATTTGATGCTTAGAAATAAGGGGCTCATCTTACTAATCCTATTGATGCCAAAGCAGGGGCATGATGATGGTGATGATGGTGGTGATGGTGATGATGATATTGATCTTTGGACCACACCCCAGATGCAACCTCTACCACCTGCCTCTCTCCTCAATACTGCTGGCCTCCCTTTTTCCAATCCCGCCTCATTACAGTCGTCCCTAGATAGTCAGTGAGATCTTTTCAAAAGGAAGTCAGCCTGGGCGCAGTGGCTCACGCCTGTAATCCCAGCACTTTGGGAGGCCGAGGCGAGTGGATCACTTGAGGTCAGGAGTTCGAGACCAGACTGGCCAACATGGCAAAACCCTGTCTCTACTAAAACAGTACACACATAAAAAATTTGCTGGGCATGGTGGTGGGTGCCTGTAATCCCAGCTACTTGGGAGACTGAGGCAGGAGAATCACTTGAACCCAGGAGACGGAGGTTGCAGTGAGCCGAGATCGCACCACTATACTCCAGCCTGGGCGACAATAGCAAAACTCTGTCTCAAAAAAAAAAAAAAAAGTAAATCAGATCATGTCACCCTCCCAGTCTTGACCCTCCAAACTCCTTACTATGGCTAAAATGCCTGCAGGACCTGGTCTTTGGTGCTGACCGACCTTACATCCTGCCACCCTCTGCTTGGGTCACTTCCTGGACATGCTTTCCTGACCACTCGGTCTAAGGAAGCCCCTGTCTCTTGCTAACCCCTTGTTCTACTTTATATATGTCTACAGTCATCCCTCTTTATCTGCATAGGATATGTTCCAAGACCCCCAGTGGATGCCTGAAACCATGGATAGCACTGAAGCCTATACTTACTATGTTTTTCCTATATGTACATACCTAAGATGAAGTTTATAAGTTAGGCACAGTCAGAGACTAACAACCAATAATAAAATAGAACAATTATATCACTATACTGTGCCAGGCACGGTGGCTTATGCCTGTAATCCCAGCACTTTGGGAGGCCGAGGTGGGAGAATCACGTGAGGCCAAGAGTTTTGGGGTTTTTTTTGTTTTGTTTTGTTTTTGTTTTTGAGATGGAGTTTCGCTCTCGTAGCCCAGGCTGGAGTTCAACGGCGTGATCTCGGCTCACTTCAACCTCCGCCTCCTGGGTTCAAGCGATTCTCCTGCCTCAGCCTCCCGCGTAGCTGGGGCCTCAGCCTCCCAAACTGCTGGGATTACGGTTGTGAGCCACTGCGCCCGCCTGTAGCTAATAATTATTAGTATTCACACTATGCCAGTCACTGTGCTATTATCACTCCCATAATACTGATGAGAAAACCAAGATTTAAAGAAATGATCCAGCCCACAAGTGGTGAACCCAGGTTTCCAAAGCCGGCAGCCTGACCCCAGGGGCTGATCTGTCTAAACACCGTGATTGTATTTGGCATCCTCAGCGCAGGAGCTGGCTGTGGTCTCCAGGCAGCCCTGGGGTTGGGGAGGGGACAGCAGTCGGAGGTTCTCTCAGGTGTGGCTTGCTCCAGTGCTGGGTACTTACAGGTCAAACACCAAGAAGAAGAAAGTGTTGGTCTCATAAGTGTCCTTCAGCTGTACTGAAATGGAAATGGCTAGCTTGTCTCAAGTAGCAGGGGAGCCCAGGCAGGGGCAGCCGGGGCACGGGGGTCAGGGACCGAGGCTGCTGTGGGCTAACTTCAAAAGCTGACAGGGGAATCAGGAGGGTGCTCAAAGACGTCAACCTGGGATGTGGGCAGGCCCAGGGACTTTATTATTATTATTATTATTATTATTATTATTATTATTATTATTAGAGACAGGATCTCACTGTCTCACCCAGGCTGGAGTGTAATAGTGCAATCATAACTCACTGCAGCCTCAAACTACTGGGCTTGAGTGATGCTCCTGCTTCAGCCTCCCGAGTGGCTGGGATTACAGGCATGCACCAGCATGCCTGGCTAATTCAGCCCAGGGACATCAAACCCCCATTCCCCTGCCTGCATCCATCCCTGCCTGGGACCCCTTCTATCAGAGCAGTGAGGGTGGAGCTGGGAGCCTTGAGCCTGGGTGGTTCTAGTTGGCTGTGCGGTGGGGCCACACTCCCTGGCTTGGGCTGTCAGGGCAGAATCACAGGGGGGCACCCTGCCGTGTGGCTTGGGGCCATCACTCACTGATGTTGGGGTGCCCTGAGACCTTGCGCAGGATGTCCACCTCCTTCAGCGTGGCTTCTCGCAGCTCCCGCACCTCCTCCGGGCTGAAGCTGCCTCCACCGGTGACGTCGATGACCTTCACGGCGTACTCCTGGCTCGTGGGCTTGTGGATGCATCGCCTGACCACACTGCTAACGCCCCTGGGAGTGCAGAGGACAGATGGCCTCGGGGGGCCCCTCACCCCATGGGGGGTCCCAGATTAGAGGCTGCAGCAGAGATGTCCTGCCCTTGACAGAGATTTACACTTTCCCCCAACTTCCTCTGAGCTTTTGGAAATGGTGGATGAATAAATACAGGCACAGACAGGTGATTTGCCCAGAACTGGTGAGTAACAAGCCTGCTCTCAGGCCGTGTGACTCTTTTTTTTTTTTTTTTTTCCTTTTTGAGCCGTTCAGTGCTTTTTTTTTTTTTTTTTTTGAGACGGAGTCTCGCTCTATTGCCAGGCTGGAGTGCAGTGGCACAATCTTAGCTCACTGCAACCTCCACCTCCCGGGTTCAAGCAATTCTCTTGCCTCAGCCTCCTGAGTAGCTGGGACTACAGGTACCTGCCACCACACAGAGCTAATTTTTGTATTTTTACTGGAGATGGGGTTTCAACATGTTGGCCAGGCTGGTCTCAAACTCCTGATCTCAGGTGATCCTCCTGCCTTGGCCTCCCTGGTATTGCAGGAAGTGCTGCTATTGCAGGCATGAGCCACTGTGCCTGGCCCCCCCTTTTTAAAAAAAAAAATAGAGATGGTTAGCCAGACCTGGTGGCACATACCTGTTGTCCCAGCTACTAGGGAGGCTGAGGTGGGAGGATCACTTGAGCCTAGGAGGCAGAGATCGTAGTGAGTCAAGATCATGCCACTGTACTCCAACCTGGATGACAGGGCAAGACCCTATCTTAAAAAAAAAAAAAAAAGATACGGGGTCTTGCTATGTTGCCCAGGCTGATCTTGAACTCTTGGCCTCAAGCAATCCTCCCACCTCAGCCTCCCAAAGTGCTGGGATTACAGGTGTGAGCCATTGCGCCTGCCCCTGGGAACTTTTTGCTGGGAGAGGTTTCTCTTATCTGTCCTGGCTTCAGGAGGGCAGGACCCCAAACAAAGGGTTTCTCCAAGTGAACAGCACTTTGGGGATGAAAGTGGCGTTAGTACTCGGGGTGGAGCAGAGCTGGCTGTAGCCCACAGGGTCTGCTGGAGCCTAGGACAGCACTTCGTGGGGAAAGCTTGGGCTTTACCTGCCCAGGATCTCTTTGGGCTCATAATTCTCATAGAAGTCCTGTGCAGAATGAGAGTCCGGCAGTGCCTCGTCCCGGGTCATGCTCAGATCTTCAGTGAGGGAACTCTGGGTGGCTCTGAGAGGGGAAAAGAAAGAAGCTGTCAGCCTTCCTGACCCAGGGGCTGTTCTCCTTGGGGTCTGGAACTGTTTCTCACTCATCCTTACATCTCCTGGCACTACACTGGCCTATAGTGAATGTTCCAAATAAATGTTTGTGAATTGAGGCCGTTCGTGGTGGCTCACACCTATAATCCCAGACTTTGGGAGGCTGAGGCAGATAGATCACTTGAGGCCAGGATTTCGAGACCAGCCTGGCCAACATGGTGAAACCTCATCTCTACTATACAAAAATTAGCCGGATGTGGTGGCACACGCTTGTAGTCTCAGCTACTTGGGAGGCTGAGGCAGGAGAATCGCTTGAACCCAGGAGGCAGAGGTTGCAGTGAGCCGAGATCGCATCACTGCCCTCCAGCCTGGGCGACACAGCCAGACTCCGGCTCAAAAAAAAAAAAATCTTTGTAGAGATGGGGTCATGCTCTGTTACCCATCTCTGTACCAGAGTGCAGTGGTACGATTATAGCTCACTGCCGGCTCAACCACCTGGGCTCAAGCGATCCTCACACCCTAGCCTCCTGAGTAGCTAGGACTAAAGTATCCCCCAGGCTGGAGTGCAGTGGCACAATCTTGGCTCTCAGCTCACTGCACCCTCCACCTCCCAGGTTCAAGCGATTCTCCTGCCTCAGCCTCCCAAGAAGCTGGAATTACAAGCACCTACCACCACGCCTGGCTAATTGTTGTATTTTTATTAGAGACAGGGTTTCGCCATGTTGGCCAGGCTGGTCTCGAACTCCTGACCTCAGGTGATCCTCCCACCTTGGTCTCCCAAAGTGCTGGGATTAAAGGCGTGAAACACCATGCCAGGCCCTAATATTTAAGTTTTTTGTAGAGACGGGGTCTCCCTATGTTGCCCAAGCTAGTCTCAAACTCCTGGCCTCAAGCAATCTTCCCGCCTCAGCCTCCCAAAGAGATGGGATTATAGGCATGAACCACCACTGGACCTGGCCACAATTTCCTTTTAAATAGGCCACTCCTGTAGCCTCTCCTTATCTCCCCTTGTTGTGACTGTGTTCTCTGAAAACACACCCCCTTCTAGGACAGGCTTCCTGCACTCCATCCCACTGCTCCTTCCTCATGTTTTTTTGTTTGTTTGTTTTTGTTTTTGGTGTTTTTTGTGGAGACGGAGTCTCAGTCCGTCACCCAGGCTGAAGTGCAGTGGTGTGGTCTTGGTTCACTGCAACCTCCACCTCCAAGGTTCAAGCAATTCTCCTGCCTCAGCCTCCAGAATAGCTGGGATTACAGACATGCACCACCATGCCTGGCTAATTTTTGTATTTTTAGTAGAGATGGAGTTTCACCATGTTGGCCGGGATGGTCTCAAACTCCTGACTGCAAATGATCCACACACCTTGGCCTCCCAAAGTGCTGGGATTACAGGCATGAGCCACTGCACCTGGCCCTTCCTCATGTATTCTATCCATAACTGGGACTTTCATAATCACTCACTCACTCATTCATTACATCTCCATTCTGCAGACACTGAACACCCACTCTTTGCCAACCACCATGCTGGGTGCTCTGAGGGATGGAGAGCTGGGTGGGTCCATCCTGGTCCGCCTCTGGTGTCACTTGTCAGTGTATGCTGTCACCTCCCCCACTAGATTATCATCTCTAGGATGTCCTAGCCATCTCTGCCCCCCATACCCAGTGCAGGTGTCCGGCAGGGGCTATACCTTGAATGTGAGTCAAGGGTTGGGCAGGTACCCCTTTGGCTCAGGGTCCTGCTGGAAGAATGCCCCATGTCCTACTTAACAATGGCCAGTGAGCCCTGAGGGGTCCTGCTGCAGGATAGAGGCAGTACAGAGCCAGGACACTCAGGCCTGTACACAGAGGCGCTGAGCTACCCCGCTTTGTGTCAGGAACATGGAGGCTCCTACCAGGGAACTCAACTCCTGCTTCAGATGTAGGATTTAGGCGTGGCGTGATGGCTCACACCTGTCATCCCAGCACTTTGGGAGGCTGAGGTGGGCAGATCACTTGAGGTCAGGAGTTCGAGACCAGCCTGGGCTACATGGCGAGACCCCATCTCCGCAAAAAATACAAAAATTAGCCAGGCATGATGGCTCTCGGGCCTGTGGTCCCAGCTACTTGGAAGGCTGAGGCAGGAGGATCACTTGAACCCAGGAGGTGGGGTTGCAGTGAGCTGAGAGTGCACCAGTGCACTCCAGCCTAGGTGACGGAGTGAGTGAGACTCTGTCTCAAAAAATAAGACAAAACAGGCTGGGCGCAGTGGCTCATGCCTGTAATCCCAGCACTTTGGGAGGCCGAGGCAGGAGGATCACGAGGTCAGGAGATCGAGACCATCCTGGCTAACACGGTGAAACCCTGTTTCTACTAAAAAATACAAAAAATTAGCCGGGCGTGGTGGCAGGCACCTGTAGTCCCAGCTACTCAGGAGGCTGAGGCAGGAGAATGGTGTGAACCCGGGAGGTGGAGCTTGCAGTGAGCTGAGATCATGCCACTGCACTCCAGCCTGGGCAACAGAGTGAGACTCCATCTCAAAAAAAAAAAGACAAAACAAAACAAAATCAGATGCAGGATTTGAGGAATGCAGAAAACCAACAGGGAAAAGGGCAGATAGAAAATAGGCCCAACCTGCCACTCAGCAGTGCCAAAGCTGCCTCCAACCCCCTTTCCCCCACTGCTTCTGGGCCTAAGAAGGCCTGGTCTCACAAAGGAGCCAATTTGCTGACCAGCCAACAGCAGCTCTGGCTGCCTCCGGGATTGGGCAGGCTGTTCCAGGAATCCTGGTGGCCCCACTACTGGGTGCCTGGTTACCAGAAGAAGGTTTAGAATAACAAGTCCCCTCTGCTGGTGCCAGGCCCCTGGGCTGCTCACACACAGGCCTTCTCTGCCTGCCCCATCAGCAACTTGGCGGAGCCCGGGACTGTCTGTTTCCCATAAAAACAAGCCCATTTGCTGGTAAGTCCTAAGTCCTCACAATGGGCACCTTTGCCTCATCACCTCCCAAAGCTGGGTAGCGCTAGCTCTCTCCTCTCCCCCAGCCCTCCATGAGCAGAAAGTACACTTGGACCCCCATATGAGATGCCAGCCTAGGCGCAAGCCTCCAGTCCTTGGCACAGCCAGCTTGGCCAACTTGTGGCTGCACTCACCTTTCCTGGGGGGCTGAGGAGGCGGTTATCTTGCCCCAGCCCCAGCTCTGACTGGGGCCAACTTTGTGCCTCTGTCTACTGCCCCACCCACCCCTCACACCTTTCCCAAGACCCCTGTGGACAGGGTCACCACATGGGAGTAGGTGGCCCAGTCCTTTTTTTAGACAGAATCTCGCTCTGTCGCCCAGGCTGGAGTGCAGTGGTGAGATCTCAGCTCACTGCAACTTCTGCTTTCCGGGTTCAAGCGATTCTCTTGCCTCAGCCTCCTGAGTAGCTAGGACTACAGGCACGAGCCATCATACCCAGCTAATTTTTGTATTTTTAGTAGATATGGGGTTTCACCATGTTGGCCAGGCTGGTCTTGAACTCCTGACCTCAAGTGACCCTCCCACCTTGGCCTCCCAAAGTGCTGGGATTATAGGCATGAGCCATCGCGCCTGCCTGGCCTGGTACTTTTTGGCACATAACTTCCCTCCCCTGAACTCTGAGTCCAAAAACCAGATCAGTCCCGGGGACCTCTTTTCTGTAGAAAATTCCTGCAGATGGAGGTTTCAAGGGTCAATGCTGCCACTCTCCCTGGTCCATCCGCCTTCAGAAAAGAGACATGGATGGAATGGATGTGGGGGTTTCTATCTTCTCCACCCCCAGTCCTCCCCGCTCCCTGCCTATCACCTGGCTTTTGTCCATCACTGGGCTAGCTACTCACGGTTAAGTGCTTGCAGGCTCTTGAAGGAGCTTGACAAGAATCCCAAAGCCCCCCGGGGAGAGGGGACCACAGAGGGCTGAAGCCGTGTCCCGAGCAGACACTTGGAAGATATCATCTGCTGTTGTTTTGGGTTTTGCTATTTGATGACCGGAGGCTAACGTGCCAAAAATAAATCACAACTGCAAACCCGGGAGGCAGGCCAAGGCTCCGCAGGGACAGGGCATGGAGCCCAGTCTCCGGGCGGAAGGTGGGGGACCTCTGGTGGAGGGTGAGGGAAGCTTGTGTGGCCTGAGACCAGGCCAGACAGGATGTAAGAGTGATCAGTCTCCCCTCTGGAGCTCCCTTGGCCTCCAGGCCCAGAGAACGTAAATCCAGCCTTGTGCGGAGGGCACTTGCTTCTCTGGGAGCAATTTTGATTTCCACGTATGCTGAGAGCACTGCCCTGGAGACTTTCTCAATGCATGACTGCAGCAGCTGACTGCCCGGGCTGTCGCAGGGACAGTGTGCATGATCACCCTACATAATGCAGACCTGTACAGGTTAGGGAGGCCGGGTGCAGTGGCTCACACCCAGCGCTTTGGGAGACCGAGGCGGGAGGATTGTTTAAGTCCAAGAGTTTGACAGCAGCCTGGGCAACAAAGTGAGACCCTGGCTCTACAAAAAAATTAAAAAATTAGCCAGGTGTAGTGGCACACACCTGTGGTCCCAGCTACTCAAGAGGCTTAGTGGGGAGGATCACTTGAGCCTGGGAGGTCAAGGCTTCAGTGAGCTATGATCATGCCACTGCACTCCAGCCTGAGCAACAGAGACTCAGTCTGAATCAATCAATCAATCAATAAGGGACCTTCCCCTGCAGGAATCCACCTCTGATCTACCCTCCATAATTTCATCTAAAAAGCCTTCCTTTAAGGCCAGGCACGGTGGCTCATGCCTGTAATCCCAGCACTTTGGGAGGCCAAGGCGGGTGGATCACCTGAAGTCAGGAGTTCGAGACTAGCCTGGACAACATGATGAAACCCTATCTCTACCAAGAATACAAAAATTAGCCAGCCGTGGTAGTGCACACCTGTAATCCCAGCTACTCAGGAGGCTGAGACAGGAGAATCACTTAAACCTGGAAAGCGGAAGTTGCAGTGAGCCGAAGTCATGCCACTGCACTCCAGCCAGGGTGACAAAGGGAGACCCTGTCTCAAAACAAAAAAACCTTCCTTTAATCTTACATCAGATGTGTGGGTTTTTAAAATTATTTATGTGTTTTATTTATTTTATTTTATTGAGACGGAGTCTTGCTCTGTTGCCTGGGCTGGAGGGCAGTGGCATGATCTCGGCTCACTGCAACCTCTGCCTCCCATGTTCAAGCGGTTCTCCTGCCTCAGCCTCCCAAGTAGCTGGGATTACAGGTGCCCGCCACCACACCGAGCAATTTTTGTATTTTTAGTACAGATGGGGTTTCGTTCGCCATGTTGGCCAGGCTGGTCTCGAATTCCTGACCTCAGGTGATCTGCCCGCCTTGGCCTCCCAAATTGCTGAGACTACAGGCGTGAGCCACCACACCCGGCCTATTTTATTTTTTTGAGATGGAGTCTTGCTCTGTTGCCCAGGCTGGAGTGCAGTGGTGTGATCTTGGCACACTGCAACCTCTGGCTCTGGGGTTCAAGCGATTCTCCTGCCTCAGCCTCCCGAGTAGCTGGGATTATAGGCGCAAGCCACCATGCCCGGCTATTTTTTGTATTTCTTTCTTTCTTTTTTTTTTTGAAACAGAGTTTTGCTCTTGTTGCCCAGGCTGGAGTGCAATGGTGTGATCTTGGCTCACTGCAACATCCGCCTCCCGGGTTCAAGCAATTCCCCTGCCTCAGCCTCCCAAGTAGCTGGGATTACAGGCATGTGCCACCACACCTGGCTAATTTTGTATTTTTAGTAGAGACGGGGTTTCTCCATGTTGGTCAGGCTGGTCTCGAACTCCTGACCTCAGGTGATCCGCCTGCCTCGACCTCCCAAAGTGCTGGGATTACAGGCGTGAGCCACCGTGCCTGGCCCTTTTTTTTGGGGGATGGAGTCTCACTCTTGTTGCCCAGGCTGGAGTGCAATGGCACAGTCTCGGCTCACTGCAACCTCCGCCTCCCAGGTTCAAGCGATTCTCCTGCCTCAGCCTCCTGAGTACCTGGGATTACAGATGCTTGCCACCACACCTGGCTAATTTTTGTATTTCTAGTAAAGACAGGATTTCACCATGCTGACCAGGCTGGTCTCAAACTCCTGACCTCAGATGATCCACTCGCCTTGGCCTCCCAAAGTGTTGGGATTACAGGCGTGAGCCACCATGCCTGGCCTTTTATTTTTATTATTTTATTTTATTTATTTATTTATTTTATTTATTTATTTTTATGAGACAGAGTCTTGCTCTGTCACCCAGGCTGGAGTGCAGTGGCACGGTCTCGGTTCACTGCAACCTCCGCCTCCCAGGTTCAAATGATTCTCCTGCTTTAGCCTCCTGAGTAGCTGGGATTACAGGCACGCACCACCACGCCAGGCTAATTTTTGTATTTTTAGTAGAGACGGGGTTTCACCATTTTGGCCAGGCTGGTCTTGAATTCCTGACTTCGTGATCCGCCTGCCTCAGCCTCCCAAAGTGCTGGGATTACAGGCGTGAGCCACCACACCTGGCCTATTTTATTTTTTTGAGATGGAGTCTTGCTCTGTTGCCCAGGCTGGACTGCAGTGGTGCCATCTTGGCTCACTGCAACCTCCGCCTCTGGGGTTCAAGTGATTCTCCTGCCTCAGCGTCCCGAGTAGCTGGGATTACAGGCGCAAGCCACCATGCCCGGCTAATTTTTGTATTTCTTTTTTTTTTTTTTTTTTTTTGAGATGGAGTCTCACTCTTGTCGCCCAGGCTGGAGTGCAACAGTGCGATCTTGGCTCACTGCAACCTCTGCCTCCCGGGTTCAAGCGATTCTCCTGCCTCAGCCTCCCGAGTAGCTGGGATTACAGGCGCAAGCCACCATGCCCGGCTAATTTTTGTATTTCTTTCTTTTTTTTTTTTTTGAGATGGAGTCTCACTCTTGTCACCTAGGCTGGAGTGCAACGGTGCGATCTTGGCTCACTGCAACCTCTGCCTCCCGGGTTCAAGCGATTCTCCTGCCTCAGCCTCTTGAGTACCTGGGATTATAGATGCCTGCCACCATGCCCGGCTAATTTTTGTATTTGTAGTAGAGACAGGGTTTCACCATATTGAACAGGCTGGTCTCGAACTCCTGACCTCAGGTGATCTGCTCGCCTCAGCCTCCCAAAGTGCTGGGATTACAGGCGTGAGCCACCATGCCCAGCCTTTTACTTTTATTATTTTATTTATGTATTTATTGAAACAGAGTCTCACTCTGTCACTCAGGCTGGAGTGCAGTAGCGCAATCTCGGCTCACTGCAACCTCTGCCTCCCGGGTTCAAGCGATTCTCCTGCCTCAGCCACCTGAGTAGCTGGGACTATAGGCACGTGCCACCACGCCCAGCTGATTTTTGTTTTTAGTAGAGACGAGGTTTCACCATGTTGGTCAGGCTGGTCTTGAACCCCTGACCTCATGATCCGCCTGCCTTGGCCTCCCAAAGTGCTCGGATTACAGGTGTGAGCCACCACCCCCAGCCCTATTTTTATTTTTTTAAAGAACTTTCCTTACCCATTTCATTTTCAGCCTGCAGTTTCTATTGTGAGGAGTTTCATATGCCAGGAAAAACGTGGTCTCTCGGTGCATGTGACTTCCTGCCAGGGTCCTCATCAGTATGAGTCTACCTTACAGGGAGTTGACAAAACTGGCAGCACTGTGCAGCATGCAGGCACACAGTGGACACTTAGTTTTCATTGTTCCCTCTCATTCTAAAACTACCTTTTTCCAAACTCCTAATATTCCAAATTGATGGCAGGGGTGAACGTAGGGGAGACAGTGCTTTACCCATGATCTGAGCCCACAAATATGTTTTTAATTTTTTTCTTTTTTTTTTTTTTGAGGTGGAGTCTCCCTCTGTTGCCAGGGTGGAGTGCAGTGGTGAGATCTTGTCTCACTGCAACCTCCGCCTCCCAAGTTCAAGTGATTCCCCTGCCTCAGCCTCCCGAGTAGTTGGCACTACAGGCGCGTGCCATGGCACCTGGCTGTTTTTAATTTTGTATGTATTTTTAATTTTTAAAATAGAGATGGGAGCTGCGTGCGGTGGCTCACATCTGCAATCCCAGCACTTCGGGAGGCTGAGGTGGGCGGATCACCTGAGGTCAGGAGTTCGAGGCCAGTCTGGCCAACATGGTGAAACCACATCTCTACTAAAAATACAAAAATTAGGCTGGGCGTGGTGGCTCACGCCTGTAATCCCAGCACTTTGGGAGGCCGAGGCAGGTGGATCACGAGGTCAGGATATCGAGACAATCCTGGCTAACATGGTGAAACCCCGTCTCTACTGAAAATACAAAAAGTAGCCGGGCATGGTGGCAGATGCCTGTAGTCCCAGCTACTCAGGAGGCTGAGTCAGGAGAATGGCGTGAACCCAGGAGGTGAAGCTTGCAGTGAGCCGAGATTGCGCCACTGCACTCCAGCCTGGGCAATACAGTGAGACTCCGTCTCAAGAAACAAACAAACAAACAAACAAAACAAAAATTAGTCCGGCGTGGTGGTGGGTGCCTGTAGTCCCAGGTACTCTGGACGTTGAAGCAGGAGAATTGCTTGAACCCGGGAGGCAGAGGTTGCAGTGAGCCGAGATCGTGCCACTGCACTCCAGCCTGGGTGACAGAGCGAGACTCTGCCTCAAAAAAAATAAAAAATAAAATAACAAGAGATAGGGGTCTCACGATGTTGCCTAGACTGGTCTCAAAATTCTGGGCTTAAGCAATCCTCCTGTTTTGGTCCTCCCAAAGTGCTGGGATTACAGGTGTGAGAAACCACACTTGACCACAGATACCTAATTGATACACATTTTACAAAGCACTTCATACAGTTTCACTTGGACAACGAAACCCTGGTATTAAGCCAATTTTAGAGAGATTGTGACTTGGTCAAGGTTGCCAAGTAGGTGAGTCAGAGAGCCTAGATTAACCCCAGATGTTGTGGGCGCCAGCAGTTCCTTATAATGCTGACCATCTGGCTGGGTGCGGTGGCTCACATCTGTAATCCCAGCATTTTGGGAGGCTGAGGTGGGCGGATCATGAGGTCAGGAGATTGAGACCATCCTGTCCAACATGGTGAAACCGTCCCTACTAAAAATACAAAAATTAACTGGGCACAGTGGCACATGCCTGTAATCCCAACTACTCAGGAGGCTGAGGCAGGTGAATTGTTTGAACCCGGGAGGCACTGCAGTGAGCCGAGATCACACCACTGAACTCCAGCCTGGTGACAGAGCTAGACTCGGTCTCAATAATAATAATAATAATAATAATAATGCTAGACTCTGTCCCAAAAATAAAAAAATAATAATAATAATGCTGACCATCTATTTCTTTCACTTTGGGGAAAATTTTTGTTGAATTGTTTACATACAAAAGAGCTGAAAAATACTTCAGGGAATGAGTGCTAAGCATAAAAACCTCCAACTTACTGAAATGCAACACATTGAAACACAAATTCTGCAAGGTTTTAAATACCTGGAACTCTTTAACTTACTGTTTTCTCTTTTTTTTTTTTTTTTGCTTTTTATACAGGGTCTTGCTCTGTTGCCCAGGCTGCAGTGCAGTGGCGCAAACATGGCTCACTACAGCCTTGACCTCTTGGACTCAAGAGATCCTCTCACCTCAGGCTCCTGAATAGCTGAGACCAAAAGCGGGCAACACCATGGCCAGCAATTGTTTTTTCTTTTTTTTTGAGACAGAGTTTCACTCTTGTAGCCCAGGCTGGAGTGCAATGGCACAATCTTGGCCCACTGTAACCTCTGCCTCCCGGGTTCAAGCGATTCTCCTGCCTCAGCCTCCTGAGTAGCTAGGATTACAGGCGTACGTCACCACACCTGGCTAATTTATTTTTATTTTTAGTAGAGATGGGGTTTCACCATGTTAGCCAGGCTGGTCTTGAACTCCTGACCTCAGGTTATCTACCCACCTCGGCCTCCCAAAGTGCTGGGATCACAGGCATGAGCCACTGTGCCAGGTCTAATTTGCTTTTTTTTTTTTTTTTTTTTTTTTTGAGAGAAGAGTCTCACTCTGTCACCCAGGCTGGAGTGTAGTAGCACGATCCTGGCTCACTGCATCCAGGGTTCAAGCAATTCTCCTTGCCTCAGCCTGAGTAGCTGAGACTACAAGTGTGTGCCACCAGGCCTGGCTAATTTTTTTTTTTTTTTTTTTTGAGACAGTCCTGCTCTGTTGCCCAGGCTGGAGTGCAGTGGCACAATCTCATCTCACTGCAACCTCTGCTTCCCAGGTTCAATCAATTCCCCTGCCTCAGCCTCCCAAGTAGCTGGGATTACAGGCACCCACCACCATGCCTTGCTAATTTTTGTGTTTTTAGTAGAGATGAGATTTCACCATGTTAGCTAGGCTGGTCTCAAACTCCTGAACTCAGGTGATCCGCCCTCCTCAGCCTCCCAACGTGCTGGGATTACAGGCATGAGCCACTGCGCCCTGCCTAATTTACCATTAAAAACCTATTTTCTCCCTCACATTTCTAAGCTACAGATTTGACTCTTGCTGGTTTCTAAGGTATCTTCCAAGATTGGTTCCAAGGCTCCTATGGATAACAAAAATCCACGGATGCTCACATCCCTTACATAAAATGCCACATTATTTGCATATAACCTATGCATTTCCTGCTGTATACTTTAAATCATCTCTAGATTACTTATAATACCTAGTATAACATAAACAGGATGTAAAGTTGTTACACTGTATTGTTTAGGGAATGACAAGGAAAATAGTCTACATGTTTCCTACAAAAATGACCATGAATTTTTCCAAAAAATTATTTTGAGACAGGGTCTCACTCTGGGCTGGAGTTCAGTGGTGTGATCATAGATCACTGCAACCTTGAACTGGGCTTCTGTGATCCCACCTCGGCCTCCCTAGTGGCTGGGACTACAGGTGCATGCTACTGCACCTGGCTGATTTATTTTTTGTAGGGATCTCACTTTATTGCACAGACTTCAAATATTCTCAATCCTCGATTGGCTGAATCCATGGACACCAAACTCAGGGAATTGGAGCGCCAACTGGACAATCAATGAATGCATCACAAAATCCTTTCTGACTTTAGGGCAAAAGGCCAGTGCACCTAGAGGATTATTCCACACCTTTCTCCTTGTAGCAATGACTCCTACCAGGGAGTAGGCCTGGCCAGTCACGCTTACATTTCGTCATTTTTCTTTGATTCAATTTATTTGAATCACCACTACACCTGGACACGAGGGACATCTGAGCATTAACACTACAGACTCACAGAGGTCCCGAGCCTCCAGGAAAATTAGCAAAAGTGTCTTCTATAAACCCAGGAGGGAATATGCCGGGGAACTGGCCAGGAGTGAACTGTGCTGAGACCCTCTTTCTGAAAGGGAGCCTCTTTCAGGAACTGAATGTTTAGGCACTCCAGGAACACAGCTGATAGGAGGCGAGACAGCAACTGGCTAATTCCCTCAATCACCAGCATTTCACTCACCTGGCAGTGATGCAGGGCTCTGAAACTCAGAAAAAAATCAGAAAACAGAACCTACGGAGGCCAGGTGTGGTGGCTCATGCCTACAATCCCAGCACTTTGGGATGCCGAGGCTGGGGGATCACCTGAGGTCAGGAGTTCTATACCAGCCTGATCAACATAGTGAAACCATCTCTGCTGCTCACTTCAAAAAAAAAAAAAAAAGACCTGCTGATCCTTTTGTAGTTAAGTGTGATGACAGGGTTTTCACACTCATGAAGTGTGCCTCCCTCAAAACTGGTTGCATTGACACACTACCCATCTGACATGAAAAAAGTGGCCTACTCCAAATTGAATTCCATCCCCTTAAAGTTCTTCCCTAGCACGGAGTGGGGGATGGCAGTTAGCCTGAGTGTTTTAGGAAGAGGAGGCTACAACACCTTAAACAGAGCAAAAGCACCTTCAGGGGAACTGCATATATTAAGAATGGTTTTTTATCTTCAATCAGGGGCGTCCAAGGGAGAGAATGCAGTCATGGGTTTAGTTACAGTTTATGGTTAGGCCAGTAAAACCCCTTCCTCATCGCTCTTTTCCACTTATCACTAGAGACAAACTATAACTCCAGGCTGCTAAAAGCCTAAAGCAAAAGAAAACAGAACAAAAGGTGGGTTGCACAAGCTTGCTTGGAAACAGTAGAGGAATAGTGATACGCAGTGCTGACCTAGCCACAGGGAACCCACCCCAAATAGACCTATTCCTGTTTCCTTTATCATTCACCTGATTAAAACAATGTATTTTTTTTTTTTTTTTGAGACAGAGTCTTGCTCTGTCAGTGAGTGCAGTGGCATGGTCTCAGTTCACTGCAACCTCCACCTCCTGGGTTCAAGTGATTCTCCCGCCTCAGTCTCCCAAGTAGCTGGGATTACAGGCACATGCCAGCACGCACAGCTTTAAACAATATTTTAAGCAGAGTTTCCTGCTACTGCTCAGCTTACATAACTCCAGACCCACAGCAGCTAGAACCTTTGAATTGAGCAGCATGTTATGTTTGCAAGTGAGCTACTCCTTATATAACCCCTCAGGGAGCTGTCAGATCTGGGAGGATGCTAATTTCATAACCAGAGACTATAGACTAAATGAACCATACCTTGGAAGAAAATGACTTTATTCTAATTAACTCACAAAGAATAAAATCATAACATAACAGCTAGTTTAAGGAGGCCACACAAACATTTGCCCAGTCCCAGATTCTACAGAGTAGGGACACCCCCACTTCCATTTCAATTCTGAAGCAAGGAAGCCAGGAATGACAGGAGAGGTTTAAC
The DNA here is from genome assembly GCF_000001405.40 of Homo sapiens. Classification (NCBI taxonomy): domain Eukaryota; kingdom Metazoa; phylum Chordata; class Mammalia; order Primates; family Hominidae; genus Homo; species Homo sapiens. The sequence continues at coordinate 56,101,750 of NC_000007.14, forward strand.
TGATGGTTACACTTTATACCCTCACTATCAATTCTATTTTTATACTAAATTAACTTAGTTATGAGAGCTGATTTTCCATCTCTCCAGGTTGAACTTCTTCATTAGGCCAATCCTGCAAACAGAAAAGATTAAGTTAGAAGAATGCTAGCTTCGTATACTCAATAAAACAGAAGCCTTCCAAATTATGAAAGCAGCGACAAAAGGCCAAGGCTATGGGTTTTTTGTTTTTTGTTTTTTTTTGATAAAAAATAGAGATGAGGTCTTGCTATGTTGCCCAGGCTGGTCTCGAACTCCTGGACTCAAGCAATCCTCCCACCTTGGCCTTCCAGAGTGCTGGGTTCCAGGAAGGTTATGGTTTTGTTTGTAAGCTACTGAAGGCATCCTACAACTAACAAGACACCCTGAATCTCCGGAGTTCCCCTGAGGAACTTAATTAACTCCTTTCACTCAATGAGGTACAGATACCAGGTATCAGTCTTTTTGTCTATTCCTGGATTTTGGTGAAAACAGAATCTAATCTTATATTCGCAGCCTTAAGGTTAGAAGGTCACTTACATCCAGTAATCACAGTAAGATCTGGCATACTGATTTATACCTTCTTTTTTTTTTTTTTCTTTTAAATTTGAGACAGTGTCTCCCACTGGAGACACCCAGTTGCCCAGGCTGGAATGCAGTGGCAGGATCTTGGCTCACTGCAACCTCCGCCTCCCGGGTTCAAGCAATTCTCCTGCCTCAGCCTCCTGAGTAGCTGGGATTACAGGTGCCTGCCACCACACCCAGCTAATTTTTTGTATTTTTAGTACAGATGGGGTTTTGCCATGTTGGCCAGGCTGGCCTCAAACTCCTGACATCAGGTGATCCACCCGTCTTGGCCTCCCAAAGTGCTGGGATTACAAGCGTGAGCCACTGTGCCTGGCCTATACCTTCTAAAGGAAGAAAATTCAGAAAATTACTCATAAAAATGACTAGAAACCTCCGGCCCAGTTGTTAGGAGTTAATTCTAGAGAAATTTCAACAAAGTCTTCTCTAATTTATTAAACACAGATTACCCTAAGTTCTACAGGATCCAGGAATTCCACTGTGAATTAAGCAGATGTAAATTGGACAAATTACCTACCGTTTGCAAGTCGGCACTGTTTCAGCACCTCATTGAAACCCTCACAGAGCTTGATGTCACCCTGGTTCTGGGCACACTCCAGAAACTGTTTGATCTCATAGAGGCAAGGCTGCTGCTGCTGTGCTGGCTGGGTTCCCTGAGGCTCCTGCAAAGGCAAAACATTCAACATTGCTGAGAAAGAAAATCATACTTATGCCTAGACAATGAAGAGTATCCATCCTCTTTGAGGTTAATGGAAAATGGAACTAGCACCAGATGCTAATTAAAGTTTCCAACTATTAACATGGGAAGTGAAAACATTTAAATCTTCATTTACTTAAAAAATATTTTAGGCCAAACATGGTGGCTCACGCCTGTAATTCCAACACTTTGGGAAGCCGAGAAGGGTGAATCACTTGAGGTCAGGCGTTTGAGACCAGCCTGGCCAATATGGTGAAACCCCGTCCCTACTAAAAATACAAAAATTAGCCAGGCGTGGTAGCAGGCACCTGTAATCCCAGCTACTCGGGAGGCTGAGGCAGGAGAATCGCTTGAACCCGGGCGGTGGAGCCTGGATAACAGAGCGAGACTCCACCTCCAAAAAAGAAGAATTTAAATAAATATTTTTAGTAAAGACAGGGTTGCGCTATGTTGCCCAGCCTGGTCTCAAACTTCTGGGTTCAAGCAATCCCTTCACTTCAGCCTCCCAATGTGCTGGGATTATAGGCATGAGCCTCCGTTCCCAGCCAAAAGTGAAAATATTTAAAAGCTGAAAGCCAACAGTTTTAACAAAATTCCAATTACAACCAGAAAGATTCCTAAATAAAGATGCAAATAAAGTGGAATTATTATCTTGTTATCAAGACTAAATGGTTTACTGAAGCTTCAGGGAGGAAAAATGGTACTATTATAGAAAACTGGATGGAGCAGTTTCAAGCACACCGGAAATACAAGAGTATACACACCTATGCTCATTAGACTAGAAAGCCCACACACATCAGAAAGATGGGTAATGGCAAACATCACGTAAAAGAACACACAGCTATGCGAGATTTTTGATTTGTTAACTAAGATCAAGACAAGATTAGTAGGAAGTGTCACTGGGATGAAATATTCAAAGGGAAAAGTGGTTGTTTTACAGTGAGTCAAGTGGACTGTTGTAAGTCTCCTCCTTGGGAAGAAACACAATTTGTACAGTACTTGTTGGTGCTGGCCTAAGGCAGTAACTCAACGGCCAAATGTGGCTTTAAAACCCATTGTCTATTAACAGCACAGTGGGTTCTAAAATCAAAGACAATTCCTACACTTAAGGAACTTACAAACGTCTGGCTTTTCTCATAAAATCCACCCATGGAAGGGAAATGCTGCCTAAATTCCCACCTGGTAAGTGATGTCAGGCCTCGCAGGCTCAGCATTACTTCCTCCACTGAAGCCCCCAGTAATGGCGTGACCCAATGTGTGCCCCACAGCAGAGCCCACAGCCACGCCAGCTGCAGTGGTTGCCATCTGGGCCATCAGACCTGGCTGCCGGGGCGCAGCAGCAGAAGAGCCAACTGCAGATGGGGGTGCCGCTGCTGGTGGCTGAGCGACTGGTGCTGGCCTGGGTGCAGCTCTCATCTGAGGGGCCCGGCTGTGAAAGAAAAGAAAAAAACATCAAGTTCCCAATTCCAACCAGTTTTGGAAATTGTCAACTTAAAATAACTTACATATTAAAATGGACCTCAAGATTTTCATTTCAAATTATTTACATCATTTTCTCTCTTCAATTTTTTTTTTTTTGAGATGGAGCTTCGCTCTTGTTGCCCAGGCTGGAGTGCAATGGTGCAATCTCAGCTCACTGCAACCTCCACCTCCCAGACTCAAGCGATTCTCTTGCCTCAGCCTTCCGAGTAGCTGGGATTACAGGCACCCGCGACCACCTCCGGCTAATTTTTTGTATTTTTAGTTGAGACGAGGTTTCACTATGGTGACCATGGCTGGTCTCCAGCTCCTGACCTCAGGTGATCCACCCGCCTCGGACTCCCAAAGTGCTGGGATTACAGGTGTGAACCACCACGCACGGCCTAATTTTTTTTTTTTTTTTGAGACAGGGCCTCACTCTGATGCCCAGACTGGAGTGCAGTGTCACGATCCAATCTCACTGCAACCTCTGCCTCCTGGGTTCAACCGATTCTTCTGCCTCCGCTTCCCAAGTAGCTGGGATTACAGGCGCGCACCACCACACCTAGCTAATTTTTGTATTTCTAGTAGAGACGGAGTTTCACCATGTTGGCCAGGCTCGTCTCGAACTCCTGACCTCAAGTGATCCACCCGCCTCGACCTCCCAAAGTGTTGGGATTACAGGCATGAGCCACCACGCCCGGCCACTTTAATCTTTTCTTATAATAGTAATAGCCTAGGACATACTAGTTTTTTCTGCTTCTTTGCAACAATTTCCATGTATTCGGATAGCCCACAGTATCTTTAAAGACATATCCAACATGTCATAAGAAATACAGACTACTAAAAGTTAGAAAGATTCTTACAGGATTCATTCATTCAAGTATTAGGTAACTACAAGGCGCTGGTAATGTAACTGTGAACAAGAGACAAAAATCTCTGCATTCATGGAGTTTACATTTTATTGACGGATCAAATAATTAACATAGGCTGCGGAGTGGTGGCTCTTGCCTGTAATCCCAGTGATTAGGGAAGTGGAGGCGAAAGGATCATTTGAGGCCAGGACTTTGAGACCAGCCAGGGCCACATAATGAGACCCTGTCTCTGCTAAAATATAAAATAGAATAAAGTCGCCAAGTGTGGTGCACAGGTGGCGCATGCCTGTAGTCCCAGTTACTCTGGAGGCTGACGTGGTAGAATAGCTTGAGCCCAGGAAGTCAAGGCTGCAGTTAGCCATAATTACGTCACTGCACTACAGCCTGAGTTAGACTCTGACTCAAAATATAAATAAATAAACATTCTAATTAGGACTTAAAGATGGTCAACTGGGGAAATAATCTAGTCCAATTCCTTCATTTTACACATTACAAAACAAGACTGGCCAAAGTGACTCGTCTGAACTATTATACCAAAAGCAACTTCAACTATTCCTCATCTGTTCAACGTTCAGATGCTTTCAACAATTTCGAGACCCCTTCTCAAATAACAAAAGACTAATTATGTCCTGCACGTATTTAAAAATCTTCATATGTATCACGCTCCCTCTGACCATTTCCGGATTATTTCCTTGGGTGCTCTTTTCCCCGAAATCAAGCTAGGTCAAAATTTATGCCTTCCTACCACCTGGCCATAACGTTATGCCTTTCCCGTTGTTTGGATAGGAAGCTTTTTCCGTAAGTGAATTCCCTCCCCACACTCCCCTAACATAGGCTTTACGTTCAATCTACCCCCGCCTGGCAGAGGCGAGCCCACGCCGCAGCCGACCTTAGTTCACCCCCGCCCGCGGCCTCCCTCTGCGTCATTGCCCCAGTAGAGTCCGGACGGCCGCGCTTTGGTCTCAAACCCTGCGATGGTCTCACCTGGCCGGAGGGGCCATGCGGGAGGTGCGGCTTCGGCTTCCACGCGGCATCCTAGGTAAGCGACGGCTAGGCCTCCGGACGTGGGACAACCACCGAAGAGCTAAGCGACTTCTGAGGAGACCGGAAGATGGGAGGCGGGGCTGGCCTCAACGCGCAACCAACCAGCACACAGGCAGAGAACTTCCGTTCTCCGTCGTCTCCGCAGGCCTGAAGTTCATTGGAAGAGCAGGACGTCACGGGGACGCCTCGTCCTTCGCGGTCAACGCCCTGAACTTGGCGCCAGGATCTTTAAAACCCGGAAGTTCCTGTGGTTCATCCGCGAACCTTGTCCTCCGGTCCTCGCATCAGAGCACTTAGCATTTTGCTTCCCTAGGGCAGCTGGCCTGTCGCTCCGTCCTTCAAACATTTGTATTAAATCCAACCTTAAGAGTGACTCACATCTCTGGCTGGATTGCCAGGGGACCTTGGGCAGATTTCTTAGCCTTTCTGAGCATTCAGTTATAAGGGCAAATATTTTTGGAGGCACAGTGTGGACGCGTAGTATGAACTGAATGAAAGAAATCGGTTTCGTCAAAAATAAACAGAGTTGAATTAGTTGTATTTGGTATTTCTCTTTCTTGTCTGTGGATCCAGTCAGCAAAAGTTAAATTCAGGCAGCAATAATGTTTTACATTTATGTATTACTATATATTTTCAGCTCCTTTTCATATGTATTATAGAATTTGTGTCCAGAATTGGGACAGTAACCATACACTGGTAAATTCAACAAAAATTTACTGTCTAACTGGGTTATGGAGATACTGCACCAAATCAGATAAGATTCTACCTTCACGAAGTTAAGTTTCAAGGAGGGGAGACACAAACGCCTACGTAAATCAGGTGGTGGTGACATGAAAAGAGAGGAAGGAGACTGGAAATTAGAGGTTAGGCGGGGCGGGGGGGAGTCATTTGAACGGAGCCCTTGAAGAGGTGGGGAAGCAAGCCATGTGTTTATGAAGATAAGAACACTACAGGAAGAGAGAACAGCAATTGCAAAGGCCCCAAGGATCTGTGCTTTAGTGATACTTGGTGTGAAATGCTTTTTTTTTTTTTTTGAGACGGAGTCTGGCTCTGTCGCCCAGGCTGGAGTGCAGTGGCGCGTTCTCAGCTCACTGCAGCCTCCGCCTCCCGGATTCAAGCGATTCTCCTGCCTCAGCCTTCCGAGTAGTTGGGATTACAGGCGCACGTCAACCCGCCTGGCTAATTTTTTATTTTAGTAGAAACAGGGTTTCGCCATGTTGGTCAGGCTGGTCTTGAGCTCTTGACCTCAGGTGATCCATCTACCTCGGCCTGCAAGGGCTGGGATTACAGGCATAAGCCACCAGGCCCAGCCTGAAATGCTTTCAACAGTTACATTAAACATCGCTAAAATAAGGGGAAATTTGGCTAGTGGCATTTCATAAGGGGCTCATGGGAAAGTCCCTTGCGGTTGGAGTGAGGTTTATTGAGGAGAGGAAGCACACATGGAACCATTTCTGCTTGATGTCAATCAGAAATTTCTCCCTTCCATCAGAGGAAGTAGAGTTTAAAACAGCCTTCCTGTGTCCCAGCAACAGCAGAATGTACTTGGAACTAAAGGGTGAATAATGTGGCAGCTAAGCTATGAGGATGCAAAGGCAAAAGAATGATATAATGGGCTCTGGGGATTTGGAGGGATGTGCTAGGTGGGTAAGGGATAAAAGACTACACTGTTGAGTACGGTGTACATTGCTCAGGTGATGGGTGCATCAAAACCTCAGAAATCACCACTAAAGAACTTTTCCATGTAACCAAACACCACCTGTTCCCCCAAAAGTATTGAAATAAAAAGATTTCAAACAATAAAAAGGGTGAATTATATAAAAATCTTTTGTAAAAAACAAAGCTTTATTTTTACATAACTTCTTAAAAGAATGAATGCTTTACAAATAATAAGACTTTTTACTTGCTTTTAGATAATTCAAAAGCAGAGATGAAGAAAAGCAGTCTTATAAAGGATACATTCTGGCACAAGAAGGGTTTAGAGCGAGGAGAACTTTGGACAGTTCAAGACAGAAAGGAATCCAGACCAGAACAGGCACCATTTTACTCAAACGTGGCTAAGTCATTCATTCCTAAATTGAAAGACTATTAGATGTTCACACAAAGTTATTTTGTGTTGGTAAGGGATTGGAGAAAACCTAAATTCCTGCCAATAGAATATTGGTTAAAAAAATAATGGCAGGCTGGGCGTGGTGGCTCACGCCTGTAATTCCAGCACTTTGGGAGGCCGAGGTGGGCAGATCACAAGGTCAGCAGATTGAGACCATCCTGGCTAACATGGTGAAACCCTGTCTCTAGTAAAAATACAAAAATTAGCCGGGTGAGGTGGCACGTGCCTGTAGTCCCAGCTACTCGGGAGGCTGAGGCAGGAGAATGGCGTGATCCCAGGAGGCAGAGGTTGCAGTGAGCCAAGATTGCACCACTGCATTCCAGCCTGGGCGACAGCAAGACTCCATCTCAAAAAAAAAAAAAAAAAAAAAAGACACATTCACATAATATGCAACTATAAAAAAAGAATGAGGAATCTTCTCTGTATATTGATGTGAAATGATTTCCAAAATAAACTACAAGTGATAAAAAAAAGGAAGGGGTAGAATTGAGTACAGTGTGCTATTATTTGTGTAAAACAGAAAAGACCATATTGGATATGCATAAAATATCTGAAGTTGATAACACTGGTTGCCTTCAGGCAGTGGGACTGGGTGTCTGTGGTGCGGGGGGCAGTCAGTAGCTTTTGGATTTTGAAGCAGTTAATCTATTCTATCCAAAAAACAAATTAAGAAAAAGTTAATTAAAACAAAGAACAAAAAACTCAGAATGGAAAATACCAGAATTCTGCTATATACCATTTATAGTTTGCTGGGACAGATGTGTGAAGTTCACTCTGTTTTTTTGAGACAGAGTTTCGCTCTTGTTGCCCAGGCGCAATCTTGGCTCGCTGCAACCTCCACCTCACAGGTTGAAGCAATTCTCCTGCCTCAGCCTCGCAAGTAGCTGGGATTACAGGTGTGCACCACCATACCTGACTAATTTTGTATTTTTAGTAGAGATGGGGTTTCACCATGTTGGTTAGGCTGGTCTCAAACTCCTGACCTCAAGTGATCCACCTGCCTTGGCCTCCCAAAGTGCTAGAATTACAAGTGTGAGCCACTGTGCCTGGCTAGTTCACTCTTTAGTAAAATTTCTATAGCAACTTCTCATCCCATAGTGATTTCAGTCACTCTCAACAAATTTACTTACAGTTATTAATATCCGAACTTTTGCAGGTTTTATCATAGATATGACATTGGCTGAATGGACTCTTGAATATTGTAGTAAACATTCTGCTCAAATTAGGTAACAGGTGTTTGAAGTTTTAAAATTATGCAAACTGTATTCCAGAAATTTTACTTCTAGGAATTTAAGAAACAGTGAAGATTGTACAAATAAATGTGTCGTAGGGATGTTTATTTAACAAAATGTGTAAAACAGGAAAAACTTGTAAACAACCTAAGTGTCCTATAATAGAATTCGTTAAATAAGTTATGATACATATATATGATGAAATGTATGCAGCCATTAAAAAATATTATGAGGGGCTGGGCACGGTGGATCAAACCTGTAATCCCAGCACTTTGGGGAGCTGAGGTGGGTGGATCACTTGAGGTCAGGAGTTTGAGACCAGCCTGGCCAACATGGTGAAACCCCATCTCTACTAAAAATACAAAAAATTATCTGGGTGTGGGTGGCTCATGCTTGTAATCCCAGCTACTTGGGAGGCTGAGACAGGAGAATTGCTTGAACCCGGGAGGCGGAGGTTGCAGTGAGTAGAGATTGCACCACTGCACTCCAGCCTGGGCGACAAGAAGGAAACTCCGTCTCAAGAAAAAAAAAAGTTAGGAAAGAATATTTGACGTGAAAGGTATTTTTACAATACATACAATACATTGTGTGAAAGAGAAGATTACACAATAGTACACAGTGTGTTTATAGTTTGAGAAAGTAAATATATATTTTGAATATTGGAATTATATATACCCAACTAGTACTGTCATCCATTGAGTCATGGAATTATAAGTGACTTTTTTTTTTTTTGCTTGTCCCTATTTTCCAGTTTTTCTACAGTGACCATACTTGCCATAATTAAACATAGCATGGTAGTTTAAAATATGTCCACAAATTCTTTGATATTCTCTTCAAAAGGTGGAGCCCAGTCCCTATCCCCTTGAGTGGGGGCTGGGTTAACTGATTCCCTTCTGACAGATAGGAAAAAGCAAAAGTGATGGTTTGCAACTTTGCAAACTACATCATAAAAGGTACTGTGGCTTCCTCCTTGTTCACTCTTTGATTACTCACTTGGGAAAGCCAGCTGTCACACCATGACACCTAAGCAGCCTGTAGAGAGGCTCATGTGACAGGAAGTGAGGCCTCAGGTCAGCAGTCACCTTAAGTGAGCCACCTTGGAAACAGGCTTTAGGTGACTGCAGTCTCAGTCGACAGCTTGACTGCAATGTCATGAGACACCCTGAGCCCAAATGACCCAGCTATGTCACTCCTGAATTCCTGACCCACAGAAATGGAGATCTAAGTTTTTTTTATATTTATTTATTTTTGAGACAGTCTCTCACTCTGTCACCCAGGCTGGAGTGCAGTGGTGTGATCTTGGCTCACTACAACCTCTGCCCCCCGGGCTCAAGTGATTCTCCTGCATCAGCGTCCTGAGTAGCTGGGACCACAGGTGCGCACCACCATGGTTGGCTAATTTTTGCATTTTCTGTAGAGATGGAGTCTCATGATGTCGCCCAGGCTGGTCTTGAACTTCTGGACTTGTGATCTGCCCACCTCGGCCTCCCAAAGTGTTGGGATTACAGGCATGAGCCACTGTGCCTGGCCCTAAGTATTTATTTTAAGCCACTAGGTTTGGAGTAATTTGTTACATAGCAGTAGATAAGTAATACACATATTTCCTACAGTGACCACATTTACAATTTAAATTTAATTAAAAAGGCCAGGTGCAGTGGCTCATGCCTGTAATCCCAGCACTTTGGGAGGCTGAGTCTGGAAGATCGCTTGAGCCCAGGAGTTTGAGACCAGTCTGGGCAACATGGCAAAACCCCTGCTCTACAAAATACAAAAAAAATTAGCCAGGTGTGGTGGTGTGTACCTGTGGTCTCAGATACTTGGGAGACTATGGTGGGAGAATCACTTGAGTCCAGGAAGTTGAGGCTACAGTGAGCTGTGACTGTGCAACGGTACTTTAGCCTGTGGGACAGTGAGACTCTGTCTCAAAAGAAAATTTTTTTTGGCCAGGGGTGGTGGCTCATGCCTGTAATCCCAGCACTTTGGGAGGCCGAGGCGGGCAGATCACAAAGTCAAGAGATCGAGACTATCCTTGCCAACATGGTGAAACCCCATCTCTGCTAAAAATACAAAAATTACCTGGGTGTGGTGGCATGTACCTGTAGTCCCAGCTACTTGAGAGGCTGAGGCAGGATAATCACTTGAACCCAGTAGGCAGAGGTTGCAGTGAGCCGAGATCACACCACTGCACTCCAGCTCAACAACATTTTTTTTTAAATTAAAAAGTTCTACTAGCTAAATAAGCAAAATCACCAGGTGCAGTTGATCACACCTGTCATCTCAGCACTTTGGGATATTGAGGTGGGAAGAACATCTGACGTCAGGAGTTTGAGACCAGCCTGCTGTGAGCAGAGATTGCACCACTGCACTCCAGCCTGGGAGACAGAGACCCCATCTCAAAAAAAAAAAAAAAAAAAAAAACACATAAAAAACCAACAAATGCATTTGAAAAGAACAGCATCAGCCAGGCACAGTGGCTCACGCCTGTAATCCCAGCACTTTGGGAGGCCGAGGGTAGAGGATAGCTGAGCCCAGGAGTTTGAGACCAGCCTCGGCAACATGGTGAAAACCTGTCTCTACAAAAAATACAAAAATTAGCCAAGTGTGGTAGCATGCACTTGCAGTCCCAGCTACTTGGGAGGCTGAGGGGGAAGGGATTGCTTGAGCCTGGGAGGTCAAGGCTGAAGTGAGCCATGATTGCACCACCACACTCCAGCCTGGGCAACAGAGCAAGACCCTGTCTCAAAAAAGAAACAAACAAACAAAAAAAAACATGTAAAAACAAAACAAAACAGAACAGCATCATTTCCTTATCATTAGTTTGAAGGAAGTGAATTGCCTGTAAAAGTTTCCATTTTCAAAAAAAGCATTAAAATATAGTGTGAGGCCGGGCATGATGGCTCATTCCTGTAATCCCAGCGCTTTGGGAGGCTGAAATGGATTGTCTGGGCCCAAGAGGTTGAGGCTGGTGTTTGTGCCACTGCACACCAGAAGCCTGGGCAACAGAGCTTGCCCCTGTCTCAAAAGAACAAACCATGGTTTACCACAACCAACAGGAAAATTCTGGATAAAACTACATATGAAATATTTACTGCTGTGCTCAACAAGGTAGTATAGAGGCCAAAGGCAAAGTCCTGGGGTCAGGCCACCTGGTCTGCTATCTAATTAGCTGTGTCATCTTTGGAAAGGTACTTGAACTCTCTGTGCCTTAGAATCCCTTTTCTAAAATGTGGGCTGGGCGCAGTGGCTCATGCCTGTAATCCCAGCACTTTGGGAGGCTGAGGCGGGTAGATCATCTGAGGTCAGGTGTTCGAGACCAGCCTGGCCAACAAGGTGAAACCTGGTCTTTATGAAAAATACAAAAATTAGCCAGGCATGGTTGTGGGCACCTTTAATCCCAGCTAGTTGGGAGGCTGAGTCTGGAGAATTGCTTGAACCCAGGAAGCAGAGGTTGCAGTGAGCTGAGATCATGCCACTGTACTCCAGCTTGGACGACAGAGCAAGACACTGTCTCAAAAAAAAAAAAAATGTGGATAGCAGCATCTACCTCGAAAAATTGTTGTGGGATCAATAGTGTGGAGAACCTACCAACTATAAAAAAAAGTTTCAGGACCCCATATAAATTTATCACACCAAGGGGGAAGTTACACCCTGATTGAGCCACATAGCATGTTCGTAACTTCTGGTTCTTAAATTATAATTTATTCTTTCCTTATTATTTTCATTCTGTAAATGACTATGAGAGACCAGAGACTAGACCTCCTCTCCTTCCAATCACTCATCTTTGTTAAAAGATTAACTGCCTCCTTTATTGTTCTGTACCTAACTCACACCAGATGGCACAAAAGACTCTATGACTTACATCTTCAGTGTGGAAGGTTAAACACACCTTTCCCGGAAAAAAGACCACCTCATCTGGGCACAGTCACTCATGCCTGTAATCCTAGTACTTTGAGAGGCCAAGGTGAGTGGATTGCTTAAGCCCAGCAGTTTGAGACCACCTGGGCAATGTGGCAAAACCCTGTCTCTACAAAAAATACAAAAATTAGTTGGGTGTGTTGGTGTGTGCCTGTAGTCCCAGCTACTAGGGATGCTAAGGTGGGAGGATGGCTTGAGCCTGAGAGGTTGAGGCTGTAGTGAGCTGCAATTGTGCCCCTGCACTCCAGCCTGGGTGACAGAGTGAAAGAAAGACCACCTGGACTAAACGGAGAGGTGCTTTAATTCTGCTAAGGTTCTCTAAACTTTGTCTATGTAAGTGATCCCAAACTTTTAAGCCTTGGAACACTGACTTCCACTCTTTGGTATCTGTGGTTCCCAGGTGGCCCTCCTAAAACTCTGTGCATGAATAAACTCCCTTTAGATTCTGACCCTTTTGATTATTTGAGATTGACACACTGTGCAATATACATTATAATATGCAAATATTAACCTTCAGAGTAGTCTATCACATTTAGGTAGAAATCCTTTTTTTTTTTTTTTTTTTTTTTTGAGATGTAGTCTTGCTCTGTCGCCCAGGCTGTAGCACAGTGGCATGATCTCGGCTCACTGCAACCTTGGCCTCCAAGGTTCAAGCAATTCTCCTGACTCAGGCTCCCGAGTAGCTGGGATACAGGCACCCACCATCATGTCCGGCTAATTTTTGTATTTTTAGTAGAGATGGGGTTTTGCCATGTTTGCCAAGTTGGTCTCAAACTCCTGACCTCAGGTGATCTGCCCACCTCGGCCTCCCAAAGTGCTGGGATTACAGGAGTGAGCTACAGTGCCCGGCCGACATTTAGGTAGAAATCTTACACATATTCCTATCTTTGGTCTCTCTCCGCTTATCTTTGTGACCTTTTCTTTACAGATAAGAACAAATCATTTGTGGACTTGAAAAGAGTTACCATAGTAACTGAAAAAAAACCCGGGAGAGTTAAAATGCCATTCTTGCTGCTCTCTTTTAATTAATAAACTCTAAAAAGGCTAATCCACTTGGGCACTACTTAATTAACAATCAATTAGTAAGGAAAAGATATCGAAGCAGTAAACTTAAGTGACAGCGAAAAGTTCTGTTGACCAAACATGGATTCTCTCCTCCTCAGAACCAAGTTACAGTTGGAGTTACAGTAAATACTTCGAACAGGTCCTTCGGTATCCTGTAGGAAATACAGACAAAAACGCAGGTCATTTACTTTTTTGTTTTTCTTTTTTTGACACAGGGTCTCACTCTGTCGCCTAGGCTGGAGTGAAGTGGGGCGATCATGGCTCACTGCAGCCTAGACCTCCTGGATTCAAGCGATCCTGCCGCCTTAGCCACGCAAGTAGCGGGGACTACAAGCACGCGCCACCACGCCCAGCTTATTTTTTGTATTTTTATAGCGACGTGGTTTCACCACGTTGACCAGGCTAGTCTGGAACTCCTGAGCTAAAGTGATACGTCTGCCTGGGCCTCCCAAAGTGCTGGAATTACAGATCTGAGCCACCGGGCCCAGCCCAATTACTTTCTTCAGTCTGAGTATGAGCGCCGGAAGAAAAGCTCCTACCTGCATCTATTTTTTTTAGACACAGGGTCTCCCTCTGTCACCCAGGCTGGAGAGCAGTGGCGCAATCTCCGCTCGGCTCACTGTAACCTCAGCCTCCCGGGCTCGATCGCATATATATATATATATATATATATATATATATATTTGTGTGTGTGTGTGTGTGTGTGTGTGTGTGTGTGTGTGTGTGTGTGTGACGGAGTCTCGCTCTGTCGCCAGGCTGGAGTGCAGTGGCACGATCTCGGCTAACTGCAACCTCCCCCTCCAGGGTTCAAGCCATTCCCCTGCTTCAGCCTCCCAAGTAGCTGGGACTACAGGCGCGCACCACAGTGCCTGGCTAATTTTATATATATATATATATATATATTTTAGTAGAGACGGGGTTTCACCATATTGGCCAGGATGGTTTCGATCTCCTGACCTTGTGATCCGCCCGCCTCGGCCTCCCAAAGTGCTGGGATTACAGGTGTGAGCCACTGCACCCAGGCATCGATCGCTTATATTTTTAAAAAGATGTTTTCTTCGTTTCCTAGCCCCTTCTACCCACCTATGAAGTTCCGCAGGCTTTAATGCTATTGCTATGGCCATAAGAGGCCAAGCTGGCGGGTGCGGTTCCCTAATACGGTTCCCTCAGAGGCAGCCGACTCTGCCCAGGGCGAGCAGCGCCGCGCCGTGGGGGGACGCTCCTAGGGTCCCCGGGGCACTGGTTGGGGGAGGTGTTGGGCGCACGTACCCAGGCTCAGGTGAGGCGAGTGCGCATCTTGGGATGCAGCTGGCGCTGGCGGCGCTTGCGCTGGCCATTGAGGAGCTTCTGCGCGACCTTGCGCTCGTGCCCGCCAGGTGCAGGCCAGTTGGTGCGCAGCGCCTGCTCGCGCCGAGTCCGGCCCTTGCTGCGCCCTGCCCCGCAGGCCGGGAAGTCGCGCAGGTAGTAGTAGTCCAGGCAGTCGTAAAGCTCCTCCTCGTAGCTTATGGGTGGCGGCGGCCGAGCCAGAGCCTGCAGACGTGGAAGCGCCCGCTCTGCGGGCGCTTCCATCCTGCCCAGGCCTGTGGCCACCGGCGGCCACCTGCCCGCGTCTGGGCGCTCCTGGAAGACCCAGCAGCCCCGCCTCGAGTTCCGATGGGCTCCGCGTGAAGGTGGGGGTGCCTTCGGCGACGCCACAGAGGCGGACCTTCGACGACGTCACAGTGGCGGTACAGTGCCTGGAGCAGGGCTGTCTTCTCCTTGGAGTGCAGCCTGGTAACCGGGACCTCCCCGCCAGGTCCTGTTGTTGCTGGAGAAGGGTAGCTGACAAACTCCAACTCAGCACAGTGTTTATGTTGGTCAAAAATAGGAAACTATGTTCAGGCGCGGCGGAGGTGGGAGGATCCCTTCAGGCCAGGCAGTCAAGAGCAGCCTGGGCAACATGGCGCGACCCCATCTCTGAAGTCCCACCTCAGCTTCCCAGCTACTTGAACTCCAAGGTTCATGGCTCCAATGAGCTATGTTCCCACTACATCACCCCAGCCTGCGAGACTGAGGTAAACTCTGTCTAAAAAAATAAAAAAGAAAACTATCCAAGTGTGCAATAGGGAGGGACTGCTTAAAGAAAACATGAGGCTGACTGGGCCCTGTAATCCCAGCATTTTGGGAGGCCGAGGCGTGAGGATGGATGGCTTGGGCAACATGACGAAACCCCGTCCCTACAAAAGATACAAAAATTAGCCGGGCGCGGTGCACCCCTGGCCTAATTTTTGTATTTTTTGTAGAGATGGGGGTCTCGCTATGTTGCCCAGGCCAGTTTCGTCCTGGGTTCAAGTGATCTTCTCACCTTGGCCTTTAGAGTTGTTGGGATTACAGCTGTAACCCTTCCTGGGTTAGGCTATTTAATAACATAAGAAAGTGTGGTGACTCCGCCTCACCTTGGGAGGCCAAGGCGGGTGGATCATCTGAGGTCAGGAGTTTGAGACCATCCTGGCCCATGTGGTGAAACCTGGTCTCTACAAAAAACGCAAAAATTAGCTGTGTGTGGTGGCACATGCCTGTAATCCCAGCTACTCAGAAAGCTGAGATGGGAGAATTGCTTGAACCTGGGAGGTGGAGGTTGCAGTGAGCCGAGGTCGCACCACTGCATCCCAGCCTGGGCGACAGATCGAGACTCCAGAGTTTGAGACCAGCCTGGGCGACAGATCGAGACTCCAGAGTTTGAGACCAGCCTGGGCAATGTAGTGAAACCTTGTTTCTACAAAACACACAAAAAAAGCCAGGTGTACCTGTGTCCACCTGTGGCCCCAGCTACTTAGGAGGCTGAGGCAGGGAGATCACTTGGGGCCAGCAACTCAAGTCTGCAGTGAGCTATGATCATCCCACTGCTCTCCATCCTGAGCAATAGAATGAGACCATGTCTCTAGATAGCTAGCTAGATAATTGATACATAGCTTTCTGTCGGAAATTTTTTTCCTAGATTTGAACCTGTTTTTCTAAAGTAGCATTCAACACATCAGCATTTTACAGTATTATTAGTTGTTAATATGATTGTTTTTCTGAAATACTGTATCCTTTACAAAAGCAGTTTTGTCTTTCAAAGCACATAGATAGGTCCTCAAGTGAATTTGTCTGATGTTGGTGACCTTGGTACCATTTTCTCCAGTTGATTGGAAAAGTCAGTCAATAATTTCAGGTCACTGTTGGCCTTAAAGAAGAGCCCAAAGGTAGTAAGCAAGGGTGCTGGTGTTCAGTCGCCTTCTAGAAGCATTTTCACCTTCCCTTAATGTTTCTCTTTATGAATATAGAAGTACTGTATGTAGAATTGACCCAGTGCTGCCCTGGCAACTTTGTAGATTAGGCCAGATTTACATTTTTTACCTTTATGAGAGGCACCCTGGTAGGCTAGTGGAGTTACACATGAAGTCTGATCTCAGCTGCACTGTCCAGAGATGCAACACAGTCCAATCAAATAACATCCTCTGAGCCTGTTTCTTTAGTTGTTAAATAAGGATAATAATTATACCCATCTAAAAAGACAGCTTATTGTATTTGAGTGGTCTTTTATTTTCTATGAAACTGTCTTTAACACAGCAATTATTTTCATTGCCATACCACATTTGTGTTTTGTTTTTGTTTGAGATGGAGTCTGTTTTTTTTTTTTTTTTTTTTTTTTTTTTTTTTTTGAGATGGAGTCTTGCTGTTGTTGCCCAGGCTGGAGTGCAGTGGCATGATCTCGGCTCACTGCAACCTCCGCCTCTTAGGTTCAAGTGATCCTCCTGCCTCAGCCTCCTGAGAAGCTGGGATTATAGGCGCCCACCACCACACCTGGATAATTATTTTTATTTTTTAGTAGAGATGGGGTTTCATCATGTTGCCCATGCCGGTCTCAAACTTCTGACCTCAAGTGATCCACCTGCCCTGACCTCCCAAAGTGCTAGAATTGAGGCACTGAGCCCAACCTCTTTTTACATAAGAATTTCTTGGTTGGGCGTGGTGGCTCACACCTGTAATCCCAGCACTTTGGGAGGCCGAGGTGGGAGGATCACCTGAGGTCAGGAAGCATTTATTATGTATTTATATGCCCGATATTATGTGAAGCACTTTACTATCTTATCAAATCTTCAGGATAGATCTTCAGTTCTCATGACTACAGGAGGATACTAAGGCTCAGACAGGAGAAGAGACGTGGCCAGCCTGTGTCCCCAGAGTCTATGATCTTACCACTAGGTTACAGTGCTTCTGGGGAGCACATGTTGTGAGGTTTTTGCTTTAAAATGAACCAATAAAAAACAAAGGCAAAAAAGGCATAAGCTATTAAAAAGTGGGAGAAACACTAAGAGAACCTTAAGCACATAACTAAAAATATTATGGAAAAGTTATTGAATTCATTAGCAAATTTACTCTAATTCTAGATTTTCATTGAGGGATATATTACTCATGATGAAGAAAAAAATGTTCATTTCAAGTATATTAACATAAATACCATCAATATGGTTTATCATGTTTAAATGTTCACTTAAAGCAATTCAGTTAAAATTCTGCATATCATACAATATTATAGCTTGCTAGTAGATTGCAAAGTAAATAGTCATCCAAATAAAAACACCAAAGCACATGATGTTTTTCACTGGTTGTTGCTATTTTTAGGTGAGCATTTGATATATACCAACAGATAGATAATAACATATTGCTAATTTCTTTCATCATCATATAAAGGTGGGTTCAGGATAGAATGGCATAAGGGCAAAGAAGAATTTGAAATCTAACATCAACTCGGTGATGCATCAAGATAAAAGTAGAGGCTGGGCGCGGTGGCTCACGCCTGTAATCCCAGCACTTTGGGAGGCCAAGGTGGGTGTATCATGAGGTCAGGAGTTCGAGACCAGCCTGGCCAACATAGTGAAACTCCGTCTCTACTAAAAACTACAAAAAAAATTAGTGGGGCGTGGTGGTGGGCACCTGTAATCCCAGTTACTCAGGAGGCTGAGGCAGGAGAGTGGGTTGAACCCGGGAGGCAGAAGTTGCAGTGAGCCGAGATCGCACCATTGCACTGCAGCCTGGGCAACAGTGCGAGACTGTCCCAAAAAAAAAAAAAAAAAAGATAAAAGTAGAGACAATAGGGGCATCTTGGTGAATACCAAATTTAACAAGGCAGATTAAGAGAAACAGTATTAAAACATTCAATTAAATCCCTAAGATCCAGGGCTTTGCAATAAATATGTAAGTAAATCTCCAATATCCATGCTGAAAGTTTAAAAGAAATGATAATGATAATTAAAGAAGTACAACTTTTCCTTAGCTTTGCAGTAATCTAGAAACAAAGAATGTTTCTAATATTTAGACACTACAAAGAACCTTACAAGGAGAAACCTGTAAGTATGGCAGGATTCACCAGCAGCCCTGGGCTTGTCCACAGTACCCCATGATGAACAGTAACTCCATTGTGTAAATGCTCATGAACAAAGGATTACAGGACTTTTCCAGTTTAGACATACCATATTTTCTTTCAGACAATTCTTCAACTTGTTTACATAGATCAGCCATACGATTATTCCATTTCTCTGAAAATTGAGCAAAAGTTGATTCTCAATAATATGTCCCTATGTCAGAGCAGCACTAACATATAATGACTTATTTCCAATATTTTACATCCTCACAGTCCATATCATTTCACTGCTTTTGAATTTTTTTTCCCCTTTTTTGGTGGTTCTTAGAATTAGTTTAATGGGAGACTATAAGAGAAGTTTTAAAGTTTAGTACCTCTTTTTAGCCTTTTAATTTCTGAAAAGCAGGAGGGCAGAAAAGATGAATCAAAAACAACAGGGAGGCCACAATGAGGAGGTCTCCAGGGGTCTGTTAGCAAACTTCCTAAAACATGTCTCAGCTGTGTGGAAATAAGACTTTACAGCAGCTGGGTGTGACGGTTCAGGCCTGTAATCCTAGCACTTTGGGAGCGGAGGTGGGCAGATCGCTTTGAGCTCAGGGCAACATAGCAGAAACCCCCCTCCCCACCTCCACCCCCGCCCCCATCTCTACCAAAAATATGAAACTAAGCCAGGTGTTGTGGCAGGTGCCTGTAGTCCCAGCTACTCAGGAGGCCGAGGCAGGAGAATCGCTTGAGCCCAGAAGGTGAACATTGCAGTGAGCCGAGACCACGCCCCACTGCCGGCCTGGGTGACAGAGTAAGACTCCATCTCAAAAAAGAAAGAAGGGAAAAAAAAAAGGTTAAGAGGGACCCCAGACCTTAAAAATACAAGTTTAAGAGGGACCCTGGCTGAGCATGGTGGCTCATGCCTGGGATATGGGAGGCTGAGGTGGGTGGATCACGAGGTCAAAAGATCTAGACCATCCTGGTCAACATGGTGAAACCCCATCTCTACTAAAAATGTATACAAAAAATTAGCCAGGTGTGGTGGCACACACCTGTAGTCCTAGCTATTCAGGAGGCTGAGGCAGGAGAATGGCGTGACCCCGGGAGGCGGAGGTGACAGTGAGCCAAGATCGCGCCACCACACTCCAGCCTGGCAACAGAGCAAGACTCCCTCTCAAAAAAACAAACAAAAAAAATAGAGGGACCCCAAAGCAAAAAATCCCAACACTTTGTCTCCCAATCCCAATCACTGAAACACCAGGAGAGTATAATAGTTTTGCAGCCTAGCTGTAGTAGACTGATAGTGACCCCCCCAAAATGCTCATATCCCAATCCCAGGGATCGGTGAACATGACCGTATATGGCAAAAGGAGCTTTGCAGATATAATGAAGTTAAGGATTTTTGGCCAGGAGGATTATCCCAGCTTGTCCCTGCGGGGTTGATGTACTCACCAGGATCCTTAGAAGAGCAGGTGATGGAGAGGGTGGGAGGTGTAGTGATGGAAGCAGGAAACATGAGTCATTGAAAAAGGGCAGCAAAAGCTGATGAGTGAAGGCCGCCCCCAGGACCAGGAAATGGATTCTCCCGGAGAGCCTTGCAAGGCATCGAACCTGCTCCCACCTTCACTCAGTGGGACTGACTAGAATTCTGGCCTTCAGAACTCTAAGGGAATACATCTGTATAATTTTAAGCCACTAAGTGTGTGGTACTTTGTTGCAGCAGCAACTAGAAACTAGTATTGTAGTGAAGCCTCAAAACCCACCTGAAGGGGCCGGCGGGTGGCGGCTCATGCCTGTAATCCCATCACTTTCTGAGGCCAAGGTGGGCAGATCACTTGAGGTCAGGAGTTTCAGACCAGCCTGGCCAACATGGTGAAATCCCGTCTCTACAAAGAGTACAAAAATTAGCCAGGCATGGTGGCACATGCCTGTAATCTCAGCTGCTCAGGAGGCTGAGACATGGGAATTGCTTGAACCCAGGGGGGTGAAGGTTGCAGTGAGCCAAGATTGCACCACTGCACTCCAGCCTGGGCAACAGAGCGAGACTCTGTCTCAAAAACAAAAAAACAAAACAAAACAAAACAAAAAAACAACCCACCTGAAGAAGATTTCCAGTTCTGTCAGCCGTCTCCCACCCAACCCCCAGAAGCAGACATTCCTTTGCTGTGGGCCATGGACAGGCAGAAGGAAGCACCTCCTCATGGCAGAGGCCTACCCAGGAGAAACCCAAGGGAAGGTACTGCCGGGCCATCCCCTCTGACAAGGCCATTTTCTTTACACAGTTTCACTCTGTCTCCCAGGCTGGAGTGCAGTGGCAAGATCTCAGCTCACTTCAACCTCTGCCTCCCCAGTTCAAGTGATTCTCCTGCCTCAGCCTCCCGAGTAGCTGGGATTACAGGAGCATAGCATGCCTAGCTAATTTTTGTATTTTTAGGAGAGACAAATTTTCACCATGTTGCTCAGGCTGGACTCGAACACCTGGCCTCAAGTGATCCACGTGTCTCAGCCTCCCAAAGTGCTGGGATTACAGGAGTGAGCCACTACACCCAGCACTTGCCAAGACCTTTGATGGCAGGCCTTTTCCAGGTGACCACTCCTTGTCTGGTCTGGTTCTGCCCCACTTTCCCTCTCACCAAGTTGGAATCCCTAGCTACTTTTCAGTAGAAGAGAGTGTGTACCCCAATCCCAGCTTGGTATGGGTCAGACCTGCATTTAACTCATGGAACCTGGCTGCTCCCCAGGCCCTGAAGAAAAAAAGGGTCTCTCTGTGGGTATGATACAGGATGGGCCTGTCCCAAGGACTCTGTGAGAGGGAAGCCCAATGTCCCACCGGGTTGGCAGGGCTGGGGAAGGGAAAGTGTTATGATAGCCCTAAGACTAGAAAGAGGCAGCAGAGGGAGCAGGACAGCACTCACATGGAACTCATGCCACTGCCTGAGTGAGGGGAGGGAGGAGTGCATGCCAGTGACGTCAGGGGGCAGAGAGGCACGGTTCCAGGGCGGCTTTCCCCCTCACTTCCTGCCATGTTACTCTGATCCCCTCCAGGTGAGCCTGCCCACTTTGGGCCCAGGGTTGCCACTGGGGCCTATATCAAAATGCAGACCCCCCTGGCCATGGCCCCAGGAGTAGGGCAGAATAGGGAGGAGTTCTGGACAGAGGAGAGGCAGGGCAGGAGGGAGTGGGCCTCAAACTCCAGGAGGGGGCCCTTCCCATGGGTTCTGCTTTCTGGCCTCTCCTCCCTTACTCCTGGGGTGATCAACTGGGGAAGAACTGAGGTAAGGTTTCTCACCCTCAGGTCCAGGGGTACGATTACTGGGCCCTTTTAGGAAGGTGTGAGCCCCCTGAAACAATGTAAGGTTTTGTGTGGAGAGCGTGTACATGCGTTTCTTGGAAAACGGCCCACAGCTCTTACTCTCAGCAGTCTCCACACTCAAAAAAGTTTAGAACTCTTGCTACAGAGCTGTGGGAGAAGCTAGATGAGGGGCCTGCCAAGGGCATTCTGGGGACTACCTGGCCACTCCTGAGCCCACTGTCCCGTAGGCAGGCAGCACTGCTTGGTATTTGCAGAGCTGAGGAGATGGGGCATGCAGGGACAGTGAAATTGCCCTGAGATGACCCACACTCCTCAGCTGGGAAGTGAGGGGTGTGTCTCCTGCAGCATCCTCCATCCCTAGAGCCATGGGGCCAGGAGAACTGGCCCTTGCAGCAAGTGAAAAGCCTATTATTCACTCCCTCCCTGGCCATGTAGACAGTGAACCAAGGGCACTCATATCAAGTAAATGCCTTGGTCTCTGTGAACAAGGTGACCAGTAGGCATTCCCAGGTGCAGTGAAGGTCCTTACACCAAAATATGCACCTGGTCACCTGAGGAAAGAGACAGGACTATCTGAGGGGATGGGGCTGAGCTGGGTATGGAGTGGTCCTTGTGGGTCTTGGTGAGTGGGAGAGGGAGCAGCATGAGCCCAGGCTGAACAACCAGGAGAACAACTAGGCGATAGCTTGGAAAAAGTGCTGGACCCACAAGCATTCAAAGCTGGCCAGAGAGGGAGGTGGAATAGGCTGAGAAGTCCCAAGTTCTGAAGATTGGCCCTGGAAGGCAGAAACCAGGTAAGGTGGGAAGTTACCTGCACCCTGGGGGCCAGGAGCATCCTTAGCCCAGAGCAGGTGCCAAGATTTCTGGCTCTGGGTGTGACCTCAGTCTGGAGAAAAGCCCCAACCTCCACCGAGACCACCTGCCCCCCTAGACTACTTCAGATGCTGAGCCCAAGCTAGGGGCAGGAAGCTAGACTGATGCCTAAGGTAATCCCAACAAAGTCTCTGGTTCCCCCCAGCTATAGGGCCAAAGGGGAATTATAGACCAATTATAGACCCCCCCAGGTGCTGGCTCTCAAACTAACACTGAGCCCTCAGTGCCCACAGGAAGATACAATCAGCGCACTTTCCAGATGGGGAAACAAGCTCAAAGAAGTGCAAGAGCCTTGTCCAATGCCCCAGACCAGGACTCCAGGCCCAGAGTG
Organism: Homo sapiens; assembly: GCF_000001405.40. Taxonomy (NCBI): domain Eukaryota; kingdom Metazoa; phylum Chordata; class Mammalia; order Primates; family Hominidae; genus Homo; species Homo sapiens. Next base: position 56,124,634 of record NC_000007.14, read on the forward strand.
TTTTTGTTTTTTGTTTTTTTGAGACAGAGTCTCACTCTGTCACCCAGGCTGGAGCGCAGTGACGTCATCTCGGCTCACTGCAAACTTTACCTCTCGGATTCAAGCGATTCTCCTGCCTCAGCCTCCTGAATAGCTGGGACTACAGGCGCCTGCCACCACACTCAGCTAATTTTTGTATTTTTACTGGAGATAGGGTTTCCCTGTGTTGGCCAGGCTGGTCTTGAACTCCTGACCTCAGGTGATCTGCCCGCCTCGGCCTCCCAAAGTGCTGGGATTACAGGCATGAGCCATCGTGCCCGGCAGGCCAAGAGTGTTTTTTGTCACTGTGTCCAGAGTGCAGCAGCTGCTCTGATGTACCCACCTAAGCCTGGCAACATTCTCCAACTTTGGAAGCCCAGGAGCACGGCCCATGTCCACAGATGCACCTGGCATGAGGTGTGCCCCGAGGGACGGAAGCAGGTGAGTTTTGCCTCCTTCACTGGTTTGTGAGAGCCTTGAAGGAGACAAGGATCTGCTTGGGAAAGCCCTTGAGACATCGCACAAGGCTGGCAGTGAACACTGAGCAACCTGGGGCAGTTTCCCTCTGGATGGATCCGTATAGCCTGAATGGGACCTGGCTCAGACAGAGCTCAGTTCTCCAGGTCACTGAGGCATGGAGAGGTCACAGCTACCAAGTGTAGGAGTCTGGATTCAAAGCCAACAGCGTGACTCCAAAGTTCCTGCCCTAGCTCCTGGACCACCCACCTCTCGGGAGTCACCCTTGCAGGCTCATCAGATGCCCAGGCCAGCAGCACAGCCGGACAGGGCCAGGGAAACTTGGGGAGCCTCAGAGTACCCCCAGGTATTGACTATGACAGTAAAATATTAAAATACTATTTTCAAAATGTATACAAGCTTAATCTATTTATTCAAAATATGAATCATCAACATAATTTGCCACTAATATCTCATTCAGTCCCTTCACAGGACACATAATCCACTGGGAGATAAGAGTTTAGCAGCTGGCAGGCAGTGATGCACAGCAAAAACAAAAACCAAGAGGTGAAATAGTTCTGAAATAAACAAGGTTTTAAAGCTAAGAGAAATTATTGAATTACTAAGTCATTACCACTAATTTTGAGCCAACTAACTGATTAATATGAGATGATACAACGTCCTATGCTTTGGTAAATAGAAACCATGTTTAAACAATGTATGTAATGTGACTTTCAAAATGCTCCTGGCTTTACAAAGATGTGATTAAAATGTAGTAATACATGCTAAAGCGTTTCCCCCTGCAGAGCATGTTGTAAGTTTAATCAGTCACATTGAGAGTCCGGAAGATGAAGGAAAAGGCTGTGGATTTCGCTGAGAACTTACCAGAGTTGAACTCCCTCACTTTCGGTTCCCCAGCATTGGCGGGTTCCGGGACTGGTGGCTGTGGTGGCTCGTTGGTCTTTGTCTCTTAGAAGGTGGAGAATAATCATCATCTTGAGAAAGAAAAAATGGTCATTACTGAAGGAACCATCTTAGGTTACAGCTACCTCCGGGTCAATTCCCAACATTCAAAAGCTGAGCAGGGCTTTAAAGCTATTTTGAGTATTAATAATTCTTTCTGTATTGTGAACTTCAGTATACTTTTTCTACTTACATTTGAAATGTTATTCTTTTGGGATGTGCTCAAGTGAATACTGCTTTTTCCTCGTCTTGCTTCATTATTTTTTAGTTTGCTTCATTTGAATCATCATTATAAATCTCCCTTTCTCCTCAAATAACTTTCAAGTTGATGCCAAGAACTATATTGTATTTTAAGCCTTTTCAGAAAAAACTTTAACAAAGACAGTCACCTAAAGTTATACAAATGTAGAAGAAAGGGGATAAAATAAAGCTTAGATTGGAAAAAATATTTAAGCTTATACAAAATTCAAGCATACATAAACAAGGGAAGCTGGATAAGTGTATGTACAAATACTTTTAACAAGTGCAAAATATATAGGTTTAAAGAAATAGGGCTGCCTGGGCGTGGTGGCTCATGCCTGTAATTCCAACACTTGGAAAGGCCGAGGCAGGCGGATCACTTAAGGTTAGAAATTCGAGCCAGCCTGGCCAGCATGGTAAAACCCCATCTCTACTAAAAGTACAAAAATTAGGCTGGGTGCGGTGGCTAATGCCTGTGATCCTAGCACTTTGGGAGGCCAAGGCGGGTGGAACACCTGAGGTCGGGGGTTTGAGACCAGCCTGACTAACATGGAGAAACCCCCGTCTCTACTAAAAATACAAAATTAGCCAGGAGTGGTGGTGCATGCCTGTAATCCCAGCTACTCAACAGGCTAAGGCAGGATAATCGCTTGAACCCAGGAGGCAGAGGTTGTGGTGAGCCGAGATTGTGTCATTGCACTCCAGCCTGGGCAACAAGAGCAAAACTCCATCTCAAAAAATAAACAAAAAACCCCACAAAAAAACAAAAACCAAAATTAGCCAGGCATGGTGGCACCTGTAATCCCAGCTACTCGGGAAGCTGAGGCAGAAGAATCACTTGAATGCGGGAGGCGGAAGTTGCGGTGAGCCAAGATCGCACCACTGCACTCCAGCCTGGGTAACAGAGCAAGACCCTGTCTCAAAAAAAAAAAAAAAAAAAAAGAAATAAAGAAAGAAAGAAATAAGGCTACATTATTTATGAAACAGATACTGTTGACTCAGTCACCAGAAAGCCTGTGTATAAATCAGCAGTGAGATATTCAAGAACAGCACACACACACTACTCAGGACAGCTGTCGTGAGAGTTCCATGCTCATTTCTTTGTGGATACACCAGCAACTCACTCTGCTATGATTCTCCAATACACATCATGTTAGAATTAGAGACATCTGGGCCAGGTGCAAGGCTGAGGCAGGCAGATCATCTGAGGTCAGAGGTTTGAAACCAGCCTGGCCAACATGGTGAAACTCTGTCTCTACTAAAAATACAAAAATTAGCTGAGTGTGGTGGTATGCACCTGTAATCCCAGCTATTCGGGTGGCTGAGGCAGGAGAATTGCTTGAACCCAGGAGGTGGAGGTTGCAGTGAGCTGAGATAGTGAGATAGCGCCACTGCACTCCAGCGTGGGCAACAGAGCCAGGCTCTGTCTCCAAAACAAAACAAAACAAAACAAAAAAAGAATTAGAGACATCTGGATCGAATCAGCTGCCACTGTCATCTTCTAGTCCCCTAAAGTGTCAGGTAACATCCTATTAAGATTGCTACTCACACATCATCTATAAAATACGGAAAATATCATTTTAAGAAATCTTTTTTTTTTTTTTTTTTTTTTTTTTCTGAGATGGAGTTTCATTCTTATTGCCCAGCCTGGAGTGCAATGCTGCGATCTCACCTCATCACAACCTCCACCTCCCAGGTTCAAGCGATTCTGCCTCAGCCTCCTGAGTAGCTGGGATTACAGGCAGGCATCACCACGCCCAGCTAATTTTGTATTTTTAATAGAGACAGGTTTCTCCATGTTGGTCAGGCTGGTCTCGAACTCCCAACCTCAGGTGATCCTCCCACCTTGGCCTCCCAAAGTTCTGCCAGAGAGGAGGGGCAGGAACAATAGTGATGCACCCGGCAGAAGAGGTAATATTTTCCAAACATAAACATTAGCATAACCTTATTGGACTTGTAAGAATATATATATATTTTTTAGTAACAGAAGCAGAAGATTCTCCTGAACTGCATCATTTCAGCTAGCATTTATTTACTCAAGATTAAAATAATACAACAACTATAAAAAGTCAAGAGGTGGGCAGGCACGGTGGCTCACACCTGTAACCCCAACAGTTTGGGAGGCCGAGGTGGGTAGATCACCTGAGGTCAGGAGTTCGAGACCAGCCAGGCCAACATGGTGAAACCCCATCTGCACTAAAAATACAAAAATACAGTGACATTCACAGTGGGAATTTTCATACTGGCTGGAAGCATCCACCAAAATTAAAGGTATAGATTATGTGGGTTTCATTTTTCAGACTATTCCTGTTCCCCACTGACACAAATAATTGGAAATTGTCTATAGTAGCTCTTTGAGAAGATCATGGAAACACAGTGAATGATTTGTGCAGCTGGATGAGTTGGGAATGTGGATCTTCTGATTTTTTAATTATTTTTTATTTTTTATGTTTTTGAGATGTGTTCTCACTCTGTCACCCAGGTTGGAGTGCAGTGGCATAATCTCTGCTCACTGCAACCTCCACCTTCTGGGTTCAAGTGATTCTCCTGTCTCAGCCTCCCAAGTAGCTGGAATTACAGGCATGTGCCACCACACCTGGCTAATTTTTGTATTTTTAGTAGAGACAGGGGTTTCGCCATGTTGGCCAGGCTGGTCTCAAACTCCTGGCCTCAGGTGATCCACCCGCTTTGGCCTCCCAATGTGCTGGGATTACAGGTGTGAGCCATCACACCTGGCCCAGGTCTTCTAATTTTTGTATGTGTGTGCACTAATAAAAGTTTTTCATGCAGAGCTTTCAATTAATTGATATATATTTACTGGGAACCTTCTATATTCAGTTAGGGAATGTGAAGTAGACCACAGACCCTGATCTCTAGGGAAGCAGGGTCTACCTGTGAGAGCTTATACAGCAATACAATGTCAGTAGCCACTCAATACAATGGTTTAAGCCAAGAAAAAACTAATATTTATTTTAGGGTTATAGAGTATACAGTGCCTGATTGGAAGAGACATGAGAAATTGACAAATGGCCTGAACAAACTATACATGAAGTAGGAAAATAGGTTGGTGGGATCTGGGAGGGCTTTAAGAGGAAAATTTTTCACAGCCTGGAAAGCAGGTGGGTAGCACCAGGAGGTGGAGGAGTGAGGGGCATGGGGGTGAGGGACTGGGGTAAGAAAAGCATTCCTGAGTAGAACCTCAAAAGCAAAACCTCAGAATGGAGAAAGTAGAAGACAATTTTTTTTTTCTTTGTCGCCCAGGCTGGAGTACAGTGGCACGATCTTGGCTCACTGCAATCTCCACCTCCCAGGTTCAAACGATTCTTCTGCCTCAACCTTCTGAGTAGCTGGGACTACAGGCATGTGCCACCACGCCTGGCTAATTTTTCTTGTATTTTTAGCAGAGATGGGTTTTCACTGTGTTAGCCAGGATGGTCTCAAACTCATGACCTGTGATCCGCCTGCCTCGGCCTCTCAAAGTGCTGGGATTACAGGCATGAGCCACCATGCCCGTCCAGAAGACGCTTTTTTATGTATAAGTTTGTTTCTGGATTTTTAGTTTCTTGAAATATTTACTTATTGACTCTAAATGGACTTATTATATTGGTAGATCTGCAAGAGAGTACTATTATTTTAAAAAATACAGGAAAAAGGCAACTTTTTAAAATCAGACCAGAGTGGCTGCAATGGAATGTTCTGGAAGGTGGGCAGTTGGCGGCAGGATTGAGTAAATTACTTTGAACCAGACCGTGGTAGACCCGGTAACTAGGTCAAATAACAAAATGTTTTTCTAGGGCGAGATGTTGTTTTCATGAAAACGTATTGCTACATGTTTTGTTCATGCCCAAGTGTGCTGTCTGTGAAAAAATAAACTGCTTATTTATTTTTTGAATATGCATATGTTAACAAAATTCCGAAAGACACAAAAAGGTATGTAGCCCCAGTTAAGTCTCCTGCTCACCCCTGCCCCCTGGCAAGCCAGTCCTTTATTCTAAGACAATGTAGCAGGTTTTGCCAGGAGTTCTTGTTGCATGCTATTTGCCAACATCCAAGGTTTCTGGGCTTAGAAAGAGCCAGTGTAATCTGCATCATTTCAAGTTGTGCTCAGTTTTCAAATTCTAGTCCTCAACTGCAGCCCAAAGCCAGCACTGTCAAGTGAACACTGGTTGCAAGAATTGTCAACATTGCCCACGCGACATTTCTTTATTTATTTTGAGATGGAGTTTCACTCTTGTTGCCCAGGCTGGAGTGCAATGGCACAATCTCGGCTCATTGCAACCTCCACCTCCCTGGTTCAAGCGATTCTCCTGCCTCAGCCTCCCAAGTAGCTGGGATTACAGGTGCCCACCAAACGCCTGGCCAATTTTTGTATTTTCAGTAGATACAGGGTTTCACCATGTTGACCAGGCTGGTCTCGAACTCCTGACCTCAGCTGTTTCTCCCACCTCAGCCTCCCGAAGTTCTGGGATTACAGGTATGAGCCATTGCTCCCGGCCAATGCAGCATTTAGTACATAAGTGCATGAGCTTCTTTTGGGCTTTTGGGTTCTAAGGCACAGAACATAGCCAAATAATCTCAGGCCCAAAAAGGAGCTGTTGTCTTGTAAAGCGATCTCACAGAATCCGAGGAAAGGACTAGAAATAGAAGCAGCCTCTGGGGAACTGTGTCTCGACATCACAAACTGAAGCCTGTCTTCTCTTTCTCTTTCTGGTTGTGTGCTGTGGGTTTGTGCAATTCATCTCTTTGTGCTGATTAGCCCTTTTAGTTGTTGTTGAAAATTGCCCTCTTCCCTAAATCGATATGACCTTTCAGCTCTAGTGCTCACCACCCCTGTTGGCAAAAACTTCTATGCCTTTTAGCTCAAATTCTGGTGAGAATTGGATTGTACCAGTTTGTCTCCCTGAGCCGGGCCACACACAAGCAATGGCTTACACTGGCTGGCTTTGGTCACATGTCCCTCCCTGGTCCCCTGAGCTGTTATTTGAGCAGGATCAAGGGAAGGTCAAATGGCAGGTTAGAGGTCCCTTTCAGGCAGTTCAGAATTATCCTTTTGACCTTATCCAGTTTCCACTGCTGTGTGTAACCTCCTTAAGGACAAAGACCCTGAGGGTGTCTAGCTTGGCACTGAACACATAGTTTGATGTGCAGTAAATATTTGTTGGTTTTATTGATTTTCGCCCCCCTCTTGGAAGACACTATCCTTCAGAAAGGACTGAAAAGTCTGCATTTTAGATATTTATTCAACTGCCATTAAAGGAGTGTGGTGAAGCAGATAGGACTCAAAAATCAGTTACTGCCAGGAGGTAATGATTTGGAGCTGTGTGTTTCTCTTTTGAACAGGATCAATAGATTATTTTCATTAGAAACCCAAGGCCAAAAAAAAAAAAAAAATGGCACTGAGGCAGAGCAGCTATAGCCTGGGATACATCCTTTAGATAGAATTTTACTATATGTCTACTCAGGCTCCTGAAAGTGTGACAGAGTAATAAACTCTTTTTTTTTTTTTGAGACAGAGTCTCACACTATCACCCAGGCTGGAGTGCAATGACATGATCTTGGCTCACTGTAACCTCTGCCTCCTGGGTTCAAGTGATTCTCCTGCCTCAGCCTCGCAAGTAGCTGCGATTACAGGTGCCCGCCACCATACCCAGCTAATTTTTTGTATTTTTAGTAGAGACTGTGTTTCACTATGTTGGCCAGGCTGGTCTCGAACTTCTGACCTCATGATCCACCCGTCCTGGCCTCCCAAAGTGCTGGGATTACAGGCGTGAGCCACTGTGCCCAGCCTGAGGGATAAACTCTTAATTGGAATATCTTGGAGGGTGGACAGCCCTAGTGACTGAAAATGTGAAATTATGACAAGCATTTAGCCAAGTACAAGGCCTACTTTAATGACTAGATAAGAATCTTTGAAAAGAGCAGAATGTTTACATGCAAATGATGCTGATAACGTGAATGTTAAGTATCCAGAGTTAATTTTCTTAAGTAGATTCACTTTTCCCCTTCCGATTTTGTTAGAATTGATCATTTGGTTTGCAAACATGTTTCTAAAATTGCTACTAATTTCAGAAGAGCTGATTCTGGATGTGTATTTTATTGGCTTACAAAAACTTACCTTTCACTTGTGAATTTATAATTGCCAAAAATTGGGTTAAATTCAAATTGTTTTCTTGGGGAAAATGTTAGACAAGGGATGAATGAAGCACTTATGTTCTGCTAAGGTAAATGTATGTGCATCATTTACATTTGGAACATAATCAAGAAGTATTATCTGGCCGGGTATGGTGGCTCATGCCTGCAATTCCAGCACTTTGGGAGGCCAAGGTGCAAGGTGCTTGAGGCTAGGAGTTGGAGACCAGCCTGGGCAACATAGTAAGACCTTGTCTCTACAACATATTAAAAAAAAATAGCCAGGTGTGGTGGCACACACTTGTAGTCCCAACCACTCAGGAGGCAGAGGCTGGGGGACCACTTGAGCCCAGGAGATCGAGGCTGCAGTGAGCTATGATGACAGGGTTTCATCATATTGACCAGGCTGGTCTTGAACTCCTGACCTCAGGTGATTTGTCCACCTTGGCCTCCCAAAGTGCTGGGATTACAGGCGTGAGCCATTGCAATTCAGTCTGGATGATAGAGCAAGACCCCAGTCTAAAAAAAAAAAAAAAAAAAAAGAAAAAGTGTCATTTGTCAGGAAGCACTAGGAAATGGGATTTTGGAAATCAAAGTCCTGACATGGAGCAAAGGTGACCAGAATAATCTCTCAGCCTGACTTTACCTTATCAGGAATTGGAGAGTGTCTATCCCTTTGACCCCAAGCAGGCCTTGTGACTACTTTAATAAAGAGGGCACAGAAAAAATGACTCTGGGTCAGATCAGGCATGGCTCTTTGCTGGCCTGGCAGCTTCCAGTTCCTGCCTCTTGGGAACCATCTGCCTTAGAAGTGTGTTCACCATTAGGTCTCTGTGTAGTAAAAAGTCCAAGTCATGTGGAGAGGCCTGGAAGATGTGGCACCTGTAGAATGATGGAGGCCAAGGAGTACCGAGGCACCACACATGAGGGTGAGGAAGCCCTCTTGGAAGTGGATCCTCTAGTCCTTGCCTGCCCAGCTTGTGACATGGAGAGCAGAGATGCACCATCAGCTGAGACTTTCTGACCCACAACATCAAGAGCAGCTTAACTGATGGTTTTAACACTGTTGAGGTCATAAGTCACTTGTTTCTTCTGGGCCTCTATTGATTCATCAGAAAAAGGACAATGGTACCTTTTTCTCTGTTTCATAGGGTTGGTGTCAGATTTATCATAAGGTCATACTGAGATAATATGTGAAAGTTGTTTTATAGGTTAAGAATGCTAAGAAATGGAGCACAGTGGGTAGGCTTAAAACATGTGACTTAGCCAAGCATGGTGGTACGCCCCTGTAGCCTCAACTACTTGGGAGGCTGGGGCAAGAGGATCACTTGTGTTGAGGGGTTGGAGATTGCAGTGAGCTATGATTGCACCACTGTACTCCAGCTTGGGTGATGGAATGAGACCCTGACTCAAAACCAAACCAAACCAAAACAAAACAAAATATTTTGATTAAAAAAAATTTTTTTTGAGATGGAGTCTCGCTCTGTTGCCCAGCCTGGAGTGCGGTGGCACAATCTAAGCTCACTGCAACCTTCACCTCCTGGGTTCAAGTGATTCTCCTGTTTCAGCCTCCCATGTAGCTGGGACTACAGGCGCATGTCACCATGCCCAGCTAATTTTTGTATTTTTAGTAGAGACGAGGTTTCACCATGTTGGCCAGGCTGGTCTTGAACTCCTGACCTAAGGTGATCCACATGCCTTGGCCTCCCAAAGTGCTGGGATGGGAGGTGTGAGCAACTGCATCCTGCAAATTTTTTTTTTCAATGTGATGTGTCCCAGTGTGCACGGTGAATGTGACAGATGCTGGTTGTTCTTATGATCACAGCTCTTGAAGACCCTGGTATCATCTATCTTTGGTCCTCAGGTTCCCTTGCTGACTCCTATCTTTCTCTTTTTTTAAAAAAATATTTTTTTTAGAGACAGGGTTTCCCTCTGTCACCAAATCTGGAGTTTAGTGATACAATGATAGCTCAGTGCAGCCCCGACCTCCTAGACTCAAGTGATCCTTCTGTCTTAACCTCCTAGGTAGCTAGGACTACTGATGTGAACACCACCACTCCTGGGTAATTAAAAAAAATTTTTAGAGGTGGGGTCTCACTGTTGCCCAGGCTTTTCTTGAACTACTGACCTCAAGTGGTTCTCCTGCCTCAGACTCCTGAGTAGCTGGGACTCCAGGTGTGTACCACCACACCTGGCTAATTAAAAAAATTTTTAGGGATGGAGTCTTACTATATTGCCCAGATTGGTCTCAAACTCCTGGCCTCAAACTGCTCTTTTGCCTCTGCCTCCCAAGTAGTTGGGACTACAGGTGTGTACCACCACACCTGGCTAATTAAAAAACTTTTTTTTTTTTTTTTTTTTAGGATAGTGTCTTACTGTATTTCCCAGTTTGGTCTTAAACCTCTGGCCTCAAGTGATTCTCCTGCCTCAGCCTCCCAACTGGGACTACAGGTGTGAACCACCACACCCAGTTAGCTTCTATTCTCTAAGCCAGTTACATGTCATATGTCAGAGGACCCCAGGGAAGGGTAGAGGAGATCCTGATTCTAGAATTCTGTTTTATGATTCTTGTGCTATTGACCTACTGGCCACTCCAAAACACAAGGCCCAAGGAAATTTCACAATTTCCTTGAGGAGTCTATTTGCATAAGTGTCTATCCATGCAAACTTGTTGAAAGTGGGGTAGAGTATGCAAGAAACTGTTGATGTTATTGCTAATTGGAAGGCAAAACAGTCAATTTTGAATGCATCTCCTTCTAGAGGAATCTAAATCAAAGTGCTTGTCTTTTGTGAACCCCAAATGCATCTGTGAGTGTTAAGATATCCCCCTTGTGAGTGTGTGGGAGTGAGAATGGATAGATGGCTTAATGACTGGAAACACAATTGCTTTCTTGTCTTGTCTTGTCTTTTCTTTTTTTTTTGAGACAAAGTCTCACTCTTTCATCCAGGCTGGAGTGCAGTGGCATGATCTTGGCTCACTGCAACCTCCACCTCCGAGGTTCAAGCAATTCTCTTGCCTCAGCACCAGAGTAGTTGGGATTACAGGCCTGCACCATCATGGCTGGCTAATTTTTGTATTTTTAGTAGAGATGGGGTTTCACCATGTTGGCCAGACTGGTCTTGAACTCCTGACCTCCAATGATCTGCCCACCTCGGCCTCTCAAAGTGCTGGGATTACAAGCATGAGCCACCATGCCCAGCCAGGATTGCTTTCTTAGAGACCATCTGTGAGAACCAGAGATGTGGATCTACTCAAAATGTAGTAGGGGAAACCAATGGTGAAATCTCAGTAAGACAGAGTATAGTCATCAGGTCCAAAAAACTATTAATAGAAACAGGCTTGAAATCAAAGACTAAGACAGAGCTCTGGTCAGTAAATGTGTCTGGATCAGAAAAGACTCAGGATGTTACCAAATTGAACTGGGGTCCCCTTACCCAGTGCAGTAAAGCCAAATATCCACACTGAGGTTTTGCAGCAGGAGAAAGGAGGGCATTTATTTGCAGGGCACCAAGCAAGGAGAATTGGGCAGATCACACTTAAGACCTGACCTCCCCGATGGCTTGTAAGCAAGGATTTTTAAAGGCAGGGGTACATTTCAGGAAAGTAGAAGTTGCAGGCAAAATTTTAAACCAATACATGAAGGTTATACATTGATTTGGCCCAAAAAGGCAGGATATTTTGAAGTGGAGAGGCTTGCGGGCCAGAGGTGGATTCAAAGACTCTGATTTGTGATTGGTTAAGGAAGTGAAGCTTTGTCTAAAAACTTGGGGTCAAGCAGAAAGGAATGTTAAGGCCTGGCCTGTGTTTGTGACTTCCTCCAGGCCCTGCAGGAAGAAATTTAGAACAAATAATTGCAGCAAAAGTTCAGTCCTCAGCTCCCCCTTATCTGAGATCTATATACCAGCAGATCTGTTTGGTGGGGCCTGGGTTTCTTCTTGCTTACCAGGTTGCTCACTTACTTCTCAGGGCTAGCTAGGTGCCTGGAATTTCCTTAAAGGAACTCAAGATTTTCCTTTATTTCCATCCTTGGGGGGCCCAGCAGGCTTCTAAGAAGGTTCCCTGCTCCTTCTCAGGGATGAATGCGGTAAACATCTCTCAAGAAGCCTGTCTGCAGTGTGTGCTATCTCACTGTAGGGTGGCCAACTGTTTTTTGTTTTGTTTTGTTTTTTTGAGACAGGGTCCCACTCTGTCACCCAGGCTGGAGTGCAGTGGTTCCATATTAGCTCACTGCAACCTCCGCCTCCCATGTTCAAGCAATTCTCTGGCCTCAGCCTCCAGAGTAGTTGGGGTAACAGGTGTGCACCACCATACCCAGCTAATTTTTCATATTTTTAGTAGAGATGCGGTTTCACCATGTTGGCCAGGCTGGTCTCAAACTCCTGACCTCAAGTGATCCACAGGCCTCGGCCTCCCAAGGTCCTGGGATTACAGGCATGAGCCACCGTGCCTGGCCTGGCCAACTGTTTTGTTTTGCCTGGGACATCCCTGCTTTTAGCACTGAAAAACCCATCTCCTGGGAAATCCCTCAGTCCTGGGCAAACTGGGATGGTTGATCACCCTTGATACCTGACTTTTTGCCTTGATTTAAAGGGTCAGAGATGGGGCAGAAAGTACTTAGACAGACACACCCTATATCAGAAAGGAGGCTGCTTTAGCCTCCCAGCACAGTGTATACTCCTTGTAGGGCGCATATATAATAGAACAAGGAGTTGACTGGCATGTATTCTGCTTTGTGACATTGCTAGTGGTGGTGAAGAAGGGCTCAGCGCAACCAAACCATGCAGAGTTGTTTCAGCTACTTTCACAACTCCCTGGGTCAGGGGTTGTATATGACCCTGCTCATGCCTTTCCTGGTAAACCACTAGTACCCTTGCTAATAGCAGCCTCTGAATGTGGGCCATTGTGACAGGTCCTCCTACAGGAGACAGGAGTCTAACTTTGGAGAGTCCTAGCGGCAGAGAGCACAAGCTGTGTGCTAGTGGGAAAGTGACCACAGATGTGATCCAGTGTTTCATCTGCAGACTCTAAATATTTACTGACCTCAAAAGCAAATCCAACAAAAACAAAACTTGACAACTGGGACCTAATTAAACTAAAAAGCTTCTGCACAGCACAAGAAACTATCAACAGCGTAAACAGACAGCTGACAGAATGGGAGACAATATTTGCAAACTATGCATCTGACAAAGGACTGATATTCAGATTCTATGTGGAACTTAAACAAATCAACAAGAAAAAACCCCCAGATAACCCCATTAAAAAGGGGGCAAAGGACATAAACAGGAACTTTTTGAAAGAAGACATACAAGTGGCTAACAAATGTGAAAAAATGCTCAACATCATCAATCATTAGAGAAATGCAAATCAAAACCACTATGAGATACCACAGCACACCAGTAAGAATGGCTATTAATAAAAAGTCAAAAAACTCCACCAGATAATGGCAAGGTTGTGTAGGAAAAAAAAAAATCCGCTTATACACTGTTGGTGGGAATGTAAATTAGTTCAGCCCCTGTGGAAAGCAGTTTGGAGATTAATCAAAGGACTAAAAGTAGAAGTACCTTTTGACCCAGCAATTCCATGACTGGGTATATGCCCAAAGGAAAATAAATTATTTTACCAAAGGACACCTGCACCTGTATATTCTTCACAGCCATATTCACGATAGCAGAGACCTAGAACCAGCATAGGTGCTCATCGACAGTAGATTGAATAAAGAAAATGTGATACATGTAAACCATAGAATACAGCCATAAAAAAGCATGAAATCATGTCTGTTGTAGCATCATGGATACAGCTGAAGGCCATTACCCTAAAGGAATTAATGCAGAAACAGAAAACTGAATGCTGCCTGTTCTCATTTATAAGTGGGAGCTATTCACTGGGTACACATGGACACAAAGATGGAATAATGGATGCTGGGGACTCCAAAAGAGGGGAGGGAGAGAGAGGAGAAGGGGTTGCAAAACTACCTATTGGGTACTATATTCACTCTTTGGGTGACTGGGTCAACAGAAACCCAACTTCAGCATCATGTAATATTCCCATGGAAGAAACCTGCACATGTACCCCCTGAATCTATAATAAAATAAAATAAATGTTTACTGATATTATATTAAGTCAGGTTCTCAAATATTAGCATACACCAGAATCCCCTGGAGAGCTTGTTGAAACACAGATTCTTGGGCCCCATCTCCAGAGTTTCTGATTCAATAGAATTGGGAAAGGGTCTGAGAATCTGCATTTCTAACCAGTTCCACATTGATGCCAATGCTGCTAGTCCAGAGACCAAGTTTGAAAACCACTAGATTAGGTGCCAGGAACTCTGACATCTCAGGAAAAGCCCAGCAAGGGGGGAAATCATTCCTGTTTTACAGAAAGAATGTATGTCGAGCAAAAGGGACAAAATGGTTTGCCGAAGTGGCCACCACTAAGTGACAGAGCTGGGGATTTAAATTCCTCTTTTCTGACAGCAACTCCAGGCTCTCTGTCTCCATCTGGCTTCCTTCCCATTTGAAGGAGAAGCATGCCAGGAATGGTTGTGCTCTTAACTTCCGAAGAAGTCCACATATTCCAGGTCTCTACATTGATTTAATCCATTCTTCTCATAGTCTACACTGAACTCCAGGTAGTGAATAAGAAATCAAATTCAAGATTGAGGAGCTTTATCCCTATTGTAAAACATGCAACTTGTCCACTTTCTGAACTTGGTTTCCTTGACTCTATTTAACACCTCATCCTGTCTCCAATCTGATACCGTTATTTGAATGCAAATTATAGGTCTTTGGGAAAGGTTAGTGTAGACACATTCTAATTCCTAACAGAGGCTGCCCATGCAGTTTGGAAATCAGTATTTTGTAGAACTCTCTTCGTGCTCTAATGAAGACAGTGTCATGGAGATGAAGGCTTTTAGAATCCTGGTATCATGTTACCTGGATTTGAGAATGCTCAATTGGGAAGTACAATTTTACTGACTTTTGGAGTGAAATGTCCTGGGGCTGGACAGGGCATTAGTAATTAGAATTCATTACTCTTTTTCATAAAGTAGAATTCTCGTATTTTTTCTTAGGTAGCTTTTTGTTAAATGAGATTGTACAAGACAGAGCCTTGTAAACTGCAAAACCTCAAAGTATTATTATGACATTAATAATTGCAAATGAATACATTCTGGAATCATTGACCTTAAAAGACATGGGAAGATGTATTATTACCTATTGCAAAGAGTTGTTCCTGGAGAGACCCATGAGTCAGATGAGCTAATGAGATGCACTAGTCCGTTCTCGCACTGCTATAAAGAACTACCTGAGACTGGGTAACTGATAAAGAAAAGAGGTTTAATTGGCTCATGGTTCCACAGGCTGTACAGGAAGAATAACTGGGGAGGCCTCAGGAAACTTACAATCATAATGAAAGGTGAAGAGGAAGCAGGCATATCTTTCACATGGCCAGAGCAGGAGGAAGAAAGTGAAGGAGGAGGTGCTACCCACTTTTTTTTTTTTTTTTTTGAGATGGAGTCTCGCTGTTTTGCCCAGGCCGGAGTGCAGTGGCGCTATCTCGGCTCACTGCAAGCTCCGCCTCCTGGGTTCACGCCATTCTCCTGCCTCAGCCTCCCGAGTAGGTGGGACTACAGGCACCCGCCACCACGCCCGGCTAATTTTTTGTATTTTTAGTAGAGATGGGGTTTCACCGTCTTAGCCAGGATGGTCTCTATCTCCTGACCTTGTGATCCGCCCACCTCAGCCTCCCAAAGTGCTGGCTACAGCCCTTTTAAACAACCAGATCTTGTGAGAACTCACCGTCACAAGAACAGCACTCACTATCACAAGAACAGCAAGCAGGAAATCCACCCACATGATCCAATCCCCTCCCACAAGGTCCCTTCTTTAACATTGAGGATTACAATTTGACATGAGATTTGGGCAGGGACACAGATTCAAACCACATCGGATGCTGATAAGCCAGTGTCATGTGCTTGTAAAAAAAAAAAAAAGTGATGGTAAACAGGAAAAAGAATAGATGTGCTAAGAAAAAAGGCATCTTCTACCAACTGCATTTAATTTTTTTTTTTTGAGACAGTCCCTCTCGGTTACTGAGGCTGGAGTGCAGTGGCACAATCTCGGCTCACTGCAGCCTCCGCCTCCCGGGTTCAAGTGATTCTCATGTCTCAGCCTCTGGAACAGCTGGGATTACAGGTGCACACCACCATGTCCGGCTAATTTTTGTATTTTTAGTAGAGATGGGGTTTCACCATGTTGACCAGGCTGGTCTCAAATTCCTGACCTCAAATGATCCCCCCACCTCCACCTCCCAAAATGCTGGGATTACATGGTGAGCCACTGCGCCTGGCCCATTTAATTTTTTTGATGGAATATCTGTACTGTTGGAATGTGGAACTATGGAATATACATAGAGTCTACCAAGGCATTTGATATTTTCTAAGTTTGAAATTTGGGTTGTACGGCATTACAACCACACGGATTCAAAATAGATTAAACATCTGGACTAAAAAGATATTGATGGTGAATTAATGTCAGGCCAGAGTGGAAGTTCAGGGGGATGAGATTCAGGGCTCCACTCAGAGCCACATCTGATGTCTTGGAATCAGTGACTTAGATGTTCTAGAAAGGGTAGCCATAGTCATCATGCTGGATGACACACTGGAGAGTGAAATCCATCTCATGAGGTCAGAGTGGTGAGCTAAGCATAAAAATGTGGAATTTAATTGAAATCAATATGGAATCATATATTTGCACCTTAAGTCGCTCAGTTACAGCCTGAGAGAGACCTAGTTTAGCAAGTGTGAAACATTGAAAGTTTTATTTTTTATTTTTATTTTTTTTTGAGACAGAGTCTTGCTCTGTTGCCCAGGCTGGAGTGCAGTGGTGCAATCTTAGCTTACTGCAACCTCCACCTCCCAGGTTCAAGCGATTCTCCTGCCTCAGCCTCCTGAGTAGCTGGGACGATAGGTGTGCACCACCATGCCCAGCTAATTTTTGTATTTTTAGTAGAGACAGGGTTTCACCATGTTGGCCAGGCCAGTCTCGAACTCTTGACCTCAGGTGATCTGCCTGCCTCGGCCTCCCAAATTCCTGGGATTACAGGTATGAGCCACCATGCCTGGCCTCATTGAAAGGTTTTAGTTGACTACAAGCTCAGTATGCATCCATGTAAAGAGTAGTTGGCCAAAAAGAGAAGGAAAGAAAAAAAGCCCAATACAGCAATTTTAGTTTGGATTAATAGAGGCAAATGGCCTGAAATGAGCAAGGCAACAGGTGCACTCTGCCCACCTTGCAGACCCAGATAACTCTTGGAATACTGTGCTTAATTCTGGGCTGGACCCACCAACCTGGGACACATATCAGGAAGAGAGTGCCTGCAGGACCCTTGTTTGGAGTGTTCTGTAATCTCAGCCTCGAGCCTAGGCTTCCACATTATGAGAAAAAGGCATTCATTCATTCATTCATTCATTCATTCATTCAGCACTTATTCTCTCAAAAGCACTGGAATGTGTTCAAAGGTGGATCTACTTTGAAGCTGATGAAACTGAAGCTTCAAACTCCTTTCTTGCCTCAGTTTTTCTTCCAGGGTGTTGGGTAAGCCTCAGCAATGTGTTTGCATTCTCATATGTTTTTCCTAAATTCATAAACCTAATACATTATAACTGTCATTGTTACCGAATCAAACTTGGGTTCCCCCACCCAATGCAGCAGAGCCAAACACTGACATGGGGATTTTCAGTGAGAGAAAGCGAAGTGGTTATTGCAGGGTGCCAAGCAAGGAGAAGCAGGTAACTCCATAAGACCTGAACTCTCTGATGGCTTGCAAGGAGGGGTTTTTAAAGATGGGAAAGCAGAGGTTACAGGCAAAACCATTCATCAATGCATGGAGGCTCTACATTGGTTTGACCTAAAAAGATGGTACATCTAAAAATGGGGGCATGGGGGCACAGGTAATAGGTGGTTTCTGATTTCAAAGGTTTTCTGATTTGAAATTGGTTCAGGAGGCAAAGCTTTGTTTAAAAATTAAGGTTCAGTAGAAAACAATGTTAGCTCTGGCCTGTGAGCATGGCTTCCTCCAGGTCCTGCAGGAAGAAATTTAGAACAATGGGGGTCAGGGTTCAGGCCTCAGCTTCCCCTCATCTGAGGTCTCTGTGTCAGTGCATCCATTTGTTGAGGGTCTGGGTTTCTGAAAAGCAACTTGGGGTCATATGTTAAGATGTTATCTTTAGTTTCTATAGGGGACCAAACATCTCTTCACTGTAACTTCCTTGGCTATCATTTTAAGCCACTATTACCTTGTTGTTTATCAAGTTGCTCATTTACATCTCAGAGCTGGCTAGGTGCCTAGAATTTCCCTTGAAGGAACTCAAGATTTTCCTTTGGCGGGGGGCTGGGCATGGTGGCTCATACCCATAATCCCAGCACTTTGGGAGGCCGAGGAAGGGGGATCACTTGAGGTCAGGAGTTAGAGACCAGCCTGGCCAACATGGTGAAACCCTGTCTCTACTGAAAATACAAAAATTAGCCAGTGTGTTGGTGCTTACCTGTAATCCCAGCTACTGAGGAGGCTGAGGCAGGAGAATCACCTGAACCCAGGAGGCAGAGGTTACAGTGAGCCAAGATCGTGCCACTGCACTCCAGCCTGGGTGACAGAGCAAGGCTCTGTCTCAAAAAAAAAAAAAAAAAAAAAAAAAAGATAACATGAAGGATACAGCACCACTGAAAGAACAATCTATGACGTATTGGTAAATGAGGGTCATTGTAAAATTGTGATTTATAATAAGACATATATATTACATTCCCCCATCTCCTTGCACATGGCTCCTAAAAGGCTTTGTAATCTCCAAAGTGATTTTTTTTTTTTTGAAACCGAGTTTTACTCTTGTTGCTGAGGCTGGAGTGCAGCAGTGCCATGTTGGCTCATTGCAACCTCTGTCTCCCGCGTTCAAGTGATTCTCCTGCCTGGGATTACAGGTGCTTGCCACCACACCTGGCTAATCTTTTGTATTTTTAGTAGAGATGGAGTTTTACCATGTTGGCCAGGCTGGTCTTGAACTCCTGACCTCAGATGATCCACCTGCCTCAGCCTCCCAAAATGCTGGGATTATAGGCATGAGCCACCGCGCCCAGCTGCAGTGTGTCTTTTTGTAGGCTAATATGATGACTGGTGGCTGCTGGCTCCTGCACAGCCTCAGGATGGGGCTGGTTGCCAGGGGAAACAACCACGTGTTTAGAAGGTTGGAACTTTCAGCCCAACCCTCGACCTCCAGACAGGGGAGAGGGGTTGAAGGTTGAGTTGATCATTGGTGGCCAATGATGTAATCAATCATGCCTATGTCATGAAGCCTCCATGAAAACCTTAAAGGACAGGGTTCAGGGGCCTTCTGGATAGCGGGACACATTGGGGTTCCTGGAGGGTGGTGAGCCCGGAGAGAGTGCAGAAGCTCCCCTCCCCTTCCCACATGCCTGGCCTCACGCCCGTCTCCCATCTGGCTGTTTATCTCTATCCTCTGTAATATCCTTTGCAATAAATAGGTGAACATAAACATTTCCCTGAGTTATATGAGCTGTTCTGGCAAATTAATCAAACTCAAGGGGGGATTGTGAGAATCCCTGATTGATAATTGGTCAGAAGCACAAATCACAACCTAGGGCTTGTGATTAGCATCTGAAGTGGGGGGCAGTTTTTGGACTGAGTCTTTAACCTGTGGGATCTGATGCTATCTCCATATAGATAGTATCAGAACTGAATTGAATTGAATTATAGGACCTCCAGTTGGTGTCTGCTGGAGAATTGCTTGGTTGGTGTGTGGGGGAAACACCCCCCTCCATATCCTACACATCTGATGTCAGAAGTGTTGTGCTGAGTGATGTGTGATTTTCTTTTTTTCCTATCTCTCAGAGTCATCAAGACAAAGAGTATTGGAGATTTGTCCTTGTGCAAGAAATGTCTCCAAATCTTACAGTTATCAAATAAATTAACTTTATAAACATAATATCACTATTAACAAGTTATAATGCTCAAATAAACATTAGCAAACCCTCAATAATATGAACCTAGTTTTAGTCAGCCATGCTTGCTATCAAAAATGATATTACAAATTTAAAAATCATTTCAAAAGGCAATCAAGATTTATGTGGCCAAAAAATTGGAGGTTAAAAATGTATTACAAAGGGGTGTCAGGTAGTTAAGAAATAAACATATCTGTTCTTTTCCTGGTTTTGTTATATTTGTCTATTTTTAAAATTTGTAATTGGTAGTGTGCTCTTCCTTCATTCTAAATAAATAATCACTTTGTACTGAATCTGGTGTTTATAATTTTAGATTATTTTTCTTAAAGAAGGCTTTTCAAATTGTATAAGCTACAGGATCCACAAAACCTACATCCACCCTGGCTGAGTTTTAGAGAAATTTAAATACAGATGTGGCCAGTGACTGGTGAAGGAGTTTATTGTTGGGAACAAGCCCTCCAAAATCTGGCCATAAACTGGCCCCAAAACTGGCCATAAACAAAATCTCTGCAGCACTGTGACATGTTCATGATGGCCATAAAGCCCACACTGGAAGGTTGTGGGTTTACTGGAATGAGGGCAAGGAGCACCTGGCCTGCCCAGGGCAGAAAGCCACTTAAAGGCATTCTTAAGCCACAAACAATAGCATGAGTGATCTGTGCTTCAAGGATATGCTCCTGCTGCAGTTAACTGGCCCAACCTATTCCTTTAATTCAGCCCATCCCTTGGTTTCCCATAAGGGATAATTTTAGTTAATCAAATATTTATAGGCTTATGGCTCTGAAGGCTGTGAGACCCCTGATTTCCCACTTCACACCTCAATATTTCTGTGTGTGTGTCTTTAATTCCTCTAGCGCTGCTGGGTTAGGGTGTGTGTCTTTAATTCCTCTAGCGCCGCTGGGTTAGGGTCTCCCTGACTGAGCTGGCACCCAACGTGGGGCTCGAATCCAGGTTGAAGGGTTGCCAGAGTGACAGTTGGAGAATGTGGAAATAGCTGGAGGACACCCGAGTACTCTTAAAGCAATCCCCATGGTGAGTAAGAAGGGGAGCTCAGAAGTGTCAGGGTAACAATGGGACAAGTGTGGGGTCTGGTTCGTTCCGTGTTGGAACTTTTTCACACTGATAATGAGGAGGAAGGAGAGTATAGTGAAGTAATGGAAGAGGTTACAGAACATGTTTATTTACCAGCTAAAGCTAAAGCAGCAAAGGAAGGAGAGGTTCATCTCTACCCTTTTGCACCCCCTCATTATTATTTTGAAGATAAAAACCCTCAAGATCTTTCTTTTCTGGAGGACACTGGGGGAAAAGTAGTTGCCCCGGTGACTGTTCAACAGCACCTTAAGCGAGCACTCTCAGTTCTATTCAGGCAGGAATTCAGCAAGCTAGATGAGAGGGTGATTTAGAGGCTTGGCAGTTCCCTGTTAGAATACACCCCCCAGATCAACAGGGAAATAGTATAGCTACATTTGAGCCATTTCCTTTTAAATTACTCAAAGAATTTAAACAAGCTATAATTCAGTATGGACCAGTTTCTCCTTTTGCAATGGGACTGTTAAGGAATGTTGCTGTTTCTAGTCGGATGATTCCTACTGACTGGGACACTCTTACTTGAGCTTGTCTAACTCCTGCTCAGTTCTTACAATTTAAAACTTGGTGGGCAGATGAAGCTTCCATTCAGGCTGCTCACAATACCCAGGCCCACGCTCAAATTAATATAACTGCAGACCAACTTTTGGGGGTTGGGGCCGGGCTGGTTTAGATGCACAGCTGCTGATGCAGGATGATGCCTTAGAACAGCTTAGAGGAGTGTGCGTTAGAGCTTGGGAAAAAATCACTTCAGGTGGGGAACAATACCATTCCTTTAGTGCTATAAAACAGGGACCAAGAGAACTATACATTGATTTTATAGCTCTGTTACAGGAGTCTCTTAAACAGATAATTGCAGATTCGGCTGCTCAGGATATAGTGTTGCAGTTATTAGCTTTCGACAATGCTAATCCTGATTGCCAGGCTGCTCTGCAATGTATCAGAGGGAAAGCACATTTAGTTGATTATATCAAGGCCTGTGATGGTATTGGATGTAATCTGCATAAAGCTACTCTGCTAGCACAGGCAATGGCAGGACTGAGAGTGGATAAAGGAAATACTCCATTTCCTGGAGCTTGTTTTAACTGTGGGAAGCATGGTCATACTAAAAAAGAATGTAGAAAAAAATCAATGAGTCAGGCCACCAGATAGGGGAAAAAGGAAAACTGCTGATCCTGAAATATGTCCAAATGTAAAAAAGGAAAACATTGGGCTAATCAATGTCACTCTAAGTTTGATAAAGAAGGGAAACTGATTTCGGGAAATGTCATGAGGGGCCCGTCCTGGGTCCCATTCTAAACCAGGGCATTTCCAGCTCAGGCCATTCCCTCACCCCTGTACAATGTCTGTCCCCCGCCACAGCCGGTAGTGCCACAGTAGATTTATGCTGCATGAAAGTTGTGAGCCTTCTGCCTGGGGAACCCCTGCAAAATGTCCCAACAGGAGCCTGTGGACCCTTGCCAGCAGAGACACTAGGATTACTTTTAGGAAGGTCTAGTTTAAATTTAAAAGACGTACAAATACATACAGGAGTCATTGATTCAGATTATAATGGGGAAATTCAAATTGTTGTATCTACTTCTGTTCCCTGGAAAGCAGAGCCAGGAGAGTGTATGGCACAGCTCCTGATTGTGCCATATGTGGGAATGGGAAAAAGTGAAATTAAATGAACAGGAGGATTTGGAAGCACAAATAAACAAGGCAAAGCAGCTTATTGGGTAAGTAAAATTACTGATAAATGTCCTACCTGTGAAATAACTATACAGGGAAAGAAATTTAAAAGTATGGTAGATACAGGAGCAGACATTTCAATCATTTCTTTACAGCACTGGCCGTCTGTGTGGCCAAATCAACCCACTCAATTTAACATAGTTGGAGTTGGTAAAGCCCCTGAAGTATATCAAAGTAGTTATATTTTGCATTGTGAAGGGCCCGATGGATAACATGTGACTATTCAACCAATTATAACTTATGTACCTATAAATTTATGGGGAAGAGATTTATTACAACAATGAGGAGCACAAGTTCTAATTCCAGAACAATTATATAGCCCTCAAAGTAAACATACAATGCATGAAATGGGATATGTCCCTGGTATGAGACTAGAAAAAAATTTGCAAGGTTTGAAAGAACCGCTTCAAGCAGAAAAACAAAGTTCCCGCCAAAGATTAGGAAATAATTTTTGATGGCAGCCATTGTTAAGCCTCCAGAACCTATACCTTTAAAATGGTTAACAGATAAGCCAATTTGGATAGAACATTGGCTGCTAAGTAAAGAGAAACTGGAGGCTTTAGAGGAATTATTTACCGAACAATTAGAAAATGGGCACATAGCTCCAACATTTTCCCCTTGGAATTCTCCAGTTTTCATAATTAAGAAAAAATCACGTAAATGGAGAACGTTAACTGACTTAAGAGCCATCAATTCAGTTATATGACCTATGGGAGCATTACAGCCAGGATTGCCTTCTCCTGCTATAATTCCAAAAAATTGGCCTTTAATAGTCATAGATTTAAAAGACTGTTTCTTTACTATCCCTTTAGCTGAGCAAGACTGTGAATGGTTTGCATTTACAATTCCTGCAGTAAACAACTTGCAGCCTGCTAAGCATTTTCATTGTTTCACAGATGGGTCTAGTAATGGTAAATCTTCTTATTCTGGCTCGAAAAGTAAAGTTTTCCAGACGTCCTGTACTTCAGCTCAAAAAGCGGAGCTTGTAATAGTAATTGAGGTATTGACTGCTTTTGATATGTCTATTAATGTGATTTCTGATTCTTCATATGTGGTTCATTCCACACAGTTAATTGAAAATGCTCAGTTACAATTTCATACAGATAAACAACTAATAACTTTATTTACCCAATTGCAAACAGCAGTTAGAAGTAGAATGCACCCTTTTTACGTCACTCACATTAGGGCTCATACACCTCTTCCAGGACCTTTGACTGAAGGGAATCAAATGGCCGATTGCCTAGTTGCTAATGCAGTATCTAATGCTAGACACTTTCACATGTTAATGCCTGTGGTCTCAAATGCAGATACAGCATTACCTGGAAAGAAGCTAAAGCTATTATCCAGCAATGCCCAACTTGACAAATGGTATATTCCTCATCTTTTACAGGAGGAGTTAATCCTAGAGGATTGGAACCTAACTCTATTTGGCAAATGGATGTCACACATATTCCCTCATTTGGGAGACTAGCTTATGTACATGTATATGTGGACACCTTTTCTCACTTTGTCTGGGCTACATGCCAAACAGGAGAGTCTTCTGCCTGTGTTAAACATCATCTTTTACAGTGTTTTGTGGTGATCAGCATTCCAGTTTCTATTAAAACAGATAATGCCCCAGGCTATACTAGCCAAGCTCTAGCTACATTTTTCTCTATGTGGAATATTAAACACATTACTGGTATCCCATACAATTCTCAAGGACAAGCCATAGTGGAAAGATTGAATCTTTCCCTAAAACAGCAGTTGCAAAAGCAGAAAGGGGGAGACAGAGAATATGGAACCCCGCAGATGCAACTGAATCTAGCATTATTAACTAAATTTTTTGAGCCTGCCCAAAAGGCCAAATGTTATCAGCAGCTGAACAGCATCTACAGAAACCAGCTGCAAAGACAGAAGCAGAACAACTGATTTGGTGGAGAGATCCAATAACAAAAAGTTGGGAAATAGGTAAAATAATAATTTGGGGTAGAGGTTATGCTTGTGTTTCTCCAGGCCAAAATCAACAGCCGATTTGGATACCATCAAGACACCTGACACCTTATCATGAGCCAGATTCTGGGAGGATCCCAAGGACCCCTCAGTTGCAGCCATGGTGAGACTGACACTGAGGAGGACCCCAACTGTCACAAGCAACACCTGTTGAACACAGCCACCCACCTGGGGACAGATCAAGAAGCTGTCACAGATGGCAGAAGAAAATGTGAGGAAAGCGGGACAACAAGTCACAATGGGTAATTTAATGGTAGCTATGATAGCGGTTATCACCACTGCCATGAGTATTCCTTCAATAAGGGCTGACACAGAGAACAATTATACTTATGGACATATTTATCAATCTTGGCTGGTAATAATGCCTGGATATATCACTCTATGACATAGTTACACATGCTTTCTGATCTCAGTATTTACCATAATAAATCTGCTCCTATAATTGAGGCATACTACCCTCAAAAACCTATTTGTAAACAAAATTGTACCTGGCCAGAAATAATGAACATAGTTGTTTGGGAAGATTGCACTGGAGAACAGGCAGAGGTGCTGCACAACGATTACTATGGAATCATTATTAGTTGGTCCCCTAAGGGGATGTTTAGTTTGAATTACACCTCTCAGTCTGCATGCCATGGCTACTCTATATTTAGCTGGTCTGAACAAAATGGTCAGATGGTAGAAATGATAAGAAGTATGGCAAGAGTTCCTATTATCTGGAACCATGGAGGTATAGTGGCACCTCAACCTCAAATGATATGGCCCACTGTAGGAGCTAAACATTAAGGATTTGTGGAGTGCTCAATGGTGCCCAAGATGGAGTGCAGTGGCGTGATCTCGGCTCGCTACAACTTCCACCTCCCAGCCGCCTGCCTTGGCCTCCCAAAGTGCCCAGAGTGCAGCCTCTGCCCGGCCGCCACCCAATCTAGGAAGTGAGGAGCGTCTCTGCCTGGCCGCCCATCATCTGGGATGTTAGGAGCCCCTCTGCCTGGCTGCCCAGTCTGGAAAGTGAGGAGCGTCTCTGCCCAGCCGCCATCCCATCTAGGAAGTGAGGAGCGCCTCTTCCCGGCCGCCATCCCATCTAGGAAGTGAGGAGCGTCTCTGCCCAGCCGCCCATCGTCTGAGATGTGGGGAGTGCCTTTGCGCCACCGCCCCGTCTGGGATGTGAGGAGCGCCTCTGCCCGGTCGCGACCCCGTCTGGGAGGTGAGGAGCGTCTCTGCCCAGCCGCCCCATCTGACAAGGGAGGAGACCCTCCGCCTGGCAACCGCCCCATCTGAGAAGTGAGGAGACCCTCCACCCGGCAGCCGCCCCATCTGAGAAGTGAGGAGCCCCTCCGCCCGGCAGCCACCCCATCTGGGAAGTGAGGAGCATCTCCGCCCGGCAGCCGCCCTGTCCAGGAGGGAGGTGGGGGTCAGCCCCCGCCAGGCCAGCCACCCCGTCTGCCGTCTGGGAGGGAGGTGGGGGGTCAGCCCCCCGCCCGGCCAGCCGCCCCGTCCGGGAGGGAGGTGGGGGGGTCAGCCCCCCGCCCGGCCAGTGAGGGGCGCCTCTGCCCAGCTGCCCCTACTGGGAAGTGAAGAGCCCCTCTGCCCGGCCAGCCACCCCGTCCGGGAGGGAGGTGGGGGGGTCAGCCCCCCGCCCGGCCAGCCGCCCCATCCGGGAGGGAGGTGGGGGGTCAGCCCCCCGCCCGGCCAGCCGCCCCGTCCGGGAGGTGAGGGGTGCCTCTGCCCGGCCGCCCCTACTGGGAAGTGAGGAGCCCCTCTGGCCGGCCAGCCGCCCCTTCCGGGAGGGAGGTTGGGGGGTCAGCCCCCCGCCTGGCCAGTCGCCCAGTCCGGGAGGGAGGTGGGGAGGTCAGCCCCCCACCCGGCCAGCCGCCCCGTCCGGGAGGGAGGTGGGGGGGTCAGCCCCCCGCCCGGCCAGCTGCCTCGCCCGGGAGGTGAGGGGCGCCTCTGCCCGGCTGCCCCTACTGGGAAGTGAGGAGCCCCTCTGCCCGGCCAGCCGCCCCGTCCGGGAGGGAGGTGGGGGGTCAGCCCCCCACCCGGCCAGCCGCCCCGTCTGGGAGGGAGGTGGGGGGGTCAGCCCCCCGCCCGGCCAGCCGCCCCGTCCGGGAGGTGAGGGGCGCCTCTGCCCAGCTGCCCCTACTGGGAAGTGAGGAGCCCCTCTGCCCGGCCAGCCGCCCCGTCCGGGAGGGAGGTGGGGGGGTCAGCCCCCCGCCTGGCCAGCCGCCCCATCCGGGAGGGAGGTGGGGGGTCAGCCCCCCGCCCGGCCAGCCGCCCCGTCCGGGAGGTGAGGGGCACCTCTGCCCGGCCACCCCTACTGGGAAGTGAGGAGCCCCTCTGCCCGGCCAGCCGCCCCTTCCGGGAGGGAGGTTGGGGGGTCAGCCCCCCGCCTGGCCAGTCGCCCAGTCCGGGAGGGAGGTGGGGGGGGGTCAGCCCCCCACCCGGCCAGCCGCCCCGTCCGGGAGGGAGGTGGGGGGGTCAGCCCCCCGCCCAGCCAGCCGCCTCGTCCGGGAGGTGAGGGGCGCCTCTGCCCGGCCGCCCCTACTGGGAAGTGAGGAGCCCCTCTGCCCGGCCAGCCACCCCATCCGGGAGGGAGGTGGGGGGGTCAGCCCCCCGCCTGGCCAGCCGCCCCATCCGGGAGGGAGGTGGGGGGGGTCAGCTCCCCGCCCGGCCAGCCGCCCCACCTGGGAGGTGAGGGGCGCCTCTGCCCGGCCGCCCCTACTGGGAAGTGAGGAGCCCCTCTGCCCGGCCACCACCCCGTCTGGGAGGTGTGACCAACAGCCCATTGAGAACGGGCCATGATGACAATGGTGGTTTTGTGGAATAGAAAGCGGGGAAAGGTGGGGAAAAGATTGAGAAATCGGATGGTTGCCGTGTCTGTGTGGAAAGAAGTAGACATGGGAGACTTTTCATTTTGTTCTGTACTAAGAAAGATTCTTCTGCCTTGGGATCCTGTTGATCTGTGACCTTAACCCCCAACCTTGTGCTCTCTGAAACATGTGCTGTGTCCACTCAGGGTTAAATGGATTAAGGGCGGTGCAAGATGTGCTTTGTTAAACAGATGCTTGAAGGCAGCATGCTTGTTAAGAGTCATCACCACTCCCTAATCTCAAGTACCCAGGGACACAAACACTGCGGAAGGCCGCAGGGTCCTCTGCCTAGGAAAACCAGAGACCTTTGTTCACTTGTTTATCTGCTGACCTTCCCTCCACTATTGTCCTATGACCCTGCCAAATCCCTCTCTGTGAGAAACACCCAAGAATGATCAATAAAAATAAAATTAAAAAAAAAAAAAAAAGATTTGTGGAAACTATTAATAGCTCTTAATAAGATCAAAATTTGGGAAAGAGTAAAAAAGCACCTAGAAGTACACTCTACAAACTTGTTTTTGGATATAGCAAAATTAAAAGAACAAATATTTAAAGCATACCAGGCACACCTGACTTTAATGCCAAGAACTGGAGTGCTTAAAGGAGCTGCAGACAGATTAGCAGCTAGTAACCCATTAAAATGGATAAAAACACTTGGAAGCTCTGTGATTTCAATGATGATTGTGCTTTTAATCTGTGTTGTTTGTCTTTGTATAGTCTGCAGATGGGGATCCTGACTCCTGCGAGAAGTAGCTCACCATGACAAAGCTGCCTTTGCTTTTATCAATTTGGAAATCAAAGAAGGGGGACATGTTGGGAACAAGCCCCCCCCCAATCTGGCCATAAACTGGCCCCAAAACTGACCATAAACAAAATCTCTGCAGCACTGTGACATGTTCAAGATGGCCATAAAGCCCATGCTGGAAGGTTATGGGTTTACCGGAATGACGGCAAGGAACACCTGGCCTGCCCAGGGTGGAAAACCACTTAAAGGCATTCTTAAGCCACAAACAATAGCATGAGCAATCTGTGCCTTAAGGACATGCTCTGCTGCAGTTAACTAGCCCAACCTATTCCTTTAATTTGGCCCATCCCTTCGTTTCCCATAAGGGATACTTTTAGTTAATCGAATATCTATAGAAACAATGCTAATGACTGGCTTGCTGTTAATAAATACATGGGTAAATCTCTGTTTGGGGCTCTCAGCTCTGAAGGCTGTGAGATCCCTGATTTCCCACTATACACCTCGATATTTCTGTGTGTGTGTCTTTAATTCCTCTAGCGCCACTGGATTAGGGTCTCCCCGTCCGAGCTGGTCTCGGCAGTTTATCATATAGGAGGAGAGATGAGACAAATTCATCCAAGAAGAATGCCTGGCAGGATGTGACAAGTCTCAAGAGAAATGTTAATGATTTTGGGGGTTCAGGGGTCTCGGGGGACACCTTCACCAACATCTCAGCTCTCCCTGCCAGCCTTTTTTTTTTTTTTCTTCTAGAGACAGGCTGGAGTGAAGTGGTGCAATCATAGCTCACTGTAACCTGAGCTCAAGCAATCCTCTCACCTCAGCCTCCTGAGTAGATGGGATGACAGGTGCACACCACCACACTGGGCTAATTTTTATATTTTTTATAGAGAAAGGATCTTGCTATGTTGCCCAGGCTGATCTCAAACTCCTGGCTTCAAGCCCTCTTCCTGCCTTGGCCTCTCAAAGTGCTGGGATTACAGGCATGAGCCACTGCACCTGGACCCTTCTTTTTTAAAAAAATTTTAGATTCGGGGGTACATCTGCATGTTTATTACATGGGTATATTGCATAATGGTAAGCATTAGGCTTCTAGTAAACGTATCACTTAAATATTGAACATTGTACCCAATAGGTAGTTTTTCAACCTCTCCCTCCCTGGCCACTTTGGGAATCATCAGTGTCTATTATTTTCCATCTTTCTGTCCATGTATACCAAATCTTCACCTCCCACTTATAAGTGAGAACAGCTTTCTGCTTCTGAGTTAGTTCACTTAGGATAATGGCCTCCAGCTCCATCCATGTTCCTGCAAAGGACATGGTTTCATTCATTTTTTTTGCCAGCCAGACCTTCTTGCATTCTCAATACTCTTCCTAAAAGGAAGCCTCCTTAAAAAAAAATCACCCTTCCATGTATAAACTACATGCTCAAAATGACACATCCATGTCTCTCTTATGCTGTTTTCCTGGCCTGTAATGTCCTTCCCCCAAAGGAATGCCCTGAGTCCACAGCAGTGTTACAGAGAGGCAGTGGATTCCATGCTTGAGACCAGGGCTCCCTTCCTCACCAGCTACATGACCTTGGTTAGCTCATTTGACCTTTCCTCACTTCTAAAGTAGGGACTGAAATACCAACCAATGCCAACCTCAAGCACTATAGAAAGGCACTAAATGGGTTCATGCATGTAAAATACTTGTCAACTTTAAAGCTCTGAACAAATGTTACATGTTATTACTACCAATCCTTCAATGCCCAATTCAAATGCTACCACCTTTACAGTCTCCCCTCGCCCCCACCCCATCAATCATCCCTTCTTCTGTGCATAATACTTGCTTCTTTGCTGTATTATTATTGTAAAGTCATTTGCTTATTTATTCATTCATTCTTTTATTTTATAAATAGAAGACACTTGCTTTCTCTCTCCCTGCATTTTTAAACTGTCTGGGCAGAGACTGTCTTGTTCTTATTTGTGTCCTCGAGAGTGTGTAGCTCATTATCTTGCACCCTCTAAGGGCTCAGTAATGGCTGTTTTTCAGGGGTGACATATGAGCTGTGCCTTCGAGGTTGGGAGGATTTAGATTAGGTGTGGATGGGTATTCCCGGGAGATAACGTACAAGTCCTGCTTCCTTCTAGGTGGTAATTCCATCATGGCTGGACATTAGAATCATCTTGGGGAGCTTTAAAAGACATGGGGGTGGTTGACAGGGTGCGGTGGCTCATGCCTGTAATCCCAGCACTTTGGGAGGTCAAAGCGGGTGGATCACGAGTTCAGGAGATCGAGACCGTCCTGGCTAACACGGTGAAACCCCGTCTCTACTAAAAATACAAAAAAAAAAAAAAAATTAGCTGGGCGTGGTTGCACGTACCTATAGTCCCAGCTAGTCGGGAGGCTGAGGCAGGAGAATGGCATGAACCCAGGAGATGGAGCTTGCTGTGAGCCGAGATCACACCACTGTACTCCAGCCTGGGCAACAGAGTGAGACTCCCTCTCAAAAAATAAAAATAAAAAAGACATGGGGGCCAGGTGAGGTGGCTCATGCCTGTAATTCCAGTGCTTTTGGAGGCTGAGGCAAGATCACTTAAACCCAGGAGTTTGAGACCAACCTGGGTAACATAGCAAGACTCTATCTCTACAAAAAAACTTCTAAAAATTAGCCAGGTATGGTGATACACACCTGTAATCCCAGCTATGCAGGAGGCTAACGTAGGAGGATCACTTGAGCCCAGGGGCTGAAGGCTGCGGTGAGCTATGCTTGTACTGCTGCACTCCAGACTGGATAAGAGAGCCAGACCTTGTCTCAAAGAAAAAAAAAAAAAAAAAGAGAGACAAGGGGCTGCTTGAGCCCTGACCCCAGAAATTCTAGTTTAACTGTCCTGGAATGATACCTAGCATTGAATTGTGGGTTTTTTTTTTTTTTTTTTTTTTGTGGTTGTTTGTAAAGACAGGGTCTTGTTATATTGCTCTGGCTAGTCTTGAACACCTGGCCTCAAGCAATCCTCCTGCCTTGGCCTCCCAAAGCACTGGGATTATTAGCAAAAGCCAACATGCCCAGCCCATTGAATTATTTTGAAACCACCCGTTCCCTCCAGTGATTCTAATGTACACCTGGGTTTGCAGCCACAGCTCAAAGACAATTTTATTAATTGGTGACTGACACTCACACACCTAGCAATTGTCTTTAGTTCACTGGCCCATCATGGGGATGACTCTGGGGATAACAAATCCTACTTAATTTCCTCATGCCTGAATCTTGGGTGGCCAACCTACCCCTTCCCCTCACTCAGCTGTGCTTGGTAAGTGGTCTTTGATAGTCATTTGTGTTTTTGGTGACCTGCAAAGGCCAGGTCAGACATGCCACCAATAGCTTTCTAATTTATTGATCTAACAGTCTATTATTTCATTGAAGGAAGCGGTGGGCGGGCCAGGGAGACACGGCTGTGCCAGGACTGCACATTCTCCTGTTTGTGACCTTTCTGGAACCTCTCCCTCTGCTCCATGGATTGAAAAACAAAAAGGGGCCAGGTGTGGTGGCTCACACCTGAAATCCCAGCACTTTGGGAGGCTGAGGTGGGTGGACCACCTGAGGTCAGGAGTTTGAGACCAGCCTGGCCAACATGGTCAAACCCCGTTTCTACTAAAAATACACAAATTAGCCAGGCGTGGTGGTGGGTGCTTGTAATCCCAGCTACTTGGGAGACTGAGGCAGGAGAATCACTTGAACCCAGGAGGTGGAGGTTGCAGCGAGGGAAGATCTCACCACTTCACTCCAGCCTGGACAAAAGAGCAAAACTCAATTAAAAAAAAAAAAAGGAAGAGAAAAAAAGGACAGATCCATTCACCAAAAGGACAGATCCATTCATCAAAGAGCTAAAGAAACCTTCAGATAGTCTCCCCCATTTCTCACTTTTCCATTTTGTCTCACTGTTTCTAGAGCTCTAATCGAATTTTTACACTTCATTTATTTGTTTTTAGTTTGCTCATTCTTGTGTTTTCTTTCCTTCCTCCTCTTGAACAGCTTCCCCTCCAGGTCGAGCACCTGTGATTATGCCTCCCATGGAGACGTGCAGAGCGACATTTAATAACAGGGACACTTTCCTGACAGCTGTTTTGATAATGGTGGCGAGGAAGGTTCTTCTTTCATGGGTGCACTTGGCAGAGAAAGCCTCGCCTGGTATCACAGTCTGAGATGTTCCAGGATCCACCTGTAATTTCACCTTCTCAACCTCACCTATCTACCTCCTTTTCAGAGGAGAACTATACTGAGTGACACTTACCTCCCAAGCAGAGGAGGTGCTGATTTTTCAAGCAGATCAAGGCAGATTTGGGGTTGGGAAATTAGTATTTCATTCTTCATCTGCCCTGCAGGTCACTACCACAGAAAAACTGCTGGCTGGATTTGGAAAGATCATCCCCACAGTGGGTAACAACAATACCACTGCCTTGACCTTGATGGGGGGCTTGTTTCCAAAAGAAATTATGCCTCCATTACAGGCCATTTTAGACCATTAGTGATGTGTTTACATTTCCACAAGAATGTTTACCTTTCCCTGCAGGGAAGGAGGTCAGTTCATTCACGAGTTAGTAACTGTGATCAAAGCTCTCTGCTTTAGCTCAAGGAACCAACCCTTAGGTTTGGGAGTTGAATTTTGACTCACTAATTGGCTCTGCAGGTGCCTTTGTTTTTTTATTTCCACTCCCTAAGTGCCCTTGTCAGTCTCTGGCTGGCCTCCCTGGGTGCTAGAGAATTCAAAACAAGAAAAAGAGCAAAACTTTGGGGAGCAGGAAACTGAAGGTTACTCTCAAGATCCTTTTGTCAGCTGGATAAGTCACTTGATTTCTCTGTGCCTCCATTTTGGGATCATGTTGGTACCTACCTAATAGGTTCATGGGAAGGTTGGGTGAGTTAAGGCATAGACACCCTCAGCAAATGCAAGGCAGAGCGCCCTTGCTCATTAAAAGGGAGCTGCTGTTATTTCAATGCTCTTTCTTCCATCATTACAAGAGGGGACCAAAGTCCTGTCTGGATGGTCCCCCCTACCCCTGCCTACCTCAGGAGGGAATCTATAAAAAAAAATACAAAGAAGCATTCTGAAATCTTCAGTACCTGGGAAAATCAATAGTTGGAGGACCCCCTTGATGCTTTTTTTAATTTTAATTTTTTTTTTTGAGATGGAGTCTTGCTCCGTCACTCAGGCTGTAGTGCAGTGGCACAATCTCCAGCTCACTGCAACCTCAGCCTCCTGGGTTCAAGTAATTCTCCTGTCTCAGCCTCCTGAGTAGCTGGGATTACAGGTGTGTGCCACCATGCCTGGCTATCTTTTGTATTTTTAGTAGAGACAGGGTTTCGCCATGTTGGCCAGGCTGGTCTTGAACTCCTGACCTCAGGTGATTCACCTGCCTCAGCCTCCCAAAGTGCTTGGATTACAGGTATGAGCCACTGTGCCCACCCCTCTTGATGCTTTTTAATCCCAACTACAGCAAAAATCTTCCTAAGGTTTTTTTTTTTTTTTTTTGAGACTGGGTCTTGCTCTGTCACTCAGGCTGAAGCGCAGTGGTGTGACCATAGCTCACTGAAGCCTCCAACTCCTGATATCAAGTGATCCTCCTGCTTCAGCCTTCCAAGTAGCTAGGACCACAGGCATGCGCCACTGCACCCACCTAATTATTATTACTTTTTTTTTTTGTAGAGACATGGTTTCACTATATTGGCAGACATGAGGTTTATTCACCATGTTGTCTTGGCCGGCTGACACCACCTTGTTAGTTACCTCATTTATGAATGGCGGTGATTATATCTGCCTTATATGGCAGTCATGGGGATTGGGTAAAGTAATCTACATTTGTGGTTTCCAAACATACTCAGGCTGCCAGGAGAGATGAAGAGTTGAAAGGAGCTTGGCAGGAAAAAAGAAGCACCTCCCTTCCCTGGCTGCCACCTGCCACTCCATCACATTACTCCAAATACATCTGGTTTGCATTATTAGTCTTCTTTGCGAGACTTTGTTTACAGAGAATGTTCTATAGCAGAAAAATAGTTTGAAAACTACTAACCAGACTGATGGTCTTTAATGACCTGGGAAGAGCAAAACTAATGTATTATGATCAATTCATCCATACATTCATCAAATATGAATTGTACCTGGAGCTGTTCTAAGTACTAAAGATTATAGCCATGCAGCTGGGTGCAGTGGCTCATGCCTACAATCTCATCACTTTAGGAGGCCAAGGCAGGAGGATCACTTGAGCCCAGGAGTTTGAGGCTACAGGGAGCTATGACTGCACCACTGCACTCCAGCCCTAGTGACAAAGCAAGACACTGTCTTTAAAAAATAAAATAAATAGATATAGCAGTGAGCACAATTATGGGGAAGACAGATAGTCAACACACTAATAAATATATAACATGTCAAGTGCTATGAAGAAACATAAAGTGAAGTCAAAGGAATGGATGATTGATGGTGTTACTTAGCAGGGTGATTAGGAAAAAAACTTTGCTGATGAAATGGTATTTGAACACAAGCGAGGGAAAGAGGGGCTGAACCATGCAGACATCTGGTGGAAGAACATTCCAGCAAGCATAGGGAACAGAAGGAGGGCAGAGAGGGAGAAAAGAGAAGATGCATGGGCAAGATCTCATGAGACCTTGCTAGCACGGATTTCTTTCTGAATGCACTTTTTGTTCTTTAATGAGGCCAATGAGATGAGGAACTGCTAGAGGGTTTGGAACAGAGGAAGTACATGATCTCCTTTGCATTTTAGATGGATCATTCTGAATGCTGCAAGGAGACTAGACTCCATGGAGTCAAGAGTGTAAATAGGAAAGTCATTTAGGAGGTGAGGATAGAGAAGTAGAGGAGGAGGTGGTGAGCAGGGCACAGATTCAGGAAGAACTCAGAAATCAGAGCTGTAGCATTTGTTGAAGGGTTGAATATGATGTAAGAGAGAAGAGTCTAGGGTGGCTCTCAAGTTCTGGGTTAGACAACTGGTAGAATGGGGTTGCTGAGATAAGAAGATGGGAGGTGTACATTTGGAGGAATTTTGGTGGGAAAAGAAGAATCAAGAATTCTGTTTTGGTACCTTTAAATGTGAGATGCCTCTTTGACTTAGACAGAGAGATAACCGGACAGTTGGAAATGCAAGCTTGGGGTTAGGGAAGAGACTGAGTTAGAGCTCAACCCATAGGCTTGTCTCAGTCTATTTTGTGTTGCTATAAAGGAGTATCTGAGGCTTGGTAATTCATAAAGAAAAGAGGTTTCTTTGGCTCACTGTTCTACAGACTGTACAAGAAGTATGGCACTGGCTGGGTGCGGTGGCTCACTCTTGTAATCCCAGCACTTTGGGAGGCTGAGGCAGGTGGATCACCTGAGGTCAGGAGTTCAAGACCAGCCTGGCCAACATGGCAAAACCCTGTCTCTACTAAAAAATACCAAAATTAGCCAGGTGTGGTGGTGCACGCCTGTAGTCTAAGCTACTTGGGAGGATCACTTGAACCCACGAGGAGGAAGTTGCAGTGAGCCAAGAGCATGCCACTGTACTCCTGGGTGACAGAGTAAGACTCCATCTCAAAAAAAAAAAAAAAAAGCACGGCAGCAACATCTGCTTGGCTTCTGGTGAGGCCTTTTGTGCTGTATCAGTATATAACTGAGAAGGTCAAAGGGAAGACAGACCAAACCCAAGGGGGTACTAGCTTTAAAACAACACACTCTCTCAGGAATGAATTATTACCCCCAAGAACCAACCCAGTCTCACAAGAGCAAGAACTCACTACGGCAAGAACAGCACCAAGCCACTCATGAAAGGTCCGCCCCATAAGCCAAACACTTCCCTCTAGGCTTCACCTCCCAATACCACCAACTGTGGAATTAAATTTCAACATGAGATTTGGTGGGGACACGCAATCCATATCCAAACCATAGCAGGACTTACCATGCATGAAGGCTCCTGAGTACAGGGAGCCTGGGGAAGCCTCTAGAAATGGGGACAAATGGAAAAGAGGTCTGCTAACATCACTTATCGAGGACCACTTTTTTTTTTTTTTTTTTGAGATGGAGTCTCACCCTGACACCTAGGCTGGAGTGCAGTGGCGTGATCTCAGCTCACTCCAACCTCCTCCTCCTGGGTTCAAGTGATTATCATGTCTCAACCACCCCAGTAGCTGGGACTACAGGCACCCGCCACCATGCTTGGCTAATTTTTTGTATTTTTAGTAGAGATGAGGTTTCACCATGTTAGTCAGGATGGTCTCGATCTCCTGACCTTGTGATCCTCCTGCCTCGGCCTCCCAAAGTGCTGGGATTACAAGCGTGAGCCACCGTGCCCAGCTAATTTTTGTATTTTTTGTAGAGACGGGGTCTTGTCATGTTGCCCAGGCTGGTCTTGATCTCCCGGGCTCAAGAGATCCACCCTCCTTAGCCTCCCAAAGTGTTGGGATTACAGGCATGAGCCACCACACCTGGCCTAGAAAACTTATTCTTGATAGGCAACATCTAACCTCTATGATCCAGGAATGCAAAGCCAAAAGGGAAGAGGCTGAGATGAAAACACAACAAAATAAGAAGGAAACTAAACAAGATAAGGAAAACTTGCTGAGAAATTTAAAATATCATTGGGTAAAGAGAGTGACCACTTCATTAACTATTATATTTCCAAGGCCTAACACATCATCTATAGGGTACCAACCTGTATTCCAAAAATTGCTTAGGCAAAGCACAGAAAGGTCATCACTTCATATCCTAAATATTGGAATATGCTGGGATCTGTGTAAAAATAGTCCTCTATTAGTAGGTTAACATATCTTGATTTTTCTGGTAATCTGATCATCTAATTACAAGCTATTAGGATTGGATGTAGTTGGGGAAAATAGGAACAGCTACAAAACAGAATAAAGTTCATTAGATCAGGGGTCCTCAAGCCCTGGGCCAAGGGCCGGTACCAGTCTGTGACCTGTTAGGAACTGGGCCAAAGAGCAGGAGGTGAGCAGCAGGCCAGTGAGCATGACCGCCTGAGCTCCACCTCCTGTCAGATTAAGAATAGCATTAGATTCTCATTGGAGCATTGATATGGGAGGGGGGTAGGGAAGTGCTGGGTAGAGAGGAGTGGGGTCCCTGGCAAGGCTCCACCCTCAGGCCTGTGCCCACAGACCTATGTGAGGACAGGCATTCCTGTTTTAGCACCCAAATGTTGCATTTTCCAAAACCATTCTGGCCCACTACACCCCCCATCCTGTGCCTATAAAAACCCTGAGACCCCAGCAGGCACACACACAAGCAGTTGGACATCAAGAGGAACACACTGGCAGAAAAACGCACTGACAGATGCTGGCAGGCCATTGATGATGGAACGACACGGACACCAAGGGGAAGTCAGCAGAGGTCAGAGGAGAGCCCGGCCACTAAGCAGCCCGACTCTAGGAGAAGAGCACCTTCCCACTCTATCCCCCTTCTGGCTCCCCATCCATCTGCTGAGAGCTACTTCCCACCATTCAATAAAGCCTTGCCCCCATCCTCCAAGCCCACTTGTGATCCAATTTTTCAGTACACTAGGGCAAGAACCCGAGATACAGAAAGCCCTCTGTCTTTGCGATAAGGCAGAGAATATAATTGAGCTAATTAACACAAGCTGCCTGAGGATGGCTAAGCTGAAAGAGCACGTGGTAACGGATGCCCACTGGGGCTTTGGGAGCTGTAAACACTAACCCCTAGACTTGCCCGTCTGCACACTCCCCCTAGGGGTTTGAGCAGCAGGGCACTGAAAAAGTGAGCCACACCCCCATTGCATGCCCTGCGAGGTAGATAAGGAAAAACTTTTCCCATTTCAGCGTGAACCCTATTGTAAACTGTGCACGTGAGGGATCTAGGTTGTGCACTCCTTATGAGAATCTAACTAGCCTGATGATCTGAGGTGGAACAGTTTCATCCCACTACATCCCCCCACCCCCAACCCCCATCCGTGGAAAAATTGCCTTCCATGAAACCAGCCCCTGGTGCCAAAAATGTTGGGGACCGCTGCCTAAAATCCTATAGAGATAATTCTGTCACTGGCCCTTATTAGGGTTATGCCCTGAAAAGCTAATAAGTTAATGGCATTTCTCCAAAGTTAGAGAATCATAGAAAGCCGTTTAAAACCATTGGGGTCAGTACTTCTTTTGGTTTGGACATATACTTACATGCCTTCCTCTTGTTCAAGATAACTCCCTGCACTATCAGTACCTTTCCATCATGTTGGTTAAAGGATATAATCGAACCCGACCACCGCTGGTCTTCGCTGGACACCATGAACCACACTGTCCAAACCTTCTTCTCTCCTGTCAACAGCGGCCAGCCCCTCAACTATGAGATGCTCAAGGAGGAGCATGAGGTGGCTGTGCCAGGGGTGCCCCACAACCCTGCTCCCCCGACGTGATCCACATCTGCAGCGAGACCTCCATGCCCAACCATGTTGTCTGGTCCCTGTTCAACACCCTCTTCATGAACCCCTGCTGCCTGGGCTTCATAGCGTTCACCTACTCCATGAAGTCTAGGGACAGGAAGATGGTTGGCGACCTGACCGGGGCCCAGGCCTATGCCTCCACCGCCAAGTGCCTGAACATCTGGGCCCTGACTTTGGGCATCCTCATGACCATTCTGCTCATCGTCATCCCAGTGTTGATCATCCAAGCCCATTGATAGATCAGGAGGCATCACTGAGGCCAGGAGCTCTGCCCATGACCTGTATCCCATGTACTCCACCTTCCACTCCTTGCCCTGCCCCGGAGCCAAGTCCTGTATCAGCCCTTTATACTCACACACTTTTCTACAATGGCATTCAATAAAGTGTATATGTTTCTGGTGCTGCTGCGAAAAAAAAAAAGGATATAATCATTTAACAATACTTCATCCTGTTCAGAGTGTTCTCACATCCATCATGTCATCAGAGCCTCACAGCAGTCCTGAAAGGAAATAGATCAGGTGTCTGCCTGTGTCCATGCTGGAGAAGTCAGTGCAGAAAGAAAGAAAAAGATGACTGTGGCTTCCCAAGGCAGCAGGGGAAAGGATGGTAGATTCGTGCCTCTCATCATAAACCTTTGCTCCCTTTTGAGCCACTATGAAACTTCAGAACACAGTGCCCAAATCTAACACCTGAGTCATGGAAACCTTAGTCTACAAACACATCCAGGACTTCCTCACAAGAGACTGGCTGAGAAACTGCTCAAATGACAGTTTGCAAAGATCCTTAAAAACAAATCAACAAGGCCGGGTGCAACAGCTCACGCCTGTAATCTCAGCACTTTGGGAGGCCGAGGTGGGCAGATCACCTGAGTTCAGGAGTTCGAGACCAGCCTGGCCAACATGGTGAAACCTCATCTCTACTAAAAATACAAAAAAATTAGCCGGGCGTAGTGGCACACGCCTGTAATCCAAGCTACTCAGGAGGCTGAGGCAGGAGAATCACTTGAACCTGGGAGGTGGAGGTTGCAGTGAGCCAAGATCACACCACTGCACTCCAGCCTGGGCAACAAGAAAGAGACTCCATCTCAAACAAAAACCAAAAACAAATCAACAAAAACACAGTCAATCTCAGGTACTGTGGGGAAGGGAGGTATAGGAGGGGTATGGAAGGGTGGTTCTAGATTGTTGATGTGTTGCATTTCTTGAGCTGAATGTTGGCACGTGGATGTGCTCAAATTGTGACAGTTCATTGAGCTATGTCCTTAAAATTGTGCACGCTTCGGTGTCAAGGTTGTGCTTCTGTAAAAATAGAGATTTTTAGAGGCACAGACACCTTACTAATTCCATGCTCACCTTTGCCTCTGTTTTTGTCTCTCGGTTTTTGCATTCTTCTTCTCTCCTTTCCCAGGGTGAATCACCCCACTTGTTAAAATTGTACTACAGCAAATGTTAGTAAATTATGTGCCTTGTGGTGGTGATGAAGTCAAATCAAACACATTTGTCACTGGAGAGATGGCCTCCAGCTGTTTCTCTGGGAAATATAATTGAATACTAATGGAATAAACACTAGAAGTTGCCAGTTTTATTTTTACTATAGGTGCAGGCTAAAATATGAGAGAGTGAATTTCACTGAGTTTAAAATACAAACAGAATTTTAAAAATACACAATAGTTCTTCCAAAGAATTTAACATGGGTGATTTCAAAATCAATTCCTCTTACTCCATCCATAAAGAAACACAGAGGATGCTCTTATTTACATAGTACAACTGGGTCTTTATTTTAAGCCCAAACTTACTATGTTCACTACTGATATATGAACTTACCCCTGCATTTCATATTGCATTTGCTCAATTTGCACTTTCCAAAAATACTTGTTATATTGCTTACCTTTGAGCCACACTCACTGCCAAATAGAAGTTTTAAAGATTTCAACCAAAATGAACTGGGCACAGTGGCTCATGCCCATAATCCCAGTGCTTTTGGAGGCTGAGGCAGGAGGATCACTTGAGGTCAGGAGTTTGAGACCAATCTGGGCAACATAGTGAGAGCTCGTCTCTACCAAAAAAGATTTGTTTTAATTATCTGAGCCACCTCACACCTGTAGTCCCAGTTACTCAGAAGGCTGAAGTAGGAGGATCACTTGAGCCTAGGAGTTCAAGGTTACTGTGAGCTATGATTGAGCCACTGCACTCCAGCCTAGTTGACAGAATAAGACCTTGTCTCAAAAAATATACCTATATTGGACAAAAGTGATAATGAGTTTTGAAAATATTTAAGTGACTCAAAAAGTGGATTTATGATTTAGAAGACAATGACATTGCAAATAGAAGTAAAATGTTTGTGTAAAATTTAACACATTTTAAACATGTCTGATGACATCCTATAATACTTCTGGAACATCCTGCATGCTCTCCAAATTGAACCACAAACTTAGGTCCCACTTTGAGGATGCCTGTCATCCTAGAGAGGTGAGATACAGCAAACACAGACCCAATAAAGACACCAAGGCATTAGTGCGGTTCATTGTTATCAAGCATCTTTTGACTTTTGGTTTACCTAGTTGCAAAGGTGTGAGGTCGAGCTTCCACAATCCCTTCTTTGGACAAAGCCACTAACACAGAGAGCAGTTAAGCAACACATCCAAGCTTCCAAGACTGAAATCCAGGTTCCCAGGACTGTTTCGTGACTGTCCATGAAGATAGTTAGAAATCACAAGGTCGGTCGGGTGCCATGGTTCATGCCTGTAATCCCAGCACTTTGGGAGGCTGAAGCGGGTGGATTACATGAGTCCAGGAGTTGGAGACCAGCCTGGCCAACATGGCTAAACCCCGTCTCTACTAAAAATACAAAAATTAGCTGCATGTGGTGTCACACATCTGTAATCCCAGCTACGTGGGAGGCTGAGGCACAAGAATCACTTGAACTTGGGAGGTGAAGGTTGCAATGAGCTGAGATCATGCCACTGCACTCCAGCTTGGGAGACAGAGTGAGACTCTGCCTCAAAAAAAAAAAAAAAAAAAAAAAAAGAGGCGGGGCATGGTGGCTTACGCCTGTAATCTCAGCACTTTGGGAGGCTGAGGGGGGCAGATCACAAGGTCAGGAGTTGGAGACCAGCCTGGCCAACATGGCGAAACCCCGTCTCTACTAAAAATACAAAAACCAGCTGGGTATGGTGTCACACACCTATAATCCCAGCTACTTGGGAAGCTGAGGCACGAGAATTGCTTGAACCTGGGAGGCAAAGGTTGCAGTGAGCCGAGATCATGCCACTGCACTCCAGCCTGGGATACAGAGTGAGATTCTGTCTCAAAAATAAAAAAATTAAAAAATAAAAAAAGAAAAAGAAAAGAAATCACACAGGTCAAGCATTCATGAATCACAGTGGTAGTGCAACAGGAGGCAAAATATGCTTGTATTGGGGATGCTGTCATAGACATGCACTGAATGTTGGAGGTGCAGCTGACCAAGACCCAGGACCAAACCCATCAATGATGGTAGCAGTCGTCAGAAGGAGATGCAATGGAGTAAGCAATAGGCAGTCTACATTGGGGGACAGTCAGTATTTGCAAAGCATGACACTAGGCTATTATTATCAGAGGTCTTGCAGAAAGGCAGAGCCTTGGATCAAGAAAGTCCATCGTGATGCAGGCAATAGGGTCTAACTTCCAGGAGAGCTACAAGTGTTCTGGATGAGGCTGAGTACTGGGCTCAGGAGACCTTGCAGGGTTCCAAGACCACCCACAGTCAGAAATCAAACAGATTCCATTACAGGTATGTATTAAGGTGTTCACTTTTTTTAAATTAAATTTAATTTAATTTAACTTTTTGAGACAGAGTTTTGCTCTTGTCGCCCAGGCTGGAGTGCAATGGTGCGATCTCGGCTCACTGCAACCTCTGCCCTGTGGATTCAAGTGATTCTCCTGCCTCAGCCTCCCGAGTAGATGGGATTACAGGCTAATTTTTATATATTTTTTATAAAGATGGGGTTTCACTATGTTGGCCAGGCTGGTCTAATTTTTGTATTTTTGTATTTTTAGTAGAGACGGGGTTTCACTATGTTGTCCAGGCTGGTCTTGAACTCCTGACCTCAGGTGATCCGCCTGCCTTGGCCTCCCAAAGTGCTGGGATTACAGGTGTGAACCACCACGCCTGGCAAGGTGTTCACTTTTCTAACCTCTCCC
This sequence comes from Homo sapiens, assembly GCF_000001405.40. NCBI lineage: Eukaryota > Metazoa > Chordata > Mammalia > Primates > Hominidae > Homo > Homo sapiens. The sequence continues at coordinate 56,167,482 of NC_000007.14, forward strand.
TTATATATGTGAGTGTGTATATATGTGCATGTGTGTGTGTACATATATGTACACACATACACACATATGTGTACATATATACACACATACACACATATGTGTACATATATACACACATACACACATATGTGTACATATATACACACACACATGTGTACATATATACACACATATACACATGTGTACATATATACACACATATACACATGTGTACATATATACACACATACACATGTGTACATATATACACACATACACATGTGTACATATATACACACATACACATGTGTACATATATACACATGTGTACATATATACACATGTGTACATATATACACATGTGTACATATAAATATATACACATGTGTACATATAAATATATACACATGTGTACATATAAATATATACACATGTGTACATATAAATATATACACATGTGTACATATAAATATATACACATGTGTACATATAAATATATACACATGTGTACATATAAATATATACACATGTGTATATATAAATATATACACATATATACACATGTGTGTACATATATACACATATATACACATATATACACACGTGTACATATATACACATATATACACATATGCGTATATATGTGTGTATATGTACACACGTGTGTATATATGTGTAAATATGTACACACATGTGTATATATGTGTAAACACACACATGTGTATATATGTGTAAATATACGCACATGTGTATATGTGTGAATATACGCACATGTGTGTATATATGTGTAAATATATACACATATGTGTATATATAAATAAACATGCGTATATATGCACACATATATGTATATGTGTGTGTATATATGTATATATGTGTATGTACATGCACATATATACTGAGCATGGTGGCATACATACACACACATACACACACACACACACACACACACACACACACACACACATATTCGAGTCAGGGTCTCTGTCACCCAAGCTCTGGCATGCAGTGGTGCAATCACAGCTCAGCTCACTGTAGCCTTGACCTCCCAGGCTCAGACGATTCTCCCACCTCAGCCTCCCACGTAGCTGGGACTACGGATATGTGCCACCACACCTGGCTAATTTTTAATTTTTTTGTAGAGACAGGGATTCGCCACATTGCCCAGGCTGGTCTTGAACTCCTGAGCTCAAGCAATACTCCCGCCTCAGCTCTCAAAGTGCTGGGATCACAAGCGTGAGCCACTGTGCCCAGTCCTCTCTCCCATATAGTTTTGCATTTAACCTATCACATCCCCCTGCTGAGAAAGGCTTGTCCAAACAAGTCAACACCAGGAAGGGAGAGAGAGAGGAGACAAGTAATCAGTTCTTTACCCCACCACCTCTCCTGGATGACTGCTTGCCTCTTTCTCTCTGGTTAACATGAGCCTGTTCACTGAGCCACAATTTTCAGAAAAATTCAATCTCCTTGAATTAGAACCAGAGAAACACATTGTTCATCAATATTTTTTGCTCCACAAATCAGCCTTACCTTCCCCCTTCAACCATCTTTCCATCCAAAGTTATTTTAAAATACACACAAACGGGAAAAAGCAGCCCAGCATGCATGCTAATTACACTGTGTTCATTTCTCCTCAAGCACAGCCTACTAACAGAATCACGTTTCACATTTGTTTCACTCTCTGTTCTATTCTGTAATGCAGTTGTTAGACTCTTGCTTGGCAGACACAGCAGAACCAACAGGATTACATACTTCACATCTGGAAATACTCCACAATCATTATAGACTAAAATCTGTGCTGGGTTTCTTCCCTCCTATGCCAACCAGGTAAAACAAGAAAGAGAGAAGGATACATTTGCTCACCCAGAGAAGCCCCATCAGAGAAACTGCCAGGATCATGGAAATCAGATGTTCTCAGGGCCGGTGACTTATTCTGGATGTGAAACCTACATGTGGCAAGTAAGCAAAGAGAACACTTGGAAAGGCTTAGGTGATAGGCTTTTAATGCTGTCAAGGGAACCATTCAAATCCTCCAATTCGTGAGTACTATGCCAGCACATTTTTTTCTTCAAAAACTGGAGCACAACTCCAGACCCTAAATGAGGTAGAGTCATAGAGAGACTAACTAACCAACCAATACTCAAATTCGAAGAAGTCAGCTGGGCTTACTGGGGTCGTCGTTCTCACCACAGGTCTCACATAGGGCAGGTTTCTGATTCCCGCCTCTGCACAGATTTGTGCAATGCAAGGAGTTATGGGGCCACTTGATAATGAAACCCACAAAAGTGAAATTGTCACAAGGAAGAACTTAGCATCGTGGTGCTCAACCTTTGACGTGCATCAGAATGGCTCTTTGAATGTCCGGGTGCAAACCTATCCAGTTGGAATCTTTGAGGATGGGATCCAGGTGTGCCCAATTGTAAATGACGGCAGGCATGAGTTGGCTGTGCCCCCTCCTCTTTTCAGAACAATGGTTTTTCAGAAAATATTGATATGCAGTTTCATTTATTTTTACATCTCACTCTACCATCTGTGATGAGTGATTTCTTTTTTGGACAGGACTTCATCACAGAAATATTCCATGGGAGGCCATCTCACTGTAGATTAAAATGTAGTGAAAAATGCAAGTGTCATATCTCCATGCCGAATCCATTAGCTCTTATTTCCAGCCCTTTCTCACCTCATCTCAACTCCAGTTGACTCACAGCCAATATAGAAAAGGCAATAGCTTTATGAAATCTAGTGTCCACATCTCAGGATTCAAATGCATAGAATATTCCCTACCAAAAAGGAGCCAAGATTGTACAATCCTTATAAAATATGTGCACGTGGACCCAAGCCAGATGCAAATCATGACCTGGCCCTTTTTGGAGAGCTGGCTTTGGTGCAGGGAAAAGAGCCCAAGCCCGAGAGTTCAAAGACCCAAAGCCATTTCTGTTTTCACCACTTAACAGCTTTAGGGCTCTGGGCAAAGCAACCTCCTCTGAAAGCCTCAGCATCTTCAACTTGAAACAGGGTTGTAATAAAAGTGTATAGTTTTCCATATAAAGACAAGGTCCTGCTATGTTGCCCAGGCTGGTCTCAAACTCCTGGCCTTAAGTTAATATTCATGCACTCATCTTCCCTCCCTATCTTCACCTTCTAATCTGCTCCATCCTCAGACTAGAAGCCTCACCAGGAGCACTGGAAGAACTTGTGGATGAGACAGAGCTTCACCCTTGGTTGGTGCTGCTTTGCTCTTAACTGTTCCTTGACCCAGTTTTGTGACATTACTTCTGCTCTCTATGGCAAGCCTTGCTGGCTCTGACTGTGGCTATTCGATCCCCCTCCTGACAATCTCAGATCTGAACTGGTGCAGGAAGGAGAACTAACTCCCTCCAGGCCTTGCTCTGACATTCAGCCTCAGTTTCCCATCACCTAGGTGCCTCTGCCCCCACTTCTAGGAGCATATTCTGATACCTAGGCTTGCATCTTGTTCACCCAAACCAGGATCTACCCGGAGTCTCACCTTTTCATTTGTTTTCTGTTTTAGTCCAGCTCCTAGTCACCCATTTAGCACTCTAATTCTCATCTCGGACTGAAGCGCTAACCTTCAATCCCAACCCAGTCAGTGAGTGACTCAGCCTGTTGCCTATGGAAAAGCCTTTTTCATTTATTTACTTTTTGTTTGTTTTGTTTTTTAGAGGCACAGTCCTGCTCTGTCACTCAGGCTAGAGTGCAGCACAGCACTCAGGCTAGGTATGATCATAGCTCACTGCAGAGTCCACCTCCTGGGCTCAAGCGAGCCTCCCACCTCAGTCTCCTGAGTAACTGAGAACACAGGCATGTGCCATTGTGCCCAACTAATGTTTTTTATTTTTTGAAGAGACAGGATCTTGCCATGTTGCCCAGGCTGGTCTCAAATTCCTGGCCTCAAGTGATCTTCCTGCCTTGGCTTCCCAAAGTGCTGGGATTACAGGCATGAGCCACCATACCCAGTCCCAGAGAGGCCTTCTTAATGCCAAGAGTCTGCAGGAATATCCAGCTAGATACACCCCATCCCCTTCCCAGGTGCTCTATTTCTGTGCACTGCCCACCTGCCAATCTTGTACAAGCAGCAACTAGAGATTGCCTTACTTTTTTTCTCTCTGCTGCTGCAGTCCCTGCAGCTAGGCTGATGGCCCCAGACTCTGGCTCACCCCTGGAGGCGGGCTTGGTACGAAGACCCAACCCCCTTCCAGCCTGGCTCACCCTTCCCATCCCTGGTCAACGAAGTCCCACTCCTTACTCTGAGCCTTGCCCTCACAACCTGTTGCCTCCACCCTAATTTTAAAAAATGCACACCCCACCTTGACTTAGAGTACCACCCCATCTGGGGCCATCCGTATGCCAGGGGCACTGAACCCTGCCGACCACTCCCTCTTTGAACAGTTTATTATACCCTTGGTGACTGTATTCTTTGCTTTTGTTGCTATAACAAGTTACCACAAACTTAGTGGTTTAAAGGATACAACTGTATTATCTTTATTTATAAAGAAAGGGTGATAATGTGAGCTATGGGGAATGGCTGTAAATACAGATGAAGCTTTGCTTGCTCACTGGCCCAGTTCCTAACAGGCTACATACTGGTACCTTCCTTCCTTTCCTTCCTTTCATCCATTCATCCATCCTTCATTTCTTTTTTTTTTTTTTTTTTTTTTTTTTGGAGATGGAGTCTTGCTCTGTCACCCAGGCTAGAGTGCAGTGGCACGATCTCGGCTCACTGCAACCTCCGCCTCCCAGTAGACTGCAAGACCAGTGTTCCCAGGGGGTGGTGAGCCCCAAAACAAAGTAAAAAAATAGCGCATGTCAGAGCCTCAACAAGGGGACCTCTGGACATGGTTTTGTCCCTCCTGGGTGCAATGAGCAAAAAGAGACAAGTTCATTCTTGCAGGAGAAATCAACATGGACAAGCAGAGGAAATAAACACGTATTAATTTTTTACTAATCTTCCTTTTCTGATATGTAAATAGTCCCATTTTCCCACATCTTACTTTCCTAGTACCTTCTCCATGAAAGAAAAAAAAATTACTTAAACATAACACAGGGAAGAAAATTACAGAGGATAAGAATGTAAATGGCTATCCCTTACTGAGAACTTATCGGGAATTTTGTAGAGCACAGTAAGTGAAATATTAAATATCCCATTTAGTCCCCACAAAGAGCCAGTGAAGTATTTTAAAAATCAAACGAAGAAAGTATGGCCTTGGAGGTTAAGTAACTCACCATGTTCATACCACTGTAAAAGAGGCTGAGCCCAGACTTGAACCAAAGTCTGCCTGACAATGATGTCCATGCATCTTGAGATAAGACAGAAGGCAGATGTTAAAGAATAAAGAGCATGAAAAAGCAAACAGGCAATAGCTTCTCTTCTTCCATAAGGCAACACTCACACTTTCTGGTGTCTTTCAATTTTTTTTTTTTTTTTTTTTGAGATGGAGTCTCTCTCTGTTACCCAGGCTGGAGCACAGTGGCTCGAACTTGGCTCGATCTTGGCTCACTGCAACCTCCACCTCCTGGGTTCAAATGATTCTCCTGCCTCAGCCTCCCCAGTAGCTGGGATTATAGGCTCGCACTACCATGCCCAGATAACTTTTTTTTCTGGACACAGTCTCGCTCTGTCATCCAGGCTGGAGTGCAGTGGTGCAATCTCAGCTCACTGCAACCTCCACCTCCCGGGTTGAAGCAATTCTCCTGCCTCAGCCTCCCAATTAGCTGGGATTACAGATGAGCATCACCACACCCAGCTAATTTTTTTTTCGTATTTTTAGTAGAGATAGGGTTTCACCATGTTGGCCAGGCTGGTCTCAAACTCCTGACCTCGTGATCCACCGGCCTCACCCTCCCAAAGTGCTGGGATTACAGACGTGAGCCACCGCACCCAGCATATTTTTGCAGTCACCCTGTTGTGCTGTCAAATACTAGGTCTTACTCATTCTATCTAACTATATTTTTATACCCATTAACCAACTCACATACCCCCACTACCCTTCCCTTCCCAGCTTATAACCATCCTTCTACTCTCTAGCTCCATGAGTTCAATTGTTTTATTTTGTTTTGAGATGGAGTGGCATAAGCCACTGTGCCCAGCCAAGTCCAGTTATCAAATAATTTTTTATTAAGAGCCTACCATGACCAGGGCAATGTCAGGCACTAGAGATACCATGATGAACAGGACAGACATGCTCTCTACTCCAATAGCTTAAAATCCATTAATCATTCCATTTCATTGGGGACGCTGGCAACGTAGAAAGTGCTCAGGAGAAGGCAGATGGGAACAAGGTCAATAAACCATATGATGAGCTTAGCAAAAAAATACTGGTAATTTCTGCCACTGGGTGATGGGTATGGGCGGAAGGGGTCATATTAGAATTCTTTCTATTTTGAGGTGTTTTGGAAACTTCCATAAGTCATGTGGAGTTGGCATGCTGAAATGAGGTAAGCATGATGAGTGTTGCCCGAAAGGATACCCCTTAAATTTTTAGCACTTTCCAAACCAATGTGGTCACAACCAATGCTAACAGGCGTGGTGTGAAGTAGGCAGGCAAGGTAATAACTATGCTTATTTTATGAATGAGGAAAAGACTAGATTCGACTCATAGAGGCTTGGAGTTAGAAGGGACTTAAGCCTGCTGTCAGTTTTCCATCCTAATGTTTAACTTGACAATGATCCCACCCAGCACAACACATTACATCAAAAGTTATAGGAAGGGCCAGGCGCAGTGGCTCACACGCCTGTAATTTCAACACTCTGGGAGGCCTAGGCAGCCAAGCGTGGTGGGTGGTGGGGGGGACGATGAGGACGGGGGTGGGGGAGCGGGGAGGAGGTTGGTGGAGCGGAGGGGGACGTGGGTGGGCGGGGTGGGCAGTGGTGGTAGCTGGGGCGGGGTGGTGAGCCCGCGCCTTGGAGGGGCTGGGAAGGCCAGCGTGTTGGGGGAGGCGCCTGGGCCTCTGGGACTGGGCCTGGCTGCGTCAAGGTGGGGCTGACATGAAGTCCCCTTCATCTGTCCGGGGTGGCCCGTCCTTCTGGGAGAGGATCCCTCACAAGATGACTTCCCAGGTCGCGCTCCGAGGCGGCTCTTTGCGGACCCCACAGAGATGCCTTCTGGGCTCCTGGGGCCAGCGGGGAGGGGCAGGTGAGGCCCAGAGCTAGGTGAGGCCCAGGGCTGGGTGAGGCCAGGCCCTTCTAGGAATGTTGGTGCTCCTAGCACCCAGAGGTTTCCAGGGGAGTGGCCCGAGTACGTCCCCGCCTAATTCTGGAGCCGTCCCTTCGGCTGCGCAGTGGAGCGCCGACGTGACGGCTGCAGGGAGCCAGGGCGGCCACGCACCGTCTGCAGTCAGGAAGTCCCAGGCGGCGTGCAAGGCGGTTGCGGCGTGCGGGCCGCCGACCTGCGGAGTGCGCGGGTTGGGCTAGGGGCTGTCCCTGGAGCGCCGGGTGGCCCTGGGTCCCGCACACCCACTTGCTGGCGGGGGGGTGGCGCAGACATAGGCCACCCCGAGGGTGGTCCCCCCGAGGGCGCTCCTCACGGGTGGTCCAGGCTAGCTCGGACCTGGCAGTGGGGGAGTGGCGCAGAGCTGCGTGGAAAGGCGCGGGGCGCCTGCGTGGCGAAGGAACTCAGCTGCCTGACACGCCCGCAAGTACCACGGACCTGCTCCGGCCTCGGCCTCTGCGGGCCAAACGCGGAGCGAGGCGTGAACGCCGGGCGGGGGCGTGGCGTCCGGTGGGGATGTGTCAGCCGGGGGTGGGGGGGGGCGGGGGGGCGTCCTCTCCAGGGGGCGTGGCTCTGTGCTCCGGTGAAGGCCAGAGGCACTCCCTGGGCTGGGCGGAAGCGCGACTGACCGTGGCCTTGGGCAGGCGGTGGCTGCAACGAGGAGGAGCTGGGGTCGCAGTGGGTTGCGGCGCCGAGCCCGGACGGAAGCGCCGAGGGGCCGGGGTCGCCAAGGGCTGCTGCGGCCCTTCCCGGAGCCCAGTGCTGGGCACGCAAGGCGCTGGCTCAGGCGCACCCAGTGGCCGCAGCTGCAGCGGGAGGAGCGCGGCGGCGCGGGGTCCTCGGAGACAGCGTTTGTCCGAGAAGCCTTCCTGGGGCGGTGGGTGGGAAGTGGGGGCCGGAGCTGCAGCGGGAGGCGTCCTGTCTCCTCAGGTCGGCACCATGCCCCTGCAGCCCTGAGCGGGGCCCTGCTGGGCTGCCTCTGCCTGGCATTGCTTTTCCTGGGCGGTGCGGACAAGCGCCTGCGTGATAACCATGAGTGGAAAAAACTATGGTCCAGCACTGGCCTGAGACAGTATGCGAGACAGTTGAAAACGACTGTAGAGACCCTCCGGATTACTGGACAATACATGGGACTATGGCCCGATAAAAGTGAAGGATGTAATGGATCGTGGCACTTTAATTTAGAAGAGATTAAGGATCTTTTGCCGGAAATGAAGGCATAGTGGCCTGATGTAATTCACTCGTTTCCCAATCGTAGCCACTTCCGGAAGCATGAAGAAGCATGGGACCTCTGCCGCCCTGGTGGACGCACTCAACTCCCAGAAGTACTTTAGCAGAAGCCGGGAACTCTACAGGGAGCTGGACAGCAACAGTGTGCTCCTAAAACTGCGGCTAAAACCATCCGTCAATTACTACCAAGTTGCAGATTTTAAAGATGCCCTTGTCAGAGTGTATGGAGTGACACCCAAAATCCAGTGCCTTCCGCGAAGCCAGGATGGGGAAGTACAGACAATTGGTCAGACAGAACTTTGCCTCACTGAGCAAGGCCAGTAGCTGCAAAACTGCACCGAGCAGTGCAGGTTTGGGGGGTGGGGGGGTAGTGGCGGGAAAGCAGCCGTCCCCCAAGTAGGAAGTTTGGCTGGCGGATGGGGCTGCCAAGAGCCGGGGTCTGAGGGTATGTGAAGATGGCCCAGTCTTTTATCCCCCACCTAAAAAAAAACAAGCATTGATGCCCAAGTTTGGGAAATATTCTGTTTTAAAAAGCAAGAGAAATTCACTTTCTGCAGCTTTCTAAAAAACAACAAAACAAAACAAACACAAAAAAACTGCAATTACTTTTGCACCAACCTAACAGTATATCTATAGATATGTCAGCTATATTATATATAGCATATAATGTGTATATAACATATACTATGTATATCATGTATATTATATATAATGTATATAATGTATATATATTATATGTAATGTATATAATACGCACATATATAATGTATATGTAATGTGTATATATTTATATATGAGAGGAGATTTATCATGGGAATTGGCTCACAGGATTATGGAGCCTGAGAAGTTCCACCATCCGCCACGTGCAACCTGGAGACCCAGGAAAGCCCCTGGTGTAATTCAGTCTAAGTCTGAAGACCTGAGAATCAGGGGAGCTGATGATGTTAACTCCAGGTTTAAATCTGAAGGCCTGAGAACTGGGGATGCTGCTGATGTAATAGGACTTACATCCTATTCAAAGGCCCAAGAACCCAGAGCTCTGATGTCTGAGAGCAGAAGATGGATGTCTCAGCTCAAGAAGAAAGTTAATTTGCCCTTTCTCTACCTTTTTGTACTGTTCGGGCCCTCAATGGAATGGATGGTGTCCTCCCACATTGGTGAGGGCCAGCCTTCTTTACTCAGTCTACTGATTCAAATGCTAATCTCTTCCAGAAACATCTTCACAGATGCACCTGGAAATAATGTTTTACCAGCCATCTGGGCATCCCTTACCCCAGTCAAGTTGACACATAAAAGTAATCATCACATTGGTATATGAAGAGGATTAAGTCACTCAGTTTTGAATAGGTTTGTGAGTGCTGAACTTTCTTTGTCAAGGCTGATTCGAGTTCATAATGATCTGCTCACTGTGTCCCTGGAGAAGAAGTAACAGGGGAAATGATGCTCATGGACTGTCATGGTCGTTACTAGAGACTAGATATTTCTTGTATTCTTTATAGGGGTGTGATACAGTGATTGAGGGCATCTCCTGTGGAGTTAGACAGTCTGACATTACTGTTCCAGCTCTGTCATTTGCTTGCTCTGTGACTGTGGGTCAATTTCTCAACATTCTAAAGTCCTGCTTGCCTCATCTAAAACATATTAATATTTTACTTGAGAATTGCTGTAAAGTTCTGACAAGATAATGCATGTAACTAGCAAATAGTGAATGTCTGGTCAATAGTATTATCTTAAAGTAGAGACATCTTAGAGACATAAAATTATATACACAAGTGCACACATACATGTAATTACATACACATATACACACACATAATTACATACACATATATACGTACACATTTTTACATTAATGACATGGTGTTTCATAGCCTGTTTTTACTCAATACTATACCATGAATATCTTCCCAGAAAAATGTGTAGCTTTCTACCACTGTTTAAAGAACTGATAGTATGGATTTACCCATTGTATGGATTTACCATAGTTTAATTCGTCACAACTGATGGACATTTAGGTTGTTAGACAACTCTGCCTTTTAGCAAGACACAGAGATACGACATAACTAAGACTTCAGTTACCTTGACCCATCCACAGCCCTAACTCATCTTATGTTTCTTTCCATTTCCAGCCTCCGACTCATCTCTTTGCCTTCTGAATTCTCACTCATTCCTTGCTCTGGTGGTAATCTCCCTTCCTCATGATGTTATTCCTGTAGCAAACACAAGACCCTCCCTGGCATTGACCCATTCAAGACCCTGGTTTCCCATGGTTCTAGGTCCAGCCAGCATGAGTCCACATGGCCAGCATTTCTATTGGGTTTATCCAAACTTACAAAAAGGAACTGACTGTTAGGAAAGCCACCGACATTGTTGTAATGGTGGAATCATTCTACATCTCTAAATAAAATGCTACAGAACCTTTAGGGCTAGCAGCCATCTCAGAGGACTTCTGATGCAATCTTTCTCCTATGGACTACCTCAAAGAGAATAACCCTAAACCCAGATGTGATGATAAAAGGTGAAAAGTGATGTTTTACAAGGCAGAAAAAGAGATAGTGGAATTTAGAATAGGGGAAACAGGCTAGTCTCTGATTCAGAACCTAGGGCTGCAAAAGCCTTAATTGTTACAGAAAATGGTAATAAAAGGATTTCTTTTCTATGAAAATATACCTTACCAAGAGGCTGAACTAGAAGTCTTCCAACCTGTCTTCTAGTGATCCCAAATTATCAGAGTTTATGTCTTCTATGAAAGGGGACTGGTAATATCAGATTCATAGTGTTACAAAGATTACCTAAAATAATGTACAAGACATTAATAATAATGTCTTTGTAAGAGAGACATTACTACTACTGTTATAAATATTCTTAAGAACTATAACCTCAAAGTAGCTTCCAGTATGTTTTCACATTTTGCAGGGGCTCAATATATTAAATCAATAGGCTAAACAACATAAAAGCAGCAAGTTATTAAGGAAATTACCTAATTCAAAAATTTTTTTCCCTTAGACTACATGACAATTCTAAAATTCCAGTTCTATGATTCATAATGGCCAAAAGGTGGAAACAACCCGAATGTTCATCAGCTGAAGAATGGATACATGAAATGTGGTCAATTCATGCAATGGAATAGTATTCAGCAGCGAAAAGGAATGAAGCACTGGTACATGCTACAACATGAATGACTCATAAAAACACTATGCTGAGTGAAAGAAGCCAATCAGAAAAGACCACGTGCTGTATGACTCCATTCATATTATGTTCATAACAAGGAAATCTATTGAGAAAGTAAATTAGTGGTTACTTAGAGCTGGGAAGGATGTGGGAATAGAAAGGTGATAGTGAAAGGGCATGGGGTTTTATAGGTGATGAAATAGTTCTAAAATTGTGGCTATGGTCGCACAGATCTGTGAACATACTAAACACCATTGAAATGTACAATTTCAATGGATGAATTGTATGGTATGTGAATTATATATAAATAAAGCTATTAAAAAATGATTCCCAAGTCAAAGACCCAATTCAGCCAGTTACAAAGTTAAGGCAGAGAGACAACTATTTTAGTTCACACCCTAAAAAATAAATGGGAGGGAACACCACTCCTGAGGAAGAGTCAACTGCAAAGTAAACAGGGCTCCCAGGGCTATTCCAGCCCTGTGTAAGCCAACGGGGTATTAGGCAGCAAGACCACCCATAAAGCCAACTCAGGGTCACCCAACTCCATTTATCAGTGACCTGGGACACAAGCCCATTACTGCCTCACTTGCTCTCCATCTCTGACGTGTTCTGGCTCTGCCACAGTGCATGGCTCTGACTCTTACTGCATTCGGAAACTGAATGTCTCTGACCAGGTCAGCCAGTGGGTTCCTAGGAGGTGCTGTCTCTGAAGGGCTGTTGAAATGATATGGGAAGGCTGAGGCAGGAGAAAGTGGCAGGAAAGAGTGTTTTGTGTGCCATCTGTGTGATCCAGATTTCTTGTTGCTTTTGCTCTAGTTTCTTGGGTCAGTGAGGGAAAAGTCACGTTTCTCACTTTCTTTTACAATGCCTGGGTTTCTCTCTTTGTGAAATGAGGTCTATGGAGCCCACAGATTACTGTTCCCTCTTCAGGCCTATTTGTCTTAAAGTTAATGGAAATTTCTCTGAGATCTTTATGATACCACAGGCATTTTAGAGGAAAACATAAAAAGGAGATATCAGAGCGTGCTGCCTGATGCTTTTCCATTACATTTCTTTTTTTTTTTTTTCTCTCTTTTTGAGACAGTCTTGCTCTGTCACCAGGCTGGAGTGCAGTGGCACCATCTCGGCTCACTGCAACCTCTGTGTCCTGGGATCAAGCGATTATCCTGCCTCAGCCTCCCGAGTAGCTGGAACTACAGGTGGGTGCCACCATGCCCAGCTAACTTTTGTATTTTTTTAGTAGAGACGGAGTTTCACCACATTGGCCGGGATGGTCTCAATCTCTTGACCTTATGATCCGCTCACCTTGGCCTCCCAAAGTGATGGGATTGCCTCCATTACATTTCTTAATAACAACATTAATGCTCCAAAATCCTCTATAATTATATGACGATACTGTTCATTCATTTTTTATTTGCATTTGGACAGGGATTAGAGCACAAATTTGCACACACATTTGATTTTGGCTCTTTAAGATTTGGGATTCAAATTTTCCAAACCCAATTTAATATTAATAGAATGCAACCACTTTGCACTTTGTATGTTTCAGAGGGTTTCACAAACATGATTACATGAGATAATGTAGGCAGAATGAGTGCTTGGGTCCAGAATCAGGACTTTTGGGCACTAGTTCTGGCTCTCCCTGCACCCAGAGGGTGGGACATTGGAAGATCCACTTACTCTTCCTGGACCTCAGTTTTCCAGTTTCTAAAATAAAGGGGATCTGGATGGGCATGGTGGCTCATGCCTGTAATCTCAGCACTTTGGGAGGCAGAGGCAGTCAGATCACTTGAGGTCAGGAATTTGAGACCAGTCTGCCCAACATGGTGAAACCCTGTCTCTACTAAATATACAAAAATTAAGTTGGCGTGGTGGCCCATGCCTGTAATCCCAGTTTCTTGGGAGGCTGAGGCAGGAGGATCATTTGAACCTGGGAGGTGGAGGTTGCAGTGAGCTGAGATCCTTGACTGCACTTCAGTCTGGGAGAGAGAGCAAAACTCCACCTCAAAAATAAATAAATAATGTAAATAAAATAAAGGGGATTGACTTGATGGTCACAGAAATTCCTTTCACATCAGATATTTTATGTCTCTGTGTTTATAACCGATGGTCATGTTGATTTAGCACAGGGAATGAGATAATTAGCCTCAAAGAAAACAAATAAGCAACCATTTGTGAGTGATGAAATCTTTCTATTTAATGAAGACTTTAATTTTACAAGTTTCCCTCATAAGTCAGAACAGAGCTTTGAGTTTTACTATCATCATTCTGTACTTTCATAAGATTAGAATTTCATTCCGCTTGTATGTTTTGCTTTTGATGAAAATAAACTGCTCCTAGTTCACATAGGGTTCCTTGCTAGGGCCCAGGTCACAGCCTTGCTTTATTTAGAGCAGTGGTTCTCCAACTTATCGTGTATAACAGAATTACCTGAAGGGCTTGTTCAAACAGATTGCTGAGCCTTATTCCCGAGTTTCTAATTCAGCAGGTTGGGGTGGAGCCTGAAAATTTGCATTTCTAATAAGTACGCAGGTGATGCTAAGGCTCTGACCTGAAGACCACACGTTGAGAACTGTTGAGTTGGGGGTGTGTTGGCTTGCTTTGTTTTGCCTCTGTTGCCAGAGAAAATCTGAGTCTTCTGAAACAAGTAGAGAAGAGGAATTAGCTTATGTTGGCCACTTCCTCCTCTCCTTGTAATTTTCTCTGATTAATTTCTAGTATGATCTCGGGCTCCCTGAGCTGGTTATAGAATTTGCACCACAGGGGCTGAGGCTGGGATGGATGGGCCATCTTACTCAAAATAGCCAGGAAGAGAAGGAGCCGCAAGAGTCACAGTAATGAATTTGGGAGTTGTATTTTTTACAACCATGAAAAGCAATGGTGACAAGGGGAGAAGGCAGGAAAAATCTGCATAGTAGTATGTACTGGTGATGAAAGTTTCTAATGTTGTGGCAGACTTGTTCACCCAGATGAGTGTTCTTTTCTTTTTCCTGAACACACAGCTGGACTTCTCTCAAAGCTGAATATAGTTATGATTTAATTATTTCCAATGAAATGTGAGTCGAAGTGATTTGTGCTCATCCTAGGCCAAGACTTTTAAGAGGAGATTTTGTCTCCTTGTTCTCTTTCCTTTCCTCCATCTTCTGGATGGAGACTCAAGGAGCCTGAGTCCTTAAATCACTGCATGGAGGAGAGCTGCTTCTCTTTCAGCAGCTCTTGAACTCTTACACAAGCTAGAAATATATATCTGCTGTATTTGAGCCATTATAAACTTTTAGGTCTATTTTTTACTGCATACAAATGCTAACAGTAAGTCTATATTCCATTCTTTTTTTGTTTTTTGAGATGGAGTCTCACTCTATCACCCAGGCTGGAGTCTCACTCTGTCACCCAGGCTGGAGTGCAGTGGCATGATCTCTGCTTACTGCAACTTCCACCTGCCGGGTTCAAGCAATTCTCCCAACTCAGCCTCCCAAGTAGCTGGGATTACAAGTGTGCATCACCATGCCTGGATAATTTTTGTATTTTTAGTAGAGATGGTGTTTTGCCATGTTGGCCAGGCTAGTCTCAAACTCCTGGCCTCAAGCGATCCACCTGCCTCCGCCTCCCAAAGTGCTGGGATTACAGGCGTGAGTCACTGCACCAGGTCTCCATTATTTCTTAAAGGTAGAGGACCAAGCTGTGGGGATGGGAGAAAACAGAAAATTAGGACTAGATCAATGCATCTAAGATCGTTAAGAATGAGGTGGGATCATTTAGGCACTCACAAGCCCCGTAAGGGCTAGGACGTCCCCTTCTCTGATCTAAACCTAGGTAAAGATTACCTAAGATAATGTCAAGGGGCTTTGGATGGGAGAGTCTCCTTACTACTACTGTTACAATTATTCTTAAAACTATAACCTCAAAGTAGCTTCGAACATATTTTGCATTTTGCAGGGGATCAATATATTAAATCTACAGGCTAAACAATGTAAAAGTAGCCACTGATTAAGGGAATCTCATTCAGGTCATTCTGATACAAAGAAAAGGGGACATCCTGGCACTTATGGGGCTTGTGAGTAAAGCCCAAAGAAGTTCACATGAAACCTCTTGAGAAGCCCCCAATATAGGTATGCTTTCCTATTTTCAGGATGAGAACATTAAAGGATAATTCACATAGGCTAGGTGGAAAAAATGCTGAAGAATAAGAAAAGGGCAGAAGTTCTTGGTGTACTAAGTAGAAAAATATAGTTCCGAAAATATTTACTGAAAGAACAAAGACGACCTTTTAGAAAACTGTTTGGTGACCACAACAGTTGCAGGAAGACTGCCTTGATCAAAGAGGAAGCAAAATCATAAGAAGGAAATGGACGAGGTGAAGGGTTTAACAGGATGAGATTCAGATTTAACAAGCAGAGACAAACAAGAAGAAAGAGAAATTAACAGAAGAAATCAAGGAAGCTGATATACAGTATTAAAAAAAACACAATGATATGGAAGACAAACTTGAGAAGCTCTCAGAGTTCAGGAGAAAAAAACTAATAGTTAAAAGCCAGAAGAATTAGACAGATATGGAGAAAACTTTAGAATGATAGAGATTTCTGAGGAAAGAAACAGGACAAATGGAACAAAATAAAAAATGTATGTTTAAGGAATCTGTATGATCTGAAACACATCTGAATTTAAAGATTGAAATGGTTTGTTATATTACAGGTAAAACTCAAACACAAACACACACACACACTCTCACTCATATTTTAGCAATAAAAAAAATTCCAAGAATTAAAATAAGTCACACAGGCCCAGTGTGGTGGCTTATGCCTGTAATCCCAGCACTTTGGGAGGCTGAGGCAGGAGGGTAGCTTGAGCCCAGGAGGTGGAGACCAGCCTGGGTAACATGGTGAGACCCCCATCATCTCTACAAAAAATGAAAAAATTATCCAGGCATGGTGGCGCATGCCTAGTATTCCCAGCTACTCAGGAGGCAGAGGCAGAGGAACACTTAAGCCCAGGATTTTGCAAACATCTAGAAATATCTAGGCAGGAAAATAATCAGTTTCACCACAGGACAACAAAATATCAGGTTGGCTTCAGACTTCTACTCCTTAATATGAAATGCTGAAAGGGATGGAATAATGTCCCCCAAGTTTTACAGAAAAGGTGTTTAGATCCATGGATTTTTTTTTTTTTTTTTTTTTTTGAGAAGGAGTCTTGTTCTGTCTCCCAGGCTGGAGTGCAGTGGGGAGATCTCGGCTCACTGCAAGCTCCTTCTCCTGGGTTCATGCCATTCTCCTGCCTCAGCCTCCCAAGCAGCTGGGACTACAGGCGCCTGCCACCACACCTGGCTAATTTTTTGTAGTTTTAGTAGAGACGGGGTTTCACCGTGTTAGCCAGGATGGTCTCGATCTCCTGACCTTGTGATCCACCTGCCTCGGCCTCCCAAAGTGCTGGGATTAGAGGCATGAGCCACCATGTCCGGCCAGATCCATGGATTTTAAACTGGCCTGAATTTGTATTTGTGGTTGAAGATAGAAGCAAAATATTATAGAACATGTAAGGATCTAGGAAATTTACCAACTACTTGCTTTTTGTGGGAAAAAAAATGGTTTTGGAAGACATTGTCTAATTGACCTAGAGCTACATCAATATTATGAACTCATAAAAATCAGTGCTCTGACACTCTTTGTATAAAAAATGATCCCTAGTCAGACGCAGTGGCTCATTCCTGTAATTTTAGAGCTTTGGGAGGCTGAAGTGAAAGGACTGCTTGAGGCCAGGAGTTGGAGGCCAGCTGGGGAAACACAGCAAGACCCCTGTCCCTCCAAAATAACAATAAAAATTAGCCCAGCATGATGGTGTGTGCCTGTAGTCCCAGCTACTTGGGGGGCTGAGGTAGGACGATTGCTACAGCCTTTGAGGCTGTAGTGAGCTATGATTGCACTACTGCACTCCAGCCTGGGCAACACAGTGAGACCCTGTCTCAAGAAACATGATTCTGGAGCTTCTGCCTTATCCTCCATCCAGGCTGCTGACCTAGGGGCCCATCTTAGCTCTGCAGAAGGCCCACTGATATAGTTTGGCTCTGTGTCTCCACCCAAATCTCACCATGAATTGTAATAATCCCCATGGGTCAAGGGCAACACCAGGTGGAGTTAACTGAATCTTGGAGGCTGTTTTCCTGATGCTTCAGCATCCATTCTCTCTCCTGCCACCCTGTGAAGAGGTGCCTTCCGACATGATTGTAAGTTTCATTTTTATATACAAAGCATGTCAGAGCACTGACTTTTAGGAGTTCATAATATTGATTTAGCTCTAGGTCAATTAGACAATGTCTTCCAAAACCATTTCTTTTTTCCCACAAAGAGCAAGTAGTTGGTAAGTTTCCTAGGTCCTTACACGTTCTATAATATTTTGCTTCTACCCTCAACATAAATAAAAACTTAGCCAAGTTTAAAATCTGTGGATCTAAACATCTTAGGCCTCCCCAGCCACGCAGAACTGTGAGTCAATTAAACCTCTTTTCTTTATAAATTACCCAGTCTCAGGTATGTCTTTATAGCACCATGAGAACAAACTAATACACCCACTTTGCTCTGTCATACCCCTGGGCAGCCCATTTGGCTCTGTACTGCATATCCTTGCTACCCAGGAACCCAGGACAGCTCAGGAGAGCCAAATCTCAGGGTGTTTCCCTGTCTGATACTCTGCAACCAGATTCATGTGACTGCACCCCAAGATGGTGCTGGGGAAACATGAGAGGCAAGCCTCAGAAGTAGAGTCATAGATGAGAAATGTAGGCTGAGGGTCTCCTTTGCACTCTGTAATACCTTCATTTATCCATATATCTGCCTCCTGTAGCACCTTCATTTATCCGTATGGCTGCCCTTCTCAGGCTGGAGAGAGGAAAATTGGCACATCTATATTAGAGGGCGAGATTTTCCCTTTCCTCTTTCTAGCGATAAGTCTCTTAAATAAAAATCTGCAATCTAAATGACAAAAATAGTTGGCTTGGGTTGTGTTAGGGTAGGGGAGATTATGAGATTTAGACAAACATTTCTTCGGAACATACTTCGGATTGCAAGATATTGTCTGATGCAGAATCCCATTATTGAATTTCAGAAGCTGAATTTTACTTCAGTTTTCCTATGCTTTCTTTTGATAATAAACTCCCTTCAGACTGATAGAGTTTATTACAGGCTGATTAGGGCTGACTAGGATGAGGGAAGTTTACAGAGAAAAGCAACATGTTACTGTGTTACCTTTAGATTAGAGGACCCTAATATTTATATATTTTATCTAACATGTATGTTATATGTAAATATACAAAATTTAACAAGTTATGTATAATGATTATTTCTAGTATATAGTAATAGTAGTATACTGTTTTTTCTTTATATTAGCCAGAAATGTTATTTTTCTAAGTTCACTATAATGCATATGCATTACTTCTATAATAAAAGCACACTAAGTAATGCTTACAAATGTTGTAAAAGCAAGAAGTTTAGGAACTTACAATTGCCAAAGCAGATAATACATAACAAAATTCAAAATGGCAATAATGGCCAGGCGTGGTGGCTCACGCCTGTAATCCCAGTACTTTGAGAGGCCAAAGTGGGAGGATCACTTCAACTGAGGAGTTTGAGACCAGCCTCAGCAACCTGGGGAAATCCCATCTCCACAAAAAATACAAAAATTAGCCAGGTGTAGTGGTGAGCAGCTATAGTCCCAGCTACTGGGAAGGCTGAGGTGGGAGGACCACTTGAGCCCAGGAGGCCAAGGCTGGAGTGAGCCGAGATCATGCCCCTGCACTCCAGCCAGGGCAATGGATGCAGACCCTGTCTCAAAAACAAAACAAAAAAAAAGGGCAGTAATAACTTGTAGGACAGAATTGTGAGACATAATATATTAACAAATTTATATAAATAAGAGTCAAAATATAATTTTCTTTTAAAAACCCATATGTTGGGAAGCCAAGGGGAGCAGATTGCCTGAGCTCAGGAGTTCAAGACCACCCTGGGCAACATGGCAAAACCCCATCTCTACTGAAATACAAAAAAAAAAAAAATTTAGCTGGACATGGTGGTGCATCCCTGTAGTCCCAGCTGCTTGGGAGGCTGAGGTAGGAGAATCGTTTGAACCTGGGAGGCAGAGGTTGCAGTGAGTGGAGATTGCGCCATTGCACTCCAGCCTGGGAGACAGCGAGACTCCATCTCAAAAACAAAACAAAATAAGCAAACAAAAAACAAAAACCCGTATGTGTTTTTAACTTTTAAATAGTCAGAATGTTCAGATGGAAAAATCCACTCACTTGTTCATATGTTGCTATGACTGGTCAGGGGACTTATACAAACATGTTAAATAATACAGGTGGCATACTTGATGTAAATGGTCATTGTTTTGCCCATAGGTACAGTCTTTCTTTAAGTTGACCTCACTGTCTGTTTCTTTCTTCTTCTTACTGAGGGCTAATTCTGGAAGGAAAAAGCTAGAATTCTGTTCCAAAGCCTGGCTTTTATCACTGTTTTTCTTTCTCTTCAAAGGAGAAGAATGGAAGGACGTTACAAAACAAGAACCATAGCTTGTTGGAGAAGATGAATTACCAAGTGGAGGAATCAAATCAGGGCCACCGATGGTGCCGTAAATCATAAGAGTGGGCTGTCAAGGGAAACCCCATAGGAGATTTAGGACTTGGCACCACCTATCCATCTCGTCCAGGATGCATTTAGTGGACTCATGTGCTCAAGTGATATTTGGGGGCACGGATCTCTTGGGGCTCTTATCAAAAGCTTCTGTGACTAATTAGAAAGGAATCCATCCCCATGCCTTTCTCTGGAGCTGTGTGAATACTGTGAGGTGCTAGAAATGAATGTCTACATTTGTGTCATTTCAACTCCATCCCAAATGTTTGGAGTAAGAGCCGGCTGTCTGTGTACTTCTCCATCTTTCTCTTGGAACTAACAGTTAAGCAGTACATCAACAGTGCCGTTCCTAAAAAATTCTGGATTATGAAAATAGGAATGACATTTCATGTCGGGGAGAGTGCCAAGGTGTCATTGACTAATAATCCCACCTCACTAAATTCCCGTATGGAAAGACCAGATCACCAAGCTGGTTCTTTCTTCCTGTTTTCAAGGATTACTGCCTGAGCACTGGTGCTTAGGAAAAAACAGGCTCCACATGTTTTAGGATGGAATTTTCTAGAATCGCCTGGTTTTCTCTCGGGCACTTTCACCATCTCGGTTTGGTATCTCTGTTCAATTGAAGCTGGCTTTCCGCTGGCAGCTCTTGTTTGGTCCTCTCCTGATTTCAGGACGTTCTGTTAACTCTCTTCTTCAGCCAATTCCCAAGTGTCATCCATCAACAGTTTGAACTCAGGCAGGCATGTGAAGCTAGCACCCAGCAAAGTGGTTTGGAAAGTGATGATGTTAGGCAGAGTGTGGGTAACTTTCAAACCAAACCAGCTGAATTCAGTCAAGCAACCAAGCAGTTTGTAACTGGTTGGTTGTGGTCCAACTGTAGGAAGAGTTGATATCTTTCAAAGCCATCTGTGTATATAGACACAGTGTTACTTTCCATAAGCTGACATCCTTATCATCATTCCTCTTAATCAGCACATTAATACTTCTTACCCTTTAGGTTTTTTTCATGCTTGATGGTATATTTCATTAGGGAACTGATTTATTCAAGACACAATATTCCTCTGGTAAACCTGATTTCATCTATAAAAGAGGTTCTTTGAGCAAGATAGAATTTTACAAGCACAAGCAATTTCAGTTGCAATGTCCTTCTAAGTCTGGGAACTGGAAATATAATTTGCAGTGAGCTCCATCTTCTTCAATTTGTCCTCCTCCTTTTCTTCCTCCTCTCTCTTTCATTTTCCTTCAGGCTCTCAGCACATCACATTGTTAATCTAGATTCCAGAGGCTAAGCATTGCTAGGAATGGGGAAAGAACATGAATCACCTCTTTCCCTCCTTTTTCTGCTCCAATTTTAAATATGTGAATCATAACTCTAGGAAAATATGCTGGGCAAAAAAAGGAAATATGTAGGGAAAGAGGGGGGAAACACACACGTGGTCCAATTTCCAGCCAGCTTCTGCAAGGCAGCCAACAGACAGGCTAAGAATCTAAGACAATGTCTGACAGGTTGCTATTTTGAGCTTGCTTTCCTCAAAAATATTTTTGGGCCCAAAATATTGCAGCACCTACCTGCCATGTGAAATTGTAAGAGAACACTCAGAGAAGGCAAAAAAGAGTGTCTAGTCACTCTTTTTCTAGTAAAAGGATGACTTCTGATCTTGTCAATCTATTTTGCAGCTCATAAAAGTTGTTGATTTAAATAATCTATGACAAGACTCCATGGGTTCAGTTTGCAGAGAACAATTTGCTAGCTGGATTTTTCACTAGATTCAATTGAAATTTTTCGTGTTTTTTTTTGTTTTGTTTTGTTTTTTTTTGTAGAGACAGGGTCTTGCTATGTTGCCCAGGCTGGTCTCAAACTCCTGGCTTCAAGCAATCCTCATGTCTCAGCCTCTAAAAGTGCTGAGATTACAGTGTGAACCACTGCACCCGGACACTATGTTTAATTTTAGTGACTTGTCACAGTGGACATTAATGTCTTACTTTTATTTCTCTGCTTACGACTTGCCTGGGCCCTTTATGTTCTTGGATCCCTCAACAGAGCTGTCCTCTGTTTGCTTTAATGCAACAGTCCCCAACCCTTTTGGCACCAGGGACCAGTTTCACGGAAAACAATTTTTCCGTAGACAGTGGGGGTGAAGGGGATGGTTTCGGGATGATTCAAGTGCATTACATAGATTGTGCACTTTATTTCTATTATTATTACATTGTAATATATAATGAAATAATTCTACAACTTGCCATAATGTAGAATCAGTGGGAACCCTGAGCTCATTTTCCTGCAACTAGATGGTCCCATCTGGGGGTGATGGGAGACAGTGACAGATAATCAGGCATTAGATTCTCGTAAGGAGCGTGCAACCTAGATCCCTCACATGCACATCACAACACGGTTCCCGCTCCTGTGAGAATCTAATGCTGCCACTGATGTGACAGGAGGTGGAGCTCAGGCGGGAATGTGAGTGATGGGGGTCAGCTGTATGGTACAGGTGAAGTTTCGCTCAGCTGCCTGCGGCTCACCTTCTGCTGTGAAGCCCGGTTCCTAAGAGGCCATAGACCAGTACCAGTACTGGTGCCAGTCTGTGGACCAAGGGTTGGGGACCCCTGCTCTTATGGGCTTGCTTCCTAGGTCATAACCTGGTCAGAGAAGACAGTTGTACTTCTGGCTTTCTACCTCCCAGAATGCTGGGAACCCACACCTTCTACACTCCTTTCTTCCCCTTGGCAGGTCCCAGGTGGTTCAAGCTTTGACACTTCTTGATAGTCATTGACGTTTTCTTGAGTTGTCCACAGTGTAGCTGCCTGGGTCATAGACCACTGACCTTGACTTCATTCATTGCTCAAGGAGTGCTACAACTCCTCTGTTAGACTCTCCGAATAGAGGCCCTGGTCTTTTTGCTTCCTTGTAACTCCCACTCTCCTAGAACAAATTCCATCAGGGCTGCTAGAAAAAGGTTTACAGAGCCACCATCTCCCTCTTGGAGGGCCAGGTCTTGCTGCTCCTGCAAGGTAAGAAGCTCTGGGGTATGTGGGAACACCTCATTCCCAGTTAAAGAGACAGAATACACTTTGGGAGGCTGAGGCAGGCGGATCAGGAGGTCAGGAGATAGAGACCATCCTGGCTAACATGGTGAAATCTCGTCTCTACTAAAAATACAAAAAAATTAGCCGGCATGGTGGCAGGTGCCTATAGTCCCAGCTACTCAGGAGGCTGAGGCAGGAGAATCACTTGAACCTGGGAGGTGGAGTTTGCAGTGAGCCGAGATCACACCACTGAACTCCAACGTGGGTGACAGAGCGAGACTCCGTCTCAAAAAAAAAAAAAAAATAAAAGAGACAGAATAAGGAATGTAAAGGTGTGGGGTCCCAGCATTCTGGGAGGTAGAAAGCCAGAGGTATAACTGTCTTCTCTGACCAGGCTGTGGGCCAGGAAGCAAGTCCATTAGAGCATATGGGTCCTAAGAACATAAAGGGCCCAGGCAAGTCATAAGCAGAGAAATACAAGTAAGAAATAAGTGTCCACTCTGGCAAGTCACTAAAATTGAACACAGTGGCCAGGTGCAGTGGCTCATGCATATAATCCCAGTGCATTGGAAGACCAAGCTAATAGAATCGCTTGACCTTGTTTCTACCAAAAAGAGAGAAAAAAAACCTAAAATTGAATGTAGTGATAAGTCCAGCTAACAAATTGTTTCCTGAAGACACAGCCCACAAAGTCTATTTTTTTTTTTGAAATGGAGTCTCACTCTGTCACCCAGGCTGGAATGCAGTGGCATGATCTTGGCTCACTGCAACCTCCACCTCTCGGGTTCAAGCGAGTCTTCTGCCTCAGCCTCCTGAATAGCTGGGATTACAGGCACACCCCACCACACCTGGCTAATTTTTGTATTTTTAGTAGAGATGGAGTTTCACTATGTTGGCCAGGCTGGTCTTGAACTCCTGACCTCAAGTGATCCACCCTCCTTGGCTTCCCAAAGTGCTGGGATTACAGACGTGAGCCACTGTGCCCATCCACAAAGTCTTTTAATAGATTATTTAAATCAACAACTTCTATAAGCTGCAAAATAGATTGACAAAATCAGAAGCCATCCTTTTTCCAGTCACTCTTTCTTGCCTTCTCTGTCTTCTGTGTAGACAGCATTCCTCTGAATAGATGTTCTTGTCTCTTTAACTAGCAATGGGGTGTTTTCATCTACAGCAGAGCTTCTTACCTTGCAGGAGCAGCAAGACCTGGACCTCCAAGAGGGAGATGGTGGCTCTGTAAGCCATTTTCTAGTGGCTCCAGTGGAATTTGTTCCAAGAGAGTGGGAGTTACAAGGATGCAAAAGGACCAAGGCCACTATTCGGAGAGTCTAACAGAGGAGTTTAGCACTCTTGGAGGAAAGAAGGAAGTCAAGGTCGGTGATCCACGACCCAGGGCAGCTGCACTGTGGACAACGCAAGAAAACCTCAGTGGTTATCAGAGGAATGTTGGCTACTGCACAGCCACTAGAAAGACGTTGAGACAGGGTACCAGGCAGCCCAGGAGGGCCATTGCTTAGAGCTGCTTACAGTGAGTCTGCAGCTCCCAATGACTTACTTTATTATTTGCCTGGATCTGAGAAACTGTTCTCCAGAGGCTGATGAAGGTCTAGGGCAATGCTTTATACTCCTGCATAGCATCTGTTTTCCATTTCTGTTCCCCATAAATTGCATTGTTTGGCCACTTGCCTGCACTTGCCTCTCCCTGCCCCTTCCCCTTCCTTTCTCTCCTCTAGATACCTTTTCTCTTAGGAAGAACAGGATCATTTCTCTCCCAAACAGGTCTTCCCACAGAGGAAAATGCTGAACAATACCAAATGTGGCCTTTGGTTTGTGGCTGCACCTGGCAACTAGTCAGAGAATTGCCTCTGGACTTTCTTCCCATTTTGCGGACACAGCCTCAGTTCGTGCATATTCAGTAGGGCTTGAAATTGTCTGTATGACAGTGGTTCCAATGTTAAGGGCAATGTGGGCAGCTTCTCATGTTACTTCTGGAGAATCACTTTCCAGGTTCTTCTCTCTTTCCCTCTCCATCCTCCCCCAATTCCCCTTTATCTTCACTTCTAATTG
Organism: Homo sapiens; assembly: GCF_000001405.40. Taxonomy (NCBI): domain Eukaryota; kingdom Metazoa; phylum Chordata; class Mammalia; order Primates; family Hominidae; genus Homo; species Homo sapiens. The sequence continues at coordinate 56,192,803 of NC_000007.14, forward strand.
CAAAAATGGAGGAGGAAAGTAAGGTGAAAGTGGAGATCCTAAAATAGGTCAGGCCATCATGCAGGTTCTAAAATAAACGTCATCAATGCCAAGTCACTGAACCACATAGCCCAAGCTGACAGTGCCTCATTACCTGCTGTTCTGACGGGATTTTAAAGTCACAGCAAGCATCAGTGTCAAAGACTTACAAAAGAGCCTCCAAAACAAAAACAAAAACAGGGAAGGCAATTTTGGGATGAGCAGGGAAGATGGGATAAGGGAAATGAAGAAAGACCCTGCCATACTAGGATCGAAGCGCAAACCAGAATGTGCTCTTTTGTAATCCACGTTGCTATTTTTGGTTATCAATGGGCTTGTGGCGGGTGGAAAGGGGGAGGAATAAATCCATCCTTGCTCCAGTGCAGGTTTGAACTTTGTGAGGATGGAATGGTAAGCACACAACATAGGGTTTTGTGCGTCAGCACAACTTTGTGTTAAGTTGTTCTCAGAGGGTATCTTGTAAGGGAATGTGAAAATGAATTACTGTGTTTGTTCTGGAGGCTGGAATGCAACTACTGAGATGTGATAGAAAAACTGGTCTTAACACTGCCCAGTAAAACAGTATTTCCCCCTACACTTATGTATGGCACCTATGGTCCATTTAGTCCCACATACACAAAGTAATCTCTTTGGTAGTCAAACTCCCATGAGCCATCCAGAGTACACAGCAGGAAGAACTCTGTTGTCTAGCAACCAATGGAACATTACAACACTAGATAAATTGAATCAATATTGCTCTAAATATTGAACCCTTAGATGATGCAAAAACCCTCAAAGCCATGTCCATAACTCCTCTGCTCTTTCCTCTCCTAGACTTAGCAGCCGAGGAGAACCAGCTGGTGTTTTGACAATCTGTGGAGACCCATGGGGAGGGAGGACTGGGGGAGAGCATGCTGAGTTCCACGGGGGAACCCAGCAGTAGTCATTCCAGAAAGGAGATATGAAAGCTGAATCCCTAGGAATCTGGAGCCTCCTGTCCACCTTCGCAGCACTGGGTGGCCTGGAAGTGAAGTCATCGTCCTGAGTTCCTGACCTGCTGGTGTCTGGTCAGGAATCACTGAAGTTGAGGAGATCAAGGTCATCAACAATGGTTTTTATGAAGAACACTTGAGTTGCTGGGCGCAGTGGCTCATGCCTGTAATCCCAACACTTTGGGAGGCTGAGGTGGGAGGATCATTTGAGCCCAGGAGATTGAGATCAACCTGGGCAATATAGTAAGACCCCCATCTCGAAAAAAATTAAAATTAGCCAGGTGCAGTGGTGAACACCTGTAGTTCAAGCTACTCAGGAGGTTCATTTCTACCAAGGTGCAAGGGGCTGGTTAAAATAAAAGAGGCTTTAAGGGAAAGGAAGTTCCAATATGTCAATCTGAGGGTTGTGAGCAGACAGAGAAGGTGCAGCTCACCACTGGGGCTTGGTGAGGAGGCAGGAGGATCACTTGAGCCCAGGAGTTGGAGGCTGCAGTAAGCTGTGATTGCACCACTGCACTCCGTTATTCTCCTGACACTTTGTCCTCCATCATATTATCACTCACGCTTGGATTAGGCTGTGGAAATGGGGACTTGCAACATTGGAGGGAAAACCTTAAAACTGTCAAGGATAATTTATCCGTAGCTCACCAGGAAGGCCCCCAGGAAGATAAACTGTCCACAGGGGTCCCTTGTGGCACATTCTTTTTTCCCTGCTGTTTTCTACCTTCAGCATTTTTTTCCTGCCCATCAACTGTCTTATTCTTCCAATCTCCATGGGGTGCATCTCCATTTTCCTTTTGAGAAATCTATTAGGTTGGTGCAAAACTAATTGTGGTTTTTGTCATTAGAAGTAATGCCGTTTGGCTGGGTGTGGTGGCTCATGCCTGTAATCCCAGCACTTTAGGAGTCAGATGTGGGCAGATCACTTGAGGTCAGGAGTTCGAGATCAGCCTGGCCAACATGGCAAAACCCCGTCTTTACTAAAAATACAACAATTAGCCAGGAATGGTGGTGTGCACCTGTAATCCCAGCTACTCAGGAGGCTGAGGCAGTAGAAACGCTTGAAGCCAGGAGGTGGAGGTTGCAGTGAGCCAAGATTGTGCCATTGCACTCCAGCCTGGGTGACAGAGCGAGCCTCTGTCTCAAAAAAAAAAAAAAAAAAAAGTAATGCCATTAAAAGTAATGGCAAAAACTGCAATTAGTTTTGCACCAAACTAATATCTCCCTATCCTCAGGGAAATCTCTGAATCTTAAGATCCATTACTACTTTCCTCTATCCTACCCCAGAGGTGCATTGATCCAACAGTAGCTCATTAAATTCATGATAACACCTAGTTCAGGGAAACTACTGCTTCTGCTATCCCAAGGCAGAAAAACCACAGATGCCCCACGTGGGTCTCAGGCAAGTTCATGCCACATCCCTTCTCTAAGTTCTCTGTGCAGGTCTATTTCTGGACAGGTGTCTAAGTCCACTATGCTCATTTTCCCTCATTATCACCATCATCATGGCTGTTTGTCACTCTGCTCCTACACGTCAGGCACTGTAAAATACATTCTTCCACTGCTTCCACTGCACATTAGACATCATCAGCCCCGTTTTGCAGAGGAGCAAATGAAAGCATAGAGAGAGCATACAATTTGTCCAAGGACACCCAGCTAATATGTGGGAGCTGTGATTTGAATCAAGTTCTTCCATCTGAAGTCAAGGCTGTTCTGGAGTTTCAGTTTTGTGGAGGCTAGAGAGGAGATGGCTTATAAGCAAATGCTCTAGGAGTATAAGAAGGACACAGCAGGTGACTGGCAGAATCTTGCCTTCACTTGGAAAATCAGGAGACCTGGATTTTAGTCAAAGTTTTATTGAACTCCCAATTTTTCTTTTCATCATCTACAAAATGCCCAAATTCCTATCTAAGGGATCTGGGGAGTCATGCCCTACAAACCATAAATTCTCATCAGATTGGTTTTACTTAACACTATATATCATAACTTGCTTTCCAATATGACTCTGTCATAACATTATGTGATAAAGAAGAAAATCAAAATATTTTACCCCAAACATGTTTCTTTCACATATTTTGAAATGGCCCTGCAAAGCTGTCCTTTGTGGGGGAAAATTTGCATCTGTAAAGACTCTCTAACATAGCTAGATCTTTTTCTTCTAGGCCCTCCCAATCCTGAAGAGATTAACTACTGGGGGAACCAGCCCCCAATATTTCAACATAGATTCTTTTCTACTTTCCCTAAGTGTCAGCCAGTCTGAGAAATAAAGAGAAAGAGTACAAAGAGAGAAATTTTAAAGCTGGGCCTCCCAGGGTGTCATCACATATTGGTAGGACTGTGATGGTGACCTCAAGCTGCAAAACCAGCAAGTTTTTATTAGGGATTTTGAAAGGGGAGGAGGTGTACAAACACGGAGTAGGTCACAAGGATCACATGCTTCAACGGGCCATAAAGATCACAAGGTGAAGGCAAAATTAGAATTACTGATGAGGGTCTGTGTCCCGCTGTGCATGCACTGTCTTGATAAACATCTTAACAGGAAATAGGGTTCGAGAGCAGAGAACCAGTCTGACTAGAATTCACCAGGCTGGTATTTCCCAATCCTAGCAAGCCTGAGGGCACTGCAGGAGACCAGGGCGTATTTCAATCCTTATCTCAACCGCATAAGACAGACACTCCCACAGCGGCCGTTCATAGACCTACCCCCAGGAATGCATTCCTTCCCCAGGGCTATTCCTTGCTGGGAAAAGAATTCAGCAATATTTCTCCTACACACTTTCTGCAAGAAGAAAAATATGGCTGTATTCTGCCTGACCCCGCAACAATTAACTAAGAATCTAGCACCTTTTAAAGATCTGAATAGGAAGCACTTGTCATCTATTGTCTCTAAGGGCAGCCACTATGAGAGTTTAAAAGAACCTTGGTCTCCACAATCTTTTATCTCACCCTGAACATTTCCTTTCTATTGATTCCAGGTCTTTAGACAAACTCAACCCATTGTCATCCAAAAAATGTTTAAATTTGCCTATAGCCTGGAAGTCTCCCTCCCCTCATCCCCCTGCCCTGTCCCCTCTCCCTCTTCCCCCTCCCCCTTTCCCTTCCCCTCTCCCCCACTTTGAGTTGTCCTGCCTTTTTGAACAAAACCAATGTATTTCTGAAATGTATTTGATTGATGTTTCACGCCTCCTTAAAATGTGTAAAACCAAGCTGTGCCCTGACCACCCTGAGCACTTGGAGAGCTTTGTCACGGGCCATGGTCATCATATTTGGCTCAGAATAAATCTGTTCAAATATTTTACAGACTTTGACTCTTCAACAACACTTTTTAGCAACACAAATGGATGAAGAAGATAAGACTTGAATTCAATCTGGAGTCTGCAGCCTGGCTAAGCTGACCCACAGCCTGGAGCAGGCATGTCCCACGAACTCCACAGACCTGGGAGCTAGCAAAAGAAATGCTTGCTGCAGTGAGACAGGATGTTTTGGGGAAGTTTATTATGCAGCAATAGCTGATTGATATATTATTTTTATATGGGGAAAAGTGGGTCATATCATATGGAGAGAAAGATGGGGTGGTGGAAAAAAAGAAAGGTTATTGGGTTACCAGGGAGGAGAGGAACCTGTTGTCTATCATAGGTCCTTCAGGAAGGACCTTGTAGCAAGAGTTTCTCTGAACTTTCCAGATCTATCATTGTGCCAGACAAGCCACGAGGCTAAAATTTTTTTTTTAAGGCAAAAATTCAATGGTGGCCTGTGCAGAGCTGAAAGGGCAAAACTGGAAGGAAGTAAGAGAATAACCTTTTACAACAGGCAAAATTGATGGCTGATTCAACAGCCCCAGAGGCTTGTGTAGCTCAGCAACTTACAGCAGCCATTCTTCTTGTTCATTTTGGTGAAGTTATTCGTGCGAAGAGTAAGGGTCCCCACTCTGCCCAGGTGCAGGAGGAGATTCAGAAAATTTAAAGAAATATGGGCATAATTTAATTCATCCTTGATGCTGATAGAAAGTTCCAGAGACATGGCCATAACATATCAACCAGTTTTATGCCCATCTTTGGAAATGGTAACAAGATGCTTTTAACCATCGTGGTGGTATATTTCTTGCATAGAAATAATTTTTTAAATGGAATACTTAAAAAAAAGCATTTGATACCAGTAAGGTTTTTCCAGAGGGCGTTGAAAAGAATTGGACTAAGCTTAGAAAAATGAGTTATCTGTTACCCAGAAAAAGCAGGTAGATCACTGCTGACAGAGCAATTTAATTTTAGCCCACATGTTTCAACACAAATTTATACCTCCCATGCAATTAGCTAAAATAACTGAAATAGGCAAGTGCCCAAAGTACAGTAATTTATTATTCAAATTAAGCAGAATTTATAAACTCATTGGCAGTTACTTGTTTGACTTGACTTTTCTTTCTGTGAGGATAAGCCTTTCTGTTGGAAGGGACCACCTAGATCAGAGTGATGTCCACCTCTACCAGCTACAGAGGTACTTAGCTTCTGAATGAACACTTGGCTCTTAGTATGTTATTAAAGGAAAATTCAACTGGAATTGTTGGTTATATTTCTCTGTCTTATCTTCCAGGAATCTTTATTTGTTTGTTTTTTAAGAGACAGGGTCTGGCTTTGTTGCCCAGGCTGGAGTACTGTGGCACGATCATAGCCCACTGCAGCTTTGAATTCCTGGACTCCCACCTCAGCCTCCCGAAAAGCTGAGACCACAGGCATGTGCCACTGCACCTGTCCAATTTTTAATTTTTTTTTTTTGTAAGGAAGAAGTCTTGCTGTATTGCCTAGGCTGACCTTGAACTCCTGGGCTAAAGCGATCCTCCTGCCTTGGCCTCCTAAAGTGTTAGGATTACAGGTGGGAGCCACCCTGCCTAGACTTATCTTCCAAGAATCTTGGAGGGCAAGCATTGAGTTTTGAACCACTCTATTTTCTTCCTTGCCTCGTTGTGCAAAGCACGGTGTCTTGAACTTTGGAGTTCTGTAAATACATTTTTATTATCATGGCAGACCCATTTGGTTGGCCAACCCAGACATCATTTGTGTTTCCTCTTCTACCTAGCCATCTTCAGACTAGGCACACATGACTCCATTCTGGCCAATGCATTGTAAACTGAAGCCTCTAGGTGGGGTTTTGGGAAATATACATATTTTTAAATTGGTATGCCACATTAGCTGTTTTGTACCTTTCTCTTCTTGCATGCACACGTGAGGCTCAGAAGGGCAGTAACCATCCTGTGACCCTGAAGCAATAGGCGCGTGGATGAAGGTCCACACCCTAAAGATGGCAGAGCAAAATGATGTGAAGAGCTTGTGTTGGAACTGGCTTTTACCAGCTTACAAGAATTGACCAATAACTTTTCAAAAATTTTGCATGTCTCTTGATTAGCACAGCCATGATTAAAATTGCCTTATATAAACTTACAATGAAGTAAGTTATATTAAAACAAAGATAATAGTGAAAACTTTTTTTTTTACCATGTTACTACTATCTAATGCTTGTGAGGTTATTTATGTGTGTAATATTTATGGTGGAAATATCTTATACTGCAATGCAATTGAGTGTTTCTTCCCAGCTCTGCACTTAGATGTGTCACATTGATAGCTGGAAATCAAACCATGGTGGAAGTACGTGCACTATGGAAATTGACAAACACTATGGAAATTGACAAACACTATGGAAATTGACAAAACATAAGTACTGTCCCTTCAGAATGGTTGTTAAACATTTACCAGCTCACCACTGCTGGCTTCCTGGTGGATCACTGATTCGACATCTCAGCCTCAGACTACCCTCTCCTAGAATTCTTATTGGATAGACAAATACGCCCCAATGTTTTAAAGTCAATATTAGTCAAGGTTTCTTATGTTATTGCAACAAAAATTATGTCTAACGTGTATAACTATTAAGTCATTTATCGCACCATACCAAACACAGCTGGAAAATATTCAATATCAAACCACGAATGAGCAGAAGAAGAAAGAAATCCTACTGGGAACTGAAGTCAGGCAGTTGGAATTTGCAGAAGGAAATCCTGGCAGCCTGTGGTGTTTGAGGCATTACATAAACATCTGATACTTGACTCAGTAACTATCAGCACTTGGTGTCAGCATATAAATGTAGGGTTGGAAAACTAGACAAATTGATTTTCCATTCCTCTCATTCTAGTTTCTTCCTTTTTTTTATTATACTTTAAGTTTTAGGGTACATGTGCACAACGTGCAGGTTAGTTACATATGTATACATGTGCCATGTTGGTGTGTTGCACCCAGTAACTCGTCATTTAACATTAGGTATATCTCCAAATGCTATCCTTCCCCCCTCCCCCCTCCCCACAACAGGCCCCGGTGTGTGATGTTCCCCTTCCTGTGTCCATGTGTTCTCATTGTTCAGTTCCCACCTATGAGTGAGAACATGCGGTGTTTGGTTTTTTGTCCTTGCGATAGTTTGCTGAGAATTATGGTTTCCAGCTTCATCCATGTCCCTACAAAGGACATGAACTCATCTTTTTTTAATGGCTGCATAGTATTCCATGGTGTATATGTGTCACATTTTCTTAATCCAGTCTATCATTGTTGGACATTTGGGTTGGTTCCAAGTCTTTGCTATTGTGAATAGTGCTGCAATAAACATACATGTGCATGTGTCTTTATAGGAGCATGATTTATAATCCTTTGGGTATATACCCAGTAATGGGGTTGCTGGGTCAAATGGTATTTCTAGTTGTAGATCCCTGAGGAATCGCCACACTGACTTCCACAATGGTTGAACTAGTTTACAGTCCCACCAACAGTGTAAAAGTGTTCCTCTTTCTCCACATCCTCCTCCAGCACCTGTTGTTTCCTGACTTTTGAATGATCGCCATTCTAACTGGTGTGAGATGGTATCTCACTGTGGTTTTGATTTGCATTTCTCTGATGGCCAGTGATGATGAGCATTTTTTCATGTGTCTTTTGGCTGCATAAATGTCTTCTTTTGAGAAGTGTCTGTTCATATCCTTCACTCACTTTTTGATGGGGTTGTTTTTTTCTTGTAAATTTGTTTGAGTTCATTGTAGATTCTGGATGTTAGCCCTTTGTCAGATGAGTAGATTGCAAAAATTTTCTCCCCTTCTGTAGGTTGCCTGTTCACTCTGATGGTAGTTTCTTTTGCTGTGCAGAAGCTCTTTAGTTTAATTAGATCCCGTTTGTCAATTTTGGCTTTTGTTGCCATTGCTTTTGGTGTTTTAGACGTGAAGTCTTTGCCCATGCCTATGTCCTGAATGGTATTGCCTAGGTTTTATTCTAGGGTTTTTGTGGTTTTAGGTCTAACATTTAAGTCTTTAGTCCATCTTGAATTAATTTTTGTATAAGGTGTAAGGAAGGGATCCAGTTTCAGCTTTCTACGTATGGCTAGCCAGTTTTCCCAGCACCATTTATTAAATAGGGAATCCTTTCCCCATTGCTTGTTTTTGTCAGGTTTGTCAAAGATCAGATGGTTATAGATATGCGGCATTATTTCTGACGGTTCTGTTCTGTTCCATTGGTCTATATCTGTGTTTTGGTACCAGTACCATGCTGTTTTGGTTACTGTAGCCTTGTAGTATAGTTTGAAGTCAGGTAGCGTGATGCCTCCAGCTTTGTTCTTTTGTCTTAGGATTGACTTGGCAATGAGGGCTCTTTTTTGGTTCCATATGAACTTTCAAGTAGTTTTTTCCAATTCTGTGAAGAAAGTCATTGGTAGCTTGATGGGGATTGCATTGAATCTATAAATTACCTTGGGCATTCCTCTCATTCTAGTTTCTTCCTTTCGTTGATGCTGTAGTCACGGATCTTATTACTAGCATAACAGTCAGTAATATAAATATGTTATTTCTCTGGTTAAAGAATAATTCTTTTCAAAGCTGTATAATGTGATAAACTGACCCTGACTGATGACCATAAAAATAATTTACCCTTTTCTCCAAAGCTGTCAAAAAATTCTCAAGCTCTATAACCTATAAGCTGTCTAACCTTAAGCCACTGTTATATATTTTTCACATTTTATGAGTTAAAATAGACCTGAGAGTTAAGAAGAGGAATCATTGGTACATCTACTTCCCAGCCTGGAATATTAAGGGTCAGAGAGGTTAACTTATCTGTTCAAGGTGAAAAAAAATAGAAAGTGGGGCTCGATTACAATTGATTCTATCTCTTCATTACTCTTTTTCTTTCTCAGAATCACATTTCTGTATTCCAGTATAAATATTGAGTTTGAACGCATGAAAATTATTTTTCTGGTATTTAAACAGGGTGGTTGGATTTTGTTTTCCTTTCTGGCCTGAGGCTGTTAAGAAGAGCCAGAGATCAAGAATTTGAGTCTTTGAATGCAAAATAAAAAGCATTGCCAATGGAACTAGGTTTGTTACTGGGGATTCTTGGTGGGGAATAATATGTTCTGGCAAAAAATGAGGAGGTCTATTTTCTCCTCCTCCTCTTATATAGTCTCCTTTTAGTTTCATACCTTTACCTTCTTACTTTTTTTTTTTTTTTCAAGATACAGTGTCTTGCTCTGTAGCCCCAGCTAGAGTGCAGTGGTGCAATCATAGCTTACTGCAGCCTTGAACCCCTGGGCTCACATCTGTAATTCCAACACTTTGGTAGGCCAAGGAGGGAGGATTGCTTGATCCTGGGAGTTCAAGACCACCCTGGGCAACATACTGAAGCCCTGTCTCTACAAAAAATTTAAAAATTAGCCAGGCCTGGTGGCATGTGCCTGTAGTCCCAGCTAGTCAGGAGGCTGAGGTGGGAGGATCACTTGAGCCTGGGAGGTCCAGGCTGCAGAGAGCTATGATCATGCCACTGCACTCCAGCCTGAGTGACAGAGAAAGACTCTGTCTCAAAAAAAAAAATACAATCTGGAAGAGGAAGAATAGTTACTGGGGCATTTGAAGTTCAGTAACAGAGAAAATCTCAGTGGGCTGAAGATAATGTAAAAACACTCCAAGTTCTAGTGTGTTCTTCTCCATCTCTATTCTGTCCACAGATTATCAACTGGCTCAAGTGATCTTCCCACCTTGGGCTTCTGAGTAGCTGGGATGACAAGTGTGCACCACCATGCCTGGCTAATTTTTAAATTTTTTGTAGAGACAGGGTCTTGCTATATTTCCTGGGTTGGTCTCAAACTCCTGGAGTCAAGCAATCCTTCTGCATCGGCCTCCCACACATTTATTAATCTTTTATTGAATAAATGTTTGCTGAGCACCTACTATGTGCCAGGCAGTCTTTTAGGTTCTGGAGAATGCATGGTGGGAACAAAATGCCCCGGTCTCATAGATTAGGTGTGATGGGGAGGTGGAGCAAGAAAGACAATTAACGAGTTAACAGAGAGGCACCATGGAGAAAATGGAACAAGGTAATGTGTTGCAGTGTGGCTATAGGTGGGATGGGGTAATGTGATCAGGTCCTAAGAGGCAGCAAGAAGGAGGTATCTGAGTGGTGTCTTAGTTAGTGTAGGCTGCTATCACAAAGTACCATAGACTAGGTGGCTTATAAACAACAAAAATTTATTTCTCATAGTTCTGAAGGCTCAAAGTCTGATCTCAGTGTTCCAGCATGGTTGGGTTCTGGTGAGGGCCCTCTTCTGGGTTGTAGGTCACCAACTTCTCATATCCTCACACGAGCTGGAGAGCTCTCTGGGGTCTGGTTTTTTTTTTTTTTTTTTTGAGACGGAGTCTTGCTGTGTCAGCCAGGCTGGAGTGCAGTAGTACAATCTTGGCTCACTGCAACCTCCACCTCCCAGGTTCAAGTGATCCTCCCGCCTCAGCTTCCCAAGTAGCTGGGATTACAAGCATGCACCACCACAGCCAGTTAATTTTTGTATTTTTGGTAGAGACGGGATTTCGACATGTTGGCCAGGCTGGTCTCAAACTCCTCACCTCAAGTGATCCACCCGCCTCAGCCTCCCAAAGTTCTGAGATTACAGTCATGAGCCACTGAACCCAGCCTGGGGTCTCTTTCATAAGGACACTCATCCCATTCATGAGGACTTTTCTCTCATGACCTAAATTACCTTCCAAAGGCCCCACTTCCTAATATCATCACACTTGGGGTTAGGATTTCAACACACAGATTTGGGGGTAGGGGGCAGAGACATTCAGTCCATTGCAAGTGGGATCGGAATCACAGTTGATGGTCTTGCAAAGATTGGAGATAGGGCCCTAGGGCAGAAAGAATAGCAAGTGCCGAGCCCCTGAGGAACGAAAGAGCTTGGCATATTCATACAAAAGAAGGCAACCCTGTGTGGCTGGATAGTAGCCATCAATGGCAGGAAATGGAATTGTAGGACTATTTGGGACTAGTTCACACAGAAATTTGAAGTGATGGTGAGGACTTACTTTGTGTTTTATCGTAGTTACAATGGAAAACATTGCATATGTTTAGGCTCTAGAGGAGCACCGTGAACCAATGTGCAGTCACAAAAGAATAGAGGTGCCAGGGATATAGTAAGGAGGATCTTCTAGACTGCAAGAAATATTGATGGTTTGACTAAGAGTAGTGTGGATGGAGGAAAGTTTATGAATGAAACCTATTTTTGAAATAGAGTCACAGGTGATAGTGATGGACTTGATGCAAGGAGAAGATGTGTAGAGAAAATAGAAGAATCAATGGTGATGCTTTGGTTTTTGGCTTGAACAACTGGAGTGGCATTTACTAAGCTGAGGAGACTGGAAGAGGAAAAAATTTTTTTTCCCTTTGTAGGAAAAACACCCACAGTTCTGTTTCAAATATGTTAAGGAATCCTTCTAGAAATCTCATTATACATGACAAACAGTCTGCTGGATATAGGAGTTTGGAACCCAGGAAAAAGGTCAAGGCTTGAGCTAAAAATTTGCGGCTATATAAATAATCTTTAAAGCCAGTAGATAATCTGTGGACAGAGTAGAGATGGAGAAGAATACACTAGAACTTGGAGTGTTTCATTACATTATCTTCAGCCCGCTGATATTTCCTCTCTTACTCAAATGCCCCAGTAACGGTTCTTCCTCTTCCAGATCCTTTTTTTTTTTTTTTTTTTTTTGAGACAGGGTCTCACTCTGTCACCCAGGCTGGAGTGCAGTCGCCTGATTATAGATCACTGCAGTCTCTGCCTCCTGGGATGGTGTGTTCCTCCCACCTCAGCCTCCTGAGTAGCTGGGGGGACTACAGGCACATGCCATCACACCCGGCTAACTTTTAAACTTTTAAAATTTTTGTAGAGATAGGATCTTGCTATGTTGCTCAGGCTGGTGTCCAACTCCTGGGCTCAAGCGATCCTCCCACCTTGGCCTCCTAAAGTGCTGGGATTACAGATGTGAGCCCCCACACCCAGCCTCCAGATCCTTCTAATGGGCGTTCCCTAAGTTACTGCCATCAGCTCCCATTTCCACCCCTCAACAAGTTCCGTGATTCCTGGACAATCTCATGTATTTATGTAGATTCATCTGATCTATACTGGTGACTTTCCAAGTCTGTGATCCTGTCCTTATTGCTCACCCAACCTTAATTGTATCAAATCCACTCAATTCAAACCAATATAAGTCAAGAAGCATTTGTTGGACAATGTCCACATATCAGGCAGGTTGGTCGGTCATCACTGACTATACAGGATGGTACCACTTTAGTAACTCTAACCCTCAGCCTTGGGGGCATAGAAGCTTGATTTTCTCAGCATATTAAGTGGAGCAATTTCTCAGGGTGCAAATTAACCCAGCTCACAAAAATCTCATGTATATAAATCAAAATGTCAATTCATTAATTTACGATGAGAAATTCAACTTACAAGAGGAGGAGACATTTGCATTTGCCTGATCTGCACATTTTCTCCATCTAGGAAAACTACATAGAGAGCCAAATCATCAGAAGGTTGCATGGATTACGAGAGATCTGAGCAAGGGGCCTTGGTGGCAGATTTGAATGTTTAATATCATCAAGCAGGGATAGTTGGATGCATCTATGTCTGCAGAGAAATCAAACAAATCATGTGTTCCTATGCACTTCTAGGATACCAAAAGAGTGCTTAGATGGGCTTTGCCAAAATACATTTCTCCCATACTCCCTTTTCTATGTTCTGTGATCACATTTCCCTTTGGTCTAATACATTCTTTCTCTGGATAAGTTAATACAATAAAATCAGTTAACTCCCACTAGGTCTTATTTTTACCTAGGAACCAGTTCATCCCAGTAAGGGTAATGTACATATTTCTGATTTCATTCTTTATGTGTAGAATAATTCACTTAGCTATTAGAAAGTAGATTCATTTTCTTCATTTCAAATTCTGTAGCCTCAAATATCTAGAATAATGTTCTTCAAATAAATATCTTATGAAATGTTTATCAAATGAATGAATGAATGACTGGATTTACTTTTGTCTCCATGCAGCTTGAATGATTAAATAGAAAAAAGCAGATTTTATTTAACATATTTGGTTGACTTTAACAAAAAACAAATGGTGGACAAAAGAATATTTTCTAGTCTACTTGCCCAAGACCCAAGGTTCTACCAATATCACACTGTTCAGAGCAGTTTCATGTCAAGATGGAGTCCAGCAGGACAGAATCATGGCTTCATTCCATACACAAGTCCACAAAGTATAGCTTTTGACCTCACTGTCTTATTTTGATTTAACTTTAACTCTTCCAAAGCTGAATGGCAGAAATCACTTTTAGTTTGTTATCTACTTTACATTTCCCTTCAATACCAATATTCTATTTTCCTCATATTAACAAAGCAATGGAATGCACGAATTAAGACTGTCTGAATGAATGACCAAGATTCAGATTCTACATTATGGTAAGGATCAGGTGAGATCCATGTCACACCCAGTGGGTGGTTCTGTAATTTAATGCTTTTCTGAGGCTATGACCAAATACTTCCACTATAAGAATTTATCCTGAGAAAATAAAGAAGCAGTTAAAGATTTATATCTGAAGATTTTCCTTATAGCATTATATTATAACAGTTCAAAACAAACACAAAACTAGAAAACATTTAACAGGGATTGGTTAACACGGCGCATTACACAGTAATGTATTATGCAGCCATGAAAATCATGCTTTCAGAGAATGTTTAAGGACATGGGAAAATGCTTGCTGTGCACATAGTTATTTTTGTTCACCAATATTCTTTCCTTTTGTTCTGATTGCTGTGATGGGAGCTCTCCTATATTCTACATGGCACTAACACTCACATATCTAGAACTTATACATTTTATTTTATTTTACTATTACCTTTTTTTAGTGCCAAGACATTTACAGAAAGTTTTCAAAATTTTCAAAAATGTTACAAGAAGCGTGCAAACACAGTGAAACTAGTGGCAAATGAGACATTGAAAACTAACATCTGGATAAGTCTTAGAACCTATATATATAATATATACATATAATATATATAATATATATAAAATATATATTATATATATTATATATATAATATATATATTATATATATAAAATATATATTATATATATAAAATATATAAAAAATATATAATATATAAAATATGTATAAAATATGTATTATATATAAAATATATATAAAATATATATAAAATATATATTACATATAAATATATATAAAATATATATTATATATAAAATATATAAAATATATAAAATATATATTATCTATATAATAAATATAAAATATATATTATATATATTATATATAAAATATATATAATATATATAAAATATATATTATATATATTTTATATATAATATATATTATACATTATAAAATATATATATTTATAATAATTATATATATAAAATATATATTATATTTATAATAATAATATATATAAAATATATATTATATTTATAATAATAATATATATAAAATATATATTATATTTATAATAATATATATAATATATATTATATTTATAATAATATATATAATATATATTATATTTATAATAATATATATAATATATATTATATTTATAATATAATATATATTATATTTATAATAATATATAATATATATTATATTTATAATAATAATATATAATATATATTATATTTATAATAATAATATAATTAATATATATTATATTTATAATAATAATATATATAATATATATTATATTTATTATATATATTATATATAAAATATATATTATATAAAATATATATAATATATAATATATAATATATAATATATATATCATATATAATACATATAAAATATATATAAAACATACATAATATATAAAACATATATTATATATAAAATACATATATTATATATATAAAATACATATAATATATATAAAATATATATAATATACATAAAATAAATATATAAAAAATATATATAATATATATAAAATATATATAATATATATAAAATACATATAATATATATAAAATATATATATTATATATAAAATATATATACTATATAAAATATATATACTATATAAAATATATATAAAATACATATCTTATATATAAAATACATATCATATATATAAATTATATATATTATATATAAAATATATATAATTTATATATATGATATGTATTTTATATATAATATATGTATTTTATATATATTTTATATAGTATATATATTTTATATAGTATATATATTTTATATATAATATATATATTTTATATATATTATATGTATTTTATATATATTATATATATTTTATATATATTATATATATTTTTTATATATTTATTTTATGTATATTATATATATTTTATATATATTATATGTATTTTATATATATAATATATGTATTTTATATATAATATATGTATTATATATAATGTATGTATTTTATATATATAATATATATATGGTTTTTTAATTTTTTTTAATTTTTTTTATTTTTTGAGACAGAGTCTCGCTCTGTCGCCCAGGCTAGAATGCAGTGGCGCGATCTCGGCTCTCTGCAAGCTCCGCCTCCCGGTTCACGCCATTCTCTTGCCTCAGCCTCCCGAGTAGCTGGGACTACAGGCGCCTGCCACCGCTCCCGGCTAATTTTTTGTATTTTTAGTAGAGACGGGGTTTCACCGTGTTAGCCAGGATGGTCTTGATCTCCCGACTTCGTGATCCGCCCACCTGGGCTTCCCAAAGTGCTGGGATTACAGGCGTGAGACCCCGCGCCCGGCCTAGAACCTCTACATTTTAAAATTTAATGTGTGTAGTCTCACAAACCCCAAAGGCCCACGCATCTTATTCCTGCAGACTTCTCTCTCTGTTGCTACCAATAGGATAGGAGAAGAAAAAAAGAATTAAGCAATGGCCAATCAGTGACTATTCTGGGCCAAGACTTCTTACAGGAGCCCATGGCTGTGCTAGATGACGGGACCAGGGGCTGGACTTCATTCAATATCACAAAGCAGGTGGAATTTAGCAAGGTATTTAAGCTGGGTTTTGAAGCTTAGGACTGAGGGTAAGAGGGTCAGGCATCACTCTGTAAGTCTTCTTTGAAGCATGTGAAGAAAATCAATCAGGTTCATCAAAAGAGAGAAAGTCGCATGTTGTATTTCTCTTCTGCTACTCATGTCTCGGCATCAGCACCCCTGGAGGTATGAGACAGGGCAGTAGGAATCCTTTACACACATAGTAGCAGCAACAGCAGCAATGGACAGTGTCACTAACACTGATTCCATCAGAAGATTGGAACATTGGTGGTAGTGCCCCCAATTCCTGGCAGGGGAGGAGCTTTCCCTTCTCAGCCCATTAAGTTTGGAGGCAGAGACTACTCTTATTGGCTCCAGAAAAGGGGGTGTGCCAAAGGCCTGGCCAATCAGAGAGCCATATCATCTGGGACATGGGATTGGCTCAGAGATGAGCAGGTGATTGCTTCAAAGCCAATGATATGAGACTTCTGCTAGAACTTGATTTGAAGTTTTCTTCAAATCTTCATGACTTCTAGCCATGAAGTCATGAAGAAAAGGCTGGAACAGCTCACTGCCATTTTGCCACCAGGAAGAAAAAGCCAAAGTGAGCTGGAAACCACACAGCAACAGAGCTGAGGTGGAGAAAGCCCAGCCCTTAGTGGCATAGTTTGAATCTCTGAATTCCACTACGTCTAATTATTTGTTTCTCCCTAAATTTTTAGTAGTGTGAACCAACACATCCCTGAAGTGCCTTAACCTTTCTGCTTAAGGAACTTTGAATATATTTTCTGTCACAACCAAGAGATTCCTAACTGAATCCTAACTTAGAACTTTGGGGTTTGTGCAGCTTCACAAACCCCAAAGGTCCAAGTATCTTATTCCTACTGCTGCTACTAATAGGATACAAGAACAAAGATAATAAAGGCCAATCGATGACTATTCTGAGCCAAGACTCCTCACAGGAGCTCATGGCTGTGCTAGATGGGCTTCTTATGATGACTAGTTGATGAAAATAGTAGGAGCAAGTAATAAACT
This sequence comes from Homo sapiens, assembly GCF_000001405.40. NCBI lineage: Eukaryota > Metazoa > Chordata > Mammalia > Primates > Hominidae > Homo > Homo sapiens. Next base: position 56,210,216 of record NC_000007.14, read on the forward strand.
GCAAATAATGTGTATATGTGTGTAAGAAAATCTACCAACATGTCAACAGTGATTATCTCTGAATTATGAAGTTGTGAAGTTTTTTTCTTTAAATACATTCTAGAATATTTCAAATTTTCCAGAAAGATCACATATTAATTTTTTTTTGACAGAGTCTTGCTCTGTTGCCCAGGCTGGAATGCAGTGGTGTGATGTGGGCTCACTGCAACCTCTGCCTCCCGGGTTCAAGCAGTTCTCCTGCCTCGGCCTCCCGAGTAGCTGGGACTACAGGCACGTGCCACCATGCCTGGCTAATTTTTGTATTTTTAGTAGAGATGGGTTTCACCATGTTGGCCAGGCTAGTCTCGAACTCCTGGCCTCAAGAGATCCATCTGCTTCGGCCTCCCAAAGTGCTGGGATTACAGGCATGAGTCACCGCACCTGGCCCACATATTAATTTTAAATAACAATGCAAAGGAGATTAAAGAGCTCTTGGTTTTCCTTCTTCAGTGACACAAGCAAAAGCCCATATGGCCTTTTCCACAACATCAGGAGACATTTCACAGATTCCCCTGACAATTTCAGATGGAGACCAGTGAGCTCAAGTTACAGGTTAATCTTGTGTTTAGTTAGATAATGGAAGAGGAAACTTGGCCATCGAGTAGTTTAAAGACTAGCATTCGAGGCTGGGCACGGTGGCTCATGCCTGTAATCCGAGCACTTTGGGAGGCTGAGGCAGGCGGATTACCTGACGTTGGGAGTTGAAGACCAGCCTGACCAACATGGAGAAACTAAAAATACAAAAAATTAGCCGGGCATGGTGGCACATGCCTGTTATCCCAGCTACTCGGGAGGCTGAGGCAGGAGAATCGCTTGAACCTGGGAGGCAGAGGTTGTGGTGAACAGAGATCACACCATTGCACTCCAGCTTGGGCAACAAGAGCAAAGCTCTGTCTGAAAAAAAAAAAAAAAAAATAAAAAAGACTAACATTCAAATTCCTGACTTTGTGTCTGCGAAACAGAGAACTGGTCAGCTGACTGACTCTTTGCTAATCCCTAAGAGAGAAACTGAGATGGTTGCCCACAGGTGGTGATTCCTGAGAGGCTGGGGCAGAAAGTGACGGGCATCCTGACAGCAGAAAACTGAAGGACCTTCATGAAACCATCCTCCACATCACAAAGGTCTCCCATGTTTTTTGTGGTTGGCTGGCTTACTTTACCACCCAGACTTCACAAAGTTCAGAGGAGAGGAGAGGGAAGGGGAGAGGACAGGAGAAGGGAGGGGAGGGGAGGAGAGGAGGGGAGGCAGGGAGAGGTGAGGGGAGCAGGAAGGAAGCACAGGAGAAGGCCCCTCAGGAGACAGGGCTGGTGCTGATGAAAGTGCCACCTCCTTCCTCCCCCTGAAGTATCAGTGGAAGAAGCCACCGTCCCTGGTAGGTAACGAAGTGAATTAAGAGCCCGAGTTTTTAAAAGGGCCTGCAAAAGTTTACAGTAGGGACTATGATCACATTTATAGGTCTCCACCAGAAGGAAGTTAAAGAAATCTGCCTGGACACACAAAATAATCACCTGCCATCTTTATGTGGTCGGGAGGGAATTGACGACCCCGGAGATCCATATCCCGCCAGCTGCTCTCACACAGGCTAGGGCCACAGGGAGGAAACGTTCTCTTCATCCTTCAAGTGCCTGTTTTCCCTACACCCCTTTTGCCCACCAGAATGAATTGCCCCTTGTGGACTAACCCCCCACATTTTAAGCACATTTCTAGTTATCAGAACACAGAGAGACTCTCAGGCTTATTGTAGTTATGCCTTTGTGAGTCTATCCTCCATCTCCTTGAAGACATTGATATAGTTTGACTGTGTTTCCACCTAAATCTTATCTTAAATTGTAGCTTCCGTAATTCCCATGTGCTGTGGGAGGGAGCCGGTGGGAGATAATTAAATCATGGGGGCAGTTTCCCCCATACTGTTCTCGTGGTATTGAATAAGTCTCCCGAGATCTGATTTTATAAGGGGAAATCCCTTTCACTTGGTCCTCATTCCCTCTTGTCCGCCGCCAGGTAAGACACGCCTTTTGCCTTCTGCCTTCCGCCATACTTGTGAGGCCTCCCCAGCCATGTGAAACTGTGAGTACATTACACCTCTTTTTCTTTATAAATTACCCAGTCTCAGAGATGTCTTTATTAGCAGTGTGAAAACAGACTAATACACACATCTTCATCTAATCATTCTTTTGAAGTTTCTCCTTCTTCCCCCCACTCCTGTCCCATACTTCAATACCTGCAGAGTGTATGTTCTTAATAAATGTATATTCAATTTTGAATTCTTATAGCTGGCTCTTTGCAGCATATCGTTCCAACCAAAGAAATGAATTGGCCAATTGCCTCTCCCTGTGTTCCCCAGAGGATCAGAGAAGGCTGAGCTTCCTGAACTCAGTAGTGAAGGGGTCTTGAGCCTTGAGCCCTCTGGAGCCCGCTCTTCTAGAACCCTGAGGTCTCATGCTGCTGAAGCCTTGGGAATGTGTACTCCAAGCACTGTCTCTTTCTTTACAGGATTTTCCCAAATTAAAATGCCCAATAGGTAAACAAAACCTCAGACTTTTACTTTAGGCCCTGCTGGAAGGACCCAGTTGGAGAAAGGAGTGAATAATGTAAAGATTAAGGGCCTTGGGGGTCAGATAGCCATGGCCTTGACATCCATACAAAATCAGGCAAGTAACCCAGCCCATAGGAGCCCCAGTTTCCCTATGCATAAATGGGGAGAATACTACCTTTTTCAGAAGGTAGTTGTAAACCTTTAGTAGAATGACATATGTTTAATCCCAGGCACTGAAGAGAAACTCAACAAATGTTAGTTTTTTCCCACTTTTTCGCATTTTTTTTTTATTTTCCTAGAATTTTCTACATTTCCCTGGAATTTTCTCAACTGGGGCATGATGGGTAATGATGAGTTTACTAAGAGCTCAGTCCCTAAAAGTGTATTGGTTGCTTCTAGGAAGGTAAAGTGTTTAAGTCAGGAAGCTTATGGTGGTATCTCTGCTGGGCATTTCAATGACCTGGGAGGCAGCCAGGACACAGCCCTGGCAGGCAGCGAATTCTGTGAACCTTAAGTCAACAATGCAGAGGTTGCCCCAGCCCTGCATGGTACGGAGAACCAGTTCTTTGCACAAAGGCATCACAGTTTCCGACGTGAACTTAGCAGCCATTTCCACAGCCACAAGGAAAGACAAATTCCTCTCTCCACAACCCGGTCCTCACAGGGAAAGGTTTGTGTCCATCCAGTGAGGATGTTGGCAAACCCAATGATGAAGGCCTGACCAGCAAAAGTCTTATAATTAGTTACTCAATGCTTCAGAATAAGCTTGCTTTCTCTAAGCAAATCCAGGAGAAGAAGACAATTCTAGAGCTATGAATGATCCCCCTGAGATATCAGCCCTCCAGAAAGGAAGCAGAAGCAGTCCAGGCAGCTTAACTTCAGCCACAGTGGGACAGGAGGTGACATTTACAATGTTGGTTCACAGCCCAGAGGGCCAGTGGATCTGGGAGGGTCTCCCAGTGCCTGGACAAAGGGAGTGAGTGTTGGGATTTCCAGAGGCATCCTTGGACTCTAAGCAGTAGCTCCAGAGGCTGTGTGGGCTAAGGACAAGGAGCCCATGGGAAAGAGCAGATGCTAGGGTAATGGAATACATGGTATTTGGAGCCTAGAAGTCAAAGCGCACTTAAGTGAGACCCAAATTGATGTCTTATCCATTTCTGTTTTTTAAAAAATTTTTATTTCCATAGGTTATTGGGGAAGAGGTGGTATTCAGTTACATGAGTAAGTTTTTCAGTGATGATCTGCGAGATTTTGGTGCACCCTTCACCCAAGCAGTATATGCTGCACCCAATTTGTAGTCTTTTACCCCTCACCCCCTTCCCACTCTTCCCCTTGGAGTCCCCAAAGTCCACTGTGTCATTCTTATGCCTTTGCATCCTCATAGCTTAGCACCCACTTATGAGTGAGAACATACGATGTTTGGTTTTCCATTCTTGAGTTACTTCACTGAGAATAATAGTCTCCAATCTCATCCAGGTTGCTGTGAATTCCATTAATTTTTATGGCTGAGTAGTATTCCAGCATATATATATATATTCCATCATATATATATAACAGTTTCTCTATCCACTCGAAATGCCCATCAATCATCCATTTCTTTTTAAATGGGTTTAAAAAGGATCTCTCTTAGATCAGCATTGGCCTGTAATGGTCAGAGGAAGGAAAGAGCAGCTACTCTCCTTGTCTTCATCAGCATAACCTTCTTCTGTGATCCCACCTGCTCAACAGATACACTTTCCTGCATTCATTCAGCAAGCAATCATCAAACATGTAGGCTGAGCCAGGCCACATGTTAGGGTGGTTGTTCCCAAACTCAGGGTTCATGGATTTTGCCAGGCTGGCAGCAAAAGAAAACAGTTTTGGAAACTTAAAAATACCAATTTCTGGGCTTCTCCATAAGCCTAGGTGAATTCCAAATAATCCATATTTTTAAAAAATTTCTCATTTGAATGTCACCATATTAGGAGTACAAGAAAGAATGACCAGCGGCCAGGCATGGTGGCTCACGCCTGTTACCCCAGTGCTTTGGGAGGCCAGGGCAGGAGGATCACTTGAGGCCAGGAGTTTGAGACTAACTTGGATAACATAGTGAGACCCTGTCTCTAAAAAAATTTTTTTTATATTAGCTGGACATGGTGGTAATCCCAGTTGCTTGGGAGGCTGAGAGTGGAAGGATCCCTTGAGCCCAGGAGAGCCAGGCTGCAATGAGCTATGATCACACCATTGTACTCCAGCTGGGGCAACAGAGTGAGACCTTGTCTCTATTGAAAAAAAAAAAAAAAGAAAAAGAAAGAATGACCAGAACTCTGACTTTAACTCACAGGAAAGCAAGTAATTAGAATACGAGGTAAGGGCTGTGATTAAAGCATATACAAGGATTGCTAGACCTTCTCTGGAGGTGTAAGCAATCATTTCCAAAGAAGTGATATTTGAGCTGGGTATTGAATAATGGGAGCACATTTTCCAGGTGGTCAAGAAGGTAAAGGATATTTCAAGGCAGAGGGAATAGTGTGGGCACCAGGGAAGGCTGTGTGTCTGAGAAGTTGTGGTGGTTTAGTGGTGTTGGGTTGAAACATGGATCTCATCTTGGGAGAGTAGGTAGTGAGAGCTGAGGCCAGGGAGGTCAGGGCTGGATCACAAAGTGTATTGCATGCAAGGTGAGCCGGCAGCTTGGATTCTATTCTCTGGGCCACTGGGTACCACTGATGTGTATGAGGAAAGGGAGTAACAAAGTCAGATGTACCCTTTATTTATTTGAGACAGGGTCTTACTCCATCCCCCAGGCTGGAGTGCAGTGGTGTGATCATAGCTCACTGCAGCCTTAAACTCCTGGGTTTAAGAGATCCTCCTGATTCAGCTTCCCCCTTGGTTTGGAAGGGATCAAATAGACAGAAAAAGGAATTGGTGGGTTGGGGGATTCTTATAATCACCTGGGCTAGAAAGGACATAGGTCCAAGCTTGGTTAAGGCTACCACAGTGGGGACGGAGCAGTGGAGATAGCTTGCAGAGATGTTAATACCTCTGTGATTTTCCTAAATATGTGTCAGGTACTCACGTTTCTGACCAGACAGCCACCCCTCCACAGTCTCCAGTCTCCGTATGGCAGGGCATGACCTCCAATGGGCCACAACTGCTAAATTAAGTATCATGAACTACTGTCATCATTAATGCAAACACACAAGACAGCTTTAGAAATCCTGGCAGTGCTTTCTGGCAAATGTAATGAAAAACTTAAATAATTATTCCATGTAAATAGATTTCATATGAGCTCTTCTTTTGGTAGGAAGGAAGGGAGAAAAGGTGGGAGAATCCTGTGATTTATGGCTTTGAGTGGTACAATGAATTAGGCCAGGCATCCCACTGTGAGTCTGAGCCTGCCTTGGCCTGCATTATGAGGTTGTTAGATCATTTTGAGCAGCGTGGCTCAGGTGACCTAATGCAGGCGTGAGAGAAAAGGTCATTAAAATCTGCCACACTGTAGGAACTCTCTAAAAAGAGACGCAAAGGCTGGCTTCGCAGAGTAGCGGCATTTCTCTTTGGGATACAAGGTGTTCTATCACTTAGGGAAAACTGAAAACCAAAGTGATAATGATGGGAAATAAATTGATGGCCTCAAAAGGAAGGGTTGCAGAAGGAGGAGGGAGATAGGGGAGCTACCTACAACCCGTGGCAAAGGCTCCTCCTGTAAGAGAAATAATGAATGAGTTAATATCAAGTAGGAAATATTGACTCATGTGCATGAGATTCAAAATTACAATATCTGAATCTGCACTGCCAATGTAGTCCAATGGAGACAACAACTGGGAGTTAGAGGCTGAGCTATTAATCCTAGTTTAAGACACTTGAGCCTGCTTCTTCACTACTGCTAAGCCTTTGTTTCCTAGTATGCAAAATGAATACCTATTCCAATAGGTAATTTTGCGTGTCAAGTGTGATTATATATTGAGAAGCTGTGGGTGTATGTATTCCCATGTATTTGCTCACAGGAAATTGTGAGCTTAACCTGGAAGACAGAGGAAGGCAAGTTCTTACCTGTCTGCTGGAGAATACCAAGAGCCCTGAACAGAAGGGCTGAAACCTAGCCTGGACTATTCTTTGAAGCCCTATACCTGGTGAAATTAAAGTATTTAATGCTCTATGCTCTGAGAAATAGACTAATATAATAAAGCTTTCTGATGTTTTTCGGGGGGAACCCAAGGGTAAGATCTTAAATTTGAAGCGATGTATTCCACGGCAAACCAGCTTGGGGTGAGAAGGGCAGATTAGAGTGGGACATCATAGACTTTATCTGTGCCTCAGAGAACTATGTCCTGGATGTTGGGTGGAGGAGATGCCTTCCTGGGCATTGCCGATGTTGGGGGAGAGGCTGACTCTTACAAGCTGGCTAAGATCCACCAAACCAAGGTGGCTGACTCTTGCAACCTGGTGTCATTCCAGGACCTTCGGAATGAGGGTTCTACTCTTCAGGGGCCAAGTCTGTGCATCTGAGAACAGCTACAGCTAGTCTATAGAAGGAAGTTGTCCACATTGTCATACTCTTTTGTTAATTTCAAGCCTTTCTTGAAGTCCGTCAAGCACTATAGTCTGGCTGCCTGGCTTCCATTGTGGGGAAGAATGGTGGAAAAGCTATGGCCACACCTGCGGTGATTCAGGGAACAGCAGTAGCTTATGAGAAACAGTAGAGAGGCAGCTGCCACCATCTTGAGTGTATCACCTGAACTCCCCATAGCAGACCGAATTTTCCAAAGATAGTCAAAACAATCTCTCCCCTCCCACAGCTTCTGACATGTGACCTTGACAACCCTTTCATCTAATGACGTGCTCCATGTCCCCTATCCTGGAGCCTAGGAAGAGCTTTGCAATTGCCTCTGTCAGAGATGTCTGAACCAGAGCAACTCCATCTTGAGTAGGAGCTGGGTAAAATGAGGCTGAGACCTACTGGGCTGCATTCCCAGATGGTTAAGGCACTCTAAGTCACAGGATGAAATAGGAGGTCGGTTCAAGATACAGGTCATAAAGACCTTGCTGATAAAACAGTTTGCAGTAAAGAAGCTGGGCTAAGACCCACCAAAACCAAGATGGCAATGAGAACGACCTGTGGTCATCCTCGTTGCTACACTCCCATCAGTGCCATGATAGTTTACAAATGCCATGGCAATGTCAGGAGGTTACCCTGGTCTAAAAAGGGGATGCATGAAAAATCCAACCTTTGCTTAGCATTTCTTCAAGAAATAACCATAAAAATGGGTAACCAGCAGCCCTCAGGTCTCCTCTGTCTGTGGAGTAGCCATTCTTTCTTTTTTTCTTTTCTAAGACAGAGTTTTGCTTTTGTCTCCCAGGCTGGAGTACAATGGCACAACCTCGGCTCACTGCCACCTCCGCCTCCCAGGTTCAAGCGATTCTCCTGCCTCAGCCTCCCGAGTAGCTGGGATTACAGGCCCCTGCACCACACCCAGCTAATTTTTTTGCATTTTTAGTAGAGATGGGGTTTCACCATGTTGGCTAGGCTGGTCTCAAACTCCTGACCTCAGAGGATCCACCTGTCTCAGCCTCCCAAAATGATGGGATTACAAGTGTCAGCCACTGCGCATGGCCGCTATTTTTTAAATTTTACTCTCTTAATAAACTTGTTTTTGCTTTGCACCGTGGACTCGCCCTGAATTCTTTCTTGCATGAGATCCAAGAACCCTCACTTGGGGTCTTGGGATTGGGATTGGCAACTGTTTCCTGTAACACTTCCACAAATAGAGGATGGTGGAAATGATGCCATATGATTTCTCAAGTGGGTCATTAAAATGTCCTGCACTTCTGCTTTGTTCTCTTGACATATTGGCTCCTGGAATGCAGCCAACATGCAATGAGAAAACCCAGGCCATGTGGGGAGGCCACATGGTGATGTCACAGCCAGCAGATTCATCTGAGGTCCTAGTCAGTATCAACACCCAGATTTCTTCAGATGGTTTCACCCTCCAGCTGTCATGTCACTCACAGCCTTTGAGGCTTTCTAGCTGAGGCCCCAGACATTGTAGCGCAGAAACTAGCTGTTCTCCAGTGTCCTTCTCAAATTTCAGACCTACAGAATCCATGAGCATAACGAAACGGCCGTTTTATGTCACTAAGTTTTGGATTGGATCATTATGCCAATCCAAATAGTTGTAACACTGTTCATGCTTACTTTCCAGGTGAGGCTCTCTAGAAACCTCAACTCAGAAACATCACTCTTTTTTGAGACAATGTCTTGTCTTGCTCTGTCACCCAGGCTGGAGTGCAGTGGCACCGTCATACCTCACTGCAGCCTTTAATTCCTGGGCTCAAGCAATCCTCCTCCCTCAGCCTCTCAAATAGCTGCATCTACAGGCGAGCACCACCATCATGCTTGGTTAATTTTTTTTATTTTTTATTTTTGTGTAAGACAGGGTCTCACTATGTTGCCCAGTCTTGTCTTGAGCTCCTGGCCTCGAGTCTCCCACCTTGGTCTCCCAAAGTGCTGGCGTTACTGGCATGAACAACTGCACCTGGCCCAGGGCTATTCGTCTTATCAGAGATTTACTGCCTCAAAGAGGAAGGAAACAACTTTATATGGAAAGATATTTTAAAAAATACATAGCAATCCATTTTACTTGAAATAAGACTGTTTTTACCAGGATCCAGTACTACACTGAACTATAAACCAGAACTAACCACATTAATTTACTGAACCCAGGCAGAACCAGTTCCAAGTATCACTTTTATTTTTAGTGAATCATAAACCAAATCAAAGTTGTTTAAAACATTATGAATATAAGTATTCCATTAAAATTACAACCAAACCAATGTGTCTTGTAAAATAATTTTTGCCATATTACAAATTATTATACTAGAAATATTTTGCTGTTCTCTAAAATGAATCTGAAAAAAAAACTCATAAATAAATAGTCATTTGTTCAAGCCCTTTGGGGTACATACTAATTCATTCCAAATTGATTGGTAAGATGGTAAGAAATACATTATTTATATGAACTGAGGGAGGACATGTCACTTCACACACCAGTCCCCAATAAGCCCTAAGCTCTTTTTCTATCAAAGGAGCTATACAAATTCTTGTTATATGTCACATGATATATTAGAAAGATTCAGGATTTTAGAGTCTCGTAGACTGGGATGATTGTCACAACCCATTTACTCTGAGATCTCAGAAAATTTATAAGACTTCTCTTGGTTCACTTTGTCAGTAGTAAAATGGAAAAGAAAATATGCCAACTTCATAGCATTTGTTTGTGTGTGCATGGCTGTGGGTATATGTGTTTGAGAGAGAGAGAAAGAGGGAGGGAGAGAGAGAGAGAAAGAGTGACAGAGAGAAAGAGAGGAAGGAGGAGGAGGGAGAGAGATACAGGGAGGAAGAGAGGAAGAAAGGGAGAGAAGGAGGGAAGAACGGAGGAAAAGAGAGAGAGAGCACTTGTTGCAGAGATGGCTAGTTTTGCTCTAAAACATGCACTTTCCTTTATGTAATATACAGTTGTTTCTGGGTGGCATCTAACCAGGTGATGCATTTGCTGGTTCTCATTTTGTATCCAGGTGAGGCTGGAACTACGCTCACCACATGGACAGGCGTGATCTCTGTACATATGAGCCAACACAGTTACATGACTGGATGCCTCCTCCACATCATGTTCTCTTGCCTGCTAACTGGGAGAAAACTGAAGAAGACTCCAGGATCCTGGGAGATAGAGGTGGAGCCCACAGATGGAATAAAACCAAGTCCTGGATTCACTGTATGGAAGAAATATACGCATTAACCAGGAACATCTACAGTAGATAATTAGAGGAGAGTGATGATCCACGGAGATTAGGCGGGTTTATTTGTTATAGCAGCTAGTGTTACCCTATTACAGAGTCAGAGGAAATAATGTATATAAAATAAGCCCAGTGTCTCGCAGATAACCACGTTCAATAAATGTTTTTGTTTGTCCCTTTGAATGAATGGAGGATATCTACCTATCTTCTACCTATTCAGAATCTCACATGAGGCAGCACATTTAGCACACTTGTTTACTTGTAATCTTCCATGCTTATCTTTGTGAGTCTGTTTGAAAAGCTGGATAAACAGCAATGAGTGACATTTGCTTATATAAAGCACATGTCTCCTTTTAAATTTCATGTTAGTATTGGTATTTGTGCTGCATATTTAGCATCACCAAAAAAGGAGAATGGGGTTATGAAAAAGACTTAAATGCTCCCATAGAAAAACTCATATCCAGCCCAGGCAACATAGTGAGACTCGAAGGTAATTAGATCACTTGAGCCCAGGAGTTTGAGACCAGCCTCAGCAACATGGCAAGACCCCTTCTGTCTCTACAAAAAATACAAACATTAGCCAGGCATGGTGGCCAGCATGCCTCTAGTCCCAGCTACTCAGGAGGCTGATGTGGGAGGATCCCTTGAGCCTAGGAGTTGGGGGCTGCAGTGAGCTATGTTGGAACTACTGCACTCTAGTCTGGGCAACAGAGTAAGATGCCATTTCAGAAAACAAACAAAAAAAAAAACTCATGTCTCGTGGTTTATTAAAAAACCAACAGACATCTCAAGACCTCTCTGTTCCTAATCATGAAGTGGTAACATTTGATATAGAAGAGAATGGCCATTAGGCAATATAATAACCTCTCGTGTTTCTATTAATTAAAATTCTATTCATTAAACAAAATATTTCATGTAAAAATATTTCATTTTAGGCTGGGCACTGTGGCTCATGCCTGTTATCCCAGCAATTTGGGAAGCCGAGGTGGGAGGATCACTTGAGGTCAGGAGTTCGAGACCAGGCTGGGCAACATGGTGAAACCCCGTCTCTACTTAAAATACAAAAATTAGCAGGGTGTGGTGGCACATGCCTATAATTCCAGCTACTTGAGAGGCTGAGGCAGGAGGATCACTTGAGCCTGAGAGGTTGAGGCTGCAGTGAGCTGAGATCATACCATTGCACTCCAGCCTAGGTGACACAGCAAGACTCTGTCTTCCAAAAAAAAAAAAAAAGTCCTAATAGTAACTTCATTTGCTTTCTTTTTTTGAAATCTAGTGATTCAGGACTGTGAGATGTGACATAATACCTAGGGGACTAGCAAAATTTTTAATTTTCTGTTATGTCTCCATTTTATATCACCCTTGTGTGTGATTAGATAAATTACTTTCAAACATTCTGATTTTATACAATTAATTTTTTTCTTGTCAATAAAATCTAAGGAAGCCACCCAGCTGTCTGAAAATAAGCTATTATACCTGAGTGTTAAAATGCTTTAATTTGTGATGACAATCTGCCTTGAAGAATGTTGCCCCTCCTTCCCCTTTAGCTCATATTTTGTTGAACCAGACTTTGCTTGAAAATGGATTCTTCAGTGTTCTCTGTCTGGCTACAGGAGAAAAGTGTATTTGTGAAATGCTCAAGTAGAAAGCTATTCTGCAAAAGTTGAAGCTGAGTCTTTGTTTTGTACATAATCTATTGCTTAGTTTTGTGATGAATTTAGCATGAAGGTGGGATCCAGGGAAGGGGTGGGCTGGAGTACTGTGTGAGTGGTCAGTGTTGGTTTGGGCTCATGGCCCATAAAACTAGGAGGGCAGTTTCTAAAGGTGGCAGCACAAAGCGAAAAAGATAAAACCCATTTTTTTTTTTTTTTTTTTTTTAGGGTCTCATTCTGTCACTCAGGATGGAGTATAGTGGTATGATTTTAGCTTACTGCATCCCCCAACTCCTGGGCTCAAGCGATCCTTCGACTCCAGCCTCTTGAGTAGCGGAGACTACAGGCATGTACCACCCTTCTCAGATAATTTTTATGTTTTTTAGAGATGAGGTCTCACTATGTTGCCCAGACTAGTCTCAAACTCCTGGCCTCAAGTGATCCTCCTGTTTTGGCCTCCCAAAGCATTGGAATTACAGGTGTGAACCACCGCTCCCAGCCAAAACTCACTTTTAAAGAATAGCGTCTTAAGCTTCAGGGCTTAAAGCCCAAAACTTTATTGGGGAGTGCAATCCCAGGGTAGAAGGAGTCAGCCCAAAAGGAGGGAGAGCAAATATAAGGAAATGTGTTGCTAACTTTTCACAACTTCAGTGGTGATGATATCTCAGTTTCTCGGGTTGTCTTCAGAGAGGCCACGTTGCCAAGAGGGAAAAGGATGAAAGAATTGATCTGTTGACATCTGTCTTCCATTGTTAAAAGTTTGCCCAGCATTTTGAGGCTAAGTGCTAAGTGGGTTCTGAGGCATCTTGCACCTCAACAGCAATGTGGGAGCCCCAGAACGGTGGAGGGAGAGGTAACAGGGCACAGGAATGAAGAAAGATGCTCTTTGGCCATGCCCGCTTGTGACACGGGGACCAGTATTAGCTGCCACAGTGGTGCTAGGTCTGTAGAGGCAGTCATACCTTGCAACAGAGACTTCCAGGACCACGAGAACTTCAAGTCATACCTAGGGCTGCCTCAGCCAAGAAATAAGGCAATGCAGTGAATCCAGGGCCAATAGCAAGTCTGCAGGGATTGGGGTTTTCAATGAAAGCTTCTGTAATGGTACATTAAAATTAAATTTTGCTGAGGCATATACTAAATGGTGAGATGTGAGACCACTCCAATGCAGGATATAAACTCAGGTCCCTTGTCCTTCCAAGCCTTGCCTTTTCCATAGTTCCCCACTGGTTGTTATAGAGTGCAATACTGGCTTCAACAGTCACCATCATGGCAGAAGAAGGTGGGTCATCTACAAGCCACACTTCAAGTTTCCAGTGGATTGGGCATGGAAGTTTAATTGCATTTACTGCAGAAGCAAGTGATGATGATAAGTTTGTGGTAAATGTGGACCGGGTGGGGGTCACAGGGTGGGGTTGGGTATGAAAAGATCATGGCTGTATTGCATTCCTGTCCTTCTTTTTTATCCACTGCTCATGAGTGCCAGGCATAATAGGATTAAGTAGCATCTTAGAGGTACCCTTGGATATTGGGGCATAGCTCTTTGCTTCTGTGTGTGCTAGAACCCTCTTGGGAGCTAGGTCTCCTGTGCCTACCTTCTCCCTCTTCACTACAAGGCTACACGTTCGTTTTCAGTTCCAACAGTCCAAAACCACCTGCTCTTCACTTTTCCCAGGTTTCCGAGGCAAAAAGCAAGCAGCTTTTTGAGGGGAATGAGGTGGGAATCGAGGGTTCCCCCATCAGCGCCCTGGGAGACATTAAAGGGGAAATTTAGCCTAAGTAATGGTTGAAACCTGTAGCTCAGAGAACTACAAAACTACAGCCTGGGACACTTTGAACATCTGCTCTAGAAAGATTTTGTGGATTTTTTAGATTCACTTTGGGTTTTCATGGGAAAACTCAGGGAATGGAAGATGTTAATTTCTTATCTGGGTCACTTAACATCTCATTGCCTCTTCGTGTTTTTAACTTTCCCAAAGTGTTGGTTTGAAGTTCCTTAAACATTGATGCCTTGCTCTGCTGTTTTGGGGAACTTACACTGTTTATGAAGTCATATGACTGAATCTATTTATGTTTGAAGTATCTGGTTAAGCAGTTTTCCCTGAATCTCCAAGCAGTTATCAGATTTGGTAGCTGAAGATCTTAGCTTTATAGGATATGAATAACTCTACTGTAGGGGATGAATAGGGATAAAAGAAAAAATCTTACACAACCAAAAGTCTACTTATTTGGGGGCATTTCTGTGAGTTTGTTCTTTGTTATGGATAAGGTACAGATTCAATCTGTTCAGTTATTTCAGGAGCATTCAAGTCTCCTATTTCTTCTTGAGTAAGCTGGATAAACTTTTTCGCCCCAAGACAACGTCCATTTCTTCTTCTAGGGTGTTTCTAGGGTGTTTCTGATTTTCTTACTATGTACATCATCTCTCGTTATCTTTATTTAATCTGTTCTTTTGTAAAGTTTGTTTTAATTAAAAATATTTTTTAAGAGACAAGGTCTCACTGTGTCTCCCAGGCTGGAGTGCAATGGTGCAATCATGGCTCACTGCAGACTTGAACTCTGGGCTCAAGCTCTCCTCTTGCCTCAGCCTCCTGAGTAGCTGGGACTACAGGCTTGTGCCATCATACCTGGCTAATTTTTAAAATTTTTGTAGAGGGTCGGGCGCAGTGGCTTATGACTGTAATCCCAGCATTTTAGGAGGCTCAGGCGGGCAGATCACTTGAGGTCAGGAGTTTGAGACCAGCCTGGCCAACATGGTGAAATCCAGTCTCTATCAAAAATACGAAACTTAGCTGGGCATGGTGGCACACGCCTGTAATCCCAGCTATTTGGGAGGCTGAGGCAGGAAAATTGCTTGAACTTGGGAGGTGGAGGTTGCAGTGAGCCAAGATCGCACCACTGCACTCCTGCTTGGGCGACAGAATGAGCCTCCATCTCAAAAAGAAAATTTGTTTTTGTAGAGACGGGGTTTTGCTATGTTGCTCAGGCTGGTCTTGAACTCCCGGCCTCAAGTGATTCTCCCACTTTGGTCTCCCAAAGAGTTGGAATTAAAGGTGTGAGCCACTGCACCCAACCTGTTCTCTTCAAGTTATGCCTTTTAAAATCATGGTATTATGCCTTTTCTCCCTTTTTCTTAAATGCTGTCAATGGAATATTTGTTTATTTATTTTTATTACATCTATGTCTGGTGTAAAAAATGCTTTGATATGCATGTACATAGTGAAATGATTATTATGGACAAATTAAGATATTCATCATCCCACATAGTTAGCTATATTTCATGGTGAAAGTACCTAAAATCTACTTTCTTAGCAAATTTTCAGTATACGGTGCAATACTATTAACTATAGTCCCGATGTGTATCAGTTCTCTAGACTTATTCATTCTATATAAATGTAACTTTGTACACTTTGACTTCCATCTCCCCATCTCCCCACTCCCCTGCCCCTGGTAACCACTGTTCTATTCTCTATTTCTAGATATTCAAGAGTTTTGTTTTTTTTCTTTTAGATTTCACATATAAGGGAAATCATGCAGCATTTTTCTTTCTGTGTCATTCCCAAGAAGTTATTTTTCGCTTTGACAATTCTTTCTATTGCATCTTTATTTTAGAATTCATTCCTTTCATCTTCTATCTTTATTACTTTCTTCCTGCTACTTTCCTCAAGTTTATTCTGTGTTCTGTCACTAACTTCTTACAGTAGATGATTTGGCCATTAATTTTTACTCTTTATATTTTTGATATAAGCAGTTAGGATTATAAATTTCCCTATGAGCATTGCTTTAGTGTATACTAACACTTTTTTTTAACGGAAAACTAGCTTTATTTTAAAATTAAGTGCATAGCACTCATCTAATTCCATTCCAAGGTCTAAAGTGTAGACTTTAGCACCATACTTGCTATTTGCAATTCATGTCATAACACCAATACATTTTGGTTTGCAGTCTGTACTTGAGTAGTGTTTATTTAATGGACTTTGGTAAAATCCTTCATACATATTAATCTCTTCACAGTACACATTTAATGACGGTCCAATAATCTACAAAAAAAGCCTACTTCAAAGACTAATCAATAAATTAAACAAAACAAAACCCACACAATGCTCCCCCACCCCGAAAGCTAGCAGTTGTGAGTTGTATTTATATTGAAACCTAATGTTTTAAAAATAGTTCTGGTTCTTCAACCACCCCATCCCACCCCGGGTATGCAGCAATAGTAATTATTTTATTCTACTCTTCCAAAAGATTATTAATCCAGTGTTCTTTGGCTTTTTAAAATATAAATTGGGAAAGTGTTATTAATAAGCTTTTTTGAAAAGATATTATTCTAAAACAAGAATAGCATATAAACCAATCAATAAAAGTATTTGACAAGACATGAAGTTGCCACAGGCGCTGCCTGTTGTTTCAAGTCAGGATCTCCATCCCAATATCTCACATTCATACCATTACTGAGGTAGTTAAAATACGGAAAATTGGACTCCAGGTTGCTGAGTTCTGAATGTGAATGTGAAAGATATATTCTCTTTTGAGCCTACTTTCCCCCAAACAATTCAAGTTTTCTTGAGGTAAGAACTACCAAAATCCAATTAGCAGGCTTCTTTAAAAAGGAAAAGTGATGGTACTTTCAAAAAACAATTTTCATGCTTAAAAACTGCCATGAGTGGGTGTTCTTACCTGAGTGCTTTTTCATTTTATCTACCAGACTAATAAATCCACATTATGCCCTATGTACTCTAAAAGTTATTTTCTTTTTAAGGAAAGCATATTTTTCTAAGCATTCATGCTGGCAGAAGCTACCCACCCACATTCATCCCCGGAAGCCATCTGGATCACTCCATCACTGTGTTGAGCCCCTTCCCTTCCTAACAAAGGCCACTGGCTTGATTACTGAGACTCCTGCTGCATACCCACATCTTTATAGTAAGCTTGTCTTCAATGCATATTGTGACAGTCACATATCTGCCATGCAGATTCCCTTCTATTCAAGTGCTATCTTAAAAAAAAACACACATAAAAAGACATAGCTTACTAATTTTTAAACCAGAAAGCTTCCCTCCAACAAATCTTTCTTCCCCCACAGAAACGAGCACAATGTATACACTTTATCAGTTATTACAGTGACTTTTTAACCTTTTAAGGTTATTCCTCCAAAATGCTTTACCCCCAAACTGCCCTTGCTGTAATGACAATTATTGCTGTTTGCAGTTAATACCAGTACAGTGAAATGTCCCAGGGCAGTTGCAGGGTCAATCCAATGAAAGTAGCTACTGAAATTTAGTCTGTACCTTTGCCTGCTTAGACGGACTAGCTGGCTTCAAAGGTTGCTTAAAAAACGTGTCTTCCACATAACAAAGTGCTGCTCTAGCACAACCTGAGAACTTCCCTGGCCACGGTCCCCTCCAAAATAAACCTACTTTATTCTAGCACCAACCTCTTACAGTTAGTTATGCCTTCCCTTGAAATAACTTTTTAAGAATGTCGATTCTGAGTATAAATCACAGATTGCACTGAGAAAGGCAAAACCTACATATGTATTATGAAACACAGGAACTACCACTTCATTCTGAGCTATAATATTATGTTCTTATTTGAAAACACACCCTAGCAAGAGTATTTTAATCTATGTTATAAAGGTAGTTCACACTATAACATTTCCAAGGCTTGTTGCATTACAGTTAAGTGTTTCCAAGTAGTACAAATTCCCTGAGTTAAATGTGTTTTAATTCTAAAAATTTGAGGTTGATCACTTGGGGAAAAAAGAAAAATTATGACCGTGATTTTAAAAATAAGAGATCTACTCCACCATTAATTTTAGTATATAAATCCAGATACCTATACTATTTATGAGAGGAAGTTATATAGAATCATCTAAAAAATTTTTTTTACTGCAGATTGGTATAGCATAACAATTCATGAGTTTAAACTTAGTTCTAAAATCATGTGTAGAACAAAAAAATTTGCAGAATAAAAAACCTTTTCAAAAATTAATACTGTAACTTTCCTTCATAAAAGACTGTTTGGCAAGTCCACAGATAAGGTAAACATTTAGTCTTTTACTTAGAAGCCAACATTAGGCCCAGATGCTATACCACAGGTCAAATCTCAAAATGGCAAATTGGAGTCTGCCCAAATTTTCTGTTGTATTGAATATTTTCGCAATATTTGGACCATCAGCCAGGACTTGAACATTTTTGTCATACAGGGATTTGTTGTAACAGAATTTGACACACTGTTAATTTGCTTAGTCCTCCCAGGATTCATGGTGCATTAAAAGGGATATTCAGTCTTCCTGGAGCTGGTACCTGAAGAGTTCTGATGTCACTTAGATCCCCTTCCTTTTGAACAGAAGTTTACAAAACGCTCACCCATAGTCACAAAGCAGTCTGGGTCAGTTATCAGCTTCACACATAATCACTTTTCAAAACACGAAGTAATACAAGGGTAATGTTTATTTATCTGATAACTCCGGTTATAAGAAACACTCAGACAAGGCTTAACTTCTACTGGTATTGCCAGTGACATTCCAATACTAGTCTGCATGTGCCCAAGGCCCTGAACACTAGCTTGGAAGCCAGCAGGACATGTCTGTAGTGTGTAAGATGAAGTGTGTGTGGTCGATACAATATGCTGACAGCTTGGTGGTTCTGACTAGGATGGCGATACTGCAGTGAGGTCTGAGGTGTCTAATGGAGATATTGAGGTTGCTGAAAATGAACTAGCCGTGAGGGCTGGGAGGCTTTCTGGAACACACTTAGTTGTGCTGACTGAGGTCCTGCTTGCCCTCTCCGTTTGTTTGCTTCTTTCACATCATTATCATGAGCGATCAATAGCTGTTCAATACACTGCACTAAGAAATCCCAAGAGTAAGCAGTAAGACGATGCAGTCTTGTAGGCCACGTTGGAGAAAGACGAAGTATAATCCTCGCAGAAGCCACATACGCAGCAGCTACTAAAGGTGCATACTTTAGAAAGGCGTAATCTTACAAAGATACTTCCAGGAAGTAATCTGCACATTTGGCCATTTAGAATTTAGTCTTTTCCAAGCAAATCATTGGCCAGCCGTCATGAAGACCTGTTTTGTGTTCTGCTTCAGAGAGATAATACTCAATGAAATGGGCGGCTGTTGGAAGGCAGGGGTTCCACTGAAAGGTTTCTAATAATAATAGTTCCATATGTAGCAAATTTTGTTTTGTTAATACTAGATTCATATTAGTCATACAACCCAGGCTGTTGAGCTGCTCCAGCTTAGACACACTTTCTTCTTTTTCTTCAAATTTACTTGCTAGAAGCAGGCAGGAAAGCGCAACTCAATGCAGCTGCTGGATAGAGATGTCATAGCGGTCCATGAACAGGTCCAGTAAACTAGACAGCAAGATGGCGGGCAGAAGGGCAAAGGCATGGAAGCAATTGCTCACAGTGGCAAATCAAGTCAGCAAAATACCGTCTGAGACTTAATTGAGGGGACTGGCCTTTACAGGAGGGCAACTTCAGCTCCCTGTAGCGAAGTGCTTGGTGAATGTCGGCGGCCAGCTGCCCTCGCCACCACTGCCCCTCCAACTCCATGGGACCCGGCGGCGCGCCCAGCCCGACGCTGTAACTTGAGTCCGGAACCGCGGCCCTCACAGCCCCAGCCCCTCCGGCGTGCTGGGGACGCCAGCCCCGCTCACGCTGCAGACAGTCTGCTGCTAAGCGCGGGTCTCAGCTCTGGCCTAGCGACTGGACGCTCGCGCTGCCGGTTGTTAAAGGACCGGCAGGCAGCTCCCAGTGCATACTAACATTTTTAATGTATAAGATTTTATTACGGTTCAGTTTCAAGTAATGAAACATTCCCATGTTAATTTCTTCCTTGACCCACGAATTAAAAAGTGTGTGATTTTCAGAATAAAAAGATCTTTATAAAGTATGTTTTTGAAATGTCTAAATGCATGAGTTTTAGTTACCTTTTTATTGCTGATTTCTAATTAAATTTTGGTGAATGTGGTCTATTAGATGCCAGTACTACGAAAAATTTAAAGAACTTTCTGACTCACAGTGCAGTCAGTTTTTATAAATGTTTCGTGTGTGGTTGAGAGGAATATGATTCCCCTAATTGTTTGGTGCAGGGACACGCATATGCATATTCATTAGGTCAAGCTTGTTAACTGTGTATTTCAACCCATCCGTAATTTACTGCTTGCTTTATTTATTCCTAGGAAAGGTGTGTTTTCCTATTCCACTCTGTTGATGGATTTGACAATTTCTCATGTAGTTCTGTAATTTTTCTTATAAATGAGGTTGGGCTACTAATAATGAACTAATTATTACTAATAAAATGATCTTCCTGGCAAAGCAAACCCTTGATCATGATAGCAATCCTCTTTACTCACAATAATATTTGCTTGCTTTAAAGTTTATTTTCTCTGATATCAGTAAACTATGTGACTTTTTTTGTCTTTTAAACTCTCATTTGTATACTAGTGTATATATATGTGTGTGTGTATGTATGTATTTATAAACTCAATCTGACATTCTCTATTAACTGGTAGATATTAGTACTCCATTACATTTACCGATATATTTAATCTTTCTGGCATTATAGTTTCTTTATTATTATGATTATTTAAGTTCTGAGATACATGTGCAGAACGTGCAGGTTTGTTACATAGGTATACATGTGCCATGGTGGTTTGCTGCACCCATCAAGCCGTCATCTACATCAGGTATTTCTCCTAATGCTATCCCTCCCCTAGCCCCCCAATCCCCCACAGGCCCCAGTGTGTGATGTTCCCCTCCCTGTGTCCATGCGTTCTCATTGTTCAACTCCCACTTATGAGTGAGAACATGTGGTGTTGGTTTTCTGTTCCTGTGTTTGTTTGCTGAGAATGATGGCTTCCAGCTTCATCCATGTCCCTGCAAAGGACATGAACTTATTCTTTTTTATAGCTGCATAGTATTCCATGGTGTATATGTGCCACATTTTCTTTATCCAGTCTATCGTTGATGGGCATTTGGGTTGGTTTCAAGTCTTTGCTATTGTGAATAGTGCTGCAATAAACATATGTGTGCATGTGTCTTTATAGCAAAATGATTTATAATCCTTTGGGTATATACCCAGTAATGGGATTGCTGGGTCAAATGGTATTTCTGATTCTGTAGATCCTTGAGGAATTACCACACTGTCTTCCACAATGGTTGAACTAACTTTCTTTTCTAAAGGTAAGCAGTTTTTAAAATGTTTTTTTCTTGCTGATGATGTCAGAGCTATGAATTTTTATTATGAAGGGGCCAGGTGTGGCGGCACATGCTTGTAATCCCAACACTGTGGCTGGCCAAGGCAGGAGAATCCCTTGGGGCTGGGAGTTCAAAACCAGCCTGGGCAACATAGCAAGACCTCGTTTATATAAAAAAAAAAAAAATAAGAAAATTAGCCGGGCATAGTGGTAAGCACTTGTGGTCCAGCTTCTCAGGAGGCAAAGGCAGGAAGATCATTTGAGCCCAGGAGTTTGA
The DNA here is from genome assembly GCF_000001405.40 of Homo sapiens. NCBI lineage: Eukaryota > Metazoa > Chordata > Mammalia > Primates > Hominidae > Homo > Homo sapiens. Next base: position 56,231,706 of record NC_000007.14, read on the forward strand.
GGTTGCAGTGAGCTATGATTGTGCCACTGCACTCCAGCCTGGGCAACAGAGCAAGACCCAGTCTCTTAAAAAGACAGAGAGAGAGAGAGAGAGAAAGAGAAAAAACAAAAACAAAGCCCCAACTGTCTAATAAAATTTAATTCTGCTGCAATTTTATACCCCAGTATGTTGTTCCTTTTTTTTTTTTTTTTTTGGAGACCGAGTTTTGCTCCGTCACCCAGGCTGGACTGCAGCCTCAACTCACTGCAACCTCCGCCACCCGGGTTCAAGCGATTCTCCTGCTTCAGTCTCCTGAATAGCTGGGATTACAGACACGCATCACCACCCCCAGATAATTTTTCTATTTTTAGTGGAGTCGGGGTTTCACCATGTTGGCCAGGCTGGTCTCGAACTCCTGACCTTAGGTGATTGCCCCGCCTCGGCCTCCCAAAGTGCTGAGATTACAGGCGTGAGCAACCGCATCCAACATGTTGCTCCTTTTGTAGGAACACACAACACTTTTTCATGGAAAAAATGCAACAAGTTTTAAAGATGGAATTATTTTACCTCATTATTTTATCTTGTTTTGTTTAATGACTAGCATTGCAAATAAAATAGCATTTTTTTTTTTACCATTGTAAATACAGACAATCCTTGCTTTGTGTGCTAGTGGGGATCATCAAATGCCCAATGACTGTGCAAGCCAGAACCATGCAAAACAATCTTAAGAATCAATGGGGGTTGGCTCCGTGGCTCATGCCTGTAATCCCAGCACTTTGAGAGACTGACGGGGGAGAATCACTTGAGGTCAGGAGTTCAAGACCAGCCTGGCCAACATAGCAAAACCCCATCTCTACTAAAAATACAAAAAACTTAGCCAGGGGTGGTGGCATGTGACTGTAGTCCCAGCTATTTGGGAGGCTGAGCCAGGAGAATCGCTTCAACCTGGGAAGTGGAGGTTGCAGTGAGCTGAGACTGCCTTACTACACTCTAGCCTGGGGGAAAGAGCAAGATTCCATCTCAAAAAAAAAAAAAATCAATGGGAAAAATTATGATTGTTTCATGAACTTTAAAAGTCAGAACTTTAAAAACTTACTGTCAATTATAAATGTATAGAAAAATTTAAAAATAAGAAAATATTTCATACACTGAAATTTTAAGTAATTGAAATATTGGGAACTAAAATCTTTCTTTGTGAAATATGTATCAAGAGTAGTTTTAGCAGTGCTTGCCTTCTCCTGTTTGTACAACTATGTGAACAACAGAGTGAACATTTTGGTGAACTGTCATACTGCTGAGTAAGATTGAATCAGCTTCCAATGTTCTATTCTTTGTGCTTTCAATCTTGGGAAATATCTCTGAGAGTTCCTTTAATGCAAAGTTGTTTACCACTGGGGCCACTTCCTCTGGGACACCTTAATTCTTTTTTTAAATCCTTCATTTCTGTTGATAAGTTTGCCTTCACTAATTCTCTGATTGGGTGTCTAAGGTATCAGCCGCAGTACCAATATTTCCACGGTCAGCTGCTACTTTTATAACTCCATTTATGTCACCATCAAATTTCATTCCCAGTATTATCACTTTTTGTTTCTTTGCTGCACTTTGATCTTTGCTGGCCAACTCCCACTTATCCATTTTTATAAAATGTCACATGGATTTAACACTGGGATTAGATAGGGAGGCAACACGCCTACACACTTTGCTGTGTGTGAACTGAATAATAGATGTGCAGTGACGGGCTTTGCAACAAGTGACAGAATCGTTCACTGATCATGTGATTTGTAGATGGATAATCTAGCACTAAAGCTTGCAGTTAACACATTTCCTTATAGTTAACATACCATGGTAACAAGCTACAGTCTGTTTAATACTTGTGTGAATGGAAAATAAATCCTGGGACCCCAAAATCATTAAGCTAAGGGAAAAGTCAAACTGGGAACTGCTTAGGGGAAACCTGCCTCCCATTCTATTCAAAGTAACCCCTCTGCTCACTAAGATAAATGCATATCTGATTGCTTTCTTTGGAAAGACTAATCAGAAGTTCAAAAGAACGCAACCGTTTTACTCTTATCTACCCATGACCTGGAAGCCCCCTCCCCACTTTGAGTTGTCCCGCCTCTCTGGACCGAACCAACGTTCATCATACATATATTGATTGATGTCTCTCTGTCTCCCTAAAATGTTCAAAACCAAGCTGTGCCTCCGACCACCTTGCGCACATGTCATAGGACCTCCTGAGGCTGTCACAGATGCATCCTCCCTTAAAAAAAAAAAGAGAGAGAGAGATGCAGCAAAGGGTGCCCTTTCCTACATAGGGGCCTCTATTGCCCAGGCTGGAGTGTACTGGCATGATTGTGATCATAGTTCACTGCAACCTCAAACTCCTGGGCTCAGGTGATCCTCCTTCCTTGGCCTCCTGAGTAGCTGAGACTACAGATGCACACCACCACACCTAGCTAATTTTTTTTTTTTAATGAGACAAGGTCTCAGTATATTTCCCAAGCTGGTGTTAAACTCCTGGCCTGAAGCTATCCTCCTATCTCAGCCTCCCAAAGTGCTGGAATTATAGCCATGAGCCACCGTGCCTGGCTTCTCCAGTATATTTATCTCTCTCTCTTTTTTTTTTTTTTGAGATGGAGTCTCTCTTGTCTCCAGGACTGGAGTGCAATGACCCAATCTCAGCTCACTGCAACCTCTGCCTGCCAGGTTCAAGTGATTCTCCTGCCTCAGCCTCCTGAGTAGCTGGGATTACAGGCACCTGCCACGACACCTGGCTAATTTTTTGTATTTTTTTAGTAGAGACAGGTTTCACCATGTTGTCCAGGCTAGTCTTGAACTCCCGACCTCAGGTGATCCACCCGCCTCAGTCTCCCAAAGTGCTGGGATTACAGGCGTGAGCCACCGTGCCTGGCCCCTGGTATATTTTTCGACAACACTTTTCTGCCTTTGAAAGGGGCTGAATGCACAGCTTCTCTCTGAAAAGCCAAGATGTAAAGGCAGTATGACAAGTGGAAATCCAATCTCCACAACTCACTGGGTAATCAGAGATGAGTTCTTGGGCTTGCTGGGCTGTTTCTCTGCCCCTAAATTGGGGGCCAGGAGAACTCCCTTGCTCAGGGCCCTACTTTGGGCTGCCGTGAGAATCCCGTGTGGCTACACAGGCAAAGGGCCATCAATGCGGCCCTCTGGTTTTCCTCAGGAAGTCTCTTTGAGGCAGATTCCACAGCTTCCAGGGCTGCGTGTGGTGGCTCACGCCTATAATCCCAGCACTTTGGGAGGCCAAGGCAGGTGGGTCACCTGAGGTTAGCAGTATGAGACCAGCCTGGCCAACATGGCGAAATCTCATCTCTACTAAAAATACAAAAAATTAGCTGGGCATGGTGGCACGTGCCTGTAATCCCAGCTACTCAGGAGGCTGAGGCAGGAGAATCGCTTGAACTCGAGAGGCAGAGTTTGCAGTGAGCCAAGATCATGCCACTGCACTCCAGCCTGGGCAACAAGAGTGACACTCTGTCTCCAAAATAAATAAATAAATAAAATTTAAAAAAAAACACAAAAATTAGTCAGGTGTGGTCACATGCCTGTAGTCTCAGCTACTCGGAAGGCTGAGGCAGGAGAATCACCTGAACTAGGGAGGTGGAGGTTGCAGTGAGCCGAGATCGTGCCACTGCACTCCAGCCGGGGCAACAGAGAGAGACTCTGTCTGATTGTTTAAAAAAAAAAAAAAATTCCGCAGCCTTTAAATGTCAATTTGTTGTGCTCCTGACAGCCCTGGAAGCCCTCCCAGGATGGGTTGAGGGCCCACACCCCACCCCTCAACTGAGCCAGCACCCACAGGCCATGGGGCCAGCCGCCATTGCTCCTACCAGCTCAGGCCAAAGCCAGCAGAGACAAGCTCTTCACAGCCCTCACTCCCTCCTCTCTGTGGGGACAGACAGGGCCTGTGAAAGACTCCAATCACTGCAGCTTCCAGTGATCCTACAATCCTTTCTGTTATACCCAACCTCTAAAGGAGAGCTGAGAAATACAACATATGCATTCTCTCATCCCCAGTTCCCCTACCCTGGGATGGGGTGCTAAGGGGAAGCCAGGCCCCTCAGATGTCCAGCTGGGATCAAACTGGCAGAGCCCATCAACAGATGAGTGGACAAAGAAAAATGTGGTGTGTATATATTATGGAATACTACCCAGCCATAAAAGAAAAAAAAATGAGGCAGGGTGTGGTGGCTCACACCTGTAATCCCAGCACTTTGGGAGGCCGAGATGGTGGATCACTTGAGGTCAGGAGTTTGAGACCAGCCTGACCAACATGAAACCCCATCTCTACTAAAACTATAAAAATTAGCCAGGCATGGTGGCAGACTCCTGCAGTCCCAGCTAATAGGGAGGCTGAGGTGGGAGAATCACTTGAACCCAGGAGATGAAGGTTGCAGTAAGCCAATATCATACCACTGCACTCCAGCCTGGATGACAGAGCAAGATTTCATCTCTAAAAAATGAATGAATGAATGAATGAATGAAATAGGGGCAGGGTGAGGTGGTTCATGCCTGAAGTCCCAACACTTTGGGAGGCCAAGACAGGAGGATTGCTTGAGGCCAGGAGTTCGACAGCAGCCTGGGCAGCACAGTGAGACCCCCATCTCTACGAAAAATTTAAAAATTAGCTGGCTGTGGTGGTGCACATCTGTAGTCTTGGGACTACTTGGAAGGATGAGGTGGGAGGATCACTTGAACCTGGGAGGTCAAGGCTGCAGTGAGTTGTATACTGCTGCACTCCAGCCTGGGTGACAGAGAAAGACCCTGTCTCTAAAAAAAAAAAAAAGAAAGAAAGAAAGAAAGACTGATAAGACTGATGTCTTTTGCAGCAACTTGGATGAAACTGGAGGCCATTGTCCTTAGTGAAGTAACTCAGGAACAGAAAACCAAATACTGCGTATTCTCACCAATAAGTAGGAGTTAAGCTATGGGTACACAAAGACACACAGAGTGGGGACATTGGAGACTCAGAAGGGGGATGATGTTAGGGGGTGACGGATGAAAAACTACTTATTGGATACAAAGTATACTACTCAGGTGACAGATGCTGTAAAATCCTAGACTTCACCACCATACAATTCTTCCATGTGTCTCCAAAAACCACTTGAACCCCTCAAGCTATTGAAATGAAAAAACTTAAAAATAAATTTTTGCGGCTGGGTGCGGTGGCTTACGCCTGTAATCCCAGCACTTTGGGAGGCCGAGGCGGGCAGATCACGAGGTCAGGAGATCAAGACCATCCTGGCTAACACGGTGAAACCCTGTCTCTACTAAAAATACAAAAAATTAGCCAGGCGTGGCGGGCGCCTGTATTCCCAGCTACTCGGGAGGCTGAGGCAGGAAAATGGTGTGAACTCGGGAGGCAGAACTTGGCAGTGAGCTGAGATGGCGCCACTGCACTCCAGCCTGGGGGACAGAGCGAGACTCCGTCTCAAAATAAATAAATAAATTAATTAATTAATTTTTGCCTGGGCACAGTGGCTCACGCCTGTAATCCTAACACTTTGGGAGGCTGAGGCAGGTGGATCACCTGGGGTCAGGAGTTCGAGACCAGCCTGGCCAACATGGCAAAACCCCATCTCTACTAAAAATACAAAACTTAGCCAGGCATGGTGGCATGCGCCTGCAATTTCAGGTACTATGGAGGCTGAGGCAGGAGAATTGCTGGGAGGTGGAGGCTGCAGTGAGCCAAGATCGCGCCACTGCACTCCAATGTGGGTGACAGAGTGAGACTCCATCTCAAAAATAAATAAATAAATAAAAAATTTTTTTTGAGACAGTCTTGCTCTGTTTCCCAAGTTGAAGGGCAGCGGTGCTATCACAACTCACTGCAGCCTCAAGCTCCTGGGCTCAAGTGATCCATCACACCCGGCTACATCACACCTGGCTAATTTTTGTAATTTTTGCAGGGGTGGGTTTTTTTTTTTTTTTTTTTTTTTTTTTTGGAGACGGAGTCTTGCTCTGTCGCCCAGGCTGGAGTGCAGTGGCGCAACCTGGGATGAGGTCTTATTATGTTGCCTAAGCTGGTCTTGAACTCCAGGCTCAAGTGACCCTCCTGCCTCGGCCTCCCAGCTAGCTGGGATTACAGGCACGCACCACCATACCTGGCTAATTTTTTATTTGTTGTAGAGATGGGGTGTCACTATATTGCCCAGGCTGGTCTCAAACTCCTGGCCTCAAGCAATCCTCCCACCTTGGTCTCCCAAAGTGTAGGGATTACAGGTATGAGCCACTGCACCCAGCCAAAAAGTTTTTTAAAAAAGAAAAACTAGTGGCCGGGCACAGTGGCTCACGTCTGTAATCCCAGCACTTTGGGAGGCCGAGGCAGGTGGATCTCCTAAGGTCAGGAGTTCGAGACCAGCCTGGCCAACCTGGTGAAACCCCGTCTCTACTAAAAATACAAAAATTAGCTGAGTGTGGTGGTGCTTGCCTGTAATCCCAGCTACTCATAGGAGGCTGAGGCAGGAGAATAGTTTGAACTTGGGAGGCAGTGGTTTCAGTGAGCTGAGATTGTGTCACACCACGAGAGTGTGCCCACTTTAGCCTGGGCGTCAGAGTGAGACTCTGTCTCATAAATAAAGAGAAAAAATAAATTGGCAGAGCCACACAGAGTGTAAGAAACTAATCAGATCTATTCAGCTAGAAAAGCAATTTTGCACAACTGTGTCCATTTTCCCCCTAAGGAGTTTTACACCTTTATGCAAATGGGGAGGTTGTGGGAAATTGGAATTTAATGTTAATTTGCATTTCTGACCATGGAAGGGTAGGTGAAATGTGCCTTCTTTTCTATGGCATAGATAAGACAGTGGCACTCTGAGAGGCTCAAATGGAAGCTTCCTCTCCCAAAAGCCATCCCCAGCATACCTGTAAAACAAAAGTGGCGCATCTCAGAAGGACCTTGGTGGTGTCGCTGGAATGTTGATCAACAAGAATGATACCTGCAAGGTGTAACTGCGCTTTGCATTCCCTGAAGTACAGTAGGTGCCCCATAAACATCTGATGGCTGGATGAATTAGTAAGTAAACGAGCTCTTTATTTAAAGGTCCCACCCCAAACCAGCATCCCTCAATCAGTCCTGCCATAACCATCTAGGTGAGGGGGGTTGTTGATGGAAAAAGGTAAGAAAGAAATTTGCAAACTCCCCTGTTGGCTTCACAATAATTCATGCTCATCTGCATCTAATAAAATATGGAAGCAATTTTACAGAACATTTTGTGCTTTATCGATTCATTTAACTCTTTCCTCCAGGGGGCAAGTCGTATATCCTCATCCAGATATGTGGGAAGTTCCGTGAATACATCTGCAAATATCTTAAGATGAGATGCTCCTCTCCCTGCTGGGAACCTGACTCTAGTGAAGGAAAGCTTGAAAGTGAACACCAACCGGGCTTATCCTGGCCTCCTCTCTACCCATGGTTTCGTGCCCCTGTGTCTGTCCCACTGCCAACGTGACCTGAAATTGCTAGAGGAGGTGAGTGCTGAAGTCAGTATCATCAGAGCCAAGGACATTGTCCTCTAGAGCCAAGTTCACCCCTTTACTTGGCAGGGCTTCTAAGAGATGAGCTGCTGTCCATCCCATCAGTCCTCTACACCAGACCACCAGGAAGGACAGATGCTCAGGTGCCACAGCCGCTGCCACCGTCCCCCAAGATACCACGAACAGTCCCTTCACTGTTTCCAGCTGTGTCTGCCTCTGTGAGCTGCCCCCAAACTCCTTCCAGATTTAAGAACTGATGAATAAAATTGAGCAACACCTGCCCCGAGCTGCCTATTGCTCTGTTCACGTCCTGATTTTCTGAGTCAACAATTTTCCAGTTTTTTAAATTAAACTTTTCATTTTCAGATGATTATAGATTCACATGTGGTTGTAAGAAATAATACAGAGAGCTCATGAACTCCCTTCCCTGGTTCCCCTGCAGTGGTAGCATCTTGCAAAACTATAGTACAATATTGGGTCATCTTTTTGTTTGTTTGTTTGTTTTGTTTTGTTTTGAGACAGAGTCTCTCCCTGTCTGGAGGCTGGAGTGCAGTGGCATGATCTCAGCTCACTGCAACCTCCACCTCCCAGGTTCAAGCAATTCTCCTGCCCCAGCCTCCCAGGGAGCTGGGATTACAGGTGTCTGCCACCATACCCACCTAATGTTTTTGTATTTTTAGTAGAGACGGGGTTTCACCATGTTGGCCAGGCTGGTTTCAAACTCCTGACCTCAGGTGATCTGCCCGCCTTGGCCTCCCAAAATGCTAGGATTACAGGCGTGAGTCACCGTGCCTGGCCCATTTTTTTTTTCTTTTTTTTTTTTGGTAGAGGGCCTCACTCTGTTGCCCAGGCTGGAGTGGAGTGGCACAATCATAGCTCACTGCAGCCTCCACCTCCTGGGCTCAAGCAATCCTCCCCAGCTTCAGCCTTCCAGGTAGCTGGGACTACAGGTGCGCACCACTATGCTCGGCTAATTTTTTAAAATTTTTTGCAGAGATGGGGTCTTGCTATGTTGCCCAGGCTGGTCTCAAACTCCTGGCCTCAAGTGATCCTCCCACCTTGGCTTCCCAAAATGTTGGGATTACAGTCATGAGCCACGACGCCTGGCTGGTCAGCAATTTTTTAAAATGTAATATCCCATCCTTATAATATTTGGTAGGAAGCTTATTTTCACCAAACTGAGATTCTTGACCCCACCTGCCCACTTCAAAATCTGCTTGACTTGTTTACCCTATATTTCCCATCTGATAAACGGCACTCATTGCCCAAGTCCCAGCCCACATGCAGGAATGATTCCTCTCTCTTCCCTGCATTCTCCCACCCAAATCCCAAATATCAGCCAGTCTTACGGATCCTAGCCAAAAAGTCCTGAATTCACCCACTTCTCACATCCTCTTCCACGATGACCCTGAAGTTGCCCACGGGCCCTGCCCTTCAGCAGAACTCCCTATGTAACTTCTGGGGCCCAGTGAAAAACGAACACAGGGAGCCCCCTGTACAAAAATAATAAAGAATTTCAAGCCAGGTATGGTGGCCTCAACCCAGGAGTTCAAGACCAGCCTGGGCAACATAGCAAGACCCCATCTCTAAAAAAAAAATTATTTTACTTAACTGGGCATGGTGGCCGCACCTTTAGTCCCAGCTACTCAGGAGGCTGAGGCAGGAGGATTGCTTGAGCCCAGGACCTTGAGGCTGCAGTGAGCTGGGATCATGCCACTGTAGTCCAGCCTGGGGAACAGAGAAAGAGACCCTGTCTCTAAAAAAATTAAAAGAATTCAATATGGCAGCAGCCAAACATTAATCCGGTCCAGGGATTAATGCTTCTAAGCCCAGGACTCTGGATTGCACAGGTCCACACACGTGAACTGGCCCTGTCCTTCCAAGACCACCAGGAACACACTGACAGCTGAACAAAGTGGGCTTACTGATGCGATGCAAGAAGAGCACACAGATCATGGAAAACCCTAGGGCATCTCAGTAAGGATGTATTTAGGGTTCATACTGGTGTCGTGTATTTTGGAATAGCTCAAGGAAGCAAGGCTTTACTCTGGATTGCATGCTGTTAAGAACCAGGTCATTCCACAATTGAGCATCTTTTTTTTTCTTTTTTTTTTAAATTTAATTTTATTTTACATTCCGGGATACATGTGCAGAACGTGCAGGTTTGTTACATAGGTAAACGTGTGCCATGGTGGTTTGCTGCACCTATGTAACCACAGGTATTAAGCCCCGCATGCATTAGCTGTCTATCCTGGTGCTCTCCCTCCCCCGCCCCTCCAACAAGCCCCAGTGTGTGTTGTTCCCCTCCCTGTGTCCATGTGTTCTCATTGTTCAGCTCCCACTTATAAGTGAGAAATGCGGTGTTTGATTTTCTGTTCCTTGCTGAGGATAATGGCTTCTAGCTCCATCCATATCCCTACAAAGGACATGATCTCATTCCCTTTTATGGCTGTGTAGTATTCTGTGGTGCATATGTACCACATTTTCTTTATCCAGTCTATCATTCGTGAGCATTTGGGTTGATTCCATGTCTTTGCTATTCTGAATAGTGCTGCAGTGAACATACGTGTGCATGTATCTTTATAATAGAATGATTTCTGTTTCTTTGGGAATATACCCAGTAATGGGATTGCTGGGTCAAATGGTATTTCTGGTTCTAGGTCTTTGAGGAATCGCCACACTGTCTTCCACAATGGTTGAACTAATTTACACTCCCACCAACAGTGTAAAAGTATTCTTATTTCTCCACAGCCTCACCAGCATCAGTTGTTCTTGACTTTTTAATAATTGCCATCCTGATTGGCCTGAGATGGTATCCACAATTGAGTATCTTGATAATTCTTTTTTTTTTTTTTGAGTCTGAGTCTTGCTGTGTTGCCCAGGCTGGAGTGCAGTGGCACAACTATAGCTCTCTGCAGTCTCAACCTCCTGGGCTCAAGTGATCCTCCTGCCTCAGCTTCTCTAAATGTGTTTCTCCTCCTCTGTGCCCTGTCCCAAAGAGCCACCCATCATTCTTTACCTAAGTCATTCAAATCGCTGACTCCTCCTTCTCCTTCATCACCCCCACTGTCTGTGGCAAAGTCCTGTATATTTCCAGACATCTGTTCCCCATGTTCCACTCCTTTTTTTTTTTTTTTTTTTGAGACAGATTCTTGCTCTTTCACCATGCTGGAGTGCTGTGGCATGATTTTGGCTCACTGCAACCTTTGACTCCCTGGTTCAAGCAATTTTCCTGCCTCAGCCTCCCAAGTAGCTGGGATTACAGGCACGTGTCACCAAGCCCAGCTAATTTTTGTATTTTTAGTAGAGACAGGGTTTCACCATGTTGGTCAGGATGGTCTCGATCTCCTGACCTCATGATCTGCCCGCCATGGTCTCCCAAAGTGCTGGGATTACAGGAGTGAGCCACTGTGCCTGGCTTCCATTTTTCACAAATGTTACCCTACCTCAGGTCAGCCTCATTTCTTGCCTGAACCACTGAAATTGTTTGTCATTTGTTTTCCCTCCTGACAGTCTTGCTAGCTAATATAATACTGAGAGCTTTCTAAGAATAAGGCCCACTCCATGACCTCAAAAAACTTGCCCTTCTCTCTGGTGGGAGGGAAGAACACATGAGCAAATAATTACAATCCTATCCCATGAGAGGCTTACAATGAGAGAGGAGAGAAGCATAGTTACTATGGGAGCAGGGAGGAAGACTAGCCATTCCTACCACCAACCCATCCCTCAAGAACCATGCAGGTGAGGCCGGGCACGGTGGCTCACGCCTGTAATCCCAGCACTTTGGGAGGCCAAGGCAGGCAGATCAAGAGGTCGGCAGTTTGAGACCAGCCTGGCCAACATGGTGAAACCCCATCTCTACTAAAAATACAAAAATAAGGCCAGGTGCGGTGGCTCATGCCTGTAATCCCAGCACTTTGGGAGGCCAAGGCAGGTAGATCACAAGGTCAGGAGATGGAGACCATCCTGGCTTACACAGTGAAACCCCATCTCTACTGAAAAAAAAAAAAAAAAAAAAAAAAACTTAGCCGAGAGTGGAGGCACATGCCTGTAATCCCAGCTACTCAGGAGGCTGAGGTAAGAGAATCATTTGAAGCCAGGAGGTGGAGGTTGCAGTGAGCCGAGATTGCGCCACTGCACTCCAGCCGGGGTGACAGAGTGGGACTCCATCTCAACAACAACAACAAAAGATTAACCAGATATGATGGCGCCTTCCTGTAGTCCCAGCTATGCGGGAGGCTGAGGCATGAGAATCGCTGGAACCTGGGAGTCGGAGGCTGCAGTGAGCCGAAATCGCACCACTGTACTCCAGCCTGGGGGACAGAGCGAGACTCTGTCTCAAAAAAAAAAAAAAAAAAGAAAGAGGCCAGGCACAGTGGCTCACGCCTATAATCCCAGCACTTTGGGAGGCCGAGGCGGGCAGATTATGAGGTCAGGAGATCGAGACCACCCTGGCAAACACGGTGAAACCCCCATCTCTACTAAAAATCCAAAAAAAATTAGCCAGGCGTGATGGCGGGCGCCTGTAGTCCCTGCTACTCGGGAGGCTGAGGCAGGAGAATGGGGTGAACCTGGGAGGTGGAGGCTTCAGTGAGCCACAGTCATGCCACTGCACTCCAGCCTGGGGGACAGGGCAAGACTCTGTATCAAAAAAAAAAAAAAAGAAAAAGAAAATTGACTTAGTCTTTCATCATCTTTTTTTATTCTGGTTCAGTCCTTATTATATTGCAATCATTGGAGTTTGATATTTGTCATCTGTCACCTTGGTCAGCTAATACCCACAAACTGTGAGTATGTCTTGGTGAACACAAGAAGAAAATTCTTCAACTTTGAGTTCCAGTTATTCTTACAGTTCCTTTTTTTTTTTTTTGAGACAGAGTCTGTTGCTCTGTTGCCCAGGCTGGAGTGCAGTGGCATGATCTCAGTTCACTGCAACCTCCGCCTCCTAGGTTCAAGCAATTCTCCTGCCTCAGCCTCCTGAGTAGCTGGGATTACAGTTGCCTGCCATCATGCTCAGCATATTTTGTGTTTTTAGTAGAGATGGGGTTTCACCATGTTGGCCAGGATGGTCTCAATCTCTTGACCTTGTGATCTGCTCGCCTCAGCCTCCCAAAGTGTTGGGGTTACTGGCGTAAGCCACCACGCGCAACCCATAGTTCATTCTTTAAAACCTTCTATTTTTGTGTTTTGTAACATATACAACATATTAGTACTTGGGTACATGTAAATAATTTCTAAATAAAAATATACATATTTTGAAGTGTATGTGCTTTTTAAAATTTAATTTAATTTTCAGTTGATGGCCTGCAACAACAAAAAGCTTCAAAGGCCAATAACCTACCTCCTGTGTCAATCAGTTCTCCAGAGAAAGAGAACTGATAGGATTTATTTATCTCTTCTCTGTCTCCTAGGGATAAGTGTTATGAGAGAGAGAGAAAGAGAGTTGAAGAAATTGGCTTATATGATTGTAGGGACTGGTAAGTCCAAAATGTATAAGGGCAGGCTGGAAACTGGTGCAGAATTAGTCTGTCACAGTCTTGAGGTAGAGTTTGTTCTTCTCCAGAAAACCTCAGAGATGGAGTTTCACTCTTGTTGCCCAGGCTGGAGTACAATGACACAATCTCAGCTCACTGCAACCTCCGCCTCCCTGGTTCAAGCGATTCTTTTGCCTCAGCCTTCCGAGTAGGTGGGAGTACAGGTACCCGCCACCACGCCCAGCTAATTTTTATATTTTTAGTAGAGATGGTGTTGTGCCATGTTGACCAGGTTGGTCTTGAACTCCTGACCTCAGGTGATCTGCCTGCTTTGGCCTCCCAAAGTGCTGGGATTATAGGTGTGAGCCAGTGTGCCTGGCCTTCAGTTTTACTCTGCAGGCCTTCAACTGAAAGAAGAATCCGTAGGTGGGAAGAGGAATCCACCCATATCACAGACTTTACTTAAGTCCACTTCACTTAAGTCTACTTTAAAGTCTATGGATTGTTCAGCTGTGGTGGCTCACACCTGTAATCCCGGCACTTTGGGAGACCAAGGCAGGCGGATCACCTGAGGCCAGGAGTTCGAGACCAGCCTGACCAACATGTTGAGACCCTGCCTCTACTACAAATGTAATAATTAGCCAGACACTGTGGCATACGCCTGTATTCCCAACTACTCGGGAGGCTGAGGCAGGAGAATCGCTTGAACCTGGGAGGCGGAGGTGGCAGTGAGCTGAGATCATGCCACTGCACTCCAGCCTAGGTGACAGAGCAAGACTCCATCTCAAAAATAAAAATAAAAAGTAGTCAACAGATCGTAGCTGTTAATCACATCCACAAGACACCTTCACAAAAACACCTAGATTAGTGTTTGATTCCATAAGTGGGTTCCACAGCCTAACCAGGTTGACACATAAAACTCACCACCACCCTACCCTGTTGCCAGGTTCCCTAAATTGGTATCCCAACACTAGTCTCCCCCGGTTCTGAGCGCCTTCCATGTCATTTCCAGGCTCAGCTTACTAAAGGAAATCTCTGGCCAGGTCTCTCGTCTGCTTAACTTCCACCACCCCCAGATGAAGACCAAGTCTTTAGACTGACATCTGCTGCTCTTTAGACTGTGGTCCTAGCTCCCCCTACCCCTCTCCCCTGGCTTTCTGTCAACATAAACATCACATTCATGCTCACTCTTCCTCCCTGCAGCTCTCCACCCTATCACACCCCCACACCTGGGCTTTTCTGTAACTGCCCTGTATTAGGCCATTCTCGCTTTGCTAGACTGTGTAATTTATAAAGAAGAGAGGTTTAATTGGCTCCTGGTTCTGCAGGAGGTATAGGAAGCACGGCAGGATCTGCTTTTGGGAAGATCTGAGGGAACTTTCAATAATGGCGGGAAGCAAAGGGAATGCAGGCACTTCACATGGCTAGAGAAGGAGCAAGAGCGGAGAGGAGGGTGGGGGCGGTGCTACACACTTTTAAACCACCAGATTTTGACATAACTCACTATCTCATGATAGTGAGACCAGCACCAAGTGAATAGTGTTAAACCGTTCATGAGAAATCCACCCCCATGACTCAATCACCTCCCACCATGCTCCACATCCAACATGGGGAATTACAATTGAACATGAGATTTGGGTGGGAACACACATCCAAACCACATTACGGCCCATAAAAACATGCCATTCCCATCAGTTGGTACATCTTCTGGCTTTGCCTGTCAAATTCTTTTTTTTTTTTTTTTTGAGACGGAGTCTCGCTCTGTCGCCCAGGCCGGATTGCGGACTGCAGTGGCGCAATCTCGGCTCACTGCAAGCTCCGCTTCCCGGGTTCACGCCATTCTCCTGCCTCAGCCTCCCGAGTAGCTGGGACTACAGGCGCCCGCCACCGCGCCCGGCTAATTTTTTGTATTTTTAGTAGAGACGGGGTTTCACCTTGTTAGCCAGGATGGTCTCGATCTCCTGACCTCATGATCCACCCGCCTCGGCCTCCCAAAGTGCTGGGATTACAGGCGTGAGCCACCGCGCCCGGCCTGCCTGTCAAATTCTTACACTCTTCAATCAATATGTCCACTCTCCAACCTTATCTTACTCTGAAATGTGCTTCCACTGTATTTCTGGGGCTCAGTTAATGTATTACTTCCCCTGGCATAAGCTAGAAATTGCAAATGCAAATTAAATAGACCACAGAGTGTGGGAAGATATTCCCAATGCCTAAAACAGTCAAGGGAATAATTTCTAGAATATACAAAGAGATCCTCCAAACCAACAACAAAAAAAAGGACAGGAAAAAAAAAATAGAAAAATAGGCCAAAGATATTTCAAGGCAATTCACAGAAGAAGGAGCTCTGGTAGGCAAAAAAGAATATAGATAAATACATAAATGAAAAGTAGAACAGCATTGAGATGCTGACTTATAATGGCCCAGCTGGCAAAAATTAGAAAGACAGATAATACCAAATATTGTACAGCAGGTGGCTGACTTCATGTCTTTCTCTGTCTTTACCTATCACTCTATTGATTTTTGGAGTCATCGAATTCTTTAGCTCAGCTTTGTCTCTAAAACTTATACATGCAAATCCAACCCATTTTAGACATCTGTGCTTCAAAGATCCATTGGTTTGTTAAATACAACATGTCCCAAACTGAACCTGCGCTATGCTTCTCTAAACGTGTTTCTCCTCCTCTGTGCTCTGTCCCAAAGAGCCACCCATCATTCTTTACCTGAGTCATTCAAATCCCTGACTCCTCCTTCTCCTTCACCCCACCATCTGTGACAAAGTTCTCTATATCTTCCAGCTAAAGTGTAGCAGACATTTGTTGCCCACGTTCCTTTTTTTTTTTGAAACAGAGTCTTGCTAGTGCTGTGGCGTGATTTCGGCTCACTGCAACCTTCGACTCCCTGGTTCAAGCAATTCTCCTGCCTCAGCCTCCCAAGTAGCTGGGATTACAGGCACGTGCCACCAAGCCCAGCTAATTTTTGTATTTTTAGTAGAGACAAGGATTCACCATGTTGGCCAGGATGGTCTCGATCTCCTGACCTCATGATCCTCCCACCATGGCCTCCCAAAGTGCTGGGCGTGAGCCACTGCGCCTGCCCTCCATGTTTTACAAATGATACCCTGGCTCAGGCCAGCCTCATTTCTTGCCAGAATTACTGAAATTATTTGTCATTTGTTTTCCCTCCTGACAATTTTGCTAGCTAATATAATACTGAGAGATTTCTAAGAGTAAGGCCCACTCCATGACCTCAAAAAACTTGCCCTTCTCTCTGGTGGGAGGGAAGGACACGTGAGCCAATAATTACAATCCTATTCCATGACAGGCTTGCAATGAGAGAGGGGAGAAGCGTAGTTACTATGGGAGAAAGGAGGAAGACTAGCCATTCCTACCACCAACCCATCCCTCAAAAACCATGCAGGTGAGGCTAGGCACAGTGGCTCATGCCTGTAATCCCAGCACTTTGGGAGGCCAAGGTAGGTGGTTCACGAGGTCAGGTGTTTAGGACCAGCCTGGCCAACATGGTGAAACCCTGTCTCTACTAAAAATACAAAAAATTAGCCAGGTGTGTTGGCGCACACCTGTAGTCCCAGCTACTCAGGAGGCTGAGGCAGAAGAAATGCTTGAACCTGGGAGGAGGAGGTTGCAGTGAGCCAAAATTGTGCCACTGTACTCCACCCTGGGTGACAGAATTAGACTCCATCTCAAAAACAAAACAAAGAAACAAAACCATACAGGTATCTTCCTAAAACGCGGTTCTGACCAAATGCCCCAGTCTTAAAACTGTCCAAAGGCTGCTTTTAGGATGAAGCCCTTGACACAATGTAAGCCATGCATGGGCCATCTTTGCCTACTTGTATAACTCTTACAAATTCTTGGGCAATGATAAATGACTCAATA
Source organism: Homo sapiens (assembly GCF_000001405.40). Classification (NCBI taxonomy): domain Eukaryota; kingdom Metazoa; phylum Chordata; class Mammalia; order Primates; family Hominidae; genus Homo; species Homo sapiens. Next base: position 56,248,570 of record NC_000007.14, read on the forward strand.
CTCCACACACACACAAATCATCCTTTCTATTCCCATTTGATGGATGAACCTTTAGGACTTGCTTTAAACTGAATGTTAATTTGGTTGGTGAAAAAAAAAAAAACAAGTTCCATGCCAGGCGCAGTGGCTTATGCCTGTAATCCCAGCACTTTGGGAGGCCGAGGTGGGCGGATCACGAGGTCAGGAGATCGAGACCATCCTGGCTAACACGGTGAAACCCCGTCTCTACTAAAAATACACAAAAATTAGCTGGGCTTGGTGGCAGGTGCCTGTAATCCCACCTACTAGGGAGGCTGAGGCAGGAGAATGGCGTGAACCCAGGAGGCAGAGCTTGCAGTGAGCCAAGATCGTGCCACTGCACTCCAGCCTGGGCGACAGAGCCAGACTCCATCTCAAAGAAAGAAAAAAAACAAGTTCCAGTTCGGAAGAAGTTGCATTTAAAATATTCGCAGTTGCCTTCTGTCACGTCCTTGATCAAGGAGGTAAGTAATAATGCAACAGACATTACTGTCATTAAATGCCAGCAGTGTGCAATGCAGTATGCTAAATGTTGTGGGGGAGGCAAAGAGGATGTAGCCAGACTCAACCATTTGCTCTCTCCTGTTCTCCCCAGCTCCACATCAACAAGCTGTCTCTAGACAGACTTGAAGCTCTCTGTCCTTCCTTCCCTCCACACTGAACTCCTGCCTCTCCCACGCAGCAGGCATCCTTCCTATTCTATGTTATTGCTGCTCATGTACACAGCCAATCCCTGCCCACATTCAGAGTCTGATCTCCTTTAATGTAGGGGTGCTCTCTGTTTAAACTTTGTATGGTGTCTGGCACAGTCTACTATTGAATAAATTCACTGAATTAATGATTATTGGGAAATAATTCTTTTTTTTTTTTGAGACGTTGTCTTGCTCTGTTGCCCAGGCTGGAGTGCAATGGTGCAATTTCAGCTCACCACAACCTCTCCCGGGTTCAAGCGATTCTGCTGCCTCAGCCTCCCGAATAGCTGGTATTCCAGGCGCCCACCACCATTCCAGGCTAATTTTTGTATTTTCAGTAGAGACGAGGTTTCACCCTGTTGGCCAGGCTCGTCTTGAACTCCTGACCTCAAGTGATCCACCTGCCTCAGCCTCCCAAAGCGCTGGGATTACAGGCATGAGCCACTATGCCCGACCAATAATTTTTGTTTTCGAGGAGCTCACAATTGTCTACTGACTATGATATTAAGAGCAAATTTTCCAGCAAAGATGTCAGAGCCTTCTGGAACTAGGCACTGCCTTACCTGGTCAGCTGGCCTGACTCATTCATTCATTTAAACAATGTTCGTTGAGATGAATATTAAAAACACATATTGAGAACCTACCCCATTCTAGGTCTAGCTCTAAGATGCTCAGGATAAAATAATAAAAAAAAGGTTGGATGTGGCCCTTGCCCAACTAGCATGTATAGGAGAAGGATGAAACCAACCCTAAATAAATGAACGATAATTACAAATTGCGAAAAGCGCTATGAGATAAACAAATGGTGTTTTAAGAGAGAGCTTAGTGGGAGGTGCTCAGCTATTCCCCTGGCTGAAATATTCATTGAACTGTCTCTGACAATCTGAACCCCAGATCTCTTTAAACCCATAGATCACTTCTGGGAAGTCTACCCTGATTACTGCAAGCCCTGCCTGACTCTGAAAACATTTATTATGTGTTCACCAAATATGTATAACTCTTCCAGCCAGGAAAGCTGCATGGAGCCTGTGACACATTTTTATCTGGTACATGAGCTACATAGGTGACGTCACTGTGGCCACCAGGCCTCTTTCAGTCATCCCTCATGCAGGCCCTTCCACGTGTATGGAACCAGGCTCATGGGCAAAACAGTGCAATTTCTGGGATCTTTATGCATACTCATTTAGCGATGGAGAGAAAACTCACATACAATGCAGCCACCCCAAAGGCACAATCACAGTAAGTTGATTGCAAAGTTCTATATCCATCCCTCTAACTTATCCTTTCTTGACCCTGGCTTGACTCATCCTCCTTGGAGGTAGCCATAAATAATCTTTCTTCCCTTTCCTGCCATCTCTACCTCATGCTGAAGAGTTTACTCATGGTTCACTCATTTGTAATAGTTCAGTCATTTTTGTTGATGTTTGGGATAGATTGCTCAGTTCCCAAAAGCCTAACAGACTCTCCACCTGGAATTATACCTCTTGGATGGGTCTCTTTGGCAAAGCAATGGGCAGTTTTATATGAAGACCATTACACTAGGCAATCATGAATAAACAGTTGAGAGGTGAGGGTGGAGGGGTCTGGAGGACACTAGTGTTTGAGATATTATAGATCACAGTTTATTGCTAATTTTAAGCATTCTTGTAAGATAAAATGATCATTCCTATTTTTAAAAGATGAGGAAAATTAAGACACAGCAAGGTAAAAGAAGTTGGCTAAAAGCTAACTCTTGTAGGACAGAGTCATATGTTTAAGCAAGTGATTTTGAAAGTGTAGGAGGCAGGGTAAAGTGGAGGTTTGCATCGAGCTATGGTTCTCTAATGCGAGTGTGCATCAGAATCATGGGAAAGGCTCCTTAAAGCGCAGGTTGCTGAGTCCTGGCCCCAGAGTTTCTGGTTAAGTGGGTCCATGATGGAGCCAAGTAATTTGCATTTCTAACAAATGTTAAGGTACAAAAAGCTTACTATAATAATAACAACAACAAGTGGTATTTCTCCAGCCTCTATTACAGTGATACTGGCCTAATATGTGCCCAGATGATGCTATTGCTTCTGGTCCAGGGACCACAATTTGATAAGCACTGTCATAAAATATGGTGTGAGCCCGGAGGAGAGATAAATGACCAATGCTTCAGGGCAGCCAAGGGATGGCTTCATAGGGAAAGTGGCATCTGGGTTGGGCATTGAAGATCACATAGGAATTCTCCAACTCACTTTCCCATCTGCCATTTGTTGGTCATAGAGGAAAGGACTGAACACATGCTATGTTTGGACCCACAGGTACAAGTCAAGTTCAAATGTGGTGAATGTTCAGTGAGTGTGTATAAATTCTGGAAGCTCAGCAGAGCTTGTACTGACAGGGAAGAGGCTGGCAGGTGAGCCTGGCGCCAGATGGAAAGCCATGCGAAAGAGTTCAAATTTCATCCTTTGGGTACCAGGCTTTTAGTCAGAAGAGTAATGCAATTCTCTTTGCTTAATTGGATTCTAATTGTTCATTCATTAAAAATAAGATGGTATTAATCACTCACTACACCAAGGAATGCTAAGGTATAAAAAGCTCACTATACAAATAATACCAATAACAGTAAGTGGTATTTCTCTGGCTCTCACCACAGTGATACTAGCCTTGCATGTATGATATGATTTACTCCCTACAGCAATCCTTTGTAGCAGATGCTACTGTTATCCCATTTTAGAGATGAGGAAACTGAGGTTTAGGGAGGCAAGGGCACAGTGCTTGAAAGTAGCTGAATAGCAGTGGGGCACGGTGGCTCACACCTGTAATACCAGCACTTCAAGAGGCCAAGAAGAGAGGATCACTTGAGGCCAGGAGTTCCAGACCAGCCTAGCAAACATCTCTATAAAAAATAAATATTTACAAAATTAGCTGGGCCTGGTGTCACGCGCCTATGTATCAGCTGCTCAGAGGCTGAGGCAGGAGGATTGCTTGAGCCCAGGAGTTTGAGGCTGCAGTGAGCTATGATCACGCCACTGCACACACTTCAGCCTGGGCAACACAGTGAGACCCTGTCTCCAAAAATGAAGAAAGTAGCTTATAGCAATTTTGGGTTAAGTTTAAAGGGTCATTTTTGCATCGTAAACTTTGCTTTCCTTTATGACATCCTTGAGTTCAAGGACTGTATCTCTACCTTCCCTTTCACCCAAACGTATTGCCTCTAATATGAAACTGCCCCTGCTGTGCTTGGTAAAAGTAGCCTAGGCTCTCCCAGCAATGCCCTTTCCCTTGCAGGTATCCTGACCTCTACACAAAGGCATGAGGCAAACAGGAGCTACTGCTTGTTACTGGAGGATCTGTGGTCTTCACAGTGCAGGAATATCATCCCGAGGGGACAGTAGGATCTATCACTGTCAAACCCAAGGCCCTATTTTTTTTTTTTTTAATTCTTGCAAACTCAGGACTTTTCAGATCTTTAGGGCTGATCAGAGATAGGGCACTACAATAGACAGCTTAAATTGTAGCAAGTGGGGAGAAGAGGCAAAGAGAGGTACCACACATAAAATAAAATACACTGACTTTTTGGGAAGAAAACACATAATTCTTGGTACGCCCAGCACAACAAAAGTTCTTGGAGAACAGAGAAGATCTTTGTCAGAAATTGTGTCTCATTTAGCAACATTGTTTCACTTCTGTTCTTTTCAGAATGAAATTGATTCATGTTGCTTTTGTTTCAGGTTGCCTTTTATTTTTTACCTTCCTGGGTAATTTATCTTCCATTAGCAGGCAAGCACTTTCTCCTTTCACCTGTCTTCACAAACCAGGACTTTCTTCTGCAACGTGTTTATGGTCAGCTCTCACAGTCCAATTTAATGATATATATATATATATCATTTTGCCAAGTGGTGATTCAGATAACATGGGCAATATTGATGTGAAATGGGTTAAAAATATTTTAATGATTCCCTTCCTTGGAAGTGGTGTGTTTGTGTGTGCATTGCATTACAAAAAACATCATCATTTATTCACTCAGGAAGTATTTTTGCATTTTTTTCTAACTTCATTGTGCTGCTGAGGACGTGAAGTATTTACCAGGAAGCAGTTCACTGGGCATAGCTCTAAATGAAAGGCAACACAAAAAGTAGTTAATTACGGTGCAAATGTTGAAGAGCAAAACTGCATGATAAGAGATACCCCAAGGGCAACTTTAGAGGCTCTGTTCACTGCATTGGGAGAAAGAAGGAGAGGATTCATGATGGAAATTCATATTCATTTTGACTTTTATCAGACAAAAGACAGAGACTGAAGTAACACGAATATCTTCTTGGAGGCCCTGTGTCTGCCAGATAATAACTTTATTTCATTGTCTGTGTGGCGCTTCAAGCAGCCATAGTAGCGAGTTGCAGTGGCTCATACCAGTAATCCCAGCACTTTGGGAGGCCAAGTTGGGAGGATCACATGAGGCCAGCAGTTTGAGACCAGCCTGGCCAACATAGCAAAACCCCATCTCTACAAAAGATTAAAAAAAAAATTAGCCAGGTGTGGTGGTGCATGCCTGTAGCCCCAGCTACTCAGGAGGCTAAGGCAGGAGGATCCCTGGAGCCCCAAAGTTTCAGGCTGTGGTAAGCCATGATCACACCATTATGCTTCAGCCTGTGTGACAGAATAAAACCCTGTCTCAAAAAAAAAAAAAAAAAAAAAAAAAAAAAAAAAAGCAGACTGATTAAGGGACCTAAGTTTACAGCAATTGAGCACCTAAATGTACAACAATTGAGCAGCTTTCAGAAAGCTGTATAGCTCAAGGACCGGTCCAGTGGCTCAGGCATGTAATCCCAGTACTTTAGGAGGCCAAGTCAGGCAGATCACCTGAGGTCAGGAGTTCGAGACCAGCCTGGCCAACATTGTGAAACCTTGTCTCCACTAAAAACACAAAAATTAGCTGGGCATTGTGGTGGACACCTGTAACCCTAGCTACTTGGAAGGTGGAGGCAGGAGAATCACTTGAACCCAGGAGGCGGAAGTTGCAGTGAGTCGAGATTGTGCCATTGCACTTCAGCCTGGGTGACAGAATGAGACTCCATCTCAAAAAAAAAAAAAAAAAAAAGAGAGTCCTTTCAGCATTGAATGCTTTTGGTTCTAAGTCGTTTGACCACATATACAAGGGTTTATTTCTGGACTTGATTCTATTCCATTGGTCTGTGTGTCTGTTTTTAAGCCCTTTCAGTTCATTTTCAGCACTAGAAGGTTAGTTCCATGAGGGCAGGTGCCTTGCCTGGCTTTCCACAGCCCCGCCCCTGGCACAGAGGGGCTCACTGAATTTCCAGTAGCTGACTAGCTTTGATAGTTTCTAGCTTTCCCTTGCACAGCCCAGATGGACTTCCCTGCATGCCTCCAGCTTGTCCTGTGTTGGGCATACCACCTCCCCTGGGCAGTCTGCCATGCTCTTTTTCCTTAGACTTCAGAGGGGTCCTGCCTTCCCTCTCTCCAAACTCAGCTCAGGGTCTGCTGGATTATTTGACCTAGCCCCGTCCTCCTTCTGTTCATAAGTGGTGCTTGTGCATCCGGCATTTGCCATTTGCTCACCCTTCTTCCAGGCATCCTTGCACCTATGTTCCTCAGACCTGTGTCCACCAGACTCTCATGGACCCCCACCTGCTTTCTGGGATTTTCCTACTTCACTTGAGTCCTGGCATCTTGAGTCCTGGCATATGGAAAGCTTAGCCTCAGGCTCTGTTCCAGCCTTGTTTAAGTCACATCAAAAGGCGATCCTGTTTTTTTGTTTTTGATTTTGTTTCCAGTCTCATACATAAGGCCTCTGTAATGGCAGGGAGGAAATCCAGAGGGCAGGAACACAGCATTACATCATCACATTACCTACAGGGATGCATTTTCAAGGCCAGCAAACTCAATTAGCTTGTTGGTAATAGCAGTTCCAGCACCAGGACGCATACAGCAGAGTTCATCATGCTGAAGGACACAAAAAACAGATGACAGTGTGGTCCACCATGCAGACCTGCCAGCAAACTAGCCCAGAGAGACAGTTCCAAACGTGATTTCCTTTCAATAATCTTGGGCTGCTGTAATCTTGAGAAATAGAATGCTCTTTGTTAGCTTCATCCTCGTTATTTCTTTCCTCACACATCTTTGAGCAACTTTTCTTTTCTTCTGCAAATTTCCAGCTATTGCACTGGACCCTTGTTGACTCCAATAGAGATGGCCCCATGTCCCAGAAGCCAAAGAGGAGACCTGGAGCCAGTGAAGGTTACATAATGTCATTGGCAGGAGGCAGACAAATTCCTAGGCAGCCAGAGGCAGGTCCCTGCTGAAATCCGACCTTCAAGCCAAAGACAGCTCGATGCCTGAAAACCTAGCTACTACAGCCCAGGACTGGAGTGAGAACTTCCTCGATATCTTTTTAGCCAATCAAATGATGCTTTTTCCAGGCCCACCCATGGATCAATCAGCATGCACTCCCCCATTCTGAGCCCATAAAAACCCCAGACTCAGCCCCACAATGGGACTACCTGTCTTGGGGAAGGGGCTACTCACTTCGGGTTCCCCTCTCATGTTGAGAGCTGTTATGTTGCTCAGTATAACTCTTCTCCACCTTGCTTACTCTCTGGTTGTCCACATAACCTTATTCTTGGTCACGGGACAAGAACCCACAGCCTGCTGAATGACAAGAGTGAAAAGGGCTGTAACAAGTTCCTGGCTGGCTCGCCAAGAAGCAGGTGGTGACACGCTCTCATTTGCTGGACTACAGTGGAAGAGCGGTAAACCTTCTGGGGGCCCAGGTCTTGGGATTTCCTGATCCAGAGCTGTGACAAGCTGTAACATGCACTTAGGCCTCTGTGGTTGCTGGTGTCTCTGAATTTTCGGGCACCAACATGTTCCCCTCATCCAGATGCCAGTGCCCAAGGTGGAAACCACTTGAGGCACATCTGGTCCAGCCACAGCCTTGTACAGAGCTTGTGCCTGTGCTGGTGCCTGGAGCTGCCCACCTCACCTTAGCAGCCAGTGCACTTGGCTGTGCACCATGGCTGTGCCTCATGCTTGCTCACTCACACACCCCTCGCCACTCTGCACCTGGCTCGCTTACAGTGGGTGTGGGATCTGGGCCAGTATCGAGAGCCGAGCACAGCCAGCTCAGCACAGCCTGCCGAGCTGAGTGGGCAGAGCCAACCCAGCAGTCATGAGCAAAACTCGGGCAGAGGTGCTGCCAGCCACAGAGGTTTCCAGCTGGTGAAGCAGCACCCAAAGAATCCTGTGTCAATAGGATTTATTGAGGACTTATAAATGGGGCAGTCCAGGAGTGGCAGGCTGGACAGGAGACTCCCTACCTTTTTAAAAAATGCACACCAGTTATATCATTTTTTCACTTAGCAACCCCCACCTAGCAACCTCCATGTAACCCAAAACAAAGGGCAGCCCCTGTAGAGCCTGCATTTCAAGGGGATGGGACAGGGCTTCTGATGTCCTTCACAGATAAGGAGTGGATCTTCAGGTTGGCCACTTCTGGATTCCTTAGCTTGAAACTTTGAACACACATTTCCTTAGACCATGGTGTTATTTTCAGGGTTAAGTTGCTTAAGTTATTGCTCTCAAATGTGTCTTCCATACACTAGCATTGAGACCTAGAGAGGTTTGAACATTTATCTACATACATTTAGCCAGTGGCCTTATCTCAGTCACTGTTTAGTCATTGTTCAGTGTGTCAGATCATCAGCTGAGCTAATGTTTTGGGTAAGTTAGAGCAGGCAGAAAATCCTCATTCAGAATCAATGGGGAAGAAGGACAGTCAGGATTACTAAGAAGTCAAAATAACATGCTATTTTAACCACAGTGTCCTGAGAGCAGAGAATGTTTTCGTTCAACAGTTCTTAGTTTTTATTTATTTATTTATTTATTTATTTTTTGAGACAGAGTCTAGCTCTGTCACACAGGCTGGAGTGCAATGGTGCGATCTTGGCTCGCTGCAACCTCCACCTCCCGAGTTCAAGTGATTCTCCTGCCTCAGCCTCCCAAGTACCTGGGATTACAGGCACATGCCACCAGGCCCGGCTAATTTTTGTATTTTTAGTAGAGACGGGGTTTCACCATGTTGGTCAGGCTGGTCTCGAACTCCTGACCTTGTGATCCGCCCGCCTCGGCCTCCCAAAGTGCTGGGATTACAGGCATGAGCCACTGTGCCCGGTCAGTTCAACAGTTCTTAGAATTTAACTTGTCCAACCTTGTAATTTTACAGATGAGAAAACCAAGAGCCATAGAAAGTTAAATTATGTCTGCCAGGTGGCCATGGCTCGTTAGCATACGTGCAGAATGACTATAAATAAGCCACAGTCCACTTACAGAAAAGCTGGTCTTGCAGAGTCTCTTCAGAGCATGCTTTATCACCCAGAGATGGGGGGGATTTCAAAGCAGCACATAGTGGGCCTTCAGGTGCTGTCAATGTTATGTTGATAGGGTATTTGCTTTTGTCTGTAAACTAAAAAGCCCTGCAGAATCTCAGTTAGCTTTCTATTTTCAATAAGGAGTTCCTTGTTCATAGTGCTAAGAGAAGTGATAGTTATGCTGCTAAACATGAAACTGTCAAATTAGAGGCATTCAAATTATTTTGCAGGAAGGTATGTGAACCTGAAAATGTGAGACTTTCTCAGTTAATTGAGAAAGTTGATTTTGCCAGGGTTGAGGGTGCGCACTGTGACACAGCCTCAGAGGTCCTGACGACATGTGCCCAAGGTAGTCGGGGCACAGCTTTGTTTTATACATTTTAGGGAGACATGAGACATCAGTCAATATGTGTAAGATGTACATTGGTTCAGTCCAGAAAGGTGGGACAACCGGAGGCAAAGGCCAGGCAACTCGAGGTGGGGAGAGGCTTTTGGGTCATAGGTAGGTAAGAGACAAATGGTTGGATTTTTTTGAGTCTCTGATGAGCCTCTTCAAATGAAGCAATCAGATATGCATCTATCTCAGTGAGCAGAGGGGTGACTTTGAATAGAATAGGAGGCAGGTTTGCCTTAAGCAGTTCCCAGCTTGACTTTTCCCTTTAGCTTAGTGATTTGGGGCCCCCAGATTTATTTTCCTCTCACAGTTACATCATACTTCTCTCAAAGCAACCTCTGTTTCCCAGTCCTCTTTAGCCCTAGATGCATTTTTCATCTCCTCCCTTTTTTGGAACAAGAAGAGGAATCCTGTGTACAGAGGCCCTTATATCTTGGATACCAACAATCCCTGCTTCTATGCAGAACGCACTTAAAAAGCATGTGGATTCTGGCATGTGTTCTAAATGGCTCATTAATCATGCACTTTCTTAAGAAGGATTCTAAAGAGTTCAAATTTGCTGGGGAGCATTCTCCGTCTCCCCTCAGGTGGACTAGCAAGTACAGAGTCTTCAGTTCTTTCATCTATTTATAGCTCAGAGAAGCCACCCGGATGGGGATGATGAGGATGTGTGATTCCTAAGGAGAAATCACTCAAATTCATGAAGATTCTCCCTCTGCCTTTATAATGTAGGCACATCGTTAAATGCACTTTGTTGAAGCTATGCTAAAATGTTGGACATTTCACTGGATAAACAAAACAATAAAAACAGTCAAGATGGTTTTCTAGTTATGAGACTCTGAATACTCTACTTGAATTTAGCAGGGTTTAGGTATATGTGGATGTTGTTGCTTCCTTCCTCCTCCCTCACTTCCTTCCTCATTTTCTCTGTCTGTATCTTTGTAATGAGGCCATGCATGTTACTGGGAAATATAGTAGATTTGGAGGCAGGCTTGGGTTCCCATCCAAGGTCCATCACTCACAATTGTGTGACCCCCACACACATTATGTGACTGTTCTGGCTCTTAGTAATTGAAGGATAACAATAAAGTAGAGAAAAATTGTATAAGATTATATATAAATGGATAAGATTATATATAAATTGTATAAGATAATATATAAATGGATAGATGGATGATGAATGGATGGATCGATGGATAAATGGATGTATAAATAGATGGATGGATGAATAGATGGATGAATGGATAAATAGACGGATGGATGGATAAATGGATGGATGGATGGATGGATAGATGAATGAATGAATAGATGGATGAATGGATAGATAGCTAGATGGATAGTTGGATGGATGGATGGATAGGTAGATAGATGATAGATGAATAGAGTCTACAGGACAGTGTATAATAGATCACAGACTTTTTTCATTCTTTTTTTGTTTTTTTCTTTTTTAGTGATGAAGTCTCACTCTGTCACCCAAGCTGGAGTGCACTGGTGTGATCATAGCTCATTGCAGCCTGGAACTCTTGGGCTCAAGCAGGTATTTGTCATCATACTTAGATTTTTTAAAAAAATTCTGTAGAGACAGGGTCTTGCTATGCTGCCCAGGCTGGTCTCAAACTTCTGGCCTCCAACGATCCTCTTACTTTGGTCTCTCAAAGTGCTAGGATTACAGACATGAGCTACTATTCTTTATTCAATAAAAATCTTTTTCATCGAGCACATTCTTTGGCCTTCCCACTTGTACATGCTAGGGATATAATACTGAATAAAACTGGCAAACCCCTGCAGTTGTAGAACTGATATTCTAGTGAAGGAGCCAAATATATAGAATGCAACACCTGCCATAGAAGGAAATAAGGTGGGGAAGAAGGGCAAGAAGTGTGGCTGGGGAAGAGGTGTTTCAGATTTTAAATGGGTCATCAGGGAAGAACCTGATGGCAGAGGATGGCGTTTGAATAGAGACCTTGAGTGGTGCTGGAGGCTGCAGCAGATGTCCAGGGAAGAAGTATCACTATTGAAGTAGGCCCTGCCAGAGGCCTAGTACAATACACAGTGATAATTTATGTGTAACGAGAAGCCGTTCTGCCTTCTTGTGAATGGGATGAAGTTACAAAGCAGTCACAGTTCTTTTTACCAATCCTTTTCCTATTTTTCTTCCTCAGATATTAGAACACAGGGAATGAGTTGACCAGTGACCCAGCTGCTGCACTCAGAAATCTACCAACCACCATGTTTCCATGGAGGCCAAGCTTTCCCCACTGCTCCCAGGGAGTGATTGAGCGTGGCAGGATTCTCAGGCAAGCCCACTCCTGGGAAATGCACCACTCCTGTCATGGGCGCCCCATCAGCTTTGCAGAAACTTTTGCAGAACCTTGTTCAAAGTCTTTCCCTTCTTCACTGGTGCTAGACTTGCACTGAGGTCTGATGACTGTCCTGGACTTTGCTGGCTCCCTTCCCATTTTCTGTAGCAGAATTTTCCCTAATAAATCACTTGCACTCTTATTAGAGTTTTCTTTAATAAATCCAGACTTGGCATCTGCTTGGAATACCAGGACTGACACAGGCACCATTGAGGAACTTTAGGTGTCCAGCTAACAGCCAGCACTAACTGTTGGACCTTTGAGTGAGGCCAGCTTGGACCTTCTTGTGCAATTGATAACCCCATAAATTCCAGCCATGTAAGATATTGAAGCCCTTGTGAACTATTGGTAGGAATGTAACATGGTACAGCCATTATGGAAAACAGTGTGGTGGTTCCTCGAAACATTAAAAATACAATTGGCCAGGCATGGTGGCTCATGCCTGTAATCCCAGCATTTTGAGAGGCCAAGGAGGGTGGATCACCTGAGGTCAGGAGTTCAAGACCAGCCTGGCAAACATGGTGAAACCCTGTCTCTACTGCAAAATAGAAAAATTAGCTGGGTGGTGGTGGATGCCTGTAATTACAGCTACTCGGCGGGGGCTGGGGCAGGAGAATTGCTTGAACCCGGGAGATGGAGGTTGCAGTGAACTGAGCTGAGATCATGCCACTGCATTCCAGCCTGGGCCACAGAGAGAGACTCCATCTCAAATTAAAAAAAAATTACCATATGATGCAGCAATTCTACTTCTGGTTATATACCCAAAAGAATTGAAAGCAGGGACTCAGAGATCCTTGTGCAGCCACGTTCAGAGCAGAATTATTTACAATGGCTAATACATGGAAACAACCCAAGTGTCCATTGCACATGAATTAATAAACACAATGTTGTATAGACATACAATGAAATATCATTCAGCTTTAAAAATAAGGAAAATTCTGACACATGCTATAACCTGGATGAAACTTAAGGACAACATGCTAAGTGAAATAAGCCAGTCCTAAAAAGGCAAATACTGTATAATTCCATTTATACGAGGTACTTAGAGTAGTCACAATCATATAGACAGAAAGTTGATTGGTAGTTTCCAGGGACAGGGGAGACAGGAAAATGGGGAATTATTGTTTAATGTATATAAAATTTAAGTTTCTAAAGATGAAAAGAATTATGGAAGTGGGTGGTGATAAAGGTTGTACATTATAAGTGTATTTAATAGTACCAAAATGTACACTTAAGAACTGGTGAGTTAGTCTGTTTTGCCATGCTGTAAAGGAATACCTGATGCTGGTAACTTATAAAGAAAAGAGGCTCACACCTGTAATCCCAGTGCTTTGGGAGGCTGAGGCTGGAGGCTTGCTTGAGCTCATGAGTTCGAGACCAGCCTGGGCAACATGGTGAAACCCTGTCTCTATAAAAAATACAAAAATTAGCCAGGTGTGGTGGTGCACGCCTGTAGTCCCAGCTACTTGGGAGGCTGAGGTGGGAGGATGGCTTGAACCTGGGAGTTTGAGGCTGCGGTGAGCTATGATCATACCACTGCAGCACTCTACCCTGGGTGATAGAGCCAGGACTTGTCTCCAAAAAAGAAAAAAAAAAAAAAGAGGTTTATTTGGCTCACAGTTCTGCAGGCTGTACATTCATGACACTAGCATCTGCTAGGCTTCTGGTGAGGCCTCAGGAAACTTACTCGTGGTAGAAGGTGAAACGAGAACAGGCAGGCACATCACATGGAGAGAGAGGGAGAGAGAGGAGAGGAGAGAGACAGAGAGAGAGAGAGAGAAGGAGGTGCCAGCTCCTTGAAACACCTAGCTGTTGTGTGAACTAACAGAATGAGAACATTCTCATCATCATGGGGAGGGCACCAGGCCATTTACAAGGGATCCACCCCTATGACCCAATCACCTCAGGCCAGACCTCACCTCCAACAATGGGGATCACATTTCACCATGAGATTTGGAGGAGACATACATCCAAACCGTATCAGATGGTAAATTTTATGTTGTATTTTAGCACAATTTAAAAAAAAGAAAAAAAAATATAGCCAGATGAAAGAGCCCAGGAAAAATCAGCAAAGTAAACTTGCACCGAATGCACAGAATTGTAATTGGTTTAAAGCACTAATGTTTGGGTGGCTTGTTACGTAGCAAAGGCTAGGGACACAACACCAGAGGAAGACTTAGAGGAACCAGGAACAAAGGAATAAACTAGCAGCTGAGGCAGGAGATTCCTTGAACCCGGGAGGCAGAAGTTGCAGTGAACTGAGAGGGCACTCCAGTCTGGGAGACACAGGGAGACTCAGTCAAAAAAAAAGAACTCATGGTTCTGCAGCCTGGCTCAGGTATAAAGGGAAAATATGACCAACCCAGCACATGCTGAGGATCCCTGCCTGGGTCCTGAACTGAGCAAGCATTCCGGGGCCAAACTGTCTTTCCACAACCTACTCCTGTCAACCTGATTGTTTAGTAAAGTGTCATCCTATGCCTGCGTTCACACTTTGATTTAGGCCTCAGTATGTCCCACCACTGGATTCTGTTCCTGCCTCTAACTGGGCCCTTTAATGTCCACCCATTCCTGCCTTACCAATGTATATTCAGACTTGGGCTTTTTAATTAAATATTTGGCTGGGCACAGTGGCTCACACCTGTAATCACAACACTTTGGGAGACTGAGGCAGGAGGATTGCCTGAGGCCAGGAGTTTGAGACCAGCTGGGGCAACATAGTAAGATCCTCAGGTCTACAAAAAATAAAAATACTAGCTGGGTGTGGTGGTGCATGCCTGTATTCCCAGCTACTTGGGAGGGTGAGGCTGGAGGATGGCTTGAGTCCAGGAATTCCAGGCTGCAGTGAGCCAGCAGTGAGCCATGCAGCCTGGAACTCCTGGGATCAAACCATCCTCCAGCCTCAGCCTCCCAAGTAGCACTTGTACCACTGTGCACCAGCCTGGGCAACAGAGCAAGACCCTGTCTCAAAAAATAACATAAAATAAAAATATTAAATATTCACCCTCCTGCATCATCTTTTGCTGTTCCCTGCTGATCTCCTAAATCTGACCTGGCTCACCACCTCCTCTTTCTGGTCCTGGGTTTCACCTTCTTACTCCACCCATGTCAGGTGCCCCGGCAAACCTGGCATCAAGAAATTGGTATGACAGCTGAACCTTGGGGCTGGAACCCAGCCTTGGTTGTCTTTCATTGTTTCCTTCTCAACATTGCACTCCCTTCTGCCACCTGAAGGCTGTCTTCTTCTTCTTCCTCTTCCTCTTCTTCTTCTTTTTTTTTTGAGATGAAGTTTTTGCTCTGTTGCCCAGGCTGGAATGTAATGGCATGATCTCAGCTCACTGCAACCTCCCCACCTCCTGGGTTCAAGCAATTCTTATGCCTCAGCCTCCTAAGTAGCTGGGATTACAGGTGCCTGCCACCATGCCCACCTAATTTTTTTTGTATTTTTAGTAGAGACGTGGTTTCACCATGTTGGCCAGGCTGATCTTGAACTCTTGACCTTAGGTGATCCACCCACCTCTGCCTCCCACAGTGCTAGGATTACTGACATGAGCCACCTCGCCCGGCCCTGAAGGCTTTCTTCTAAGGCCCTCCTGAATCCCCCACTGTTTGTCCCTGTGTTCTCACGGCTAACCTGCTTTCCAGAACATCAAGATGTCACTTACTGAGAATTTCAGCTTCTGCCAGCCAGTGTCAGGCAGCCTGATGCAATCACCTCTCTCCGCCTGACCCTACAGAAGGGCAGCATTTCCGACGCCAGTGGCTGTTGCAGGAAGTCAGGGACCCCAAATGGAGGGACCGGCTGAAGCCATGGTGGAAGAACATAAATTGTGAAGATTTCACAGACATTTATTAGTTCCCCAAATTAGCACTTTCGTAATTTCTTATGCCTGTCTTCACTGTAATCTCTAAACATAAATTGTGAAGATTTCATGGACACTTATCACTTCCCCAATCAATACCCTTGTGATTTCCTATGCCTGTCTTTACTTTAATCTCTTAATCCTGTCATCTTGTAAACTGAGGAGGATGTATGTCACCTCAGGACCCTGTGATGATTGCGTTAACTGCACAAATTGTAGAGCATGTGTGTTTGAACAATATGAAATCTGGGCACCTTGAAAAAAGAACAGGATAACAGCAATGTTCAGGGAATAAGAGAGATAACCTTAAACTCTGACCGCCGGTGAGCCGGGCGGAACAGAGCCATATTTCTCTTCTTTCAAAAGCAAATGGGAGAAATAGCGCTGAATTCTTTTTCTCAGCAAGGAACATCGCTGAGAAAGAGAATGTGCCCCTGAGGGTAGGCCTCTAAAATGGCCCCTTTGGGTGTGGCCGTCTTCTATGGTCGAAACTGTAGGGATGAAATAAGCCCTGGTCTCCCGTAGCGCTCCCAGGCTTATTAGGATGAGGAAATTCCTGCCTAACAAATTTTGGTCAGACCAGTTGCTCTCAAACCCTGTCTCCTGATAAGATGTTATCAATGACAATGGTGCCTGAAACTTCATTAGCCATTTTAATTTCGCCCTGATCCTGTGGTCCTGTGATCTCGCCCTGCCTCCATTTGCCTTGTGATATTCTATCACCTTGTGAAGCACATGATTTCTGTGACCCACACCCTATTCGTACACTCCCTCCCCTTTGAAAATCACTAATAAAAACTTGCTGGTTTTGCGGCTTGTGGGGCATCATGGAAGCTACCGACATGTGATGTCTCCCCCGGACGCCCAGCTTTAAAATTTCTCTCTTTTGTACTCTGTCCCTTTATTTCTCAAACTGGCCAACGCTTAGGGAAAATAGAAAAGAACCTACGTGAAATATCGGGGGGTGAATTTTGCCCGATATCTGGCTGAATTTCCCCCGATAAGTGGCTGCTTCCTCCAAAGGGTTACTCAGGACTTTCCTGGCAAGGGCGGATGATTAGGCCTGCCACAAAACTTATTAACTTGTGAATCCTTTTTTTTTTTTTTTTGAGACAGAGACTCACTCTGTGGCCCAGGCTGGAGTGCAGTGGCACAATCTCGGCTCACTGCAAGCTCCGCCTCCCGGGTTCACACCATTCTCCTGCCTCAGCTTCCCGAGTAGCTGGGACTACAGGCGTGAGCCACCGCGCCCAGCCTAACTTGTGAATCCTTGGTGGAGGGCTTGCACCTGAAGCTGTTTTCAAGTAGCAAGAATGCACTTGATTCATGGAGAGAGACATTTTTTATTTGAGAAAAAAAAGATAAATCCCTTTTCTGAACTCTAGTAAATGAAAAAATCCATACTATTAAATAGCATATTTATATATATTATATATATACTTTATTTATTATATATATATTTATATATATAAACAGCATATTTATATATATAAACAGCATATTTATATATAAACAGCATATTTATATATAAATAGCATATTTATATATATAAATAGCATATTTATATATACTATTAAATAGATTAAAAACTAGCTCTTAGAGGACTAATGAATACTTTCAAATCATGGTGAAACAAAGGCATACAGAGGGCAATGTCACCAATATAAGATACTCTTTTTTATTTTTTGAAACAGGGTCCTGCTCTGTCATTCAGGCTTGGTCCGATGATAGCTCACTGCAGCCTCCAACTCCTGAGCTCAAGCAATCCTCCTGTATTAGCCTCCTGAGTAGCTGGGATTACAGGTGCACACCACCACGCCTGGCTAACTTTTGAATTTTTTGTAGTGATGGGATTTTGCCATGTTGGCTAGGCTGGTCTCCAACTCCTGACCACAAGTGATCTGCCCACCTTGGCCTCCCAAAGTGCTGGGATTACAGGCATGAAGCACTGTGCCCAGCCCATAACAATTTTTGATCCTAAAAATCCTAAAAACCCTATAGGCACAAGCCACCAAGCCTAGCTAACTTTTTGTTTGTTTGTTTGATAGTAGAGACGGGTTTTCACTATGTTGGCCAGGCTGGTCTCGAACTTCTGACCTTAAGTGATCCACCTACCTCGGCCTCCCAAGGTGCTGGGACTACATGCGTGAGCCACTGCACCTGGCCCCTAGAGATTCTAAGTAACAGGAAAGCTATTACTGCTTGCCTTGATGCATATCACTATATCACTTTTTTTTTTTTTGAGGCAGAGCTTCACTCTGTCGCCCAAGCTGGAGTGCAGTGGTGCAATCTTGGCTCACTGCAACCTCCACCTCCTGTGTTTAAGCGATTCTTCTTCCTCAGCCTCCTGAGTGGCTGGGTTTACAGGCGTGGACAACTATGTCCAGCTAATTTTTGTATTTTTTGTTTGCCATGTTGGCCAGGCTGGTCTCAAACTCCAGACCTCGAGTGATCCGCCTGCCTTGGCCTCTAAAGTGCTGGGATTACAGGCATGAGCCACAGTGCCCGGCCAAACTTGCCTAGTGCTCTTTAATGAAGGTCTGTTATCTGTCAGAAGTTTTATGCTGTGACTGCTGCTTCAGCAGTGCGGTGGGGGCAGGAGGCGTTTGAATTCTCCATGAGCAGCCACTAACATGGGAATTCATACATCATCGTAGGTGAGCTAGACAACCACATGTGTAATGCAAAATATACACGTTCTAGATTGTGCTATGTATCCTGGATGTTTCAGGACAGTCTCATCGTCAATTACATTTTCTTTCTTTTCTTTCTCTTCCTTTTCTTTTCTTCCTTCCTTTGTTCCTTCCTTTCCTCCTCCTCCTCTTTCTTCTTCTTTTCCTCTTCTCCTCCCCTTCCTTCCTTCCTTCCCTTCCTTCCTCCCTTCCTCCCCCTCTTTCTTTCTCCCTCTGTCTCTGTCTCTGTCTCTCTCTTCCTCTTTCTCTCTCTTTTTCTCTCTTTCTTCCCTTCTTTGCAACAAGGGTCTTACTGTCTCTCAGGCTGGAGAGCAGTAGTATGATCATAGCTCACTGGAGCCTTGAACTCCTGGGCTCAAGCAATCCTCCTGCCTCAGCCTCCCAAGTAGCTGGGACCAGAGGCCTGCACCACATGCATGGCTTGTTTTTATTTTTTAATTTTGTATAGAGATGAGGGGTATCATTATGTTACCCCAGCTGGTCTCAAACTTCTGACCTCAAATGATTCCTCTGCCTTGGGATTCCAAAGTGTAGGGTTTATAGGCATGAGCCACTGCACTCAACCTACATTTTCTTATATACTGCTACTATGTTAGAAATTCTGTATTTCTGAAAATAATGACTTAGTCAATCTAGTCTACAAGCTAACAAGTGAACAAGCTGAGATTTTCCAAAAAAAGACTGTAATGGTGCCTCCTATCCTCTGTAGATGTGAATGATGAAAGGGACCATGTATTTTATTTACATGTACAGCAAATTTGACTTTTTTTCATGTAATTTTGTATAAAAGATAATTAATTTAATAGATAACATAAAAAGAATTTTTTTTTAAGATGGAGTCTTGCTCTGTTGCCCAGGCTGGAGTACAGTGGTATGATTTTAGCTGACTGCAACCTCTGTCTCCCGGGCTCAAGGAAATCTCCTGTCTCAGCCTCCTGAGTAGCTGGGACTACAGGCAACCATCAACATGCCCAGTTAATGTTTGTATTTTTACTAGAGACGGGGGTTTCACCACATTGGTCAGGCTGGTCTCGATCTCCTGACTTCAGGTGATCCGCTCACCTTGGCCTCCCAAAGTGCTGGGATTACAGGCGTGAGCCACCGCGTCCAGGCAAAAAGAAATTTTATGTTTACATCTAAGACTTTGGAATAATTTAAGAATGCTTTTGACTACATGTAACATGAAATCAGACTAATGGTAGCCAAAGCAAGAAAGCCATGACAATTTTCATGTACCAAAAAGTTGTAGGTAGATTCTTCCAGGGCGGGTTCATCAGCTCAGTGGCATCAGGGTGCTGGCCTTTCTTCCTTCCTTTCCTCCCTCCCTCCCTCTGTCCCTTCCTTGCTTCTTTGCTTCCTTCCTTCCTCCCTCCCTTCCTCCCTGCTTTCTTTCTCTCTCTCTTTCTTTATTTTTTCTTCCTTCCTCCTTCCTTCCTTCCTTCCATCCTTCCTTCCTTCTTCCTCCCTCCCTCCCTCTTTCTCTTTCCCTCCCTCCTTTCCTCCTTCCCACCTCCCCTCCTTCCTTCCTCCCCTCCTCCCCTCCTCCTCTCCTTCCCTCCTCCTCTCCTTCCCTCCTCCTCTCCTTCCTTCCTCCCCTCCTCCGCTCATCCCCTTCTCCCCTCTTCCCCTCCTTCCTTCCTCCCTTCCTCCTTTCCTCCCTTCCTCCCTTCCTCCCTTCTTTCCTTCCTTGGTCTTGCTCTACTGCCCAGGCTACAGTGCATTGGTACAATCATAGCTCATTGCAGACTTGTATTCTTGGGCTCAAGCGATCCTCCTGCCTTAGCCTCCGGAACAACCAGGACTTCTCTGCTTTCTCTTGGCTTTTCCTCACAGTCACAAGACAGTTGCTGCAGCTCCAGGCATCAACATCACACACAGGAATCTTAAATTGAAAGAAAGTATCAAAAGCAAAACTAAATTTTCTTCAGCAGGTTCCTTTTACACACTTCTTCCTTGTAAGACAGAGAAGGAAACATTTTCAAGTTTTCCTTTCTGACTTCATTTGGTAGATCCGTGTCACATGTCCATGTGACAAGGGAAAGTTAGAAAGTTAGAATCTAGCTGTATTTTCACATTTCTATAAAGAACTACCTGAAACTGGGTAATTTATAAAGGAAAGAGTTTTAATTGACTCACAGTTCTGCATGGCTGGGGATGCCTCAGGAAACTTAACAATCATGGTGGAAAGTGAAGGGGAAGCAAGGCACATCTTACATGGTGGCAGGAGAAAGAGAGAGTGAAAGGGGAAGTGCCACTTTTAAACCATCAGATCTTGTGAGAACTCACTCACTGTCACAAGACCAGGATGGGGGAAACCACCTCCATGATCCAATCACCTCCCACCAGATCCCTCCTTCTACACATGGGGATTACAATTCAAGATGAGATTTTGGTGGAGACACAGAGCTAAATAATATCACTAGCAAAGAGAAATTCCATATATACATGTTGATTGTGTCACGCTGCTATCAAAAGGACTCCAACGTAAAGTATCCTAAATAATCTAGAGTTTTCCTTATTAAATACACACAAATGTTTTCTTCTTCTTCTTTTTTTCTTTTTTTTGAGATGGAGTTTCGCTCTTGTTGCTTAGGCTGGAGTGCAATGGCGTGATTTTGGCTCACTGAAACCTCTGCCTCCTGGGTTCAAGCAATTCTCCTGCCTTAGCCTCCTGAGTAGCTGGGATTACAGGCTCCTGCCACCATGCCCAGCTAATTTTTTGTATTTTTAGTAGAGACGGGGTTTCACCTATGTTGGCCAGACTGGTCTTGAACTCCTGACCTCAGGTGATTTCAACCTGGTGAGATGGCTCATGCCTATAATCTCAGTACTTTGGGAGGCCAAAGTGGGTGGATCACCTGAGGTCAGGAGTTTGAGACCAGCCTGACCAACATGGTGAAACCCCATCTCTACTAAAAACACAAAAAATTAGCCAGGCATGGTGATAGACACCTGTAATTCCAGCTACTTGGGAGGCTGAGGCAGGACAATTGCTTGAATCTGGGAGGCAGAGGTTGCAGGGAGCTGAGATCGCACCAGTGCACTCCAGCCTGGGCAACAAGAGCGAAACTCCATCTCAAAAATAAATAAATAAATAAATAAATAAATAAATAAATAAATAAATAAATAAAGTAGAATTTTCCAGGTGTGCATTCAGGGTAACAGGAAGCTTTACTCCATGTAGTAGCTCAGGAATTCAGGCTGATGGCTTCAAAAGTTACTGAGTGTCACCTTTCCTGCCAGTGGGAAGATGGAAAGTATGGAAGTTTAAACCCCCGAATTTCCTTTTCAGTAAATGAGGCAGAAATTGCACATATTACTTTATTTCCAGTTCCACCAGCAGGTCACCCTAGTCAAACAGGGCTGGAAAATGCAGTCCCAAGTTGGACACAGGTTTGCTACAACTATAGCAATAGATGTGTAGAACAGAGTTCGGTTGCAGCTTGCATCTCTACCACACCATGACTGGCATAGACAAATTATGATTCATACCACATTGTGGGTGAGGGACATTCCTTCTTGAGATCAAAGGATGAGATCCTACTACCTGCACTCAACATGGAGATTTCATTAGGAAAAAAAGTGAGGACTGGCTATAGGTAAGGTAATTAATAGTGTCGACTGTAGAGTTTCATATAAATAAACTGACAGTTGGGAAAACATAAATTTAGGCATTATGTCTCTGCTTCGGTTTTTTTTTTTTTTTTTTTTTTTTTTGAAATGGAGTCTCGCTCTGTCCCCCAGGCTGGAGTGCAGTGGCGCGATCTCGGCTCACTGCAAGCTCTGCCACCCGGGTTCACGCCATTCTCTTGCCTCAGCCTCTAGAGTAGCTGGGACTACAGGTGCCTGCCACCACACCCAGCTAATTTTTTTCTATTTTTAGTAGAGACAGGGTTTCACAGTGTTAACCAGGATGGTCTCGATCTCCTGACCCGGTGATCCGCCCGCCTCGGCCTCCCAAAATGCTGGGATTACAAGCGTGAGCCACCGCGCCCGGCCTCTGCTTTGGTTTCATTACTGTGTCTGACATGTTTAATTCTATGTGAGTCTTCAGGACCAGACTCTGTCCTCTGAGGACAAGAACTTTGTTGGTGACATCCCTTTGCCCTCCACCTCTCCCTGTGGCTCCATGCTTGAAACGCTGGAGGTGTTCCATGTTTGCTAATGGCCAGAATGTACAAGGTTGAGGTTTCCTGACCATAGCCCTGGGCTCTGTATCTACCCACACCAAGGAAAACAAGGAGTTGGAGATCAGGATGCTCCATGGTTTTAACCATTGGGCCAACTTAGACCAATGGTTAAGGACAGAAACGGAGTGATAATAAAGTGAGCACACGTGGCTATAGTCATTGCAACATTGAGTTGGTATCAACATCCTCGACCTCTGTGTTGTGGGTCAATTCTATGCCTATGTATTGAAATTTTCTCTGCTTCCCACTCTCCTGTGGTGTATACACTTGGTACTTGCTTTGTATAACTCAGTCATGTTGTCAGAATAACTAGCTGTGTATATATCACCTCCCTTTCCTTGAGAATTTAGGATCCTCAACATCAAGGGACATTTATTAATCTTATTTTGTTCCAGCATCATTTATAATGCCTAGGAGGAAGGGTTTTTTTTTTAATGTTGAGAAAACTAAATGAAAAAATAGTTTGCTTATGTTGACTTAATACGTCTTTCAAAACTCCTGACATGATTGGCTAATTATATAAATATTACTCACCATGACTTCTGGGCAATAAGCAACACTGTTGAATTTATAGATTAAACACATATTTATTGAGCATCTATTATGCACAATAAAGTCATCTACTACACAGCAGGGAGTAGTTCAAATGCAAAGTGACTCCATGCAGCGAAGGCATTATCTAACACTCCTAATTATAGGAATATGGACCCTTTTTCTATTTAAAGTTGAATTTAGGGATTAGTGAGATGTTATGGGGATTTCTACGAAATAGTCAGCTTTCTATAATTAGCCATATCCAAGTAGATGGTGAATGATCACCTGAACAGAATATTACTCAAGGGAGGTAAAGTCAGTTTCTGGAAAAGCCTCTTCGAAAACAAAGTTTCCATAATTATAAGGGGCAAAGGGTCATTCTTTGGCTACATTCTATAGGAACTAAACTTACACTACCTTGTTCAACCATTGGTAAAGACTTTGACCATTCCTAATGAGTTGAAATACCAACATAATTTTTTTTTTTTTGAGACAGAGTCTCACTCTGTCACCCAGGCTGGAGTGTGCAGTGGCATGATCTCGGCTCACTGCAAACTCCCCCTCCTGGGTTCAAGTAATTCTTGTGCCTCAGCCTCCTGAGTAGCTGAGATTACAGGCATGTGCCACCATGCCTGGCTAATTTTTGTATTTTTTGGTAGAGATGGGTTTCACCATGTTGGCTGGGATGGTCTCGAACTCCTGACCTCAAGAGATCCACCTACCTTGGCCTCCCAAAGTGCTGGGATTACTGACATGAGCCACTGCGCCCAGCCAATACCAGGATAATGTGATAATGGTAATGTGGTGTTTAGGGCCTAAGAATGTTCTAATTTTGTCCAATGCCCTAATCACTCATCATGGTGATACAGAAGTTAAGAAGAAATTACTTAGGCAGATAGTGAGGGTACAGGAGTCCTTGATAATGTTTTCCTTTTTAATGAAAAGCAGCATCAAAATCTTTTTTTTTTCTTGAGACAGAGTCTCACTCTGTCACCCAGGCTGGAGTGCAATGGCACGATCTCGACTCACTGCAACCTTCACCTCCCAGGTTCAAGCGATTCTCCTGCCTCAGCCTCCCAAGTAGCTGGGATTACAGACACCCACCACCACACCTGGCTAATTTTTTTGTATTTTTAGTAGAGATGAGGTTTCACCATGTTAGCCAGGATGGTCTTGATCTCCTGACCTTGTGATCCGCCGCCTTGGTCTCCCACAGTGCTGGGATTACAGGCATGAGCCACCATGCCCGGTCTCCTCTGCCTATACAACCTCTGCTCCTAAACTCCTTGTGTGTGTCCATGTCCTAAATTTCTTGGTGCAAGATGATGAACCGCAGGTATTTACTCCAGACAACAACGCCACTTCAATGGTGAGTTTCAGAAGGAGATGTCCTCACTTTAGGGGCATAGACAAAAAATATATTAAAAAAAAAAAAGAAAAAAGAAAAAGAAAAAAAAAAGGAAGAAGAAATAAAAAAGCAACATGACTAAGAATAGCTGGGCCTGGGTCCCAGACCCCAATTCAGAGCTCAGATAAGCTCTACTGGACAACAAGTTAAAACATTTTTCCTAAATTCTTAGGTATTAGCTTCTTCACATTAGAGCCCAATTTCCTATACCTGTCAGACCCAGTGGAGAATCAGAGGACATACTCATTAAGATTGTCAGTGCTGGCTGAGTGCAGAGGCTCATGCCTGTAATGCCAGCACTTTGGGAGGCCGAGGTGGGCGGATCACGAGGTCAGGAGATCAAGACCAGCTTGGCCAACATAGTGAAACCCCATCTCTACTAAAAATACAAAAATTAGCCAGGTGTGGTGGCGCAGGTCTATAGTGCCAGCTACTTGGGAGGCTGAGGCAGGAGAATTGCTTGAACCTGGGAAGCGGAGGCTACAGTGAGCTGAGATCATGCCACTGCACTCCAGCCTGGGCGACAAAGCGGGACTCTGTCTCAAAAAAAAAAAAAAAAAAAAAGATTGTCAGTGCTGGCCGGGTGCAGTGGCTCATACCTGTAGTCCAAACACTTTGGGAGGCCGAGGCAGGTGGCTTACCTGAGGTCAGAAGTTCAAGATCAGCCTGGCCAACATAGTGAAACCCCGTCTCTACTAAAAATATAAAAATTAGGCCGGGCGCAGTGGCTCACGCCTGTAATCCCAGCACCTTGGGAAGCCAAGGCGGGCGGATCATGAAGTCAGGAGATCAAGACCATCTTGGCCAACGTGGTGAAACCCCATCTATACTAAAATAATAAAAAAATTAGCTGGGCATGGTGGTGTGTGCCTGTAATCCCAGCTACTTGGGAGGCTGAGGCAGGAGAATCACTTGAACTCGGGAGTTGGAGGTTGCAGTGAGCCAAGATGCGCCACTGTACTTCAGCCTGGGCAACAGAGTGAGACTCCATCTCAAATAATAATAATAATAATAATAATAATAATAATAATGAGATTTTCAGAGGCTGAAAGCTAGAAACACAACTTAGGGTTGGCAACAGGCAGACACTTAATCAAGTTGTAAAATGCATTCTAATGCAAAAGGAGAAGAATTGGTGGACAGCTGACAGGGATGCTGTGCCGTGGCTGGGCTCTGGAAGGCCCTGCTGGGCACCTTTAACAGGTTGCAGCCAAGAAACAAGAGATGGACCACATAAAGCAGCTTTCTTCTTCAGCAAACGTGGCTGGTCAGTGGGTTGCAATGTAATTCCCCGAGATTCTTCCCCTGCTCTGGATGTGGAAGGGTATAAAGGGTTATGAAATAGTGTCCCTCTAGCCTGAGCTCATGGGCCAAGCCTGATGATATGGAATGTAGTAGATATAAATGCAAACTTCTTCACTTTAGTTCTAAAAACAATTGCATAAATATCAAACAGGGAACTCAGCTTTGACTCATTGGTTTTGACTGGCTCAACAAAGGGTTTTTATTCTGATGTTTAGTTGTACAGAGACCTGCCTTATTGTCCGTGGGCCAGACAAGTTCAGATTTAAATGCTATATTTAAAAGGAACACGGCAGCCTACATATTGTTTAGAGGACATTAATAAATGGTATAGGAAATTGAACTGGCAAGTGACTAGTTTCTTTAATCTTTAATATTCCAGGATTTCAAGTTTGTGAAAATATAGCTTAAAGGGATGTGGGGCCTGGCATAGTGGCTCATACCTGTAATCTCAGTGTTCTGGGGGGCTAAGGTGGGAAGATCACTTGAGCCCAGGAGTTCAAGACCAGCCTGGGCAACATAGCAAGACCTCATCGCTACAAAAATTTTTTTAAAATTAGCTAGGCCTGGGGGTGTGCACCTGTATCCCAGCTACTCAGGAGGCTGAAGCAGGAGGATCACTTGACCCCAGGGGTTGGAGGCTGCAGTGAGTTATGATCATGCCACTGCACCCCAGCCTGGGCAACAGAGCAAGATCCTGTCTGTAAAAAAAAAATAAATAAAATAAATAGAAATAAAAAATAAAGGGGCTTGGGGTTGTTGAATTCCTACTATATTCTAAGTACTATGGTATATGATGCTGTGGCTATGTTCTCCAGTTTGATCATTCTGGTCATTGTTCCCATTTCACAGATGAGGAAACCAGGGCTTTGAAAGGCTAGGCAGTTTTCCTACTCACCCAGCTAATGAACAGCATACCTTCTTTCTGTTCAATTCAATTCCACAACATCAAGCATGTCACATTCTGTGATTCTAAGATTCTTTGCTTTAATGGTCCTATAAATGAATCTTTTTTTTTTTTTTTCAAGACGGAGTATCGCTCTGTCACCCAGGCTGGAGTGCAGTGGCGTTATCTCATCTCACAGCAACCTCTGCCTCCCGGGTTCAAGTAATTCTCCTGCCTCAGCCTCCCAAGTAGCTGGGATTACAGGCACACACCACCATGCCCAGCTAAATTTTTTGATTTTTTGGTAGAGATGGGGTTTCGCCACATTGGCCAAAGTGGTCTTGAACTCCTGACCTCAGGTGATCTACCCACCTTAGCCACCCAAAGTGCTGAGATTACAGGTGTGAGCCACCATGCCCAGCCCCTATGAATGATTCTAACGTTGCAGTGTTCAGAGACTGTGCAGAATGGCTGTGCAGGAATAGAAAGGTTGCAAAGGGGGACAGAAAGTATGAGGTGGTAGAAGGAACAGAACAATTACAAAAGTGGTCATTCATTGGGTCCCCTGCCCCCCAAATAAAACATTCCTGTTTATTTCTTTCTTTCTTTTCTCTCTCTTTTTTTTTTTTTTTGAGACAGTCTTGTTCTGTCACCCAGGCTGGAGTACAGTGACACGATTTTGACTCACTGCAACTTCTGCCTCCCAGGTTGCAGTGATTCTCTTGCCTCAGCCTCCTGAGTAGCTGGAATTACTGGCATGCACCACCACTTCCAGCTAATTTTTGTGTTTTTAGTAGAGACAGGGTTTCACCATGTTGGCCAGGCTGCTCTCAAACTCCTGACCTCAGGCTATCCACCCACCTGGGCCTCCCAAAGTGCTGGGATTACAGGCGTGAGCCACTGCACCTGGCTATTTATCTGCATTTCTGCCAGGCAGCCATGTGACCTGAGAAGAGCTCCCTTGTGAGACAGGATTTTTCTCATTTCCTGGCTCCTAATCTAAGAGAAATGTCTAAATTAGTTGGCTGGCTCTGCCTGAAGTGGGTGGAGGGGGGACGAAAAGGTAGAATCAATCACTCCATTTGAAACTGCATCTGCTGAAAAGATGTCATGAAGAGGCGGGTAATTCTGTTTCCTCAAGCACTTCTCCTAGGAACCACTAGCCCGTTTTTTTTTCTTGGCTGCAACCTGTTAAAGATGCCCAGCAGGGCCTTCCAGAGCCCGGCCAGGGCACTGAGTCCCTGCCAGCTGTCTGTGGATTCTTCTCCTTTTACATTAGAATGCGTTTTACAACTTGATTAAGTGCCTGCCTGTTGCCAACCCTAGGCTGAGTTTCCAGGTTGCAGCCTCTGAAAGTCTCCTTATTAAAGGCATTTACAAAATAATATCCTAGTGGAGAGCTGCCAGGAGTTATCTGAAACTCCACTTATTCCCATGGAACAGTCAATGTAAGTTTTCCCCAGTTAGAATTCATTTGGCTGGAAGACAGAGTCCTTGATACACACTTGTAAAAGTAATTTAATATTTGTGGGTTTTTTTTAACTTTTTATTAAATTTTTTTTATTTGTACAGATTCATGGAGTACAAGTGTGATTTTGTTACCTGCATAGATTGCATAGTACGGTCAGAGCTTTTTGGGTATCCATCACTCAAATAACATACATTGTATCCATTAAGTAATCTCTCATTATCTGCCCTCCCTCTCACCCTCTCACCCTTCTTAGTCTCTATGTTCTATCATTACACACTCTACGTCCATGTTTACATATTTATAATTAAAGGAACTGTAATTGTGATTCAGCTGTGACGTGTGTGGCAGAGACCTTACCATGTCCTAACTACAAATGAAAGCTGCAGAATCTATCAGTTCTTGGTCATTTGCAGTGCTAGATCTCAGGAGGCAGATGAGTTCTGCAATGAGCTCACACTTCCTTGGATGTTTAAGATCATTGCATAGGATGAGCATGGTGGCTCACACCTGTAAGGCCAACACTTTGAGAGGCTGAGGTGGTTGGATCACTTGAGGTCAGGAGTTCGAGATCAGCCTGGCTGATATGGTGAAACCCTGTATCTACTAACAACACAAAAATTAGCTAGGCGTGGTGGCACATGCCTGTAGTCCCAGCTACTCAGGAGACTGAGGCACAAGAATCACTTGAGCCCCGGAGACGGTGGTTGCAGTGAGCTGAGATAGCGCCACTGCACTTGGCCTAGGCAACAGAGCGAGACTCCATCTCAAAAACAAACAAACAAACAAAAAGATCATTGTATAAAATGATATGTCTGAGGCTTGAAAGAGGTAATAAGATTTCATTAACATCCTGATATTTCGTCTTTCTCCAGTTTCCTAGTTAATAGTGCCAATAAAGGCCAGGCGCGGTGGCTCATGCCTGTAATCCCAGCACTTTGGGAGGCTGAGGCAGGCGGATCACCAGAGGTCAGGAGTTCAAGACCAGCCTGGCCAACACAGCAAAACTTCGTCTCTACTAAAAGTACAAAAATTAGCCAGGTGTGGTTGGGGGCGCCTGTAATCCCAGCTATTCAGGAGGCTGAGGCAGGAAAAATTGCTTGAACCCGGGAGGTGGAGGTTGCAGTAAGCCAAGATGGCGCCACTGCACTCCAGCCTGAGTGACAAGAGTGAGACTTTGTCTCAAAAAAAAAAAAAAAATTGCCAGTAAAATGAAGTGTTAAATAACAATTTTGCTTAAATAGATGCTACCCTGTTGCTCAAAGTTTTGGCAGAGATCACAAAGGCCAAGACAGGTATGAAATGTGTCAAGGACACAAACATCCTTAACTAAGGGCCTAGACCATGCTCAGGACATGCTAAGAGAGGCCAAACCGCTTCAGCCAGCATTGGTCCTGTGACAGGCTGCTTATATAAGAATGGATTAAGAAGGGTATAGAGGATTTCTCTGGAGAGACTTGTTAGTATACTATATATCCGCTCCCTATGGGAGCCTCAGGGCAAAAGAGGGGGCTGGAAGAAAGCCATCTGGGGGTATTCTGTGTGGCTCTGGGGTTGGAACATCATAGGGAACTGGGCATCTGACTCGCTTGTGACTGAGCTGCAGAAAAGGGCTTGCAGTCTCACACCTGGCTGTCACTCAGAGAAGGAACTGTACCAGAATGGCCTGTATGTCTAGAGTGGGCAGGGCAAAGTATAGTGAGGTGTCTATGTGCCACATATGGGCCTGCTAAAGGGACTCTTCCATCAGGGACAAGATGACCCCAACAGAAGGTGAACTTCAGGACAGGAGCTGAGCAGAGAGCTAAAAGCAGCGAGGGGAAGAGGCATTGCCCACTTCAAGGGAAGTTCAGGTGAGGGATTCCTGATGACAGGGAGGGGATGACCAAATAACCCTCCAGAGTCCCCCATGAGGAAGGTCCAATGGGACACAACCAGAAGGTCCAATGGGAAATCCAAAGGCATTAGTCAAGTGCACCTCTCCTCTCCCCTCTCATCCTTTCCAACTCTGCAGGGACCCAAAGTACAGTCAGAGAGTGACGGAATGAAGCAGAGGGAAGGAGGCCACCATCATCCACTGCCCCCTCCCCACTGCAGGTTTCCTAGCCACAAAAAGGCTGAGCTAGGAGACTGAAGACATTTTAAGAGAATGATAGCTTAGGCTTTGATACAACACTAAACTGGGTTATTTTAAAACACCTAGAAAAATACATGATTTATAATATCTTTTGTTAAAACCTGAAAATAACTTAGGGGACATTTTTTTACCCATGAATGACCTTAAAAGCTGAAGGACCTGGCTGGGCGCGGTGGCTCACACCTGTAATCCCAGCACTTTGGGAGGCCGAGGCGGGTGGATCACGAGGCCAGGAGATCGAGACTATCCTGACTAACATGGTGAAACCCCGTCTCTACTAAAAATACAAAAAATTAGCCAGGCATGGTGGCGGGCGACTGTAGTCCCAGCTAGTCGGGAGGCTGAGGCAGGAGAATGGTGTGAACCCAGGAGGCGGAGCTTGCAGTGAGCCGAGATCGCGCCACTGCACTCCAGTCTGGGAGACAGAGTGAGAGTCCATCTAAAAAAAAAAAAAATGCTGAAGGACCTAACTGAAATTTCATGTAGCATTAGTGGAGATGAAAAAACCAGGGGAGTGGACAAAAGTTAAAGTACAGTGACAGAATCATGTTACTGTTTGTCTACACCCAAGTCTAGTTTAATTACTTAACCATTGTCTAGAGTCTTCCTAAAAGACAGAAGACTCTGGAACCAAAACAACAACAAAATAAAAATATGTGCATTAAAAAATAAAATTAAATTAAAAAATTAAAAAATACGTGCATTATCAATCAAAAACTACAGTAGTCATATGATTGGGACATATAATATACTGTTTTTTTTGGGGGGGGGTTGTTTTGGTTTGTTTTGAGATGGAGTTTCACTCTTTTTGCAGGCTGGAGTGCAGTGGGGCAATCTCGGCTCATTGCAACCTCCACCTCCCGGGTTCAAGCGATTCTCCTGTCTCAGCCTCCCGAGTAGCTGTGATTACAGGCACCTGCCACCTTGCCTGGCTAATTTTTTGTATTTTTAGTAGAGACTGGGCTTCAGCATGTTGGCCAGGCTGGTCTTGAACTCCTGACCTCAGGTGATGCACCCACCTTGGCCTCCCAAAGTGCTGGGATTACAGGTGTTAGCCACTGCACCTGGCCTGAGTTTTTATATATGGGAAAAACTGTTAGCACAAACTGTCATGGCTCCCTCCTGCTGCCTAAAAACATTCTCATGAGTCACTGAAGGGATAAAATATTCTAACACTTAGGCCATCTTAGTCTCAATCTCACAATGTCCCTGTTGTACTCTTATAATGCTACATAACACTGGAAATGTTCTGTTCAGAGTGTTACATTAAATACCCTGTCATTGACTTCTTTAAGAAATATAATACAGTTTTATAGCTAATGAAAGCATTGGTATGCAGAAAAACATACTGTAGCCATATATTTTCTTTCTCATACCCTCAAATTTCTGGAGAAACATAGTCTGCCTATTTAATAAGGAATGCAGAATTCTCCATTTGGTTGAAATAAGCCACTTTTTCATGTCAAGAGATTTTATAATTCCTGAGTGTCATGTACAAATGGCAGAGAGTTACTCCCACAGCTCCCCTGCCAAGCCCTCTCCTGTAGTAGATGAGACGTATCATTCCTTTTCTTATCTTGCATATAGGGTTGGCCACTGACAACTTATAATAGCTCCAGCTGACATGGGTTTCTCATATCTGGCCAGATATTTGTCCCTCTTTTCCTTTTTATATGTAGTGGTCTTAAGACATGTGTCCAAATTTGTTGACATTTCTACCCATCAAGTCTAATTCTCCTCCCCTGGAACATGAGCTGATCTTAAGGAATCACTTCTCAAAAATAAAAAATGGCAGAAGTGATGCATGACATTCAGAACTAAATCATAAAAGACAATACAGCATCAGCTTGGAATCATTTGTAACCCTTGCTTTCAGAACCCAGCCACCATGCTGGATCTCAGGCCATACAGAAAAAACTCATGTCAGTGATCCTGCCAAAGCATGGCTCAGACCCCAACTCACAACCAGCATCACCCATCAGGCATGGGAGTAAGGAAGCCTCAGCTACGGTTTGACTACAACTCCATGCAGACCCTGAGTGAAAACTGCCCAGCTGAACCCAGCAACATGAGAGATTATGAAACATAATCACTGCTGTTTTATGCCACAAAGTGTATGGTGGTTTGTGATACAGCTGCAGGAAATCATCACACTATCAAGATGCACTATTAAAGATACTTTAAGCACGTTTGTACTCTTTGAACACTGTTTCTGTTCTGGTCATACATCTTATGATATAGAACCCAAAATGTGGAAAACATTGTTTCATAGAGATTTTTAACAGTAAAATATTGGAAAAAAAAGTTTCTCTATATTTGGACTACAAACCCATTCCAAAGCCATATAATGAGCTATGATGATGCCATTAAAATATATGTATATGCTCTCGGATTTCTGGTCTGGACAAATGATATATTCATAGCTTTCTGTTCCTCCCCATTAAATACAACTGTAAACTCTGAAAATAATGTAACAGGCAACCAAAGAAAAACTCTGAAAGGTGGTAAGAGGAAAGCAAACTGATTTAGGATCCCAGCACTGAAGGTAAATCACAGTAGCAGAGTGTCTTATGTCCCCCAACCCAATACAAGGCAACTTAGACCTGCATTTCTCAACCTCCAACCAAACAACAGATGGCAGCCCAGGTAGACTGATTCTTCCCTGGGATTGAACTGAAGTCCTACGGGCCACACCAGGTGAGGATGGTATGACTGCAGAGGGGCTGATCAAGTGACCTACTAATAAATGGCCAAGGAAAGAACTGACTTTTCCCTTGGGCTAGAGACTCCCCTTCCCCATTGAAAGATATTGGGACAGAGAGGTGGCACTGGAAGGGACCCTTCATAATAAACAGCCCAGCTCAGGAAGCCTCTTTGCCTTCTGGACATGAGACTGTCCTTCACCACCTAGAGACGTTGGGGGACTGTGGGGAACCAGAAGGAGGAATCTAACCACAAGAAGTGCCTCTGGTCCGGGAAGCATTCTTGGACCCTCATGAGAAGGGGACATGCTACCAATGCAGTACTCAGCCAGGGAAGCTTCTTTATGACCAAGGCCTGAGACTCCTCTACCAAGAGACACTGAGTAGTCCATCCTGAGGAAGCCCTTTTCATCTCCTCAGGCAACACTAGCAAGAACAAAAGAGGGATCCCAGCAGCCCCAGATAAAACAAAAAGAATAAAATAACACTGCAAAAGCTCTAAAACTCAAACTGTCATTGGAACCACAGCCCACAAAAGTAAGCCAGGACCCACGTCTAAACCTAAATAAGGTGATATCCTGCTAAAATGAAAGATTAAAACAAGACCCCAGAGTCTTCCGGTATAATAGACAAACTGGCTAATATATTACAGAAAATCACTCATTACATTAAGAATCATTTAAAAAATGCAATTTGAATGAGAAAATACAATCAACTGATAACAATAGTGATGTGAATCCAATGTTGGAATTATCTGATAAGGATTCTACAGCTGTTGTCATAGAAATGCTTCAGTTACCAGTGACAACTTTTCTTGAAACAAATAAAGAAATATAAATTCTCAGCAAAGAAATGCAAGTTATGAAAAGGAATCTGTATTAGTTCATTTTCATACTACTATAAAGAAACGCCTGAGACTGGGTAATTTATAAAGGAAAGAGGTTGAATGGACTCACAGTTCCACATGGCTCTGGTGGGGGGCTTCACAATCATGGTGGAAGGCAAGGAGGAGAAAGGCATGTCTTACATGGCAGCAGGCAAGAGAGATCGTGCAGGGGAATTGCCCTTTATAAAATCATGAGCTCTTGTGAGACTTATTTACTATCACAAGAACAGCATGGGAAAAACCTGCCCCCATGATTCAATTTCTTCCCACTGGGTCCCTCCCGTGACACATGGGGATTATGGGAGCTACAATTCAAGATGAGATTTAAGTGGGGACACAGCAAAACTATATCAGAATCAAATGGTAATTATAGAACTTAAAAATACAACAGAAAATAATTTGCTCAGTGGGCTCAATAGAGGAGTTGGTAAATCATGTAAGGTTGCATAAAGCATAGAATCATTGGGTTTAAGGATAAGTGAATGAAATTTGTTCAGTTTGAATAATATACAGAAAATAGATTGAAAAAAAGTGA
This sequence comes from Homo sapiens, assembly GCF_000001405.40. Classification (NCBI taxonomy): domain Eukaryota; kingdom Metazoa; phylum Chordata; class Mammalia; order Primates; family Hominidae; genus Homo; species Homo sapiens. The sequence goes on from NC_000007.14 coordinate 56,282,986, forward strand.
AAAGAGCCAGGGCCTCAGAGACCTGTGGAACACTAACACAAGATTTGTGACTCATACCATCAGAGTCTTAGAAAGAGAGGGAAAACACAGGAAGACTAAAGAAGCATTTGCAAAAACAATGAATAAAAACTTTCAAAATCTGGCACAAAGAAAAACTTACAGATTCATGGAAATGAGAAAACCCCAAACAGCATAAATACACACATACAAAAAATCATGCCAAGACACGTCATAATTAATCTCTGCAAACTAAAGACAAAATATCTTGAAAAAAGCCTGATAGAAACAACACATTACCTATAAGGGAATGCCAACTATAATAACTGAATTTCACATCAGAACCCCTGGAGGCCAGAAAAAAGTGGCAGAATATTTTTTGAGTGCTGAAAGAAAAGAAGTAACAGTCAAAAATTCTATATCCAGCAAAAGTATCCTTTGGCAAGGAAGGAGAAACAACATTCTCATAGTAAAGAAAACTTTTTAAAATAGTCCCTGACTTAAAGAACTGGTTAAAGAAGTTCTTCATACAAAAGAAAATGATAAAAGAAGAAATCTTAGAGCATCAGGATGGAAAAAAGAACAATGGAAAGAGCAAATCTGGGTACATACAACAGACTATTGTTTTCCTCATGAGTTTTGTAAGTCATATTTGATGACTGCAACAAAAATTATGAAAACATCTGATACTCAGGACTGACATGTTAAAAGGTAGAGAAGGTAAAGGGACCCAACTGGAAATGAGATTTTCATCCTTCACTCAAAGTAGTGAAATTCTGGTACCCTTAGACGATGATAAGTCACATTATATATATTTTAATTTCCATAGCAACCACTAAAAATACTATACACAGCTGAGTGCAGTGGCTCACACCTGTAATCCCAGCACTTTGGGAGGCCGAGGTGAGTGGAACATGAGGTCAGGAGATGGAGATCACCCTGGCCAACATGGTGAAACCCCGTCTCTACTGTAAATACAAAAATTAGCTGGATGTGGTGGTGTGTGCCTATAATCCCAGCTACTCGGGAGGCTGAGGCAGGAGAATCGCTTGAACCAGGGAGTTGGAGGTTGCAATGAGCTGAGCTTGCACCACTACACTCCAGCCTGGTGAGAGTGAGACTCCATCAAAACAAACAAACAAAAACACTATACAAAGAAATACAGTCAAAAACATTATAAATTAACTGAGATGGTATATTTAAAAAACATTCAAGTGGTCCTCAGGAAAGTAAGACACGAAAAGAAAAACAGAGGGGACAATCAGGGAAAAAAGATATATTTAAGCACTAATGAGTCAATAATTACTTTCACTGAAAGTGGTCTTAATATATCATCAACAAAAATGTAGACATTGGTAGGGTAGATAAAAACATTATGACACAACTATATGATGTTTACAAGAAACTCACATCAAATCCAGACATAGGTAGGTCAAAAGTAAAATGATGGAAAATATACATCAGGAATACTATAATAAAAGAAAATCAAGGGTGGCTATAATAATATCTGTTAAAGTAGACTCATAGCAAAGGAAATTACTACAAAGAGAGACATACCATTATTATATATGATAAACACATCAATTCTCCAGAAAGACCTACTGATCCCAAATGTGTATGGACCAAAGAACACAGCATCAAAATCCATGAAGCAAAAATCAATAGAGCGGTAAGGATAACTAGACAAATCCAAAATCAGGGTTCAAGAATTTAACAGTTCTCTCCCAACTACTAATATAACTACTAGGTAGAAACTGGTGAAGATACAGAAGATTGGAATCATATAATCAACCAACAGGTTCTAATTGACATACATAGAACACAGCAAACAACAGTAAAATAATACGCTATTTTTTCCCCAGTGCCCATGGAACATATTCTAAGATAGACTATATCCTGAACCACAAAATACACTTCAACAAATTTTTAAAAATTGAAATTATATACAGTGTGTGCTCTGGTCATGGATTCAAACTAGAAACCAATAAGACAAAAACAACAAAACTAAACTGGAAAAATTAAACGACACACTCCTATATAGTCCACTGGCCAAATAGGAAGCTTCAAAACAAGTAAAAATGCATACAAGCAAACAAGAATAAAACATAACAAAATATTGGGATGTAGCTAAAGACATTATGAGACGAAAATTTGTAAAACTAAATGCTTATATAAGGAAAAAGGAAAGATCTCAATAAGTAATCTAAGTTCCTATGCCTCAGGAAATCAAAAATATAAAAATAAATCTGGCGGCCGGGCGCGGTGGCTCACGTCTGTAATCCCAGCACTTTGGGAGGCCGAGGCGGGCGGATCACGAGGTCAGGAGATCGAGACCATCCTGGCTAACACGGTGAAACCCCGTCTCTACTAAAAATACAAAAAATTAGCCCGGTGCGGTGGCAGGCACCTGCAGTCCCAGCTACTCAGGAGGCTGAGGAAGGAGAATGGCGTGAACATGGGAGGCGGAGCTTGCAGTGAGCCGAGATAGCGCCACTGCAGTCTGGCCTGGGCTAAAGAGCGAGAGTCCGTCTCAAAATAAATAAATAAATAAATAAATCTGGCTGGGCGCGGTGGCTCACGCCTGTAATCCCAGCACTTTGGGAGGCTGAGGTGGGCGGATCATGAGGTCAAGAGATCGAGACCATCCTGGCCAACATGCTGAAGCCCCGTCTCTACTAAAAAAAAAATACAAAAAATCAGTTGGGCGTGGTGGCGTGCACCTGTAGTCCCAGCTACTCGGGAGGCTGAGGCAGGAGAATTGCTTGAACCCGGGAGGCAGAGGTTGCAGTGAGCCGAGATCATGCCACTGCACTCCAGCTTGGGCAACAGAGTGAGACTCCGTCTCAAAAAAAAAAAAATTTTTTTTTAAATAAATCTAAACCAAGCATAAGGAAGGAAATAATAAAAATTACACCAGGAATTAAATTAAGGAAAGAAAAACAATAGAGAAAAATCAATGAAATAAGAAGCTGGTTCTTCAAAATAGTACACTTGATAAACCTTTAGAAAACTGACAAAAATAGGCCGGGCGCGGTGGCTCACGCCTGTAATCCCAGCACTTTGGGAGGCCGAGGCGGGCGGATCACGAGGTCAGGAGATCGAGACCATCCCGGCTAAAACGGTGAAACCCCGTCTCTACTAAAAATACAAAAAATTAGCCGGGCGTAGTGGCGGGCGCCTGTAGTCCCAGCTACTTGGGAGGCTGAGGCAGGAGAATGGCGTGAACCCGGGAGGCGGAGCTTGCAGTGAGCCGAGATTGCGCCACTGCACTCCAGCCTGGGCGACAGAGCGAGACTCCGTCTCAAAAAAAAAAGAAAAAAAAAAAAAAAAAGAAAACTGACAAAAATAGATGACACAAATCATCAATATCAAAAATATAACACCTACATATAGGATATATTAATACTATATTCTGGGATATTGCTGCAGATTCTGTAGCCATTAAAACATTAAGAGAATACCAAAAATCACAACTTAGGAGAAATGGACCAATTCCTCAAAGCCACATACTGCCAAAACTCAACAAAAATGAAGTGGATCACCTGATCTGCCCCAAAATGATTCAAAAATTGAATTTGTAACTTAAAAGCCTCCCCAAATTAAACTACAATGAGATATTTCTACACACCTAGCAAAATAACCAAAACAAAAAATAGTAAGAACCCTAAATGCTAGTGAGGATATGCAGAAACTGAATCGCTCAGTCACTGTTGGCAGAAATGTAAAATGGCACAGTCACTCTGTAAAACAGTTTGGCAGTTTCTTATAAAGTTAAATACACAATGTTACACAATCCAGAAATTGTGTACTTGATCATTTATCTCAGAGAAATGGGAAACTTATGTTCACTTAAAATTCTGAAAACAGTAGCTTTATTAGTAGCAGTCTGAAATTGGAAAAAGCCCAGTGTATTTCACCTGGTGAATGATTAAACAAACTGTGGTAGATGCATACCATGGGTACTATGCAGCAATAAAAAGAGAATAAATTATTGATTTTTTAAATAAAAAAACTTGGATGAGTCTCCAGGGAATTTATCCTAAGTGAAAAAAGCCAGCCCCGAAGTGTTACATATTGCTATATGATTTTATTTATAGAATATTTTTGAAATAACAAAATTTTAGAAAAAACAAGATTACCAAAGGTTAGGGGTGGGAGCGAAAAGGAAGGTGGGTGCAGTTATGAAAGACTGACATGAGATGTCCTCCTGGCAATGGTGTTGTTCAATATCTTGATGGTGGTGGATAAAGAAAGCTTCAGATACGATATCTTTGTATAAAATTAAATGTACATGCACACGGACACAAATGAGTTATACATAAAATTGGGGAAACCTGAAAAAGATCAACTGCTTATATCAATGTCATCCTGTGTGTAATATTGTACTGTAGTTTTTCAAGATGTCACCATTGGGAAAACTGAATATAGAGTGCTCTAATTTTTCTTAGAACTGCACGTGAATCTGTAATTATATCAACAAAGGTTTTTGTTTGTTTGTTTGTTTTTGAGACAGAGTCTCGCTCTATCACCCAGGCTGGAGTGCAGTGGCACAGTCGCAGCTCACTGCAGCCTCTGCCTCCCCGGTTCCAGTGATTGTCCTGCCTCAGCCTCCCAGGTAGCTATGGTTACAGGCACACACCAACCACCATGCCCAGCTAATTTTGCTATTTTTAGTAAAGACAGGGTTTCACCATGTTGGCCAGGCTGGTCTCGAGCTCCTGACCTCAGGTGATCTGCCTGCCTCGGCCTCCCAAACTGCTAGGATTACAGGCGTAAGTAAAAAAAAAACAAAAACTTTTTTTTGGGCGCCGGCGCCCGCCCGCGCGGCACAGACGCGGGGAGCGCGCTTGGCGCTGACACAGCGGCGACGGCGGCGGCGTTAGCCGGCGCTCGAGCTGTTTCCCTTCCTGGGGCGCCGACCCCGCCCGCTTGCTTGCTTGCCTGCCTGCCTGCCTGCCTGGCGCCATGCAAGAGAAGGTGCCAGGGGACGCGGAGCGACGAGAGGCGCGCGGTCCCGGACAGCTCCGTCTCTGGCGTTGGCGCTGCAGCCGTGACGGAGGACTACGGCGACGACTAGGGCCGCTCTCCCAGCTCTCTGCGTGCCGCGCCGCTGCGCTCTGCCGTCTGACCATCTGGAGTGCAGGCTGGGAGGCGGGATGGAGTGATAGGGAAGATGTTTATAAATTCCTCTGTGGGATCAGAGGGCACGCCAATTGTAACCAGAAAACTCCAAGTATGGCAGCAAGGATGGGTGAACAGGCTGTATTAGGGCCAAAATCAAATGCTGATTCAGACTTTAGACAAAGGGCCCTGGCCTATTTTGAGCGGTTAAAGATTTCCCCAGATACCTGGCAGGTGTGTGCACAGAGGCTGTAGCCCAGAGGACATATAGTGATGAACATGTAAAGTTTTTCTGCTTTCAAGTGCTGGAACATTAAGTTAAATACAAATACTCAGAACTAACCACGGTTCAACAACAACTAATTAGGGAGACGCGCATATCATGGCTGCAAGCTCAGATGCTGAATCCCCAACCAGAGAAGACCTTTATACGAAATAAAGCCGCCCAAGTCTTCGCCTTGCTTTTTGTTACAGAATATCTCACTAAGTGGCCCAAGTATTTTTGTTTACATTCTCTCAGTAGTGGACCTAAATCCAAGGGGAGTAGATGTGTGCCTGCGAATCCTCATGGCTATCGATTCAGAGTTGGTGGATCGTGATGTGGTGCATACGTCAGAGGAGGCTCGTAGGAATACTCTCATTAAAGATACCATGAGGGAACAGTGCATTCCAAATCTGGTGGAATGATGGTACCAAATATTACAAAATTATCAGTATACTAATTCTGAAGTGACCGTCAGTGCTTTGAAGTAGTTGGGGCTTACGTCTCTTGGATAGACTTACCCCTTATAGCCAATGATAGGTTTATAAGTGTGCTGCTAGGTCATATGTCAATAGGAGTTCTACGGGAAGAAGCATGTGACTGTTTATTTGAAGTTGTAAATAAAGGAATGGACCCTGTCGATAAAATGAAACTAGTAGAATCTTTGTGCCAAGGATTACAGTCTGCTGGGTCTTTCAGCATTGACCAGGAAGAAGATGTTGACTTCCTGGCCAGATTTTCTAAGCTGGTAAATGGAATGGGACAGTAATTGATTGATAGTTGGAGTAAATTAATTAAGAATGCGGATATTAAGAATGCTCAAGAGGCACTACAAGCTATTGAAACAAAAGTGGCACTGATGTTGCAGCTACTAATTCATGAGGAAGATGATATTTCTCCTAATATTATAGGATTTTGTTATTATTATCTTCATATTTGGAAACAGCTTACAGTGCTCTTGGATCAGCAAAAAGCTAATGTAGAGGCAATCATGTTGGCCGTTATGAAAAAATTGACTTACGATGAAGAATATAACTTCGAAAATGAGGGTGAAGATGAAGCCATGTTTGTAGAATATAGAAAACAACTGAAGTTACTGTTGGACAGGCTTGCTCAAGTTTCACCAGAGTTACTGGTGGCCTCTGTTCACAGCGTTTTTAGTTCTACACTGCAGGATTGGCAGACTACATGGTTTATGGAAGTTGAAGTAGCAATAAGATTGCTGTATATGGCCGGGCGCGGTGGCTCATGCCTGTAATCCCAGCACTTTGGGAGCCCGAGGCAGGCGGATCACGAGGTCAGGAGATGGAGACCATCCTGGCTAACACGGTGAAACCCTGTCTCTACTAAAAAAATACAAAAAATTAGCCGGGCGTGGTAGCGAGTGCCTGTAGTCCCAGCTACTCCGTAGACTGAGGCAGAGGAAAGGCGTGAACCCGGGAGGTGGAGCTTGCAGTGAGCCGAGATCGCGCCACTGCACTCAGACAGAGCGAGACTCCATCTCAAAAAAAAAAAAAAAAAAAAAAAAAAATTGCTGTATATGTTGGCAGAAGCTCTTCTAGTATCTCACGGTGTTCCATTTGCAGGTGATGTTTCAAAAGCCAGTGCTTTGCAGGATATGATGAGAATTCTGGTAACATCAAGAGTCAGTTCCTATCAGCATACATCTGTGACGTTGGAGTTCTTCAAAAATGTTGTTAGATATGAAAAGTTTTTCACAGTTGAACCTCAGCACATTCCACGTGTACTAATGGCTTTCTTAGATCACAGAAGTCTGCGGCATTCCAGTGCAAAAGTTCGGAGCAGGATGGCTTACCTGTTTTCTAGATTTGTCAAATCTCTCAATAAGCAAATGAATCCTCTCACTGAGGATATTTTGAATAGAATACAAGATTTATTAGAGCTTTCTCCACCTGAGAATGGCCACCAGTCTTTACTGGGCAGCGATGATCAACTTTTTATTTATGAGACAGCTGGAGTGCTGACTGTTAATAGTGAATACCTGGCAGAAAGGAAACAAGCCTTGGTGAGGAATCTGTTGACTCCACTAATGGAGAAGTTTAAAATTCTGTTAGAATAGTTGATGCTGGCACAAGATGAAGATAGGCAAGCCTCTCTAGCAGACTGTCTCAACCATGCTGTTGGATTTGCAAGTCCAACCAGTAAAGCTTTCAGCAACAAGCAGACTATAAAACAATGTGGCTGTTCTGAAGTTTGTCTGGACTGTTTACAGACATTCCTGCCAGCCCTCAGTTGTCCCTTACAAAAGGATATTCTCAGAAGTGGAGTCCGTACTTTCCTTCATCGAATGGTTATTTGCCTGGGGGAAGAAGTTTTTCCGTTCATCCCAGCTGCTTCAGAACGTATGCTCAAAGATTGTGAAGCAGAAGACCTCCAGGAGTTCATTCTTCTTATCAACCAGATTACGGCCAAATTCAAGAGACAGGTATCTCCGTTTTTACAACAGATGTTCATGCCCCTGCTTCATGCAATTTTTGAAGTGCTGCTCCAGCCAGCGGAAGAAAATGACTAGTCTGCTGCTTTAGAGAAGCAGATGTTGTGGAGGAGTTACTTTGCTTTCCTGCAAACAGTCACAGGCAGTGGGATGAGTGAAGTTATAGCAAATCAAGCTGCACAAAATGTAGAGTGCTGGTTACTGTTACCCAAGGAGCAGTTGAATATCCAGATCCAATTGCACAGAAAACATGTTTTATCATCCTCTCAAAGTTGGTGGAACTCTGGAGAGGTAAAGATGGACCAGTGGGATTTGCTGATTTTGTTTATAAGCACATTGTCCCCTCATGTTTCCTAGCACCTTTAAAACAAACCTTTGACCTGGCAGATGCACAAACAGTATTGGCTTTATCTGAGTGTGCAGTGACACTGAAAACAATTCATCTCAAATGGGGCCCAGAATGTGTTCAGTATCTTCAACAAGAATACCTGCCCTCCTTGCAAGTAGCTCCAGAAATAATTCAGGAGTTTTGTCAAGCGCTTCAGCAGCCTGATGCTAAAGTTTTAAAAAATTACTTAAAGGTGTTCTTCCAGAGAGCAAAGCCCTATTGACTGGATTTCCCTGTGCCTACTTCATGATCAGGAATTCCAGTTAATTTATAAAGAAGCGATTTGTGTGTGCCATTCACACTGGTCTTTTTCACATTGTTTTGAGCTTATTGCAGTATATGTTTTGGGATTTTTATGTGAAATGGGTGTAATTTTCCTAATACAGGTATGTAACAACAAAAGATGTTGCCTGCATGCCGGTCCAAATTGTTCTGTATAAAGATGCTCTTAAAAGACACAGAGTTATCCTAGAACCTTAATTCTTTTTTATTTGAAGTTTTAAGTCAAGTCCTTTATAAAGACTATAGCAGTAGAAAACAGTACACTTTTTAAAAAATTGCTGAATATAAAATGTTTGAAAATTTTCTTTATGTGTGAAGACACATAAAGTATGGGGGGAATACAACAATCAAAACTAACTTTTTGTAGATAGCCATTTCATTTCTTTAAACTGTTTCAATGCCAATATGTATTCTACAAAAGAGAATGGTTTTAGGCTCCAGTGTTATACTTTTTAAAATATATATATATAAATAAATTTTACATAGTGAAATCTAAAAAAAACAAAAACTAAAACAAAAAACAAAACTTTTTTTTTTTTTTGAGAGGGAGTCTCATTCTGTCGCCCAGGCTGGAGTGCAATGGTGCCATCTTGGCTCACTGCAACCTCCACCTCCTGGGTTCAAGTGATTCTCCTGACTCAGCCTCCCAAGTAGCTGGGACTACAGGCGCGTGCCACCACGCCCGGCTAATTTTTTGTATTTTCAGTAGAGACGGGGTTTCACCATATTAGCCAGGCTGGTCTGGACCTCCTGACCTCACAATCCACCCACGTTGGCCTCCCAAAGTGCTGGGATTACAGGCGTCAGCCACCGCACCTGGCCAAAAAAACTTAACTAAACATTATGTTTATAAAGTGGTTGTGATAGTATGAGATAAATTGTTTGTTAAATAGCCGTAAGCTTAAAAAGCTAAAATATTCATGAAATTTACCTACAGCATTATTATACTTACATTAAACGGATTCAAATAAAACAAAATAAAAAGGGTATAAAATGTAAAATTAGGCAGGGCACAGTGGCTCACTCCTGTAATCCCAGCACTTTGGGAGGCTGAGGCAGGTGGATCACCTGAGGTCAAGAGTTCAAGACTACCTTGGCCAACATGCTGAAACCCTGTCTCTACTAAAAATACAAAAAATTAGCTGGGCATGGTGGCAGGTGCCTATAATCCCAGCTACTTGGGAGGCTGAGGCAGGAGAACCGCTTGAACCCAGGAGGCGGACGTTGTTGCAGTGAGCCGAGATTGTGCCATTGCACTCCAGCCTAGGCAACAAGAGCGAAACTCCATCTCAAACAACAACAACAACAACAACAACAAAAAACAACAACAACAACAACAACAAACATAAAATTAAAGGAATAGGCCGGGCGCGGTGGCTCAAGCCTGTAATCCCAGCACTTTGGGAGGCTGAGGCAGGTGGATCACGAGGTCAGGAGTTCCAGACCAGCCTGGCCAAGATGGTGAAACCCTGTCTCTACTAAAAATACAAAAAATTGCCGGGTACAGTGGCAGGTGCCTGTAATCCCAGCTACTCCAGAGGCTGAGGCAGGAGAATAGCTTGAACCCTGGGGGCAGAGGTTGCAGTGAGCTGAGATTGGGCCACTGCACTCCAGCCTGGGCAACAGAGCGAGACTCCATCTCCAAAAAAAAAAAAAAATTAAAGAAGAATGGAAAAGTCAAAAGGAGGTGAAATACACTATGTTAAAACTTTTATTTTTATAATGAGCATATCAGACTTTCATAATAGGAAAAACTCAATTTGATTAAAATATATACTTTTATTCATTCTTATCCTTTCTGGGTTCCTGGAACTTGTAGCATTATCAGAATCACCTACTTTTCTCTTGCTTAAGGCTGCTTATATGGCTTCCTTGTAGATTTCTTCCCCATTCCTCTGTTAATGTACTTTGGGCTTGTCTTGAAATTATCCATCTGTGAAGACACAGAATTTCAGATTCGCTTGCTTACGCACAGACATCGCCACAGGAGGGAGGGTTCTCTATGGAGACGCTGAAAGCAAGTGGAGATGCTAGAGGAGTTTGGAGAAGATTGTTTTTTACATGGACAGTTTTGGGTGCAATTAAGTTGTACTCAAAACCAGATAGACTAGAAAATATTGGGGAGGTAAATGTGGTTCCATCCTTCATACAAAGAATAGTGTTTCATGTCTGGATAAAAGAAAACCATCAGTGAATTGCAAAATCATTAGAGGCAGAAGGCACCTGAGAGGCAGGTCACCATGTGGAACAATTCCAGGTGGCTCCATTCACATTTAGCCTATGTATGTGGTGGCTCCTGGGATTGGGCAATATGCACCTTATACAACTGTATGCAGGGATTCTGCTGAACCCAGCCATTACCACACTTGCCCTTCCTCACACACAGATTTAGGATCCTTTTACAGAGGAGGAAAGTAAGGCCTAGAGGAGGAAAGCAAGTTGTTCAAAGCCACACAGCTAACCACAGAACCAGACTAACATCCAGATTCTTGAATTTCAGAACAATATTCTTTCCTCTCTACAATGATGACTGGAAAGGATATTGTCACTCAAAACAGCCACCTCCACCACAGCAACAAGTTCATTCTTAAAAGTATTTGTTTCAGATCCACATGACGTAGGCTAAACCAGGGCTGTTTTTATAGCATCCCAAATTCTAAATGGAGTGAAAATTCTAACCACACTTTTCTCACATATGAATTGACAACAATAATAGTACCTACCTCTTAGGGTTCTTCTGGAGACAGATGAATTAATATTTGTAGAACACTTAGAAAGTACTATATGACAGGTGTTCTCATATAGAAACCTGGTATTGGATATTATTGTTATTATTTCTATTAGCATGTATTTCTCCCCCATTGATATGTGGGTTCTTCAAAGACCACATATGTTTTATCTGTGGTTCCATAGGACCCGGCGTGGCTTTGAAGAGTGATGTATTAATGTTTTTTGATGATGGTTGGATGGATGAATGGATGCATGGATGAATAGATGAATGGATGGATGGTTGAATGGATGGATAGATGGACAGATGAATGGAGAGACAGATGGATAAAGGAGTATGAACGAATGAAGGAGGATGGATGAATGGATGACTGGTGGATGGATGGTTGAAGGAGGATGGATGAATGGATGGATGGTTGATGGATGGATTGTGGATGGATGGATGAAAGAGGATGGATGAATGGATGAGTGGTGGATGGATGAATGGATGAGTGGTGGATGGATGGTGGATAGATGAATGGATGGATAGTGGATGGATGGATGGTGAATGGATGGATGAAGGAGGATGGATGAATGGATGAATGGTGGATGGATGAAGGAGGATGGATGAATGGATGTATGGTGGATGAATGATTGAATTCAAGCTCTTGGGAGTAACACCAGGGAATGAGTATTTCACTGGATTTTTTCATGAAGAACAAAGATATGACACCACTCACAAGTGACACGTGAATGCTTTAGTTTCATTGAATTCTAGAACTGTCAAGGCCTTTGATGATTCATCTTACCCAACTTTTGGCTCAATGCAGGAAATCACATGACCAGCAGGCTGAACACACAGCTCTAGTTTAACTTCTTTTTTTTTTTTTTTGAGACGGAGTCTAGCTCTGTCGCCCAGGCTGGAGTGCGGTGGCACGATCTCGGCTCACTGCAACCTCCGCCTCCCGGGTTCACGCCATTCTCCTGCTTCAGGCTCTCCGGGTGGCTGGGACTACAGGTGCCTGCCACCACACCCGGCTAATTTTTTTGTATTTTTAGTAGAGACGGGGTTTCACCGTGGTTTCGATCTCCTGAACTCGTGATCCGCCCGCCTCAGCCTCCCAAAGTGCTGGGATTACAAGCGTGAGCCACCGCGCCAGGCCACACAGCTCTAGTTTAAAACTGTGGCAAAGTGACAGCTCATTCCCTAGGAGGCAGACAGTCCTGTGACTATACCAGTGTAATGATTAGCAAGTTCTTCTTAGGTCAATTCTTTTCTTTTTTTCTTTTTTTTTGATGGAGTCTAGGTCTGTCGCCCAGGCTGGAGTGCAGTGGCTCGATCTCGGCTCATTGCAAGCTCCGCCTCCCAGGTTCACGCCATTCTCCTGCCTCAGGCTCCTGAGTAGCTGGGATTACAGGCGCCCACCACCACACCCGGCTAATTTTTTGTATTTTTTAGTAGAGACGGGGTTTCACCGTGTTAGTCACTATGGTCTCGATCTCCTGAGCTCGTCATCCACCCACCTCGGCCTCCCAAAGTGCTGGGATTACACGCGTGAGCCACTGTGCCCGGCCCTCTTCTTAGGTCCATTCTATTCTTTCAACTTACCTGCACCTCCTGGTGACATTAAGAATTAGTCTAATTTCCCCACCACCAGGTTTTTTGTTCACTTGTTCAGCAAATATTTAGTGAGCATACAATGATTAAAGAGTAAACATGGTTCCTACTGTCTTGGAGATTATTTTGGTATGGAAGAGACAGAAGAGAAAATAATTAGCTGAAGAGATAAGGACACACTATGGAAAGTGCCAGAGAGGAAATGCACAGGGGGAGCTGTTTTGACCAGGGCACCCCTGAATCTTAATCCCACAATATGCCTAAACAACTAATCTCAGGAAGAAGGCTATATTAGAATCAATTCTTTATTCCTAAGATACCAATATCATCAGGATCCATGTTATCATGTCTTTCTTCTCTGTTTACTTTTGCCACTAGAAGAATCCAAGACATCCATGTCAATATCAGCAGCAGACTCTCATCTCTCTTTTTTTTTGGAGATGGAATCTTGCTCTCTGGCGCAGGCTGGAGTGCAATGGTGTGATCTCAGCTCACTGCAACCTATGCCTCCAGGGTTCAAGCAATTCTCCTGCCTCAGCCTCCCAAGTAGCTGGGATTATAGGCGCATGCCATCAAGACTGGCTAATTTTTTGTATTTTTAGTAGAGACAGGGTTTCACCGTGTTAACAAGGATGGTCTCAATCTCCTGACCTTGTGATCCACCCACCTCGGCCTCCCAAAGTGCTGGGATTACAGGCATGAGCCAGCCTCGGCCTCTCATCTCTTTATGTGATGCAAACCCCTACGTACCCCTGACCTTCCAAGTCCTTCCACTGTTTTCCCTGAAACAGTGTGGCATCAGCCAAAACCCCTTCATGTTAAAGCTGTGCCCCAGTGTTTTTCTTAGCCTCTTGGTCTTACTAAATTTAAGCCATGGCCTGAGAGATGCCTGTGCAACCCTATCAAACAACAATGCTTTCTCCCCACCCAACATCCTACCCAATTATTATTACTATTATTATTATTATTATTATTATTATTTTGAGACAGAGTCTTGCTCCATCGCCCAGGCTGGAATGGAGCAGCGCGATCTCAGCTCACTGCAGCCTCTGCCTCCCAGGTCCCAGTGATTCTCCTGCCTCAGCCTCTGGATAGCTGGGATTATAGGCACATGCCACTACGCTCAGCTAATTTTTGTATTTTTAGTAGAGACGTGGTTTCACCATGTTGGCCAGGCTGATCTTGAACTCCTGACCTCAAGTGATCTGCCCACTTCGGCCTCTCAAAGTGCTGGGATTACAGGCATGAGCCACCGCGCCCGGCTGTACCCAATCATGATCACTGCTTCTAGGCTACTCCTTTTAGCCTCTCCATAAAGTCTCCATCTTTTGGGGAGCTTATTCTATAATACCACACCCTTGTTGTGACCATCTACAGCTCTGCAGGCTTCCCTCCTTCTTCGTTCTTGGAAGAGTTTAGTTTCTGGATTGACACCTTCCTCTCCACCAATATTCCCATTGCGTTTTTTGGTTATTTCTGCAACTATGCAAATGATCCTTCTAATCATCTGACCTTACAGTTCCTTGGGTTTCTCATCTCTGATGGTTGCTTTTGACCCACCTGTGCAACTCGCAGCCTCAGGCATAGCCAAGATGCCATTGTCACTCACTGTAATTCTCCAAAATCTGGGTCCGACAACCACATCCCACCTTTTTGCCCCATTCCTTCTAAAACCAGCCCTCCAAGAGTCCTTCTACTCCACCCAGAAATCCAACCCACTGATCCTCACACACAGACCACTCTCCTTGTGTTCTCTGGCTCATCTTCAGAGACACTCTCTTGCTTGCACTCTCAACTTTCAGGCTCACGTGTTCCACCTTTTTGCTCTCCTTCCCTTTGTCACAATTGTCCAGCAAAACACCAACCCTGGTGAAAATCCAGCTCTGCATACTCCACTCTTGCCCCTGAAAAGCTGAATATAGAAAGAGTAAACAAAACCAATCTTGCTAGTTGGTCTCATTTTTTAAATTAATGACCACAAAAGTGAGTCCTCAACCCTGCTTAGCAATCCCATAACAATTCCCTAGTCATCCCACTCCTCCATGAGCTAGAGAAACTATTTCTTCTTGTATTTTCTCAAACCTCTGATTCCCTGCTCTCTCCCTCTTCACACTAATCCGGTGGTTCTCTAGCTTGAGCACATGTCATCATCACCTGGAAGGCTCATTCTTTTGTCTTTTTTTTTTTTTGGAGATGGAATTTTGCTCTGTCTTCCCCAGGCTGGAGTGCAGTGGTGGGATCTCAGCTCACTTCAACCTCTGCCTCCCAGGTTCAAATGATTCTGTGTCTCTGGGAGCTGGCATTACAGGCGCCTGCCACCACACTTGGCTAATTTTGTATTTTTAGTAGACCGGGGGTTTCACCATGTTGGCTAGGCTGGTCTCCAACTCCTGTCCTCAGGTGATCCTCCCGCCCCAGCCTCCCAAAGTGCTGGGATTACAGGCGTGAGCCATGGCGCCTGGCCTTGGAAGGCTCATTCAAATGCCAATTGCTGGACCCCATCTCCAGGTTGTGGTTGGGTATACCTGGGGTGGGGCCCAGGAATTTGTATTTCTAACAAATTCTCAGGTGATGCTGTTGCTGCTGGTCTGAGGACCACACTTTGAGAACACTGCACTAACCTGACCTCACATTTCATTGGGGAATTAGAAACAAACTGAAAAGGACCACTTCATCTTCCTACTACCAAGTGTACTCATCATCTTTATCCACCCACCTTCTCCCTTATTACAATGGTGGTGGATCTCTGCTCCAACTCACGGCCAATCTTCCAGTGCATTTGTCTTACCCCTTCTTGCCTATAAGATAAGAACTGTGCTTTTGCAATTGCCCTTTTGTTTTTTTCTCCTAAACATGCTGGAATATATCCTCTTTGGGGAAACTCCTCACTTGATCTCACATATTTATTTAGCTGCCAACTAATTTCTCTGCTTTTCCTTTAGAGCAAAATCCTCAATAACTTTCTGTGTACCTCCAATTAGTCTCCATATTAGTCTCTCTTGGACTCACCGTGCGGACTTTCTTCTCCACAACTGGAGCGAAACTTCTATTGTCAAGGTCAACAGTGGCTACACATTGCTAAATGTAATAGAATTCTCAGTTCTCATCTTATTTGACAATGTTTGATGTAGCTGATCCCTCTCTCTTTCTTAACTTTTCTCCCTTGGATTCCAGAATACCGCTTTCTCAGTTCTCCCCCTCCTACCTAATTCGGAGGCTACTCCTTCTTAGACTTTTTGTTACATTCTTGTAGTCTTCCTGATTTTCTTTTTTTTTTTGAGATAGGGTCTTGGTCTGTTGTCCAAGCTAGAATGACGTGGCACAATCTTGGCTTACTGCAGCCTCGACCTCCTAGGCTCAAGCGTCCCAAGTAGCTGGGACTACAGACGTGCACCACTGCACCAGGCTAATTTTTATATTTTTTGTAGAGATGGGGTTTGCCATCTTGTCCAGGCTGGTCTCAAACTCCTGAGCCCAAGTGATACACCCACCTCAGCCTCCCAAAGTGCTAGGATTACAGGTGTGAGCCACCTTGCCTGGCCTCTTCAGATTTTTCAACACCATAGTGCCCAGGGCTCAGTCCCCACCTGCCTTCTCTCTTTTATATACACTTCCACACAGGAGATCTCATACACCCTAAGGCTTTCAATGTCATATATGCATTGATGGATTCTAAATTAATACCCAACCTCTCCCCTAAACTCCAAGTACTTAATGTTACCACTTATATTAACAGGTATTTTTTTTTTTTGAGACAAAGTCTCGCTCTCTCGCCCAAGCTGGAATACAGTGACGTGATCTCGGCTCACTGCAACCTCCACCTCCCAGATTCAAGCGATTCTCCTGCCTCAGTCTCCCAAGTATCTGGGACTATAGGTGCACACCACCACGCCCTGCTAATTTTTGCATTTTTTTTGACTCTTCACTGCTTCTTTATTATGATGCACCCACAGTACAGAACCTCTCACACATCCATGAAAGGGGAAGGTTACATTTCTTTTTGGGGAGCACCTTCATTTTTGTTTCTGTTACAACTTTGAAGAAAGCAAATCATTTCCAAAGGAAAACATTTTAAATTCCAAGTATTTAAGACTCAGCTTGCATTTTGTTGTGTTTGAAAAGAAAGTAGCATGTTTTAGCCAGAGGTGGAAGATTGTTTTGTGGCATTTTAAGTTTGATGTGGATCAGAAGTCTTCACTGTCTGGTTGAACCAGTCTATAATTTTCTTTTTTTTCTTTTTCTTTTTTTTTTTTTGAAACGGAGTCTTGCTCTGTCACCCAGGCTGGAGTGCAGTGGCGCAATCTCCGCTCACTGCAAGCTCCACCTCCCAGGTTCAGGCCATTCTCCTGCCTCAGCCTCCCGACTAGCTGGGACTACAGGTGCCCACCACCACGCCTAGCTAATTTTTTTTTTTTGTATTTTCAGTAGAGACAGGGTTTCACTGTGTTAGTCAGGATGGTCTCGATCTCCTGACCTCGTGATCCGCCCGCCTCGGCCTCCCAAAGTGCTGGGATTACAGGCGTGAGCCACTGCACCCGGCCGAACCAGTCTATAATTTTCATATGCAACTTTTCGTATCAAAAATGTTTCATTTTTACTGTACTCACAAAGATGCTGTTTAAAAAAACACACACAGCTAAATTTAAAACTGATCATGAACCACAGCATTACTAACAGGGAAAATGAACTTTTGCTGCCCTCTCTGCTAAAACAATGAAATACTAAAATACCAAAAGATTTATGAAGCTAAAGCGAAGTCCTCAAACCAAAAGTAACAGACATGTCATTCTCATTATACTTCAATCAAAAATCAGACAACAACCAGAAAACGCATTGGTAATATTTATATTTGAAAGTTCCCCATTTATACATGAGGTTTGGATTACAACTTATTTACAATAAGTGATTTCAAAAAAAGTAAAGAAAGAGGAAGGGAAGAGGGAGGGAGGAAAAGAGAGGCTCAGAGAAAGAGAAAAAAGAGAAAGGTGGGAGAAGAAAGGAGGGAGGGACGGAAGAAAAGGAAACCTATATTCATAGACATCATAATATAGGATATTTATTTCCAAGAGAGATACTACTGCTGCTGTCATGCACAAGAAGCACTACAAATTCACATTCCGCTAGAACACAATTTGCTCAACTTTCTCTCAAGATGCACGATCCTTTTAGATTTTCAAAATTAAATATAGAGGAATATAAAATGCAATGCCAATATGCCTACTACAAAAAATCCCTTGTGGCTCATTCCTTAACTCCACTCAGAGAAGCAGCTGAGCCAGAGTACAAAAATAAAAATATTGATGTGCAAATAAAACATCAGTGATCATGTCTGGTGCCACCCTTTTGTTGCAGGTGACTGTCACCTTATGATAACATTGGTAAGAGCATCAAAAGAGAATCTCTTCATTTCCTGGGCAGGTCAGTGCATCCAATTAAAAGGAAAAAAGGAAAACAAGGAAAAAAACCCCAAACCCCAAAAAACTCTAAACACTTAAAAATTCCAATAACATCCATACATCACTTTCCCATCCCACCTTCATCCCCACAAAAAAATAAAAATGCTTTTAAAGCTCTAAATATAATATTTTTGTTTCTTTCCACAGTGTGATTGAGCCTAAGGCTATACATTTAAGTATAGCAGGTGCAATTACAAGCAAGTCCTGGCTCTGCATCCTGGACTATCCCACACATAGGAGGTACAAAATAAATTAAACCCTTTCATTTAGGCAAACAAGCCCAAGATCTACATAACCCTGCTTGTGAGTATCCAGCGGCATTGAGGGTATTATTTATTTCTTATTTTTTCTTTTCTTTTATAAAGAACAGTCAAATATTAGGGAGAGCAACATATAATAAAATTTAAAAGGACAAAAACTCAACACTGAAGGAAAACAACTGGGGATACTTGCACAATGAAAAACAGGGACGCATGCTTGATTCCAAGTATGAGATGGGGGAATTCACTCACATAGCTGTTCTAGGCCCACAGCCTAAGGCCTCAGCATCATTCTAAACCACAGGGTTGTGTATATTTTTCTCTTCCAAAGACACTTTTAATCACATCCCTGAAATCAATATGGTAAGGATAAGGTTGGAGTCATCATCACTTACTAACTACAATATTTGCTATTTAAAAAATATATTTATCTATAGTTCTGGAAATTATGAAGCAAACAAAATATAACACAAAGTTTCATTTGTCACAATTAACTCAAGTTGCAGCAACAGCAGAATTGTGGGAAGGGACAGGGACAGAGGGCTGCTGCAAATGCAGCAAGTATGTCCTGAAATATGTCACACAGTGCAACGGTCAGATTACCTCAGTTACTCTCCGTCACCGCACACAACATGACTAATGTCACATTGTCACTTTCCATTAAAAAAGAAAAAGACAGCGTTTCTTCTCAGAAGTTGCCCTATGAATTTTAGACATATAGCTTTAATTGATACTTTAAATATGTCTAAAATGTGGCTTTATTCTTCTCAGTTTGGAATGATCAACATACAAAATTGACATCAAGGAGGAGAGCTGTAAGTTTTCACCTTTACTCTTGAAGACAGGGTAAGGTGCGAAAAAGGATCCTGGCCTTGCTCGTTTCAAATGACTGCATTTCATTCCAATGGGCAGAGATTCTTCATAAACCTGTGATTTTAATATCCTCTACCTAAAAAGATGAATTAATGGAAAACAAAAGTTTATATCATCAAAAATAAATATAACGTAGAGTTGAAACTAAAGGGCTAAAATGACGAGGGCTAAAAAAGAGATTTGTAACAAATTTATTTTTATCACTTTGTTCCAGCATTTTTAAAGTCAGTTGTTTTGTCTTTGGCAGCCTCTACCAACTTTACAGTGAATCCTCATCAATGTTCTTTTTTTTAAAAAAAAAATACTATTAATTCCATTAAACCATGTTGTGTCTGGTGTTGCATATGACTTTTTTTTTACTGCGGGTTTTTTTTTTTAATTAACAATGCCAGTTTTGTTCTTGTTTTTTTACAAAGTTACTGAGATAACAATATCCATAATTAGCTGACTCTTACATACACACTGTGACCTGATAATCCTGAAAAACTTCATGGAGGAGAAAGGTCAGCAGCTTTTTTTCCTTTTTCTTGAAAACAATAAAACTGTATATTCTACTTTATATTTAAATGTAAGGAAGAAAATATACAAGCCCGTATTTATATTGTATTTCTATTAAGAGCAACAATAGTTCATATGTTCATGTTTGCTACTATCACAATTCAATGCATGAACACAGAATCAGCTCTATAGCACGAATACTGCTGGAAGTGATGGTTTAGGATTACCAACTCACTGCTGCCATGTCCATAACAAGCAAAATCATCCTGGAAATAAACCCCCAAACACATATCTTTCAGTACATAATAATGCAACTGCATTAGGTAAGTACATACTGTACACAAGTTTTATCAGCAGTTTACCTACCCAAGATGTAAGATTCTTCATTTAAATACAAAGCGAAGAGTCAATAAGATATATATATATATACACACACATATATATACATATATATAATACAGCCCTAGATTTTGTTTTTTGTTTTTTTCTTAAACAATTTGATCACGATGCACCTTTGATATAAAACCATTTTTAAACTTTATTATTAATACTCAAGACATTAGGAATTTCCAGATTTTTTTCAGTAGCCTTTGTAGAACCACTTTTGGTAACCAATACAGTAGTTAGGAATATGCATCCAATTCAGAATGCATAATAATACTTATCCTGAATCCTTTCCGGCAAAAAAGAGGGCTGGTGCTGTGATGAGATATAGAATGAGAATCTACAAAAAACACTGTAACATGTTTGTTTTTTCCCAGAGGCTACATCCTCTTTTGCTGGAATACTTTATAAATATACATTAAAAAGTAAGGCAACAACTCCAAACAGTCCAAGCTGTTTGCTCAACTCTTTTCCCAATTAGATTTATTTGCAATCCCGGCGATCAATTTCATGGTTGTATTGTTTAGTGTTTGTCTTTCTTATTTCAAATGGTCCAAAAGGATGTTTTTCTTGCATTTCTAAAACATCTGTGGTATGTGTGTTCAATGATATATGCAACTAATACTGGTCAGGTACTGAAGCCTGTGATGTCCCAGTGCCTGTTTTCAAAGGATTCAAGACATTGATTTGGATTCACCATAAACTGATGCATGAATCCAAAATTCCCTTCCTTACTATGTTTATCACCTGTTCTCTTTTAACTCCTAGTTTTAAAACTAAAGGAGTACCAGGACTACCTGGTTACTAGAAAGATGTTCATCCCAGTAAACAGAACTTTTATCAGTTCTGTCATGACCCCATTCCACATGGACATTCAACTCAGGAAGATGTGCAAAAGAAAAGATGTCAAATTACAGTCAAGTTATCCAGAGGAGGATGTTACACAAACTTATAAGGAAATGAGTCTTTTTTTCTTCCTTTACTATAAATACATTTAACAGCTTAGCAGAAAGACAAGCTAAATTTAAGATTGTTCACATTTGAAAATTGTATCATACTCTCTGCTAGTGATAAATAAGGAACTCCCGATAATGGAATTTTAACATAGCAATTTCATCAACAGAACTTTGAGGACTGATTTTTTTCAAAAAGAGGGTTAGAACAATGATTATGTTTGCAAAGTCCTGAGAAGTCCATCTGCTGTCCAAACTTTGGACTGAAGTCCTTATTTTTTTTCCTTTACTTAGAGACAGGTATATACAGTGCTGTTGTAATAATGAAACAAATGTGAAATCTACTGTAAAGCTGCACAATATGGAAAACTGTTGCTCCATCTTCTACTACATAAATGTGTGACTCCACAGGTTAGTAATGTTGTTGTCATTGTTTTTGTTAAGTTGGAATTATTCCATCACATCTAAGACCTCTCTTTAACTCCAGATCCTCCAATTTTTTCCAAATTCTTCACACTCCTTTTCTTTCTTTTTCTCATGCTGACGATCTGACTTGTGTGTGGCTGTCACCTCGTTAAACATGGTGCTGTTCATTTCTATAAATGCCTTCAACACGTTGTACACCAACGCCACAATAGCCGGATTCCAATGTTCTTTTGAAATCATATAAAGGCTGGAAAACTTGATGGGAAGGATGACGTTAGAGTTTTCTTCTATCAAACTCATGATGTATTCATTATTCCAATAATAGAGTGCTCTTTCTGCCACCTGAAAATGGGGGCTAGATACACACTTGGCGATTTGTTTAAACAAAGGTTCTTGGATTTTAACAAATTGTGAAGGTTCAATCACATCCAATATTTCTTCCAGTTCCCCAAGAAACGTGACCTCTTTTTGACTACATGTTTTAGGCCAAAATTTCATTAACCCCCTAATACTCGTTCTGTGAGTGAAGGATCTTTCTCCAGAAACTGTACTGTACAATATGCCAGCTGTGCATGGAAAAGTGATAAGCTCCTGACAGTGTGTAAGGGGATCAATACCTTCACCAGAAAATGTGTTCTGCCTTAAGAGGTAAAGCAAAGCCATTGATAATACTTCCTAATGTTTCCAGAAGTTCAGCTACACCATTGAAGCGTTCTGTTTCATAAACAAACCTTAGAAAACTATTGTTAATCTGTTTTTGGATAAATGCTCTAAGACCGAGAAACTTGCCATAAATTCTGTGTAAGACTGTTTTAAAGTAGTCCCGTTCCCGAGGGTCTTCGCTGTCAAATAGCTCCAGAAGTGTGATCATCAGGCAATTTTCCAAGCAATCTCCATATTAATCCTCCTGATGAGGTAATTCTGTCCCCCTTTTACAGAAGAGGAAACTGCGGCACATAAGGGTTAAGTGACGTGCCCATGGTCTCACAGCTAATAGGTGGTAAAGCTAGAATTTGAACCCCAGCAGTTGAGGCCAAAAGTCCATGATCTCAACCACTGCACTATGCTACCTACTGATATTCCAAACACCAGTGCTGTATTTTTAATAGAGATGGGGTTTCACTATGTTAGCCAGGCTGGTCTCGAACTCCTGACCTCGTGATCCGCCTGCCTCGGTCTCCCAAAGCACTGGGATTACAGGGGTGAGCCACTGCACCCGGCCCATTAACAGGTATCTTATGCCAAAAATAAATTCTTGATTTCTTTCCCCAAACTGAACTCCTGCCCTAGTCTATCTTATCTTTAATGGCACCTCCAGCCTCAAAGTTTCTCAGACCAACCTTGGAGATGCTCTGAATTCTTCTGTCTCACTCTGTAGAACAAATGCATCAGCAAATCCCACCTATTATTACATGTGAAATGTATCCAGAATCCAACAATATCTCCCCATCCCATCTCAAGCAACCATCCTAGACCAAGCCATCAGCATCTTTTTTTTTTTTTTTTTTTTTTGAGACAGAGTCTCACTCTGTCACCAGGCTGGAGTGCAGTGGCACTATCTCGGCTCACTGAAACCTCTGCCTCCTGGGTTCAAGTGATTCTCTGGCCTCAGCTTCCCAAGTAGCTGGGACTACAGGCACGTGCCACCACGCCCAGCTGATTTTTGTATTTTTAGCAGAGATGGGGTTTCACCATGTTGGCTGGGTTGTTCTCGATCTCTTGACCTCATAATCTACCTGCCTCAGCCTCCCAAAGTGCTGGGGTTATAGTTGTGAGCCACCGCACCCGGCCTAGCACCTCTTTTAATTGGTCTTCCTGCTTTTACTCCTGTCTTCCCATAGTCTATCCCTCATTGCATGATCTGGTCCCATCTATTCTCTAACTGCATCTGTCACTGCTGTCCTACTCTCTCACTCTGGTCCAGCTGCACTCATATCTTAATTGTTCCTGGGACAAGCCAAGCATTCATCCACCTCGAGGTCTTTGAAATGCACCTCTCTATCTGAAATGCTGTCAAGTTTCAGGTGATCACTTCCACTTTCATGGTTCTCACCTTACGGCTTCCTTGCCAAGCTTGTCCAACCCTCCTTATTTTGTTGTTGTCGTTCTGTTTTGTTTTGTTTTAGGCTTTTGGCAGCCTGAAGCCATGATTTTTAGTTTCTGTCTCTAGTGATAAGTGGAAAAAAGGGATAAGGAAGGGGCTTTAGTGACCCCACCAGAAACAGAAACTAAGAACCCATAACTGTATTCTCTCCCTTGGACACCCTTCCTTCCTTCTGCTGTAGTTGAGATAAGACAATTAATGGCAGACAGAATGCTGGGGCTCTCCTCCAAATATGGGGAGGTGCCAAAGACTGATGTTTCTGTCTCCCCAAAATTCATAGGTAGAAACCGAATCCCCAAGGGGATAATATTTGGAGGCAGGGCCTTTGGGAACTGATTAGGTCATGAAGGTGGAGCTGTAGTGAGTGGGATAAGTGCCTTTATCAAAAATGCTTGAGGGGGCCAGGTGTGGTGGTTCATGCCTGTAATCCCAGAACTTTGAGAGGCCGAGACGGGCAGATCACTTGAGGTCAGGAGTTTGAGACCAGCCTGGCCAACATGGTGAAACCGTGTCTCTACTAAAAATACAAAAAGTAGCCAGGTGTAATGGTGCTTGCCTGTAATCCCAGCTACTCAGGAGTCTGAGGCAGGAGAATTGCTTGAACCAAGGAGGTGGAGGTTGCAGTGAGCCAAGATTGTGGCATTGCACTCCAGCCTGGGTGACAAGAGCAAGACTCTATCTCAAAAAACAATAAAAAAGAAAAAAAGAAAAATGCTTGAAGGGATGAATACCCCGTTCTCCATGATGTAATTATTACAATTGCATGCCTGAATCAAAACATCTCATGTACCCCATAAATATATATACCTACTATGTACCTACAAAAATTAAAAATAAAAAGAAATTTTTAATAAAATGCGAAGTATCCCCTCATTCCTTCTGCCATGTGAGTACATAGCAAAAATACAGTTATCTATTAATATAAATCAGGAATGGGCTGTCACTAGACACCAGATCTCACCTTACCACTTACATTAACAGGTATCTTATGCCAAAAGTAAATTCTTGATTTCTTTCCCCAAACTTAACTCCTTCCCTAGTCTACCCTATCTCCAATGGCATCACCAGCCTCAAAGATCTCAGCACCACCAGATCTCACTCTTACCATATACTTTAACAGCTATGCCAAAAAGAAATTCTTGATTTCTTTTGAATAAATCAGAAGAGAGGCCAGGCACCTTGATCTTGGACTTCAAGCTTCCAACACTGTAAGAAATAAATTTCCCTTGTTTGTAAACCACCCGGTCTATGATACTTTGGTATAACAGTCAAATGGAATAAAACAGGGGTGACTGTGGAAGGCAACCCTGGTGGGGAGTCTGCCATCATGAGAATGAGGGCCATAACACTATCCATTGAGGCATCTGGGGCCTAGAATACTATATAAGTCTATTTTGTCATGAAGAGTTTTGAGATATAGTCCCTATGTGGTCCATAAACTTAACAGAACTTTTTTTTTTTTTTTCGAGATGGAGTCTCACTCTGTTGCCAGGCTGGAGTGCAGTGGTGCAATCTCAGCTCACTGCAATCTCTGCCTTCCCGGTTCAAGCGATTCTCCTGCCTCAGCCTCCCAAGTAGGTGGGATTACAGGCACGCACCACCATGCCTGGCTGATTTTCGTGTTTTTTTTTTTTTTTTTTTTTTTTTTAGTAGAGACAAGGTTTCATCATTTTGGCCAGGATGATCTCGATCTCATGACCTCGTGATCTGCTCGCCTCGGCCTCCCAAAGGGCTGGGATTACAGGCATGAGCCACTGCACCCAGCCCAGAAGTTTTTAATTTTTTTATTTTATTATTATTATACTTTAAGTTTTAAGGTACATGTGCACAACCTGCAGCTTTGTTACATATGTATACATGTGCCATGTTGGTGTGCTGCACCCATTAACTCATCATTTAACATTAGGTATATCTCCTAATGCTATCCCTCCCCCCTTCCCCCTACACCACAACAGACCCTGGTGTGTGATGTTCCCCTTCCTGTGTCCATGTGTTCTCATTGTTCAGTTCTCACCTATGAGTGAGAATATGCGGTGTTTGGTTTTTTGTCCTTGCGATAGTTTGCTGAGAATGATGGTTTCCAGCTTCATCCATGTCCCTACAAAGGACAAGAACTCATCTTTTTTTATGGCTGCATAGTATTCCATGGTGTATATGTGTCACATTTTCTTAATCCAGTCTATCATTGTTGGACATTTGGGTTGGTTCCAAGTCTTTGCTACTGTGAATAGTGCCGCAATAAACATACGTGTTCATGTGTCTTTATAGCAGCATGATTTATAATCCTTTGGGTATATACCCAGTAATGGGGTTGCTGGGTCAAATGGTATTTCTAGTTCTAGATCCCTGAGGAATCACCACACTGACTTCCACAATGGTTGAACTAGTTTACAGTCCCACCAACAGTGTAAAAGTGTTCCTCTTTCTCCACATCCTCTCCAGCACCTGTTGTTTCCTGACCTTTGAATGATCGCCATTCTAACTGGTGTGAGATGGTATCTTACTGTGGTTTTGATTTGCATTTCTCTGATGGCCAGTGATGATGAGCATTTTTTCATGTGTCTTTTGGCTGCATAAATGTCTTCTTTTGAGAAGTGTCTGTTCATATCCTTCACTCACTTTTTGATGGGGTTGTTTGTTTTTCTCTTGTAAATTTGTTTGAGTTCATTGTAGATTCTGGATATCAACCCATTGTCAGATGAGTAGATTGCAAAAATTTTCTCCCCTTCTGTAGGTTGCCTGTTCACTCTGATGGTAGTTTCTTTTGCTGTGCAGAAGCTCTTTAGTTTAATTAGATCCCATTTGTCAATTTTGGCTTTTGTTGCCATTGCTTTTGGTGTTTTAGTCATGAAGTCCTTGCCCATGCCTATGTCCTGAATGGTATTGCCTAGGTTTTCTTCTAGGGTTTTTATGGTTTTAGGTCTAACATGTAAGTCTTTAATCCATCTTGAATTAATTTGTGTATAAAGTGTAAGGAAGGGATCCAGTTTCAGTTTTCTATATATGGCTAGCCAGTTTTCCTAGCACCATTTATTAAGTAGGGAATCCTTTCCCCATTTCTTGTTTTTGTCAGGTTTGTCAAAGATCAGACAGTTGTAGATATGTGGCATTATTTCTGAGGGCTCTGTTCTGTTCCATTGGTCTATATCTCTGTTTTGGTACCAGTACCATGCTGTTTTGCTTACTGTGGCCTTGTAGTATAGTTTGAAGTCAGGTAGCATGATGCCTCCAGCTTTGTTCTTTTGGCTTAGGATTGACTTGGCGATGTGGGCTCTTTTTTGGTTCCATATGAACTTTCAAGTAGTTTTTTCCAATTCTGTGAAGAAAGTCATTGTTAGCTTGATGGGGATGGCATTGAATCTATAAATTACCTTGGGAAGTATGGCCATTTTCACGATATTGATTCTTCCTACCCATGAGCATGGAATGTTCTTCCATTTGTTTGTATCCTCTTTTATTTCCTTGAGCAGTGGTTTGTAGTTCTCCTTGAAGAGGTCCTTCACATCCCTTGTAAGTTGGATTCCTAGGTATTTTATTCTCTTTGAAGCAATTGTGAATGGGAGTTCACTCATGATTTGGCTCTCTGTTTGTCTGTTATTGGTGTATAAGAATTCTTGTGATTTTTGCTCATTGATTTTGTATCCTGAGACTTTGCTGAAGTTGCTTATCAGCTTAAGGAGATTTTGGGCTGAGATGCTGGGGTTTTCTAGATACACAATCATGTCATCTGCAAACAGGGACAATTTGACTTCCTCTTTTCCTAATTGAATACCCTTTATTTCCTTCTCCTGCCTGACTGCCCTGGCCAGAACTTCCAACACTATGTTGAATAGGAGTGGTGAGAGAGGGCATCCCTGTCTTGTGCCAGTTTTCAAAGGGAATGCTTCCAGTTTTTGCCCATTCAGTATGATATTGGCTGTGGGTTTGTCATGGATAGCTCTTATTATTTTGAGATACGTCCCATCAATTTATTGAGAGTTTTTAGCATGAAGGTTGTTGAATTTTGTCAAAGGCCTTTTCTGCATCTATTGAGATAATCATGTGGTTTTTGTCTTTGGTTCTGTTTATATGCTGGATTACGTTTATTGATTTGCGTATGTTGAACCAGCCTTGCATCCCAGGGATGAAGCCCACTTGATCATGGTGGATAAGCTTTTTGATGTGCTGCTGGATTCAGTTTGCCAGTATTTTATTGAGGATTTTTGCATCAATGTTCATCAAGGATATTGGTCTAAAATTCTCTTTTTTGGTTGTGTCTCTGCCAGGCTTTGGTATCAGGATGATGCTGGCCTCATAAAATGAGTTAGGGAGGATTCCCTCTTTTTCTATTGATTGGAATAGTTTCAGAAGGAATGGTACCAGCTCCTCCTTGTACCTCTGGTAGAATTCAGCTGTGAATCCATCTGGCCCTGGACTTTTTTTGGTTGGTAAGCTATTAATTATTACCTCAATTTCAGAGCCTGTTATTGGTCTATTCAGAGATTCAACTTCTTCCTGGTTTAGTCTTGGGAGGGTGTATGTATCGAGGAATTTATCCATTTCTTCTAGATTTTCTAGTTTATTTGTGTAGAGGTGTTTATAGTATTCTCTGATGGTAGTTTGTATTTCTGTGGGATCAGTGGTGATATCCCCTTTATCATTTTTTATTGCATCTATTTGATTCTTCTCTCTTTTCTTCTTTATTAGTCTTGCTAGTGGTCTATGAATTTTGTTGATCTTTTCAAAAAACCAGCTCCTGGATTCATTGATTTTTTGAAGGGTTTTTTGTGTCTCTATTTCCTTCAGTTCTGCTCTGATCTTAGTTATTTCTTGCCTTCTGCTAGCTTTTGAATGTGTTTGCTCTTGCTTCTCTAGTTCTTTTAATTGTGATGTTAAGGTGTCAATTTTAGATCTTTCCTGCTTTCTCTTGTGGGCATTTAGTGCTATAAATTTCCCTCTACACACTGCTTTGAATGTGTCCCAGAGATTCTGGTATGTTGTGTCTTTGTTCTCATTGGTTTCAAAGAACATCTTTATTTCTGCCTTCATTTCTTTATGTAGTCAGTAGTCATTCAGGAGCAGGTTGTTCAGTTTCCATGTAGTTGAGCGGTTTTGAGTGAGTTTCTTAAACCTGAGTTCTAGTTTGATTGCACTGTGGTCTGAGAGACAATTTGTTATAACTTCTGTTCTTTTACATTTGCTGAGGAGTGCTTTACTTCCAACTATGTGGTCAATTTTGGAATAGGTGTGGTGTGGTGCTAAAAAGAATGTATATTCTGTTGATTTGGGCTGGAGAGTTCTGTAGATGTCTATTAGGTCCACTTGGTGCAGAGTTGAGTTCAATTCCTGGATATCCTTGTTAACTTTCTGTCTCGTTGATCTGTCTAATGTTGACAGTGGGGTGTTAAATCTCCCATTATTATTGTGTGGGAGTCTAAGTCTCTTTGTAGGTCACTGAGGACTTGCTTTATGAATCTGGGTGCTCCTGTAGTGGGTGCATACATATTTAGAATAGTTAGCTCTTCTTGTTGAATTGATCCCTTTACCATTATGTAATGGCTTTGTCTCTTTTGATCTTTGTTGGTTTAAAATCTGTTTTATCAGAGACTAGGATTGCAACCCTTGCCTTTTTTTGTTTTCCATTTGCTTGGTAGATCTTCCTCTGTCCCTTTATTTTGAGCCTATGTGTGTCTCTGCACTTGAGATGGGTTTCCTGAATACAGCACACTGATGGGTCTTGACTCTTTATCCAATTTACCAGTCTGTGTCTTTTAATTGGAGCATTTAGCCCATTTACATTTAAAGTTAATATTGTTATGTGTGAATGTGATCCTGTCATTATGATGTTAGCTGGTTATTTTGCTCATTAGTTGATGCAGTTTCTTCCTAGCCTCAGTGGTCTTTATAATTTGGCATGTTTTTGCAGTGACTGGTACCGGTTGTTCCTTTCCATGTTTAGTGCTTCCTTCAGGAGCTCTTTTAGGGCAGGCCTGGTGGTGACAAAATCTCTCAGCATTTGTTTGTCTGTAAAGGATTTTATTTCTCCTTCACTTATGAAGCTTAGTTTGACTGGATATGAAATTCTGGGTTGAAAATTCTTTTCTTTAAGAATGTTGAATATTGGCCCCCACTCTCTTCTGGCTTGAAGAGTTTCTGCCGAGAGATCACCTGTTAGTCTGATGGGCTTCCGTTTGTGGGTAACCCGACCTTTCTCTCTGGCTGCCCTTAACATTTTTTCCTTCATTTCAACTTTGGTGAATCTGACAATTATGTGTCTTGGAGTTGCTGTTCTCTAGGAGTATCTTCATGGCGTTCTCTGTATTTCCTGAATCTGAATGTTGGCCTGCCTTGCTAGATTGGGGAAGTTCTCATGGATAATATCCTGTGGAGTGTTTTCCAACTTGGTTCCATTCTCCTGTCACTTTCAGGTACACCAGTCAGACATAGAATTGGTCTTTTCACATAGTCCCATATTTCTTGGAGGCTTTGTTCATTTCTTTTTATTCTTTTTTCTCTAAACTTCTCTTCTTGCTTCATTTCATTCATTTGATCTTCCATCACTGCTACCCTTTCTTCCAGTTGATCAAATCGGCTACTGAGGTTTGTGCATTCGTCACGTAGTTCTCGTGCCATGGTTTTCAGCTCCATCAGGTCCTTTAAGAACTTCTCTGCATTAGTTATTCTAGTTAGCCATTCGTCTAATTTTTTTTCAAGGTTTTAAACTTCTTTGCCATGGGTTCGAACTTCCTCCTTTAGCTCAGCGTAGTTTGATCATCTGAAGACTTCTTCTCTCAACTCATCAAAGTCATTCTCCATCCAGCTTTGTTGCATTGCTGGTGAGGAGCTGCATTCCTTTGGAGGAGGAGAGGCGCTCTGATTTTTAGAGTTTCCAGTTTTTCTGCTCTGTTTTTTCCCCATCTTTGTGGTTTTATCTACCTTTGGTCTTTGATGATGGTGACGTACAGATGGGGTGTTGGTGTGGATGTCCTTTCTGTTTGTTAGTTTTCCTTCTAACAGTCAGGACCCTCCACTGCAGCTCTGTTCGAGTTTGCTGGAGGTCCACTCCAGACCCTGTTTGCCTGGGTATCAGCAGTGGTGGCTGCAGAACTGCGGATATTGGTGAACCACAAATGCTGCTGCCTGATCGTTCCTCTGGAAGTTTTGTCTCAGAGGAGTTCCCAGGCATGTGAGGTGTCAGTCTGCCCCTACTAGGGGTGCCTCCCAGTTAGGCTACTTGGGGGTCAGGGACCCACTTGAGGAGGCAGTCTGCCCATTCTCAGATCTCAAGCTGCGTGCTGGGAGAACCACTACTCTCTTTAAAGCTGTCAGACAGGTACATTTAAGTCTGCAGAGGTTACTGCTGCCTTTTGTTTGTCTGTGCCCTGTCCCCAGAGGTGGAGCCTACAGAGGCAGGCAGGCCTCCTTGAGCTGTGGTGGGCTCCACCCAGTTCGAGATTCCCGGCCGCTTTGTTTACCTACTCAAGCCTCAGCAATGGCGGGCACCCCTCCCCAAGCCTCGCTGCCGCCTTGCAGTTTGATCTCAGACTGCTGTGCTAGCAATGAGCGAGACTGTGGGCATAGGACCAGATGCGGGATATAATCTCCTGGCGTGCTGTTTGTTAAGCCCGTTGGAAAAGCGCAGTATTAGGGTGGGAGTGACCCTATTTTCCAGGTGCTGTCTGTCACCCCTTTCTTTGAGTAGGAAAGGGAATTCCCTGACTCCTTGAGCTTCCCTGGTGAAGCGATGCCTCACCCTGCTTCAGCTCACACATGTTGCGCTGCACCCACTGTCCTGCACCCACTGTCCGGCACTCCCCAGTGAGATGAACCTGGTACCTCAGTTGGAAATGCAGAAATCACCTGTCTTGTGTGTCACTCATGCTGGGAACTGTAGACTGGAGCTGTTCCTATTTGGCCTTCTTGGCTCCTCCCCTGCTCCAGAAGTTTTTTTAAATTTATTTTACTCTAAGTTCTGGGATACATGTGTGGAACATGCAGGTGTGTTACATAGGTATACATGTGCCATGGTGGTTTGCTGCACCTATCAACCCATCATCTAGGTTTTAAGCCCTGCATGCATTAGGTATTTGTCCTAATGCTCTCCCTCACCTTGCCTCCCACCCCCCAACAGGCCCTGATGAATGATGTTCCTCTCCCTGTGTCCATGTGTTCTCATTGTTCAACTCCCACTTATGAGTAAGAACATGCAGTGTTTGGTTTTCTGAGTTCATGTCCTTTACAGGGACATGGATGAAGCTGGAAGCCATCATTCTCAGCAAACTTATCAGAACTTTTTATCTCCTACCTCCTAGTTGCTGATATTTCTTGAGCTCTGAATCCCAAGCTGAAGAATCATTTCTTATTTTTATTCTTTGTTATAGTTATTTGTGCACAAAGCTTATTTAACATTTTGGACTGTAAGCATCTCAAAGCTTAGATTTTATAGCTTTATCATCTCTTCTATTTCTACCACAGAACAAGCTGCAGAGTAGGTCCAGGCTACTAGTTAACATTTAGGGAGCACTTCTTATGTGCTAATGTGCAAGTGGTTTGCAAACATGGTTGTGCTAATTTCCCTCCCTGTATGCATTTTCCTTTGCAGTATGAATCTACAGTGTTTTCCTCAAGTAATGGAGTCAGTTTCCCCAACCATGGCATCTAGGCTGGCCTTGTGGCTTAGTCTGACCAAGAGCATGTGACAGACATTATGCCTAGACCTCAAGAATCCTTGCATATTTATTTTCTTTTTCTTTTCTTTCTTTTTTTTTTTTTTTGAGATGGAGTTAAGCTCTTCTTGCCCAGGTTGGAGTGTGGTTGTGCTATCTCAGTTCACTGCAAACTCTGCCTCCCAGGTACAAGAAATTCTCCTGCCTCGGCCTCCCCAGTAGCTGAGATTACAGGTGCCCACCACCCTGCCTGGCTAATTTTTTATATTTTTAGTAGAGACGGGGTTTCACCATGTTGGCCAGGCTGGTCTCGAACTCCTGATCTCAGGTGATCCACCTGCCTCGGCCTCCCAAAGTGCTGGGATTACAGGCATGAGCCACCATGCCTAGCCCTGAAACCTAGCATATTTCTACACAGTTTCCTGGAGCCCTGTCTGGTCTCCATTTTAGCAAGCCCGAACTAGCCTGCTGGAGGATGAAAGAAACATGGAGCCTAGTCATGTCCTCCCAGCTGAGGTCATCTTAGATTAACCAAACCAGCTGGCCCAGCAGCTGACTTCAGACACATAAGCAAGCCTAGCTGAGCCTCATCCAAATTATAAACCAACAAAAGGCAAATAAATAGTTGTTTTAAGTCAGGAGTTGGCAAACTACGGCCTGTGGACCAAATCTGGTCTGTCTCCTGTTTTGTGAATATTATTTTGTTGGAACACAGCCTCACTCCTTCCTTTATGTATTATCTATAGCTGCTTTCATATGATAACAGAGTTGAATAGTTGCAGCAAACACCGTATGGCCTGCAAAGCTTAAAATATTGCCTCTCTCTCTCTTCACAAAAACAACTTGCAAACCTTGCTTTAAGTCACTAAGTGTGGGAGTGGCTTGTAATATCCATGAACTAAACCATACACCTTAAATTATTATCTGTTTTATTATTATTATTATTATTTTGAGATGGATCTCACTCTGTCTCCTAGGCTGGAGTGCTGTGGAGTGATCTCAGCTCACCACAACCTCTACCTCCCGGGTTCAAGCAATTCTCCTGCCTCTGCCTCTCAAGTAGCTGAGATTATAGGCACATGACACCATGCCCAGCTAATTTTTATGTATTCAGTATGGATAGGGCTTCGCCATGTTGGCAAGGCTGGTCTGGAACTCCTAACCTCAGATGATCCACCCGCCTCGGCCTCCCAAAATGCTGGGATTACAGGCGTGAGCCACCGCACCTACCCTATTATCTGTTTTAATCATCAGTTTAACTCACTGAGGGTTGATCATGCCCATTTTACAGATAGAAAACTGAGGCATAGTGAAGGCAAAAAATTTTTATACAGTGGGATCAGGCGAAAACCCAAATACCCTGCTTACAGTCTTATGACATTGGTATTAATGCTGTGTTAAATAATGTTTAGTAGATGAGTACCTGTCTGAGTGAATATAGAGCTGAATAACCACTCAGGTCAGGTCAGTTCTTATGAGGAAGGAACATGGATAGTAACAATCCTTGAGTCAGTGGCGTGTACTTCTGGATACAAGCCCCCCAAAATCTGGCCATAAACTGGCCCCAAAATTGGCCATAAACAAAATCTCTGCAGCACTGTGACATGTTCATGATGGCCATAAAGCCCATGCTGGAAGGTTGTGGGTTTACCGGAATGAGGGCAAGGAACACCTGGCCCATCAGGGCAGAAAGCCGCTTAAAGGTGTTCTTAAACCACAAACAATAGCATGAGTGATCTGTGCCTTAAGAGCATGTTCCTCTGCAGATAACTAGCCAGACCTACCCCTTTATTTCAGCCCATCCCTTTGTTTCTCATAAGGGATACTTTTAGTTAATCGAATATCTATAGAAACAATGCTAATGACTGGCTTGCTGTTCATAAATACGTGGGTAAATCTCTGTTCGGGGCTCTCAGCTCTGAAGGCTGTGAGACCCCTGATTTCCCACTTTACACCTCTATATTTCTGTGTGTGTCTTTAATTCCTCTAGTGCCGCTGGGTTAGGGTCTCCCCGACTGAGATGGTCTTGGCAAGTGGCGTCCATCGTGGGGGCTCGAATCCAGGTTGAAGGGTCACCAGAGCAACAGTTGGAGAATGTGGAACTAGCTGGAGGACCCCCGAGTACTCTTAAAGCAATCCCTGTGGTGAGTAAGAAGGGGAGCTCGGAAGCATCAGGGTAACAATGGGACAAGTGTGGGGTCTGGTTCGTTCCACGCTGGAACTTTTTCACACTGATGATGAGGAGGAAGGAGAGTATAATGAAGTAACAGAAGAGGTTACAGAGCAGGTTTATTTGCCATCTAAAGCTAAAGCGGCAAAGGGGGGAGAGGTTCATATCTACCCTTCTGCACCACCTCATTATTATTTTGAAGAAAAAGGCCCTCCAGATCTTTCTTTTCCGGAGGACGCTGGGCGAAAATAGTTGCCCCA
The DNA here is from genome assembly GCF_000001405.40 of Homo sapiens. NCBI lineage: Eukaryota > Metazoa > Chordata > Mammalia > Primates > Hominidae > Homo > Homo sapiens. The sequence goes on from NC_000007.14 coordinate 56,317,844, forward strand.
GTGACTGACTGAGCAGCGCGTTGAGCGACCACTCTCAGTTCTATTCAGGCAGGAATTCAGCAAGCTAGATGAGAGAGTGATTTAGAGGCTTGGCAGTTCCCTGTTAAAATACGCCCCCCAGATCAACAGGGAAATATTATAGCTACATTTGAGCCTTTTCCTTTTAAATTTGAGAAAGCACATTTAGTTGATTATATCAAGGCCTGTGATGGTATCGGAGGTAATCTGCATAAAGCTACCTTGTTGGCACAGGCAATGGCAGGACTGAGAGTGGATGAAGGAAATACTCCATTTCCTGGAGCTTGTTTTAACTGTGGGAAGCATGGTCATACTAAAAAAGAACGTAGAAAAAATCAGCGAGTCAGGCCACCAGATAGGGGAAAAAAGAAAACTGCTGAGCCAGAAATATGTCCAAAATGTAAAAAAGGAAAACACTGAGCTAATCAATGCCACTCTAAGTTTGATAAAGATGGGAACCCCATTTCGAGAAATGCCATGAGGGGCCTGTCGTGGGCCCCATTCCAAACCGAGGCATTTCCGGCTCAGGCCGTTCCCTCACCCCTGTACAATGTCTGTCCTCTGCCACAGCCAGTAGTGCCACAGTAGATTTATGCTGCACAAAAGCTGTGAGCCTTCTGCCTGGGGAATCCCCACAAAAGGTCCCAACAGGAGTCTGTGGACCCTTGCCAGCAGGGACAATAGGATTACTTCTAGGAAGGTCTAGTTTAAATTTAAAAGGGGTGCAAATACATACAGGAGTCATTGATTCAGATTACAATGGGGAAATTCAAATTGTTGTACCTAGTTCTGTTCCCTGGAAAGCAGAGCCAGGAGAGTGCATAGCACAGCTCCTGATTGTGCCGTATGTAGGAATGGGAAAAAGTGAAATTAAACGAACAGGAGGATTTGGAAGCACAAATAAACAAGGCAAAGCAGCTTATTGGGTGAATCGAATTACTGATAAACGTCCTACCTGTGAAATAACTATTCAAGGAAAGAAATTTAAAGGTTTGGTGGATACAGGAGCGGACCTTTCAATCATTTCTCTACAGCACTGGTTGTCCACGTGGCCAATTCAACCCACTCAATTTAACATAGTTGGAGTTGGTAAAGCCCCTGAAGTATATCAAAGTAGTTATATTTTGCATTGTGAAGGGCCCAATGGACAACCTGGGACTATTCAACCAATTATAACTTCTGTACCTATAAATTTATAGGGAAGAGATTTATTATAACAATGGAGAGCACAAGTTCTAATTCCAGAACAATTATATAGCCCTCAAAGTCAACATACAATGCATGAAATGGGGTATGTCCCTGGTATGGGACTAGAAAAAAATTTCCAAGGTTAGAAAAAACCTCTTCAAGTGAAAAGACAAAGTTCCCGCCAAAGATTAGGATATGATTTTTGATGGTGGTCATTGTTAAGCCTCCAGAACCTATACCTTTAAAATGGTTAACAGATAAGCCAATTTGGATAGAACAATGGCCACTAAGTAAAGAGAAACTGGAGGCTTTAGAGGAATTAGTTACTGAACAATTAGAAAATGGGCACATAACTCCAACATTTTCCCCTTGGAATTCTCCAGTTTTCATAATTAAGAAAAAATCAGGTAAATGGAGAACGTTAACTGACTTAAGAGCCATCAATTCAGTTATACAACGTATGGGAGCATTACAGCCAGGATTACCTTCTGCTATAATTCCAAAAATTGGCCTTTAATAGTCATAGATTTAAAAGACTGTTTATTTACTATCCCTTTAGCTGAGTAAGACTGTGAACGGTTTGCATTTACAATTCCTGCAGTAAATAACCTGCAGCCTACTAAGCATTATCACTGGAAAGTATTGCCACGAGGCATGTCAAACAGTCCAACAATTTGCCAGACATATGTAGGGCAAGCAATTGAACCTACTCATAAAAAATTTTCAGTGTTACATTATTCATTATATGGATGATATATTTTGTGTTGTCCCCACTCGAGAAATATTACTCCAATGTTATGATCACTTGCAAAATTCTATTTCTCATGCTGGTTTAATTGTAGCTCCTGACAAAATTCAGACTACTACTCCTTACTCCTACTTGGGGACCTTAGTAAATGACACTACCATTGTGCCACAGAAAGTAACCATGTGTAGGGATCAATTGAAAACATTAAATGACTTTCAAAAATTACTAGGGGACATTAATTGGATATGATCTGCTCTAGGCATTCCTACCTATGCCATGAGTAATCTGTTTTCTATCCTTAGAGGAAATCCTAGTCTCACTAGCCCTCAGCAATTAACAAAGGAGGCTGAGGCAGAGTTACAACTAATTGAGAAGCAAGTCCATAAAGCTCAGATAAATGGAATAGATCCAGAGAAGGCTCTAGATTTGCTAATTTTTTTCAACTCAGCATTCATCTACTGGTGTTATTGTCCAAGAACAGGACTTAGTAGAGTGGCTTTTTCTTCCATATAATAATTCACGGACTCTAACTCCTTATTTAGATAAAATCGCTACTATGATAGGGATTGGGAGAACTCGGATTGTTAAATTACATGGATATGATCCTGGAAAAATTATTGTCCCTCTCACAAAGGCACAAATACAGCAAGCTTTTATAAGTAGTCTTATTTGGCAAACCCATTTAGCTGACTTTCTGGGTATTCTTGATAATCATTTTCCTAAAATGAAACTGTTTCAGTTTTTGAAATTAGCTAATTGGATTCTCCCTAAAATAACTAAATTTAAACCAATTGAAGGTGCTGAGAATGTTTTTACAGATGGGTCTAGTAATGGTAAAGCTTCTTATTCTGGAACAAAAACTAAAGTTTTCCAGATGCCCTATACTTCAGCTCAAAAAGCGGAGCTTGTAGCTGTAATTGAGGTATTGACTGCTTTTAATATACCTATTAATGTGATTTCTGATTCTTCATATGTGGTTCATTCCACACAGTTAATTAAAAATGCTCAGTTACAATGTCAAACAGATGAATAACTGATGACAAAAACAAAAAAGGGGGAGAAACAGGGATTACAGGACAGCCCATACACAACTGAATCTAGCATTATTAACTTTAAATTTTTTGAGCCTGCCGAAAAGCCAGATGTTATCAGCAGCTGAACAGCATCTACAGAAACCAGCTGCAAAGACAGAAGCAGAACAACTGGTTTGGTGGAGAGATCCGATAACAAAAAGTTGGGAAATAGGTAAAATAATAACTTGGGGTACAGGCTATGCTTGTGTTTCTCCAGGCCAGAACCAGCAGCTGATTTGGAGACCATCAAGACACCTGAAACCTTATCATGAACCAGATGCCAAGGAAGAGATTCTGGAAGGATCCTGAGGACCCCCCTGGTTGCAGCCATGTTAAGGCTGATGCTGAGGAGGACCCCAACTGTCACGAGCAACACCCAACAAACACAGCCACCCACCTGGGGACAGACCAAGAAGCTGCCACAGATGGCAGAAGAAAACCTGAAGAAAGCAGGACAACCAGTCACAATGAGTAATTTAATGGTAGCTATGATAGCGGTTATCACCACTGCTGTGAGTATTCCTTCAATAAGGGCTGACACAGGGAACAATTATACTTATTGGGCATATTTATCAATCTTCGCTGGCAATAATGCCTGGATGTAATCACTCTATGATGCAGTTACACATGTTTTCTGATCTCAGTATTTACCATAACAAATCTGCTCCTATAATTGAGGCATACCGCCCTCAAAAACCTATCCGTAAACAGAACTGGACCTGGCCAGAGAAAATGAACGTACTTGTTTAGGAAGATTGCATTGCAGAACATGCAGAGATGCTGCACAATGATTCCTATGGAATCATTATTAATTGATCCCCTAAGGGGATGTTTAGCTTAAATTGCACCTCTCAGTCCATGTGCCACAGCCACACTATATTCAGCTGATCTGAACAAAATGATCAGATGGTAGATATAATAAGTATGGCAAGAGTTCCTATTATCTGGAACCGTGGCAGTATAGTGGCACCTCAACCTCAAATGATATGGCCCACTGTAGGAGCTAAACATTAAGGATTTGTGGAAACTATTAATAGCTCTTAATAAGATCAAAATTTGGGAAAGAATAAAAAAGCATCTAGAAAGACACTCTATGAATTTGTTTTTGGATATTGCAAAATTAAAAGAACAAATATTTAAAGCATCCCAGGCACACCTGACCTTAATGCCAGGAACTGGAGTGCTTAAAGGAGCTGCAGACAGATTAGCAGCTAGTAACCCATTAAAATGGATAAAAACACTTGGAAGCTCTGTGATTTCAATGATGATTGTGCTTTTAATCTGTGTTGTTTGTCTTTGTGTAGTCTGCAGATGTGGATCCTGACTCCTGAGAGAAGTAGCTCACCATGACAAAGCTGCCTTTGCTTGTATTGATTTGCAAATCAAAGAATGGGGACATATTGGGAGCAGGCCCCCCAAAATCTGGCCATAAACTGGCCCCAAAACTGGCCATAAACAAAATCTCTGCAGCACTGTGACATGCTCATGATGGCCATAACGCCCATGCTGGAAGGTTGTGAGTTTACTGGAATGAAAGCAAGGAACACCTGGCCTGCCCAGGACAGAAAACCACTTAAAGGCATTCTTAAACCATAAACAATAGCATGAGTGATCTGTGCCTTAAGGGCATGTTCCTGCTGCAGATAACTAGCCAGACCCATCCCTTTATTTCGGGCCATCCCTTCATTTCCCATAAGGGATACTTTTAGTTAATTGAATATCTATAGAAACAATGCTAATGACTGGTTTGCTGTTAATAAATACATGGGTAAATCTCTGTTCGGGGCTCTCAGCTCTGAAGGCTGTGAGACCCCTGATTTCCCACTTTACACCTCTATATTTCTGTGTGTGTGTCTTTAATTCCTCTAGCACCACTCGGTTAGGGTCTCCCTGACTGAGCTGGTCTCGGCACTTCTCTTTGCCTTGAAAGCAAGTACAGCGGACCTTCCTGGCATCAGAAAAAGGCCTCCAGAAAAAGAGACACAGGTACTAGCAATTGCAAATTATCCAGAGCCCTTCTAAGTTGTAAGATCTGAAGGAAATGTCTGCCATCTATATTCTCAGCCACACTTAGTTTCTTAATCTGCAAGATAGAATTAATAATAGTACTTACTTTATGACGCTGTTGCAGAAATTCATTGAGTTGCTACACGCCAAACACTGAGAACCCAGCTGGGCATATAATAAGCATTCTATTGCATGGCATTATTGCCATCATTTTTACTTCTATTACTGCTACTGCTTGTAACTGCTTGTGCTTTTTTGATATGAAAGTCCACCATCAGGGAGCACTGTAGTGGAAAATGTATTAGGCCAGGCATAGCCTTTAGTTGTCTGGCCTTGGGTCCTTCATCTGTGATATTCAGTTAACAATACCTAGCCAGTAGGGGTGTTAAAGATTAAATAAATGTGAGAATGTGCCTGTTGCTTAATCTTCCTCAAAGGGTTATGGACTCTCAGAGCCAGAAGAAGGTCCTCTCTCCTTTGCTCCTCGTATGCTGGGATCCGCCACATCAACGGCAACAGGTGGGCCTCCAGAATTTGCTCCAGGGTGTTTGGAAGTCCTGACACCCTCCTGATCTTCTCTGTAACATGCACACTTTGGCCTGTGTCAGTTTGCTGGAACCACATCAAGCCGGCCCTCTTCCTGGGACAAAATTCTTTCTTTTTCTCTTTTTCTCTTTTTCTTTCTTTCTTTCTTTCTTTCTTTCTTTCTTTCTTTCTTTCTTTCTTTCTTTCTTTTTCTTTCTTTCTTTCTTTCTTTTTTCTTTCTTTCTTTTTCTCTCTCTTTCTCTTTCTCTCTTTTTTCTTTTTCTCTCTCTCTCTTTCTTTCTCTTTCTCTCTTTCTTTCATTTTTCTTTCTTCCCCTTCCTTCCTTTCCTTCTTTCCTTCCCTTCCTTCCTTCCTTCCCTTCCATCCTTCCTTCTTTCTTTATTTCCCTCCTTCCTTCCTTCCTTCTTTCCTTCTTTCCTTCCTTCCTTCCTTCCTTCCTTCCTTCCTTCCTTCCTTCCTTCCTTCCTCTCACTCCAGTGTCCAGGCTGAAGTGCAGTGCACTGAACATGGCTCACTGCAGCCTTCACCTCTTCAGCTCAAGTGATCCTCCAAACTCAGCCTCCCAGTAGCTGGGACTACAGATGCATGCCACCATGCCCAGCTAATTTGTGTATTTTTTGTAGTAACAGGATTTCACCACATTGCCTAGTCCGGTCTCAAACTCCTGGCCTAAAGTGAGCCTTACACCTTGGCCTCCCAAAGTGCTGGGATTACAGGCATGAGCCACCGCACCTGCCCAGGAACAGAATATTGACCTCCATTTTAAAAGAATTCAAGAAGTTTGCTTGAATTCATGATCAAGCAGCTCACCAGCTGGGAATAATATAATGCCAATTCTTAGAGTAATGGCTAAATAAATCAGGATATAGCCATAGAACAGAATATGATGTAGAAAGCGAGGATGAAGTATTTCTTTATTTCTTCTTAAGAAAATAACTCTAAGCATAACATTGAGAAAGAATGAGGTATTCCTTTATTTCCTATTAAAGAAAGAACTCTAATCATAACTTTGAGTGATAAAAGCAGGTCGTATGCTATAATAACATTTAAATAATGCACACAAAATATAGCATATTTTAATTATATAGGAATGTTTATATGCATTCCATATTGCGACAGTTAATTTTAAATACCGCATGGCTAGGCATGGCCGAAGAGTATCTTAGATGTTTTTGTAAAGGTATTATTTAGGTAAGATTAACATTTAGATCAGTGTACTTTGAATAAAACAGATTACTCTCCATAGCGGGATGGGCCTCACTTAATCAGTTGAAGGCCTTAAAAGAAATAAGGCTGACCTCCCCCAAGGAAGAAGGAATTACGCCTCCAGGCTTTCTTTGGACTCAGGGTGCAACATCACTTCTTCCCTGGGTCTCCACACTGATGGCTGGAGTTACCCTGTCTGCATATTTTGGACTTGCCAGCTTCCACAATTGTGTGACCCAATTCCTTATAATAAATCTCTCTTCTCTCTCTTTCTGTCTCTCTCTCTCTCTCTCTCTCTCTATATATATATATATATACACACACACACAAATATATATAGATATATACACTTATGTATATATACATAAACCTATGTATACATACCTATTCCTTACCAATTCCTTACAATAAATCTCTATTCTCTCTCTTTCATTTTCTCTCTCTCTCTCTATATATATATGCATACACGTGTATAGATATATACGTGTATGTATATATACATAAATATATGTATACATAGATATGTGTACATAGATATGTATGTGTACATAGATATGTGTATATAGATATATATTTGCACATATGTATATGCACACGTATCTATGCATACCTACATATATTTATGTACACATATGCATGTGTATGTACACATATATGTATATATGCATATATACACAGATGCATGTACACATATATGTATATATGCATATATACACAGATGCATGTATACATGTGTACATATACATGCATATACACATGTATACATGTGTACATCATATATACACACATATACATATATGTGTATATATATGCACACACATATATATACACACACACACACATGCAAATGCTCACCCATGCACCTGCTCATACACACACACTTCTGGAATTGGGTAGGGAAGGAAGGACAGTAGGGACAGGGACATTTTAGACTTATCTGAATTGTTTTCATTTTTTAACAAAGAAAACTTATGCAAGCATTAATTTTGCAATTAAAAGGCATTCAAACATTTTGCTGCAGGCACTGACCAATATCCCCTGTGAAATATCACTAATGTCATGTTACTTACCCCTGTTAATGTTACAAAATTACACTATTTCTGTTTTCTGCTTTCCTAGTTTCCTGTTGCACCGTTTTTGATCTCTGCATGGTTTCACTGTCATCTAGCTTTTTGAAAAACTCATTTTGTTTGCTCTCCTTCCAGGTCCTGGCTTCCTGTCCTGGCCATCCAATCATATCCACCGCAAACAGGCCTTGTTTCTCTTTGTCACTGCAGGCCAGCTCTGAACCGTCTATTTTCTTCCACTGACATAGAAAGATGAGATGCGTCAGCGCCCTTGCAAACATGAAAGCCTAGCCAGTGAAGTGCTGAGTGCTGGAAGCTTTGCCTGGGCATGAACAGGTAGAGAAACTGGAGATTCTGTATCAGATGAAGTGACTCAAAGGGACAGAATGGCCATCTTTGGACAGTTTAAGAGCTTTCATAAGGAAGAGGAATCAGAACTCACTTCATGTGGCGCATGGTGCCGAATCAACAAGATAAGTGTTCCCAGGAAGCAGATTTCAGCCCATCTCAGCTCACTTCAACCTCTGCCTCCCGGGTTCAAGTGATTCTCCCACCTCAGCCTCCCGAGTAGCTGGGATTACAGGCATGTGCCACCATACCCAGCTAATTTTTGTATTTTTAGTAGAAATGGGGTTTCACCATATTGCCCAGGCTGATCTTAAACTCCTGAGCTCAAGGGATCCACCCACCTCGGCCTCCCAAAGTGCTGGGATTACAGGCTTGAGCCACAGCGCCTGACCTATATGCGTATTTTATGTCCAAAGAAAAAAGGACTATAAATAAATATGAGAGTCTTGTTATGTGTGCTGAAGTGTTTAGGGGTGAAATGTACTAATGCCGCAATTCATTTTGAAATGCCTCCAAATAGGATGGTTTGAGGGATGGATAGTTGAATAGATTTTATGATAAACTGAGCATAATGAAATGATAATTGTAGACTTCAGAGGTGGGTATGGTTGTTCACTGAAAAATTCTTTCAACTTTTCATTAAGTTTGAACATTTCTTATAAGTGTTAATTCATTTATTTTTTAGAGACAGGGTCTTGCTTTGTTTCCCGGGCTGGAGTGCAGTGATGTGATCCTAGCTCACTGCAGCCTCCAACTCCTGGGCTCAAGGGACGCTCCCTTCTCAGCCTCCCAAGAAGCTGAAACTACAAGTGCACTTCACTGCATTTGGCTAATTACCCAGGCTGGTCTCAAACTCTTGTCCTCAAGTGATCCTCCCACCTCGGCCTCCCAAAGTGTTAGGATTACAGGTGTAAGCCCCACACCCCAAACGTTTTTATAATGAAACACTGAAGAGAAATTCTGATGCTGAGACCCTGGACTTACATCTGTTAATGAGATCTTTCCTCAATTAAATATGCTGCCATTGGAAACTGGTACATTTCTTCATCAAGGGCAACAGTTTGTCAAGGGCAACATACACATATTCCTGGGAGAAGTGACACTGTGGGAGATTGTTGAGCTTTTTTACCCCTGAAAATGAACTTATCGGGGAATACGTTCATGATCTCTCCACAGGTTCTAATAATGAGGGGAGACCTGGGTTCTGCACCTGGCCTTGTTGTCGTGGTTACTGTTGCTTTCAGGTGATGGCACCTGTTCTCCAGGTGTGTCTGGACTTGTACTTGCTTTAGCCATATATGGCCACCAGTGGGCGCAGTTACCCCACAGTTGCCTGGAGCATCCACACTCTTCAAACTCACAGCTTGAAATGTCACCTGCAGCCGTCTGAGGTCATCCACGGTTATTTTCTTTTTCTTTTCTTTCCTTCCTTCCTTCCTTCCTTCCTTCTTCCTTCCTTCCTTCCTTCCTTCCTTTCTTTCTTTCTTTCTTTCTTTCTTTCTTTCTTTCTTTCTTTTCTTTCTTTCTTTCCTTCTTTCTTTCTTTCTCCCTTCTTTTCTTCTCCTTTCTTTCTTTTTTCTTCCTTTTTCTTTTTCTTTCTTTTTCTTTCTTTCTTCTCTCTCTTTCTTCTTTCTCTCTCTCTCACTCCCTTCCTTCCTGCTTTCCGTCTTTCCTTCTATCCTTCCTTCCTTCTCCCCTCCTCTCCCCTCCCCTCTTCTCCCCTTCCCGACAGAGTTTCGCTCTTGTTGCCCAGGCTGGAGTGCTGTGGCGTGCTCTCGGCTCACTGCAACCACTGCCTCCTGGGTTTAAGTGATTCTCCTGCCTCAGCCTCCCAGGTAGCTGGGATTACAGGTGCCCGCCATCATGCCCAGCTAATTTTTGTATTTTTAGTAGAGATGGGGCTTCCCCATGTTGGCCAGGCTAATCTTGAACTCCCGACCTCAGGTGATCCACCCTCCTTGGCCTCCCAAAGTGCTGGGATGACAGGTGTAAGCCACTGCGGCTGGACATCCACGGCTGTTTTCGTCATGCCTCACCTTCCCCTGTTGGTTCAGTGACCTTCAAAGGACAGAGACTCTGTTCAGGACCCCAATTCCGCTGGCACCGTCTGGTGCAGGGAGTCTTTTTTTTCTCCTATACCCCACATACTGCAGAATCTAAAGTAGGGTCTGTATCCTCCATGCTTCCTGTGGTTGCGTCCAAGACATTTCTCTTCCAAAGGCAGCAGAGTCACCTGCTGTCCCTCTCGGTGACTGCTGTCTGCTGGTCTTCCGCTTACACCTCCTCATCCACTGAGGACTTGGGCTGTCAGTTGACAGTGTTCTCCATCATTCTTGTCATCTCGTTAGAGGGGTTGCTGCCTGGCAACCCGTCTACATTCCCCAGGAGGTTTGCAACAGTGATTTCATACAAGACGTTGGCATTGTCACCCACGTGGACATGCCAGGCTACTCCCTGAGGGCGTCATCACCCACGTGGACAGGCCAGGCTACTCCCTGAGGGTGACGTCACCCACGTGGACAGGCCAGGCTACTCCCTGTCTCTCTGGGCACCAGGACTGCTGCAGCTCCAGTGACCTTTTCGAGTGTGCCTCTCAGCCACTTCTCCCTGCCTGTGGTCACACCTGGGACCCTCCATCACCCAGAAAGGAGACTTCAGACAGTTCCCCACTGACCTCTCCTCTCTCGTTCCAGAACTCTCCATTTGGCCTCATCACCTCACTGTCACTCTCTATGTGTCCACTGCCTTCCTTAATCATCGTTCATAATTAAAATCAACTCCTGCAGGGCGAGGTGGTTCACGCCTGTAATCCCAGCACTTTGGGAGGCCGAAGTGGACGGATCACTTGAGGTCAGGAGTTTGAGATCAGCCTGGCCAACATGGCGAAACACCCATCTCTACTGAAAATACAAAAATTAGCCAGGTGTGGCGGTGGGCACCTGTAATCCCAGCTACTGGGGAGGCTGAGGCAGGAGAATCACTTGAATCCGGGAGGTAGAGGTTGCAGTGAGCTGAGATCACACCACTGCCCTCCAGCCTGGGTGACAGAGGGAGACTCCATCTCAAAAAAAAAAAAAATCAACTCCTTTGTCTCTCTCTCTCCTGACATTGTTCCCCTCAACAAGGGTGACATGAACGGGCTAGATGTCTTGCGTCTGCACCTGGACAGCCAAGCATCACTGGGAAAGCACACACTCAGCTGAACTTTTACTTTATTTATTCATCTATTTATTCATTTATTTATTTTAGAGACAGCTTCTCACTCTGTCACACAGGCTGGAGTGCGATGGTGTGATCAGAGCTCGCTGGAGCCTCCACCTCCTGGGCTCAAGCGATCCTCCCACCTCAGCCTCCCTGGGAGCTGGGATTATAGACGTGCACCACACCATGCCCAGCTGACTTTCTAATTTTCTGTAGAGATGAGGTCTCATCATGTTGCCCAGGCTGCTGTTGAGCTCCTGGCCTCAAGCAATCCTCCTCACCTCAACCCCTCAATGTGCCGGGATTACAGGTGTGAGCCACCATGTCTGGCTGTACTGCCCAGGCTGGAGTGCAGTGGAGCGATCTCGGCTCACTGCAATCTCTGCCTCCTGGGTTCAAGCGATTCTCCCACCTCAGCCTTCTGAGTAGCTGGGATTACAGGTGCCCACAACCATGCCTGGCCAGCTTTTATATTTTAAGTAGAGATGGGGTTTCACCATGTTGGTCAGGCTGGTCTCAAATTCCTGGCCTCAGGTGATCCACCTACCTCGGCCTCTCAAAGTGCTGGGATTACAGGAGTAAGCCACTGAGCTCGGCCTGGCCAGACTTTCACTTTAAATTCACAGATTTCAAGTGGGCTGCCTGGCAACCCCTTTACATTCCCCCAGGAGGTTTGCAACAGTGATTTCATACTTCCTCTCTCTCTCCTCAAACCTCCTGTGCTTCCTTCCCTCCCTCTCTTCTGCTCAGCTGATGCTCACTTCTCTAACGTTATTAGAAGCCATCAGAATGAATACTCTTTTTTTTTTCTCTTTTTTGAGACAAAGTCTTGCTCTGTCACCCAGGCTGGAGTGCAGTGGTGCAATCTCCCTCCAAGCTCCGCCTCCTGGGTTCACGCCATTCTCCTGCCTCAGCCTCCCTAGTAGCTGGAACTACAGGCGCCCGCCACCATGCCCGGCTAATTTTTTGTATTTTTAGTAGAGACGGGGTTTCACTGTGTTAGCCAGGATGGTCTCAATATCCTGACCTCGTGATCCGCCCACCTTGGCCTCCCAAAGTGCTGGGATTACAGGCGTGGACCGCGCCTGGCCCAGAGTGAATATTCTTATCTTCCCACCACCCACCGACTGTGTCTCTGTTCCTTCCACTGTCACTGTGTAATAATTGCCCTTCTGGGGCTGGGCATGGTGGCTCATGCCTGTAATCCTAGCACTTTGGGCGGCTGAGGTGAGAGGACTGCTTGAGGCCAAGGGCTTGAGACCAGCCTGGGCAACATAGTGAGACTCTATCTCTACAAAAAGTTTAAAAATTAGCAAGGGTCTGGGTGCGGTGGCTCCCGCCTGTAATCCTAGCACTTTGAGAGGCTGATGCAGGCGGATCACCTGAGGTCAGGAGTTCAAGACCAGCCTGGCCAACATGGTGAATCCCTGTCTCTACAAAAATACAAAAAGTAGCAGGGCCTGGTGGCATGTGTCTGTAATTCCAGCTACTTGGGAGGCTGAGGCAAAAGGATCACTTGAACTCGGGAGGCAGAGGTTGCAGTGGACCGAGATCATGCCATTGCACTCCAGCGTGGGTGACAGAGCAAGACTGCATCTCAAAAAATTAAAAAAAATAAAAATAAAAGTTAGCAAGCCATGGTGGTGTGCACCTGTGGTCCCAGCTACTCAGGAGGAGCTGGGAGGATCGCTTGAGCCCAGGAGTTCAAGGCTGCAGTGAGCTGTGATTGGGTCACTGCACACCAGCCTGGGCGATGGAGTGAGACCTTATCTCTTAAAAAAAAAAAAAAAAAAAGAATTATCCTTTTGATTGATGAAGCCGCGGACCACCCTGAGCTGTGCTTCCTATTCCTTCTGGCTTTCCCAAGCTTTTCTTGTCCACCGGAAGCTTTCACTAGAAGGTAGAGGACTGGCTCTGTAGTTGGGAACTACAGTTGGGAACATTCAAGAATATTCTATTAACATATTTACATTTTTTAAATATTTGGTTTTAAGAATATCAGCCCCCTTGGCCAGGCACAGTGGCTCACGCCTGTAATCCCAGCACTTTGGGAGACTGCGGTGGGCGGATCACCTGAGGTCAGGAGTTCAACGCCAGCCTGACGAACATGGTGAAACCCTGAATCTACTTAAAAAATACAAAAATTAGCCAGGTGTGGTGGTGGGTGCCTGTAATCCCAGCTACTCGAGAGGTTGAGGCAGGAGAATTGCTTGAACCCGGGTGGCAGAGGTTGCAGTGAGCCGAGAGCAAGCCACTGCACTCCAGCCACAGATGCTATCTCCAAAAAAAAAAAAAAAAAAAAAAGAATATTACTATCAGTCACTCCTTGCACTCCTTGATATAACTGGAGATCTGAGATAACATAACAGCTGTGGCACCGCTATGGACCAGAGAGGGGACAGGAGGCTTCCCCAAGGGCAGCTATAGTTCAGTAATCCGTTAACAAAATTCTCCCTTCTAAAGTCTCCACCATTTTTTTTTAAGACAAAGTCTCACTCTGTCACCCAGGCTGGAAATGCAGTGGCGAGATCTCAGCTCACTATAGCCTCTGCCTCCCAGCTTCAAGTGATTCTCCTGCTTCAGCCTCCCAAGTAGCTGGGACTAAAGGCATGTGCCAACACACCCAGCTGATTTTTGTATTTTTGTATATATATATATATTTTTTTTTTCTTTTTTTTTTTTGCAGAGTTGGGGTTTCACCATGTTGGCCAGGCTGGTCTCAAACTCCTGACCTCAGGTGATCCTCCCACCTCGGCCTCCCAAAGTCCTGGGATTACAGGTGTGAGCCACCGTGCCCGGCCTAATTTTTGTATTTTTAATAGAGACGGGGTTTCACCATGTTAGTCAGGCTGATCTTGAACTCCTGACCTCAAGATCCACCCATCTCGGCCTCCCAAAGTGCTGGGATTGCAAGCATGAGCCACCACGCCAGGCCTTATATGTGTTTTTCTAAATGCACTTAGAAATCAATGGGTAGGGCTTGGCTGCTTTAGGAAACCGTTCCAGAACTCTACTCTGCCCATAGACCCAGAAAAACACAAATGAGGACAAACAAGGAAAGCTTAGGTTTTCCCTGGAGAAACAGGAAAGGTAGAAACAGACAGGACCAGACAACCGGCCAGACAAGACCACGTGTAAGTGCCAAAAGAACCACACAGGCCACGCCTTTAATTCCAGCACTTTGGGAGGCCAAGGTACAAAATCACTTGAGGCCAGGAGCTTGAGGACAGTTTGAGAACAGCTTGGGCAATATAGCAAGACCCCATCTCTACAAAAAATTTTTTAAAGTCTGGGTATAGTGGCTCGTACCTATAATGCCAACACTTTGGGAGGCTGAGGTGGAAAATTGATCACTTGAGCCCACAAGTTCAAGATCAGCCTGAGCAACATAGCGAGACTCTGTGTCTATAAATTTTTTTTTTAATTAGGCATGGTGGCCTACATCTGTAGTCCCAGCTACTTAGGAAGCTGAGGCAGGAGGATCCCTTGAACCCAGGTTGATGCTGCAGTGAGCTGTGTTCATGCCACTGCACTCCAGCTTGGGCGACAAAGCGAGACCCTGTCTCTCAAGACAAAAATGTTTTTTTAATTAGCTGGGCATGGTGGCATGCCAAGAGCAGAAATTTGTCAGGGTATTAAGTTGAAACAATAACAGTCCTTTAAAGCTTTTATATGCTTAAAAAAAATGACCTTATGCCCCCACCCACTCCATTCTCTCCTGGTTTAACTGCTGCTTATGTTTTATTTTTATTTTTTTGTTGAGACAGGGTCTCGCTCTGTCGCCCAGGCAGGAGTGCAGTGGCACGATGATAGCTCAATGCAGCCTGGAACTCCTGGGCTCAAGCAGACCATCTGTTTCTGGTCAAAAAAGGAAAAAAAAAAATCGTTTGTTTCTGGTCAGAAGTCAGGTAGCTCAGTCCTTCATGAAGAGGAATGCCTTGCATGAGCTAGATTACTCAAAGGGTCCCAGTATAAAAGATACCCCCTCCCACCTCTTAGAAACCTTCAAATGCTAGAAAGAATGTTCCAAAAGGCCGGCTGTGACTAGGAGCTGAATAGAGGCTGCTCCCTCTGAAAAATAACATCATGTCAAGCTGGGCAAATCTGAGAGCTATGAACCTTCCTAAATGTCAAAATTGCTAAGGTATTTTTAAAACTCAGAGACTTATATTAACAACTGAGAAGAGAAAGCGGTGGAAAACATGAAGAAATCACACTTTTGTTAGGTGTTGAATTACTGGAGACGTATGTGTGTCATGAATTGCGTCTCCCAAATTTGTATGTTAAAGTCCTAACCTCCAGGACCTTAGAATGTGACTATATTTAGAGATAGGGTCTTTAAAGAAGTTAAGTTAGAATGAGGTCATTGGGGTGGGCCCCAACCCAATCTGACTGGTGTCCTTATAAGAAGGGGAGATGGGGCCATGCATGGTGGCTCATGCCTGTAATCCCAGCAATTTGAGAGGCCAAGGCAGGCAGATCACCTGAGGTCGGGAGTTCGAGACCAGCCTAACATGGAGAAACCCCGTCTCTACTAAAAATACAAAATTAGCCGGGTGTCCTGGCGCATGCCTGTAATCCCAGCTACTTGGGAGGCTGAGGCAGGAGAATCGCTTGAACCCGGGAGGTGGAGATCATGCCATTGCACTCCAGCCTGGGCAACAAGAGTGAAACTCCATCTCAAAAAAAAAGTCAGCTAGCTCATGTCTTTTTATTTTTATTTTTGAGACAGGGTCTTGTTCTGTTGATCAGTTTGGAGGGCAGTGGTACAATCATAGTTTACTGCAGCCTTGACCTCCTGGGTTCAAGGGATCCTCCCATCTCAGCCTCCAGAGTAGCTGGGTCCACAGGCATGCACCACCATGCCTGGCTAATTTTTATATTTTTTGTAGAGATGGGGTCTCTTCATGTTTCCTAGGCTGGTCTCCAGCTCCTGGCCTCAAACAATCCTCCTGCCTCAGCCTCCCAAATTGCTGGGATTACAGGCATGAGCCACCACGCCCAGCCTCTTTTTATAATGTACTGAAACACTCTTTCAAAGTACTGGTGAGTGCACAATACAATTTTCCTTTAGGTTCAGTTTTTCTATCCCAGAACTTGCTGAATCTGAATCCCAGCCTTGTGCATTCCTGTACTCTGTTTCTGCCATTCACTCTGAGTGTGGGATGCAGAAACAGCTTTTTAGATACTGGTGCTTAATTAACTCCCAAAGGCATGAAGAAAAAGGTCTTTGGGCCAGGCGCAGTGGCTCACACCTGTAATCCCAGCACTTTGGGAGGCTGAGGCAGGTGGATCACTTGAGGTCAAAAGTTCGAGACCAACCTGGCCAACATGGCAAAACTTCGTCTCTACTAAAAATACAAGAATTAGCCTGGCATGATGGTGGGTGCCTGTAATCCCAGCTATTTGGGAGGCTGAGGCAGGAGAATCTCTGGAACCCAGGAGGCGGAGGTTGCAGTGAGCAGAGATCACACCACTGCAATACAGCCTGGGCGACAGAGTGAGACTGTCTCAAAAAAAAAAAAAAGAAAGAAAAAAGAAAAAGGTATTTGCACATTTCTGATCACAGAGGCCCTGAAGATGGGTCTGCTGGCCTTTTACTCTTCTCAGAAACCTGCTTGGTGTTTGGGAGGAGGGTTGAGAAGGGGGCAAGAGCTGACTTTCCTCGCCCTGCAACTGCACGCGGGGGTGGCTGTTCTGTGTTCAGTGACGCGCTAAACTCCAGACCTGTGAGCCCTCACATGTTTTCCTCCCTTTCTCTGGCCGGGCGCCGGTTGGCCCACATGCCCTTAGCTTTCAGAACATCCAGCTCTGCCAACCTTGCAGGAAGGTCTGGGGGTAGGGGGTTCGGGGAAGAATCTTTATTGGGGCCATACACACTGCAGCCTCATAGGATGGGTGGGGCAGGAGCCAGGGCCCAGTTGACCCTGATGAAAAGCTTAATAGAGATACGTAGCCCAGCTCTGGCCGGGCACAGTGGCTCTCATGCCTGTAATCCCAGCACTTTGGGAGGCTGAGGCGGGTGGATCACTTGAGCCCAGAAATACTAGACTAGCCTAGGCAACATGACAAGACACCCCTCTTTATTTTATTATTTTTTATTTATTTACTTTTTTGAGACAAAGTTTCGCTCGTTTCGCAGACTGGAGTGCAACCGCACGATCTCGGCTCACTGCAACCGCCTCCTGAATTCAAGCGATTCTCCTGCCGCAGCCTCCTGAGTAGCTGGGATTATAGGCATGTGGCACCATGCCCAGCTAATTTTTGTATTTTTAGTAGAAATGGGGTTTCACCATGTTGTCCAGGCTGGTCTGGAACTCCTGACCTTAGGTGATTCACCCGCCTCGGCCCCCCAAAGTGCTGAGATTACCGGCGTAAGCCAGGGTGCCTGGCCAATGCCCCTCTTTATAAAAAAATATATAAAATTTGCAGGGTGTGGTGGCTCTTGCCTGTAATCCCAGCACTTTGGAGGCTGAGGTGGGCGGATCACAAGATCAGGAGACCGAGAGCATCCTGGCTAACATGGTGAAACCCCATCTCTACTAAAAATACAAAAAATTAGTAGTCCCGGCTACTCGGGAGGCTGAGGCAGGAGAATGGTGTGAATCCGGGAGGCGGAGCTTGCAGTGAGCCGAGATTGCGCCACTGCACTCCAACCTGTGCAACCGAGCGAGACTCCGTCTCAAACAAAACAAAACAAAACAAAATACAGAAAAAAAAATTATAAAATTAGCCGGGTGTGATGGTGCATGCCTGTAGTCCCAGCTACCGAGGAGGCTGGGGTGGAGAATTTCTTGAGCCTGGGAGGTTGAGATTGCAGTGAATTGTGATCGTGCCACTGCACTCCAGCCTGGGGGACAGAGCAAGATGAAAGAAAGAAAGAAACAAAGGGGGGGGGGGTGGGAGGGAGGGAGGAAGGAAGGAAAGAAGGAAGGAAGGAAGGAAAGAAGGGAGGAAGGAAGGGAGGGAGGAAGGCAGGGGAGAAAAAAGAGAGAGAGGGAAAGAAAGAAAGAAAGAGAGAGAGAAAGCAATTATTATAATATGATGGTCAAAGTGTTCTTATTCAGTTAGCCTCTCACCGGAGCTTAGCGGAGGGGTCTTCAACTCTAGACTACAAGTTAAGGCAAAGTTTTCAGAATTGAGTTTTTTTCTGTTTTTGTTTTTTTGTTTGTTTTTGAGACAGGATCTTGCTGTGTTCCCGAGGCTGGAGTGCAGTGTTGCAATCATAGATCACTGCAGCCTGGAACTCCTGGGCTCATGTGATCCTCCCATCTCAGCCTCCCAAGTACCTGGGATTACAGTAGAGATGCACCACCATGCCCAGCTAATTTTTAAATTTTTTTGTAGAGACAGGGTCTTGCTATTTGCCCAGGCTGGTCTCAAACTCTTGGGCTCAAGCAATCCTTTCTCCTTGGCCTCCCACAATGTTGAGATTACAGGTGCGAGCCACCATGCCCACCCAGAGTGATCTTTTTCTTTTTGAGATGGAGTTTCACTCTTGTCATCCAGGTTGGAGTGCAGTGGTGCAGTGGTGCAGTGGCATGATCTCAGCTCACTGCAACCTCCACCTCCTGGGTTCAAGTGATTCTCGGGATTACAGGTGTGAGCCACCGTGCCTAGAGTCCATATTTTGGAATATTTTCGATCTGTGGTTGGCTGAATCCATGGATGGGGAACCTGCAGTTATAAGGGTCAACTGTACTGGCCTCGTCAGTCTGGAAGTGCCCCTTCTTCTGTTTTCTGGAGATTACGTGTAATTGGTGTTGCTATTTCTTTAGCTATGAGCAGACTTCTCCAGTGAAACTATCTGGGTCTGGAGATACCTTTTTCAAGAGTGGGAGGAAAGAGTTAACACAACAGGTCTGATTCACTCATTTCTCACTTATTTCTGTAGCCAAAGCGTGGCCATTGGTCAAACTCTGAAAACCAAACTCCTGGAATATTCACATAGCTACCAGGTCAGATGTTATTCTCCACGTCCAAAACAGTGAGCCCAGATGAACCAGGCTGTCAGCAGGTTTAAAGTAAACATACAGATTCATGATGCTTGGCCAGGCACAGTGGCTCACGCCTGTAATCCCAGAATTTGGCGAGGCCAAGGCAGGCGGAATCGCTTGAGGTCAGGAGTTCAAGATCAGCCTGGCCAGCATGGCAAAAACCTGTCTCTACTGAAAATACAAAAAATTAGCTGGATGTGGTGGTGAGTGCCTGTAATCTCAGCTACTTGGGAGGCTGAGGCAGGAGGATCATGTGAACCCAGGAGACAGAGGTCGCAGTGAGCCAAGATCACACCACTGCACTCCAGCCTGGGTGACAGAATGAGACTCTGTCTCAAAAAAAAAAAAAGCCACAGTGAGCTATGATCATGCCACTGCACTCCAGCCTAGGCAACATAGTAAGACCCCATTTTTGAAAAAAAAAAAAGAATAAAAGATTCATGATGCCCAACCTGGTGGTTTAGGGCTGTGTTTGGTCACATGGCAGGAATGTCACCCAGGCTGGAGTGCAATGGTGTGATCTCAGCTCACTGCAACCTCCGCCTCCTGGGTTCAAGTGATCCTCCTGCCTCAGCCTCCCAAGTAGCTGGGATTGCAGGTGTGTGCCACCATAGCCGGCTAATTTTTTTACATTTTTAGTAGAGATGGGGTTTTACCATGTTGGCCAGGCTGCTCTTGACCTCCTGACCGCAGGTGATCCGCCCCCGTCAGCCTCCCAAAGTGCTAGGATTACAGCCATGAGCCAGATGGAGTCTTGCTCTTGTCTCCTAGGCTGGAGTGCAGTGGCATGACCTAGGCTCACTGCAACCTCCGCCTCCCGGGTTCATGCGATTCTCCTGCCTCAGCCTCCAGAGTAGCTGGGATTACAGGTGCCTGCCAACATGCCCAGCTAATATTTTTGTATTTTTGGTAGAGACGGGGTTTCACCATGTTGCCTAGGCTGGTCTTGAACTCCTGACCTCAGGTGATCCGCCCGCCTTGGTCTCCCAAAGTGCTGGGATGACAGGCATGAGCCACCACGCCCAGCCTTTTTTTTTTTTTTTAAATAAAGACGAGATCTCACCGTGCTGCCCAGGCTGGTCTCAAACTCCTGGACTCAAGCAATTCTCCCATCTCGGCCTCCCAAAGTGCTGGGATTACAGGGGTGAGCCACTGTGCCTGGCCTAACCACACAAATTTTGACTCCAGAACTCAAGTGGGATTTCCTGGGCAAGGACATCTCACACAAGTCCTTGCAGTTTGCTCCTGGAAAAGATAAGTCTGTGCTGTCCCTGCAGAGGATAAGTATGCATTTGACCTTCCAGCCTTCATCTATTAATATCCTTTTTCCTGCTGTCTTTGTATTGTATCCTCCACTGTAATAAACCTTCACCTAGAGTATAACTTGATCTAGAGTCACATGGGTCCTTCCAGGGAATCACCAAACTAGTTGTATGCCACCACGAAGACAAGAAATTATTTTATTAAAACTATGAATTCAAGGACAGGCATGGTGGCTCACGCCTGTAATCCTAACACTTTGGGAGGTTGAGGTGGGTGGATCGCATGAGGTCGGGAGTTCGAGACCAGCCTGGCCAACATAGTAAAACTCTGTCTCTTCTGAAAATACAAAAAATTAGCCGGGTGTGGTGGTGGGCACCTGTAGTCCCAGCTACTTGGGAGGCTGAGGCAAAAGAATTGCTTGAACCCAGGAGGCAAAGGTTGCAGTGAGCCAAGATTGTGCCACTGCACTCCAGCCTGGGTGACAGACTGAGACACCATCTCAAAAAAAAAAAAAAAAAAAAAAGGATTCAGCTGGGCCTAGTGGCTCATGCCTGTAATCTTAACACTTTGGGAGGCTGAGGCAGGTGGATTGCTTGAGCCCCAGTAGTTGAAGACCAGCCTGGGCAACTTGGCAAAACCCCGTCTCTACAAAAAATAAAAAACTAGCTGTGTGTGGTGGCGGGCGCCCATAGTCCTAACTACTCAGGAGGCTGAGGTGGGAGGATCACCTGAGCCCAGGAAGTCAAGGCTGCGGTGAGCCGTGATTGTGCCACTGCACTCCAGTATGGGTGACAGAGTGAGATGCAGTGTCACAATAAAATAAAATAAAAATAAAAAACCATGAGTTCAATTTTTAAAATTGTTACAAGATTTTAAAAATTATGTTTCATATTGAGTGTTTTTTGGTAGTTTGTAGTTTTCAAGGAATTGGTCCATTTCATCCAACTTGTTGGATTTATATGGGTAGAGTTGCTTAGTATTCCCTTATTATCCTTTTGTTAGTTTTGTTTTGTTTTTTGAGACGGGGTCTAACTCTGTCACCCAGGCTAGAGTGCAATGGCACAATCTTAGTTCACTGCAACCTCTGCCTCCCTGGTTCAAGTGATTCTAGTGCCTTGGCCTTCCAAGTACCTGGGATTACAGGCGCCCGCCACCACGCCTGGCTAATTTTTCTTTTTTTTTTTTCTTTTGAGACAGAGTCTTGCTCTGTCGCCCAGGCTGGAGTGCAGTGACCTGATCTCAGCTCACTGCAACCTCCACCTCCTGGGTTCAAGCAATTCTCCTGCCTCAGCCTCCTGAGTAGCTGGCACTACAGGCACCCACAACCATGCCCAGCAAATTTTTTGTATTTTTAGTAGAGACAAGGTTTCACCGTGTTAGCCAGGATGGTCTCGATCTCCTGACCTTGTGATCTGCCCACCTCGGCCTCCCAAAGTGCTGGGAATACAGGCATGAGCCACCATGCCTGGCCTAATTTTTGTATTTTTAGTAGAGACGGGGGTTTCACCATGTTGCCCAGGCTGGTCTTGAACCCCTTACCTCAGGTGATCCACCTGCCTCCGCCTCCCAAAGTGCCGGGATTACAGGCATCAGCCACTACACCCGGCCTTGTTTTGTTGTTTTGTTTTGTTTTGAGGTTTTGAGATGGAGTTTCGCTCTTGTTGCCCAGGCTGGAGTGCCCTGGCACGATCTCGGCTCACTGCAACCTCCTTGTCCCAGGTTCAAGCGAATATGGAACGCAACACAAATTTGCACGTCATCTTTGTGCAGAGGCCATGCTAATCTTCTCTGTATCTTTCCAATTTTAGTATACGTGCTACCAAAGCGTGCACAATTTTTGTATTTTTTATAGAGATAGGGTCTTGCCATGTCACCCAGGCTGGTCGCAAACTCCTGAATTGAAGTGATTCGACCACCTCGGGCCTCCCAGAGTGCTGGGATTACAGGTATGAGCCACAACACCTAGCCTCAAATGGAAATTTTAAAACAAAAATACAATAACAAAAATTTAAAACTCACTAGATGGACTCAATTAACAATATGAAGGTGAGGAAGAGTCAGTAGACAAACATGGATTGATAGAAAGCACTCAAACTGGCCAGTCAAGGTGGCTCATGCCTGCAATCCCAGCACTTTGGGAGGCTGAGGTGGTGGATCATTTGAGGTCAGAGTTCAAGACCAGCCTGGCCAACACGGCAAAGCCCCGTCTCTACTAAAAATACAAAATTAGCCAGGCATGGTGGCACACGCCTGTAATCCCAGCTACTCAGGAGGCTGAGGCGGGAAATTGCTTCAACCCGGGAGGCAGAGGTTGCAGTGAGCTGAGATCGTGCCATGGCACTCCAGCCTGGGCAACAAGAGCAAAACTCCATCACAAAAAAAAAAAAAAAAAAAAAGTGCTGAAACTGAGGCCGGGCGTGGTGGCTCATGTCTGTAATCCCAGCACTTTGGGAGGCCAAGGTGGGTGGATCACCTGAGGTCATGAGTTTGAGAGCAGCCTGGCCAGCATGGTGGAACCCTGTCTCTACTAAAAATACAAAAATTAGCCAGGCTTGGTGTTGACTGCCTGTAATTCCAGCTACTCAGGAGGCTGAGGCAGGAGAATCACTTGAACCTGGGAGGCGGAGGTTGCAGTGGAGCCGGGATCGTGTCACTGCACAACAGCTGAAATGACAGAGCAAGATTGCATCTCAGAAAAAAAAAAAAAGAAAAAAAAAGATCAATGGGATTACTTGGTGTGTTTCTGTTTCTTTCAGGGAAATTTATCAGAAGAAAGAGAAAGGATATTTCAGTTTTCTCTGAAAAGCTGATTTTGAAAAGAGCCCTATATCTGATACATAATTTCCCCATGATTCTCCAGAATTCTAAAAAGGGAAGCACATTGTTAATGTTAAAAGTTTTTTTCCTAGGGCTATTTTTGGACTGGACAGAAAAGCAGAATAGTTTGTGTTTTGTGTGGACTTCAGAGTGCATTGAAGGCTGTAAAATAACCAATCTTGTTAAACATCTGTATCCAAAGTCACAGCATTCCAAGCATAGTATAACCCTTGTATATTACTAAAGACTACCCCATTGTTATGTTTTTGCCTTTTTTTTATAAACTGGCTTTACTGAGACATAATTTACGGACAATAAGTTCTACATATTTGAAATATCAAGTAGGTGACTTTTATCAAAGGTATAAAACATTTTCACCTCCTTCATTCCCCTTTACAGTCAATCTCCCTTTCACTCCCCACTCCAGGCAACCACTCATCTGATGGCTCTCTCTATAGGTCAACTTTGCCTGTTCTAGAATTTCATGTAATTAAAATCACGCAGTATGTGCCCTTTTGTGTTTAACACGTCTCACTGAGCAAAATGTGAGATTCACGCACACTGCATGCATCAGTAGGTTCCTTTTTATAGTTGAGTAGAGGTTTTGGTCTGAACATACCACAGTTTATTTATTCTCCTCTTGATTGACAAAAGGGTTGTTTAGGATTTTTTGGCTAAGTAAATCTCTTTTGAATGTTATTGGACTAGAATTTTTTTTTACATTTTATTATTATTATACTTTAAGTTTTAGGGTACATGTGCACAACGTGCAGGTTTGTTACATATGTATACATGTGCCATGTTCGTGTGCTGCACCCATTAACTCGAGATGGAGTTTTGCTCTTGTTGCCCAGGCTGGAGTGCAGTGGCATGATCTTGACTCACTGCAACCTCCACCTTCCAGTTTCAAGCTATTCTCCTGCCTCAGCCTCTCGAGTAGCTAGGATTACAGGCACCCGCCACCACGCCCAGCTAATTTTTGTATTTTTAGTAGAGACGAGGTTTCATCATGTTGGCCAGGCTGGTCTCAAACTCCTGACCTCAGGTGATCCGCCTGCCTCGGCCTCCCAAAGTGCTGGGATTATAGGCGTGAGCCACTGCACCTGGCCATGTTTTTGCTTTTATGAGATATTCATTGGAATTAGAATTTGTTTGATGCCGCTTCAGGATATCAGTAATTATTAAAAGAAAATGTGACTTTTTAACAAAGCAGTCCAGGAATACATTGTAGAGAAAAAAGATGACTGCTTAAAATATGGCTATGGTTAAAATGTTGTCTATATTAAGGAACCTTCGTGAGATCCCCGACATCATTGTGAACACAATCTTTTGTGATTATGTTACATGATTTTCATCTTTTTTTCAATTTATCTAAGTGCTTGGCCATAAAGACACAACTGACCACACTTAACCCCTCTTGAAGACATTTTTAAATCTCTAAATGAACACTAACTCCAACATATCTATCTTGTTTTTACCACAAGCATTTTGAAAAAGCAGAGTAGGCCAGGTGCAGTGGCTCATGCCTGTAATCCCAGCACTTTGGGGGGCCAAGGTGGGTGGATCAGCTCAGGTCAGGAGTTCAAGACCAGCCTGGACAACATGGTGAAACCCCGACTCTATTAAAAATACAAAAATTAGCTGGGCATGGTGGCAGGTGCCTATAATCCCAGCTACTCAGGAGGCTGAGGCAGGAGAATCACTTGAACAATCTGGGAGGCAGAGTTTGCAGTGAGCCAAGATCTCACCATCGCACTCCAGCCTGGGTGACAGAGCAAGACTCTGTCTCAAAATAAAAATTAAACAAAAAAAAGAAAGGAAAAGAAACATCTGATGAATGGGGAAAATCTATATGTATTCTTAAAAAAAAATGCTTTCCAGGGCTGGGTGCGGTGGCTCACGCCTGTAATCCCAGCACTTTGGGAGGCTGAAGTAGGTGGATAACCTGAGTTTAGGAGTTCAAGACCAAACTGACCAACATGGAGAAATCCTGTCTCTACTAAAAATACAAAATTAGCCGGGCATGGTGGCACATGCCTGTAATCCCAGCTACTAGGGAAGGCTGAGGCAAGAGAATCACTTGAACCTGGGAGGTGGATGTTGTGGTGAACCAAGATTGCACCATTGCACTCCAGCCTAGGCAAAAAGAGTGAAACTCCATCTCAAAAGAAAAAGAAAAAAAGCTTTTCAAATTTTTGCATTTCTGACAACTGGATGTCCCCACCTGCCAACCAGTCCTGTGGCCCCCACTCAGGAACTGACTCAGCCCAAGAGGACAGCTTTAATTCTCTGTGATTTCATCTCCTGCACCCAACCAATCAGCAGGCCCCCTATCCTAGCCCCTTGCCCACAACACTATCTTGGAAAAATCCCTAATCTCCAAGATGTTAGCAAGATTGATGTGAGTAATAACTCCATCTCCCACGTGGCATAGCTGGCTTCGCATCAATGAAACTCTTTAATGCCATGGTCTTCAGTGGATTTTGTTTGTGTGGTAGTCAGGAAGAACCCCTTGGGCCATTACAAACATGGGGATATTGTAGAGGACCATTTTAGAGACCACATCCTATTGAGTGCCATGAATACAGAAAAAATCGTGATTCTATTTACATGTTTTAGAAGTGAGAGAAACTCCAAATATGATATGGTCAGGTTGTGCAACAGAATTCAGAATTTATTCAATATTACAGTGTTTATATCACAGAGAACATCTTTGTCATTTATACAGGCAATTTTCCCTGGGGCTCACATGCTATTGAACACTGTAACATTTATTTTGGAGAGAATCCGTGGAGATGGGGGAGGCATCGTCAACATTCCAATGCAGCATCAGCTAATTCACATGCAACAAAGAGTCTATCAATGCAGAAATGTGCAAGAGCTTTTGGAAAAGTATAGCTCATTCAACATCAGAGAATTCACAATGGAGGAAAATCGTATGTGTGTAATGGACGTAAAAATGCTTGAGATGGTGCCCAGAGCTAATCAGATATCTGGGATTTTGTAGCAGAGAGGGGCCTTGTGAGTATAATGGATGAGGAAGAACCTTCAATCAGAGTTCCATACTTAGACAATATCAGCTAATTCAGGTGGGACTTAAAATGGTCATACGTAATGAAGACGGAAAACTCGGGGAAGCATGGGGAATACGGAATGTGAGATCATCCACACTGGAGAGAAGTCTTAGGAGTACAATGAGTGTGGAAAATCACTTGGGGACAAGCTTAGCTTTCTCATCATTGGAGAATTCACACAAAAAAAGGAATGAGCTTGGACGGATCATGGGAGAACTTCCAGGCACCAATCAGGCTAATTCATCCCGGAGAAAAACCCTGATGATAAAGAAGGGGAAAAAGTCTTCCAGTTTTTTCCTTATTGGATTTCAGAGAATCCTCAGTGACATATAGGGAAACTTGCTGGAGGAATTCAGGGTTTATTAAGATTCACATTAAAGCATTAATCCCATTAAAGTAGGAGTTTAAACTTTTTTGCTTCTTTCACCCCAATCAGAGTTTTCATTCCTTATGTCTCTGTTGAGGGAATGAAGCAACAGGCAAAAATCAGTGGTGCACTGGCTTTGCCTTTCAAAACATCACACAATATGTGGGGTGCAGAAGGACAGCATTGAGAGGTGCTGGGTTTGGTACCAGAATCTGGCAGTTGCAAATTCTAATATCATCACAACACACTCATAGGTGGGCCCCATATATCTGATGAACTTCCAGGGCCACATCTCTACAAATGCTGAAGATTATTTGTAGATGGGAAAATGCGGCTGGGGGTGCTTTTTCTCCAGGTCTGAGAAAATGAAATAGTGGGTATTTCTAAGATACATTAGGAGGATGCCAGTTTCTCTTTGTTTCATATTTTCAAAAACAGAGATTTAAAGAGGACGGGCTAGAGCTCTTATGTTCAGTTTCTTATCCCATAAGGGAAGAATCAGGCGTATTTCTTGTGTTGAAGCAACACACACACACACACACACACACACACACACACACACACACACACACACACACACAGTTGTTTGGCAAAAGTCAGACCAGAAGAAAGCTTCTCTCCTACCAACCTCATTCCTTGGCCTTGAACCAGCATTCTAAGTCTTCCAATACATCCTTGTCTCTCCCTACAGTAACTCTCCCATTGAGTTCTGTTTTTGTTAGTTTTTTGAGAAGGATTCTTGCTCTGTAGCTAGGCTGGAGTGCAGTGGCACAATCTCGGCTCACTACAACTTCTGCCTCCCAGGTTCAAGCAATTCTCCTGCCCCAGCCTCCCAAGTAGCTGGGACTACAGGCATGTGCCAACACGCCAGGCTAATTTTTGTAATTTTAGTAGAGACAGGGTTTCAGTATGTTGGTCAGGCTGGTCTCGAACTCCTGACCTCGTGATCCACCCACCTCGGCCTCCCAAAGTGCTGGTATTACAGGCGTGAGCCATCATGCCCGGCCCATTGAGTTCTTAATAGAAGTGAGTTAGGTTTTGTAGATTTTTGGCTCCTAGCTTTGCTTAGAGAAGCCAGAAAGAGGCGCAGTGGCTCACACCTAGAATCCCAGCACTTTGGGAGGCCAAGGCAGGCAGATCACGAGGTCAGGAGTTCAACACCAGCCTGGCCAACATGGTGAAACCCCATCTCTACTAAAAATACAAAAATTAGCCAGGTGTGGTGGCATACGCCTGTAATCCCACCTACTGGGGAGGCTGAGGAAGGAGAATCGCTTGAACCTGGGATGCGCAGGTTGCAGTGAGCCAAGATTGCACCACTGCACTCCAGCCTGGGAGGCAGAGTGAGACTCCATCCCAAGAAAAAAAAAAAAAAGAGAGAAGCCAGAAAGAAAATGTAGGAAAAAAGAGGAGAGGCAGGGGAGATGAGGAATGAACAAAGTTGCGGGGGGCGGGGGGGGCGGTGGCTATGCACATAGAGAATGGCAACTGAGGACACCTTATTCCTGAGAACTAAGGTGGCACTAAGGTTGATGGCTAGAGAGTAACTGAAAGACCTAGTTCCCACTAGGCCAGTTTAGTTCCAGTTGCCATCAACTTTTTCCAGTTAGTTCCCTTGCTCACACTCAAAATCTCAGGCATTAAAGCCCCACTGAGTTACCACAATTCATCGAGTCCTGTTTTAGAAGATGTCTAAGGCCGGGCAAGGTAGCTGATGCCTGTAATCCTAGCACTTTGGGAGGCCAAGGTGGGTGGATCATGAGGTCAGGAGATGGAGACCATCCTGGCCAACATGGTGAAACCCTGTCTCTACTAAGAATACAAAAAAAAAAAAAGTTAGCTGGGCATGGTGGCACTTGCCTGTAATCTCAGCTACTTGGGACCCTGAGGCAAGAGGATTGCTTGAACCAGGGAGTCAGAGGTTGCAATGAGCCGAGATCGCACCACTGCACTCCAGTCTGGCAACAGAGCAACTCAGTCTCAAAATAAAAAAAGAAGATGTCTGGAACTTGCATGAATATCTCTTTCTTTCCTTGTCTATGTCCCCTAGGCCTTGGGGTTAGGACTCTGAGCTGGGATTCCTCTGTAGGCTAAGACCAATCCTGATTCTTATTCCCTCCATATGAGCAATAATTTGATTTCTAATGTCTAAACTTAGGTTGATTTTCCATTGGGAGTTACAGCAACAGTCACGGGGTTCTGAGAAGGGGTGAGGGATGCTTTAGGCTGCAGGTAGCAGAAATCTGCCTAGAAAATAAAGACACATGACTTACAGATCAGTAAGACTGGAAGTGGGGGTTCCAGGATAGATATGGTGGCTCAACACTGTCATGGAGGACATAGGCTCTGCCATCCTCAGTATGTGGGCTTTTCCCCTTGGTCTTGTTGCCTTGTGGTCTCAAGATGGTCCCAGCCATCTCCCCATATGTTTTTGTTTTGTTGTTGTTGTTGTTGAGACAGAGTCTCTCCCTATCACCCAGGCTGGAGTGCAGTAGCATGATCTCGGCTCACTGTAACCTCCGCTTACAGGTTCAAGCGATTCTCCTGCCTCATCCTCCGAAGTAGCTGGGATTACAGGCATGTGCCACGACATCCAGCTAATTTTGCATATTTAATAGAGACCAGGTTTCACTGTGTTAGCCAGGCTGGTCTCAAACTCCCAACCTCAGGTGATCCACCCACCTCGGCCTCCCAAAGTGCTGGGATTACAGGCATGAGCCACCGTGCCTGGCTCTCTCATTCTCTTTAGAATGGCCTTTGCTACCCCCATGGGGATGCCTAGCTTCTCCAATAGCCTTCACCGGTCTTTCTTCCTCCTCTCTTTATTCCTCCTCTCTTTATTCCTCCTCTTTCTCTCCTTCTCTCTCTCTCTCTCTTTCTCTCAGGGTCTTGCTCTGTCACCCAGGCTGGAGTGCAGTGGTATCACAGCTCACTGCCACCTCGAACTCCTGGGCTCAAGCAATCCTCCTACCTCAGCCTCCTGAGTTGCTGGGATTACAGGCATGCTCCACTACACCTGGCTAATTTTTAAATATTATTGTTTGCAGAGACAGGGTCTTGCTATGTTGCCCAGGCTGGTCCAGAACTCCTGGACTCAAGTGATCCTCCTGGTGTGGCCTCCCTAAGTGCTGGGATTACAGGTATGAGCCACCATGTCCAGCCGGGTTATTAATGTCAATCTCCACCACCTCCACCTGTTTTTGTAATTTCTTATCCAATTTGGCCAGGGGATCATCATCAGAGGAGGGATTTGAGAGGGTATTCTTTTTTTTAAATTTGAGATCGAGTCTCACTCTGTTGCTCAAGCTGGAGTGCAGTGGCACAATCTCGGCTCAGTGCAACCTCTGCCTTCCGGGTTCAAGTGATTCTCCTGCCTCAGCCTCCCGAGTAGCTGGAATTACAGGTGCGCACCAGCATGCCTGGCTAATTTTTGTGTTTTTAGTAGAGACAGGGTTTCACCATGTTGCCCAGGCTGGTCTCAAACTCCTGGGCTCAAGCAATCTGTCCACCTTGGCCTCCCAAAGTGCTGGGATTACAGGCATGAGCCTCCGCGCCTGGCTGAGGATATTCTGGAGGCTCACTGTAAATGGCATTCCAGCTATACAATTCCAGGACTTGAGCAATGAAGCCAGCAACCGGCTGTCTCCTGTGGCCTGTAGAGAACTGGGTAAATACACGAGCCTCTGGTAAGCAGACGGAGAGGCAGCTGGCCAGGGAACTCCCTTTCCTTCTCTCCTGAATGCTCAATGACCTGCTGACAAGTTCGGCAAGTCAAAGTTCAGCAGTGTGGAAGACTTGGCTTTCTAGGAAATGCAGTTCTCACAGGCAGCACCAACACTAAGAACTAGTTCTTACTATCTGTATCAAGATACCAACAATTTTAACTTACTAGGTTTTTTTGTTTTTTTGTACGAAGTCTTGCTCTGTCACCCAGGCTGGAGTGCAGTGGTGTGATCTTGGCTCACCGCAACCTCCACCTCCTAGGTTCAAGCAGTTCTTCTGCCGCAGCTTCCCAAGTAGTGGGGATAACAGGTGTGTGCTACCACACCCAGCTAATTTATGTATTTTCAGTAGAGTTGGGGTTTTACCATGTTGGCCAGGCTAGTGTCCAACTCCTGACCTCAGGTGATCTGCCTGCCTCGGCCTCCCAAAGTGCTGGGATTACAGGTGTGAGCCACCGTGCCTGGCTAGTAACTTTTAAAGTTAGAAGAGAGCTCCAAGGCTATATAAAACTCTGGATTTGGCTGGGCGCAGTGGGTCACGCCTGTAATCCCAGCACTTTGGGAGGCCGAGGCAGGTGGATCATGAGGTAAGGAGTTTGAGACCAGCCTGGTCAACCTGGTGAAACCCTGTCTCCACTAAAAATACAAAAATTAGCCGGGCATGGTGGCACTCACCTGTAATCCCAGTTTACTCGAGAGGCTGAGTCAGGAGAATTGCTTGAATCCAGGAGGCAGAGGTTGCAGTGAGCTGAGATCACGCCACTGCACTCCAGCCTTGGCAACAGAGCAAGACTCCATCTCACAAAACAAAAACAAAAAAAACTCTGGACTTGTACACAAATTTGTTCCCTTTCAGGGGAGATTGACATTTCACCACCAACAAAAGGTGAGAGGCCTTTTCTGTCCTGTGTCCTTGAGACCCAGAACTTAGCCATATACCAATGGGATGATGTCCTCCCCAGGGGCAGGAGCAGACCCAGGTGGGACATTTCAGCACAGTCCTTAAGGTCTGTTCTCCTCGCTACCTCCAAGAACTCCTTGGCTGCGTGGGAACCAGAGTGCAACATTCATTCAACAGATACTGAGTGCATACCTACTACAAGCCAGATGCTAAGCTGGGCACTGTGGACACAGAGACAGGCCTAAGGCATAGCCTTGCTTTCAGAGAGCCCCAAGTTCACATCGACGGTGGTCCCTGAGCTGGTCATACTTAACTAGGACTGTGAATGCACAGCTCTGCAGCAATGGTGACTTCTATTTTTTTTTTTTTTTTGAGAGCATTCTTTCTCTGTTACCCAGGCTGGAGTGCAGTAGAATGCTCTCAGCTCACTGCAATCTCCACCTCCCGGGTTCAAGCGATTCTAGTGCCTCAGTCTCCTGAGTAGCTGGGATTACAGGTGTGCACCACCATGCCTGGCTATTTTTTTGTATTTTTAATGGAGATGGGGTTTCACCATGTTGGCCAGGCTGGTCTTGAACTCCTGACCTCAGGTGATCTGCCCAACTTGGCCTCCCAAAGTGCTGGGATTGCAGGTGTAAGCTACCACTGCACCTGGCCAACAACACTGACTTCTTGCTTGTTCCTTGCCTTTCCATCCCCAAAATCGTTCCCAGGGCCTAGTGTAATGCAGGGCAACTAGCAACACCTCTCAGGCAGAGCTGAAGCTGTGGAGACCAAGCATCAACCACCTTGGCTAATGCGGCTGGCCTGCCTGGGGCTGGAGGTTGGGAGGGGAGGAAGAGGTGGCAGTAAGTATAAGATCACCTTCCTCCCTGTGTGACCTTCAAGGGGCAACCACCCTGAAGAAGGCGGGCTACATCTTCAGTGGAAGGTAAATGACCTGAACCACAAACCCATCTGCCTAGATGACATCATCACAGTTATAAGCAGTCTGCCTGTCCACACAGTCCGCCAAGCCACCCTGAGTGTCTCAGGGTTCAAAGGATTATTGGACCATCCAGAGGACAAGGAGTGGCCCCTCTTCAAAGATCTCTCAGTCTGCTTGGGAAGAAAAAGTCATCAAAAGATAATGAAGGGCTAAGTGTGGCATGAGTGTTAAACGGGTTTCACAGGCAGTGCATTCTCATGAAGGGAAGTAGGGGAGCAGGGCTCCAGGCTCACAGCATCCCAGGAAGGCTTCAGGGAACAGGTGGGCTTTGGGCCAGGCTTAAAGGATGGGCAGAATGCGGAGTGGCAGGGGTGGGCACCCCACTGCATTCCAGGGGGTGCTGACCATCAGCAATGACATGGCACTCAGAATAGAGTTTGGGCTAAGCACGGTGGCTCATGCCAGTAATCCCAGTGCTTTGGGAGGCTGAGATGGGAGGACTGCTAGAGCCCAGGAGTTCGAGACCAGCTGGGACAACACAGTGAGACCTCATCTCTATAAAAAATTTAAAAATTAGCCAGGTATGCTGGTGTGTGCCTGTAGTCCCAGCTACTCAGAAAGCTGAGGTGGGAGGATCACTTGAGCCCAGGAGGTCAAGGCTGCAGTAAGCTATAATCATGCCACTGCATTCCAGCCTAGAAATGCAGAGCAAGACCCCACCTCTTCAAAAAAAAAAAAAAAGGTACCACTTTGGGGAAATTGCAGACTCTAAGCCTAAACTCTACTGGCCTGATACACATGGCAAAACACTTGGTCAGGATTTGCAGTAGAATATCAAAGAACTCACAGGGCAGAGGAAAGCTTCAAATATTATGAATGAGGGAAAATTTCCATTCATCTCATAATTCATACTAGAGAGACTCCCAGTGAATGGCACCAGTGGAGGAAAATCCTCAGACGGAGGCGAGCTGTTATTGGAGATGCGAAAATCACAGGGGAGGACAAAGCACAGAAGCGTGTGGAACCATGTCACAGCCTGCACCTGAAAGCGTCACATGGGAGAGAACTTGCATCCTCAATGAATGGCGTTCCAAAAAAGTGCAACTGCATCAAGCATCAGACAAGCCATTCTGAGCTCAGTCTTTGCAATGTAATGAATTGGGGGTGGTAATCATTTTAGAAGAAATCAGCCCTTACTCATCAGCCAATGGTTCCAACTGGAGAGAAGGCAGGTGCTCGTCATGGATGATGAAGCTCTCGGGATGCTCCAATCACATATAACAAAGGAGGCTGCAGAAGGGGCCTGAGGAGGGCTGTCGGGGGGGCCTAAGGGTACACGTGACATAAAATGTTCACAGGAGGAAAACATTTCAGATGAAAGGGGAAAACTTAGAAAGTGATTTCGGGCCGGGCACAGTGGCTTGCACCTGTAATCCCAGCACTATGGGAGGCTGAGGTGGGGCAGGGGGAGGGGAATCACTTGAGGCCAGGAGTTCAAGACAAACCTTAGCAACATAGCAAGACTCCATCTCTACCAAAAATAAAAAATAATAAAAAATTTTTAAAAGCTTTTTTTGGAACTTGTCCTCTTAGAACCAGGAATGGCTGTGGGGAACGCAGATACCCTTCACAGGAGTTTGCTCAGAGGACACAATTGTGCACGTGTGATCCTTGGGGTGACTTGCAGGGATGCCCTTATGCCATGCACAAGAATCCAGCCCAGCAGTTCTCAAAGTTTCCTTTTCCCACAGAGCTATACATTTTCTTTATCTTCCCTCCTCCTTCCTCTTTGTCCTTTGGTAAAGTCCAATGTCAATTTTTCTGTTCCTTGTCGTTGCCTTGGGAGGGTGTCCTGGCACCTGTGTGTTCACATGTGCTCTGCCTGGCCTATCAAGAGGCTGGTGGCAGGCCAGACACAGTGGCTCACCCCTGTAATCCCAGCACTTTGGGAGGCCAAGGTGGGCAGATTGCCTGAGGTCAGGAGATCAAGACCAGCCTGCCCAACATAGCGAAACCCCATCTCTACTAAAAATACAAAAATTAGCTGGGCATGGTGGTGCACGCCTGTAATCCCAGCTATTAAGGAGGCTGAGGCAGGAGAATCACTTGAACCAGGGAGTTGGAGGTTGCAGTGAACTGGGATTGCACCACTGCACTCCAGCCTGGTGATGGAGTGAGGCTCCGTCTCAAAAAACAAAACAAAAAAACCCAGACATGGTGGTGGGTGCCTGTAATCCCAGCTACTTGGGAGGCTGAGGCAGGAGAATCACTTGAACCCAGGAGGCAGAAGCGGAGGTTGCAGTGAGCCGAGATCACACTACTGCATTCTGGCCTGGGTGACAGAGTAACTCTGGCTCACAAAAAAAAAAAAAAAAAAAAAAAAGGAGGCTGGTGGCCACTGGGGAACATGCCCCCAGGGGATACTGTGATGGCTGCTTCATTCCTTCCTTCATTCTTTTCATATCTTTGGAGCATCTATTCCGTGCCTGGCACTACTCTTTGTCAGGGGATAGAGGAAAGGGCAACCTTGGGGAGGACAGAGGTGGGTCAGGAAGTAGCGGCTGCTACTTGAGATTACAGGAGTGTGTGTGTGTCCCAAGGCTCCAGAGGTGAGGGAGCTTAGGCAGGGGCACTGGGAAAGAGGGAGGAAGACCCTGATCTAATGACTGCCTACCATGTGTCAGGCTGGCGAGCAATGTGTCAGGCTGGCGAGCAATGTGTCACAGCAACCCTGCAAGCTTGGTCCCGTTTTCTCACTTTGCAAATGGAGAAAATAAGGTACGTGCACAGCTGGTAAGTGGTAGAGCCAGTTCTGAGGCTGGGTCAGCCTTCCTCCAGATCCCATTTCTTTTATTTATTTATTTTTATTTTTATTTTTTTCTGAGACAGAGTCTTGCTCTGTCACTCAGGTTAGAGTGCAGTGGCACTATCTCGGCTCACTGCAACCTCCACCTTCTGGGTTCAAGCGATTCTCCTGCCTCAGCCTCCCGAGTAGCTGGGATTACAGGTGCGGGCCACCACACCTGGCTAATTTTTGTATTTTTAGTAGAGACAGGGTTTCACCATGTTGGGCTGGTCTTGAACTCCTGACCTCGTGGTCTGCCCACTTCGGCCCCCCAAAGTGCTGGGATTACATAGGCCTGAGCCATTGCACCTCTTTCTGGCTTCTCTAAGCAAAGCTAGAGGTTTCACCATGTTAGCCAGGCTGATCTCAAACTCTCAACCTCAGGTGATCTGCCCGCTTCGGCCTCCCAAAGTGTTGGGATTACAGGCGTGAGCCACCCCACTCGGCAAATGGGATGGTGTGCTGCATGGGGTGGGAATCCCCATACGTTTTACCAGCACAGCTAAGTCACCCGCCCGCTATGCCCGGCTAATTTTTGTATTTTTAGTAGAGATGGGGTTTCACCATGTTAGCCAGGCTGGTCTCAAACCCCTGACCTGAGGTGATCCACCCGCCTTGGCCTCCCAAAGTGCTGGAATTACAGATGTGAGCCACCATGCCTGGCCTCTTTTTTTTATTTTTTAGAGACAGGGTACACCTGTCACCCAGGCTGTAGTGCACCGGCGTGATCATGGCTCACTGCAGCCTCAAGCTTCTGGGCTCAAGCTATCATCCTGCCTCAGCCTCCCGAGCAGCTGGGATTACAGGCATGCACCACCACACCTGGCTAATCTTTGTTTTTTCTAGAGATGGGGGTCTTACTATGTTGCCCAGGCTGGCCTCAAACAATCCTCTTGCCTTGGCCTCCCAAAGTGCTGGGATTACAGGTGTGAGCCACTGCGCCCAGCCCAAATCCCATTTCTTTCCACCATCACAAGGAACAGAACTAGTCCTTCAGCAGCACTGTTCCTTGGGATGTGTCTGCAGAGGCTTGGGAGACAATGAGAGGCACCTGGTGAACAGGTAGGGAAGGGGATGGAAGGAAGTGCACTGGCTTTTGCAGACCCCTCTCAGGGAACAGGGAAGAACACACTCATTCATTCCTTCATTCACACATTTAGTCAATTTTTTTTAGAGACAGGATCTCATTCTGCCAGCCTGGCTGGAGTGCAGTGGCACAATCATTGCTCACTGCACCCTTGAGCTCCTGGGTTCAAGCGACTATCCCACCTTGGCCTCCTGAGTAGCTGGGACTACAGGTGCACGCCACCACACTTGGCCAAGCTTTTAATATTTTGAAGAGATGGGGTCTCAGTATGCTGCCCAGGCTGGTCTCAAACTTTTGGTTTCAAGTGATCCTCCCACCTTGGCCTCCCAAATTGCTGAGATTACAGGTAAGAGCCACTGTACCTGGCCATATTTAGTAAAATCCTTACTGAGCCCTGTGGTGTGCAAAGCACGGTATCGAGGTGCTGGGCATATGTGTGCATGAGGCTGACACGTGCTCACCCTCATGGAGCTCCCATCTGAGAAGGCAGGCAGACACTCCAGTGTGCTAAGTGGTGTGACGGGCTCATTGGGCCCAATGAGAAGCTCAGAGAATTACACAGACTCACAGGGTGGAGGAAGACTTCTGGGAAGAGGTAACTGTTTATGAAATACTGGGAAGGCTGGGCGCAGTGGCTCACACCTGTAATACCAACACTTTGGGAGGCTGAGGTGGGAGGATCACAAGGTCAAGAGATTGAAACCAGCCTGGCCAACATGGGGGAACCCCGTCTCTACTAAAAATATAAAAATTAGCTGGGTGTGGTGTCGTGTGCCTGTAATCCCAGCTACCTGGGAGGCTGAGGCAGGAGAATCTCTTGAACCCAGGAGGTGGAGGTTGCAGTGAGCCAAGATCATGCCACTGCACTCTAGCCTGGGCCACAGAGTGAGACTCCATCTCAAAAAATAAAAAAAATAAAAAAAATAAAGAAATGCTATAAAGACCCTTCCAGAAAGGTGCATACAGGAGGGTCTGCTGGTGGCAGAGATGAGTGATAGCAATTGCAGCTGACATGAGCCCAGTGCTGTCTGGTAACAGCATGTGGGGGTGACTGTGGCAGGGAAAAAGGCCAGAAGCAGGGCCAGGGCCTCGGGGCCTGACAGGCCTTATAAGGAGTTCACAACTGGGTCCTGGGCAATGATGGGAAACCAGTGAAGAGCATGAAGCTGGGGGAGATGACCTGCGAAGCCTGAGGCTACAACACAAGGGGAGAGCTGTCCAAAGGTTCACCAAATTCAGGCCGGGTGTGGTGGCTCATGCCTGTAATCCCAGCACTTTGGGAAGCCGAGGCTTGGTGGATCACCTGAGATCAGGAGTTCAAGACCAGCCTGGCCAACATGGTGAAACCTTGTCTCTGCTAAAAACACAAAAAACTGTCCGGGCATGGTGGTGGGTGCCTGTAGTCCCAGCTACTTGGGAGGCTGAGGAACGAGAATCGCTTGAACCCGGGAGGCGGAGGTTGCCATGAGTTAAGATCGCACCACTGCACTCCAGCCTGGGCAACAGAGCAAGACTCTATCTCAAAAAAAAAAAAGAAAAAAAAAAAAAAAAGGAAAAAAGCAGCATGCAGGAAGTTCTGCCGGTGGCTGAGGTGAGTGATCGCAATTGCACCTGACATAAGGCCACTGCTGTCCAAAAACAGAGAGTGTGGGGTGGCAGGTGACAGGGAAGGAGGCCGGAAGCTGGACCAGGACATCCTGGGCCCGACAGGCCTTATGGGTCCTGGGCAATGATGGGACATTGGTGAAGGGTGTGAGGCTGGCGGCGATGACCTGCAAAGCCCAAGGCTGCAACATGAGGGTAGACAAATTTGGGCAGAATGGTGCAAGAGTGAGCATGTGAGTTCTTTTTTTTCCCTCATGAACCAAGGTTTCCAAGAGGCACGCTGAGCAGTAAGCAATAAAGCTAGGAGTGACTAAGGGTGATCTGAGTGAGAGCTGCCAGCACCAGGTGCCAGGGCTGAGATTTCCAGTTTTGGGGATGATGTTCCTGAGCACATATCCCCCTTTTGTGGCTGAGAGCACTGTTGCTGCTGAAGAGACAGGCTGAGGACCCCCTCCAGCCTCTCATTCTGAAAACCACAAGATATGGTCCAGGGGCCGAATCTACCTTGGGGACCCCAGATTTCCCACTTGGTTTTTAGAAAAATCTGATTAAGGCTGGGTGCAGTGGCTCACGTCTGTAATCCCAGCACTTTGGGAGGCCGAGGTGGGAGGATAATCTAAGGTCGGGAGGTCAAGACCAGCCTGACCAATATGGAGAAATTCCATCTCTACTAAAAATACAAAATTAGCCGGGCGTGGTGGCACATGCCTGTAATCCCAGCTACTCCAGAGGCTGAGGCAGGAGAATCGCTTGAACTCGGGAGGCAGAGGTTGCCATGGGCTGAGATCGTGCCATTGCACTCTGGCCTGTGCAACAAGAGCGAAACTCCATCTCAAAAAACAAACAAACAAACAAACAAAAACAAAGAGAAGGCAATGTGGGGACAGAGCAGAGACTGGATAAAGAGAGTACATGTGCAGGTTTGTTACATGAGTGTATCATGTGATGCTGAGGTTGGGGGTATGAATGATCCCATCACCCAGATAGTGAGCATAGTACCCAATAGGTGGCTTTTCTGCCCTTGCCTTCCCCCTCTGTTCCCTCTGCCCCCTCCAGTAGTACCTTGTGTCTGCTGTCCCCGTCTTTATGTCCATATGTACCCAATGTATGTCCATATGTCCCACTTGTAAGTAAGAACATGCAGCATTTGGTTTTCTGTTTCTATGTTAATTCTCTTAGGATCATGGCCTCTAGCTGCGTCCATGTTGCTGCAAAAGTCACATTCTTTTTTATGGCTGTGTAGTATTTTACAGTGTATATGTACCACATTTTCTTTATCCAGTCCACCATTGATGGGCATCTAAGTTGACTCCATGTCTTTACTATTGTGAACAGTGCTGTGATAAACATACAAGTGCATGTGCATTTTTGGTAAAATGATTTATTTTCTTTTGGGTCTATATCAAGTAATGAGATTGCTGGGTAAATGGTAATCCTGGGCAGATTCCTTGAGGCCAGGAGTTTGTGACCAGCCTGGGCAACATGACAAAACCCCATCTCTACTAAAAATACAAAGAAATTAGCTGGGCATGGTGGCACATGCCTGTAGCCCCAGCTACTTGGGAGGCTTAGATGGGAGAATCACTTGAACCCAGGAGACAGAGGTTTCAGTGAGCTGAGATCACACCACTGCACTCCAGCCTGGGTGACAGGGCAGGACTTTGTCTCAAAAAACAAACAAACAAAAAGACAATGTGAGAATGTTGAAAACTCAGAGAGAAGAGCAACTCTCACAGATAGGGATCCAGATAACATTAGCAGCTGATTTCTTGGCAGAAACCTTGAAGGCCAGTAGGCAGTGGATTATATATTTAAAATAATGAAGAAACCTGTCAATTGAGAAATCTACAGCTGGAAAACTTATCCTTCAAAAATGAGGGAGAAATTAAGACATTTCCAGATTTTTTTTTAAAAACTGAAAAAAATCCATTTATCCCTGAATTTGCCATTCAAGAAATGTTAAGTCCTTCAAGTTGAAATAAATGAACTCTAGGCAATAACTATATAAGTAACTAAGCAAGCTGTATGAATATACAAAGCTCTCTGGTAAAGGTAAATACATAAACAAACATAAAAACAGTCCTATTGTAATTTTGGTTTGTAACTCTGCTTTTTTATTTTCTACATAATTTAAAAGGCAAATGCATAAAATGTAATTGTAAATCTGTTAGCTGGTATACAATGAATAAAGATATAATTTGTTACATCAATAACATAAAAAGAGTAGAGCTATATATATAGCAGTATAATTTTGGTATGTGATTGAACTTAAGTTGAAATAAATTCAAATTAAAATGTTATAACTCTAGGATGTTATATATAATTCTCATAGTAACCAAAAATGAAATATACATAGAATATAAACAAAAGGAAATGAGACTAGAAACAAAATGTGTCACTACAAAAAAATCAACTAAAGATAAAAAAGAAATAAATAATTGAGAAAATGATTGGCAAAAATCAGTAACTCTGACGTATTAAAACTTTCCATGCTACATAAATCTGAAAACTCTATTTCACATAAAACTGGAGCTGAAAGAGACAAATATTTACCTATAAAGTTAAAAGTTATATAGGGAACAAACACTAATATTTTTTTAGAAAAAATTATAAAAAGAGTAAAAATATGCCTTATACTATCATAATTTCATGTTTTACAGCTCTGGGAAAATAGAAAATAAAATGTTCTGTTAGCATGACTCCTTCTGTGCCCCCAAAAAACCCTATGGATTGCATCATTATTACCTAAAAAGTCTATTCTCAAATTCAGCAGAGTGATATTTTTTACAAGGTAGATATTAATTTTAGATATGGAATAATATTGGTGATTTCAATTTTATAACATTGGGTTAAGATGAAAGAATGAGAAGATAAAGGTCCCTCAGCAATATAACTCACAAACATGTTCAGAAGCAGTAAGAAGTTACATTAATTATCTTTTGAAAGTCAATAATCTACATCTTTAATGTATGCATATAGCATAGCTAATGTTCTATCACTGGGTCCATTTATTCAATGAATAATTGCTGCTATGTGTCAGACATTTTTCTAGGCCTAGGAATGGATACATAAGTGAACAAAGCAAAGATTCTGGTTCTTGTAGAGTTTCCATTAAAACACCATTTAGTAAAACTTTTCTTCCCCCAAATTATAAAATCTGTAAGATGATTTAACAACACGTATAAAAGTCATTGTGGGTCAGGCACGGTGGCTCATACCAGGTGTGGTGACTCACAGCACTCTGTCACACAGGCTGGCGTGCAGTGGCGCAATCTCTGCTCACTGCAACCTCTGCCTCCTGGGTACAAGCGATTCTCCTGCCTCAGCTTTCTGAGTAGCAAGGACTACAGGTGCACACCGTCACGCCTGGCTAATTTTTGTACTATTAGTACAAACGGAGTTTCACCATGTTGGCCGGGCTGGTCTCAAACTCCTGACCTCAAAAGATCTGCCCACCTCGGCCTCCCAAAGTGCTGGAATTACAGATGTGAGCCACAATGACCGGACTTATTTTCTACAACTTTGATAACTTTAGCATATATCCCAAATCTGTAAGACATAATATTATAATTCAAATGCAACTCATGGCTTCTCACTGTACTCGTTCTCTAGCTTTTGAATTATTTATTCTAATATCAGTTTTAATTCTGACACAAAAGCATGGGAGTTCTAATCAAAATCCAACATTTTATCATAAAATTTATGAAGAAATTATGAGTAGAATTTAAAAAGGAAAATAGGCCTATTAATTAGATTTGTCTTTGTGGCATTTAACTCTATAATAAATAACATAATATTTTATGCCTATGAGTCCCCAACAAAGCCTCCAGCTTCTATTTAGATATAAAATGTAAAAGTCATTACTGGATCCACAAGCAAGACTATGGTAAAGAAATTTCTCCACCTAACCAGCTCCTTTTACATGATGTTACATGTTTCTTTTGTTTTTTCATTTTGGCAAATATTGATTGTCATCTTCGTGTTTGTCTATGTCCTAAGTGCTGGGATACAGAATCTGAAAAGATGGACACAGGACCTGCCTTCAAGGAGTTCACCCTTTTTTTTTTTTCTTTTTGAGATGGAGTTTTGCTCTTGTTGCCCAGGCTGGAGTGTAATGGTGAGATCTCAGCTCACTGCAACCTCCACCTCTGGGGTTCAAGTGATTCTCCTGCCTCAGCCTCCCAAGTAGCTGGGATTACAGGTCCCGGCCACCACGCCTGGCTAATTTTTGTATTTTTAGTAGAGACAGCATTTCATCATGTTGGTCAGGCTGGTCTCAAACTCCTAACCTCAGGTAGTCGACCCACCTCGGCCTCCCACAGTGCTGAGATTACAGGCATGAGCCACCACACCCTGCTAGGAGTTCACGCTTTAGTTGGGGAAAATATACAATAAGCAAGCCAATTTTTAAAATGACAACTGCAATTAGAGTTAAATGCTACAAAGACAATCTCACAGGAAGATGGGATGTAGAATGATAAGGCTTTCAGAATAGTAAGAGAAACTATTGCTTCTTACGATGTCTGTCTTTCTTTGTATCAGTGCTCAGCTGAGTCTGCAGTGCTTCAGAGGCAGATTTCATTTTATAAAAATCTATGATTTCTCCTTCCAGTTGTTTTTTCTCTTCCTCGAGCTCCCTTATCTCCTCCTGTTGAATCATTTTAAGATGCTCGAACTTGTCCTGCAGCTGTGAAACCAATGTGCAGTTGTGACACCAAAGCACAGTGTGGTTGAACACCCAAAAGAATATGCTTTTTTTCTGATTATCAAACAAACCCAAATCATCACAGTAGAGCATGATCTTAATAACAATCTCAAAAACTCAGGAGTAAACACTCAGATATGGAACTTTTCTTTTCTTTTTTTCCTTTTATAAGATGGAGTCTCACTCTGTTGCCCAGGCTGGAGTGCACTGGTGTGATCTCGGCTCACTGCAACCTCCATCTCCCAGTTCAAGTGATTCTCCTGCCTCAGCCTCTTGAGTAGCTGGGACTACAGGCATGCACCACCACTACAGGCATGTGCCACCACACCTGGCTAATTTTTGTATTTTTAGTAGAGATGGGGTTTTGCCATGTTGGCCAGGCTGCTCTCAAAATCCTGACCTCAGGTGATCCTCCCGCTTTGGCCTCCCAAAGACTTTTTTTTTTTTTTTAAATATAGAGACAAGGTCTCAGTATGTTGCCCAGGCTGGTCTCAAACTCCTGAGCTCAAGTGATCCTCCCACCTCAGCTTCCCAAAGTGCTGGGACTGACTGGATGCAGTGGCTCATGCTTGTAAACTCAGCACTTTGGGAGGCCAAGGTGGGAGGATCGCTTGAGCCCAGGAGTTCAAGACCAGACTGGGTGATATAACACAACAGTAAACTTCAACAGGAGAGAGAATCTGTAAGCTTGAATATAGATCTTCTGAAATTATCTAGTCAGAGGACAAAAAAAAAAAAAAAGAATAAAAAAGAGAAAAGAAGGCTGGACGTGGTGGCTCAAGCCTGTAATCTCAACACTTTGGGAGGCCAAGGCAGGCAGATTAAGAGGTCAGGAGTTCAAGACCAGCCTGGTCAACACGACAAAACCCCATCTCTACAAAAAATACAAAAATTAGCCGGGTGTGGTGGCACACACCTTTAGTCCCAGCTACCTGGGAGGCTGAGGCAGGAGAATCACTTGAACCCAGGAGGCGGAGGTTGGAGTGCAATGTGAGCCGAGACCACACATTGCACTACAGCCTGGGTGACAGAGCACGACTCTGTCTCAAAAAAAAAAAAAAAAAAAAAAAAGAAAGAAAGAAAAAAAAAAGAGAAAGAGAAAAGAAAGCCAACAAGATACCATTAGGCAAACCATTGTCAGGTTATGGGAGTTTGAGAAGGAAAGTAGAGAAAGGAGAAGAAAGCTTATTTAAAGAATGGCTGAAAACTGCCTAAACCATGGGAAAGATTTAGACATCTAAATCCATGAAGCTTAAAGATTCCTAAAGAGGTTCAAACCAAATAGATACTCAACAAGTCACAATATAATCAAATAGTCAAAAGTTAAAGAAACTTTGCAGGTCAGGACAGAATCGAATAATACATTCAAAGTGCTGAAAGAAAAAAACTGCCAGCAACTAATACTATGTCTGACAAAGCTGTCCTTCAGAAAGAAAGAAGAAATAACGTGTTTCCTCGACAAACAAAGCTGAGGGCATTCAGGACCACTAGGTCTACTTTAAAAAAATGCTTAAGGGAGTTTTTCAAGTAAAAATGAATGAAGTTGGGAGTGGTGGCTCATGCCTGTAATCCCATTTTGGGAGGCCGAGGTGGGTGGATCACTTGAGGTCAGGAGGTCAAGACCAGCCTGGCCTACATGGTGAAACCCCACCTCTAGTAAAAATACAAAAAATTAGCCAGTTATGAAGGCCACTGAGATCATGCCACTGCACTCCAGCCTGGGTGACAAAAGTCCAACTACATTTCAAAAACAAAAAACAAAACAACAAAAAAAAAACAAAACATGAGGCCTGGCCTTCTGCTCCTCTCCAACCCTTCCTTCTCTGGGCCCAAGCCACCTTGGCTGAGGAGGGGGCTGAGGAGGTGTGAGCCCCTGCCAGGAACCCCCTGCCCAGACCA
The DNA here is from genome assembly GCF_000001405.40 of Homo sapiens. NCBI lineage: Eukaryota > Metazoa > Chordata > Mammalia > Primates > Hominidae > Homo > Homo sapiens. The sequence goes on from NC_000007.14 coordinate 56,362,456, forward strand.
AGTACTTGGCCCACAGGCCTGCGTCCAGCGAGGCCTCCCGTGGCGTCAGCATGTTCATGTGGAGGAATGTGGAACCTCGCTCTGTGGCTGTGTTCCCCTGGTACTCTGTCCCCTTCCTGACCCCTCCCTGCAGCCACACGAGGCCCGGCAACCTGCCAGTCACTCAGTGGCCTCCAACCAGAGCAAACAACCTGCCAAGTTGGCAGCTGTTGCTCATGAGCGTCCACCAGGTGGGACAGGGAGTGTTGACCCTGGGCGGCCCCCTGGAGCCACCTGCCCTGAAAGCCCAGGGCCCGGAACCCCACACACTTTGGGGGTGGTGGAACCTGGTAAAAGCCCACCTCCCACCATGGAGGAGGAGCCCTGGGCCCCTAAGGGGAGTCCCTGCTGGACAGTGAGACAGAGAATGACCACGATGATGCTTTCCTCTCCGTCATGTCTCCTGACACCCAGTTGCCTCTACCACTCAGATGATGTCAGGCCCAGTCCCTCAGTGCACTGCGCAAGGAACAGGACTCATCTTCTAAGAAGGATGGACACAGCCCCAACAAATGGGACAAGGACCACATCCGGTGGCCCATGAGTGGTGGTCATGAGCTTCAGCAAGCGGCACCAGGCTCTGGCAGAGCGCACCAGGGTCACCCCAACCAGGATAACTGGACCGTCAGCCAGATCCTGAGCAAGCGGTGGTACACCCTGGGGCCCAATGAGACACAGAAGTACCACGACCTGGCCTTCCAAGTGAAGGTGGCCCACTTGCAACAAGGACCGAAAGAAGTCCAGCTCAGAGGCCAAGCCCACAAGCCAGGGGCTAGCAGGACTGTACAAGGGCTCGTGGGAGCGGAGCATATCAGAGACGGGCACTGCCACTGCCCCTGGGGTGTCCTCTGAACTCCTGTCAGTTGCAGCCCAGACATTCCAGAGCTCGGATACCAAGGAGCAGCTTCTGTGGGGCAGGACAGCTGCACACAGTCAGGGAACCTGGCTCAGCCTGGCCCAAGCCTTCTCCCACGGGGGGTACACAGCCTGGACGGCAGGGAAATAGACCATCAGGCACTACAGGAACTGACACAAGTGGTGTCTGGCACTGCATCATACTCTGGCCCAAAGCCTTCTACTCAGCATGGAGCTCCAGGCCACTTTGCAGCCCCTGGTGAGGGAGGTGACCAGTGGGCAGCCCTGCTGCTGCCCACCTGAGCTGCTCATTCCCAGCACATGGCCAGTGAGGACACAGCGAGTGACGAGGAGCCCATGGTCATCCATGAGGAGGAGGGGGTGACGATGTCATTGCTGATGATGGCTTTAGCACCACTGACACTGATCTCAAGTTCAAGGAGTGGGTGACCGACTGAGAGTGGGGACGACTCTGGGGAGGAGCCAGAGGGCAACAAGGGCTTTGGTGGGAAGGTATCTGCACCTGTCATTCCTTCTTCCTTTACTCCTGCCGCCCCTTGCTGGATCCTGAGCCCCCAGGGTCCCCCGATCCACCTGCAGTTTTTGGCAAAGTCTATGGTCCCACCCCGTCCTCCTCCTACACACTCCTATGCTTCCTCCTCAACCTTGGCACCCACCTCCTTACTGGGCCCAGGAGCCTTCAAAGCCCAGGAGTCTGGTCAGGGCAGCAGAGCCGGCCCCCTGTGGCCCCTACCCCTGGGGACGGGGGCCCAGGGATGCCTTCCAAGGCGACCTGTTTCCTCCCAATGGATCCTGCCACCTTCTGGTGCAAGAGACCTGAAAGTGTGGGCGACCTGGAGCTACCAGGCCCCTCAGTCATCACGGTCCCTCCCAACACTAAGGCTTTCCTAGGCAGGAGCTGGGCTGAGCCACCCAGGGGGCAGAGCCTGAAGAGGAGAAACTGACTGGGCTTTGGGGGTCGGGGCAGAGGGAACCCCACGGACATGGATCCCGCACTGGAGGACCCCACCACGCTCAAATGCAAGATGAGAAGATGCTCCAGCTGCAGCCCAAAGCCCAACACCCCCAAGTGTGCCATGTGTGATGGGAACAGCTTCCCCTTTGCCTGTACAGGTGGGAGAAGCTGAGGACGGGCTCAGGGAACTGGAGACCGAGAAGGCGGTGTCCTCTTCACTGCATGTGCCCTGGACCAGTGCCGGCCCTGATCATGCAGCTCTTCCAGGCCCACTGCTTCTTCCTGTCCACTAGGCCACAGCCGCCCTCCAGGCCCACTATGCACACATCCTCCCCTCCAAGGTTTCTTCTGCCCCTGCCCTGACTCCCAGCCCTGTGGGGGTCCTGACCCCACCTCACCTGGCTCAGACTCTGACGCTGCCCTGGATGCCCCACCACTGCCTCTGCCCGAGAGTCACGTGAGGCTGAGAGTAGGGGCAGGGGCAGCAGTGGTGCCAGTTGGGGGGCAGTCCAGTGGGAGGAGCCTCAGCCTCGCAGGCTGCTCCGTGGGACTGATGACTGCATGATCTTCTGGGCACCTCACGGATCTTCAACTGCAGGTGAAACGGATGCTGGTGGTGGGTGCAGGGCCGCTGGGAGCCGCTGCATGGGTCCCAGAGGCTAGACTGGGGCAGGGGCCAACTGAAGCTGTTGGGGCAGCATGAGCAGGATGTTCTACACACAAACCTTGGAGAAGATGTGTGCATAGCGGGTCCACTGCTGCTGCCCCTGCCCTGACTCCCAGCCCTGTCTGACCCCACCTCACCCTGCTCAGGCTCTGGTGCAACCCTGGCTGCCCTGCCACTGCCTCTGCCCCAGAGTTGGGACCTTGACAGCCTGGCTGGAAGGGGACACCCCAGCCCTGCCTCAACACCTGGGGGTCTCCATAACTACGACAGGCAGGTGAGCGACCCCAAAGAAGATCCCAGGACTCACAGTACCCCCTGAGAACATGGACACTATGTGGGGGTAGCAATGGAGGGCAGGATGGTTATCTTCTCCTGGGTAAAGCCATTTAATCCTTTCAGTTTGGGACGGAATAAGGCCTGCCTCTCTTTTTTCTTTTGAGACGGAGTCTTGCTCTGTCGCCCAGGCTGGAGTGCAGTGGTGCAATCTTGGCTCACTGCAACCTATTCCTGCCGGGTTCACGCCATTCTCCTGCCTCAGCCTTCCGGGTAGCTGGGATTACAGGTGCATGCTACCACGTCCGGCTAATTTTTGTATTTTTAGTACAGACGGGGCTTCATCATCTTGGCCAGGCTGATTTCGATCTCCTGACATCGTGATCCACCTGCCTCCACCTCCCAAAGTGCTGGGATTACAGGCGTGAGCCACCACACCTGGCCAAAGCCTGCTCCTCTTATATATACCCCCTAGCCCTGCAGCTGTGCCGGGGGAAAGCTGGGCAGTTTCCCTCCTCCGAGCCCCTGTACATACCATGAAGTGTGGGACCTTCAGAGCTTTTCACTTTTTGGAAAATAGCTCCTGCTGGGGCTACAAGATGGAGTGTGAGGAGGGCCTTGGGCCACAGGGAGGTGCCTGTGGACTAGGGGGAGTTCATGTACCCCTTCTTTCCCCAGAGGGGCTGGACTCAGGTGAGTATGGGGGTGGGGGCTCCTGCACTTCGACACAGGCAGCGGGAGGGTTTTCTCACCATTCCCTCTGCACTCCCAACTTGAGCTGTACTTTTTAAGAAAGTGATTCACCCTGCCTTTGCTCCCTTCCCCAGAACAGAACACGTTGATCATGGGCGGTATTTTTCATTGTGCCAAAAAGTTGCCATGACCATCATTAAACCTGTTTTAACACCAAATAATAAGGAAAATAAATAAAAAATTCGAACTTGGTGCAGAAACTCACTCCAAATAAATTACCTTCGAAAATATTTATATAATGGTAGAAATATTCCAAAATTCCATATTTTGGGATTTATACACAAAAGATAAACAAATTAGAGGCCAAGAGGCTGCCAGAAGGGAAAAACGGGGCCTGGAAAGGCCATTGTGAGGAATGAGCTGGGCCTAAAGAGGCCACTGGCAGGCAGGAGCTGGGACTGCCAAAGCCACCGAAAGGCAGGAGCTTTGGACTGGGGAGGCTACAGTGAGGCGAGAGCTAGCTGGGCGTGGAGAGTCCACTGTGAAGCCGAGGCCGGGCACGTGCAGGCCTTCAAGAGGCAGGAAGCCGGGCCTGCAAAGGCCGACTGGAGGTCAAGTTCTGGGCCTGAAGAGGCCACCAAAAGTCAAAAGCGGGGCCTAGGAAGGCCGCTGAGAGCCATGAGCTGGGCTGGGCCGAAAGAGGCCACTGGGAGGCAGGAGAGGCTGGGCCTGGAGAGGCTGACTCGAGGAAGTTTTGCACCTGGAGAGGCCGCCGAGAGGACGGAGCTGGGCCCGGGGAGGCCAACTTGCAGCTCTTCCAGGCCCACTTCCAGGATGACTTGAGTACGACTTAGGCATGCAGAGGCCGCCGGGAGGCTGGAGCTGGGCCTGGAGAGGCCGACTTCAGGACGATTTGGGCCTGCAGAGGCCGCCGGGAGGCGCAAGATGGGCCTAGAGGAACCCACCGACCGGAGGCCGTTGGGGGCCTGGAGACGCCGTCGGAGGGCAGGAGCTGAGCCTGGAGAGGCCACCGTGAGGCCTGACCTGGGCCTGGGGAGCTTGGCTTCAGGAAGTTGTGGGCCTACCAGGGCCACTGGGAGCTGGGCGGGAGCTGAGTCCAAAGAAGTTGTTGGGAGGCCGGAGTCGGGCGTGGAGACGCAGCTGGGAGGAAGAGCTGGGCCCGGAGAGGATGCCGGGAGGCTGCAAGTGGGTCTGGAGAGGCCGACTTGAGGAGGCCCGGCCTCTGCCTCCCGCATGGCGGCCTCTGCAGGCCCAGCTGTTCCTCCTGGCTGCATCTCTCGGCCCACATCCTGCCTCACAGCAAGCAAGCTCTTTTGGCTCAGCTCCCACCGGCGTTTGTAGACCCTGAAGTTTCTGCAGCCAAGCTCTTCAGGCCCACATCCTGCCTCCCGGTGGCCTGTACAGTCCCAGCTCTGGCAGCAGAAGAGCGTCTGCAAGCCCCGCTGTGGCCTCCCAGGGGCATATCCAGGCCCAGCTCTCCCCCCACTGCGGCCTCCCGGGGCCAAGTCCCTGCCTGCTCCCGGCAGCCTGCGTGCGGCCCTGCTCCTCCCTCACGGGGGCCTGTTGAGGCAGGGGCTCACGCGGACCTCTCTCGGCGTGGGAGGGGCCGGTGTGAGGCAAGGGGCTCACGCTGACCTCTCTCGGCGTGGGAGGGGCCGGTGTGAGGCAAGGGGCTCACACCGACCTCTCAGCATGGGAGGGGCCGGTGTGAGGCAAGGGGTCACGCTGACCTCTCTCTGCATGGGAGGCGCCGGCGTGAGCCAAGGGGTCAGCGTGGGAGGGGCCAGTGTGAGGCAAGGGGCTCACACCGACCTCTCTCAGGGTGGGAGGGGCCAGTGTGAGGCAAGGGGCTGACGCCGACCTCTCTCAGCGTGGGAGGGGCCAGTGTGAGGCAAGGGGCTCATGCCGACATTTCTCAGCGTGGGAGGGGCCAGTGTGAGGCAAGGGGCTCACGCTGACCTCTCGGCGTGGGAGGGGCCAGTGTGAGGCAAGGGGCTCACGCTGACCTCTCTCTGCGTGGGAGGGGCCGGTGTGAGGCAAGGGGTCAGCGTGGGAGGGGCCAGTGTGAGGCAAGGGGCTCACGCCGACCTCTCAGCGTGGGAGCGGCAGGTGTGAGGCAAGGGGACACGCTGACCTCTCTGCGTGGGAGGGGCCGGTGTGAGCCAAGGGGTCAGCGTGGGAGGGACCAGTGTGAGGCAAGGGGCTCACACCCACCTCTGTCAGGGAGGGAGGGGCCAGTGTGAGGCAAGGGGCTCATGCCGACCTCTCTCAGCATGGGAGGGGCCAGTGTGAGGCAAGGGGCTCACGCTGACCTCTCTGCGTGGGAGGGGCCGGTGTGAGGCAAGGGCTCACGCTGACCTCTCTCGGCCTGGGAGGGGCCGGTGTGAGGCAAGGGGTCAGCGTGGGAGGGGCCGGTGTGAGGCAAGGGGCTCACACCAACCTCTGTCAGCGTGGGAGTGGCCAGTGTGAGGCAAAGGGCTCATGCGGACCTCTCTCAGTGTGGGAGGGTCCGGTGTGAGGCAAGGGGTCAGCATGGGAGGGGCTGGTGTGAGGCAAGGGGCTCACACCAACCTCTGTCAGGGTGGGAGGGGCCAGTGTGAGGCAAGGGGCTCATGCGGGCCTCTCTCAGCGTGAGAGGGGCCGGTGTGAGGCAAGGGGCTCACGCCGACGTCTCTCAGCGTGGCAGGGGCCAGTGTGAGGCAAGGGCTCACGCTGACCTCTCTCAGCGTGAGAGGGGCCGGTGTGAGGCAAGGGGCTCATGCGGCCCTCTCTCAGCGTGGGAGGGGACGGTGTGAGTCAAGGGGCTCACGCCGACCTCTCAGCATGGGAGGGGCCGGTGTGAGGCACGGGGTCACGCTGACCTCTCTCTGCGTGGGATGTGCCGGCGTGAGCCAAGGGGTCAGCGTGGGAGGGGACAGTGTGAGGGAAGGGGCTCACACCTTCCTCTCTCAGGGTGGGAGGGGCCAGTGTGAGGCAAGGGGCTCACGCCGACCTCTCTCAGCATGGGAGGGGCCAGTGTGAGGCAAGGGGCTCATGGCGACCTCTCTCAGCGTGGGAGGGGCCTGTGTGAGGCAAGGGGCTCACGCTGACCTCTCGGCGTGGGAGGGGCCGGTGTGAGGCAAGGGGCTCACGCCAACGTCTCTCAGCGTGGCAGGGGCCAGTGTGAGGCAAGGGCTCACGCTGACCTCTCTCAGCGTGGGAGGGGCCACTGGGAGGCAAGGGCTCATGCTGACCTCTCTCGGCGTGGGAGGGGCCGGTGTGAGGCAAGGGATCAGCGTGGGAGGGGCCAGTGTGAGGCAAGGGGCTCACGCCGACCTCTCTCAGTGTGGGAGGGGCCGGTGTGAGGCAAGGGCTCATGCCGACCTCACTCAGCGTGGGAGGAGCCAGTGTGAGGTAGCGACTCGCGCCTCTGGGCAGGGTGCCAGAGGCATGAGTTGGGCATCAACAGGCCACCGTGAGGGAGGAAGTGGCCCGCACGCGGGCTGCCGGGAGGCAGGCAGGGATTTGGCCCCAGGAGGCCGCCGTGGGGGTGAGAGATGGGCCTGGAGAGGCCCCTGGGAGGCAAGAGCGGGTCCTGCAGAGGCTGTTCTACAGCCAGAGCTGGGCCTGTACAGGCCACCGAGAGGCAGTAGGTGGGCCCGAAGAGCTTGGCTTGAGAAAGTTCGGGGCCTACAAAGGCGGCTGGGAGCTGGGCAGGAGTTGAGCCAAAAGAGCTTGCTTACTTGCTGGGAGGCAGGGCCGGGAGAAGCTGACTTCAGGACGACTTGGGCCTGCAGAGGTCGCCAGGAGGCCCAAGCTGGGAGTGGAGGAGCCCACCGACCAGAGACCATTTGGGGCCTGGAGACGCCATCGGAGGGCAGGAGCTGATCCTGGAGAGGCCACCGTGAGGCCTGACCTGGGCCTGGGGAGCTTGGCTTGAGGAAGCTGTGGGCGGACCAAGGCCGCCAGGAGATGGGCAGGCGCTGAGTCCAAAGAGGTTGTTGGGAGGCAGCAGTCGGGCCTGGAGACGGAGCCGGGAGGAAGAGCTGGGCCCGGCGAGGACACCGGGAGGCTGCAAGTGGTTCTGGAGAGGCCGACTTGAGGAGGCCCGGCCTCTGCCTCAAGCATGGCGGCCTCTGCAGGCCCAGCTGTTCCTCCTGCCTCCCAGCAAGCAAGCACTTTTGGCTCAGCTCCCGCCGGCGTTTGTAGACCCCGAAGTTTCTGCAGCAAAGCTCTTCAGGCCCACATCCTGCCTCCCAGTGGCCTGCACCCAGAGTCCCAGCTCTGGCAGCAGAAGAGCGTCAGCAGGCCCCGCTGTTGCCTCCCAGGGGCGTCTCCAGGCCCAGCTCTCGCCCCACCACGGCCTCCCGCGGCCAAGTCCCTGCCTGCTCCCGGCAGCCTGCGTACGGCCCTGCTTCTCCCTCACGGTGGCCTGTTGAGGCAGGGGCTCACGCTGACCTCTCTCGGCGTGGGAGGGGCCAGTGTGAGGCAAGGGGCTCACGCTGACCTCTCTCGGCGTGAGAGGGGCCGGTGTGAGGCAAGGGGCTCACGCTGACCTCTCTCTGCGTGGGAGGGGCCGGTGTGAGCCAAGGGGTCAGTGTGGGAGGGGCCGGTGTGAGGCAAGGGGCTCACGCCGACCTCTCTCAGCGTGGGAGGAGCCAGTGTGAGGCAGGGACTCACGCCTCTGCGCAGGGTGCCAGCGGCATGAGTTGGGCATCAACAGGCCACCGTGAGGGAGGAACTGGGCCGCACGCGGGCTGCCGGGAGGCCGCCGTGGGGGCGAGAGCTGGGCCTGGAGAGGCCCCTGGGAGGCAAGAGCGGGACCTGCAGAGGCTGTTCTACCGCCAGAGCTGGGCCTGTACAGGCCACCGAGAGGCAGTAGGCGGGCGCGAAGAGCTTGGCTCGAGAAAGTTCGGGGCCTACAAAGGCGGTTTTGAGCTGGGCAGGAGTTGAGCCCAAAGAGCTTGCTTACTTGCTGGGAGGCAGGGCCGGGAGACGCCGACTTCAGGACGACTTGGGCCTGCAGAGGTCGCCAGGAGGCCCAAGCTGGGCGCGGAGGAGCCCACCGACCGGAGACCGTTTGGGGCCTGGAGACGCCATCGGAGGGCAGGAGCTGATCCTGGAGAGGCCACCGTGAGGCCTGACCTGGGCCTGGGGAGCTTGGCTTGAGGAAGCTGTGGGCCGACCAAGGCCGCCAGGAGATGGGCAGGCGCTGAGTCCAAAGAGGTTGTTGGGAGGCAGCAGTCGGGCCTGGAGACGCAGCCGGGAGGAAGAGCTGGGCCCGGAGAGGACGCCGGGAGGCTGCATGTGGGTCTGGAGAGGCCGACTTGAGGAGGCCCGGCCTCTGCCTCCCTCATGGCGGCCTCTGCAGGCCCAGCTGTTCCTCCTGGCTGCATCTCTCGGCCCAGCTCCTGCCTCCCAGCAGGCAAGCTCTTTTGGCTCAGCTCCCTCCAGCGTTTGTAGACCCCGAAGTTTCTGCAGCCAAGCTCTTCAGGCCCACATCCTGCCTCCCGGTGGCCTGTACAGTCCCAGCTCTGGCAGCAGAAGAGCGTCAGCAGGCCCCGCTGTTGCCTCCCAGGGGCGTCTCCAGGCCCAGCTCTCGCCCCACCACGGCCTCCCGCGGCCAAGTCCCTGCCTGCTCCCGGCAGCCTGCGTACGGCCCTGCTCCTCCCTCACGGTGGCCTGTTGAGGCAGGGGCTCACGCTGACCTCTCTCGGCGTGGGAGGGGCCGGTGTGAGGCAAGGGCTCACGCTGACCTCTCTCGGCGTGGGAGGGGCCGGTGTGAGGCAAGGGGCTCACGCTGACCTCTCTCGGCGTGAGAGGGGCCGGTGTGAGGCAAGGGGCTCACGCTGACCTCTCTCTGCGTGGGAGGGGCCGGTGTGAGCCAAGGGGTCAGTGTGGGAGGGGCCGGTGTGAGGCAAGGGGCTCACGCCGACCTCTCTCAGCGTGGGAGGAGCCAGTGTGAGGCAGGGACTCACGCCTCTGCGCAGGGTGCCAGCGGCATGAGTTGGGCATCAACAGGCCACCGTGAGGGAGGCACTGGGCCGCACGCGGGCTGCCGGGAGGCCGCCGTGGGGGCGAGAGCTGGGCCTGGAGAGGCCCCTGGGAGGCAAGAGCGGGACCTGCAGAGGCTGTTCTACCGCCAGAGCTGGGCCTGTACAGGCCACCGAGAGGCAGTAGGCGGGCGCGAAGAGCTTGGCTCGAGAAAGTTCGGGGCCTACAAAGGCGGTTTTGAGCTGGGCAGGAGTTGAGCCCAAAGAGCTTGCTTACTTGCTGGGAGGCAGGGCCGGGAGACGCCGACTTCAGGACGACTTGGGCCTGCAGAGGTCGCCAGGAGGCCCAAGCTGGGCGCGGAGGAGCCCACCGACCGGAGACCGTTTGGGGCCTGGAGACGCCATCGGAGGGCAGGAGCTGATCCTGGAGAGGCCACCGTGAGGCCTGACCTGGGCCTGGGGAGCTTGGCTTGAGGAAGCTGTGGGCCGACCAAGGCCGCCAGGAGATGGGCAGGCGCTGAGTCCAAAGAGGTTGTTGGGAGGCAGCAGTCGGGCCTGGAGACGCAGCCGGGAGGAAGAGCTGGGCCCGGAGAGGACGCCGGGAGGCTGCATGTGGGTCTGGAGAGGCCGACTTGAGGAGGCCCGGCCTCTGCCTCCCTCATGGCGGCCTCTGCAGGCCCAGCTGTTCCTCCTGGCTGCATCTCTCGGCCCAGCTCCTGCCTCCCAGCAGGCAAGCTCTTTTGGCTCAGCTCCCTCCAGCGTTTGTAGACCCCGAAGTTTCTGCAGCCAAGCTCTTCAGGCCCACATCCTGCCTCCCGGTGGCCTGTACAGTCCCAGCTCTGGCAGCAGAAGAGCGTCAGCAGGCCCCGCTGTTGCCTCCCAGGGGCGTCTCCAGGCCCAGCTCTCGCCCCACCACGGCCTCCCGCGGCCAAGTCCCTGCCTGCTCCCGGCAGCCTGCGTACGGCCCTGCTCCTCCCTCACGGTGGCCTGTTGAGGCAGGGGCTCACGCTGACCTCTCTCGGCGTGGGAGGGGCCGGTGTGAGGCAAGGGCTCACGCTGACCTCTCTCGGCGTGGGAGGGGCCGGTGTGAGGCAAGGGGCTCACGCTGACCTCTCTCGGCGTGAGAGGGGCCGGTGTGAGGCAAGGGGCTCACGGTGACCTCTCTCTGCGTGGGAGGGGCCGGTGTGAGCCAAGGGGTCAGTGTGGGAGGGGCCGGTGTGAGGCAAGGGGCTCACGCCGACTCTCTCAGCGTGGAGGAGCCAGTGTGAGGCAGGACTCACGCCTCTGCGCAGGGTGCCAGCGGCATGCTTGGGCATCAACAGGCCCCCGTGAGGGAGGAACTGGTCCGCACGCGGGCTGCCGGGAGGCCGCCGTGGGGGCGAGAGCTGGGCCTGGAGAGGCCCCTGGGAGGCAAGAGCGGGACCTGCAGAGGCTGTTCTTCCGCCAGAGCTGGGCCTGTACAGGCCACCGAGAGGCAGTAGGCGGGCGCGAAGAGCTTGGCTCGAGAAAGTTCGGGGCCTACAAAGGCGGTTTTGAGCTGGGCAGGAGTTGAGCCCAAAGAGCTTGCTTACTTGCTGGGAGGCAGGGCCGGGAGACGCTGACTTCAGGACGACTTGGGCCTGCAGAGGTCGCCAGGAGGCCCAAGCTGGGCGCGGAGGAGCCCACCGACCGGAGACCGTTTGGGGCCTGGAGACGCCATCGGAGGGCAGGAGCTGATCCTGGAGAGGCCACCGTGAGGCCTGACCTGGGCCTGGGGAGCTTGGCTTGAGGAAGCTGTGGGCCGACCAAGGCCGCCAGGAGATGGGCAGGCGCTGAGTCCAAAGAGGTTGTTGGGAGGCAGCAGTCGGGCCTGGAGACGCAGCCGGGAGGAAGAGCTGGGCCCGGAGAGGACGCCGGGAGGCTGCATGTGGGTCTGGAGAGGCCGACTTGAGGAGGCCCGGCCTCTGCCTCCCTCATGGCGGCCTCTGCAGGCCCAGCTGTTCCTCCTGGCTGCATCTCTCGGCTCAGCTCCTGCCTCCCAGCAGGCAAGCTCTTTTGGCTCAGCTCCCTCCAGCGTTTGTAGACCCCGAAGTTTCTGCAGCCAAGCTCTTCAGGCCCACATCCTGCCTCCCGGTGGCCTGTACAGTCCCAGCTCTGGCAGCAGAAGAGCGTCAGCAGGCCCCGCTGTTGCCTCCCAGGGGCGTCTCCAGGCCCAGCTCTCGCCCCACCACGGCCTCCCGCGGCCAAGTCCCTGCCTGCTCCCGGCAGCCTGCGTACGGCCTGCTCCTCCCTCACGGTGGCCTGTTGAGGCAGGGGCTCACGCTGACCTCTCTCGGCGTGGGAGGGGCCGGTGTGAGGCAAGGGCTCACGCTGACCTCTCTCGGCGTGGGAGGGGCCGGTGAGAGGCAAGGGGCTCACGCTGACCTCTCTCGGCGTGAGAGGGGCCGGTGTGAGGCAAGGGGCTCACGCTGACCTCTCTCTGCGTGGGAGGGGCCGGTGTGAGCCAAGGGGTCAGTGTGGGAGGGGCCGGTGTGAGGCAAGGGGCTCACGCCGACCTCTCTCAGCGTGGGAGGAGCCAGTGTGAGGCAGGGACTCACGCCTCTGCGCAGGGTGCCAGCGGCATGAGTTGGGCATCAACAGGCCACCGTGAGGGAGGAACTGGGCCGCACGCGGGCTGCCGGGAGGCCGCCGTGGGGGCGAGAGCTGGGCCTGGAGAGGCCCCTGGGAGGCAAGAGCGGGACCTGCAGAGGCTGTTCTACCGCCAGAGCTGGGCCTGTACAGGCCACCGAGAGGCAGTAGGCGGGCGCGAAGAGCTTGGCTCGAGAAAGTTCGGGGCCTACAAAGGCGGCTGGGAGCTGGGCAGGAGTTGAGCCCAAAGAGCTTGCTTACTTGCTGGGAGGCAGGGCCGGGCGACGCCGACTTCAGGACGACTTGGGCCTGCAGAGGTCGCCGGGAGGCCCAAGCTGGGCGTGGAGGAGCCCACCGACCGGAGACCATTTCGGGTCTGGAGACGCCATTGGAGGGCAGGAGGTGATCCTGGAGGCCACCGTGAGGCCTGACCTGGGCCTGGGGAGCTTGGCTTGAGGAAGCTGTGGGCCGACCAAGGCCGCCAGGAGATGGGCAGGCGCTGAGTCCAAAGAGGTTGTTGGGAGGCAGCAGTCGGGCCTGGAGACGCAGCCGGGAGGAAGAGCTGGGCCCGGAGAGGACGCCGGGAGGCTGCAAGTGGGTCTTTAGAGGCCGACTTGAGGAGGTTCTGGGCCCGGAGAGGCCGCCGGAAGGGAAAAACTGGGCCTGGAAAGGCCGTTTTGAGGAATGAGCCCCATGGGCCTGAAGAGGCCACTGGCAGTTGGGAGCTGGGCCTGCGGAAGTGGCGGAGAGGCAGGAGTTTTGGACTCGGGAGGCCGCAGTGAGGCGAGAGGTAGCTGGGCGTGGAGAGTCCGCTGTGAGGCCGATGGTGGGCCTGTGCAGGCCTTTGCGAGGCAGGAGCTGGCCCTGGACAGGCCGACTTGATGACAGTCTGGGCCTGGAGAGGCCGCCGGGAGGAAGAGCTGGGCCTGGAGAGGCCGACTGGAGGAAGTCCAGAGCCTGAAGAGGATGCAAAGCAGCAAACACTAGGCCTGGAAAGGCTGCCCTGAGGCACGGGCTTGGCCTAGAGAGGCCACTGGGAGGCAGGAGCTGGGCCCGCAGAGGTTCCCGAGAGCGGGGAGCATTGCCCCAGGAGGCCACGGTGAGAAAGATGTGGGCCTGGAGAGCCCACTGTGAGGTAGAGGCCGGGCCTGTAGAGGCCGCCGACAGGCAGGGGCTGGGCCCGTTGAGGCCACGAGAGGCATGAGCTGGGCCTCAACAGGCCAGTGTGAGGCAGGAGCTGACACTTGGGCAGGTTGCAAGAGGCATGAGTTGGGCGAAAAGAGGCCACCGTGAGGGAGGAGTTGGGCCTGTACAAGTTGCCGAAAGGCAGGAGCAGCTTTGGACTGGAGAGGCAGCAGACAGGGAAGAGCTGGGCGTGGAGAGTCTGCTGTGAGGCAGAGGCTGGGCCTGTACATGCCCTCGGGAAGCAGGAGGCTGGGCCTGGAGAGGCCGACTTGAGGAAGTTTTGCTCCTGGAAAGGCCACTTAGAGACAAGAGCTGGGTGTGAAGAGGCTGACTTGAGGTCGATTTTGGCCTACAGAAGCCACCGGTAGCTAGGAGTTGGCCCTGGAGAGGCTGACTTGAGGACAGTTTTGGCCTGTAGAGGCCACTGGGAGGGAGAGCTTGGTCTGGAGAGGCCAACTGGAGTAAGTTCAGGGCTTGGAGAGGATGCACAAAAGGAAACGCTCAGCCTGGAAAGTGTGCTGTGAGGCATTAGCTTGGCCTACACAGCACTTGGAGGCAGGAGCTGGGCCTGCAGAGGGTGACTTCAGGACGATTTTGGCCTGCAGAAGCCTTTGGGAGGAAGAGCTTGGCCTGGACCGGCTGACTGGAGGAAGTTTTGGGACAGGAGTATGCGTCAAAAAGCAAAAGTTAGGCTAGGAAAGGCCACTTCGCGGCATGATCTTGGCCTACAAAGGCAATTGCGAGGCAGAAGCTGGGCCTGTAGAAGCTGCCAAAAGGCAGGAGCTTGGCCTTAGGAGGCTATGCTCAGGCAAGTGGTGGGCCTGGAGGGTCTACTGTGTGGTAAGAGTCTGGGCCTGTGTAGGCCGACATGAGGCAGAAGCTGAGTTAGGAGAGGCCAACTTTTGGAGAATTTGGGCCTGCAGAGGCTGCCAGGAGGCAAGAGCTGTGCCTGGAGAGTCTGTCTTTTAGCATGAGCTGGGCCTAAAGAGACCATTGTGAGACAGCAGCTGCCTGGGAGGCAGGCAGATTCGTGGCCTGGGGAGGCCACCGTGAGGCAAATGCTCAGTTTTCGGAGGATGCCGTGAGGCAGGGAGAAACTTGGCTTTCGGTGGCCGCAGTAAGGGAATAGTTTGATTGCTGAGGCTGCTGGGAGGCCGAAGGTGGGCCTGGAAAGCTTTACTTTAAGAACTCTGTGGCCTACAGAGGCTGCCAAGCAGCTCAGCAGGAGTTGGGCCAAAGGAGGTTGTTGTGAGGCAGGAGACGGGCCTGTAGACGCACTGGGAGGATGAGCTCGTCCTGGAGATGCCGAGTTAAGGACATTCTGGGCCTGGACAGGCTGCAAAAGGCAAAAGCTGTGCCTGGAAAAGTCACCGTGGGGCATGAGCTTGGCCTAAAGAGGCCATTGCAAGGCAGGAGCTGGGCCCGTAGAGGCTGCCAAAAGGCAGGAGCTTCGCCTGAGGATGCCACAGTGAGACACCATCTGGGTCTGGAGGGTCCACTGTGAGGCAGAGGCTGGCCTGTAGAGTCCGACAGTAGACAGAAGTTGGGCAAAAGGCTGATTTGAGGAAGTTTTGGGCTTCAAGAGTCAGCCAGGAGGCAGGCACTAGGCCTGGAAATGGCCCGACAGTCATGAGTTGGGCCTAAATGGGCCACTGTGAGGGAGGAGCTGTGCCTGTTGAGGCTGCTGGCAGGCAGGCAGAAACTTGGCCTGGGGCAGCCGCCATGAGGCAAGAGCTGGGCCTGGAGAAGCCCCTGGGAGGCAAGAGCACGGCCTGCAGAGGCTGTTCTCAAGTCAAAGCTGGGCCTGTTCATGCCACCGGGAAGCAGAAGGCGGGCCTGGGGAGTTTGACTTGAGGAAGTTTTGGGCCTACATTGGCCGCTGTGAGCTGGACAGGAACTGGGCCAAAAAAGGCTGTTGTGAAGCAGCAGTTGTGCCTGTAGACTCAGCCCAGAGGAAGAGCTGGGCCTGGAGAAGCCCCCATGAGGCAGAGGTTGGGCCTGTAGATGCTGACAGGAGGCAGGAGCTGGGCCTGGAGAGGTCAACTTGAGGAGATTTTGGGCCTTCATAGGCCACCAGGAGGCAGCAGTTGGGACTAGAGAGGCTGACTTGAGGAAGTTTTGGGCCTGGAGATGACGTCCTGGGACAGGAGCTGGGCCTGGAGAGGCCACCGTGAGGCAAGAGCTGGATGTAGACAGGCCAGTGTGAGGCAAGACCTGGGCCTGTCTAGGCTGCTGGGAGACAGGCAGGAATCTGGCCAGGGAAGGTTGCCATGAGACAAAAGTTGGGCCTGGAAAGGCCCTTGTGAGGCATGAGCTTGGCCTAAAGAGGCCACTGGGTGGCAGGAGCTGGGTGTGTAGAAGCTGCTGAAAGGTTGGGAGCTTGGCTTGGGTGGTCCACAGTGAGGCAGATGCTGGGCCTGAAGAATCTGCTGTGAGGCAGATGTTGGGACTGTAGAGGCTGACGGGAGGCAGAGGCTGGGCCTGGAGAGGCTGCCAAGATGCAGGAGCTGGGCCTGGAGAGGCTGCCAAGAAGCATGAGCTGGGCCTGGTGAGGTCGACTTGAGGAAGTTCAGGGCCTGGAGAGAAGGCTGGGAGGCAGGAGCTGGGTCTAAAGAGGCCATTGTAACGGTGGAGCTGTGCCTGTGGAGGCTGTTGTGAGGCAGTAGCCTCATCTGCGGAGACTGCCGTGAGGTAGGGTATGGGCCTAAATAGGCCATTGTGAGTCATGAGCTTGGTCTGCGGAGGCTGACTGGAGAAAGTTCTGGGCCTGGAGAGGCTGCCGGGAGGTAGGAGCTGGGCCAAAAGATTTAAGCACATTACATTTATTAGGCACTTTATTTCCATTATTACACTGTAATATATAATAAAATAATTATACAACTCACCATAATGTAGAATCAGTGGGCGTGTTAAGCTTGTTTTCCTGCAACTGGATGGTCCCACCTGAGCGTGATGGGAGAAAGTGACAGATCAATAGGTTTAGATTCTCATAAGGACAGCGCAACCTAGATCCCTCACATGCACGGTTCACAACAGGGTGCGTTCTCCTATGAGAATCTAATGCTGCTGCTCATCTGAGAAGGTGGAGCTCAGGCGGGAATGTGAGCAAAGGGGAGTGGCTGTAAATACAGACGAAGCTTCCCTCACTCCCTCACTCGACACCACTCACCTCCTGCTGTGTGGCTCCTTACGGCTCCATGGCTCAGGGGTTGGGGACCCCTGCTCAAGTGCATCCAAAACGACCCTTCCCACACCAGTCTTCACAGTGGTCAAGTGCAGCAACCACTTAGCTCCCAAGGCATGTGCCTCAGCTGGCATTTCGTCACAATCAACAGTAAGTGGTAGCTTGAGTCATTGTGAGGTCACTTCCTGGAAATCACCAGCATCCCATTTCCCACTGGCAAAGAGCTCAGCACTGCCCCCTGGGAAACCAAACCTATGCCCAAATCCCATCTGTGTGGGTTTATCTCCTGGGACCCTTCCTAACATATTAGTCAGAGTCCAATCAGGAAGCATAAACCGCTCAAAAGTTTAAAGTGGTAAAATTTAATACAGAGAATTATTCATTATAACAGGTAAACAGCATAATGAGAGATTGGCTAGCACAAAGTAAAGAGAACTCTAGAGAATATAGGACTAGCCCAGGCCAGGCATGGTGGCTCATGCCTGAAATTCCAGCAATTTGAGAAGCTAATGCAGGAGGATTGCTTAAGGCCAGGAGCTAGAGACCGGTCTGGGCAACACAGTGAGACCCTGTCTCTATCCAAAAAAAGAAAAAAATTAGCTGGGAGTGGTGGTGCACACTTGTAGTCCCAGCTACTCGGAATGCTGAAGTTTGAGCCTGGGAGGTCAAGGCTGCGGTGAGGCATGATTATGCCACTACAGTCCAGCCTGGTGACAGAGCAAGACCCTGTCTCAAAGAACAAAACAACAACAACCATTTACAGACAGAAAAGAAACAGAGCTAATAAGCTAAGGGAAGATGTTGAAATGTGACAAGTAAAGTAATATGAGGTCTTTTATCTATTTAAAATAATCAAACAAAAAATGACTTACTAAATTATAATACCCTGTGCTGGCAAAGGTGCAGTGAAATGGGCACTTTCTTATACTATGAGGGGTGTTTAAATTGTGTATAAGCCTTCCAGGGTAAAGCTTGTCAATTTTTTAAAATAATAGAGACAGGGTCTCACCGTACTGCCATACTGCCTCCTCCAACTCTTGGCCTCAAGCAATCCTCCTGTCTTAGCCTCCCAAAGTGCTAAGATTATAGCTGGGAGGCACCCAAAACCTTGACCATTTACATCAAGGGTAAGGAGAATGTCTATTCACCATGACTCACAGTAATCTTACTTCTGGGGAGACAATTCAATCTCAACAAAAGGTCATCTGTACAAACACAGTAAAAATCTGGGGAGTAACTGAAGACAGAGTTGGTAAGTGAAATAAGAAACAGTTATAAGAAATTAAACTATGGTATCAATAGGCACCTGGTAAAAGGTCAGTTGATGTTAGCTGCTACTTTTTTGTTGTTCTGAGACAGGGTCTCACTCTGTCACTGAGGCTGGAGTGCAGAGGCCTGATCATGACTCACTGCAGTCTCAGCCTCCCTGGGCTCAAGTGATCCTCCCAGCTCAGCCTCCCAAGTAGCTGGGACTACAGGAACATGCCACCACACTAGGCTAATTCATGTATTTTTCTGTAGGGATGGTGACTCCCTTTGTTTCCAAGGCCTATCGCAAACTCTTGGCCTCAAGCCATCCTCCTGCCTCAGCCTCCCAAAGTGTTGCGATTACCAGTGTGAGCCACCACACCTGGCCAGCTGCTACTTTTATCATTATTATTATTCCACTCAATTAAAAATTATTATTTTCAAGGCTATGCAACAGTATGTATCCTACAGCGTAATTGTAAAAACATATACCGTCGTCCCTCAGTATACAGAATTAGTTCCAGCCCCCCATCTCTGCATATACCAAAATCCATGCTTACTCACGTTTTGCTGTCACCCCTCTGGAATCCATGTATAGGAAAATTCCAAATATTAGTTGGGCATAGTGGCAAGCACCTATAGTCTCAGCCACGTGGGAGGTTGAGATGGGAGGATCGCTTCAGCCTGGAAGGTTGAGGCTGCAGTCAGCTGTGATAGCACTACTACACTCCAGCCTTGGAAAAGAGAGGGAGACCCTGTCTCAGAAAAAAAAAAAAACAAAATAAAACAGGTTAGAAATTGTAATGAGGTCTGTTGGGCAAAATTCCATATAAGCAAAGTATAAATTAATAAAGCAAATGGTGATAAATTAGTACGATTGACTTTCTGGAGTTTCTGACAATAAAAGTAAGGAAAATGCAAAACACAAAGACAGAGAGTAAAAAGAGAAATTAGGAAAGCATTCTACATGTTTAATAGGAAGACACTGGCCATGTTCGTGCAGCGGCAGTATGTCATGATATGACATACCTTGGAGAGAAGTTAACAGATGAGGAAGTTGATAAAAATGATCAGAGAAGCAAAATACTGGTAGCGACACTCAAGTAAACCACGAAATTTCCATAACTTATGTCAGCAAAGTGGGAATATTGTACAGTGTGTGTTGAAGTTCCTATACAACATTGTTTATCTGCCTTTTGTTTGTTTGTAAGGAATGTATATACTAAAAGTTCTTCTTGCTGTCAAAAGAATATGTGTGAATAAGTCATTTTAACTTATGCTTCTGTTTTTCTTTTATCTTCCTGCCATCATCCCACAGCCTTACTTTAGAAATTTTTTTTTTAGAAAATTGAACAAGTGCTCCTTGTGGTGGCACATACCTCTAGGATGGGAGGCAGGGGTGGAAGGGTCACTTGAGGCCATGAGTTTGACACCAGCCTGGCTAACAAAGTGAGACCCCATGTCTACAAAACAATTTAAAAATTAGCCAAGTATCGTCATGTATACCTACAGTCCCAGCTACTCAGGAGGCTCAAGTAGGAGGATCCTTAGCCCAGGAGTTCAAGGCTGCAGTGAGCTGTGATAGCACTACTGTACTCAAGCCTGGGTGACAGGGTGAGACCCCATCTCCTAAAATAAAAAACAAAGAAAAAAAATAGTTCAAGTAGCAAGTTGTATGTGGCTTACTCTGAATATTTCTAAACTAGAAATTCTCAATCTTTTGGGGTCTAACATCCCTTTACATTTTTTAACTTTATTGAAGATCTCTAAGACTATTTCTTTCTGTAAATAATTATATTAAAACTAGAAAATAAAAATTTTTAAATATTATTCATCACATATTAAAGCCATTACATGTTGATATAATACAAGATTTTAAAAATATTTAATATTCATCACATATTAATAATAAAACCATTACATGTTGATATAATACTTTTGTTTTTTTCTTTGAGACAAAGTCTTGTTCTTTTGCCCAGGCTGGAGTGAAGTGGCGCAATCTCAGCTCATTGCAACCTCCACCCCGCAGGTTCAAGCGATTCTCCAACCTCAGCCTCCCAAATAGCTGGGATTACAGGCGCCCACTACCATGTCCGGCTAATTATTGTATTTTCTTAGTAGAGAAGGCTGGTCTTGAACTCTTGACCTCAGGTGATCCACCCACCTGGGTCTCCCTAAGTGCTG
The DNA here is from genome assembly GCF_000001405.40 of Homo sapiens. Taxonomy (NCBI): domain Eukaryota; kingdom Metazoa; phylum Chordata; class Mammalia; order Primates; family Hominidae; genus Homo; species Homo sapiens. The sequence continues at coordinate 56,382,360 of NC_000007.14, forward strand.
GGATTACAGGTGTGAGCCACCGCGCCCACCCCGATTAATATATGTTTTAAAACACTGATTAGACAGGCAACAACACCGGGCAGGGGTCTCCTCATTCCCAGCGACACAAACCCCACTGCACGGCTGAGGGGTTGCAAGGGCTGCAGAGACAAAAGGCTCTGACTTGAGATGTCATTATTTTACTTGTATTTTTATTTGTATTGTGAGACAGGTCCTGCTCTGTCACCCAGACTGGAGTGCAGCTGTGCACTTAAAGCTCACTGCAGCCTCGACCTCCTGGGCTCAAGCCATCTTCCTGCCTCAGCTCCCCAGTAGCTGGTAGTACAGTTGAGTGCCACCATGCCTGGTTATTTTTTTAATTTTTTTTGTAGAGTGAGGGGTCTTGCTATGTTGCCCAAGCTGGCCTCAAACTCCTGACCTCAAGAGATCTGCCCACTTCAGCCTCCTGAGTAGCTGAAACTACAAGTACACATCACCATGCCTAGCTACATTTATTTCATTTTGAAAAATATTTTTGTAAAGAGCAGATCTTGCTGTGTTGTCCAGGCTGGTCTTGAACACCTGCCCTTAAAAGATACTCCCACCTCTGCTTACCAAACAGCTGGGACTACAGGCATGAGCCACTGCAATGAGCCTGAAGAGATTTCTTTAATCTAGCATCCCATACTTGGTAGGATTGGGAAAGGCAGTAGTGTTTTTTAAAATTACTTAATAATTTCAGTAACAATCAAACTCAACCTTGACCCCTGCCTTCTCTCACACCCCATATCCAGTCTGTCAGGAAATCCTGTTGACTGTCTTCGACATGTACTAAAGATCCCCACCCAGCAACTCCCTGGCCTCCTCCCCTACTTCTCCCCTCTGACCATCTCTCAACACCACCACGACCCTGGTCAGGACCACCATCATCTCCCGCCTGGATGCTGCCAAAGCTTGGCCCCCATGCTTCTACCCACATCTTCCCATAGTCTTTCTCAACTCAGCAGCCAGAGAACGCTTTTAAAATGGGAGACAGATCATGTCGCCTCTCTGCTCAGAACCTTCCCGCAGTTCCCATCTGAGTCAGAGTAAAAGCCAAAGCCCCAGCAATAACCTCCCAGGGCTTATGTGATCTGTACTGATCCCCACCCAGCAACTCCCTGGCCCCCTCCCCTAATTCTCTCCCTCTCTCTGTCTGCTCCATGGGCCTCCTTCCAGAGCCTCAGACACACCTCAGACACTTTATTCTATTGTTTCTGCCTACAATCCTCTTCCCTCAGCACCTTGGCCAGCTCCTTCCCCTCCTTCAAGTCTTTACTCAATTTTCACTTAGGAGGCCACCCCTGACCATTCTATTTAACATTGCCATCTGTCCCCATGCCCACCATGCTCATTTCTTCTTTCTTTACTTTCTTCTTTCTTTTTTTCAAGATCTCACTGTCACCAAGGCTGGAGTGCAGTGGCGCAATCACAGCTCACTGCAACCTCAAATTTCCAGGCTCAAGCGATCCTCCCACCTCAGCCTCCCGAGTAGCTGGGACTCCAGGTTCATGCCATCATGCCTGGCTAAATTTTTTAGTATTTTATTTTATTTTATTTTGAGACAGAGTTTCACTCTTCTTGCCCAGGCTGTAGTGTAATGGTGCAATCCCAGCTCACTGCAACCTCCACCTCCCAGATTCAAGTGATTCTCCTGCCTCAGCCTTCCAAGTAGCTGGGATTACAGGTGCGTGCCCCCACGCCCAGCTAATTTTTCTATTTTTAGTAGAGCCGGGGTTTTGCAATGTTGGCCAGGCTGGTCTCGAACTCCTGACCTCAGGTAATCTGCCCGCTTCGGCCTCCCAAAGTGCTGGAATTACAGGCGTGAGCCACGATGCCTGGCCAATTTTTTCATTTTTTGTAGAGACAAGGTCTTACTATGTTGCCCAGACTGGTCTTGAACTCCTGGCCTCAAGTGATCCTCCTGCCTAAATTCCTAAAGTGCTGGGATTACCGGCATGAGCCATCATGCCTGGCTTCATGTTCATTTCTTCTTGCTGCTGCAACATAGTTTGCAGTTTCCTACATTTAGTGGCTTAAAACACCACAAATCTACCATCTTACAGTTCTAGGGGCCAGAAACCCAAACTAGGTCTATTAAGGCTAAAGTCAAGGTGTCAGCAGGGCGGCATTCCTTCTAGAGACTCTAAAGTGTTCCCTTGGCTTTTCTAGCTTCTAGAAGCCACCCCCATTCCTTGGATCATGGCCCCTGACTCCATCTTCAAAGCCAGAAATGAAGCATCTTCAAATCTCCCTCTCTTACCTCTGCTTTCATCACTACATCTCCTGCTCCAATTCTGAATCTCCTACTCTCTTTCTTTTATAAAGACCCTTGTAATTGCTGGGCATGGGGGCTCCCACCCAGAATCCCAACACTTTGGGAGGTCAAGGCAGGAGGAACACTTGAGGCCCGAAGTTTGAAACTAGCATGAACAACATAGTGAGACCCCCGCCTCTAGAAAAAAATAAAAATAAATATTAGCCCAACATGGTGGTATGCGCCTGTAGTCCCAGCTACTTGAGAGGCTGAGGTGAGACAATCGATTTAGCCCAGGAGTTTGAGATCAGCCTGGATGACATAACTAAATCTCATCTCTACAAGGATGAGGTGGGATGATCACTTGAGCCCAGGAATTTGTGGCCAGCCTGGGCAACAAAAGAAGACCCCATCTGGCCAACATGGTGAAACTCCGACTCTACAAAAATGAGCTGGGCATGGATGACATGCATGTGTAGTCCTAGCTACTTGGGAGGTTGAGATGGGAGGATCACTTGATCTCAGAAGGCCAAAGCTATAGTGAGCTATGATCACATCACTGCACTCCAGCCTGGATGACACAGGGAGATTCTGTCTCAAAAAAAAGAAAAGAAATATATATTTCATCTCTGTCCCTGGTTCCTGGCACAGAGCTTCTAAAGCTCTTACAAAGACCTCAGTGATAGATGTGACAGGAACATCTTTTGTTTTAGTATTTGGTCTTGGTCCCAGGTTTCTAACACAAGAGCCTCTAAGAATTTTGGAATCTCCAGCACGGTAAGAATGCATTTGGGGATGTTGTTGAGATGACTGGGTGACTGCAAGCTCCTAGATTTCTTCAGGAGGAGGGCTGATTGCCAATGGAAGCAACCACATGATTAGACGCTTGGAACTTTCAGCCTCATGCACTCAACTCCAGGAGGAAGAGGGGCTGGAGACTGCCTTAATCACTAATGGCCAAAGATTTTATCAATCATGCTTGCATAATAAAGCCTCCATAAACACCCTGAACAGGGTTTGCGGAGCTTCTGGGGTTGCTGAACACAGGAGATGCTGGGAGGGTGGCATGTTCAACAGAGGGCATGGGAACTCTGTGCCCCTCCTAACTTACCTTGCCCTGGGCATCTTTCTTTTTTTTGAGATAGGGTCTGGCTCTTTAGTCCAAGCTAGAGTGGAGTGGCACAATCTCAGCTCACTGTAACCTAAGCCTCCCCAGTCCCCAGCTCAAGGTGTCCTCTCACCTCAGCATCCCTAGTAGTTGGAACTCTAGGTGCACACCACCACACCCGGTTATTATTATTTTTTTGTTTTTTGTAGAGACAGGTTTTCACCATGTTGCCCAGGCTGGTCTCAAACTCCTCAGTTTAAGCGATGCTCCCACCTTGGCCTCCCAAAGTTCTGAGATTACAGGCGTGAGCCACTGCATCCAGCATGTACGTCTCTTTCATTGGCTGTTTCTGAAATGTATCCTTTGCAATGAACCAGCAATAGGAGATGAACTGGCCAGATGTGGTGGCTGACATCTGTAATCCTAGCACTTTAAGAGGCAGAGGTGGGAGGATCACTTGAGACCAGGAATTTGTGGCCAGCCTGGGCAACACAACAAGACCCCATCTATACAAAAAATAAATTAGCCAGATGTGGTGGTGCAGGCATGTAGTCTCAGCTACTAGGGAGGATGAGGTGGGAGAACCACTGGAGCCCAGGCAGTCAAGCCTGCAGTGAGCTATGACTGCACCATTGCACACCAGCCTGGGCAAAAAAATAAGACCCTCTCTCTCAGAAAAAAAGAAAATAAACTGTTCTTCTGAGTTCTGTAAACTGTTCTAGCAAATAATTAAACCCAAGAATGGAGTTATGGGAACCCCCGATTTGTAACAGGTTGGTCAAAAGTACAGGTGACAACCTAGGACTTGCCATTGGCATCTGAAGTGAGGATGGTCTCGTGGGACTGAGCCCCTAACTTGTGGGGTCTGTGCTAACTCCAGGCAGTGTCAGAATAAAATCATGGGATACCCAGTTAATATCCAGAGCACTGGAGAATTTGGTGTAGAAACTCCATACATACATTCAGTCGGAAGTGTGTGAGCAGAGACAGACACGGGCTTTTCTTTCACCTGTCTACCTGCTTAACTGCATAGGAGAGGCAATACGTGGTGCTCATGAACAAAGCAAGCATTAAAGTCAGACCAGACATTCGACTCAGTCTTAATATCCAGGTGAGCTTGGGCAAATCACTCATTATTGCTAAGTCTTCATCACTTCATTCGTAAAATGGGGATAACTGTGGCACCTACCTGTGATTCTGTGAGAATTAACGAAATATTATGCTTGGTGTTATTGTGATCATTATACCTATTCCAAACTATTTGACAAGGACAGTGATGGATGACAACATCAAAAAATTAGAAACTGTAGTGAGATCTCTCAGGCAAAATTCCATACAAGCAAATTACTGTCTCCACAAAGCATTCCTGCCACACCTAATTCACCATTCCCTGAACAAAATGTGCCCTCTTCATTGTCCAGGTCTGTGCAGTGCTGGTTTCCCTGCCTGCACAGCTCACTCCAGCCCATTCCAGCCCATTCCCCATCCCTCCACCTCCCCCTTCCCTCCCCACTCTCATACAACTCTTCCTCATCTTTCAGGACTTAGCTTCAATGTCACCTTAACTGGAAACTTCTCTCAGCCTCCAAAAGAGCTTCCCATTGCATTTGATGCATGCACTATTATTTGATCATTTCTGAGTTATAGTCCAAGTCTTTTTGTACCTGAATAACATGTTACCCAGTCAGTCTCTTTTCCTGGATTCAGAAGTCTTTCATGGTAGATCCAGCTGGAAGTGACAAATACATTCTTTTGAAATAAAGGGATGACACAAACAGACATAAGTTCTTAAACGTCTTAAATGGTATGTGAAAATTAAACAAAATTCAAAGACTTGTGGGAATACTTGGAAAGTTACTGGGAATGTCATAAAGGGTTAATTTGTATTTTATTTTTTGAGACATTATTTTTATTTGATTTTTTATTTTCTGTCACCTAGGCTGAAGTGCAGTGGTGCAATCAGGGCTCACTGCAGCCTCGACCACCTGGGCTCAAGTAATCTCACTTAATTTTTATTTGGTTTAAGAAACAGTCTTGGTTGAGGGTGGTGGCTTATGCCTGTAATCTCAGCACTTTGGGAGGCTGAAAGAGGTATATTACTTGAGGCCAGGAGTTTGAGATCAGTCTGGGCAATATATTAAGACCTTGTCTCTACCAAAAAACAGAGTGAATGTGTGGAAGACAATTTTTCCACAGACTGGGAGTGGAGGGAATAATTTCAGGATGATTCAAGTGCATTACAAATACTGTGCACTTTATTTCCATTATTATTACATTGTAATATATAATGAAGTAATTCTACAACTCACTATAATGTAGAATCAGTGGGATCTCTGAGCTTGTTTTCCTGCAACTAGACTGTCCATCTGCGGTGATGGGAGACAGTGACAGAACATCAGGCATCAGATTCTCGTAAGGAGCGCACAACCTAGATCCCTCGCATGCACACTTCACAACAGGGTTCGTGCTCCTATGAGAATCTAATGCTGCTGCTGATCTGACAGGACATGGAGCTAGGGTGGTCATGCAAGCGATGGGAGGGGCTAGAAATACAGATGAAGTTTCCCTTCACTCGCCTGCTGCTCACCTCTGGCTCTGTGGCCCTGTGGTTGGGAGACTGCTGCTCAAGTGCATTCGAAAGGATCCATCCCATGCCATTCTTCAGTCATCTTTACTGCTGCAGTGGTCAACTGCAGCACCCCTAAGCTTGCAGGGCATATGCTTCACCTGGTATTTCTTTTTTTTTTTTTTTTTGAGACGGAGTCTCACTCTGTCGCCCAGGCTGGAGTGCAGTGGCACGATCTCAGCTCACTGCAAGCTCCGCCTCCCAGGTTCCCGTCATTCTCCTGCCTCAGCCTCCCGAGTAGCTGGGACTATAGGTGCCCGCCACCACGCCCGGCTAATTTTGTGTATTTTTAGTAGAGACGGGGTTTCACCGTGTTAGCCAGGATGGTCTTGATCTTCTGACCTCGTGATCCGCCCACCTTGGCCTCCCAAAGTGCTGGGATTACAGGGGTGAGCCGCTGCACCCGGCCTTCACCTGGTGTTTCATCACAATCAACAGTAAGTGGTAGCTTGAGTCATTGTGAGGTCACTTCCTGGAAATCACCAGCATCCCATATCCCACTGGCAAGGAGCTCAGCACTGCTCCTTGGATAACCAAACTTATTCCCAAATCCCATCTGTGTGGGTCTATCTCCTGGTACCCTTCCTACCATCAATTCTGTATTTGTAGGAGTCCAATCAGGAGACAGAAACCACTCAAAAGTTTAAACTAGAATGAGCAAGGTGGCTCACACCTGTAATCCCAGCACTTTGGGAGGCCAAGGTGGGTGAATTGCTTTGAGCTCAGGAGTTTGAGACCAGTCTGGGAAACATGGCAAAACCCCATCTCTACAAAAAACACAAAAATTAGCTCGGTGTGGTGGCACTTACCGGTAATCCCAGCTACTCGGGAGGCTAAGTCAGGAGAATTGCTTGAGCCTGGCAGGTGGAGGCTGCAGTGAGCAGAGGTTGTGCCACTGTACTCCAGCCTGAGTGACAGTGTGAGACCCGGTATCAAAAAGAAAAAAAATATATATATATATGTAAATTTAATATAGAAAGTATTAATTTTGGCCAGGCACCATGGCTCATGCCTGTAATCTCAGCACTTTGGGAGGCCAAGGCAGGCGGATCACCTGAGGTCAGAAGTTCAAGACCAGCCTGACCAACATGGAGAAACCCCATCTCTACTAAAAATACAAAATTAGCTTGGCATGGTGGCACATGCCTGTAATCAGACCTACTCGGGAGGCTGAGGCAGGAGAATCGCTTGAATCCGGCAGGCGGAGGTTGCGGTGAGCCAAGATAGCGCCACTGCACTCCAGCCTGGGCAATCCAGCCTGGGAAACAAGAGTGAAACTCCATCTCAAAAAAAAAAAAAGTATTAATTTTAGCAGAGGATCAGCATAACGAGGGACACACTAGCACCAAGTAAAGACAACTCTAGAGAATACAGAACTAGCAGAGGCCAGGCACTGTGGCTCATGCCTGTAATCCCAGCAATTTGGGAAGCCTAGGCAGGAGGATCACTTGAGGCCAGGAGTTGGAGACCTGTCAGCGCAACATAATGAGACTATATGTCTACCAAAAAAAAGAAAAATATTAGCCAGGCGTGGTGGTGGTGCACACCTGTAATTCCAGCTACTTGGGAGTCTGGGGTGGGAGGATCCCTTGAGGCTGGGAAGTCTACACTACAGTGAGCCAAGATCATGCCACTGCACTCCAGCCTGGGCGACAGAGTGAGACCCTGTCTTAGAAAGAAAAAGAAAAGAAAGTGTTAATCCCCCTAAGGGAATCTCCTCTTATCCTTCCCTCTCTGGAACCTCACTTGTCAGTTCTTCCTCCCACTTTCCTGTATCTTTAACCTATCCCCCACTTTTAGCGCCTTCCCACCATCATTTAAATTACTCAAACTTCTTCTGTTTTAAAAACCTCTCCCTCAACTCAGTGAGAGGTCTCCTGCACACCCACTGAACCACCTGCTCCCCCTGGTGACTTCTCTACAGAAGCCTGAGCCATGTCTCTAATGCATGAATCTCATCATGTTACTCCCCCATTTACATCACTTCTCCTTGCCTCGGGGATTAAGTCCAAACTCCTTAACAGCCCCCGCTCTGCCCTGCCTTGCAAGGCAGCCTCACTGCTTGCCCCTCTCCATTTCACCTGCTATGGAGTCCAACTGAGCCTCATCTACCCCCTGAATGCACACTCTTTCTCCTCTGGGAGTCTCTGAAGTGGGTGATATCCTCTGCTTATAATATGCTTCCCCTTAAACCTCTACTCTCTTCCTGGCTAGCTTCGGCTCCTCTGTCACTTGTCCGCTTTGGCATCACCTCCTCATGGAAGACTTCCTTGACTCCTCAGATTCTCAGGAGCATGGCAGGTGAGGTGCTCCTCCCATGAATGGATGGAGATTACAGAGTGTGTGTTATTCATGCTTAATTCACCAGTGCTTAGCTCAGTACCTGGCACAAGTTACTGTGGTGGCCAAAGTAATAACCCCCCACCCTGCCAACTAATTGCTCACGTCCTCTGTTACACAGCACAATTACATAGGAAGGGGGAATTAAGAGTGCAGATAAAATTAACGTTGCTCATCAGCTGACCTTAAAACAAGATTATCCTGGAGTATCTAGGAGAGCCCATGTAATTACAAGCATTCTTTAAAAGTGGAAGAGGGAGGCAGAAGGTTAAGAACCAGAGACAGTGGGCACAACGACTCATGCCTGTAATACCAATACTTTGGGAGGCCAAGGCAGGAAAATCCCTTGAGTGCAGGAGTTCAAGGTCAGCCATGGCAACATACTGTGGCCCCATTTCTACAAAAAAATAAAAACAAGATTCACTGAGTGTCATGGTGCTTACCAGCTACTGGGAAGGCTGACATGGTAGGATTGCTTGAGCCTGGGAGTTTGAGGCTACAATGAGCCATGATTGGACAACTGAACTCCATCCTGAGTGACAGGGCAAGGTCCTGTTCCTAAAGAAAAAAAGGACATTGGAATCAGGGTCCCCTCCATCCTAAGGTGGCTACAAGGCATCTCTCTCTGCAAATGAGTAAACATCATCCTCCAACTCCTCACAGAGTGAAGCAGCAGGAAAACTCCCTCACCTCATTTCTGTGCTACTTGGGAGGCCTGGACACCCAATAACCAGCACCTTGCTGATGAAACAATTAGGAAATGGCTCGAGTTGAGCTAAGGAGAATTTGGATCCTTCTTTTGGTTCTCAATAGGCAGGGTAGGGGCCAGGCATGGTGGCTCATACCTGTAATCCTTGCACTGTGGGGGGCCAAGGTGAGAGGACTGCTTGAGGCCAGCTCAAGACCAGCCTGGGCAACATAGCAAGACCTGGGTGGCATACACCTGTGGTCCCTACTACTTGGTAGGATGAGGTAGAAGGATTGATCACTTGATCCCAGGAGTTTCAGGCTGCAGTGAGCCATGATCACACCACTGCACTTCAGCCTGGGTGACAGAGCCAGACCATGTCTCAAAAAGTAAAAAAAAAAAAAAAAAAAAGAGAGAGAGAGAGGGAGAGAGACTATAGGCAGGTACCCCCATATTTGGCTAATTTTTAAATATTCTGTAGAGAGAAGGTCTTGCTAGGTTGCCCAGGCTGGTCTAAAACTCCTGGCATCAGGCTGGGCATGGTGGCTCATGCTTGTTATCCCAGCACTTTGGGAGGCTGAGGCAGGCAAATCACCTGAAGTCAGGAGTTCAAGACCAGCCTGGCCAACATGGTGAAACTCTGACTCTACTAAAAATATAAAAATAAGCCGGGCAGTAGTGGCATGTACCTGTAGTCTAAGCTACTCAGGAGGCTGAGGCAGAGGTTGCAGTGGGCCAAGATCGCACCACTGCACTCCACCCTGGGCAACAGAGTGAGACTCTGTCTTAAAAACAAAACAAAACACAACAAAACAAAAAACAAAAAAACTCCTGGCATCAAGACATCTTCCTGTCTTAGCTTCCCAATGCCCTGGGATTATATTGTTTCCTATAATTGAAGACACTCGTTCTTATACTGCTTTAAGGTATAAAGAAAAAAAAACCATATTGACAAATGTTGGTGAAGGCCGGGCATGGTGGCTCAGCCTGTAATTCCAGAACTTTGGAAGGCTGAAGTGGGCAGATCACTTGAGGCCAGGAGTATGAGACCAGCCTGGGCAACATGGTAAAATCCCATCTATAAAAATTAGCCAAGCATGGTGGCATACACCTGTAATTTTCAGCTACTCAGGAGGCTGAGATGAGAGAATCACTTGTGCCTGGGAGGTCAGGGCTGCAATGAACTGTGATGGCATCACTGTGCTGCAGCCTGAGAGACAGAGCAAGCCCCTATCTAGAAAAAAAAAAAATGTCAGTGAAGATGTGGAGGAGTTGGAACTCACATACATTACTGATGGGAACATTAAATCGTGTAACCACTTTGGGTAGTTCTGTTCTTGTCATTTTAATTGGATTTTTTTTTTTTAAATCAAGACAGGGTTTCACTATCTTGCCCAGGCTGGTCTTGAATTCATGGGCTCAATTCCTCCCAACTGAGCCTCCTGAGTAGCTGGGATTATAGGTGTGAGCCATTGCACCCAACTGGTGTAGCCACTTTAGAAAACAGTGTGGCAGTTTCTCAAAAGGCTAAATGTACAGTCATCATATAATGCAACAATTTCACTCCTAGGCATATATCCCAGAGAAATAAAAATATATGTCCACACAAAAACTTGTACAACAGTCTTCATAGCAGCATTATTCATAATGGCCAATACATGGAAACAACCCAAATGTCCACCAACTGTTGAACAGATAAAACACAGTGTGTCTCTGCCACGGAATATTGCCATAGAAGGAATGAAATATTGATACACACTATGACATAAAGGAACTTTGAAAACACTGTGCTAAGAGGGAAAAAAAGCCACAAAAGATCACATATTGTACAATTCTATTTGTCCAGATTAGGCAAATATATAGTGACGAAAAATCAATCAATGGCTGCCTAAGGCTGGGGGCCAAGGCAGGTTGGGGGAGTAGGAGGTAGTGGCTAAGGGGTATGGATATGGATTTCTCTACAGGGTAATGAAAGGTTCTAAAAGTGACTGTGGTGATTGATGCACAGCTCTGTGAATATTCTAAAACCTACTGAATTGCAGATTTCAATAAATAAAGTGAATGGTATGTGAATCATATTTTAATAAAGCTATTATTTAAAATAATAATAATGGGGGGCTGGGCACAGGTGGTCATGCCTGCCTGTAATCCCAGCACTTTGGGAGGCTGAGGCAGGAGGATCACTTGAAGTCAGGAGTTTTGAGCCCAGTCTGAGCAACCTGGCAAGATCCTGTCTCTATGATAAAAAATGAAAAAATTAGCTGGACATGGTGGCACACGTCTGTAGTCCCAGCTACTTGGGAGACTGAAGTGGGAGAACTGCTTGAGCTCAGGAGTTTGAGGCTCAGTGAACCATGATCGTGTCACTGTACTGCAGCCTGAGCAACAGAGCAAGACCCTGTCTCTGAAAAGGAAAGAAAACAAATGCAAGTTTTTACCACTTGTGAGTGTAGCCAAGTTGGAGGAGAAATAGACAAGAATAAAAGAGCACTGAATAACGAGGGTGAGTGGCTGATTAGGCTCAGTTGCTAGCTAAGTGGCTTCTAAAAAATTCATTAGTAAAGTTATAGCTCTGGGGACAGTCATGTAGTCAAAGAATGAATGCTAAATTCATTACAAAGGCCCGTGGTCTTTCTTTACATGCCTTCTAGTGAAAAATTCCTAAGTGCCTAAATAGCAAGTCTGCAACGATAGCAGCTGTTTATTAAAGACTACAAAAAAGAAATGGAGGCCCGGAGTGGTGGCTCATGTCTGTAATCCCTGCACTTTGGGAGGCTGAGGCAGGCAGATCACTTGAGTTCAGGAGTTCGAGATGAGCCTGGCCAACATGGTGAAACCCCATCTCTACTAAAAATACAAAAATCATCTGGGTGGCGGGCACCTGTAATCCCAGCTACTCAGGAGGCTGAGGCAGGAGAATTGTTTGAACCCAGAAGGCAAGGGTTGCAGTGAGCCAAAATCGCACCACTGCACTCCAGCCTGGGCGACAAGAGCAAGACTCTATCTTAAAAAAAAAAAAAAAAAAAAGGCATCTTCTTAAAGAATGACATAGTGTTTCATGATAAAGAAGCTCTAATTTTGCATTTGTTCAAGTATTGATTAGATTTAGCCAATATGACACCAATCTTGGATAAAGCGCAAACAACACAATTTCATTTTCTCACTAAAAACTGATTAGGTAGTCTAATATCAATTCTGACCTTATTAAAAACTGATCAGATTAAAAAAATTATGGAATGATGGAGCCAATAAGATGTTACAACCTGTTCCAAGGGGAATTCCAAAACCCACACATATTTGAGACCATCAAATATGATGAAATATATTTGATTACTATATTGAAAAATAAACTGATTATATAGCCAATAACAATTGGCAGGGGTCTCCTCATCCACAGCCACACAAACCCGATCACGCAGCTATGTGGTTGCAAGGCCTACATAGCCTAGAAGGGACTGGTCTGACTTGAGAATTCATTCCATTTGTATTTGTATTTTGAGACAGGGTCCCACTCTGTCACCCAGGATGGACTGCAGTGGTATAATCATAGCTCACTGCAGCCTTGACCAACTGGGCTCAAGAGATGCTCCTGCCTCAGCCGCCCCAATACCTGGGAATACAGGCAAGTACCACCATGTCAGGCTTTTTTTTTTTTTTCAATTTTTGTATAGAGAGAAGTCTTGATATGTTGCCCAAGCTGGCCTCAAACTCCTAGAATCAAGAGATCTGCCCATCTCAGCCTCCTGAGTAACTGGGGCCACAGATACACACCATCATGCCTGGCTATATTTTATTAAATTTATTTCTTTTATTTTTGTAGAGCGGTCTTGCTATGTTGCCCAGGCTGCTCTCAAACTCATGGCCTTAAAACATACTCCCATCTCTGCCTCTCAAACTGTTGGAACTATAGGTGTGAGCGACTGCACCTGGCCTGACTTGAGATTTCTTTTATCTAGCATCCTTTACTTGGTAGGATTGGGAAAGGCAGTAGTGTTTTTTAAAATTACTTAATCATTCAATTAGAATCAAACTCAACCTTGACCCCTGCCTTCTCTCACAGCTTTGGGTAATGTCAGGAAATCCTACTGACTGACTTCAATATCTATCCAGGCTCTGACCATCTCTCACCACCACCGTGCACCCGGTCAGGATCACTATCCTCTCCCACCGGGATGTTGCCACAGCTTGGCCCCCAGGCTTCTACCCAAATCTTCCCATAGTCTTCTCAACTTGGCAGCCAGGGCGTGCTTTTAAATCAGGAGACAGATCATGTCGCCTCTCGGCTCAGAAGCCCTCGGTGGTTCCCATTTTAGTCAGAGTAAAAGCCAAAGCCCCAGCAACAGTGTCCCAGGGCTTACATGATCTGTACCGATCCCAGCCCAGCAACTCCCTGGCCTCCTCACCGACTTCGCTCCCTCTATCTCTTTGCTCCACTGGCCTCCTTCCAGAGCCTCAGACACACCAGGGAATTTCCTCCTAATGCCTTTATCCTGTTGACTCAGCCTACAATGCTTTTCCCTCAGCACTTTGGCCAGCTCCATCACCTGCTTCAAACTTTTGCTCAATATTCACTTATGAGGCCAACCCTGACCACTCTACTTAACATTGCCATCTGTCCCCATTCCCACCATGCTCATTTCTTTCTTTCTTTTTGAAACAAGGTCTTGCTCTATTGCCCAGGCTGGAGTACAGTGGTGCAATCATAGCTCACAGCAACTTCAACCTCCCAGGCTTAAACAATTCTCCCACCTCAGCTTCCCTAGGAACTGAGACTACAGCTGCATGCCACAACACCTGGCTAATTTTTTTTTTTTTTTTTTGAGACAGAGTCTCGGTCGCCCAGGCTGAAGTGCAACAGCACGATCTCAGCTCACTGCAATGTCTGCCTTTCAGGTTCAAGTGATTCTCTGCCTCACCCTCCCGAGTAGCTGGGATTACACCCACCACCACACCTGGCTAATTTTTGTATTTTTAGTAGAGATGGGGTTTCACCATCTTGACCAGGCTGGTCTTGAACTTCTGACCTCGTGATCCACCTGCCTCCGCCTCCCAAAGTGCTGGGATTACAAATGTTAGCCACTGCGCCCGGCCTTTTTAAAAAAATTCTTTTAGACATGACGTCTCATTATGTTGCCCAGGCTGGCCTTAAGCTCCTGGGCTCAAGCAATCCTCCTACCTCAGCCTCCTAAAGTCCTGGGATTACAGGCATGAGCAACTGTTAACATGAAGCCCTGGCTTCATGTTCATTTTTTACTTGCTGCTACAACAAACTACCCTACATTTAGTGGCTTGAAACACCATAAATCTACCACCTTACAGTTCTAGGGGCCAGAAGCCTAACTAGGTCTATTAAGGCTAAAGTCAAGGTGTCAGAGGGGCTGCATTCCTTCTGGAAACTCTAGAGAGAATGAGCTCCTTTGCCTTTTCCAGCTTCTAGAAGCCACCCCCATTCCTTGACTCACCTTGAAGATGGCCCCTGACTCCATATTCGAGGCCAGAAGTGCAGCATCTTCAAATCTCCCTCTCTGACCTCTTCTTCCTTCACCACATCTCCTTCTCTAATTCTGACTCTCTTACCTCCTTGTTTCTCTTATAAAGATCCTTGTGATTGGTGGGCATGGGGGCTCCCATCTGTAATCCCAACACTTTGGGAGGCCAAAAATGAAGGATTGCTTGAGGCCAAGAGTTAGAGATCAGCCTGGGGAACATAGGAAGACCCCGCCTTTACAAAATTAAAATTAAAATCAGCTGGACATGGTGATGCAAGCCTGTAGTTCCAGCTACTGGAGAGGCTAAGGTGGGAGGATCACTTTAGCCTAGGAGGTCAAGGCTGCAGTGAGCTATGATCACATCACGGCACTCCAGCCTTGGTGGCAGAGTGAGACTCTGTCTCAAATATAAGAAAAGAAATACACATTTGGTCTCTGCCCCTGGTTCCTGGCATAGAGCTTCTAAAGCTCTTATGAAGTCCTTAGTGACAAAGGTAATACGAGCACTTTCTGTTTTAATATTTAGTCTTAGTCCCAGGTTCCTGACACAAGGGCCTCTAAGGTCTTTCAGATCTGTAGCATGGTAAGAATGCAAGTGGGATGCTGTTGAGCTGACAGGGTGGCTGCAAGCTCCTAGACTGCTTCAGGAGGAAGGCTGGCTGCCAGAGGAACCAACCACATTTTTTTTAAATGGAGTTTGGCTCTTGTAGCCCAAGCTGGAGTGCAATGGCACAATCTCAGCTCACTGCAACCTCCGCCTCCCATGTTCAAGCAATTCTCCTGCCTCCGCCTCCTGAGTAGCTGGAATTATAGGGATGCACCACAATGCCCAGCTAGTTTTTGTTATTTTTAGTAGAGACGGGGTTTCACCATGTTGGTCAGGCTGGTCTCAAACTCCTGACCTCAAGTGATCCACATGCCTCGGCCTCCCGAAGTGCTAGGATTACAGGCATGAGCCACCGCGCCCGGCCCCAACCACATTTTTTGAGGCTTGGAACTTTCAGCCTCACCTGCTGAACTCCAGGAGGCAAAAGGTACTGGAGATTGACTTAACTACCAATGGCCAATCAATCATGCCTCCATAAAAACCCAAATAACAGGGTTTGGAGAACCCTTGTGTTGCTGAACACAAGGAGGTGCTGGGAGGGTAGCGTGCCCAACAGAGGGCATGGAAGCTCTGTGCCCCTCCCCACTTACCTCGTCCTGTGCATCTCTTTCATTGGCTGTTCCTGAGATGGAGCCTTTACATTGAGCCAGTAATAGAAAATAAGCTGGCCAGATGCGGTGGCTCATGCCTGTAATCCCAGCACTTTGGGAGGCAGAGGTGGGCGGAATCACTTGAGCCTAGGAATTTGAGACCATCCTGGGCAACATAAGAAGACCCCATCTATACAAAAATTAAAAGAAATTAGCCAGATGTGGTGGTGGGAACCCTGTAATTCCAGCTACTTGAGAGGCTGAAGCAGGAGAATCACTTGAGCCCTGGAGGCTGAGGCTTCAATGAGCTATGACTGCACCACTGCACACCAGCCTGGACAACAGAGTGAGGCCCTGTCTCTTAAAAGAAAAGAAAAAAACCTGTTTTTCTAAGTTCTGTGAGTTGTTCTAGTAAATAATTAAACTCAAGAAGAGGGTCATGGGAAACCCTGATTTCTAACTGGTTGGTCAAAATACAAGTGACAACCTAGGACTTCCAATTGGCATCTGAAGTGAGGGTGGTCTTGTGGGACTGAGCCCCTAATCTGTGGGGTCTGCACTAACTCCAGGTATTGTCAGAATGGACTTGTGGGATACGCAGTTGGTATCCAGACAGTTGGAGAATTGGTGTAGAAACTCCACACACATATTTGGTCAGTAGTGTGTGAGTAGAGAGAAACATGAGTTCTTCTCTCACCTGTCTACCTGCTTAACTGCATAGGAAAGGCAATGTATGGTGCTCATGAACAAGGCAAGCATTAAAGTCAGACCAGACCTAACATGTGACTCAGTCTTAATACCCAGGTGAGGTTGGGCAAATCGCTCATTAACCCCAAGTCTTCATCATTTTGTGCATATAACGGGGATAACTGTGGCCCCCACCTGTTTTTGTGAGAATCAATGAAATAATATGCTTGATGTTATCGTGATCATCATACTATTTGACAAGGGCAGTGATGCATGATAACATCAAAAAATTAGAAACTGTAATGAGGTCTCTTGGGCAAAATTCCATACAAGCAAATGACCGTCTCTCCAAAGCATTCTTGCCACACTTAATTCACCATTCCCTGAACAAAATGTGCCATCTTCATTGTTCGGGTCTGTACAGTGCTGGTTTCCCTGCCTGGGCAGCTCACTCCATCCCATCCCAGCCCATTGCCCATCCCTCCACCTCCTCTTTCCCTCCCCACTCTCATACAACTCTTCCTCATCTTTCAGGACCTGGTTTCAATGTCACTTTAACTGGAAGCTTCTCTCACTCTCCAGAAGAGCTTCCACTGCACTTGATGCATGCAGTATTATTTGATCATTTTTGAGTTATAGTCCAAGTCTTTTCGTACCTGAATAACATGTTGCCCAGTCAGTCTCTCTTCCTGGATTCAGAAATCTTTCATGGTAGATCGAGCCGGAAGTGACAAAAAGACATTCTTTAAAAGAAAAAAAAAAAAGAGGGTTGACACAGACAGACGTCAGTACTTGAAAGTTTTAAATGGTATGTGAAAAACAAACAAAATTCAAGGGCTTCTAGGAGAAACGTAGGAGGGAAGGTGCTACTGGGAAATATGATGGAAGGTTAAATTTTATTTTATTTTATTTTTAGAGAAAGGGTCTTGCTCTATCGCCTAGGCTGGACTGCAGTGGTGCAATCACAGTTAACTGCAGCCTCAACCTCCAGGGCTCGAGCAATATTCCCATCTAATGTTTATTTTATTTAAGAAACACAGTCTTGCTCTTACCAAAGCTAAAGTGCAGTAGTATGATCATAGCTTACTGCAGCCTCAACCTTCTAGGCTCAAGTGATCCTTCAGTCTTAGCCTCCCCAGTAGCTGGGACTACAGGTGTGCACTGCAATGTGTAGCTCTTTTTATTTTTTAATTTTTAGTAGAGACGAAGTGTCGCTATGTTGACCAGGCTGGTGGTGATCTCCTACACTCAGGCAGTTCTCCCACCTCAGCCTTCCAAAGTGCTGGGATTACAGGTGTGAGCTGCCACACCTGGCTGAGGGGGTTAATTTTTAATTATAAAGAGCTCAAAGCAAATATTAGAAGGAGCCTAAATGCCTACAGCAGCTAACTGGTAAATTGTGATACATCCATATAATCAAATACTATGTAACCATGAAAAGGATTAAGATAGATCAATAGGTATTGGCACAAATGTCCACGAAATATGAAAATGTGAAGTGATGTTCAATCAGCCTGTATGTATCTTGAAGGATATGACCCGTTTTCTCAATAGCAATTATTTCCTGAGATAAGATTATGGGTCTAAAGAGTGAAGGAAATTTTTCACTTCTTTATTTAAAAGTATTTACTATTTTTATAATTTAATAAAAGACTAAACAGATCATTGAATTAGCACAAATTAACTCTATAAATAAATGGAAAAGACACGGACAGCCCAGGCATGGTGGCTCACGCTTATAATACCAGTACTTTGGGACGGGGCGTTGGGGGGATTGCTTGAGGCCAGGAGTTCCAGACCAGCCTAAGAAACAAAGCAAGACCTCGTCTCTACTAAAAATTAAAAAAATATTGGCCAGGCATGGTGGCATATGCCTATAGTCCCAACTACTGAGGTGGAAGGATCACCTGAGCCCAGGAGGTCAAGGCTGCAGTGAGTTGAGACTGTGCCACTACACTCAAGCCTGGGAGACAGAGCGAGACTTCATCTCAAAAAAAAAAAAAAAAAAAAAGACAATAAAGAAATAAAGCTAATAAGCTAACATAAGGAAAGATAAAACATGTGACAAATAGGCCGGGCGCGTGGCTCACGCTTGTAATCCAGCACTTTGGGAGGCTGAGGTGGGTAGATCACGAGGTCAGGAGTTCGAGACCAGCCTGATCAACATGGTGAAACCCCGTCTGTACTAAAAATACAAAAATTAGCATGCTGCTATAAAGACATATGCACATGTATGTTTACTGTGGCACTATTCACAATAGCAAAGACTTGGAACCAACCCAAATGTCCAACAATGACAGACTGGATTAAGAAAATGTGGCACATATACACCATGGAATACTATGCAGCCATAAAAAATGATGAGTTCATGTCCTTTGTAGGGACATGGATGAAGCTGGAAACCATCATTCTCAGCAAACTATTGCAAGGACAAAAAACCAAACACTTCATGTTCTCACTCATAGGTGGGAATTGAACAATGAGAACACATGGACACAGGAAGGAGAACATCACACACCGGGGACTGTTGTGGGGTTGGGGAAGGGGGAGGGATACCATTAGGAGATATACCTAATGCTAAATGACAAGTTAATGGGTGCAGCACACCAACATGGCACACATATACATATGTTAACAAACCTGCACATTGTGCACATGTACCCTAAAACTTAAAGTATAAAAAAAAAAAATTAGCTGGGCGTGGTGCTGTGCACCTGTAATCCCAGCTACTCAGGAGGCTGAGGCAGGAGAATCACTTGAACCTGGGAGGCAGAGGTTGCAGTAAGCTGAGATCACACCACTGCACTCCAGCCTGGGTGACACAGCGAGACTGTCTCTCAAAAAGGAAAAAAAAAAAGTGACAAAGTAATATGAGGTCTTTTATTTATCACACAGAAAATAACTTGTTAAATTATAATACCTGTGCCAGCGAAGGTGCAGTGAAATGGCCATTTTCTTGTAGTATTAGTGGTGTTTAAATTGTATACAAGCCTTCCAGGATAAAGCTTGGAAATTTTTTTTAAATAACACAGACAGTGACTGATTATACTGCCTCCTCCACCTCCTGGCCTCAAGCAATCCTCCCACCTCAGCCTCCCAAAGTGCTGGAATTACAGGCTGACAGCCACCATGCCTGAAAGCTCGGCAATTTACATCAAGGGTAGTAAGAATGCTCATACCCTGCGACTCACAGTAATCTCACTTCTGAAAATATCATCTTTGGATATAATTCAACCTAAACAAAAGGTCATATGCACAAATACAGTGAAAATCTGGGAGTAATTTTTTTCTCTTTTTAAAAAAAATATGGAATGCTTCACAAATTTGCATGTCATTCTTTCAGAGAGGCCATGCCAATCTCTCTATTGTTCCAACTTAAGTATGTGTGCTACTGGAGCAAGCATGAGTAATTTAAGATAGAGTGGTTAAGTGAAATAAGGAAGAGTTACAGAGAATTTAAAAATCTATGGTATTTATAGGCACCTAGTAACAGCTCAGTAAATATTAGCTGCTACTATTGTTATTTTTATGGTAATTTCACTAAATTAAAAATTGTTTTTAAAAGCTACCATTGTCATGGAATGTAATGTATCCTACAGTATAATTGTAAAAATAGATACAATTTGTCCCTTGGTATATGGGGGGATTAATTCCAGCTCCCCCATTTCTGTGTATACCAAAATCCACGCATACTCAAGTTTTTGAAGTCAGTCCTGTGGAATCCACATGTAAAAAAAAATGCGAAAATTAGTGAGGTGTGGTGACAAGTACCTGTAGTCCCAGCTACTTGTGAGGCTGAGGAAGGAGGACTGCTTGAGCCCAGGAGGTTGAGGCTGCAGTGAGCCATAACTGCACCACTGCAGTCCAGTCTGGGGAACAGAGTGAGACAGAAGGTTGACTTTTTAATCAAATTTTTCTGTTCACTTGAAGATATGGTCAGGACTGTGGCATACGAAAATTCTTCATAAAATAACTGTCTAATCCAATTAATGCTGGAATTAGGGACAGAAAATGTTTTGCTGACTATTTATTCCTTCACTTGCTGTTATATAAACTATTGCCAGTGGGCACTTACCAACCAGAAGTGTCATCTCAGAGCTACTCACAATGAAAGGTGATCTCTGGGGCTCAGATGTGTTGAGGTCCCCATGCCTGGGCTATGGGTGCTGAGTGGGACTTACTTGTCTATCCATTTTATATATTCCAGCACTGGGAAACTAGGGTTTATCCATCTTGATAAGATGTCATTTAAATTCCACTTGGCAAGAACCACAAATGGAAGAAAGGCCATGAAACCACAGTACAGTACTTGTTCTCAAGGGAATCTTCAGCTTAGGTGACTCTGTAAAAGAGAAATTACACTGTTGAAAAATCATCGCAGGTCAGTTGAGGTGGCTCATACCTATAATCCCAGCCCACTGGGAGACTAAGGCAGGAGGATCCCCTGAGGCCAGGAGTTCCAGACCAGCCTGGGCAACACAGTGAAACCTCAAAAAATCTCTACAAAAAATTAGAAAATGAGCTGGGTGTGGTAACACATTCCTATAGTCCCAGCTACTCTGGAGTCTGCAATAGGAGGATCGCTTGAGCCCAGGAAGTGGAAGCTGCAGTGAGCTCTGATCTCACCACTGCACTCCAGCCTGGGTGACAGAGTGAGACCCTGTCTCAACATACACACACCCACACACACCCTCATCTCAGTCTGTCCAGCCTTGACTAATCAAAAGGGTCTTCTGGTTACAGAAGAGGTATGCTCTTTTGTAGGACAGGGAGAGACCAGCAAGCTTGTTCACAGACTTTTCCTCATCCTTTGCTTAGTTTTCCAAGAACCCTCATAGTGGAAACAGAGTCCCTGGGAAAACGACCTAAATCTTTAGGTTACCAGAAGAGAAATATGCCTCCTTTGTCAATTAATAAATGGAACACTTGCCTTAAAATCCGGGGAGTTCTGCTAGAATGAATCACTCCCTAAGACCCTGACCTATGCAGGGAACATGAAAAACTGGAGTTTAACTGGGCACAGTGGATCACGCCTGTAATCCCAGCACTTTGGGAGGCCGAGGCAGGTGGATCACCAGAGGTCAAACCTGGCCAACATGGTGAAACCCCGTCTCTACTAAAAATACAAAAATTAGCTGGGCGTGGTGGTGGACGCCTGTAATCCCAGCTACTTGGGAGGCTGAGGCAGGAAAATTGCTTGAATCTGGAAGGCAGAGATTGCAGTTACTTCTAGAAGAATTTCCATTAGCCATTTGAAATCCTTCAACATTCATTAAGGCCAAAGAGTTTTCACCTAATTTAATCTGATGGGTATGTGACCAGAGTCTTTCTAGGGAATAGAGACTCCCAAACTGTTCAGCTGGGAAGTGAGGAGAGAATTTATTACTCAAAATCAAAGGGAAATGAAAAGAGGCCAATCTAGAATGTCATTATTCTTTTTTCGGGGGGAATGGATTCCAGAGTCATTTTGTGACCTTTACATGACCTCCTTATTAGCACCTAAAAGCTTCCAGTATAGGATGCAGCCAGCTAGGTTCTCTTCTAATGTAATAAAATCTGCTTCAGCAAAGCTTATGCAGAGCCATCTCCAGACTCCAGAAATAATAAGCTATAAATTACTGGATCTCCCATTTGATATAATGAAGTATAAGCACAGTCCTGAATGACTCCTCTACATACTACTCTGGGTGGCTTGAAGTGAATTTGATACAAGAACTGGAGTGAGCGCAAAGCAGAGCTAGATCTAGGATTAATGCTCTTGGGCCCAGCTGCTCACTACTCACCGATGAGTCCAGTTCCAGAACCCAAGTAGAGGGTGGGGAAACAAGGCTCCTGGCATTTCCTAATGTCTGCATCTCTTTCACATTTCTTGTCTCCTTGCAAAGAAACTAAACAGGCTCAACTGAAATAACTAAATGATTAAACCCTATGCAGAGAATCTCCAAAGATTCACAAAATATCATTCAAGACTGTTACACAGACAACCATGAGGATGACTTGATGTACCAGTGATCTACAATATTTGGGATCATTCCAAATTCCCATCAAGGATCTGCCTATATCAACACGGGAGCCAAGGACCAACCACTCAAATGGGCCCTGCTGCCAAGCCTTTTTTTTTTTTTTTTTTTAACAATGCCATCTCTTCATATTGTTCTGTTTAACAAAACTGCAGCCTGTCACCCATCCTTAAATCCCTTGGCCAGTGGCACAGAGCCAGAGTATGCTACTCCCTAGCAGGAAATCAACAGGATGACCTACTAAACACCATTCAGAAGATGCTAAGACCCATGAATTGCAACAGGAAAGAGAATTAGTCAGGCAGGTACATGCTGTGCCAAAAATGCACTACAACCCCCACCCAATTCTGCCTAATCCTAGCTAGGCTGACACCAACCTGATGAGACAGGCCTATAAGATCTCAAACTAAAACAGAAACTCTTGAACCGGGTTCTTGCGAACCCAGAAAGCAGCAGTAAACCATTAAAGAACAGATAAGTTCTTGAGGTGAAGGAGAGTTTCAGATAAATGGAATGCTGGTAGAACACAGGGCTCAAAGGAGCAAAAGTTAACTTAAGCCTAGGTAGAACCTTGTTTACTAGAGTATTAGGCATGGGTTGTGACAACTATTCTAACCAAAGAGGCTCCACTGAGGGCGGGTTGGCAATCCAAGGTATAGCATGCATAGGGCTGGTGAAATTCAGGGTGACTGAAACAAAAGCTTCAGAACCAGGAAGACCACATCTGGGGGTAGAGCACAAAACTCTGAAGAGATGAATCTTTGTAAGAGTGAAGCAAACTATATAGCAGTTTTAGGAGATCTGTTGGTGCCCAGCAAGAGCTCCAAACAGGCTATATGCAGGGATGCAGGCTGTAGTTTCAGGAGAGAAGGTTCACAAAAGTCATTCAGTCCAAGATCCCAAACTGCGTTCTCTACTAAAAGGAATCAAGGTCCCCTAGAGAAATGGCTGACTCCATGTATGGTACAGTATATTGATCCTGGAACATCTTTTTTGCCAGAAAGCAAGGAAGCCATCAAAGTCCAACAGGATCACATCAAAAAGACGTAAGAGTCAACTTGAAGAGATAATTATTAACCTAGATGAGACAACGTAAGCATCCAAAACAATAAAGACTGCAATGGCCTGAAATACATCAAATGCAAACAATAATCTATGAGTTCATAATGGCATTCAGAAAAAAAAAACTATTGGTCACTAGAATGAAGGTTAGTAGGTCACCAACTTATTACTCTGAAAAGTGACTTAAAATGAGAGGTAAGGTGGAGAATTAGCTATTTATTCAGTTTTTTCTGTACAAACATAAATTTTTAGGGAGATTGAAGCAGATGAAACAAATCTGGAAAAATGGAGATAACTGCTTAATCTGCGGGTTGGGTACATGAAGGTTCATCATATTTCTTTTGTGTATATTTGAACTCCCTACAAAAAAAAAGCACAAGACAGAATGTGAGCCAAGCAGCTTAGGGTTTAGGCAAGGCTTCTGCCTACAAGAGACACTAGGATATGAGGGGTAGTTTTAGCCCTGATGGGCTGAGCCAACTGGAGGTATATAAGGAGGTGCTAAATTGCAGAGGTATCATGTTGCCCAGCACTTGATCAAATCCTAGATCCTAGGTCTGCTTGGTAGTATGCTTCCTAGATGGTGGATCTGAGGCTACCTACAGAACTTCCTTTGCAGTCATAATTCACTCAGAAACTACAAAAGTGCTTGCTCTTGAAAATGGAGCCTGTCTTTGTCCATTTCATGCTGCTATAAAAGAATGCTGCAGACTGCATAATTTACAAGAAAGAAAAAAGGAAGGAGGGAAGGAGGGTAGGAGGAAAGGAAGGGAATGAATGGAAGGAAGGGAAGGAAAGGAAGGAAGGAAGGGAAGGAAGGGAAAGAGGGAAAGAGGGAAGGAGGAAGGGAGGGAAGGAGGTAGGGAGAGAGAGAGGGAGGGAGGGGAAGGGAAGGGAGGAGCAGGGAAAGGAGGAAGAAAAGGAAAGGAAAGAAAAGAAAAGGTAAGGAACAAATTTTATTTCTTACAGTTCTGGATGTTAGGAAGTCCAAGGTTGAGAGGCCTGCATCTGGCAGGGATCTTCTTGCTGTGTAGAGGAAGACTATCTTCCTCTACACATCATCTCACGACAGAAGGCAGGACAAGAGAGTGCAAGAAAGCAAGAGGGCAAAAGGGGCTGAACTCTCTTTTATAATAAGCCCACTCTGTGATTACTAATCTGTTACCACAATAACAACATTAACTCATTCATGAGGGCTCTCTTATTAGGCCTCACATCCCAACTGTTGCATTGAGGACTGAGTTTCCAGCACATAAACTTTGGGGGACACATTTAAACCATAGCAGAGCACTTATGTTAATTCAACCAAGAGGAGCTGGGAAAATCAAAGGCATGAGAAAGACAACAAATGCTGGCAGAGAAATACGTGCAGGTTAAGGAAAAAAGTCACAATGAATCCTGTAGTGCAGGCTACTTCATCAAAAGCACCTAAAAAGGATCTCATTAACTCCCCCAACTCACCTCCACCCACGTCTAAAGGGCCACACACAGCACTACCAAAGGCAGTACAATGAGAACAGCATTCTCCTCAACAGACTGTTGAGGAGTACCCAGACACCTGACCTCAACAGCTCCAGAACAGCCCTAAAACAGCTCCTCCCTAACCACCACTCAAGTCACCAGCTGGGAAAATATTCAGAAAACCCAAATCCTGACACACCACTATGAAACAACTTAAACAGCAAATAACAACCCATTTAAACAGCAATGTCAGCAGCTGGGAAAAAAAGGAACAATGAGTAGAGGAAAAGCAGACCTCTTGGGGTCCAATAAGACCCAGTCTCTCAGCTTCAGCACTTTCAAATACAGAATCCATACACCTCTGGGGCCTGTGGAGCTCCACGAGGCATGTTGTCCTCAAAGATAAATGAGCAGGCAAGCTGGCTAGAAAACCACTAAGGGTATTATTCTTTAAAGAATCTTTATAGGGTCAAAGAGTAATGGGTCTTACAGGTGTTGTGTATTCCCCACAGATTCTGAGGATGATGTCAGTATCCCTTTCCAGATGTGTTTAACACTTTGTGGTCGCTTGTATTCCTGCCACTGAGTGCCAGTGCTTTGCTAATTTGAACTGATTCCAACTCACGCTGACCCTGGCTCCCTGGATCTGGTTACCATTAGCCAAGACTGTCATCCATACTGTACCCTTTTAAAGAGTCCTAAAAACAACTCTTCACCTACTCTTCCAAGACAAGTAAAAACGTCTACCAAAGAAATGGGGAAAAAAGATTGAGAGAGAGAAAACAATTAACATACTAACAAGACAGTAGAAAGAGAAGCGGGAGGAGAAACTAGGAAAATCATATGTGGGCTCACACCTATTTCCAAAGCTGGACTAACATCCTTTTGCTTGTGTCTGAATAAGGCATAAATTTTAAGCTGCTAATGAAAAAAAAGAAAAAGAGAAAGAAGCAGGCCCAGGCCGGGCGTGGTGGCTCACGCCTGTAATCCTAGCACTTTGGGAGGTCGAGGCGGGTGGATCACCCAAGGTCAGGAGTTCGAGACAAGCCTGGTCAACATGGTGAAACACCATCTCTACTAAAAATACAAAAAATTAGCTGGGCATGGTGGCGCATGCCTGTAAATCCAGCTACTCGGGAGGCTGAGCAGGAGAATAGCTTGAACCCGGAAGGCAGAGAGAATGTGATGACCTGAGATCACGCCATTGCCCTCAAGCCAGGGCAATGACAGCAAAATTCAGTCAAAAAAAAAAAAAAAACATAAAATAACTCAGACTTCATTAAATACAACCCTAGTGGCAAATGACTATTGGTCAACAGTAAAAAAAGATGGATTACTCAGAACAGAGATTAAGAGTCCAATAAGAATCCAAGAATCTTACCTTTAAATAACGAAATAAATCCTTTCCTTTGAAAGTAATATCCTCTTAAGGCCAGGAATTCCATTAGTAGACAGCCTTCTTAAAAAAAAAATTCCTGGCCGGGCATGGGTTCACACTTGTAATCCCAGTACTTTGGGAAGGTGAGGCAGGAGGATCACCTGAGGTCAGGAGTTCGAGACCAGCCTGGCCAACATGGTGAAACCCCATCTCCACTAAAAATACAAAAATTAGCCTGATGTGGTGGTGGGCACCTATAATCCCAGCAACCTGGGAGGCTAAGGCAGGAGAATCGCTTGAACCCAGGAGGCAGAGGTTGCAGTGAGCCAAGGTCGTGCCATTGCACTCCAGCCTGGGCGACAAGAGTAAAAACTCTGTCTCAAAAAAAAAACAAAACAAAAAAAACAAAACAAAAAAAACAACCTCCTTTGGGAAGAGCTTCTACGTAAAAATCTTCAACATGAGACTGGAAAAAAGGGTATGGGACCATCCCTGGACCTTTGGCTTTTACAGCTGGAGCTGTAAGAACAAAAAGAAAAAGGGATATCATTTAACCACAATATATAGAAAAGAATAATTATTGGTCTTTAACTTTTACGCTTTGATCTTTAATTCTGTTATTGTAATTGAGTGCAAAGAAAAATAGTATGAGTGAAGTAGAACACCAAAAATGCTAATATTCTGTTTATCAAAGTCTGTAGTGAAATATCCCATTAAATCCAAGTGCAGTGACTCACACCCATAATCCCAGCACTTTGGGGAGGCTGAGGCAGGTGAATCTCCTGAGGTCAGGAGTTCGAGGCCAGCCTGGTCAACATGGTGAAACCCCAATCTACTACAAATACAAAAATTAGGCAGGCGTGGTGGCAGGGGCCTGTAATCCCAGCTACTTAGGAGGCTGAGGCAGGGAGAATTGCTTTGAACCCAGGAGGTAAGCTTGCCATGAGCTGAGATCACACCTGCACTCCAGTGTGGGCGACAGAACAAAACTCCATCTTACCAAAAAAAAAAAAAAAAAAAAAAGAACAGCTAGTAGGTGACATTTGCTATGGGGAGACTAGGAGTGATATGATCTTGTTGCAATCCTTCCATTTTAGTAAATCTAAACAGTGTGAATCCATTCTGTTTCATCCCCACTCCACTCCAGAGCCAAAACAAGAAAATCAATTATGTTTATATTTCTTTAAAAACATATCTAACTAAATCATCTAATTAAAAGACAATATGCATGGCTCCATACTCTAAAAGAAAACTTACGTCCTGCGTATCATGGACATTTGATGAATACTTGTTCAGTTGACTGGTGTAGACTTCAATAATAACCTGTTCGATGCATTATGCCAGATAAATCTTGCGTCTCAAAAGTAGGACAAATATTGTTCTTTCAGTTTTGTCTACCCAAAATGCAATATTTACATGTATTTATAATAGGTTAATAAAAAGAAAATGAGTTTATTGTTCTAGAGAGTATGAGAATTTGAAAACATGAATTCTCCTGTCCTGGCACATAATTAACACTTAGAGGTATATTATTTCATGTGGAGGGTACCATTAAAAGAATTCAATGTTAAACCTTAAATAATTATTTCACATAATCTTCTAATCTGACTTAAGACTGAAGACCTATCTCCTGAAGCTGTTTCATCAAGTTGTAAATTTTCACCTGTTGAATTCACAAGTTCATGTCTGAAAGGTGAGAATACTTAATATTCACTAGGCAATATTCACCAAATAATATCTACTAGTACATATTTAACATTTCATCACCAAGGGTGGTTGTGCTAAGAAAAGACAGGCTGGGCACGGTGGCTGACACCTTTAATCCCAGCACTTTGGAAGGCCGAGGCAGGCAGATTACGAGGTCAGGAGTTCGAGGCCAGCCTGGCCAACATGGTGAAAGCCTGTCTCTACCAAAAATAGAAAAATTAGCCAGGCATGGTGGCAGGCACCTGTAATCCCAGCTACTCAGGAGGCTGAGGCAGGAGAATTGCCTAAATCCAGGAGGTGGAGGTTGCAGAAACCACAATCACGCCACTGCATTCCAGCCTGGGCGAAAGAGCAAGATTCTGTCTCAATCAATCAATCAATCAACCAATCAATCAATAAAAATATAAGGAGAAAGCATTTACTGTGTATTTATATGCCCAGTATTACGTGAAGCACTTTACTATCTTATCAAATCTTCGGGATAGATCTTCAGTTCTCCTGACCACAAAAGAGGACACTAAAGTTCAGACATGAGAAGAGACATGGCCAACCTGTGTCCCCAGGGCCTACAGTCTTACCACTAGGTTACAGTGTTTCCAGTTATCACATGTTGTGAGATTTTTGCTTTAAAATAAAACAAAAAGAACCAAAGGCGAAAAAGGCATAAGCTATTAAAAAGTGGGAGAAACACTAAGAGAACCTTAAGCACATTACTAAAAATATTATGGAAATGTTATTGAATTCATTAGCAAATTTAATTCTAGATTTTCACTGAGGAGTAGGTTATATTACTCATGATGAAG
Organism: Homo sapiens; assembly: GCF_000001405.40. NCBI lineage: Eukaryota > Metazoa > Chordata > Mammalia > Primates > Hominidae > Homo > Homo sapiens. The sequence continues at coordinate 56,411,201 of NC_000007.14, forward strand.
AAAAAATGTTCAATATGGTTTATCATGCTTAAACGTTCACTTAAAGCAATTCAGTTAAAATTCTGCAAATCATACAATTTTATAGTTTGCTAGTAGGTTACAAGTAAATAGTCATCCAAATAAAAACAGTAAAACACATGATGTTTTCCACTGGTTGTTGCTCTTTTTAGGTGAGCATTTGATATATACCAATAGACAAAGGATAATAACAAATTGCTAATTTCTTTCATCATTATATAAAGGTGGCTTAAGGACAGAATAGTATAAGGGCAATGATGAATTTGAAATCTAACGTCAACTCAGTAATGCATCAAGATAAAAGTAGAGACGACAGGGGCACCTTGGTGCACTGAATTTTTATTTATTTATTTATTTATTTATTTTGAGATGGAGTTTTGCTCTTTTTGCCCAAGCTAGAGTGCAATGGTGCAATCTCGGCTCACTGCAACCTCTGCCTCCCAAGTTCAAGTGATTCTCCTGCCTCAGCCTCCCGAGTAGCTGGGATTACAGACATGCGCCACCATGCCCGTCTAATTTTGTATTTTTAGTAGAGATGGGGTTTCTCCATGTTGGTCAGGCTGGTCTCGAACCCCCGACCTAGATATCTGCCTGCCTCGGCCTCCCAAAGTGCTGGGATTACAGGCGTGAGCCACTGCACCCAGCGTATTTTAAGTATTTTTATCTTCCACTTTTTAATTTATCTGGGTCCAACGAATTCCAAATTTAACAAAGCAGACTAAGAGAAACAATTCATTAAAAAAAATAATATTTGGCCAGGCACAGTGGCTCACGCCTGTAATCTCAGCACTTTGGGAGGCCAAGGCGGGTGGATCAGGAGGTCAGGAGTTCAAGACCAGCCTGGCCAAGATCGTGATACCCTGTCTCTACTGAAAATATAAAAATCAGCCAGGCGTGGTGGCTGGCGCCTGTAATTCCAGGTGCTCAGGACCCGGGAGGCTGAGGTTGCGGTGAGCCGAGATCGTGCCACTGCACTCCAGCCTGGGCAACAGAGCAAGGCTCTGTCTCAAAAAAAAAAAAAAAAAAAAAAAAAATTCTTAAGGGAGTTACAAACACAAAAATGAAGGAAAGAATAGCTGCTATCACAAAACCAGATTTAAGTCCATAGCCCACAGATCCTACACAGCAATTACACAATGGAGAACACAGAGCAACCAGCTAACAATATCGCGACAGGATCAAAATCTCATATACCAGTGTTAATCTCAAATTAAATGGTCTAAATGCTCCACTCAGAAGTCAGGGTGGTTAAGTTGAATACAAAAACGAAAACCAGCCACTGCTTGTCTTCAAAACCCATCTCACATGTAATACCATGCAAAGGCTCAGTGTAAAGGAATGAAGAAGGATCCATCATGCAAATAAAATGGAAGAGTAAAGGTTGCCATTCTTTTCTTCTTTCTTTCTTTCTTTTTTTTGAGATGCAGTCTTGCTCTGTCGCCCAGGCTGGAGTGCAGCGGTGTGATCTCGGCTCACTGTAAGCTCTGCCTCCGGGTTCAAGTGATTCTCCTGCCTCAGCCTCCCAAGTAGCTACTTTTTGTATTTTTAGTAGAGACGGGCTTTCACCGTGTTAGCCAGGATGGTCTCAATCTCCTGACCTCACGATCCGCCCACCTCGGCCTCCCAAAGTGCTGGGATTACAGGCGTGAGCCACCAAGCCCAGCCGCTATTCTTATATCAGATAAAACAGACTTTAAATCAACAACAGTAAAAAAAGACAAAGACGAGCATTACATAATGATAAAAGACTCAATTCAACAGGAAGACTTCATTATCTTAAATATATACACACCCAACATTGGAGCACTCAGATTCATAAAACAGTACTTCTAGACCCATGAAAAAGTTTAGACAGCCACATAATAATAGGCAACTTCAACACCTCGCTGACAGCATTAGACAAACCACTGAGACAAAACCTACAAAGAAATTCTGGACTTAAATTTGACTCTTGATCAATCAGGCCTAATAGACATCTATAGAATACTCTATCCCAAAATCACAGAACATACTTTCTTCTCATGTGCACATGGAACATACTCTAAGGTCAACCACATGCTTGGCCATAAGCAAGTCTCCATAAATTTAAAAATAAAATAAAATCATACCAAGCACACTCTTGGATTACACTGCAATAAAAACATATCAATACTGAGATATCTCAAAACTACAGAATTACATGGAAGTTAAAAAATGTGCTCCTGAATGACTTTTGGGTAAACAATGAAATTAAATCAGAAACAAAAAATCTTCAAAATAAATAAAAACAGAGACACAACATATCAAAACCTCTGGGATATTGCAAAAGCAGTGTTAAGAGGAAAGTTTACAGTGTTAAGTGCACATGCCAATAAGTTAGAATGATCTGAAATTAACAATCTGACATTACGCTTGGAGGAACCAAAAAACAAGAAAATAACCCCAAAGCTAGCAGAGGAAAAGAATTAACTAAAATCAGAGCAGAAATGAATGACACTGAAACCCCAAAACCCACACAAAGGATAAACAAAAATTGATTCCTTGAAAGAATAAAAAAGATTGATAGACTTCTAATTGGATTAACCAAAAGTGAGAATATTTAAATAAGCACCATCAGATATGACACAGATGACATTACAACCGATCCAACAGAAATAAAATAGATCCTCAGAGACTTTTATGAACACCTCCATGCACACAAATTAGAATTTCTACAGGAAAACAGATAAATTCCTGGAAACACAAAAATTTTCAAGACTGAACCAGGAAGAAACTGAAATCATGAACAGACCAGTAACAAGTTCTGAAATTGAAGCAATAATAAAAAACCTACTAACCAAAATAAGGCCTGGACCAGATGGATTCACAGCTGAATCAGAACCAAAGCTGTTCTCAATCCTATGGAAACTCTTCCAAAATATTGACGAGGAGGGACCCCTCCCTAATTCAGGAGTTGGAGACCACCTGGACAACATGGCAAAACCCTGTCTCTACAAAAAAATACAAAAATTAGCTAGGCGTGCTAGCATACACATGTTGTCCCAGCTACTTGGGGGGCTGAGGCAGGAGGATCACTTGAGCCCAAGAGGTTGAGGCTGCAGTGAGTTGTGTTTGCACCACTGCACTCTAGCCTGAGAAACAAAGTAAGACCCTGTCTCAAAAAACAAAACAAAACACAAAGCTAAAATTGACAAATGGAACTTAATTAAAGAGCTTCTGTACATCAAAAGAAACTATTAACAGAATAAAAAGACAACCTACAGATGGGAGATTTTTGCAAAGTATGCCTCTGACAAAGGACTAATGATAAGGAACAAACAAATTTACAAGAAAAAAACAACCCCATAAAACAGTGGGCCAAGGACATGAACAGATATTCCTCAAAAGAAGACATACATGCATCTAGTAAGCACATTTTTAAAAAAGATTCCTATCATTAATCATTAGAGAAATGCAAATCAAAACCATGAGAGACTAACCCACACCAGTTGGAATGGCAATTAGTCAAAAATATTTAGTAACAGATGCTGGTGAGGTTGTACAGAAAAGGGAACACTTATACACTGCTGGTGGGAATGTAAATTAGTTCAGCCACTGTGAAAAGACGTTTGGTGATTTCCCAAACAACTTAAAACTGAACTACCATTCTACCCAGAAATCTCAATATTGGGTATATACCCAAAGGAATATAAATCATTCTACCAAAAAGACACATGCACTTGTATGTTTATCGCCACACTATTCACAATAGCAAAGACATGGAGTCAACCAGGAGCCCATCAAAGGTGGATTGGATAAAGGAAACATGGTACGTTCACACCATGTTACACTATATAGCCACAAAAAGAACAAAATCATGTACTTCGCAGCAACATGGATTTAGCTGGAAGCCATTATCCTACACAAACTAATGCAGGAACAGAAAACCAAATACTACATGTTCTCACTTAGAACTGGGAGCCAACCACTGGGTACACATGGACAAAAAGATGAGAACAGCAGACACTGAAGACTACAAGAAGGGGAAGGATGGGAGGCGAACCAGTGTCAAAAATGACCTATTGAGTAGTAAATACTTGCTACCTGGGTGACAGGGTCAATCATACCCCAAACCTCAGCATTATGCAATATACCTTTGTAAAAACATCTGCACATGTACCCCCTGAATCTAAAATAAAAGAAAGAAAAAGAATAAACAAAATGCTTTTTAAAACTTGCCAAAGAAGCCGGGCGCAGTGGCACACTTCTGTAATCCCAGCACTTTGGGAGGCGGGGCGGGCGGATCACGAGGTCAGGACATTGAGACCATCCTGGCTAACACGGTGAAACCCTGTCTCTATTAAAAATACAAAAAAGTTAGCCAGGAGTGGTGGCGGGCGCCTGTAGTCCCAACTACTCGGGAGGCTGAGGCAGGAGAATGGCGTGAATCCGGCAGGTGGAGCTTGCAGTGAGCGGAGATCGCGCCACTGCACTCCAGCCTAGGCAACACAGAGAGGCTCCGTTTCCAAAGCAAAACAAACAAAAAAAAAACTTGCCAAAAAATAGAAAAACAATCCTAAAATTCACATGGAAGCAAAAAAAAAAAAAAAAAAAACCCAGACTAGTCCGCCTACTCATGAGGAAAAAGAGCAAAGCTGGAGGCATCACTTCTACCTGACTTCAAAATACATTAGGAGGGGCCGGGTGCGGTGGCTCACACCTGTAATCCCAGTACTGTGGGAGGCCAAGGCGGGCAGATCACGAGGTCAGGAGATCGAGGCCATCTTGGCTAACACGGTGAAACCCTGTCTCTATTAAAATACAAAAAAATTAGCCGGGCGTGGTGGCGGGCGCCCATAGTCCCAGCTACTCGGGAGTCTGAGGCAGGAGAATGGCGTGAACCCGGGAGGCGGAGCTTGCACTCAGTAAGCAGAGATCGCGCCACTGCACTCCAGCCCGGGTGACAGAGCGAGACTCCCTCTCAACAACAACAACAACAATAACAAAAAATTACAAGGTATAGTGACTAAAACATGGATTGTTATAAAAACAGATACACAGACCAATGGAACAGAATAGAGAACCCAGAAATAAATCTACATATTTACAGGCACATGATTCTTGACAAAGGTGTCAAAGGTGTCAACAACATAACATTGGCAAAGAACACTCTCTTCAACAAATTGGGCTGGGGAAACTGGATATCAGTAGGATGAAGAATGAAAGCAGATCCTTATCTTTCACCATAAAATCAACTCAAAATCCATTAAAGACTTAAACATAAGACCCCAAATTATGAAACTACTAGAAGAAAATATAGGGAAAATACTTCAAGACATTGGTCTAAGCAATGATTTTATGGCTAAGACATCAAAAAAAAAACAGGTAAAAAATAAAAAGAAAGATCAAAAATAGATAAATGAGACTATATATATTAAAAGTTTCATTACAGCAAGGAAAACAACCAAATGGAGTGAAGAAAATCCATAGAATGAGAGAAAATACTTGCAAGCTGTTCACCTGACAAAGGTCTAAATCCAGAACATATGGGAAAGCAAACACCTTAACAGTGAAAAAGTTAGTAGTCCAACTAATAAGTAGGTAAAGGCTCTGAGTAGATTATTTCTCAAAGGAAGACATACAAATGGCCAATATATGAAAAAGTACTCAATATCATCTCACCACAGTTAGAATGGCTACTATCAGGAAGACAAAAAGTAAAAAATGCTGGTGAGGTTGGGGAGAAAAAGGGAACTCTTATGCACTGGTGTAGGAAATAGCAAATTACTATAACCGTTATGAAAAACAGTGTGGAAGCTTCTGTAAAAACTAAAAACAGAACTGTGGTATGATCCAGCAATCCTACTATTGAGTATTTATCCAAAAGAAAGAAAATCAATGTATCAAAGGACACCAGCACCCCCATTCACAATAACTAAGATGTGGAATTAACCTTAATGTTTATCAACAGATGATTGTGGTTGATGAATAAAGAAAATAGGGCATACATACACAGTGGAATACTATTTAGCCAAAAAATAAATTCATGTCATTTGCAACAACATGAATGAGCCTGGAGGACATTATGTTAAGTGAAATAAGGCATGAAACCGTAAGTACTGCATGTTCTCACTCATGGGAACTAAAGTAAAAAATTTGAGGTCATGGAAGTAGAGAGTAGAACTGTGGGTATTACAGGGTGGGAAAGGTAGGGGGAGTGGAGGATGGGGAGAGGTTGGTTAATGGATACAAAATTACAGCTACATAGGAGGAATTAACTCTAGTGTTCCGTGGCATTGTAGGGTCACTATGATTATGATTTATAGTGTATTTTTAAAAAGGTAGAGGAGAGGATTTTCAATGTTCAAAGCACAAAGAAATAGTAAATGTTTGAGGTGATGGCTTTGCTAATAGCCTGATTTGACCATTATACACTGGCTACACTTATCAAAATATCACTGTGAATCCCATAAATATGTACAATTATACATGTCCACAAAAATAAAAAGGAAATTGGGTATGATGTAATACACCTGTAGTCCCAGCTATTCACGAGGCTGAGGCAGGAGGACCCCTTGAGCCCAAGAGTACAAGGTCAGCGTGGGCAATGTAGTGAGTGGGACACTATCAATCAAAAATAAATAAATAAATAAACAAACAAACAATTCATCCTATAAATAGACTATGGGCCACACTTAGTGACTTCCTTCTAATGAATAGAATGTGGTACAAGTGATACCGTGTGGCCTCCAACATTAGGTTAGAAGAGGCTCTCTACCTCAGACTGCTTGCCCTTAGAACCGAGCCCCCATGTTGTGAGGAAGCTCAGGTCACAAAAAGCACACAGGAGTTCCAGTGCAAGTATTTGGGCTGCCTGCCCCAACTAAAGTTCCAATCAACAGCCACTGTCAACAACCAGACATATCAGTGACCAGACCTTCAGATGATTCCAGTCCCCTAACATTTGATTGACTGCAAGTGAAGCTGAGGGGAGCAGAGAAGGTTGTCCTGGACAAGGATTTTCCAAACCACAGATTGGTGAACTAAATACATGCTGCTGTTAAGCCACTCACCTTTGGGTAGCTTGTTAGGGAAAAATAAACAGGAAAATGGACTTAAACAAAAAGACAGTAAGAAATATAATAGCTTACACAGTAGTAATTAGTCTCCTTTAAAGTAGGATCTACTAAATGTTGAGGTTAATTTATTAATGACAAACAATGCTAATGAGAAGCAGCAGACAACCAGGAGACAGACGTATGAACTATTGAGGAGGATGTTTAGAAAAAGTTCCCTTCAGTTACAAATTCTCATAACTAAGCAAATGAGGCTCTTTAGCATTTGCCCCTCAAGTTATGGGATAAGGAAGATGAGGAAGGAAGGATATATAATTTGAAGTATGAAAGTTGAAAAAAAACAGAAGTATTTGATATAACCCAAATCAGACATTTTACCTGATTTCAATGAACTGAAATTCTAAAAGTGATAAGCAGCTGAGTAATTATTAATCAATCTAGTATTTGATCTTCATTTCCATTTCCTCAATGAGAAAATAAAGAGAATACTAGGGAATCAGTTTTAACCTTCTCTGTAGTAAAACAAATGTAGTGTCCTTTACATGTTAAAAAATTAAATACAATTTCCCTTCAAGCTGAGAAGGTAAGACCATCTCATCTTTACATTGTACCAAAATGCTGCTCCATATCATACAAATTGGCTCTGAAATTTTGAAATTCATACAACTAATTTGACTATTTGTCTCTGATAAATACCTGGACATCACCTGATTTTTAGGTGCTGCATGCCTGAAAATTTTTATTTGAATGGGTTGAACTACTAATTTGATTATGTACTGAGCTATAAAGCATAGCTAGGCACCTCTGTTAAGTAAAAGCAGTTAAATACAGAAAACTGTAATTTCTGAGAATGTAGGATCTGTGCCAAGAAAAGGATCAGCTCCAGTGTTATACAAAGAACCAGGTACCAGGTCAACAGAGGATCTATTTGTGAGCTGTAAGATGATGAATTAGCTCAATTTCCAAAGAGGAAAGCAACAGCCCAGACTTAATCTTCTCCTTCCTACATGGCAAAAATCTACACAATTCTATGACTTATTATGAGTTAGTAAATATAATGCAGTAAATAGTAGACTGAGTCAGCAGATCCTCTAACCAAGATTTGATGAAAATCGGAGTGAAGAGGTAGGGACTGAGTGAGAGAAAAATGGTTTGAACGGAGAAAAAGAAATGAATACGCTCTGTCTTTGTAAGCCTGACTTCCCATTGTGTCACAGGAGTCAGCAAGATATTAATATAAGCTGGCCACATGTTCCTTCAGGAAGCAAACAGTGAAATTAAAGGCATCCTACTACCTGAATTTCTATTCTTACTTAGGACAATTGGGAATAATAAGCAACATGACTGAAAAATAAGTATCCTAAAATTAGATTCGGTACTGGCATGATGATAGACATAGATCAACATATTAGAATTGAGAATCCCAAAATAAACCCACATATTTATGGTCAATTGATTTTCAACAAGGGTAAAAAAACAACAACTGAGACTATTAATTTGTTAAAAAGAATAGCCTTTTCAACAAATGGTAATGGGGCAACTGGATATCCACATGCAAAAGAATAAAGATGGACTCCTAACATACGCCACATCTAAAATTAACTCAAAATAGAACTGCTAACTATAAGAGCTAAAACTATAAAATTCTTTTATCAAAATTTGAAATGTCTGCACTTGAAAAGACATCATCAATAAGGTAAAAATAAAAGCCACTGAGTGAAATAAAATATTTGAAAATCATATCTGTTAAGGGTCTTACACCTAAGATTTATAAAAAACTTAAAATTCAGAAAAAAAAGGGAAGGTGATTTTAAAATGGGCATAGAATTTAAATAGACATTTTCCCAAAGATACACAAGTGGCTCATAAGCACATAAAAAGATGCTTAACATCATTACTCATTAGGGAAACGCAAATCAAAACAAAAATGAAGTATCGCTTTACGGGGCGCGGTGGCTCACGCCTGCAATCCCAGCACTTTGGGAGGCCAAGGCGGGTGGATCACGAGGTTAGGAGATCAAGACCACCCTGGCTAACACGGTGAAACCCCGTCTCTACAAAGATACAAAAAATTAGTTGGGCATGGTGGTGGGTGCCTGTAACCCCAGCTACCTGGGAGGCTGAGGCAGGAGAACGGCTTGAACCTGGTGCAGGGGAGGTTGCAGTGAGCCGAGATTGTGCCACTGCACTCCAGCCTGGGCGACAGAGCGAGACTCCATCTCAAAAAAAAAAAAAAAAAAAAAAAAAAAGAATGAGGTATCACTTCACACCACTAGGATGGAATCTTCAATCAAAAATGTGAAAGATGTTGGAAAGATACAGAGAAATTAGAATCCCCATACAATTCTGACAGAAATGTAAAATGGTGTAGCCACTTTGGAAAACAGACTGGCAGCTCCTCAAATTCCACTTGTAAGTATACACCAGCAATTCCACTTCTAAGTATACACCCATGAGAAATGAAAACATATGCAAACACAAAAACTTGTACATAAAACTTCATAGCAGTATGATTAATAGCCAAAACATGGAAACAACCCAAAGGTCCATAACTGATGAATGGGCAAATAAAATGACTGGTATATCCACAGAGGGGAATGTTACTCAGCAATTAGAGGAAGTTGAGTACTGATACATGTTACAATGCGGATGAGCCTTAAAAATGTTATGCTAAGTGAAAGAAGCCAATCACAAAAGACCACCACATGTTTTGTGATTCAATTGATATGAAATGTCCAGAATGGGCAACTCTATAGAAACAAAGTAGGCTGGTGGTTCCCTAGAGCTGAGGAAGGGCAAACTGACGGATGATGGCTAAATGATGCAGGGTTTCTTTTCAGGGTCGTGAAGATGTTCTCAAATTGATGTTGCTGATGACTACACAACTCCATGAATATACTAAGAGACTTGTACATTTTCAATGGGTGAACTGTATGTTATGCAAATTATATACCAACACAGTTGCTTTAAAAAATCCAGTGGCAGGATCTAGATACATTTCTTAATTCTCTACTTTGGATGTATATACTCTACAGGATCTGAGTATTTCCATGCTTTTACAATATACTTAAAATGAAATGAAAATGAAGGAAATGCCTAACATTTCAAGTACTTTGTAAATTAATCTAAAACATTTGCATTTTGGAGAAGAGTTTAATGGCCTTTCCATACAAGTTATCCTGAAATTCATGCAATAAACAGACACACATTCTATACCCATTCATGAAAGTAAAGACAAGAAATAAGACACTTCTTTGGAACACTATATTAAACATTATCCTCTGATTTAATCTGGCTTGCCTTACCATGACAGTAGAGAAATAGCTAAAAAATAATGGTTTGCAGAAAAAACTCTCTCAACTGCTGTGAGGAATGAGGTATAATTCCCAAATTTCATAAAGGTAAATATTATTTTTAAAATGTATATACTTATGAGAAAAACATGACAGAATGAAAGTCAGAGGTTAAGAAATAACTGCATGATAAAGATAATAAAATTAATTATAATAAAAATAAAAAACTATCCAATGCAATTAGTATCCTAAAACATTAGATATTATTCCACTACCTATAGATTAACCATTGACATGTTATGTTTCATATATACTTGACTTCCGATTTTACCTAATTCCTTCTTTGAATCTTGGGTCTCTTCTAAATTAATATGACAATGTGGTGTAGCCTCTAGGTAAGGCTCTGACATAGGTTGCATTTTTAGGGTATCAGCCAGTTCTTGTTGAAGTTGTCTCATAACTACCTGTTCAGATATTTTTGTTACTGATTTTACATGTTACCTTATTAGTAAATCATGGTAATAAGATTTAACATGTACTTTGAAAAATAGTACCACATACATGAATTTACCTTCTTTTCCTATGTGTATACATGCTTGTTTATTACTGAATTCAGTTAAGGACACAGAAGGTATTATTTTCCTGCCAAGTCAGTATTCCGCTTACATTCAGTTCACTATTCACTCACCCCTGATACATTTGCAATGCTTAACTTCCTACTTAAGTCACAAAAACAAATCCATATGTGGGTGGGACTGGTGGTAGAAAATGCAACATTGTAAAATGTTTTTCCTCTTTTTTATTAGAAGCTCAAAGAAACCCCACCACTCCTGACATCCTCAATTGCCTGCTCAGATCCTTCCAATAGATTTCTATCTCAGAATACAAGTAAAATTCCAATTGCCTTCCAGGCCCTAGGTAACCACCTGGCCTTCACCTCCCTCCCTGACCTCAGCTCCTACAAATCTCTTTCCTACTCACTGCTTTCTCACTGTATGTGAATCCTACCACCTCCCATTAGATTGAAAATGGGGACCTAATGTCAAACAAAGCAATTGCAGATAGCCACAATTATCTTTGTGTGGGACAAAGTCATATCCAAATGATAGCCACTGAGCCTTGAAATAAAAATTATGGGCAAATTATTTTTAAGAACATTCAAAGTATAAATATCAGTGGTAAGATTAATCAAATATGGTTTTGCTGGAAATTCACATCTGTCCCAAATTATGATTTAATAAAAAGTAAATGCTTTTAAATAATTGAGATGTCATAACAACACTGTGATATTGAAATAGTCTCAGATTAAAGTCTAATTGATACAAATAAAAATAAAATTATACAAATGTAAATACATAAAAAGCCCCTGAAGGAAAAGTATTGAGATACAACAGTATACTTCAGTTCACCTGGGAAATCTTGAATTAACAGTCAAAAGTAACCCACCTAATCGAATCTTAATTTCAAAAGACTTATTTCAGATATAAGGCATTTCTATTTATCTGCTTCATCATGGTCTTAAAATGTGGCCACATACAAATATTAAAATTATTTTAGCAGTATGTCTACATCATAAATATTAGTCTATATCTACTAACAACTTGTAACTTAACCTCTTAAAATTTCAAAGGTGATATAATTTATTTACTCAAAGTAAAGTGTACTTCAGGTCTTTCTTTTGCTGGTATGTTTCTAGGCTAACACAGCAAATACACTTTTATTCTAAGTTTATTTGTACATACTTTTTTATTTTTTTGAGACGGAGTTTAGCTTTTGTTGCCCAAGCTGGAGTGTAATGGCGCGATCTCGGCTCAATGCAACCTCCGCCTCCCGGGTTCAAGTGATTCTCCTGCCTCAGCCTCCTGAGTAGCTGGGATTACAGGTACCCGCCACTGCGCCCGGCTGATTTTGTATTTTTAGTTGAGATGGGGTTTCTCCATGTTGGTCAGGCTGGTCTCGAACTCCCGACCTCAGGTGATCCGCCCGCCTTGGCCTCCCAAAGTGCTGGGATTACAGGCATGAGCCACTGCACCCAGCCTATTCTACATACTTTTATATTCAACTATATATAACATTTAGCATAACCAAATATTACTTTAAATTTTCTTTCTTTCAGTTTGAAAAATATCTTTCTTGGTACTTACTTTTTTTTCTTTCTCTTTTTCACATTGATATATTCTTTCTTTCAAATTATTACATACATTGATTAAGTCTTTGTTTTTCTCTTCTAGCAGAAGACTCTGCATTTCACTCCCAGCTAGATTTTTTTACAACGGCATGGATTTGGTCTTGGATAGTACTGATTGTCTTTTCTTGATTGTCAGCTTTCTTGTGGGCATCATCCAGTTGCTGTTGAAGCAACCTATTTTCACTTTGTAGTTGAGCACATCTGTCCTCTATAGATTCCTGCTTCTTCAGCGTATTTATTTACTTTGCTTTGTTCATTTTTATACATTCGTTCAATTTCTTTCTTTTGACACTGTGTTTGGCCAAGGTCTCTTTGGAAACATTCTAAAACTGACGTCTTTTCTCTGAGTGTTTCTCTTGCATGATGAAACTTAATTTTTAGGCTGTTAATTTTACTGTCAGCATTAGAGAGTTTTTTCAGAAACAATCTGTTATCTTTTAGGTTAGACATATCAGAATTCATTTTCTCCTGTAAATGAACCCATTCATGTCCTGTTCTCTGGAAAGCAAGTTCTAGGTTTTCTTATGCTGTCTGACTTTGATCACAATCATGTACGGCAGCAGCCAGCCTGCATCGATATGACTGAATTTCCATTTCCAGTCTTTCCATGTTGTGTTTTACATTCTCAAGTTGAGAACTGAGTTTTATTCTTAGCTGTCAAAATGCTAAGCTGTCCACTGTACTGAAATACTATTTTTGTTGATGTTTCCTCATTCAGTTTTATCATATTTTGAAGGTTGTCATTCTTTTATTTCACACTTTCAACATCCTTCAAATATTTCTTTTCTTTCAGCTGGTTCTGATGTTTTATTGTGTCTAGTTCCAGTCTTAGCATGGCAATTTCTTCCTGCAACATACTATTTTTATGCAACAGGTCTTCTTCTTTCTCATGGCTTTGAGAAATCTAAGTAAACAAAGGAAACTTAGCACTCAATAGAATGACATATCATGGTTTCTTCTGAAATTAAAGAATAACCTGTATATTTGTACAATGAAAGGATTCCCATAAGTGGATATTTAACTGAAAAAAATATTAAATCAAAATTTCAAACCTCAGAGTGTAAATTCCCAAAAGTTAAAAAAATCTATTTGAAGACAATGAATCAATAAAAGTAAAAAATAAACCACTAGAGGATTTTTAAGACTCTCAGAATTGACAAAGCCTTTCTCTGAATTACAAAAAACCCAGCGGCATAAAATATGAGATTGATACATTTGACTACATTTTTAAAATTTAAAAATTTTAAAATCTGATATCTAACCTATACACCACCCCATTGTAAGACTCTTAGTTCTGCATTTATTTGGACTGAAGAAATTTCTCAAAGTTCTCTAAGTTCCTTTTTCCTGATAATGTTCTATAGATATTCTACTTTTCTAACAATTTTATTGTAAGTTATAAAGATTACACTTATTCATAAATGTTAAATCTAAGCATTGTACATTTCTACATTTTACACTTCTACATCTAAGCATTGCACTTTTACATACATTACTGAACTCATTTAAGGTCGCAATTCTGAAGAGGAGAGACTGAAATATATGCAAGATGCAGGATTTTCCCCAGGTCTTCTGATTCTACTTCTAGTCCTCCTCCATCAAATTGCAGTTACTTCTGTGGTGTAAATATATAAATACAAAAGAAGCCTCTTATATAAAAATACCAATGGTAAAATTTATAGAGATCTTCTTAAAAAATCATGAGATTATTTGCTATTGTAATAACTTTTATTTCCTCTTTATAATGTTTGAAACAGTAATGTGTGAAATAGGGGGAAATACACTGAACTATTTTTCCAGAAACAAAACACTTACCAATAAATTATCACTAAATGTATATTATTCTACATCATTGTTTTCAAAGCCCTTTGCATTGAAATTAGATACTACTTGGAGAAAACTTTTAAGTTCTTCAAAAGTAAGAAGAATGACATCCATAATATGGCCTCTAAACTGGCTATACATTTCCTCCTTATCTATCAGTGAAAATAATAAACTGACTTCTCCATTAATATTTTGAGAAGATAAAACAATGTCCAAAAACTAGAATGTCTGTTGTTAGTACCAAAAATTTTGAGATTATGGAAAGATCATCAATTCTTATAAAAAATATCAAATGCTTCTTCTTTGGATTGAGGCCATTGTGAATGTCACTACTTCACTGCTGCAGACTAATGGAGCTGAATTAAGAATATGGCTTTATCCTACACACACACACACAAGTGTATATTCTATATATAGATACACAAACACATAGGATGTGTGTGTGTGTGTGTGTGTGTGTGTATATATATATATATATATAATTTAAAAATACTTTATATTTTCCAAGGTACATAGAGTTGGTTTTTCAAATATATACACATACAAAAACATATTTGAAAATGACTAAAGAAAATACCTCAGAATTCATTTTCTTTTGAGCCCCTTCGACCTCCTTTTGCTTACTGGTCAGAATCTCATCTTGTAATATTCTGGCATTCTGCTCTTCAGAAAGTTGCTTGTGGGTATCGCTTCGCTTCTGCACAACCTAGACATACATTACATTTTTGGTCTAATAGCATTGAAAAAGAAAATCTAAAAGAACAGAACCTTTTTTGTAAAACTGTTAAAAAAAAAAAAGTAGCCTATTAAAACACAAGGACTTTTATCCCTCAGGAATTACTCAAACTTTAATTGCATACATGACAGCTAAATTTCTCAAAGAGGAAAAACAGTTCTTACCTACAGAAAAATACAGTATTGTGTAATAAAATTTCTTTCAAAACATTTAACTAGCTTTGTTATAGTCTCAAAGCTATAGAGCCTGTATTTTAACATAAAAAATACACAAATATTTATGTGATTAAACTCAATTTATCCTCCATTCCTTCATCCAGAAAACATAAGAGATAGTTTGAGCATCTAAGACCGAACATCACAGGCAGAGATGCCAAGGTTTACAATAAATAGCTATAAATGTCATACTTCCTTTTTAAGATTAAATAAGTCTTGGTATGTTTTGAAACTAAATTATATACATTACATCAAAGGAATATTATAAGTAATACTGATGAAATATAAAGTTAGAAATATAAAGTTTTCACCAAAAATTAATTTACCTGATCCAAATTCTTTCCTAATGTCCTCAATTCTGTGACCAGTGATTTCAGAGTCTGTTTGAGTTGTTGTTTCAACTTCTTTCCCACATTCCTTTTCTTTTCTTTTTAACTGTTCACTGTCTTTTTTAGGCAATATATCAGCATTTCTTCCCTTTTCTTCTTCTTTTAAGGTCATTCTACAGTAAAACATATTAAAATTTGTTTTCTTAAAAAATAAAAAGTTTATTTTGTTATCTGGCTCTTCCTACGCAGTGTTTATTATTCAAATAAAATTTCTATGTTCTTGACTATTTTTCCTTTCTAGTTCTCATGTTTTTAATTTCTCACTTCAGTCTCTTCCAAGGGATAAATATACTTGAAAGGTAGTGAAGAAAAAACATCCTGCTAATTGGTGAGTTTCTGTTATTAGCAATTCTGATAAATGTTATGGAAAAGAATATTGGAAATTATTTAGTATAGTTACACGTTGCAAATTACTTCTTTTTGGCAGGGCGCCGTGGCTCACGCCTGTAATCTCAGCACTTTGGGAGGCTGAGGTGGGCGGATCACAGGGTCAGGAGATTGGGACCATCCTGGCTAACACGGTGAAACCTCATCTCTACTAAAAATACAAAAAAAAATTAGCTGGGTGTGGTGGAGGGTGCCTGTGATCCCAGCTACTCGGCAGGCTGAGGCAGGAGAATGGCGTGAACCTGGGAGGCGGAGCTTGCAGTGAGCTGAGATGGCACCAATGCACTCCAGCCTGGACGACAGAGCGAGACTCCCTCTCAAAAAAAAAAAAAAAAAAAAAAGAAAAAGAAAATTACCTATTTTTCACATAGTCATAATAACTCAATTAGGACAGATCATTTCAAATTAACTAATTAAAAAGAACATACTACTTATAAACAACTTTGTAAATTCACTAGAAATAAATTTTAATTTTCATGAAATACTGCAGGTATCCCTAAAATGATTTACAGTGCAAGATGGCTCCATCGGGCCGGGCGCGGTGGCTCAAGCCTGTAATCCCAGCACTTTGGGAAGCCAAGGCGGGTAGATCACCCAAGGTCAGGAGTTCGAGACCAGCCTGACCAACAAGGTGAAACCCCATCATTACTAAAAATACAAAAATTAGCCAGGGCTGGTGGCAGGCATCTGTAGTCACAGTTACTTGGGAGGCTGAGACAGGTGAATTGCTTGAACCTGGGAGGTGGAGGTTGCAGTGAGCCGAGATCAGGCTGCTGCACTCAGGCAGCCTGGGTGACTGAGTGAGACTCCGTCTCAAAAAAAAAAAAAAAAAGATGGCACCAACGGATGTCAGTCACACAATATATATCTGCAGATTACTATAATCCAATACAAGGCAATGGGGTCTAATATCTGTTAACCCAGCTGTCCCCGGTCTTTTTGGCACCAGGGACTGATTTTGTGGAAGACAATTTTTCCATGGACCTGGGGGAGAGGGGGCTGGTTTAGGGATGATTCAAGCACATTACATTTATTGTGCACTTTATTTATATTATTATTACATTGTAACATATAATGAAATAATTAATTATATAACTCACATGATGTAGAATCAGTGAAAGTCCTGAGCTTGTTTTCCTTCAACTAGACAGCTCCATCTGGGGGTGATGGGAGACAGGGACATATCATCAGGCATTAGATTCTCATAAGGAGAGCACAACCTAGATCTCCAATGTGTGCAGCTTACAGTAGGATTTGGTTCACGCTCCTATGAGAATCTAATGGTGCTGCTGACCTAACAGGAGGCAGAGGTCAGGTGGTAATGTAAGTGATGGGGGGCGGCTGTAAATACAGATGAAGCTTTGCTTGCTCACTTGCCGCTCACCTCCTGCTGTGTGGCCTGGTTCCTAATAGGCCATGGACTGGTACTGGTCCGTGGCCTGGGGGTTGGGGACCCTTGTGTTAACCAATACTTTTTATGTTTATTTTTTGGTAACACTTTCCACTTATCTTCTTGATTCTTATGTATTTTATAAACAATTTTAAAATTCCTTTTGTGACAAGATAGGATCTAATATTTAAACAATAAAGAATAACGTGTTTTTTTTTTGTTGTTGTTTTTTTTGAGACTGAGTCTCCCTCTGTCGCCCAGGCTGGAGTGCAGTGGCGCGATCTCGGCTCACTGCAAGCTCCGCCTCCCGGGTTCACGCCATTCTCCTGCCTCAGCCTCCTGAGTAGCTGGGACCACAGGCACCTGCCACCATGCCTGGCTAATTTTTTATATTTCTAGTAGAGACGGGGTTTCACCGTGTTAGCCAGGATGGTCTCAATCTCCTGACCTCGTGATCCGCCCACCTTGGCCTCCCAAAGTGCTGGGATTACAGGCGTGAGCCACCGCGCCCAGCCAACATGTGTTTTCAACATAGAACTTTGAATTAATTGTATCTGTATAGGAGAGAGAGATGTGAAATAAACTAATCATTACTCACTTTCCGTTTTAGTTTTTATTTCACGTATATTAATAAAACTGGGAAGTCCCAGCTGGGCATGGTGGCTCACACCTGTAATCCCAGCACTTTGGGAGGCCAAGTCGGGTAGATCACAAGGTCAGGAGATCGAGACCATCCTGGCTAACACAGTGAAACCCCATCTCTACTAAAAAAGAAATACAAAAAATTAGCCAGGCATGGTGGCACGCAGCTGTGTCCCCAGCTGCCAGGGAGGCTGAGGCAGGAGAATCGCTTGAACCCAGAAGGCGGAGGTTGCAGCGAGCTGCGATCACGCCACTGCACTCCAGCCTGGGTGACACAGTGAGGCTCCATCTCAAAAATAATAATAATAAAAAAATAAAATAAAAAATAAAACTTGGAAATCCTAGGCAGAGCAATTGGGCAAGAGAAATAAAGGAATTCCAAATTGGAAAGGAGAAAGTTAAGCTATCTCTGCCAATGACACGATCTTATACCTAGAAAGCCCTAAAGATGCCTACAAAACACTCCTAGATTTGATAAATGAATGCAGTGAAGTCTGAGGTTACAAAATCAATGAATCCAAATCAGTAGCACCCATATACACCAACTATGACCAAGCTGAGAGTCAAATCAAGAACCCAATCCCTTTTACAATGGCTGCAAAAATGTAAAATACCTAGAAATATACTAATGAAGGAGATGAATGATCTATATAAAGATAACTAGAAAACACTGCTGAAGGAAATCACAGATGACACGAAGTGAAATACATCCTATGATCATGGACTGCAAGAATTGATATTGTGAAAATGACCCTAATGCCCAAAGGAGCCTACAGATTCAAGGCATTTCCCATCATAATACCGATGTCACTCTTTACAGAATTAGAAAAAAAAAATGCTGAAATTCATGTAAAACCACAAAAGAGCCTGAACAGCAAAAGACATACTAAGCAAAACAACAACAACAACAACGAAAAGTCTGGAGGCATCAAATTACCTGACTTCAAATTATACTATAAGGCCACAGTAACAAAAACAGCATGGTACTAGTATAAGAGTAGATACATACATCAATGGAACAGAATAGACAACCCACAGATAAAGCCATTTACAACCAAATATTCTTTGACAAAGTATACAAAAACATGAACTGGAGAAAGGACACCTTATTCAATAAATGGTGCTGGGAAAATAGGATAGCCACATGTAGAAGAATGAAACTAGATCCCTATCTCTCACCATATATAAAATAAAAATTAATTCAAGATGGACTAAAGGCCTAAATCTGATACCTGAAAACATTGGCCTAAGCAAAAGATTTACGATGAAGAATCTAAAAGCAAATGTGACAAATAATTTAACTAATTAATTAATAATTAAACTGAAAAGTTTCTGCACAGCAAAAGAAATAATCATCTGAGTAAACTAACAACCTATAGAATGGGGGGAAATATTTGCAAATCACGAACTAGATAAAGGACTAATATCTAGAATCTACAAGAAACTCAAACAAATAAGCAGGAAAATACAAATAATTCCATTAAAAAGTGGGCAAATGACATGAATAGACATTTCTCAAAAGAAGATGTACAAATGGTCAACAAGCATATAAAAATATGGTCAATATCACTAATCATCAGGGAAATGCAAAATAAAACAACAATGATATATCACCTCACTGCAGCTAGAATGGCCATTATTAAAAATCAGAAGCAATAGATGTTGGTGTGGATGTGGTGAAAAGAGAACACTTATACAGTGGTGGTGAGAATGCAAATTAGTACAACCTCTATGGAAAACAGTATGGAGATTTCTCAAAGAACTAAAAGTAGATCCTACTATTCAATTCAGCATTCCCACTTCTGGGTATCTACTCAAAGGAAAAGAAACCATTATGTCAAAAAAACACCTGCATGCATATGTTTATTGCAGGACAATTCACAATATGCAAAGATGTGGAATCAACCTGTGTGCATTAGCTGATGAGTGGAATATATATACATATATATATCACAGAATATTACTCAGCCACAAAAAAGAATGAAAGAATGTCTTTTGCAGCAACTTGATGGAGCTGGAGGCCATTATTCTAAGTGAAGTAACTCAGGAACGGAACAACAAATACCACGTGTTCTCACTTACAAGTGGGAGCTATGCTACGCATATGTGAAAGCTGACAGAGTGGTATAATGACATTGGAGGCTCAGAAGGGAGAAAAGCATAAGAGCATTGAGAGACAAAAACTACCTATTGGGCTACAATGTATACTATTTGGGTGATGGGTACACTAAAATCTCAGACTTCACCAGTACACAATTCATCCATGTAACCAAAAACCACTTGTACTCCTAAAGGTATTGAAATAAAAAAAATTAAAGGGAGAGTAAAAAGAAGAATAAAACTGTATAACGTTTTTAAAAAGTATTCTGGGTTGAGACAAGTGGCCATTTTATGCTCTGTTGGTTGAACTGTAAAATAATACAAACATCCTTGAGGACAATTTAGAAATATTAATCCAAGGCCTTTTATAAAAAAGTTCTTGTATTTTAACCAAAATATTCTGTATTGAAGACTTGATTCAAAGTAAATAATTAGAAATGTAGAAAGTGACTTAGATAAAAGACGTTCTGGGCTGTATATCATGGCTCACGCCTGTAATCCCAATGTTTTGGGAGGCCGAAGCAGGAGGATTATTTGAAGCCATGACTTAGAGATCATCCTGGACAAGACAGTGAGACCTTGTCTCAATGAAAAACTTAAAAAGTTAGTAGGGCATGGGGGCGTGTGTCTGTAGTGCCAGCTACTTAGGAGGTTGAGGCAGGATCCCTTGAGCACAAAAGTTCAAAGTTGCAGTGAGCTATGATCACACTACTGCACTCCAGCCTCAGCGACAGAGCAAAACCCTGTGTCTAAAAATAGTAAGAATAAAAGATGTTCCTCACAGCATTAATTCTAACACAAAATAATTTCAAACCCCAAATTCAATTTGTTAAATATTGAGGTTCCCATATGGTAGACTTCCATACAGCCATTAAAATCACGATTTAAAATATACAATTATTAGAAGAATTCACAGTTAAAAATTTGTTACCTTATTTCCAAGAATTTCATATTCCACAAGTGCAAGACATTTTCTCCCCATTAAGCCCCAGAGAGTCAGCAATTGCAAAAATTCTTACATATCTTTAGTATAGACAGTTAAAATATTTATTTAAAACTCAAATGTCATACCTCAAACTGTAGCGTTCTTGTTCCCATTGACCTTTTTCATGCTCTAACTGTAATTGTGTTTCTTTTGCTTCACATAGCTCCTTTTGTAGTACACCAACCATATTTTCCATTTGTTTAATATTTACTGTAAGTTGTTCACAATGATTATTCTTAAGTTCTAATAAGTGTTCCCATGAAAGAACTGCATCTTGCATTTTCGATAGGCTAACAGAATCTACATGAGGGAGAAAACAGGGTGGAAATAAAATATGAGTACTTTTTGCATAAAAAGGACTGTGCATTTTAAGTCACCCATCCATACACCTAACAAATATGGACTAAGTTCCTAACATGTGGTCTGCTGAGCTTTGCAGATACAACAGACAATACCTCTGCTCTTGCTCAGCTTTCAGTGTAGTGAAGAACAAAGACAATAAAAGTGAAAATTACAAATTCAGATAGATACTGGAAGAAAACAGTTCTATGGTACATACAATCTGATGTATACTGGGCTCAGGGAAGATTTCCTTGATGAAAAGACGGCTACACTGAGAAATAAAGGATGAGAAGGAAGCAGTTAAGTAAAGGGGGTAGAAGAGCATTCTAGCCAGTCTGTGGTAAGTGCTGAAGCTCTCCTGCAATCTGCTTCTGGCCATGATGGAGAAACAGGTACTGATTTACCTTCTTGTCTGAAACAATCAAAAACAAAAAAGACAAAATATATTATACAATGATTTTCAAGAAAGTGGAGTTCAGGTACACTTTGGAAGGCCGAGGCAGGCGGATCACCTGAGGTCAGGAGTTCGAGACTATCCTGGCCAACATGGTGAAACCCCATATCTACTAAAAATACAAAAATTAGCTGGGTGTAGTGGCGCAAACCCATAGTCCCAGTTGCTCGGGAGGCTGAGGCAGAAGGATCACTTGAACCCAGGAGGTGAAGGTTGTAGTGAGCCGAGATCGTGCCGCTGCATTCCAGCCTGGGCAACAGAGCAAGACTCTCCAGAAAAAAAGAAAGTGACTTCAGGTAACAAAGATAATGATCCCTGTAAGAGAAAACAAATGAAGTAAGCCTTACAAACAACCCAGCTCCCTGACTTGACAAAGTTTCCATGCCATGACACAGGGAGAAAAAAAACTGAGGTAGAGTCCACCAGATTCTCTGAGTTGGAATGATGAAGCACAAAAAACCAATAGCAGAGTGATGAACAGTACATGTGTGCTAGGAAACTACCTGAGACCAGGGGAAAAAAATCTTTAAAAAATTAGAAACAGTGAAAAATAGTGCCTGTTGCTCACAATGTGTAAGGAAGAGTGTCCATTCCTATGAGCAATACTGGAAAAACTCGGGCTTCACAGGGCAATGAACAGAGTTATTGGAAACACCTTGCCTCAGAAGTGGAAAATTAGACCAAACCATAAAGCAAGACCAGAAATATCAAGCTGTGTATAAGTAACTCAACTGTGTCCCAAAATAAATCTCAAGCAGAGACATGGGAGATATTTTCTGAAAGCAAACTGTATGTGTAGAGATTCAAATTAAAATGTCAGAAATGAAAACTATACTGGATGGAAATGAATACAGACTAGACATCACAAAAGAGAAGATTCATAAATTTGAGACATCAGAGAACTACGAGAAAACTTTAAGCAGTAATATACAGGTCCCCAAAGAGAAAGGGAGAGAGACAGACAAAATATAGAGAGCAGGTGGCCAGAAATTTTCTAAACTTAATGAAAACTATAATCCCACAAATCCAGGAAGGATCTGGCTGGGAAAGAGGAAATGAAATTATACTATTCTAATTTTCTTATGCCATATACGATATGGTATAATACTGCCTGAAGGTGGACTGTGATAAGATAAAATCATATAGTACAAATTGTAATGAAATCACAAAGATAGCAAAAACAGACTTATAGCTAATAAGCCAAAAGAGAGAGATAAAACAATCATAAAATTACATGACTGGCCAGGTGCAGTGGCTCACGCCTGTAATCCCAGCACTTCGGGAGGCCAAGTGGGGGCAGATCACCTGAGGTCAGGCGTTCGAGACCAGCCTGGCCAATGTGGTGAAAACCCATCTCTACTAAAAATACAAAAAATTAGCCAGGTGTGGTGACAGGCGTCTGTAATTCCAGCTACTTGGGAGGCTGAGGCAGGAGAATCGCTTGAACCCAGGAGGCCGAGGTTGCAGTGAACAGAGATCATGCCGTTGCACTGCAGCCTGGGTGGCAGAGTGAGACTGCATCTCAAAAAAAAAAAAAACATGGCTAATTGAAAAGAAAGCAGAAAAAGAAGAAAAGAAAACAAAGAACAGCTGGGACTAATGGAAATGAAACTGTATGATAACAGATAAACTTAACTATATCAGTAATCACATTATAAATGAAACCAGCCTAATAACCTAAATTAAAAGGCAGATTGTCAAACTGTATAAAAAAGCAAGATCCTACTCCCTGCTACCTATAAGAAATACTTTAAATGTAGGCCAGGTGCAGTGGCTCACGCCTGTAATCCCAGCACTTTGGGAGGCTGAGGCAGACGGATCACGAGGTCAGGAGATTGAAATCATCCTGACTAACACGGTGAAACCCTGTCTCTACTGAAAATACAAAAAATTAGCTGGGCGTGGTGGCAGGTGCCTGTAGTCCCAGCTACTCAGGAGGCTGAGGCAGGAGAATGGCGTGAACCCAGGAGGCAGAGCTTCCAATGAGCCAAGATCCCGCCACTGCACTCAAGCCTGGGTGACAGAGTGAGACTCCATCTCAAAAAAAAAAAATAATAATAATAATACTTTAAATGTAAAGATGCAAATTAGTTAAAAGGATGGAAAAATATACACCATGCTAACAGTTAACAAATAAAGCCTAGCAGAAATGGTTATATTAATACCAAAGTAGATTTCAGAGCAAAAAATATTACTAGCTATCAACAAAATTATTTCATAATGATAAATGGTTCAATTAATCAAGAGCACATAATCCTAAATGTTTATGTACCTACTAACGTAACAGCTTCAAAATACATGAGGCAAAAACTGATAGAAGAAATTGACAAATTCACAGGTATAGTCTGAGATTTCAATATCGCTTACTCAATACATGACAGAACAAGGAGGCAGAAAATCAGTAAGACTAGAGTAGACTTGAAGAGCACTATGCTTCTCAAGGACCCATGGAACACTTAGCAAAACAGATCATATTCTAGGCCATACAGTAAATCTTCATAAAAGAATTAAGTCAAAAGGATTTAAGTCATACAAAGTATGGTCCCTGACCACAGAGCAATCAAATTAGAAATCAGTAATAAATAAACCCGACAGTAAGTCTAGGCCATAAGGACTGCAACTACTAGGCAAGTCCTGGCGCTGTGCTGGGCTCAGAGCCAGTAAATATGGGATCATGTGACCTATTGAGACACCAGCTAAGGGAGTACTTGTGCTACCCCTCCCCTAACCCCAGACAGTGCAGCCTACCACTCTGAAAGAGACTACTTCCTTCCACTTGAGAATAGAGAGAAAAAGAGAACTTTGTCTTGCAACATGGATACAAGCTCAGCCACGGTAGGATAGGGCACTGGGCAGAGTCGTGAGGTCCCCATTCCAGGTCCTGGATCCTGTATGACATTTCTAGACACAACCAGGGCCAGAAGAAATCCCACTCCCTTGAATGGAAAGACCCAGTCCTGGCAGGATTCACCACCTGGTGACTAAAGACCTCTTGGGCCCTGAATAATTAGTAGCAGTAGGCCGAGCGCAGTGGCTCACGCCTGTAATCCCAGCACTTTGGGAGGCCAAGGCGGGCGGATCACGAGGTCAGGAGATCGAGACCATCCTGGCTCACACGGTGAAACACCATCTCTACTAAAAATATAAAAAATTAGCCAGGCGCTGTGGCGGGCGCCTGTAGTCCCAGCTACTTGGGAGGCTGAGGCAGGAGAATGGCGTGAATCCAGGAGGCGGAGCTTGCAGTGAGCCGAGACAGCACCACTGCACTCCAGCCTGGGCGAAAGAGCGAGACTCCGTCTCAAAAAAAAAAAAAAAAATTACATGCCATGGGGCTTGGAAGAGATGCTGAGATGAGCTGGCTCAAGTGTGACCCAGCACACTCCCAGCTAGGGTGGCTACTAGCAGAGATTCCTGCTTCAGAAAGGCAGAGGAAGGGTTAAAAGGACTTGGTCTCGCAGCTTAGGTACCAGTTCAACCACAGTGGGGTAAAGCACCTAGCAGGCTCTTGGGGTCTCGTCAGTGGCATTTCTGGACCTGCCCTAGGTAAAGAGGAGCCCACACTCTGAAGGGTGAGTTCCAGGCCCAGCAGCATTCACCACAAGCTGACTGAGGAGCCCTTGGGCTTTACATGAACATTGGTGGTAGCCTGATAGTATTCCCGTGGGCCTGTGAGTGCTGAATATGAGAGACTCTTCTGCCTGTGGAAAGGGGAGGGAAGAGTAGGAAGGACATTGTCTTGTGGTTTGGATGCCAGCTCAGCCACAGTAGAATACAGCACCAAGTAGATTTCTAATGTTTCCAACTCTAGGCCTTGGTTCCCAGAAGGCATCTCTGGACTAAATCGGGACCTAGGGGAACTTGCTCCTCTGAAGTGAAGGACACAAGCTTGGCTGGCTTCACCACCTGTGGACTGTATGACCCTAGGGACTTGAATAAACATAGGCAGTAGCCAGGTAGTGGTTACAGCAGTTCTTGGGTGAGACCCAGTGCTGTGCTGGCTTTAGGTCTGACCCAGCATAGTCCCAGTGGTAGGGGTCCTAGGGGTCCTTGTGTTACCCATCCAATAGCTCCAGGAAGCTCAGCACAGAGAGAGAGAGAGACTCCATTTCTTTGGAAAAATAATGGAAGACAACAAGAGTCTGTGCTTGCTGATCCAGAGCATCCTTCCAGATCTTATTCAAGACTACCATGCCTCTATGAGTCTGCCAAAAATACAGTGTTACTAGGCTTGGAGTGCCCAACCATGCAGATATACCTGCAGTGACCAAAAGCAGATCACAACACCCCAGTCCTTTCAAATACTTGGAAAATCTTCCTAAGGAAGATGGGTATAAGCAAGCATAAACTGAGAAGACTACAATAAATACCCATTCTTTTCAATGTCCAGACACAAATGAACATCCACAAGACTGTCCACAAAAACATGACTTCACCAAATGAACTAAATAAAGCATGAGAGATCAATCCCAGATAAACAGAGCTATGTGACCTTTCAGATAATTCAAAATAGCTGTTTTGAGGAAACTCAAAGAAATTCAAGATAACACACACACAAAGAATTCAGAATTCTATCAGATAAATTTCAGAAAGAAATTGAAATAGTAAGAATCAGGGAGAAAATCTGGATTTGAAAAATGCAATTGACATACAGAAGAATACCTCAGTCTCTTAATAGGAGAATTGATTAAGCAGAAGGAAGAATTAGTAAGCTTGAAGACAGGCCATTTGAAAATAGTCAGAGAAGGCAAGAAAACAAAAAAGGAAATTAAGCATACCTACAAGATCTAGAAAGCAGCCTCAAAAGGGCAAATCTAAGAGTTATTAACCTTAAAGAAGAGGCAGAGACAAGGATGGGGTAGAAAGTTTATTCAGGCTGGGCGCGGTGGCTCACGCCTGTAATCCCAGCACTTTGGGAGGCTGAGGCGGGCGGATCACGAGGTCAGGAGATCGAAACTATCCTGGCTAACACGGTGAAACCCCACCTCTAATAAAAATACAAAAAATTAGCTGGGCGCGGTAGCGGGCACCTGTAGTCCCAGCTACTCGGGAGGCTGAGGCAGGAGAATGGCGTGAACCCGGGAGGTGGAGCTTGCAGTGAGCTGAGATAGCGCCACTGCAGTCCGGGCCTTGGTGAAAGAGTGAGACTCCATTTCCAAAAAAAAAAAAAAAAAAAAAAAAGTTTATTCAAAGGGATAATACCAGATAATGCCCCAAACCTAGAAAAATATATCAGTATCCAACCTCAAGGCATTTAATAATCACACACGCAAAGGTCAAAGATAAAGAAAAGATCCTAAAAGCAGCAAGAGAAAAGAAACAACATACAATGGAGCTCTAATATGTCTGGCAGCAGACTTTTCAGTGGAAACCCTACAGGCCACGAGAGCGGCACAGCATAGTCAAAGTGCTGAAGGGGGCTGGGCGCGGTGACTCACACCTGTAATCCCAGCACTTTGGGAGGCCGAGGTGGACGGATCACAAGGTCAAGAGATGGAGACCATCCTAGCCAACATGGTGAAACTCCGTCTCTACTAAAAATACAAAAATTAGCTGGGTGTGGTGGTGTGTGCCTGTAGTCCCAGCTACTCGGGAGGCTGAGGCAGGAGAATTGCTTAAACCTGGGAGGCAGAGGCTGCAGTGAGCTGAGATTGTGCCATCGCACTCCTGCCCGATGACAGAGCGACTCCATCGAGAAAGAGAAGAAAGAAAAGACAAAAGATGATAGGATGAACTGACCAAAAATAATAACGATAACTTTTCAAGACATAGTACAATCAGATATAATAGAAACAAAAAGTTAAGAAGCAGAAGAATAAAGTTAAAATGTAGAGACTTCATTACTTTTCTTTTTGCTTGTTTATGCAATCAGTGTTGTCAACAGTTTAAAATAATGGGTTATAAGATATTGTTTGCAAGCCTCATGGTAACCTTATATATGAAAACATACAATAGATATGCAAAAAATAAAAAGCAAGAAATTAAAACATACCACTGGAGAAATCACCTTCACTAAAAGGAAGACAGGAAGGAGGGAATTAAGGAAGAAAGACCGCAAACCAGAAAACAAACAAAATGCAGGAACAAGTCCTTACTTATCAATAACTTTGACTATAAATGGACTAAACTCTCCAATCAAAAGACATAGAGTAACTGAACTGAAAAAGAAAAAAAAGGCCCAATTGTTGCCTACAAATAACACACTTCACCTGTAAAGACACACACAGTTTGAGAATTAAGGGATGGAAAAAGGCATTCTGTGCAAATGGAAACCAAAAATGGGCTGAAGTAGCTATACTTGTATCAGACAAAATAGATTTCAAGACAGAATTGGCTGGGTGCAGGTGCTCACACGTGTAATCCCAGCACTTTGAGAGGCTAAGGCGGGCAAATCACTTGAGGTCAGGAGTTCAAGACCAGCCTAGCCAACATGGTGAAACGTCCTCTGTCAGCAAACAAAAATTGGCTGGGCGTGTAGTCCCAAGCTACTCGGGAGGCTGCAAAAGGAGAATCGCTTGAACCCAGGAGGCAGATGTTGCAGTGAGCTGAGATTGTGCCACTGCACTCCAGCCTGGGGAACAGAGCGAGACTCTGTCTTAAAAAAAAAAAAAAAAAAGAAACTAACTTCAACAGTGGGTCAATGAAGAAATTAAGAAGGAAATTTTAAACTTTCTTGAAACAAATGATAATGGAAACACAATATATCAAACAAATGAGATACAGTGAGAGCAGTACTAACAGGCAAGTTTATACCCATGAGCTTCTACGTCAAAAAAGTAGAAAAACTTCAAATAAATAACATAATGCTGTACCTTAAAGAACTAAAAAGTGGCTGGGCACGGTGGCTCATGCCTGTAATCCCAGCACTTTGGGAAGCTGAGGTGGGTGGATCACCTGAGGTCAGGAGTTCAAGACCAGCCTGGGCAACATCGTGAAACCCTGTCTCTATAAAAAATGCAAAAATTAGCTGGGTGTAGTGGTGTGTGCCTCTAATCCCAGCTGTTCGGGAGGTTGAGGCAGGAGAATTGCTTGAGGTGGAGCCAAGATTGCGCCAATGCCTGGGTGACAGAGCAAGACTCCGTCTAAAAAAAAAAACTGAAAAGCAAGAGCACACCAGACACAGAGTTAGTAGAAGAAAAGAAATAACAACAGTCAGAGCAGCAATAAATGAAATTGAAATAAAGAAAATACAAAAAGTCAATAAAACAAAAGTTGGTTTCTGGATAATATAAAGAAAATTGAAAAATGTTTAGCCAGGGTAAATAAGAAAAAGAGAAAATCCAAATGAATAAAATGAAAGATGAAAAAGGACGCATTATAACTGATACCACAGAAATTCAAAGAATCATTAGAGGTTACTATGAGCAACTATAGTCCAATAAAGCTGGGAAATCTAGAAGAAATGAACAAATTCTTAGATACATATAACCTACCAAGATTGAACCATGAAGAAATCCAAAACCTGAATAGACCAATAACAAATGATGAGATGGAAGCTGTAATAAAAAGTCTCCCAGCAAAGGAAAGTCTGGGACCCCACAGCTTCACTGCTGAATTTTGCCAGCCATTTAAAGAAGAATTTGTACCAATCCTTCTCAAACTATTCTGAAAAACAGAGGAGGAGGGAATACTTCCAAACTCGTTCTACAAGGCCCATCTTACCCTGATACCAAAAGTAGACAAAAGCACAACAAAAAAAAAGACAATTACAGGCCAATATCCCTGATGAACATTGATGCTAAACTCCTCCACAAAATACTAGCAAACCAAATGCAAAATTAGATTTAAAAGATCACTCATCGTGACCAAGTGGGACTTATCCCTGGGACCCAAGGATGGTTGAATACATGCAAATCAATGTGTAATCATTATCAGCTGAATGAAGGACAAGAACCATATGATCATTTAAATTGATGCTGAAAAAAACATTCGATGGAATTTAACATTACTTCATGATACAAACCCTCAAAAAACTGGAGATAGAAAGAATATACCTCAGCACAATAAGAGCTGTATGTGACAAACCCACAGCTAGTATCATACTGAATGAGGAAACACTGAAAGCCTTTCCTCTAAGATCTGGAACACGACAAGGATGCCCACTTTCACTACTGTTATTCAGCATAGTACTGGAAGTTTTAGCTAGAGCAATCAGATAAGAGAAAGAAATAAAGGGCATCCAAATTGGAAAAGAAGTCAAATTATCCTTGTTTGCTGATGATATAATCTTATATTTGGAAAAATCCTAACAACTCCACCAAAAATCTATTAGGACTGACAAATTCAGTAAAATTGCAGGATACAAAATCAACCTACAAATATCTGTAGCATTTCTATATGCCAACAGCACACAATCTGAAAAATCAAGAAAGTAATCCCAGTTACAACAGTTTCAAATAAAATAAAATACCCAGAAATTAACCAAGTGAAAGACCTCTACAATGAAAATATAAAACACTGATACAAGCAGACTGGGCGTGGTGGCTCATGCCTGTAATCCCAGCACCTTGGGAGGCCGAGGTGTGCAGATCACAAGGTCAGGAGATCAAGACCATCCTAGTCAACATGGTGAAACCCCGTCTCTACTAAAAATACAAAAAAATTAGCTGGGTGTGGTGGCGTGTGCCTGTAATCCCAGCTACTCGGCAGGCTGAGGCAGAAGGATCCGCCTTGAACCTGGGAGGCGGAGATTGCAGTGAACCGAGATTATGCCACTGCACTCCAGCCTGGCGATAGAGACTCCGTCTCAAAAAAAAAAAAAAGAAGAAGAAGAAGAAGAAAAAACATTGATACAAGCAATTGAAGAGGGCACACACAAAAAATGGAGATTTCATGTTTACATACTGGAAGAATCAGTATCATTAAAATGTATATATTACACCCAAAACTATGGATTCAATGCAGTCCCTATCAAAATACCAATGATATTCTTCATAGAAATAGAAAATATAGGCTGGGCATGGTGGCTAACGCCTGTAATCTCAGCACTTTGGGAGGCTGAGGTGGGCGGATCACCTGAGGTTGGGAGCTCGAGACCAGCCTGACCAACATGGAGAAACCCAGTCTCTACTAAAAATACAAAATTAGCCGAGTGTGGTGGCTCATGCCTATAATCCCAGCTATTTGGGAGGCTGAGGCGGGAGAATCACTTGAACCTGGGAGGCAGAGGTTGCACTGAGCCGAGATCATGCCATTGCACTCCAGCCTGGGCAACAAGAGTGAAACTACATCTCAAAAAAGAAAAGAAAAGAAACAGAAAATATAATCCTAAAATGTATATGGAACCACAAAAAACTCAGAATAGCTAAAGATTTCCTAAGCAAAATAACTGGAGGAATCACATTACCTGACCTCAAATTATACTACAGAGCTATGGTAACCGAAACAGCATGGTACTGGCATAAAAACAGGCATATAGACGAGTGAAGCAGAATAGAGAACCCAGAAACAAATCCATGCACCTACAGTAAACTCATTTTCAACAAAGGTGTCAACAATATATACTGGAGAAAGGACAGCCTCTTCAATAAGTGGTGCTAAGAAAACTGGACATCCACATGCAAAAGAATGAAACTAGATCCCTGTTTCTTGCCATATTCAACAATCAAATAAAAATGGGTTAAAGACTTAAATCTAAGTCTTCAAACTATAAACCTACTACATGAAAAACTTGCAGAAACTCTCTAGGACACCGCACTGGGCAAAGATTTCTTGAGCAATCAATACCCAATAAGCAGGGGCAACCAAAGTAAAAATGGACAAATGAGATCACATCAAGTTAAAAAGCTTCTGCACAGCAAAAAAGTGAAAAGACAATCCACAGAATGGGAAAAGTCTTTGCAAACTATCCATCTGATAAGGGATTAATAACCAGAATATATAAGGAGCTCAAACAACTCTATAGGGAAATCTAATAATCCAATTAAAAAATGGGCCAAAGATCTGAATGGCTATTTCTCCAAAGAAGATGTACAAATAGCAAACACATATATAAAAAGGTGCTCAATCAATATCATTGATCATAAGAGAAATGCAAATCAAAACTACAATGAGATATCATCTCACCCCAGTTAAAATAGCTTTTATCCAAAAGACAGGCAATAAATGCTGACATGCAAGTGAAGAAGAGGGAACCCCTGTACACTGTTAGTGGGAATGTAAATTAGTACAACCACTATGAAGAACAGTTTGCAGCTTCTTCAAAGAACTAAAAATAGAGCTACCATATGATCCAGCAATCCCACTGCTAGATATATACCACCCCCCAAAAAAGGAAATTATTATATCAAAGAGATATCTGCACTCTCATGTTTATTACAGCACTATTCATAATAGCAAAGATTTGGAAGCAACCTATGTGTCCATCAAGAAACAAATGGATAAACAGGATGTGGCAAGCATACACAATGGGGTACTATTTAGTTATGAGAAAGAATGAGATCCTGTAATTTCCAGCAGCATAGATGGAACTGGAGGTCATCATGTTCAGTGAAATAAGGCAGGTACAGAAAGACAAACATCATATGTTCTCACTTATTTGTGGGAGCTAAAAATGAAAACAATTGAACTTATGAACATAGAGAGTAAAATGATAGTTACTAGAGACTGGGAAGGGTACTGTGAGTGTGTGTCAGGGGAGTGAGGATAGGTAATGGATACAAAAAATAGAAAAAATAGGATCTAATATTTGATAGTGTAACAGGGTGAGTATAATCAATAATTATTTAGTTGTACATTTAAAAATAAAGAGTGTTAAGTGGATTGTTTGTAACACAAAGGATAAATCTTTGTGGTCATAGATACCACATTTACCCTGATGGTGATTATTACACAAACTATGCCCATATCAAAATATGTCATATATTCCATAAATATATATATATATACACCTACTATGTAACTATAAAAATTAAAAAAAAGAAAACTGGTGTCAATTTACAAGACTGGACACTAATAACACTGCAAAAAGTGTCGGGTTTTTTTTTTTGGACATGCCTACATCTCAACCAAAGATTAAAATGTATACAAAGCATCAGGGTAGCATGACCCAATCAATAAAAGAAAACAAACATCCAGAAATCAAACCCAAAGAAACCAAGATATGGCTGGGTGCTGTGGGTGGTTCACGCCTGTAAGCCCAACACTTTGGGAGGTCAAGTCAGGCACATCCCTTGAATCCTGGGAATTTGAGACCAGCCTGGGCAAAATAGCAAAATCCTGTCTCTACTAAAAATACAAAAAATTGGCTAGGCATGGTGGGGCATGCCTGTAGTCTCAGCTACTCAGGAGGCTGTGGTAGGAGAAACAGCTGAGACTGGGAAGTTGAGGCTACAGTGAGCCGTGATCATGCCACTGAACTCCAGCCTGGGTGATAGCAGTGAGACCCTGTCTCAAAAAAAAAAAAATGTATAAATTGCCTGAAAAAATTTAAAGTAACCATCTTAATGGCACTTGATGAGTAAATCACAACATAGACAACAAAATAAAATCAGGAAAATGAAATGATCAACAAAGATAGAAACTATAAGGCAAACAAATTGTAGAGCTGCAGAATACAAAAATGATTGAGAAATTATCAAACTTAAGGAAGGAAAAAGACCTTAAAACTTAAAGAACTCAACAAACTCCAACTAAACACAAAGAAACCCACTATGAGAAACATCATAAGCCAAGTTTCAAAAGCCACAAAGAGAGAATCTTGAAAGAAGCAAGAGAAAGGTGATAAATTATCTGTAAGAGTGCTTCAGTAAGATTACTCGTAGATTTCTGAACAGAATCCTCACAGGCTAGAAAAGAGTTGGATAATATAATCAAAGAGCTGAAAGAAGAAAAACTTCCAAGCAAGAATACTATAACCAGCAATACCGTCCTCCAAATGAGGGAAAAATACAGATTTTCTAAGGCTAACAGAGATTAAAAAGTATATCACTAATAGACTTGCCCTACAAGAAATGCTAAAGGGAGTCTCTTCCATTGAAAATGAAATGATGCTACAAAACAACACAAAATCAGATAAAAATAGGTGACTCTCAGGAAAGATAGGCACATACACAAAAATAAAATTTTGTAGGATAATAATACTGCAGAAAACACTTTTAATTATGCTCTAAAAGTTGTACGTCAAAAGCATAAAAATAGAAATAAACATCTGTTAATGTAAATATAAAATAGAAAGTTGTAATTAGTGACAATAATAACAAAGTTGAGGGTAGAAAATAATGAGAAAAACTATTTGTATACAACTGAAGTTAAGTTAAGATGTTATCAGCTTAAGATGCACTGCTATAACATTAAGAAGTTTAATATAGCCGGGCGCGGTGACTCATGCCTGTAATCCCAGCACTTTGGGAGGCCGAGGTGGGCGGATGGCCTGAGGTTGGGAGTTCGAGACCAGCCTGACCAACATGAAGAAAGCCATCTCTACTAAAAATACAAAATTAGCCGGGCATGGTTGTGCATGCCTGTAACCCCACCTACTGGGGAGGCTGAGGCAGGAGAATCGCCTGAACCTGGGAGGCAGAGGGTGCGGTGAGCCAAGATCACACCATTGCCCTCCAGCCTGGGCAACAAGAGCAAAACTCTGTCTCAAAAAAAAAAAAGAAAAAAAGGTTTAAGATAACCCCCATGGCAACCATGAATAAAATACTCAGATATAAAATAAGAAAGGAGTCAAAGCATGTCACTACAAAGATGAACAAGATGCAAAGACAGAAGAGGGACAAACTGGGTACAAAAATTAAATAAAAGAAGTAAGAAAATGGCAACAGTAAGGCCTTCCCTTTCAGGAAATTATTTAAATATTCATGGACTAAACTTTCCTATCAAAGGACATATATTAAATAGAGATTAAAAAATAAAAACTCGAGGAAACTATATCCTGTCTCTAAGACAAACACGTTAGATCCAATACCAAAAATAGACAAACTGGCAGGATGGAAGACATTACATGCAAATATGAATGAAACAAGAGCAGGAGAGGTCACAATTATATTAGGCAAAATACCTTGCAAGTAAAAAATTACTATTTTTTTTCACTTTAGCATGCTCTACTGGATATTTAATATACATTTTTTTGTATTCATTATAAAGTACTCTTCAATAGTGAAACAGAGGTTAGTATGTTTTTAATCAGGAAATACAAGTACAAGTCTCTAATTTATATTTAGATGGTCTGATTCACTCAAATCCTGAAGTGGCAGGCTGCCAGATGCCTGGAACCTCTTAACAGTAAAAGTGACATCAGAAATATATAGTAATGTTCTTACCAAAATTAATAAATGCTTAGATATAAGAACGACTACTTAAAACTTCTAAGTCACAAAACACCGTGCTAAAGGTTTTTAGCAACCTCTTCTTTACAGAACATAATTACTTCTCTTATGTGGGGGTAGATTTGTGAATAGGCCAAAATTTCATAGGAAGGTGGGACATGGACCTTCCCCCTCCTCATTAGAAGTCATTTCGTCAGGACTTATGGTGGCCATATGGTGTTCCAAATGCTAACAGGAAACAAATGAGTCAACTTATGCACATGAAAAGCAAACTATGAATAACGAATAAGGAAGGGGGGAAACAGTTCAATAAGTTCAGATACAACTTGATACTGTCACAGGCTGTCACAGACCTCAGTATCTTCTTTATGGCCTAAGGAAACTGAGCCACCAACAGGAAAAAAGGTCACCTCACAGAGAATGCTGTGAGATTCTTAAGTTGCTAGACTCCTTTCCATCTTCTTCTCCTCAGGTCGATACTGCCGTCAAATTCTACACAATTCAACATCCATCTTCACATAACAATTAGTGTGACCCAAATTCACCCAAGATGTTAAAAGAAGGGAAGACAATCTACTAGGATTAGCCATAACTGTCCACAGTTGCAGGATGGAAAAGATATGACATGCAAATATGAACCAAACGAGAGCAGGAGAGATCACAATTATATTAGGCAAAATACCTTTTAAGTAAAAAATTACTATTTGTAGTAAAATATACCTTACGTCAAAACTGTCAGAAGAGACAAAGAACATTAAATAATAATAAAAGGTTTCTATTCACTGGGAACCTATGAAACATACAGACGTACATAGGTAAACAAATAA
This sequence comes from Homo sapiens, assembly GCF_000001405.40. Lineage (NCBI taxonomy): Eukaryota > Metazoa > Chordata > Mammalia > Primates > Hominidae > Homo > Homo sapiens. The sequence goes on from NC_000007.14 coordinate 56,447,293, forward strand.
AAATCAGGGTTCCCTCATATATAAAGCAAACACTGACAGAATTTAAGAAATAGACAGTAATATAATAATAGCAGGATACTTCAATACTCTACTTTCAGTAATGAATAACAAAGCAAAACCAAATATAAACAAGGGAACAAAGGACTTGAAAGCACTATAAAACAATTACACCTAATAGACACATAGAAAGCATTACACTCAACAAAGGTAGAATTCACAACCTTTTTTTTTTTTTTTTTTTTTTTTTGAGACAGAGTTTCGCTCTGGTTGCCCAGGCTGGAGTGCAATGGTGTGATCTCGGCTCACTGCAACCTCCGCCTCCCAGGTTCAAGCGATTCTCCTGCCTCAGCCTCCGGAGCAGCTGGGATTACAGACGCGCGCCACCACCCCCGGCTAATTTTGTATTTTTAGTAGAGACGGGGTTTCTCCTTGTTGGTCAGGCTGGTCTCGAACTCCCGACCTCAGGTGATCCGCCCGCCTCGGCCTCCCAAAATGCTGAGTTTACAGGCGTGAGCCACCGCGCCCGTCCCAGTTTATTTTTTCCACAGGAAAAAGGAGGGACTGAGGACCCCACGGACCACAGCTCCTCCCACCCAGGAACGCGGCACCCCGAGGCGGGATTCTCCACTGAAGATCCCCAGGAGGTCACCGCACAACCTGAGGAAATGCATGGTTGCGGGCGTGGAGCTGCCCCAGGAGGGCTAGAGCCAAGCCGAAGTCACCGAGCAGGCACGGGTAGAGATGGGATGCCCAGGCTCCCGGCTGCCGCCCAGCCCCACCCTGCGCCGAAGGAGACTGAGAGCCGAGCTGCGCCGGCGGAGACTCAAATCCTGGTCCCTGCAGCGGACCGCGAGAAGGCCCGGGTCCCCCCAGAGCTCGTTCCAACCACAGGTCTACCCCCCAGGACAGTCTTTCCGCACACTCACTGGTTCTTGTCTTCTGTGGTGTCCCGACATCTTCCCAATGGACCTTCCAGTACCTGCAGGTCCCAGGGCCATGGAGGCAATGGCGGAGTCACTTGGAGCCTCGCGGAGAAAACCGGACAGAGCAATGGACACCAAACACGCAACGGACACACAACACTGAGCTCCGCGGGTCCGGAAACAAACACCCAGCCAGGTGGTGGAAGGCCGCCCCTTCCTCCGAGGCTGGCACCTGATTGGACAGTTCCACACAAGCGCCTCTGATTGGCTAGGGATCCTGACCCCGCCCTGCAGGGCCCTGATTGACAGAAGCTGTGTTCCTGCCTGGGACAGGCGGCCCGAAGGACGTGTGTTTGGCTGGCTCAGCCCTTTGCTTCAGGGCTTCCTTGCGGTGCTGGCACGTGGCCCCTCCAGGGGAACATCTGCATTTAAGCAGAACTTGGTTGTGCCTTTCCAGTGTTCCACTGTTGGCCTCCTGCACTTCCTGAGTTCTTTCTGACCTTTGGATTTTTGAGGCGGCAGCCTGAGCTTTCACAAGAGAGGCAGTGCTTTAAGGCAGCCATTTCCAATAGAAAGAAAAAAAATGTGAGCCATGCGTGTCATTTAAATTTTTCTAGTAGCTGCTTAAAGGAAAAGGAAACAGGCTGGACATGGTGGCTCACGCCTGTAATCCTAGCGTTTGGGAGGCCGAGGCAGGTGGATCACCTGAGGTCAGGAGTTCGAGACTAGCCTGACCAACATGGCAAAACCCGGTCTCTACTAAAAATACAAAAAGTAGCCCAGCGTGGTGGCAGGCGCCTGTAATCCCAGCTACTCGGGAGGCTGAGGCAGGAGAATCGCTTGAACCCGGGAAGTGGAGGTTGCAGTGAGCCAACATCCCACCATTGCACTCCAGCCTGGGCAACAAAGCGAGAATCCATCTAAATAAAAAAAAAAAAACCAAAAAGGTGAAATTGACTGCAATAACTGATTTTACTCAATAGATCCAAAATATTATTTTGATTTGTGATCTACATAAAATTATTATTATTATTATTCATTTTAAAAATAGAGACAGAGTCTCTCTCTATCGCCCAGGCTGTAGCGCAGTGAGGTGAGCATAGCTCACTGCAACCTGGGACTCCTGGGTTCAAGTGACCCTCCCTCTCCAGCCTCTCGAGTAGCTGGGACTACAGGTGGGCACCACCATGCCCAGCTAATATTTTTATGTTTGTAGAGACGTGTCACCGTCTTGCCCAGGCTGGTGTCCAACTCCTGCTTCAAGGGAAGCTCCGGCCTTGGCCTCCCAAAGTGCTGGGATTACAGGCGTGAGCCACTGAAGGGGGCCTTTGGTAGGAAATCTTAGAAACTCACTCTATATTTTAAGCTTCCAGCACATCTCACTTAAGACCAGCCACATTCCAGGTGCCCTACATGGTCAGCGGCTGCCACATTGAAGTGGAGCTCTGGGAGCATTGGCTCCCCTGACTTCAGGGGAAGTGAAGGCCTGAACTCTCTCCTTTTCTGCCACGGGCAAAGGAACACCCCCTTCCTACCAGCATCTCCCCTCAGGCTGATAGGTGGGAGAGGTGGTGCCCTGAAAGAGAGCAGGGGGCTCACAAGCAGAAAGTGTCCACAGGTAAACAACTGTTACCCACCTGCTGCTTGAGGGTGGGGTGGGGCATCCTCCTTCTAGAAACCAGACAGTAAAAAAAGAATGATGAGGCCTCAGGAGGATGAAACCCCATGTCTTCAGATGTGTCCACAGCCCTGACCTCCAGGGTTTAGATGTGGAGGGAATAGATTAAAGACAAATTTCTTTCTTTCTTTCTTCTCCCTCCCCTCCCCTCCCCTCCCCTCCCCTTCCCTCCCCTCCCCCCCCTTCCCTCCCCTTCTCTTCCCTTCCCCTTGTTTTTTGGAGGCAGGTCTCAATCTGTCACCCAGGCTGGAGTGCCCTGGCACAATCATGGCTCACTGCAGACTCAACCTTCCAGGTTCAAACGATCCTCCCATCTCAGCCTCTCAAGTAGCTGGGACCACAGGTGCATACCACCGCATAAATAAGTGATATAGAAAATCAGTACATGTAATGTGCTGTTTGTCAGGGAACTTGTAATCAACCTGTTCTTGAATCCTGGCATCCCATCTGTAATGAGGGTATGTATTAGTTAACTATCCCTACATTTAAAAAAAAACAAAAAACAAAAAACACCCCAAGGCTGGGCGTGGTGTTCACACCTGTAATCCCAGCACTTTAGGAGGCTAAGGCTGGCGGATCACCTGAGGTCAGGAGTTCGAGACCAGCCTGGCCAACATGGTGAAACCTTGTCTCTACTAAAAATGCAAAAAAACAAAATTAGCTGGGTGTGGTGGCGGGTGCCTGTAATCCTGGCTACTTGGGAAGCTGAGGCAGGATAATCTCTTGAACCCAGGAGGTGGAGGTTTCAGTGAGCGGAGACCACGCCATTGCACTCAAGCCTGGGCAACAAGAATGAAACTCCGTCTCGAAAAAAACTAAATAATAATAAAAAAAAACCCAAGCCTGGGCGCTGTGGCTCATGCCCGTAACGCCAGCACTCTGGGAGGCCGGGGCGGATCACAAGATCAGGAGATCGAGACCATCCTGGCTAACACAGTGAAACCCCGTGTCTACTAAAAATACAAAAAATTAGCCAGGCATGGTGGCACACACCTGTAGCCCCAGATAACCAGGAGGCTGAGGCAGGAGAATTGCTTGAACCTGGGAGATGGAGATTGCAGTGAGCCGAGATCATGCCACTGCACTCCAGCCTGGGCAACAGAGCAAGACTCCATCTCAAAAAAAAAAACAACCAAATTTGTTTTAGTTTATATTTCAGCTGCTAAGCCATTTAGGCTGAATTCAGCTGGGCCATTCTTCTGGTTTCATCTGGGATCTTTCAGGCATATGTGGTCAGCTGCTGGTTGACGAGGCAGCTCTCTTTCTGAGAGTGAGCTGGCTGTCAATGGGGACACCTTGATTCTACTCCTTCCCTTGGTATCTCATCCTCCATTGTGGGCCTCTTCTCATGGTAATGGCAGGATTCCAAAAGAAAAGGCAGAAGTATTTAAAATCTTTTCAGCCTAGGCCCAAAGGTGGTACATTGTCATATTCACAGCTTTCTATTGGCCAGAACAAATAAGGATGGACAGATTTAAGTTTTGAGAAACACACTTTACCTATTGATGGGAGTAGCTGAAAAGGCACATTCCAAAGGGCGTAGATATAGCGAAGGATGAATAATAGCTGTCATTTTTGCAATCAGTATCACTTTGCCTTTTCTTGTAGACAACGTTTATATACATGTTCCAAGTCAAGAGACTTGTCCAAAACTGCACAACTACTAAACTGCTGGGCTGGGACTTAGGATCACCCTCACCTAATTTCAAAGCTCATGCACCTCCATAGGCCATGCTACTTATGCAGCATCCCCGGGCTCTCAAGGTTCTAGATAGTGAGTCTTCTGAAAAAGAAGCGGGATTCCATTGAGATTCTCATGCATCTAGTACCCTTCGCTCCTGGGAATAATCCCCTCCAGAAAATACTTCTGAAGACCCTTGAAAGGACTTGAAATAATCTGGGGAAAAGGCTGAGTTTAGGAAATCAAGGCTCAATATTATATTTTTCATTTCTCACCATAGGAGAAATTTATTTATTTATTTATTATTTATTTATGTATTCTTATACTTTAAGTTCTAGGGTACATGTTCACAACGTGCAGGTTTGTTACATAGGTATATGTGTGCCATGTTGGTTTGCAGCACCCATCAACTTATCATTTACATTAGGTATTTCTCCTAATGCCATCCTTACCCCAGCACCCCACCCACTGGCAGGCCCTGGTGTGTGATGTTCCCTGCCCCGTGTCCAAGTGTTCTTGTTGTTCAGTTCCCACCTATGAGTGAGAACATGCGGTGTTTGGTTTTCTGTCCTTGTGATATTTTGCTGAGAATGATGGTATCCAGCTTCATCCATATCCCTGCAAAGGACACGAACTCATTGTTTTTTATGGCTGCATAGTATTCCATGGTGTATATGTGCCACATTTTCTTAATCCAGTCTATCATTGATGGACATTTGGGTTGGTTCCAAGTCTTTGCTACTGTGAATACTACCACAATAAACATATGTGTTCATGTGTCTTTATAGTAGCATGATTTATAATCCTTTGGGTATATACCCAGTAATGGGATCGCTGGGTCAAATGGTATATCTAGTTCTAGATCCTTGAGGAATCGCCACACTGTCTTCCACAATGGTTGAACTAATTTACACTCCCACTAACAGTGTAAAAGCATTCTTATTGCTCCACATCCTCTCCAGCATCTGTTGTTTCCTGACTTTTTAATGATCGCCATTCTAACTGGTGTGAGATGGTATCTCATTGTGGTTTTGATTTGCATTTCTCTGATGACCAGTGATGATGAGCATTTGTTCATGTGTCTGTTGGCTGCATAAATATCTTTTTTTGAGAGATGTCTTTTCATATCCTTTGCCCACTTTTTAAGTTCTTAAGGTTGTTTTTTTCTTGTAAATTTGTTTAAGTTCTTTGTAGATTCTGGATATTAGCCCTTTGTCAGATGGGTAGATTGCAAAAATTTTCTCCCATTCTGTAGCTTGCCTGTTCACTCTGATGGTAGTTTCTTCTGCTGTGCAGAAGCTCTTTAGTTTAATTAGATCCCATTTGTCTATTTTGGCTTTTGTTGCCATTGCTTTTGGTGTTTTAGTCATGAAGTCCTTGCACATGCCTATGTCCTGAATGGTATTACCTAGGTTTTATTCTAGGATTTTTATGGTTTTAGGTCTAACATTTAAGTCTTTAATCCATCTTGAATTAATTTTTGTATAAGGTGTAAGGAAGGGATCCAGTTTCAGCTTTCTACATATGGCTAGCCAGTTTTCCCAGCACCATTTATTAAATAGAGAATCATTTCCCCATTTCTTGTTTTTGTCAGGTTTGTCAAAGATCAGATAGTTGTAGATGTGTGGTGTTATTTCTGAGACTTCTGTTCTGTTCTATTGGTCTACATATCTGTTTTGGTACCAGTACCATGCTGTTTTGGTTACTGTAGCCTTGTAGTATAGTTTGGAGTCAGGTAGCGTGATGCCTCCAGCTTTGTTCTTTTTGCTTATGATCATCTTGGTAATGCGAGCTCTTTTTTGGTTCCATATGAACTTTAAAGTAGTTTTTTCCAATTCTGTGAAGAAAGTCATTGGTAGCTTGATGGGGATGGCATTGAATCTATAAATTACCTTGGGCAGTATGGCCATTTTCACAATATTGATTCTTCCTACCCATGAGCATGGAATGTTCTTCCATTTGTTTGTGTCTTCTTTTATTTCACTGGGCAGTGGTTTGTAGTTCTCCTTGAAGAGGTCCTTCACATCCCTTGTAAGTTCGATTCCTAGGTATTTTATTCCCTTTGTAGCAATTGTGAATGGGACTTCACTCATGATTTATCTCTCTGTTCGTCTGTTATTGGTGTACAGGAATGCTTGTGATTTTTGCACATTGATTTTGTATCCTAAGACTTTGCTGAAGTTGCTTATCAGTTTAAGGAAATTTTGGGCTGAGATGATGGGGTTTTCTAAATATACAATCATGTCATCTGCAAACAGGCACAATTTGACTTCCTCTTTCACCACCATAGGAAAAATTTAAAAGCATGTATAATGCACTCTATGTGTCTGCAAATTCTTGTCATCCCTTTGTGGTATCTGTAGGCTATTTACGACTTTCAATACAGACTAAATCAAAATACCGTAACAGAAACAATCTGTTACTCTGAAAACAAGTGACATAAAAATAGAGCTGCCAAGAGGACATTTTCCCTTGCTGCAGTTTAGCCCAGACAACTGCTGAGTACATCTTCAAGTCATCTTTTTTTTTTTTTTTTTTTTTTTGAGGTGGAGTCTCACTCTGTTACCCAGGCTGGAGCACAGTGGTACAATTTTGGCTCACTGCAACCTCTGCCTCCCGGGTTCAAGTGATTCTCCTGCCTCGGCCTCCAGAGTAGCTGGGATTACAGGTACGCACCACCACACCCAACTAATTTTTGTAGTTTTAGTAAAGACAGGGTTTCACAATGTTGGCCAGGCTGGTCTCGAACTCCCGACCGCAGGTGATCCCAAAGTGCAGGGATTACAGGCATGAGCCACAGTGCCTGGCCCATCTTTTGATTTTAACAGGGCAGAACTGTTTTCCAAAAGCCAAAACTCAGGAGCATCCATGGGGGCAAATACCAGCAGTCCACATGGAAAACACATATATTTAATTCATCCTTCACACCGAACCAATGAACATTACCCTTGGTTTAACATCAGAATTGCCAGAGGGTGATAGGTGGGCCAAAAATCTCCCAAGGCCAAGTTGCAAAAGACCAGTAAATCAGAATCTCTGAGTGAGTCCCAGGCAACAATTTTTTTTCTTTTTTCTTTTTCTTTTCTTTGTGTGTGTGTGTGTGTGTGTGTGTGTGTGTGTGTGTGTGTGTGTGTGTGTGTTTCCCAGGCTGGAGTGCAATGGTGTGATCAAGGCTCATTGCAACCTCTGCATCCTGAGTTCAAGCGATTCTCCTGCCTCAGCCTCCCGAGTAGCTGGGATTACAGGTGCCTGCCACCACCAGGCAACAGTGTTTTTAAAATTCTCCAGATGATTACAGTATGCAACCAAGTCCCCAAAACGTTGCCTTACACCAACATCTTCTGGTGAACTAGTTGTAAATGTTTTCTCAAATTAATGCAAAAATGTTGACTGTTGGAATTTGGTTTTCCAGCCATACCTGCATTACCTACTTAGTACCTTGGTTGGAATTGACTTCTACTACTTGTTTTGTTTTGGATTCAACCAAGTTCCACAAGCACCTTACTGTATGCACAGGGCACTGTACTAGATTCCCTAACCTTGGTGAGCATCATTATTGGAGAGGACTTTGCTGGGGAGAAATGCATCCCCCAAAATCAACACCATACCACTTACCAAATGCAGGCAAAAATGGAAAGACCCAGGAGGTCACTTGAATGTTAGAACATTAATAGATACTTGAAAATATTAAAATCCATCTCGTGGTTACCTGAGCAAATGTGTTCCACTTTAAAACAAAACAAATGAATAAACAAAATGCTGCCATTATTCTGAGGTACCGAGTTAGGGTTTTTATGCAAATATGTAATATTTAAAAATTTTATTGGTGGGGCAGATGTGGTGGCTGATGCCTGTAATCTCAGCACATTGGGAGACTGAAATGGGTGGATTTCTTGAGCCCAGGAGTGGAAAACCAGCCTGAGCAACATGGCGAAACCCTCTCTCTACAAAAAATACAAAAAAGTGGGATGTGGTGGCACGTGTGCCTGTAGTCCCAGCCACTCAGAAAGCTGAGGTGGGAGGATCCAGTGAGCCCAGGAGGTGAAGGCTGCAGAGAGCTGAAATGTTGCCACTGCACTCCAGCCTGGGCAACAGAGTGAGATTCTGTCTCAAAAAAATATTTATTGATGTATAACATGCATACAGAAATGTGTGCACAAAGCATTCATGTAAAGCTCAATGAATTATTACAAAGCGAATATAGTTTTATAACCAAGAAATAGAACCACCCTCATGTATGTCCCCAACAATCATTTTCTTTCTCCTTCCCTTCCGCAACAAAGGTCACCAATATCTTAGACATTAGTATTGTAGATGGATTTTGTCTTTTTATACAATTGTTTTACTATGGAACATTTTATTTATTTATTTATTTATTTATTTATTTATTTATTTATTTTTGAGAATGAGTTTCGCTCTGTCACCCAGGCTGGAGTGCAGTGGCACTATCTTGGTTCACTGCAACATCTGCCCCCTGGGTTCCAGTGATTCCCCTGCCTCAGCCTCCTGAGTAGTTGGGACTATATGTGCCCACCACCATGCTCGGCTAATATTTGTATTTTTAGTAGAGATGGGGTTTCACCATGTTGGCCAGACTGGTCTCGAACTCCTGACCTCAAGCAATCTGCCTGCCTCAGCCTCCCAATGTCCTGGGATTACAGGCATGAGCAACCACATCCCACCAAACTTTACAGTTTTAAGAAATAAATACACTCCCCCATGTAATCTTCACCTACTTTAAGAATAGAATGTTTTTGGCCCAGTGCAGTGGCTCATGCCTATAATTCCAGCACTTTGGGGGGCTGAGATGGGTAGATCACTTGAGGTCAGGAGTTCCAGACCAGTCTGGCCAACATGGCAAAATGCCATCTCTGCTAAAAATACAAAAATTAGCCAGGTGTGGTGGCAAGTGCCTGAAATCCCAGCTGCTTGGGAGGCTGAACCAGGAGAATCGCTTGAACTCGGGAGGCAGAGGTTGCAGTGAGCTGAGATCGCACCATTGCACTTCAACGTGGGTGACAGAGCGAGACTCCGTCTCCAAAATAAATAAATAAATAAATTAAAAAGAATAGAATGTTAATGTTTTCATCATCCTCAGAAATTCCCTTTTGTTTTTTCCTAGGCAATTTTTGTTTTCTCCCAAGAGGCTATCTCTGCTCTGATTTTTTTTTCAACATATGTTACTTTTGCCTGGACTCATACAGCTGCATTATTTTATGTCCAGCCTGTCTCATTTTGCAGGGTTAGGAGAGTCATCCCGGGTCCATGCTTCAGTAGTTTGTTCCTTTGTACTGCTGAATAGTATCCTGTTGTATAAATGCCCTGCAATTCATTCATCCATGTGGTTTTCTACTTTGGGCTATTATGACTAAAATGTCTATGAACAACCTTATGTAATTTCTAATATTTAATTTCTTTATTAGCATTTAAGTGACACCTCTTTGCATTTTTTAGCGGTTGCTCCAGGGATTGCAATATGCACTTTTTTTTTTCTTTTGAGATGGAGTCTCACTCTGTCACCCAGGGTGGAGTGCAGTGGCACAATCTCGGCTCACTGCAAGCTCCACCTCCCGGGTTCACGCCATTCTCCTACTTCACCCTCCCAAGTAGCTGGGACTACAGGTGCCTGCCACCACGCCCAAATGATTTTTTGTATTTTTAGCAGAGACAGGGTTTCACTGTGTTAGCCAGGATGGCCTCGATCTCCTGACCTTGTGATCCGCTGCCCACCTTGGCCCCCCAAAGTGCTGGGATTACAGGTGTGAGCCACTGCACCCGGCCGCAATATGCACTTTTAACATACCACAATCTATGTAGAGTTAATACTGTGCAATTTTAATCAATGTACATTATAAAAACCTTGCTATGAAACAATTTTATTAAACTCTATTTATCATGCTACCATTATAAATTTAACATCTTCATGATTTAAATTCCACGTTACAATGTTATAATTTTTGCTTTAAATAGTCACAGGTTGGCTGAGCAAGGTGGCTCATGCCTGTAATCCCAGCACTTTGGGAGGCCAAGGCGGGCAGATCACCTAAGGTCGGGAGTTTGAGACCAGCCTGGCCAATATGGTGAAACCCTGTCTCTACTAAAAATACAAAAAAATAGCTGAGTATCATGGCGCATGCCTGTAATCCCAGCTACTCGGGAAACTGAGGTGAGAGAATCGCTTGAACCCGGGAGGCAGAGGTTGCAGTGAGCTGAGATCATGCCACTGCACTTTAGCCTGGGTGACCGAGTGAGACTCTGTGTCCAGAAAAACAACAACAAAAAAAGTCATAAGTCTTTTCACAAAATTAAAAGAAAAATTAAATATCTGCCAGATATTTGGAGGCAGATACTTTGGAACTGTACGCATGCACACAGTTCCTATAACTCTTTAGTCACCATTTTTGAATTGTTCAGTGAATCTTGCTTATGATAATTACTACTGTGGTGTTCTAGTGGTAATTTTATATCTGAATTATCTACCTATATTGATTAGTATTTTGGAATTCTAAATACTAATTTAGGAAAAATTTAAACTTCCTTCCTTCCTTCCATCCTTTATTCTTTCCTTCTTTATTTACCTAATCTTTTTCTATCAATATGGACTCATGGGTATTTATTTTATTCTGTGAGTTGGAGTTCAATGCTATCATGATTTCATTGTTCACATTGTTCCAGCTTGGGCCATTGGGAGGTCTGCCAAGTTATCTTGTTTTGACATCTCTCTTTTATGAAAAGCACTTTTCAGCTTTCTGGCTCTACAAGAAACTCTACTCAACTTTTATTTTCCATTTTCAGCCCTAGAATTATCCATTTTTACAAGCTTTGTTTCCTTTTATTAAAGAATTATATTAGAAATCAAGATCTAGAGAGCTAGGTGTGCTCATAGACACTGGGATATAACTGCTTTTGGGCCTCTCAGCAGACGGACTTTGAAACTGTGTATATAAATATAAACTCAAATATGCCCACATCTATCTATCTATCAATAGATCTATCTATCCATCCATCCATCCATCCACCCATCCATTCATCCATCCTGAATGTATGGACATGGCTTCATTCTGACATTTCCAACTCCAGTCCAGAACCGCTAGTTTATTCTAACATGATTCCTTTGTTTATGTGTAATTGTTTTATGACTATACTGAGAAATGGGCACTAATCATCTACAAAATATATTCTAACATATAAAGTAGTTTCAGAATTACTAACCCATATTCTTGCAGGAAACAAATTTACCAACTAGATTCCAGTGTTTGTATACAAACTTGAGTCTTAACAGCATTCAATCAAAACACTGCTTTCCAAAGTTACTTAGGTCAAGACTCTTTATCTCCACCCTTTTAAGGGTGGCTGTACTACAAATGTATACATTTGTAGTACAGTTAGACTCATTTATCTACTTGTATATTTTGAGATGGAGTCTTGCTGTGTCCCCCATGCTGGAGTGCAATGGTGTGATCTTGGCTCACTGCAGTCTCAGCCTCCCGGGTTCAAGTGATTCTCCTGCCTCAGACTCCCGAGTAGCTGGGATTACAGGCACTCACCACCACACCAGGCTAATTTTTATAGCTTTAGTAGATATAGGGTTTCACCATGTTGGCCAGGCTGGTCTTGAACTCCTGACCTCAGGTGATCTGCCCAGCTTGGCCGCCCAAAGCACTGGGATTACAGGCATGAGCCGTCGCACCCAGCCTCTGAGTTGTATGCTTTATAATAAACTGGTAAACTTAAGTAAAATGTTTCCCTGAGTACTCTGAGAAGTTCTGTCAAATTATTGGACATGAGGGCTTATGGGAGCCCCTGATTTATAGACAGTTGCTCAGTGTAGATGGGCTCCAGAGATTGTGACTGGCATGGGCAGTGGGGGGCAGTTGGTGGTTCCGAGCCCTGAACTTGTGAGATCTGTGCTAACTCTGGGTGGTGACAGAATTGAATTGTTGGAGAACTAGTTTGTGTTGGAGAATTGGTTTGTATTCAGCAAGCTACACACATTTGCTGTCAGAAGTGTTGTCAGATAAAAGACATCACAGGATGGGTGTGGTGCCTCACACTTGTAATCCCAGCACTTTGGGAGGCAAAGACAAGTGGATGGCTTGAGCTCAGGAGTCTTAGACCAGCCTGGGCAACACGGGAAACCCCATTTTTATTAAAAATAGAGTGGCTGTGGTCCCAGCTACTCTGGAGGCTGAGGTGGGAGGATTGCTTGAGTCTGGGAAGCAGAAGTTGCAGGGAGTCCAGATTGCACCACTACATTCCAGCCTGGGTGACAGAGGGAGACCTTGTTTCAAAAAAAAAAAAAAAAAAAAAAAAAGGAAAGAAAGACATCACAGGTGAGAACCTTAAACTGACTCCAGGTGAGTTTGGCTAGTGGTGAGAATCAGGTTTCTCTCCCTCACCACTTAGAAATGAACCACCCTGGGCTCCATCTCCAAGGTCAGAGTGGTTACTAAGCTTGGGCCTGTGTTTAATCTAGAGTATGGGGTTCCTTATGAACTGTGGATGAAACAGGCTGTTTCCCTTTTTGTTTTGTTTTCTTTTTCTTTTTCTTTTTTTTTGAGACAGAGTCTTGAATTCTTGCCCAGGCTGGAGTGCAGTGGGGTGATCTCTGCTCACTGCAAGCTCTGCCTCCCGGATTCAGGCAATTCTCCTGCCTCAGCCTCCCGAGTAGCTGGGATTACAGGTGCCCGCGACCACACCTGGCTGATTTTTGTATTTTTAGGAGAGATGGGGTTTCACCATGTTGGCCAGGCTAGTTTCAAACTCCTGACCACAGGTGATCCACCTGCCTTGGCCTTCCAAAGTGTTGGGATTACAGGCATGAGTAACACGCCTGGCTTTGTTTTCTTTATAAAAATCTTGCTGCAATGTAATTCCAGTTTGCCCAAGTATTTAAGAATTTTATTTCTTAATTTAAGTATAAGAGTTTTATTTTCCTGGTTGAAAATCTAGCCAGGCACAGTGCCTCACACCTGCAATCCCAGCACTTTGGGAGGCTGAGGAAGGTGGATCACGAGGTCAGGAGTTCAAGACAAGCCTGGCCAACATGGTGAAACTCCATCTCTACTAAAGATACAAAAAATTAGCCGGGCATGGTGGCAGGCACCTGTAATCCCAGCTACTTGGGAGGCTGAGGCAGGAGAATCGCTTGAACCTGGGAGGCGGAGGTTAATTTCTAGCCACTTTTTACATCAGTCAGTCCAGATTCCACAGAGCAAGCAGCTTCAAGAAATGGTTACAAAGCTCAAGGGGGGAAGTGAGACATAACTGCTGCCTAGTTCCTGTGCCTGTGTGGACCTAATAACTTAGAGGTAGTTTACATTCCTCAGATTAAAAAATTTCTGCCGGGTGCAGTGGCTCATGCCTGTAATCCCAGAACTTTGGGAGGCCGAGGCAAGTGGATTGCTTGAGCCCAGGAGTTCGCGGCAAACTTGGACAATGTATCAAAACCCTGTCTCTACTAAAAATACAAAAATTAGCTATATGTGGTAGTGCATGCCTGTAGTCCTAGCTACTCAGGATGCTGAGGCAGGAAGATCGCTTGAACCCAGGAGGTCAAGACTGCAGTAAGCTGTGATGGTGCCACATAAAGATGGGAACAGCAGACACTGGAGACCCCTGGGCTGGGGGAGGGAGTGGGCCAAGTGTTGAAAACCTACCTGTTGGGTATATGCTCACTGCTTGGCTGATGGGATCAATCCTACCCTAAACCTCGACATCATGCAATACACCCATGTAACAAACCTGCACATGTAACCCTTGAACCTACAAGTTGAAGTTTTAATAAAATCTAATATTTCCTCTTTATGGATGCCCAGTCATAGTTGAACACTGTAGGTATCTAGAAGGATTCCATAGTGAACTATGTTTATTCAAGACTTTTTAGGTTAATGTGTTTTTAAAGTTTTATTTTGCAATTTTATATGTCAATATCTCATGGTTTAGGATAGGCTACCTCATTTTAGTTTTTTGTTTTGTTTTGTTTTGTTTTTTTTGAGACAGAGTCTTGCTCTGTCACCCAGGCTGGAGTGCAGTGGTGTGACCTCGGTTCACTGCAAGCTCCATCTCCCGGGTTCAGGCCATTCTCCTTCCTCAGCCTCCCGAGTAGCTGGGACTATGGGTGCTCGCCACCAAGCCTGGCTAATTTTTTTGTATTTTCAGTAGAGATGGGGTTTCACCATGCTAGCCAGGATGGTCTCGATCTCCTGACCTCATGATCTGCCCGCCTTGGCCTCCCAAAGTGCTGGGATTACAGGCATGAGCCACCACGCCCCGCCAGGATAGGTTACCTCATTTTAGTTAATTGTGTTTTGTTTTGATTTATATATTTATAGTTCTGCATGGCAATATTCAACGTCACACATTTCAAGCCAGTGTACAGCAAAAGTCAAATATGAATGAGTCATACGTCTATTGCCACTATAATTATCTTCGTGTTTGTTTGCCTGTATAAATATTACCCACATTTTAAAAATAATTTGTATATAACTGTTATTTTGATTAGTGATAGGTGGTTATTTTCTCATGTGTCGGTGAGTAGTCATGGAAATTGTCTTAATTTCTACACCTGTTTATTGTTGAATATGTATTATCTTGGAGTGAGAGAAACATTTTGTGATTTGGAGGTATGTTTTGAAAAGCTTCTTAACTCTATTGATTGTATGTTTATTTTTGTGAAAAATACACACCAAAATGTACAATCTTAAATACTTCAAATTATGTAGTTCAGTTTATATTACATATATTGACACTGTTAGCAACATATATGTAGAATGTTTTCTATTTTTATGTTATTTCATTGAGACAGAGTCTCACTCTGTCACCCAGGCTGGAGTACACTGGTGGAATCGTGGCTCACCCCGGTCTCCCAGGTTCAAGCAATTCTCCTGGCTCAGCCTCCTGAGTAGCTGGGATTACAGGTATGTGCCACCATGCCTGGCTAATTTTTGTAGTTTTAGTAGAGATGGGATTTTACCATGTTGGTTAGGCTGGTCTTGAACTCCCAACCTCATGTGATCTGCCTGCCTTGGCCTCCCAAAATGCTGGGATTACAGGCGTGAGCCACCGTGCCCAGCCTAGAATGTTAGTATCTTGTGAAACTAATACACAATCCATGTGAATCCTATTTCCCATTGCCTGGCCCTTTCCAAACATTATTCTATTTTCTCTTTTTAATAGTGTATCTACTTTAGATATCCCATATAAGTGGATTCATATAGTATTTGTCTTTTTTCAGCTGGCTTATTAAATTTAACATAATGTCATCAAGATTTATGTTTATGGTAGATGTTAGAAGACTTCTCGTTTGCTTTTAAAGCTGAGTTGTATTCCATTATTTTTATATTCCAAATTATATTTATCCATTCATTTGGTGAGGGAAGTTTGGGTTGCTTTTACCTATTGGCTTTTGTGAATAATGCCACAATAAATGGTGTTAATAACTCATTTGGCCATACATATGAGAATTTTTATCTGTGCTGTATTCTGTTTTGTTGGTGTAGGGTTTTCTTTTACGCCAGTACCAAAGTGCTTTGATTACCTTACCTTTGTTTTGTATTTTGAAATCATTAAGCATGATGTCTCCAATATTGTTTTCTTTTTTTAAATAGTCAGGCTCTTTGTGGTTTCTTGATATTTCATATGATTTGGGAGTTGTTTTCCTATTTTTGGAAAAGAGAAATTTGGAATTTGAAAGGGATTGTATTGAATGTGTAGATAGATCACTTTGGTCCAGTATGGCCATCTTCACAGTATTAAGTCTTCCAACCTTTGAACAAGAGCATGCTTAAGTGTGTATTGTTTAATTTTCATATTTTGTGGGTTTTTTTGGCTTTCCTTCTGTTAGTGATTTGTAGTTTCATTCAATTTGGCCAAAAATAATAGCATGTAATATTCAAGTTTAAAAAATGGATTAAGACTTGTTTTGTAAGATAAGAGGTGTATCCAGGAGAATTTTCTTATGAGCTATTGAAAAGATTGTGGATTCTGCTGTTGTGTGGTGTGTTCTGTATATGTCTTTTAGGTTTAATTGTTTTACATTGCTTTCAAGTCCTTTGTTCCCTTATTAATATTCTGTCATGCTTTATTATTCATTACTGAAAGTATTGAAGTACTCTCCCACTGTTATATTACTTCATTTCTGTTAATGCTTGCTTTATATATTTGGGAAACCTGATAGGAGATACAAATAGGTTCCCAGTGAATGAACCATTTTATATTAATATAATGTCCTTGTTTGTCTCTTGTGAGTTTTGACTTAAACTATGTTTTATAAAATATGACAGCTTTTTACTTAATATAATTAGTTCTCCACCTCTCATTTGGTTAACATTTGCACAGAATGTCTTTTTCCATCCTGCCACTTTCAGTCTATTTTCACCATTAGATCTTAGGTGAGTCTCTTGGAGACATGACATAGGTAGATTTTGTTTTCTAAATTAAAAACAATTCCTTTATTTAATGTATTTCTTTTGATTGGGAAGTTTAGTCCATGAATATTTCAATACTTTTCTGAAAGAAAATGACTGGCACTTACCATTTTATTGTTTTAGTTAAGTCTTATAGCTATTTTGTCCCTATTTACTTTGTATTCCTTTATGTCTTGTTGATATTTGTAATGACTCATGCTTTGCTTTTTTATTTTCTGTTGCGTATCTGCATTTTCTTTATGGTTACCATTTAAATTACATAAAATCTCTTAAAGTTACAACTGTATATTTTAAACTGGTAACAACTTGCACTCAGTTGCATACAAAAATCCTTGCTCATTACATCTGCCCTCAAATTATAATGTCACTGAGTATATCAAATATTAATGGGTTTTAATTTTCATGATGTCTTTCAAATTTTAAAGCACAATTGTTTTCTGCCTAATTATTATAATACTACTAAGTTTTATTTTTGTGTATATGCATATCTTTCCCAGAGAGTCGTGTATTTTTTTTTTTTTTTGAGATGGAGTCTAGCTCTCTCACCCAGGCTGGAGTGCAGTGGTGTGATCTTGACTCACTGCAAGCTCTGCCTCCCGGGTTCACGCCATTCTCTTGCCTCAGCCTCCCGAGTAGCTGGGACTACAAGCACCTGCCACCATGTCCAGCTAATTTTTTGTATTTTTAGTAGAGACAGGGTTTCACCGCATTAGCCAGGATGGTCTCAATCTCCTGACCTCGCGATCCACCTGCCTCGGCCTCCCAAAGTGTTGAGATTACAGGCATGAGCCACCGTGCCCTGACAAATTGTGTATTTTTGTATGATTTGGTTTGTTTTCTGTCATTTTAAATTTTCAATGGGAAAGACTTCTTTTTGCATTTCTTGTAGGACAGTTATACTGGTGATGTACATTCTCAGCATTTAGTTACTTGGAAAATATTTATTTTTTCAAATTTTGTAGGACAGTTTTGTTAAAAGTTTTGTTTCCTTTAGCGCTTGGACTGTATAACTAAAGACCCCTCTTGTTGGCGGGGTTTTCATTCAAAAATTCACTGGTAATCTTGCAGGAGCATGCATATAGATGATACATCTCTTTTGTCTTTCTGCATTCAAGATTATCTTCTTTTCTGTGACTTTCAAAACTTTGCTTATATTGTGTCTTGTTATGGGTCTCTTTATCTGAGTTGAAGTTTGTTGAGCTTCAGTTTTTAGTATGTTTTTTCTTATAATGGATAATTTCTCAGTCTTTTTTTATGCTTCTGCTCTACAATTTGTTTCTCTTTGTCATTGTGTTGATATTCTTATTTTCCTGATTAAACTAAGTTTTCTGTGTTTCTATGTTACACATTGAGAATAATTGAGGTGGTTATTTTGATTTTTAAGGCAATTTATACATCATCATTTCTTTAGGGTTGATTTCTGCATACTTGTTTCTTTGATTGGGCCATGTTAGTCTGATATTTGTATATTTTGTAACATTTGGTTGAGATACGGGCATTTAAAAAAGTAACCTGTCACAGTCTGTATAAAGTGGCTCTCTTCCCTGCAGTGTCTGACACCAATTTACCAGGCTAGATATTGAGAATTTCTCAAACCTGTTCTTAAGATGTCTCTTCCCTATATTTTTGTGTTCTCTTTATTGAGTTATGTGGTTTTGCCCAAGTTTCTGCTTTACAGCTTGTAATTAGTTGGTATACCTGCTGTTTCTCTGTGGTCCTACAGTCTCTCTGCTGCTATAACAATCATTTACCTTTTGTCTCGCAGACACTAACCTGTCATTCAAAGAGTAGCACCATTTCTTTCAGCACTCTTTGTCATGGTAGACAGAAACCAGTCTTTGGAAAGATCCCTCAAAGCCAGAATTATGGACACATGTGCCACTATTTTTTTTTCACTTTTGAGAGAGAAGCCGGGAGTTGAGAGTTTTCACTTAAAGGCATTATTTTGTATTGAGGAGGAAGTATGGCTGTGGTGGGTAAATGTAACAAATGCTCCTTTTTTTTCTATGTGGCTGTTGGCATCGTTTTCATCTGTGGCACTGCAATCTCTTAACTGCTTTTTAGAACTCTTACAAAGGCACTGTGGTCAATATATTTTTGTTAAGTTTACAAGTCTATTAAGGAATTTGGGCTTGTGGTATTATGCTATCTTATTGTGCTTGGTATAATTTTATATTTTGTATTTGTAGGGTATACTCACCTGAGTCTAATAAGTGGTATAATTTATTTTTATTTTTTTTAGCTGTGTCCTCTCATTTCACTCCAGATCTTTTGCCTGAGCAAAGCATAAAACATTTACTCCCAAAAGTGATACTGAGAAGATATGAAAGCTATGACACTGAAAATTTAAACTTAAGACTGGAAAAGTGTGGGTGAGTGTAAGGAACACACACAAAAAAATTATAATGGACTTAACCAATGTTTATCAACTACCTTAGCAAAATCTTTCAGTGTGATGAATGTGGCAAAGCTTTTGACCGGTGCTTAATCCTTACTCAACATAAGATAATTCATGCAGGAAAGAAACCATACAAATGTAAGGAATGTGGCAAAGCCGTTAACTGGTTCTCAAACCTTATTCAAAATAAGAGAATTCATAGTGTAGAGAAGCCCTACAAATGTCAAGAATGTGACAAAGCCTTGAACCAGTGCTCACACCTTATTGGACATGAGAGAATTCATACTGGAGAGAAATCTTACAAATGTGAAGAATGTGGCAAAGCCTTCAACCAGGGCTTACATCTCACTGGACACAAGAGAACTCATACTGGAAGGAAACAATACACATGTGAAGAATGTGGCAAAACTTTTAACTGGTTGTCATACTTTTCTCAACATAAGAGAATTCATACTGGAGAGAAACACTACAATTATAAAAAATGTGGAAAAGCTTTTATGCATGGCTGAATTCTTACTAAAAATAAGATAATTCATACTGGAGAGAAATGCTACAAATGTGAAGAATGTGGCAAAACCTTTAACCAGAGCTCACATCTTATTGGACACAAGAGAATTCATATGGGAAGGAAATCCTACAATTGTGAAAAATGTGGAAAAGCTTTTATGCATGGCTCAATCCTTACTAAAAATAAGAGAATTCATACTGGAGAGAAATGCTACAAATGTGAAGAATGTGGAAAACCTTTAACCAGAGCTCACACCTTATTGGACATAAGAGAATTCATACTGAAAGGAAACCCTACACGTGAAGAATGTGGCAAAACTTTTAACTGGTTCTCATACTTTTCTCAACATAAGAGAATTCATACTGGAGAGAAACCCTACAATTGTGAAGAATGTGGAAAAGCTTTTATGCATGGCTCAATCCTGACTAAAAATAGGAGAATTCATACTGGAGAGAAATGCTACAAATGTGAAGAATGTGGCAAAACCTTTAACCAGAGCTCACATCTTATTGGACACAAGAGAATTCATACTGGAGAGCAATGCTACAAATGTGAAAAACGTGGCAAAGCCTTTAACTGGGTTTCAAACCTTACTAAATATAAGGGAATTCATACTGGAGAGAAATCCTAGAAATGTGAAGAATGTGGTAAGTATTTGATCAATGGTCAATCCTTACTGAATATAAGATAATTCACATGATAGAGAGCCCCTATAATTGTAAGGAACATAGCAAAGGTTTTATTTTGTGCTCAACTTTTACTATAAGTGAATTCATTCTGGAGAGAAATTTTACCAAAGTAAAGAATGTGGCAAAACCATTAATGAATGTTGACATCACAATCTACATCAGTGATTTCATACTAAATAAAATTGGTATAAATGTAATGACTGTTGAAGGGTCTTTCACAAAATATAACCCTTAAAGTGCACAGGATTATTTTACCGAACAAAAACATTACAAATATAAAGAAAGGCACAATACCTTACTTATACCACAGATTTTATTGTACACTGGAAAATGTATACTGAAGGGAAACTCTCCAGGAGTTCCTCAAACTTTATACTGGGGAGAAACCCTATGGATGTAATTAATTGGAAAAACTTTTGTTCCATACATATACCTTAGAAAACACTGGAGAGTTTCTACCAGAATATATTATACAGATTTAGATAATGTGAAAATGTAAATTAGAAATCAAGCCAAAGAAATATCATAGATTGACAGTAGAAAGCACTAAGGCAGTAACAGTTTAAGACATTACTCTAAATCCATGTTGATTATAGAGAATAATTTAAAATAGGTTGCTTACTTGTACCTAAGTTTAAATGGAGAAGGAGATTAATTTTTTCTTTTTTGGACAGTTATAATTACATTCAAATTATACTTTTTGGAATTGAAATAATTTTAGTTATTTTGAAAAGCAAATATTTATGTAAATTAAACACAAATTTCTTGATGTTATATCTTCATTTCTAGTGCTTATGTGAAAGCATGTGGTTTCTGCATCAGTCCTCTGAGACATGTTTCACTATTAGGTAGGCACCATTAACACACTTTTCCATGGAACACTAAGGACATTTAAATGTAAGACACATGAAGAAAATCTAAGTGGAGAGGCCTTTTATAACAGTGTTGTAAGTGATTCATGCGGCAGGTGTTAAGGGTAATATTATTTTGCATTGTAGTAGAAAAGAAGCATTTTGAATCTTAGAAGTAATTTGTTTTACCAGTTACACGTTAAAATAATGAAATGCGTGGAGTTTAAAATACTTTTTGAGACAATGTTTGAACTTAATTTATTTTAATGGAATAAAATTGTTTTTTATGTGTTAAGACTGTTTTCAGAGGCATAGACAGGCTCAGAGAGCTGCAGTAATATCCTTAGTACCCACCTAGTAGCCTGCAGAGTCAACACTGTGTCTTGGAGGAGACAGATACCTACTAAATAGCTGGCCCAGGAACTGTGGATTGGTGGTGAAGTCCTGGTAGGAGCCCAGGAAGGTGGTAAAGGAGAAGATGGCTCAACTTGGAAGTCTGGTACAAGAGGCTCATGCAGCTTCTCCCTTGTACATGGCTGGGAGTATCTGCATAATTCCCATCTCAAGGTTTAAGGTAGAGTTTTATTTATTTATCTATTTTGAGATGGAGTCTCGCTCTGTCGCCCAGGCTGGAGTGCAGTGGCGTGCTCTCAGCTCACTGCAAGCTCTGCCTCCAAGGTTCACGCCATTGTCCTGCCTCAGCCTCCTGAGTAGCTGGTACTACAGGTGCCCGCCACCACACCTGGCTAATTTTTTTGTATTTTTAGTAGAGACGGGGTTTCACTGTGTTAGCCAGGATGGTCTCAATCTCCTGACCTCATGATACGCCCGCCTCAGCCTCCCAAAGTGCTGGGTTTACAGGCGTGAGCCACTGCACCCAGCCAGAGTAGACTTATTTTTTTATGGAGGGGAACAAGAAGAGACATATGGTCAATGACAGCACTGTGAACCACTGGCAGGTTGGGGGCTGGGGCTTATACTAGGAAGCTCCCATTCTTCAGAGACTTGTGCATGTGGAGTACACAGGTGTCCATGGTGAAGGTTCAAGGCTTCCAAAGTTTTATGTGGGCCAGGTGCAGTGGCTCATGCCTGTAATCCCAGCACTTTGGTAGGCCGAGGTGGCTGGATCACCTGAGGTCAGGAGATCAAGATCAGCCTGGCCAACATGGTGAAACCTTGTCTCTACTATTAATACAAAAAATTAGCCAGGTGAGGCGGCAGGTTTGGCGGCAGGTGCCTGTAATCCCAGCTACTCAGGAGGCTGAGGCAGGATAATTGCTT
This sequence comes from Homo sapiens, assembly GCF_000001405.40. Taxonomy (NCBI): domain Eukaryota; kingdom Metazoa; phylum Chordata; class Mammalia; order Primates; family Hominidae; genus Homo; species Homo sapiens. The sequence goes on from NC_000007.14 coordinate 56,469,730, forward strand.
GAACCTAGGAGGTGGAGGTTGCAGTGAACCAAGATCATACCATTGCACTCCAGCCTAGGTGACAAGAGTGAAACTCCATCTGAAAAACAAACAAACAGCGACAAGAAAGTTTTATGTGGAGGTGGAGAATAATTAAGCCATTAACACCTTCAAGGCATCTTCATGATACTTTGTCATCTGTAGAGCAACAGCACCCATCTACATTAATAGCCTGTATGAAGAGAATTATCCCAGTGAGTCCTCAAAAAATGTCCTTCTTGTAAAGTTGGGAAAACACAGGCTTTGTAATGTCAAATGTCTGCTGAACAGCGCATGGATCAGAACTGAGAACTGTAAACAGCAAGGGCTGCAAGAAATTTCCTTCAAGCTGTTGGAGGCTCTATCTGCTCCTCACATGGATGGAAAGGACCTCAAGGAGCCTCATTTTCTATTTTAGAGACAGTGCACAGGGCAAGACAGCCTAGGAATACTTTTTTGACTTTAAGCAACACAATTTTTTAACATTAAAAAGAACCTTGCCAAACAGATACAATTACAGACGTGACAAGGGGGCAAATGCTGGGAGAGTCCAGGAGGGGAGAAAGCCCACTTAAAGGGCCAAGAATCTGAGCAGATGACTCAGGGAAAACACATTTGTATTAAGCAATTGAAGGATGACTTGAAAATTTCAGTCAGAAAACTGGAAATCAACATGAATCAACATGATTTTATTTGCCACATGGATACCAGATTGGCAAAACATTAAAAGAAAGTTAACATCCAGGAGAATCTGGATTCAGGGAAGCAGCTACATTCAGAAATTGCTGGTGGCAATGTACCTTCCTAAGCCCTTTTGGAAAGTGATCGGTCTATAGCTATTAAAATTTTACATATGCATATCCTTCCACCAAGTAATCTCCTGGGGAGTTTGTCATCTACAAGGAAATAATATATCCAATGGGCTGAGCGGTGTCCCCTCCCCAAAGTTCATGTTCTAACACTCAGTGCCTCAGAATGTGACTGTATTTGGACATATGGTCTCCAAAGAGGTTACAGGTTTTGAGTTCATTAGAGTGGACCCAAATCCAATATGACTGGAGTCCTTATTAGAAGAGGCGTTAAGGATGCAGAGATAGAAGTTCAGCCATCTACAAGCCAAGGAGAGAGTTCTCAGAGAAACCATTCCAGCTAACAGCTTGTCGTTGGATTTCTAGCCTCCAGAATTGTAGAAAACTAAGTTTCTGCTGTTAAAGTCCTTCAGTCTGCAGTGGTTTGTATGGATGCTCTACCAGATGGTTATAGACTATTAGGGCACACATAGGATGTTTCCTGAGAAGTGGCTGAAATGGAAATAGAAGACGATCATGTTCAGGCTCCACCTGCATTGCAAGGCTGAACTGCTGAGGAAAATGGCCTCCTTTATGGAATATTATGAAGACATGTGAGGTTGCAGATCCAGCCCTGATGGGGCTACAGGAACGAATTCTGTGGGATAGCCCATACATAGAGTAGCCTAAACATCCACCCTCCCCTTTTCAGCACCCCTTTTTGTGTAAAAACCTCCCTAGTTAAAGTGTGGGCTTTTAAATCTTAAAGGTCTGGCAGGGCAGTGTAGTTGCCTGCTATAGGAAATACCTTGGGTGGGTGTTTAAAACAATATAAATAGGCTGGGCACTGTGGCTAATGCCTGTAGTCCTAGCACTTTGGGAGGCTGAGGCAGGTGGATCACCTGAGGTCAGGAGTTCAAGACCAGCCTGACTAACATGGTGAAACCCCGTCTCTACTAAAAATGCAAAAATTAGCCAGGCATGGTGGCACGTGCCTGAAATCTCAGCTACCTGGGAGGCTGAGGCAGTAGAATCACTGGAACCTGGGAGGCGTAGGTTGCACTGAGCCAAGATCAGGCCGCAGCACTCCAGCCTGGGTGACAGACTAAGACTCTGTCTCAAAAAAAACAAAAAAAAGCCAATATAAATAGTAGCAACATGCAAAGATACTCATGGCCTAGTGTAAACAATACAAAACTATTTTTCTCCTTTTTCTACAACTATGTGAGCAAGAACTTAGCACCAAACCAAGTTTCTGTTGGTGATGAATGGAGGTCCAATTCTTTTGGGAGGAGACTGTGGGTCATTTAGATGTCAAAGCCCTTTGACAGGGGCAATGGAGTCTCCATATTTGAGTCTGGGTCCTGGGCCTGCCCTGATCTTCTTGGATTCCTGTCTGAGGTGGTCCCTCTGTTCCTACTGTCACCCCAGACCAGCGCTGGCCATGGTTGGTGGCGTGGTGCTCCTGCCCTTTGTCCAAGGAGATGGGGTGGTTGAACCTATTACTCATTTCTACTGATCTGCATGAAGCTCTGCAAGGAGAGTGCCCAGAAGCTGGGCCAAGAGGCATCAGTGACCTGCCTGGCTATCTCTGCAGTGGGGAAAGTCCAATTAGAAATTCTGTTCTCCAGATCAGGTACCTGTGAGCATCTGCATAGACTCCCAGCCAGAGAGAAAACCAGATTACAGTGTGAAGTCTTGGGGTTAACATCTGAGTAGACAAACTTGTTCTCCAACACTCAACTTCTTATCCTGTCAGCCATGACTTGGGATATGATCCTGGCAGACCTATCAGGCTCCAAACACCTTACCACCTGCTCCTGTCCAGGGAAGGCACCCTCAACTCTTATTCCCCCAACACATGGTGATGGGCAGGGATGTGGGGTTGCCCAGATGGGATCACAGGTGAGGCCTGGCCTGGATGGGTCTGCCCTGAGCTGCCCTGTGTTACCTATGTGTGTCCCCTGCCAAGCGACCTGAGGATTTGTGGATGAGAGCTGAGCCAACGTCTGCATCATTGGAAGATGCCCTCACTTCAAGCCTTCCACAGATGAGAGCCTCAGGAAGTCAAGATATAGCAATAGAACATCTTGCTCTTGAGCATCTCCATGAAATTAGCTTGATACAGGGCTGTGTCTAGAATAAGGGTTTCTGGTTACCAGAGTTTTAAGTTCTGGAGGGTCTGACACCAAGAAAGTGAGGTTACTTGAAGGTTCCATGACCTGGGCCCCTTCTTTCAGTGTGAGCTGCCCACAGGCCCTGCTGGGGTCCTGACTGCTCACCCTCCTTCCCCGTGTCAACTTCTAGAACTGCCTTAATTGCACATGACATAATCCTTTATAGCAAAATGTGTAAGACTTTCACTCAAATACCATTAGAATTAATAAGTTGATCAGTGTCACAAGATACAAGATACACATACAAAATTTTACTTAAAGCAACCAACAATAAAAATAAAATGTATAAATTTGATTTATAATGCTTCAAAAATATTTAGAAAAAGTAATAGAAGTGCAAAAATTTTACACTTATTATTATTATTTTTTTGAGACAAGGTCTTGCTCTGTCACCCAGGCTGTAGTGCAGTGGTGTGATCACAGCTCACTGCAGCCTCGACCTCCTGGGCTCAATTGATCCACCTGCTTCAGCCTCCTCAATAGCTGGGACTACAGGTGTGTGCCACCATGCCTGACTAATTTTTGTATTTCTTGTAGAGACTGGGTTTCTCCATGTTTCCTAGGCTGTTCTCCAACTGGGCTCAAGCAGTCTGCCTGCTTCTGCCTACTAAAGTGTTGGGATTATAGGTGGGAGCCACCATGCCTGGCCTACACTTAATTTTTTTTTTTAATGCTGAAAGAAATCAAGATCTGAAATAATTTAAAGGTGTCTAATTTTCAAGAATAAAAATGCTTAATATTTCCAAGATAACAATATCCCACAAATGGACTGAGAAATTCAAAATAATCCCTTCAAATTCACAGCTATTTTTTGTTGTTGTTTAAAATGACAACTCTTCCTACACCAAAACTGATATAGATATGCACAGGAAACCAAAAGCATGAAACAATCTTGAAGAACAATTGACTTCCATTTCCCAATACAAATTCTTACTGCAGGCTGGGTGCAGTGGCTCACACCTGTAATTCCAGCATTTTGGGAGGCCGAGGGGGGCGGATCACTTAAGGTCAGGTTCAAGACCAACCTGGCCAACATGGTGAAACCCTGTCTGTACTGAAAAAAACAAAAAGCAAAAAACAAAATTAGCCAGGCATGGTGGCAGGCGCCTGTAACCCCTGCTACTTGGGAGGCTGAGGCAGGAGAATTGCTTGAACCCGGGAAGTGGAGGTTGCAGTGAGCTGAGATCACACCAATGCACTCTAGCCTGGGCGATAGAGTGGGACTCCATCTAAAAAAAATTCTTACAGCAAAGAATAATATCTATTACCCCACTTCCTCCCCATTTTTTTCTCTGTCCAGACTTAGAACTATGGGGTAATTTGACCTCTCTGTGATACAGCCAGCTGCAGGTTTTTCCCTGCAGGCTTAAACCCAAGCCAGGGTCTCAAACATTCCCAGGCACTGATAAAAATGTTTAGGATGTTGCCCACAGCATTGATAGAAATTAGCCCTGGCCCTAAGTCAAATTTCTTAACCTTTATATAAGCTCCATAAACAGATCCACTCATTGCAGACATACCGGGGTAGAACATCTGTGTTTTGACCCTTGCAAGGATACACTGCCATCCCCTCTTTGTGTCTGTTCCTTTAATGCATGCTTTGAACAGACCACTCTGGGCTTCGAGGCTTCTTTCTTTGGAATTCCATCTGCCCCATTTCAGGATGGTTTGGGGCAGTCCCTTGTGGAAACTCCCCTGCTGTCACTTTTAGGGCAACTCCAGCCACTGATTCAGCCTGAGGAAAGAACTGGTGTAGTCGGCATTACTCTAAAGAATGTGCTGGGAGGCCGGGTGCAGGGGCTTACACCTGTAATCCCAGCCCTTTGGGAGGCCAAGGTGGGTGGATCACGAGGTCAGGAGTTCAAGAGCAGCCTGGCCAACCTGGTGAAACCTGGAGTCTACTAAAAATACAAAAATTAGCCGGGCATGGTGGCGGGTGCCTGTAATCTCAGCTACTTGGGAGGCTGTGATAGGAGAATCACTTGAACCTTGGAGGTAGAGGTTGCAGTGAGCCCAGATCGTGTCACTGCACTCCAGCCTGGGCGACAGAGCAAGACTCTGTATCAAAAAAAAAAAAAAGAGAGAATGGCCTAGAGAAAACAGGACCCTGCTGGGGAGATCCCAGGATGACTGCAAGCGCCTATGTGAGGCTCTGTCACCCACTGCCTGATGCCTGCAGGCTGCCCTGTGAGTGCCAAGATGCTGTGAAAGCTCCAGCAGGCTAGAGGAGGCTGATGGGGGTGTTGAAATTTCCAAGGATCCTGGAGCTCATCGGGCAGAGAGGCGTTAGGCTGGCCTCTGCCACGGCAGTCCACCAGGGAACAAAGGCTCTGCTGGGGACCAAGAGCAAAGTCCCCAAGTTAGAGGAGGAGGAATGCACCTAGAGGAAGGCCTGCTGCTGCCCACTCTGTCAGTTACCCCTGTGGAGGTTAAATGGAAGAAAGGCTCTGTGGAGAGGTGCCAGGGGAGTCTGCAGCCTCAGGCCTGCTTCTGAGGGTGGCTTTGGATGGTAGTGGCAGCAGGTGCTCTGGGTCCCATTTTCTTTGGCAGACAGAGAAAAAAAGAGGAAAGAGAAGCTGCCCCGCCTGCCCCACAGTCACCTCAAGCTCACTGGGGCTCTAGGTGATCTGTGGTGGTAGCTGGACCATGCTAGGTCTTGAGGGGCAGGGCTGAGGGGTGCTGCAGCAGTGGCTGTTTTCGTGTAGACAGCAGGCCTGGCTGATACTTGGACCTGTACAGGACAGGAGTGGAATTTTTGGGGCTGGGAATGGAGTGTGGGTGCCAGTGTGAGGAGCAGGCTGGTACCACCACCTCTTCCATCTCCCAAGAGTGGAGCTAGCACCACAGCCCCTACCATGACAGGACGGCCAATATTTCTTTCAATGTTTGGCCATTGAAGGGCACCAGAGGCCCCATGTGGCTAGAATGAGTCACCGGTCCCTTCAGAGCAAGCAACAAGTTTTGGCTCTGAGGGGTCTACATCTTCCCAATCCTCTAGTACATGCTGGGACAAACACTCTCCTGGGAACTGTCCTTGAGACAACCTTAGACAAGTTCTGTCTCTAGGTGGGGGTCTCAAAACCCATGCTTTGAGGGGAAGCCAAATGGAAGCCAGTGACATTATCCCGCACAAGAGGACTGGTGTGTATCAAACAATGTCGCTTCCCAGGAGGGCACAGGGCATCATAGCTTTTTTTTTTTTTTTTTTTTTTTTTTTTTTTTTTTTTTTTACAGAGTCTCGCTCTGTCACCCAGACTGTAGTGTAGTGGCACAATCTTGGCTCACTGCAACCTCTGCTTCTCAGGTTCAAGAGATTATCTTGCCTCAGACTCCTGAGTAGCTGGGATTACAGCCAAGCACCATGACGTTGGGTAATTTTTGTATTTTTAGTAGAGATGGGGTTTCACCATATTGACCAGGCTGGTCTAGACTTCCTGACCTCAAGTGATCCACCCACCTCAGCTTCCCAAAGCACTGGGATTACAGGCATAAGCCACTGTCCCTGACCTGAGATCATGGCTTCTTTTCAGGACTTGGAGAGGATGGGGATTGCATGTCTGCACAGAGCCCATAAAACAGCTTTGTGTGGTTGGTGCCAAAGCCTGATGGTACCTGGAGTATGACAGTTGATTCTTGGGGTATTATGACAGTTGATCATTGATTATTGGGAACTGAATAAGGTGACTCTGGCCATGCATGCTGTTGTCCCCCAAATGGCTCAAATCCTGGAAAAACTAAATACTTGCTCAGGTCCATGGCATACTGTCCTGCATTTGGCAAATGCTTTTGGCAGCATACACTTAGACCCAAAGTCCCAGGACCATTTTGCCTTCAACTGAGAGGACTAACAATGTGCCTTTTGGTTGCTCCCAGAGAAATTTACACAGCCCAACTATCTGACATGGTTTAGAGTGATGTGAGACATTTTGGAGTGATGTGCCCAACATTCTCTGGGAAAACAATATGGATAATGTTATTCTAATCTCTACAGATTGAAGTCTTTTGCAGAAACCTCCCCAGAAACTCCTAGAGTATTTACAATCCAGAGGATGGGCCAGTCATGCACAGAAAGTCCAGGGACCAGGCGGCACCATAACATTACTGGGCATGGTCAGGTTAAGTAAGACCAAGGTTTTGCCAACAGCTGTGACCATCAAAATCCAGACATACCCACAGGCCTCTGTATAGTTTGGATCTGTGTCCCTGCCTGAATCTCAAATCTAACTGTAATCTGCAGTGTTGGAGGTGAGGCCTGGTGGGAGGTGATTGGATCATGGAGGTGGTCCCTCATGAATGGCTGAGCACTATCCCCTCTGCGCTGTTCTTGTGATAGTGAGAGCTCTCACAAGATCTAGTTGTTTAAAAGTGTGCAGGCCGGGTGCGGTGGCTCACGCATGTAATCTCAGCACTTTGGGAGGCCGAGGCAGGCAGATAACGAGGTCAGGAGATCGAGACAATCCTGGCTAACATGGTGAAACCCCATCTCTACTAAAAATACAAAAATTAGCTGGGCGTCGTGGCACGTGCCTGTAGTCCCAGCTACTTGGGAGACCAAGTCAGGAGAATCACTTGAACCCGGGAGGTGAAAGTTGCAGTGAGCCGAGATCGCACCATTGCACTCCAGCCTGGGCAACAGAGTGAGACTCCATTTCAAAAAAAAAGTATGTAGCATCTCTCTCCTCTCTCTCTTGTTCCTGTTCCAGTCATGTAAGATGTGCCTGCCTGCTTCCTCTTCCCCTTCCACCATGATTTTAAGCTCCCTAAGGCCAGCAGTGTGAGAATGGACTAATATACCTTGTTTTATGAAACGGCTGTATCTGCAAAGGGATCCGCAACACAGAAGGAGGCAGGAAACCAAAGAATGAGACAGACAAATCCAGTTTGTCAGTAAAGGGTAATTTATTGGGGGGAATTTGTGGACAGAAGCATGGTCTTGAGTGGTAGCAAGACAGGTAGTTCCCCAGGCTGTTACTGCCAAGATTTAGGGCTTACTTAGTATAGGAAAAGGGTAAATATGCACTATAGGAATGTGCAGGACATTTAAGGTCAGCCTTCCAGAAAGAAAATGAGGTGCTCATCGTAGCCTGTAGTTTGTATGATGACATATAGGTTGCTTTGACCTAAGGAGAAGATTTACAGTAAGTATGTGCTCTTACACAAGAAACAGTAGATCAAGTAGAAATCTTAAAGGCATTCCCAGAAATCGGGTTAATCCAAAGTCAACATGGTGGATTCGCATCCAAGATGGAGCTGCTTTAGCCTCCACAGGCTCCTTCCCCAGACCCGTGGAGCCCTTAGGGTTTAGAGGACCAGCGTAGAAATTCTCATCCAGGCAGTTTCTTCCTTTTGGTTCTCGAAAGGGAACTGAGTGTACACATCTGCTTATTATTCTCAAATAATTTCTTCTTTCACCTTATTATTTCTCAAATCTTTCCTTCTTTTCCCTCTCCACAGAAAAAGTTCCAGAAAATTTAAAAATCTTTTCAGAAAAGACAGTACACTGAGCAAGATTTGCACATCAAGAAAAAGTAGAGACAGGAGATGAGAGTCAAGTGTTTTGGGGGGTAGAGAAAAAGACTAGGCTGGAAGGGGTACTGGGCCACTTGTGCGGGTGTGTACACCTGTGTGTGTGTGTGTGGTGTGTGCGTGTGTGTGGTGTGTAACATTTCTACTTGAAAAACTCCAGCCCTCTCTAGCCTGGATTAATAGAAAGATGTGTGTTTGCCCATGGGCAGGTGGGGTGCTTGGGGGCAGGAGACCCTGGAATGGGATGCGGTGATGGCAGCTGGGCTGTTGGGCAGGCGGGATGAGCTGCAGAAGGAGCAGGGCTCTGGTTCCCAGGCTTGTCCATCCTGCTGGCATGGAGCCACCTCCAGGCTGTGGGGTGGGTGTGGTAGGTGGGGCTTCCTTCCTTCCCCAGACTAGCCCAGCAATTCCCCAGGAAGCCAGACCTCTGCTACCCTTCTTTCTGCACCTCTACAGGGAGAGTCATCCTGTCTGCACCAAGGATGGGAAAAGCAGAGGAATCCCACAGGCCAGGTGGGTCGCAATGGGTAAACGGGGGGTGAACATATATGTGTTTCCTGTGGCTCCCCACTCTGTCATTTGCAGACACTGCTAATCAGTCAGTCACAGAATTCTCACCCCAGTGCCCAGTGAGCACCACCAAAAGCTCCAGATGGTTTATAAGTATCTGGAGACTCTTGCATTCCCTGTGGATCCTTCCTGACCAGATCTTAGAATCTTGCCTGGAAATGAGGAAGTGGCATGTCACCACCCAGTACCTTAGGAAGACCCTGCCCTGTCAGTCAGAGATGGCATCTTGGGTGACCACTCCCTGAGTGGAGGAAGAGAGGGTCCTGTGCAGGGAGCTTCCTTGGTGGATCATGGGGTAAGTGATGCCTTTGGTCTGGCATAAAGCCTGGTGTGTGGAGCAGAGATTCGAGTGGGGCTGGGACAAGCAGGTGCTGCTCAACCAGGCCTCCAAATACACCTTGTCCCCCTCCCACCATAGCTGAGCCTGGATGGGAATGTGGACACCTCATAGACTCCAGAGGATGGGACCCTGGTCAGTGGTGGTCCTGGGGTGTGGGGTGAAGGCAGCTGGGACAGGGCCTTCAGGTGTGGGAGGAGCCAGCCTCTCCTGTGAGGCCCTGGGCAAGTCCCTGCCCTCTTTGGGCCTCTGTTTCCTCATCTGGCAAATGTACAAATCATGAGCCTGTTGTGCAGGCCTCACAGGGTCATGATGGGGTTCGGGGAGGATGGGAATTTGAGGGTGCTTGTGCCTGGCTCTTCTCATGAAGGATGATGGTGACAGCAATGCTGAGAGCCACATGAAACCGAGTCCTCAGGAGGCCCTGTGAGGATGGTGTGGTTCCCATCACACTTCCCTGACAAGAGGGAATTATGATCTTCAGACTCAGGAGAAATATGGGGTTTGTTTCAAGTCCATGGAGCTCCACAGTTCTTTTGAGAGGTGAGAGCCTAGCAGGTTGACCTAGCGGATTGACAGAGGGTGGGCAGAGACTCTGTCTTGTGGTCACTTTCAGACAGCCTGTGGCCACGGGTCCCTGGTCAGCAGCAGGCCCTGTTGAATGGGAGCACTGGGCAGGCACTGTGAGGGAGGCCTGAGGTGTGGCTCCTGGAACCTCACAGCTGTTGCTCTGTCCTACAGCTACAGCCTGTCCTGCTGCTGAGCCCCATCCCAGTAGGCCAGCCACGCCCTCAAGGCCAAGAAGACCAAGCCATGAAGAATCTCAGGCCCACTGAATGCCCGGGTGGCAGGGGCAGAGTGCCTCAGGGCTCAGGGAAGTTTGGGCTGAGTGTGTGCTCTGGGAGCCAGACAGCTAGCTGCACAGGGCTCCCAGCTCCACCATGACCAGCCCTGTAACTGGGGCAGGGGACTCACTCCTGTGGTACTTGAGCATCATTGTCATATAATTAATGTGTCTGTCCAATCCTTTTCTCTTTTTATCTCTCTTCCTCTATAATCGCCATGTACTACTGATCTGTTAGTGATTGTGTTCAAATGAATAAACATATGTTAAATAGTGTGTATTGTACTTCCTCATGATTTCTTCACTATAGTGTATGACTCCACTCATACGAGGTACTTAGAATAGTCAAGTTTACAGAAACACAAAGTAGAAGAGTGGTTCCCGGGGCTACAGGAAGGTAGGTGAGGTGTTTAATGGGTACAGAGTTTTAGTTTTGCAAGAGGAAAAACACCCCCTATAAATGTGGAGGATGCTCGTAAAACCGTGTGAATGTGCTTAATTCCTTTGACCTGCACTCTTAAAAATTGTTAAAATGAAAAAAAAAATTGTTGACCAGGTGCAGTGGCTCACGCCTGTAATCCTAGCACTTAGGGAGGCGGAGGTGGGCAGATCACCTGAGGTCAGGAGTGCAAGACTAGCCTGGCCAACATGGTGAAGCCCCGTCTCTAGTAAGGATACAAAAATTAGCCAGCTATGGTGGTGCATGTCTCTAATCCCAGCTACTCGGGAGGCTGAGGCAGAAGAATTGCTTGAACCTAGGAGGTGAAGGTTGCAGTGAACCAACATTGCACCACTGCACTCCAGCCTGAGAAACAGAGCAAGACTCTGTCTCAAAAAAAGAAACAGAAATCCCAGCAACAACAAAAAAAACAGACTATAGCTATCTGCAATGGCATGAATGAATATCACAAATATAATGTATAAAAGTAAGTAGATATAAAAATATACGTACTATATAATTTTATACAAAATCCAATAAGCAGAAAAAACTGAGGTCCTGGTTTTCAGTAATACTGGAGTAGCTTGTTGAATTAACACAGATTATAATGAAGACACCTGAATAATATATTTTTTATATATATATATATATTTTTTTAATGAAGTCTCACTCTGTCACACAGGCAAGAGTGCAGTGGTGTGATCTCAGCTCACTGCAACCTCTGCCTCCTGGGTTCAAGCGATTCTCCTGCCTCAGCCTCCCAAGTAGCTGGGACTACAGGCGCACGCCACCATGCCTGGCTAATTTTTGTATTTTTAGTAGAGATGGGGTTTCACCATGTAGGCCAGTCTGGTCTTGAACTCATGACCTCATGATCCGCCCACCTCAGCCTCCCAAAGTGCTGGGATTACAGGCGTGAGCCACCGTGCCCTGCCTATATTATATATTGTTATAGAAACACATCTGTATGATACAAATATGACCTATGTGTGGGTAAGAACTGAATGAGGATTTCAGCTGTGCCCACTGTAGGGGAGATAGGTATTGAAGTTTGAATCCAGCCCAATTAAAACGGTTTGTAAACAGTAACATCGCTCTTCAAAGCTACACAACGGAATTGAGAGTCTCTATAATGATTCTTTACAGTTTTAGTACACAACTTTAAAATTCATGAGACGTGTGAGGAAACACGAAAATGAGATCCATACACAATTTAAAAAGCAGGCAGTAGAAGTGATCCTAAGATATTCAAGGTGTTCTAATTCAGGATGTTTAAAGGCAGCTATTATAAATCTGTTCATGGGGGTAAAGGAAAATATTTTAAGAGATGTGGAACCTAAGCAAAGAAATGGAAATTATGAAACAATAGGAAGATAAGGAAATTAAAAGAAATACTTTTGAGCTTATTCAAAGATTAGAAACAGAAGACAGAGCAATAGAAATTGCCCATTCTGAATAAAAGAGAGAAAAAGCTTAAAGAAAATGAAGAGTCTTAGAGACCTGTAGAGTGATTGAGTCCAAGTTGGAGAGGGGACAGAAAAATTAAATGAGGTACAAAGTAAATCACCAACTAATAGCTAAAAACTTCCAAAAATTGGTCAAACCCCCCAGTTTTTATACCCAACATGTCAACAAACCCGTCCAAAAAATATAAATAAAACCATACCAAGGCCATATTGTGATTTAGGAGACTGGCAAGGCAGAGCTTTCTATTGACTTGCTGTGATTTCTAATTTTAACTACTTAGAAGAGTGAAAAATAGGTTCTCCTTAGAGTTTCTTTTTTTTTCTTGGAGAAAAAAAAGTATTAAAGGCAGATGAGTTTCCAGCTTCCTCTTAAATTTCCAGTGTCTTACTTTGGAAATTATTTGAATTTGTTTCTTCCAAATCCTGCAGTAATACTGATGCTCCAGAAAGGCGTCCCATGGAGATTCTGCTCTTGTGCATCCATCCTGCACGGAGCTGAAGCTGTGCCTCCTCTAGTTTCATTAGCGTTTAGTCGTGGGGTACTTCGAGTTAATCTGGAAAACTAAATGTTAACATGGATTCAGGCCTGGCGCGGTAGCTCACGCCTGTAATCCCAGCACTTTGGGAGGCCGAGGTGGGTGGATCACTTGAGGTCAGGAGTTCGAGACCAGACTGGCAAAAATGGCAAAACCCCATCTGTACTAAAAATACAAAAATTAGCCAGGTGTGGTGGCAGGTGCCTGTAATTTCAGCTACTGGGAAGGGTGAGGCAGGAGAATCTCTTGAACACGGGAGGCGGAGGTTGCAGTGAGCCTGGATTCAGTCACCGCACTACAACCTGGGCTACAGAGAGAGACTCCATCTCAAAAAACGAAAAAGAAAAATGGATTCAAAGAATTATCACTGTTAAGTTCCACCAGCAAATTACTAAACGTGGTTCCAAAGGAATATTTAAAAAGGGAAATTAAGTGTTACCAAGAAAGCCCTATTTACAGCAGAAACACAGACACTGTTCGTGACCTCACTACAGAAACTTCCTTCATGTGTTGGGAGGGACCAAGGGGCTCTCTGGTCCTGCACCTGCATTAATTACTTCCAGGAGGTCCACGCTAGGACCCCAAGGCCTGGGAACCAGCCTGGGTCAGGGGCAGAGAAGTGGTGAACGTGGCTCCAAGGGGCACTCCTGAGGTGCAGAGGAGGATTTGTGACAGCCCAGAGGATAGAGGAAATGGTGGCTTTGAAAAGGCAAGTGCCAGTTTATCAGGAAACATGTATCTCCATTTCTGGCAGTGAACTGACGGTTTCAGACACTCATGAGAAAGCGTCCTACGTGGAATGCCCAGAAGTCGGAGAACTGTCAGACATCTGGCCGTTAACCACATTCCTACGCAGGGGCTACACTGCGCATGTCCGAAGGGGCGTGTCAGGGGTGGGGCGAGGAGGAGGTACCGTTCCGATGCAGAGACGGTGCCGAGGGAAGGGGCGGGGCGAGGAGAAGGGGCAGAGCCGAGGGAAGAGGCGGGGCGAGTCCAGCTCCAGGAGGAGGAGCGTTACTATGGGAACCTTGACAGGTTTGTGAGCAGCTCCCTGTCTCCTGCTGCTCCGTGAGGAATCAAACTTCTGGCACTGACGAAGCATGAAGCCAGCATCTTAGGGGGAGGTAGTGACATAATTACAAGATACGATCAGCCACCCTGGTCCCGCTGTCGCCTGGCAGGCAGGAGAGGTTTGGGAACAACCAGGCTCTCCTTGGCATGGCAGAACTGCTCTGGACACAGGGAGGTGTGGATTGGTGGGCGGGAGCTAAGCCTGGCATACTGGGAGTTGTCGTCTTTGATTAGCTTCCAGTTTTTTCATCACTGGGCGAATGGATTACAATCCCAGCCAGCATGAACAGGAGGCGGCGCGCAGTCCTGAAGGCGAAGTCCGGTTGTGCCGGCCTTGCTGTGCATGCTGGGAGCTGTATGTAGTCTCTTCACCGCTCCCGCCCTTTCAAGAGCTTCGGGACTACAATCCTAGCATGCCCCAGGCTCGGGAGCCTGGTGAAGTTCTCGGGGGGAGGAGCGAAGCGGCGCGCGCCTGGCCAGGCACGCTGGAAACGGTAGCTCTTAACGGTTCTCAGCCCGTTGGTGGCAAGGCAGCTGGACTGGAATCCCAGCAGGCGACATGCGAGGAGGAGGGCAGCCCAGGAGGGTTGGGCAGGGCAGTGTGGACCTCGCCGCTTCCACAGCGATGCTGGCTACTGATCGCAGGCACCTCCTTGCCATGGGAAGTGAGTCGGGAGGGGGACAGGAGGGGCAGGTCCAGGCTGGGCAGTGAGGAGGGCATGACGCCGCGAAGTGCACCTCGCCCTTGTCCAACTCGGACGAGTGTGGTCCTCACCCCACTTCCCGCTGCTAGGCTGGGTTCCCTCTCCCACCTGCACCTGGGTTCTTTCTGGGCATCGCGCCTCCTCCAGCCCAGGGAGCCGCCTGCTTTGGGAAGCTGCTATGGGAACTGGCCTGAGGTCCAGGCGCTGTCCATTGTGCCGCTGCCCTCTTTTCTCTCCAGCGAGAGCGCAGTGCAGCCACTATGGGGAGAAATCCGCCGCCTGGCCCGCCAGTGCACAAGTTCAAAGCTTCGCAGGGGGTGACATGGCCTGTGGCTTCGTGAAAATGTCACCCTCACCAGCACCTTTTTCACGGATGTTGAGGCGGCAGAGAAGGTCATTATTGGTTTACGCAGGAGATGCTAAAATCCGAGGAGAAAATTTCACTTCCCAGGCGTGTGTCTCTGGTGCGCCATTTTTCACCAACCCATTTGGTGGAAAGTCCACCAAATGGCTACCTAAAGATAAAGACGGTTTAGGCATTTTCATTGGCACGTCATTGGCCTCATCTCAACTGAGGCCTGACTGGGCAGTGTCTCAAAGACACAGATGGCAACCTGATATTCAAGAACAGATAGTGCTCCAGCTTTGTGGGAGCGACTTTCAAGGTGTGGACCACTTGGGGAGTCTTTGAAATTCCTTAGGCTTCAACATCTTTGCTGTGAATAGAAAGCTGATCACCCCCGGCACTCACGGCAGTACCTTTACTCTCTCGGGCTGATCTGTTGAATTTTTCTGTCTAGACAATGGAAACTTCCGGAAGCACTTCTAGTTTCGTGTACCTTCCTAATAATTGATGTCCCTAAATTCCATATGTCCTCAGGGACAGTTGCTTTGATTCTGGAATGGCGCCAGCTTTTATGCTTTTATGTCTAATCCGTAAAAACCAAGGTGTTAATCTACATGAAAATAAGACCTTGTTCATATAGCACATTCCAACAGGCTTCATTTGTGATTCCTGAGTGAGGGTTACTATAAATAAAAACCCCTAAAAACCCTGGGCATGGATATTGACACTGTTATTGTACTTTGTGAATAATTTACTCCTTCAGGATCAATTACACATGGGCTCATCAGCACCTTTGTAAATAAAGGAACAAGAACCTTGCGGCATCTATGGACGTGGCAAGATGAAGTATAGGGAGACCACAGCACATCAGCGCTTCCCTTGTTTTCAGTAGAGTCTGTGGGGTCAAGTACCTGCATTCCTCCCCCATCCCTCAATATTCTCATTCTACTCCTGAGTGTTCCCTCGTTAGGTGGGAGTTTCTAAATACACTTGTCTGCAAGTGTTGGTGGGGATGTTGTAACGTGAGGGCATCCATCATCCGTCACCTTAAAGGTGAAGGGAGAGGATTTTGTGATTTGTGTTCAAGAGGCACTGCTGTTGGGTGTGTGGCTGCAAATACACGTGATCTCAGCTGTCCCCAGCAGCTGCCTCACAAGATTGGTCCTGATGCAGCCACAGCTGCTGTTCACACAGCCAGGAGCTCCTTGCAGTTTGGTGTATTCTGCTGAGATTTGTGGCTCTGACCCTCCTCTGCTCACTCCGTTCCTGGTAGTATCTGCTCAGCTGCCTGGTTTGTTCCAGTGTTTCCTGGGAGCCTGTTGTGTAACTGCATTTCAGAGGGTCTTTGGGGATTCCACCCTCACTACACCAGTCACTCTACACTGGCCATGCACTTAGCTTCTTGTATGTGTCCTCTTCAGTGGAGCTGTGAAGAGTTCTAGTTGGGGATAGATCTCATTCTCACGTGCTCAGGCTGCTTAGAAAGCTGATCATCTCCTCTTTGGACACATGAACATTATTTCTTTTGTGTATTTTGAAGTCTGATGCTGTTTTTTGTTTTGTTTTGTTTTTTGTTTGTTTGTTTGTTTGAGACAGAGTCTCGCTCTGTCGCCCAGGCTAGGGTGCAGTGGTGGAATCTCGGCTCACTGCAAGCTCCGCCTCCCAGGTTCACGCCATCCTCCTGCCTCAGCATCCCGAGTAGCTGGGACTACAGGCGCCCACCACCACGCCCAGCTAATTTTTTGTATTTTTAGTAGAGACGGGGTTTCACCGTGTTAGCCAGGATGGTCTCGATCTCTTGACCTCATTATCTGCCCACCTCGGCCTCCTAAAGTGCTGGGATTACAGGTGTGAGCCACCGCACCCGGCCTGTTTGTTTTTAAATAAAGTGGATTCTTGCATTAACAGTCACTTTTAGATATCTTTGTGAATTTAACTCTGGCATCAACTTCCTGATGTTGGCATGCGATCCCCATTTTATAAGTGAGGAAACTGACACTCAGAGAGGTAGAGTAGCTTTATTTACTTCACACAAGCTTTTCATGAATTTCAAGTCTCAACCTAGAAGTCTTCCTCTAAGGTATGATTATGGCATATTCCAGTTTGTGTTTCTCTGCCAGCATCCCGAAGGGGTCCACATCTCATTAGGACTCCATTTTCTTCTTAATGACAGGAAACTTGCAGAAACAGGCCTTTGGTTGGGGAGAGCACTTGCTGGCACTTGGCCTTCCCTGTCCTCTGCCTTCCTCCTGTCAGGGCGTAGATTTGATTTGAGGTGATTTGAGGGAGCTGGAGCAGCGGTAGATCCTGACCAGCACTCACCTGGAACGCTTGTTGATATGTAAAGATAACACCCACTCTCTTTATGAGGTGTGATTTTTTTTGTTCTAATTATTCCTCTGGGCCTTCTCTTCCAGGTTTGTGCTATGTACTAACATGCAATACAAATACTGATGAAAACAAAACTATTGCCCTCCTACCAAATGGTAACAATGCTTATATTTTTCCTCTTTTTCTAATTATAAAATAAATGCATGCTATTTTAAGAATGTCAGATCATAAAGATATTTATGTAGTGAAAGTCTCCCATGTCTTCCTCTTCCTTCCAAACTCACTCCCTTCTTAGAAGAAATTATTATAGCTTGGTTTTTATTCTTCTGGATGTTTTCTATAAATTTATAAATACATATAAAGTTGGCCGGGTACAGTGGCTCAGGCCGGTAATCCCAACACTTTGGGAGGCTGAGTGGGGAGGGTCCCTTGAGTTCAGGAGTTTGAGGCTGCAGTGAGCTGTGATCACGCCACTGCACTCCCATCTGGGTGACAGAGTGAGACCCTGCCTCCAGAAAAAAAAAAAAAAGAGATAAATACATGTACAGTTTTTGAACACATATTATATTATACTATATTGTTTTTATTTTGCTGTTTCACAAGCAATGTATCACTTACATTATTCCAAATAAGTGCATGAGATTCTAACTCTCTATTTCTAATGTATTCCAAAGAATGGGTATACAATATTTGTTTCACTGTTTATTTTTTGATAGAAATTTACATTGTTTCTAGTTTCATCATTGTTAAAAAATGCAGCAATAAGATTCTTGTACATAATTTATTACACTGATAATTAACTGTTCAGTTTATCTTGCCTTCTTTTAGTCAGAGAATATGTCATGAGTTTAATATTTATTTTATGATTTGTTTCATAGGGAAATTAATGTTATGACTGGATAAATTCGAGGTTGTCTATCTCCGTTTTCTGATGGAAAAGCGTGGAGTTCAGAAGCATTGCTCGCTCCTTCAGTTTCTAACAAGTCAGTAATCTCATAGCAATTTAAATTTAAATGTTTGAATTACCTCTCCTTCCCTGGTTCAGAGTAAGTATGTTGTTTTTCTATTTGTAAAACTTCTGACTCTGGGTTTTTTCAGTTGGGCTTTAGAGAGGGCAACTCCCATATTGCTGTTATATCTATTTCTCTTTGGCATCTGGCTGCATCTGATAAAGATTATAGAATTAGATCTGGTTCTGTATATATTTTGGGACCAAAAATTCAAAGTAATCAACTCAAGATAGGAGTCTACAACTTTAATTCTTAATAAAAGATTTCCTTTGATTTCCCCAAATCTTTATGATTCCTAGAAGAAATTCACCCATGGGTGAAGCATGTGGCTCTGTTGAATAAAGTTTTGTTGGGGATTTCCACATTGAGTTTCATGAGGCATACTATTTTACAGGGTTTTTTTTTTTTTTTTTTTTTTTTTGGTACTTCCTTTCTCTGATTCTATTGGAGAGTAATACTAGCTTCCTAAAATATATTGGGAAATGTTCCCTCTTCTACTTTTGGACAATATTAAACTCATAATGACAAGTTTTCTTGTGAAAATGTTCTGAAAAAAATGTAGGGTGGGCCAGTCATGGTGGCTCACACCTGTAATTCCAGCACTTTGGGAGGCCAAGGCAGGCGGATCACAAGGTCAGGAGTTCGTGACCAGCCTGACTGACATAGTGAAACCCTGTCTCTACTAAAAATACAAAAATTAGCCGGGGATGGTGGTGCGTGCCTGTAATCCCAGCTACTCAGGAGGCTGAGGCAGGAGAATCACTTGAACCCAGGAGACAGAGGTTGCAGTGAGCCGAGATTGCGCCACTGCACCATAGCCTGGGTGACATAGCAAGACTCCGTCTCAAAAAAAAAAAAAAAAAAAGGTGTAGAGTGCCCTTTTCCCTTTTGTACTGGGTAATATTATTTATCTTGATTGGTATTTACCCATATACCTGCCAATGGTTCAGTGAGCGCCCGTCTTCTACTCGCCAATCTTACCCCTACTTCAGCCACTCCTCCCTACTTTCTGGTACTCAGCCATATGTTTTTCTCTCCTCACATTCTCAACCCTGTCTCCTTAACATGTGGACTTCCATGCTCTTCCTATATCCTCCCACCCTGCACTGCCAGTAGGCTCTGCAGGCTCTAAGCTGGGGCAGCAACACAGTCCCCTCTCTTGATTTCAGCCTCTAGACCTCAGTTCTGTGCTCCTTGCAGATGCTTCTAGTGTTTGGAGACATCTGGCTCATGTGGTTGGTCTGGCTTCCTGTGTGTTTGGTGCCAGAGGGAGTCTGTTTCTTGCTCTTCCACCATACAGAGAGGGCAAAGCTCTGAATTGATTTTGAAATCAATTCTTGGTTATCTCTTTTGGACTGAAATAAATTGACTATTAATTTGTGATGACATAAATATTGTAGCTTAGTTTGTGGTAGTTATAATTTCATTTCTATTTATTGTTTTACAGGCCATGCCACCATGCGCAGCTAATGTTTTATTGTTTGGCAGAGGCATGGTCTCACTCTGTGGCCCAGGCTAGTTTCCAATTCCTAGGTTCATGCAGTTCTCCCAACTTGGCCTCCCAAAGCCCTGGGATTATAGGCATGAGCCACTGTGCTTGGCCAATAGTTAAAATTTTAGATTATTATGTACAGTACTGTGATTAGCCATATTTAACTTATTCACAGACAAGGCTTTAATAAAAATTACTTCAGGTTACTATATTTTTCTTTAATTTTTTTCAAATTAGTTTTCTTTATTTTTCTCTAATCTTTTTGTGCTAGCCTCAGTCACCTTTACCCTGAGTTTCCATCCTGGTCAGCAGAGGCAGCTCCATGGATGATGGCCTGTGGCTCTGTGTACTTGGAGCTCTTACCAAGTAAGACTTTGTGACCAGGAGGCCTCTTTTCAGGACAAATCATCTGCATGTAAAACAAAGAGCCTTTCCAGGCCAGGAGTACTTTGCCAAAATCTTTTTGCTTTTGAGGTTTCTTTTTGTTGATTTTTTGTTGTTGTGGTTGTTGTTGTTGTTGTTTTTTGAGACAGGGTCTCACTCTGTTGCCCAGGCTGGAGTGCAGTGGGGTGATCTTGGCTCACTGCAACCTCTGCCTGCAGGGTTCAAATGACTCTCTTGCCTCAGCCTCTCAAGTAGCTGGGTTTACAGGTTCACACCACCATGCCCCAATAATTTTTGTATGGGGTTTTGCCATGTTGGGGTTTGCCATGTTGGCCAGGCTGGTCTTGAACTCCTGACCTCAGGTGATCTGCCTGCCTTGGCCTCCCAAAGTACTGGGATTAAGGGCATTAGCCACCATGCCCGGTGAGTTTTTGAGTCTTTATCCATCATTGGACACAATAAATATCCAGACACACAGATGTTTCCCAACATGTCTATGCGTTTAGAGATTGGACCTTTCTTTTTCTAGTGATCCTGGTTCTTGACCTTCTCACTTAAGGTTTTGTCATCTCCCAGCAGCAGACACAAGGTCTCCTTAAGCCCTGTGAGTGTAGAGGGAGGGTCTTTGAAAATCATCGAGTATACACTGTATTTCAAGGTGCGTTCACGTTTCTCTGTCTCTTCCAGGCCAGGTCTTGGAGAGACCAGGAAGCCAAGAGTTTCCTCCAAGAATGGAGATTCCTTGGGAGCGATGTTTGCCTTGAGTAAAGAAAGATGAATCACATGTGGTCAAAGGCAGTTGTCCAGGGTCTCAAGAAAAGAGCCAGAAAGAGGAGCTGGGGCTGCTGGGATTGTGGGGGTCCTCTCTCCCACCTAAAAAGCTACTACTGCCTGCTGACCCTCTGAAGAGGAGACCCCTCTGGGCTCCAGCACCTAAAACAGACAAAACTGGGAGGATGGTTCTCTCTTCTGTGTCACACATGTCCTAGAGAAAACCTGTGTATCTAAATGACCAAAGAAAACGATGAGAAAAAATGCAAAATCTGTGCCAGGTCATTCAGTGTCTGGCTAGGGCTGTGTGGTGCACATGCATTCCAAGACTGAAGGGTGCTGAGCCTGCAGAAAATGTCTGTCAGACCTGCCTCTCACACCTGGAGTATGACTGCCCATCCAGGTTCATGATGCAGAACTGTCTTTAAAAGGCCACAGCAGATATGGAGAGAGGGATTTCTAACCCTAATAGAATATGACCAGCTGTCCCGCTGGGGAAAGCCGCATGCACCAGTGATGTGCTGCCTAAACTGGCCCAGACCACACTCTACTGCCTAATGAATAAGCCCCACATTTGCTCTTTATGGGTAAAGGGAGAGGGTGAGAGAGGAGAGGAGTGTCTGCACAGACATGAGAAGCCTGCAGATCCAGATGACCCCCTTGCTGATCAGAATATTAAAAATCGATATGCGGAAACAATGACCCCATAGCAGATAAGCTTCTAGAGCAGGCTTCAACCATGCTTCATCTGGACCCACTGGAAGAGAAGTGTGCCCGCCATCTATGTTGATGGTCTGGGGGATACCATTTCTGAGACAGATTTAAGAAATGGTCTCTACCTGTTGGCGAGATCCGGATGGTCACTGTTGTGCAGAGACAGCAGTGTGCTCTCATCAGCTTTCCACAGGGCAGGCTATGGAAATGGCCACTGAGAAGTCCTTTTGTAAATTGATTGTCCATGGCTGCAGACTCACCGTCAAATGGGGGAAGATTCCAAGCCCTCAAGGAAAAGGAGAAAGAGAAGCACAGAACGGCAGACTCTGGGATCCTGCCAGAGCCTATTTCAGGGCCGCCAGGAGGTCCTCCTCCTGCTGCAGCTCTGGTCCCCACCTTGGAGCCTCCTTCGAAGGAGTGAGACTACCTTTCTGACTTTTTCTGACCATAGACACCTTTTCTGACTATTTCTGTCCTTTGGACCTGCCGAGGACAGCAGCCCCAGGGACCCGGGCTCCTGGGCCCATTCTTCACCAGCTTCTACTTGATCGTGCAATTTGAAGTCATTCTTGTGCAGTGGAAACAGGGCCCCAGGACAACCCGATAGATCAATGGTCTCTGGCCTGTGCCCCACTGATGGTTGGATGGTGGCCACAGGGTGCTGGAGTCCAGCCATCGCTGCTTCCTTGAGTTGAAGAGGTTGGAGGCTGGTCCACTTGCTCCTGTCCTGCCCTCAGCGATGTGGATGGTTGCTCTTTGAGCCTGGTAACATCACTGGCTTGGCCCTGCCAGGCATGCCCTGCCTTGTGGGGGCCCTGTGTACCCACACACTGCTTTAAGGGGCTTGCCCTTCCCTGGGCCAAATTCTAGTTTTGGCCAGTGCCCCAGGAAGCTCAGTCCCCTCTTTTGTTATCTTGGCTATTTCTCTGGCACCCATGGCTCCCATGGGTCCCTTTTCTCCCAGGGCTTGGGCTGAGCTTGGCATCTGTAGGTCTAGGATGTTTGCCCTGTGAGGGAGGCTCTGTCACGCAAGTGGGCAGGCATGGGGACATGTGACAGGCTGCTGGCTGGCTGGGGCTCTGCAGATGCCACAATCCCCCTCCCCTCCAGCAGCCTCTGAGTCCAGCTTCCGCATTGACACTGATTTCACCCAGCTCAGGAGCTGTCTGGGGTTGTCTGGGTGCTGTCTTGACTCCTTTAAGGCTGTGCTGCTCAGTGGCCCCTGAGAAAGGTCAGATCCAGGTGCCACCATGGAAGGGGAGTGTCTACGGCCCTACTGCTGGGTTTTCAGTGGGCTGGGCAAGGCCTGGTTGTTGGGGCCCTGAGGGGGTTCGGGGCCAGGGCCTGTCCTATTGTCCTGGGGGTGTCCAGGGAAGATGTAGAAAGAACAGGGGTTTGGAATCCCTGCTCAAAGCTGCATTGTGGACACCATGAGCCCCGGATGTCCAGGTCCATGGGGAGTTTGGGAGAGAATTCCAACACAGAAATCGCCAAAAATCCCATGGTCTATCCTGAGATAGGAACAGGCTTGCCACATCTTGAGCCGCTGGGCCCCCAGAGAGTGGCCTGTTGCCCTGGGCTCCGTGGAATTCTTCTTGTGCTGCTGGGACTTGGCCTCAGGTCAGCTTCTGGGCTTCTGGAGCTGGGCTAGTGGACCAGGGAGGGCCAACCCGTCCCCCTTGGGGAGGGCCTCCATGCTGAGGGATGCCCGCAGAGGCCTGGGTGCGAGAGACCCTCTCTCCAGGACCAGGGCCTTCCTAGGGATCTTTGTATGTTTAGCTGAATGGAAAGCAAACTTGGTCCACTTCTCCCCCAAGCCCATCTGACCTTTGTACGGCTGGGCCCCAGGTATCTGGGTCCTTGGAGTTTTGGGGTCTCTAGTAACCCACCTGGTCTGACACTGAGGAAACACCTACAGGCTGCTGATCCCACAGTGAGGGGTGTGTGCCACCTGGGGTATGGGCGCTCGTGAATGAGGGTCCCTGCTGATCCCACAGTGAGGGGTGTTTCCTGCCTGGGGTATGGGAACTTGTGAGTGGGGACCCCTGCTGCACTCTGTCCCTGTTGGTGCTCGCAGCTATGGGTGTGGGCTGGCACAGACAGGACCGAGCCCTCCAGGGGCTTCCAGGGTTCTTGTAGGGCAGGAGGGGAAGGGTGTGGTGGGGGGCTTGGAGGGGTCTTGCCCTCATCCCCTGCCCTGTTACTGGGGTGAGTCCAGCACCTGCCCTGGGGCCCAGCTGGCCTGTTTTTAGAAGCTTCTTAGAGAAGGAAGAGGAGAAGGAGAAGGAAGGCCTGGGGAGCAGGGATGGAGGGTCCTGGGCACTCCCCACTATTTACTGTCTTAGATGGTGACTCAGGAGGGGACCTGGTGCTAGAGACCACCTTGGGGTCAGTGGTCATAGTGCATCTTTCTGAGCTCAGCCATGGAGGCCTCAAAGTGCTTCACAATCACATCATCGTCCATAGCCCAGGTATGGGACAGTGCATCTTAGGAAAGCTCCCACAGGACAAACAGGAGAGCTTCAGGAGAGGGTCTAGGTTTGGGGCTGGGCATCAGGCCAGGAGGGGTCTCCTGGGAGGGGTCTGTGACTTCACCTTATTTCCGCCATGGGCACCTCACACTAGGCAGTGCTGGGTCCTTTCTAGATACCCCTGGGGTCCAGCTCTGCACAGGAGGCCACTAATGGGGGAAGTTCCAGTCAGGGAAGAGCTTGCCACACTCCTGCCTTTCATCTGAGTTGTGTCAGGGGTAGGTTCGGTTTCCAGGAGGACTCATGGTGCCCTGTCCAGTCCACCAGGCCTGGCTTGGTTTGGCCGTCCCTCTGGGTTAAAGCAGAGGGTCCTGTGGACAGTGTGAGCACTGCCTTCGGGCCAGGTTTGGTGTGCTTGTGTGCTTCCCCAGCACCCTTGGGCACATGGGGACAGGGTTCTGTGCACTTTCAATGCCGCATGTGCCCTGGCTATGAGCATGCACTTGCCCTGCAGAAGGCAGATGTACCAGAGCCTGAGGATGAGCTTGTGATGAGCTTGACGTAGGGGTTTGTGGGAACAGCAGGCATGGGAGGACCTGGCCCTTCACGGTGGAGGGCTGGTGGCCTGAGCAGGGCCTACTGGGGCCTCAGTCTGTGGTGCTGGGGGCCCCCTCTGCATGGGATGAGACCTCCCCCAGGAGGCTGGATCAGATAAGGTCCTGCAGCTCCTTATGGGGGTGTTCTCATATCCATCAAATGTGACCCCTGAAAGAGGGGGCTCCCTGAGTGCTCTCCCAAGATGAGTCCTGGCCCAGTCTGCCCAGGATGCTGGCCCTGAGTCCCAGCCCCAGCCGTGTGATGCCCCCTCTCAGGCAGGGCATGGTTTGTGTGCCCTGCAGGGATCTGCCTCTGCCTCCTGTGCAGAGGAGGGGAGCTGGGTCCTTCTGGAGGAGCCAGACTCCTGGGCAGGGTCCCTGGACTGGGTCTCCTGTGCACACTTGTCCCATCAAGCAAGCACTGTAGGAGTCAGTTTAAGGTGGCAATCTGGGTGCACAACATTTGCTTGTCTTCAAGGAAGGAGCAGAGGTGTTCAGAATCCCCTGGACTGCCCTGAAAACCTCACTCTTCCAGGCCCCTCTGCAGACCCTTCCCAAGGCCAGATCTCTAGGCAGTAGGCTGGGCTGTCACCCTCTTCTCTGAGACCCTACCCCTGTCCTGAGACCTCCCCACTGCCCCTCAGATGCCCCATCCCTGCGGATTGCCCACCTCCCCTGGCACCCTCCATGCCCCACACGCCTTACTTGATGCTGCAGCGCTCTCTGAACATGGCATGGCTTGTGAAGGTGTGGCTCACATCTAGGTCATTCTGGTGCATGTTCAGAGGACATCTTGGCCTGCTCCATTTTCTATAGAGCAGGGCCAAGCCTCAGAACAGACACAAGAGTCACTGTCAAAACTGCTGTCATAAAACAGACATTCTGGAAGGGAAGGAGTCTTTTTCTGCAGATACTTCATTTCCAAAGCCAGGAAAGTCATCAGCACACAGCTCACCTGTGTTGCCCATGCCACTGTCTGCCCAGGATGTGTGACTGACCCCTTCCGCCCCTTTGGGGTTGACTTTCCCTCCATCTGGGTAGCTGGGCTTCTGACACAGTCTGGCCTATGCATCCTGCTCTAGCTGGGAGTGGAAGGGCCAGACCTGGTGTTTCCCTGGGTTCTTGGCCTTTGTCTTCTCGACATTCAGTAGGAGTGACCGTGCTGGGCCCCAGACCTCTGTGAGGATTCCTTTTTAGACCCAATGAGACATTTGTGGACAGAAGATGCTCTGGTGAGACAGACCTTAGGGTGACTCTAAAGGGGATCTGAGCCTAAGGATTCTGGAAGTTTCCAGTCTTTGGCTCCACAGTTCCTCAGGAGAGGTTCAGTCTGCCTAGGACTGGGCCTCCCTTTTCACGAAGAGTGGGCAAGAGCTCAGGTTGTGAACTCTGATCTGGATTTATTCCTTCCTATGGGATGTCCAGAAGGTGTTCCTGTTCCTGGCTTAGAAGCAGACCATGCCAAGGCATCAGATTCCTCCCAGCAAGGTGATGCTTGCAGGGATGGGCAGGAGGGCTAGGGACCAGGCCTGTTGTCCTTTCAGTGAGGAAAGTGTGTCCTGCCCTGTCTGAGAGGCAGGCAGCACCAGGAGGCAAAAATGGGCTCCTGTCCTAAACCCTGAAGAGCAGTCATGGGGGACCCTCACTCACAGCTGTGCCTTCTTGCTGTTCCTAGATTTATTCCAGTTAAGCATTTATAGGCATTTATCTGTGTGTCTGATGCCCTGACGTTTTTGCTGTAGGTAAGAAGTGATGGAGTGAGCTGAGCTGCCAGGCTTCCTGGAGTGATTCTTGGATGCTGGGTCACGTGGTTAGGGGCCCTGATGGGACTGAACTGGAAGGAACCAGAATAGGACAGAACCAAGCCCCTGATTAGTGGGCACTGGTGGCCTGGCCTCATGACCACAGGACACACTGTTCCCAGGGCACAGACACCCTGGGCTTTGGTTGGGTCTTGGCCTCCAGGTAGGGCCCTGTTGGGCAGCGGGCAGCAACTCCTGAGACACTACTGTGATTCTTGGTGGTGGCTGTGGTAAAAAACCTGCAGGGCTAGAGTTTGGGGTGAGATTCAGCAGTAACTGTGGCCTCTCCTAGTGACAGTATGTCACTCCCACTCCCAGCACGCATGCCCACAGGCCACGGCCTCCACATCACAAACCCCCCACCAAGTTGCCCATCTATGGAGCAGCTCCCATACGGCAGGGTCAGGCTCTTACCTCCACCTCCAGGGCACAGACAGGGGGAGCTCTGTCTCACTGTAAGGCAATGAGGAGAGTTGAGGGCCCAGACCAGGCTAGGGGCCATCCCCTTTCCCGAGCAGGCCTCAGGGAAGGACCAGCCCCATTCCCATCTGACCTAGGTCTTAGCCCAGGAGCCTGCATAGGGAAGAAAGGACAGACAGGGCCTCCTTACTGGCTGACACTCAGGAGGGGCTGGGGCAAGAGAGCAGAGGGAGCGCAGGGCCAGGCAGGGGCTGCTGAGGATCCATGGGAGCTCAGGGTGCACAAGGGGGCTGCCCTT
Source organism: Homo sapiens (assembly GCF_000001405.40). Lineage (NCBI taxonomy): Eukaryota > Metazoa > Chordata > Mammalia > Primates > Hominidae > Homo > Homo sapiens. The sequence continues at coordinate 56,496,841 of NC_000007.14, forward strand.
CCTGGGCTGCAGGCAGCATCCCCTATGGGAGCTGAGAAAGTCCAATCCTGAGATGGGACAGTGCTGCCCAGGGGTGTGTGGCTGGGCCCTGACAACAGTCTCCCCAAAAGTGACCACATCACCAGGCTCAGTTCCAGGAAGGCTGAGAAGTGCCCAGTACACTGAGGATGCACCTCAGTTACATAAAATAAATGAAACTGGAGTACTAACGTACAGTTTAAAGGTTATAGTTACTATTTTTATATGATATACTAGTAATTTTTGAATAGGGTAAACTTTAGGTGTTTTGACACCAAAAGAAAACTACATGAGTTCATGCATGTGTTAAATTGCTTTACTGTAGTAATCATTTACATGTATATGTATATATGAATATAATTATGGGCTCATTAAATTTAAATATTATAAATAGGTGACAAAGAATAAAGTTAACTGGAAAACTGTGTCATTAGACTTGATTTTGCCTAAATGACAAACTGAAGGTACCTCCTAAGTATTAATATTTGTACATCACATAAATTTCATATATTGGAAATATGTTTACAGAAAAGGAATTATAAATTTTAATACACACAAAATGATGCAGTAAATGCAAAATGGTGGAAAGAGATGAAAATCTGATTAATCAGAGTGGTTAATTCTTAGATATAATTAATGATGTGTTAGGTATAATTTCAAGACATATACATGTAGATTTAATACCAAAGAGTTCACTGTGTACACAGAGATTAATTAAATGAAAAATTGATACATTTACAATGATATTAATCGATTTTAAAATGATCACAGAAATCAACTGTCTGGTATAGAAAAAATAAGGAGTGTTAAGTAATTATTAGAAAGTTTGAAACTAAAAAAAAAAAAAAAAAGCCAGGGGCGATGACTTATGCCTGTAATCCCAGCAATTTGGGAGGCCGAGGCAGGCAGATCATGAGGTCGGAAGATCGAGACCATCCTGGCCAACATAGCGAAACCCAGTCTCTACTAAAAATACAAAAATTAGCTGGGCATGGTGGTGCGTGCCTGTAGTCTTAGATACTCGGGAGGCTGAGGCAGGAGAATTGCTTGAACCTGGGAGGCAGAGGTTGCAGTGAGCCAAGATTGCACCACTGCACTCCAGCCTGGTGACAGAGCTAGACTTTGTCTCAAAATAAATAAATAAATAAATAAATAAATAAATAAATAAATAAACAAACAAATAAAGTTCGAAACTTTATTAGAAAGTTAATCAAGTGGAAAAGTGATCAGCATTTTGGAGCACTAAACACAGGATGGACAAAATTTTCTAATACCAAGAAAATCATTTAATATTGCAAGGTTTTAAATCTAAATTAGTGTCTTTAACTTCACAAAGGCAGAAATCCTATAAGCAATGTTTCTTGAACACTGTAAAATGACAATAAAAATTAAAGTAACAAGTAACATGTAGCCACATGCAAATTTCCTTTCAGATTGTTGTATTTTTTTTTTTTTTATTTTAGGTGAATTTTTATTTCAACAGGTTTTTGGGGAAGAGGTTGTGTTTGGTTACAGGGATAAGTTTTTCAGTGGTGATTTCTGAGATATTGGTGCACCCATCACCCAAGCAGTGTACAGTGTACTCAATGCATAGTCTTTTATCCCTAAGATTGTTTTAAATGACATCTAGATTAAACCGAACATTCAAACTGAGATTACTTTTACAGCACTAGAGAAATGCTAAGGAGGAAGCTTCATGACTGAAACCAAAAGACCTGAATTTATATATTTGACTCTACTAACTAACATTCTTTATTTTATAAAAGAACAGCAATTCTGCCCACGTACAGGAGTTATGCATTAAAGTGGAGCATGATCACTTCAGACATTTGTCTGAAACATAAAAATTCTTCCAAGTATTAAGAAAATATTTAAACTTCACAGATAATGTTAGTGTATAATACATGGGCATTGAATAAGAAAAATTAAAATTTCTCATGTGGCACTGTTCTACACAAAATATTTATGTAAACATTTTTACTCATAACACGTGTGTACATTTGATGTTTTAGTACAGAATAACATATTCTCAAAGGTCATTTAATGTAGTAACTTAAAAATCTTTAAATTTTACAAGAATTCTAAAACTGCCCAGCAGAACGGATAGAAAAATATGGGAACTTCCCACGACTAGAAGTGAATCAGGAGGCAAATTAACAGTCATGAAAGCGAGAAGTTAGAGCCGCCTTCAGAGACAGCTCTGATTGCAGGGCTGATTACACAGACCTTAAACCTGTGAGGATCGTCCACTCTGCCCCTTGGAATAACAGAGAAAATTGCTAACCAGGGCCATCCCAAATGTGAGACTGCAAGGTAAGAACTAAATTGTAAATTATGAAGCACACAAAATAAGCTACCCAAAAAAGGGAAAGAAGAAATTATACATCACATAAACTTCATAGATTGGAAACATATTTAAAATAATTCAGTAACACAAATGGGGAAAGAGAATATCAAAATAATTTTGAAAACACATGAAGTTCTAAAGCGGGCACTGGGGGCTGTGGCTCATGCCTGTACTCCCAAGCACTTTGCGGCAGCCAAGGCAAGAAGATCACTTGAGGCCAGGAGTTTGAGACCAGCTTGGGCAACAAAGCAAAAGCTGTCTCTACAATAAATAGATATAAAAAAAATAAGCCAGGCACAGTGGTGTGTGCCTGTAGTGTTAGGTACTGGGGAGGTGGAGGTGAGAGGATCTCTTGAGACGAGGAATTTGAGGTTGCAGTGAGCTATGATCAGCACTGAACTCAAGCCTGGATGACAGAGAGATTCTGTCTCAAACACACACACACACACACACACACACACACACACACACAAAACAGGCATGTTTTGCAAAGACTCAAATAGAAATTGAACAACGGAAACTTAAATAAATTTAATATACAATGTATGGTTTAATTATTAAACCAAGTTAATAACAACAGGATTAGTGAACTAGAATACTGAGATGAATAAATAAAAGAACTACAGAAAAACAAAATGATCACAATACAAATATGATTGTACATGTACAAAGAATAAAATGAGATGAAATCAAACACATTGGTTTCACTAGCTTACATACAAATAACAAATCACACTAATAACAAATATTTATACATTTCTGAAACTGAATATCAGATAGGAACCCTTGAATGCTGAAGTGTATTGTGATTAAAAGTGACCACCAACTAAAAATACTCAACAGAAATAAAAGTCAAACTGCGTAACATGAAAGAAAAGAAAAAAATATTTAAAACCATGAGAGAGAAAAGCAGGGAGAATCAATGAAGGTGAGAGCAAAGTCTCCACAGCCTGTGTTCAGCTAGAAAACAGAGAAATAAGTAAGAGTGCTGAGAGGTTACTGTTCAACCAATAATTAGATACTTCACTAACATATTTTGAATAAGTGAGGATGCACTAAATGATTTCCAAAGGCAAAAAAATGAGGAATCTTATTACCAACATGAGCTTATTAAGAATACACTTCAAAAAGAAAAAAATTTAAAATGAAGTTCAAGGAATCAAAATGAAATGCAAGAAACTGCAAACATATTGGGCTATCAAATCATGGTGGACAATGAACTAAAGGATCCCTCAAGTCTTTGGCAGCATCAGTTTTCAAATGATTAACATAAAATAACAGTGTTAAACTCTATATAATGTAATGAAATAAAATATCAAATTTTCTGATACTTCAATAATTTTTTTTTTTTTTTTTGAGACGGAGTCTCGCTCTGTCACCCAGGCTGGAGTGCAGTGGCGCGATCTCGACTCACTGCAAGCTCCGCCTCCCGGGTTCACGTCATTCTCCTGCCTCAGCCTCTCCGAGTAGCTGGGACTAGAGGCGCCCGCCACCAAACCCGGATAATTTTTTTGTATTTTTAGTAGAGACGGGGTTTCACCGTGGTCTCGATCTCCTGACCTCATGATCCTCCCGCCTCGGCCTCCTAAATTGCTGGGATTACAAGCGTGAGCCACCGCGCCCGGCCGATACTTCAATAATTTAACTGGTGTTAGAATATCTTTTTCAGATAATTATTTTCAAAGAAAAAATATGTGATACTTCTGTCTCATCATTTGCAGAATATCAATTATCCTTTTTTCAGACCTTATTAGCACCAAAGGGTTCACAGTGGCATAGGCACTGGTCACACGCCTCTGGACACCCAGGATGACTGGGTCATAGGTTGATATCGGGATCGAGTAGGATGAGAGACTCAAATCCATCCAGTACGTGACCACAAAGAAACTCACCAACAGCAAGATGGTCTTGGCGGTCCTTTTTTTCTGGAGAGACTCTTGGGGAGACTTTTTTTTTTTTTACTTGCTCAATCTCTTTATTTAGTGGCACACATAGAATGAATGAATCAGCTGTTAGTTGTGGCATACTTAGTAAGTCTGATCTTGCCTATAGAAATAAGATCTTAATACTTCATTCTCAGAACACTTTAAAACCTAAGCCACAGTTTTTCTTTCAAGGATGTGGAAAGCATTCCTCATTCAAATCTGATTAATGGTTTTATAATGTATGTACCTCATTTTTACTAGTCATTATCTTCATGCTGGATTCTAATGTTCTTTTTGATGGTGGCGTGTTCAATGATAGAAACTTACAGAGAGAAAATTCCTTCCTTCTCAATTTATAAACAAACATTTTAAAAGCAACATTTTTGACGTAGTAGGAAGACATTTATATGACATATGCAGCTACTGCCTTAAATTGGCAAAAATAACAAAAGAAAAAATTGTTATTTAATCTTTAAATAATGAGTCTCTATTTGCTACAAATCTATAAATATTTTAAATATATTTCCTTCTACTGCAATAAAAATTAAAAGACAACCCTCTGTTTAACAGCTTTTGAAGATGTTAATTTTATAAGGAAATAAAAAAGATTGACTTGCCTCCCGAATATCCAGTGATAAACTGAACCCTAATTTCCCTACCTCAAGAACATAAAAATGATGTAAAGTGGACCAAAGTATGTAACAATATTAACAATATTAAAAATGATTTTTCATATTGTCTTTCACTAAAGTAATCAATGTAAAAAGAATGTAAAAATGTTTTTGCTTGAAGATTTAGTGAATGTCCAAGGAATCACAATTTTTTAGCTTTTACATCCAGGGTACTATACCATGTGAAAATACTATAGTGCCTCATATAAAAAAGCACAGTGATAAAATTTCACATGTAAAATAGCCTAAATAACAATAATAATTACATTCTCCACAATCGTTTATTATCTAAAACTTCAAAGCCCTCCATGTTTTTCAGTGCTTTGAGTGAGCAATCAAAACAATCGTGTTTATTCAGGTTTAAAACTTAATTTCTCCTCTTGAAATCTGGAGGCAGAGATGGAAGAGACACTTAAGGTCATCTTGTCCAACTTCTTAAGCCCACGTATGTGGAAACAGTCTACAACGTTTCATTATATCGTCATTGATGCACCTTCTTCACCAGTGGCATCATGGGAAATATGAAGGTCTTCAGGCATCTCAGCCAGACTAATTCGAGGTGCTCTTCATCATCATCGCTTTCCACAGGGATGGTTGACTCTCTGTAAATGTTGACATTTTTTCTAATTGCCTCATCTTTTTCAAGATCTTCAAGAAAATCTTGGTATTACCTTTCATCATCTGTATCCATGTTCTCTCTCTCGCAAGCTCCTTCAATTTCCAGTTTCTACATCACTGATGTTTGGTCCAGTCTTAGTCCTTCTTGATTCATACCACATCTGGAACTCTATCTGAGTTCATTTTATTGACATGCTCATCATTTAAATTACAGCTGGCCAAATCAAACCCTAACACCAGCTCTCCAGGATTTAGAAGATGTCCCAAATGAGTACGACAAAAATACTGTTTATCTGTATTCATTTCAGATGTCTTCTGTACCCAGACTTCCCTGAGGGTATGCTTTTTTACATCATTCCAGCATCTGCACCACATTTTATATCTCGGACTATGCTGCGTTCCATCACAATAAACTCCTCTAGCTGTTTGGGGTGACATAAACTATTGAAAGGGTGACTCCAGAAAGTACTCCCATCAATATCTGCAACTTGTAGGATGTTTGGATCAGTGAGGTGAATGGCACTGGTTACTCAGATACACACACAAATCTGGTTCATATTTCCCAGGCTTTGTACCAGTTTTGGAGACAGACAACTTTATCCTTGCATATTGGAACAAGTGTGTGTGTGTGTATGTGTGTGTGTGTGTGTGTCTGTAGACATACACAAACGTGTAAAGTAGACTCAGAATTGCTAGTCCATACCCTTTTGGGAAGCAAATTGTTCAACTAGAATACAGTGTTTTTGTATAGTTCTTGAGTTTTACAGTATCCAGTTAAAGTACTGTTTTCCAAAATTGCTTAGGTCAGGACCTTCCATTCTCACACATAGAATGGGATATAGTTTATCTTAAAAAAAAATAGGCTGGGCATGGTGGCTCATACCTGTAATCCCAGCACTTTGGGAGGCCGAGGCAGGCAGATCACGAGGTCAGGAGTTCAAGACCAGCCTGGCCAATTTAGTGAAACCCCATCTCTACTGAAAATACAAAAATTAGCCAGGTGTGGTGGCGGGTGCCTGTAGTCCCAGTTACTCGGGAATCTGAGGCAGGAGAACCGCTTGAACCCGGGAAACAGAGAAAGAAGTGAGCCGAAATTGTACCACTGCACTCTAGCCTAGGCGACAGAGGGAGAGTCTGTCTCAAAAAAAACAAAAAAACAAAAAAACAAAAAAAAAACACCAAAAAATTTAACACATGCTACAACATGCATTAACCTTAAGGACATTATGTCAAGTAAAATAAACCAGTCACAAAACAACAAATTCTAAGTGGTTCAGCTTTTATGAGGTACCTGGCATAGGTAAATGCATGAAGACAGAAAGTACAATAGTGGTTGCCAAGGACAGGGGGAAGGGAAAATGGAGATTGTTGTTTAATGGGTACAGAGTTACACTTTTCCAAGATAAAAAATGTTCTGGAGGTGGATGGTTATGATGATTGTACAGTAATGTGAATACATTTATTACTTCTAAAATGTACACTTAAAATAGATACAATGGTAAATTTTATAGTATGTGTGTTTCACCACTATTTTAAAAAGGGAAGTTGTCAGCTTTAGTATAATAATAGGCAAATACTATAAACCAAAAAATAGAAAGTAATTAATTATCATTGTGTAAGAATACACACAGTTCTTAAATAATATTTTAAAAAATATTACTAACTGATAGATGATTGATTCAAACACAAATAACATGAGAAAAATAAACTTAAGCATGAGAATTTTATGTGCTACTTGGGAAGGCTTCTGTAAGTATAAAATAAAACATCAAAGTAATTTAGGATAAGATTAATACATTTCAATGTTATTTTTTCTAAAAGTTTAAACAGCAACAAAGTGAAAATTAATTAGAGACTATATAATGAATTACAGTGTATTCTGTAAGCAGATAATTTATTTTAATAAAAACTCCAACAAAACAAAACTAACAAAAGTGGGCAAATTATTTTAAACACAAACAAATATTGCCTAAAAATAAAAGTTCTCAAACCTATTCATAATTTGAGAAAGGTGATTGGATGTGAGATGAGAAATCTATTTAAATAATTTTACCCAATACATAGGCAGTAAAAATTAATTTTTTGAGGCAGGTTCTTGCTCTGTCACCCAGGCTGAAGTGCGGTGGCATGATCTCAGCTCACTGAAACCTCAGCCTCCCAAGTTCAAGTGATTCTTGTGCCTAAGCTTCCCAAATAGCTGCAACTACTGGTGTGCACCACCACATCAGGCTAATTTTTGCATTTTCTTTTCCATAGAGATGGGTTTTGCCATGTTGGCCACGCTGGTCTTGAACTCCTGGCCTCAAGTGATCTGCCAACCTCAGCCTCCCAAAGGGCTGAGATTACAGGCATAAGCTGCTGCACTCTGCATAAAGATTAAATATTTCTGAAGGCATCCATTGAAAGAAAATGTCAAAGTTGGTAAAATAGGGGAGAACAAAAAGTGGTCCCAAGGAGCCAATGCTACAACCCACAGCTTTCCCTGAAATGGCAAAACAAATCTAGCCCCCTGGGTGAGATTTTGCTAATCAAGGAAATTACCATAAGGAGGCTCACCTGGATGTGAAAAGCAGTGTCCAGAAAAATGAAGCCTCTCTCATAGGCCTGGATTTGACCTCATACCTCTAACCTCCAGTGCAACCACCATCATCTTTTCCACATCTCCCCCATGAAGTCCCCACAGCAACAGGAGGAATTCTAGTCAATTATCTCTTCTGAAAGGCCCTGTCCTTGAATTGTCTCTTCTCTTAGACTCTCAATGGTTCATGCAGCTATTTTCTTTTCTTTTCCTTTTTTTTTTTTTTGAGACAGGGCCTCACTCTGTTGCCCAGGCTGGAATGCAGTGGTGTGATCTTGGCTCACTGCAGCCTCCACGTCCCAGGTTCAAGCGATTCTCCTGCCTCAGCCTCTCCAGTAGCTGGGATTACAGGTGCGTGCCACCACGCCTGGCTAATTTTTTGTATTTTTAGTAGAAATGAGGTTTCACTATGTTGGCCAGGCTGGTCTTGAACTTCTTAACTCAGGTGATCCGCCTGCCTCAGCCTCCCAAAATGCTGGGATTACAGGCATGAGCCACCACACCCGGCCCATTCAGTTATTTTCACACAGAGCAGACATCCATTGTCTGAGACATTAAAGTTTAGATTCCAACCCAGGTTGCACACTTATGCTCTGAGTGTATAGTGAACTGATTGCTATGGAGCAGGAACAGTCCTCAGGCTTCTAAGGTGAAACCACAGGAGAACTCCAACACACACGACCCCACTTTCACATTTGGATAACCAACACCAAAGCCTACTTAAAACCATTCAGACACCTGTGTCTCTGACTGCATCTTCTGTGGGCCAATATCCTTGCTGGAGAAGACACACAATATGCACCCAGATATTGGTTCTCCAAGTCATTTACCTGAATAAGCAGCATTGGAAACACATGAGAACTTGTAAAAAAAAAAAAAATAAAAGAATATTCTTGAGCCACGGACAAGAACTGTAGAGCAAGACATTAAGGAGAGGCCCAGTAATCTGTGATATTTCAAACCCTCCAAGTGATCCAGATGCACACTAAATTGAACAACTTCTGCAGGAATGAAGTAATAGCTCATCCCTGAGTTAACAAATTATACAAGGAATATACCACAGGCATGTGGCAATTTTGGAGTTTTGACTCAACACTCAAAAAAATATAAATAAAAATCAATTCGATTGAAGATATAGCCTTCATTGACTTTTCACTCTTTTCTGTCTCACTTCTCTCCCTGTCCTCTTTGTACTTCCTGGGATCACCTCCCAAATCAACCTCTTGCACTTATTAAGTATCACAATTTTCTAATGGAAAACAAATGATAATTTATTCACTATTTTATCAAATACAATAGAAAATTCATATGACAACCGAGTAGCAGATGGTATATTTGATAACATTTTTATTATTGTAATGTGCTTGATAAGTTTTATTATAAGGCCATAAATAACAATCAAACAAGTAAACAGATTTTCTATTTTTTTTTATTATTATACTTTAAGTTTTAGGGTACATGTGCACAACGTGCAGGTTAGTTACATATGTATACATGTGCCATGTTGGTGTGATGCATCCATTAACTCATCATTTAACATTAGGAATATCTCCTAATGCTATCCCTCCCCACTCCCCCCACCCCACAACAGGCCCCAGTGTGTGATGTTCCCCTTCCTGTGTCCATGTGTTCTCATTGTTCAATTCCCACCTATGAGTGAGAACATGCAGTGTTTGGTTTTTTGTCCTTGCGATAGTTTGCTGAGAATGATGGTTTCCAGTTTCATCCATGTCCCTACAAAGGACATGAACTCATCTTTTTTATGGCTGCATAGTATTCCATGGTGTATATGTGCCACATTTTCTTAATCCAGTCTATCATTGTTGGACATTTGGGTTGGTTCCAAGTCTTTGCTACTGTGAATAATGCCGCAATAAACATACGTGTGCATGTGTCTTTATAGCAGCATGATACATAATCTTTTGGGTATATACCCAGTAATGGGATGGCTGGGTCACATAGTATTTCTAGTTCTAGATCCTCGAGGAATCGCCACACTGTCTTCCACAATGGTTGAACTAGTTTACAGTCCCACCAACAGTGTAAAAGTGTTCCTATTTCTCCACATCTTCTCCAGCACCTGTTGTTTCCTGACTTTTTAATGATCGCCATTCTAACTGGTGTGAGATGGTATCTCATTGTGGTTTTGATTTGCATTTCTCTGATGGTCAGTGGTGATGAGCATTTTTTCATGTATCTGTTGGCTGCATAAATGTCTTCTTTTGAGAAGTGTCTGTTCACATCCTTCACCCACTTTTTGATGGGGTTGTTTGTTTTTTTTCTTGTAAATTTGTTTGAGTTCATTGTAGATTCTGGATATTAGCCATTTGTCAGATGAGTAGATTGCAAAAATTTTCTCCCCTTCTGTAGGTTGCCTGTTCACTCTGATGGTAGTTTCTTCTGCTGTGCAGAAGCTCTTTAGTTTAATTAGATCCCATTTGTCTATTTTGGCTTTTGTTGCCATTGCTTTTGGTGTTTTAGTCATGAAGTCCTTGCCCATGCCTATGTCCTGAATGGTATTGCCTAGGTTTTATTCTAGGGTTTTTATGGTTTTAGGCCTAACATTTAAGTCTTTAATCCATCTTGAATTAATTTTTGTATAAGGTGTAAGGAAGGGATTCAGTTTCAGCTTTCTACATATGGCTAGCCAGTTTCCCCAGCCCCATTTATTAAATAGGGAATCCTTTCCCCATTTCTTGTTTTTGTCAGGTTTGTCAAAGATCAGATGGTTGTAGATGTGTGGTATTATTTCTGAGGGCTCTGTTCTGTTCCATTGGTCTATATCTCTGTTTTGGTACCAGTACCATGTTGTTTTGGTTACTGTAGCCTTGTAGTATAGTTTGAAGTCGGGTAGCGTGATGCCTCCAGATTTGTTCTTTTGGCTTAGGATTGTCTTGGCAACGTGGGCCCTGTTTTGGTTCTATATGAACTTTAAAGTAGTTTTTTCCAATTCTGTGAAGAAAGTCATTCGTAGCTTATGGGGATGGCATTGAATCTATAAATTACCTTGGGCAGTATGGCCATTTTCACGATATTGATTCTTCCTACCCATGAGCATGGAATGTTCTTCCATTTGTTTGTATCCTCTTTTATTTCATTGAGCAGTGGTTTGTAGTTCTCCTTGAAGAGGTCCTTCATGTCCCTTGTAAGTTGGATTCCTAGGTATTTTATTCTCTTTGAAGCAATTGTGAATGGGAGTTCACTCATTATTTGGCTCTCTGTTTGTCTGTTATTGGTGTATAAGAATGCTTGTGATTTTTGCACATTGATTTTGTATCCTGAGACTTTGCTGAAGTTGCCTATCAGCTTAAGGAGATTTTGGGCTGAGATGATGGGGTTTTCTAGATATACAATCATGTCATCTGCAAACAGGGACAATTTGACTTCATCTTTTCCTAATTGAATATCCTTTATTTCCTTCTCCTGCCTGATTGCCCTGGCCAGAATTTCCAACACTATGTTGAATAGGAGTGGTGAGAGAGGGCATCCCTGTCTTGTGCCAGTTTTCAAAGGGAATGCTTCCAGTTTTTGCCCATTCAGTATGATATTGGCTGTGGGTTTGTCATAGATAGCTCTCATTATTTTGAGATATGTCCCATCAATACCTAATTTATTGAGAGTTTTTTAGCATGAAGGTTGTTGAATTTTGTCAAAGGATTTTTCTGCATCTATTGAGACAATTATATGGTTTTTGTCATTGGTTCTGTTTATATGCTGGATTACATTTATTGATTTGCATATGTTGAACCAGCCTTGCATCCCAGGGATGAAGCCCACTTGACTGTGGTGGATAAGCTTTTTGATGTGCTGCTGGATTCGGTTTGCCAGTATTTTAATGAGGATTTTTGCATCGATGTTCATCAGGGATATTGGTCTAAAATTCTCTTTTTTGGTTGTGTCTCTGCCAGGCTTTGGTATCAGGATGATCCTGGCCTCATAAAATGAGTTAGGGAGTTTTTCTATTGATTGGAATAGTTTTTCTATTGATTGGAATAGTTTCAGAAGGAATGGTACCAGCTCCTCCTTGTACCTCTGGTAGAATTCAGCTGTGAATCCATCTGGTCCTGGACTTTTTTGGTTGGTAAGCTATTAATTATTGCCTCAATTTCAGAGCCTGTTATTGGCCTATTCAGAGACTTAACTTCTTCCTGGTTTAGTCTTGGGAGGGTGTGTGTTCCAGGAATTTATTCATTTCTTGTAGATTTTCTAGTTTATTTGCATAGAGGTGTTTATAGTAGTCTCTGATGGTAGTTTGTATTTCTGTGGGATCAGTGGTGATATCCCCTTTATTTGATTCTTCTCTCTTTTCTTCTTTATTAGTATTGCTAGTGGTCTATCAGTTTTGTTGATCTTTCCAAAAAACCAGCTACTGGATTCATTTATTTTTTGAAGAGTTTTTTGTGTCTCTGTCTCCTTCAGTTGTGCTCTGATCTTAGTTATTTCTTGCCTTCTGCTAGCTTTTGAATGTGTTTGCTCTTGCTTCTCTAGTTCTTTTAATTGTGATGTTAGGGTGTCAGTTTTAGATCTTTCCTGCTTTCTCTTGTGGGCATTTAGTGCTATAAATTTTCCTCTACACACTACTTTAAATGTGTCCCAGAGATTCTGGTGTGTTGTGTCTTCGTTCTTATTGGTTTCAAAGAACATCTTTATTTCTGCCTTCATTTCGTTATGTATCCAGTAGTCATTCAGGAGCAGGTTGTTCAGTTTCCATGTAGTTGAGCGGTTTTGAGTGAGTTTCTTAATCTGGGTTCTAGTTTGATTGCACTGTGGTCTGAGAGACAGTTTGTTATAATTTCTGTTCTTTTACATTTGCTGAGGAGTGCTTTACTTCCAACTATGTGGTCAATTTTGGAATAAGTGTGGTGTGGTGCTGAGAAGAATGTATATTCTGTTGATTTGGGGTGGAGAGTTCTGTAGATGTCTATTAGGTCCGCTTGGTGCAGAGCTGAGTTCAATTCCTGGATATCCTTGTTAACTTTCTGTCTCATGATCTGTGTAATGTTGATAGTTGGGTGTAAAGTCTCCCATTATTACTGTGTGGGAGTCTAAATCTTTTTGTAGATCTCTAAGGATTTGCTTCATGAATCTGGGTGCTCCTGTATTGGGTGCATATATATTTAGAATAGTTAGCCCTTCTTGTTGAATTGATCCCTTTACCATTATGTAATGGCCTTCTTTGTCTCTTTTGATCTTTGTTGGTTTAAAATCTGTTTTATCAGAGACTAGGATTGCAACCCTTGCCTTTTTTTGTTTTCCATTTGCTTGGTAGATCTTCCTCCATTCCTTTATTTTGAGCCTATGTATGTCTCTGCACATGAGATGGGTCTCCTGAATACAGCACACTGATGGGTCTTGACTCTTTATCCAATTTGCCAGTCTGTGTCTTTTAATTGGAGAATTTAGTCCATTTACATTTCAGGTTAATAGTGTTATGTGTGAATTTGATCCTGTCATTATGATGTTAGCTGGTTATTTTGCTCGTTAGTTGATGCAGTTTCTTCCCAGCCTCGATGGTCTTTACAATTTGGCATGTTTTTGCAGTGGCTGGTACTGGTTGTTCCTTTCCATGTTTAGTGCTTCCTTCAGGAGCTCTTTTAGGGCAGGCCTGGTGGTGACAAAATCTCTCAGCATTTGCCTGTCTATAAAGGATTTTATTTCTCCTTCACTTATGAAGCTTAGTTTGGCTGGATATGAAATTCTGGGTTGAAAATTCTTTTCTGTAAGAATGTTGAATATTGGCCCCCACTCTCTTCTGGCTTGTAGAGTTTCTGCTGAGAGATCAGCTGTTAGTCTGATGGGCTTCCCTTTGTGGGTAACCCGACCTTTCCCTCTAGCTGCCCTTAACATTTTTTCCTTCATTTCAACTTTGGTGAATCTGACAATTATGTGTCTGGGAGTTGCTCTTCTCGAGGAGTATCTTTGTGACATTCTCTGTATTTTCTGAATTTGAATGTTGGCCTGCCTTGCTAGATTGGGGAAGTTCTCCTGGATAATATCCTGCAGAGTGTTTTCCAACTTGGTTCCATTCTCCCCGTCACTTTCAGGTACAGCAATCAGACGTAGATTTGGTCTTTTCACATAGTCCCATATTTCTTGGAGGCTTTGTTCATTTCTTTTTACTCTTTTTTCTCTAAACTTCTCTTCTCGCTTCATTTCATTCATTTGATCTTCAATCACTGCTACCCTTTCTTCCAGTTGTTCAAATCAGCTACTGAAGCTTGTGCATTCATCACGTAGTTCTTGTGCCATGGTTTTCAGCTCCATCAGATCATTTAAGGACTTCTCTACATTGGTTATTCTAGTTAGCCATTTGTCTAATCTTTTTTCAAGGTTTTTAGCTTCTTTGTGTTGGGTTCGAACTTCCTCCTTTAGCTCGGAGAAGTTTGATCGTCTGAAGCCTTCTTCTCTCAACCCATCAAAGTGATTCTCCATCCACCTTTGTTCCATTGCTGGCGAGGAGCTGTGTTCCTTTGGAGGGGGAGAGGTGCTCTGATTTTTAAATTTTTCAGCTTTTCTGCTCTGTTTTCTCCCTATCTTTGTGGTTTAATCTACCTTTGGTCTCTGATGATGGTGACGTACAGATGGGGTTTTGGTGTGTGTGTCCTTTCTGCTTGTTAGTTTTCCTTCTAACAGTCAGGACCCTCAGCTGCAGGTCTGTTGGAGTTTGCTGGAGGTCCACTCCAGACCCTATTTGCCTGGGTATCAGCAGTGGAGGCTGCAGAACAGCGAATATTGCTGAACAGCAAATGTTGCTGCCTGATCGTTCCTCTGGAAGCTTTATCTCAGAGGGGTACCCGGCCGTGTGAGGTGTCAGTCTGCCCCTACTGGGGGGTGCCTCCCAGTTAGGCTACTTAGGGGTCAGGGACCCACTTGAGGAGGCAGTCTGTCCATTCTCAGATCTCAAACTCCGTGCTGGGAGAACCACTACTCTCTTCAAAGCTGTCAGACAGGGACATTTAAGTCTGCAGAGGTTTCTGCTGCATTTTGTTCAGCTATGCCCTGCCCCCAGAGGTGGAGTCTACAGAGGCAGGCAGGCCTCCTTGAGCTGTGTTGGGCTCCACCCAGTTCGAGCTTCCCGGCTGCTTTGTGTACCTACTCAAGCCTTAGCAGCAGTGGGCTCCCCTCCCCTAGCCTCGCTGTCACCTTGTAGTTTGATCTCAGCCTGCTGTGCTAGCAATGAGTGAGGCTCCGTGGGGGTGGGACCCTCTGAGGAAGGCGAGGGATATAATTTCCTGGTGTGCCGTTTGCTAAGACTGTTGGAAAAGTGCAGTATTAGGGTGGTAGTGACCCGATTTTCCAGGTGCCATCTGTCACCCCTTCCCTTGGCTAGGAAAGGGAATTCCCTGACCCCTTGCACTTCCCAGGTGAGGTGATGTCTCGCCCTGCTTTGGCTCACACTTGGTGGGCTGCATCCACTGTCCTGTCCCCACTGTCCGACGAGCCCCAGTGAGATGAACCTGGTACCTCAGTTGGAAATGCAGAAATCACCCGTCTTCTGTGTCACTCATGTGGGGAGCTGTAGACTGGAGCTGTTCCTATTCAGCCATCTTGGAACCACCCCTTGGCTAATTATTTTTTATTTGTTGTAGAGATGGGATCTTGCTGTGTTGCCCAAGCTCATCTTGGACTCAAGCAAGCCTCCCACCTTGGCCTCCCAAAGTGCTTGGATTATAGTCATGAACCACGGTGCCCAGCCCAGAGACACAGTGCGCAGCTTGGCAGAGCGTGTGATGGAGCCAAGGACAGGGCTGTCAACTGGCTCCACAGCAGGGTCAGTGGGAGAAGAAGGAAAGGAAGCTGTTCTTGGGGGCTTCCCCATACTATTGACTCCAGGTATACTTGGCATCAATGGAGGACGTGGGGCTGAGACACTGGGTCCAAAGTTTGCGATCATGCCAGGATCCCAGAGCAGCAGAACTATGGTTGCTGATAGGTGTCATGACACTCAACAAGAGTGTCAACCTTTATCTGGGAGTTTTGGAGGCCATTGGTCATGAAAAGCTAGGAAGGCTGAGGTGGGAAAGGAAGTAGAGGTTGGTAGTCCCTCAGATCTTACTCTTACCCAGCTCTGTTTCTTCTGTCAAAAGGCCTTTCCTTCTCATCTTCATGGCACCCACTCTAGGAGCTAAGTCCACTGCTTCATAGTCTGATTGCCACCCTATGCATTCTTTGCCTCATGTTAATTCCCTGGAGAGGCAGTTCTGGGAAATCATTAAGAACCCGATTTAAATATCCCAGCTCTGTGACTTCGTGTATGTGACTTCATCTCCCTGTGTCTCAGTTTCTTCATCTGTGAAATTGAGATAATAATAATAATAAAATATACTTCACAGGATTGCTGTGAGAATTAAATAATGATATAGTAAAGCCCTTAAAATAATGCTTGGTATATAGTGTCATATATGTGTTTGCTGCTGAAGCTACTTCTGCTACCATTACATAACTCTTCCTGCTCCTCCTCTTCCTCCTCCATACAGTCCAATCCCTTCAAGCCTCCCTGCAGCCTCCAGATGCAAGCACTCCCCAATCTTCTGATGTTTAACCCACAAGTCCCATCTCTCCTCCATTCCAATGGTCACCACCTAATTTCTAGTCCTCAATGCCTCTAGCCAAACAATGGCCTTCAGATTGTCCTCCTTTCCTGCAATTAAGTTCCCTTTTGAGCCATTTTCCAATCTGCCTCTGAGAGAGTTATTTTTAGAAAAATGCAGATCAGATCATGTCATTTTGTCTTATTTTCAGTAACTACATTGCCCGTAGAATAAAGGTCAAACTTAATCTGACACCAAGCCATCTTCTGAACTCTCTGTGTACCTTTTGCTCTAAATATATCCAAATTCTTGCTCTTTTCCAAACCTATCCATATTTTTCCTTCTGCCTAGAAGCAATGAATATTTCCTTCCCTCCCTCCCTCCCCCTTCCTCCTTCCTTCCTTCCTTCTCTACTTTCCTTCCTTCCTTCTCTACTTTCCTTCCTTCCTTCTCTCTCTCCCTTCTTTCCCTTTCTTCTTCCTTCCTTCCTTACTTCCTTCCTTCTCTCTCTCCCTTCTTTCCCTTTCTTCTTCCTTCCTTCCTTTCTTCCTTCCTCTTCTCTCTCCCTTCTTTCCCTTTCTTCTTCCTTCCTTCCTTTCTTCCTTCCTTCTCTCTCCCTTCTTTCTTCCTCCTTCCCTCCTTCCCTCCCTCTGTCCTTCCCTCCCTCCCTCCTTCCCTCACTCCTTCCCTCTCCCTTCTTTCTTCCTCCTTCCCTCCTTCCCTCCGTCCCTCCTTCCCTCCCTCCCTCCTTCCCTCCCTCCCTCCTTCCCTCACTCCTTCCCCTCCTTCCCTCACTCCTTCCCCTCCTTCCCTCACTCCTTCCCCTCCCTCCCTCCCTCCCTTCCTTCCTTATTTCCTTCTTCCCTGTCAACTGCACTTTTATTCAAAAATTAAAACCCAGATGGAGAGAGAGAAGTCTTCCCCAGTTCCCTCAGTGCATATATACACAGTAGATGGTAATCCTTGAAGACAAGGACAGAATCTTATTCATGCTACTCACACATGGGTACAAATGAAACAAGTGAGTAGAAAATCATGTTCTGCCACATAAGGTGGTGTCTTAGTCCATTTTGTGTTGCCATAACAGAATACTTGAGACTGGGTAATTTATAAAGAAAAGAGGTTTATTTAGCTCCTAGTTCTGCAGGCTGGTAAGTTCAAGGCATGGCCCTGGCTTCTGGCATGGGATTCTGTGCTGAATCACAACATGGCAGAGAAGGTCAAAGGGAAAGCAGACATGTGCAAGGGGATAAAATGCAAGGGGCATCCTGGCTTTATACCCACCTGCACTTGAGGGAACTAACCCGGTCTTGCCAGAGTGAGAAGTCACTACCAGGAGAACGTACAAAGACATTCATGAGGAGCCCACCCCCAGGAAACAAACACCTCCCACTAGGCCCCACCCCCCAACACTGCCACATTGGGGATCAAATTTCAACAAGAGTTTTGGTGGGGACAAACTTAAACTGTGGCAGATGTCATGTCTGAAAGTGAGTTATGGGAAGTAAGGTAGCTTCAGTAATTTATGACAGAGAGGGAAACTTTTCAGGTAATGCTAAATAAGGATGTTTCCTCTTTCTGTCCAAAATGTCAGGTACCTTGCAATAGCCAGAGAGAAAGCATTCCAAACGACAGCAGTGGGTACAGAGGAGTGGAACTCTCTAGGTTTCTGCTTTGTCAGAAGTGTGCACTTTCAAGTCAGGAATACCTGGAGCAAGAGATTCAGGAAAACAGAAGCAGACAAACTCCAGCTCAAATCACTGGGTGCTGAACTGTGAGCAGCTAGGGATAGAGATCCTGGAATTATTGGAGGGGAGGATGTCAGCCTTGATCCAAAGAAATGGCCAAGTGCACTTGAATTTGCGTTGGATGTGAAATATTGTGGAACCAGAAAACAAGAGCAAAGCTGGTGGATTAAAGGTGAAAGGGCCTATGCAAGGCAGAGCTGAACTACTCCAAGCTACCAGGAACTATGTTCTGGTCACTATTGCTGCTGAACAAGTCATCCCTAACCTCAACAGATTCTCATGAATTTGCAATTTTCTGCATGAATCTGCAACTGGACAGGGTTCCTTGGGAAGGCTGGTCTTTGCTCTTTGTGGCATTAGCTGGGAGCTGGAGAATCTACTTTAGGACAGCTCTCTCATATGGTTGGCAAGTTGGTTCTGGAAGTGAGCTGGGAGCTCAGGGGGGGATGAGGGCCAGGGGTCTTGGTTTTCCTCCCTCTCGGCCTCTCCACAAGCTGCTCAGGCTTCCTTACAACATGGTGGCTTAGTTCTGAGAGTGAGCTCACAAAAGAAGCAGGTGAAGCAGAGTGCTAGCCAATGTTGAACAATTGGCTTCCTGGGGTAGAAAAAGCCCTAATTTGCAGTGTTTGCTAATTTCCAGGGAGTAAATAATCCCAACATGGCTAATTTCAAACTACTGAACATAGAATTGGGAAGAGATGTATACAATTAGCTTTCAAGAGCTGGTATAATCTCCAGCACCTCACTGGGTGGAAACTGCCCTAGCCTTGGAGGTCACATAGTGTCACTTGTACTGTAGTCCATAGACATGTCCAAATGCAAGAGAAAGGAAGTTAGACCTCTATATCTTGATGGAAAGAGTATCGAAGTACCATTGTAAGAAGAACTGTGGGATGGGAGATATTTTTGCTACAATTTAGAAAGTACAGTAGGCTGCAGAATGGAGATGTTAATGCCTAGAGAAGCCAGGTAGAGAATGAAAATTGGTAGGGAGGTCAGGTGTCAAGTGATGAGAACAATTGACATGTGCCCTCCATGCCCTGGGAGAAGTAGGTGGGGAGGGCTGGGTGTGGTGGCTCCTGCCTGTAATCCCAGCACTTTGGAAGGCTGAGGTGGGCGGATGACTTGAGGCCAGGGGTTCGAGACCAGCCTGGCCAAGATGGTGAAATTCTGTCTCTACTAAAAATCCAAAAAAATTAGCCGGGCATGGTGGTGCATGCCTGTAGTCCCAGTTACTTGGGAGGCTGAGGCAGGAGAATCACTTGAACCCAGGAGGTGGAGGTTGCGGTGAGTTGAGTTCACACCATTGTACTCCAGCCTGGGTGACAGAGTGAAACTCTGTCTCAAGAAAAAAAAAAAAAAGGTAGGCAGGGAGCAGGTGCTGGTGAACTGGAGACTACCACGTTGGGTGAGCCAAACACTCAAACACTTCTATGGATAGAGCCAGCCCTCAGGCAAGTTGTTGGCAACATTTAACACAGTCCCAACTCAGAGGTGACTAGAGGAAATAAATTAGTTGTTATATGTTTAAACTTATAAACATATGTAATATGTTTAAAATATAAAGCATATTAACTTGGCAGCCTGGATTTAAAAAAACAAATGGCTGAGTGCAGTGGCTCATGCCTGTAATCCCAGTACTTTGGGAGGCTGAAGAGGGAAGATCACTTGAGACTGTTGACCAGTCTGGGCAACATAGTATGATCCCATCTCTACAAAAAATAAAAATAAAAATAAATTAGCTGGACGTGGTGGCACATGCCTGTAGTCCCAGCTACTGGGGAGGCTGAAGTGGGAGGATCACTTTGAGCCCAGTAGTTCAAGATTGTACTGAGCTATGGTAGAGTCACTGCACTCCAGCCTGGGTGACAGAGTGAGAACCCAACTCTAAAAACAGAAACAAAAACAAAACAAGCCCTGCCTTTTAGTTATTTTTAAAAGTCATCAGAAATGAGTAGACCCAAGTGCCATTTGCATTCAAGGCTCTGATAGATAGTTTCCCCATGGAATGCTGCTTAAATCAGTCCCATTTCATTTTGAGCATATCTAATATTTCCAAGGCACAGTGTTTGCTTTGTATGTATGTATAACATGTACACATCTTCTATCAGTACACACATACATATATACATATATATGTATAATTAGCACATGGAGTCTTGCTCTGTTGCCCAGGCTGGAGTACAGTGGCATGATCTTGGCTCACTGCAACTTCCACCTCCTGGGTTCAAGCGATTCTTGTGCCTCTGTCTCCCGAGTAGCTGGGATTACAGGTGTGTGCCACCATGCCCGGCTAATGTTTGTATTTTTAGTAGAGACAGAGTTTCACCATATTGTCCAGGCTGTTCTCAAACTCCTGACCTCAGGTGATTTGCCTGCCTTGGCCTCCCAAAGTGCTGGAATTACATGTGTGAGCCACTGCACCCAGCCTCTTGTACTATTTTCCATATGCATCTTTGCTGCAGAGCCCAGAATGAAGAAATGGCAGCACAGTTGGCTGATTTAGCCGAGGGTTACACATAGCTGGTGACCTAAGGGGTCAGAGTGCTGTTATGAGTTGGAATTCAGGGTGGGGTCCTACAAATCCACTCTGTCCTTTGCCACCGCACTGGGCAATGCCTCCTGTGACTCACGGTCAAGCTGCATTACTTGCAGCCTGATTAGCTGTGATTAGCCAGTCCCCAGATCCTTCGAACCCTGGTTTTCCTTTCTTCCTGCTAAGATGACTTTTTTGGCAATGTTTGCCCCTGCCAGAGAGGAGGCGCAGGAACAACAGTGACATTCACAGTGGGAAATTTTCATACTGGCTGGAAGCATCCACTAAAATTAAATGTACGGATTATTTGTGGGTTTCATTTTTCAGACTATTTGTGTTCCCCAGTGACACAAGTAATTGGAAATTGACTATAGTAGCTCTTTGAGAAGATTATGGAAACACGGTGAACAACGTATGCAGCTGGGTGAATTGGGAACGTGGGTCTTCTGATTTTTTTATTTTTATTTTTTATGTTTCCGAGATGGGATCTCACTGTCACCCAGGGTGGAGTGCAGTGGCGTGATCTCGGCTCACTGCAACCTCCACCTTCTGGGTTCAAGTGATTCTCCTGTCTCAGCCTCCCAAGTAGCTGGGATTACAGACACCTGCCACCATACCTAGCTAATTTTTGTATTTTTAGTAGAGACAGGGGTTTCACCATGTTGGCTGGTCTCCAACTCCTGGCCTCAGGTGATTTACCCACATCGACCTCCCAATGTGCTGGGATTACAGGCCTGAGCCATCACGCCCAGCCCAGATCTTCTGATTTTTTATGTGTGTGCGCTAATAAAAGGTTTTAGCATACAGTTTTCAATTAATTCATATTTACTGGGAATCTTCTATATTCAGTTAGGGAATTTGAAGTAGGCCATAGTCCCTGATCTCTAGGGAAGCAGGGTCTACCTGTGACAGATTATACAGCAATACAATGTCAGTAGCCACTCAATACAATGGTTTAAGCCAAGAAAAAACTAATATTTATTTTAGGGTTATAGAGTGTACAGTGCCTGATTGGAAGAGACATGAGAAATTGACAAATGGCCTGAACAAACTATAGATGAGGTAGAAAAATGGGTTGGTCGGATCTGGGAGGGCTTCAAGAGGAAAATTCTTCACAGCCTGAAGAGCAGGTGGTAGCACCAGGGGGTGGAGGAGTGAGACACATGGGGGCGAGGGATTGGGGTGAGAAGAGCATTCCTGAGTAGAACCTCAAAAGCAAAACCTCAGAGTGAAGAAAGTAGAAGACAGTTTTTTTTTCCTTTGTTGCCTGGGCTGGAGTGCAGTGGTGTGATCTCGGCTCACTGCAACCTCCACCTCCCAGGTTCAAGCGATTCTCCTGCCTAAGCCTCCTGAGTAGCTGGGACCACAGGCACGTGCCACCACGACTGGCTAATTTTTTTGCATTTTTAGTAGAGATGGAGTTTCACTGTGTTAGCCAGGATGGTCTCGAACTCCTGACCTCGTGATCCACTTGCCTTGGCCTCCCAAAGTGCTGGGATTACAGGCGTGAGCCACCGTGCCCGTCCGGAAGACAATTTTTTTTATGTATAAGTTTGTTTTGGATTTTTAGTTTCTTGAAATATTTACTTATTGACTCTAAATGGACTTATTATATTGGTAGATCTGCAAGAGAGTACTATTATTTTTAAAATACAGGAAAAAGGCAACTTTTTTTATCAGACCAGAGTGGCTGGAATGGAATGTTCTGGAAGGTGGGCAGCTGGCAGCAGGATTGAGTAAATTCCTTTGAACCAGACCGTGGTAGACCCAGTAACCAGGTCAAATAACAAAATGTTTTTCTAGGGCGAGATGTTGTTTTCATGAAAACGTAGCATTGCTACATGTTTTGTTCATGCCCAAGTGTGCTGTCTGTGAAAAAATAAATTGCTTATTTATTTTTTGAATATGCATATGTTAACAAAATTCCAAAAGACACAAAAAGGTATGTAGCCCCAATTAAGTCTCCTGCTCACCCCTGCCCCCTGGCAAACCAGTTCTTTATTCTAAGACAATTTAGCAGTTTTTGTTAGGAGTTTTTGTTATATGCTATTTGCCAACAACTAAAAGGTCTCTGGGCTTAGAAAGAGCCAGTATTATCTGCATCATTTCGAGTTGTGCTCAGTTTTAAAATTCTAGTCCTCAACTGCAGCCCAAAGCCAGCACTGTGTCAAGTGAACACTGGTTGCAAGAATTGTCAACACTGCCCATGTGACATTTATTTATTTATTTTGAGATAGAGTTTCACTCTTGTTGTCCAGGCTGGAGTGCAATGGCGCAATCTAGGCTCACTGCAACCTCCACCTACTTGGTTCAAGCGACTCTCCTGCCTCAACCTCCCAAGTAGCTGGGATTACAGGTGCCTGCCACCACGCCTGGCTAGTGTTTGTATTTTTAGTAGATACAGGGTTTTGTCATGTTGACCAGCTGGTCTCGAACTCCTGGCCTCAGGTGATTCACCCATGTTGGCCTCCCAAAGTGCTGAGATTACAGGTGTGAGCCACCGCGCCCGGCCAATGCAGCATTTAGTACATAAGTGCATGAGATTCTTTTGGGCTTTTGGGTTCTAAGGCACAGAACATAGTCAAATCATTTCAGGCCCAAAAAGGAGCTGTTGCCTTGTAAAGAGATCTCACAGAATCCGAGGAAAGAAATCAAAATACAAGCAGTCTCTGGGGAATGTGTCTGGGCATGACAAACTGAAGCCTGTCTTCTCTTTCTCTTTCTGATTGTGTGCTGTGGGTTTGTGCAATTCATCTCTTTGTGCAGATTAGCCCTCTTTTTGTTGTTGAAAATAGTTTGCCCTCTTCCCTAAATCGATACGACCTTTCAGCTCTAGTGCTCACCACCCCTGTTGGCAAAAACTTCTATGCCTTTTAGCTCAAATTCTTGTGAGAATTGGATTGTACCAGTTTGTCTCCCTGAGCCGGGCCACACACAAGCAATGGCTTACACTGGCTGGCTTTGGTCACATGTCCCTCCCTGGTCCCCTGAGCTGTTATTTGAGCAGGAGCAAGGGAAGGTCAAATGGCAGGTTAGAGGTCCCTTTCAGGCAGTTCAGAATTACCCTTTTGACCTTATCTTGTTTCCACTGCTGTGTGTAACCTCCTTAAGGACAAAGACCCTGAGGGTGTCTAGCTTGGCACTGAACACATAGTTTGATGCGCAGCAAATATTTGTTAGTTTTATTGATTTTTGCCCCCCTCTTGGAAAACACTATCCTTCAGAAAGGACTGAAAAGTCTGCATTTTAGATATTTATTCAACTGCCATTAAAGGAGTGTGGTGAAGCAGATAGGACTCAAAAATCAGTTACTGCCAGGAGGTAATGATTTGGAGCTGTGTGTTCCTCTTTTGAACAGGATCAATAGATTATTTTCATTAGAAACACAAGGCAAAAAAATAATAATCACACAGAGGCAGAGCAGCTATAGCCTGGGATATGTCCTTTAGACAGAATTTAACCATATGTCTACTCAGCGTCCTGAAAGTGTGACAGAGTAATAAACTCTTTTTTTTTGAGACAGAATCTCGCACTGTCACCCGGGCTGGAGTGCAATGGCGTGATCTCAGCTCACTGCAACCTCTGCCTGCTGGGTTCAAGCAATTCTCCTGCCTCAGCATCCCAAGTAGCTGGGATTACAGGCACCCGCCACCACATCTGGCTAATTTTTTGTATTTTTAGTAGAGAGGGGGTTTCACTATGTTGGCCAGGCTGGTCTCGAACTCCTGACCTTGTGATCCACCCACCTCGGCCTCCCAAAGTGCTAGGATTTCAGGCATGAGCCACCGTGCCCAGCCCAAGTAATAAACTCTTAATTGGAATATCTTGGAGGTGGCCAGCCCTAGTGAGTGAAAATTGTGAAATTATGACAAGCATTTAGCCAAGTACAAGGCCTACTTTAATGACTAGATAAGAATCTTTGATAAGAGTAGAATGTTTACATGCAAATGATGCTGATAATGTGATTGTCAAGTATCCAGAGTTAATTTTCTTTCATTTTTTTTTTTTTTTTTGAGACAGAGTCTCGCTCTGTCTCCCAGGCTGGAGTGCAGTGGCGCAATCTCGGCTCACTGCAAGCTCCGCCTCCTGAGTTCACACCATTCTCCTGCCTCAGCCTCCTGAGCAGCTGGGATTACAGGCACCTGCCACCACGCCTGGCTAATTTTTTGTATTTTTAGTAGAGATGGGGTTTCACCATGTTAGCCAGGATGGTCTCAATCTCTAACCTCGTGATCCACCTGCCTTGGCCTCCCAAAGTGCTGGGATTATAGGTGTGAGCCACCACGCCCGGCCAGTTAATTTTCTTAGGTAGATTCAACATCCCTTTTCCGATTTTGTTAGAATTGATCATTTCATTTGCAAACATATTTCTAAAATCGCTACTAATTTCAGAAGAGCTGATTCTGGATGTGTCTTTTATTGGCTTACAAAAATTTACCATCTACTTGTGAATATATAATTGCCAAAAATTGGGTTAAATTTGAATTGTTTTCTTGGGGAAAATCTTAGACAAGGGATGACTGAAGCACTTATGTTCTGCTAAGGTAAATATATGTGCATCATTTACATTTGGTACATAAACAAGAAGTGTTATCTGGCCAGGTGTGGTGGCTCATGCCTGCAATTCCAGCAGTTTGGGAGGCCAAGGTGGAAGGATTGCTTGAGGCCAAGAGTTGGAGACCAGCTGGGCAACATAGCAAGACCTCGTCTCTACAACACAAAAAAACTAGCCAGGTGTGGTGGCACACACCTGTAGTCCCAACTACTCAGGGGGCAGAGGCTGGAGGACCACTTGAGCCCAGGAGATCGAGGCTGTAGTGAACTATGATGACAGGTTTCGCCATGTTGACCAGGCTGGTCTCAAACTCCTGACCCCAGGTGATTCACCCACCTCAGCCTCCCAAAGTGCTGGGATTATAGGTGTGAGCCACCGCAATTCAGTCTGGATGACAGAGCAAGACCCCAGTATTAAAAAAAACAAAGTCATTTGTCGGGAAGCACTAGAAAATGGGATTTTGGAAATCAAAGTCTGGACATGGAACAAAGGTAACCAGAATAATCTCTCAGCCTGACTTTACCTTATCAGGAAGTGGAGAGTGTCCATCCCTTTGACCCAAGCAGGCCTTGTGACTACTTTAATAAAGAGGGCACAGAAAAAATGACTCTGGGTCAGTTCAGACATAGCTTTTTGCTGGCCTGGCAGCTTCCAGTTCCTGCCTCTTGGAAGCCATCTGCCTTAGAAGTGTGTTCACCATTAGGTCTCTGTGTAGTAAAAAGTCCAAGCCACGTGGAGAGGCCTGGAAGATGTGGCACCTGTAGAGTGATGGAGGCCAAGGAGTACTAAGGCACCATACATGAGGGTGAGGAAGCCCTCTTGGAAGCGGGTCCTCCAGTCCTCTCCTGCCCAGCTTGTGACATGGAGAGCAGAGATGCACCATCAGCCGAGACTTTCTGACCTACAACATCAACAGCAGCTTAAATAGCGGTTTTAACTGTTAGGGTCATAAGTCACTTTTTTCTTCTAGGCCTCTATTGGTTCATCAGAAAAAGGACAGTGGTACCTTTTTCTCTGTTTCATAGGGTTGGTGTCAGATTTATCATGAGGTCATGCTGAGATAACAAGTGTGAAAGCTGTTTTGTAGGTTAAGAATGCTAAGAAATGGAGCACAGTGGGTAGGCTCAAAACATGTGACTTAGCCACATGTGGTGGTACGCCCCTGTAGCCTCAACTACTTGGGAGGCTGGGGCAAGAGGATCACTTGTGTTGAGGGGTTGGAGATGGCAGTGAACTATGATTGCACCACTGTACTCCAGCCTGGGTGACAGAATGAGACCCTGTCTCAAAACCAAACCAAACCAAACCAAAACAAAATATTTTGATTAAAAAAAAATTGTTTTTTCAGATGGAGCCTCGCTCTGTTGCCCAGGCTGGAGTGCAGTGGCACAATCTAAGCTCACTGCAAACTTCACCTCCTGAGTTCAAGCAATTTTCCTGTTTCAGCTTCCCATGTAGTTGGGACTACAGGCACATGCCACCATGTCCAGCTAATTTTTGTATTTTTAGTAGAGACAAGGTTTCACCATGTCGGCCAGGCTGGTTTTGAACTCCTGACCTCAGGTGATCCACGTGCCTCAGCCTCCCAAAGTGCTGGGATTGCAGGTATGAGCAACTGCGTCCGGCAAAATTTTTTTTTAAATGTGATGTGTCCCAGTGTGTACGTGGAATGTGACAGATGCTGATTGTTCCTATGATCACAGCTCTTGAAGCCCCTGGTATCATCTATCATTGGTCCTCAGGTTCCCTTACTGACTCCTATTCTATGTTTATCTTTTTTCAAAAAAATATTTCTTTTAGAGACAGGGTTTCCTTCTGTAACTCTGTCTGGAGTTTAGTGGTGCAATCATAGCCCAGTGCAGCCCTGACCTCCTAGACTCAAGTGATCCTCCCCTTCTTAGCCTCCTAGGTAGCTAGGACTACAGATGTGAACACCACCACCCCTGGGTAATTAAAAAAAATGTTTAGAGGTGGGGTCTCACTATTGCCCAGGCTGGTCTCGAACTACTGACCTCAAGTGGTTCTCCTGCCTCAGCCTCCTGAGTAGCTGGGACTCTAGGTGTGTACCACCACACCTGGCTAATTAAAAAAATTTTTAGGGATGGAGTCTTACTATATTGCCCAGGTTGGTCTCAAACTCCTGGCCTCAAACTGTTCTTTTGATTCTGCCTCCCAAGTAGTTGGGACTACAGGTGTGCACCACCACACCTGGCTAATTAAAAAAACTTTTTTAAGAGATGAGGTCTTATGGTCTTAAACTCCTGGCCTCAAGTGAGTCTCCTGCCTCAGCCTCCCAAGTAGCTGGGACTACAGGTGTGAGCCACCACACCAGTTAGCTTCTATTCTTTAGCCCAGTTACCTGTCATATGTCAGAGGCCCCCAGGGAAGGGTAGAGGAGATCCTGATTCTACAATTCCGTTTTATGATTCTTGTGCTATTGACATACTGGCCACTCCAAAACACAAGGCTCAAGGAAATTGTGAAAGTGTTAATACCGTTGTTCTTCCTAGGGTGATTCCTTTTTTTTTTTTTTTTTTTTTTGAGACGGAGTCTCACTCTGTCGCCCAGGCTGCAGTGCAGTGGTGCGATCTCGGCTCACTGCAAGCTCCGCCTCCCGGGTTCATGCCATTCTCCTGCCTCAGCCTTCCGAGTAGCTGGGACTACAGGCACCTGCCACCACACCTGGCTAATTTTTTAATATTATTTTTTTTAGCAGAGACGGGGTTTCACCGTGTTAGCCAGGATGGTCTCAATCTCCTGACCTGGTGATCCGCCTGCCTTGGCCTCCCAAAGTGCTGGGAATACAGGCATGAGCCACTGCAACCGGCTGGGTGATTCCTCTTATTTTAATTTAGACTTGATTTTTGACTGAATACTTTTCCACATTTATTGCATCTGTAGATTTTTTTTCTGTATGAACTCTCTGATGTTTCCTAGATGTACATTTTAGACAAAATTTTTTCATGTTTATTACATTTGTAGGGGTTCTCTCCTATACAAATTCTCTGCTAAGATGTGAGAAAACATTAATGGTTTTACTACCAACTATTCATTTTACCAACATTTGTAAAGTGTTTCTCCAGTGCAAATACTGTAGTGTTCTCTAAGGTATATGGACAAAGTTCTTTCCAAATTCCTTACATGTATAAGGTTTCTATCCAGTATTAATTCTCTGATGTTGGGTAAGTTGTGAACACCAGTTAAAGGTTCTGCCTCATTTTTTACACTTGCAGCATGTCTCTCTAGCATAAATCTTGTGTGTGTGTGTGGTAAGGTTTGAGCCCACATTAAAAATTTGCCACATTCTTTACATTTTTAGGGTTTCTCTCCAGTATTAATTTTCTGATGTTGAGTAAGACACAAGCATCAGTTAAATGCTTTGTCACACTTATTACATTTGTAGAATTTCTCTTCATGTATGGATTCTCTGGTGTTATGTAAAGTTTGAGTAACAGTGAAAGGCTTTGGCATATGTTTTATGTTTCAATCGTTCCTCTCCAATAAGAATTATCTTATGTCTATTTATATTTGATGACTGACTGAATATTTTCCCACATATTTTGCATCTGTATGCGATTTTTTCCAACATGACTTCTCTGCTGTTGAGTAAGTTTTGAGGACTGGCTCAAAGTTTCACCACATTAATTGCATTTGTAAGGCCCCTGTTGAATATGTATACTCTGATGGATAATAAAGTTTCCACATTGGCAAAAGACTTTCCCACATCTCTCACATTGGTAATGATTCCCTGGAAAGTTAGTACTTTAATGTTTACTAGAATTTGACCTTGGTTAAAGATTTTCCGGCCGGGCGCGGTGGCTCACGCCTGTAATCCCAGCACTTTGGGAGGCCGAGGCGGGTGGATCATGAGGTCAGGAGATCGAGACCATCCTGGCTAACAAGGTGAAACCCCGTCTCTACTAAAAATACAAAAAATTAGCCGGGCGCGGTGGCGGGCGCCTGTAGTCCCAGCTACTCGGGAGGCTGAGGCAGGAGAATGGCGTGAACCCGGGAAGCGGAGCTTGCAGTGAGCCGAGATTGCGCCACTGCAGTCCGCAGTCCGGCCTGGGCGACAGAGCGAGACTCCGTCTCAAAAAAAAAAAAAAAAAAAGATTTTCCAAGTTTCATTACAATTGTTATGTTTCCAAAATTGATGTTAATATTTACTTTAAAAAATATGGTTCTGGTCGGGTGTGGTGGCTCATGCCTGTAATCCCAGCAGTTTGGGAGGCTGAGGCAGGTGGATCATGAAGTCAGGAGTTCAAGACCAACCTGGCCAAGATGGTGAAACCCCATCTCTACTGAAAATACAAAAATTAGCCAGGTGTGGTGGTGGGTGCCTGTAATCCCAGCTACTCGGGAGGCTATGGCAGAGAATTGCTTGAACCCGGGAGGCGGAGGTTGCAGTGAGCTGAGATCGCACCACTGCACTCCAGCCTGAGCGACAGAGCAAGACTCCATCTCAAAAAACAAAACAAAACAAAAAATTATTATATATATGGTTTTGTAGAAGTAGCTAACATAAACCGAGTTTTTTCTGAGATGCTCTATATTCCTAATTTTCTTTGGCAGTTAAATTTTTGTTATTGTAGTTGTTGCACATTGGTTATCTATATTATAACCTTAGGATGCTAATTTCTTCCCTTCCCCGGAATGGGCTATGTCATCACTCAGGGCTTTGTCCTTCACATGCTCCCTCTCTTTGCAACTGATGTCACAAAGTTCTGCTGACATACTCTGTGACACAGCTGTTTGGAACTTACCTTATGGCCCCATTCTGAGCTGCTAGCTCCCATCTCCCCACCCAGGAAGCAGCTCCTATGGCCGATCCCCAAGTGCAGGGGTCTCTGGGCTTCTGTCTTCCCTGATAAGCCCACACATGGGAGACAGAGAGCTCAGGGTGGGACTTGGGCTTCTTTCAGAATGAGTCTGTGCCATAGGGCTGCACCTCAGCCTTAAGGACATGCTCAAAATGCCCATCTCTATATGTTGAATCAAGGACCTCTGGGGCAGACTGACTGACTGAAGTGAGGGTCATGCTTGTAAGTCTTGAAGACTTTTCATCAAACTTTCTGTTAAAATCTAAGATCAAAAGCAACTACTATCCAAAATATCAGGGTTTGCTGCCAATGAACGGAATGACTTGGAGGAAGAACAACTCATTACTGCTGGGCCTGAGGAACAGGCTGGAAGGGAGCGGACTTCACCAGGGACTTTCCACAGGTGACCCTGGTTCTGCAGTGATAGAAGCTCCTATACCCTAAGCTGTAAAATTATTCAGAAAGATCAAGGATAATGTGTCTACATTTTACCTTGAAACTGGCTGACAATTTACTTCTGGGGATTATTTATTTTCTCTCTTCTCTAATGAATTTATAACCTATTATATCTTTTTTTTTTCTTTTCTGAAAATCACAGTATTTTTAAAAGACAGTTGCAGGAAAGAACCATGACTTTCTATCAGAGTGCTTGTTACAAGTCCACTCTTCTAGTTTGTGAAAATGTGCCACTTGCCAATGTTTTTTGTTTCGTTTTTTTTGTTTTGTTTTTTGGATGGAGTCTCCCTCTGTCGCCCGAGCTAGAGTGCAGTGGTGCCACCTCGGCTCACTGCAACGTCCACCTTCCGAATTCAAGTGATTCTCCTGCCTAAGCCTCCCCAGTAGCTGGGATTACAGGTGCCCACTGCCATGCCCAGCTAATTTTTGTACTTTTAGTAGAGACGGGGTTTCACCACGTTGGCCAGGCTGGTCTCGCTCTCCTGACCTCAAGTGATTCACCTGTCTCAGCCTCCCACCAATGTTCAGTTCTTATCCTTTCTCTTTCTCAGTTCTTGTCCTTCTTCTTGTAAGTTTTTTGAACATGCCAGTGAAAAAGCAGTTCAGCCATTTGGTGAAAGAAATTTCCATTTACCAACATAGGAAGAGTTCATATTCACAGACTCCAAACATAGATAGAGTCAGCCCTCCTCATTCACGGTTTCTGCAATCCTGGATTCAAAAGATGTAAATCAAAAATATTTCTTATAAAGCATCTCTACTAAACATGTACAGACTTTTTTCTTTATGTTATTTCTTAAACAATAAAGCATAACAATTTAGGTATTACAAGTAATCTAGAGATTATTTAAAGTATGCAGGAGTATATGCATTGGTTATATGTAAATACTATGCCACTTTATAAAAGGAGCTTATGCATCCATGCATTTTGGTATCCAAGAAGAATCCTGGAACAAATGCCCTAGGAAGAGCAAAGGAATATGGTAAAATGTGTACAATGTTCATAATAATCTAGCTGTTCACTACAACAGATTGATAAAATGAATAATGGACTCAGACTTCCCTTGGCCTGTATGGCTTGGCTGGCAGCCTCTGAGATGCAGCCCTTTTCTACCAAGATGTGCATTAAGGCTACCATGTACAGTTGAGAGTCAGATGGCTCTTCACCAAAAACAGATCACATACTAATTTTAACACATTCCAGCCTCCTAAGAGTGTCCTGTTGAGAGGCATGCCATCTTGATGCAGGAGAGAATTCGTTAGCAAGCTATGGCAAACATCTGATTCCATGTACTTCCTATGTACCTACAATTGCATATAATGAGAAATTAGATAATTTATCAAAACTGGCCTTTACTTTTAAAAATGTTTCTTATTAATTTTGGTTGAAGAAGAGAGAAGACACAATGTTAATGCCAGAAGTGAAAGAGGAGTTATCATTACTGATCCTAGGAACGATTAAATAAAAATAAGGAAATACTATGAACCACTAGTAAAGTATACCAAACATTTAAGGAAGAAATTGTCCCAATTATCTACAGTCTCTTCAGAAAACAGATGCAGAGTTAATACTTTCAAACTCATTCTCTGAGGCTGTCAGTACCATAATACCAAATCTAGACAAAGGTATTACAAGAAGAAGAAGAAAACAGAACAATATTTCACATGAACAAAGATGTGAAAACCCTCAATAAAATAGGAAACCAAACCTAAAAATGTATAAAAAGAATTATATAACACAACCCAGTGAGATTCATTACAGGCAAACAAGGTGGGTACAACATTTGAAAATAAATTAGGCTGGGTGTGGTGGCTCATACTTGCAACCCCAGTCTATTAGAAGGCCAAGGCAGGAAAATCACTTGAGGAAAGAAGTTCAAGACAAGCCTGGGCAACGTAGCAAGATTCTGTTTATATTTACAAAAGAAAAGAAATTAATTAGTTCATCATATTAATATGTTAAAGAAAAATTATATGACCTTATTTGTACATGCAGAAAAATCATTTGACAAAATCAAAACCTATTCATCAGAAAAACTCTCTGAAAACTAGAAATAGAGGGAAGCTTCTTTTATTTAACAAAGAATATCTACAAAAACCCTGCATCTATGCTCATACTAAATGTTGAAACATTAGCTGCCTTCCTGCTAAGATCAGGAGCAAGGCAAATATGTTTCCTGTCACCATTTTTATATAACATCATACTATAAGGCCTAGTTAATGCAATAAGACAAGAAAAGAAAAGGTACATAGATTGGAAAAGAAAAAATAAAACTGCCTTTTTTCACAGATGATATAATTGCCTATGCAGAAATCCCAAAGGATCACAAAACAAAACTCTTAGAATAACCAACTATAATCAGCAATTATAGCAACTTTGCAGAATGCAAGATTAATATAAAACCATCAGTTGCTTTTCTACATATTAGTAATATAATTAGAATTTTTAATTAACACAATGGCGTTTACACTAGCACCAATAACAATAAAACACTTAGTTACAAATCTAACAAAATTAATGTAAGATCTATATGAAGAAAACTGTGTTTTAAAATGTCAAAGATCTAAATAACTAGAGTGATAATCCACAATCAAGAACAGAAAGATTAAACCTTGTTAAAATATCAGTATTTCCCAACTTCATCAGCATATTCAATGCAATCCCAATCAAAATTACACAAAGTTAGTTTGTGTATATTGACACACTGACTATACAGTTTAAATGGAAAGGCAAAGGACCAAGAATAGTCAAGAAAATATTTAAAAGAACAGTTAAAGGAATGACACTATCCAACTTTAAGAACTACTGTAAAGCTACAGTAATGAAAGCAATGTGATAATGGTCAAAGAGTAGAGAAACAGATCAATGGAAAAAAAAGAGAAAGCTCAGAAATTGACCCACACTAATATAGTCAGCTTATCTTTGAGGAAAGAGCAAAGGGAATTTGATTGAGAAAAAATGATTTTTCAACAAGCAGTCCTGGAAAAACTGGACATCCACATACATGATGGAAAAAATGGGGAAAAAAATCCCCAAACCCAGACTTTACAACTTTTACAAAGATTACTCAAAATGGATCACAGACCTATATAAAATGAAGAACTACAACACTCCTGGAAGATAACATAGAGCAGAATCTCAATTACCTTGGGTTTGCCTCCTTTAATACAACACCAAAAACATAATTGATGAAAGAAAAAAACTGCTAAGTTGGACTATATTAAAAATAACATTTCTTCACTACAAAAGACACTGTTAAAAGAATAAAAAGACAAGTCACAGAATGGGAGAAACGATTTGCAAAACACATAACTAATAAAAGACTGGTATCCAAAATATGCAAAAAGAAAAAAAATGCTCTTAAAACTCAAGAATAAGAAATTAACAACCCAATATAAAATAGCAAAAGGTCCAAAAATATACCTTTCTAAAGAACATATAAGCATGGCAAATAAGCATGCAAAAAGATGCTCAGCACCATATACCATTAGGGCATTAAAATTTAAAATAGCAATGACATACTGTCACACACATATTGGTATAGCTAAAATCCCAAACACTCACTACACTAAATGCTGGTGATGATGTAGAGTAACAAGAGCTCTCATTTATTGCTGGTGAATATGCAAAGTGCTGTGACCAGTTTGGAAGACAGTTTGCCAGTTTCTTACAGAGCTAAATATACACTTACATACAATCCAGCAATCATACTTACTGGCCTTCATTCAAAAGAGGTGAAAATTTGCATCTACACAAAAATCCATAAATGAATATAGAGCAGCTTCATATGTAATTGCCAAAACATGCAACAGACTAAGATCCCTTTCAATAGGTGAATGAATAAACTAACTCTGGCGCAACCATACAACAGAACATCATTCACTGATAAAGAAATGAGCGTCCAGCCTTGAAAAGACATGAAGAACCTTAAATGCACATGGCTAAGTAAAAGAAGCCAGTCTGAAAAGGCTACATACTATATGATTCCAACCATTTGACATTCTGTGCAAGGCAAAACCATGCAGAGAGAAAACAGATCTGTGGTTACCAGAAGTTTGAGAGGAAGAAGGGAGTGGCGAATAGGTGGAGGACAGCGAATATTTTAAGACAATAAAACTATTCTTTATAATGCAGTGATGGTGAATACGTGTTATGTCATTATGCTTTTGTCAAAATCCACAGAATGTAAAACAGAAGACATGAATCCTAATGCAAACTATGAATTTTAGTTAATAGTACTTTTCTTCTTTAAAATTTATTTCCATAGGTGATTGGAAAACAGGTGGTGTTTGGAGATGTACGTTTTTAGTGGTGACTTGTGAGATTTTGGTGCACCCATCACCCAAGCTGTATACACTGCATCCACTTTATAGTCTTTTATTCCTCACCCACTTCCCACCCAATAATAACTTCTCTATATTAGTTCATTAACAGTAAACAAATGCACAACACTGATGCGAGATGTTAATAATAGAGGAGAAGCTGGGTGGGGGAGAGAATACATGGAAACTCTGTACTTTCCACTCAATGTTTATGTAATTTTAATACTTATCTAAAAAACAAAATATATTAAGTATCCCAATGAGGACTATCAAATGTAGAACAGAATTAAAAATTATACTATGTTTACATAATTGAATATAGTATCATGTAGCAATTAAAATAAATAAATTCAGATGTTAAATGTCATCTCCATTACGGTAATCACAAAGAAAAGCTACAGAATATACACAAAGAAAAATAAAGGTTAAAATGTTTCACTAAAAGAAACCAAACAAACACAAAAGAAGAAAGTAATGTAGAAAATATCAAGTAAAAAGCTGTAAGGTATACCAAACACAAATAGCAAAGTGGTAGAAGTCAACAGAAAAGAAAAAGAAAAAGAAAAGCAGTGGCTCATGTCTGTAATCTCTGCACTTTGAGAGGCTGAGGCAGGTGGATCACCTGAGGTCAGGAGTTCAAGACAAGCCTGGCCAACATGGTGAAACCCCATCTCTACTAAAAATACAAAAATTAGCCAGGCGTGGTGGCAGGCACCTGTAATCTCAGCTACTTGGGAGGTTGAAGCAGGAGAATTGCTTGAACCCGGGAGGTGGAGGTTGCAGTGAGCCAAGATCACGACACTGCACTCCAGCCTGGGTAACAGACCGAGACTCTGTCAAATAAAAAAATTAAAAAAAAAGAGAGAGAGATCAGTTTTAATCCCATTCCATGATGCCAGCACTACCCTATACCAAAGCCAGACAAAGATACTACAGAAAACTACAGATTATTTGTTCCTAAAGAAACGCTGATGCAAAATTCCTCAGCAAAATTATAGCAAACAAAATTCAGCAGCATATTAGAAAGATTATACACTAGGACCAAGTGGGGTTTATTCTTGGAATGCAAGCCTGTTTTGGCATATGAATGTTTTTAACATACAAAAATTGGTCAACACATACACATTAAAAAAAGAAAGGAAAAAATGATCACCTTCTGGATACAGAAAAAAAGGATTTTGTAAAATTCAAAATTTTTTCATGGTGAAAACACTCAACAAATTAGGATAAAAAAAAACACTATCATCGTGAAATCCACATATTAAAAACCAACAGCAAACAATGTCCTTCAGGGTAAAAGACCTAATGCAATTAAACAAGAAAATGTAATAAATAAATGTTATAGAGATTGAGATTAATAAAAAAAGACAGAAAGCTTTTCCTCTAAGCTCAGGAACAAGGCAAATGTGCCTTCTTTTGCCATTTCTATTCTCCATAGTATTAAAAGTTCTAGTTAGAGCAATTAAGAATTAAAAAGAAATAAACCGCATCCAAATTGGAATGGTAGAGGTAAAATTAACCCTGCTTACTGATAATATAATTTTATGCGGAAAACTCTAGAGATTTAACGCATTCACACAAAACATATTACAACTAATAAATTCAGCAGAGTAGCAGCATACAAAATCGACATACAAAAATCGCTTGTGTTTCTACACAGTAATAATGAATAATCTGAAAAAGAAACTAAGCAAACAATCCCACTTACAATAGCATCCAAAAGAATAAAATCCTTAGAAGTAACCAAGAAGGTAAAAATCCCAAAGACTCTTTTGCAGTAATAGAGAAATCCTGCCTAAATTTCATATGGAATCTCAAGGGACCCTGAATAGTCAAAACAATCTTGAAAAAGAAGAGCGCTGTTAAAAAATTCATACTTACTCATTTCAAAACCTACTACAGAGTTCCAAAATAGTGTGGTACTGGCATAGAGACACACATATGGACAAACAGAATAGCAAACAGCTTATAAATAACCCCTCATTTATATGGTCAAATGATATTTGATGGGGATGTAAAGATCATTGAATGGGAAAGGACTGTCTTTACAACAATTGGTGCTGGGGAAGTTGGATATCCATACATGCAAAATTATGCATTTGGTTCTTTACCCTACACCATAAACAAATAAAAATGGATCAAAGACCTAAATGTAAGAGCTTAAACTACAAAATTTTTGAAGAAAATACAGGTAGAAAACATCTTGACATTGTGTTTGGCAATGATTTCTAGGATAGGACACCCAAAGCACAAGCAACAAGAGAAAAATAAAGACAAATTGGACTTTATGAAAATAAAATAAAACTTTTACACATTAAAGGATATTATCAACAATATTGCAAAGCAATGCACAGCATGGGAAAATATTTGCACATCATACATCTGATAAGAGATTAATACCTGGAATATATAAAGAACTGCTATAACTAAACAACAACAAAAAAAAACTACCTCATTCAAAAATGGGCAAAGGACTTGAACAGACATTTCTTAAAGATGGTGTAAAATGGCCAAAAAGCATATGAAAATATACTCGAGAGAACTAATTATTAGCAAAATGCAAATCAAGCCTACAATGAGCTATCTCTTCACATCCATTAGGATAGCCACTATCAAAAAACAGAAAATAACAGTGTTGATGAGGATGTGGAGTGATTAGAAACCTAGTAAGCTATTGGTGGGCAAGTACAATGTCGCACCTGCCATGAGAATCACCAAGCGCAGTGGCTTACATCTGTAATCCCAGCACTTTGGGAGACCGAGGTGGGTGGATCACGAGTTCAGGAGTTTGAGACCAGCCTGGCCAACATGGTGAAACCCCGTCTCTAATAAAAATACAAAAAAATTAGCCAGGCATGGTGGTGCACGCCTGTAATCCCAGCTACTCAGGAGGCTGAGGCAGAAGAATCACTTGAACACAGGAGGCGGAGGTTGCAGTGAGCTGAGATCACACCACTGCACTCCAGCCTGAGCAACAGAGCAAGACTCCATCTCAGAAAAACAAACAAACAAACAAATACAATTACACTTATAATTACCTTATAATCCAGCAATCTTGCTTCTGGGATATACTCAAAAAGATATGAAAGCAGGCACACAAAGAGATATACATACACCTAGGTTCCTAGCAGCATTATTCACAATAGCTAAAAGGTGAAACAATCAAAGCTTTCCTTGAATCATCAACATCAATAAATACGTAGGTAAACAAAATGTGTTTTTACATGCAGTGGAATATTATTCACTTAGCAAAAGTAAGAAAATTCTGATACATGCTACAACATAGATAAACCTTAAGGACATTGTGCTAAGTACAATAAACCAGTCACAAAATGACAAACACTGTATGATTCCACTCACGTGAGGTAT
This sequence comes from Homo sapiens, assembly GCF_000001405.40. NCBI lineage: Eukaryota > Metazoa > Chordata > Mammalia > Primates > Hominidae > Homo > Homo sapiens. The sequence goes on from NC_000007.14 coordinate 56,535,336, forward strand.
TTAGGGTAATTAAATTCATAGAAACACAAAGTAGAAGAGTGGTTCCTATGGGCTAGAGGGAGGGTAACTGGGAGCTGTTGCTTAATCAGCACAGAGACTCAGTTTTGCAAGATAAAAAATGTTCCCTATAGATGGGGATGGTGGTTGCAAAACAATGTGAATGTATTTAATTCCTGCACACTTCACACTTAAAAATGGTTAAAGTGGTTAATTTTATGTATATTTTACCACAGTGTAAACAATGCTTTTTAAAGTGTACAAATTATAGCAATCTGCAACAGCAAAGATGAATATCACAAACATAATGACATGTAAAAGAAAGTAGGTGTAAAAGTATCCATACTATATTATTTCATTTATATAAAATCCAGTAAGCAAACAAAACTAAGGTTCTGGCTTCCAGTAGTACTGGAGTATTGTTGAACTAACACTCTCACATGTAACTGTGACAAAATCTGCATAGTATATACAGTTACATAGAATCACACATCTATATAAAATACATATATGTGCATAAGAACTGAATGAGGATTTCAGCTGTGCCCACTGCAGGAGAGACAGGTATTGCAGTTTGAATCCAGCCAAATTAACCCCTTCTTCAAATAATAACAATGCTCTTCAAAAGAATACAGCAGAATTTAGAGTCTCTATAACCACCAGAAACTCATAGAACACATTAAAATTCATGAAATGTGTGAAGAAAGATGAAAATGTAATGTATACACAAGATAAAAAGCAACATGATGTAATCAGATCAGCAGACAAGGATTTAAAATCAGCTCTTATGAGTATGTTCATGAGAGTAAAGGAAAATATTCTCATAATGAATTAACTGATGTGGAACCTCAGCAGAGAAATGAAAATTATAAGAAGAACCAAATAGAAAAATAATGAAATGGAAAACACGCACACACACACACGCACACACACCCTTGAGCTTATCCACAGAGTAGAAACAGAAGACAGCAATAGAAATCATCCAACATGAAACATGTTTGAAGAAAATGAACAGAGCCTTTAGAGACTTGTGGAGTGACTGAGTCTGAGAAGAAGAGGAAGACACAGAAAAATTAAATATGGTACAAAAGTAAAGAAACTACTAATAGCAGAAAACTTACAAGATGTGGTCAAAAACCCCAATTTTTATATCCAAAAGGTGAACACACCCCAAAAAGAAAATACACCTAAAACCATACCCAGGACATGTTGTGATTTAGGAAACTGCCAGGGCAGCATTTTCAGGTAACTTGCTATGATTTCTCATTTGTAATATTTATAATAATGGAAAATATGTTCTCCTTAGAGTTTTCTTCTGAAGAAAGTCTGATAGTTCAGGCGTAGATGACTTTCCAGTCTAGTTTTCGAGGTTTAATTTCTCACCTTGAAAATCAATTAAATGTGTTTCTTCAAAATCTTGCAGTAAAATTGATGCTCCAGAAAGATGTCCACGGAGATTCTGCTCTTGTGCATCCGCCCTGCACAGATCTGAGGCTGGGCCTATAACAGCTTCAGGAGCATGTAGCCGTGGAGTACTTAAGAGTTAATCTGAAAAACTAAAAGGAAAAATGAATTAAGGGAATTACCACGGTTAAGTTCCACCAGCAAATTATTAAAAGTGGTCCAAAGGGATACTTAAAAAGGATTAATAAAAGAGTTTTCTCATTTGTAGAATCCTAGCCCATGACTTAATGTTGAGGTTTGCTTTGTCTTTTACATTAACATGTACGCAGAACATTTTTCATGACCTCACCACACAAACTTCCCTCATGTGTTGGGAGGGACCAAGGGGCCCTCTGGTCCTGCACCTGCATTAATTACGGCCGGGAGGTCCACACTAGGACCCGAAGGCCTGGGAACCAGCCTGGGTGGGGGCAGAGAAGTGGTGGATGTTGCTCCCAAAGCGACTTAGGGGCTCCCTTCCTGGTGGCTGTTTCCTGACTGGATGCAGCAGGGTCAGGCCTTTTCCCTGTGACATTTTCTTCTTTTTATTACAGCGGCAGGAGCGTCCCTGTGAGGGTCGTGACCCAGGTGTGGGCCATGCAGCCAACCCGAGGTCCAAGGGGCGTCCTGGGGAGCATAGGTTGATTTGTGACAGCTTGGAGAGATAGAGCTAAATTTAGGTGACCTTGAAATAGAAGTGTCAGGTTACCAGGGACTAGGTGTTTTCACGTCAGGCAGTGAACTGATCGTTTCAGACACTCAGGAGAGAGAATCCCACACGGGATCGAAAGACGCCAGAGAACTGCCAGGCCCGTGGGCCTTAAGTCCCAGCCATAGGGAAGGGCTGCACTGAGCACGTCCGAAGGGGCATAGAAACGGATGGGCGAGAAGAAAGCGCAGGGCCGAGGGGAGAGGCAGGAAGGGAAAGTAGGGGTGCGCCAAGTTCCGGGAGGACAAGCGTTACTATGGCAACCCTACTGAATAGACTGAATAGAGGCGACCACTTGCTGGTCTGCGGGAAATCGAGCTTTCAAAACAAGTCCTGAAGCAGGAATGCTGGGGAACGAGATGTCACAATTACCAGGTGAGACCAGCGGCCCTGCTCAAGCTGTCTCCTGACAGGCAGGAAAGGTTTGGAAACAGCCAAGCTCCCCCACCCACCGCCAAACGACACGGGACGCCTGGAGGGACGCGGAGGAGGAGGGACCTCTGCTCGATGTATCTGTATCTGAGAGCTGTAGTCTCTTATTCGCTCGCAGCTGTAGTCTCTTACTTGCTCACAGGGCTGCCTGACTACAATCCCAGCATAAACCAGGATTGGAGGCGGTGCGTGTCCCAGGAGAGAGGGCCAGCGCGGTGCGCGCCTCGCCAGGCATGCTGGGAGGAGTAGTCTCCTAGCCACTTCCGGCCGTTGGTCACAGGTTGCCGGACTACAATCCCAAGCATGCATTGGGATTGGGGATTGCGGATGGAGTTGGTACCTTCAGGGAGGGGCAGTGCGGTGCGCTCCTCACCAGGCATACTGGGAGTAGCAGTGTTTTTGCTTTTTGTTTTTTTTTTTTCTTTTCTTTTTTTCTTTTTTTTTGAGATGGAGTTTTGCTCTTGTCGCCCAGGCTGTAGTGTAATGGCGCGATCTCGGCTCACTGCAACCTCTGCCTACCGGCTTCAAGCGATTCTCTCACCTCAGCCTCCTGAGTAGCTGGGATTACAACTGCCCGCCACCACGCCCGGCTAAGTTTTTTATTTTTAGTACAGACGGGGTTTCACCATGTTGGCCAGGCTAGTCTCGAACTCTTGACCTAAGGACCTCTCAAAGTGGTAGGATTACAGGCGTGAGCCACCGCGCTCGGCGGGGTGTAATAGTTTCTTAACCACTTCTGGCTGTTGGTCTCGGGGCTACCGGACTAGAATCCTAGCATGTGCCTGGTGGTGCGCAGCCCCGGAGGGAGGGGCAGGGCCGTGTGCACCGCTCCGCTTCCAAAGCCATGCTGGACACTGATTCTGCGCCAACCCTGGCTGAGGGGAGCGAGTCCGCAGAGGGACTTGAGGGGCAGGTCTGGGCTGGGCAGTGAGAAGGGTGGCTGCGAAGTGCACCTCGCCTTTGCCCAAATCGGGCAGGTCTCATCCTCACCCCACCTCCTGCTCCTCAGCTCGGTTTCCTCTCCCACCTGCACCCGGGGTCTTTCCAGAGCATCGCGCCTCCTTCAGCCCAGGGAGCCGCCTGCTTTCTTAAGCTGCTGTGGGAACTGGCCTGAGGTCCAGACGCTGTCCATTGTGCTGCTGCCCTCTGCCCTCTCCAACCGGAGCGCAGTTCAGCCGCTCTTGGGAGTATCTGCTGCCTGGCCCGCCGGCGCACGACTTCGGAGCTTTGCAGGGGTGGGCATGGGCTGTGGCTTCCTGGAAAGGTCACCCTCACCAGCACCTTTTCCGTGGATGTGAAAGTTGAGGCATGAGCGGGGTGGCGGGGGTGGGCCGGGGGCCATTATTGGTTTACCCAGGAGATGCAAGAGCAGAGGAGTAACCCTGATTCCCAGGCATGTGTCCTGAGCCAGGGACAGACTGGCCAGACCCTGAGACCCTGGGGCCACCAGAGAGCAGCCTACTCCCCTGGGTTCTGTGCCTAGGTTCTGCCCTGGGTTCTGGGTGAGGGGGGGATGACCCACCGGCTGGTGGTCCTGAGAGGGCCAGCCCATCCCCCTTGGAGAGGGTCTTTGTGCTGATGGATGCCCGCAGAGTCCTGGGCACCAGGGACACTTGCTCCAGGCAAGGGGCCTTCCTGGGGAACGCCACAGATTTGGCTGAAAGGCAAGCAGACTTGGTCAGCTTTTCCACCCAGCCCATCTGGTTCTTGCAAGGCTGAACCCCAGTGTGAGCGCTACCCTCAGGACAGTCGGGATCTGTCCCGCATGTTCCCCACAGCTCCCTCAGGCACACGGGGCAAGATTCTGTGCACCTTGAATACCATGTATGTCCTGGCTGTGAGTATATGCTCATCCTCCAGAAGACAGATGTCCCAGAGCCTCAGGATAAGCCCGAAGGGGGTCTGTGGGGACAGCAGACACGAAAGGACCTGGCCCTTCAAGGCTGGAAGCCAGTGTCCTACTGGGAGCTCAGTCTGTAGTGCCAGGGACCCCTCTGCATAGAGTGAGACTCCCCCCACACACATGAGGCTGGATTAGACAAGATCCTTCAGCTCCTCATAGGGTTGGACTCATCTCAGCAGAATATGGCCTCTGGAAGAAGGGGTCCCCTAAGAATTTGGGGCTTTCCTGGGCTCTTGCAAGATAAGTCTTGGCCCAGTCTGCCCACAATCCTGGCCCTGAGCCTCAGCCTCTGCCATGGGACACCACCTCTCAGGCAGGGCATGGTTGGTGTGTTCTGCAGGGACCTGCCTGTGCCTCCTGCTGGAAGGAGCTGAGTTTTTCTGTGGGAGCCAGAACCTTGGGCCAGGGAAGCCAGGCAGTGTCAGGCAGCAGGATCCCTGGCCTGGGATCTCCCTCTGCATCCTTGTCCCATCAGTCAAGCACTGTGAGCAGTGCTTTAAGGTAGAAATCTGGGTGCAGTGTCTTCTTGTCCTCATGGAAGGAGCAGAGGTGTTCAGAGCCCCCTGGGCTCTCCTGAAAAACTCCCTATTTCAGGCCTCACTGCAGACCCTTCCCAAAGTTAGAACTCCAGGAAATGTCCTGGGCTGTCACTCTCTTCTTTAAGACCCCTACCTTTGCCCTGATGTCTCCCCATTGCCCCTCAGATGCCTCCATCCTTCTAGATTCCCCACTTCCTCTAGGACCCTCTGTTCCCCAAAGGCCTTACTTGATGCTGTAGCACTCCCAGAATATGAAATGGCTTCTCAAAATGTGGTTCATGTCCAGGTCAGTCTAGTTCATTTTCCCCGAGGACATCTTTCTCTGCAAGTTTTTCTTTTTCATTTTCTGAAGGGCAGGACCAAGAGAAGGAACCAGCTTTGGAACAGACACAAGACTCACTGCCACAAAGAGCAATGTGTAACAGTCGGTGCTGGTGGAAAGAAAAGAGGCTTTTTCTCTGCAGAAATTTTTTTTTCTTTTGCTTGTATCTGAAACCAGGGAAGGTCACCAGAGTTCAGTTCACCTGTGGTGACCATGTTACTCTCTGTGCCCAGGATGTGCTACTGGCCCCCTAACCCTCAGCCTCCAGGTGGTGTCCTTGTGGTCAGTGGGCAGTGACCCCTGAGCCACTATCATGAATCTTGGTGGTGGCTTTGGTAAAACGACTGCAGGACAGGGTTTGGGGCCATTCAGCAGGAATTGTGGCCGCTTCCATTGAGGGCATGTCGCCCCCACTCACCACCATTAATGCCCACAGGCCACACACACTGCATCACTGACCACCCATCAGGTCACCCATGGATGGACCAGCCTTCCATGCAGCAGGGACAGGCTCTTACCTTTGCCTCTAGAGCACTGAGAGGCGCAGCTCTGTCTCACTGGAAGGCAGTGAGGAGAGCTGAGGACCTGCACCAGGCTGGGGGCCATCCTCCTTCCCAAGCAGGCCCCAGGGGAGGACCAGCTCCACCTCCAGCCACCCCAGGTCTCAGCCTCCCTGTTGGCTGATACACAGAAAAGGCTGGGAAACGGGAGCAGAGGAAGCACAGAGCTGGGCATATGCTGCTTGAGATTCATGGGACTTCCGGCTACACAGTGGAGCTGCCCCTCCTGGGCTGGAGGCAGCATCCTCTTTGGGAACTGAGAAACTCCAATCTTGAGATGGGCCAGTGCTGGCCAGGGGTGTGTGCCTGGACAGAAGTGATGACATTGCCAGGCTGTGATGCAAGGATCTTGGCCTGAAAACTGCTCCGTGAACTGAGGATGCATCTGGAGCCTGTCCTGCCTGATGGCCCCACAGCCATTGCAGGGTCTGACCATATAGCATCCACCTGCCTCTCACTGAACACGAGCCACTGACTCTTCCTGCTTCCTCACTTTCCCAGCCTGTCTAACCCAAAGACCAGGACTGTCTTTTCAGCCACTCTGGCTCTTCTTTTATCCTTACGCTGTCAAAACCTCTAAGCAAGAACACCCAGATCCACATACCTGCCTTGTCCACTCTTTAACTGGGCTGCTCAGCACTGCTTGGGGGCACCAGGGGCCATGAGGGTGACTGAGGGTTTCACAGGCACCTGGGATGGTCCTGTACCCAGTCCCCAGCCTCAGGTGGTGCTTGGGGCTTTCAGTCAGCAGCCTCCTCCCTTTCACTGCAGCAGCCCTGGCACAGGGCACCTGGCTGTCCTCCCATTTTTCTCTGACTCAGCCTCGCCCATCTGTCCTCTGATCATGGTGTTGACCAAGTCAGCAGGGAGCTGAGTCTCCAGAGGGTGCTTTGGGGACCGACCGAAGCCTCTCTGCTGAGGGGTCCCAGGTGAGTCGCTGCCCCGACCCCACCCCATTTACTGTCGTCCCCAGATCCATCCACTCCACCCCAGGCTGGCTCCATCCAGATGCATCCCAAAGTCATCAGTTCCTTTGGGTCACCCCCACCCCAACTTTCCCAATGACCTCTGCAGGCACAGACTCCATACTGGGTTTTTCCCACCAGATTTCAGATCCCCTCTCAGCATGAGACGCTTGGTCAGGTTACCTTAGCAGCAAGCTCTGCTGCCTCTTTGCTTTCTCTCTGAGATGCCCATGCCAGGGCCCTGACCATCTTCTCCTCCCAGGGCCACAGCTTTTCCTGCCCCTGTACCCTTGTACCCTTCCCTGTGGGGTGGCAGAACTGGTCTCCTTTAGCCCTCAGAGACCTGCTGGACAACTGCCCACAGGCCATGCCAAGCATCCCCCCACCCTGTGGCCACACCCTGCAAATTTCCAGGGCTGGCTCCAAGGAACAGGGCTGGACCCTCAGGCTGGCCCCCTCCTCCTTTGTTGACTTAGAGACTGCACTGCTGAGAACCCAGGGGGTTGGTCCAGCCATATCTCTATTCCCACCGTTTCTCTGGGTTCCCACAATGGGCCACTCAACACTGGCCTAACACTGACACCATGGGCTGGACCTGCAGGGCATCTAGGGGAGGAGTGCTGATACTGGGAAAGGGATGGGTCATAGCCATGGAGACATGGGCTTCCTCAGAGAGACCCTTCTAATAACAAAACCTATCCCCGAGTTGAGATTGCTGGGTTGGGGGCGTGGGAGGCAGAAGACACTGAAGAATTTGGAGCTGATGACTTTCCAGATCAAAAATCTTCCTGCCCCATGTCCACTGGCATCCCGGCCTGGCCAACCTCCGCCTCCTGGGTTCAAGTGATTCTCCTGCCTCAGCCTCGTGAGTAGCTGAGATTACAGGCGCCCGCCACCATGCCCAGCTAATTTTTGTATTTTTAGTAGAGACGAGGTTTCAACATGTTGGCCAGGCTGGTCTTGAACTCCTGACCTCAGGTGATCCACCCTCCTTGGCCTCCCAAATCTAGTAAATGTCACATAATTTATAAGGCAATATAAGAGAATATTTCTTATATTAACTGACTGTCAAAAGCAACTGTGTAATACTGTTTGTATCTTCATGGCTATCAGATATATAAATTTAATGTATTTGCCAATAACAGCACAGAGGTGAGTGCAGGAAAAGTACCTCAGCACTCACACTGCCACACTGCTCACACTGTCCACAGGACCGTCTGCTTTAGCCCAGAGGGAGGGTCAAACCAAGCCAGGCCTGGTGGGCTGGACGGGGCACCACGAGTCCTCTTGGAAACTGAACCCACCCCTGACACAACTCAGATTAAAGACAGGAGTGTGGTGAGCTCTTCCCTGCCTGGGCCTCCCCGATCCGTGGCCTCCTGTGCAGAACTGGACCCCAGGGGTGTCCAGAAAGGACCCAGCACTGCCCAGTGCAAGGTGCCCAGGACAGAAACAGACCCCTCCAAGGAGACCCCTCCTGGCCTGATGCCCAGCCCCAAACCTAGACCCTCTCCTGAAGGGAGACATGAGAAACATATTTATCAGAAACTGGAATAAAAACATACACTAAAAGCCCAGGAAGCTTTTGTGAATTCCTAGCATCTCTACACCACACTGATTAGTGACAGTTTATTCCTGCAGTACACCTGTCTATAACAGTGAATAAAGTGCTTGGGTTTTTTTTTGTCTGCAAATTCTTAACTCTCATAAAACGATTATAAGGCATATAAAACAGGAAAATGTGGCTGAATAGAAACAAAATAAGCCTTCAGAAAACAAGCTCAAAGACAAACAGATTTATGTCTCGCTTTATGAATAATTTAAAACAACTGTGTAGTCCCAGGTACTTGGAAGGCTGAGGTGGAAGGATCACTTGGGACCAAGAATTCAATGCTGCAATTACCTGTGATCTTGCTGCTGCACTTTATCCTAGATGACAGAGAGACATTCTGTCTCAAAAATAAAAAAGAGAATACTGTACCCACCAAAGCTAGCCTTCAAACACAAAAAATAAAGACTTTCCCAGGCAAATGAAAGCTGAAGGAATTTCTTGACACCAGATGTGTCTTACAGAAAATGCTAAGGACAATTCTTTAAAAGGAATGGACACTGACATGTAAGAAAGAAACACCTAAAGTTATAAAACTCACAGGTAGAAGTATTAATAGGAATACAGAAAAACTCTGAATAATACCATAATTGTGGTAGGTAAACTGCTTATATTATAAATATGGACATAATACAAAAGTTCTAGCCACAAGAATTATGACAATTGGTTAAGAGATAGGTAATATAAGAAGATGTAATTTAAAATATCAAAAAGTAAGAGTGTCAGGGGGATGGTGTTAAAGTGTAGAGTGTTTTATATTACTTTTATTTGTAATTAAAGTTAAGTTGTTATTAGTTTAGAACATGTTATAACCATAGAAGTTTTTGTTAAGCAGTCATTATGTTATCTGCAAAACAAAAATCTATAATAGATACATTAAAAGACATAGGATAAAATCATAACACGCTACTAGAGAAAATCACTTAACCACAAAGGAAGACAGTAAGAGAGGAAGAAAGAAAAAAAGATTTACAAAACAACCAGAAAAGAAGTAACAAAATGGTAGTAGAAAACAATTACCTATAAATAATAACCTTGAATGTAAATGGATTACACTATTCAAGTAAACAAACGAAGCATGGCTGAATGGATTTTAAAAAGACCAAATATATGCTGTCTACAAAAATGTCAATCTACAAAAACCCATAGACTTAAAGTGATGGAAAAGGGTATACCATGAAGTGAAAACCCAGAAAGAGCAAGAGTTATATTAAATAAAATTGACTTTAAATCAGAATGGTAAAATGCCATTATAAAATAATAAAGAGGTCAATACTACAAGAGTTTGTAACAATTGTAAATAAATATGTACTAAACACGGAGGCATCAAAGTATCTAAATAAATATTAATAGGCTTACAGGGAGAAATTAACTATAATACAATAATAATAGGAAACGTCAACACAAAAATAGAGTTAAACTGCACTCTATGCCAAATGTACCTAAGGGACATTTACTGAGCATTTCCTCCAGCATCAGCAAAATATAAAATTTTCTGGCAGGACATGGGATATTCTTTAGGATAGACCATATGTTAAGTCACAATAAAGGTCTTAATAAATTTATAAAGATTGAAATTTTATTAACTATATTTTCTGACCAAAATGTAAGAAAACTAAAAATGAATAATAGAAGGGGTGGTGAAATCTACACAAATTTATAGAAATTAAATGACATGCTCTAGAACAATGAGTAGGTAAGTGAAAAAATTGAAAAGTGGTAAGTTTCTTGAGACAAATGAAAATGAAAATAACACATATCAAAAAAATTCGAGATACAGCAAAAGCAATTATAAAAGAAAAGCTTATAACAATAAACACCTACATGAAAAAGAAGAGATATTTCAAATAAACAACCTAATATTACATCTCAAAGAACCAGCAAAACAAGAAGAAACAAATGTTGAAAAGTAGAAGGGAAGAAATAACAAAAATCAAAGTAAAAATAAATAAAAAAGAGAATTAAAAATAGAAAATATGAATGATGAAGTTGGTTTTTTGAAATAATAAACTCAACACTTCCTAGTAGACTAAGAAAGTAACAGAGAAGAGTCAAATAAATAAAAGTAGAAATAAAAAGGGAGAAATCACAACTGCTACCACAGACATAGAAAGGATCACAAGAGTCTATTAAGATCAACTGTATGTCAATAAAATGAAAAACAGAAAAAAATAGATAAATCTGTCTATCTACCAAGGTGCATCTACATGCAACCTACCAAGATTAAATCATGAAAAAAATAGCAAATATAAAAAGACAAATAATTAGTAACAAGGTCAAACTGGAAATACTCTCCTCTCAAAGAAAAGCCCAGGGACTAAAGGCTTTACTGTTAAAGTCTGAAAATATTTAAAGAAGAATTAATACCAATACTTCTCAAATCTCTACAAAATATGAAAGAGGAGGAAATTACTGCAAACTCATTCTACAAGGCCAGTATTACCATGATACCAAAATCACAACGAAAAGTAAAACGACGGACCAATATCACTCATGAACACAGATGCAAAAATACTTGAAAAAATGTCAGGAATTTGAACTCAACAACATTTTAAAAAGATTATTTACCATGAGCAAGAGGAGTTTATCCCAAAGATGCAAAAATGGTTCAATATAGTCATATCAATAAACAAGATTCATCACAATATAATCAAAGTAAAAAACTGTATAGTCATTTCAACATATCCAAAAACATGTATTCAGTAAAATTTAGCATCATTCATAAACAGTTCTGTAGATAAAAACTGTCTACAATTTAGATATTGGGGGAACATACCTCCACAAAATAAAAAGCCACATATGAAAAACCAATAGCTAACATCATACTAAATGGGGGAAAATTAAAAGCCCTTCCCCAAGATATGTAACAAAGCAAGTAAGCCCACTTCTACCATTTTTTTCCAAGATAGTACTGGAAGTCCCAGCCAGAGCAACTATGCAAGAGAAAGAAAAAAGGGACATCTAAATTGGTAAAAAGAAAGTGAAGTTGTTTTTGTTCACTGATGACATGATTATGTATATAGAAAATCTTGATTCCATTAAGAAACTATTAGAACTAATACATTAACTTAGTAAAGTGGCAGGATACAAAATCAACATACAAAATAAGTATCATTTCTATATGTCAATAACAAAGTATCTGAAAAAGAAATTAAGAAAGCAATCATATAATTGCTAAAGAATAAAATAAAGTATCTATGAATAAATGTAACCAAGGAGGTGTAAGAGATCTACAATAATTATTAGGTTGGTGCAAAAGTAATTGCAGTTTTTGCCATTAACAGTAACGTAAACAGTAATATAAAACACTGGTGATAAAATTAAAGATACCAAAAAAGGATATTCTGCCTTCATATTTGAAGAATAATAAATATGTTTGCACTTTCCAAAATGATCACATATTTATGACAATTTTCATCAAAATGTCTATGAAATTCTTCACAGAAATAGAAAAAAATAATAAAATTCAAATGAAACAAAAAAATACCAAAAATAGCCAAAGTAATCTTGAGAGAAAGAACACACACAAAGCTGGACATATCGCATCACATGACTTCAAGACATACTACAAATCTATGGTAACAAAACAACATAGTACTGGCAATAACAACAGACACTTAGACCAGTGGGACAGATTAGAGAACCCAGAAATAAATCCACACTAAAAAGACAGATGATTTTTTGACAAAGGTGACAAGAACACACATTGGAGAAAAATAGTCTCTTCAATAAGTGATGTTGAAAAAAACTGTATATCTACATGCAGGCTAACAAAACCAGATCCTTATTTCTTACTATATTCAAAAATTCACTTAAATGCATTAAGAACTTAAGTATAGAACCCAAAACTATAATACTACTTGAAGAAAACATGGGGAATTCTCTACGACATTGATCTTTAAATGGAGTTTTTGCATAGGACCTCAGAGCATAGGCAACACAAGAAAATACAAGTAAATAGGTTATATCAAACTAAAAAGGTGCAAAGCAAACAAAACAATCAACATAGTGAAGAGACAAGTTACAGAATGGGAACAAACATTTGCAAACTATACAAATATCCTGAGTATATAAAGGATTCAAACAACTAACCAGCAAGCAAACAAACAACACAACAAAACAAATAATCCAATTTAAAAATGACAAAATACCTTAATAGGCAGTTTTCCAAGAAAAAAGTGTACAAATGACTGGCAGGTTTATAACAAAATGCTCAACATTACTAACTATAAGGGAAATGAAAATTGAAGCTATGAGATACCATCCCACCCTAGTAACAAGGCTAGTATCAAGAAGAGAAAATGTAACAAATACATATGAGGATGTAGTGAGAGGAAAACTCTTTGACACTGTTGGTGGGAATGTAGCTTAGTATAATCACTATAAAAGATAGTATGGTGAGTTCTCAAAAAGTTAAAAATAGAGCTAACATATGGTTCATTATTGACTACTGGTACACAGCCAAAGTAATTAAAATCAGTATGTCAAAAAGATATTTGCACTATGATGTTTATTTCAGCTCTATTCACGGTAGCCAAGAGATGAAATCAAAACGTGTTCATCAGTAAATAAATAGATAAAGAAAATGTGGTATATATACACAATGGAATACCATTTGACTACGGAAAGGAACAAAATACTGTCATTTGCGGCAATATGTGTGAACCTAGATAATATAATGTTCAATGAAATAAACCATAGACTGAAAGACAAATATTGCATGAGCTCACTAATAAGTGGAATATAGGAAAGCTGATCTTGCAGAAGTTAAGCATAGACTGGTGGCTACCAGAGTCTGGGGAAGGGTCTGGGAAGAAAAAGATTAAGGGAGGTCATTCACTGGGTGCATTTACAGTTACAGTTATATAGAAGAAATAAGACAGAAGAAATAAGTTCTGGTGTTCTATTACACAGTTGGGTGACTAACAATTATGGTATAACAACAACATGTATTTTACAATAGCTAGAAAACAGTAACTTGAAAGTTATCACTATAAAGAAATGATAATGGCTTGAGATGATGAACATGCTAATTATCCTAATTTTATTATAACACAACATACATATGTTTTAAAACATTACACTATACCCTATAAATATTTGAAATTAGGGGCCAGGCATGGTGCCTCACGCCTGTAATCCCAGCACTTTGGGAGGCCGAGGCGAGCGGATCACGAGGTCAGGAGATCGAGACCATCCTGGTGAACACCTTGAAACCCCGTCTCTACTAAAAATACAAAAAAATTAGCCGGGCATGGTGGCGGGTGCCTGTAGTCCCAGCTACTCTGGAGGCTGAGGCAGGAGAACGGCAGGAACCCCGGGGGCGGTGCTTGCAGTGACCGGAGATCCGGCCACTGCACTCCAGACTGGGCGATAGAGTGAGGCTCCATTTAAAAAAAAAAAAAAGAGAGAAATTAGGGCCTGGCATGGTGGCTCACGCATGTAATCCCAGCACTTTGAGAGGCCGAGGCGGGCAGATCACGAGGTCAGGAGATTGAGACCATCCTGGCCAACATGGTGAAACCCTGTCTCTACTAAAAAAACAAAAATTAGCTGGGCATAGTTGCACGTGCCTGTAGTCCCAGCTACTCCGGAGGCTGAGGCAGGAGAATCACTTGAACCCACGAGGCAGAGGTTGCAGTGAGCCAGGATAACACCACTGCACTCCAGCCTGGAGACAGAGCAAGACTCCGTCTCAAGAAAAAAAAAAATGAAATTATGTGTCAGTTATAGGATAACTCACTAACTTAAATAAGTAAGTTTACCAATGCAAAAAATTCCAAGTTCCTGAAGCTGTGTTCTCTGTGTCTCTTGTAGAATAGCTTTTCCACTTTATCAGAATGTTTTCAACTTGGCCTTTCCCTTTATTTTCTGCTTGTCCAGAGATTGAAGATCAAATAGACATCAGAAATTAGGGTCTTTCTAGGTTTTTCTGAGCCAGCACCTGGCCCTAATCCTGTACATTGACTGCTAGATTGTCTTAACTATCTGGACAATTCTCAAAGATTTTATTCCCAAAGCATTGACTCTCCATTCTTTCCTGTTAGGCATTTCAGTATGATTACTTTTTGTCCCAAAGAAATTCCTTTGCCCAAGGTTATTGATTTGAAATCCTTTTTTTCATGAAGAAACTGACTGCTATAAATTTTCTGTAGTTTGCATGCTTTGTTGTGTTGAGTAAACATTTTTATTCATGTGAAATATTTTCCAATTCTTAAGTTTTTATTTGACACATTGGCTATTTAGAATTTCATTGCTTAATTTTCACGTAACTGTCACTTACCGAAATTTCCTAATGTCATTAATTTTTAATTTTATTCTGTTGCAGTCAGAGAAAATTCTTTGCATTTACACAATTCTTTTAATTTTATTGTGTATTTAATCACCTAGAATATAGTTTATTCCAAAGAACATTCCATGTGCACTTACTAAAAATGCCTAGCCTATTCCTGTTAGGTGGAACAGACAGTACCTGTCTGCTAGAGCTCAGTGGTTTTGTTTTCTTCAAGTCTATTTACTCTTTTACCTCTTGACTGTTTTTTAATTCATTATTGAGAGTGAAGTATTTAAATCTCTGTTATTTTTCGATTATCTCTTGCTTGCTTTATTTTTGTCAGTCTTTGCCTCATGTATTTTCTTTCTCTTTTCTTATTTGCATATTGGTTTATGGTTGTTACATCTTCCTAAGAAATTGACTTTTTTGGTCAATATTGAATGTCTCACTTTACACCTAAGCGTGTGTTTTTCTTTTTGTTTGTGTTAAATTCTCTTTTTTTTTTTTGAGATGAAGTTTCACTCTTGTTGCCCAGGCTGGAGTGCAATGGTGCAATCTTGGCTCACTGCTACCTTTGCCTCCCCGATTCAAGCAGTTCTCCTGCCTCAGCTTCCCAAGTAGCTGGGATTACAAGTATGCACCACCACCCCCGGCTAATTTTGTATTTTTAGTAGAGACGGGGTTTCTCCGTGTTAGTCAGGCTGGTCTCGAACTCCTGACCTCAGGTGATCTGCCCGCCTTGGCCTCCCAAAGTGCTGGGATTACAGGCGTGAGCCACCGCGCCCGGCCTAAATTCTTTTTTAATTGTGTAATTGCAACTACAACTTTATTATAGCTGCTCTTTGCAAGCTTCTATTCTTTCACTTCTACACAATTTGTTTATTCGGATCCAAAGCAATTGTGCTGCAGACAGCATATATTTGTATCATATTTTTATATTCTGTCTAATAATCTCAGTTTTTCTTATTTAATAATCTTATTATATTTAGTATTATTTATATAGTTGGATTTATTTTTCTGTATTTTTTTCTACATATCATGTGTATTTTATTTTTTTTCTATTTTGCCTTCTTTTGCATTAAGAAAGCATTTTTATGTAATATTGCAATTTTAAAAATAATTTTTAATATATATTTGGAGCTATCTCTTGTTCTTTGAGGGCTTCTGATATACATCTTCATCAGAATCTGTTTTACATTTATAATAACAATACTGATAAGTTACACAAATGTTAGTTCTATGTATTTCTATTTCTGCTTCTTATTTTGTGACATAAATTTTACACTTATATCTATATATACTATAAACAATATTTTACACTTATTGTATATAATTTTATTTTTAAAAATAAGATGAGAAAAGAAAAAAGAGCAAAGGTATAGCTACAAATCGATTGATATTAACCTTTTTATTTCCCATTTCTGAATTTTCTCAGTTGTTCCAGAATATTCAGCTAATTTTTATTGCAAAACATGTTATCATTCACCTGTTTTGTTCAGTTATTGGTGAGTATATTACACGTATTTGTAATTGGTCCAACAATATATTTTTATTTATATTGTTATGCATTCATTTTTTAAAATAATATAAGAAATGACCAGGCGCGGTGGCTCACGCCTGTAATCCCAGTACTTTGGGAGGCTGAGGCAGGCAGATCACCTGAGGTCAGTAGTTCAAGACCAGCCTAACCAACATGGAGAAACCCCGTCTGTACTAAAAAAAATACAAAATTAGCTGGGCATGGTGGCACATGCCTGTAATTCCAGCTACTTGGGAGGCTGAAGCAGGAGAATCACTTGAACCTGGGAGGCAGAAATTGCGGTGAGCGGAGATCATGCCATTACACTCCAGCCCGGGCAACAAGAGCGAAATTCCATCTCAAAAACAAACAAACAAACAAAAACATAAAAATAAAAACAAGATGAGAAAAAAAAGAGCAAAGATATAGCTACAAATCGTTTGATATCAACCTTTTTATTTCCCATTTCTGAATTTTCTCAGTTGTTCCAGAATATTCAGCTAATTTTTACTGCAAAACATGTTATCACTCACCTGTTTGTTCCATTATTGGTGAGTATATTACACGTATTTGTACTTGGTCCAACAATACATTTTTATTTATATTGTTATGCATTCATTTTTTAAAATAATATAAGAAATTTAAAAATGTATGCATGATGTCTTTTATAATGACATGATTATCTTTACTGGTGCTCTTGTCATTTCATGTAGATTCAAATTATTCTCTTTGGTTATTTGATTCCTTCCTTCCTTCCTTCCTTCCCTCCCTCCCTCCGTCCCTCCTTCCCTCTCTTCCCCTCCCCTCCCCTGCTAGATCTCCCTCCCTCCCTCCCTCCCTGCCTCCCTCCTTCCTTCCTTCCTTCCCTCTTTCGTTCTTTCTTCTTTCTTTCTTTCTTTCTTTTTTTGAAACGGAGTCTCCCTCTGTCACCCCGGCTGGAGTGCAGTGGCACAATCCCAGCTCACTGCAATCTCTACTTCCCGGATTCAAGCGATTCTCCTGCCTCCACCTCCTGAGTAGCCAGTACTACAGGCGCCCGCCACCGCACCCAGCTAATTTTTGTATTTTTGTCTAGTTGAAATCAACTCAGTTTTTGTTTACCTGGAAAGGCCTTATGTTGCCTTTATTTTTTATTGATAGCTTTCCCATTTAGATAATTACTTCTTGACAGTTTTTCTTCGATGAGTAGACACAAAGATTTAAATGGAGTTGAAAGACTTAGAAAGGGCAACTAAACTGTGGTCTAGAAAATGGAAATGAAATTGTTTTTAAATTGAATTGAAAATAAAATTATATTTATGGCAGCTGATGATATGTTGGACTGGGATGCAGACACCAGAAAGAATTAAACTATGGACAACAGAAATCTGTGAGTTGTTTGGTTCTGACTTAGGCCAAATGAAGGGCATGCTTTTTAGAGAATTAAAGATGTTTCATGAGAGCACAGCCATGCTTAAAGAGGCTGAGTGCCTGCACTGTGCTAAGTTCCACAGATTTATTGAAATAGAAGTCACTATTTTAACATACAACAATTTAACATACACTATTAGACTAAGAAAGCAAGTAGGCAGTGATAATTATGATTAATGTTAACTTTAGTTTTAATAGAATCGTATTTGATGGGTGTCACAGAAGCCAAAAAAAATGGCCTTTGCTATAAAATGTGTGCTCTACTACTGAGTGTGTAAAACACTCCTGTGAGTGGAAGCCACAAAGAAACCTGAGGGTCAGGGTGGTAGAATAACCCTTTGATACTTCATATCTAAAAAAAAATCTCTTGGCATGGACAGTTTGTATCCAAACACTCATTGCTTGAAATAGATGTGCATTTCTATACTCTATAAATGTACCTGGACAAAGTAGTGAGAGGTATAAAGCAGCCTACATTTTGCTCCCATGTCTAGTGCCCTGACTCAGAACTGTGTCCTCAGGAAAATGGAGCACTTTGCCCATTTAGGTCTGATAGAGGTGGCATTTTTCTGATTCTCACAAAGGTGATTTTGGTCTACTTCTTACCGTGAAAATCAGAGATTAGTAGGGAACATTAGTGAGGGCAACCATGAATTACTTGAACCAGTATTAATGCAGTGGAAAATCTGACATTGTGTTTTACTAGTTTTGAAGGTTGGGTAATTGGGAGATCACTGTTTCGTTTATAAGAACAGACACCGTACAACCCACTTGGCTGAATATACCTGGGGAAGTAAGCTTACACATGGAAAAGTTGGAGCACAGCTGTTTCTAATGTATTTTCTAGGAATCAAAAAGTTTCATTTTCCCTTGGTGGTTCCCTTTCTTAAAATCACAAAACCAGAGCTTGTACTATCTTTATATTTGACATGAAAATTATAGGCCTTGAGGGGATGGGCTGATGGCATTGCTGCCTTATAACCACATATTGTGAGCCTCATCTTACAAACATGGACTCACTCCAAAGACTCAGCTGGGTGACTGACTGTTTGTCAGCATTATTAACAGTGAAAGCTCAAGACTCAGGTGAGTTCTGCCTCAGATGAGGCAGAACTTTCTCAATGAAGAGCTAGGATCATTGTCTTTTCCTAATTTCAGTCATGTCTCAGTGAATCATATCTAAGTACAATAGGTGATTCCAAATGAAAAAAGCAACTTTATGAATACTGAGGCCATAATATATCGATCTTATACTTTGACAATTTTTTAATATTGTATTTGAATTGTAATTGTATTTTGTTATTATACTAGCTTTTTCTCAGTTTAACTTACTGTATATACCTAGGTAAAATTTTATATTTTCAAACACAAGAAACCTGAACTAATTCATAAGAATTTAGTCATACTTCTTTGTTCTTTTAAATTTGAAAACACTTAAATATATTATAATGTTTAGAGTCATCTCAAAGCTTGATTACTACTTAATATTTTACATTAATTAGCTTTCAGTGAATGACCATAAAATTATTTTGTTTTATTGTGGTGTGGTTATTGCACATACAGGATTTGGTTCTGGTTACCATGAAACTGTAAACAAATATCTCCTTTTGTCTTTTATCACATTTTGTAGAGTTAATCACTACATTACACATTTAAAAGCTTGTAATACTAAGCATAATTACAAATTTGTAAAACAAATTCAGCTTTAGTGTATTATATTTTATTAATATAAATAGCTAATATAATGTTATTTTATTAATAAGCTAAAACTTATAAAATGTTCTATAAGTTTGGGTAACATTTTAAATAATGAGAGAATAATAAACTTCGAAATTTGAACAAAATAGCATCTCCTTATTATAAAAAATTGTCCAAGTTTTGCATTCTTACAGTTTTTCTGTAAGTTTCAAATTTACAATGTACATGTTAAAAATGCATTCATGAGTGTGGCCAGTAAATTTTAATTTTGCTGTTAAAATACATGTTAATTTTGTCTAACTTTATTAGGAAATAATGTTTTCTAGTTCTGTGATTTTTAACATATAAAAGAAAGGAGTAAGGAGAAGTCAGAAAAGAAAAAGATAATAATAATGGTTGTCTAATTGTGGCTCAAAGGGCACGAAGCCCTCAAGAAAATATAATAGCACAAAATCACTATGTCTCTGAACATTAGGAAAAAAATAGCATTTCTAAGTGCTTCAAATATCTGCATTTTATGTATTTAGGGAGGAAGGACCTCAACTGCTCATAGTAAGTGTACATGATGAATAGAAGATGCGGTTTTCCAAATTGCAATTTTCAACTTGGAAATATTCCTCCAATTTCAATATTTGACACATTTGGTAAGACTCTTATCTATACTGTGATGCACAGTGGCATGATTGTACAAGACCTTTCAAATTAAAAAAAAAATGAGCATTACACTTAGCTGATATCTCCTCAGTTGAAATAATCACAAAGAAACACTCTTCCAAAAGGATTTTAGGCTTTTTCCAAATTGGTAGTGTAGAATTTGTGATCAAGACCCTCCAGTATTTTTCTATTGCCTACATTTAAAGTAATAACTTTCCTACTTATTTTTTCCTTCGAGCTAGCTGGGAATTAAATGTCTTAAAATTATAAATACCGTGTCAGCAAGCATTGTGCTTCTAGCTGCAGTCTACACTAATTTCAACTTCCAAAGAGTGGCAGATGCATTACAATCATTCAATGCATCTGATACTTACCATATTTATTATTTTAGTCTCTGTGTATTTTATAAAACTTCTTTTAACAGGCCTAATCTTGGTGCAAACATTTTTTCTTTTCTAAATTTGCCAGCTGTATTTTTCAGTTTGCCATTTATTGCCACTTAACAACAAACCCCTTCTCCCTGGCACCTAAATTTTTTAGGTCCAACAAGGCTGCTCAATGAATGTTGTGAAATGTACGATAAAAATGACATTTTTTATTAATATAATAAAAACATTTTAGATTTATATAGATTATATTTTAAAACTACACAAGGGACAGTGCAAACATCACTATTCAAATAATATTATTAATAAAATAACAATACTAAACAACTATATTTTATAATAAAGATGAGGAAGTTATTTTATCAAACTTCTTTTTCTACAAATAACATATCCATCATATGCAAAACAGCTTTTGGATTCCTGTTAAGTGGCTTTTTCCTTTTATATACCCTTTATCTTTGGTTCAGATGTCTGATCTAAGCTTCTGTTTTTTATGATCAGATTTTCATTCCTGGTCAGTATAATGGTGTGTTATTCCCCTATTATACATTATTATTTTTACACTTTGGGACTTAAGAATTGAAATACACTAAAGTGAAAGGCAGTATAATGAGAATAAACTTGAGCTGCATTATGTGTTTATGGAGAGTGCTCAGGAGCTTCACCCTCAGCCCCAGCGGCCTTAGGTTGTCACTTCTAATGCCAAGAGCTAAGCTGTACATTTAGATTTTGAAATTTTTAATGGGTCACATGGAACAAAATTTTTCTTTGCACTCTGAACAACCTAAAAGTAGCATCTATGAATTTTTACCCTATTTTGTTTCATCTACTTTGGCATCATATTAATGCAAATTCCATAATTCTTCTATGGTATAGTTGCCAGACTTATGAAATAACAATATAGAGTACAGCTGAATTTAATATTTGAATTAAAAATGACTTCTGCAATATGTTAAAGGCAATTAACAATTGTTTAGCTCTGGCAGGTGAGAAAAATTTTTGAAGATATAATCAATTTAATCATACTCTATCTGTGTCCTCTAATTTATGACAACCAAGATTGTGACAACCAAGATTGCTGATCTCGTCTGGGATCAGCATCAATGCTCTCAAGAGCCTCAGTGGGAAGATGCACCATCTGATCAAGCAGAAGATTATTCTGTTTCAGTGTGTTTAGGTTATTTACAGAGTAAGGAGAATGAATTAGAGAGCATAAGCTGGATGTTTTTTAGGGTGAAAAAATAAAGTATTAAAATTCTTATCTATGTTATTTAATCTATTTGTCCTATATCTTATTTTGGTGTGTGGTTCATAATATGTGGGTTATATTAATAAAACTATACAGATATATAGTTAATAACTCATTATACATATATTATTGTCTCATGTTCAAATATATTTTTCTAGTACTAAAATGTGATCCTTAAAATTTGGATACCATTAAGCCTTTAATTTAAAATTACTTCATTTTTTTTTTCCTGATGTTAACTTGACAGGAGAACTGAACTGCGCTGATGGTGTAGATGTGTGCTGGTGGAAATCTTTCATTGTTTCTAAGATAAATGCATTTACTTATTAATGTTTTGTAGAAAGAGTAATAACCATTTAATCAACTAGATGTTTCCTTTATAAAATCAAACATATCTGGTGGTTTTAGAGCAACTTTTTCTCAGTCACTAATTTTTTATTATTAACTAAGGATTCTCAATGTCAATATTTTTGCATCATCTCATATATTTTTATTTATGGAATTGTATAATGATAAGTGACCTGGAATCAGACACACTTTCATTTAAAACAAATCCGAGTGAATTTAATGGTGTTTCACTTTTTTAATGTCATGAAGCTAAATTGTTCTTAGCCCTGGATTAAAGTAAAATGATAAATGACTTCTGAATCTTGGCAAAGTAACATGAAATGGTGACTGCAAAATTGTTCCGCAAAATTTTACAAGGTGTTATATTATTGAAGTTATCCCAAGAAAACTTGAGCAGAATTATCTTTCTCATTGAAGACTAAGTATTTTGATCTTATTGAAGATCTTATTGAAGTATTTTTTATCTTATTGAATACTAAGTCTAACCGAAGACTTAGTATTCTTATTGAATACTCAGACTAAGACTTAAGTATTTTTCTAGGCATGGTAGAGTACCTCTGTATTAAGTGAAATCTCAGGAAGAAGACCAACATGTGACATTCTGATGCAACTTTATGGTGAAACAAAGTAATTAAAAGTAGTGGCCAGGCTCGGTGGCTGCTCCATGGCCCACGCCTGTCATCCTAGCACTTTAGGAGGTCAGAAGTTTGAGACCAGCCTGGTCAACATGGTAAAATCTTCTCTACTAAAATACAAAAATTAGCTGGTGTAGTGGTGAGCGCCACTTGGGAGGCTAAGGCAGGAGAATTACTTGAACCCAGGAGGCAGAGTTTGCAGTGAGGAGAGATCATGCCACTGCACTCCAGCCTGGGTGACAGAGTAAGACTCTGTCTCAAAAAAAAAAAAGGGTGTGTTTATTTTGTTGGTACCTGAGAGGAAAATATTAAAAAATATGTTCTGAGAAAAGAGAGATCACATAATAAATCTCTGGGATGTGAACTAAACTGAGATAGCCAGAACCATTTCTATATTATATGTAGTAAATTAGGGTTTGATTAAGCAGAATAATGTCCCCCAATCCCTATAAGGATATTGACATTTGAATTCCAAGATATCACATTACACATTACAATTCATGACAAAGAGAATATAAGGGTGCAGACAGGATGAAAATTGCTATTATGCTGATGAAATATCATGTATTTATCATGGTGAGTCCAGTAAAATCACAAGGGTCAAAAATCATGGAAGAGTGATGACGAATAAATTGTATCAAATGATAGATCGTGAGAAAGACTCGAATGTATTTTTAATTGTTGTAGTGAGTCTTTTCACATTAACATTCATTTAATTCAATTCAACTGTACAAATACTATTCATTTTATATGCCCAACTGAAGTGCTAAATATTAAATGAGAGAACATAGAATAAGGATATGATTATTCAGATGAATGCCAAGGTACATGAGGAACATAGATAGTATGCACCTTAGACAGGCAAAATTGAAAACGTATTTATTATATATAGAGATTCATAATCATTATATATGTATACATTTATTTGGTTTAGAAAATAGTACAGGAGACACATTATCAAGAATTTATATAAGATGGGGTTATCAAGAAAATGAGAGTAAAATAAAAATAATGATAATGGTAATCATTTTGAACGCTGACAAAAGAACACTGATGACACAGATCTATTTTTTTCAGGTCTTCAAAACGTTTCTTCTATGTCATTAGGATGAACACACATTTCACATGTTATCTTTCAAAAAGGCCTTTTATTTTCAAGCTGGCATTGGAATCTCAGCCAACATCTTTCTTCCTCTCTGGCACATTTTCACATTCTTTAAGGATCACAAGCCTAAAAACCATGACCTGATCATCTGTCACTTGGCCTTTGCCCACATAGTGATGCTAGTCATTGCAGCAGAGTTATTGTCTCCAGACGTGTTTGAATCACTGAAATTTCAGAATAACTTCAGATGTAAGGCTGTGTTCTACACATACAATTAGGGTCCTCTCTATCTGCAACACCTCTCTCCTGAGCATGCTTCAGGCCATCACCATTAGCCCCAGCACTTCCTGGTTGGTGAGATTTAAACATAAAATCACAAAACACAATATCCTGGGTTTACTCTTTTTTTGGTCCCTCAATTTGTCTTTCAACAGTGACATGATAAGTTACATTGTAGGTTTTTCCAATGTGACCCAGATAATACTGAATGTCAATAAATACTGCTCACTTTCCCCAATAAATGTCATCATCAGAAGGCTGTTTGTTACTCTGTCGTTATCCAGAGATGTCTTCCTTGTAGGAATCATGCTGCTCTCAAGTGCCTACATGGTGATTCTCTTGTCCAGGCATCAGAGGCGCTCCCAGCACCTTCACAGCACTAGCTTTTTATTAAGAACCTCCCCAGAGAAAAGGGCCACCAAAACCATCTTGCTGCTGGTGAGTTTCTTTCTGGTTATGTACTCATTGGACTTGTCTCATCCTCCACAATGTTGTTATGGGTATTCAGTCCTGTCATCTACAGTGTCCACAAGTTTATGGTCAATGCCTATGCCACTGTCAGTCCTATGGTGCTAATCAGATCTGATAAAAGAATCATCAGTATTCTGCCAAAGGTTCATTGGAAGTGCCATCCATTTTTAACAAGTTGGTGATATTTATTTTGTCGTCATCAATTAAATTATTCAAAAACAAAATTTGCTATCTGATT
Organism: Homo sapiens; assembly: GCF_000001405.40. Taxonomy (NCBI): domain Eukaryota; kingdom Metazoa; phylum Chordata; class Mammalia; order Primates; family Hominidae; genus Homo; species Homo sapiens. The sequence continues at coordinate 56,560,081 of NC_000007.14, forward strand.
TAAATAAAACATGTGGAATTGCACTTTTGTAATATCTAATTTTTTTTTTTTTTGAGATGGAGTCTCACTCTGTCATCCAGGCTAGAGTGCAGTGGTGTGATCTCGGCTCCTTACGGCCTCCGCCTCCCGGGTTCAAGCAATTCTCCTGCTTCAACCTCTCGAGTAGCTGGGACTACAGGCATGTGCCACCATGCTCAGCTTTTCTTTCTTTTTTTTTTTTGGTATTTTTAGTAAAGACAGGGTTTCGCCATGTTTGCTAGGCTGTTCTTGAACTCCTGACCTCAAGTGATCAGCCCACCTCGGCCTCCCAAACTGCTGGAATTACAGGTGTGAACCACTATGTCCAGCCTATCTCAATATTTTTAAAATTTCCTGGTGCTAAGAACTACATGGTGTCCTCAGTTTGGTGTCCTCAGTTCAGTTTCCCCCATGATTTAATATTCCCCAAGCATGTCTCTCACTTCTTAATTTTACCTTTATACAGGAAACACTAATTTTTCTTTCTTTTTTTTTTTTTGAGATGGAGTTTCACTCTTGTTGCCCAGTCAGGAGTACAAAGGTGTGACTTCTGCTCACTGCAACCTCTGCCTCCCGAGTTCAAGTGATTCACCTGCCTCAGCCTCCTAAGTAGCTGGGATTACAGGTTCCTGCCACCACACCTGGCTAATTTTTGTATTTTTAGTAGAGATGGGGTTTCACCATGTTGGCCAGGCTGGTCTCGAACTCCTGACCTCAGGTGATCTGCCCACCTCAGCCTCCCAAAGTGTTGGGATTACAGGCGTGAGCTACCATGCCCAGCCCATATATGTTGTTTTCAATGGCAGGATTTCATTATTTATGTAGATAAATAGCATTTCATTTGGGTTTCTATGCCATGTTTTCTTTATCTGTTTGTCCCTCGATGGACACTATGATTATTCCATATCTTGGCTATTGTCATTAGTGCTGTGATAAATATGGGAATGAAGATATCTCTTTAACATACTGGTTTTATTTCCTTTGTATATACTCCCAGTAGTGGAATTGCTGGTTCATACAGTAGTTTTATTTTTAGTTTGGGAAACCTCTACTTTTTTACGTAATGGCTGTATTAATCGGCATTCAAACCAACAGTGCATGAGGGTTTCCTTTTCTCCACGTATTACCAACACTTGTTATCTTTTGTCTTTTTTATAATGACCACGCTAATTTAACAACTCTATTACTTTAATTTACATTTCCCTGATGTCTAGTGATATTGAGCATTTTTTCATACACCTGTCGACTATATATATATCTTGTTTTGAGAAATATCTATTCAGGTTTTTGCTCATCTTAAAACTGGGTGATTATGATTATTATTTCTGCTGTTGAGTTATTTGAGCCCTTTACATATTTTGGATATTAACCCCTTGTCGTTTGCACATGTTTTCTCCCATTCTGTAGTTTGTCTTTTTTCTTCTCTTCTCTTTTTTTTTTTTTTTTTTTTGAGACAGAGTCTCGTTCTTGTTGCCCATGCTGGAGTGCAGTGGCACGATCTCAGCTCACTGCAACCTCTGCCTCCCGGGCAGGCTCAAGCGATTCTCCCACCTCGGCCTCCGGAGTAGCTGGGATTACAGGCACCTGCCACCATGTCCGGCTAATTTTTTGTATTTTTAGTAGAGATGGGGTTTCACCATGGTGGCCAGACTGGTCACGAACTCCTGACCTCAAGTAATCTGCCCGCCTTGGACTCCCAAAGTGCTGGGATTACAGGCGTGAGCCACCACGCCTGGCCTGTAGTTTGTCTTTTCACTCTGTTAATGGTTTTCTATGCCATGTAGAAACTTTTATTAATATTTTATTAACTTTTTTTCTGTTTTCTGGTTTTATACAAAGGTGAGACATTTTGCTCTCACTGCTTTTATGAGCTTTTTTTTTCATGTTGGTGTTATGAAGTTTGACCTTTTTAAAATTAAGGTTTATTTTATTTAAAATTGACATATAATTGTACACATTTATAGATACAGTGTGATATTTCAGTGCATTTATTCATTGTATAATGATATAACTAGAATAATTAACATATCCATTGTTTTCAACATTTGTTATTTCTCTGTGCTGATAACACACAAAATTCTCTCTTCTAGCTAACTTAACCCATGTAATAATATATTATTATTAGTTATAGTCAAGCTACTGTGTAATATAACACAAAAATTTATTTATTTATTTATTTTTGAGACAGAGTCTCGCCTTGTTACTGAGGCTGGAGTGCAGTTGTGCAATCTCGACTCACGGCAACCTCCGCCTCCTGGGTTCAAGCAATTCTTGTCTCGCAGCCTTCCATGTAGCTGGGATTACAGGCATTTACCACCATGACCAGCTAAATTTTGTATTTTTAGTAGAGATGGGGTTTCACCATGTTGGCCAGGCTGGTCTCGAACTCCTGGCCTCAAGTGATCCACCTGCCTCGGCCTCCCAAAGTGCTAGGATTATAGGTGTGAGCCACCTCGCCCAGCCTATTCTTTCTGTTAAATGGTAAGTTGCATTCATTGGCAAACCTGTTCTCATCCCTTCCTCTCCACATCATTTCCAGCCTCTGGTAACCACCATTTTACTCTGCTTCCATGAGATCAGCTTTAAATTTTACACAAAAATGATATCATGTGATGTTTGTCTTTCTATGCTTGGCATATTTTAATTAACATAATGTCCTCCAGGTACATCCATGTTGCTGCAAATGACAGGTTATTATCCTGTTTTAGCAAAAACAGTATGGAGATTCTTCTAAAACTTAAAAATAGAACTACCCTATGATTCAGCAGTTTCAATACTGGCAATTTCAATCAATGTATTTCAAAAGGAAATAAAATCAGTATGTCAAAGAGGCTGTTTATTGCAGCACTAATCATGCTAGCCAAACTATTACTTCACTTAAGATTTTTTCATCTCTTTTGACACATTACACTTGTAAACTTCTAAAGGATTTAAAGATTTTCAGTTTTAGAAACTATTTAATCACCAATTCTTTAAATATTTTTTGTTTATATAGTCTAGTAAAGGAATTAGATGTTCATTTCTTCTCAATCCAATCTTCATATATGAATAATTTCATTCTCTATTAACTTGCCTTCTGTAAAATATGTAACTATATCAATTTTGCTTAGTATTCGATTTTATTGGCCTCTCGTCAGCTCAGTGTATTTTAATATGTAACCCATATGTTGTACATTACACTGTTTCACCACATTTGTAATAGCTTACTTTCAATTTGTTTTTTTTTTTCAGATATGACTTGAGAAGCTTATCGTTTTTTTTTTCTTTGCCCATTACTTTGGCTGTTTTTTCATTGTATTGACAAATATTTAAACATAAGCTAAATATCTGATGTTTATGTACCATATAATTTCTTTCGACCCTTCATCATGGTGGTTTATCTAATTGTGTGCAACATAATGCATAACTTAGTTTTCACATATGGAAGATGTCATACTTGGATTGTCACCAGTCTGTATATTTATTCGCTGATTCCATTTGCCTTGTTGGAAGTTGAACAACCCACATGAATCTGACGTTCTTGTGATTAGTCCTGTCTGAATAGAGCACGTGCTTCTTAGGTTGACTACTCCACTGGGATTATTCCCTTCATTTACTTCTGGTCCTGGGAATTTATATTTTTCTTCAACTATATTTAGCATAATATGGATTGTTTTAACTTCCTGACAATTTTAATTGTATTAAATGTTTAAAAAATATATATTATTTTCCTGAAAAGCATAAATAGCAACAGTTGCATACATTAGTAAAATGTGGCATAGTCTATGACATAAAACATCATCTCGTGTGAAATCTCAAGTCTCTTGATGTAGAAGACCTCCTTCCCAATACATCATATTGTAGTAATTTGTGAAGTGTGATTACTTTTTACTATTATGTATGTATTGTATACGTATTATGCACAAATTTCAGAAACACTCCAACGAATATATAGCCAGAATTACTGTTTTATATCATAGAAAGCTAATATGGGTTATTTACCTTAATTCAGATTTTTTTTCTACAATTACTATTATTTCTCACAGCACTTCCCTGATATCAAAAACGTAGTTGGATTTAGATTTTTTATTTAATCCAGAAGATGTTGAAAAAGGTTTTAAGTGGAGTTTACCCGTGGCTAGATAGTACTTGTTACCTTTAACTTTTTTTTACATTTATTGAGGTATAATTGACAAACTAAAAGTATATATATTTAGGATGTAGAATATGATGTTTTGAGACATGTTTATATATTTTTTAATTACCTCGGTTAAGCTAGTTAACATATTTATCACTTTACATAGTTACTTTGTGTGTCTGTGTGTGAGTGGATATGAGTGGTAAGATTACTTGAGATTTGATTTTGAAAAAATTTTAAGTATACAGTATTATTAACTATAGTCACCAGTCTGTATGTTGCATTCTCAACATTTATTTATTTTATAGCTGTAAGTATGTATCTTTAGACTGATACCTTGTCATTTCCTCCCACATCCTAGCCTATAGTAATCATTATTCTTGTTTCTATGAGTTGGAGTTTTTAAAGATTTCACATAAATGTGAAATCATGCAGTACTTGTCTTTCTGTATCTGACTTATTTCACTTAACATAATGTCTTCATGGTTCATCAATGTTGTTGAAAAAGGCGGAATTTTCATCTTTATTAAAGATAAATTACAGATATTAGTTTCTTCATATATTCATCTATGCTAAGTAGTAACCTCTGTAATTTATCAAATTATCTTTTCCATATTATCATTCAAATACAATATTGTTTTGCATTTATTATTATTAAAATTAATTTCCTGTCTTTAAAAAATTTTTATGAAATTTATGGGGCCAATTCAATCTGCCCTCTTGATAAAAGCCAAAGTTACATGTCAGTTTTACTAATTTGGATTTGATTGAGATTTTTATTGCCTCAAATAATAAGTATAAGCATTAAGGATAAAAATACAGTTATGTTCTTCATCTTACAACAAAGCAATCTTTGGGTTATTTATTGGACAAAAGACTTATTCTATATTATTATTTCTATTTTTATGTTACTTACCTAAACGTTTATTACACATAGAATGCCACAAAATAGGAATAAATTGGTAGTCACAAATTATGAAAGTAAAATTAAGAAACAAGATATGCTTCCCAGAGAATGTCTGTAACAAAAATAAATGAAGTATGTTTTAGGTGATGCATATTCTAATTCCCCTGATTTGATTATTACATATTATATGCTTGTATCAGACTATCACACGTATTACATAAAGATACACAACTATTATGTATCTGTAACAATTAAAAATAAAAAAGAAAGTAGATATGAATATATGTATATATAATCATGTAACAAGTAAAGTATTAATTAAAAATATTTCCACAAAGAAAAGTTTACAGCCTGATATCTTATGTGTCAAATTCAATGAACATTTAATAAATAATATCAATTGTTTAAAAAAACTTTCAAAAACTGAAAAGAAATTTATACTTTCTAACTCACAACACTAGAGTTATTATACAACAAAATATATGACAAAAATGAAAAAAATTCTCCAGATTGAAAAATAACAAAACTGTCTTTTTTTGCAGATGATATAATTTTCTATATAAAAATATATAAGGGGTTCAATAAAATATCCCTAAAACTATAAAGTTAATTAATGTCACAAAATGAAAGATCAGAAAACAAAATTAAGTTGCAGTTATAGATGAAATAAATCAATGAAAATGAAATAAAGAAAAAAATCATTTATAATAGCAATAAACAGAAATATTAACAAAGTTTTAAAAAGAAGTACAAATGTATTACACTCGATTTCTTAATTCAGAAAAATCATAGAACTGAATACATTAACATACATTAAATAATCAATTACCATTTTTAAGATTATAATATCTCACAGATCTACAGATTCAATAAAATCTCTTCAAATTTTTAACTAGTTCTAGTGGAAATTGACAAGTTCTTCCAAAAAACAAATATAGATAAGCTGGGCTTGGCGGCTTTGGGAGGCTGAGGTTGGAGGACTGCTTGAGGCCTGTAGTTGAAAAAGAGCCTGGGCAACATAGGAAGGTACTGTGTCTACAATGATAAAAAAATAAAATTAGCTGGATATGGTAGTGCATGCGTATAGTCCCACCTACTTGGGAGGCTGAGGTGGTGGAATTGCTTGAGCACAGGAGTTTGAGGTAACAGTGAGCTTTGATTGATCCACCTCACTCCAGTCTGAGTGGCAGAGTGAGACCCTGTCTCTAAAAAATGATTTTAAAAAACAATATAAATGTGCACAGAATACCAAATACACAAAAGTCTTTAAAAACAATTTATACTTTTTGATATAAATTCTTATTATCAAAGATAGATTCACATAATTAATAGAATATATTTGAAGATCCAGCTGGGCGCGGTGGCTCATGTCTGAAATCCCAGCACTCTCGGAGGCCGAGGCAGGTGGATCACTGGGGTCAGGAGTTCAAGACCAGCCTGGCCAACATAGTGAAATGCCATCTCTACTACAAATACAAAAAAATTAGCCAGGTGTGGTGGCATATGCTTGTAATCCCAGCTACTCGGAAGGCTGAGGCAGGAGAATCGCTTGAACCCGGGAGTCAGAGGTTGCAGTGAACCGCGATTGCACCATTGCACTCCAGCCTGGGCAACAGAGCGACCGTATCAAAAAAAAAAATGACTATCTCAAAAAAAATCCATTAAAAAACACATTGATTTATGGCAAATTAATATTCACAATAGTTCCAAAAAATTTAAATGTGGAAGAAACATCTTTTCTGGGAATTTTTCTAAGAACATTGGCTATAAACATTTAAAATAAAAAGTTAGACCCCTATCTCAAATCAAACATACAGAAGTACTTAATGTAAGCTGTAAGGCTAAATGTAAGAGCTAAAATGACAAATTTCTCACAAGAAACATAGAAGTAAATTTTTATAATCTTGTATTAATTTCTTTTGTTTGTTTTTTACATTTAGGTTTGTTTTATTTAATGTTAATTCCATACTGTGTTTCAGTAAGAATGATACAGATTCTGTGTCTGTGGCTCCAGTCAGATATCCAGTAGTACAAATTAGCTTCCAGTTACATATACTGAACAAAAGAGATTGAGCTAGTAGAGGGGAGGAGTGAAGTAAAAGTAGGCAAGAATGAGCAGCCACGATTGTTGAACTGTTACCAGCACCATGCTTTCTAGTAATATTTCAGCAGAGTTTGAAACACTTTTTACAGCAAAACCATTACAACTCCTCCCTCCGCAAACAACGTTTAACCATCTCAAGCTAACACCCAATTACTTTGAAACATTTGGTATAAAATACGGTTCAAACAATTAGAAAAACTGAAAAATGATACCACTTAATGCCTCTATAGTGTGATTAACATCTCCCTTAGATGCTTGCATCACCTAGAAGTCTTAATGGCTTTCAAACGTAATTTCCATTTCTAATGGTAATCTTGCCACATCTGGCACGGAGACAATACAGTAATGCTGAAAAAGCCTCTGCGGTCCTGTTAGTGTCTTAAAGAACCTAAAAGCTGGGACCAGTAAAATCCACAGAAATTCACTTCTTGACTTTAAGAACTTTTGAAAACTGTTAAAAAACAAACAAACAAACAAAACACACACACACACACACACACACACACACACACACACAAATCCCACAAAAAACAACAACAGGGCAGGAACCTAAATTCTGAGGCCAAATGTAAAAGTCAGATTTGGTGGTTCTTAGTGACAATGGGGACTTTCCAAGGGGTGGGTGGGATGGGGAAGAGTGGGGGGGTCAGGGATGGTTTCTCTTGTTGGCTTTTATGTCTCACTGATTTTCATCTTCCACGTCCTGCAGCGCTTCTTTATTCTGTTCTTCACCATCACCCTGCATGCCTGAAGTCCATAGTGTCATTATAGCTTCCTTCACTCAGCGTATCCAGTTCTGCAATTGCATCATCAAAAGCTGCTTTTGCCAACCTGCAGGCATGGTCAGGGGACTTAAGAATTTCATAGTAGAGCACTTTGGGAGGCCGAGGCGGGTGGATCACGAGGTCAGGAGATCGAGATCATCCTGGCTAACACGGTGAAACCCCGTCTCTACTAAAAATACAAAAAATTAGCCGGGAGCGGTGGTGGGCGCCAGTAGTCCCAGCTACTCGGGAGGCTGAGGCAAGAGAATGGCGTGAACCTGGGAGGCGGAGCTTGCAGTGAGCCGAGATAGCGCCACTGCTCTCCAGCCTGGGTGAAAGAGCAAGACTCCCTCTCAAAACAAAACAAAACACACAAACAAACAAACAGAAAAACAAAGAATTTCGTAGTAGAATAAGGAAAAATTGAGAGCAAGACTTAAGCGAATAGGATGCGCAGGTGGAAGTTCTGTCATAGCAATATCACTAGCAGCTTTATAACCCACTAGGCTGTTCTCCACAGCCTCCTTCCTGTCATTTCCTGTGGCAAATTCTGCCAGATACCTGTGGTAGTCCCCTTTCATTTTATAATAGAAAACCTTGGACTCACCAGTGTTAGCTGCTGGAATGAGGTTTTGTCCAGTACATACAGAAAGTGACAACAGATTAAATTTAGCTCAGTCTCAACCATTTGCTGATATTCCCAAATCATTTTTAGCTTGTCTTCTCCCTTGTTTTCTTCTTTCTGTTCAATGCTGATTATTCTCCAGAAGGCTCTTCTAGCTTCAATCACATTGTTATATGAAACAGATAGGAGGTTTCTTTCTTCAACTGTCAGCTCCACATCCATCCCTGCTACTTTCTTCATTGACTACACTATTTCTTGGAAGATACTGCGGGTTCACTTCCAAAGCACGTTGTATTGCTCAGCCTGCTGGCCTGCTTTGCCTGGTAGCAGATCCTCTATTTTTTTTTTTTTTTTTTTGGAGATGGTCTCGCTCTGTCGCCCAGGCTGGAGTGCATGGCGCCGGCTCACTGCAAGCCCTGCCTCCCAGGTACACGCCATTCTCCTGCCTCAGCCTCCCGAGCAGCTGGGACTACAGGCACCCGCCACCGCTCCCCGCTAATTTTTTGTATTTTTAGTAGAGACGGGGTTTCACCGTGTTAGCCAGGATGGTCTCCTGACCTCGTGATCCGCCTGTTTTGGCCTCCCAAAGTGGTGGGATTGCAGGCATGAGCCACCGCGCCCAGCCACCAGATCCTCTTGATCACCCATAGTGGCAGAGGCTCCCACAGGGTCTGTGCGACGGACGGAAGCAGATAGTGTCTCTGACTCTCTCAGCCTCTGGTTCCATGTCCGGGCAGCAAAAATGGTGGCATCTCAATCTGGGACTTCCACCTGCGCACGCGGACAACTGCTCAGCTCTATGGCAACCGCTCCCTGGCAACTAAGGATTTCTTAAATAATACCACAAAAAAGCATAATCAAGAAGAAACTGATAAACTTCATCAAATTGAGAAACATTTTTTTCAAACACCAAGAAGAATATATAATCTAAGCTGCATAATGAGAGAAAATATTTCAAATTATATATCTTCTTAGGCTCTAGTATCCGGAATATAAACAAAACCAAAACAAAACTCTTATATGTCAAATAAAAGGACAAATTACCAATTAAAAATGGTCAAGGGGCTTGAATATATGTTTTACCAAAGAAGATAGGCAAATTGCTAATATGAACATAAAAATATGCTCAATATAATTTCCTACTAGGAAAATAAAAATCAAATGACAATGAGATAACAATGAACACACTATATTGGCTATGACAAAGAGACAATAACAAGTGTCAGCAAATCTGGAAAGTATGGAATTTCTATGCATTGCAGCTGGAAAGGTAAAATAATGTAGTCATTTTGTAAAACAATTTGGCAGTTCTTCAAAATTTTAAACACAGAATTGCCACATGGCCCAGAAATTTTTCTCCACATATGTATGCAAAGGAAATGAAAATCTAAGTCACACAAAGACTTGCATGTGAATGTTCACAGCAGCAATGTTTATAAGAGCCAAAGGGGAATACCATCCAAATGTCCACCAGCTAGTGAAAAAATATGTGTCATATTTATGCAATAAAATCCTCAGCATTCAAAGGGAATTAAGCAATAATCCATGCTACATTGGAAATAAACCTCAAAAATAGTAAACTAAGTGAAACAAACTAGGTTTCAAAAAGATTATGTAATGTATAATTCCATATATAAAAAGAGTCCATAAAAAGCTCATTGATAGAAAATAAATTAATAGATGTCTAAGGCCTGGGTGATGGTGGAGAGTGAATGAAAACAAGATAGATTTTACTCTGAGATGATGAACATATTTTAAAGTTAGTTGTGACTATTAGTATGTAACTCTGTTAAAATATTAAAAACAGGCTGGGTGCGGTGGCTCATGCCTATAATCCCAGCACTTTGGGAGGCTGAGGCGGGTGGATCATTTGAGACCAAGATTTTGAGACCAGCCTGACCAACATGATGAGACTTCCATCTATACTAAAAGTACAAAAAAATTAGGCTGACGTAGTAACGCATGCCTGTAGTCCCAGCTACTCGGGAGGTTGAGGCAGGAGAATTGCTTGAACCCAGGAGGCAGAAGTTACAGTGAGCCAAGATCCCACCACTGCACTCCAGACTGGGCAACAGAGCAAGACTCTGTCTTAAATAAATAAATAAATAAATAAATACATTGATATTGTACAATTACAATGTCATTGTATTATATAAATTATATCCCATTAAAGCCTATCAAAAATAAACATGCCAAAAGTATTAAAATAGTTTCTGACTTTAAGAAATCCAAGTAACAGACTTTTAACACCAAAGTTATTTCTGCTGATTTAATAAATATTAAAGAAAGAAGAAGATACTTTAAATATCACAAAAGGACACAAGTGCAACCAAAAACATTATAGAGGTTACGTAAGCAAAAAGAAAACAGTTTGTAAGGAGTATTTATGAACAGGAACCATCTGGTTTTACTAGACTAGAAAAGTGAAGTCATTCACAGAAGACTACTGTAACTCACAGATGGTTAGAAACAAGTTATGTCATCATAGAATTAAAACAATTCATTTTAAAAATTAAAAATTAATTAAATTTTTAAATTAAAAAATCATTAAAATTAATTAATTAAAAATATTCAGAGATGCAATCTAATATAAAGTTGGTTGATGGCACCCGTCTCTACAGTTAGAGTAGCCTATTGCTGCACATTCATCACTTCTTCAAAACCAATCTCAATACCCAAATCTGATACTAATCTCTAAATTTATTACTACAATTTATGAGAAGATATCTGCCTATTTTTTAAATTATGTAACATGGCTAATGTTCAGTGTTTGAAGGTTTTTATTAAAAATAACTTAAATTTTTTATTTACAACTCATTATGGAAATTAAAAATGTAAACAAAGATATGGAAATTATACAAAAATTCATGAGTACCCATCACAAGGCTCCAGCCATTATTTTGTCTTTCATTTTCAATTATTAACTCCATATTTTGGTAAAATGTTAAAGTAAATATAAGAATCTGTATTGTTAAATTTGTAGAAATTTTGTAGCTGTAACAATGAAAATATTATTATGATTCCTCATAATTTTTCCTTTTTTGAGACAGAGTCTTGCTCTGTTGCCCAGGCTGGAGTGCAGTGGCATGATCTCTGCTCACTGCAACCTCCGTCTCCCAGGTTCAAGGGATTCTCCTGCCTCAGCCTCCCAAGTAGCTGGGATTACAGGTGCGTGCCACCATGCCCGGCTAATTTTTTGTATTTTTAGTAGAGATGGGGTTTCACCGTGTTAGTCAGGATGGTCTCTAACTCCTGACCTCATAATCTGCCTGCCTTGGCCTCCCAAAGTGCTGGAGTTACAAGCGTGAGCCACTGCACCTGGCCAAAAATATTTTAAAATTTATATTTGTGTGTATATTTATGGGATACATGAGATGTCGATACAGACATGCAATATATAATTATATCATGGGGAATGAAGTATCCACCTCTCAAGCATTTATTCTTTGTGTTACAAATAATCCAATTATACTCTTAGATATAATAAAATGTACAATTAAATTATTATTGACTATAGTCACCTTGTTGTGTTATCAAATACTAGGTCTTTTTCATTTGTTCTAACTACTTTTTGTATTCATTAACTATCCCCGCTTCTTCCCAACCCCCACCACCACCCTCCAGCCTGTAGTAACCATCCTTCTACTCTATTTCCATGAGTTTAATTTTTAGCTTCCACAAATAATTGAGAACATGTAATGTTTGCATTTCTTTCCTGGCTTATTTCACTTATCATAATGACCTGCAGCTCATGTTGTTGCAAATTACTGGATCTCATTCTTCTTTATGATTATGTAGTATTCCATGGTGTATGTACCACATTATCTGGTGTTCTATGTACCTCTTTATCTGGTCTTCTGTTGATGTGCATTTAGGTTGATTCCATGATATTGCTGTTGCGAATAATGGTGCAATGAATATGTGTATACATGTGTCTTTATGATAAAATAATTTATATTTCTTTGGTTATGTACCCAATAATGAAATTGCTCAGTCAAATGGTGCTTCTGTTTGTAGTTCTTTGAGAAATCACCACAGTGCTTTCCACAATGTCTGGACTAATTTACATTCCCATCAGCAGTGTACAAGCATTCCACTTCCACCACAACCTTTGCAGCATCTGTTACCTTTTTGTTTTTTTGAGACCGAATTTCACTCTTGTTGCCCAGGCTGGAGTGCAATGACACAATCTTGGCTCACTGCATCCTCTGCCTCCCAGGTTCAAGCAATTCTCCTGCCTCAGCCTCCTGAGTAACCGAAATTACAGGTGCCCGCCACCATGCCTGGCTAATTTTGTATTTTTAGTAGAGACGGGGTTTCACCATGCTGGCCAGGCTGGTCTTGAAATCCCGACCTCAGGTGATCTGCCCACCTCAGCCTCCCAAAGTGCTGAGATTACAGGCATAAGCCACCACACCAGCTCTTTTTTTTTTTTTTTTTTTTTTTTTTTTTGAGACGAAGTCTCACTCTGTTGCCATGCTGGAGTGTCAGGCGGGAGTGCAACCAGTGGCACGATCTCGGCGGCTCACTGCAACCTCCGCCTCCAGAGTTCAAGTGATTCTCCTGCCTCAGCCTCCCTAGTAGCTGGGACTACAGGTGTGCACCACCACGCCCAGCTGATTTTTGTATTTTTAGTAGAGATGGGGTTTCACCATGTTGGCCAGGATGGTCTCAATCTCCTGACCTTATGATCTACCTGCCTCGGCCTCCCAAAGTGTTGGGATTACAGGTGTGAACCACCATGCCTGGCAGCAGCATCTGTTACCTTTGAACTTTATAACTGGTGTGAGATAGTATCTCATCCACTATCTAATATTTTAAATAATGTGCAAAAAAGGAAACAAAATCAGATTATTCAGTAACAACTGTAACAAAAATTATAGCACATCTGTACAACTTGACATCAAATAATTGTTACATTGCATGGTAGTTGTGAAAACATACATGTAGATTAAATATTTAAAAAAGAAAAGGGGCTCAAGATGGTAAACTAGTGACATTGGATGCCAATTCTCCTTAGAAAGAACAATAAATATTGTGAACTGGTAATTTTACCTCAAACAGAATATCAAGGAAAGAACACTAGAACCTAACTGAGAACTCACGGAGAAAACCTGAGGAACCGAAGGAAAAGGAAGCAAGAGGCCAACTCAGCAGAGAGCTGCTAGGAACCTGGAGGGACTCAGCATTGCTGAGGATGGGTACGTGGGAAATGTTTCCGCAGCCTACATTTCTCCTGTGGACTGCCAGAGTCTGAACTGTGGGAGAGCTCCTTTGTTCTCATAAACCCTGACACTAGCATGGTTGTTGATTTCAAGAACTCTTGAGAGCATAGCACCAGACTGGGGACTTATACTGTGCTACTCACATTCCACCAAGATGCAAGTGGTTGTGTCAGGATGCCACTGGGAAAATGCAGGTATCAGGGGACTGACTCCAGCCCTGTGAACTTCAGTTCCCCTATCTCTGCATCTCAGGAGCTGCCGCTGACATTGGCCAGTGCCAGCTTGGAGGGCTGCAGTGGCACAGAGCTGGCTGGACCCAGGAATGACGCAGTTCCCCAGAAGTTTGGCCCTTACAGAGTGCTGCTCCTGGGAAAGAGGAGAGTTCAGTGAACCGAGAAGGCAAAACTGGGACAAAAATGAAAGCATTGTACTTTCAGAGTCCAAGAGCTGCCTGCTTGGGGACTGTGAAAAGTAATTTTGCTCTCAACAGGTGCGAAAACTGTCTTCAGCTCTGCAAATAAAGAGTGAAATGCCCTCCCACCAGCTGCACAACCTCTGTGCAGCGGCTCAGGCACACAGAATGAGACCCCTCTTCCCCCTTCGCACACCACTGCAGGCACAGTCTCTACTACTGCCACAGGAAGTTGGGGCAGGTGAGCATCTTGAGCTGTGAGTGGTGACTGCAACCCGACTGGCAGCATGGCCTTCAAGCCTAGGCTTAAAAAAAAAAGTCAAAGGTCTGGGCACGGTGGCTTATGTCTGTAATCCCAGCACTTTGGGAGGCCGAGGCGGGTGGATCACGAGGTCAGGAGATCGAGACCAGCCCGACCAACATGGTGAAACACGTCTCTACTAAAAATACAAAAACCAGCTGGGCGTGGTGGCGGGCACCTGTAATCCCAGCTACTCGGGAAGCTGAGGCAGGAGAATCGCTTGAACCCGGGAGGCAGAGGTTGCAGTGAACCGAGATTGTGCCACTGCACTCCAGCCTGGGCGACAGAGCACGACTCCATCTCAAAAAAAAAAAAAAAAAAAAAAAGTCAAGGTCATTCAATGCTGAAGATCTGTGGTCTTCACTGAGAACCAACAGAGCTTGTGTTAAGATAGTTGGTTGTAGAGGACTCTGTGTGCTCTGCCTTTCTCTAGCTGAGTAGTAATGAAAATGGGTTTAGAGGGAAAACACCAGAATTAACAGGGGACTTTAAAAAAGCTAACTAAGGCTGGGTGCAGTGGCTCATGCCTGTAATCCCAGGACTTTGGGAGGCTGAGGCGGGCAGAGTTCGAGACCAGCCTGGCCAATATGGTGAAACTCCGTCTCTACTAAAAATACAAATATTTCCTGACCTCGTCATCCGCCCGCCTACGCCCCGTCTCTACTAAAAATACAAAAAAAATTAGCTGGGCGTGGTGGCGGGCACCTGTAGTCCCAGCTCCTCGGGAGGCTGAGGCAGGAGAATGGCGTGAACCCGGGAGGCGGAGCTTGCAGCGAGCCAACATGGCGCCACTGCACTCCAGCCTGGGCCACAGAGTGAGACTCCGTCTCAGACAAAAAAAAAAAAAAAAAAATATATATATATATATATATATATATATATGTATGTATGTATGTATGTATAGACACACACACACACACACACACACACAAAACTATTAGACGGGCGTAGTGGCGGGCACCTGTAATTCCAGTTACTCAGGAGGCTAAGGCAGGAGAATCACTTGAACCCTGGAGGCGAAGGTTGCAGTGAACCGAAATCGCACCACTGCACTCCAGTCTGCACGTCACAGCAAGACTCCGTCTCAAAAAAAAAAAAAAAAAAAAGCTAACTAATGAGCTCCCTTCCAAACCAACAGAATCGCATTTTCTTACAGTGAGTGAGATCTGGAATACCAAATAATTTATATGCACATGAAAGCTTGAAAGGCAATGCTTAGCTAAGTGGCTCTCACCCTAAACTTCCATTTAAGAGCGTGTGGCCAGTTTGAAGAAATGCCATCCCCTGTGCCCTCGCCACTGCTTCTACCTATTGTTCTGGGTGGAATCGTTCATGTTGTTCTAATTAATTGCCCCATGTGATTCCAAGGTGAGGCCAGGGTAAAGCACACAGGCTCCCAAATCCTTTCAGGAGAGTTGAGTTAAGCTTTTTCCCTGAAGGGAGATCACAGAGGCTGCTCTGCTTGCGTTTGGTAGGGAGCAGGTCAGTTTAGCCCATATTCCCATTGCTGTAACAGAAACCACTGGAGTCTGTGGCAAGGGAGAGTACCACAGGGCAGAAAAATGAGTAAGTCACAGTTTCATCTTTATTTAGCAGGTCATTGTTTCTGAATTCTACAACAAAGGCCAGAAGGAGAGAACATTTTCTGCACTTTAAAGTCCTTCTGCCTGTGGGTGTGGTGGTACCAGGTAAAAAGTTTGTCCTGATGCCTTCAAGGACACATTCTCAAGATGAAGGTGAGATTTGTTCAGTTAATCTCTCCTGAGAAGGAATCAGAGAAAAGAGAAAAAATGGGTGATTCTCAGATAAGTGTCCCAGGTCAAAAAATGTGTCCACTTTTTCTTCTAGGATGTCATGTACCTAGAATTGCAATCATTTCCATTTCTACTTCTGATGTTCCTGCCTAACAAGATTATTTGAACTACTTTTTTCCTTTTCTTCTCATGACAGTGAAAGGACCTCTTTTAAATAATTCTCCCCTCTATACCAGAGCCTTATCTTCATTCTCTCCATCCAGGCTTCTTACATATCACAAATAATTCTTACCTTGAATTTATACTCTGAAATATTGACAGTATTCCCTGTGTTGACAGATCAGTCTGGGCAGGTGGGGATATAAAACATTCTTTTGGGGGATGGTGCTGGGTCCTCAGATATCAGTGAGTGAGAAAAGTCCACTGTTTATGTTCCATCTGGATGCTCCATCAGCTCTATGAAGAACATAACTTTTAAATGAACACTTAAAAAGGATGGAATTAATTGCCTAGGATAATTTGGAAGATAGGAAAAGGGATTAATTTTTACAAATGTGCCTTCTAGGATGCTAAAGAGAGAGCATTTAAATACACTATTAGAAATTACAAAACATGGGAAACATATATGGCTTGAACTTTACATAAAACTGATGTTTTTAATGATTAGATTCAGATTATGGTGTATGATTTTTGGCCAGTAATCTTGCAGAAGTCATGTTGAATCCTCCCGTATGTATCAGCACCTGATACCCATTTGTCCCATTAATTTTATTCACTTGGTTAAGGTGCTCTCTAAAGGATTCCTCCACCATAAAGTTACTTTTTCTTTGAACTCTGTCATTAGCAGTTATCTTGGAGAGACTTTCTGATTAATGTGCATAAACAATCACATTTAATCTAGAAGTGTCCCTTTCTTATTAGTTTCTCTTTGTTTATATCTTGCTTCAGAAAATGAAGCTTGTCAGCATTGTTTACTGGTCTTATACACTGGGATAAAACCCAGGTTCTGTCACTTACTAGATGTTTTACAAAATATTTTTCTTAGCTAGAATCATTGGCATCATTGATGAGTTGTTAGCAATGCAGAAACTCAAGTCTCATCCCAGGTCTCTTGAATTAGAATATGCATTTTAACAAAATCTCCAGTTTATTGATGTACACATTAACAAATGAGCAGTACCTTCTAACTTAATGTGACTTCTCCATATGGGAACTATATACAACTTACTCTGTATAATGTAAATATAGCACTCAAAATTGTATATGCTTGTGTTTATGCCATGAATTGTATGCTGCATCATTCAGAAAACTATAGTACCTACACTGGTTTTGTGGATCTTATTTCATTCTCTTTCCTCAGAATGAGGGAATACATTAGAGAATCATTCTGTATTAAACAGTATCTTATTGGATAATTCAAGTCTCTCGTGTAAAACAGAGCCAACTCTCTTAACTCTCAAACACCTAGAGTCAAATTAGGAATTCTGCCCACGGCCACTTGCTAAATATGTGTGTGTGTCTGTGTTTTTAGAAACTGCGAACATTGAAGGATGCGGCCATAGAATTATCTTAGAAGGAGTGGGAATGTCTGAATCCTGCTCAGTGGAATTTGTATAGGGATGTGATGTTAGAAAACTACAGAAACCTGGTTTCCCTAGGTGAGAATAATTTTTCCCCAGAATTCCTAATACACCCTAAGGTTTCTATTTTCTCCCTTAGTAGAACGGTTTTGGGAGTTTTTGGTCTGCTTAAATTATTTTTAGGTCAGTAATTTTTTTTTTTTTTTTTTGAGACGGAGTCTCGCTGTGACGTGCAGACTGGAGTGCAGTGGCGCGATCTCGGCTCACTGCAAGCTCCGCCTCCCGGGTTCACGCCATCCTCTTGATTCAGCCTCCCGAGTAGCTGGGACTACAGGCGCCCGCCACTACGCCTGGCTAATTTTTTGTATTTTTAGTAGAGACGGGGTTTCACCGTGTTAGCCACGATCGTCTCGATCTTCTGACCTCGTGATCCGCCCGCGTAGCCCTGCCAAAGTGCTGGGATTACAGGCGTGAGCCATCGCGCCCGGCCTAGGTCAGTACTTTTAAGGAAAACTTGAAGGTTTTTTGGAATAAAAGAAGTCTTCAAGATACGTTATCTTAACAGAAACCTTCCCCTTTCTTGAGCTAATCTGTATCCTTCACTCTAGATTAGTAGAAATCTAGAAATTCAGTGGCATAAAATATTGTTGCCCAAATATTGAAATCCAATATTCATCACCAATTTTAAATTCAATAGTGTTGGATAGTAGAGCTGTGGACCCAGAAATGTAAAATATATTTTAAATATTCTAAAGGTTCTGTCAGAAAACACTATTTTGAAATTAATTTTCTAGAATCTTTCATAATATTCTCTCCTCTCTACTGAACATAGTACTAGGTTGGTAATTGGAGAATCCCAGCAAGTCATGTTACTTTTTCTAACAAAACCGGTCTTGCTGTCTCTAACCCTCATCTGATCTGCTGCCTTAAGCAAATAAAAGAGCCCTGGAATGTGAGGAGACGTGAGACAGTAGTCAAATACTAAGATAGGTAAGCATGAATGAAGCAGATAACACAGACCAGAGGTACAAAGGTCAAAAAGAATGCCAGACCTTTAAATGTGATATGGGACACTGCTTCAATGGAAATGTTTCCTAAAAAGCCTTTTTCCCTCTTGCTCTCAAATAGGAGTATCTTCTGTCCCATACCCTTAAATTCTCTAAGGACTCTACTTCCCATTCTGTGATTTTCCTTTGGGATTACCATGAGAGCCAGAGTCTCCTTTATGGCTTATAAGGTACTGCATGATATGCCTGTTCTTCCATTGCTTTGGGGGGATACAAGAATATCTTTATTTTTAAGGAACTGCATATTAGATCATTTTTAAAGTTTTCTTTTTCCATCATGTCTGAAACGTGTGAGAGCAGTGCTGATATTAAGATTTGTTTCAGGAATCTTAGAAACATCAATGACAAAAGTTGCTTGTTATTTCTCTATTTTTTTCTTTCTGATTTTTGCAATCCTAACAGATTTGAAGTGATCGCTCATCATTGTTTTCATTTGCAACTGCCTGATGGTAGGTGATATTGAGCATTCTTTCATATACCTATTTGTATATATTTGTTGACAAAATATTTTGTCAGTCTTCTGTCTATTTTTCAGTTGGATTTCATCATTATTATTATATTTGCCTTTGCTTTGAATTTCTTATATATTTTGAATATTAAATGTATTGTATATATGGTTTGCTCTTGTGAGTGTGAAACAATAAACATGCAAATGTATCTATCATTTTAATATAATAAATTCTTTTTGGGGGTAGATCCCCAGTGATGAGATTTCTGAATCAAATGGTAGTTCTATCCTTAGTTATTTGAAAAATTTCCATTTTTTTATAGAAGTTTCATTAATTTATATGTTTCTGCTGACAGTGTATAGAGTGTTCCCCTTTCTCCACATCTTTGCCAATGTTTATTATGTTTTTTTCTTTTTAATAGTAGCCACTATGGCTAATGTAATATCTCATTGTGGTATTACTTTGTTTCTCTGCTAATTAGTGATATTGATCACTTTAAAAATATGCATGTTGGCTGTGTATGTCTTTTTTGAAAAATGCCTAGTTATTTGCCCATTTTTTAATGCAATTCTTTGTTTTTATTACTATGATGATTTGAGTCATTTGTAAATTCTGAATATTAGTTCCATGTTGGCACATAATTTGCAAATATGTTCTTTTATTCTGTAGGTTGCCTGTTTAACCTGTTGAGTTTTTTTTTTTTTTTGCTGTGCCAAATTTTTTTTAGTTTGAGTCCCATTTGTCTATTTTCCTGTACTTTTTTTTATTGCATGTTTGAGGCTTTAGTCATGAATACTTTGCATAAACCAATGCCCAGAAGAGTTTTTCTTATATCTTCTTTTAGTACTTTTATAGCTTCGGGTCTTACTTTTAATTCTTTAATTCATCTTGAGTTGATTTTTGTATATGGTGAGTGATAGGGGTCTGTTTTTATTCTTCTGTATATGGTAATCCAATTTTCTCAGCACTATTTATTAAACAGGGTATTCTTCCTCTGGTGTATGTTCTGATCAGTTTAGTCAAATATCAGTTGACTGAAGACATGTGACTTTATTTCTGGGTTTTCTATTCTGTTTGCTTAATCTACATGTCTGTTTCTATACCAGTACCATGCTTCTTTGTTTACTATTGTGTTGCAGTATAATTTGAAGTCAGGTAAGTGATGCCTCCAGCTTTGTTCTTTTTGCTTAGGATTGTTTTGCCTCTTTGGGCCCCTTTCTTATAAATTTTATGGTAATTTTTATCTAATTCTGTAAAACATAATGCAGATATTTTGATGGAGATTGCAGTAAATCTGTAGATTGCTTTGGGCAGTATGGTTATTTTACCAATATTAATTCTTTCGATCCATGAGCATGAGATGTTTTCCTTTTTGTGGCATTTACATTTTGTCTAGTCAATGTTTTGTAATTTACCTGTAGAGATCTCTCATATGTTCCTATGTATTTTATTGTTTTTTTGTAGCTATTGTAAAGGAGATTGCCTTCTTGATTTGGTTCTCAGTTGGATCATTGTTTGCGTATAGAAACACAGTGATCTTTTTTATTACTGTTGTATCCATTGTAATGTCTATTATTTCTGATTTTGTTTATTTAGATCTCTCTTATTTTTGCAGTTAGTCTAGCTAGCAATTTATCAATTTTGTCTTTTTGAAGAACTAACTCTTTATTCTGTTGATCATTTGTATTGTTTTTGGTCTTTATTTCATTTGATTCTGTTCTTTGTTATTTTTTTCTTCTTCTAACTTGGAATCTGATTTGTTATTAATTTTCTAGTTTCTTGAAGTGTGATATTAGGTCCTTAATATGTAAGCTTTCTACTTTTTTGATGCAGGCATTTAGTGCTATAAACTGCTGTCTTAGTACTATTTTTGCGGTATCTCACAGGTTTTATTGTATTGTGTTTCTATTTCCAATTTGTTCCTACAAATTTTTACTTTTCATCTTAATTTTTTACTTGAGATGGGGTCTCACTCTGTCACCCAGGCTGGAGTGCAGTGGCACAATCTTGGCTCACTGCAACCTTCACCTCCCAGGCTCAAGCAATCCTCCATCCTCGGCCTCCTGAGTAGCTGGGACCACAGGTGTACACCACCACACCTAGTTATTGTTTTGTATTTTTGGTAGACACAGAGTTTTGCCATGTTTCCCAGCCTAGTCTCAAACTCCTGACTTCAGGTGATCCACCTGCCTCAGCCTCCCAAAGTGCTGGGGTTACAGGTGTGAGCCACCACCCCTGGCTGACCATCTTAATTTCTTAATTGACACGGTGACTGTTTAAGAGTATGTTAATTTCTTTGTAATCTTATAGTTTCTGAAATTCCTCTTGATATTGATTTGTAGTTTTATTCTACTGTGGCCTAAAAGGTAGTTGATATAATTTTGATTTTTGAGGGTACTTTGTTGAGACTTGTTTTATTGCCTACCACATGGTCTATGCTGCAGAATGTTCTATGTTTTGATGACAGGGGTGTATATTTTATGGTTGAGTGAGAAACATGTTCTGTAGATGTCTTTTAGGTCCATTGGGTCTAAAGTCCAATTGAAGTCCAATATTTATTTGCCAACTTTTCTATTTCAATGATCTCTCCAATGCTGTGAGTAGAATTTTATTTTCTCCACTATTAATTGTATTACTGTCTATCTCTTTCTATAGGTTTAGTAATATTTATTCTTTAAATCTGGGTGCTTTGATGTTGGGTGCATATATATTTAGAATTGTTATGTCCTCTTGCTGAATTGATTCTTTATTATTGAATGATTACCTTCTTTATTCTTTGTGTTACTGTTTTTTGTTTAAAGTCTGTTTTGGTTGATATATATATAGATACACCTGTTTGCTTTTGGTTTCTGTTTGTGTTAATATATTCCTCCCTTCACTTTTAGTCTATATGTGTCTTACAAGTAAGGTGAGATTCTTGCAGGCAACATACTATTGGATCAACTTTTCTTATCCGTTTCCTAAATCTATACATTATGCAGAATTTAACTGATTTGTATTCAAGGTTAATATTGATATGTAAGGTTTTGTTTCTGTCATAATGTGTTTTCTAGTTGTTTTATTTTTTCTTTTATCTATTTATATTTGTGGTTTGATAAAATTCTGTCATGTTGTGATTTGATTTTTTTCTTTTTCTGTTTTTTTAAGACGTTTTATACTTTGATATGTTTTAATGATGGTGAATATCAGTCTTTTGTTCTTATATTAGAAATCCCTTGAACATCTCTTGCAGGCTCAGTCTAGTGGTAATCAGTTTCCCCAGCATTTATTTGTCAGGGTAAGACTTTATTTCTTCTTCATTTTTGAAGGTTAATCTAGCTTAATGTAAAATTTTTGGCAGGCAGTTTCTTTTTCTTTCAACTTTAAAAGTGCCATCCCATTCTCTTCTGGCCAGTGAAGTTTCTGTTGAGAGGTCTGCTGTTAGTCTGATGTGGTTTCCTTTATAAATGACTAGATGCTATTTTTTTGCTGATTTTAGAATTATTTCTTTCACTTTGACTTTAGATATTCTGATTATCATATGCCATGACGAACCCCTTTTGCAATGTATTTTTCTGGTGATTGCTGGGCTTCCTGTATATGGATGTCTAACTCTGTTGCTAGACTTGGGAAGTTTTCTTAAACTTTGTTTCCAATTATTTTCTTAAATAAGTTTTCTAAAATGCTGATTTTTTTACCCCTCAAAAACACTGATAATTTGTAACTTTAGTCATTATATTTAGTCCCAAACATCTCAAAGTCTTTGTTCATTCTTTATTCTTTTTGCCTGATTTCTGTCTGAGTAGACCATTTTGAAAGATCTGTTTTCAAGTTCTGAAAATTCATTTTATTCCTCTTCTCATCTATTATTGAATCTTTAAATGTATTTTTTTCCTTCAATAAACCTCCATAATTTTTTAGATTTCTTTTAAAAGATATCTATCTCCTTGATATATTTCTCATTCATTCTCTGTATTTATTTATTATTGTATTGGTTTTCAGATTTCTCTTGCATCTCTTTGAGCTTCTTTAAAATCTTTTTTTTTTAAGTCTTTTAAAGTCTGACATTTCAATGAATTTTTTTTTGTTAGAGTACCGGAGAATTATTGTGTTCTTTTGAACATGTCATAAATCTTGCTTTTTCATGCTTCCTGTGTCTTTATATTGATTCCTGCACATCTGGAGTAACAGTTTCTTCTTTTTATTTTGAATTTACATTCACTGGACGAAGCTTATTTTTTGAAGTTATTACCATGATGTTTATTGCATAGGGCCATTTGGCTTTACTTTTAAGTTTGTGCAGTGGGAAAGACTCTGTATACGTTTCTTGAGTATAAACAAATACACAAACACACACACAAATGCAATGTTTTATTGGCTTAGGAGTCATCTGTTATCTTAGGTTGATTTTCAAAACTGCATCTCAGAAAACAATTAATGTATCTTTGTTGTGTTGGTCATTGAGGTCATTGAGGTCCAGCATACTATGACACCTGACTTAATAGGGTGAGCAGTTAGGATGGGGGTGGAAGATGAGAAATTACTTAATGGTTATGATGTACATTATTTGACTGATGCATGCCCTACAAGCCCTGACCTCACCACTATGGAATATATGCATGTAATTGAATTACACTTGTACCACATACACTTGTATAAATAACTTAAAAAGAACTATTAGAGTTTGCTATCTTGCTTGTTCATAAATACAAATACATTATGGATGTTTCCCATGACATTAACTATTACTGATACAGGAGTTAAAAAGAAATTTTAATTTTAATCAAAAGCAACCCCCAAATTATTTCTTTTCTAACGTAGAGCAGCCTGTAAAATTGAGCTGCACACATACATAAGCAAGATGGAAGCTTGTACAAATAAATGCCGGCAGCTGTGCCAATAGGAAAAGGTGCCACCTGGGGACTAGGCATGTTCAAAAGGGTGGCTCTATCTTCCCTTTCCTTTGTAAACCATGCGTACAGTAAGAAGCAGGCAACATGGTGGCAGGCAACATGGCATCAGCCAGGCAAAGACCCCATTTGCATAATAGAAGAGTGGTGGGGGCAGCCAGCTTTCTCGTGCACTGTGTAAACATCACACCTGGCCCAACCAATCTTTGGGCCCTATGTAAATCAGACACTGCCTCCTCAAGCCAGTCTATAAAATCTGGTGCACTTTGCTGCAGGCCGGAAGTCCACTCGGGCAACCCTCTCCCTCCCAGTAGAGAGAGCTATTCTCCTTTCTCTTTCTTTTGCCTATTAAAGCTCCACTTCTAAACCCACTTCCTGCATGTCCACATACTCAATTTCCTTGGCATGAGACAACAAAACTCAAGTATTTACCCCAAACGACACCGCTTCATTATGTTGTAAGTGATTAATTTATTAGTTAAAATTGCTATGTTAAGAAATATAGGGGAGGAGCCAAGATGGCCGAATAGGAACAGCTCCGGTCTACAGCTCCCAGCGTGAGCAACGCAGAAGACGGGTGATTTCTGCATTTCCATCTGAGGTACCGGGTTCATCTCACTAGGGAGTGCCAGACAGTGGGCGCAGGCCAGTGGGTGTGCGCACCGTGCGCGAGCCGAAGCAGGGCGAGGCATTGCCTCACCTGGGAAGTGCAAGGGGTCAGGGAGTTCCCTTTCCGAGTCAAAGAAAGGGGTGACGGACGCACCTGGAAAATCGGGTCACTCCCACCCGAATACTGCGCTTTTCAGACTGGCTTAAAAAACGGCGCACCACGAGACTATATCCCACACCTGGCTCAGAGGGTCCTATGCCCATGGAATCTCGCTGATTGCTAGCACAGCAGTCTGAGATCAAACTGCAAGGCAGCAGCGAGGCTGGGGGAGGGGAGCCTGCCATTGCCCAGGCTTGCTTAGGTAAACAAAGCAGTCAGGAAGCTCGAACTGGGTGGAGCCCACCACAGCTCAAGGAGGCCTGCCTGCCTCTGTAGGCTCCACCTCTGGGGGCAGGGCACAGACAAACAAAAAGACAGCAGTAACCTCTGCAGACTTAAATGTCCCTGTCTGACAGCTTTGAAGAGAGCAGTGGTTCTCCCAGCACGCAGCTGGAGATCTGAGAACGGGCAGACTACCTCCTCAAGTGGGTCCCTGACCCCTGACCCCCGAGCAGCCTAACTGGGAGGCACCCCCCAGCAGGGGCACACTGACACCTCACACGGCAGGGTATTCCAACAGACCTGCAGCTGAGGGTCCTGTCTGTTAGAAGGAAAACTAACAAACAGGACATCCACGCCGAAAACCCATCTGTACATCACCATCATCAAAGACCAAAAGTAGATAAAACCACAAAGATGGGGAAAAAACAGAACAGAAAAACTGGAAACTCTAAGATGCAGAGCGCCTCTCCTCCTCCAAAGGAACACAGTTCCTCACCAGCAACGGAACAAAGCTGGATGGAGAATGACTTTGACGAGCTGAGAGAAGAAGGTTTCAGACGATCAAATTACTCTGAGCTACGGGAGGACATTCAAACCAAAGGCAAAGAAGTTGAAAACTTTGAAAAAAATTTAGAAAAATGTATAACTAGAATAACCAATACAGAGAAGTGCTTAAAGAAGCTGATGGAGCTGAAAACCAAGGCTCGAGAACTACGTGAAGAATGCAGAAGCCTCAGGAGCCGATGTGATCAACTGGAAGAAAGGGTATCAGCAATGGAAGATGAAATGAATGAAATGAAGTGAGACGGGAAGTTTAGAGAAAAAAGAATAAAAAGAAATGAGCAAAGCCTCCAAGAAATATGGGACTATGTGAAAAAGACCAAATCTACGTCTGATTGGTGTACCTGAAAGTGATGCGGAGAATGGAACCAAGTTGGAAAACACTCTGCAGGATATTACCCAGGAGAACTTCCCCAATCTAGCAAGGCAGGCCAATGTTCAGATTCAGGAAATATAGAGAACGCCACAAAGATACTCCTCGAGAAGAGCAACTCCAAGACACGTAATTGTCAGATTCACCAAAGTTGAAATGAAGGAAAAAATGTTAAGGGCAGCCAGAGAGAAAGGTCGGGTTACCCTCAAAGGGAAGCCCATCAGACTAACAGCGGATCTCTCGGCAGAAACCCTATAAGCCAGAAGAGAGTGGGGGCCAATATTCAACATTCTTAAAGAAAAGAATTTTCAACCCAGAATTTCATATCCAGCCAAACTAAGCTTCATAAGTGAAGGAGAAATAAAATACTTTACAGACAAGCAAATGTTGAGAGATTTTGTCACCACCAGGCCTGCCCTAAAAGAGCTCCTGAAGGAAGCGCTAAACATGGAAAGGAACAACCGGTACCAGCCGCTGCAAAATCATGCCAAAATGTAAAGACCATCGAGACTAGGAAGAAACTGCATCAACTAACGAGCAAAATCACCAGCTAACATCATAATGACAGGATCAAATTCACACATAACAATATTAACTTTAAATGTAAATGGACTAAATTCTCCAATTAAAAGACACAGACTGGCAAGTTGGATAAAGAGTCAAGACCCATCAGTGTGCTGTATTCAGGAAACCCATCTCACGTGCAGAGACACACATAGGCTGAAAATAAAAGGATGGAGGAAGATCTACCAAGCAAATGGAAAACAAAAAAAGGCAGGGGTTGCAATCCTAGTCTCTGATAAAACAGACTTTAAACCAACAAAGATCAAAAGAGACAAAGAAGGCCATTACATAATGGTAAAGGGATCAATTCAACAAGAGGAGCTAACTATCCTAAATATATATGCACCCAATACAGGAGCACCCAGATTCATAAAGCAAGTCCTGAGTGACCCACAAAGAGACTTAGACTCCCACACATTAATAATGGGAGACTTTAACACCCCACTGTCAACATTAGACAGATCAACGAGACAGAAAGTCAACAAGGATACCCAGCAATTGAACTCATCTCTGCACCAAGCGGACCTAATAGACATCTACAGAACTCTCCACCCCAAATCAACAGAATATACGTTTTTTTCAGCACCACACCACACCTATTCTAAAATTGACCACATAGTTGGAAGTAAAGCTCTCCTCAGCAAATGTAAAAGAACAGAAATTATAACAAACTATCTCTCAGACCACAGTGCAGTCAAACTAGAACTCAGGATTAAGAATCTCACTCAAAGCCGCTCAACTACATGGAAACTGAACAACCTGCTCCTGAATGACTACTGGGTACATAACGAAATGAAGGCAGAAATAAAGATGTTCTTTGAAACCAACGAGAACAAAGACACAACATACCAGAATCTCTGGGACGCATTCAAAGCAGTGTGTAGAGGGAAATTTATAGCACTAAATGCCCACAAGAGAAAGCAGGAAAGATCCAAAATTGACACCCTAACATCACAATTAAAAGAACTAGAGAAGCAAGAGCAAACACATTCAAAAGCTAGCAGAAGGCAAGAAATAACTAAAATCAGAGCAGAACTGAAGGAAATAGAGACACAAAAAACCCTTCAAAAAATCAATGAATCCAGGAGCTGGTTTTTTTGAAAGGATCAACAAAATTGATAGACCGCTAGCAAGACTAATAAAGAAAAAAAGAGAGGAGAATCAAATAGACACAATAAAAAATGATAAAGGGGATATCACCACCGATCCCACAGAAATACAAACTACCATCAGAGAATACTACAAACACCTCTACGCAAATAAACTAGAAAATCTAGAAGAAATGGATACATTCCTTGACACATACACTCTCCCAAGACTAAACCAGGAAGAAGTTGAATCTCTGAGTAGGCCAATAACAGGAGCTGAAATTGTGGCAATAATCAATAGTTTACCAACCAAAAAGAGTCCAGGACCAGATGGATTCACAGCTGAATTCTATCAGAGGTACAAGGAGGAACTGGTACCATTCCTTCTGAAACTATTCCAATCAATAGAAAAAGAGGGAATCCTCCCTAACTCATTTTATGAGGCCAGCATCATTCTGATACCAAAGCCGGGCAGAGACACAACCAAAAAAGAGAATTTTAGACCAATATCCTTGATGAACATTGATGCAAAAATCCTCAATAAAATACTGGCAAACCGAATCCAGCAGCACATCAAAAAGCTTATCCACCATGATCAAGTGGGCTTCATCCCTGGGATGCAAGGCTGGTTCAATATACGCAAATCAATAAATGTAATCCAGCATATAAACAGAGCCAAAGACAAAAACCACATGATTATCTCAATAGATGCAGAAAAAGCCTTTGACAAAATTCAACAACCCTTCATGCTAAAAACTCTCGATAAATTAGGTATTGATGGGACGTATTTCAAAATAATAAGAGCTATCTATGACAAACCCACAGCCAATATCATACTGAATGGGCAAAAACTGGAAGCATTCCCTTTGAAAACTGGCACAAGACAGGGATGCCCTCTCTCACCGCTCCTATTCAACATAGTGTTGGAAGTTCTGGCCAGGGCAATCAGGCAGGAGAGGGAAATAAAGGGTATTCAATTAGGAAAAGAGGAAGTCAAATTGTCCCTGTTTGCAGACGACATGATTGTTTATCTAGAAAACCCCATCGTCTCAGCCCAAAATCTCCTTAAGCTGATAAGCAACTTCAGCAAAGTCTCAGGATACAAAATCAATGTACAAAAATCACAAGCATTCTTATACACCAACAACAGACAAACAGAGAGCCAAATCATGAGTGAACTCCCATTCACAATTGCTTCAAAGAGAATAAAATACCTAGGAATCCAACTTACAAGGGATGTGAAGGACCTCTTCAAGGAGAACTACAAACCACTGCTCAAGGAAATAAAAGAGGATACAAACAAATGGAAGAACATTCCATGCTCATGGGTAGGAAGAATCAATATCGTGAAAATGGCCATACTGCCCAAGGTAATTTACAGATTCAATGCCATCCCCATCAAGCTACCAATGACTTTCTTCACAGAATTGGAAAAAACTACTTTAAAGTTCATATGGAACCAAAAAAGAGCCCGCATCGCCAAGTCAATCCTAAGCCAAAAGAACAAAGCTGGAGGCATCACACTACCTGACTTCAAACTATACTACAAGGCTACAGTAACCAAAACAGCATGGTACTGATACCAAAACAGAGATATAGATCAATGGAACAGAACAGAGCCCTCAGAAATAACGCCGCATACCTACAACTATCTGATCTTTGACAAACCTGAGAAAAACAAGCAATGGGGAAAGGATTCCCTATTTAATAAATGGTGCTGGGAAAACTGGCTAGCCATATGTAGAAAGCTGAAACTGGATCCCTTCCTTACACCTTATACAAAAATCAATTCAAGATGGATTAAAGATTTAAACGTTAGACCTAAAACCATAAAAACCCTAGAAGAAAACCTAGGCATTACCATTCAGGACATAGGCGTGGGCAAGGACTTCATTTCCAAAACACCAAAAGCAATGGCAACAAAAGCCAAAATTGACAAATGGGACCTAATTAAACTAAAGAGCTTCTGCACAGCAAAAGAAACTACCATCAGAGTGAACAGGCAACCTACAACATGGGAGAAAATTTTCGCAACCTACTCATCTGACAAAGGGCTAATATCCAGAATCTACAATGAACTCAAACAAATTTACAAGAAAAAAACAAACAACCCCATCAAAAAGTGGGCGAAGGACATGAACAGACACTTCTCAAAAGAAGACATTTATGCAGCCAAAAAATACATGAAAAAATGCTCATCATCACTGGCCATCAGAGAAATGCAAATCAAAACCACTATGAGATACCATCTCACACCAGTTAGAATGGCAATCATTAAAAAGTCAGGAAACAACAGGTGCTGGAGAGGATGTGGAGAAATAGGAACACTTTTACACTGTTGGTGGGACTGTAAACTAGTTCAACCATTGTGGAAGTCAGTGTGGCGATTCCTCAGGGATCTAGAACTAGAAATACCATTTGACCCAGCCATCCCATTACTGGGTATATACCCAAATGACTATAAATCATGCTGCTATAAAGACACATGCACACTTATGTTTATTGTGGCATTATTCACAATAGCAAAGACTTGGAACCAAGCCAAATGTCCAACAATGATAGACTGGATTAAGAAAATGTGGCACATATACACCATGGAATACTATGCAGCCATAAAAAATGATGAGTTCATGTCCTTTGTAGGGACATGGATGAAATTGGAAACCATCATTCTCAGTAAACTATCGCAAGAACAAAAAACCAAACACCGCATATTCTCACTCATAGGTGGGAATTGAACAATGAGATCACATGGTCACAGGAAGGGGAATATCACACTCTGGGGACTGTGGTGGGGTGGGGGGAAGGGGGAGGGGTAGCATTGGGAGATATACCTAATGCTAGATGACGAGTTAGTGGGTGCAGCGCACCAGCATGGCACATGTATACATATGTAACTAACCTGCACAATGTGCACATGTACCCTAAAACTTAAAGTATAATAAAAAAAAAAAAGAAATATAGCACATTTTAAGGCTGCTGATGCACAGTGCAATAACTGCCATATACAAGTATGACACCAATTTATACTAGGAGCTCAGGTGCAGTGGCTCACGCCTGTAATGCCAGCACTTTAGGATCCCGGGGGCAGGTGGATCACTTGAAGTCAGGAGTTTGAGATCAGCCTGACCCAAATGGCAAAACCCCATTTCTACTAAAAATACAAACTTTTTTTTTTAGTAGAAAAAAAACATTTATATTAGTGGGCATGGTGGCACACTCCTTTAACCCTG
Organism: Homo sapiens; assembly: GCF_000001405.40. Classification (NCBI taxonomy): domain Eukaryota; kingdom Metazoa; phylum Chordata; class Mammalia; order Primates; family Hominidae; genus Homo; species Homo sapiens. The sequence goes on from NC_000007.14 coordinate 56,591,103, forward strand.
TAAGGGTGAGTCAAGAGAATCACTTGAACCCAGGAGGCAGAGGATGCAGTGAGTTGAGATCACACCACTCCAGCCTAGGTGATAGAGCGAGACTTCTTCTCAAAAAAAAAAAAAAAAAGAGTATTACAAAACTCTTGTTTCCTTACACTTACCATTTATGAATAGTTTAATGAAATATGTTATTTTTAGAAACATGTTTCATTTTGGTATGTAAAAAACTGGCATCTCATTAATTTGATATGCATTTTAGTAACTATTTAGTTAACTTGGTTTTATATATGTTTAGTGTACTACTTTTTGAATTGCCTAATCATGTCTTCTGCTTATTTTGCTATTCAATTATTTAACGTTTTACTGATTCATATGAGCTCCCCATTATAGTAACCACTTGTCCAAAATTATATATATATATATATCTCCATTGGATTCCAGTGTTCATTCTCAATGTTTTTGAGAGAAAAGGAGTTCCTCCCTTCTAAAGATTTCCACTCTCTAAAGAGCTTAAATAATTACCAATTACTAAAACACAATTAGGGAAGTTTAAACATTGTCTAATTGAACTTTATTTGTGGAAAATAAATGTTCTCACCTTTCCATTATTATTTAACCATGTATAGAAAGGAGCCCATACATTCTGGGCTGATAAATTTCTCTTTTAAAAAAGGGAAAATGTATTCTGTCAAAGAGGGTACCAAATTCCAAGTTCACACTGCACTTTGCTAAACACATTGCCTTTGTGTTGGCTGTGTTCTCTCTGAAACACAGAGCTGCTCACATCACGGCCTTGTTCCAAAACATTTGATGGCTTATAGCAGCCAACACAACCGATCCCCCATTCATTTTTCCAAGGTCAACACCTCTTACTATCACAACTCTATACAATATTTCCAAACTCTACTCTCTACTCACACTCCACTTCTTGTCCTACTCTGTCCTCGAATAAGCCTCATATTTTTATACTCCAAGGCCTATACTTAAACTGTTTTTTTTTTCCTAAATGTACATTTTCCCTGTCCCACATCTTTCTCCTCCACATGGCAAACCCTGCACATTTGAGGGCATCACTTTCTCTTTCCACTTGAATGGTCTCCACTTGTTCTTGCTGGTTGTGAGGCACTGGTGAGTTTTAGAACTAGAACCATATTTTATCCATCTTTGCAGTTCTAGAGCCTTGCACCAGGGGTAATTGTCAAAAAATGGTTCCCAATGCAAGCTTGCTGATGGTGATATTCAACAGATGAGAAAATGAGCCAGAATGCCTGTCTACTAATCCAGATTGCTTTTCACTATTATTTTGCTAAAACTCCCCCATTGTCATCAGCAAAATAACAATGATAATAATGATACTAGTACTAAATACACAAGATAAGTCAGTTATAACTGAGCTGGTAGCATGCATGACTTAAATTCTCTATTTACTGCTAGTTTCAAAATAGTCCTTATCCACAGATAGGAAAAAACAGGAAACAGACCCTCAAGTGCCTATCACAATGCAAACTCTTCCAATTCTAAAACTTGTTCAGGCATGTTCATAAAATAAACGAGGCACACTGGTGACCCCCATCTCAGACACACTCTAAGAGAGATAGAAGGTCTTCCTCTCACTGTCCTCCACTATACGTGACTCCTCCTGCTTCAAAAACAACAACAAAATAATATCTCCCAGAGGCTATCACACTTGAACTTGGACAAATTTTTAGATTTGATTAGTAATTAGGTCAATACAGTTGTTGCCCTTACTTGACCCATATCACATGTTATAAACCTCTTGGGATCATCCCAATACAAATTCTGAGGCAAAACTTTGAGTTTCTTATTATGTAAGATCACAATAACCTCTTATAACATAAAACAATGGACCTGTTCTCAAGGCATTGGCCCTACCCAAACAAAACTAAATTTCCCACACACTTATAAAGTTTACAGCTTCAAATCTCTTCAAAAGTAGGCTATATATGAGTCTTTGAACAGGGCTGAGCACTTTCAGTGAGGTTAAAAGTCAGTGTCCACAGGGAAGGTTTTGAAAGACAAGGAGAGTCCCCCACTATCCACCACACAGAAGACCATTAGAATGTTAGAGTCCACGCCCACTTCTCCACTTCTAGGACATCTCCCACCATGTGAAAGACCATCTCCATTCCACACTCTAGCCTTTCCAATCAGAGCAGGGTAAAAATTCAGTCTTTGGCAGGACTTGTCCAAGGTTTCACTCTAGTTTGCCACTGGATCTCACTCTGCCAGCCTTCTGCTTTAGTATCTTGTTGACCTCCCCATTTCTAAGGGCACACAAATCCCAGTCAGTTCTTTCATGTACTAACACCACCTCTGCAAGCCCCTCACTCCACAAAACATCCCTCTCACTTCCTGACCATCACAGAAGTAAAGGTCTAACTTATGTTTTCAAATACTAGTAGAATGTGCTGTAATCTATTTCTGGAAGCCAGAACCCTGTGCTGGCACACTTCTTTTTCTCTCTTGGTGTGTCCATCTTTTCCCTTGATGTGCCTCATAGGGAGGACTCTGCACACAGGAGGTTATCAGTTAGTGTTTGCTTGGTGAATGGATCATGACTCTATGGCGGGTAGTCTGGAAAGGGTCAGAAGCACAACCCTGGAGACACACTTAACAGTTTGAGTTCTAATAGCTGGCTGCCTCTCTGGGTCTCTTTCCTCATCTGAATCCTGAGGATAATAATTACATCTACATCTCTGTGTTAAGGAGTTGTTGTGGTGAATGAATGAGATGATGCATGAAAAAAAATTAGGATGCTGGTAGCTAGCACTCAATAATCATTAGATCTTCTGACTTCTGCTCCTACTGCTATCATGCTGAGTGTGTTTCTACATAAAAAAAGCTAACAACAAACAAAGGGTAAAAATTAAAGTATGAGTTTAGATTCTTGACTTGTCAAACTGGAGACCTACTGGGGTAATAAGTCTAGCACAGGAAGAAGAGAAAATGAAATACTTTATTTCTGGTTTATCTGATTTAAAGCAAATACAGGCAGGTCTGGTTAAAAAATGCTTTTCATCAAAGTTTGTCTGTAACTAGGATGTTGTAGGTTAAACTTATTTAAAAGTAGTCTAGACAGATTCATTTGTAATATAAGCATGTCATAGTTTCTGGCGTTTAGGACTGGATTTCTGTTTGTTTGTCCAATTATTGATTTTTGAGATGGAGCCTCACTCTGTCACCCAGGCTGGAGTACAGTGGCATGATCTCGGCTCACTGCAACCTCTGCCTCCTGGGTTCAAGTAATTCTTCTGCCTCAGCCTCCTGAGTAGCTGGGATTACAGGCACCTGCCGCCACATCTAGGTAATTTTTGTATTTTTAGTAGAGATGGGGTTTTGTCACGTTGGCCAGGCTGGTCTTGAACTCTTGACCTCAGGTGATCCACCTGCCTCGGCCTCCCAGAGTTCTGGGATTACAAGTGTGAGCCACTGTGCCTGGCCAGGATTTCTGGTTTTTTTTAGTTTTCTGAAGAGACACAAAAGACAGCACTAGCTACTATCAGACCTCCTAGAGACAAGCTGGTCCAATGAGCTTTTACACAATTTCATTTACTGCTGGGCATGGTGGCTCATGTCTGTAATCCCAGCACTTTGGGAGGCCGAAGCAGGTGGATCACCTGAGTTTAGGAGTTTGAAATCAGCCTGGCCAACATGGTGAAACCCCATCTCTACTAAAAATACAAAACTTAGCTAGGCGTGGTGGTGGATGCCTGTAATCCCAGCTGCTTGGGAGACTGAGGCAGGAGAATCGCTTGAACCCAGGAGGCGGAGGTTGCTGTGAGCCAAGATCACCCCACTGCACTCCAGCCTGGGCGACAGAATGAGACTCTGTCTCAAAAAAAAAAAAATCACTTACTGTAAAGATAGTAATGTAATAAATCAGAATCTATAAACATAATAATTTGATCAGTGCTAACCACTCCACTTTCCCAATATACATATACTTCTCCCTTTTTCTTGAGCATATATCCCAATGCCACATTCTTAGCAAGATGACAGTGGGTTTTTTTGTTTGTTTTTGTTTTTGTTTTTTTTTGAAATGGAGTCTCAGTCTGTCACCCAGACTGGAGTGCAGGGGTGTGATCTCCGCTTACTGCAACCTCTGCCTCCCATGTTCAATTGATTCTCCTGCCTCAGCCTCACGAGTAGCTGGGATTGCAGGTGTGCACCACCATGCCTGGCTAATTTTTTGTATTTTTAGTAGAGATGGGGTTTCGCCATGTTAGTCAGGCTGGTCTTGAACTCCTGACCTCAAGTGATTCACCTGCCTCTGCCTCCCAAAGTGCTGAGATTACAGGCATGAGCCACCGCACCTAACCAACAGTGGTTTTGAGTGTGCAAAGAATGAGCATATCACAGACATGCTTAAGACACATTACATGGCCTGGCTTACCTGATACAATTTTTAATTTCTCTAAAGTAAACTCACTAAAATTTGAAAACATATATTTCTTTAGCAACTTATTTCATTAATTTTCTCAGGGACTTTACGGAAAACATATTCAACTTTCATTCATTTAATCTTACCGCAATAGATGATCTAACATATTTAGAAGACAGAGTATATAAGGTGTGCCCATACCCAAAGCATAGAAAACTCAACACACCAGGGCCTTGAGGAAGCCAACACTAGAACAGTACAAATACACAATTTTCCCTAAAATGGAGAGACTAGTGCTCACTGGGGCCCAAAGGGATGTTCAGGTTGCATCTGTCAGGATTGACACCATAAAAGAGAACTTTCTTTGGAGCACAGTGGGGCTTACTTGAGGTTTTGGTGAGTCATTTGGATGACATCAGAGACAAGCATTACCCCAAATGAGAGTCACGTTAAGACTTCCATGTGAGATTGTCTTAGAGGATTGTGGCCCAGTTCACACATAAGAGGATGGCTGTGCAGCCCAGGGAGACAGATATCTTCTCTCAGGAGCAGAAATCTTCATGTAAAAGATGGCCACTTGCTGAGTAGTTGAAGCACGCCCTGATGGAACTCTCTGGGGGTCAGATTGCACACTGTCTCTTGAGTTGCATAAAGCACAGAACAACATGTCTGCACTCCAGCTTCTAGCATTTACCAACTCGGCAGAAAACACATCATTGTCTATCTCATTCCAGAAAGATCTTATTTGCCGGGGGAAAAAAAAGTGAATTAGGCCAGGTGCGGTGGCTCACGCCTGTAATCCCAGCACTTTGGGAGGCCGAGGCAGGCGGATCATGAGGTCAGGAGTTCGAGATCAGCCTGGCCAACATGGTTGAAACCCCGTCTTTACTGAAAATACAAAAATTAGCTGGGCGTGGTGGTGGGTGCCTGTAATTCCAGCTACTCAGGAGGCTGAGGCAGAAGAATCACTTGAACCCAGGAGGCAGAGGTTGCAGTGAGCTAAGATCACACCACTGCACTCTAGCCTGGGTGACAGAGCAAGACTCTGTCTCAAAAAAAAAAAAAAAAAAAGTGAATGAATATAGTAGGAACCCAAGGACTGTCTAAGGGTAGGTAGTAAGTCTGCCATCACCAGAAGTATTTAAATGCTGGCTAGACAATCACACTGTGGGAATAAGTTTCACTCTTTGTAAAAGGGGTAAATCTTTTTCTTTGGCACCCACAGATCTAGTGAAGATCTTAGCATACAGTAGATACACAGCAACTTTTGTTTACTAAATAAACTTTATTTTCATACAGATTACTGGTAAGCAAAATATTGATATAACTCTAAGACATTAAGGATATCAGAAGACCATTCATGTTCTTTATGGGGTTCCAATTAAGAAATAAGTTGAAAAATCAGGCAAAGAAAGGAGTTCTGATGCTCCTAAGTAGCATCAGAACTATTCTGATGGACTTAAGCCATTGTAAGAGTCCCAGTTTGATTCCTACCAAAAGTCTCTTTCCATGAACATTATGCTTACAATCAGACAGATATAAAGCACCACTAAAGCAAACACAAACTCAAACACTCTTAAAATTTAGGTGTACATCTCATTTGAAAATTATTCAAAAGCGAGACTTAGGAAGACTGGTTGATGCATTTGGGTTGTAGCTAGGCTTTTTCTTTTCTTTCTCTTTTAAAACATATCTAGGACAAGGAAAAACAAGCCTCGGATCTGATTTTTCACTCCTTGTTCTTGTGCTTGGTTCTTTCTGTGTTTGTGTATTTTAAAGGTGAGAAGATGAGAGCAACAAAACCAGCTGGATCCATCCATCACCATGGGTGGTTTTAATTTCTCGTTCTTCTCGTTAATTTTTTTAAACAACCATTCTTCACAATGAACAAACTGTATATCGGAAACCTCCACGAGAACGCCGTCCCCTTGGACCTAGAAAGTATCTTCAAGGACGCCAAGATCCCAGTGTTGGGATCCTTCCTGGTGAAGACTGGCTATGCGTTCATGGACTGCCCAGAGGAGAGCTGGGCCCTCAAGGCCATCAAGGTGCTTTCAGGAATTGACGCTGTATAATCCAGAACGCACCATTACAGTTAAAGGCAATGTTGAGGCATGTGCCAAAGCTGAGGAAGAGATCATGAAGCAAATAAGGGAGTCATATGAAAATGATATTGCTTCTATGGATCTTCAAGCACATTTAATTCCTGGATTAAATCTGAACGCCTTGGGTCTGTTCCCACCCACTTCAGGGATGCCACCTCCCACCTCAGGGCAGCCTTCAGCCATGACTCCTACCTACCCGCAGTTTGAGCAATCAGAAACGGAGACTGTTCATCTGTTTATCCAGGCTCTATCAGTCGGTGTCATCATCGGCAAGCAGGGCCAAGCACATCAAGCAGCTTTCTCGCTTTGCCGGAGCTTCAATTAACATTGCTCCAGCAGAAGCACCAGATGCTAAAGTGAGGATGGTAATGATCACTGGACCACCAGAGGCTCACTTCAAGGCTCAGGGAAGAATTTATGGAAAAACTAAAGAAGAAAATTTTGTTAGTCCTAAAGAAGAGGTTAAACTTGAAGCTTATATCACAGTGTCATCCTTTGTTGCTGGCGGAGTTATTGGAAAAGGAGGCAAAACGGTGAATAAACTTCAGAATTTGTCAAGTGCAGAAGTTGCTGTCCCTCATGACCAGACACCTGATGAGAATGACCAAGTGGTTGTCAAAATAACTGGTCACTTCTATGCTTGCCAGGTTGCTCAGAGAAAAATTCAGGCAATTCTGACTGAGGTAAAACAGCACAACAGCAGAAGGCTCTGCAAAGTGGACCACCTCAGTCAAGATGGAAGTAAAGACTCAGGAAACAGCCCACCACAGAGGCAGATGGCAAACAAAAGACAGATTGCTTAACCAACAGACAGGCGCTGACCCCCTATCCAGAATCACATGCACAAGTTTTTACCTAGCCAGTTGTTTCTGAGGACCAGGCAACTTTTGAACTCCTGTCTCTGTGAGAATGTATACTTTATGCTCTCCGAAATGTATGACACCCAGCTTTAAAACAAAACAAAAAGAGGGTGGGGGAGGGAGGGAAAGAGAAGAGCTCTGCACTTCCCTTTGTTGTAGTCTCACAGTATAACAAATATTCTAATTCTTAATATTCCCCCATAATTCCAGAAATTGGCTTACTGATGCTTTCACTAAATTCAAGTAGATTGCTCCTAAATTCAATTGTTAAAATTGGATCAGAATAATTATCACAAGAACTTAAATGTTAAGTCATTAGCATAGAAAAACTGTTCTCAGTTTTATTTTTACCTAACACTGACATGAGTAACCTAAGGGAAGTGCTGAATGGTGTTGGCAGGTGTATTAAACATGCATTTTTATTCAACTACCTCAGGTATTCAGTAATACAATGAAAAGCAAAATTGTCCCTATTGGGCGAAATTCATCCCCGATATTTCATGTAGGTTGTTTTCTATTTTCCCTAAGTGTCAGCTGGTCTGAGAAATAAAGGGACAGAGTACAAAAGAGAGAAATTTTAAAGCTAGGTGCCCGGGGGAGACATCACATGTCAGCAGGTTCTGTGATGCCCCGAGCTGTAAAACCAACAATTTTTTATTAGTGATTTTCAAAAGGGGAGGGAGTGTATGAATAGGGTGTGGGTCACAGAGATCACATGCTTCACAAGGTAATAAGATATCACAAGGTAAATGGAGGCAGGGCGAGATCACAGGACCACAGGACTGGGGCGAAATTAAAATTGCTAATGAAGTTTCAGGCAGGCATTGTCATTGATAACATCTTATCAGGAAACAGGGTTTGAGAGCAGACAACCGGTCCGACCAAAATTTATTAGGCGGGAGTTGCCTCGTCCTAATAAGCCTGGGAATGCTACGGGAGACTGGGGCTTATTTCATCCCTACAGCTACGACCATAAAAGACAGCCGCCTCCAAAGCCCTCAGGGACACATTTTCTTTCTCAGGGATGTTCCTTGCTGAGAAAAAGAATTCAGTGGTATTTCTCCCATTTGCTTTGAAAGAAGAGAAATATGGCTCTGTTCCACCCAGCTCACCAGCAGTCAGAGTTTAAGGTTATCTCTCTTGTTCCCTGAACATTGCTGTTATCCTGTTCTTTTTTCAAGGTGCCCAGATTTCATATTGTTCAAACACACATGCTGTACAAACAATTTGTGCAGTTAACACAATCATCACAGGGTCCTGAGGTGACATACATCCTCCTCAGCTTATGAAGATGATGAGATTAAGAGATTAAAGACATAGGAAATCACAAGGGTATTGATTGGGGAAGTGATAAGTGTCCATGAAATCTTCAAAATTTATGTTCAGAGATTGCAGTAAAGACAGGCATAAGAAATTATAAAAGTATTAATTTGGGGAACTAATAAATGTCCATGAAATCTTCACAATTTATGTTCTTCTGCATGGTTTCAGCCGGTCCCTCCATCTGGGGTCCCTGACTTCCGGCAACAGTTCCTTAATTTTTGAAAATTTTATATACTTTATAATGATAGAAGTCCAATCATTTTTTAAAAAATAAATTTAAAATGTAACAGAATCAGCTAACAGGCAAATTAAGAATTTTACTTCTGGCTGATGACAGTAAAGCTGGAAAATTAATTTCAGGGTTTTTTGAGGCTTTTGACACAGTTATTAAAAAATCAAATGTTCAAAGATATGGAGCAGTGCCTAATATCTGGAGAGCAGCAATACCATTTATTCTTTCATTTATAGTTGAAAACGTTGTTGATGGTACTAACAAAGTGGTGGCAGGAGGCTTTGGAACGGCTGGTTTAAATGGCTTTAGGAGACTTCAGTTTTTTGTTTAGCTACATGATTGAATGCATAATAAATGCTGTGTGTTTTTGACCCTTAATACCTAGAGAAAGTGCATCATTGAAGAGATGCAGGACTTTCAACTGATTGGCAAAAAGCAAGCTTTAGCTTGTCTTACAGGTTGCTTAGTTTGCCAGTACACTTCAGACCAATGGGACAGTCATAGATGGTGTGACAGTGTTTAAAGGCAACAAAAGGCACATCTCCATGTGGCTGGCACTGTCATGAGCCTCACTAAACTATTTTGAAGATTTTTAAGCAATGATAAATTTTAAAAAAATTAGACTCTGCCTAAAGTAGTATATAAAGTATAGCAGGATTTCTGTATACTCTGCAATCAGTTCTTTTTTTAAAAAAGTCAAAAGGTAGAGAATACAAGAAAAGTTTTTGGGATATAATTGGAATGACTGTGAAAACATGACCTTTGATACTGAACTCATTTGCTCACTCCTTAACTGGACAGCAAAGTCCAGTATGTACAATTGTGTTGGGTGTGGGTGGTCTCCAAGGCCACACTACTCTCTGAATTGACTTTGAGTTTTGTTTGTAAGATGATCACAGTCATGTTACACTGACCTGAAGGATATATATCCCTTTAAAAAAATCACTCTGCCTCATTCTTATTTCAAGATGAATTTCTATACAGACTAGATATGTTTTTCTGAAGATCATATCAATTAGACATTTTGAAAATGATTTAAAATGTTTTCCTTAATGTTCTCAGAAAACAAGTTTCTTTTGTAGTTTTAATCAAAAAAGTGCCCTTTTTGTCACTGGATTCACCTAGCATTCATAATTTTTTTTCATACAATGAATTAAAATTACTAAAATCATGGACTGGCTTTCTGGTTGGATTTCAGGTGAGATGTGTTTAAGGCCAGAGCTTTTCTCAATATTTGATTTTTTCCCCCAATATTTGATTTTAAAAAAATATACACATAGTTGCTGCATTTATATCTGCTGGTTTAAATTCTATTATATTTCACTTATAGCCTTTTAGTATGGCAAATGATATTTTACTTTTACTTAAGCATTTGTAATTTGGAGTATCTGGTACTAGCTAAGAAATAATTCTATAATTGAGTTTTGTACTCATCATATATGGATCATTCCTCATCTATAATGTGCCCCAAATGCAGCTTCATTTTCCAGATACCTTGACGCAGGATAAAGTTTTTCATCATTTAGGTGCCAAAAAAAAAGAAAAGAAAACTATTCAAAAGCTCAGGCAATCTATAAGAAATCTTTTCTTTGCCTCTTAGTATCAAGAAATTAAAAAGAAAGGAGAAAAAGAAGTGGGTAGGAGGAAACCATTTAATTATTTTAACAGGTAAGATAATAACATTGATTTTTCTCTGTTACATAAGAACTTTTCATGCTTCATCCATGCCAGGTACATAATTTTTAACCAACTAAAACACATTACAAGTAAAGAAAAAGCTAAAAACATAAAAAACATGTACATAACTCTTTAAAGGGTAGGGAACATGCCCTGTTCATAAACATTGCTTAATCCAGCATTCCAATATCAGTGAGGCATCAGCATCCACCCAGCTATAAAAGCCAAGATCAGAAAGTCATCCAGCACTTCTCAACACCATTCCATTAGCAAGTTTTTCCTACCTCTTCTATCAAATCCATCTGACCTCCCATCTTTACTGCCTCAATACTCTAAGCCACCACTGCTTTTCAAAGTTTTCATAAACTAGCCTTCTAACTGATCTTCCAAAGAGAAGGCCAATTATTATTTCCTCTTACAAGGTCCATTTTCTACTCTGGGTAAAAATAGTCCTTAACATGTAAATCTCATCATGCTGCTTTTTTTTTTTTTTTTTTTTTTTTTAGGTGCAATTTCCCTCTTGTTGCCCAGGCTGGAGTGCGATGGCATGATCTTGGCTCACTGCAACTTCTGCCTCCCGGGTTCAAGTGATTCTCCTGCCTCAGTCTCCTAAGTAGCTGGGATTACAAGCATGCGCCACCATGCCTGGCTAATTTTGTATTTTTAGTAGTGATGGGGTTTTTCTATGTTGGTCAGGCTGGTCTCAAACTCCTGACATCAGCTGATCCGTCTGCCTCGGCCTCTCAAAGTGCTGGGATTACAGGCTTAAGCCACCGCACCTGGCTGATAATCATGCTGCTTTTTGGCCCAACACTTTTCACAGCTTTCCAGAGTTCTTACAAGCCTGCTCTAGTCCCTACCTTCTTCACCATTCCTGTCATTTACTTCATTCAGTGTTTTTTTCTTGTTCCAAACACACTGTACTTCTCTCACTTCCCTGGACACGTCCACCTTTTCAACCTTAGGGCTTCTGTACCAGCTGTTCTCGGAAGCATTCTTTACCTCCTGTCACCCATCCCTCAGATATTAGTTAAAATGTCACTTCCACGGGATGCCTTCCTTCACCTGCATCCCAGCACATACTTAACTTTTAGCAGTTAACACAGATATAAATAACCTCTTCATGGCTGGATGAGTCTCTTTCAATGTGACATATCATCTATGAGACTAGCAACTGTCTTATCTTTATACCAGTCTGTGGCCCAGGGGTTGGAGACCCCTGATGTAGGGCAGTTGCATTTATTACCAGTGCACCTATGTTGTATAGTGCCTGGCATACACCAGGTAGCCAATAAACAGCTATTGATCAAATGCAGGACTAATACGGTAAGACTTATTTTTTCTCTTAAAAAAGAAAAAAATGCTTTAGATAAAGGCCACATGGTGTACCTGTGTCAGATGCAAATAAGACCTCAGGAGTCTGCCTGAAGAAACTTAAAATAAAAGATCCTTTCATCAAAAGGTTACTTGTTGGATGGTGTAACAAGTTAGGAATGGGTGCAGCACCTGTACCAGCTCAGTGAGATTCATGTTCCCATCACATAACAAACACGTGTCTGCCATAAGGGCTTAGAGTGTGAATTTCTGATGAGAAATAAAATGGTATCTAGAAAACCCCAGAGAGGGTTCCTCCCCTGGCTCATGGGGAGGCAGGCTCGGCCGGGCCCGCGGAGCTGCAGCAGTCCTTAGCGCCCTCCTCGCCCTCCCCACTGACATCATGCTCCAGTTCCTGCTTGGATTTACATTGGGCAATGTGGTTGGAATATATCTGGCTCAGAACTATGACATACCAAACCTGGCTAAAAAACTTGAAGAAATTAAAAAGGACTTGGATGCCAAGAAGAAACTCCCTAGTTCATGAGACTGCCTCCAGCACTGCCTTCGGGATATGCTGATTCTACTGCTCTTGAGGGCCTCCTTTACCATCTGAACTAAAAGTTTTTGTTTTTATCTCCAGCCTCAGTGCTCCTCTTCTTTGCTAGACTCTGTGTTTTTTGCTTTAGCGCAAGCAAAATGGGGCCCCAATTTGAGAACTACCCTACATTTCCAACATACTCACCTCTTCCCATACTCCCTTTCTAACTGCATGGGAGGTTCTAAGACTGGAATTATGGTGTTAGATTAGTAAACATGACTTTTAATGAGTAGTATCTTCTTTATTGTTTCCGATTTTTACTACATTTTGTCAAGAGAAAAATTAATGAGTTTTGTATAGCTGGTCAGATACAAATAATAGTGACTTTGACTTCACAGTTTAGCCATTATAATGGGTACTTGTTCAACATTTGGTACTAAATTATGTTGCTGCAAAGTAATTAAAATTAATATCTAGAATAAAAATAAAAAAGAAAAGAAAACCTCAGAGAATGACATTCTATATACCAGTATATATAGCATCGGTGGCATTTTTTAAAGTATCACACATCCAGCAAATCCTTTAAAAAACAAGACACCCTAATATGCAACCAGTTTAGCCATATTTTTAAGAATGATAAGACAGTGTAACTTCATGTACCTGAAATGGAGCACAGGATCCTTTCGAAGGAATTCATACCCATTCCTGCAGAAGTTCTGTGGAATCTTGAATGTAGCACTGAACTAAGTGATTTTTGTTTTTTCAAAGAGGTTTCAGCCAAGACTTTGGTCTCTAACCTCAGACTCCCTAATTAAACTATGGCTTCAAAACTGTACCTGCCTAATTTCAAGTGCTTTTTCAAAAGCACCAAATCTAGAGGATGCTTTTGACGAGTGTGAAAAAATGAAACACAATCACATCCTTCTCTTTGCAGTTCTCTTTCCCTCACCTTCCACTTCTATTAAACTTCCTTCAGAATAATCGTGCACAGATTTAGAGACAAGTATGTATCCGGGTGGGGGCGGGGGGGAGCCCTCTCATGCACCTGTAATCCCAGCTACTTGGGATGCTAAGGCAGGAGAATCACTTGAACCCGGGAGGCAGAGATTGCAGTGAGTCGAGATCGCACCACTGCACTCCAGCCTGGGCGACAGAGCGCAACTCTGTCAAAACAACAACAACAACAACAACAACAACAACAAAAACCCTCTCAAATATATGTGAGTGCACTGAAAACTCTGCCTTTGCAGAAATCATTTTAAGTTAAGACAGAAATTTCTCACTATTTTCAGCATCCTTATTCAACGGGCAGTTTGTTTCCATTGACTTTGAAAGGGCTAAGCTTAAATTTAAACTCTTAAAAACGAGAGATCAATTTTCTATTAATAAAAATCCCGGACAGGTTTTTCAACCTATCAAATAGTTATATTTTTAATTCACCCTTCTATCTCTCTCTGCAACCACGATCATCACCACCCACAAAAGAAGAAGAAAATCCCTCCGATGTTCCCCAAGTATGTGCTGGTGCTAGCTCGGAAGCTGTGCAGAGTTTTGTAATGGAATGTGAATTGCTACGGCGGATCTGGATTTCGGTTCTATCTCCTAAGCAATAAGCAGAGAGGGAGGACAAATCGGCTAAGCAGGAAATTTTCTTTCCTTCTCTACATAACCTGACTAATGCAAAGCTGACAAGGGTCGCCAGCAGCACATGGCACCTGCCAAGCGGCCCGCTGGCAAGTGTGTTCCGTGCTGGGTAAGTCTCCTCCCTTCCTGGAAAGGATAGCGCCCCGCTGAGCAGTGGGATCCGCCGCCAAGCCCCGGCCTCACAGTTGGCCAGGTAGTGGGTCACATCCTCAATGCGTTCTTGGCTCAGAAAACATGCCGCTTCCCAGGGAGGGAGTCGGCGACGGGAAGGACCTCACCCCTGCTTCTTAGCAAACATTAGGGTCGCAGTTTTCTAACAGTGGGGAGGGGGCGAGGCCCCCCCCCCCCCGCCCGGCAAAGGCTGTTGCTAGGGGCAGAGGTAGCGACACTAGACTGTGGGCCGGTATGAGAGGAGGAAGGGAAGCCCCGCAACCAGCGACAAATTGTTCCAGCGTGGCGGGGGCGGTGGCTCAAGCCTGTAATCTCAGCACTTTGGGAGGCTGAGGTGGGCGGGCCACTTGAGGTCAAGAGTTGGAGACCAGCCTGGCCAACATGGTGAAACCCCTCTCTACTAAAAATACAAAAATTAGCCAGGCATGGTGGCATGCGCCGGTAGTCTCAGCTACTCAGGAGGCTGAGGCAGGAGAATCGCTGGAACCCGGGAGGCAGAGGTTGCAGGGAACCAAGACCACACCACTGCACTCCAGCCTGGGTGACAGAGTGACACTCCTCCTAAAAAGAAAAAAAAAATGAACAGTGGGAGAAGGACACCTGCCTTTTTTCCGGGTTCACCATGGCACCCAGCACCTAGCCCCCCACCTCATGCAAGGAAGGTGCACTCCACACCAACAGTTTTCAGTAAAACATGCACCCTGCCAATGGAAGTTCAAAGAACAATAGGTGACCCCATGACCAGGCCCTGGCCCCCCTTCTTTCCTGGGTACCTTAGGTGGTAGTCAGTCACACCACAACTGCCAGCCAGGACAGGGCCAGGATGCAGGGCTGCCTGCTGCCCCCTTGGCGCCGCCAATGTCCTCTGCCCAGGAGGATCAAAGTCCACAGAGCAGAGCACAGCAGATGCTCCTACCAAGCACCTTCGCAAGAGCACCCCAGGAGGCCGCCTCCTAGCTGGCACCCCGATACTTTGTGGCTGCAGTGGAAAGCAGACACCCTAGTCTCCAGGCTTCCCTGTCAGGGAGGGACTGGAAAGAACATAAGAGAAAAGTTCCTCCTTCCACAGGGGGAAGGATGCCAGGACAGAAGGTGGGGAGTAGCGTCAGGAAGATGTTTCTGCCCTACAAGACTTGCACCATCGAATCCTACAAAAAAATATAAATTCACCCTAGTATTCTGGGAGGCCAGAAGCCCCTATTTTAACTGAAGGCCACAATGACGTTTTGGATCCCCTGGAATTAACATCAGCTCAGAGCCAGTGTCCAGTAGTCCCCAAAATGTCTGGACATTTTCCTTTCCCAAATGCACAGTTACCCTGGTAAAGGGCCGGAGGTCTCCTTGGAGAAGGATGGGAGAAAGATTCACTGCTTAAATTGTCGGTAATGTAGTGGAGTCCCCCCTCAAGACAACCCGGCCTCCCTTTCATTCAAGAGGTTCTGGGTCTGTAAACTGGCTAAAGTCTGGAAATTGATTGAGGCGCCATGATTCTCTGATTTTATAATTCAAATTAGTCATTTGTCCATTTGCCCTAGAAGTTTTCTCCTTATATAAATTAAGTAAGAATGCAGTAGGCTTCTTATCAGTTTCACTTCTAGGAACACGGTGTTTAATTAGCCAATGCCGGAGCTCTACACAAGTCAGACTATTCTGACTGCCATTTTGCCTCTGCTGTCCATTATGGTAACTACACCCACCCTGCCTTTGATGGCTGAGTGTCACCACTTGGTCCCTGCCACCTCGGGATCCAATTATTCCCATTGCATTTAAAATTTGTGGCTGAGTGACTGCAGTTCCCACCATTAGATCTGACCTCAATTGGATCATCAGATGGTAATTTGAAAAGGAAGTGATTACCTTCAGTTCTCTGAGTAGGAAGAAAAGAATTACCTCAATTAGATGGTAATTTGAAAAGGAAGTAATTACCTTCAGCTCCCTGATTTCTAGAATTTGTAACATTTCACCCCCTGCTTTTTCCTGGTCTGCAGCAGAGCATCTTCTGTTTCCGCTCTGCTCAGAGTCCACTTTCCCTTCCCTGACAACCAGCTTCACTGAGGCTGGTTTAAACCTAACACAAAACATTCTCACTAATTAATGAATTCCCACAAGGAATTCCATATAGATATTGTATGATCTTAATCTTCTAAGACATGAAATATTTGTTTTCATCATAGGCAAGATGCAATGTAAATCCTATCACAGATGTAGGTTATATACCTCTGAAATTCCTGAGCTATTTATTGAAATAGCATCTTTCAAGTTCTTTGTAGAAATTTTTTTCTGATTTCTGCACACAGAATAGAAACAAAAACTGTACTAGGATTTTGATAGAAACAATGGGTGATCTAAAAAGATGAAAGAGCAACCACATCTATCCCACAGCCACTGCTTGGTTTCATGGGAAAAGTAGCTGGCCCACTTCAGAGCTAGGAGAAATGTCAAACACATGAAGAAATGAGAAGTGATGAAACATTGTGAGTCACCCACAACGTCCCTGCTTAGAAGATAATGGGATAGATGACTAGATGACAAGGAGAAAGATGAGAAGGTGCAAAGATGTCCAAGTCAAACTGCTCGACTGAACTTTTCTTAATGGAATATTTAAAAAGTGGTACAATAAAAAACTTTCTCCAATTTACAGTGAAAATTCTCTGTTCAGAAGTAAGTGGGGTAGAGACTGTTTAATGTGCGTAGATATCTTTATAACTTACATATTTTCTGTTTTCTACATATCTTGAGGGGCAGTGCTAAATGATGTGCAATTATCTGGGTTGTAAATATAAAACATACTTCCTCTTCCCTTGAATATAAAAAATCACTGTGGTATTAGTATATTTTTATAGATCATTGTTCAGAAGAAGGTTCAGCCCCCAGACACCCAGACATTCTTACTATAATGAACAGCAAGAGAAAATGTAGAGCTCAGTTTATCCAATAAACAAAAGGCTTAAAAGCCAAATTATGGCACAACTTAGCAGCCAAATTCTTACCAAGTACAGACTTTTGACATACTGATCTCTCTCCAATTGCAACCGGGAACATGCACTTTGAATAATGTCATTTGAAATGATCACTTATTACCCTGTCCAGACACACTCCTTAGTTATTATTTGGAGGGTTTTCTCTTCCTCATGAGATGCAATGCAGTTCTTTTTTTACCTTCCTGCAGTTTGTCGCCTCTTCCCTACAATCTCAGAGGAACTTTGTCTCAGGCCAATTGTTTGTTCCTTGAGTTCTTTCATTTCCCCTAAAAAATCAAGTGGTGCTCCTCTAAGTTACCTATATCTTCATCTCCCTCTCCCCTGAGAAGAGGGTGCTCTTTAAGTATCAAGAATCTGGCTCTTCTTGCAGTCTCATTTTTTGGCTGGCTCCTATGTTTATGCCTATTAATAAGGTTGTATGTTTTTCTTCTCCTGTTAAGCTGTCTGCTGTCAGTTTATTACTGCAGTGAACCTTTAGAGAAGAGAGTAGAAGCTTTCCTTCCACCCATACTATAGAACTATAAGGCAGAAAAGTTTAGAAATAATTTTCTATTTAAGTGGTGAAACTTCATACTTCATTTCTGATAAAGAACACAAAGGAAAAAAACTTATTTTTAACCAAAAACTCTGTTGACATTCTATTAAATGAACACCAACCTATTTAATTTTCATAATGTTAATGGCAGTTTTTTAATAATTCTTATGCTAATAAATCTTTTCCCTGATTTTTTTTTAAAAAACCCAATATTCATAATGATAATGGCTTCTGATAAGATTCTTACACGGTTTGCTCAGGATTTAATTGTATGTCCTTGGAAACACCTTAATTTTAAATATTTCTTTCAAGATGGTGAATTAAACAGAGATAGCCATTCAATAGGTAGGACTAAACATATGCTGAGTCCTAAATTGAAAGAATTAGAAATACATGCAACAATGGGAATAATTTCAGAAACATTGTGTTGAGCAGAATAAGGTAGACAGAAAAGAGTATCTGTGTCATGGCCTGCATCTATATACGTGAAATTCCAGATTAAGCAAAATTAACCTATGATGAGAAAGGGATTGGCTGGGAAGAGGAGAGTTTACTTTCTGGGGTGACATAATATTGTAGATCTAGAAAGGGGGTGAAGGTATGCTGGTTTCAAAGTTAGTAAACTCACACTTAAGATTTGTATATTTTCTTTTGTGTCACTGTTCCTTAGAAGAAAATTTTATTTAAAAAAAATACTGAATTCCAGTTAACATTAGTCTTGCTAAACTATTCAGCATGAAGTATGTTGATGTCTCCAATTTAGTTGGAAATATATCTAAAATAAGATGGGGTGATGAGTGGATGGAGGAATGGAAAGATGGGTAGATATGTGTTAAGTCATGTTCATTAAAATGTTAACAAATCAATGCTGTATGTATGAACATTTTTATAATAAAATGTTGACGGTAATTGCAAAACTCACTTGTCTCATGTCAGTAATTTTTCCTTTTAACATGAGTTCCAAAATAATTATTATTAATGTTCTACATGTTTGAACAATTTTAAACACAATATCAATTGGATATTTTCCCTGTCAATTGATCATGGAGTTGCAAAATGCAAGGAGACACAGAGAAATCTTGCAGAGGTGCTGCTTTCTGGGTTTTGGTTTTCAGGACAAAGACCAAAAGGAAAAATTAAGCCTCATGTCTCTTTCTAAGGTAGAGGACAGACACACTGTCACGTGACCATGCAAAAGAATTTTACTTAGTAATAAAAAAGAACAAACTATTAATATTTAAAACAATGTGGATCAATGCGAAAATGATTCTGCTGACTTTACAGAATCCACAACAACAAAAATACCTGTCCTGTATGATTGCATTACATGAAATGGCAGCTCAGGGTAAGGATAATAGAATGGAGGGAGGACAGATGAATTAGAAAGGGGGAGGAGAAAAGCTTGGAGAAGGAGGGATGTGTTTATTATCTTGAATCTGGAATATGGTGGTGCTTTCATTGCTGTATCTGTGTGTAAAAGTCAGCAAACTGTATTCTTTAAAAAGATGCTATTTACTGTACAGGACATTACACAACTTAAACTGTAGGAAGGAAATCTGATACCCGAACTATTAGTTTTTATTTATCTGACAAAAACATTGCAAATATTTTTAAAAAATAATTACAGGACTTTACCCGGAAATGTATAATTCAATTTAAAATGGAGATAATAAATACAAACTTACAATGGTCAGGAAGCCAACCTCTTCTTTTAAATATTTAGAATTTTGTCATACATTTTGTGTAATATACCCAAAAATATGCCTGCACTGTTTGGAAAAATGAGAAAAATATAAGAAAAAATCTTAAAGTTATAGATAAAAATATTACATAAAGATATGATTATATAGACACAAAACTGAGCATGGACAGCTGCTATAATAATAATACTTGGGATATATTTCAACAACAATAATCAGACTGTTGTTTAGTCCAAGTTTCTAAAACCATTAACCTTTAAAAATTAATGTTTACTTGCTGCTGAAAAGGGGACTTTTTGTTAGATTTTCAAAGTCCATAAATATTATCATAACATAGTCTTCTTGGAATTATGATTAACACTGTGAGAATTGAAATTAGTTAAAACACAACACCAAATCACCAATAACAAAAGCTCACCTTCACATGTTAGATCATTGCAACCAAAGCAAGCAATAGCAACTCTGAAAATCTATATGGAAAGAAATACAAACTTTCTGGAATGTATGGCCACCACCAAAAAAGGCACAGATATTATTTTACAAACACCAGGTTTACAAGTATTGAGAGGGAAAATAAATTCAAAATGTAATTTAGATCAATCCACACAACAAGACTCGGTTTTGTGCATATAAACCCTCTCTAAAAGCAGCCTCTGAGCTCTGTAGCACTTTTGTCTTTAGCCTCACTGTGCAGGTGAGTAAAGCCTGGGCCCATGGGAGGAACGTACTGTCTCTGAGTAGCCTCCATCTGAAAGCAAGCAGGAGTTCTGAAAACAATGGTTAAAGATGTGAATCAAATGCACAAGAAAAACAAACACTATCATAAGAGGTGGTGAAAGTCACAATCTTAACATTTAGCTGGGCCCTGTTATGAAACTCTCTATACCACCCAAAAAGTTTATACAATACACTTTCATGTTTTAAACTGTGTGAGCTTTGTACAAATATGCAACTCAGAACCTTACCTATTGCCCTAAGCCTAGCTATGAGAGGCAAATATCTCCTGTTGGTTGAATCTCAGTATAAGTTTAGTCATCAATCCTGGGAACTGAAGCGCGGTATATGTCATTATCCCATTTGTGGGCAAAATACTAGGCAGGGGGGTAATATCCTTTAGGTGTTGTCCCAAGCAACATGTTACAATGCCCTCTCTAGGCAGGCCCTAGGAAGGAGGGTAACATTAACTGGGTGCTGGACCTAGCAATAGGACACAATTCCACATGTGGAAAAAACCCAGCCAAGAGATAAAAGACAAAAAACCTACAGAATGGGCCCAAGATATGTCAAAATACCTTCTGTGGCTCCAGCACATGCAGGAGAGTCACATCATCAGGGTGCTGGGACTAGCAATATGTCATAATTCCCTCTTTATGCAGGACCCAGGCAGAAGAGTGACATCATCTGGGTGCTGGGCCCAGCAATATGTTAAAATTCCCTTTTTGTGGGCATGGTTCAGGAAAGAGGAGAGTCACATTACCTAAGTGCTGGACTCAGCAATATGTCACAATCGCCCCATTGTAAAGGCCCAGGTGGAAGAAGAGAGTCACATCACTTAGCTCATAGGCTCAGAGATATGTCCCAATGTCCCCAGTAGGCAGGGCTCAGGCAGAAAAGGGAAGTTGTATCACCTAGGTGCTTCTCTAGATGTATGTCACAATGTAACATGTGGGCAGAAACCAGGCAGAAGAGTCACATCACCTGGGTGCTGGGTCTTGAGGTATGTCACAGGCTACCTTAGGACAAGACCCAGGCAAGAGAGTTACATCACCTAACTTCAGGTTCCACCCTTATGTCACAATGCTCCATGCGGACATGGCCCAAGCAGGGTGTCACATCACCTAGGTAATATGCTCAGAGATATGTCACAACACCCTCCTTGGGGAATGGCCCAGGCAAAAGAATACCATCATTTCTTTGCCTCATCTAGTTAGATGTCATTATTCTCCCTGTGTGCAGGGCTTATTCGAGAGAGGAGAGGTACATCACCTAAGTGGTGGACACAGTGATATGTCACAATGATTTCAGTCATCATGGTGCAGGCAAGAATGTAACATCACCTGGGTGCTAGATCCAGTGATATGTCACAATCCCTACTGACAGAAGGGTCCAGGAAAAAGAGTTACATCACGTAAAGGCTGGTGCAGGTAGATATCACAATCCCTTATGTGGGCTGGAATTAGTCTGCAGAGTCAAATCACACAAGCGCTTGGCAAAAACTTATATGACAATCACACGGCAGAAAATTTCAGGAAAAAGATTTACTATACCATACACATCCTGTTTTTATATATGACAGTTGGCTTCATTCATGTGAGAGAGTAACAGTCTTTACTGTGAGCTGGGTGTGCATACGAGACTCACAATTTCACCTGTGTACTGGGCCATGTTATGACACTCTATACAATCCAAAAGCTTTATAAAATATGTGTGGGTATTATAGTCTTCTGTGACCTTTTTACCAGAAAAAGATCCAGGATATCACTCCTGTCCCTAAACCTAGTTATGAGAGTCCAAATTTTCCTACTGGCTGGGTCCACATATGACAGTCATTATCATGCCTGTGAGCTGTGCCTAGGTATATGTCACAATCCCCTCTGTGGTTTTGAGACAGAAAGGACAGCCACATCACCTAAATGCTGGGCCAGAAATATTCCAATATTATCCTTGTAGGCAAGGCCCTGGCAGAAAATTCGCATAACATGGGTGCTAGGCCCAGCTCTGAGGCACAATGCCTCTTGTGGGCAGTGTCCAGGCAGGATAGGAAATTCATGTCACTTAAATTATGGGCCCAGAGATACGTCACAATGCCTCATGCGAACAGGGTTCAGGTAAGAAAGTCATATCATTTGGAAGCAGTGCTTAGAAATGCTACAATCTCCACAGGAAGCAGGGTTCAGGCAGGAGAGGAGAATCATGTAACCTAGATGCTGGGTATAAAGGTATGCTACAATCCCCCGCTGAGGACACTGTTAAAACAAGAGAGTCAAATCACTAAGGAGCCTGGCCCTGGTATATGTCAAAATCTCATGTGTGTGCTAGACCTAAGAAGAGTTATTAAATCACTCAGGAGCTGGGCAAAGGTATATGTCACAAAAACACCTGTGGAAAGGCCCAGAGATGAGAGTCACCATTCTGAACATGTCCTGGCTTCAGGCATGAATACTGGTCTCAGGTTTATGGTGCAATATCACCTGTGGGCAAGGAGAAAGCAGAAAAGTCACATCGCCTGGGTGGGTGTGGGTCCAGTGAGATGTCACAATCCTCTTTATGGGCAGGAACCTGGCAGAAGAATCCATCACCTGGATGCTGCTTCCAGTGATACATCTAAATCCCCACTTTGTTCAGGACTTAGGCAAGAGAGGAGACACCTCACCTAGGCAATTGGTCTAGATATATGTCACAATGGCCCTTATGTGCAGTACTGAGGCAGGAGGGTGACCTCACATTGGTGCTGGGCCCAGCAATGTGTCAAAATCTTCCCTGTGGTCAAGGCCCAGGCAAAAGTGGAGAAACATCACCTAGGTTACAAAGCTTCCTGTTGGAAGAACCCAAAAAGGAGAGTCACATCACCTGGGTGCAGTACCCAGTTATGCGTCACAATGCAGCATAAGTGCAGGGACAAGGCAGTAGAAGGGAGTCACATCACTTACATGATGGACCTAGATATAAGCCACAATACTTTTTATAAGCAGGGCTCAGGCAAATAATTCACATTACCTGCGTGCTGGTCCTAGTAATACGTAAAAGTGCCCTTTGTAGGCAGGCCCAGGCACCTTCGCTTAGGTGTATGGTCCACGTATGTCAAAATTTCATCTATGGTCATGGCCTAAAAAGGAGAGTCAAATTATTCAGGAGCTGGGCTAACTTTTATGTCCTAATCACACACTTGGAAATATTCAGAAGTAAGTTTCACAGTCCCACTCAGGTCCTGGCTTCATGTATGTGAGTCAACACCTCCTGTGAGTTGGGTCAAAGCAGAGTCACAATCTCAACAGTGGGCAAGATCCATGTATAAGATGCCCAATCCCACCTGAAGATTGTGTTCCAGTAGGGGAGCCCCAACCTCACAGGTGTGCTGAATATGCATCACCAAACCACCTGTGGGTCAGATCTGTGTACGAGAGGAACAATTTCAACCTTCAATTGCTCTTTTGTGTGAGTTTTAGTACCTTGTATGTAGGCCCTGTTCTTGTGAGAGAATGACAATCGGGTCAGCTGGGTGAGCATCCAAGAGTCACAATCGCACCTGGTTGCTGTTCCCTGCTATGACACTCTTTGTACCACTCAGGCTTTATATGATGTGCCTGAGTGTCATAATCCTCTGTGAGCTTTATACAAACAGGGGACCCTTTACTTTACTTATGGCCATAGGACTGGCTATAAGAGTCCAAATATCTCTCCTTTCTGGGTCCAGGTATAATAGTTATATTTGTGCATGTGAGCTGAACGCAGGTATAAGTCACAATTTCACTTGTGGGCAGAAAAGAGGCAGGAGAGTCTCATCGCCTGGATTCTGAGCTCAGGATATATTATAATTTCCTTTGCAGGCAGGGCCAAGTCAGAAGAGTCACATCACCTGGATACAGCCTCAAGTCATGTGGTACCATGTCCACTGTAGACAGGGCTGAAGAAGAAGAGGAGAGTCACATCACCTAGCTGCTGGGCTCAGCAATATGTAACAATCCCCTCTTTTGGCAGACTCCAGAATAAAGAGGAGAGTTGCATTACCTAGGTTTTGCACTCAGTGGTATGTCACAATTCCTTTAGTGGGCAGGACCTAGGCAGGAGAGAAGAGTCACATTTCCTAGATGCTATGTCCAACGATGTCACAATGTTCCTTGGGGGCAAAGCACAGGAAAAGTAGGCAAATCACATAGCTGATAGGCTCAGAGATATGTGATAATATCCCTTGTTGGCAGGGCCCAGGCAGAAGAGTCACATTATTATGATTCTGACCCAACAATATGTCCCAATGCACACATGGGAAACAATTTAAGCAAAAGTTTTCACAGCTGGGTACTAGGCCCAGCGATATGACACAATCTCCTCATCTTTGAGGGTGACACCTTTAACTGTTAGCTAGGTGGGTATATGAGAGTCACAATGTCACGTGTGTGCTGGGCCATCATATGACATCCTCTACAACATCTGAGGGCTTTATACGGCATGCATGAGAGTTGCAAACTACTCTAAGGCCCACATGCTCATATGGACTCACAATCTTATATATTGCCTTAAACACAGGCATGATAGTCAACATCTCTCATTCAGGCTGAGTTCAGGAATGAGACCCATTTTTATCCCTGTGAGCTGGGTTCAAAAAAGAGTCACGATTGCACCTGTGGCCAGATCCACATATGAGAGTCACAATTCCATCTTTGTACTCTTTTCAATTGTTAGACTCAGTACCTCAACAGTGGGCTTTTTAAATGTGGGATGGTGACAACTGTTACTTTCACTTGAGTGTGTAATTGACAGTCATAATCTTAACTTTTTGCTGGGCCTTGTTATGAAGCTCTCTGTACCACCTAAGGAGTTTATACAATATGAATCAGTGTTGTAAACTTCTGTGAGCTTTGCACAAATATGCAACCGAGGATTTTACCTATTGCCCTAAGCCTAGCAATGAGAGGCAAAATACCTTCTATTGGCTGCATCCCAGTATAAGTTTGACCATCATGCCTATGGACTGAAGCAAGGTATATGTCATAATCCCATTTGTGGGCAAAAAATTAAGAAAAAGAGTAACATCACTTAGGTGATGTGGCAAGCAACGTGTCACAATGCCCTCTCTAGGCAGAACCTAAGAAGGAGGGTCACATTAACTGTGTGCTGGACCCAACAATATGACACAATTCCACATGTGGAAAAACTTAGCCAAGTGATGAGAGCCAAAACACCTACAGAATGGGCCAAAGATATTTCAAAATACTCTCTATGGCTCTGGCACAGGCAGGACAGTACCATCATCATGGTGCTGGGCCCACCAGTATGCAAAAATTCCCTCTTTATTCAGGACTCTGGCAGAAGAGTAACATCATCTGGGTGCAATAGGTCAAAATTTCCCTTTGACATGGTTCAGATAAAAGAGTAGAGTCAGATGACCTAAATGCTGGGCTCAGGAATATGTCAAAACCCCACCATTTTAAAGGCCCTGGCAGAAGAAGAGAGTCCTATAACTTAGGCCATGGGCTCAGAGACATATTCCAATGTCCCCAGTAGGCAGGACTCAGGAAGAATAGGAGAGTCATATCACCTAGGCACTTCTTTAGGTATATGTCACAGTCTAACACATGGGCAGAAACCAGGCAGAAGAGTCACATCACCTGAGTGCTGGGTCCTGAGATATGTTGCAGGGCTCCCTTAGGACAGGACCAAGGTGAAAGAGTTACAACACCTTTGGTGCAGGTTTAACTTTTATGTCACAATGTTCTACGTCGGTGAGGCCCAAGCGTTGAATCATATCACCTCGGTGATAGGTCCAGAGATATGTCACAATGCCCTCCTTGAAACATAGCCCTGGAAAAAGAGTACCAACACCTGTGTGTCTGGCCTAGGAAGATGTCACTACCACTCCGTATTCAGGGTCCATTCCAGAGAGGAGAGTTACATCACCTAAGTGGTGGACACAGTGATATGTCACAATGATGTCTCTGTGCATGGTCCAGGCAAGAATGTAACATCACTTGGGTGTTAGATCCAGTGATATGTCACAACCCTTACTGAGAGAAGGGCCCAGGCAGGAGAGTCACATTATCTAGAGGTTGGCCCAGGTAGAGATCACAATCCCGTATATATGGGCTGGAACCAGTTTGGAGAGTCAAATCACACAGATGCTTGGCAAAGATTTATATCACAGTCACACTGAGAGAATATTCGAGATGAGATTTACAATACCACACATGTCCTCTTTTCATGTGTGACAGTTGGCTTCATGTATGTAAGATGGTGACAGTCCTTACAGTCAGCTGGGTGTACATATGAGACTCACAATTTCTCCTTTCTGCTGGGTTCTGTTCTGACACTCTCTGTACAAGCCAAGGGCTGCAAATTATCTGAGGCTGTTATAATCTTCTGTGACCTTTTCGCCAGAAAGAGATCTAAGACATCACTTATGTTTCTAAAGCAAGTTACAAGAGTCAAAATTACTCCTACTTGTGGGGTCCACATATGAGAGTCATTATCATGCCTGTGAGCTGTGCCTAGGTAAATGTCAAAACTTACTCTGTGGTAATGAAAGGCATGACAGCCATATAACCTATATGCTGAGGCAGAAATGTTCTGATGTTCTCCTTGTAGGCAAGTTCCTGGCAGAAAAGTAACATAACTTCGGGGCTATGCCCAACTGTATGGCACAATGCCCCTTGTGGG
This sequence comes from Homo sapiens, assembly GCF_000001405.40. NCBI lineage: Eukaryota > Metazoa > Chordata > Mammalia > Primates > Hominidae > Homo > Homo sapiens. Next base: position 56,617,950 of record NC_000007.14, read on the forward strand.
CAGTGTCCAGGCAGAAGAGGAGAGTCATGTCACATAAATGATAGGACCAGAGATATGTCACAATGCCTTCTGTTGAAAGGGCCAGGCACGTATCATTTCTGATTATAGTCATTTTAACTGGAGTGGTTTGGTATCTTATTGTGACTGATTTGCATTTTTCTAATAATAATCTTGAGCATCTTTGCAGTACTTGGCCATTTGTATGTCTTCTTTGGAGAAATGTCACTTAAGGTCTCTTGCGTATTACTAAATTGTGTGTTATTTTTGCTGTTAAGTTATATGTTCTGTATGTTTATCCCTTGTCATATATTTTGCAAATATATTCTCTCACACTGTAAGTTGCCTCTTCACTCTGTTATTTTTGCTATGTATTTTTTTTTTTAATTCTGGTAATTTCACTTCTCTGCTTTTGCTTTTGTTGCCTGTGCTTTTGAGGTCTTATTTAAATTTTTTTTCCCTGTCCTATTGGAGAAAGAATTTTTCTGTTTTATTCAAATAGTTTTATGAGTTTAAGTTTTACATTCAAATCTTCTATTTATTTTTAATTAAGTTGTTTTAATATGGTAACAGGTAGGCACCTAGTTGTATTCCTCTGTATTTAAAAAAAATCAATTTTCCTAGCACCATTCATTGAAAATGTTGTCTTTTTTACATGTGTTCTAAACAACTTAAAAATTATTTGTCTCTATGTTTATGAATTTATTACTGGTATCACTGAATACTTTGGTCTCTGTGTCTGTTTTCTATGCCAGTATCATGCTGTTTTGCTTGTTATAGCTTTGCAGTATATTTTGAAGTCAGACAGTTTGATACTTTCAGTTTTGTTATTTTTTCACAAGATTACTTTGACTATTTGGGAAGGTGTTTTGTTTTTTTTTTTTGGTTCCCCATAAATTTTAGGCCTGTTTTTTCCATTTCTGTGAAAAAATGTCATTGGTATTTTTAGAGTTTGCATTGAATCTGTAAATTACCTTGAGTAGCATAGCCATTGTAACAAAATTTTTTATAACTCATGAGCAAAAAACTCTCAAATTTTTTATGTTTTCAGTTTCTTCATCAATGTTTTATAATTTATAGTGTAGACAGTGTTTATCTTTTTAATTAAGTTTACTGCTAGACACGTTTACTTTTTATTCTAGATGCAGAAAAAGTATTTGGAAAAATTTAAAATGCTTTTGTGATTAAAACAACTGAACAAAACAAATTAGGTCTAGATGATATGTACCTCAACGCAGTTAAGGCAAAATATGACAAATCAATAGCTGATATCACACTGAACCGAAAAAGAAGAAAGCTTTTTTTTTTTTTTTCCTGAGTTGCTTCAGGAAGTAAAACATTTAATGCAAGCTTTATTTTCCCTAAAACTAGTAAACACAGGGAAGCAAACCTCTTTGAAATTGCAGTTGTAAACCTCATTTCCTAATTCATGCTTTTATGTATTTTCTCTTTTTATTTTTTTATTTTATTTTTTATTATACTTTAAGTTTTAGGGTACATTTGCACATTGTGCAGGTTAGTTACATATGTATACATGTGCCATGCTGGTGCGCTGCACCCACTAACTCGTCATCTAGCATTAGGTATATCTCCCGATGCTATCCCTCCCCCCTCCCCCCACCCCACAACAGTCCCCAGAGTGTGATATTCCCCTTCCTGTGTCCATGTGATCTTGTTGTTCAATTCCCACCTATGAGTGAGAATATGTGGTGTTTGGTTTTTTGTTCTTGTGATAGTTTACTGAGAATGATGATTTCCAATTTCATCCATGTCCCTACAAAGGACATGAACTCATCATTTTTTATGGCTGCATAGTATTCCATGGTGTATATGTGCCACATTTTCTTAATCCAGTCTATCATTGTTGGACATTTGGGTTGGTTCCAAGTCTTTGCTATTGTGAATAATGCCGCAATAAACATAAGTGTGCATGTGTCTTTATAGCTTTTTATTTAAGACCTGAAAGAAGACAGTGATATCTGCTTTTATCACTTTTATTCAACAGAGTACTGGAAGTCCCAGCCAGATCATACATGAAAGAGAAAGCCATAAAAGACATCCAAAGACATAAAAGACATCCAAATAAAGGAGGAGAAAGTCAAATTGTCTGTGTTTGCAGATCACGTAATTGTCTATATAGCAAAACTTAAATACTATACTAAAAATCTTGAGAATTAATAAAGAAATTCAGTAAAGTGGCAGAATACCAAATTAACATACAAAAATTACTAGGAGCATTTTTACATGCCAAGAATAAGCCATCTGAAATAGAAATTCAAGAAAAAATTATTTACAACAGCTATAAAAAATAAGTCTTACTTCATTTTAAGTTCATGCTTGTGCTAAGGTTCAACTTTATTTTTTATCATTTGGATATTCAGTATTCTCCAATCCATTTGTTAAAAAGACTGTTCCTTTATCATTTTGAGTGACACAGACAGGAGATAGCCAAGGGACCTTTTCTCATTTTGAGTGATAGAGACCGGAGACAGTCTACGGTCCTGGGTGAAACTCCGCCTTCAAGCCTAAAACAGCAAGAAGGCTGAAAAACCAGATGGCTGGTTTCAGATGAAGCTTGCCCTTTCCTGACTGTTTCTCTCTGAGTAATACCCACCTGTGCACTGGGAAAAGGAGGTGGAGCCAGGGAAATTCACACCTCTTGGCAGGGGAGGAGCCTGGACTCTTCAGTTGCTATGTGGTGACCTGGTGTTCATCAATATGTGAGGTGGGCGTCTGTTAACAGGAATCCCTCTCACTTTGCTGACAGTTTTTCTCTTTTTCCTTTTCCTTTTTGCCCAATAAACTTTACTCCTCACCCTTCAGTGTGTCCGATAGCCTATTCGTTCATGGTCATGTGACAAGATGCTGGTTTTAGCTGAACTAAGGAAAAAGTTCTGGAACATTTCAGTGACTAGATGTGGGGCTTCAGGAAGGATAAGATGTAAACCAAAAAATCATTTTCTCTTTTGTTTGTAAGCCTTTTCATCCTTGGACTTCTCCCGGGGGTAGAGGAAACTGCACCACCCTACCCCAACAGCCCCAGGCACATGCGGGATGGACAGGTGAATGGCGGCTCCTCATCCCCATGTCCTCTGGGCTGGAAAATGCCAGGCATTCATGGTGTCCTACCCTTCACCTGCCAAGGAATCCAGCCTCATCCAACAACAATTAAGTTTTTCTCTCTGTTGAAGAAACCCATTTGCGTAAGAATGAAAATTTTCTTCCCTGCCCTACGCTTAAGCCTTTTTTTTTTCTTTTCTTCACCCTCTCAGCAGTTTACTTTTAAGCAAAAGGCTTTTTTCTTCTTCTTAGAAAATGTTTTGCTGGGTTTGGACCCCAACGTTCACTGTTTATATTCTCTGTAGAGTTTTAATTGTGAAAGGGTATTTGTGAGGTTAGTCTTGACCTGTGGCCAATCTGGTGTGCTTTGTATGTCATTCTCTAAGGTTGTTAGGAAATTTTGCTGCAGGCCTCCATCTTGTTTTATGTTTTTAGGAGCAGGACTTGTCACCACGTGGCAATGTTCTGTTTTGGTCTCTGCCATTTTACAATGGTGGCCCAGGTTTAATCCTGGCTTCGGGAATGAATCCCTTCTGGTTTCATATCAGTTTGTAACTTTTGCCGTTTGCGGATTCTCTTCCCCTTCCCAAACTGCCTTAATTTTTTTTTTTTTCCTCTGAGCACCTGGTAAGCTACCTTTGGTAAAGTTTGCAAGCCAGAAATACTGGCTGCTTGGCACTGCTAGAGTCAAGAAATAAAGAATTTAACAGGATTTTCTTAAAGAGTGCTCAACTTAATTAAAAGTGGATATCCAAATTATAGGTATATTTAAAAGACCTTTATGTTTTTTCTCTTCTGGGATCTTGTTTTGCTGGGAAAAGGTTTTTTCTCAGCCAGTTGAATTCTTTTTCTTCATTTTGTCTTGCCACTCTAATGCATGCATGAGAGGCCAGTAATTCAATCAGGAAATTGGCAAATAAAAAATCTTATGGTTACAGGGTTTTCTTCTGCCTGTCTGTGTAGTTATGTATGTGTTGTGTGTGTAGTGACTATAAAAAAAAGCTCTAATAAATTTACTTAAAGAATGATGAGAACTTGGATCAAATATTTTTTAAATGAAGATAAAAGCTATGTACCTTTTAGTTCACATGACTTTAATCTTTGAGAAATAAAAGCAGCCTTAAATATTATGGGTAAAACACAAATGTCATCAATATATGAGTAGGTGAACTAAATTATGCAGGTCAGACACTAGGTTTGCTATATGTTTTAAGGTTATAAACTGCTTTTTAAGTTTTTGAGAACAGTTAAACTTTGCTTCACAACTGGAAAGACCTGAAGGACAAATGGAATTAACCACACCCTTAATTATGCTGAAAGTGTCAAACCCTTGGCTGCACCTAGCACATAATTAAAACAATTTACCTGGTTTTACATTACAGTTAAAATTGCTAGAAGTTACCATTGTAACATGTAACTGAAACCATTGGAAGTAGATTTACATACAAGGTGTGTAAGAACAGTAAAATGTGTTTATAATAAAAGATTATAAGAAAGCTTGGAAATATAAATTATTGCCTAGGGTCAAATAATTGTTTTGAGTTAGATAAGACAAAGCTGAACATTCAAACAAGTTGTGGAAGGATTGCAAAAAATAAATCTTGCCAAAGAAATTACGTGTGTGAACATTAATTAAATTCAAAAAGGTATTATATGGTTTTTTTTGTAAAATTGAGCATTGAAATAAATGCGCAACAAGGTACTCTTAAGGCACTAATCTGCTCTTTAGCAAAATTTGTAAAGAATTATAAAAGGCTTTTGCTTTTTACATTTCTAAGTCATCATTTTGGTTAAATAAGTAATTTATGGCAATCTGGAATTTTATTTCATAACATGAAGTATTTTAAACCCCTAACATGTAACATCCTTCTCAAAATCAAAGTTTAGTTACAAAATTGTCTTTCCTAATTCCCGGCTTTTGGATGCTAAAGAGGGCCCTTGGAGTATCCACAAGAGAGGTAAACAGGATTATATGACATGTTTAGTTACATGGAATTGCCAAAATGGTGTTTAATATTCTTTAGATGATATTTTGGTGAATAACACTAATATATGTTCCAAAATTGTATGGGATTTCTAAAATTCTAATTTCTGAAGTATATGCTGTCAACCACAATTAAGGATTTTATGTTAAGCTTTTGTATGTTAAGTTTTATGTTAAATTTTTGTCAATCATGTTTTTGACTGTAACTACTCTAGACATTTTGTTATACACAGACAATTGTCCTGTTTTGATTTTTTCAAAAAATGTTTTTTAATCAGCTATAGAACTTTGACAGGTATTCTCAAATGCAGGCTTCTGATAACTTTGGAGCCTGTGATATTTGGAATACAGGATAAATGTACAGGACTCACGAAAAGCTAAAATGTTCATGAATATCAAACATAAAAGAGTTAACTGAATGGACTGGACTAGTAGAAAACTGAGGTAATCTGACTTTCGCTTATAACATTACTGATCCTTGTATTGTTTACCAGAGTCAAGGAAACTTATTATGAGCTATTTACAGCCTTTAATATTTGACTAAGCTGTACTCCTATGAACAAGATTTGGAGCTTGTTTGTCTCTCTCTGCATTGCTTCTCCAGAGTTTGAGAAATAGTTGTGAGTATTCTTAACTTATGGCAATATAGCTGTTTGCATCAGTGTAATAATAATCCATTTTCTTTTGCAACAGGACACAATTGGAGAAACTGGTTGTTTTACCAAGGCCTTGACTGAAAGGGTATGCTTCCCTTTAAGGAGTCAATCTCAACTTGCAGAGCCAGTAAGCACCCCTTGGGAAAAACTGGCCTCATACCTTATCTATGCAGTCCTTGTGCAGGGTTCCTGATCTGTGGTAAGTAAAGAATGACACTTTCTGACAGGCCCAGGAGCTCCAAGGTTATCTTGGGATCATAAGAGGAGAGGATCACACTACAAATATTTGATGGCACAAACCCCTGGCTGGGCTTGACTTTAGAAAGTCCTATTTGAAATTTCTTGTGGAACAGAGTTCCATCAAAGCCAATGTAAAAGACCTATGTAGAAATATTCTTGCTGCACTTTATGGAAATAATCAGGCCAAGTATAAGACTAAAGTTTATTTTACAAACAACCCAGTACTATCATGATTTATTTTTAACAAAAAAGAGAACTTGACAGAAAAGATTATGTTTCAAAATTATACATTTGTCATTAAATTCTTAACTTACTAGTTTTGAATTTTTGCCTACATTTTAGACCAACCCTGCTTATTCCTGTGAACCAACTAGTTATCTTCAACTGCAGCTCAGAAGAAACAAAAAAGGACAGGTAATGTAAAAATCTGGATTAATATTCCAATTCTGGGCAATTATCCTGCAAATCCTGTAGAATGGTGGGAATGAATCAGGTGCCCACCCAAATCTTAGCAAGCATAAATATAGCCACTAGTTATCTGGGTGTGTCACAAGACGTTTCTTCTCTCTCCCTCGTGGAAAGAGGACTCAATTCAACAGCTTCATCTTAGCATTCAGCTCATGATAAGTAGTCCATGCAATACTCTGACACACATTTTTATCCCAACCTCAATTCCAAGCTTCAGGTTGAAGCCCTAGGAAAGAATACTGGATCTGAGAAACTCAGAGGCAGATGATAATGGAGGCTAAAAGGCACAGTGAAGGTGAGCATGACTAATTCCAGCTGATTAAGCCAAGCCTCCTATTTCATGGATAAAGATCATGCTAGGATCTGTGGCATAAATGAGGTCTAGTGAACTCCAGAACTACTGGCAGCAGGGGAGATAGGGCATATATGGGTAACAGCAGATATTTCCACCCCCCAGGCCTCCCTGTTAACATGGGTGAAAGCTGCTTTGACACCCATGGGTGGCACCCTGTCACAATCACTGGGACTTGGGGATACAAGAATGGAAGTGGGAAAGAGAACATTCTTTCTTCTATCCCTCAACATACCCTGGGTATTTGCTATGAAGAGAAAGAAATCAGGGACACCTGCTCCTTTCTTCATAAATGAGTAGCCATTAATCTTTAGTCTATACCACTTTTGAATGCATCCTGGACTCTTGGGACTCCTTTGAAAAAATGCTTTTTTCCTTTTTTCTCCTCTGTCCTCCCTTTACAGATAGGTAATCATGTCTTCATACATGATTGATGTCTACATACATCCCCTCAGATGCATCCTCCAAACTTGGAAGAGTTAATTTCCCAAGCCTTAGACTGGTTGGCTTAAGATTGAACTCAGGGCAAAAGCACCTGGAAGCTTGACATGCTGGCAAAAGGTCAAAAATATACTTTTCCAGTTGGGCTTTTGGCTTCCCTCTCCCTATGCAAACTGATAAAGGACATAGGAATTTTTTAGCTGTCCTTGACACCTTCCCCTTGTTTCGTTTTAATACATGTTTTTTAATAACCCAGTTTGATTCTTCTCACCTTCAGGCTACCAAACTTTAAACAGTCATGCAGCCAGAACTTTGAACAATGGCCCCTTTCACTGCGGACACTTAGATAGGCCTCTTAGGGAGATCTAACTGTTGGTTTTCCAAAACAGTGACCCCTGTCAGCAGGAAGCACTTAAAAGTGGTTTTTGTTCTCATCCTTATCCTTATTCTAACTTCAGTTAGATGTATTTCTTTAGAGGGGGAAATAACACAGTTAGGAAACAGCCAAGGGTCCTGGGTGAAACCCCACCTTCAAGCCTAAAACCTCCTGAAGGCTGAAAAATCAGACTGCTGGTCCCAGATGAGGCCTGGCTTTTTCCAACTGATTATGTCTGAATAATGTCCACTTGCACACTGGGGGAAGGGACTGGAGCCATGGGAAGTTCACACCTTGTGCAGGGAGGAGGAATCTGGCCACTTCAGTTCTTGTATGATGGTCTGGTGTTCAGCAATCTGGGAGGTGGGGGCCTGTAAACAAATTTTTTCTTTACTTCTTTTTTTTCTTTTTACCCAATCGACTTTACTTTTCATCCTTCAGAGTGTCCCTGACCTAATCTTTCCTTGTCATGTGACAAGAACCCAATTTTGCTAAAGTTCTGCAACATGAGGATTTGGAACCCTCGTTTAGAATAAGCTGAGGATATGCATGTAGGTGTCTTTCTGGCTTCTCTTATCTGTTTCAACGTGTATTTTTCTGTCTGTATGCCAGCACCACACTGTTTTGATTACTGTAACTTTGCAATATGTTTTGAAATAAAAAAGAATGATGCCCGAGTTTATTCTTTTCTTCCAGGTTGTTTGGCTGCTTGTGGTTTTTTGAGTTTATATAGAAATTATAGGGCAATATTTGATGGCTCACTCCTGTGATCCCAGAACTTTGTGAAACCAAGGCAAGTGAATTGCTTGAGCCCAGCAGTTTGAGACCAGCCTGGGCAATATGGTGAAACCCTGTCTCTACAAAAATTACAAAAACTTGCTGAGCAAGGTAACATGCAACTGCAGTACAAACCACTTGTGAGGCTCAAGTGGGAGGATAAAATGAGCTTGAGAGGTCAAGGTTACAGTGAGCCATGATTACAACACTGCACTCCAGCCTAGGTGACACAGCTAGATATTGACTCAGACATTTTAGAATATTTTAGTACTTCTGCAAAACGTACCATTGGATTTTTGTTAAAGATATCTCATTCATCTGTAGATCATTTCAAATACCATTAACATCTAAAGAAACATGCATGTTCTACATCTTGAAAAAGAGTATGTTCAAGAATTTGTCTAGTTTTCATACATATGCAGACATGCTAGTTTTCTTTTGGTTTTTAACTTCAAGTTATGTTTTATTGCAGTCAGAAATAATATTTGTTGTGCTTACCATCTGTTTAAATATGCTAAACCTTGCATTCTGTCTTAGAAGTTTGCCTATCTTAGAAAACGTTCCATATGCTATTAGAAATATTATGTATTATGTTATTGTTGGGTCAAATGTTTTGTAGATTATCCTCAGGTCTTATTTTTCTTTTTAACCTGTATTTCTCTGCATATTTGTCTTTATCGTTATTTTGTTTCTCTTTATTTACTTTCTTTTTTCTATTAATTTTTTTTTTTAATTTTCATTACATTTCCTTCATTTCAAATTTTCTAGATTTATCTTGCTTGTAACATTTTAAAATTTCTTTTAGTTTCTTTTATTTCCATTCATATCCCTTCATATTATTTTTTCTCCAAATTTTTTTTATTTTTTATCTCATTCTTAAAATTTTATTTTATTGCAAATTATTTCATTTATTTCTCTTAATTTTATTGTATTTCTTCATCTTCATTTTATTTTCACTGATCTTAATTACATTTCTCTTTATTTTTCTCTATTTTATTTCAGTTTATTTGTCCTATTTTTCAATTACTTTAAATTTTTATATTTCTCTTGATTTCATTTTTTCTCACTTTATTTTTCTATATTTTGCTTTGTAAAACAGAAGAGATGAGCTATTTTAGATTAGCCCAGCCACACTGGTCAAGACTTGTTTGCTGAGGCTGTCTGGCAGCCACGCTACCCCAGGAGTCTCCAATCCAGGGTATAGTCAGGGCCTTCAAGCAGGATTGCTAAGATCCCTTCACAGATCTTTTATTATTACAGGCCCACCTAGCATTCAGTGCCATGGGCCATTTCTGCTGCTTTCAGAAGCCCCCTTTAAGCCTCAGTGTTTCTAGGCCGAGGCCCTGACTGACTCTTTATTTGTGTCCTAATGAATCCCCCACACATAATGCATGGCACTGACTGTTCTTCCTTCTTTTCAAGGACAGGGCCACACACACTCCACTCCACAGGGCATGCCTGGACCATACGTGTCTCTTTTTGTTCTGAAAAAACAATTTTTTTTTTTGAGATGGAGTCTTGCTCTGTCGCCCAGGCTGGAGTGCAGTGACACGATCTCAGCTCACTGCAATGTCTGCCTCCCGGGTTCAAGTAATTCTCCTGCCTCAGCCTCCCAAGTTGCTGGGATTACAGGTGCCTGCCATTTTTTCTGTATTTTTAGTAGAAACGGGGTTTCACCATGTTTGCCAGGCTGGTTTCAAACTCCTATCCTCAAGTGATCCACAAGCCTCAGTCTCCCAAAGTGCTGGGATTACAGGTATGAGCCACCACACCTGGTCAAAAATTTTTTTATTTTAACTTGACATATAACTGATTATGAAAATGTCAACTTTATGGGTAGATATACATGCAAATATGTGCAAAAATGCTAATGATGTAAGAAGACGAGCATTTCTACATTTTATCTAATGATTTCATGGAGTTGCTATTTTACCTTTTCCTGTCTTTATATTTTCATTGGGAAAATCCTCAGTGAAGACTCCTCAGTGTGATAGACAAAATGATGTGCACAATCAATCATTGATAGATGCAGTGAAGTAACTTCTGGTTTTCATTTGGAGCTCTCACAGCTGGGATTAAAACCTCTTGGTTGTAAACTCACATGATGAGGAGTTATACTATGCTGTCCTCTTCTGCACATTTGTCTACCATCACAACTTTTAGAATAGCCAAAGGAAAAAGTGGAAAATAGTTTCCCTCAGACCTACTCATCTCCCTTTCATAGGTTTTCAGGTTGTGCATTGTTCAGATTGCTTAGAAGCTCATGATCACAGAGGTCATATTTGTCAAGAGAAAGCTTTGTTGCACGAAGATTAAGTGAAGTTGTTTACCACCCAGGGCCCATGGTTCCTCCAGAGGCAGGATGAGCTTAAAAACCATCAATGAAGCCAGAACGTGATGACAGAAGTTGAGGGCTGCCAGAGGAGAAAGCAAAATGCTCCCTTTTCTTTCCAAGTGGTCACTGCTTATTCTGGCATTAATCTTGCTTCTGACTACGATGTGTTTCTTAGTCATGTTTTTTGGTGTTCCACTGATTGTGCACCTAAGACGACTGGATGAGAGCGGTAAAGACAACAACTGCATCCTTCCACAGCTGATGCCTTGGTGAGCTTTGAAGCACATTGAGCAGTCTGAAATCCTTCCTCACTATGGGGTAAGTTGTGTCAAATTCGACTCCCATGGAAATGGCACCATGTTCAAGATGTCAAAGAAGAAACTCAGAACCAGTGAATGAGATGTGGAGTTTTACTGGGGACTTTTACATAGAGGGGAGAATGTCCAGTGTCTGTGGGCTTAGCAGGATAACCACACCCACTTGCAAAAAGTGTGTAGTTTGTATAGCATTTTTATTTAGCACATTTTTTTCTGAACAACCTTCCACCTATCAGCCTTCATTTAACAAAAAAGGAATGGCCTCAATCTCGTATGGCCTGTATTCCATTCCACAGAATGGGACAGACCAGGGGCTCAGATGTTCCTCATAGATACAAAATAATCTCCAGATTGGCCTCTACTAGAGTTTTTAGCTTGGAACTCTGAACACTCAGAAGCATTTTTTAATACAGGGTCAGTCTCCAGGTATGCCCAAGTCAAGTGAACACTGTCAGTTGCATCCATTATACAGGCTGGTTCAGGCAGTGGAGGTTCTTCCTGAGACTCGATTCAAAAAAGCTTTTGCTTTTTCTTCAATCGTTGGGTTGACAGTTTACTAAAAGGCCTGATGTGTGTGCACATTGTTGGTACAGTTGTCTAAGTTTATGAGATGGTTTCTTAGTTGATAGGGTCTGTTTCTGTTACAGGGTGACAGGCTGCTGAGGTGCCCCTTCTCCACTTTTTCACTGGACCTTGACTATTCTGGGGCTTCAGTTCCACTATTTTCCAAGGTGGGACGTGCTAAAACAGACCCTGAAATTGTGATTCAGGGTGACCAGGCTGAGGTTGCCCTTTAAAAGGCAGAACTGCTAGGTCTGTCTTATTTGCCTTGTCATTCTAATGTATCTTTTGGTATGGAGACCAGAAAAAGAGTCTTGAGTATGTGACAGGCTTCCTGCTAGAGTTGGTACTATTTATACATGACTCTTAACAGTCAAGGTAGGTTGAGACATCTCTCCTCCTGGCACAACCTGAGTAGGCTAGAGCACTGTGACCCTTAAAGCTTAGCTCATGCGGTCTTCAGAGGAATTTCAAAAACCATAGGATGTGGGGGGTAGAGAAAAAGCTGGCAGAAATAACAAGTTGCAGGTGAAATAATTGGAGCCAGGAAGAGAATGGGACCTGCTTGGAACAGTACACACACTGCCTGGGTGCAGCTGAATAGTCAAGCGAGTTTTCCGATTTGGGCCTTGTGCCGTGGAATTAACAGGCCCACTTCTGCTCTGGCCTGGGTGCTGAACTCTGGTTCTAAAACAAAATGTGAATTCTGGACCCTGGAATTCCAGTTGGGTTTCACAGGCCAGTGGACTGAGAAGGCCCGCAAAAGTGATTGTGGGTGGGCTTAGCAAACACAACTGGTTGCTTTTGTGCCTACACTCACAAAGAAGAAAGATCTTCATCCTCAAGGCATGCCAGGGAGGTCTGAGGCTTATGGGAGCCAGTGAAGAAAAAAGGTGATGCCTCAGCCCAGTGCTTTTGCCCCTGCTGGCTTGTGGCTTTGGGGGCTCAAATTGCTCATCAGAAAAATGGGCAATCAAAGCCCCTCAGTGACTGGATGCTTACCCCACTTTTACCAGTCCACTGCGCAGTGTCCACCCTGCAGCTTCAGGTACAGCCTCTGCTTCAAAAGGCTGGGGGATCTCTGGGGTGAGTTCAGGGCCGTGAGAGGGTTCTCCTACTCATGGACCCCCCCATACCTACCCCTCTGTGCCCACCTGACAGCTCACCATGCCTGCAGTATGACACCCTTATTGCCTGCTCTTGGCAAGCCCACGTCTCCCTGGGTTGGCTAGGGGCACATGTTCACTGAAGCCCAGTTGACCTGTCCATCCTTCCTCCAATGCACAGCCTCAGGTAGGTGCCACCCGGGTTTCCTCCTAGAATGTAATCTCAGGCGGTCACAGTAGCACATTCTGCTCTAACTTATTGACTAGTTCTTCAATAAGTCACTTAATGTGCCAAGATGGGTGCGGGCCTTGACACTCTCCTACCGCTAGTGGGGCTGCATTGGGGGTTACCATCCTGATTTCTTGGTGGAAAAAGCTAGCAGGTGAGGCAGGACTCAAGGGCCAGGGATAGAAAAGAGCACCTTGGCTGGCCTCCCCCAGGGCCCTCTGAAGCCCTTGCAGGCAGAAGGGCTCAGTGGAGCTCCAGGCCTTTTCTAGGATGGTTCCAATAGCCCCTTCCTGGACCTCCAAGAAGGGCCTACTCTTTCTGCAACCTGCACCCACTGGTCTCTAGGAGGTGAGCATCCATTTCTCTTTGTGGACATGGCCTTCTGCTTCATTTCCATGTGATGTTCTCTTAAAAGAAATGCCCAGGGAATCCTGGGCCTGTGCTGGGGGTTCTCAAAGTGCCAAAGTCAGTAAGAGAGTCTCAAGAATATGATTAATAGTATTTTCTGCACATTACTATCTCAGGGCTACTTTTATCCAATAATGTGTAAAAACAAAAATTAAGATGTTGATCCTTTATTTTAATTAGGTCGTCATACAAACCTTTTGTTTTCATGAATTTTCATGCCAGTCATTGAATTTCTGTTTTCCTCTTTGTTCAAATTGTCACCTGTTTTAGAGGCAAAAATCTTAAAAAAAAAAAGCCTCACAAATACTAACAGTTGACAGCAATTTATTTAAAATGTAATTAGATTTCTTAAATAAGTAAATAATTTAAGAAAACAGCTTATATTACTTGTATGAATTATTTTACATCTTATCTTCAATCTTAAAAAATTTTGGCTAGGTATGCAATTCAAAATTGACAGATTTTTAAAATTACTATTATTTTGAAAAATTGCCCAATTCATAGTCCAAAAAAAAAATACCAATCTTACTGGGTTTTACTACTAGCAGAAGCTGGGTTATCTTAGGATCTGATGCAACAAAACCACTCTTTATATATCACTCAATTGCCCAAAATCTACCCAAAACTGAAGGCCGATCCTGTCAGTTCCTAAGAAGACAGTCTTAAAACATGCCCAATTTTCATTTAGCCTTGTTTCCCACTTCTACCTTCCAGTAATGTCTGCCAGAACTACACTTCTGAGAGCCCAGGATAGCAGGGCAGAAATAAAATCTCCTTGGGTTATAACACGTTTGGTTTTGTTCTTCCATATCACACAGGTTTTCTCATCTCGGAGACAGTAAGTTGAAGATGTGCTGTGTCAAGATCTAGAACCAAGGCTGGGTGCAATGGCTCATGCCTGTATTCCCATTACTTTGGGAATCTGAGCGGGGCAGATCATGAGGTTAGGAGATCAAGGCCATCCTGGCTAACACAGTGAAAACCCATCCCTACTAAAAGTACAAAAAATTAGTCAAGCACGGTGGGGGGGTTGCCTGTAGTCCCAGCTACTCGGGAGGCTGAAGCAAAAGAATTGCTTGAAACTGGGAGGTGGAAGTTGCAGTGAGCCAAGATTGTGCCATGGAACTCCAGCCTGGGCGACAGAGCGAGACTCCATTTCAGAAAGAAAAAAAAAAAAATCTAGAATAAATTCTACTTGAAATGGCTTGATAATTCTGTCTAAGCCAGAACATAGACAAGGAAGACTAAAACCCTATTTTGTTAATCTAAATGAAAAGAGTTCAGGGCATTTTCAGTTTCAAAACTGGTGGAGCATACTCTTAACATGTGTCAGCAATTCCAGATTTGACAGCAAAGACTTCCCCTCTAACTCCCTCAATAGATGTTCAAATGTAGAAACACAATCCAAAAACTTTACAAGGTTTTCACTTAGTTTTGCTAAAATGTCCATCTCTTCGTCTTGTTTTAATTGGGAGAGCCAATTGTGCACCATAGGTACAATTATGCTCTCTTCATATGCAGAACTAATGTCACTACTATAAATATTTTCAGTTTTTCACCTGAGACCACAAACTAATTTCAAAGAGAATATTGATTTCTAATTACGTAGCTTCTACTACATAGCTAGTATTGTTTTTGTTGGTTAACTTCATGTATATGCCAATATTAAATGTTCAACTGTTTACTTGAATAAATTGACCCAATATATTTAATAAAGTATATCAATTTTATAAAGTAAAATGATCAATAACTAAATGAAAATTGGATTAAATAGCATTCTCTAAACAAAACAGAAAATGTACTGAATAAATAACACACAATAATAAACTCAGTGTGAAATTACTCACATGTGAAAATTATTCTGTGAACACCATTAAATTTTGTCAGTCACTGTCATAATCTCTGAGGGGATTATACAAAGAATGTTTTATGAAATTAGATGAATAGAAAAGTATATATTATGTCTATGGTGAGCAACAGGCAAACAGACAAACCAAAAAAAGAAAAAGAGAATTTGCACAAAATAATTCTAAGCCAGAAGCAATAACATTTTAGATAAATGAATTTCATACAAAGCAGAGAAAATAGATTTGCTTTCAAAATCTTTGAAATTTCTGGTTTGCTGGTAAGATATCAACACTTGTAAAATTATCTGTTTCATTCTAATATTTTTCTTTTCAAAATAGGTATACAAACATAAACAAATGATTACTTTCTCTATAAATCTGTTACAACTAAAGTTTATTTTACATTACACGTCTGTATATTTAAATCTATATATATCAAAACTAAAGGTCTCTATGTTTAACAGACCAGATACGTCACATGTTCAACAGAAAAAAGAATATTTTGTAACTAGTTGTTCAGAATTCAGAAACATATAGCTCCATTATACTCATATAATCTTCATTACAACCATCATAATAACCTGTAGTTACAAGAAAAACAAAAATGTTAATTTGTAGGAATCATATTCTCCAAATTATGTTAAGTTAAAGACCACTGACAAAGAAATCACTAGAGATGTTATTCCACAGTCACACAATAGTATATTGTTACCATCTGTTGACCTACAACCTTGGGTAAGATGAGATAATTAACATCAGTGGCAAGACACACATTAGGTGTAAAATAGCCTTAACTCAATAACAACAATTTTGGTTTATTAAAACAAGTTCACACATTGTCATTAAAAAGGCATTTTGAAATTCACTGTATTTTAATTACCTTAGTTTGCAAATGGTAAAGCAATTTTCTCCTAAAATTCAAATTGTTTCTCTTACTATGCAGAATATTATCCTAATCACTTACCACACTTCTATCACCCTGTCACTTATAATACTGCTGTAAGCCAACCACTAAGTGGCCTTTCCACTTAGAATTTCTTCATGTATCTTAGATTTCAGTTTCCTTAATCTTCCATGGGAAAGTACATAAATCTTTTTATCTAATATGGAAGAACTTCTCCTAACTCTGGTGCAGCAACCATTGACCATGTTCTTTCACATAAATTCTAGAATGAAGACATAGCATCAAATGTAAGAGTTAAATTATGTGAATACTTGCTTTTGAAAATATATTAAATTCTTTTAAAATAAAAAAGTAGAAGGAGCTAGACTGTGTAGCTTCATAGAGAGGAATGCAAGGTGTGTGTAGATACAGCACCTTCAACTGAAACATCCAGGTACTTGCATTGGAACTAATGAAAGAAACAACTTAACTTACGGAGAATGGAGTAAAGCAAGGCAGGACAATGGGCCACCCGGGAACAACATGGAGCCAAGGGAACCTCCCCACCCAGTAAGGCAGTGAGTGCATGTGTGACCCTAGAAACCCATGATTCTCCCACAGACCTTTGCAACCTTCAGGTGAGGAGATACCCTCATGAACCCACTTCACCAAGGCCTTCAGTTTAACACACAGAGCTACACGGAGTCTCAGCAGAGCAGCCACTGAGGCCTGCATAGAGATTCAAGAGTCTTAGATACTCTGGCTTTCCAGGCTTCCCAGAAAAAGTAGCTGCAACTCTAGCAAAGTAGGGCATTACACCTCTGTACATACCCATGAGAAAGAGGCGGGACCCAAGTGGCTGAGCAGTGATGGTCTGTAGGACCCACTTCCACAGTGCCTCACAGGGTAACACCTACTGGCTTAGAATTACAGCCAACCACTGGTAGCAGCACTGCACCCCCCAGGGATGGAGCTACCAGAAAGAGGAATGGGCCATCATCTTTGCTTCTTGGGCAACTTAGCCATTCCAGCCTTCATGCTTTGAAGAGCCCAAGCTGACTGGGGGCAGAAAGCATCTCCTAGCACAGTACAGGTGCTCTAAAAAGACATGGCCAGACTATCTGTTAAAGCAGGTCCCCAATCTAGTTCCTCCTAACTGCAAACTACTTCCCAACCAGGGTCTCCAGCTACCACCACTGGTGCTCTTTGATCAGTGGAGTTTTGAATCCTCTTTGGGATACAGTTCCTAGAGGGAAGAGTGAGCTGCCATTTTTGATGTTTGTGTGACTTAGCTGTTCCAGCCTTCTGGCTTTGGAGAGTCCAAATAAACTGGGGGTGGAAGTGGTACTTCAGCACAACAGAGCTATCCTATAAAAATGTGGCTAGACTGCTTTTTTTTTGGGACAGAGTCTCACTGTCGCCAGGCTGGAATGAAGTGGCACAATCTTGGCTCACTGAATCCTCTGCCTCCTGGGTTCAAGCAATTCTCCTGCCTCAGCCTCCCGAGTAGATAAGATTACAGGTGCGCGCCACCACACCCAGCTAATTTTCTTCTTTTGTATTTTAGTAGAGACAGGATTTCACCATGTTGCCCAGGCTAGTCTAGAACTCCTGAGCTCAGGCAATCCACCTACCTTGGCCTCACAAAGTGCTAGGTACTGCACCCAGCCTACACTACTTTCTTAGGTGGGTCCCCAATCATGTTCTCCTCACTGGCTAAGACTTTTCAACAGGGGTTTCCAGGTACCTTCTACAGGTGCTTTGGGGCTGGAAACAGGCCTGTACCTCCCTGGGATGGAGCCCTTAGAGAAAAGGGCATGTTGTCATTGTTGCTGTTTTGCAGCATTCAGCGGTGTTAAAAGTCAGATGCTGGAAAATCTGAGGTGACTAGAAACTGCAGTGGACACCCAGCATACTGCAGCAGCCCTTCAGTAAAGTGGCCAGACTGTTACATGAGTGCCTTTTCTCATATATTCTCACTGGTCAGGTTCTCCAGGCCTGGGCCACTAGCCAATTTCTTCCAGAGCTATTCAGCCAGTAGCAACTTAGAAACTCCCTGGCCAGAGCCTCCAGGGACAACTGAAAATATTTCTGCCTCTGCTTCTGCAGTAGAACTGTCCTTGCTACTGTCAGACTAATGAAAAATCCAAAACCCTAAGTGCCTTATTCACACCTCAAACAAGCTGCAGTTTACCCAAGGAGAGGAGGCCAGTCCATCCTCCATGGGTCCCACAAACTACACACTGCTTATCACCAGACAGTGAACAACTAACTTGGCCAAAAGCACAGATCCTCCATCCTGGGCAGACTGCACTGAGTGATTACTGGCCTAAACGTCTCTGAGATGCAGCCCCCAGAAGACAAGCAAAGAGGTGGGGCAGCAAGCCAGCTCATGTGGTGCCCAGAGGGTTGAGCTCAAGAGCATCTGTAATAAAGTGTGGCCATTGATGGCCATTTCTCTAGGCTCAACTTTCTCCCATAAGAGACTTTATCCTTAGGGGAACTGTTGGACCTAATTTCTGCAGGATGGTCTTGCAAATCAGAAGAAGCTGGTCCAACTGAGCACTCCTTGGTCTGCTGGCCTCTCCCAGGAACTCAGTCTGACCACAGCTGCTTACAGGGCAGTCTCAGGTACATTAGGAGCCCATATCAGAGCATATGCACTGGTGGGCCATGCCTGACCCATGAAGAGCTCCAGCAAGGTAGCGTCTATGAATGGACCAGCCCACATGTTTCTTCTCCATACTACAGCTTCCCCTGAGACCATGACAACTCCCCAAATTACTTTGCTGGCATATGCCTGCAAAGGTGAGTTTGGCTTTGCTTGCTCCACCATCAAATGGAAATGCAGTATGACCCTGCCACCCCCAAGCAATTGCCATTGTAGATGAAGCTTTGGTGGGTAGACAGCCAGAAAGCCCCACCCTGGCCTTTGTGGTAACACTGTGGGGAGAACAGGGTATCCTCCCACACTCTGAACAATCACTCCTTCTTGGGGGACACAGAGAAGGCATCAGAACCTTCACTGGCCAGTATCCTGCCCCAAGCCAACAATACCTTTAGTGCAACAGCACACAGTCTCCAGCAGGTAGCCCCTACTCCCCCACCAGCGGCTTTGCTCCTGCCACTGAGGTGAATACCCAAAGACAGGCAGAAACCCCATATCCACTAGCACTCTGCTACAGCTGTGGCACGTTAGTCCCATAGAGTGGTGGACTCCAAATCACAAGGAGCCACAGAACACAGTTGGGGCTCAATACAAGTCCCCCAGAGTTAGAGTATACAGACTCTGAGTTGTGAGCTGAGCATTACCTCCTCTCCGTCACCAAAAAAAAAAAAAAAAAAAAAAAAAATCTCCCAGGAACAAAGCTTGTTGGCTGAATCCACCTTTTACCACAATCAAATACTCAAGACCATCAAATAGGATCCAAAAATCCAAAACCCCATTCAAGGTTCAGCAACTTCAAAGATATGCCCACAGAGATGAGAGAAAATCAGTGCAAAAATGTTGAAAACACAAAAAGCCAGAGTGACTTATTTCATCCAAATGACCAAATTACATTTCCAGTATGGCCTAAGCTTAATGACAGAAGCAAAATTCAGAATATGGATAGAGACAAAGTTCATTGAGTTACAAAAGTAAGTTGCAAGGAAGGACAAATGCAAGGAAGGACAAAATTGCAGGAACTGACAGAAAAAAAACAACCAGTCTAGAGAAAAATATGGCCAAATTAATAGAGCTGAAAAACACAATACAAAACCTTTATAATGTAACCACAAGTATTAATAGAAGAATACACCAGGCAGGGGGAAGAATCTCAGAGCCTCAAGACTGACTTTCTGAAATAAGACAGACAAGAATACTGAAGAAAGAATAAAGCAGAATTAACAAAACCTCTGAGAAATATGGGATTATGTAAAGAAACCTGTGAAGAAACCAAATCTATGATTAAAGAGAGTGCCTGAAAGCAATAGGAGTAAGAAAACAACTTGAAACACATATTTCAGGATAACATCCATGAGAACTTCCCTAACCTAGATACAGAGGCCAACATTTCAAAGGCAGAAAATGTGGAGAACCCCAGTGAGATACCCCATAAGGTGGTCATCCCCAAGATACATAATCATGAGGTTCTTCAAGGTCAAAATAAAAGAAAAAATATGTTAAAGGCAGCTAGAGAGAAAGGCCAGGTCACTTCTAAAAAGAAGCCCATCAGACAAACAACAAAACTTTCAACCGAAATCCTACAAGTCAGAAGAGATTAAGGGCCAATATTCAACATTCTTAAAAAATAATTCTAACTCAGAAGTTCATATCCGGCCAAAGTAACCTTCGGAAGCAAAAAATAAATATGATCCTATTCAGAAAACCAAATGCTGAGGAAATCTGTTACCACAAGACCTGCCTTACAAGAGCTCTTGAAGAAGGCACTAAACAAGAAAAAGACGATTACCAGTCACTACAAAAACATACTGAAGTACACAAACTGCTGACACGATAAAGCCACCACATAAAAAAATGTGCAAAACAGCCAGCTAAGATCATACTGACAGAATCAAATCCACACATATGAATATTAACCCTAAATGCAAATGGGCTAAATGCTCCGATTAAAAATAGAGTAGCAAGCTGAATAAAGAATCAAGATCTAACGGTATGCTGTAATCGAGACACCCTTCTCAAATAAGCTCAAAATACAGGGAAAAAGAAAAATCTACCAAGCAAATAGAAAACAGAAGAAGAGCAGGGATTGCAATCCTAGTTTCTGGAAAAAGAGACTTTAAATCAACACAGATTAAAAAAAAAACAAAAAAAGACAAGGGCATTACAAAATAGTAAAAGGCTATATATGCACCCAACACAAAAGCACCCAGATTATAAAACAAGTTCTTAGAGACCCTCCAAGATGTTGAATGTTCTTCAACAGTCATTAAATTTATACTTTATTTGTTCAGTATTGTCTCTGATGTTGAACACAATATGACAACTTGTTAAAGGCTTCTCCACATTTTTAACACTTGTGGAGCTTCTCTCTAGTATGAATCCTCTTATGTCTAATGAAGTGTGAGAACGAGCTCGATGCTTTTCCACATTCTTCTCATTTGTAGGGTTTCTCTCCAGTGTGAATTCTCTTATAATTAGTGAGGTCTGAGAAGCACTTAAATGTTTTGCTGCATTCTTCACATTTGTAAGGCCTCTCTTCCATATGAATTCTCTTGTGGTTAGTAAGGGTTGAGGAGCGGGTAAAGGCTTTGCCACATTCTTCACAGATGTAGGGTTTCTCTCCAACATGAATTATTTTATGTTGACTAAGGGCCAAGATACACGTAAAAGCCTTTCCACATTCATTACATTTGTAGGGTTTCTCTCCAGTATGAATTCTCTTATGTTGACTAAGGGAAAAAATCCACGTAAAAGCTTTTCCACATTCATTACATTTGTAGGGTTTCTGTCCAGTATGCATTATCTTATGTCAAGCAAGGTTTGAGAACCACTTGTAGGCTTTGTTACATTCTTCACATTTGTAGGGTCTCTCTTCCATATGAATTCTCTTGTGGCTAATCAGGGTTGAGGAGCGGGTAAAGGCTTTGCCACATCCTTCACAGATGTAGGGTTTCTCTCTAGTATGAATTTTCTTATGATGACTAAGGACCGAGATCCATGTAAAAGCTTTTCCACATTCATTACATTTGTAGGATTTCTCTCCAGTATGAATTCTCTTATGTTTAGCAAGGTGTGAGAACCACCTGTACGCTTTGTTACATTCTTCACATTTGCCGGGTCTGTCTCCAGAATGATTTCTCTTGTGTTTAATAAGGGTTGAGGAACAGGTAAAGGTTTTGCCACATTCTTCACATTTGTAGGGTTTCTCTCCAGGATGAACTCTATTATGTTCAGTAAGGTTTGAGAACTTTTTAAAAACTTTGGCACAATCTTCACATTTGTAGCATCTCTCTGCAGTATGGATTCTCTTCTGTAGAGTAAAATCTGAGAACAACCTACAGTCTTTGCCACATTCCTCACATTTGTAGCATTTCTCTTTGCTAAAAATTTCCTTATGTTCAGTGAAGATTGAGCACAACCCAAAAGCTTTACCACATTTATTACATTGACTGGTTTTGCTACGGGTAGTTGACAAACATTGATGAAGGCCATTGTATCTGCTTTTCTGCCCCTTGCAATTACCCACACTTTGGTAGTCTTTCTTTAAATGTAAAGTATTAAGGTCACTGCTTCCATATTTTCTAAGAATCACCTTTTGAAATGAATCTTTTATGTCATGCTCTGGCAATACCTCCGCAGTAAAATGAAAACAGCAAGGTGAAAAAAAAAAAGAACAAAATGTCTCCCTCATTACACTCAGGTGAATATACTTTACAAATATATAATTATACAAAGCACATTAACAAGGTGACACAATAAAATACCACAGGCTCTAATTCCTTTATAGACATATAAACTTAACAGAAATATACTGACCAAAATGCCTTTGTGAGAAGTGTTAAGAACCAGTTAAGCATTTGCAGCACCCCAAGTGAGCAAAATGCCAAGAACCATATAGAAGTGTAATAAAAGTATTTCATATTTGCCCACCACAGCCATTCTTCATCCCATGATGACTTAAATATAGACTCCTGTCTTCCCCCTCCAAAAATAAATAAAATAGTGGTACATATGTCCATGCTTCTGACTTTTTAAGACCTTACCAAAGACTAATTTCTGTATTCCATGACAGTGTTGAAAGGAAAGGTGGTATAGTTTGACAGTTTCGGACAGCGGAGACCAAAGGTAAATGACTGTTACAAGAGAAGAAAGACTTCAGCATCACAGACAGAGAATGGGTATAGCAAGTGATTACAGGGTCTCAATAAGAAACATGAGGGATGGCAAGGAGTAGTGGCTCATGCCTGTAATCCCAGCACTTTGGGAGGCTGAGGTGGGCAGATCACCTGAGGTCAGAAATTCAAGACCAGCCAGGTCAACATGGTGAAACCCATCTCTACTAAAAATACAAAAACTAGCCGGGTGTGGTGGCAGGTGCCTGTAATCCCAGCTACTCAGGAGGCTGAGGCAGGAGAATCACTTTAACTCGGGAGGTGTAGGTTGCAGTTAGCCAAAATCACGCCATTGCACTCCAGCCTGGGCAACAAGAGTGAAACTCTGACTGGAAAAAAAAAAGAAATCTTTTTAAACTAAAAAACACATTCCCAGAGAAAATATCCATAGAACCAGCTTGAGAGACTCCAAGAATCTCCAGCCTAAAAAATTGGTATCATATTCCCCCAGACAAAAACCACTTAATAAAGATCTTGACATGTGGCTTTTTATTATACAAATTAGAACCTAAGATTACAACAAAAAAGTCTAAGCAAGAATACTATATCCAGCAAAAGTATCCTTCAAAATGAAAAAAAAAATCTAACCATATTATGATCTATATCAAGACCTAAATATGTCATGTCTTCAAGAGACTCACTTCAGAGCCAATAAAAAAAAATAGACTGAAAATGGCAGGATGAGAAATACATTCCATGCAAGTGTCAACCAAATGAGAAGAGGTAACAATTTATTACATCAAAAACTCTCATATTTCATATAATTTAAGTCAAAACTCACAAGAGAGAAAGTAGGACATTCAATTATAGCAAGAGGGTTCATTCGCTGAGAATCTGTAAATATATCTGACAGTTTTCACAGACACATAGAGCAAACATTGACAGAATTTAAGCAAAATTAGACAGCAATATAATAATGGAAGGATACATCAATATCCCACTTTCAGTAATAAATAATGAAGACAGAATATCAATAAGGGAACAAAAAACTTCAATGCACTATAAAATAATTATACCTAACAAATGTATACAGACAGCAAAATACACATTCTTTTCAATAACTCATGAAACATTTTCCTAGATAGACCACCTGTGACACCACGAAAGAAATCTTAACAATTTTTTTTAATTGAAATTTTACAATTCTTTATGGCCCAAGTGGAATGAAACTAGAAGTCAGTAACAGAAGAAAAGCTGAAACATTTAAAAATATATAAAAATTAACCACACACTCTTTTGTGGTTTTTTTTTTCTTTTTTTTTTTTGAGATGGAGTCTCACTCTGCCACCAGGCTGGAGGTGCAGTGGCATGATCTCGGCTCACTGCAACCTCCACCTCCCAGGTTCAAGTGATTCCCCTGCCCCAGCCTCCCAAGTAGCTGGGACTACAGACATGCACCCCCATGCCCAGCTGATTTTTTGTATTTTAGCAACAGGGTTTCACCATGTTGGCCACGATGGTCTCAATCTTGTACTCTTCCCACCGGCCTCCCAAAGTGCTGGGATTACAGGCGTGAGCCACCACACCCAGCCAACAACACACTTTTGAGCATGCTCTTTTTCAAGGGCTGGAAGACATAATGTGAAGATGTCCATGCAGCTTAAAGTGACCCACACATTCAACACACCCCTTTTCAATTTAATAATTTTCAAACACAAAACAAACCTACAGTAATCAAAGCACTTTGGTATTGGTATAAAGGTAGAACACCAAAGTAATGAAACAAAATGCAGCACAGATATAAACTCTGGAACATATGGTCAAGTAAGTTATTTGCACACCATACTGAAGCATTATTCATGAAAGCCAAGAGGTAAAATCAATTTAAACTTTCCTTACCAAATGGATAAATATAATTTAAGATACAAAAAAATGGAATATTAATTAGCTTTTAAAAAGCAGGAAATCTTCCAATATCTATTATAAAGACAAATTTTGAAGACATCATGCTAAATTTAATAAGCCAGACACACACACACACACAAATACTCTATGAATCTACTTACATGGAATATCTAAAATAGTTACATCCTTAAAAACAGAAAATAGAATGATGTTTCTTAAGGGCCAGACAATGGGAAAAATGAGTAGTAGATTCATGTGTATACCACATTTCTTTTATAAAAATAAAAATGTTCTAAAGATATGTTGCTAACCATCTCAATATACTTAACAAAGCTGAACTATATAATTGAAAACATTAAAGATTATAAATGTTGCTATATTTTATATATATATATATATTTTTTGTTTGTTTGTTTGTTTTAAAAGATTAAGTTTTACTTTTGATGCCTAGGCTGGAGTACAGTGGCACAATCTCGGCTAACTGCAACCTCTGCCTCCCGGGTTCAGGCGATTCTCCTGCCTCGGCCTCCAGAGTAGCTGGGATTACAGGCACGCACCACCACACCTGGCTAATTTTGTATTTTTACTAGAGATGGGGTTTCACCATGTTGGCCAGGCTGGTCTTGAACTTCTGACCTCGGGTGATCTGCCCACCTTGACCTACCAAAGTACAGGGATTACAGGTGTGAGCCACCATGCCTGGCCCTTGTATTTTTTACAATTAACAATAAAACAATCATTGACTAATAACAACAACAACAAAAAGCAAATATACAAGTCATAAAATAGGGGCAACATTTTACACAGGCAAACAAACACAGAAATAATTATACTGGCAATATACATATGACTGATTCATACTGGTATATTATGTATTGCTAAGTTGTGGGATATTGCTACTACTACTCAGGTAGATAGCACAGCACCCAATAGGTAGCTTTTCAGGCCTTGTCTCTTTCCTCCCTTCCTCCGCTAGTGGTCTCCAGCATCTATTGTTTCCATCTTTATATCCAATGTATACCAATATTTAGCTCTCACTTATAAGTAAGAACATGCAGTATTTGGTTTTCTGTTTTTGTTTTAATTTACTTCAGATAATGGCTTTCAGCTGCATCAATGTTATTACAAAGAACGTAATTTTTTTTGGCTGTGTAGTATTTCATAGTGTATAGGTACCACAAATTTATCCAATCCACCACTGATGGGCAACTAGATTGATTTTGTGTCATTGCTATTGAAGACAACAAAGTTTGAATAACTAGAATACAGTGATAGCAATAACATTTTAAAGAAAATGCATTATAATCATTGATAAAAAACTTTGATTAAAAATATGAAGAAATAGGCCCTTAAATAATACTGGACATATCTATTATGTCATTAATATATAGCTGCTATTTTAGCACAAAATGTAAAGGCAATAAGGCAACCTTTGGAAGCAAAGCAAAGCATTACATTACTAAATAATATAAATATAAATATAGTACAATACGATATAAAATAAAATGAATTAGCAATAAATTTATACAATTACGTAGACAAAGTTTGAGAAAAGTTGATGAAAATGCTGATAATTTTGTATGTAGTAAACATAAACATATAAAAAAGATTTTAATACATGTGGTGTGCCTATTATCTAATTCACTTTTTATATAACATACATTTGAGCACATTAGCTCAGAACTTGTGAAATTACAGGCATAGTTGGTATACAGCAAACCAGAAAGAAAAAAATATACATAGGACAGAGCCCTAGTAAAATTCATAGTAAAGAAGATAAAATTTAAAAATAATAGTTATTAAGAAATAGATAATGATTTGGAAATTATATGCTGGACAGTGTTCTAAGTAACCTATGGTATTACTGTTTTTAGGAATTCTGTGAGCTGGGTAGATAAAATCAACTATTCCACAGTAGAGGTATTTGCCATACAGCATTTAAATTTCTAAGCTTAGTTCCTGCTTAAAAAAAGATACTTTCGAAGTGAAATAGATGTTTAGATTTTCTTGTAATCAGAAGCTTTGTGCTCTGATAAAAGTTCTCACTTTCATTTTCTGTATAAAGAATTGACTGGAAATTATAAAGCAGAAGACACATGACATCTGTCCCTAGCCTCTCTCAAATCTCTTGACCAAATCTGAATGTCTCCCTAGTCCTCTCACAGATGTCTAACATAAGGCACAAACAGATTTTTAAAAACAGCTTAACATAGTGGTCTCCAAAAATCTGCACAAATTTTCCAGATCCCTCAAAGAAACAGAAGAGCAGTTAGATTATTTAGAACCTCACAACATAAAAAGAGGAGTTTGTCTCTCACTGTGAATGCACCAGCAGATTATTAAATGAACTGAAGACAGAGAATTCAAAAGCCTAATAAGCATACACCAAAAAATTTTCTTCCATGACAGTAAGAGGCTTTTCAAGAATCAATTCCATTGGAGAACAGCTTCCCAATCCACATTTTAAGCTCTTGTTTTCTCCTTCACCTTTGGACATTTCACATATGTTATCTGCTAAATCATTCATACCTATCTGAGTGTATGGCTATTCTCTCCACTCTTCTCACATTCTGGTAATATTTTCTATACTGCAGAAGGTAACCAGGTCTAGCTTAAAAGACTTTCCAACACAACCTTTCTTTCACTCAACTGCAACTGGGCTAAGTAAAGCACAATCAACTCCCAGTATTACCCTCAGGAGAGATCTAGAAGAGTGGGTCTGTTTAAAGTTCTGAAATTATACGAGATGGTCTAATTAATAGAGTCTGTCTCCCTCAACATGAAAATGATGGAGTAATGAGAATTATAGTTTGTATGTACTAGATGAAAGGTGAATGTTGCAATAGTAGAGGAACTGCAATGCCACAGTCAACTAGGGAAGCAAAAAATTATAGAATCTGAAAAGAAAATGAGAAAAAAATCTCTTTAACTTAGAAATTACACACAAAAGTCCAAAGACACAACTGAGAACATGTTTGTGAAGCACTGAAAATCTATAGCCTGGCTCACTGCTGTAGCCAGTCTTTAAGCAAATCCTTAAATATTAGATTAGAAGGCTGTTTTTAAGTTTCCAAATTTCATAAAAGGATCACATGACATAAAAAGAAAACATACCCCACTTGAAGAAATAAATTTCCAAAACTCAATCCTTAAGAAGATCTTTGCATTATCTGACAAAGATGTCAAAATAATGATACTAAGTATGCTCAATAAGAACAAAAACAAAAAAAGAACCCAGAAGAAATTGTGGAACAGAAAAATAATTGTTGAAAAATTTTGTAGAATCACAACAGAATAACTGACCAGAAGACAAAAATCAGAAAACTAAAGACATGTTATTTATAAATATGGAGTCATGAAAAAAAAATTGAAAAACATCAACATGGAATATGTAACTTATTAGATACCATTAAGGAGACCAATATATTCATGAAAGGATCCTTTGAAGAAGAATGCAGGGGAAAAGTCATAGGTAGAGAGGTTATTTGAAGAAAAAAGGGACTAAGAACTTCCCAAATTTCAAGGTGATGAAAAAAAAATGCTACCAACCAAGGATACTTAATCTGGGAGAAATTTACTTTAAAAATAAGAAAAAAATAAAGACTTTCTAATATGAACAAAAGGTAAGGGTGTTCATTACCCCTAGAACAGTCTTATAAGAAATACTACATGGAGTCCATTATGTTGACAGACATCGTGGTTCACACCTGTAATCCTAGCAACTTTGTAGGTTGAGGCAGAAGCAGCATCATTTTAGGCCAGGAGTTTGAGACCAGCCTAGGTGATATGGTGAGACCCCTTCTCAAAGAAGAGACCATTATAATAATTTTGTTTTTCAGGGAGAGGGTTTTAAAACCTGCTAGGGCTAAAGATTGATTGGAGTCATTTTGAAAAGGCAGGCCCTCATTCAGGTGGCAAACTTGAAAACCCTTGGTCTTGGCTACAGACCAAGAAATGGTTCACCTATTTTGACCCCACTTAAAATTTTGCAGTGACTCCATAACCATCTCCAGCTCCTCCCAGCCATAGTCTAGGAGTGGTTCTGCACATCCAGGGACCCAGAGTAAGATGCCTATTTGTGGTTACAGTGGTAGGTCTGCAGACCTTGGCCTTTACTGTGCTCTCTGAAACAGTTCAGAGACTCAGTTTCAGCACTGATAGTCACAGTTTGTGGCCAGTTCTACCAACCTAAGTACCCAGAGAGTGAACTGGGGAAATCCTGCCACATACTCAGTAAGAAACACACATCAGGCCCACCATATACCAACCCTAATGCACAACACTGCCCTAGAGCTAGCCCTACAGATCAAAGTCCTAAAGGCAATTCAATCTGCCAAGAAATAAGACAGGATTAACAACTACCCAGGCTCCTGGTAACAAACCCACAAAACGCAAACTCCATAACAGACCAAGAAGCAGCCATGTGACCCACGTATAACCCCTCTCCACTGCATACCCAAAAAGGATTCTACCAGCTAATTGACCCAAGAGAAGATTTTTGTCTGCTGAAATCAGACTATAAAATTGGAAAATTTAGATTCAATAAATCCCCTATTAAAATTTTAGTAAAATTTTTCAAAGTAATAGAAAATGCAATCTTAAAATTTATATGAAATTACAAGAAACTTTGAATAGCCAAAGCAGTTTTGAGAATTAAAAACAAAGCTGGGGCATTATACTTTCTAATTTTAAACTACGTTTGAAGGCTATTGTAATAAAAACAGGATGCTCTGTGGATAAAAATGCACACCGATATCAGTGGAGCAGAATGGAGAGCCCAGAAACAAATCCATTCATGCGAGATCAACTCATCTTTGACACTGAGGCACTAAGAATACACAATGCAGAAAGTACAGTCTCTTCCATGCTTGGGGCTGGGAAAAGGGAATACCCACAAGTAAAAGAATAATATTAGACCACTTTTCTTACACTGTATTTAAAATTAACTAAATATAAAATAAGGACTCTAATGTATGACAAAAATCTCGTTTTTTTTTTTTAGTATTTATTGATCATTCTTGGGTATTTCTCGCAGAGGGGGATTTGGCAGGGTCATAGGACAATAGTGGAGGGAAGGTCAGCAGATAAACAAGTGAACAAGGGCCTCTGGTTTTCCTAGGCAGAGGACCCTGTGGCCTTCCGCAGTGTTTGTGTCCCTGGGTACTTGAGATTAGGGAGTGGTGATGACTCTTAACGAGTATGCTGCCTTCAAGCATCCGTTTAACAAAATTCTTAATAATCTTAAAAGAAAACATATTAAAAGACCTTAATATTGCTCTTCGAAATAAATTTTGGGATACGACAGCAAAAGTACAGCAATAAAAGCAAATATAGACAAATTAAACTGCATCAAACTAAAACACTTCTGCATAACCAAGAAAAAACAGAATAAGAAAACCATACCTGGTAAGTGGTTAGAATCAAAAATATATAAGAAACTCATACAAATAAAAGGTAACAACTATACTAATAGTAATAATAACAAGATTTAAAAGATAAGCCAAGGACTAAATAAATGTTTATTAATGAAAACATTTAATTGGGCAACGGGTATATAGAAAGGTGATCAATGTCACCAATCTGGCAGATGCAAATTAAATTCATGGTGAGATATTACTTATACCTGTTAGGATTGCTAATATCAAAAAGAAGATTTATAGCAAGTGTTGACAAGAATATATTAAAGAAAAGAAATGCTTTACGTTCTTGGTGATGTGTAATTTTTTGAGACATTATGAAAACCAGTATGAAGGTTCTTTAAAAATTTTTTTAATAGTACTACTGTACAATTTAGCTATCTCACATCTGCATTTACAATAAATTTACTATCTCAAAGAAATACCTGCACCTCCATGTTCATTGAACATTTTTCACAATTGTCAAGATACAAAAGCAATCTAAAGTGTTTGTGGAAACTGACTGCACAAAGAAAACATGGTATATATACAAAACAGAATATTATTCAGCCATAAAAAGTAATAAAACCCTGCCGTTTCTACAACATGGATGGACCTAGATGACATTATGCTAAGTGAAACATGAAAGAAACAGAAAGTATAATCTCACTTCTATGGAGAATATAATAAGGTTGGACTCCTAGAAGAAGAGAGTACAGAGATGAGTGCTAGGCCGTGGAGGTGGGGAAAGTGGGATATGTTGTTCAAATGGTACAAATGTTCAGTTAAAAGACAAATAAGTTATGGTAGCCTAAGGTACAGCTTTATGACTATAGAAAGTAATACTGTTAGGCATGCTGAAAATTTGCTGAGATCTTAATTGTTCTCACTACAAAAAAGGTAAGTAAGTAAGGTCATAAATGTGTTTGTTCACTAATTTGATTGCATTAATCATTTCATTATGTATACAGATATAAAATCAATACACTGTATACACTATATAGGTATTCAATTTGTGAAAAACATTTGTTACTGAGATTATATATGTGTGTCATACACATACATATATACACGTGTTTATATATATACACACATATGAATGACAGTCACAGTAAGCTTTATACTAAATAAAATCACAAAATGATGTCATTTAAAATAAAGTTAAAATTGAGAGTTTAATATGTACTCAGCAATGTTTCAAGCTCTCCAATGACATAGTATATTTAATAAATGTATGAAGTAGATACACTGAACTATATTACAGTTGAGGAATTTGGCCACATTTACGAACATTTGTTTATATGAAAAGAATAACATTTGAAGTAACACAATTTTAGAGTTTGTTTCATTTAGGGAGATGCTTAGTGTTTTGATATAATTACTGAGTATAAATTCCCATAAAATCACATTTGAAGCCTCCATAGAATAGAAAATTATAAAGCAGGAAGCACACATCTTTTTGTGGTGTTCCTGGGATTTCTGATCCAAACTGCAACATCACCAAAACTTATATATTTAGACATTATCCGAAAAGAGAACTTAAAAAATGGTTTAATATAGAGTTTCTCAAAAATACAGATATTGCTGTTTCTCCCAAGCAATGGAAAAGCAGTCAAATCACACATTTTCTTTTAAGCCATGAAAACAACTTTCATTATCACTGTAAACTTAAAGAAAAAAAACCAGCAAGAACAACAACAAAATACATTACTGAAGGTGAAGTACAGTGCTTGGAAAATTCACAAGAATGGGACAAAAAATGTCCCTATGTTAAAGCAAGAGAAAGAAATGAAGGCTTCCCAGAAATGATTTCCACTGGAGCAGAGCTTCTGGAAGCACGTTTAAAGGTCTGGCTTCCTCCTTGACATTGGGATCCGTCTTTTGTGTCATTTGCTTCATTCACTCCCACCTACCTGGGTGTTTGGCTACTGCCTCCTGTCTCTTCACATTCCAGGGCTCTTTTCTTTGCTCCAGACAGGTCATCAAGTCTGGCTTAAAGATAGCAAGACCTGTTTTATTAGAAAAAAATAACATGACTCTTGCTAGGATAATCCGATTACTAATCTAGTACTATGCTCAGTAGAGAAGAAAGAACATTATAGAAGACTCTAGAAAATTAATTCCAATCTACTGTTTACTAACATAAACTTTAGAATATTTAGAAAGTATTTTAAATTTGTGGGTTCTTAGCTCTATTACCCAGTGATACTGAATCAAAAGTCAGTTGTGAAAATTGCATTTTTAGGTGTGGGTAACAATATTTTATGCATTAAATTTCTGATATTACCACTAATTTAGACTCTACACAGATGAGCTCAAAAAAGGGAAAGATTAATGTTAAGATGAAACATCTTAAAGATTATATTTTCTACCTGAACAGATACCCAATTTTTTCTTTTTGAAGCAGGATTCTGGAACTCACTTATGCAAAGCAGAACTTCCAAAAAAAAAACCAGAATAAAATATTTAATGTAGAATATGAGTTGTATATTGAAGTTATTCTCACCCAAGGAGACCAGATTTCTGTAGTTCTCCAACATCACATCCCTATACAAACGCTGCTGAGCAGAGTCCAGGCATTCCCACTCTTCTGGGGAGAATTCTACAGCCACATCCCTGAATGTCAACACTCCCTGGAAAACAAAACATATTTACCAAGTGACCATAGAAAGAACTCCTGATTTGACGTCAGGTAAAATGAGAGTAAAGAGAGCTGGTTCTGACTTACATGAGTTACTGAAGTTATCCAATAGGATACTTTCCAGCACAGAGATATTCTCTAATGTATTTTTAACTCTGAGAAAAGGTGGCATAAGATCATGAAACCAGTGTATGTGCAATACTTTTCTTGATGATACAGTTTAAATAAAGGACATTAACACAGGTATGTACATTTCTTAATGCTATATTTACATAATATAAGATGAGTTGTCTATACTTCCCATATGGAAACTTCATGGTGAGTTAAAAGCATACTTCTCACATCTTATTCTCAAATCAATTAACAGGAGATCTTGTTAAAATGTAGATTTTGACTCTGAAGATCTAGGGTAAAGCTTGAGTTTTTGAATTGATAGTTTGCCAGTGGTATCACTGCTTCTGGCCCAAGGAGAATATTTTGTCAAAAATTCAGTAAGTGGCACAGCCTAGGTTTTTAGTTTATTTGACCAGTAAAGAAAGACGAGAGCCTTCACTTTCCATAGGAAGCGATATGCAAAGAGAAGGTAAGAAGAAGAGCTCTCAGATTAAATGTGGTTTAATCTTGTTTTTGCACATCACTTGATAAAACTCCCCAAGGTACCTATTAAAAATAAAGAGTAAAATAAGTAACTCTAGAGTGAAAAAAATATGTCAAAGAGCATATTTACCAAGTAAATAAATGAAGATCAACTACATTAAAAGAAATTTGTATCAGGTGCTGATTAACAAAGAAGGATATGACACTACTGTGCTATTATTAACATTAACACAAAAAAGGGTGAACTTAATCTGAGTCTAGTCATGAAGAAACATCAGTTTTGAGCAAAAATTTAAGCTACAAATATCTTCCATGTTCTGTAATCTCTAATGGTGTATATAAATAAGTCTTTCTTTTTTTTGGTTAAACTTTTTTTTTTAACTTTAAGTTCTGGGATGCATGTGCAGAACGTGTGGTTTTGTTACATAGGTATACATGTGTCAAGGTGGTTTGCTGCACCTATCAACCTGTCATCTAGGTTTTAAGCTCCACATGTGTTAGGTATTTGTCCTAATGTTCTCCCTCCCCTTGCCCCCAATCCCGACAGCCATCAGTGTGTGATGTTCCCCTTCCATGTGTTCATGTGTTCTCATTGTTCACCTCCCGCTTATGAGTGAGAACATGCAGTGTTTGGTTTTCTGTTCCTGTGTTAGTTTGCTGAGAATGATGGTTTCCAGCTTCATCCATATCCAAGCAAAGAACATTCTTTTTTATGGCTGCATGGTATTCCATAGTGTTTATGTGCCACATTTTCTTTATCCAGTCTATCATTGATAGGCATGTGGGCTGGCTCCAAGTCTTTGCTATTGTAAATAGTGCTGCAATAAACATACAAGTGTATGTGTCTTTATAGAATGATTTATAACCCAGTCATGGGATTGCTGGGTCAAATGGTATTTCTGATTCTAGATCCTTGAGGAATTGCCACACTGTCATCCACAATGGTTGAACTAATTTACACTCCCAAGAATAGTGTAAAAGTGTTCTTGTATCTCCACATCCAAGCCATCATCTGTTTCCTGACTTTTTAATGATCACCATTCTAACTGGCATGAGATACTATCTCATTGTGGTTTTGATTTGCATTTCTCTAATGACCAGTGATGATGAGCTTTTTTTCATCTTTGTTGGCTGCATAAAGGTCTTCTTTTGAGAAGTGTCTGTTCATATCCTTTGCCCACTTTTTGATGGGGTTGTTTTTTTTTTCTTGTAAATTTGTTTAAGTTCCTTCTAGATTCTGGATATTAGCCCTTTATCAGATGGATAGATTGCAAAAATTTTCTCTCATTCTTTAGGCTGCATGTTCACTCTGATGATAGTTTCTTTTGCTGTGCAGAAGCTCTTTAGTTTAATTAGATCCCATTTGTCAATTTTGGCTTTTGGTGTTTTAGTCATGAAGTCTCTGCCCATGTCTATGTCCTGAAGCCTAGGTTTTCTTCTAGGGTTTTTATGGTTTTACATTTAAGTCTTTAATCCATCTTGACTTAATTTTTGTATAAGGTGTAAGGAAGGGGTCCGGTTTGTTTTCTGCATATGGCTAGCCAGTTTTCCCAGTACCATTTATTACATAGGGAATCCTTTTCCCATTGCTTGTTTTTGTCAGGTTTGTCGAAGATCAGATGGTTGTAGATGTGTGGTATTATTTCTGAGGCCTCTGTTCTGTTCCATTGGTCTACATTATCTGTTTTGGTACAAGTACCATGCTCTTTTAGGTACTGTAGCCTTGTAGTATAGTTTGAAGTCAGGTAGCATGATGCCTCCAGCTTTGTTCTTTTTGCTTAGGATTGTGTTGGCTATATGCACTTTTTTGGTTCTATATGAAATTTAAAGTGGTTTTTTTCTAATTCTGTAAAGAAAATCAATGGTAGCTTGATGGGAATAGCATTGAATCTATAAATTACTTTGGACAGTATGGTCATTTTCATGATATTGATTTTTCCTATCCATGAGCATGGAATTTTTTTCCATTTGTTTGTATCCTCTCTTATTTCCTTGCTTTAGCATCCTAGAGAAGAAGTCTCTTCTAATTATTTTTTATTTAGAACTTTCTGAGTTATCCTGGGCAATAAAGACCATTCTCATTAAATGTGTGTTTTTACAAGCAGTTTTGCATAGATTTAATGGAAGCTAAACAGTACATGGTCTCCTTCACTGATAACCAAGCACCTGATCCCATCTCAAACAAGAATCTTGGGCATCCACATCTTTCTATGTTCTACAGCCACAAAAGGAACATTTGTAATGTTGCAGGTTATAAATTCATGGTGACAATTTTTTCATGGCTTATTAAGAGCTGGGATGTAGAGAATAAAGATGGATCTGTGATCCCTTCCAGGTGTGACTAACTGCACAAATTAAACCTGTTTCTTGAGAATACGCCTTTGAAGCATCAGTGAAACTCCTTCCCTTGAAACCGCCACACCCACAGGCAGAAGGACCTAGAATTGCAGATAAAGTCTGCCTTTCTTTGTCCTTTATCACAGGAGAGGTTCAGAACCAGTAAACTCCTACATAAAAACAAAATGTGAGTTTCCCCTTTCCAGTACTCGTTGCCCTTCTCTGCCACAGATGCCAGCAATTTCTACTGCAGCAATGGGAATACGGGCCGCACTGACCTGCCCCTACCAAACCCAAGCAGAGCAGTCTCTATGATCTTTATCTGGGACTAAAACTAAACTCACCTCTCGTGAATGTATCTGAAAACACTTGTGGTTGACGCTGGGCTCACCTTAGCCTCACATGTGGCACTTAATTCAAACAACATGGCTGCAGGGGAGAAGAGGAGCAAGATGACTTAATAGCACCCTCCAGCAACCATCCCCCGAATAAAACACCAAATAGAATGACTATCCAAATAAGAAGCATCTTCATAAGAACCAAAACTCTGGGGAGCGATCACAGGACCTAGTTTTAGCATCACATGAAAGAGGGACTGAGGAGGGTAAACAAGAAAGCTGTTAATTGCCAACAGCAGCCCTCCTCCATTCCCTGGCAGTGCAGCTTGGCAGAGAGAGAAAATCCATGTGCTTACAGAAGGGAGAGTGCAGTGATTATGAGACTGTGCAGTAAAACTCAGAGCTGCCTGTCATAGCAGAAAGCAACATGGGGCAGAATTCAGCCAGAGCCTACAGACGGAGCACTCAGACTAGCCATAGTCAGAGAGGAAGTGTCCATTTCAGTAATCAAAACCTGAGTTTCAGGTAGCCCCATCACCATAGGCTAAAGCGCTCTGGGGTTCTAAATAAACCTGAAAGGCAGTGTAAGCCACTGGGACTGCAATTTCTGGGCAAATCCTGGTGCTCTGTGAGATGCCAACTGGGATGGCCAAGAAAGTGCCTGCATCATCCTTACCCCAGGCACAGGCAGTGTAGTTCACAGCTCCAGGAGAAAATCTTTCTTTCTACTTGAGGAAAGGGGAGAGAAGTGTAAAGAAGACTTTGTCCTGCAACTTGGACATCATCTCAGCCACAGTAGAATACAGCACCAGAAAAAGCCCTGAGGCCCCCATTCTAGGACTTAGTTCCTGGGTGACAGTTCTAGACATAGCCTGGGCCAGAAGAGAACACACTGCCTTGAAGGGAAGGTACCAGTTCTGGCAGGATTCATCACCTTTGGCCATGAATAAACATCAGCAGTAACCAAGTAGTACTTGCTGCAGCCCCTGGGGTGTGAGACCCAGTGCAGTGCAATCCAAGCTGTGGCAGCCATGTGGAGAGACTTCTGCTTGAGGAAAAGAGAGGGAAGAGTAAAAGAGGCTTTGTCTTGAAGCTTGATTACCAGCTCAGCCATAGTGAGGTAGCAGTAACAAGATAGCTCCTGAGGTCACTGATTTCAGGCCTTGGCTCCTGGATGACATTTCTGGAACCACCCTGGGCCAGAAAAGAACCCACTGCCCTGAAGCAAAAGAAGCAGGCCCAGCAGAGTTCACCACAAGCTGACGCAAGATCCTTGGGTCCTCACTGGATATCAGCAGTAGCCTGGAAGTACTTACTGTGGGCTCTGGGTGGTGGTGACCATGGGGAGTGGCTTCTTATGCTTGAGAAAGGAGAGAAAAGAGTAGGAAGGATGTTGTCTCATGGCTTCAGTGCCAGCTAAGCCACAGCAGAATAGGGCAACAAGTAGATTCCTAAGGCTTCTGACTCCATGTTCTTCCTACCAAATGGCATTTTGCTATCCCCAGCCCAGGATGAGTAACAGAGCTCACTGCCCTGAAGGCAAGGACATAAGCCTGGCTGGATTCACCACCTACTGACTGAAGAGAACTTGGATCTTGAGTGAACATCAGCAGTACCTAGGTAGTGGTCACTGTGGACCTTATGTGAGAGCCAGTCCTGTGCTGGCTTTGGGTCTGACTTAGTGTAGTCCTAGTGATGGTGGCCACAGGGGTGCTTGTGTTTCACTGACCCTAGCCCCCGGCAGCTCAGTATGGAGAGAAAATTCCACTTATTTGACAGAATGTAAAAAAACAGAAAAAGAGTCTGCCTGGTAACCCAGAGACTCTCTTGGTTCTTACCTAAGACCACCAAGGTGGTACCTCTACAAGTCTGCAAGCATCACAGTGTTATTCAGGTTGGGGTGTCCCCTAATGCAGATATGACTGCAATGATCAAAGACTTAGATTACAACACTCGATTCCCTTTGAATACCTGGGAAGCCTTTCTAAGAAAGACAAGTATTAAAAAGCCCAGAATGCAAAGACTAAAATAAATGCCTGACTTATTAATGCCCAGACATTAATGAACATCCACAAAAATTAAGACTATTCAGGAAAACATAACCTCATTAAAACCAAATAAGGCACTAGTGTACAAATCCTGAGAGACAGAGATATGTAACCTTTCAGACAGGAAATTCAAAACAGCTGTTTTGAAAAAGCTCAGCAAAATTCAAAATAACAACAAAAAAAAAGAAATTCAGAATCTGATCCAATAAACTTAACAAATTGATTAAAATCATTTTGAAGAATCAAGCAAAAATTCTGGTTCTGAAAATTTAAATGATATTGAAGAACGCATCAGAGTCTCTCAACAGCAGAACTGATCAAGCAGAAGAAAGAATCAGTGAGTTTGAACACAGGTTATTTGAAAAGATACAGTCAGATGAGATTTAAAAAAAAGCCTCAAAAGGGCTAAGAGTTATGGCCTTCAAGAGGAGGTAGAAAAAAAGTTCTGGGTAGAAAGTTTATTCAAAGGTATAATGAGAACTTCCCATACCTAAAAAATTAATATTCAAGTATAAGAAGGTTGTAGAATACTAAGCACAATTCACTTAAATATGACCACCTGAATGTCTTTAATAATAAAATTCTCAAAGGTCAAAGATAAAGGATTCTGAAAACAGCAATAGAAAAAAAACAACATTCAAACAAGTACCAATATGTTTGACAGTGGACTCTTCAGTGAAAATCCTACAGGCCAGGAGATGGTGACATGACATACTTAACATACTGAAGGAAAAAACTTTTATCCTAGAATACACCCAGCAAAAATATACTTCAACTATTAAAAAAAAACAACTAACAAACAAGATGAGAGATTTTATTAACAGCCCCAGACCTGTCCTACAAAAAATGCTAAAGGCAGTTCTTCAGTCTAAAAGAATAGAACATTAATGAGCAACAAGAAAACATCTGGTACCAAACTCACTGGTAATATGAAGCACACAGACAAACACAAAATTTTCTAGCACCGTAAATGTGGCGTGTAAACTATTCATATTTTGAGAAGACTAAAAGATTTGCCTATACTTAAAATTATTAAAAATAATAACTCTCTACCTCCTTTTTAAGGCCATAACTCATATTTTGACTTTTTAGATAACTGTCATAGTTATCCAAAATACTAATTAAAACAAGTTTAAGACATAGACAGTATAATAAGATATAAATAGAAACAACAAAATGTTAAAAAGTTGGGAGAAAAAGTTAAACTGTATTTTTTATTAGTTTTTCTCTTTGCTCGTTTGCTCATTTTTACAGTAAGTGTTAAGTTGCCATCAGTTTAAAATAATGGGTTATAAGATGTTATTTGCAAGCCTTATGGTAACCTCAAATAAAAAACTTACAATAGACACACATACATAAAATCAAAAATGAAAACATACCAGTAGATAAAATCATCTTTACTAAAAGAAAGACAGGATGAATGGGAGAGAGAAAGAGAAAATACCACAAAACAACAAGAAATCAGATACCAGAATGGCTGACATAAGTCTTTACTTACTAACACTGAATATAAATTAATTTAACTCCCCAATCAAAAGACATAGATTGGCCAAGTGGGTAAAAATAAAAACAAGACCCAACAATCTGTTTCCTACAAGACACACACTTCACCTATAAAGACAAAGACAGACTGAAAATGAAGGGATAGAAAAAGATATTCCATGCAAACAGAAATCAAAAAAGCAGGAATAGCTACACTTACATTAAACAAAACAGATTTCAAGAAAAAAACCATAAAAAGAGACAACAAAAGTTATTATATTATAATAAAGTGGTCAATTCAGCAAGAGAATATAACAATTGAAAATTAATATGCATATGCACCTAACACTGGAAAACTCAGATATATGAAGTAAATATTAGAGATAAAGAGAGATCAAACCCCAATACAATAATAGCTAGAGACTTCAACAACCCACTTTCAGCAGTGGACAGATCATCCAGATAGTAAAATCAACAAATAAACATTGGACTTAATCTGCACTGTAAACCAAACAGACCTAATAGATATTTACAAAGCGTTTCATCAAGAAGCTACAGAATACAAATTCTACACCTCAGCCCCTGGGTTATTTTCAAGGATAGACCACATGTTAGGTCACAAAATAACTCTTAAAATAATCTCCCCCCAAAATAAAATTATATCAAGTATTTTCTCTGATGATAATAGAATAAAACTAGAAATCACTAACAGAAAAAACTCTGGAAACTATACAAACACATAGAAATTGAAATATGCTCCTGAGTGACTGGTGGGCCCATACTGAAAGAAAAAATTAAAATGTTCTTGAACAAAATGAAAATAAAAACATAACGCAACTATGAATAGAGTGAAAGAATCACTTAGAAGGTTTATAGCAATAAGTGCCTACATCAAAAACAGTTTTAAAAAAATCTCCAAATAAACTATTGATGTATCATATACAACTAGAAAAGAGCAAACCAAACCCAAAATTAGAAGAAAATAAAAATTATCACAGAAATAAATGAATATAAAACAAAATATGAAAAGATAAACATAATGAAAAGTTAGTTTTTTTGAAAAGATAAACAAAATTTACAAAATGTTCTGAATCTTACAGCTGGAGGCAATTGAAAGTTGGATGTGTGATTCTCATACATGGATCCAGATCACGGGTAAGACGGTGATTTTTGAATCAAGATCAAACACCCTTGTGAGGCTGTGTGTCCCCTATTAGGACACTGCTTGCAAATGAGGTTGGGGCTGTCATGCACAGATCCTGTCCATTGTTGAGACTGTGACTTAGGTACTTGGACAGAACTCACAAGAGGTGCCCAGCACCGGATTGATTTTACTTTTCTGCCTTGGTCCAGTCTAAATGTGGGATTGTGACATATACCTAGGCCAAGCACATAGGTGATGGGACTCTCCTGCCCAGGCCAATCTCTCAGAGGTGGTTTTGAAATATTTTATTCACCAATCACCTAGATAATATGACTCTCTTCTCCTGCCTGGGATCAGCCCATAACGGGCACTGTGACATATTACTGGGTCTATCACCTAGGTGACATGACTCTCCCCTTCTGCCTGGGCCAAACCCCTGTTTGGAATTTTGACATATCCCCAGGCCTATCACCTAGGTGATATGAATCTCCTCTTTTGCCTTGGACCTGCTTGCATGGGGAATTGTGACAGATTACTGGGCCCATCACCTAGTAGATGTTACTGTCTATTTTTTACCTGGATCCTGCCTACAGAAAGGATTGTGACAAATCAGTGGGCCAAGCATCCCGGTGACGTGGCTCTTCTGTCTTAGCAATTCCTATAGTTGGAATAGTGACATAAACCTGGGTCAAGCATCTGGGTAATGTAACTCTTCTTTCTGGACACTTTTCTCAGAGAACATTGTGATATATCTTTGTGCCCATCACCTAGGTCATGTGACTCTCCTTTTTTTCCTGGGCTCTGTCCACAGGGTAATTTGTGACATACTGCTGGACCCAGCACCCAGGTCATTTGACTCTCCTGCCTTGGCCCTTCCCACAGAGGGCATTGTGACATTGAGTGGGCTCAGCAGCTAGGTGATACGACTTTCCTGCCAGGACTCTTCCAACAGAAGGGACATTGACCTACTCAGGCTCAGTATTCAGGTGATGTGGCTTTCCTTCCTAGTCCCTGCTTGCAGGTGGTATTGTGACATATAATTGGGTCCAGTTCATAGGCATGCTGATGACTATCATACATGGACACAACCAATAGAAGAGATTTTGACTCTTTTAGCTGGATTTATGACAATGTATAATGTCTTCAGCCTCCTGCTTCCGGTAAGATGGCAAAGTATGAGCAAGCTTATGCATATTCTATAATGCCCTTTGGTGGTACAGAGCATGTCATTCCGGAGCCCAGCACATAGCCAACAGTTAAAATTGTCAATCTCACACATAGAGCCCACAGTTAAGGTCCTGAATGTCACTAGTAGACACAGTTTACAGTTGGAATTTTGACTGTCATATGTGGATCTGGCCACAGGTAAAATGGTGACTTATTGCTGGACCTAGCTCACAGGCATGGTAATGACTCTTATATCTAA
Source organism: Homo sapiens (assembly GCF_000001405.40). Taxonomy (NCBI): domain Eukaryota; kingdom Metazoa; phylum Chordata; class Mammalia; order Primates; family Hominidae; genus Homo; species Homo sapiens. The sequence continues at coordinate 56,660,078 of NC_000007.14, forward strand.
ACCAGTCAATAGAAGAGATGGTGAATCTCATCCCTAGACTTGGAGAAATGAGTAAGATCATGGGTTCATATAGGCACAAATGTTTTGGAGTGCATTGCAAGTCTTACACATATTATCTACCGCCGCAGATGGTGCAAAGAGTAATAATATAACAAGGCCCAGTACACTGTTGAGATTTTGACTCTCATATGCATACACTGCCAACAGTAAAGATTGTCACACTCCCACATAGACACAGCCCACTGTTGAGGTTCTGATTCTCACACCCAAAAGCAGTCAGAAGTTGGTATTGTTACTCTAATATGTGGATCCAGCCTGAGTCTCTGACCAAGATTCAGCACCAATATTAGGCTTTAACTCTCCTAATAGGTGCTGTCTGAGGTTTGGCTCTCATGCATGGGTTCAATTTGCTGTTGAAATTGTGACTTGCAGCTCGGTGTGGTGGCTCACGCCTGTAATCCCAGTACTTGGGGAGGCCAAGGCAGGTGGATCACCTGAGGTCAGGAGTTTGAGGCCAGCCTGGCCAACATGGTGAAACCTGGTCTCTACTAAAAATACAAAAATTATCTGGGTGTGGTGGCACGCACTTGTAATCCCAGCTGCTTGGGAGCCTGAGGAAGGAGAATCACATGAACCCTGGAGGCAGAGGTTGCAGTGGGCTAAGATCACACCACTGCACTCCAGCCTGGGTGACAAGAGTGCAACTCTGTCAAACTAAAGAAAGAAAGAGAGAGAGAGAAAGAAAGAGAGAGAAAGAGAAAGGAATAAAAAGAAAGAAAGAAAGAAAAAGAAAGAAAGAAAGAAAGAAAGAAAGAAAGAAAGAAAGAAAGAAAGAAAGAAAGAAAAAGAAAGAAAGAAAGGGAAAGAAAGGGAAGAAAGAAAATGGTGATTTGCATTCTTGGACACATGGTTAAATTTCAAGAGGTGTGTACTTTTATACCTGGACCCAGAACATGTGCAGAAATGTAAATTCCATTCCTCAACCTTCCCACAGGTGTGATTGTGACATATAACTTTGCCCAGCCAGAATTTGACTGATTTGACTATACTGCCTGAATAAAGCCCACAGTGTGGGTTGTGACATATGCCTAAGCCAAAAGCCTCAGTAAGGTGACCCTCCTGCCTAGTCCCTTCTCACAGGTGGCATTGTGATATACCTCTGGTCTCATTCCCAGATGATGTGATTGTCATCTCCTGCCTGGGCCCGGTTCATAAAGGGGATTGTGACATATTGCTGAGCCAGGAATCATGTGATGTAATCTTTCAGCCAGGGTTCTGCCCACAGGAGGCATTGTGACAAATCACTCGTCCCAGCACCATAGTGATGTGAATTTCCTACCAGCACTCAACTCACAGAGGGGATACTAATACACCCCTGGCTGAGTATTCAGGTGATGTGACTCTCCTGCCTGGTTCTGCCCACAGGTGGGATTCTGGCATATACCTAGGTTCGGATTACAGGAATAATAATGACTGTCATGTGAGAGCCCAGCCAATAGACGAGATTCTGACTCTCATAGCTGAGCTTAGAACAATCAGTAAGCTTCTAGGTCTCCTAATTGTATCACAGTTACAGAGGATTTTGACATTCATAAATATTCTATAAAATACTTGCATCATATCAGAGCTCATTACAGAGGTAAAATTGTGCCTCTCATATGAGGCACACTATCCAAAAATTAGGATTGTCACTCTCACACCTGGACAAAGCCCACTGGTGAGGGTTCAACAGTCCACAGTTGAATTTGGGACTGTCATATGTGGATCTGGCCACAGGTCAGGTGACTTGTTTCTGGACCCAGCTCATAGGCATGTCAATGACTCTCATACCTGGTTCCAGTTAATAGAAGAGATCTTGACTCTTGTATCTAGGCTTAGGGCAAAAGATAAGGTCCTGGATTTCCTACTTTTACAGAGGTCTCAGAGAATAGCAACACTCATGCATATTGTATAATGCCCTCAGGTGGTACAAAAAGTGTCAAAACAGGGCCCATGTCAAAATTGAGATTGTGACTCATGTGTACACAGGCCACAGTTTGGATTGTAACTATTAAATCAGAACAGAGTATACTCATGAGGTCCTGGATGTCACTCACAGAAACAGTTCACAGTTGGAATTGTGACTGTCATATATGGATCCATCCACAAATGGGATGGTGACTAATTTCTGGACCCAGCTTACATACTGATGACTCTTATACCTGGACCCAACAAATAAGAGAAATGATAACTCTCATACCTGAACTTGGGGCAATATGTAGGATCATGAGTTCATACCAGCATGAAGGTCTCAGAGCAGGTTTTCATTCTCATGCATACTGTATGAAGCTCTTGAGTGGCACAGAAGGTGTCCTACAAAGACCCAGCACACAGATGACACTGTGATTCTTCTGTGCACACATAACATACAGTGAGGAATGTCATTATACTATATGGACACAGCCCATTGTTGAAGTTCTGAGTATCACTCCCAGATCAGTTGAAAGTTGAATTTCATACATGGATCCAGTTCACAGGTAGAATGGTGACTTTTATACTCAGCACACCTGTGAGGCTGAGACTGCCCTAATTAGACAGTGTTTGCAGGTGAGTTTGGAGCTGTTATGCATGAATTCTGTCCACAATTGAGATTGTAATTTGTGTACTTAAACACAATTCACAAAAGGAGTTTTCTCTTATAACTTGAGCCAGGAAATGTGTGGGACTGTGACTCTCATCCCTGGACCTTCTGCAGGTGTGACTCTGACATAATTTTTTCTCAGCACCTGATTGACTTTACTCTCTTGCCTGAGCTCAGCTAACAGTTGGGATTGTGACATATACCTGGCCCAAACACCTAGGTGATATGACTGTCCTGCCTGGGCCCTGCCCACAAGGAGCATTGTAATGTTATCTCTGAGACCCTCACCTAGGTGATGAGACTCTACTTTCCTGACTATCCCTTTCTCCAGTAAAATTTGTGACATATAATCTGGGCATGTTATCTAGGTGATATGACTCTCCTCTCATGACTGGGCCCTGTTAACAGGGTGGATTGTGACATATTACTGGGCCCAGCACCTAGATGATGTGACTCCCCTTTCCTGCATGGGCCCTACGTACACAAGGGATTGTGACATATTGCTGGGCCAAGCACCAAGGTGATCTGGCTCTTGACTAGGTTCTTCCTAAAGTGGGCTTTGTGACATATTACTAAACCTAGCATAAAGGTGATATGGCTTTCCTGCGTGGGTCCTGCCCATGGAGGGATATTGATATTTCCCCAGCCCAGCATTCAGGTGATGTGACTTTCCTCCCTGGTTCTGCCCACATGTGGGATTATGACCTATACCTAGGCCCAGGCAACAGTCATTTGATGGCTTTCTTACATGGACCTAGCCAATAGGAGAAATTTGGACTTTAATAGCTATGCTTAGGGCAACAACTAAAAACCTTGGTCTACTAATTATAAAAAGGTCACAAAAGATTATGACACACACATGTATTTTATAAAGCCCTTGGGCTTTATAAATAAAACAGGGCCGAGCACACAGGTGAGATCGTGGCTCTCAGTAGCCAACAAGTGGAACCGTCACCTTCACAAATGGACAGAACCCATTGATGAGATTCTGAATCTCACACATGGATGCAGTCCAGAGTTGGAATTCTGACTGTCATATGTGGATCTGGCCTCAGGCTGGATGGTGACTAATTTCTAGATCCAGCTTACAAGCATGGTGGTGAATCTCATGCTCAGACCAAGTCAATAGGACAGATACTGACTCATAGATAGACATAGGTCCATGGGTAAGGTCGTCTGTTTCCTACCTCTACAGAGGTCACAGGGGCCTATGAAACTCTAACATATGGTAGAATTCCCTCAGGTGGTACAGAGTATGTCAAAACAGGGCCCAGCACACAGTTGAGATTGTGACTCTCATATAGACATCTAGTCAAAAGTTAAGATTGTCAGCCTCACACACAGACAGTGCCCACTGCTGAGGTCCTAAATCTCTCATGGATGCAGCTCACGGTTGATATTGTGACTGTCGTATGTGGATCTGGCCACAGATGGGATGGTGACTCATTTCTGGACCCCACTCACAGGCACAGTGATAAATCTCATTCCTGGACACAGAAAATAGGAGAGATGTTGACTCTGGGCTTAAAGTAATAGGTAAGATTGTGTGTCCACACAAGCATGCAAATCTCACAGATTATTGTGACTCTGGTGCATACCTTATAATGCCATCAGGTACTACAGAGAGCATTATAAAAGGGCCCAAAACCGGTGAAATTGTTACTCTCATATGCACAACCAGCCAACAGTATGGTTACTTTCCAAATGAACACAGTGCACTGTAAAGGTTCTGAATCTCACACCTAGAGGCAGTCAAAAGTTGGCATTTTTACTTTTATATATGGATTCTAAACACAGGTAACATGGTGATTTTTGCACCAAGAATCAGCACCACTGTGATATTTTGACTTTTTGACTGGGACACTCTCTGCGGGTGGAGTTGGGGCTCTCATGCATGGATCCAGTCCACTGTTGAGGTTGTTACTTGCCTTTTGGGTGAAACTCACAGGAGGTATTGACTCTGACCCTGAAGCGGGGGTGTGTGAGAGATTGTAAATTTTATCTCTGAACTTTTTCACAGGTGTGATTGTGACATATATCATCGCTTAGTATCTGACTGATTTTTCCCTTTTTCCTAGGCCCCACCCACAGTTTAGATTGTGAAATATAACTAGGTTAAGTATCTAGATAATGTGACTTTCCTGCTGGGCTCTGCCCTCCTGGGTATTGTGACACATTACTGGGCCGATCACCTAGGCGATGTGTCTCTCCCTTTCTGCCTGGGCCAGTCCACAGGGGATACTGTGAGATATCTTTAGGCCCATCACCTATGTTATGTGATTCTTTTTTGCCTTGAATTTGTTTACAGGAGAAATGGTTACATATCACTGGGCCCATCACCTAGATGATGTGGCTGTCTTCTACCTGGAACATGTTTACAGGGTGGATTGTGACATATTGCTTTTCCTAGCACCCAGGAGATGTGACTTTTACTGCCAGGACCCTGCCCATAGTAAAAATATTGACATATCGCTGGCCCAGCACCTAGTTGATACGACTCTCCCCGCTAGTCTTTGCCCACAGGTGGGATGGTCACACATTAGGCCCTGCTCACAGGTATAATGAAGACTCGCATATGTGAACCCAGCCAATAGAAGAGATTTTAACTCTTCTAGCTAGGCTTAGACAAACAGGTAAGGGTTATGGGCCTTCTACATGTAGAAAGATCACACAATATATTACTTATGCATATTCTATAAAGTCTTTGCATGATATAAAGAGTGCCATATCAGGGTCCAGTAAAGAAGTAAAATTGTGAATCTTATAGGCACACCCAGCTGACAATTAAAATTGTCTCCCTCACACACTGACAAAACTTACTGGTGAGGTCCTGACTCTCATATAAGGACACAATACACAGTTAGAATATTGACCATCCCATGTGGATCTGGCCAAAGGTCAGGTGGTAAGTCATAGCTGGACCCAGCTTACAGGCACAGCGATGACTCTTATACCTGAACTCTGCTAATAGGAGAGGTGTTGACTCGCATAGCTGGGTTTAGGCCAAAAAATAAAATTCTGGCTTTTCTACTTAAAAAAAAAAAATCACAGGTGATTACAACACACATGCATATTGTGTAATGCCCTCAGATGGGACAGAGAGTGTCAGAACCCAGCACAACACTGAGGCTGTGACTATTGTATGCACACTCAGCTGACTGTTAAAATTGTCACCTTTACATAGGGAGAGAGCAAAATGGTGAGTTCCTGAATCTCACTGACAGATACAGTCCACAGTTGGGATCATGCCTGTCACATGTGGATTGAGCCACAGGAGGGATGTTGACCAATTTCTGGAACCAGATTATAGGAACAAAAATGACTCTCTTACCTGGACCCAAAAACAGGATAGATGTTGACTCTCATGCCTGGGCTTAGGGCAATGGGCGTGATCCTACTTTTGAGATTGTAACAAACACCTGGGCAAGCACAAAGGTCTCAAAGCAGATTGTGAGTCTCACATGTGCCATATAAAACCCTCAGGTGGTACAGAGAGTGTCATAACAGGGACCAGCAAACAGGTGAGACTGTGACTGTCATATGCACACCTGGCTGACAATAAGGATTCTCACCCTCCCACCTGAACACAGCCTCCTTACAACGTCTTGAATCTCACACTCAGAGGCAGTCAAAAGTTGGAATTGTGACTCTCATACGTGAATGCAGTCCACAGGTAGGGCGGTGACTCTCACACCAAGATCCAGCACTCCTGTGAGACTGTGACTTTCCTACTGGGACACTGTCTGCAAGTGGGGTTTGGGCTCTCATGCACAGAGCCAGTGCACTGTTGAGGTTGTGACTTGAATACTTGAACACATCTCACAAGATATGTTGACTGTCATAAGTGAAGCCAGCACATTTGTGGGGTTTTAAATCTTATCTTTAAACCTTTCTGCAGGTGTGATTGTGACATATACTTTTTCCCAGCATCTGATTAATTTTATTCAATTGCCTGGGCCCAGTGTACAGTTGAGATTGTAACATATACCTGGGCTATGCACTTAATTTATGTTTTTCTTCTACATGAGCCCTGTCCTCAGGAGAAATTAAATTATACTGTGGGCCAATTGTCAAAGTGAAGTGAGTCTCTTTTTCTGCCTGGGTCTTGCCCTTAGTTGGGATTGTGACATATCACCAGACCTTTAACCCAAATGATATAACTCTTTTTCCTGGGTTCTAATTACAGAAGGCATTGTGAAATATCTCTAGACCCATCACCTAGGTGATGTGACTCTTCTTTCCTTCCTGAACCCTGCCCCCAAAAGGCATTGTGACATATCACTGGGCCCAGCTTCCAGATGATATAACTGTCCTGCTTTGGCCCTGCCCATGGGGGGCATTGTGACATATCGCTGGGCCCACCACCTAGGTGATATGACCCTCCTGAATTGCCCCTGCACTAAGGGGAGATTTTGACCCTGCCCAAAGTGGCAATTGTGACATATCTCTGGCCAGCACCCAGGTGATGCAACCCTTGTGCCTGGTCTGTCTCCACAGTTGGAATTGGGAAAAACACATGGGCACAGCTTACAGGTGGAATGATGACTCATACCTGAAGATATGACTCTTGTAGTTAGTCTTAGAGCAAAAACTAAGGTTCTGGGTCTTCAACTTGTAGGATGGCCAGAGACTATTATGAGTTGCATGCACATTGTATGAAGCTCTCAAGTGCTACAGAGTGCCAAAATAGAGCCCAGCACACAGGGAAAATCGTGGCTGTTGTATGCAAACTCAGATCAAAGTGAGGATTATCAGCCTTCCACATTAACAGAACCCACTGTTGAGGTTCCGAATCACACACCAAGAGGCAATGGAGTTGGAATTGTGAATCTCATGCATCAATCCAATCGACAGATGAGGTGATGACACCAAGTCCTGGATTTAGAACACCGGGGGGCTGTGCTTCCCCTATCAAAACAGTCTGTTGGTGAGATTTGGGCTCTTGTGCATTGATTTAGTCCACTGTTGTGACTGACTTGAATACTTGAACTCAACCCACAGGAAGTGTCGACTTTTATACCTCTAGCTATGTCCTGGAAAATGTCCCTGATTGTGAATTTCTGCTACTGACTGGGTCCAGGTCTGAGTTCCATTGCTGTTCCTGTGATCTGGGTTCAAAAATGAGTCACTTTCTCACCTGTGACTGCACCTACATATGACAGTCACAGTTCCAAGTCTGGATTGCATTTGCATGTGAGATTTAGGCCTCACCAGTGAGCACTGTCTATATGTGAGGGTGACAATTCTATTCAGCTGGATGTGCATATAAGAGTCACAATCTCACCTTTGTTCTGGGTCCTGTTATGACACTGTATTATTTGAGGACTTTACACAGTATGCCTTGGTATCATAATACACTATGACCTTTATTTAAGTAGGAGACCAAGGACCTTGCCTGTTGCTCTAAGCCTAGATATCAGAGTCAAAATCTGTTCTCTTAGCTGGATCCAGGTATGTGAGTTATCACCTCACCTGTGAGCTGTGACCATGTATATGTCACAATTTCACCTGTGGGCAGGAACCAGACATGAGAGTCCTATCACCTGGGTGCTGGGTAAGTGATGTCACAATTCTTACTTGGGCAGGGTCCAGGCAACAGAGGAGAGACACATCACCTATATGACTGGCCCAGTGATGGGTGAAAATCCTCTCTGAGAGCAGGGCCCATTCAGGAGAGTCATATCACCTAGCTGCTTGGCCAAGCAATATATCACAATGACCCCTTTGCACAGGACCAAGACAAGACAGCTCCATGACCAGGGAGCTGGGTCCAGCTATGTGTCACAATTCCTTTTGTGGAAAGTGCCCAGTTAGAAGAGCAGAGTCACAGCACCTAGGTGATGGACCCAGAGAGATGCCACAACGCCATTTGTGGGCTGGGCCCTGGGAGAAGAATAACATCACCCGGTGCTGGGCCCAGCAATATGTTGCAATCCCAACTGGAAAAAGGTACCAGGCAACAGAGGAGAATCACATCATCATGTTGATAAGCCAAGAGATATTTCACAATCTCCCCTGTGCACATGTCCCAGGCAGAAGACTCGAATTACCTTTTTACTTAGGCCAGTAATGTCACAGTGCTTCTTCAGGGCAGGGCACAAACATGATAGGACAGTCATGCCATTAAGTGCTAGGCTTGGTGATATGTCATAACCTTACCTGTGGGCAGAGTCCAGGCAAGAGAGAAGGTTTACATCACTTAGGTGCTCAGTAAAGCATATATTACCATTCCTTTGAGGGAAGTAGCCAGGCAATATAATCACATCACCTAGGTGCTTGGCCCAGGTAAAAGTCACAAGATAACTGTGTGTTGAGCCCAGAAGGACAATGAAATTACTAAGGTTCTAGGTAGAAGTGCATGTCACAGTTCAACCTGCAGGGAGGCCCAGGAATGAGACTCCCAATTCCACACATTTCCCCACTCCAGGTGTAAGAGTCAACAACTCCTGAGACTTAGGTTCAAGTGCATGAGTCACAATCTCAACAGTGGATTGCATCCTGCCATGAGAGCCCCAATCCCTTCTCCAAGCTGTGTTCCAGTAGAGGAGTCGCAACATCAATGGTGTGCTGAATCCTGGTTGGAGAGTTCCCACTTCACCTGTGGACTGGATCTGTATATAAGAGGAGAGATGTCGACTCTCATGCCTGGGCTTAGGGCAATGGGCATGATCCTACATTTGGGATTGTAGCAACAACTCTTGACTGCCCTTGGGTGTGAGATTCAGAACCTCAATTGTGACCTGTGTACACTTGGGCATGTGACAATTTCTACTTTTGGCTGTGTGTTCATACAAGACTCTCAATCTCACCTGTGTTCTGGGCCCTGTTATTAGACTCTCTGTACCACCCACGGGGTTTATTCAATATGCATGGGTGTCATAATTCTCTGTGATTTTCATACAAGTAGAAGACACAGGACCTTACTCATGGCCCTAGTCCTATCTATGAGAGTCAAAATCTCTCTCTTTTGCTGGGCCTATGTGTAAGAGTTATCATAATGCCTATAAGCTGGGTCAAAGTATATGTCACCATCTTAACTGTGGGGGTGCACGGGCAGGTGCAATGAGAGTTGAGATGGGAAGAGGGTTATGATGTCCTCTGTCAGGATGTAATTATTGTTTTGGGGCTGTTTTTAGATATTGTCAAATAAAATAAATTTAGATGTAGGTAAGAAGCAACTTTATTCTAAAGTAATGTTGTGGCCGGGCACAGTGGTTCACGCCTGTAATCCCAGCATTTTGAGGGGCGAAGGAGGGTGGATCACTTGAGGTCAAGAGTTCAAGACTAGGCTGGCCAACATGATGAAACCCTGTCTCTATTAAGAATACAAAAAATTAGCTGGATGTGGTGGCGGGCGCCTGTAAATCAGAGCTACCCTGCCTGGACCAGTATCTGTAGCACTAACCAGTCTTTTCACCAACTGGGTACTGTTTTCTACCCATAGGTTTTTTTTCTTTATTTTTTTTTCTTTTCTTTTCTTTTTTCTTTTCTTTTCTTTTCTTTTTTTTTTTTTTTTGAGACCTAGTTTCACTCTTGTTGCCCAGGCTGGAGTGCTGGAGTGTAGTGGTGGGATCTCGGCTCACTGCAACCTCCGCCTCCCAGGTTCAAGAGATTCTCTTGCCTCAGCCTCCCAAGTAGCTGGGATTACAGGTGCCTGCCACCATGCCTGGCTAATTTTTGTATTTTTAGTAGAAACTGGGTTTCACCATGTTGGTCAGCTGGTTTGGAACTCTTGAACTCAGGTGATCCACCAGCCTCGGTCTCCACAAAGTGCTGGGGTTACAGGCATGAGCCACCGTGCCCAGCCCCCATAGGCTTTTTATAACACATTCTCTTATTCTGCCTTTTTATTTTCCACAAACACTCTTTCACAAACCCAAGTCCACACCTGTGTGCCTTAATACAAACCCTACTGGAAATCAAATGTCCATGAGTTCAGGATAAATTTTTTTGACCTGCTTATTGTAAGCATAAATACAAAATAAAAATAAGACAATCATTCAACTTCAAAACAATAAAAGGAATTAACTCCTCTTTTTTTTTAAAAAAGTTTTATTTAGATACCTTTTATATGTAAATTCTTTCTCTGCTTTTAATATTTTTTGTTGTCCTTTCAGTATGTATGAAGTCTATTTCTTTTGTAATTTTTATTATTTTTTCTTTTTTCTTTTTTTCTTTCTTTCATTTTTTTGTATTGTTTTGTTTCGTTTTGTTTTGGACAGAGTTTCGCTCTTGTTGCCCAGGCTGGAGTGCAGTGGTGCCATCTCGGCTCACGGCCACCTCCGCCTTCTGGGTTCAAGCCATACTTCTGCCTCAGCCTACAGAGTAGCTGGAATTACAGGCGCCCGCCACCACATCTGGCTAATTTTTGTATTTTTGGTAGAGATGAGGTTTCGCCATGTTGGCCAGCCTGTTCTAGACCTCAGATGATCCACCCACATCAGCCTCCCAAAGTGCTGAGATTACAGGCGTGAGCCACCACGCCCGACCTATCATTTACTTCATTCTGCTAACTTTGCAATTATTTAGTTGTCCTTTTTCAAGTATTTTGTGGATTAAAGTTATGTTTTTTATTTGACATCTTTTCCTTTTTCTTAACATACAAAAACAGCACTATAAACTTGTGATTTAGAACTGTTTTGTGGTTTGTTTGTTTTTTTTTTGTATCCCAGGAGTTATTGTATGTTGTGTTTCTATTTTCTTTTTTCTCAATACACTTTCTGATTTCCCTTTGCTTTTTCTCTTTGACCCATTGGTTGTCCAAGAACATGTTGTTTACTGTCCCCATATTTGTGAGTTTTAAAATTTTTATTTGACTATTATTTTCTAGTTTTATTAAACTGTAATTTTAAAAGTTGATACAGCCAGGTGCAGTGCTCATGCCTGTAATCCCAGCAGTTTGGGAGTCCGAGGAGGGTAGATTACCTGAGGTTAGGAGTTTGAGACCAGCCTGACCAACATGGTGAAACCCTGTGTTTACTAAAAATACGAAATTAACTGGGCATGATGGTGCACGCCTGTAATCTCAGCTACTTGGGAGGCTGAGTCAGGAGAATTGCTTGAACCCAGGAGGCGGAGGTTGCAGTGACCTGAGATCATGCCATTGCACTTCAGCCTGGGTGACAGAGTGCAACTCTGTCTCAAAAGCAAAAACAAAAAAAGTTGATATAATTTTAATCTCTAAATTTGAAAAGAGTTTGTTGTTTTTGTTGGTCCAACATATGATCTATCTTGGATAATGTTCCATTTGTGCTTGATAAGAATGTGTATTCTCATACTGTTACATGAAATAGTCTACATAAGCCCGGGGGGTACAGTTGTTCTTCAGCACTATCCAAGCACATTGTTTTCTTTCTAGCTTTCTGTCTGAATAATCTATTGTTTTCAGTAGAATAAGAAAGTCCTCTGTTATTGTCATATTTGTCTTTTTTAAAGTTCTGTTTATATATGTTTATATATTTATGTGCTCCAATGTTGGGTTCATATATTTTTTAATTGTTAGATTCTTTTGACAAATTATCCTCTTATTATTAGAGAGTGATCTTCTTTGTCTGTTGGGACAGATTTTTTTTCTAAAAGTCTATTTTGTCTGATATAAATATAGCCACTCTTACACTCTTTCAATTATTATTGGTATGGGTTTTTAAAATTCTTTAACCATTAACATATGTATGCCCTTAAATCTAAAATATGTCACTTGTGTGAAGCATACTGTTAATTTAAAAAATCTAATTAGACATTCTGCGAATCTTTTATTTTATTTTCTGCTTTAATAACAGAATATCCTAGAATTGTTTTTTTTTTAAATTCGTTTATTTATTTATTTGAACAGAGTTTTACTCCTGTTGCCCAGCCTGGAGTGCAATGGCACAATCTCGGCTCACTGCAACCTCTGCCTCCTGGGTTTAAGTGATTCCCCTGCCTCAGCCTCCCAAGTAGCTGGGATTACAGGCACCTATCACCACACCCAGCTAATTTTTGTATTTTTAGTAGAGATGGAGTTTCACCACGTTGGCCAGGCTGGTCTTAAACTCCTAACATCAGGTGATCCACCCGCCTCGGCCTCCCAAAGTGCTGGGATTACAGGTGTGAGCCACCGCGCCCGGCCTTAGAGTTGGTATTTTCTAAAAAATAGGAGTTTACTTAGCTCACAATTTTAGATTATGGATGTCCAAGAGCATCCCATTGACATCTGATGAGAATCGTATTTCCACATCACAAAATGGCCAAAGGCATGAGGATGACTGAAGGTGCACACCAGAGAGCGTACTTTTATAATAGACCCACTTTCCTGCCGACTAACCCACTCTGGAAATAATGACATTAATTCATTCACGAGAGTAGGTCCCTCAGGACCTATTATCTTCTTAAACGTCTAACTTTATAATTTTATAACAATAGCAGTTAAATTCCCACATGAAATTTGAAGGGGAGATTCAAACCATAGCAATGTGTTTTTATTAGATAATTTATTTGATACTTAAACAATTATTGATAGGTAAGTACTTTCTACTGCCATTTTGTTAATTTTTGTCTGACAATTTAGTATTACGCTTTAGTATTTTTGCCATTACTTTTAATGGCAAAAACTGCAATTACTTTTGCACCAACTTAATAATATCTTTTTCTTTTCATGCTGTCTTCACTTGTGTTTGGTTGAATTTTTTTTGTTTTCGTTGCTGTTATATGCTTTGATTCCTTTTCCTTCCTTCCTTCCTTCCTTCCTTCCTTCCTTCCTTCCTTCCTTCCTTTCTTTTTTTGTTTGAGACAAAGTTTTGCTCTTGTTGCCCAGGCTGGAGTGCAATGGCACGATCTCAGATCACCACAACCTCTGCTTCCCAGGTTCAAGCGATTCTCCTGCCTCAACCTTCTGAGTAGCTGGGATTACAGGCATGCGCCAACCACTCCTGGCTAATTTTGTATTTTTAGTACAGATGGGTTTCTCCCTGTTGGCCAGGCTGGTCTATAACTCCTGATCTCAGGTGATCTGCCCGCCTCGGCCTCCCAAAGGGCTGGGATTACAGGCATGAGCCACTGCGCCCAGCCCCATAAGTCAGACACTTCTGTTGCCTATAAAAGTTACTTATGTGATATTTACCTGTGTAAGTATTGCCCCATTTTGTTTATTAATTATCTATTTCTTTTCTCGGGTGGTTGTCAGTGTTTTATTGTATAGATGAGTAGTCAAAAAGTCAGCCTAAAATTACCGTCTATTTATTGTCTGAATATATGTTATTGTGTGAGAAAAACACTTGTTATTTAAAGCAATTTTTAAAAATGTAACTTTTTTGAGAGATGTAAATATTTGTGATTAAAAAGATAAAATTACCATCTTAAACATTTTAAAGCTGTATACTTAAACTATATGTTGAGTGCTTTTAAGTATACTTCTATTATTTTGAAACAAATTTCTAGATCAATTTTATCTTTAAAAGGTACAATTTGGCTGGGCGCGGTGGCTCACACCTGTAATCCCAGCACTTTGGGAGGCCAAGGCAGGTGGATCGCCTGAGGTCAGGAGTTCAAGACCAGCCTGGCCAACATAGTGAAACCCTCACTCTACTAAAAATACAACAAATTAGCTGGGCATGGTGGCAGGCGCCTGTAATCCCAGCTACTTGGGAGGCTGAGGCACGAGAATTGCTTGAACCTGGGAGGCTGAGGTTGCAGTGAGCCAAGATCGCACCACTGGACTCCAGCCTGGGCAACAAGAGCGTTACTCCGTCTCAAAAAAAAAAAAAAAGTGCAATTTAATATCCAATAAACTGTCTTCTCCTTCTCTCTTTTCTGCTTCTGAAGAACATCATTTTACTTTCTGTTTTGTCTGTCTCTTTTTGGCTATCTTATTTTAGGCAACATATTTTTTCCTGCGTCTTTAATTTTAACAAATAAGTTATTCTCCTCTCAGTTCAGATTCATCAGGAAATTGAATCATATCCGGAAGAATTAAAACTGAAAGACCAATACATTTGTTAAAGCAATGCAGATTGTCATACTAATAAGCTCTAAAATTTCAAAGGCTTAGCAAAATAATGCATTTTCTGCTTAAATCACCATCCCCTTTGGTTTATTTCTGGTTAAGAAAACTTCTTTGTGATTATTCAGAGATTAGATTTTTAAAAAAAATTTCTATCTGCATTCTCTGTTTCTTCAGCCAATAGATGAAAAAAGATTCAAGGAAGACACATTTGCTTTTTATTCACTCATCACTTCCCATCACTATGCTGACCAGAGTCAATGTGAGCAGAGTTGAGAATAGCAGTTTTCTGGCAGGAGAGCCACTTCTCAGCAAAAAATGACACACTCAAAGTATAAATCTTTCATGGAAGGCTCACATATTTTCAGCAAATTAAGCATATGCATGAATAAAATTCTTGTGGTGAAATAAAGATTCATTTTATTGATTCCTATTGAGCTCAGGTAATATTGGATGAAAAGCAAAAAAATTATTTGAAATAGAAATATTGTGAATAAAGTTATTGTCAATTAAAGTAAAAATATTATCTCACACTTGTCATCTTATCTATAGTTGTACAATATCAAATGCTACTTTTTATTAACAATTGTACTTCATATAAGTATTCCATTTATTTCACCCTTCTTAACTGTTTCAATGCCTTCTGCACTTCATATCAGTGAAAAGCAGGCCGGCTGGTGCCAGGAAATGGATGTGGTGCTATTGCTACTTTAAGAGTAATGATGAAGAGCACTTGTCTGAATTGTTCCCAAGTGGCCAACACTGTTATTTGGCCCAAAGTACACACATTTCTTATTTTCCTCTAAATTTACTGCTGAAATAAAATTCTTAGCTAAGAAAGGCTTGATCTCATTCAAATATGTTTTATGAAATTTGGTTGACATTTCAGTGTGTCTGACTTAAATGGAATATTGAAAATTTTCATGAATCCAAATAGAGTGTTACACATGAACAATCTTTTACTAAAAGCCTTTCTGAGGCAGAGCAAGATTCATAAAATTTCTTTATAATATAGAAGAAATGTGTTAACTCTGTTCCCAGTAGTCAACTCTGAACACTGAGCCTCTCAGTTCCCAGTATTCACCTTGAGGTATTCAGGAAAATTTGGTATCTCTGTAAGGAGACAGAAAAAGATGTTTGGGGGAGGGTCAAAACATTGTGCATAAATGCTTTCTACATGCACCAGTTAGGATCTTAATCTAATTGGTCTATCATTTGCATGGCTAGATAGTTACTGAATGTAGTCATACTATTTTGGTTTTTGCAGCTAATGACATCTGTTACCTATAAGTTTCATACAATAACTTGCTCAGCTGAAACATGAATCTTTTGTTAATTTACCCTAAATTTAGGGACTAGATTTGCAATTTCCAACATTTCAAAGTTAAAGCAAATCAGAGAAGAGTAATGTGTGTATGTGGTATGCATTTTCTTGCCCAGCTATCAAAATTCTTCTCATATTGCCTTTGCCACTCTAGGCAGCCACCTAAAATATATTCCATCCTAATTTTTTAGCCAGGATATTAGATTTCAAAAGGTCAAGGACTTAATAATTGGGCAAAGCCAAAATCTTGTCTTTGCTTCTTGACCATATTAAAGAGCATGGCAATTATGCCAAGCCATTGAAAGATGTGATTCTGATGACTTTTATTTTATTTCAAATGTTTTCTCTAATTGTTAGTCTTATTGCATTAATCTAAAAGAGAAACTATCTATATAACAATTTATGCATTCAAGAAATATTCATGTTAAGGTGTTTGAAGTTCAGTATTGTATTACAAAAGAGTAGAATTCTCTAAAATTAGAAAGTCAGATTATTATTAATAAATTCATTATTTTTTCAACATTTTCCAATGTTGAAATTAAAGAATTGGGTATGCTTTTTCGTAAGTTCAGTTCTAGGAGGGTACTCAATGATCTGCATGGTATTTTTGTCATAAATTATGTAAAACTGAATTACCAGAATGGTGCAGAAATGCTAATTTAATCAGAATAAGAATGAATTCAGCCGTGTTGGTAGACTGTTGGTATCCCAGTGGCTGATCATTTACTTCAGTCGTGTAGACATTGCTTCCTAATGCCAGTGAGCCCTTTCAACCAAGTTGCCTTTGTTTCCCATCGATGTGGTCATGTTCTGGTCTCTGTTTTTCTTAAGCTGTCCCAGATGAGGGGTGATTATTTCTTGCATAAATGAGATTCCTTCTTTTTTCTCTGCCATGAGATCCTCCTATTCTCTCTACTGAAAGCAACATGTGGAAGGTAGAAATAGAGACAATATACAAATATATCCCTTGCCATGTGGCCACCATAAACACTTTACGACATGGCTTACCAAGAAGTTTGATTAATTTCAGGGAAGCAGGGATGTTTTTCTATGATGTGCTCTTTCTCTTAAAGGCAACTCTGATTAAGTTTAGTCTAATCAAGATAATCTCTCTTATGATAAACAGGAAGCCAATACATTAGTAACCTAATTACATGAATAATGTCCCACCACAGTCACACATTTTCTCACTCAAGAGAAAACGATTACACAGCAGGTGTGCACTGAAGTGGGAACCTTAGGGTCATCTGAGAATTTTGCCTACCCACCTGAATAGATTTCTAAAATCACCTTTCAGTTGCTTTTGTTGTCTTTCTAAGTAAACTAAGATACCATCTGCAAATAATAATTCATTGAACTGCTTTTTAATTTTATTAAAATAATTATTAGCTTTTCCTGGCTTATATGAAGTGTTTCTCATTTATATTATACATTCACATACATACATATATAACGATAAAAATGTATCCATTTTAAATTTTTGTTAAATTTTTAAGAATGGGTGTTAAAAATAACTTCTTTTCTGTTTGAAAGGGTTTTTACTGTTGTATTCAAGAGTATTATCTCTGGAGTCAAAGTTGCTTGTGTTTTAATACTGGATCTGCTATTGTAAGCAAGTTATTTCTCTCTCTGGCTCTGTTTTCTTCTTTGTAAATTGAGGATAATAATAATATGTTATTAAGTTACTGTGTCTATTAGTCCATTCTCACACTTTTATAGGGATGTACCCAAGACTAGGTAAATTATAAAGGAAAGAGGTTAATTTGACTCACAGTTCAGCATGGCTGGAAAGGCCTCAGGAGACTTACAATCATAATAAAAGGGGAAACAAATATGTCCTTTTTCATATGGTGACAAGAAGAGAAAATGTGCTGAGCAAAAGGGAGAAAAGCCCCTTAGAAAACCATCAGATCTTATGTGAACTCACTAACTATCATGAGAACAGAATGAGAGTAACTGACCACATGATTCAATTACCTCCCACCAGATGTCTCCCATGACACATAGGGATTATGGGAACTACAATTCAAAATGAGATTTGGGTGCAGACACAGCCAGACTACAACAATGTGACAACAAAATTTATTAACACGTGTACAGTGTTATGGTTAGTGCTCAGTACAAATTAGCTATTATTAACTAGATATTTATATGCTGAATTATGTTAATATATGCTTTCACACAAATATTTTTACATTACACATGATTTTTCCAACCATTAGATGAATATATATTTAAATTACAATTTTATTGTAAATGTGGTGTATATATTTAGAATAATAGTAAACAGAATGGAATATTATGTAGCCTTAAAAAGGGGGGAATATTGTCAATTGAAAAAATATGGATACATTTACAGGATACTTTGCTAGGTACAATAAGCCAGACACACAAAGAAAAGTACTGCATGATTTCACTTACATGTAGAATCTAATGAAGTTTTAATAACAAAGTAAAATGTGGAATAATTGGTTACCAGAGGCAGATGTTGACAAAAGAATGCAGTTTTACAGACAGAATAAAGAGGCTTTGAGATCTATTGCACAGTAGGGTGATTATAGTCAATGATAATGTATCTATATTTCAAAATAACTAACAGTAAGTTTTAATGTCTCACTGCAAAAAATGATCGGTAAATGAGGTGATAGATATATTAGTTAACTTGACTTATTTCATATTTTATACATATACAAAATATTACACTGTACCCCATAAATGTACCCAATTTTGATTTGTCAGTCAAATATACTGGTAGTAATACAAGTATTTTTTTTGTAAAACTTAACTTTAAAAAATTGGGCCAGAGAAATAAATGTTTCTTTCTATCTTATAATGTCAGGAAAGATATGTATATATTTCTAATTACACACAGCTTGGTTACCTAGTGATGTTGGTACTTTTGATATCATGAATAGTGTGAACCTATCACTCAATAATAAAATATGTTAATTATCATTGTTCAGAACAATGTAATTCTTTCTTATCTTTTCTTTTCTTTTTTTTTTTTTTGAGACGGAGTTTCGCTTTTGTGGCTCAGGCTGGAGTGCAATGGTGCGATTTCAGCTCACCGCAACCTCCACCTCCTGGGTTCAAGCGATTCTCCTGTCTCAGCCTCCTGAGTAGCTGGGATTACAGGCATGCGCCACCACGCCCGGCTAATTTTGTATTTTTAGTAGAGATGGGGCTTCTCCATGTTGGTCAGCCTGGTCTCAAACTCCCGACCTCAGGTAATCTGCCTGCCTTGGCCTCTCAAAGTGCCGGGATTACAGGCATGAGCCACTGCACCCGGCTTTATTTGATAATAGAATACTTTCCAAGAAAGACTCTAAAGCAACTGTTTAAAGTAAAATTATCTCAAGATAAATGATTTTCTTCACTTATAGAGAAAAGTTATTTAAATATACATTTTAAACTACCTTTAAATTTACCAAGTGAACTTAAAAATTAGTTGGCAAAAAAAATTTATTAACCAAGTAGATCAGAAAACAATTTGCCTGTTTCTCTAATTTAAAACTGACAACACTCAGCATTTAAGTGCTTATTCTCTAGTGTTACTAGAGTGGTAAAAAGCAGTACAAGATGAGGGATCTCTCTTTAGTATTTATATCATGCTGTATGAAAACATATGAGAATTTGCCAAAGATAGTATTAAAAATATCCATCGACTGTTACATTCCCAAACTGACCAATTAAAATGAACATGGATTACAACCCCCTGGTGTGGCCACCTTGTTGTTCCCAGGCTTAACATTGGTCCTGATCTAAAAAACTATACAAATCACCAGAGCTAATAAATTTTCTGTACATTCGTTCTATGCTGGGCCCTCTTCTGACACCTTTATTTGTATTAATTGCTTTAATTTTACCAAAACCCTAGGATTTAGGCAGTATTATCCTTACTGTACAACTGAAGCACAGAGATGTCAAGAAACTGTTTCCAGGTCACACAGCCCATAGTGACAGAACCGGGATGCAATCAGGAACCACCAGATACTGAGCTTTAATATTAACCATTATGGCCAGCCCCCTCTCACTCAATGTTTTTTTTCCATTTTTTTATTTAACATTTTTGCTTTGAATTTTCTAATTTAGTAGAGATTAAGCAGAATTTAAAAACAACTTTTTGACCCTTAGATAGTATGGAGAACTTCATTTTGCATTCAAAGAACTCATAACAAAGCCTAACACAAATGCTTTGGTTGGTAAATGGTTTCTAACAACCTTGTTCCTCTCATTACTTAAAAGAGTCATCAATGGTACTTTTGAAAAATAGCCTTTACATTAAAAGCTACAATGAGGCTGGATGCAGTGGCTCAAACCTATAATCCTAGCATTTTGGGAGGCCTAGGCAGGTGGATCACTTGAGGTCAGGAGTTTGAAACCAGGTTGGCCAACACAGTGAAACTCCATCTCTACTAAAAACACAAAAATTACCTGGTGTGGTAGCAGTGACTGTAATCCCAGCTACTTGGGAGGCTGAGGCAGAAGAATCACTTGAACCCGGGAGGCAGAGGTTGCAGTGAGCTGATATCATGCCACTGCACTCCAGCCTGGGCAAAAGAGCAAAACTCCGTCTGAAAAAAAAAAAAGCTAGAATAAACCTATTATTTTATTTAAAATTTGTGATCTAAATGTACAACCTTATTCATTGAGTGGTCTAAAGTTTCTGAAAGTTTTGAAAACACTAATAAATGAACACTTTTTTATATGGAATGATTAAAGAATATTGTTTTCTCAGTGACTAAAATGAAACAAATTAGAATTACTAATCAGTCACTTACAATGTGGTTTTAAATGTTATTTAATGACCACATGTGTAGTTTCTTTGAGCTCATTTTAACAACTTATTTCTATTGCTTCTTCACTTCTGTTAGAAAATAATTAAAATTTATGTTACTAAATAGGTGTGAATTTTATTTTAATCTTAGTGATCATCTTAAAAGGCCTTGTATGCTTACAATTATATAAACCCTATTCACTACTTACATTTAGAAGAGAAATAATTATTTTGCAGTAAACCAAATGAGGCAATTGTTGCTCAAAATTATCAGTGATTACAATATTAATATCATCATCTAGATAGAACTTATAGATATCTGCATGTTGAAATTGCTTCAACTTATAATAATTTAGAAACTAGAAAGTTCTATAAACTATAAAGAACTAAAAAATGTATCAATGCATTTTCCTCAGTTTTTCTGTGCTGTTTGTTATTTAACTTGTCAGCAATAGCAATAGAAACTCTGATATTTACAGCATATTCTGGGTCCAGCAGCACATGGGAGGAGCCAATATACTTCAGGGCTTTTACTTTCAGCTTGGGGACCTTTAGTTTCTGGTGCTGATGGCAATGTAACGGAGGGCACTAAAAATCAGCTGTTACCCTCTGTCACATGACTGGTCACTGTGTGACACAATAAACATCTTTGCATGAAAACAACTGAGTAAATGTTTTAACCCAAAAGCTGCCATAATCTCCAAAATTTTCCCAGAAAAATGACCAAAATGTTGGCTATGCTTAGGTGACTAAGAGTGAAAACTGTAGACTGTGAATCTCACCCAGTCAAAATAATCATAAAGTAATGGAAAAATCTCTCAAGATTGTAACATTAATATGAAAAAGAAATATTATTCCAAATTTTAAATCCACAGAACTCATTTTATTTGCAATATTTAACATTCACACTCAAAAATACATGATTCTGCATGAAAACATAAGTTGTGCTATAAATATATCATAAAAATTACATTTAATAATTATCCCTTAATATTAACTCTCCAATAAGTTTAATTTCTAAGCTATATTTTCTAACTAATTTTGTATATGCTACACTTTGTCTTAGAATCTAATAAAAAAATTTTACTAAGACAAACAGTGCTACTTGATTTAATCTTCTCACCTGTGGACAGTGTATGCCTCCTATCTCAATTAACTGATCTGGAAGTTACATCGAGAAGCTATAAATAAGCTCAAACTCCCAAGTTTAACACAGTTTTTCACCATATTAAAAAATTCCAAACTTCTCATCAGAATCTACAAAGTACTGTGTGAAATGACATTGTACAGAGAGAGCAGTGAGAAAGCTGTAGCCATAGCACAGAAAAAAGGGGAAGGGCTGTGATGGACACATCATTTGGATAGACATAAACAGACACAAAACAAAAGATAATCAGAAAATTAAAAAAGCAGAATTTTTATTTAAATTCAGAGAGGCCGTTCTGCAGCCTGGGAACAGATGTCCTCTGCACATGCAGAATCAATGTTATATTTTCACCATGAATATTTTCCATCAGTGGCTGAGAGTTACAAAAAAACTCAAGCAGGAATAATTATGGCTGATTACGAAGCATCTAGGACAGACATAGCCCTATCTTATATTTGTGCATTAGTCTCTTTTTACACTGCTGTAAAGATACTACCCAAGCCTGGATAATTTATGATGAAAGGAAGTTTAATTGACTCACAGTTCCACATGGCTGGGGAGGCCTCAAGAACCTTACAATAATGGGAGAAAGTGAAGGAGAAGCAGGTATCTTCTTCACTAGGTGGCAGGAGAGAGGGAGAGCAGGAAAAATTACCACTTATAAAACCATCCAATCTCATGAGAACTCACCCACTATCATGAGAACACCATGGGTATCATTCTGCTCCTGGCCCGTTCAAAATCTAATGCTCTTCTTATATTTCAAAAGCAAACATGCTTTCCCAACAGTCCCCCAACGTCTTAACTCATTTTAGCATTAACCCAAAAGTCTACGTCCAAAGTCTCATCTGAGACGAGGCAAGTCCCTGCTACCTATGAGCCTGTAAATCAAAAGCAAGTTAGTTACTTCCAAGATACAATGGGGGTACAGGCATTAGATAAATTCTCCCATTTCAAATGGGAGAAATTGGCCAAAACCAAGGAGCTACAGGCCCTATGCAAGTTTGAATTTCGACAGGTCAGTCATTAAATCTTAAAGCTCTGAGATGATATCATTTGACTCCATGTCTCACATGTGGGCCATGCTGATGCAAGGGGTGGGCCCTCATGCCTTGGGCAGCTCCTTCATGGACTGGAATTGAGTGTCTGTGGCTTTTCCAGGGGCATAGTGCAAGCTCATGGAGTATAGTGGCCTTCTCACAACTCCAGTTCGCAGCTTCAATGGGGACTCTGCATGAGGGCTCCAACCCCACATTTCCCTTCTGCATTGCCCTAGCACAAGTTCTCCATGACGGCTCTGCCCCTGTAAAAGACTTCTGCCTGAATACAAATTTGACCTATGGGGAGAAAGAAATTCTTTAACTTAGGGCAGTTAAAAACCACCGGCAGGCCAGGCATGGTGGCTCACACCTGTAATCCCAGAAGTTTGGGACACCAAGGCAGGTGGATCACTTGAGGTCAGGAGTTTGAGACCAGCCTGGCCAACATGGTGAAACCCCATCTCTAGTAAAAATACAAAAATTAGCCAGGCATGGTGGCGCGTGCCTGTAGTCCCAGCTACTTGGGAGGCTGAGGCAGGAGAATCACTTGGACCCAGGAGGTGGAGGTTGCAGTGAGCCAAGATCACGCCACTGCACTCCAGCCTGGGCAACAGAGCAAGAATCCATCTCAAAACAAACAAACAAACAAACAAACACTGGCAAGAAAGATATTACTAGAGATGTCATTCCCCTACATTAATAAATACTATATTGTTACCATCTTTTACTTAGAACCTTAAATAAGATGGGACACATTAAAGCTGATGCAAATTAACACTTTGTTCAAAGCACTATAGTTTTAACACATTAAAAACAACTTTGTTTAATGAAAAAATTATGTTCACACATAAACTTTAAAAAAATTTTTGAATTTATCGCATTTTATTTACATAAAATTACAATTGATAAAATAATTTATACTAATATTCAAACATTTTCCTCTCACTAGAATTCAGAATATTACTCTGAACACCGGCCTTATACATCACAAAAACAAAAAGTCAACAACAAAAAGCCTATCTATTTACATTTTTATTATGCATCTTACAACTTAATGTCCTTACTCTTCCATAGAAAAGTTCATAAATAATGGACACCTAATAAAAAAACTATCTGTCATGTCTGTGATGCAACATTGATCAAATACTTTCACAAACAAGGAGAAGAATCAGCATGAAGTAATCTGAGACTTGAGATACATTATTATTTGCTTTTCAGAAAATCTAATGTTTTTCACAGAAAAAGAAGCATACCTCGAATGTAGCTATAAAATCTCTAATCTACTTCTTTAAATTGTATATAGTGCTACCTTTGGACCTTTTTTATACTCAATACTCTCATTTAGTGTAATGTCTGAAGTTTCAGTGCCTTCATTCTTTCTACTGTGAATCCTCAAATGTTTATATAGACTTAATTTTTGATTATATATATTTTCCCCATTTACTGGATCTGCAAAAATATTTAGAATAAAATTGTGTTTTCTAAGCTGTAGTTTTTGAACAAATGTTTTTTCACATTAATTACATTTTTAGACTTTCTCTCCAATATAAAGTCTCTGATGTTCAACAAAGTTTGAGCATCTGCTTCAGGGTTTTCCTTTAATATAAAATGTGTACAAT
Source organism: Homo sapiens (assembly GCF_000001405.40). Classification (NCBI taxonomy): domain Eukaryota; kingdom Metazoa; phylum Chordata; class Mammalia; order Primates; family Hominidae; genus Homo; species Homo sapiens. Next base: position 56,684,582 of record NC_000007.14, read on the forward strand.
AACATCTGTAATGCAAGTAAAGGTATAACAATCCATTTTATGTTTGTATGTTTGTCTTCAGAATAAATAGTCTTTAAAGGCCTATATTTTCTGAAAGGTCTTTTTACAGTAATCACATTTATAATGCCTTTTTTTTTTTTTTGGATGGAGTCTTCCTCTGTCACCCAGGCTGCTGTGTAGTGGCTTGATCTCGGCTCACTGCAACCTCTGCCTCCCAGATTCAAGCAACTCTCCTGCCTCAGCCTCCTGAGTAGCTGGGACTACAGGCAAACACCACCACACCCAGCTAATTTTTGTATTATCAATAGAGATGGGGTTTCACCTTGTTGGCCAGGCTGGTCTTGAACTCCTAACCTCGTGATCCACCCACTTGGCCTCACAAAGTGCTGGAATTGTAGGTGTGAGCTACCACACCCGGCCTATGATGCTTTTATTAAGTATGAACTTTCTGATATTGAGTAAGATGTGAGCAGATATTAATGGCTTTTCACATTCTTGTATTTGTACAATTTTTCTCTAGCATAAATGCTTTCTGGTGCAATAAGGTGTGAGAATTTGTTAAATGTTTTGCCACATTCTTCATATTTGTAGGGGTTTTCTTCAGTATAAATTATCTTGCCTACCATAAACATGTGACTACCATTTAAAGGCCTTGCCACATTTAACACATTTAACACATTTCTAGAGTTTCTCACCAGTATGGTTTGTAGAAAAGATTGAGGTGTGGTTAAATGCTCCGTCACATTTTTTACGTATGTGGAGTTTCTCTCCAGTATAAAATTGTTTAATTAACAAGGATGGAGAACCAGTTAAAGACTTTGCCACATTTTTTTCTACAATTGCAGGGGTTCTCTCCAGTATCAATTATCTTACATTTATTCAGGTTTGAGGACTTTTTAAAGACATTTCCATATTCCTTATTATAGGGTTTCTCTTCATATTAATTCTCTTACGTATAATAAGGGTTCAAGACTAGTTAAAAGCTTTACCACATTCTTTGCTTTTGTAGGGTTTCTCTCTAGAATGAATGATCAGATATTGTGTAAGGCCTGAGATGTGCTTAAAGGTTTTGTCCCATTTTTAACCCTTGTAGGGTCTCTCTACTACAAATTCTCTTAGGCTTTGGGAGGCTGAGACAGATGGATCACCTGAGGTCAGGAGTTCGAGACCAGCCTGGTCAATACGTTGAAACCCCATCTCTACCAAAAATACAAAAATCAGCCAGTGTGGTGGCATGCACCTGCAATCCCAGCTACTCCGGAGACTGAGGCAGGAGAATCAATTGAATCATGCAGGCAGAGGTTGCAGTGAGCTGAGATAGTGCCACTGCACTCCCACCTGGGTGAAAAAGTGAGACTCTATCTTAAAAAACAATTGTTTTTAAAAATAAATTCTCTTAGGTTCATTAAGTTTTGAGGGCTGGTTAAAGGCTTTGTTACATTTTTTTACATGTATAAGATTTTTGTCCAATATCAATTCTCTCATGTATAAGAAAGGTTTGGAACTGGTCAAAGGCCTGGCCACATTCTCCACACGTGTAGTGATTTTTTCCAGCATAAATAATTTTGTGTATTATAAGGCCTGAGGGCTGGACTTTGCCACATTCTTCGCATTTCTCTCCAGAATGAACTCACTTACAGTAAAAGTTGAGCACAAATTAAAACCTTTGCTACATTCCTTACAATTGTAGGGGTTCTCTATCATGTGAATTATCTTATTCAGTAAGGATTGAGCACTGGTCAAAGACTTACGACATTCTTTACATTTCTAGGGTTTCTCTCCAGTATGAATTCTCTTAGGTTTAGTAAGGATTGAGCCACGCATAAAAGCTTTTCCACATTCTTCGCCATTGTAGGGTTTCTCCCTAGTATGAATTCTCTTATGATGAGAAAAGTATGAGAATCAGTTAAAAGTTTTACCACATTCTTCACATGTGTAGGGTTTTCTTCCAGTATGAGTTCTCTTGTGTCCGGTGAGATGTAAGCCCTGGTTGAAGGCTTTGCCACATTCTTCACATTTGTAAGTTTTCTCTCCAGTATGAATTCTCTTATGTCCAATCAGGTGTGAGCACTGGTTAAATGCTTTGCCACATTCTTCACATTTGTAGGGTTTCTCTACAGTACAAATTCTCTTATTTTGAATAAGGTTTGAGAACCAGTTAAAGGCTCTCTTGTATGGTTTCTCTCTTGTATGAATTCTGTCATGTTGAATAAGGATTGAGCACCAGTTAAAAGCTTTGCCACATTCATCGCATTGAAAGATTTTGCTGGCCAGGTGCGGTGGCTCACGCCTGTAATCCCAATAGTTTGGGAGGCCAAGGTGGGTGGATCACGAGGTCAGGAGATCGAGACCATCCTGGCTAACATGGTGAAACCCCATCTGTACTAAAAATACAACAAATTAGCTGGGCGTGGTGGTGGGTGCCTGTGGTCCCAGCTACTCGGGAGGCTGAGGCAGGAGAATGGCATGAACCCGGGAGGTGGAGTTTGCAGTGAGCCGAGGTCATGCCATTGCACTCCAGCCTGGGTGACAGAGCAAGACTCTGTCTCAAAAAAAAAAAAAAAAAAAAAGGAAAGAAAGATTTTGCTAAGGGTAGTTGATAAATATTGGTTAAGTCCATTATAACTTTTTTTCTGTCCCTTACAGTAACCCACACTTTTCCAGTCTTTTCTTAAGTTTAAATTTTCAATGCTATAGCTTTCATATCTTCTCAGTATCACTTTTGGGAATAAATGTTTTATGCTCTGCTCAGGCAAAAGGTCTGGAGTAAAATGAGAGAACACAGCTAAAAGAATAAAAATAAATTATACAACTTATTAGACTCAGATGAATATACTTTACAAATACAAAATATAAAATTATACCAAGCACAATAAAATGGCATAATACTACAAGCCGAAATTCCTTAATAGACATGTAAACTTAACAAAAATATATCGACCAAAATGCCTTTGTAAGAGCTCTAAAACTCAGTTAAGAGATTGCAGTGCCATAGATGAGAATGATGCCAAGAGCCCCATAGAAGACAAAAGAACATTTGTTACATTTACCCACCACAGCCATATCTCCTCCCCAATACAAAATAATGCCTTTAAGTGTAAACACTCAACTCCTGGCTTCTCTCTCAAAAGTGAAAAAAAAAAACAGTGGCACATGTGTCCATACTTCTGGCTTTGAGGGGTCTTTCCAAAGACTTTTTTTCTGTCTACCATGACACAGAGTGCTGAAAGAAATGGTGCTATACTTTGAATGTCAGGTTAGTGTCTGTGAGACAAAAGGTAAATAATTGTTACAGCAGCAGAGAGATTTCAGGATCACAGAGAAACAGCAGGTGTACAGTCTCTTAAGCAGAAACATGGGCAAACCCACATAACTAAATAAAGGGAACACAAATCTAGTGAAGAGACATCTTAAGAACAGGTTTGAGAAATTCTCAATATCTAGCCTGGTAAATTGGTGTCAGACACTGCAGGGAAAAAAGCCACTTTATACAGACTGTGATGGGTGGCTTTTTTTTAATGTACATATGTCAACAAAATATATACAAAGTATCAGACTAACATGGCCCAATCAAAGAAACAAGTATGCAAATATCAACCCTAAAGAAATGAAGATGTATAAATTATCTTTAAAAAATCAAAATAACCATCTCAATTATGCTCAATGTTTAACACAGGAACATAGAAAACTAAGCATAATCAGGAAAATAAGAATATCTACAAAATGACCAAAAGAAACAAATTTTAGAGAAGTATACAAAAAATGACTGAGAAATTATCTAATGTATGAAAAAAATATTAAAAACTGAAGCTCAACAAACTTCAACTCAGATAAAGAGACCCATAACAAGACACAATATAAGCAAAGTTTTGAAAGTCACAGAAAAGAAGGTAATCTTGAATGCAGAAAGACAAAAGAGATGTATCATCTATATGCATGCTCCTGCAAGATTACCAATGAATTTTTGAACAAAAACCCTGCAGACAAGAGGCGAGTTGGGTTATATAATCCAAGTCCTGAAGGAACAAAAACTTTTAGCAAAACTGTCCTACAAAATTTTTAAAAATAAAGATTTTCCAAGATAACTAAATGCTGAGAAAATACATCACCAGTATTACTGTCCTGCAAGAAATGCAAAAAGAAGTTTTTCCCATTGAAAATTTAAAATGATAGAAAACAAACCAAGTCACATAAAAATACACAGCTCTCTGGGAAAGATATGCATGCACACAAAAATAAAACTTTATAGTATTACAATAATTAAGCAGAAAACAATTGTGCTTTAAAATTTGAAAGACATCATGAAAATTAAATCACCCGTTAGTATATGATATACTTAGTGACATCATAAGTTGAGGGCAGATGTAATGAGCATGAATTTTTGTATGCAACTGAGTGCAAGTTGTTACCAGTTTAAAATATACAGTTGTAACTTTAAGAGATTTTATGTAATTTACATGGTAACCATAAAGAAAATGCAGATACGCAATAGAAAATAAAAAAGCAAAGCATATCACTGCAAATATCAACAAGACACAAAAAAACACAAAGTAAATAGGGACAAAATAGCTACAAGAGTCAAATAAACAATAAAATGGTAATTATAAGTCACTTCCTTTCAGAAAAGTATTAAAATATTCATGGACTAAACTTCCCAATCAAAAGGCAAATATTACATTTTAATTTAGAAAACAAAATCCACGTATGTCATGTCTCCAAGAGACTCACCTCAGATCTAACGATGAAAATAGACTGAAAGTGGCAGGATGGAAAAAGACATTCCAAGCAAATATTAACCAAATGAGAAGTGGAGAACTAATTATATTAAGTCAAAAGCTGTCATACTTTATAAAATATAGTTTAAGTCAAAACTCACAGGAGATAAACAAGGACATTAAATTATAATAAAATGGTTCATTCGCTGGGAACCTATTTATATCTCCTATCAGGGTTCCCAAATATATACCATAAGCATTGACAGAAATCAAGTAATATAACAGTGGGAGAATACTTCAATACTTTCAGTAATGAATAATAAAGCATGACAGAACATTAATAAGGCAACAAAGGACTTGAAAGCAATGTAAAACAATTACACCTCAAAGTCATATATGGAACGCACCACACAACAGCAGAATCCACAATCTTTTCAATAGCTCATAAGAAAATTCTCCTGGATACAAACCTATTATCTCACAAAACAAGTCTTAATCCATTTTTTAAACTTGAATCTTACACACTGTTATTTTTGGCCAGAATTAAATGAAACTAAAAATCACTAACAGAAGGAAAACCAAAAAAATTCACAAAATATGAAAATTAAACAATATACTCTTAAGCATGCTCTTGTTCAAAGGTTGGAAGATTGAATACTGTGAAGATGGCCATGCTGACCAAAGTGATCTATCTACACATTCAATACAATCCCTTTCAAATTCCAAATTTCACTTCTCCAAAAATAGGAAAAAAACCCCCAAATCATATGGAATATCAAGAAACCACAAAGAGCCTGATTATTTAAAAAAGAAAAACAATATTGGCAGCATCACGCTTTTTGGTTTCAAAATACAAAATGAAGGTAGGGTAATCAAAGGAAAGCACTTTGGTACTGGTATAAAAATAAAACCCTACACCAACAAAACAGAATGCAGAACAGATAAAAACTGTCACATGTATGGTCATATGAGTTATTAACACCATTTATTGTGGCATTATTCACAAAAGCCAATAGGTAAAAGCAATCCAAACTTCCCTCACCAAATAAATAGATAAATATAATTTGGAATATAAGAATAATGGAATATTACTAAGCAAAAAAAAAAAAAAAAAAAAACAAGAAATCTTCTAACATCTACCATAAACAAAAATCTTGATAACATTATGTTAAATTTAATAAGCCAGCCAAAAAAAGACAAATTCTATATGAGTACATTTATATGTGATATCTAAAGTAGTTACACTATTAAAAAGGGAAAATAAGATAATGTTTGGAAAGGGCCAGGCAATGGGAAATAGGATTCATGTGGACTGTGTATAGTTTCACAAGATACAAACATTCTAGACTGGGCAAGGTGGCTCACGCCTGTAATCCCAGCACTTTGGGAGGCCAAGGCAGGCACATCACATGAGTTTGGGAATTCAAGACCAGCCTACCCAACATGGTGAAACCCTGTCTCTACTAAAAATACAAAAACTAACCAGGCATGGTGGCATGATCCTGTAATCCCAGCTACTCAGTAGCCTGAGCCAGGAGAATTGCTAGAACCTGGGAGATGGAGGTTTGCAGTGAGCCAAGATTGGGCCACTGAACTCCAGCCTGGGTGACAGAGTGAGACTCTGTCTCAATGAAATAACATACAAATAGAAAACATTCTACAGATATGTGGCTAACAGTGTCAATATATGTAACATAACCTGAACTACATAATTTGAAGTATTTAAGATTGTGCATTTTGGTGTGTATTTTTCACAAATAAAAATAAACTTACAATAGATAGAGTTACGAAGCTTTTCAAAACTTACCTCCAAATCACAAAATGTTTCTCTCACACCAAGATCATACATATTCACCAATAAACAGATGTGGAAATTAAGACAATTTCCATGACTATTCACTGACACAAGAGAAAATAACCATCTATCACCAACCAAAATAACAATTATATTTTTAAAGTGTGAGTAATATTTATACAGGCAAACAAACACAAAGATAATTATAGTGGTAATAGATGTATGGCTGATTCATATTTGACTTTTGCTGTACCCTGGCTTAAAATGTATGAAGTTGAATATTGTCATAAAGAATTATAATATATAAATTAAAACAAAAATACAATTCACTAAAATGAGGTAGCCTAGCCTAAACCATGAGATATTGACATATAAAATTGCAAAACAAAAATTTAAAAACACATTAACCCAAAAAGTCTTGAATAAACATAGTTCACTATGGAACCCTTCTAGATACCTACAATGTTCAACTATGACTGGGCATCCATAAAGAGCAAACATTTGATTTTATTAAAACTTCAACTTGTAGGTTCAAGGGTTACATGTGCAGATTTGTTACATGGGTGTATTGCGTGATGTTGAGGTTTAGGGTAGGATTGATCCCATCAGCCAAGCAGTGAGCATAGTACCCAACAGGTAGTTTCTCAACCCTTGGCCCACTCCCCGCCCAACCCAGTGGTCTCCAGTGTCTGCTGTTCCCATCTTTATGTGGCATAATCACAACTTACTGCAGCCTTGACCTCCCAGGTTCAAGCAATTCTCCTGCCTCAGCCTCCTGAGTAGCCGGGACTACAGGCATGCACTACCACATACAGCTAATTTTTGTATTTTTAGTACAGACAGGGTTTCAATACATTGTCCAGGTTTGACTCGAACTCCCGGGCTCAAGCAATCCACTTGCCTCAACCTCAAAAAGTGCTGGGATTACAGGTGTGAGCCACTGTGCCTGGTCAATTTTGTTCTTTTTGTTATGGCTGCATAGTATTCCATGGTATACATGGACCACATTTTCTTTATGCAATCCACCATTTATGGGCACCTAGCTTGATTCTGTCTTTGCTATTGAAGAGCATAAATTTTGAATCATGAGTATAAAGTGAGAGCAATAAATTTCACAGAAAATGCATATTAAAAGCTTTGATGAGAAAATTTTAAGAAACAAGCATTTTCTTATTCCTTCTGTACTATGTTATTAATATATTGTATTATGTTATTAATATATTGCGTATTATGAGAAATGCTTCTGAGAAAGTTCTGTATTATGTTATTAGTATATTGCTGCTCTTCATATACAAAATGTAAAAGGTATAATCTGGCTTTTAGAAGCAAAGCCAGATTCCAGCTTATAAATATCTAAATATAATGCTTAAAATATATTTATAAACGATAAATATAATGGTAAACATTGATGTATAAAGTGAACAGCTAGGGATAAATTATCTTATCATTAAGATAAATGTTAAGAAAATGGATGAAAATGCTAATGATAACTTTTTTTTTTTGAGACAGAATCTTGCTCTCTCACCCAGGCTGGAGTGCAGTGGCACAGTCTTGGCTCACTGCAGCCTCTGCCTCCTGGGCTAAAGTGATTCTCCTGCCTCAGCCTCCCAAGTAGCTGGGACTATAGGCATGTGACACCACATCCAGTTAATTTTTGTAATTTTAGTAGAGACAGGGTTTCACCATGTTGGCCAGGCTGGTCCCCAACTCCTGACCTCATGATCTGCCCACCTTGGCCTCCCAACATGCTGGGATTATAGGCATGAGCCACTGCATTTTCATTAGCGAGGCTCATGCCTATAATCCCAGCACTTTGGGAGGTCAAGGTGGATGGATCACCTGAGGTCAGGAGTTTGAGACCAACATGGCCAACATGGTGAAATCCCGTCTCTACAAAAATACAAAAATTAGCTAGGCACGAAGGCGGGTGCCTGTAGTCCCAGCTACTCAAAAAGCTGAGGCAGGAGAATCACTTGAACCCGGGAGGCATGCACCTCGCTAATGACAACTTTTTACAAAGAGTAAACTTAAACATAGAAACCAAACATTTAAATAAAAGTGGAGTGCCTCCTAATTATCTAATTTTCTTTTTATATAACAAAATCAAGCATGTTATTTCAGAACTTTGAAACTAAAATTACAGGCAAATTTGGCATGTGATCAATCAGAAAGTAAAAACACCTAGGATACAGTCCTGGTAATTTCTATGCTAAAGACAGAATTCTAAGATGATAGTTAATAAGAAGTAGGTAACAATTTAAAATTTGCTACATGCTGGGCAGTGTTCTAAGTTTCTCTATGATATTTGTGTTTTTAAAGTTTTTATGAGGTGAGTAGATACAATAAACTATTCTACAGTAGAGGAATTTGACATACAGAGTTTAGATTTGTAAACTTAGCTCCTGCTAAGAAAAAGAAAATCTTAAAGTAAAACAGATTTTTTTCATATTTAATGAGATGCTTTATGCTCTGATGGAATTTCTCAGTCTCATTTTCTGTAGGATCATGTATGAAACCTCCATGGGACTGGAAATTATAAAGCAAAAAACATATGACATCTGTTTGTGGTGTGTCTGGAATTTCTGAACCAAATCCCAATGTCTCCAGTACTCCCATCACAGACTTCTGACATAAGGCACAAACAGATCTTTAAAAATAGCCTACCATAGAGGTCTCCAAAAATGTGCACAAATTTATCCAGAATCCTCAAAGCAATGGACGAGCAGTCAGATCACACAGGTCCCCCACAGCATAAAGGGAAGAGTTCAGCTCTTACTGTGAATGCACTGGTAGATCACTGATGGACAGGAGAAGTCTTAGAGAATTTAAAAGCATAATAAGCATAGTGCAGGAAATTGCCCTCTGTGACAGTAAAAAAAGAAATCTAGGCTTGTCAAAAAAAAAAAAAACAATTCCGTTGAAGCAGAGCTTGCAAAACCACATTTTGAACTCTGGTTTCCTCTTTGACCTTTGGGCCTCTCACATGTGTTATCTCCTCTGCTCATACGTTCCCGCCAATCTGGGTGTACAGCTATTGTCTTCTCCCTTTTACATTCCAGGGATACTTCCTTTGCTGCATGCTTAAAGGCTGTTCATCACATCCCTTCTTCTTTCCCAGAATAGCAATTAGGTCCAGGAAAAAACAAACAACTCCCAGAGTCTCCCTCAGGAGTGACCTAGAAGAGTGAAACACACATTCAAAGTTTTGGCATTTTAAAGAACTGTCTGGTGACTACATTCTGTCCCCCCTAACATGGATTGCTAAAGGAAATGATGGGGTAATAGGATAACAGCTTGTAGCTGTTGAGAAGAAAAGTGGAAGCTTATTACAACACTAGAGAAATTTCAGTGCCACAGTCAACCAGGGAAGCAAAAGACTACAGAATCTGGAAATGAAATGAGGAAAAATCTCTTTAACTTAGAAAATATACACACAAGTCCAGAGAAGATACATCTGGGAACATGTTTCTGAAGCCCCCAGAATCTATAGCCTGATTGACTGCTGTCAGTACACCCCTGTGGTAGGCCTAGCTTTAAATACTACTTAGATGGCTGCTTATAAATTTCCAAATCTCATCAAAGGACTCAGGACATAAAGAGAAGGCAGGAAACATGCTCCTCTTGAAGGACCAAAACTTTGCACTCTCTGACAAAGACTTCAAAATAATTATATTAAATATGCTCAATAAGCAAAATTAGAACATAGATGAACAAAATAAAGATGCAAAAGAAATGAGATAACAACAAAGAGCTAAAAACTATGAAAAAAAACCCAATTGAAATTGTGGAGCTGAAGAATAAAACAATAGTTGAAAAATTTACTAGAGTCAAAACAGCAGACTTAATAAAGCAGAAAAAAGAATCAGAAAGATGTATCATTTATCAATATTAAGCTGTAGAAATAAACTTTTAATAAATGGAGAAACGTGAAGATAGAATGTGGGACTTATTGGAGGAAACATGGTAGAGGGGTTATTTGAAGAAAAAAGGGACTAAGAACTCCCAAAATCTCAAAGTGATTAAAAATAAAATACTATCAAACAAAAGTACTTGATCTGGGAAAAATGTACTTCAAAAATAAAACATAAAGACTTTCTAAAATACAAAAGTTGAAGGTGTCTGCCACCTCTAGAACACACCTAGAAGAAATGATACAGGGAGTCCATTATATTGACAGACATTCTGGCTCACACCTGTAATCCCAGCTACTTGGTAGTCTGAGGCACAAGGATCACTTCATGCCAGGAGTTTGAGACCAGCCTGGGTAATTATAGTGAGACCATGTCTCAAAAAAATAGCCTTTATAACAATTTTGAGATTCAGAAAGAAGGTGGTGAACCCTGTTCAAGCCTAAGACCAATGGGAGTCATTTCAAGAAGACTGACTCTCATTTAGGTGGCAAAGTTGAGGACCTCTGGCTTTGGCTACACACCAGGTCCACTCAACTTGATCCCACTTACAATTCAAAAGTGACTCTACCCATCTCCAACTCCTCCCAGCCATGGTCCAGAAGTTGTTCTGCCCATCCAGAGACCTGGGAAGAGATGCCCATTCATGCCCAGAGAGGCGGGCACTTCAGTTGTACTCAGTTTCAGCCCTTGTAGCCACAGTCTATGGCCAGTTCTGTCCACCTAAGGACCCATACAGTGACCTGGGGAAATCCTGCCAGGTACTAAGTGGGAGCCATACTGATCCACAAACCTGGTATTAGGCCCACCATAGGGAGACCCGACTGTAGAACCGTGCCCTAGTGCCAGCCCTAGAGATCAAAGTCCTGAAGGCAATTCAGCCTGCTCAGGAGTAAGACAAGATTAATAACCACCCAGGCTACTGGTACCAAACCCATTAAAGCCAGACCCAAACAGAAGCCTTATGATTATGACCCACTTACCACCCATCTCCACTGCAAGCCCAAAAGGGGTCCCATCAGCCTCAGGACCCCACAAGAGAAGAGCTTTACCTGTTGACACCAGTTTATAACAATTGGAAGAGGTGTTTGCTCCTTCAGATTCGCAGATACCCATATAAGGCTGCATTTTGTCCATTTTTAATGCTTCTATTTTTACACACTACTGGAAATCCCAGACAGAACAATTAGGCTAGAACACTTTCTTAAAGCCATCTACATTGAAAAGAAGTAAAAATGTTGCTGTTTGTAGATGACATGATCTTGTATTAGAAAACCATAAACAATATACCAAAATAGTGTTTCAGAAAATAAGCACACTCAGTAAATTCGCAGAATATAAAATTAACATACAATTATCAGCGGTGTTTTCATACACTAATAGAAAACTATTAAATAAAAAGAGAAAAACTCAGTTACAATAGCAACAAAATCATAAACTTTTAGGAGTAACTTTAAGGCAAATTATTTTCTTTGGACCAATCTGTATGTATTTATTCACACATTTGATTAAACTGTCACAGTTGATACAATGACATAAGTAACTCCACAGACAGACCCCCAAGTTCAGAGTCCAATTGCCATAAGTCAGAACATGGGGCAACCGCAATGCCTTAGCACCTATGCATGCACTCACACTCACTCTTGCATTCTCTCTCTCTCATGCACTTCCATCCACACCCCAACGATCACAGGTGCTAATTTCAGAAGTAATCCGCTTCTGTCAGGTCTTGGGGAGAAGACAGAAGAGATGAATGAAAAGCAGCTGTGACTGCTCAATGCATCTCTCTGCTCTGCCAACAATGAGTCAGAGAAGGCAAGACATAGACATGGGGGCAGCTATTTCCTTGGCACAAAAGTGAACAGACACCAAGAAGGTCAAGGAAGGGTTTAAGTGAGTCTCAGGTTTAAGTCAGTCTCGGGTTTAAGTCACTTTTCAGTACCACAAAAGGGTAGCAAGCAGGATAAAAAGGAAAACTCTAGCCATCAAGATTCCAGAAACAGGGAGAGAGGAGGATTTAAAACTTGATCCCTATTGTCTCAACAGATTGCAACTTGACCATAAGCAAAACCAGCTGGGTCAAACTGAGAGCATCTAATTGTGACTTTTCCCAAACAGCATAGTTTGCTTTTATTCTGGCTCTGAAGAGAGGAAGAAAAACTTTTTGGAGGAACCTGATGGTCACATAAACCACATCCCCAGTATATTAGTATTTGCTGCAAGATTACATCTGTGTTCACACAGCTTGTCTATAGATCTGAGAGCTCCAAGAGAGTGGCCCAGCCCCCATTCCTCTGCCTTTAACCTTCTGAAAAGAACAAGTCAAACCTGAAATGTGACAAATGCCTGAATCAAACTGATGTTTTCTATAAAATGGGACTGTGTATGAATCCTCCTCAACTCCTCCTTTTTGACACAAAAGTTAAAGCATTTTTAAACTAAATTTAAATGTGATGTTTTGAGCATCAAAAAGCTACTAACTAAAAGGATTAGTTTCCCAATGCTCTTGGTAAACGGGAAAAGTTAGGAAGGAGGCAATGATCTAATGAATATAGAACTTGCCAGTTCAAAGTAAACTGCTTTGGATAAGGTGAATCAATGGGTAGTGGGTACTGGGCAGGCAGAGAGAGAAATTTCTTGGTACAAACCTCATGTCCCAAGGCAAAAGATTTTTACACTGAAACATATTAGATACTGATGGAAGAAGCTGAAGAAGACACAAATAAATGCAAAAATATTCCATGTTCATTTACTGGAAGAATAAATACTATTAAAATGCCTTATTACTTAAAGTGATGTATAGATTCAATGAAATCCCTATCAAAATTCCAATGGCATTTTTCACAGTAATAGAAAATATGATCCTGGCTGGGCATGGTGGCTCACACCTGTAATCTCAGCACTTTGGGAGGATACCAGCCTGGCCAATATGGTGAAACCCTGTCTCTACTAAAAACACAAAAAAATTAGCCAGGCATGGTGGCACATGCCTGTAACTCCAGCTACTCAGGAGGCTGAAGCAGGAGAACTGCTTGAACCCAGGAGGTGGAGGTTGCAGTGAACAAAGATCACACCACTGCACTCCAGCCTGGGCAACAGAGTTAGACTCTGTCTCAAAAAAAAAAAAAAAAGAAAAAGAAAAAAAAGAAAAAAGAAAAGAAAATACAATCCTAAAATTTATATAGAACTACAAAATACTCTGAATAACCAAAGCAATCTTGAGGAATAAGAACAAAGCTGAAAGCATTATACTTTCTGATTTCTATCTATATTTGAAGACTATTATAATAAAAACCATATGGTATGTGCACAAAAATGGACAAAAAAAATTGGAGAACCCAGAAACAACTCCAAGCATATAAGGCCAACTAATCTTTGACAGGGGCACTCAGAATACACAATGAAAAAAGTATAGTCTCTTCCATACTTGGTGCTGGGAAAGCTGAATACCCACAAGCAAAACAACAAAATTAGACCATTAATCTTACATCACACCTGATGATTAACTGAAAATAAAGACTTACACGTAAGACATAAATACTCAAAAATCTTAAAAGAAAACACATTTAAAAAACACCTTGAAATTTGTCTTGCCAATGAATTTCTGAATACAACAGCAAACAGAAGCAAATATAAACAAGTTGGACTGCACCAAACTAAAAGGCTTCTGCACAGCCAAGAAAACAATAAAATAAGAAAATCTGCAAACCATAAAGCAATAAAATAAGAAAATCTGCAAACCATATATCTGATAGATGGTTGATGTCAAAAGTAGGTAAGGAAATCATACAAATCAAAGGCAAAAACAATAATAATAATGGTAATAATAATCTGATTGAAAAATAAGCCAAAGACTGAATAGATATTTTTCCAGTAAAGACATACAGATGGATAACAGGTGTATGCAAAGGTGCTCAACATCACCAATCATCATGCACCTGCAAATTAAAACTATGTTGAGACATCACTTTCCACTTGTTAGGATGGCTAATATCAAAAAGAAGAGAGATAACAAGTGTTGACAAGAATGTGAAGAAAAAGAAATTCTGTACTCTTGGTAAGTTGTAACTTGGTAGGGTCATTATGAAAACCAGTATAAAAGAGTTTTTATTTTAAAAAATTCTTTTTAATAGTACTACTAAACAACCCAGCAATCCCACTTCTGCATATATAACTAAAGAAATAAAATCAGCATCTCAAAGAAATATCAGCAACATCATGTTCATTGCAGCATCATTCACAATTGCCAAGATGTGAAAACAATCTAAATGTTTGTGGATGCTGAATGGATGAAGAGAATGTGGTATATATGCATAGTACAATATTATACAGCCATAAAAAATGACATCCTGTCATTTCAACAAGATGGATGGACCTAGAGGACATTATGCTAAGTGAAATAGCCAAAAACAGAAAGACAAATACAGTATGATCTCACTTCTATGAAGAATATAAAAAGGTTGAACTCACAGAAGCAGAGTATGAAAGCAGTTGCCAGGGCTCAGAAGTGGAGAAGATGGAAGATATTCAAAGGGTACAAATTTTCAGCAATAACATAAATAAGTTTTGGAGATCTAATGTATAGCTTCATGACTATAGTTAATAATGTTATGTATACTTTGAATGTGCTAAGACAGTAGACCTTAAGTGTTCTCACTACAAAAAAAGGTAACCATGTGAGGTGATACGTGTGTGTCCTCATTAACTTGATTGTGTTAGTCACTTCACAATCTATGCACATATAAAATCATTACACTGTACACAATGAATACAATTACCCAATTATTTGTGAAAAAAATCCACATTACACACACAGATACACATATACACATGTAAATGCATATATACATATACATACACACACATACATATATATGCATATGTGTATATATATAAATGTATTTATATGACAGTCCTGGTAAATTTGATACCAAACAGGAGAAAATTATAAAATGACAGTTATTTAAAAAGAAAGTAACAAGTGGGAGTTTAATATATGCTCAGCAATGTTTTAAGCTCCCCAGTAACAGAGTATATTTGAGAAATGTATGAAGAAGATACATTGAACTGTATTGCAGTTGAAGAATTTGGGCATACAGAGTTTAAATTACCAATTTCAGTTTACACTAAAAACATTTGTAATATTATTTTGAAGTAAAATAGCATTAGACTTTCAAATATTTAGGGAGATGCTTTGTGTTCTAATAAAAATTACTAAGTATGAATTTCTGCAAAATCACATTTGAAACCTCCACTGGATAGGAAATCATAAAGCGGAAAACACACAACATCTGTCTGTGGTGTTTCTGGAATTGATGAACCCATCCCAATTCAGCACTACTCTCACACATTTCAGACATGGTGCAAACAGAGAAATGAAAAAATGGTTTAACATATAATTTCTCAGTAATATGCAGATATTTCTGTCCTCAAAAGCAATGGAAAAGCAGTGAAATCACACCATCTCTTACAGGCCATGGAGAAGACTTATTGTCACTGTAAACTCAAAGAACATTACTGAAGGGGAAGTAGATTACTTAGAGAATTCAAGAGCATGAAATAGATGTTCCCACGCGAAAGCAAGAGAAACAAACCCAGGCTTCTCAAAAACTACTTCCATTGGAGCAGAGCTTCTCAGACCACATTTCAAGACCAGCCTAGCCAACGTGGTAAAACCCTGTCTCTACTGAAAATACAAAAAGATAGCCGGGCATGGTGGTGCATGCTTATGGTCCCAGCTACTCGGGAGGCTGACGTGGGAGGATTGCTTGAGCCCGTGGGCAGGAGGTCGCAGTGAACCGAGATTGCACCACTGTTCTCCAGCCTGGGTGATAGAGTGAGATCCTGTCTCAAAAATAAATACATTAATTAATTAAAGTAATATTAAAATTAGCCAGGCATGGTGGCACATGCCTACAGTTCCAGTTACTTAGGAGGATGAGATGTGCAGATCGCTTGAGCCCAGGAGGTCAAGGATGCATAAGCCGAGATTGCACCACTGCACTCCAGCCTGGGTGACAGAGTGAGACCCTGTCTCTAAATACATACATACATACATACATATATAAGATAAAATAAAAATAATATATTAAAATTATTTTGAATTAAATAACAGATGCTAGTTGGATATCCGGGTCATTTCCAATTATGAAAAAGTTTACAATATGGGGAAACATGTTTCTAAAACTTGTGGAATGGTTTCATCTATAAAATACTAACATCTGATAGACAGCTCTGGGTTACTTGCTTCTTAGGTTTTCACTAAAATTTAAAGTTTCTAAGAATAAGAATTCTAGTTAGTATTTAATTCCGTAAGTTGTGTTCTTATTAAGAAAAAGATAATTTTATATAACTTGGAGGTTATTTAAAAGTTATTTAGCATGCTATAGATGGTCTCTGTAAGATGTGATAAGAAAATTTATGTAAAAAAATTTGTGTGTAATTAAAATTGGCCAAGGGGATCCCAAAGAAACCTGAAAAACTAGTTCAAGCCATGAAGGGAAGGAGGGTTGGACGTGCCTCTTCATACCCTCCCCACTTTGGAGTTTAGGAAAAACTGACCAGCATTAACATTAAAACTGATATCATAAGACTGACAATACAGACTCTTTGAAACAATAAGATACCAAATTATAAACAAGACCCAACACCATGCCTGGCAAGGGTTAAGTCACACACTTCTACACTTAAAAAGTTAACTAGATTCTAACTGCCACAGGATTTTTTTTTTTCCTCTAGAAGCCAAAGAAGTACTGGCCTCAAGATAAGTAATATTAAAACCATTTATGGGCCAGGTTTGGTGACTCATGCCAGTAATCCCAGCACTTTGGGAGGCCAAGGCAGGCAGATCACCTGAGGTAAGGGGTTCGAGATCAGCCTGGCCAACATGGCAAAATCCTGTCTCTACTAAAAATGCAAAAAAATTAGCTGGGTGTGGTGGCATGCACCTGTAATCCCAGCTACTTGGGAGGCTGAGTCATGACAATCGCATGAACCCGGCGGGTGGAGGTTGCAGTGAGCCACGATCTTGCCATTGCACTCCAGCCTGGGCAACAGAGCGAGGCTCCAACTAAAAAAAAAAAGAAAAGAAAAGAAAAAAGAAATTACACATCTGCATGCCTTTGTATCCTGAAAAGACCTTTTGACAGATAGGGTCTAACTGTACATTTAAATGTTAAGTCTCCATCCCAAAATGAACATGGGTCATATATTACATGCATATTTATTTGTTCAATACACATGTGTCAGGGCCACCTTCATGAATATTCACAGCTCCTCCTGTAACCTGTTAAATATGTTTAACCATTCTGCTATCAGATCACCATAGAAGCTGCGGGTACAACTGATAGTGCAGAACTTAATTATTAATCAATTTAATAGTTAAGATTGAATGCTGGCTGGGCACGGTGGTTCACACATGTAATCCCAGCACTTTGGGAGGCTGAGGCAGGTGGCTCACATGAGGCCAGGAGTTCGAGACCAGCCTGGCCAACATGGTGAAACCCCATCTCTACTAAAAATTTTAAAAACCTTAGCCAGGCATGGTGGTGCACACCTGTAATCCCAGCTACTCAGGAGGCTGAGGCACGAGAGTTGCTTGAACCCAGGAGGCAGAGGTTGCAGTGAGCTGAGATCACACTACTACACTCCAGCCTGGGCCACAGAATGAGTCTCTGTCTCAAAAAAAAAAGATTGAATGCTGTGTACTTCCAGGATAATTCTGGAAACATCCTCAGCCCTACAAGACATGCACAAGCAAACTAATGCTATGTCTGATCCCACAGTGTCTTTAAATCAATGGCTCGCCTCATGATTCGTATCCAGCCCCTTCTGATGGAAAAAGTTGCTCATGATTACAGGGATAGGATTATTCTTCTGCTGTGGACTGTATTGCTGTTACACACTCCCCATGATGCTCCAGCGGATCTCTTCTCTAAGTCCAGGGACTCTTGAGCACTTTCAACCCCGGGTGGATAGGTTCATTCCGCGGCCCCCTGACTATGCCCCTTTTCAATAGGAAGTAGCCAGAATGAACCACTTGCCCGTTTTCCATAGAGACAGAATGAAACTTGACAGTGGGGAGTTTGCAACCAGGGGCCTCGGTTATTTAAATCACCCTCTATTTTTCTTCCTTCCCTCCCTTCTGACCACTTTACTCCTAACCTCTCTAGATACTCCCCTCTGGCAATGCCTGCTTATCCAATTATGCGCTTAAAACATTCCAGGCTGGGTGCAGTGGCTCACACCTATGAGCCCAGCACTTTGGGAGGCCAAAGCAGGAGAACTGCATGAGCCCAGGAGTTCAAGACCAGCCTGGGCAACATAGGGAGACCTCATCTCTACAAAAAAATTTAAAAATTAGCCAGGCATGGTGGCACATGCTTGTGGTCCCAGCTACTCAGGAGGCTGAGGCGGGAGGATTGCTTCAGCCCAGGAGGTCGAGGCTTCAGCGAGCTATGACTGCACCACTGCACTCCAACCTGGGTGACAGAATGAGACCCTGTCTAAAAAAATAAATAAATAAATAAATAAAAATCAGAGACTAATCTTGAAACAAACCAGGCAGGGAGCCCCTGTGGAATTTTCCCACTTAGGGGGGTGTCGGGCACAATTAGTTCACCACCATCAGCCCAAAGTCAGGTAATCACCAACCAGACCTCCAGAAGGGCAAATCCCCAAGAGAGCCACCGGAAGAAGATCCACAGACCTGCACACTGCACCCTGCACCACGCCCACATGCCTCTCACACCAAGCTTCCCTTTAAAACTCCTATAGTGAATTTTAAAATGTAAGACGGTACTTTATAACACTAGCTCACCATCTTCTTGGTTGTCTGGCTCTCTAATTAAACCTGCTTTTCCTCCTGTCAACCCTCACCTCTTGTGTTCTGGCTTTCAAGTGGTGAGCAGCTGAACTTGGGTCTGGTTAAATGGCCACATCATTACCTACGTATGCGTGTGTGCGAGTGGGCAGAATTATATGGTGACATCTGAATGGGGGAGGGATATGCCCTCAGAACTTATTCCCTCTGTGTCTCCAGTCCTCACTGACCCTGGGAGAGACATGAGATCACAGGACAATTTACAATGTGACAGCCTGTGTGCAGGAGAACAGAGCCTTGATTCTTGAAGACACTTGGAGTCTCCCTCCAGCCCAGGGCCTGCCTGACCCATGCTGGGTGATTCACAGGCATCCATGTGTCCTTGACTCCTCTCATATCATTCACTGGAGACACTCAACCCTTGGCTCACTACAACCTCCACCTCCCGGGTTCAAGTGATTCTCCTGCCTCAGCCTCCCGAGTAGCTGGGATTTCAGGTGTGCGCCACCACACCTGGTTAATTTTTGTATTTTTAGTAGGCACAGGGTTTCACCATGTTGGGCCAGGCTGGTCTTGAACTCCTGACCTCAGATGATCTGCCTGCCTTGGCCTCCCAAAGTGTTGGGATTACAGGTGAGTCACCGTGCCCAGTGAATAGTGCATTATATGGTAAAATAAAATAACTATTTTTAAAAAGGCAAACAAATGAAAATCTTCCCTACTGTGGTCTCACTTCCCCAAATAACCATGAGGGACACATTTCTGTATCCTTCTGAAATGGCTCCATGACTTTTCCACGCATGCCATCCTTAATAAAAGAGCTCACTCTTAACCCAATCTGCAATCTCAGTTCCTGAGGTTCTAGGCAACCTCATCTTCCTCTTCCGCTGAAGGCAAACCTCAAGAAGAGTTTTCCTCTCAGAGCATAAACCAACAGAAACCGAGGCGTGCTTCATTGTACTGGTGTGTGTGGAGAGAAGGCTGCCCAAGCATCCAGGTTATGCCCATGCATAGCAGAATTTGCAAGCAGAAACCAGCCCCCAAATAGCTATTTCCTGAATGAGTCTCTGCCCATGCTGAGCCGTGTTGTTCATCTGCCTCCTCCACTGAGCCTGGCAGCTCATAGTTGGAGTATTTATGCCCAAGTGGGCATTCCAGGACAGTGTTCTCCCCCTACACCCGCACTTCCGTACTGGGGACACAAAATCAGTTAACAATGAGAAAGAATAGAATACTTTATTTTTTTGAGACAGAGTTTCGCTTTTATTGCCCCGGCTGGAGTGCAATGGTTCAATCTTGGCTCAATGCAACCTCTGCCTCCCAGTTTCAAGCAGTTCTCCTGCCTCAGCCTCCTGAGTAGCTGGGATTACAGACAGCTGCCACCATGCCCAGCTAATTTTTTTGTATTTTTAGTAGAGATGGGGTTTCACCATGTTGGCCAGGCTGGTCTCAAACTCCTGACCTCAGGTGATCCACCCGCCTTGGCCTCACAAAGTTCTGGAATTACAGGCATAAGCCACTGTACCACAGAGAAATTTTTAAATCTGAGGAATGTGAACTACTTTTAAATTATTAGGCCCACACAGGCACAGAAATTAGGCATCAGTTATGTCTCACTTCCCCCCTTGAGCTATGTAATCACTTTGTGAAGCTGCTTGCTCTGTGGAATCTGGGCTGACTGATGCGACAAGTGGCTAGAAATGAACCTAAAATTCCACATGCTGGACAACAAAACCCCTACCCTATAGTTCAAGAATGTATATTCAATCACTATCAGTGTTTTTTCTTGTGCAGTTCATGAGCATCATTCCGCAAGGAGTCACCCAAGAGCTGTGAATCATGGGCCAAGCCTTTTGTGTACCAGTACATATGTAAACCAGTGCAAATTTCTGACAACATTGTATCAGCCCACTTCCTATTCTTTTATCTTTATAAACCTTGTAACAAATGCCAAATGTGGTTCCTATTTGAGGTTATTTGAGTCTGAGTCTCCCAAGCAGTCGTCCTCACCTTGGCCTGAAGCAAATTCTTTAAAATTATATTTTGAGGCTGGGTGCGGTTGGCTCACGCCTGTAATCCCAGCACTTTGGGAGGCCTAGGCAGGCAGACTACCTGAGGCCAGGAGTTCAAGACCAGCCTGGCCAACATGATGAAACCCCATCTTTACAAAAAATACAAAAATTAGCCAGGCGTGGTGGCGGGGGCCTGTAATCCCATCTACTCAGGAGGCTGAGATGGGAGAATCACATGAACCCGGGAGGTGGAGGTTGCAGTGAGCTGAGATGCCACTGCACTCCAGCCTGGGCAACAAGAGTAAAACTCTGTCTCAAAAATAAAAAAATTACATTTTGTGCCTTAGCTTATTTCGTTAGGTCAACATTTCTGGTGTGGTGAGCAGGACTGCAGGATTCAGAGACTCTATTCCCTCCCCCCAACCAACCAACACTCCCAGACTTGGTGCCTGGCCGACCAGAACCTCTTGTGTTCCTATGGCTCCACGTACACTGTTGAGTGTAAGGGGTGAGTCCTCCTGAATTTAGAACTCCTTATTGGTTGGTGAGGCCTAGACTTTACCTGAACTGTTCTTTTCAACCCTCCCTTTCTAGAAAAGATATTTCCATCTCCAGCCACAGGCAGGAGATTTGGGTTTCAAAATTTAAAAAAAGAAAAAAGAAAGAAAAGAAAATTTCTTTCACTGCCTCATGATAGGAGGTCTAGGGTATGATACTGGCAGTCTAACACTGCTAGTTTCACTTTTACTTTTTTCTTGAGATGGAGTCTCACTCTGTTACCCAGGCTGGAGTGCAGCGGTGTGATCTCGGCTCACCGCAACCTCCGTCTCCCAGGTTCAGGCGATTCTCCTGCCTCAGCCTCCTGAGTAGCTGGGATTACAGGCATCTGCCACCATGCCCGTCTAATTTTTGTATTTTTAGTAGAGACGGGGTTTTGCCATGTTGGCCAGGCTGGTCTCAAACGCCTGACCTTAGATGATCAGGCGGGCAGCCTTAGCCTCCCAGAGTGTTGGGATTACAGGTGTGAGCCACTGCACCCGACCTAATTTTTCTTTTTTTGGACTAAAATCACGTAACATGCTTTTAAAATTGCAACTGCTCCCTAGTCCGTGTAATTTGAACTTGTTTTCTCATTTGTGACCAATTCCTGTTAGTTTTATACCAAAAGGTGCATGAGGGTGAACGCTCTCACTCCAAATAGAAGAGGCAATTGCTCCGTCTGACCCATTTGGGTGCCCTAGGCAACTAGAGATTTAGCAGAGGTGCTGGGACACTTTTCAATGATGCATACCATTTCTCAATAACGTGTACAAGTCTCATAGGGCCTCCCCACAAGAAGTCCCCACTCCTCTCACCTGCTGGGACTTTTAGCTCAACTGGAAGGTGCACCTAAGGGTTGGCCCGTGATTCACAACTCTTGGGTGACAGCTTGAGGAATGATGCTCATAAACTGCACATTTTGACCTGGTACACTATTCTGGCTTCAATCACTTTTGAGAAGTTCCTAAATTATGAGAAGCTGCTCATCAAAACTGAGGCTTCCCTTCTGGGGCAACTCCCCTTGGAAACAGTAGCTGGAGTTATGTATAATACCTACAGGACTCAGTCTTGCAAATGTCTAGCTAAATGGGCCCACATGGCTTGAGATAACCCCAAAATACAATGGCCAAAATGGAGATCTTCTGAAATTTCTAAATTACTAATGCATTTGCATCCATAATTGAAACCAGGTTTTAAACAAAATTTAATGAAAGGGCCACTTTCCACTTTGTTTTTTCTGGCTTGATTTTTTTTTTTTTTTTTTTTTTTTTTTTTTTTTTTTTAGACAGAGTCTTGCTCCGTTGCCCAGGCTGGAGTGCAGTGTAGCAATCTCGGTTCACTGCAGACTGTCTACTGAGTACAAGCAATTCTCCTGCCTCCGCCTCCCAAGTAGTTGGGATTACAGGTGCCCGCCACCATACCTGGCTCATTTTTGTATTTTTAGTAGAGACGGGGTTTCACCATGTTGGCCAAACTGGTCTTGAACTCCTGACCTCAGGTGATCCACCCACCTCGGCCTCCCAAAGTGCTAGAATTGCAGGCATCACCGCACTTAGCCACTTCTGGATTGTCATAAGAGATTTGATTTTTTTAAACTGCTCTTCTTTCACTCCCTCAAGAAAATCCTTAAGCTCAAACAGTCTGTTTGACTTTGCAGAAAAATTTATAATATATCCCTTGGAGACTTACCATGTCTTTGGAGTACTCATTTGTGATCTTCTCTAACCCCACTAACAGCGTTTGTCATTTGTTTTCCTGTTTTTGTTTTTGTTTTTGTTTTTTTCTTTTTTGAGACAGAGTCTCTCTCTGTCATCAGGCTGGAGTGCAGTGGCGTGATCTCAGCTCACTGAAACCTCCCCCTCCTGGGTTCAAACGATTCTCCTGCCTCAGCCTCCCAAATAGCTGGGATTATGGGCACATGCCACTACGCCCAGCTAATTTTTGTATTTTTAGTAGAGACGGGGTTTCACCATGTTGGCCAGGATGGTCTCAATCTCTTGACCTTGTGATCTGCCCGCCTTGGCCTCTCGAAGTGCTGGGATTACAGGTGTGAGCCACTGTGCCCAGCCTTGTTTTCCTATTTTACTGTCTCTTTTAGTCTTCTGTCTGGCCTTTGTGGTCAGCAGAGAAGCAAAGACTCTAGAAGATAGGGCCTGCAGGCATGATTGCACCCCACTTGTAGTAAGCTGTCTTTGGGAGAGGTTTTGATTATGAATGAGGTAACACATTCTGCTCTCTTTGGAGACCCTGGTTAAAGCCATAAAAGACTTTTTGGGTTTGGTCTCATGCGTGTTTACTTCTGTTGGTTTTCTGTCCCTTATTCAGGTATACTTTTGATTTAAAATTTGGGTTTATATTTAGAGTGCAATATGTGGAATGCTCCCCCATGATCAAAGATAATTTTCAAGGACCTTGCCTAACTCCATGGAAGGCCATCAGAAAACTAGTTAATTCATGATCTGACAAGGCACCAATCAATGTTTAGGCTTTTGTGTGTGTGTGTGTGTGTGTGTGTGTGTGTGTGAGACAGAGTCTCGCTCTGTTGCCCAGGCTGGAGTGCAGTGGCACAATCTTGGCTCACTGCAAGCTCTGCCTCCCAGGTTCACGCCATTCTCCTGCCTCAGCCTCCCAAGTAGCTGGGAGTACAGGCGCCCACCACCACGCCTGGCTAATTTTTTTGTATTTTTAGTAGAGATGGGGTTTCACCATGTTAGCCAGGATGGTCTCGATCTCCTGACCTCATGATCCGAGAGAGAGAGAGAGAGAGAAAGACAGAAAGAAAACAAAACCTTCCAAGTGTAGTTAGCTCCTACCCTGCCACACTGCACTATTTTACAACCAAAGTCCTCCAAATAATTGTCTGCAATCACTGTTTGTCTAACATGCACTATTCCATCTACTACAATTTAAGTTTTTGTTTCCACCACTACCTTGAAACTATTCAAGATTCACCAACCCAACGTAGTCGCCATTGCCAAATTCAATGGAATTCCAGAATCATCTTTAAAATATATATATATATATATATATATATATATATACACACACACACACACATATATATACACACATTTTTTTTTTGGAGACAAAGTTTATTGCCCAGGCTAGAGTTCAGTGGCAGGATCACAACTGACTGCACCATCAAATTCCTGGGTTGGAGCCTCCTCCTGCCTCAGCCTCCAAAGTAGCTGGGAATGCAGGCATGCACCATCATGCCTGGCTAATTTTTAAATTTTTTGTAGAGACAAGGTCTCATTATGTTGCCCACTCTGGTCGCAAACTCCTGGGCTCCAGGGATCCTCCTGGCTCAGCCTCCCAAAGTGTTGGGATAAAAGGCTGAGCCTCTGCTGCACCTGACTAGAATATCTTTTCTTCTGGCTCAGCCTCCCAAAGTGTTGGGATAAAAGGCTGAGCCCCTGCACCTGACTAGAATATCTTTCGATACTATTACTCACTTCTTTAGGATTCTCGCTTCAATTCTCCACTGTTTATTTCTCTTACCTTTGCTGGTTCCCATGCCCACCTATAAATGATGGTGTTCCCTTTTGCTCTCTGTCCAATCTCTCCACTTGTCCACACATTTGGCATCAACCTACACTTATTTGCTGATAACTCCCCTATCAAGACAAGATCTTTCTCCTGAATTCCAAACTCAGTCAACCACCAGCTGGATATCTTCACCAGACAAAAGTCAGCCACATCTAGGCTAGGCACAATGGCTCATGCCTGTAATCCCAGCACTTTGGGAGGCCGAGGCAAATGAATCACCTGAGGTCAGGAGTTCAAGACCAGCCTGGGCAACATGGTGAAACCCCATCTCTACTAATAATACAAAAATGAGCTGGTCATGGTGGCAGATGCCTATAATTCCAGCTACTCAGGATGGTGAGGCAGGAGAATATCTTGAACATGGGAGGCGGAGGTTGCAGTGAGCCACTGCCCTCCAGCTTGGGCAACAGAGCAACACTCATTGTCAAAAGAAACAGCAAAACTCAACCATGTCTAAAAGTTATGAGTAACCTCTTCCCCATACCGGCTTTAATCCCAATACCCATTTAATAATAACCCACGACTCCTCTCAAAATATCCCTATGTTCAAGACCCAAATTCAGCCACCAACTTCAGCAGTCGATCTACTTAGCACCTCTTCCAGCCAGCCCGTGTCCTTTACTCATACTCCTTCTGTCTCAGTGCCTTCACTCAACAAATATTTATAGAGTACCTAAAACATGCTCTAGGAATGGTTAAGAAAATAAAAAAGATACCAGATTTATGGAGATTACACTCTAATGATTGTTCTGACAAACATTTTCAGAACCTAATCTTGTATCAACTCACATCCTTACAGAATTAGTCTCAGAATTGATGGTGGCTTCCTGAGGTCAGGAGTTCAAGACCAGCCTGATCAACATGGTGAAACCCCGTCTCTACTAAAAATACAAAAATTAGCCAGGCATGGTGGCACACGCTTGTAATCGTAGCTACCTGGGAGGCTGAGGCAGGAGAATTGCTTGAACCTGAGAGGCGGAGGTTGCAGTGAGCTGCAATTGCACCACTGCACTCCAGCCTGGGCGACAGAGCAAGACTTTGTCTCAAAAAAAAAAAAAGGAGAGAATTGAGGGTAACTTTAAGTATGTAGCACTTCAAATCCTTCATATTGTTCTAAGTAAGCACTGTCCAAAAGAATCAGATGGAATTAATATTAATAATATACTTTTGGCCGGGCACAGTGGCTCATACCTGTAATCCCAGCACTTTGGGAGGCTGAGGTGGGTGGATCACAAGGTCAGGAGATCAAGACCATCCTGGCTAACGTGGTGAAACCCAGTCTCTACTAAAATACAAAAAATTAGCTGGCGTGGTGGTGGGTCCCAGCTACTTGGGAGGCTGAGGCAGGAGAATTGCATGAACTCGGGAGGCAGAGGTTGCAGTGAGCTGAGATCAGGCCACTGCACTCCAGCCTGGCAACAGAATGAGACACCATCTCAAAAAAATATATATAATAATAATAATATAATTTGATTTAAGGTAATATCAAAAATATTATCTCAACATTTCAAAAATATTTACAATTTTTAAAAATATATCTATGAAATACAAAGTATAAGTTACAATTAATACATCTCAATTTAGATGCTAAATTTTTTTTGGTGGGGGATGGAGTTTTGCTCTTGTTGCCCAGGCTGGAGTGCAATGGCATGATATCGGCTCACCGCAACCTCCACCTCCCAAGTTCAAGCGATTCTCCTGCCTCAGCTTCCTGAGTAGCTGGGATTACATGCATGCACCACCACGCCTGGCTAATTTTGTATGTTTTTTTTTTTTTTTTTTTTTAATGGAGATGGAGTTTCTCCATGTTGGTTAGGCTGGTCTCGAACTCCGGCCTCATGTGATCTACCCAACTCGGCCTCCCAAAGTGCTGGGATTACAGGTGTGAGCCACCGCGCCTGGCCAGATGCTAAATTTTAATTTAATTAATTTTTTGTTTTTTTTTTTTTTTTTTTGAAACAAGGTCTTTCTCTGTTGCCCAGGCTGGAGTACAGTGGCACTCTCTCGGCTCACTGCAACCCCTGTCTACCAGGTTCCAGCGATTCTCCTGCCTCAGCCTCCCAAGTAGCTGGATTACAGGCACCTGCCACCACAACAAGATAATTTTTGTAGTTTTAGTAGGGACAGGGTTTAGTAGGGACAGGTTGCTCAGGCTGATCTCAAACTCCTGACCACAGGTGATCCCCCAGTTCAGGCCTCCCATAATCTGAGATTCCAGGTGTAAGCCACAGCACCCCGCCTACATGCTAAATTTTTAATGACTAAAGTAAAATGTAGTGGTACCAAAATGATGAACTTCTATTTCAGGGAAAAATACTTTGTATTGCTTCAGTTTTCAAATGTAAATTAATTGAAATGAAATCACAACGTCAGTTTCTTAGTTGCCCTACCCAAATTTCAAATATTAGTGTAGTTTTAAGGGGCTCCTTCTAATATGAAACTCTCATTCCTTCAGGCTGCATTCTGCACCTGGCTACACATCAACATCACCTGGGGGGTTTTAGAAACCGCAGCCTCTACATGATTTCCTTAGGTCTGGAGCCTTGCTAAGTGCTATTTCAAGCAGCCTTGCTTCAAGTCCTAGAATGCCCTTGTCATTCGACCCTTCCCCCATCCAATAGACCCAAATCATCCATTCATCTCTCAAGAACTGGACAAAGGTGACAGTAAACTATGCATTTCTTAACCAGCTTCAGTTAGATAAAACTAAGCACCTCTCCCTTTACTATCTCTACACAGCTCTCTGTCAAATCCATTGATTGTACTTACTGATTTGATTGCAATGCTATCCTTTCCTGGACTTCAAGGACAGATCTTGGTGCTTGTCCCCCAGGCTCAAAATTGTTTTATTTGGGAAACAACTGGAGAAATCTAAGGATGAACTTGGGTAATATAAAGGAATTGTAATACTGGCATAATCATGTAGAAAACTCTGATCATTAAGAGATTTAACCTTAATGATGACATCTTCCAGTCATTCACACAGAGAAAAAGACTTGTTTTGTTGAGATAACAAGTATAGTGGCCTTTATTGCATTCTTCTCTCAATTTGTTTCATGTTAAAAAAAAAAAAACTGTCATTTCCGCCGGGTGCAGTGGCTCATGCCTGTAACCCCAACACTTCGGGAGGCCGAGGCAGGCCGATCACCTGAGGTCAGGAGTTCGAGACCAGCCTGGCCAACATGGCGAAACCCTGTCTCTACTAAAAATACAAAAAATTAGCTGGGCATGCTGGTGGGCGCCTGTAATTCCAGCTACTTGGGAGGCTGAGACAGGAGAATCACTTGAACCCAGGAGGCGGAGGTTGCAGTGAGCTGAGATTGAGCCACTGCACTCCAGCCTGGGCAACAAGAGCAAAACTTCATCTCAAAAAAAAAAAGTCATTTAAAAAGTTATATGTTGGCCAGGCACAGTGGCTCATGCCTGTAATCCAAGCACTTTGGGAGGCCGAGGTGGGCAGATAACTTGAGGTTGGGAGTTTGAGACCAGCCTGACCAACATGGAGAAACCCTAAAAATACAAAATTAGCCGGGCGTGGTGGCACATACCTGTAGTCCCAGCTACTCGGGAGGCTGAGGCGGGAGAACCTGGGAGGCGAAGGTTGCAGTGAGCAGAGATCCTGCCACTGCACTCCAGCCTGGGCAACAGAGTAAGACTCCACCCCCCCCCAAAAATAATAATAGTAAAAATAATGATAATAAATGTTTGTATACTCACAAGAACATTACCAAATGTATGTTACTTGGCAGTGGAGCAATTACCAGGAACTTTTACTTTCTACATTATATATTTTGATGGTGTTTAATTCATTTGTAATGACCCTAAATAATTTTATAATAAACCTGATTAATTTTGTAATCAGATAAAATCAAATACAAATTTTCTGCAAAAACTTTTTGTTCTAACTGCATGCTCATGCCTAGGAATCTTTCCTCTGGGAATTTAGCCCAAATAAATTATAATACTTAAGAACTACATTATCAAGCATCCATGCAGAAATGGTAAAACGTTACTGGGCGTGGTGGCACAACTGTAATCCCAGCACTTTGGAAGGCCGAGGCGGGCGGATCACGAGGTCAGGAGATCGAGACCATCCTGGCTAACACGGTGAAACCCCGTCTCTACTAAAAAATACAAAAAATTAGCTGGGCGTGGTGGCAGGCGCCTGTAGTCCCAGTTACTCGGGAGGCTGAGGCAGGAGAATGGCATGAACCCAGGAGGCAGAGCTTGCAGTGAGCCAAGATCGCACCACGGCACTCCAGCCTGGGCAACAGAGCGAGACTCCATCTCAAAAAAAAAAAAAAAAAAGAAATGGTAAAATGTTATATAGAAGGAGTAATGAAATGGAGGCCAGGCATTGTGGCTCACACCTGTAATCCCAGGACTTTGGGAGGCAAGGAAGGTGGATCACGAGGTCAGGAGTTTGAGATCAGCCTGGCCAACATGGTGAAACCCCTGTTTCTACTAAAAATACAAAAATTAGCCAGGCATGGGGTGGTGTATGCCTGTAGTCCCAGCTACTCGGGAGGCTGAGGCAGGAGAATAGCTTGAACCCGGGAGGCAGAGGATGCAGTGAGCAAAGATCACACCACTGCACTCCAACCTGAGTGACAGAGTGAGACTCTGTCTCAAAAAAAAAAAAAAAAGAAGTTTCTTATGGATTAGGAGGAAGACAATATGGGACGGAGACATACATAGAGGATTCAACAATATTGGCAATGTTCTATTTCTTCTGTGTGTATGTTTTGTTTTTTGTTTGTTTTAACACAGGGTCTCACTCTGTGAACCTGGGTGGATTGCAGCGGCCTGACCACTGATCACAGCTCAATGCAACCTCAACCTCCTGGGCTCAAGCAATCCTCCCACCTCAGGCTCCAGAGTAGCTGGGACTACAGGCATGTGCCACCACACCCGGCTGGCAATGCTTTATTTCTTAACTGCACGGTGATTGAGTGTTCTTTTTACTTTTTTTTGAGACGTCTTGCTCTATCACCCAAGCCAGAGTGCAGTAGCGCTTTCTTGGCTCACTGCAACCTCTGCCTCATGGGTTCAAGTGATTCTCCATCTCAGCCTCCTGAGTAGCTGGGATTACAGGTGTCCAGCTAATGTTTGTATTCTTATTTTATTTTATTTTTTGTTATTGTTGTTGGAGACAGAGTCTTGCTTTGTCCCCCAGGCTGGAGTGCAGTGGTGCAATCTTGGCTCACTACAGCCTCTGCCTCCTGGGTTCAAGCAATTCTCCTACCTCAGTCTCCTGAGTAGCTGGGATTACAGGCGTCCAGCACCACACCCGACTAATTTTTGTATTTTAGTTTAATTTAATTTAATTTAATTTTTTTGGAGACAGAGTCTTGCTCTGTCACCCAGGCTGGAGTACAGTGGTGTGATCTCGGCCACTGCAACCTCTGCATCCTGGGTTCGTTCTCTTGTCTCAGCCTCCCAAGTAGCTAGGATTACAGGCACCTACCACCACGCCCGGCTAATTTTTGTATTGTTTTTTTTAGTAGAGATGGGATTTCACCACGCTGGCCAGGCTGGTATTGAATTCCTGACCTCAGGTGATCCGCCCACCTTGGTATCCCAAAGTGCTGGGATTATAGGCATAAGCCACTGCGCCCAGACTAATTTTTGTTGGTTTTGTTTTTTTTTTTTTTTTGAGATGGCATCTCGCTGTGTCACCCAGGCTGGAATGCAATGGTGCAATCTCGGCTCACTACAAGCTATGCCTCCTGGGTTCATGCCATTCTCCTGCCTCAGCCTCCAGAGTAGCTGGGACTACAGGTGCCCACTGCCATGCATGGTTAATTTTTTTGTATTTTTAGTAGAGACGGGGTTTCACCCTGTTAGCCAGGATGGTCTCGATCTCCTGACCTCGTGATCAGCCCGCCTTGGCCTCCCAAAGTGCTGGGATTACAGGCGTGAGCCACCGTGCCTGGCCTAATTTTTGTATTTTTAATACAGATGAGGTTTTATCATGTTGGTCAGGCTGGTCTCGAACGCCTGACCTCAGGTGATCCACCTGCCTTGGCCTCCCGAAGTGTTGGGATTACAGTCGTGAGCCAATACACCCATCCAAGTGTTCTTTTTCTAATAATTCTTAACTGCACAAATGTCTTATAGACAGACTTACATGAATATTTCACAACCTAAAGTTTAAGCCTGGGCAATAGAGTGAGACTATCTCAAAATAAATAAAAAATAATAAAATAATAAGGGGCCAGGCACAGTGGCTCACATCTGTAATCCCAGCACTTTGGGAGGCTGAGGCAGGCAGATCACTTGAGTTCGGGAGTTTGAGACCAGCCTGACAAACATGGTGAAACACCGTCTCTACCAAAAATATAAAAAATTAGCTGGGCGTGGTGGCATGTGCCTGTAATCCCAGCTACTCGAGACACTGAGGCAGGAGAATTGCTTGAACCCAGGAGACAGAGGTTGCAGTGAGCCGAAATTGTCACCACTGCACTCCAGCCTGGTGACAGAGCAAGACTCCATCTCAAAAGCAAAATAATAATAATAAAATAATAAAACAAATTAAAAAAAAAAGAAAAAGACACTTAATAATAAATGTCTAGGCCCAGTGCAGTGGCTCACACCTGTTATCCAGCACTTTGGGAGGCTGAGGCAGGAGGATCCCTTGAGGCCAGGAGTTGGAGACCAGCCTGGGAAACAGGGAGACTCTGTATCTACATAAACGAACAAACAAATAGTATCTAGGTCCCAGCTGCTCATGCCACTGTACTCCAGCCTGGGCAACAGAATAAGATTCTGTGTCAAAATAAAACAAAAACAAAAACAAAAAAAGAAAGAAAGAAAGAAAGAAAAAAGAGAGACAGAGACAGAGAGAAAGTAAAAAAGAAAGCATTTTAAAAAGATATTAGAAGTAATTACAACCATACAGAAAAGGACACAGCATTTTTCCTCCCATTTTCAGTTTTGCTTGTTTTGTTTTGTTTTGTTTGAGATAGGGTCTCACTCTCTTTTTCTTTTTTTTTTTTTTTTTTTTGAGATGGAGTCCCGCTCTGTTGCCTAGGCTGGAGTGCAGTGGTACAATCTCAGCTCACTGCAACCTCTGCCTCCCGGGAGGTTTACCTGATCAGCTTGGAGAAACCCCGTCTCTACTAAAAATATAAAATTAGCCAGGTGTGGTGGTGAATGCCTTCAAGCAATTCTCCTGTCTCAGCCTCCTGAGTAGCTGGGACTACAGGTGTCTGCCACCACGGCTGGCTAATTTTTGCATTTTTAGTAGAGACAGGGTTTCACCTTGTTGGTCAGGCTGGTCTCAAACTCCTGACCTTAGGTGATCCACCCACCTCGGCCTCCCAAAGTGCTGGGATTACAGGCGTGAGCCACCGTGCCCGGCCATCTCACTCTCACTCTGTTGCCCAGGCTGGAATGCAGTGGCGCCATCTCGTTTCACTTCACTCTGGGCCTCCTGGACGCAGTGATCCTCCCACCTCAGTCTTCTGAGTAGATGGGACTGCAGGCATGTAGACACCAAGCCGGGCTCTTTTGTATTTTGTAGGCACGGGGTCTCCTCATGTTTCCGAGGCTGGTCACAAACTCCTGGGCTCAAGCGATCCACCTGTCTCAGCCTCCCAAAGTGCTGGGATTACAGGTGTGAGCCACTACACTTGGACCCATTTAAGTATTTCTTCAACAGTTATAAACAGGTAAATTCAAATCTGGGACTGCATTACTTCAATATTATGAATTCCATAGGTCCAAAAAGATTGGTGTTACACAACTAAAAACAACAGTGAATTTTACAATCATACAATCAAGGAAGGTTGTAAAGACCAACACAGCTCAGTGTAAGGCATTTTATGAAAATAAATAAAAATCACACCAGAAAACCATGTGATCTCCTGATCTGTGAACACTGAAGTTTTTCTGTTAAAGTCACAACCTGACCCTCAAATATCTCTAATCTATGCCTCTGTGGAACGTTTACAAGTAGCCTTTTGTGACCTGCTTTTAAGCGACTTTGATGCCTGCTAACAAATGAGATGGCAGCAGCAAAAACTAATGGGACTTTTGAGAACACAAGTCTCCTGTGTGTGAAGCCTCGGCAGGCATTCTACATGTGGACCTTAATAAAAAAGCCATTTCTGCAAGGCTTCTTGGTATTTTCTTTGCAAAACTGTTTCAAACAAATCTGCTTGAGACAGTGCAATCATGGGGACTAGATACTGGATAAAATATAGTCAACAAAGGACCCTTGCCAGGAGTGGACACACTTGGCTAGTAGAAATTCAAATAAAAACTGAGAACTTCTAAATTTAACAATTAATTGAAAATAAGTAAAATCCAAGTGTTGGGCCAATAATAAACGAGATCAATAACTACAGTCTACTAAAAGGGAAGAAAATTTAACTGACGTTGTAAGAGAACATACAGTAAGAAAAAGAAAATAAGGCCGGGCACAGTGGCTCATGCCTGTAATCCCAGCACTTTGGGAGGCCAACACGGGCGGATCATCTGAGGTCAGGAGCTCGAGGCTAGCCTGGCCAAAATGGCGAAACCCTGTCTCTACTAAAAATACAAGAACTAAGCTGGGCATGGTGGCTCACGCCTGTAATCCCAGCACTTTGGGATGCCGAGGCAGGCGGATAACCTGAGGTCGGGAGTTCAAGACCAGCCTGACCAACATGGAGAAATCCTGTCTCTACTAAAAATATAAAATTAGCCTGGTGTGGTGGTGAATGCCTGTAATCCCAGCTACTCGGAAGGCTGAGGCAGGAGAATCACTTGAACCTGGGAGGCGGAGGTTGCGGTAACCCAAGATCGCACCACTGCACTCCAGCCTGGGCAATAGAGCAAGACTCCTTCTCAAAAAAAAAAAAAACCCCACAAAATACGTGTGTTAAAACTATTATATTATATTGCTTCATGAAAATATTTCACAAATGGGGGAGGCAGGGAACATGTACACAAGTCAGGTGAAAAATACGGAAATGTCTGGGGGGTAATAATCCAAGGCTGAAATTCAAAGGAAAAAGTGCTAGAAAAGGATTTAGGGTGGCAGCAGGCAACACATCACACAGCAGTGTAGCTGGTATTAGAAAACAACACCAGAAAATGAAATAATCTTCTTTATATATGCCAAGGAAAAGTCGCTTTGAGCTACTTATGTATGTGGTAGGCTGTTTCCTCCTCCCCTCTATCCAACAGTTCTATTTTTATACCTTAGAACCTGAGATGTCGAGTCAAAAACACTCTTCTTTAACCTTTCATATATCTGTCAGTAATAGTTTATAGCCCACAGAATAAAATAAATAGCTGTACATTCATACTAATATAACAAATAATTGAATGAATAAAGAAATGGGAGAAAAATGACAGCACTTTTTTTTTTTACAGTAGAATTTCCATTAGTAGATGTAAAAGGAATGGTAGAAACAGAAAATGACCATTTGGTAAACACTACATTAATAAGTGTTGGAGGCAAAGTAGATGCTAAATACAATTAAAAGACTTACATAGTCTCCAAGTATCTCCCCACAATATATTAATATTTGTTAATTACAAAGGGAAACAGCAATTTTACAGAGGTGAAACCTGGCCAAGGATCTCTATAAAACCCTTAAGCCAAGAGATCAAAGTTATCCCAGATAATGTGATTTTTCTGACATCATACACAGAGCAGGGCACCTAACTCCTGTGGATTATTGCCAAAAACACATACCCTAAATTTAATTATGAGGAAGCACCAAACAAGCCCAATTTCAGTAGCCAGGTGCTCACGCCTATAATCCTAGCACCCTGGGAGGCTAGGGTGGGAGGGTCCCTTGAGGCAGAGTTTGAGACCAATCTGGGCAACACAGTGAGGCCCTGTCTCTACAAAAATTTTCTTAAAAACTAATTTCAGGGACATTCTACAAAATAATGGACCAGGATTCTTTAAAACTGCCAATGTCATGAAAGGCAAGCACTGAGAAACTATGTTGAGAGAGAACTGTGGAACCGTTCAACACTGAGGAACCGTGTAGAACTCTGTGGAGATCAAGGAGAAATGACAACTAAAGGCAATGAGGGGCCAGGCACGGTGGCTCACGCCTATAATCCCAGCACTTTGGGAGGCGAGGCAGGCAGATCACCTGAGGTTAGGAGTTCAAGACCAGCCTGGCCAACATGGCAAAACTGTCTCTACTAAAAAAAAAAAAAAAATACAAAAATTAGCTGGGCCTGGTGGCAGTCACCGTAATCCCAGGTACTCAGGAGGCTGAGGCAGGAGAATTGTTAGAACCTGGGAGGTACAGACTGCAGTGAGCCAAGATCATGCCACTGCACTGCATCCAGTCTGGGCAACAGAACAAGGCCCTGTTGAAAGAAGGAGGGAGGGAAGGAAGGAAGGAAAGAAGGGAGGGAGGGAGGGATAGAGAAAGGAACAGAAATGCAGTGAGGTATCCTACATTGAATCTGGCACCCAAAAAAGGACATTAGTGGGAAAATTGGCCAAATTTGAGTTACATCTTCAACATAGTTAATAACACTGTGTTACTGTTAACATCCTGGTTTTGATTATGATACTAAGGTTATGAAAGATAACATTTGGGGATGTTGGGCAAAGGGTATAAGAGAATTCTTTGTATTATTTTTGCAATCATTTTGTAAATATCAAATGATATCCAAATAAAAAAGAGACAAACATGTAACTATCGCAGCTTAGAGCCTATACTCCTGTTCCCAAGACTCTTTTTCTCCCTCAAGGCTCAACTTTATTTATTTATTTATCTTTTTTTTGAGACAGAGTCTTGCTCCATTGGCAGGCTGGAGTGCAGTGGCACAATCTCAGCTCACTGCAATCTCCACCTCTCGGATTCAAGCAATTCTTCTGCCTCAGCCTCCTGAGTAGCTGGGACTACAGGTGCGTGCCACCACACCCGGCTAATTTTTGTATTTTTAGTAGAGACGGGGTTTCACCATATTGGCCAGGATGGTCTCGATCTCTTGACCTCGTGATCTACCCGCCTTGGCCTCCCAAAGTGCGAGATTACAGGCATGAGCCACCACGCCCGGCCAAGGCTCAACTTTAAATAGAACTTTTATAGATAGGGAATGGATTTCACAATGTTAACAATGTTGATCACTCAGTTCTTTTTTTTTTTGAGATGGAGTCTCTGTTGCCCAGGCTGGAGTGCAGTGGCCTGATCTCTGCTCGCTGCAACCTCTGCCTCCCTGGTTCAAGCAAGTCTCCTGCCTCATCCTCCCGAGTAGCTGGGATTACAGGTGCACGCCACCACACCTGGCTCATTTTTGTATTTTTAATAGAGAGAGGGTTTCACCATGATGGCCAGACTGGTCTCAAACTCCTGACCTCATGATCCACCCCGCTCAGCCTCCCA
This sequence comes from Homo sapiens, assembly GCF_000001405.40. Taxonomy (NCBI): domain Eukaryota; kingdom Metazoa; phylum Chordata; class Mammalia; order Primates; family Hominidae; genus Homo; species Homo sapiens. Next base: position 56,721,270 of record NC_000007.14, read on the forward strand.
AAGTACTGGGATTACAGGTGTGAGCCACCGCACCCAGCCTGATCACTCAGTTCTTTAATCCTAAGGTTAGCCTTTGTGTTCTTCATTATAATTTGAAATTTCTTTGATTTTATTAAAGCCTCACTACAGAAAAAAATTGAAAATGCAACAGATGTAGAGAAGAAAAACCAGAAGAAACACCCCAAATCATCTACTCAGGGGAAACTAGTATGTAATTAGCCAGATTCCTTTTTATTTTATTTTATTTATTTTTTTGAGATGGAGTCTCGCTCTGTCACCCAGGCTGGAGTGCAGTGGTGCAATCTTGGCTCACTGTAACCTCCGCCTCTGGGGTTCAAGCTATTCTCCTGCCTCAGCCTCCAGAGTAGCTGGAACTACAGGCACACGCCACCATGCTCAGTTAATTTTTGTATTTTTAGTAGATACGGGGTTTCAGCATGTTGCCTAGGCTAGTCTCAAACTCCTGAGCTCAGGTGATCTGCCTGCCTCAGTCTCCTAAGGTGCTGGGATTACAAGTGTGAGTCACAGAGTCCAGCCTTTTTTTTTTTTGAGATGGTGTCTTGCTCTGTTGCCCAGGCTGGAGTGCAGTCTCAGGATCTCAGCTCTCTGTAACCTTTGCCTCCTGGGTTCAAGTGATTCTTGTGCCTCCTGAGTAGCTGGGATTATAGGTGCGTGCCACTACACCTGGCAAATTTTTGTATTTTTAGTAAAGAAGGGGTTTAACCATGTTGCCCAGGCTGGTCTTGAATTCCTGGGCTCAAGCAATCCACCCTACTCGGCCTTTCCAAAGTGCTAGGATTACAGGCATGAACCACAGCACCTGGCCCAATTATCTTTTTTTTTTTTTTCTTGAGACGGAGTCCCAATCTGTCACCAAGGCTGGAGTGCAATGGCCTGATCTCGGCTGACTGCAACCTCCGCCTCCCGGGTTCAAGCAATTTTCCTGTCTCAGCCTCCCGAGTAGCTGGGATTATAGGCACACACCACCACGCCTGGCTAAATTTTGTATTTTTAGTAGAGATGGGGTTTCACCGTGTTGCCCAGGCTGGTCTCTAACTCCTGAGCTCAGGCAATCCACCCACCTTGGCCTCCCAAAGTTCGATATTTTTTTAAAATCACCGTTCACTCAAGTACATGAACCTGGCCGGGTGCAGTGGCTCACACCTGTAATCCCAGCACTTTGGGAGGCCAAGGCAGGCAGATCCCCTGAGGTCAAAAGTTCGAGACCACCCAGGCCCACATGGAGAAACCCTCTCTCTATTTAAAATACAAAAATATTAGCCAGGTGTGGTAGTGTGCGCCTGCAATACCCGCTACTCCTGAGGCTGAGGCATGAGAATTACTTGAACTCAAGAGGCAGAGGTTGCAGTGAGATGAGGATATGCCACTGCACTCTGGCCTGGGTGACAGAGCCAGACCCTGTCTGTTAAAAAACTAAAAATAAGAAACCTGGGTTCAAGCAGTCCTCCCACCTCGGCTTCCCAAAGTGCTGAGAATACAAGCAAGAGCCACCATGCCTGGCTAACGGTTTTTAACACGAAAAGCATAAGTACCCAAAGAAAAAGATAAACTGAACACAACCAAAATTATGAGACCATAACTAACAGAATAAAATATTTGCAAACCATACATTTGATAAAGGAATTGTGTGTAGTACACGTAAAGTACTATTATAATTCAATAATAAACAGTCAAATGGCTTAATTTAAATATGAATAGACAGTTCTCCAAAGAAAACATACAAATGGCCAAGAGGCACATGAAAAGAAGATAAATATCATTAGCCATCAAGATACCGGTTTACCACCAACTAGGAGGGATAAAATTTTTAAGATGGACATTAACAAGCATTGACCAGGATGTAGAGAAACTGGACCTTTCTTTTTTTTTTTTTTCGGGGAAAACTGTGTATATTTATGCTTAAGTTTGATGAAAAATGGATAATTATGCAGAAGAATTACAACTGGAAGAAAACAGGGCATAATCTAATGGTAATAAATGGGGGAACTTAGCAAGTCCTGTTTGTTCAGATTCTTCTTGGTGTCCCTGTGTGATATTCCTTCCCTCCAAGTGTGGGGCACACCACCTGTCACAGGAAGGTCTTCAGGGGAGAAGAGAAGGGGAAGGTCAGAGACCTTTCTGCTTTTGCTGTTTTCTCAATTGCCAAGCTGCCATACTTTGGGGTAGCATTTCTTGTACCACTTTCTGGCCAAGGACTTGTATTTAATCCCAATATGCCAACCCCTGGAATCTCAGCCTTTCTCCATGTGCATCTTTCTTCCTCCATGTGTATTCACTTGAGGGCCTCTCATGCTTGTGACTGGCGGAAACTGGATCATTTGCTCTCCTCCTGCTTGGCTTTATTCCAACCTCTCTTGCTCCTCTCTGAGTTACACTCTGAGGAGTGTAACCACCTTCTGTTCTGATCCTGATCCTGGATGAGCTTAGAAAGAATTCAGGACGCAGACACATGTGCGTGGGTTAAGGAGTGGAAAGTTTAATAGACAGAAGGAAGGAGAGAGAAGTGCAGCTCCTTGTGTGTGTGAGAGAGAGACCTCACAAAAAGAGAGAAACTGGACCTTTCATCCATTGGTACTGGGAATGTAAAAGGATGAAGCTGCTTTGGAAAGCTCTGGCAGTTCCTTTTAAAGTGAAGCATAGAGTTCACATTGGAACCAGTAGTTCCATTGCTTGGTATGTACCCAAGAAGAGTGAAAACACGTCCACACAAAAACTTCTACATAAATGACTATAGCATGATTCTTCATAGTAGTAAAAAAGTGAGGAGGGGTGGTGACAAATGGCAAACAACTGGAGGATATAGAAATAAAATGAGCTATATACATACATTGAAACATTACTCAAGAAAAGTAGTGATATATGCTGCAACAGGGATAAACTTGGAAAAGATTATGCTAAGTGAAAGAAGTCCGTCACAAAGTATCATGTACTATATGATGCCACTGTTTGAAATGTCTGGAATAGGCAAATCCAGAGACAGGAAGTACACTAGTGGTTGCCAAGGGCTGGGGTGAATGGAGGGATTGGGAAATGACAGCTAAGGAGAACAGGGTTACTTCTTATGGTATTACCATAGAACATTTAGAAAATGTTCTAAAATTTATTGTCATGATAGATGCACATTGGTGAATGAACTAAAAGCCATGGAATTGTACATTTTATTTTATTTATTTATTTATTTATTGAGATAAAGTCTCACTATGTTTGTTTGTTTGTTTATTTTTTTTTTGAGACAAAGTCTCGCTCTGTCGCCCAGGCTGGAGTCCAGTGGCATGACCTCGGCTCACTGCAACCTCCGCCTCCCAGGTTCAAGCAATTCTCCCTGAGGCTGTGGCAGGAAGGCAGAATCGCTTGAATCTGGGAGGCGGAGGTTGCAGTGAGCCGAGATTGAGCCACCGCACTCCAGCCTGGTGACAGAGCAAGACTCCGTCTCAAAAAAAAAAAAGAGTGAATTGTATAGTATACAAATCATATCTCAATGAGACTAGGGGAGCCAGTCATCAAAACTCATTGAATAATATACTTGTGATCTGAGTATTTCACAATATGTAAAATACACTTCAAAAACTAATGCCGCAAGGCTAGGCATGGTGGCTCACACCTGTAATCCCAGCACTTCGGGAGGCTGAGGCAGGTGGATCACCTGAGGTCAGGAGTTCGAGACCAGCCTGGCCAACATGGTGAAACCCCGTGTCTACTAAAAAATATAAAAATAGCCAGGCGTGGTAGTGGGCACCTGTAATCCCAGCTATTCGCCAGGATGAGGCAGGAGAATTGCTTGAACCCAGGAGACAAATGTTGCAGTGAGCTAACATGGTACCATTGCACTCCAGCCTGGGTGACAGAGTGACACTCCATCTCCAAAAAACAAACAAATAAAAAAAATTAATGCCACTTGCACAGCATGGTAAATACAGCTAATAATAGTGTATTGTATTGTGCACTGCAAACTTGCTGAGAGAATAAATTTCAAGTGTTCTCACCACAAAAGTTATTTGAGGTGATAAATATGTAAATTAAACTTTCCACATTGTATTCATGAAAATGCAATGTTGTTTTGTACCCCATAAATATACACAACTATTGTTTGTCAATTTACAATAAAAATAAACTTTAAAAATAATTCTGCCATTCAAAATGAATGGGTATGGTTGGGTGCAGTGGCTCACACCTGTAACCCCAGCATTTTGGGAGGCCAAGGCTGGCAGATCACTTTAACTCAGGAGTTTGAGACCAGCCTGAGCAAAAATGTGAGACCCCCCTGTCTCTAGAAAAACTATAAAAAATTAGCCAGGCATGGTGGAGAGCATCTGTGTTCCCAGGTACTTGGGAGGCTGAGGTGGGAGGATCACTTAAGCCCAGGAGGTGGAAGTTACAGTGAGCTGAGCTTGTACCACTGCACTCCAGCCTGGGTGACAGAGTGAGACTCCGGCTCAAAAAAAGAGAAAAATGAAAGGGGTGGACACGTGTATATACTACACATATGTAACTATAGAGATACTTGCATTTATATAGACTATACCTAGAAGCATACCCACAAAACTATCAAGACTATGCACCTCTGATATATGAAACTAAGGTTGAAAGAAGGGAGGAACAAGTATACAGGGGAACACTTCCTTTTCCTTTGTACCTTTAATTTCTTTCAACAGTGTTTTTCACAATTTATAACTTTTTTTGAGACAGAGTCTCACTCTATCACCAGGCGGGAGTGCAGTGGCACGATCTCAGCTCACTGCAACTTCCACCTCCTGGGTTCAAGCAATTCTCGTGCCTCAGCTTCCCAAGTAGCTGGGATGGTGGGCATGCATCACCACACCTGGCTAATTTTTATATTTTTAGTGGAGGCGGTGTTTTACCATGTTTGCCAGGATGGTTTCGATCTCCCGACCTCATGATCTGCCCACTTTGGCCTCCCAAAGTTCTGGGATTACAGGCATGAGCCACTGCACCCGGCCAATTTATAGCTATTTGTTTATTTATTTATTTATTTATTTATTTTGAGACGGAGTCTTGCTCTATTGCACCCATACTGGAGTGCAGTGGCGTGATCTTGGCTCACTGCAACCTCTGCCTCCTGGATTCAAGCAATTCTCCTGTCTCAGCCTCCCAAGTAGCTGGGATTACAGGCGCCTGCCACCATGCCCGGCTAGTTTTTTGTATTTTTAATAGAGACAGGGTTTCGCCATGTTGGCCGGGCTGCTGTCAAACTCCTGACCTTAGGTGATCCGCCCACCTCGGCCTCCCAAAGTGCTGGGATTACAGGTGTGAGCCACTGCGCCCAGCCCTATAACTATTTTTAAATAAATTCACTGAATTTCCTTGTACTTAATTATTTATTTGCTTTTTAAGAGACAGGGTCTAGCTCTGTCACCCAAGCTGGCATGAAGTGGCAAGATCATAGCTCATTACAGCCTTGAAATCCTGAGCTCAAGTGATCCTCCCAGCTCAATCTCTGAAAGTGCTGAGATTACACCGTGAGCTACCAGGCCGGGTCCAGATTTCCTTTTAAATCATTCTGATTAATTTGCATTTTCCTTCATAACAAATTAATTTTGACTACACTTTGGCACATTGCCCTTGGATCATCAGTTGTACATAGGATTGTAATATACTTCTGCTATTACCATAAGCTAAAAGTTTCACTTAGAGGTAATTTTTGTGTTTGTACCTTCCCTGAAGGGCATTTTCTGCTGTTTCATATCTGGTACATAAATCTTTTTTCTTTTGTTCACAGCTAGGTGGTCCCAGATTAGGGGATTCGGTTGTCATGCGTTAATTGGTTATCTTCTATTTTACTTTATCTCCATGGAGTTTCAGCATTGGGCTTCTTTTATTTGTATTAAGGTCCTGGTAAGATAAAGTTGTGTGGAAGACAAGAGCAGGAAAAGCAAGATAAAGAAGGAATGAAGTCTATGTCACATTCCCTTGGAATTCTATGCCGAGTTAGCCGCAGTCCCTAATACCTATTTATTTTTCCAACATCCCAGTTACCACAGCCACATTTTACCATACAGTAACCCGACTCCAACTTTCTCAAACCAAAATTAACCATTTTACTTCACTGTGCAATAGGACATTGATCTAGTTTAAGTGAGAGTATAAACTAGATTTTATGAGTAGAGTGACACAAGAAGCCATAAGCATTTTTCACTATTACTTAAAAGGTTTTACTCCTTTACTCTTAAAAACTCAAGAGGTACCATTTCTATGCACCCCCAACCCCAAAATTCAAAGCCGGGTATGGTAACTAATGCCTGTAATCCCAATGCCTCAAGAGGATCACTTGGGCCCAGGAGTTTGAGGCTGCAGTGAGCCATAATTGCACTACTCGCATGCCTATAGTCCCAGCTACTGAGGAGGCTGAGGCAGAAGAATCACTTGAACCTCGGAGGTGGAGGTTGTGGTAAGCTGACATCGTGCCATTGCACTACAGCCTGGGCAACAAGAGTGAGACTCTGTCTCAAAAAAAAAAAAAAAAAAAAAAAAGATCCTCAGTGGATGCTAAAAACCAATCAGAATTAACAGTATATTGGCATAGTCTTAATCTATCTTCTCAGGCTGGGCTTGGTAGGGTGTCCTTGAATCCCCAGCACTTTGGGAGGCTGAGGCAGAAGGATCGCTTGAGGCTGGAAGTTCGAGACCAGACGGGGCAATATAACCAGACTCCATCTCTGTAAAAAAGTTTAAAAATTATCTGGGCATGGTGACATGCACCTGTAATCCCAGCAATTTGGGAGGCTGAATCGAGAGGATCATGTGAGCCCGAGTGTTTGAGACTGCAATGAGCTGTCATTGAGCTACTGCACTACAGCCAGGGTGAGAGTGAGACCATGTCTCATTAAAAAAAAAAAAAAAACTTCTCAAAAGATTGCTTAGTTACAAAATGAAAGACTAACTTAGTACTGGAGAAACCTGGCAGATACCACCTTAACCAAGTGATCTGTTAAGGTCACAAATTGACTTATGTGTCTCCAGACAAGATGCTGCAGTGATCACAAACTCACTTCTGTGGTATTCTTGTGACAACGCATAACTTGAATGTAATCATCAGCAAATGCAAAACTCAATTTGAGGGAAATTCTACAAAAAATAGCTGACCTGTACTCTTGGAAAATATCAGGTTGAAAAGACTAAAGAGACATAGCAACTGAATGCAATGCATAATGAGCATCTGATGTATAAGGTATTAGGACAATTGGTGAAATCTGAATAGGTTCTGATGAGTAAATTAGATAACAGCATTGTATTAATGTTAATTTCCTTATCAGGAGATTAATAATAGCATTGTATCAATGTTAATTTCCTTATCAGTACATTAGATAATAATATCATCGTGTCAATGTTCATTTCCTTAATTTGATGATTGTACAGTAAGTTAAGTAAGATGTCCTTATTTACAGGAAATACTCTAGCAAGGAGTTTAAGAAACACTGTTCTTGGGCCGGGTACGGTGCCTCACACCTGTAATCCCAGCACTTTGGGAGGCTGAGGCGGGTGGATCATGAGGTCAGGAGTTCAAGACCAGCCTGGCCAACATGGTGAAACCCCATCTCTACTAAAAATACAAAAATTAGCTGGGTGTGGTGGCGCCACCTGTAGTCCCAGCTACTCAGGAGGCTGAGGCAGGATAATCTCTTTTTTTTTTTTTTTTTTTTTTTTGAGATAGAGTCTCACTCTATCACCCAGGCTGGAGTGTAGTGGCACAATCTTGCCTCACTGCAACCTCTGCCACCCAGGTTCAACCAATTCTCCTGCCTCAGCCTCCTGAGTAGCTGGGATTACAGGTGCCTGCCACCGCGCCGGCTAACTTTTGTATTTTTAGTAGAGACGGGGTTTCACCATCTTGGCCAGGCTGGTCTTGAACTCCTGACCTCGTGAGAGGCAGTATAATCTCTTGAACCTGGGAGGCAGAGGTTGCAGTGAGCCGAGATCATGCCACTGTACTCCAGCCTGGGGGATAGAGCGAGACTTTATCTCAAAAAAAAAAAAAAAATCACCATTCTGAAACTTACTCTCAAAGAATTCAGGATAAAAACTATGTGTGGAGAGAGAGAGAAAAAAATAACCCTGAGGGAAGGGTATAAGGCTGTGTACTATCTGTACAGCTTTCCTATTGTTTAAAAATTATGCCAGGCTGGGCACGTTGGCTCACCCCTGTAATCCCAGCACTTCAGGAGGCTGAGGTGGGCAGATCAGTAGGTCAGGAGTTTGAGACCAGCCTGGCCAACATGGTGAAACTCAGACTCTACTAAAAATACAAAAATGAGCCAGGTGTGGTGGCCCATGCCTATAATGCCAGCTACTCAGGAGGCTGAGGCAGGAGAATTGCTTGAACCCGGGAGGTGGATGTTGCGGTGAGCCGAGATCGCACCACTTCACTCTAGCATGGGCAAAAGAGTAAAACTCAAAACAAACAAACAAACAAAAAAATTATGCCATAAAAATGTTAAATTGTTTATGAAACACAAGAAAAAAGTAAGAACGGCTGGATGCGATGGCTCACGCCTGTAAGCCCAGGAGTTTAGGAGGCAAGGTGGGTGGATTGCTTGAGCTCAGGAGTTCGAGACCATCCTGGGCAACATGACAAAACCCTGTCTCTACAAAATATACTAAAATTAGCCAGGTGTGGTGGCACGTGCCTGTAATCCCAGCTACTCGGGAGGCTCAGGCACAAGAATTGCTTGAACCTGGGAGGTGGAGAATGCAGTGAGCATGCCTGTAGTCCTCTACTCAGGTGGCTGAGGCACAAGAATCGCTTGAACCTGGGAGGTGAAGGTTATATTGCAGAGAGCTGAGATTGTGACACTGCACTCCACCCTGGGTGACAGGGCAAGACTCTTGTCTCCAAAAAATAAATAAATAAGTGAGAAGAAAGGATGCTTTTTCATTTCAGAATTCAGCAAATCACATTTCTTGGGCAGTGAACTTGACTGAGTTTCCTGAAAAGTCAGGACAGAAATAAATACATTTTTTCCTTTCTCCACTTTTGAAGGAAAACACAGTACTTATACTGTCTTATTTCTGACCATGAATACAACATGAATTAATCTTCATTATTTCCCCCTAGAAATTCTATTGAGCAGAAATGAGCTGTTAGAACTTGTAGTATAATGGTATCATTTGTGATCATGTATAGCATCTTAGAAAATGTGGCCCAACTAAATCAGCATGGTCAGCATGGTCCTAAGTTGTTTTAGTGAAGTGATCAAACATCAGAGGCTTTAAATAAACCCTGAACAGGTGGATTAGATTTCTGATGGAATGTTCCAATCTTCAGTTCAGCTATTTTACACTATTCTTTAAGTGAGAGCATAAACCAGATTTCATGGGTGGAGGGACAAAATTAACATTTTGAAATAGCTTCTACTTATCTTAATCAGCAAATAACCTTCAAATAAGGTTCACCAAAATACTTCAACCCAGTAATGTTTTTTGAACGCTTCCCCATTGCTCTATTATACCACTACTTTTTTTTTCTTGTTGTTTTTGCAATGAGCCAATGATTAAGGCATTCTTTTTTCTTTCATTCCCTGATACCACCTGGGGTGGATGCAGCAGATCAATTTAACCTCTGAGTTTACCCAACTGCAATATTTTTTCCAATCTGCTAATCTCCTCCAATTAGGAGCTTTGGACAGTCTCCAACAAAGACTCCAACAGTTAAACATAGATTGGACAACCTACTTGAAACTTACTGAAATTTAGTGTCAGTTACCCAAATCAATTGACCTTCAAATCAAAACATTTTATTAAAAAATGGAACAAGTAGTCTATGCAATCATCATCAAAAAGAAAGATAACTTTTCTGTAGGTTTGGGTTCTTTTAAGTGTAAAATGTCAGAGAAAAATTAATCAAATTAAAATAAATGTATTAAATATGTATCTTGATTTGCCATAGCAATTAATTACAGAGAACATCAAGGCTGGCCCAATAATTTGAGAAAGTAGTTTTTCCTTTATACCAAGATGTCATCACACAAATTTTGTAGTTCTGACTTAACTAAAGTTAAGGTATAATGTGTATGAATTCAATTATTCATTAAAGAGATAAATGTATTGAGTTGTAACACAAGATATTCTGTTAGACACTGTGGAGAACAAAAAGGTGAATACTACTCAACCCTTAAATGATTTGTAACAAATAATAAAAGCAGCCGGGAGCGGTGGGTCATGCCTAAATTCTGGTCTAAGGTGGACAGATCAGTTGAGCTCAAGAGTTTGGGACCAGCCTGGGCAACATGGAGAAACCCTGTCTCTGTGAAAAATATAAAAATTAGCTGGGCATGGTGGTGTGCACCTGTAGTCCCAGCTACTTGGGAGACTGAGGTGGGAGGATCACTTGAGCCTGGGAGGTGAGGCTGCAGCGAGCCGAGATCACGCCACTGCACTCCAGCCTGAGTGACAATGTCAGACTCTGTCTCATAAACAAAAAAAACAAAAAAGACACACACATAGAATAATAAAGGCAACTAAAAACCTAACCAAATTAACAGGCTATAAAGGACTTTATTTTATTTTTTAGTTTTGAGACAGGATCTCACCAAGTTGCCCATGCTGGTCTCAAACTCCAGGGATCAGTGGATTCTCCAACCTTAGCCTCCCAAACTGCTGGGATTATAGGTGTGAACCACCACATACAGTCAGTTTTTAATTTAATTTTATTACTATTTTTTGAGGCAGGATCTTTTCTCTGTCAAGCAGGCTGCAGTGCAGTGGTATAATCGTGACTCACTGCAGCTTTGAACTCCAGGACTCAATCCATTCTCCCACCTCAGCCTCCTGCGTAGCTGGAACTACAGGCACACGCCACCACACCTGGCTAAGCTTTGTATTTTTTTGTAGAGATGGGGTTTCACCATGTTTTCCAGACTGGTGGATTTATAATCATAACAAAAACAATAACAATTATAGCTACCATTTATTGAACATCCACTATATGTGGGATAAATTCAGTCAATTATAAATTGTGTAATCTACCAAACAAACTTTGGGTTATTGTTCCCATTTTACAAATTATGAAAATAATTCTCAGAGAGTTCAACTAAATTTCCTGAGGTCACAGTGAGTAAATGGAAGGAGCAGAGCTTAAACCTAGGACTGTGTGACATTAAAGGTCATGCTGCTTCCACTGGTGATGCTAACACCACAAGGAGAAACAGTTAAAATTTTTAAATAAAGGCACAGCGCAGTGGCTCATGCCTGTAATCCCAGCACTTTGGGAGGCCGAGGCAGGTGGATCACCTGAGGTCAAGAGTTCCGGACCAGCCTGACCAACAGGAAGAAACCCTGTCTCTACTAAAAATACAAAAATTAGCCAGGCATGGTGGCGCATGCCTGTAATCCCAGCTACTAGGGAGGCTGAGGCAGGAGAACTGCTTGAATTCGGGAGGCGGAGGTTGTGGTGAGCCGACATCAAACCATTGCACTCCAGCCTGGGCAACAAATGCGAAACTCTGTCAAAAAATAAAAAATAAAATTAAATAAATAAAAATGATCAGGTAAAAAATGTTTCTTCTTTCAAAAATACAAAAAAAAATAAAAGCCCAGGTATTTAAGATTTTTATAACCTAGTAAAATCTTATGTGTTTTTTATCTGGAAGAAATCATTCTGAAGATACATAACTTGCAACATCACCATTAAACATATCCAGTTTCAAATATGTGTTCATCCCTATCTACCCTTTTTTTTTTCTGAGACAGAGTCACTCTTGTTTCCCAGGCTGGAGTCCAATGGTGCGATCTCGGCTCACCACAACCTCCGCCTCCCAGGTTCAAGTGATTCTCCTGCCTCAGCCTCCTGAATAGCTGGAATTACAGGCACGCCCCAATACACCCAGCTAATTTTTTTGTATTTTTAGTAGACACAGGGTTTCTCCATGTTGGTCAGGCTGGTCTCAAACACCACTCAGGTAATTCGCCCACCTTGGCCTCCCAAACGGCTGGGATTACAGGCGTGAGCCACCGCACCCAGCTGCCCTGTCTACCTTTATCTTTGCAACTGAGTTCTACAATTCAAATGAACTATCAACTGGGAAATTATTTTTCATATTGATGATATTCTGGTCTTTATAACAAAATCCTTAATTCTAGAAATGATGTACTTTATACATGAAAGAGGAAAGAGAAATTTTGTTATTTTCAAGATTTAAAATCTTATTTAAGGCTGAGCATGTGGCTCACACCTGTAATCTCAGTAGTTTGGGAAGCCGAAGCAGGAGGAATGCTTGAGGCTATGATTTCGAAACTAGCCTGGGAAACAGAGCGAGACCCGGTTTCTACAAAATTTAAAAGTGAGCCAGGTACAGTACAGGAGGTTAAGGTAGGAAGATTGCTTAAGCCCAGGAGTTTGAGGCTGCAGTGAGCTTTATCATGCCACTGCATTCCAGCCTGGGCCACAGAGTGAGACCCTGTCTCTAAAAAAAAAAAAAACAAAACACTCCACACCTTTTATTTAAGATATGCTTCATCAAGGCCAGGCATAGTGGTTCACACCTGTAATCCCACCACTTTGGGAGGCTGAGGCATGTGGATCACCTGAGCTCAGGAGTTCAAGACCAGCCTGGCCAACATGGTGAAATCTCATCTATACCAAAAATACAAAACTTAGCCGGGCGTGGTGGTGTGCGCCTGTCGTCCCAGCTAGTCGGGAGACTGAGACAGGAGAATCACTTGAACCTAGGAGGCAGAGTTTGCAGTGAGCCAAGATCGTGCCACTGCACTTTAGCCTGGGCAACAAAGTGAGAGAGTGAGACTCTGTCTCAAAAAAAAATAATAATAAAACAAAGAAAACAACAACAAGATATGCCTCATCACAAGTTAATAAAAACAGAAGTGACATTTTAAAAAGGAATGAAAAGTCTCTTTTGAATATAGGCTTATATTTCTCAATAAGGCTATCAAGTGAAGGTTTTAGCCTTCTTAGTAGCTAGGACTACATGAGTGTGCTACTGCACTTGGCTGAAATCCACTTTTTTTGGAAAGTTCACTTAATAAATGTATATATATTTTTCAGACGGAGTCTCATTCTGTCGACTAGGCTGCAGTGCAGTGGCACGATCTCGGCTCACTGCAACCTCCACCTCCTACTTTAGCCTCCCAAGTAGCTGGGATTACAGGCACACACCACAATGCCTGGCTAATTTGTGTATTTTTAGTAGAGATGGGGTTTCACCATGCTGGCCAGGCTGGTCTCAAACTCCTGACCTCGTGATACGCCCACCTCAGCCTCCCAAAGTGCTGGGATTACAGGCATGAACCACCACGCCCAGCCTAGTTCACTTAATAGTTTTACAAACATATATTACACCTTTGCTTGTAATTATAATCACTATTAAAAAATTACTAGCCAGGGCTGGGTGCAGTGGCTCACACCTCAGCACTTTGGGAGGCCAAGGTGGGCGGATCACAACGTCAGGAGTTCAAGCCCAGCCTGGCCAACATGGTGAAACCCTGTCTGTACTAAAATTACAGAAATTAGCTGGGCATGGTGGCGGGCACCTGTAATCCCAGCTACTCAGGAGGCTGAGGCAGGAGAATCGTTTGAACCTGGCAGACAGAGGTTGCAGTGAGCCGAGATCGCACCATTGCACTTCAGCCTGGGCGACAGGGTGAGGCTCTGTCTCAAAAACAAAACAAAACAAAAAAAAAACCCAACCAAACAAAAATTACTAGACAGGCAGGGAGCTCATGCCTGTAGTGCCAGTACTTTGGGTTTGCTTGAGCTCAGGAGTTTGACACCAGCCTGAGTAACATGGCGACATCTCATCTCTACCAAAAATATAAAAATTAGGCAGGTTTGGAGGTGCACACCTGTGGTCCCAGCTATTTGGGGGGCCGAGGTAAAAGATCAATTGATCTGGGAGGTCAAGGCTGTAGTGAGCCATGATCACACCAGTACACTCCAGCCTGGGTGACCAAGCGAGACCTTGTCTCAAAGAAAAAAAAAAAAAAAGTAAAAACAAAACACAGTATGCCAAGCTGTTCTAAACAGTTAACATTTCTTTTTTTTTTTTTTTTTTGAGACAGAGTCTTGCTCTGTTGCACAGGCTGGAGTGTGGTGGTGTGATCTCAGCTCACTGCAACCTCCGTCCCCCGGGTTCAAGCAATTCTCCTGCCTCAGCCTCCCGAGTAGCTGGGACTACAGGCGTGCACCACCACGCCCAGCTAATTTTTGTATTTTTAGTAGAGACAGGGTTTCACCATGTTGGCCAGGATGGTCTTGATCTCCTCACCTCATGATCCACCTGCCTCGGCCTCCCAAAGTGCTGGGATTACAGGCATGAGCCACTGCACTCGGACCAACATATTTTTTACTTTTGTGGGGGTTTATTTTTGTTGTTGTTTTTTGTTTGTTTTTTTGAGACAGAGTCTCACTGTCTCCCAGGCTGGAGTGCAGTGGCACAATCTCGGCTCACTGCAAGCTCTGCCTCCCAGGTTCTCACCATTCTCGCGCCTCAGCCTCCCAAGTAGCTGGGACTACAGGCGCCCACCACCATGCCTGGCTAATTTTTTTGTATTTTCAGTAGAGACGGGGTTTCACCATGTTAGCCAGGATGGTCTCGATCTCCTGACCTCGTGATCCGCCCGCCTCTGCCTCCCAAAGTGCAGGGATTACAGGCGTGAGCCACGGCACCCGGCCACTTTTGTGTTTTTTATTTTTTGAGAAGGAGTCGCCGAGGCTGGAGTACAGTGGGCATCTCGGCTCACTGCAACCTCCGCCCCCTGGGTTCAAGCAATTCTCCCACCTCAGCCTCCTGAGTAGCTGGAAGTACAGGTGACCACCATCATGCCCAGCTAATTTTTGCATTTTTTTTTTTTTTAGGACAGATGGGGTTTCACCATGTTGGCCAGGCTGGTTGAACTCCTGATCTCAAGTGATCCACCACCTCGGCATCCCAAAGTACTGAGATTACAGGCATGAGCCACTGCGCCTGGCATTTATTTATTTATTTATTTTACAAAAGTTTATTCTTAAATGTACAACAGCTCCAAGACAACACTTAATTCCAGCTATAGGTGGCAAAAGGTGTTATGGCAGGGAATACAGATGTTTCAATATGGATGAAATAAAGGGTTACCATTTCCTCAGGCACAAGCAACAGCTCACTTTTTGGCAAATTTCTTAATTCCACCTGTGGCCAGGGGCCACTTCCCCACGGCCTTCATGTTTAGCTCCTCGAGTTTCTTCTGCTCCTCTTTTTGTTTCTGCTTGAAAGCCTTATCTTCCTCGTCCTTCTCCTTGGCCTGCTTCTTGGGCTGTTTCAGGGCCTTCTTCTTGCCACCTTTGCTGCCAGACATGGTGCCTGCCATCCATTCCCCACCCATGGCCTTTGTGTTTTATAAATATATAGAGATGGGGCTTTGTCATATATATATATATATATATATATATATATATATATATATATATATAATAACGAAACTCCTAGAATAAGTTTAGTGCTTAATATCTGGTTTCCTAGAATTATGAAAATAATCTATACTTTAAGCAAATTCATGTGACATCACTAAATTTTACATACGATGATAAAAACTTCAGAAGTACAGAAAAGGAGTTACTACTTAAAACTACGGGCCAACATTTGAGGAGGCTAAGGCAGGAGGATTGCTTGAGCCCAGAAGTTCAAGATCACCCTGAGCAACACAGTGAAACCTGGTCTCTTCAAAAAATTTTTAAAATTAGTCAGGCTTGGTGGCACACAATTGGTGGCACTCAGGAGACTGAGGTGGGAGGATCACATGAGCCCAGTAGGTTTTGGCTGCAGTGAGCAGCTGCTGCACTCCAGCCTGGGTGAAAGAGTGAGACCCTGTCACAAAAAAATATAAACAAACAAAGAAACAAAACTACGGACCAGGAACGGTTGCTCATGCCTGCAATCCCAACAGTTTTGGAGGCCGAGGCAGGAGGATCACTTGAACCCAGGAGGTGGAAACCACCCTGGGAAACATTTCAAGACCCCTCCTTTATATTAAAAAACAAATTTTTTAAATTAAAAAATAAATATGGCCGGGCACGGTGGCTCGTGCCTGTAATCCCAACACTTTGGGAGGCTAAGGTAGGCGGATCACCTGAGGTCAAGAGTTGGTAACCAGCCTGGCCAACATGGTGAAACCCTGTCTCTACTAAAACTACAAAAAATTAGCTGGGTGTGGTGGCACGCACCTGTAGTCCCAGCTACTCAGGAGGCTGAGGCAGGAGAATCACTTGAACCCAGGAGACAGAAGTCACAGTGAGCCGAGATCGCACCACTGCACTACTGCCTGGGTGACAAAGTAAGACTCTGCCTCAAAAGTAAATAAATAAGTAAATAAATAAATAAATAGGCCACTGTTACCTCTGTTACCCACATTCTCTTCCATAGGCCATTTTGGCTGGTAAATCTTACCATCCAATCTTTTACATATATATGTGTGTGTGTGTGTGTTTGTGTGTGTACACACACATATATTTTGGACATTGAAAGACATTCCATTATTAAAATCATTATCACTTAAAAATGAATTAAGAAGGCCAGGTGCAGCAGCTTATGCCTGTTCTTTGGGAGGCTGAGAAGAATGGGTCGCTTTGAGCTCAGGGGTTCTAGACCAGCCTGGCCAACATGGCGAGCGAAACCCCATCTCTACAAAAAATACAAAAATTAGCTGGGCATGATAGCATGTGCCTATGATCTCTGCTACTTGGGAGGCTGAGGCTGTGGAATCGCTTGAACCAGGAGGCAAAGGTTGCAATGAGCCGAGACTGTGCCACTGTACACCAGCCTTGGGGACAGAGTGAGACCTGTCTTAAAAAAAAAAAGAATTAAGATCCAAACAAAAATTAAATAAAGTTATTAGTTGTCTCTTTTTATCTGGCTCGTGAGAATATATTCTAGT
Source organism: Homo sapiens (assembly GCF_000001405.40). NCBI lineage: Eukaryota > Metazoa > Chordata > Mammalia > Primates > Hominidae > Homo > Homo sapiens. The sequence goes on from NC_000007.14 coordinate 56,738,166, forward strand.
CAGTAAATGGGGAGCTATACAGTAAGGAAAGTACAACTCAGAAATGGTATGAATCCGGCACTGTCAAAACACAAACACTGTATCAGATAAGCCTAAGTATTCAAGACACAAGGCATATGTTCTTTTGTGGACTAGGAAAAATTCAAGACTTTTTTTTTTTAATAGCCTGCATGAAATTTTCCTTAAACCCCTCTAACTCCATTTGGCTTTTATTCACTCTGATTCTCTGTTTGGGAACATTCCTAGAAATCACAGAATGGATATGAGTCTTGACTCACTGTAAATATACACGTTCCAGTGATAAACGAATGCCTGCGTATGAGCTGGCTTAGTGAGAACTCAGCCCTGAAATCCAGTCTGATCATCTCCAGGCAAAATGCTGTATTACAGTTTCTGGGTATACAAACCAGAAGCCCACATGTGTCTTTGATTGTATGAATAAACACTGATGGATGTGCACACGTCCTTAACAGTTTTTGCCAGTTTATGACAAAATGAGTTCAATAAAGACCATGTGCTGTCATAAAACTAAATTATTGAATTTATATGACCTTCCTGTGTTCTGATATTATCTTCTTCCCATTTTTAAAAATTAAAGCTGGTATCCCTTTGTGAATACTTTCAACTCCCACTCTGAATTTTTTCCTCACTGGCCCATTAAATCCAGAAGTCTGGGATTAGTTGCTGGGATTATACAGGAACTATCAAAATTGCATGGCTTTTTTTTTTTTTCCTGAAGGATGGTCAAGCTTAGTATTTGATCTAGCAACATTTGCAACATGTTGCTACAAGTAATGGAATGTTGCATTATAACCATCTGTTTAAAAACTTTAAAGAAATTACCAATGATTTATCTTACTAACTGAAACAAAATTATAGATAAATAAGCAGAAGAAAATTTTAGCAACTATGTCATCTTTCATTTATAGGGTTTTTTGTTTGTTTGAAAGGGAGTCTCCCTGTGTAACCAAGGCTGGAGAGCAGTGACCCAATCTCAGCTCACTGCCACCTCTGCCTCCCAGGTTCAAACAGTTTTCCTGCCTCAGCCTCCTCCCAAGTAGCTGCGATTACACCACCTGCCACCACACCTCGCTACTATTTGTATTTTTAGTAGAGACGGGGGTTTCACCATCTTGGCCACACTGGTCTTGAACTCCTGACCTCAAGTGATCCTCTCGTCTCTGCCTCTCAAAGTGCTGGGATTACAGACGTGAGCCACCGCACCTGGCCTATTTATAGCTTAATGGATTTTAAAATAAACAGATAACTCAATTGTATCTAATTTAGTAATTTTGGCAGGAGAGGGTGGCTGTAATCCCAGCTGCTCAGGATAATGAGAAAGGACAGTAGTTTGAGCCCTGGAATTGAAAACCAGCCTAGGCAGCACAGCAAGACCTAAATTCAACAAACAACAAACAAACATAACCAGAGTATGATTTAGTCCTTTAAACCAGCACTGGTCTAGTATATATAAAAATAATTTATAGGCTGGGCATGGTGGCTCACGCCTGTAATCCCAACATTTGGGGAGGCTGAGGTGGGTGGATCACTTGAGGCCAGGAGTTTGAGACCAGCCTGGCCAGCATGGCAAAACCTCGTCTCTACTAAAAATACAAAAAAATTAGCTGGGCATGGTGGCACATGTGTGTAATCCCAATTACTCAGTAGGCTGAGGCATGAGAATCATTTGAACCCAGGTGTGGGGGTTTCAGTGAGACAAGATTTTGCCACTGCACTCCAGCCTGAGCAACAGAGTGAGACTCTGTCTCAAATAAATAAATAAATAGATTCGATAAAAAACAATTTATAAATGAAGGGAACAGTTCTCATATTAAGAAACTTTCCCTAGATGTTTTCCTTCATCACCTCAGCAATTTTGCTTATTTCCTTTAAAGCACGTAACTGCAATCTGTCATTTATTCATTTGTCTTTATTTTTTTGCCTGTTTCTCTCAGCAGCATTTAATCTCCTTGAGGTCTCACATTGATCTTTTTCGTTGTCGTTGTTGGAGACATGGTCTCAATCACTGCTCACTGCAGACTCGACTTCCTAGGCTCAAGAGTCCTCCCACCTCAGCCTCCCAAGTAGCTGGGACTATAGGCACAAGCCATCATGCCCGACTAATTTTTGTAGAGACAGGATTTCACCATATTAGCCAGGGTGGTATCAAACTCCTGAGCTCAAGCCATCTTCCCACCTTGGCCTCCCTAAGTGCGAGGATCACAGGCATGTACCATGGTGCCTGGCCCACATTGGTCTTATTTACCATAGCAGCTCCAGCATTTAGTATGTGCTCAAAAAACATTGACAGTGTGAATGTTAATAATAGTGTTTTTCAGCAAGGGGTACTTATTGAGCATTTAATATGTTCTAGGCAATGGTACTAAATTTGAGTATCACTAAGCCATGCAAATCAAGATCATGAATAAATGTGATTCATTCATGATGTGGTTCTCCTTTTGAAATGTGTTTCAAAAAGAATATAAGTATAGCCATATGAAAGCATCCTGTCCTCTCTCCTAGTAAGTTACAGGCCCCACGGTCCCCATCCACCCTACCACCACTTTTTTTTTTTTTTTGAGATGGAATCTTACTCTTTTGCCCAGGCAGGAGTGCAGTGGCATGATCTCAGCTCACTGCAACCTCCACCTCCTGGGTTCAAGTGATTCTTCTGCCTCAGCCTCCTGAGTAGCTGGGACTACAGGCGCATGCCACCACGCCTGGCTGATTTTTGTATTTTTAGTAGAAATGGAGTTTCACCATATTGGCCAGGCTGGTCTCGAAATCCTGACCTCGTGATCCGCCTGCCTCGGCCTCCCAAAGTGCTGGGATTACAGGTGTGAGCCACTGCTCCTGGCCACAATCACTTATTTTTATCATTATGAACACATAGCTACTTATTTTACACCTTGGATTGTAAATCAAGGTATACAAGCTTTTTATTTTGTTGCTTAAATTGTTTTGGTTTTGGCCAGTTGAAATGATAGTTGATTTTGTTGTCGTTGTTACTGATTTGTTTTTAAGTTATCTTCTTCCTACATAGCTCCTGTTTCCTCCAATTTCTATTTTTCTACGCATGGGTTTATTATATCTTTCATGGCCAGGTGTGGTGGCTCACATCTGTAATCCCAGCACTTTGGGAGGCTGAGGCGGCTGGATCACAAGGTCAGGAGATCAAGACCATCCTGGCTAACACGGTGAAACCCTGTCTCTACTAAAAATACAAAAAAAAAAAAAAAATTAGCTGAGCGTAGTGATGGGAGCCTGTAGTCCCAGCTACTCAGGAGGCTGAGGCAGGAGAATGGCGTGAACCCGGGAGGTGGAGCTTGCAGTGAGCCAAGATCTCGCCACTGCACTCCAGCCTGGGCAACAGAGTGAGACTCCATCTCAGAAAAAATAAATAAATAAAATAAAATGAATAAATAAAAAATAAAAAATATTATATCTTTCATATTAGACATCTTCCTCAAGTGTTTGATTATCTTTAGTGCTCTGTATATTTGAAGGGAAGGGAACAAAAAGGCCAGTGTATTGGCCTGGCGTGGTGGCTCACGCCTGTAATCCCAGCACTTTGGGAGGCCAAGGCAGTGGATCACCTGAGGTCAGGAGTTCGAGACCAGCCTGCCCAACATGGTGAAACCTCGTCTCTACTAAAAATTCAAAAAATTTACCGGGTGTGGTGGCACGTGCCTGTAATCCCAGCTACTCGAGAGGCTGAGACAGGAGAATCACTTGAACCCAGTAGACGGAGGTTGCAGTGAGCCGACATACATGCAGTCACCTGTATTCCCAGCTACTTGGGAGGCTGAAGTGGGATGATCACTGGAGCCCAGAAGTTGGAGGCTGCAATGAGCTGTAATTGCACCACTGCACTCCATCCTGGGTGACAGAGCAAGACCCCAACTCTAAAAAAAAACTAAAAATAAAAAAAAACAAAAAATAAAAACCTCTGATCAAATTGGCTCTCAGGTCAAAACCCACTGTTGCTTTCCGCTGAGAATAAAGCTGAAGTTAGTTCCTGCAACTTCCCACATGGTCCTCCCACTCTTCCTTCTACCCCACGTCATCCTCCAATCTCATCTTCTATTCCTTTCCCATATTTCACTCTATGCAGCCACACATTCTTGTTCCTCATTAAGGACTCCAGGCTCTCTCCTGCCTCCGTCTTTTCATTTGCTGTTCCCTCTGCTTGGAATGCTGTTCCCTGCATATTCCTGACTCACTCCCTCATCTCCTTCCAGTCTTTACCCAAATGTCACTTCAGTGAGGACTTCCCTGACCACCATCTTTTAATAACTGTCTCCCACTTAGCTGTCATTCCATGTCCCCATTCCTTGCTCCACTTTTCCCCAGAAAGCACTTATTGCCACCTAATATGCTGAGTAATTTACTGACCCCCTTTTTTTTTCCTTCTGAGACGGAGTCTCACTCTGTCACACAGGCTGGAGTGCAATGGCATGATCTCAGCTCACTGCAACCTCCGCCACCTGGGTTTAAGCAAGTCTCCTGCCTCAGCCTCCTGAGTAGCTGAGATTACAGGTGTACACCATCACGCCTGGCTAATATTTGTATTATTAGTAGAGACGGGGTTTCACCATGTTGGTCAGGCTGGTCTCAAACTCCTGACCTTGTAATCCGCCTGCCTCAGCCTCCCAGAGTGCTGGGATTGCAGGCGTGAGCCACTGCACGTGGCCTTACTGACTCGTTTAGCATAGTTTCTTCCATGCTCACATGACTGTAAGCTCTTTGACGTGATGGTTTTGTATGAACAACTTTATTGAGATATAATTTACATACCATAATATTTACCCTCTCACAGTACACAATTCCACAGCTTTGAGTATCATAACAGAGTCATGTTATCATCACCACTATCTAATTTGATTGTTTGATTGATTGACTGGACTTTGGAGATCCTTCATTGCTCCCACACAGGGAAATTGAAACCTAGAGAAATTGAGTGATTGCCCAAGGTCACCTGGCTGACTAATGACAAAAAAACTGAGCTGGAATCCAGGACTTTAGTTCTCAGTCCAGAGCTCTGCCAACCACAGCATTTCAGATTTCTACTTTGATGATGCCCTGGTTTTTTATTTAGTCCTATAAGTTAAAGATATATTTGGTTAGCCAATTTTTCTTTTTTCTTTTTTCTTTTTCTTTCGTTTTTTTTTTTTTGAGATGAAGTTTCACTCTTTTTCCCCAGGCTGGAGTGCAATGGTGTGATCTTGGCTCACCACAACCTCCGCCTCCCAGGTTCAAGTGATTCTCCTGCCTCAGCCTCCTGAATAGCTGGGATTACAGGCATGTGCCATCATGCCCAGCTAATTTTTTTTTTTTTTGAGACGGAGTCTTGCTCTGTCGCCCAGGCTGGAGTGCAGTAGTGTGATCTCGGCTCACTGCAAGCTCTGCCTCCTGGGTTCATGCCATTCTCCTGCCTCAGTCTCCCGAGTTGCTGGGACTACAGGCGCCCGCCACCATGCCCGGCTAATTTTTTGTATTTTTAGTAGAGGCGGGGTTTCACCATGTTAGCCAGGATGGTCTTGATCTCCCGACCTCGTTATTCGCCCGCCTCGGCCTCCCAAAGTGCTGTGATTACAGGCATGAGCCACCGTGCCTGGCCGCTAATTTTGTATTTTTAGTAGAGATGGGGTTTCTCCATGTTGGTCAGGCTGGTCTCGAACCGCCGACCTCAGGTGATCTGCTCACCTCGGCCTCCCAAAGTGCTGGGATTACAGGCCTGAGCCACCGTGCCAAGCTGCCAAAGATTTTTATAACCCCCATAAAGCATTCTCCCTTCTCTAGAAAACCACTTTTTTTTCCTCTAACAGTTTTGTGACCCAACTTAATTTTAGAAAAACAAAAATAAAAACACTGTGCTTTGCTGTAGGAACCTATTAAAAAAAATGCCATTGCCTTGAAAATGGACAGTGGGTAAAGCCTGACATAAATCCTGTAAAGGGAAAAAAGGATGAAGAAGCTGAGGTCCCCAAATCACCCAGCTTCATGACTGATGGTGCTAACATTTGTTGACTGACATGGAAGATTCTAGTAGTTGTTTGTCTGTAGACTCAGAAGCTTCTTTGAGCTGGAAGGAACCTTGCTAATTGTCTACGAGGAAACAGAGCCCCAGAAAAAGCAAGCCTTGTGACCAGAGTCATGGGGCAGAGCTAGGGCAGAAACACGTGCCTTCCGATCCTTAGCCTGATGATGTTCTAGGACAGAATGTTTTCAAGGATCCAAGGAAAAGGCTTTTCATTTAAATTGAGTGAGCGCAAATTGAGAAGTTATTAGGTTGGTGCAAAAGTAATTGCGGTTTTTGCCATTGCTTTTAATGCACCAACCTAATAGGCTGAAATTACTTTTGCACCAACCTAATATGTTGAAAGTCAGAGTATAATTGCAGTGATAAACACTGTTGAACCCTTATTATGATCCAGGAACTTCTCTATGCTTTGAAATGGATTGAGCATCTTTCTCTGGGCTGTTGGTCAGCTTTCACCAGGTTATGTTGCAGCAACAACCCTGAAATCTCATTGGCTTACAGCAACAGAGGTTTCCTTCTTGTGCATTATATGTTGTTTGTGATGGCTTGGGATCTGCCCATATGGTTTCTTCAATGCAAGATCCAGGGCCATCATGGAACCTGGCAGTATTTGAAGGGCTGTCAAACTTTTCTTTTTTTACTTTTTTTTTTTGAGATGGAGTTTCTCTCTTGTTGCCCAGGCTGGAGTGCAATGGCACGATCCCGGCTCACTGCAACCTCTTCCTTCCAGGTTCAAGAGATTCTCCTGCCTCAGCCTCCTGAGTTGCTGGGATTACAGGCACCTGCCACGACACCCAACTAATTTTTGTATTTTTAGTAGAGACCGAGTTTCACTACGTTGGCCAGGCTGGTTTTGAACCTCTGTCTCCTGCATTCAAGCAATTCTCCTGCCTCAGCCTTCGGAGTAGCTGGGATTACAGGCGTCATAACCATGCCCGGCTAATTTTTTTTGTATTTTTATGGTTTTATTATTATTATTTTTTTTAGACAGAGTTTTGCTCTTGTAGCCCAGGCTGGAGTGCAATGGTGCAATCTTGGCTCACTGCAACCTCCACCTCCCGGGTTCAAGCAATTCTCCTGCCTCAGCCTCCCAAGTAGCTGGAATTACAGGCATGTGCCACCATGCCCAGCTAATTTTGTATTTTGAGTAGAGGTGGAGTTTCTCCATGTTGATCAGGATGGTCTTGAACTCCCGACCTCAGGTGATCTGCCCGCCTCAGTCTCCCAAAGTGCTGGGATTCATGGCAAGAGCAACTGCACTTGGCCTCTTTTGTATTTTTAATAGAGATAGGGTTTCACCATGTTGGCCAGACTAGCTGAGTATCTTCTCATGTGCTTATTAGCCATTTGTATATCTTCTTTGGAGAAATCTCTATTCAAGTCCTCTACCTATGTTTTAAATGGATTGTCTTTTATTGGGAAGTTATAAGAATTCTTCATACATACTGGATACAAGTCCCTTACCAGATATATAATTTGCAGTTATATTTTTCTATTATATGGCCACCTTTTCACTTTTTTTTTCTTTCTCTGAGACAAGGTCTTGCTCTGTCACCCAGACCAGAGTGCAATGGTGCAATCAGGGCTCACTGTAGCCTTGACCTCCATGTGGTTGGATAACATACTGTGCATGATTTTAATCTTTTAAAAATTATGGAGACTTCTTTATGTGTTAATGTATGGCCTCTCCTGAGAATGTGTACTTGAGAAGAATGTGTGTTCTGGTATTGCTGGGTAGAGAGTTTTAGGTGGTTTGCGATGCTGTTCCAGTTCCTATTTCTTTGCTTCTTTGATCTTCTGCCTGGTTGTTCTATTCATTATTGAAAGTGGGTAATCACATCTCCCACTTTTATTGGTAAATCTATTTTTCTCCTATATTTTCTCAGTTTTTTGCCTCAGGTATTTCAGAACTCTGTTATTAGGTGCCTAAGTGTTTATAATTGCCATATCTTCTTGATGAATTGATCCTTTTATCATCGTAAAATGTCCTTATTTGCCCTAGTAACAACTTTTGTCTTAAAGTCTTTTTTTTTTTTTTTTTTTGAGATGGAGTCTTGCTCTGTTACCTGGGCTGGAGTGCAGTGGCACGATCTCAGCTCACTGCAACATCTGACTCCCAGGTTCAAGCGATTCTCCTGCCTCAGCCTCCTGAGTAGCTGGGATTACAGGTGCATGCCACCACACCTGGCTAATTTTTTTTTTGTATTTTTAGTGGAGACAGGGTTTCACCATGTTGGCCAGGCTGGTCTTGAACTCCTGATGACCTCAGGTGACCCGCCTACCTCGGGCTCCCAACATGCTGGGATTACAAGCGTGAGCCACTGACCCCAGCCTTAAAGTCTGTTTTGTCTGCTATTAGTGTAGCCATTCCAGACCTCTTTGGCTAGTGTTCATATAGTCTATCTTTTTCATCCTTTGACTTGCTTATTTGTGTCTTTGAGTCTAGGGTGTATCTTTTACAGACAGCATATACTTGGATCATTTTTTAAAGTCCATCAAGGGCAATGAGCTTTGTGTATTTGTTTCTTACTGTATTAATAGCACCTAAAACTGTGTGAGGCGTTTTTTTTTTTTTTTTTTAAGAAGTCTCGTTCTATCGCCCAGGGTGGAGTGCACTGGTGTGATCTCGGCTCACTGCAACCTCCGCCTCGCAGGTTCAAGTGATTCTCCTGCCTCAGCCTCCTAAGTAGCTAAGATTACAGGCACCTGCCCTCACCCCTGGCTAATTTTTTTATTTTTAGTAGAGACAGGGTTTTACCATGTTGGCCAGGTTGTTCTCAAACTCCTGACTTCAGGTGATCTGCCCACCCTGGCCTCCCAAAGTGCTGGGATTACAGGCTTGAGCCACAGCGCCCAGCCAAGGCTCTTAATAGGTACTCTATGGCAATCTATTGAGGAAAGGAATACATCCTCATATGTGAAATGGGATGACAGATCCCTCTCTCACTAATGTACAGAGTTATGTGGGTCATCAAATATAATCACTTAAGTTCAAGTCTCTTTAAAATGCTAATATGTTATGTAAATTTAAGTGAATAGTGAAATCCTATTTAACTCTAAGCCCTAGGCAAAGTTCCAGAACTCTAACTGGGTCATGTTTAGAAGGCAAAATTGTTTCCGGAAAGGGGTCCGGATCCATACATACCCCAAGAAAGCATTCTTGGATTTCACACACAAAGAATTCAGGATGAGTCCATAGAGTAAAATGAAAGCAAGTTATTAAGGAAGTAAAGAAATAAAAGAATGGCTACTCCATATACAGAGTAGGGTGTTCCCGAAAGTAAGAAGAGGAACGCATCCACCCTAGGTACAATACTTGCTTATACACAGGATAAAAAAAATTTTTTAAAGATTATGGGGAGATGTGCTCTGCTACAAGGGTTTGTGGTAATGGATTAATTTTCTTAATGATTATATTTTGCAAGAATTGATATTATTATCCTTAAAGCAAAATTAGGAATGCTTCTGTTCTCAAGACAGCGGGATATCAGGACACCCTTATGTCTGGGTCTGTTTAGTAAACATTATCAATCTGTTCCCTTAACCATGAACATCTAGAGGCTAGGAATGCTTAACTTTTTGTTGTTGTTTTTGTTTTTCAGAGACGGAGTCTCGCTCTGTCACCCAGGCTGGAGTGCAGTGGTGCAGTCTTGGCTCACTGCAACCTCCGCCTCCTGGGTTCAAGCAGTTCTCCTTCCTCAGCCTCCCGAGCAGCTGGGACTACAGGCACCTGCCACAACGCCCGGCTAATTTTTGTATTTTTAGTAGAGACAGAGTTTCTCCATGTTGGCCAGGCTGGTCTCCAACTGCTGACCTTGTAATCTGCCCACCTCGGCCTCCCAAAGTGCTGGGATTACAGGCATGACCCACATGCCTGGCCAGGAATACCTAACTTTCTGGGAATGCAGTCCAGCAAGTCCCAGTCTCATTTTTTTCTAGCCCTCACTCAAGATGAAGTCACTCTGATTCGAATGCCTCTGACAAAATTGCTATGTTTGCAAAATAACAGACAATAAAAGTGATGTCTGGGCTTGCCTCTTCCTCTCCAGTCAACTCCATCATCAACCTTTCTGGGCTCTTCTTTCTTGGGTTCAATTTCTCTGTTCCCTCTGTTCTCCCATGAAGCCAGATTCAAAGTTAGTGCAAGCGTACGGCCTTTATAAGCTCCAAGCCAGTCCTCAACAGAGGTCATTCCAATCCCTTACTCTCACACACCTGCTATGGTTAGAATTGGGATAAAGGGGCTAGGAGAGACCCTGCTTGGACCTTGATCCAAAATGACAGGTTTCAGTACAGTGTTCCAGAAATTCTCTTAATGGTTTATTGGGCACCAACTCAATAAATAAGGTAGCCCTAGGATGCCTTAGCACCTCTTATTGGTTCTTGTAACCCTCCTTACTACTCTATAAATAATTACTTCATTAGATGCCTTTCAGTATATTTGTAGAGGATTTTCTTTTCTGATTCCTGTCTCCAACTCTCACTGGGCTTCCTCTCTTTCTCTCTCAGGCTGCCGGGGATGGTGGCTTCCCACTGCTGCTACTTCCCCAGTGCAACAATAGACCTTGTTGTTCCCTTAATACTATGTATATTTCTTGGTTTCTAATGTAACCTCATCTCCCTGTGACTTCCCTCTAAGGGAACTTCCCTCTAAGGCCAACCAGTCTTGTCATAAAAGCAGTCCACCCAGGGCCTTCTCTGTGGTGCCTGAAATCTGGCCAAAAGGTGACTTCACCACTCATTCCTCACCCAACAGTTATTGAAGAAATAAATATACCAGTGTTTTTTCTTTTTTATAACAAAACTCCTGAAAAGAGGGGTCTTTACTTATAGTCTCTGATTTTTTTTCATCTCAACCCCATGGTTAAGGTTTGGTTGTGTTCCCACCCAAATTTCATCTTCAATTGCAGCTCCCATATTTCCCACGTTTTGTGGGAGGGACCCAGTGGGAGATAATTGAATTGTGGGGGTGATTTCTCTTACACTGTTCTCATGGTAGTGAACAAGTCTCACAAGAGCTGATGATTTTATAAGGGATTTCCCCTTTTGCTTGGCTCTTTCATTCCTTCTTTCCCTGCTGCCATGTAAGATGTGCCTTTCACCTTCCTCCATGATTGTGAGGTCTCTCCAGCCACGTGCAACTGTAAGTCCATTAAACTTCTTTTTTTATATATATATAAATTACCCAGTCTTAGGTATGTCTTTATCAGCAGTGTGAGAGCAGACTAATACATCCCACTGCTCCATCATATTTTCATTCCCACTCTTCCACAAATGCTATTTGTGTCAATATCATTACTGACCTCCACGTTGCTAAATGCATGGACCAATTCTCAGTCTTATTCTGACTTGATGATGGGCAGCACTGACAAAATCGATTCCTCTTTCCTCCTTGAAACACCATTCCAAGGTTTAGGGAAACCTCTAAACCATGGAGGGCCTGGGGCTCAATGGGCCTCTCTCCTTCTCCAGTGATCTTCATTCATTCCCTTGGTGAATTTATCCAGCCATGTGGCTTACATACAATCTGCATACTGATCTATAATTTCCATCTGCATCCTGGGCCTCTCCCTGGAATTTCAGCTGCACATATCTACCTTTGCGATATCTTCACTTAAGTCTCTCATGGACATCTCAGGTCAAACTCCTAATTTTCCATATTTCAGTAAGTGGCAACTCGATTGTCTGATGCTTAGCCTAAAAACCTTGATATCATCTTTGGCTTCTTTCTTTCTCACACCCCACATCAGTAAATCTTGTCACATCCACCTTCAAAATGTATTCCAGTTCTGACCTCTTCCCACCACCTCTACTGCTACCATTGCAGGACAAGGGTACAAGCCATTGACATGTAAATATGTCCTTGTTCAAATAGATGTCCCTTGACACAAATCTCCCTCCAGCTACCACCCAAAGGATGGTTAGTTTTCTCTCATTATTTTGGTCTCAGCTCTCTTATAAATTTTTATATTTTTTATTTATGAGACAGGGCCCTACTCTGTCACCCAGGCTGGAGTGCAACGGCATGATCATACCTCACTACATCCTCCAATTCCTGGGCTCAAGTGATCCTCTCATCTCAGCCTCCTGAGTAGCTGGGACTACTGGCACGTGCCACCATGCCTTGCTAATTGTTTTAATCTTTTGTAGAGGTGGGGTCTCTCTGTGTTGCTCAGGCTAGTCTTGAACTCCTGGGCTCAACCGATCCTCTTGCCTCAGTGTCCCAAAGTGCTGGGATTACAAATGTGAGTCACCATGCTCAGTCTCCACTCTCTTTAGAGAAGTCTTCACTGACACACCCATCTAAGGTTGCTCCCACTTTATCACCATCTTTCTCCAGCCATTACACAATTTTTATTGCTTCCCTATTATCACTATGTAAAACATATATTTTACATATTTATCTTTTTTTTTTCTCCTTCAGTCTTGTAAATGTGTGTAACTTCTATGCTATGAAGTACCAAGAGCTTGGTACAGGGCTCATTCATATTATGACTGCCAACAAATATGTGTTATATTATCAAATAAGTACTCTTTAAAGCCATTCTTTTCTAAGAATGCTATAATGAATATACTAATGTATATTAGTGGTTTCCTTAAGCCTCATGGTATTGTGGTCGGAAGGAAATGAGATGACATGTTGAAAGCACTTTGTCAACTACAAAACATTATCTGAATATAAAAAGGTGCTCGCATTAATAAACATTCAAGGTTTCCTAAAACAAATGTCTTCCCTGAAGGAGGAGGATCCCTATATTTGGTATTTTTCTGGCCAAGGCAAGCTCATAAACTGACAAGGACACATGTGCGCACTCAAGATTAAGGGCAAAACTTACATCCTATGTTTATGTTACATTGTTCTGTAATGCTTGTTTTGGCTTTATTGTGTGAGTTTAAAATGTCAAAGTATAAAAAACTCAGTAGGGGATGGCCCCTACTTAATGGAACAGCCAGGTTCCTCTGCTTTGACATTGTTCCCCGGAGTTTGCTGGGTGACTTCCCAGGAGCCTTAGAACTGCATATGCCAATGTCAAGCGTATGATGAAAATAGTCTTAGCTCAAATATTTTCCCCTAGGCATTCTATTTTTTTTAAATCTTAGGAAAAAGAGAAAATATACATACAAACTCTGTAGTATGAATGTATGTGGGGTTTTTCCCCCTCCTCTTTATCACTTTAAGGAAAGCTTCTCCTTTACAGACATAGTCAAGAGTAAGGTTGAGGGAACATTAAAGGGGAGAAATGCTACCTTCTTTTTGTTTTAAAATTTTATGGCTGGGTGCGGCGACTCACGCCTGTGATCCCAGCACTTTGGGAGGCTGAGGCTAGGAGGATCACCTGAGGCTAGGAGTTCAAGACCAGCCTGGCCAACATGGTGAAACCTCATGTCTACTAAAAATACAAAAATTAGCTGGATGTGGTGGCATACGCCTGTAGTCCCAGCTACTCTGGAGGCTGAGGCAGTGAGACTCCTGTGTCACCGGGGCTGGAGTGCAATGGCGCAATCTCAGCTCAATGCAACCTCCACATCCCAGTTCAAGCGATTCTTGGGCCTCAGCCCCCTGAGTAGCTGAGATTATAGGTGCCAGCCACCACACCCAGCTAATTTTTTGTATATTTAGTAGAGACGGGGTTTCACCATCTTGGCTAGGCTGGTCTTGAACTCCTGACCTCGTGATCCACCCACCTTGGCCTCCCAAAGTGGTGGGATTACAACTGTGAGCCACTGCACCCAGCCAAAAAATTTTTATTCCAAGTGTTTGACCTTAGGATTTTCTGGGCTTTTTTGGTCAGCCAGTGTATCTAGGTCAGGCATTTCAGATGTGGTTTTGTCATACACCATGGGCCATGTCCAGGCATCCATCAGCCCACACCTGTGTTTCTGGCCCACTGAATACACTCACATCTATACACAAAGTACCTACATAGCATTCATGCTTCTCTTGTCGCCTCTCCAGTAAAATGTTCCAGCAAAAGACAGCAAGAGCCTGTGAGCACATCCCCACCACATACTTCCTTGGAATAAAGTATCCTGACTCAGAGACAGACATGATGCACAGTAAATTATGTTCAGCCATCCCGTAGGATTTCAGCCACTGTAGCTCTCTGAAAAGACAGAATTTGTGGCAAACGGTAATGAAGAGGGTATGTGTTTCCTCCCCATTTATAGAAGCTAAATCTATTTTTCCTTAAGGATGAGGTCATAACCACAGTATTTGCAGCAATCCCTTCCATCTCAGTAGACAACATGTTTTTCTGAAAATACATTCCACAGACCATGAGAGATGCAAGGTGGTCTCTAATAGAAGGCACTGGTGGTCAAGTAAGTACAGATACTCTGCATACCATAGTGCCCTGTAGGAGATAGTCAACGCATAATAACAGAGTAAAGCCTCTGAGATTTTTCTGCAAGGGAAAAAAAAATCACTTAATCTTGCGTAACTCTATACTTCCTCAATTTATATCATAGAACTCTTGACGCTTATTTCACTTAAAACCAGTGTTCTATCAAATGGCCTTTGGGAAACACTGTTGTGGACTCTTAGATTTGTGAGCAAATCTAATTAACTTTATTTCAGACCTGGAAATGTGAGAAAGGGCTAATTGGTGTTGCATTTTCTTACCAAGCTGTCTCACAATGACTCTGCATCAGATTAAGCCAGAAGTGCGAGCATGTTCCTAAACAGCAGGGCAGAAAGCTTCACCAAAGCCTCCTGCTCATGATGAAGAAATATGATGTTCTTAACATTAGAATTGCAGATATGTTTTGCATAAGTGCATTCCAACCATATAACTTTACATTTAGGGAAACATCCTTCAGATGAACTGCATATTTTACAAATTCAACCACAGAATTAGTCATGTTCTCTCATTGCTTTATTTTAAAGAGGAAAAAATGTCAGAAAGTAAAGACAGTTTTTGTTTGTTTGCTTGTTTTTTGAGATGGAGTTTCACTCTTGTCGCCCAGGCTGGAGTGCAGTGGCACAATCTCAATCTCAGCTCACTGCAACCTCCACCTCCTGGGCTCAAGCGATTCTCCTGCCTCACCCTCCCAAGTAGCTGGGATTACAGGTGCCCACCACCATGCCTGGCATATTTTTGTGTTTTTAGTAGAGATGGGGTTTCACCATGTTGGCCAGCTGGCCTCGAACTCCCAACCTCAGGTGATCCACTCGCCTTGGCATCCCAAAATGCTGGAATTACAGGCATGAGCCACTGAGCCCAGCCAAGGCATTTGTTTTGAAAACAAATATAAAATCAAATTTCCCCAGGAAGGAGATGATGGAGAGGAGTTTTGAGGTATCATTAGAAGAGAATAAGATGAAGTGGGAAAAGGCATTCTGAAAGGGAAGCCTGGGATGTAGTGTCCCGCTATGGCTGGAGTGGGAACTGAGGCTGGGAAGAAGGCAGCTGCTAGACCACAGGAAGATCTTGGTGCTAATTTAGGAGATTTGAACACCTTCCTATAAGAGGAGGCTTTGACAACTGTTATTAGGAGAGAAATGTGACCTGATTTCCATTTTAGAGCCTTCAACCTGGCTGCCTGGTAAGTTGAAAGTTGAGTTGGAAGAGATGCAGATTGGAATCAGGCAGACAGATTAGGAAGCTACTGCAATAGTCCATGCAAGAAATGGCAATAACCTGAACTGAGGCAGTGGCATAATGAAACTGGAGAGGAAGGGATGGATGGTAGGTGATATGGTTTCCCTGTGTCTCCACCCAAATCTCATCTTGAATTGTAATAATCCCCAGGTGTCAAGAGTGGGGCCATGTGGAGATAATTGAATCATGGGGGTGGTTTCCCCCATACTGTTCTCATGGTACTGAATAAGTGTCATGAGATCTGATAGTTTTACAAATGGGAGTTCCCCCACACACGCTCTCTCTTGTCTGCCACCATGTAAGACGTCCCCTTGCTCGTCCTTTGTCTTCTGCCATGATTGTGAAGCCACCCCAGCCATGTAGAACTGAGTTCATTAAACCTCTTTCCTTTGTAAATTACCCAGTCTTGGGTATGTCTTTATTAGCAGCATGAAAACAGACTAATACAGCAGGAGGTATCTGCTTGTCAGAAGGGTTGAAGGAGATAGGGGCTAAATTCAGTGAGTGGATGGCTGCTATTGGCTCACTTTCCTTTGCGTGTGTCAGTATAAGAGCTCTGCACTGGGATCAGGAAGCCCAGTGTCTCCTCCGGTGCTGCCACTGTTCGCCTTTTAGAACCATTCACCTGCCAGGGTCAGGCTCTGCTTGGTAAAATAAGACAGAGCAGCTAACTCCCACCCCTGACATCCTGGTAACTCATTCTATGTCTTAATTAAGGTCCCTATAAAATTAGAAATTATTGTATACTTGCCATTTTCTGCCTTCTTTATACATTGCTCTGATTCTCTATCACAGTCTAAAAACCTAAAAACATCACCCCCAAAATATGTGGTTTAAAACAACAATTTGGCCAGGCACAGTGGCTCACGCCTGTAATCCCAGCACTTTGGGAGGCCAAGGCGGGTGGATCACGAGGTTAAGAGATCAAGACCATTCTGGACAGTATGGTAAAACCCCGTCTCTACTAAAAATACAAAAATTAGCTGGGTTGGTGGCACATGCCTGTAGTCCCAGCTACTTGGGAGGCTGAGGCAGGAGAATCGCTTGAACCTGGGGGGTGTAGGCTACAGTTAGCTGAGATTGTGCCACTGCACTCCAGCCTGGTGACAGAGCAAGACTCTGTCTTAAAAAAAAAAATTTTATTGGCCGAGCGCAGTGGCTTACACCTGTAATCCCAGCACTTTGGGAGGCTGAGGTAGGCAGATCACAAGGTCAGGAGATCGAGACCAGCCTGAACAACATGGTGAAAACCTGTCTCTACTAAAAATACAAAAATTAGCTGGGCGTGGTGGTGGGCACGTGTAATCCCAGCTACTCGGGAGGCTGAGACAGGAGAATCACTTGAACCCGGGAGGCGGAGGTTGCAGTAAGCTGAGATCACACCATTGCACTCCAGCCTGGGTGACAGAGGGAGACTCCATCTCAAAAAACAAAACAAAACAATTTATTGATTGTTCATGGTTCTCTGGGTTGACAGGGCTCAAATGGGGACTCTCACTTAGTTTTCTCATGTGCTGGGGCTGTAGTCATCTGAGCTGAGGTGGACATCCAAGATGGCACACTCACATGGCTGGCAATTGACACTGGCCATTGGTTGAGAGTTCAACAAGAGCCACTGCCCAGTGTGCTTACATATTGCCTTTCCACATGGCTTGGGCTTCTCACAGCATTGCAGCTGGCTTCCCAAAGTGAACAACCTACAAGCAAGCTTTCAAAGAGACCCCGGCAGAATCTGCAAGGTTTATTTTGACCTATTTTTGGAAGGCCCAGAGTGTCACATTCACTGAATTGCATTGGTTAAGCAAGTAACTAAGGTCAACCAGATTTATAGGAAGGAAAATTAAACTCCACTTCTTGTTGAGAAAATGATAAAGTCACATTACAGGAGAACATATGGGAAAGGAAATACTGTTGCTGCTATTTTTGAAAAATACAATCTGCCATATAGATATTTGAAAACATAACCATTTTTCCCACTAACTCTTTGAGAATGGAAACATTGGCTTATTTTATTTTTATCCTCCCTCTTTGTTCTATATCCCAATCTGCATGCCTACTCCATGTCAAGACTAATATCATAAATGTTTTATTTAAAAAAATGGGTTTTGTTAAGTTTGAATAGAGAGGGTGGAAGGGTAACCTGTACTTTATTAAGTGAGGAGAACAAAGAGCATATAAATCTTTACAAGATTATGTTAGAGGTGTGAACAAACCTTTCTTTGTAATTTTATTTTTTAGAGATTGGGTCTTTCTCTGTCACCTAGGCTGGAGTGCTGTAGTGCAATCACAGCTCACTGCAACCTCAAACTCCTGGACACCAGCAATCTTCCCACCTCAGCCTTCTGAGTATCTGGGACTACAGGCATGCACTACCGGGCTTGGCTAATTTTTATTTTTATTTTCTTGGAGATATTTTATTTCTTGCTATGTTGTCCAGACTGGTCTCAAACTCCTGGCCTCAAGTGATCCTCTCGTCTCAGCCTCCCAAAAATGCTGGAATTACAGGCTCAAGCTATGGCATCCAGCCCGAGCTTTTTTTGTCTCAGTTTATGGATTGGCTGTGTATTATCAGTGTTGTCCAGTGAAACAAAATCAACAGGAGAGATACAGAGATGATAGACAGATGGAGAGATAGTGAGATGGTCAGGAGATAGACAGACACATATCTATATAGATAGCAAAACTAAAATAAAATGTTGAGTGCTGTAGAGGAGATATGGGGGTGCTCAGAGCAGACAGTGAACAACTGCTCTGAGGACTGACAACACCCACAATGAGAAATGGCACATGGCCTCTCAGCCCATCACTTGACAGAGCCGTCTATGTGCCCTACTCCCATCAGTCCATCTGAAATACCCAAGACTCATTGTTCCATTGCTCCCTAAAGATCTCTAGGCAAGATCATCACCTCTTACTTGTTGAATCCAGTATCTATCAACCCCGGCTATATAATAGAATTACCTAGGGGAGCCTTAAGCTCATACTAAGCCGGGCACGATGGCTTACACCTGTAATGCCAGCACTTAGCCAAAGTGGGCAGATCACCTGAGGTTGGGAGTTCAAGACCAGCCTGACCAACATGGAGAAACCCCATGTCTACTAAAAATACAAAATTAGCCAGATGTGGTGGCGCATGCCTGTAATTCCAGCTACTCGGGAGCCTGAGGCAGGAGAATTGCTTGAACCCGGGAGGCAGAGGTTGCAGTGAGGTGAGATTGTGCCATTGCACTCCAGCCTGGGAAACAAGAGCAAAACTCCACCTCAAAAAAAAAAAAAAGACATACTAGACATTCTGAGTATCCCAGAAGGTCTGCCTGGTAGAGGAAGTGGAGCCACATCAGAGAGAGGCTGTGTGAGTGCCTCATGAGAGCAGGAGCCTAAGAGATGAACAGAATGCCCTAGAGAGCATGGCCCACATCAGATGAGGGTTCAATGCTGGAATTTCTCTAATAAACTCCCATCTCAATCCTAATATCACTGAGGAAGAACTGGAGTCTAGGCATCTGCTCTCTGAAGAGCACAATAGCAGAAACATCAGCACTATTCTTTCTTCTTCCTCTCCATGGTAGTCTGAAAAATATCTCTCACCTCTCAAAAAGATCTGGGTCCTGTTCCCTGGAACTTGCAAATGTTATTTATTTATTTATTTATTTATTTTTCGAGATGGAATCTCACTCTGTCACTCAGGCTGGAGTGCAGTGGCACGATCTTGGCTCACTGCAACCTCCGCCTCTGGGTTAAAGTGATTCTCATGTCTCAGCCCCTCAAGTAGTTGGGTCTACAGGCGTGCACCACCGCACTCAGCTAATTTTTGTATTTTTAGTAAAGACAGGGTTTCACCATGTTGGCCAGGACAGTCTTGATCTCCTGACCTCAAGTGATCTGCCCACCTCAGCCTCCCAAAGTGTTGGGATTACAGGAGTGAGCCACCGTGTCCGACCTGCAAATGTTATCTTATTTGAAAAAAGTGTGGCTGGTCACAGTGGCACACAGCTGTAATCCCAGCACTTTGAGAGGCTGAAGTGGGAGGATTGCTTGAGCCCAGGGTTTCAAGACCAGCCTGGGCAACATAGTGAGACCTCATCTACAAAAAAAAAAAATACATATATATATACACACACATATATATACATATATGATACATACATTATACATAAATACATATGTGATATAATACATATAATATATAAATACATATATGATATAATACACATATATAAATACATATATGATATAATACATATTATATATAAATACATATATGATACATATATAAATACATATATAATACATATATAAATACATATATAATACATGTATTATATATAAATACATATACAATACATGTATTATATATAAATACATATACAATACATGTATTATATATAAATACATATATTATGTATATGTATTATATTTTATATATATATATGTATGTATGTATGTATGTATGTATTAGCTGGACATGATAGTGCATGCCTGTAGTCCCAGCTACTTGGGAGGCTGAGGTGGAAGGGTGACTTGAGCCTGGAAGTTTGAGGCTGCCATGAGCTCCGATCATGCCATTGGACTCCAGCCTGGGTGACAAAGAGAGACACTGTCTCAGACAAAAAGAAAAAAAAAAAGTCTTTGCAGATATGATTAATTTAAGGTTGTTTGAGATAAGGAGATTGTCCTGGGTTAGCCAGGTATGGCCTAAATGCAATCACAAGTGTCCTTATCAGAAGAAAACAGAGGGACAATTACACACAGAAGAGACAGAGTCAGTGTGACCAACAGGAGCAGAGATTGAGTGATGCAGCCACAAGCCAAGGAAAGCCTGCAGCCACAGAAGCTGGAAGAGGCCAGGAATGGATAATCTCCAGAGCACCGGAAGGAGCTCAGCCCTGCTGACACATTGATTTCTGCCCAGTGCTACCGAATTCAGACTTCTAGACTCTAGAACTGTTAGAAAATTCATTTCTGTTGTTTTAAGCTACTAAGTTTGTGGTCACTTGTTACAGCAGCCACAGGGAACTAATACACTCCCCTCTGCAACCCTGGAAGAGCTATGCTTCTTAAAAAGTAGAGACAGGGCTGGGCACAGTGGCTCATGTCTGTAATCTCAGCACTTTGGGAGGCTGAGTGGAGCAGATCATTCAAGGTCAGGAGTTTGAGACCAGCCTGGCAAACATGACGAAATTGTCTCTACTGAAAATATAAAAAGTAGCCAGGTGTGGTCGTGGGCACCTGTAATCCCAGCTAGTTGGGCGGCTGAGGCAGGAGAATCACTTGATCCTGAGAGGCGGAGGCTGCAGTGAGCCAAGATCGCACCACTGCACTTCGACCTGGGTGACAGAGCGAGACTCTGTCTCCAAAAAAAAAAAAAAAAATGTAGAGAAAAAGGACAGAAAGTAGCAGGGAAGAAGCAATGTATGAGTGGCACCCCTGGATCCATCCATCCTGAGCTGGTAGCAAGGAAGGTAGCTATTTGAATTACATTCAATTCATCAATATCTGGAATAAAAAATAAGGAAGTTTTTATTTAGGGCAGACTGGGCTCTTTAGATATCTAAAAGTAAGGCTGAGGGTTCTTTCTCTGGCCTCAGGTGCTCTCTTCTCATGCATGTGTAGATCAGGACTCAACCAGACTTCGGGAGACTCCACCACCTATCTCTGGAGTTCTGTGTACAACTCCTGCCTCTCTGGTACTCTGCGCCACAAATGATGGTGACCTTCCCTCCCCGCCAACCCCCACCTTGTCCTCTCAATTCTAAGATACCAGGCTCTATTTGGCTTCCCCATCCCCGCTCTGTAGCCTGAAAAGCAGCTCCAGATAATAAATTGGGGAAACAGAGCTCAGTAAGTTTGTTTCCCACCTTTCAGTGACCACAGTCTTGCATTGCCTGTTACCTAATTCCTACAAATTGGTATTTCGTATATTGTCCAGTTTTCTAGTTGCTTAAAATAGCAAGGTAAATCCAGTCCTTGTTATTCCATCACTGCTGGACAGAATATATACTGTAAATCAAGTAACAGTTTCTCAATTTTGTATCTTATTGTTATCACTGTTTTGAGACAGGGTCTCACTCTCACCCAGGCTGGAGTGCAGTGGCTCATAACTCACTGCAGCCTCAAACTCCTGGGCTCAAGGCATCCTCCCACATAGGCCTCCCAAAGCGCTGAGATTACAGGCATTTGCCAGCCACTACGCCCTCAATTTAGTATCTAAAGGCTTAGTCTTCATTCAGCTCTACCTCTTTATAATAGCAGACAATATTTTTCTTCCTTTTTTCTTAGAATTTGCTCTTCTTAGTTTGACACTAAACTCTTAATTTTCCTACCTCTTTGAGTATGATTTCTGATTCTTGAATCCTGAAAGTTCTAGGCAAGTTTAGGCAAGTTTCCAAAATCTTATTCTTGCCACATTTTCTTCTCCATCTGTGTAGGATCTCACCCTGTATAATTTCAACAAGTCCCACAAATTCATTCATGACCTCTTTTGCTGCTAACTCTTAACAGAAGTACTATGTGACTGGCACTGGACTTCTTCATTCACAGAAGGGAAAAAAGGTGAATACCAAATGTAATTTCTACCACATTTTAAAGTTTATAAATGTACTTTTTTTTTTTTTTTTTTTTTTTTTTTTTTTAGCAGAGTCTTGCTCTGTCACCCAGGCCGGAGTTCAGTGGCACAATCTTGGCTCACTGCAACCTCTGCCTCCGGGGTTCAAGCGATTCTTGTGCCTCAGCCTCCTGAGTAGCTGGGACTACAGGCATGTACCACCACACCCAGCTCTAATTTTTGTATTTTTAGTGGAGAAGGGGTTTCACCTGTTGGCCAGGCTGGTCTCAAACTCCTCACCTTAAGTGATCTGCCAGCCTCAGCCTCCCAAAGTGCTGGGATTACAGGCATGAGCCAACACACCCAGCTATATATGTACTTTTATACACATACAACCAGAGGAAAAAACAAAAGTTAATTCACTTAAAATGTTAAGAATGATGATCTATTTTATGGGTAACACTTTCCTGTATTTTCAATACACACACACACACACACACACACACGAAGCTATTTTTTAAGTCCCCATTTCTAGCTCATAACTCCAGCTGTTTTCACAGGCCAGAATGTCACATTATTTTCAAAGCAAGTCACATATCTTCTGCCTAGAGCCTGCCTTTCTCCCTCTGTGCCAGTTAATGATACCCAGTCCTCCCATAAGCTTCAGAGTCATTTCAACTTGTTCTTCTGTTCCCACATCTTGTCAAAAAGCCTACTGGAAACAATGAATTTCAATCCATGAGAAACAACATTACTGCAGAAGGCTCTAGAATAATAATCTCAAAGCAGCACTAAGAAGCTAGCAGAATGAAAAACCCCCTTTTTTCCAGGTCAGAGATGTGAGGACACTCTGCAAAGAGGAAGCCATGCCCTTGGCATAGAAGCAGCTTATTCCTGGGATAAAGAGGTGGATTTGGAAGAGTAGGCCAAAGTTGGACAATAAGCCAAGGGGGGAAACTGTGGAGCAGAGTCAAGAGGCTGGGGACTTGAGCCTGCATTTTGAGTGGCACCCAAAGATGACAAAAGGAGAAACATGTCATAAACCAGGCTTCAAATGGCGCTTTGGCAGAAAGTTGTTTTGCTGCCCAAACTGGCATTTAATATTGGTTGAAATGAATAAGACACGCCAGCCATCAACTTTTTACCATGTAATTAACCAGCTTGGAATAAGGTCTTTTTTTTACTTTAATGCTCTTTAGTATACATATGTAACAAATTGGCACATTGTGCACATGTACCCTAAAAAATATAATAACAATAAAATTTAAAAAAAGTAATAAAAATATTTATAAGCCTGTTAAATTATAAAATCATGAAACAAGAAAAAAAAAAAAGAAAAAGGGTAAAAAACAAAGAAAGAACAGAATTAAAAAGTCACAAAATAGTATGGACCTTGAGAACATTCTGCTAAATGAAACAAACCAGTTACAAAAGGACAAACACTATATGATTCCACTTGCATTAGCTATCCAGAGTAGTCAAATTCATAGAAACAGAAAGTAGAATGGTGACCACCAAGGGTAGGGGAAGTATTAAGTACTTGTCTAATGTCTATGAAAAAGTTCTGGAGGCTGTTTGTACAACAATATGAATATACTTAACACTACTGAACTGTACCCTTAAATATGTTTAAGACGGTAAGTATTTTATCACAATTTAAAATTTTAAAAAATTTTAAGTCACAAATTAGTATAGAAAGTATCACCCAATTCTGCCTTCTGGCCACTCAGTTCCACTCCTCAGAGACAGCCAGTGTTAGTATATCTTCCCATCTTTCCAAATATATTCTAACTGTATCTAATATACTCTAACTTTATCTCAAAAGGCATATATATGCTTGCAAATATATGCCTTTTGAGATAAAACACACCCATACACAAATAGTGACATACTACACATACTGTTCATGCACTTTGGTCTTTTCATTTAATATATCTTAGAGCCTTTTCTAAATTACTTCATATACAACTGCCTTACTCGTTTCAAGAGCGCTACTAATTCACTGTATGACTATATCGATTATTTTACCAGTTCCCTACTTATGGGTAATTAAGTTTTATATGAACTTTTGTGCTTATAAACACAGTGATGAATACCTTTGTGCTATTTTTAACGGCCACATAGACAAGAGTGTGTGTGTGTGTGTATATATATACGTGTGTGTGTGTGTGTGTGTGTGTGTGTGTATATATATATATATATATGTTATATGCCTAGGATGAAACTGTTAAAACGGAAATTAAGTGCATTCTTTATGTGTGACTGCATGTATGTACACTATTTTTATTTACATAAAAATGTGTATTGATGTATAGCATACATTCAGAACAGTACATAATTCTAAAGTTCATAGCTTGATGAATTTTCCCAATATAATCCTACCTAACACACAGATTTAAAAAAAAAACAACACACAAGATTATAAGCCTCCAAAAGCCCCTTGTCTCAATCCAGTGTGAGCTCCCCAAGAGTAATACTACCCTGACTTCTAACATCACAATTTTGTCTGTTTTTATACTTATATTTTTGTGCATGGCTCTTTTACCCAACATTATGTTTGTGAGTCATTCATATTAGGTGAATTGGAATTCATTCATTCCTATTGCTCTATAATATCCCATTGTGTAAATACATCACATCTTATCTAAACTTATCTATACTACACAAAATATGTGCATTATTAAATTTTAATGGATATTATCCAATTGCTCTCCATAGAGTTTAGAATCTTACCATTAATATACGGAAGTAGCTATTTTCCTACACCTTAGCCAACAGCTAATCAAACTTCTTCATCTTGGTTAATTGGATATTTTTTAAATGCTTTCAGTATAGTTTCAATTTGCTTTTCTCTTATACCGACTGAAAGAGAACCATTTCATACATTTAGGAGCCACCTGTCATTCCTTTAAACTGTCTCTGAATGTGCCCACTTGTCTACTGAGTTGTTGGTCTTTTCTATCAGCAAGTGATCCTGCTTTTTAAAGGAAATTAGCCCTTTGAACATGCTGCATGGCAACTATTTTTTCCCAGTTTGTCAATGGAGTCCCAATTTTGTTTATACTAGTTTTTGCCAAGTCTAGGTTGTCTGGCTTATGTTTTTGTTTTTGTTTTTTTGAGATGAGGAGTCTCACTCTGTCACCCAGGCTTTAGTGCAGTGCAGTGCAGTGGCATGATCTCGGCTCACTGCAACCTCCGCCTCCCAGGTTCAAGCGATTCTCCTGCCTCAGCCTCCCAAGTAGCTGGGATTACAGGCATGTACCACCACACCCAGCTAATTTTGGTATTTTTAGTAGAGATGGAGTTTCACCATGTTGGCCAGGCTGGTCTCGAACTCCTGGCCTCAAGTGATCCACCTGCCTCAGCCTCTCAAAGTGCTGGGATTACAGGCGTGAGCCACCAAGCCCAGCAGCTTGTCGGTTTTTATGCAAATTCATCAACATTTTTTCTGTATGCAAGGGCTCAAGTTGAATGATGAAGAATCATGAGAGAGAGGGAGGGAGGGAGGAAGGAAGGAAGATAGGAGAGGAACCTATTATACTGCTGATAGGAGTGTAAGCTGTTACAATCATTCCGGAAAATGCAATATATACCAAAACAAAACAAATATACATCCTATGACCCAGCAGTTCCACTCAATTCCAACAGAAAATGAGTATGTCCACCAAACATGTACAAAATGTTTTTAGCAGTTTTATTCATTTTAGCCAAAATACAGAAACAACCAAAATTTCCATCAACAGTAAAACAGATAAAATGTGATAATTTAACACAACATAATCCTACACAATAAAAAAGAATTGCAATATACAACATAAATAAATCTCATAGACATGTTAAGCAAAAGAAGTGAGATAGTGACTGGGTGCGGTGGCTCACATCTGTAATCCTAGCACTTTAGGAGGCCGAGGTGGGCGGATCACTTGAGGTCAGTAGTTCAAAACCCGCCTGGCCAACATGGTGAAACCCTCGTATCTACTAAAAAGACAAACAAACAAAACAAAATTAGCCGAGCTTGGTGGCAGCCACCTGTAATCCCAGCTACTTGGGAGGCTAACAGGAGAATCGTGGAACCCGGGAGGCAGAGGTTGCAGTGAGCCAAGGTCATGCCATTGTACTCCAGCCTGGGTGACAGAGGGAGACTCCATCTCAAAAAATAAAAAAAAAAAGAAGTGAGATAGCAAGCTGGTTCTCTTTTTTCCCATTTTCCTAAATAGCCACAGAGTTCATCCAATACTGTTTACTGAAGAATTCCCTATTTTCATCACATATAACACTGTTTACCACACAAAACATTTCTATAGATGAGGCTACTTCAGTGCTCTCAATTCTGTGTCAGTGATCTGAGGCTCAAATTGGTTTGCCTTCAACATACACTTTAATATTTGACAGCACTAATACCCCCTTCATGAACAGATTTTCATAATTTTGGTGAAAAATTTCATTTTTGCTCTTTCATATAAACTTAAGAATCAAGTTTTGAAAAGCCTATTGAGATATTAATTGGGATTACTTTAAATTCACAAATTGTGTGTGTGTGTGTGTGTGTGTGTGTGTGTGTGTATGTATATATATATATATTTTTTTTTTTTTTTCAGAGATGGCTTCTCACTATATTGCCCAGGCTGGTCTCCAACTCCTGGCCTCAAGTGATCCTCCCACCTTGGCCTCCCAAAGTGCTGAATTATAGGCATGAGCCACTCTGCCTGGCCTGTTTCACTAAATTTAAGACATTTTCAATGTAAGATGCACAGATATTTTAGGCCAATTGAAAGAGCTTAAAACTTAAACGCTTCTGTTTTCATATCACATCTGACTTGTGCTCATAATGAAAGGAAAGTTATGTAAAATAAATTGGTAAAGATGCTCCTAATCTAACTTCATAATTACCACATGGCCAGAAGTACCAAGAAGATGTCATCAGTTTTAAGGCATACTTACCTTTAGAAATCATAAAAGATTAAAAAAAAGTGTCTTTCTAACAATATAAAATACGGCAACTTCAAGGGAATACTGACATTTATAAATGTGATTGTTATCCTACTGAAGAACAAAATATGTTTTAGCATTTTTTAAATTCTTTTATGAGCTTCAGTGAAGTTTTGCAATATTTTTCAGGAATATCTTTCATTTTCTTGCTAATTCTTAAGTTTCTCTTACTTTTTCTTTGTAGAGATAGGGTCTCACCATGTTGCCCAAGCTGGTCTCAAACTCCTGGGCTCAAGTGATCCTCCTGCCTTGGCCTCCCAACGTGCTGGGATTACAGGCATGAGCCACTGTGCCTGACCAGTTTACTTCTAAGTAGAATTTTTTCCTTCAAAAATTCTGTTTGGAAAATATGCAAATATAATTTATACAGAAAATTATATAACAATATTGAGAAAAAAATTAAAGACAAAAACACATGGAGAAATAATGTTTATAATCAGAGGATTCAATGGTGTAAAGATTTCAAATTCCCATTATAGTAGGTGTAGCAAAAAAAAAAAAAAATCAATTCTTCCCAGACCGATTCAACACAATTCCAATCAAAATCCTAACAGGTATTCTTGTGGAACATCACAGCTGATTCTAAAATATATGTGGAAATGGACAGGGCCCAGGATATCAAGACATAAAACTAGATGAGTGATTCTCAAACTTTTTGGTTTGACATTCCTGGAAAATACTGAGATTCTAAAATGCTTTTGTTAACATGGGTAATAGCTATTATATTTATTACATGAGAAATTAAAACAGGAATTATTTATTTATTTTTTGAGATAGAGTCTCCCTCTGTCACCCAGGCTGGAGTGCAGTGGCATGATCTCAGCTGACTGCAACCTCTGCCTCTCAGTTTCAAGTGATTATCCTGCCTCAGCCTCCCAAGTAGCTGGGATTACAGGCATGCGCCACCGCATTTGGCTAATTTTGTATTTTTAGTAGAGACGGGGTTTCACTATGTTGCCCAGGCTGGTCTCGAACTCCTGACCTCAGGTGATCCACCTGCCTCAGCCTCCCAAAGTGCTGGGATTACAGGTATGAGCCACTGTGCCCGGCCAAAACAGGAAAGTTTTAAATATTAATTCATTCATTTAAAAATAACAAGAAATCTATTATATGCCAACATAACACTTTAATGAAAAATAACTGTTTTGCAAAACAAATTTAAAAAATGAGTGAGAAGAGTAGCACTGTTTGACATTTTTGGAAATCTCCTTAATGTCTGGCTTGATGGGAGACAGCTGGGTTCTCTTATCTACTTCTATATTCAATCTGTTGCAACACTGCATTTCATGTGGCCTCTGGAAAAATTGTACACCTGTGAGAGAATGAGTGTGAGGCAAAAAACAACCAAGTGTTACTATAAAAATAGTTTTGACTGGCCAAGACCCCACTCTGAGAGGGTCTCAGGAAACCCCCATAGTCCTGTGACCACACTTTGAGAACTGTTAAATACAGTACTTAAGACAGTGGGTCACTGGCAAAGGACAGACAAATAGAAGACAGGAATAGAAGATCCAGGCAAATACAGGCAAATCCTTGTATACACAATCACCTGATTTATGACCAAGGTAGCTCTACTGAGCAGGAGGAGACGGCCTTTTCAATAAATGGAACTAAACATCATCACCATCGTGTCATCTAGGAAAACAAACTGACCCCATCTCACAACACACACAAAAATTCCAGAGATTGTTGATCTAAATGTGAAAGGCAAAACAGTAACAGAAAATAATATAGATTATCTTCACACCAGGATACAAAAACGTCTAATTACAAAGGAAAAGACAGAAACATTCAACTACATTAAAATTAAGAATTTCTGTTAACCAGAGAAATGCAAACCAAAACTACAATGAGATATCATCTCACTCCAGTTTAAATGGCTTTTATCAAAAAGACAGGTAATGCATTTTGGGAGGCTGAGATGGGTGGATCACGAGGTCAAGAGAGCAGGACCATCCTGGCCAAAATAGTGAAACCCCATCTCTATTAAAGTACAAAAATTAGCTGAGTGTGGTGGTGGGCGCCTGTAGTCCCAGTTCCTTGGGAGGCTGAGGCGGGTGGATCATGAGGTCAAGAGATCGAGACCATCCTGGCCAAAATGGTGAAACCCCGTCTCTACTAAAAGTACAAAAATTAGCTGAGCATGGTGGTGGGTGCCTGTAGTCCCAGCTCCTTGGGAGGGGCTGAGGCAGGAGAATCTCTTGAACCCAGGAGAGGAAGGTTGCAGTAAGCCAAGATCACGCCACTGCACTCCAGCCCGGTGACAGAGCGAGACACCATCTCAAAAACAAACAAGCAAACAAACAAAAAGACTGGTAATGACAGATGACGGCAAGGATGTGGAAAAAGGGGAACCCTCGTACACTGTTGTTGGGAATGTAAATTAGTACAATCACTATGTGGAGGGTCCTCAAGAAAACTAAAAATAGAACTACCATGTGATCCAGCAATCCCACTGCTGGGTACACACCAAAAAGAAAGGAAATCAGTGTATCAAAGACATTTCTGCACTCCTATGTTTATTGCAGCACTATTCACAATAGCCAAAATATGGAATTCACCTAAATGTCCATCAACAGATGAATGGATAAAGAAAATGTGGCACTTACACACAATGCAGTACTATTCAGCCATCAAAATGAATGCAGTCCTGTCATTTGCAACAACATGGATAAAACTGGAGGACATTATGTTAAGTGAAATAAGCCAGACACAGAAAGACAAACATTGCATGTTCTCACCCATATGTGGAAGCTAAAGAAAAAAAATTGAACCCATGTAGATAGAGGACAGGAAAGGAAGTGGGAAGAGAAGTGGGAAAAAAAGAGTGATTGGTGAATGGGTACAAAAATATAGTTTAAAAAAATGAGTAAGTCTAGTGTTCAGCAGCACAATAGGGCAACTATAGTTAACAATAATTTTATATTTCAAAATGACTAAAAGACTAGAATTAGAATATCCCTAACATGAAGAAATGATAAATGCTGGCTGGGCATGGTGGCTCACATCTGTAATCCCAGCACTTTAAGAGGCTGAGGCAAGCAGATCACCTGAGGTCGGATGTTCGAGACCAGTCTGACCAACACGGAGAAACCCCATCTCTACTAAAAATACAATATTAGCCAGGCGTGGTGGTGCGCGCTTGTAATCCCAGCTACTTGGGAGGCTGAGGCAGGAAAATAGCTTGAACCTGGGAGACAGAGGTTGTGGTGAGCCAAGATTGCACCATTGCTCTCCAGCCTGGGCAACAAGAGCGAAACTCCATCTCAAAAAAAAAAAAAAAAAAAAAAAGATAAATGCTTCAGGTGGTGGGGTAATCTACCCTAATTTGATAATTATGCATTGTATGCTTGCATCAAAATCACATCTACCCCATAAATATGTATGTCTATTGTGTAACTATAATAATTACAAATAAAAATTTAAAAAAGTTTTCTGTTAGTGAAGAGATACCTCTAAGAGAATAAAAAGGAAAGGCTAGCCACTAGCTAGTGATAGGTATCTGCAACACAGTATGTGGCAGGGAGGGGAGGGGATCAATATATTTATCCCTTATACAAACCAATAAAACAAAGAACACCTACCAGAAAATTAGCCAAAAGACTTAAATGAGCTCTTCATACAGAAGACATCCAAATGGCCAAAAAACATATAAAAGGCTGCTCAACCTCATTAGTAACCAGGGAAGTGCTTAAAACCAAAGTGGAGTGTTAACTAGTACAACCACTTTGGGAAACTGTTGACATTTCTAATAAACACTCACCTACCCCAAGACCCAAAAATCCACTCCTAGATATATACCCAAGAGAAATGAGTATATATGAGAATGTTCATAGCAGCTTAATTCACAATAGCCAAAACCTAGAAACAATCAGTAAGAAAATGAATAAACAAAGAGTAATAAAATCACACAACAGAACTCAGCAAGAAAAAAAGAGTAACAGATACAGCCAACAACTTGGATAAAGTGCAAAAAAAAAAAATTTATGCTGGGCAAAAGAAGCCAGACATATAATTGGGCTCCATACTCTCTGAGCCCAATTATATGAAGTTCAAAAACAGGCAAAATGCATGTATAGTGGCCGAAGTCAAAACAGTGTGGTTAGAATAGCAGCTTCTTTCTGGAAAGGAACATGAGAGAACTCTCTGGAGTGATGGAAATATTCTATATCTTCATCTGGGTAGTGATTAGATATTTATATGTAAAATATTTTTCAGGCTATACATTTTTACATTTTATTGTGTATGATACCTACCTCAATTACACCCAAAAACCCATTATGTACCTACCAGAATGGTTAATAAAATTTAACTGATTGACAATTCTAAGCCTTGGCAAAGAGGTGGATAAACAGGAATGCTCACATATTGTTGGTAGGAATTTAAACTAGTGCAACCACTTTGGAAAATAATCTGGCATTACTGAGTAAAACTGAAGATACACAAAAATGTTTATAGCAGCAGTATTCATAATTGCTGCAAACTGGAGACAAATATCCATCAAAAAGAGAATGAAGGCTGGGCGTGATGGCTCACTTTTGTAATCCCAGCACTTTGGGAGGCTGAGGCAGGTGGATCACCTGAAGTGAGGAGTTTGAGACCAGCCTGGCCAACATGGTGAAACCCCATCTCTACTAAAAATACAGTAATTAGCTGGACATGGTGGTGCGCACCTGTAGTCCCAGCTACTTGGGAGGCTGAGGCAGGAGGATCACTTGAACCTGGGAGGCGGAGGTTGCAGTGAGCTGAGATCACGCCATTGCACTCCAGCCTGGGTGACAATAGTGAAACTCAGTCTCCAAAAAAAAGAGAGTGAATACATCAATTGTGTTATATTCATAATAGAGTATCATTCAGCAATGACTAATGTACAAACTACAGCTCCATAAAACACAGGTGAGACCAGGCACAGTGGCTCACACCTGTAATCCCAGCCACTTTGGGAGGCCGAGGTGGGTGGATCACAAGGTCAGGAGATCGAGACCATCCTGGCTAACACGGTGAAACCCCATCTCTACTAAAAATACAAAAACTTAGCCGGGCATGGTGGCAGGCACCTGTGGTCCCAGATACTTGGGAGGCTGAGGCAGGAGAATGTCGTGAACCTGGGAGGTGGAGCTTGCAGTGAGCCGAGATTGCGCCACTGCACTCCAGCCTGTCTCAAAAAAAACAAAACAAAACACAGGTGAATCTCACAAAATGACACTGAGTGAAAGCAGCTGAGTAAAGAAAACAAACTAAATGGTTCCATTTATACGAAGTTCAAATAGCAAAACTAAACTACCAAGTTTGGGTGCGATGTTAGAAAAGTAAGAAAATGATTCTCATAAAAGTCAGGACAGATGTCACTTTTGAGAAGGAGGATGCATATAGTTGATTGGGGGAAGTTAAGGGAGGGCTTTCTGGAATGCTGGAATTGGTCTATTTAATGACCTGAATGTTCGTGACAGGGTTATGCTTTGTGGATTACAACAACAAAAAGATGCACCGCTCAATGATTTTTCTGTGTGTATGTTATAGCTCACAATAAAAGAAGGTTAAAAACAAACACTGATACCTGGTGGTTGATTGAATTTGGTGGGGGAGGGGAGGAGAGAGAAAGAATCATGGACAAGTCCCAGGTTTCTGACTTGCACAACTGCTTGGATGGTGATGCCTTTCACTGAGATAGCAAACAGCATTTTTGGAGGAAGAGTATGAAATATATCTTGGAAGTGCTGAATTTAGAATACTTTTGAGACATCCAAGTAGAGACGTCCAGTAGGCAATTAGATATTAGCAGATGGAGTACTCAACAGCAGAGGTTGGGGTAGAGATACATGTTGGATTCACCCATGAGTGAGGCCACGGACATGGCTGTGACTGTTTAGGGAAAGAAGAATGACAGAAGGCCCTAGGGCTGATTGGTGGAACATCAATATTTAATGGCCAGATACAGGAGAATAAGCCAGTAAAAAAATAAAATAAAATAAAATAAAAAAATAAAAAAACAGAGTAATAGGAGGAAAATGAAGAATTGTCATGAACCATTAAGCAAGAGGAAAGAGCGTCTCAAGAGTAAGAAGTCACTCTCTGCAGGTTGATGCGTAGTTAAGGGGGAAGGACATGAATTATGTGTACTACTCAGCAGGCCAGGTTTTACTCCACCTCTTTCTGGCTGACTTGACACAATCAACAACCCAACAGAAAACCAATACTTCTGAGAATGGCTGCAAGTTTTTATGTGCTGTCTTCCGTGGTGAGAAGTCAAGGCTGAGCTCTTCCTTCTCCTGATTCTCAAGAAGGAGGAAGGCAGATGTGAGAACACTGATTGGGTCTGTGTGCTACTGGGCAGCATCACTGTTAAAAGTCAGCACACAGATGTGAGCTCACTTTTTGTGCTTCCATGTGACTGAAGTGGTTGAGAAGGCTGTACTCCCCGCCCTGCACCCCTTATACCCTCACAGTAAGGGACAGCCAAGGCCAAACCTACAGCTTGGGCAGAAGAAGCCAGGGCAGGTGTCCAAGGCCAGATCAGCAGTCAGCCAGGGCAAATGGGCTCACTCTGGTTACGTGACTTGGGGCAACTGACAGAAAGGAGTGAAATGTGGGGAAGATCTCAGTGTGTTTGAGAACTGGGGAGATGAAAAGGCTTCATCTCATGGCCTGCTTTAGTTTGAAACAATTTAAGCTTAACTAGATTCCAAAAAAACAGTATTTAGACCTGAACCAGCTGGGTTCATTCCAGTCCTCTACACTGGAGTTTGGTGCCTGAGTCCTAGTTAAGAATAAAATGTAGAGTCCTTTTGTTTTCCATTTGTCAGTGCAAATATTTCATACAAATCTTTCTCCCAGGGACCCTGTAGACTTGAAAAGAGTGGCTATAGATTGGAGACAATTCTGATATTCCAGGGATCCCTGAACAGAATAAGAAATTACTGTAAGTTCTCAATTTCTAGCACCACACACATAAATTGCATCTCTCTCTCACACACACACACATACACACACACACATACACAAGCAGGCTTACCTACCTCTCAGAAAATTGCGCAGATTCAACAAGAAACAATAAATAGTAATCAATGTGTTCCTTAACGGCTGGTGAATAATAAATGTTAACTAAAACAAAAACAATTTTTATTTTTAAATCCACTATCACCTCCCACCAAATATTTAAAGGATAAAGTCTAAACTGACAGAACAGCAAATTAGTACGGTCCTTTGGGAGGGAAATCTGGTGATACATATTAGGAACCAATCCTGTTATTTGTTGCTTTTCTTTTTTATGACAGAAAAAAACCCAAAATTTAAAAAAGGCTAAGTTTTGTAAATCATAGTACATTCTTAAAATTAACACTATGGTCCAGGTGCAGTGGCTCACGCCTGTAATCCCAGCACTTTGGGAGGCCGAGGCGGGCAGATTACGATGTCAGGAGATCGAGACCATCCTGGCTAACATGGTGAAACCCCGTCTCCTTACTAAAAAAATACAAAAAAATTAGCCGGGCTTGGTGGCGGGCGCCTCTAGCCCCAGCTACTTGGGAGGCTGAGGCAGGAGAATGGCGTGGACCCAGGAGTCAGAGCTTGCAGCGAGCCAAGATTGCACCACTGCACTCCAGCCTGGGTGACAGAGCGAGACTCTGTCTCAAAAAAAAAAAAAAGAATACTATGTAAACACTTTAAAAATGAGATGCTTGTGTGAGAACCAACTTTGAAGGAGATGAAAAGTATTTACAAATTATTCTATTGAGTGATAGCTAGTATTTGTCGAACACCTGTGTACTAGGGCTGTGCTGACTGCTTGTACAACTGCTGTTTAACTTTACAATAACCTTACAATGCAGGTGGCATACTAACCTCATTTAACACATAAAACAGAAGTGGAGGCTTAAGTTTATTATCTAGTATCACTGAGGGAGGACATAGCAGAATTAGGATTTAAAACCATCCAACCTTGATTTCAGAAACTACACTTCCACTCACTGTGCCAGTGTGTCATAAAGCATACATACTTTTGAAAAAATTATTTAATACACATCAGTGTTATATTTCTTTAATATACAGCAATGTACATAATATCAATGTTATGTATTTATCTAATATATATCAATGTATGAGTTCTCAGCTCTTATCACTAAGGATTTTTGGATTTCTTTCGTAAATTTTAAGAAAACTGTTATGAATTAACAGTACAGATGATACAAACATATGGCAAAAGTAACAAGGAGGCACTCCAGTGACTGAAAGTTTAGAGAACAAAACTCTCACCTTCTCAAAAGGCACTTTCTTCTTTATATGCTGCAATATTGCATGAAATTTTCACAACAATTACACATTACCTCAAAGAGGTTTTTCAAAAAAAAAAAAACAACCCCTCCTGCAACATTCTTTTTTTTTTTTTTTGAGACAGAGTCTTGCTCTGTTGCCCAGGCTGGAGCACAGTGGAGTGATTTCGGCTCACTGCAAGTTCCACCTCCCAGGTTCACGCCATTCTCCTGCCTCAGCCTCCTGAGTAGCTGGGACTACAGGCGCCCGCCACCACACCCAGCTAATTTTTTGTATTTTTAGTAGAGACAAGGTTTCACCATGTTAGCCAGGATGGTCTCAATCTCCTGACCTCATGATCTGCCTGCCTTGGCCACCCAAAGTGCTGGGATTACAGGCATGAGGCACTGTGCCCAGCCACATTTTTCAAATAAAACAAGAGTAAAAGCACTATCTTAATGTGTACTCTCAGAAACTGGAAACATCCTTCATATCTAACAATAAGAGTTAATTACAGTTATCAGCTTGATTAAATGGTCCTTAATTATTAAATTAATGACTATAAGAAAAAGAGATAACATACTGCCAATTATTACAAGAGCCTGAGTATACATATACCATATACCATGATAAAGTCTCCTTAGACCAAAATTAAAGATGAAAAGAGAAATAAAAACAGACATAGATGATAGGAAGCTTTTCCCTCAACTAATTTACTCTAACACTATCTTTGTAACACATGTGTTTAGAACAAAACAATGCCAAAATGAGCATCGAGGTTAAAACTGTTTATCAGAGAGGCAACTCCAGAATAAGCAGATACAATATGCCCCTTGATGGAAAGACCTGCTAGTGAGAACTGACTTTCTCATATTCATCTATAAATTTAGCACAGTTGTAATCAAAATCTCAATGGGGTGTGTCTTAGAACTCATTAGAATAATTCTAAAATTCACCAGAAACAGTAAATTCATGAGAATAGCTAAGAAAAATTTGAAAATGAGCATATTTGCCCTACCAGATATCAAACATCTATAAAAAGCCATGGGGGAGAGGAGGTAATAGAATAAACACAGACAGACCTGTCACTGGAACAGAACGGAGAATACAAGAAAAGGCCTTATGTATGCAGGAAAGCCTGTGGCATTTGAAATATGAACAAGTGAGTGAACTGAGAGAGGCAAAAGTCTATGCATTTAGGAAAAATTTAGATCCCTACCCTTACACTAGACACAAAAGGAAATTCCAAACAAACCTACAGAGCTCAGTGTGAAAAAAAATTTTCACATAAAATACATGAAAATTTTTAAAAGATAATCTTGGGATGAAGAATTTTTTTATGTGAAAGATCTGACCACGTAAGTTAAAACCTCTATATAAAGACACTATAAACAAAATTAAAAGACAAGTAACAAATGAGGAGAAAAATATGTGTAACACATATAACAAAAGATTAACCATTGTGATATCTAAAAAAGCTCCTATAAAGCAAGAAGAAGAAAAGGTAAACAACCCAGAAGGGGAAAAAATGGGCAAAGGTATAAACAGGCAATATCCAGAAGAAATGCAAAATTTTTGCCTGTACAAAAATTATATTGTAGACTCATGTAACACCTAGTATACTACATTCTAGGGAATTAAAGAAGTCATGTTTTTCAAAACTAACAAATTGCACATATTTACACGATATCAGAATGGGAAATGCCCATCTGAACTTGAATCTACAGAAAAAATTACCAAGAAAAATCATTAAAATTGTCACAGACTTAAAAAAAAAACCTCGGTACTAGCATTTGTCTAAACCAATGTGAAATATTCTAAGATTTATCCAGGCAGGAAAAGAAACGCAGTTAATAAAAACATGAAAACCTCATTATCAAACAAGGTGATTATAAATTAAAAAATGAATTTTTTAAATGTGAAAACCATTAAATCTTGCTGATGCTTGGGAAAAATGCAAATCAAAACAATAACAGGACAGTTTTCATATATCATATTGGCAAATATCTAAAAAATGAGAATGCCCAATATTGGCAAGGGCACAGGGAACCCAATATTCTCTTCCATTACTGGTGGAATTTTTAATAACATGGGAAAACAGTTGTGATATGTTTTTGGTTTTTGGTTTTTTTGAGACAGATTCTCACTCTGTCACCCAGGCTGGAGCACAATGGCATGATCTTGGCTCACTGCAACCTCCACCTCCCCAGCTCAAGCAATTCTCCTGCCTCAGCCTCCCAAGTAGCTGGGACTATGGGTGTGCATCATCACGCCTGGCTAATTTTTGTATTTTGAGTAGAGACAGGGTTTCATCATGTTGGCCAAGCTGGTCTCAAACTCCTGACCTCAGATGATCCACCTGCCTCAGCCTCCCAAAGTGCAGGGATTATGGCCACCGCGCTCAGCCGTGATATGTTAAGTGAGGAAAAGACATATTAAACATACATTAAGATCTCATCCATGTTCTAAAACAATAATAACTATGTTTTATGAGTACCTTTATACCAGGCATCAGGTCTGTTTACATGTACTGGCCCACTTCATATTCACAATAATCCTATGAGTTAACATTATTATTACCCTCATTTTATGGAGAAAGAAACTGAGACAACAAGAGATCAAGTGATGGAGCCAAGATTTCAACTCAGGTTGACTCTAGAGTTCCAGACCTTAACCACTAACACAATGTACAGGAATTAATCAAACTCTTTAAACACAGTGGAGTTGAGTATACTGTCTACTTTAATTCCCTATTTTGTCATAGATTTTCTACTACTTTACTTCTCAAATACAATGAATTTTTAAAAGGATCAATAATCACAAGACAGCAACAGTGTCCCTGAAATTTTCCTAGAGATGCTAACTACAAAATAAAACTTATAAATCATAATCCAATTGCTTTAAATATTTTAGCACAGGAACATTTTTCTCAACGAAATTTTATGTGGATCTATAACATAAGAAACAGATAAGGGCGTGGTGGCTCACGCCTGTAATCCCAGCACTTTGGGAGGCCGAGGCGGGCAGAGCACGAGGTCAGGAGTTCGAGACCAGCTTGGCCAACATGGTGAAACCCCACCCATCTCTACTAAAAATACAAAAATTAGCCGGTCATGGTGGTGTGCGCCTGTAATCCCAGCTACTTGGGAGACTGAGGCAGGAGAATCGCTTGAAACCGGAAGGCAGAGGTTGCAGTGAGCCGAGATCCGGCCACCGCACTCCAGCCTGGGTGAAAGAGTGAAACTCAGTCTCAAAAAGAAACAGATTAAAGCAGTATTATATCAATGTATTTTGAAGCTCAAATGTGGCCAGGTGCAGTGGGTCGCCCCTGTAATCTCAGCACTTTGGGAGGCCAAGGTGGGTGGATCATTTGAGGTCAGGAGTTCAAGACCAGCCTGACCAACATGGTGAAACCCCATCTCTACTAAAAATACACACAAACACAAAAATTAGCCGGGAATGGTGGCACATGCCTGTGGTTCCAGCTACTTGGGAGGCTGAGACAGGAGAATCGCTTGAAGCTGGGAGATGGAGGTTGCAGTGAGCTGAGATTGCACCACTGCATTCTAGCCTGGGCGACAGAGCGAGACTCTATCTTAAAAAAAAAAAAAAAAAAAAAACAAACTCAAATGTACAACATGTATAATGAGAACAATAAAATTATTCTGATGAACACAAACTTTAAATTATGGATGATTGGGCAGTCTTATGTTAAATTTGTTTTGTTTTGATTGCATGGTATCAAGAAAAACCTGATTCACAAACATGAATAGATGATAAAGCATATTTTACAAATGATAATGTTTTGTGTGTTTTTTTAAATAGTACATTAACACTATCTAAGGATTTAATTACATCTGTCCAGAAGTTTTAAAAGTAGAACATTTCTAAATTAATTCTGTAATAGTGTTAAGGAATGAATACTTGGTAGTCATAAACTTTTTGGTAAAAAATAACAACTTTACAATATGTACTAGTCTTGCTATATGCATAAGGCAGTCACATTATTGCCTAATGCAATTAGTTCTAATAGTACTGACTGTGCTTACATAATGTTACATGAAAAAACAAGCACCAGCCTAAAATTTCAAAATATCAACATAAAGCTACAGTCTCACTGATCAATAACATTTTTATCCTTTCTAACTCTGAGGAGGGAAAAAGAAGAAAAGAGAAATTTTTAATTAAAAAATAAAATAGTATTTTAAAAGTTTCAAGTCTATACACAAAGTGAGACACTGTTCCAAGGATTGTTGTCCTGGGTATGGGCATTACAGATAATTTACATTTTCTTCCTTTCGCTTATTTTCTCTTTTCTCTCAAATATTCTAAATGCATTGCTATTTTTTTTTTTTTGATGGAATTTTGCTCTGTTGTCCAGGCTGGAGTGCAGTGGCGTGATCTCAGCTTAGTGCAACCTCTGCCTCCCAGGTTCAAGCGATTCTCATGCCTCAGCTTCCCAGGTAATTAAGACTACAGGCACCCACCACCACACCTGGCTAATTTTTGTATTTTTAGTAGAGATGGTGGTTCACCATGTTGCCAGGCTGGCCTTGAACTCCTAATCTCAGGTCATCCATCCACCTTGGCCTCCCAAAGTGCTGGGATTACAGGTGTGAGCCACTGCACCTGGCCAACTTTTTATTTTAAAATTACTGTAATTATAAATCATAGGAATTTGCAAAAAAGTACACAGGGAGGTCCCAAGTACCCTCGCCCAAATTCCTCCAATGTTATTGACGTAACTCTAGTACATGGTCACCATCAGGAAACTGACCTTGGTACAATCCCGAGTTTATTCAGGTTTCACCAGTTTTGTAAGCAAAGGGGGACTTGAGTATGCTAGGATTTGTATGCAGTATGTGTGTGTGTGGTTGTATGAAATTTCATCACATTTGCAGCTTTATATAATCACACCTGAGATACAGAACTGTTCCACCCCTACACAGCTCCCTCATGCTACCACTTTATAACCACACCACCTCTCACCTCCCATCCCTAACTCCTAGCAACCACTAAGTCTGTTCTCCATCTCTGCAGGTTTGTTATTTCAATAATGTTACATGAATGCAATCAAACAGTATGTAACCTTTTAGGGTTCTCACTGGTTTTCACTCAGTATAACTCTCTTGAGATAACTGGGTAGTACAAACCAGTTGTGTCTAATACATTAAAAAGTAGCATGAGATGCATTTGACTGTGTATAAACATTTATAATATTTTAAAGTTTAAAACATTAAAATGTGAATCAAAGGTGTATGATATCCCTGTTTCATTGACACAGAACAAGGATTCTGAGGTACAAATTTTGAAAACTGGTAATCTAATGCAAGTCTAGTACAATGTAGTACAGGTTGAGTATTCTTTATCTGAAATGCTCTGAAGCAGAAATACTTTGGATTTGGGATTTTTCAGATTTGGGAATATGTGCTTTATATACCAGTTGAGCATCCCAAATCTGAAAGTCCAAAATCCAAAATGTTCCAAAATCCAAAACTTTGAGTGCCAATATGACACTCAACAGAAATGCTCACTGGGGCATTTCAGATTTTGCATTTTCAGATCCTCAGCCTGTACAAGTACTTTACAGAAGAAAAGCCCAGGACTCAGTGCTGTGTATTATCAGTGTTTACAAGACTACATGGTTTACAGGAACACCTGGTTTTGCACTTTTTATGGACAACCTCTAGATTCTGGTTCTTTCCCAACCCAGTTGAGTACGTTACATTCAAATAGACCACTTGCTATTCTTCTCAAATGACCACAGTTTGCTACCCTTTCAAGTTCTTTCTAATGATTGAGGAAATAAACTCCGCTTAAATTCCCGTATCTGTGTGGTGCATTAGCTAGCACCACACCTCAGGCCCAATTCTCCCGTCTCTATATGCAGCAGGTCCACATGAAAAGGCCTCCCTCAGAAAGAGCTACCCTAACCTGGGACAGATTCAAACAAACTCCTTTCCCTCCCCCTCCCTTCAGGTGCCCAGATCCCCTTTCTTCTTTCTCCCTAGGCTAATCTGCTAAGTCTCTGGATAGCTCACTCCACTGCCTATCTGTTTGTTAACTGGGTGTGACAAACCACGTCCTCACACCTTCAGGCTTAGAAGGCAAACACTCCAGGAACTTACTTCTCAAATACCACAATACCTTCACAGTAATTTCCCTGCCTTTCCCAAGAGTGCTCTAAACAGATAAAAGCTATAATACAAACTCTATATATTTTTGTCGTACAGATACAAAAAATGGCACCATTGTTTGCATATTTTAAAAATCTGGTTGATATGGTTATCATTCTATCAATATTAGATCTAAATGGAATTTAAAGTAGTGGTAAAAGGCTGGGTGTGGTGGCTCACACCTATAATCTCAGCACTTTGGGAGGTGAAGGTGGGAGGATTGCTTGAGGTCAGGAGTTTGAGACCAGCCCAGACAACAAAGTGAGACCTTGTCACTATGAAAAATAGAAAAAATTAGCCAGGCATGGTGGTGTGCACCTGTAGACCCAGCTACTCAGGAAGCTGAGGTGAGAGGATCACTTGACCCAGGGAGGTTGAGGCTGCAGTGAGCCGTGACTGCACCACTGCACTCAGCCTGGGTAGACAGCGTGAGCCAATGTCTCAAAAAAATGAAAGAAAGAAAAGGAAAGGAAGGAGAAAGAAAAGAAAAAAAGAAAGGAGGGAGGGAGGGAGGGAAGGAAAAGAAAGGAAGAGAAGAAAGAAAGGAGGGAGGGAGGGAAAGAAAGAAAAAAGAAGAGAAGAAAGGAAGACAGAAAGAGCGGTGGTAAAGAGCTTGGACTCTTGAGCCAGACTGCCTGGGTTAGAATCAGGCCTCTGCCACTGTACTACCTGGATCAAGTGTTAGTCTGCGTTGCTCAGTTTTCTCATGTGTAAAATGGTGATAAAAGCTACCTGCCTCATGGGACTGTTGTGAGAC
This sequence comes from Homo sapiens, assembly GCF_000001405.40. Classification (NCBI taxonomy): domain Eukaryota; kingdom Metazoa; phylum Chordata; class Mammalia; order Primates; family Hominidae; genus Homo; species Homo sapiens. The sequence goes on from NC_000007.14 coordinate 56,780,524, forward strand.
TTCAATAATATATGTAAAACATTTAGAACACTGCCTAGCACATAGTAAGCATTATCTGTAAGTATTAACATTTATCTCTACTACAGTCCGGATTCACTTCCTTGTGATATTTCTCTATTCCTCTTGGACTTTTTTCAGTTCAACCTGCTTCTGAAATTTCCATACCAAGAAACAATGATAATGTTAAGAATTTTATTTCTGAAATTCATCTTGGTTAGTCAAAATTACTAGAAGAAACTCTCTTTTATGTACTAGCAGTTATTAACATTTCACTAAATATGAATACAAGCATTTAAAGTATGGGAGTAATGGAACAAATGCCAAGCAAAAAGCAGGCTATCAATCAGGATGCATATGTGATACTCCCATGTTAAAAAAAAGGGAGGAATCATATGGTCATATGGATGTTTGTCTATGCGTCAAATGGCTCTGAAAAGTTTCAAAGCGGTCTACTGAGAGGGAGAACTGTCTGGTGGAAGGGATATGAAGGAAACTTCACTGTACATGCTTTGTTATCTTTCAAATCTGAAGCAGCAAACGTGTTATCTAGACAAGAATTTAAATTTTTTTTTTTTTTTTTGAGATGGAGTCTCAGTCTGTCACCCAGGCTAGAGTGCAGTTGCGCGATCTTGGCTCACAGCAACCTCTGCCTCCCGGGTTCAAGCGATTCTCCTGCCTCAACCTCCTGAGTAGCTGGGACTACAGGCATGTGCCACCACACCCAGCTAACTTTTTTTGTATTTTTAGTAGAGTTGTTTCACCATGTTAGCCAGGATGGTCTTGATCTCCCGACCTCATGATCCACCGGCCTTGGCCTCCCAAAGTGCTGAGATTACAGGCGTGAGCCACCGCATCCAGCCAAGAATTTAATTTTTAAAATGGGGCTGCAAAAAGGGACTCTAAATAAGTACTCTGGAAGCCAGGTGTCAAGTCTCAGTTTACTACTAGCTGTGTTATCTTGGGCAAGTCACTTAACCTCTGAATCTCAGACAAAGCAAGGAGCAATAAATACTTCTAGGTTCTTTTTTTTTTTTTTTTTGGAGACGAGTTTTCTCTTGTTGTCCAGGCTGGAGCCCAATGGCGCAATCTTGGCTAACCGCTGCCTCTGCCTCCCGTGTTCAAGTGATCTTCCTGCCTCAGCTTCCTGAGTAGCTGGGATTACAGGTGCCTGCCACCATACCCGGCAATTTTATTTTTATTTTTTTTGGAAGACAGAGTTTTGCTCTTGTTGCCCAGGCTAGAGTGGAGCGGCGTGATCTCAGCTCACTGTAACCTCTGTGTCCTGGATTCAAGCGATTCTCCTGCTTCAGCCTCCCGAGTAGCTGGGATTACAGGCACTCACCACCACACCCAGCTAATTTTTTGCATTTTTAGTAGCGAGGGGGTTTCACCATGTTGGCCAGGCTGGTCTGGAACTCCTGAACTTAAGTGATCCACCCACCTCAGCCTCCCAAAGTGCTGGGATTACAGGCGTGAACCACCATGTCCGGCCCTAGGTTCTATTCTAATTCTAAAAGTTTCATTATCTCAGAGGGGTAGTAAATAGATTGTACTTTTTTTTAAGATATGGGGGAGGTAGTAATCCAACATTTTGATATGGGGGAGGTAGTAATCCAACATTTTGTAAAACACGGCAACTTTTTTGTGGACTTGATTTTCTTCTTTTTTTTTTTTGAGACGGAGTCTCACTCTGTCGCCCAGGCTGGAGTGCAGTGGTGCGATCCCAGCTCACTGCAAGCTTCGTCTCCTGGTTTCACACCATTCTCCTGCCTCAGCCTCCCTAGTAGCTGGGAGTACAGGCATCTGCCACCACGCCTGGCTAATTTTTTTGTATTTCTTTTTTTTTAGTACAGATGGTGTTTTGCCATGTTAGCCAGGATAGTCTTGATCTCCTGACCTCAGGTAATCCACCCGCCTCGGACTCCCAAAGTGCTGGGATTGCAGGTGTGAGCCACCGTGCCCGACCGTGGACTTGATTTTCAAATGCAGTGGACCCTTGAACAACACAGGTTTAAGCTGCGTGGGCCCACTTATATGTGGATCTTTTTCAACCAAATGCAGACCGAAACCTGCATATATGGAGGCCCAACTTTTCATATATCCAGGTTTTGCAGGGCCCACGGTGGGGACTTGACTATGCCAGGATTTTGGTAGAAATAGGGGTCCTGGAACAAATCCCCTATGGTATATGTCCTATACATATGTCCTATACATATACCATAAGACAACCAGACTATTTTTACAGTTTTAAGAAACATAGATTTGTCAAGCCTATTAGCCTATCCAGATCATTTGTACTATTCTTACATAGAAACCCTTCTTAGAGGGGGTCTAATATATAGGAAATACTTACATAGAATATTCTGCATGTTAGGGCTGGGCACAGTGGCTGACGCCTATAATCTCAGCACTTTGGGAGGCTGAGGCGGGCGAAATCACCTGAGGTCGGGAGTTCAAGACCAGCCTGGCCAACATGGCGAGACCCTGTCTCTACTAAAAATACAAAAGTTAACCAGGCATGGTGGCGTGCGCCTGTAATCCCAGCTATTCAGGAGGTTGAGGTAGGAGAATCGCTTGAACCCAGGAGGCGGAGGTTGCAGTGAGCTGTGATCGTGCCACTGCACTCTACCCTGGGTGACAGAGCAAGACTTCATCTCAAAAAAAAAAAAAATTCTGCATATTAGTTTATCTTGCACAACTTCAAAATTGTTTTAAATGAACACGTCTTTAGGTCAGCAATAAACTACATTAAAACAATATTCAAATATATACACAAGTATATACAAGAAACTTATACTTAAAGGCACTTGTTATCAAACACTGAAAAAAATAAGAACATCTCCAATCAATGGTAACAGCTATAACTGAGGACAGACTTTATTTCTGGAACATACATGTATCACTTTTCATCTTAACACTCATCTAGCAAAGTAGGGTTTTTTGGTTTATTTGTTTGTTTTTTGAGACAGGGTCTCTCTCTACCACCCAGGCTGGAGGGCAGTGGCACCATCATGGCTCACTGTGGACCTCAGCCTCCCAGGCTTAAGTGATCCTCACACCTCAGCCTCCCAAGAACCTGGAAATACAGGCAGGCACCACCATGCCCAGTTAACTTTTGTATTTTTTGTAGAGACAGGGTTTTGCCCTGTTGCCCAGGCTAGTCTGAAACCTAAGCTCAAGAGATCTGCCAGGTGTCAGACTCCCAAAGTGCTGAGATTACAGGTGTGAGCCACTGCACCAGGCTCTAAGTAGGTGTTAAAATCTCTATTTAACATAAGAAACTAAGGCATCATGAAGATAAGGCCACAAGCTAAGAACTCAGAGGGCTGGAAGCCCACACAGATTCCTTAAATTTGAGTTCAGTGTACCAAACCAAGGGGGCAGGGAGTGCTAACTTAATGTTAGCTGGCAGGCTGGTGCAGGTTTGTAGCAGAGTTTTCACTGATTTTTGGGAAAATGGGGAATAGTAAGAACATGAAAGTAAACTTTTTTTTTTTTTTTTTTTTTTGAGACGGAGTCTCGCTCTGTTACCCAGGCTGGCATGCAATGGTGCGAGCTTAATGCAACCTTCGCCTCCCGGGTTCAAGCGATTCTCCTGCCTCAGCCTCCAGAGTAGCTGGGATTACAGGTGTATGCCACCACACCCAGCTAATTTTGTATTTTTACTAGAGACGGGGTTTCAGCATGTTGGCCAGGCTGGTCTGAAAGTAAACTTCCACATAGCTAATTGATTCCATTTAAAGATCTTTTATTCTAAGAGATTCTGTTCTTTCAAATTGTTTGAATGGAAATATCCTTTTGTTAAATGAAATGATGGTGATAGGAGATAGTGGTGTGTTACTGTTTTTATTGGCTGTACCTGGTAGAAGTAAAAAATCAGCATTTCTATTGTAGCCTCCTAACTGGGGGGAAATATTTCTTTAGAAATCTAAAAGTCTGGAACTTTCCATCATTATGCCTCCCCAGAATAATAGAGGACTTTACACACAGATTACACATGCCCCTCAAGATTCTCTCATTAATCTCTACCTTATTCTGTTTGGATTAAGACATTTAGGGATTGTGAAATGAGAATAAAGTGAATTTAAGCAATCCAAAACCACATGCTGACTCTGGGTCCTCGAAGATTGCTTTCTTCAGAATCTTTTTCATGTGTTAACTTTCCTCTGGGCTCAAACTTTCTTTTCCTAAAACAGTCACATCTTTGAGTATTACTGCTACATGGCAATCACTATCAAAATAAACTAACTTGAGGCATCCAATAATCAGCTTTCATTTAAAGTCTCTTTCAGCTTGACAAAACAAAAACTTTCAATGATGTTGTGTCTACCACTTCCAAAAGAAAATTAGTCTATATCCGTACATATATATGTGATTATATATGTATACGTACATATGTGATATTGAATAGCCTGTTTATAAACTACTTGCAAAACAAGCTGATTTGTAAATTCATTTATTAAATGAGTAGTTTATAAACTACTTGATTTTTGCAAGTAGTTTATAAACAGGCTGATCAAACTGAACAAATGTCTTAATTTCACTGTATAGATAGCAAATAAATTATTTACTCTTATTGGCATATCTTATTTTTACCCACCCTCCTTTTGCAAGCTTCTAAGTTAAACTATTTTATGTCCACAGCTACACAATGAAACATCACTTTCAGTCACAACATATTAAATTCACATTTAAAACTATAAAGAGATCCAGTTACCTTTAGTCTTACATGTACTTATATATATTTTTAATATACTACTTGATGTTTTATGGTGCAAAAACACGCAGCTCTTGCAGGATGCATAACTATGAAAATATTTAGAGTGTATGCTTATTAAATGGTTCAAAACTCTCTTTTTAAAAGAAAAGTCCATTTTTTTTTATTTTTTGAGATGGAGTCTCACTCTTGTCGCCTAGGCTGGAGTGCAATGGTGCAATCTTGGCTCACTGCAACCTCTGCCTCCTGGGTTCAAGCAATTCTCCTGCCTCAGCCTCCCGAGTAGCTGGGGCTACAGGCATGTGCCACCATGCCCGGCTAATTTTTGTATTTTTAGTAGAGATGGGTTTCACCATGTTGGCAAGGCTGGTCTCGAACTCCTGACCTCGGTTGATCTGCCCGCCTCAGCCTCCCAAAGTGCTGGCCTCCCAAAGTGCTGGGATTGCGGTGTGAGCCACCGCGCCCGGCCAAGAAAAGTCAGTTTTAAGAACTTAAGCAGGCCGTGCTCAGTGGTTCACGGCTGTAATCCCAGCACTTTGGGAGGCCGAGGCAGGCAGATCAACCGAGGTCAGGAGTTTGAGACCAGCCTGGCCAACATGGAGAAACCCCGTCTCTACTAAAAATACAAAAATTAGTCGGGCTTGATGGTGGGAGTCTGTAATCCCAGCTACTCCGGAGGCTGAGGCAGGAGAATCACTTGAATCCTGAAGGCAGAGGTTGCAGCGAGCCAAGATCGCGCCATTGCACTCCAGCCTGGGTGACAAAAGCAAGACTCCATCTCAAAAAATAAAACAACTTAAGCATATAGTGAAGTACTCTTTCCATGCCCCAATGTTAAAAGGTCCATCTATTATAGACTACTTGTTTCAAATAAAAATCTAAAACTGGTAATAATTCTGCTTAAATTCCATATTAAACTAGGATCAAAAGTTATTTTTAGTTCCTCTTGTTTCTTAAATACTTGAAAAGTGCTGCTACATGTTTTCCTTATATATTTATTCATTCAACTAACTTTGGGTGGAAGGTACTTGCAAGTTTAAAAGTCCTTTCCAAAAGTGGAAATAACATAAAAATGTTTGCATAAAAGACACTCAATGGTTCTCAAAGTGTATCTGAGAGTCTAATCAGCCTATTAACTTTGTTCTGAATAACCAACAACAAATGTGAGCTTTTTGTCACATCTATGTATTTTCCCCTGTAAACTGATACCTACATTTTAAATGCATTTTTAAAATGTTCCATTTGGCCCTATGATAATTATTTCTCCTGTAAAAAGCTACAGGATTTTTGTTTAAGAGCAAATGAGATAGAGTATCTGATCCATGAAAAAGGCTAAGTGGAAAGATCAGCTCCCTAAAGTTTGTAACCAATAACAAGACAAATTCCAATGCTACTTGTTCATATAATCAACAATATGTGAGTCGAAATAAACTAGTGAGCTATATATTTCTGATACATACAAATTTACCAATCAACAGGAGAGGAAGAAATCGCTCAAATGTGACTACTGTTAACAAACATCTAAATATCAGACATAGTCTCTATCAAAATCGTAACCTATCAATTTTGAAATCATTCCTTCGACTTTTGTTATGCTTTTAATCCCCCCATTAAAGAAAGAAAGAAAACACGCATCCACTTTTAAAATGTAAATTCTCCCTTTCTCAAAGTAAGTTGCCTAGGGAAATTCAATGCATTAAAATAAAACGTAACAGACAAATCAATTACAACATTAAAAAAAAAACTAAAATGATCAGTAACACAAACCAATCACTCCAGTTTAGCAAAGCATGTGTTTTTAATCTGTTGTGGGTATCGTATTATGCTAATAAGCAACAATGTCTAAAACTCATCCCAATGCCTATAACACCGCCATCTACATAACATACTTGTCCTTTACTCCAATGAAGCTTAAACTAGACTCGAACTCAGACCATTTCCCCCTCCTGGCACACAGAAATATACGAGGGGGAATCCAAGAAATCAGATATGTTAAGTGCCGGTATCTTCTTCCAAAGTAGGGTCAAATTCGTGTTTGCCCGCAAATGTCACCGTCCTAGTAAGTCTGCAAATTCTCACTAGCGCTGGAGTACAAAGAGGCCTGACCACGGAAACACCTGTCCTAGCACCAGGAAGACAGTGGGAAATATAACCCTCCCTGGGTCTGAGCCCGCCCCAAAGACTCAGCAGCAGCGATGGTGGGGACAAGAGGCGGCCGCTGGTCTCGCGGGTGCTGCGGACAGGGTCCCACACCCCCGGACCGCCTCCCGAGAACGAGGAAACCTGTCAAGCCGGCCGGGACCCACACTCCACAGCCCCCTCGCGCTCCTGCCCAGCCCAGCCCCAGCGCGCCCGACCGCTCCCCATCTGCCCCAGCCTCCGGGCTGCACTCGGCCACCTCATTCTTCCCCGGCGACCTCGCGGCCCCGCCACCTCCTCCCCGCGACCTGGGCTCGGGTTGCCCCCGGGCAGGAGCGCCCGACCGCCGCCTCCCGCCCAGCCCCGACCCAGTCAGTTCCCCCGCGGCCCGGTCCCCTCCGCCTCCAGGCCCGAGCTCCCACCGCGCGCTCCCCAGCCCCAGCTAATATTATAAGCTAATATAATCAGGACGAAGAAAATGAAAAGTCAGAATAAAATGAAAGGCCAGGAATAAGAACACAGATAAGCAGGCCATAGGGACTTACACAATTATGAAAATTGTGTCATAAATTTGGCTGTGAGCTTCCTGGTGGCCAAAACTAAAAGGAAAACAGATGTATGTGCTTTTCTCACTGTCTTTAAGAAGAAACACAGTGTTCTTGGGGATTTTCAGTGTTTCCCTGGTTGCAGCTTCCATTTTTTCAGGGGCTTTATATAGTGATGTTGAGTAATAAGCAATATCCTTGTATTCGTTATCTATTGTTGGGTAAAAATCGCCCCAAATTCAGCAGCTTTATAAACAATAAACTTTTTTTTCCTCACAGTTTCCATGGGCTAGGAATCTGGGTGAGGTTAGCTGTGTCCTCTGGCTCAGGCTCTCACGAGGATACAATCAGGCTGTCAGCCAGGGCTGCAGCTCTCTCAAGGCTTCAGAATCCTCTTTGAAACTCACTTCGACGGCTGCTGGCAGGCCTCAGGTCCTCTCTGGCTGTGGGCTGGAGACATCAGTTCTTGTCCACTTGCACCTCTTCATAAGAAGCAGCTGGCTTACCCCAGGGCTAGGGAGGGGAAAGAGGAAGAGACAGAAAAAGAAAATGAGAGACAGTTTCACAGTCCTTTTTGAAACCTAATCCCAGAAGTGACATCCCAAGATAAATAAGTATAATACATATTAAGTTATATGGTGGTAAATGCTAAGAAAATAATCAAAATTCTCCATGTGGTATTAGTTCATAGCACAGAAGTTAAGAGCTTGGGTCCAGGAGGTAGACTTGGAGTTTGAATTCTAGTTCTCTGACTTATTACCCATGTGATTTCGGGCCAGGCTATATTGCCTCTCCAAGCCTCAGTTTCCTTATTTCATTATTGTCAGTACAGAGAAAATGCTCATTTTTATAAACCTGGAGGAGTGGACCAGTAAACATCATTTGTACAGACAGGACCTGCTGACCCACCAGGCAAAAAAGAGGCCCCCACTGAGCAAGTCTACCTGCCAGATGCTATGTCATATTTAAACTTCATGAGATCTGGCCAGGCACAGTAACTCATGCCTGTAAATCCCTGTAGATCAAGGTGGGAGGATTGCTTGAGGCCGGGAGTTCAAGGCTGCAGTGAGCCATGATTGTGCCACTGCACTCCAGCCTGGGCAACAGGGTGAGACCCTGTCTCCACAAATAAATAAACATCTTATGATCTGTACCAGGGTACAGGCAGGTGTTATTATCCCCACTTTTCATCCTCAACTCTGAGTTGAGTCATACATCAACTCTGATGACCTTTGCTTCCACTCCCCTTAAGCCATCCACAGGAATAGCTACTTTACATAGAAAAGTCAATCTGAGAGGGTTGAGTGACTTGCCCAATTACTGTAAAAGGTAGAGCTTCAGTTAGCACCAAAGCCCATCTGATGCTAGTATTCCCTCTCCACCCATCCACGTGGCTTCCTGGTACTTATTTTAATTTTTTTTTTTTTGAGGTGGAGTTTCACTCTTGTTGTCCAGACTCAAGTGCAATGGTGCTGTGGCTCACTGCAACCTCCATGTCCTGGGTTCAAGCGATTCTCCTGCCTTAGGCACCCGAGTAGCTGGGATTACAGGTGCCTGCCACCATGTCCAGCTAATTTTTTTTTTTTTTTGAGATGGAGTCTTGCTCTGTTGCCCAGACTAGAGTGCAGTGGTCCAATATTGGCTCACTGCAACATCCATCTCCTGCTTTCAAGCAATTCTTCTACCTCAGCCTGCCGAGTAGCTGGGATTGCAGGCGCCCGCCACCACACCCAGCTAATTTTTGCATTTTCAGTAAAGACAGGGTTTCACCATGTTAGCCAGGCTGGTCTCGAACTCCTGACCTCAGGCAATCCACCCACCTCAGCCTCCCAAAAGTGCTGGGATTACAGGCGCTAGCCACGGCGCTGGGCCCATTTTTTGTATTTTTAGTAGAGATGGGGTTTCACCATGTTGACCAGACTGGTCTTGAGCTCCTGACCTCAGATGATCCACCCACCTCGGCCTCCCAAAGTCCTGGGATTACAGGCATGAGCCACCGTGCCTGGCCTTGGCTTCCCTTTAATAAATCACCACTCAATTTGATGTGGAGGCTCTGTTCTTTCCCAGAATATAATGAATGGAATATTTCCCAACCCACTTCCTCTGTTTTATCAGTGTAATCAAGGGCTAGGGTGTTCCCTTCTTCTTGCCTCAAGGTGAAACAGAGGGGGCTCCCCTGTGCTCTGTAGCAGGCTAGACCTAGGCTTAAATCCTAAAGTGTGCAGAGACTCCGCTGCACACTGCCATCCCAAGGCCCCTGTGATGTGTCTCAACTGGGGTCCTCTCCCTCCAAGCTCTGTGAACCTCAGTGCTGGGACCCTGAAAATAATTTAAGACAGGCATAAACAAGACCCTGGCTGCCAACCTAAACTTAGTCTCAGAGCTCAGGTACATTCAGGAACCCTGAAGCCCATGACTTCTCACACCCCTGCCATCCTATTCTTAGTTGTCTAAAATAATTTAAACATTTTATTTATTTTAATTTTTTATTTGTTTTTTTGAGACAGAGTCCTGCTCTGTCACCCAGGCTGGAGTGCAGTGGCATGATTTCGGCTCACTGCAACCTCTGTCTCCTGGGTTCAAGTGATTCTCCTGCCTTAGCCTCCTGAGTAGCTGGGATTACAGATGCCTGCCACCATGCCTGGCTAATTTTTGTATTTTTAGTAGAGACAGGGTTTTACCATGTTGCCCAGGCTGGTCTCGAACTCCTGACCTCAGGTGATCCGGCCTCCCAAAGTGCTGGGATTAAAGGTGTGAGCCACCACACCTGGCTGAGACTATATTTTTTTAATTAAAAAATGTTTTTTGAGGCCAGGCACAGTGGCTCATGCCTGTAATCCCAGTACTTGGGGATGCTGAGGCAGGCAGATTATTTGAGGGCAGGAGTTTGAAACCAGCCTAACCAACATAGTTAAATCCGGTCTCTACTAAAAATACAAAAATTAGCGGGATATGGCGGTGGGTGCTTGTAATCCCAGCTACTCATGAGGCTGAGGCAGGAGTATCACTTGAGCCTGAGAGGCGGAGGTTGCAGTGAGCAGAGATCACACCACAGCACGATCATAGCTCACTGCTGCCTCAGATTCCTGGGCTCCAGCCATCTGCCTGCCTCAGCCTCCTGAGTAGCTGAGATTACACGCATGCACCACCACACCCAGTGTGAGAAACAAATGCACCCGTCCAAACCCAAAGAATGGACTCAGACAGAGCACAGAGAAAGTGAGACTTTTAATGATGGTCTTGCAGGATCGGGTGTCTGGCACCAGGCACACATAGCACAGTTTCAACAAGCAATGTATCCCTTCGTCTGCAGGTACCTCCCCTGGTTCCTCATAGGCTGAGTACTATGGGGTCACAATCTTCCTGGATGTTGCCTATTGGTTGTTGGGTAGGGGCTGTAGGTGTTTTCTTTAGGGTTGTTAGAAATACCAGAATTGTTAGAAATATATAATTGGTGCCATGAAGTAAAGTCAGCATGAAGACAAAAGATCTCTCAGCAAGGCAATCTTTACTTTCTGCGGAAAGGGTGCTCAATCACAGATGGAACAATGGCAAGAGCACACCTGAGCAAAGGAAAAGCAGATCTATTTACCCTTATGCATTTGGGTCGTCCTTACTGCTTTGTCCTGCATCCGCTGGCTGGAGTTGAACCTCACAATCTTAAACTGATACCCGATTTGCTAATAGCCTAAAACTTCCCTAAATAGGTAAGTGCAGGGAAGAACAAAGAAAGAGAGGAAGTTGCTTATGAAAGGCTTAAGGAAGTAATAACATTTCCAAATAAGGAAGGGAAATAAACTATGAGCTAAGACTTGCCTGGGCCTGTCCAGACATGCCTGAGTAAGCCAAGCAACTCAATGGGCTAAAGTGTAAGAACTAATAGTTGATAGGAGGCTTTAGAGTAAGGAGCTATTATTCCTGGTGTCTATTATTTTATGTTTAAACCAAGATGAGCTTTGAAGAGGAACTTTTCTACTTCCTACAGTTGTCCTGCTGCATTTTGTTGCAGCCCACAATGCATTGCAATCCTAGTTAGCTTAGAGCCTCTTCAAGTATTTGACTTATGACCCAAGTAGCTAGGCAGGCTGATAAGAACAGACAAAACCAGCTATTTTGTGGGCTAGTAAAGTTTCATCTTAGACTAAACTTCTTTGGTTCAGGTGGGGGCAACGAAAAAGGTGGGGGTGGTGACAAGCAGGCATTGAGTGTCCAAGCAGAAACCTAGTATGTACTGTTTCTTTTGTAGTTTGCTGGCCTAACCTGATTTAAGCCACTTTGTCTTGGAAATGGACCACTGTATACATTATTTCCTTCACCCAGCTAATTTTAAATTTTTTTTGTAGAGATGAGGTCTCATTCTGTTGCCCGCTGGTCTTGAACTCTTGGCCTCAAGTGATCCTCCTGCCTCAGCCTCCCAAAGTGCTTGGATTACAGACATGAGCTACCTGTTCAGTCATCTTTGTTTAAAAAAGAGAGTTTGGAGGACTCCAACTAGGAACTATTGGAGGAATCTTGGCCAGATATGATTATAGCTGGGTTGAAACAATGAAAACAAAACAATGAAACAAGATAAAAAGGAGGAAGACGGGGAAAGGCTGGGAAGGTTACAACCAACAGGACTTGCAAGTAAGCAGATCTGGTGGCAAAGGTCAGGGAAAACCAAAGACTTCCAGGTCACCAGGTGACAAGGCCAGATACGGCATATGGTAGTGCCGGCAGATGGAGGGGGAGTGCATACCACCACACAGTTGGCCCACACACTCTGGCTGCAAAGGGCCAGGGACCACATGGTCTTTAGCTTGCTGCCTGAATTTGGACAACTCACTCCCTCTCACTCCGTGTCTTCACATTTCCAAAATGAATCTAAAACAAACCCTTCACCAGCTTATTTTGTTTCTGTTTTGTTATTTTCTGAGATGGAGTCTTGCTCTATTGCCCAGGCTGGAGTGCGGTGGTGCGATCTTGGCTCACTGCAACCTCCGACTCCAGGGTTCCTGCCATTCTCCTGCCTCAGCCTCCCAAGCAGCTGGGATTACAGGTGCCGACCACCATGCCTGGCTAATTTTTTTGTATTTTTTTTAGTAAAGACAGGGGTTTCACCATGTTGGCCAGGTTGGTCTCGAACTCCTGACCTCAGGTGATCCACCTGCCTCAGCCTCCCAAAGTGTTAGGATTACAGGTGTGAGCCACTGTGCCCGGTCTCCAGCTTGTTTTAAGAATCGAGTAACATCGCCATGTTTAATTGGCTTAGATATTCAGAAGCTGTTGATGTGAATGTTTAATGAACTTTATGAGTAAACAAATTAGATCAAAGTAAGTGGACTCCATGAAGCCGAGTATTATGCCTTCTGGATATGCCACCTGGTAACCCCTCCTTCAGCACACTGTGCCCCTTGACAGGCATCATGGGAGCAAGGACAGAGAAGGTGGGTGGGGAGCACAGGGACAGAGACACAGTGACATCCGCCCCTGTCTTGCCCCCATCCCATCCACCCTTTTTTTTTTTTTTTGAGATGGAGTTTCACTCCTGTTACCCACGCTGGAGTGCAATGGCGCAATCTCAGCTCACTGCAACCTCTGCCTCCCAGGTGCAAGCAATTCTCCTGTCTCAGCTTCCCAAGTAGCTGGGATTACAGGCATGCACCAGCACACCCGGCTAATTTTGTATTTTTAGTAGAGATGGGGTTTCACCATGTTGGCCAGGCTGGTTTTGAACCCCTGACCTCAGGTGATCCACCCACCTCAGCCTCCCAAAGTGCTAGGATTACAGGCGTGAGCCACCATGCCCAGCCCCCATCCACCCCTTTCTATAACAAAATCATTTAATAATGGTTTCCCATGTGTAAAAGATTTGCTTCATTCAATCACAGAATAGACACTTGAGATTCAAATTTACTGAGGAAGAAACTATTCACATGCCAAGTAGGAACTTAAAAAAAAAAACAACCCTTAATCACTGTATCATTGAAGGAAAACCAATTTAAGGGATGTAGTGTTTATCCAGGCAAGCCTGGTTGGCTTCTTGGTTTTCTGTCTTACTCATTTCTTTCGCCTTCTCAAAGAGTAGATTTTATTTTCAAACCTGGGAAAAGAGGTGTTCAAGGTGGGAGGGAGATGGAGGTAGGAAGATGGCTTTAGATCAGGAGTTCAATACCAGCCTGGTCAATATAGCGAGACCTTGTCTGTAGAAAAAAAAATTTTTTTTTACTTAGCTAGATGTGGTTGGTGGTGCATGCCTGTGGTCCCAGCTTCTCAGGAGGCTGAGGGAGGAGGATCACTTGAGCCCAGGAATTTGAAGCTGCAGTGAGCTGTAATCATGCCACTGCACTCCAGCCTGCATGACAAAGCAAGACCCTGTCTAAAAACAACAACAAAGGGCCAGGCTCAGTGGCTCACACCTGTAATCCCAGCACTTGGGGAGGCTGAGGCAGGAGGATCTCTTGAGGCCAGGAGTTCGAGACCAGCCTGGGCAACATAGTGAGACCCTGTCTCTCTCTGTCTCTCTCTTTTTTTTTTTTTAAAGAGATGTTTGGGATATTCCACTACGTAGACGTCCACTGCTGAACGGTCATAACCAAGACACATGGCCTGACAGCATGTGATGGTTATTTGTGTTTGTGCAAACTCCAGAGCAGCCCAAGCTCCTGGACAAAGAGACATTCCACTGTGTTTTTAACTGTCTTGATCAGACATATGAGGAGAGACAAGTCATTGTCTCCAGCATCAAAGGAATGAACCAAGATGTTGATTTTGAAGAGCCAACACTTTCCCAAGAAGCCTCCACAGTGTGACATCACAGGGCCTCTACCAGCACTGAGTGTCAGAATTGAGGCATGTGAAGCTGGGCCACATTCTAGCAGAGGCCCTGCTCAAAATGTGGCCTGGAGTAATCAAAAGATGTTGACGTGGCAGCTCCTCACCAGGTGTCCTGCTCCCTTTATTGTCCATCTATGTCCAGTCTCTTAACAAGCAGCTGGAATGTTCTTTTTAGTGTTTTTGTTTTGTTTTGCTTTGTTTTCTTTGAGTCTTGCTCTGTCACCCAGGATGGAGTGCAGTGGCGTGATCTCTGCTCACTGTAACCTCCACCTCCCGGGTTCAAGCAATTCTTGTGCCTCAGCCTCCTGATTAGCTGGGATTACAGGCACCTGCCACCATGCCCGGCTAATTTTTGTATTTTTTAGTAGAGACGGTGTTTCATCATGTTGGCCAACCTGGACTTGAACTCCTGACCTCAGGTGATCCACCCGCCTAGGCCTCCCAAAGTCCTGGAATTACAGGCATGAGCCACTGCGCCCGGTTTTTTTGTTTTGTTTTTAGCTATTAGGTCTAGCTCTGACTCTCAAGCTGGAGTGCAGTGGTTCAATCATGGCTCATTGCAGCCTCTATCTCCTAGGCTCAAGAGATTCTCTCCCCTCAGCCTCCCGAGGAGCTAGGACTACAGGCATGTGCCACCACATCTGATGAAGTTTACTCTTGCTACCCAGGCTGGAGTGTAATGGCCTGATCTCAGCTCACTACAAATCTGCCTCCCAGGTTCAAGCAATTCTCCTGTCTCAGCCTCCCAAGTAGCTGGGACTACAGGCATTCGCCACCACACTGGCTAATTTTTGTATTTTTAGTAGGGATGGGGTTTCACCATGTTGGCCAGACTGGTCTTGAACTCCTGACTTCAGGTGATCCACCTGCCTTAACCTCCCAAAGTGCTGAGATTACAGGCATGAGCCCTGCACCTGGCACACCTGGTTCATTTTTTTAAATGTTATTTTTGCAGAGACAGGGATCTCTGTATGTTGCCCAGGCTGGTCTCAAAATGTTACTCTCAAATGATCCTCTCCCTTCAGCCTCCCAAAGTGCTGGGATTAGAGGCATGAATCACTGTGCCCAGCCTCATTCTCTTTTAATTAGCTCAGTTTCAGTTTCTTATTATACAAATACCATCAAATAGAAAATGTCAATGTTAAGCAGGATTTCCATGTAAAGGTGGCAAATCACAAAATCTCCCTTCCTTGATACTTATTCATTCTTTTTTTGTTCTTTTTATTTATTTTTTGAGATGCAGTCTCACTCCGTCACCCAGGCTGGAGTGTGATGGCACAATCTTGGCTCACTACAACCTCCACCTCCCAGATTCAAGTGGTTCTCCTGCCTCAGGCTCCCGTGTAGCTGGGATTACAGGTGTGTACAAGCATGCCCAGGTAATTTGTGTATTTTTAGCAGAGACGAGGTTTTACCATGTTGGCCAGTCTGGTCTGGAACTCCTAACCTAAAGGTGATCCACCTGCCTCGGCCTCCCAATGTCCTGGGATTACAGGCATGAGCCACTGCACCCGGGCCCTTGATACTTATTCATTCTAATGACATTTAGTGTGCGCCTACTATGTGCCAAGTATATATTAGGTTCTGAGAATGACTAAGATGGGACTCCTGCTGCAGGGAGCCTTTGTTCTGATTTGGTGTGAGTTTGGGAGGAGGATATGTAGGCAAGCAATTCAATAAATAGCAAGCTGATTTTTGAGTGTGATATCTGCTTTGAGAGAACCAGGCAGAATGAGGCAATGAATCCTCCCTCTCCACAGGATGAGGGAGGATTTCTCTGCCAAGGTGATGTGTGAGCTGAGGTCTGGAAAATCTAGTAAGGAATGACTGGCCTCGAGCCAACCCTGGCTAAGCTACAGAGCTTCAATGATAAAGAAAGTACTCCACTGGCCTTTGGGCAGGAAAACATAAGTACATGTGAGAAGAACCTCCAGCCAGCCTCAGAGCTTCCCATAACCCCAGCTAGAGCTAGATGACAATAAAGTCAGAACTTAAAGGAAGAACAAAGAAAAGGAAAATGAATCAAGAATATTCTCCCAGGCCAGTTGTGGTGGCTCACGCCTGTAATCCCAGCACTTTGGGAGGCCAAGGAGGGTGGATCACTTGAGGTCAGGAGTTCGAGACCAGCCTGGCCAAAATGGTGAAATTCTGTCTCTACTAAAAATACAAAAATCAGCTGGGCATAGTAGCGTGCATCTATAATCCCAGCTATTCAGGAGGCTGAGGCAGGAGAATCACTTGAACCCGGGAGGCAGAAGTTGCAGTGAGCACCACTGCACTCCAGCCTGGGTGACAGAGCAAGACTCTGTCTCAACTAATAATAATAATAATAATAGAATAGTTATTCAAGTATAAACGCATTAAACAGAAACTCTCAAACATGCATCAATTCCAAAAATACAGCAGCTGTGGGTGAAAATAGAAACTGCAGGTTAAAAAGAATCATGATACTTTTGTATCTTTTTTCATAATTTTAATGAATGTTGAATAAAAAGATATGACCTTCACGTAGACTTTTATCTGAAGTTCAGAAATTCTCCCACCTTAGTTTCTTCAGCTTCTGTTGTATCAAGCAAAATAAATATTATATATATTTGAACTAAAACACATATAAAATATGTAAAGTTTCTTTTTTTTTTTGAGACAGTGTCTCTCTGTTGCCAGGCTGGAGTGCAGTGGTGCAATTTTGGCTCACTGCAACCTACGCCTCCCAGGTTCAAGTGATTCTCCTGCCTCACCCTTCCAAGTAGCCGGGATTACAGGCACCCGCCACCATGCCCAGCTAATTTTTCTATTTTTAGTAGAAACAGGGTTTCAACATGTTGGCCAGGATTGTCTCGATCTCCTGACCTCGTGATCTGCCCAATTCAGCGTCCGAAAGTGCTGGGATTACAGGTGTGAGCCACTGCACCAGGCAAAGTTATTTTTAATCCATTAATACATCTACTTACTTAACTACCTATTTGCACAAAAAGAGGTGTGAATTATCACTTTTTTTTTTTTTTCGACACAGAGTCTCTCTCTCTCTGTTGCCCAGGCTGGAGTGGAATGGTGTAATCTTGGCTCACTGCAACCTCTGCCTCCGAGACTTAAGCGATTCTCGTGCCTCAGCCAGGCATGAGCTACCAGGCCTGGTCATATCACATAATGTTAAGTTATTTTTTGGTGGTTGAAAATTTCATGATTTATTACTTGCTTCTTTGTACTTTTCTTGTTTTGCTTTCTCTTCTCTCTCTCGCTCTCCCTCTCTGACAGGGTCTCACTCTGTTACCCAGGTTGCGATCTCAAACCCCTGGATTCTAGTGACCCACCTGCCTCAGCCTCCCAAGTAGCTGGGACTACAGGTGTACATTACTATAACTGGTTTTTAATTTTTTATAGAGATGGGATCTTGCTATGTTCCTCATGCTGGTCTCATACTCCTGGCCTTGAGCAATCCTTCTACCCTGCCTTCCCAAAGTGCTGGGATTACAGGTGTGAGCTATAGCACACGGCCTGCTTTGTACTTTTCTACAGGACTTAGATTTTATATAATAATTAAAAATATTTTTTACAAAAGCAGTAGTCACTCTAAACTTTTTAAAATTAAGCAATGATTAAGAATGAGGTACAGAAAGTAGTATTAATTCAGCACCTATTATATACTAGATATTTTGCATATAGCGGATCACATAGTCCACATATCAAGGCAGGAATTATAATCTTTATTTATTTTTTTATTCTGTTTTATTTTTGAGATGGAGTCTCGCTCTGTCACCCAGGCTGGAGTGCAGTGGCGTGATCTCGGCTCACTGCAACCTTCACCTCCCGGGTTCAGGCTATTCTCCTGTCTGAGCCTCCTGAGTAGCTGGGACTACAGGTGCCCGACACCAAGCCCGGCTAATTTTTTTTTTTTTTTTTTTTTTTGAGGCAGAGTCTCGCTCCATCGCCCAGGCTGGAGTGCAGTGGTGCAATCTTGGCTCACTGCAAGCTCTGCCTCCCAGGTTCACGCCACTCTCCTGCCTCAGCCTCCCGAGTAGCTGGGACTAAAGGCACCCGCCACCACGCCTGGCTAATTTTTTGTATGTTTAGTAGAAACGGGGTTTCACCGTGTTAGCCAGGATAGTCTCGATCTCCTGACCTCGTGATCCGCCCGCCTCTGCCTCCCAAAGTGCCGGGATTACAGGCGTGAGCCACCGCGCCCGGCCAATTTTTGTATTTTTAATAGAGACTGGGTTTCACCATGTTAGCCAGGATAGTCTCGATCTCCTGAACTCATGATCCACCTGCCTCGGCCTCCCAAAGTGCTAGGATTACAGGCATGCGCCACCGCGCCTGGCCCTTATAATCTTTATTTTCCAGGAGACAAAAATATGGATTACAAGCATTTCCTGGTTCTAGAGATACACAGCTGCTGCCAAAACAATTTCCCCCTTTCCAGCAGCCTGCCCCCTGCTGGTTTTATCAAATTCAATCCCCCCACTTCCACCCCCACATCTGTGCGCAAGAGTGTTCACACACACACACATTTCTGCTATATTCCATCTGCCTAGGCCAGGAGCTTGTCATGACAAACCAAATGCAATACCTATTTCCTGACCAAAGCTGTTATTCAGTATCTCTATGATTTGAGAAATAGTTTGATTTCACCCTGACAAGGATCACACTGAGTTTTTAATAGAAGTAATAATTACAAACCATCCTAGTCTGTGTGAAAGCATGTGATGTTCAGATATATCCAGCCCTTTGAGATGCTCTGCTGGAAGGTGGTTGAGGTACAAAGTACTATTGACTCATGGTCATCTTGGTCCATGGTCATTAATAATGATAGTTTGTACTTCTTTCGTGTTTGTGCTAAGGGTGGTTTCAAAACCTGGAAGAAGCTTATCAATTTCTAGGTATTCAAATATATCTTTCACAATGTATGTGTGTGTGTATGTGTGTGTGTGTATGCTGTGAAGATACATACACACATATATTCACATATGAATATATACACACATTTATGTATTTACATTATACTAATAAAAAAATAAATTCTTTTTTTTTCTTTTGAGATAGAGTCTCACTCTGTCACCCAGGCTGGAGTACAGTGGCATGATCTCAGCTCACTGCCACCTCTGCCTCCCATGTTCAAGCAATTCTCCTGCCTCACCCTCTGGAGTAGCTAGGACTACAGGCACATGCCAGCACACTAGGCTAATTTTCGTATTTTTGGTAGAGACGGGGTTTCACCATCTTGGCCAGGCTGGTCTTGAACTCCTGACCTCGTAATCCACCCACCTCATCCTCCTAAAGTGCTGGGATTACAGGCATGAGTCACCGTGCTGGCATAAAGTAAATTCTTAATGATACATGAAAAGAAAATGGCAGGCCAGGTGTGGTGGCTCCCACCTGTAATCCCAGCACTGCAAGAGGCTGAGGGGGAAGGATCACTTGAGACTTGGAGTTTGAAACCAGCCTTGGAAACATGGTGAGACCCCCTCTCTACAAGAAATATAAAAATTACCTGGGCATGGCGGCTTGTACCTGGGGTCAAAGTTACTCAGGAGGCTGAGATGGGAGGATCACTTAAGCCAAGAAAGAAGATGTTGCAGTGAGCCAGGGTCATACCACTGCACTCCATCCTTAATGACAAAGTCATACCTTGCCTCAAAAAAAGGGAAAAAATTGGTATCCATGAAAAATGTAAAATATCTATATATACATAAATCTATATAGAAATAGTATATTAATGAAAAAGTAAATTCTTAATAGTTCATGACAAGCAAATAGCAGGCCAGGCATGGTGGCTCATGCTTGTGATCACAGCACTTTGGGAGGCTCAGGCAAAATGATTGCTTGTGTCCGAAAGTCTGGGAACAGCCTGGGCAACAAAGTGAGAACCAACTTCTCAGAAAAAATTAGAAATTAGCCAGGCATTGTGGCATGTGCCTGTAGCATCAGCTACTCAAGAGGCTGAGTTGGGAGAATCACTTCAGGCCAAATGGCCAAGGCTGCAGTGAGCCATGATCACACGACTACACTCCAGCCTGGGTGACAGAGCAAGACCCTAACAAAACAAAAAAAGATAACTGTAAAAAAATATAAATATAGAAAACATGAAGTGAGAAGCTACCATGTCCAGAGCAAAGAAAAAGGGCCCAAGCAGAGGCTCATTCTGACTCCCACCCAAAGAAGACAAGAAAAACTATGAGACACTAAATAAAACAAACATCACTATGAAACCACACAGGCAGAATTTATTATAAATTTGTCAGAAATCCACTGTCAAGGTTAAAAGAAGAGACAGGTGTTTTGCTAAGGCACTCTGCTGTGCAGTGAAGTTACCAACAAATAAGAGTCCAGGGAAGCTTTAGGCTCCTTGATGCTGTTGACCATTAAAGACTAAAAAGTGGGATCTGGAAAAGGTGACTGCGAAGCAAAAGCAAAGCCAGAAGAGGCCATGATGAGGCAGATGATGGGTTCCAGTGGCCACTATGAGGCCAAAGATGGGCCAGAAGAGGCCATCATGGGTTCGACTGGCCACTATGAGGCCGAAGATGGGCCAGAAGAGGCCATCATGAGAAAGGAGCTGGTATAACTGAGACAACTGTGAGACAGGAGCTGGGACTTGGGAGGCAGATGTGAGGAAAGAGATAAGCCAGGTGAGGACAGTGAGAGGCAGCAGCTGGGCTTAGAGAGGCCAGTGTGAGGCAAGAGCTGGGTCTGTTGAGGCAGCCTGGAGAAGCAATTGTCAGGCAAAAGCTGGGCCTGTTCAGGGAGCCACCAGGAAGGCAGTGAAACCGGAGGACTCAACTTGAGAAAGATTTGAGTCTACAAAGGCAAGGAGCTGCACAGGAGCTAATCCAAAGAGGATGTTGTGAGGCAAAAGCTGAACCTTTAGACACAAAATGTAGGAAGAAAAGGGGAAGAAGTGGATGCCTGGAGACAGCAACTGGACCTGGAGAGGCAGACTTGAGAAAGTTCTGGGCCTACAGAAGCTGCAAAAATGAAAAAACTCGACCTCGAGTGGCTGTTGAGAGGAATGAGGTAAGCCTAAAGAGGCCATTTGAAGGCAGGAGCTGGTCCTGTCGAACTTGCTGAAATGCAAGAATTTGGACTGGGAAGGTCACAGTGAGGCAAGAGCTCAGTGTGGAGAGTCAGCTGTGAGGCAGAGGCAGGGTCTGTACGGGCCTTCAGGATGCAAGAGGCTGGGCCAGGAGAGGCCGACAGGAAGTCCAGTTCTGGGCGTGAAGAGGCAGACAAAAGTCAAAAGCTGGGCCTGGGAAGGCTGCCGAGAGGCATGAGCTGGGCTAGGCCTAAAGAGGCCATTGGGAGGCAGGAGAAGCTGAGCTTGGAGAGGCCGACTTGATGAAGTTGTGCACCTGGAGCGGCCGCCAAGAGGCAAGAGCTGGGCCCGGGGTGGGCGACTTGAGGATGACTTGTGCCTGCAGGGGCTGCTGGAAGGAAAAGCTGGGCCTGGAGATGCCGACTAGAGGAAGTTCAGGACCTGGAGAGGATGCAAAGGAGCAAACGCTAGGCCTGGAAAGGCTGCTGTGAGGCATGAGCTTGGTGTATGGAGGCCACTGGGAGGCAGGAGCTGGGTCTGCAGAGGCTGCCGAAAGGCAGGAGGCTTGCCCTGAGTAGGCCACGGTGAGGAAGGAGGTGGGCCAGGAGGGCCCACTGCGAGGTAGAGGCTGGGCCTCTAGACGCCACCAACAGGCAGGGGCTGGCCCTGGAGAGGCCAGGAGAGGCATGAGCTGGGCCTCGACAGGCCAGCATAAGGGAGGACCTCGGCCTACAGAGGCCAGCGTGAGGCAGGAGCTCACACCTCTGGGAAGGTGGCCAGAGGCATAAGTTGGGCCTGAACAGGCCACTCTGAGGGAGGAGCTGGGCCTGTCGAGGCTGCCGGGAGGCAGGCAGGAACTAGGTCCTGGGAAGCCACAGTGAGGTGAGAGCTGGAGCTGGAGAGGCCCCTCAGAGGCAAGAGCAGGGCCTGCAGAGGCTGTTCTCAAGCCACAGCTGGGTCTGTACAGGCCACTGCGAGGCAGAAGGTGGGCCTAAATAGCTTGGCGGGAGAAAGTTTTGGGCCTACAAAGGCTTAGGACAGCTGGACAGGAGCTGAGTCAAAAGAGGTGTGTTGTGAGGCAGGAGTTGGGCCTGTAGATGGACCTGAGAGGAAGAGCTGGGCCTGGAGAGGCAGCCATGAGGGAGGCAGAGGCTGGGCCTGTAGAGACCAATAGGAGGCAGGAGATGGCCCTGAAGGGGCCACTTGGAGGATGTGCTGCACCTGGAGAGGCCGTGGGGAGGCCGGAGCTGGAAATGGAGAGGACTTCAGGACGATTTGAGCCTGCAGAGGCTGCCGGGAGTCCCAAGCTGGGCCTCGAGAAGCTAACTGGAGAAAGTCTGGGGCCTGGAGATGCCACCAGAGGGCAGGAGCCGAGCCTGGAGAGGCCACAGTGAGGCCCGAGCTGGGCCTCGAGAGCTTTGCTTGAAGTTTTTGGCCTACAAAGGCCGCCAGGAGCTGGGCAGGAGCTGGGCCTGGAGGTGCCCACCATGAGGTAGAGGCCGGGCCTGTAGAGGCCACCGACAGGCAGGAGCTGGGCCTGCAGAGGCCACGAGAGGCATGATCTGGGCCTCAACAGGCCAGCGTAAGGGAGGACCTCAGCCTAGAGAGGCCAGTGTGAGGCATGAGCTGACACCAGGGCGGGATGCAAGAAGCATGAGTTGGACCTAAAGAGGCCACCATGAGGGAGGAGCTCAGCCTGTCAGGGCTGCTGGGAGGCAGGCAGGAACTGGGCCCTGGGAAGGCGCCGTGAGGCAAGAGCTGGGCCTGGACAGTCCCCTGGGAGGCAGGAGTGGGGCCTGCAGCGGCTCTTCTCAAGCCAGAGCTGGGTCTGTGCAGGCCACCGCGAGGCAGGAGGTGGGCCTAAAGAGCTTGACTGGAGAAAGTTTTGGCCCTACAAAGGCTGGAAGGAGCTGAGCCAAAAGAGGTCGTTGGTTGTGAGGCAGGATTTGGGCCTGGAGACATAGCCAGGAGGAAGAGTTGGGCCTGGAGAGGCAGCCAGGAGGGAGGCAGAGGCTCCTCTGCCACAGTCAGAGGAGTGGGGCCCCATCCTCTCCAGGCCCTGAATTTACTCCATTCAGCCTCTCCGGGCCCAGCTGTTCCTCCCAGCTGCGTCTCCAGACCCGACTGCTGCCTCCCAACAACCTCTTTGGATTCAGTTCCTGCCCAGCTCCTGGAGGCCTTGGTAGGCCCACAGCTTCCTCAAGCCAAGCTCCCCAGGCCCAGCTCAGGCCTCACGGTAGCCTCTCCAGGCTCAGCTCCTGCCCTCCGATGGCATCTCCAGGCCCCAAATGGCCTCCGGTCGGTGGGCTCCTCCAGGCCCAGCTTGGGCCTCCCAGCGGCCTCTGCAGACCCAAGTCGTCCTGAAGTCGGCCTCTCCAGGCCCAGCTCCGGCCTCCCGGTGGCCTCTCCAGGTGCAACGCGTCCTCAATGAGGGCCCCTCCAGGGCCAGCTCCTGCCTCCCATCGGCCTCTAGAGGCCCAGCCTCTGCCTCCCGCCTGGCGGCCTCTCCAGGCCCAGCTGTTCCTCCTGGCTGCGTCTCCCGGCCCAGCTCCTGCCTCCCAGCAAGCAATCTGTTTTGGCTCAGCTCCTGCCCAGCTCCCGCTGGCCTTTGGAGGCCCCAAACTTTCTCCAGCCAAGCTCTTCAGGCCTACCTCCTGCCTCCCGGTGGCCTGTACGGGCCCAGCTCTGGCAGGAGAACAGCCTCTGCAGGCCCCGCTCTTGCCTCCCAGGGGCCTCTCCAGGCCCAGCTCTCGCCCCACGGTGGCCTCCTGGGGCCAAGTCCCTGCCTGCCTCCCGGCAGCCCGCGAGCGGCCCAGCTCCTCCCTCACGGTGGCCTGTTTAGGCCCAACTCGTGTCTCTGGCACCCTGTCCAGAGGCGTGAGCCCCTGCCTCACACTGGCCTCTCTCATGCTGAGAGAGGTCCTCCCTCACGCTGGTCTGTTGAGGCCCAGCTCATGCCTCTGTTGGCCTCTCCAGGTCCAGCCCCTGCCTGTTGGCGGCCTCTAGACGCCCAGCCTCTACCTCAACAGTGGGCCCTCCAGGCCCACCTCTTGCCTCGCCATGGCGTCCTCGGGCCAGGCTCCCCACCTCGGGGCTGCCTCCACACACCCAGCTGGTGCCTCGCGGAGGCCCTCCGGAGGCCAAGCTCATGCGTCACGGCGGCCACCAGGACCACTAGGTCTACCTTAAAAAAATGCTTAAGGGAGTTTTTCAAGTAAAAATGAATGAAGTTGGGAGCGGTGGCTCATGCCTGTAATCCCATTTTGGGAGGCTGAGGTGGGTGGATCACCTGAGGTCAGGAGGTCAAGACCAGCCTGGCCAACATGGTGAAACCCCACCTCTAATAAAAATACAAAAAATTAGCCAGGTATGAAGGCCACTGAGATTGTGCCATTGCACTCCAACCTGGGTGACAAGAGTCAAACTACATTTCAAAAACAAAAAACAAAACTTGAGGCCTGGCCTTCTGCTCCTCTCCAAACCCCCTTCTCTGGGCCCAAGACACCTTGGCTGAGGAGGGGGCTGAGGACGTGTGAGCCCCTGCCAGGAACCCCCTGCCCGGACCAAGTACTCGGCCCACAGGACTGTGTCCAGCGAGGCCTCCCGTGGCGTCAGCGTGTTCGTGTGGAGGAATGTGGAACCTCACTCTGTGGCCGTGTTCCCCTGGTACTCCGTCCCCTTCCTGACCCCTCCCTGGAGCCACACGAGGCCCAGCAACCTGCCAGTCACTCAGTGGCCTCCAACCAGAGCAAACAACCTGCCAAGTTGGCAGCTGTTGCTCATGAGCATCCACCAGGTGGGACAGGGAGTGTTGACCCTGGGTGGCCCCCTGGAGCCACCTGCCCTGAAAGCCCAGGGCCCAGAACCCCACACACTTTGGGGGTGGTGGAACCTGGTAAGGGCCCACCTCCCACCATGGAGGAGGAGCCCTGGGCCCCTCAGGGGAGTCCCTGCTGGACAGTGAGACAGAGAATGACCACGATGATGCTTTCCTCTCCGTCATGTCTCCTGACACCCAGTTGCCTCTACCACTCAGATGATGTCAGGCCCAGTCCCTCAGTGCCCTGCACAAGGAACAGGACTCATCTTCTGAGAAGGATGGATGCAGCCCCAACAAATGGGACAAGGACCACATCCGGTGGCCCATGAGTGGCGGTCATGATCTTCAGCAAGCGGCACCAGGCCCTGGCAGGGCGCACCAGGGTCACCCCAACCAGGACAACCGGACCGTCAGCCAGATCCTGAGCGAGCGGTGGTACACCCTGGGGCCCAATGAGACGCAGAAGTACCATGACCTGGCCTTCCAGGTGAAGGTGGCCCACTTGCAACAGGGACCAAAAGAAGTCCAGCTCAGAGGCTAAGCCCACAAACCAGGGGCTAGCAGGAGTATACAAGGGCTCGTGGGAGCAGAGTATATCAGAGATGAGCACTGCCACTGCCCCTGGGGTGTCCTCTGAACTCCTGTCAGTTGCAGCCCAGACACTCCAGAGCTCGGATACCAAGGAGCAGCTTCTGTGGGGCAGAACGGCTGCATACAGGGAACCTGGCTCAGCCTGGCCCAAGCCTTCTCCCACAGGGGTGTACACAGCCTTGACGGCAGGGAAATAGACCGTCAGGCACTACAGGAACTGACAGAAGTGGTGTCTGGCACTGCATCATACTCTGGCCCAAAGCCTTCTACTCAGTATGGAGCTCCAGGCCACTTTGCAGCCCCTGGTGAGGGAGGTGACCAGTGGGCAGCCCTGCTGCTGCCCACCTGAGCTTCTCATTCCCAGCACATGGCCAGTGATGACATAGTGAGTGATGAGGAGCACATGGTCATCCATGAGGAGGAGGGGGTGACAATGTCATTGCTGATGATGGCTTTAGCACCACTGACACTGATCTCAAGTTCAAGGAGTGGGTGACCGACTGAGAGTGGTGACAGCTCTGGGGAGGAGACAGAGGGCAACAAGGGCTTTGGTGGGAAGGTATTTGCACCTGTCATTCCTTCCTCCTTTACTCCTGCCGCCCCTTGCTGGATCCTGAGCCCCCAGGGTCCCCCGATCCATCTGCAGTTTTTGGCAAAGTCCATGGTCCCACCCCCTCCTCCTCCTACACATACTCGGATGCTTCCTCCTCAACCTTGGCACCCACCTCCTTCTTACTGGGCCCAGGAGCCTTCAAAGCCTAGGAGTCTGGTCAGGGCAGCAGAGCCGGCCCCCTACGGCCCCTACCCCTGGGGATGGGGGCCCAGGGACGCCTTCCAAGGCGACCTGTTTCCTCCCAATGGATCCTTCCACCTTCTGGTGCAAGAGACCTGAAAGTGTGGGCGACCTGGAGCTACCAGGCCCCTCAGTCATCGCAGTCCCTCCCAACACTAAGGCTTTCCTAGGCAGGAGCTGGGCTGAGCCACCCAGGGGGCAGAGCCTGAAGAGGAGAAACTGGGCTTTGGGGGTTGGGGCAGAGGGAACCCCACGGACATGGATCCCGCACTGGACGACCCCACCACACCCAAATGCAAGATGAGAAGATGCTCCATCTGCAGCCCAAAGCCCAACACCCCCAAGTGTGCCATGTGTGATGGGGACAGCTTCCCCTTTGCCTGCACAGGTGGAGAAGCCAAGGACGGGCTCAGGGAACCGGAGACCGAGAAGGCGCTGTCCTCTTCACTGCACGTGCCCTGGACCAGTGCCGGCCCTGATCGTGCAGCTTTTCCAGGCCCACTGCTTCTTCCTGTCCACTAGGCCACAGCCGCTCTCCAGGCCCACTATGCACACATCTTCCCCTCCAAGGTTTGTTCTGCCCCTGCCCTGACTCCCAGCCCTGAGGGGGTCCTGTCCCCACCTCACCTGGCTCAGACTCTGACGCTGCCCTGGCTGCCCCACCACTGCCTCTGCCCAAGAGTCACGTGAGGCTGAGAGTAGGGGCAGGGGCAGCAATGGTGCCAGTTGGGGGGCGGTCCAGTGGGAGGAGCCTCAGCCTCGCGGGCTGCTCCGTGGGACTGATGACTGCATAATCTTCTGGGCACCTCACGGATCTTCAACTGCAGGTGAAACGGATGCTGGTGGTGGGTGCAGGGCCGCTGGGAGCCGCTGCATGGGTCCCAGAGGCTGGACTGGGGCAGGTGCCAACTGAAGCTGCTGGGGCAGCATGGGCAGGATGCTCTGCACACAAACCTTGGAGAAGAAGATGTGTGCATAGTGGGTCCACTGCTGCTGCCCCTGCCCTGACTCCCAGCCCTGTCTGACCCCACCTCACCCTGCTCAGGCTCTGGCGCAACCCTGGCTGCCCTGCCACTGCCTCTGCCCCAGAGCTGGGGCCTCGACAGCCTGGCTGGAAGGGGACACCCCAGCCCTGCCTCAACACCTGGGTCCCTCCATAACTACCACAGGCAGGTGGGCGACCCCAAAGAAGATCCCAGGACTCACAATACCCCCTGAGAACACGGACACTATGTGGGGGTAGCAATGGAGGGCAGGATGGTTATCTTCTCCAGGGTAAAGCCATTTAATCCTTTCAGTTTGGGAAGGAATAAGGCCTGCTTTTTTTTTTTTTTTTTCCTTTTGAGACGGAGTCTTGCTCTGTCACCCAGGCTGGAGTGCAGTGGTGAGATCTTGGCTCACTGCAACCTCTTACTGCCGGGTTCACGCCATTCTCCTGCCTCAGCCTTCTGGGTAGCTGGGATTACAGGTGCATGCTACCACGTCCGGCTAATTTTTGTATTTTTAGTACAGACGGGGCTTCACCATCTTGGCCAGGCTGATTTCGATCTCCTGAAATCGTGATCCACCGGCCTCCACCTCCCAAAGTGCTGCGATTACAGGTGTGAGCCACCACGCCTGGCCAAGGCCTGCTCCTCTTATATATACCCCCTAGCCCTGCAGCTGTGCCGGGGGAAAGCTGGGCAGTTTCCCTCCTCTGAGCCCCTGTACATACCATGAAGTGTGGGACCTTCAGAGCTTTTCACTTTTCGGAAAATAGCTCCTGCTGGGGCTACAAGATGGAGTGTGAAGAGGGCCTTGGGCCACAGGGAGGTGCCTGTGGAATAGGGGGAGTTCATGCACCCCTTCTTTCTCCAGAGGGGCTGGACTCAGGTGAGTATGGGGGTGGGGGCTCCTGCACTTTGACACAGGCAGCGGGAGGGTTTTCTCCCAATTCCCTCTGCACTCCCAACTTGAGTTGTACTTTTTAAGAAAGTGATTCACCCTGCCTTTGCCCCCTTCCCCAGAACAGAACACATTGATCATGGGCGATATTTTCTATTGTGCCAAAAAGTTGCCATGACTGTCATTAAACCTGTTTAACACCAAATAATAAGGAAAATAAAATAAAAAATTCGGGCTTGGTGCAGAAACTCACTCCAAATAAATTACCTACCAAAATATTTATATAATGGTGGAAATGTTCCAAAATTCCATATTTTGGGATTTATACACAAAAGATAAAAAAAATTAGAGGCCAAGAGGCTGCCGGAAGGGAAAAACGGGGCCTGGAAAGGCCAATGTGAGGAATGAGCTGGGCCTAAAGAGGCCACTGGCAGGCGGGAGCTGGGCCTGCCGAAGCGGCCGAAAGGCAGGAGCTTTGGACTGGGGAGGCCACAGTGAGGCGAGAGCTAGCTGGGCGTGGAGAGTCTGCTGTGATTCCGAGGCCGGGCCCGTGCAGGCCTTCGGGAGGCAGGATGCCGGGCCTGCAAAAGCTGACTGGAGATCAAGTTCTGGGCCTGAAGAGGCCGCCAAAAGTCAAAAGCAGGGCCTGGGAAGGCTGCCTACAGCCACGAGCTGGGCTGGGCTGAAAGAGGCCACTGGGAGGCAGGAGGAGCTGGACCTGGAGAGGCTGACTCGAGGAAGTTTTGCACCTGGAGAGGCCGCCGAGAGGACGGAGCTGGGCCCGGGGAGGCCAAAATGCAGCTCTTCCAGGCCCACTTCCAGGCCGACTTGAGGACGACTTGGGCCTGCAGAGTCTGCCAGGAGGCTGGAGCTGGCCCTGGAGAGCCTGACTCAAGGGCAGTCTGGGCCTGCAGAGGCCGCCAGACTGGCCTCTAGAGGCTGATGAGAGGCAGGAGCTGACCCCGGAGGGGCCCTCGTTGACGACGCGTTGCGCCTGGAGAGGCTGCCGGGAGGCCGGAGCTGGGCCTGGAGAGGGCGACTTCAGGACGATTTGGGCCAGCAGAGGCTGCCGGGAGGCCCAAGCTGGGCATAGAGGAATCCACCGACTGGAGGCCGTTCGGGGCCTGGAGACGCTGTCAGAGGGCAGGAGCTGAGCCTGGAGAGGCCACCGTGAGGCCTGAGCTGGGGCTGGGGAGCTTGGCTTCAGGAAGTTGTGGGCCAACCAGGGCCACCGGGAGCTGGGCGGGAGCTGAGTCCAAAGAGGTTGTTGGGAGGCCGGAGTCGGGCCTGGAGACGCAGCCGGGAGGAAGAGCTGAGCCCAGAGAGGATGCCGGGAGTCTGCAAGTGGGTCTGGAGAGGCCGACTTCAGGAGGCCCAGCCTCTGCCTCCCGCATGGCAGCCTCTGCAAGCCCAGCTGTTCCTCCTGGCTGCATCTCCTCAAGTGGGCCCAGAGGTTCTGGGTCCTGAGAGGCAGTCGGAAGGGAAAAAATGGGCCTGGAAAGGCCGTTGTGAGGAATGAACCCCATGGGCCAGAAGAGGCCACTGGCAGGTGGGAGCTGGGCCTGCCGAAGCGGCCAAGAGGCAGGAGCTTTGGACTCGGGAGGCTGCAGTGAGGCGAGAGCTAGCTGGGCGTGGAGAGTCCGCTGTGAGGCAGAGACTGGGCCTGTGCAGGCCTTCGGAAGGCAGGAGGCCGGGCCAGGAGAGGCCGACTGGAGGTCAAGTTCGGAATCTGCAGAGGCCGCGGAAAGTCAAAAGTGGGGCCTGGGAAGGCCACCAGGAGGCATGAACTGGGCTGGGCCAAAAGAGGCCACTGGGAGACAGGAGGACCTGGGCCTGGAGATACTGATTCAAACTTTTGCACCTGGAGAGGCCGCCGAGAGGCCGGAGCTGGGCCTGGGGAGGATGATTTGGGCCTGCAGAGGCCACCGAGAGGCAGGAGCTGTCCCTGGACAGGCCTACTTGATGACAGTCTGGGCCTACAGAGGCCGCCGGGAAGCAGGAGCTGTCCCTGGACAGGCCTACTTGACGACAGTCTGGTCCTGCAGAGGCTGCCGGGAGGAAGAGCTGGGCCTGGAGAGGCCGACTGGAGGAAGTGCAGGACCTGGAGCCCATGCAAAGGAGCAAACGCCAGGCCGGGAGAGGCCGCCACGACGCATGAGCTTGGCCTCCAGAGGGCCTCCGTGAGGCAGGAGCTGGGCCTGCGGAGGCCGTCCCGAGGTGGGAGCCTGGCCCGAGGAGGCCACGGCGAGGCAAGAGGTGGGCCTGGAGGGCACACTGTTGAGGTAGAGGCTGGGCCTCTAGTGGCTGTCAACAGGCAGGAGGCCAGGCCTGGAGAGGCCGACTGGTGGTCAAGTTCGGGGCCTGCAGAGGCCGCGGAAAGTCAAAAGCAGGGCCTGGGAAGGCCACCGGGAGGCATGAGCTGGGCTGGGCTGAAAGAGGCCACTGGGAGACAGGAGGAGCTGAGCCTGGAGAGACGGACTCGAGGAACTTTTGCACCTGGAGAGGCCGCCGAGAGGCCAGAGCTGGGCCTGGGGAGGCAGACTTGAGGACGACTTGGGCCAACAGAGGCCACCGGGAGGCAGGAGCTGTCCTTGGACAGGCCTACTTGATGACAGTCTGGGCCTACAGAGGCCGCCGGGAGGAAGGAGCTGTCCCTGGACAGGCCTACTTGACGACAGTCTGGTCCTGCAGAGGCTGCCGGGAGGAAGAGCTGGGCCTGGAGAGGCCGACTGGAGGAAGTCCAGGGCCTGGAGCCCATGCAAAGGAGCAAACGCCAGGCTGGGAGAGGCTGCCCTGACGCATGAGCTTGGCCTCCGGAGGGCCGTGAGGCAGGAGCTGGGCCTGCGGGGGCTGCCCCAAGGCGGGAGCCTGGCCCGAAGAGGCCACGGCCAGGCAAGAGGTGGGCGTGGAGGGCCCACTGTTGAGGTAGAGGCTGGACATCTAGAGGCCGCCAACAGGCAGGGGCTGGGCCTGGAAAGGCCAACAGAGGCATGAGCTGGGTCTCAACAGGCCAGCGTGAGGGAGGATTGCTCTCAGCGTGAGAGAGACCAGTGTGAGGCAGGGGCTCATGCTGACCTCCCTCAGCGTGAGAGAGGCCAGTGTGAGACAGGGGCCCACGCTGAACTCCCTCAGCGTGAGAGAGGCCAATGTGAGGCAGGGGCTCACGCCTCTCGAAAGGGTGCCAGAGGCATGAGTTGGGCCTGAACAGGCCACCGTGACGGAGGAGCTGGGCCGCACACAGGCTGCTGGGAGG
The DNA here is from genome assembly GCF_000001405.40 of Homo sapiens. Lineage (NCBI taxonomy): Eukaryota > Metazoa > Chordata > Mammalia > Primates > Hominidae > Homo > Homo sapiens. Next base: position 56,812,112 of record NC_000007.14, read on the forward strand.
CAGGCAGGGACTTGGTCCCGGGAGGCCGCCGTGAGGCCAGAGCTGGGCCTGGAGATGCCCCTAGGAGGCAAGAGTGGGGCCTGCAGAGGCTGTTCTCCAGCCAGACCTGGGCCTGTACAGGCCACCGGGAGGCAGGTGGGACTGAGGAGCATCGCTGGAGAAAGTTCAGGGTCTACAAAAGCCGGCGGGAGCTGGGCAGGAGCTGAGCCAAAAGAGCTTGCTTGCTGGGAGGCCGGAGCTGGGCCTGGAGAGGCTGACTTCAGGACCACTTGAGCCTGCAGAGGCCGCCGGGAGGCCCAAGCTGGGCCTGGAGAAGCCCACCGACCCGAGGCCATTTGGGGCCTGGAGACGCCGTCGGAGGGCAGGAGCTGAGCCAGGAGAGGCCACCATGAGGCCCGAGCTGGGCCTGGGGAGCTTGGCTTCAGGAAGCTGTGGGCCGACCAAGGCCACCAGGAGCTGGGCAGGCACTGAGTCCAAAGAGGTTGTTGGGAGGCAGGAGTCGGGCCTGCAGACGCAGCCGGGAGGAAGAGCTGGGCCCGGAGAGGATACCGGGAGGCTGCAAGTGGGTCTGGAGAGGCCGACTTGAGGAGCTTCTGGGCCCGGAGAGGCCGCCGGAAGGGAAAAACTGGGCCTGGAAAGGCCGTTGTGAGGAATGAGCCCCATGGGCCTGAAAAGGCCACTGGCAGGCGGGAGCTGGGCCTGCCGAAGCGGCGGAGAGGCCGGAGCTTTGGACTCGGGAGGCCGCAGGCGAGAGCGAGCTGGGCGTGGAGAGTCCGCTGTGAGGCAGAGGCTGGGCCTGTGCAAGCTGTCGGGAGGCAGGAGGCCAGGCCTGCAGAGGCCGACTGGAGGTCAAGTTCGGGGCCTGCAGAGGCCGCGGAAAGTCAAAAGCGGGGCCTGGGAAGGCCGCCGGGAGGCATGAGCTGGGCTGGGCTGAAAGAGGCCACTGGGAGACAGGAGGAGCTGGACCTGGAGAGACGGACTCGAGGAACATTTGCACCTGGAGAGGCCGCCGAGAGGCCGGAGCTGGGCCTGGGGAGGCTGACTTGAGGACGACTTGGGCCTGCAGAGTCTGCCGGGAGGCAGGAGCTGTCCCTGGACAGGCCTACTTGACGACAGTCTGGTCCCGCAGAGGCTGCCGGGAGGAAGAGCTGGGCCTGGAGAGGCCGACTGCAGGAAGTGCAGGACCTGGAGCCCATGGAAAGGAGCAAACGCCAGGCCGGGAGAGGCCGCCCTGACACATGAGCTTGGCCTCCGGAGGGCCGTGAGGCAGGAGCTGGGCCTGCGGGGGCCGCCCCAAGGTGGGAGCCTGGTCCGAGGAGGCCACGGCGAGGCAAGAGGTGGGCGTGGAGGGCCCACTGTTGAGGTAGAGGCTGGGCCTCTAGAGGCCGCCAACAGGCAGGGGCTGGGCCTGGAGAAGCCAACAGAGGCATGAACTGGGCCTCAACAGGCCAGCGTGAGGGAGGACTTCTCTCAGCGTGAGAGAGGCCAGAGTGAGGCAGGGCCTCACGCTGACCTCCCTCAGCGTTAGAGAGGCCAGTGTGAGGCAGGGGCTCACGCTGACCTCCCTCAGCGTGAGAGAGGCCAGTGTGAGGCAGGGGCTCACGCTGACCTCCCTCAGCGTGAGAGAGGCCAATGTAAGGCAGGGGCTCACGCCTCTCGAAAGGGTGCCAGAGGCATGAGTTGGGCCTCAACAGGCCACCGTGACGGAGGAGCTGGGCCGCACACAGGCTGCTGGGAGGCAGGCAGGGACTTGGTCCCGGGAGGCCGCCGTGAGGCCAGAGCTGGGCCTGGAGACGCCCCTGGGAGGCAAGAGCGGGGCCTGCAGAGGCTGTTCTCCAGCCAGACCTGGGCCTGTACAGGCCACCGGGAGGCAGGAGGTGGGACTGAGGAGCTTCGCTGGAGAAAGTTCAGGGTCTACAAAAGCCGGCGGGAGCTGGGCAGGAGCTGAGCCAAAAGAGCTTGCTTGCTGGGAGGCCGGAACTGGGCCTGGAGAGGCTGACTTCAGGACCACTTGGGCCTGCAGAGGCCGCCGGGAGGCCCAAGCTGGGCCTGGAGAAGCCCACCGACCCGAGGCCATTTGGGACCTGGAGACGCCGTCGGAGGGCAGGAGCTGAGCCTGGAGAGGCCGCCGAGAGGCCTGAGGTGGGCCCGGTGAGCTTGGCTTCAGGAAGCTGTGGGCCGACCAAGGCCACCAGGAGCTGGGCAGGCACTGAGTCCAAAGAGGTTGTTGGGAGGCAGGAGTCGGGCCTGTAGACGCAGCCGGGAGGAAGAGCTGGGCCCGGAGAGGACGCCGGGAGGCTGCAAGTGGTTCTGGAGAGGCCGACTTGAGGAGCTTCTGGGCCCGGAGAGGCCGCCGGAAGGGAAAAACTGGGCCTGGAAAGGCCGTTGTGAGGAATGAGCCCCATGGGCCTGAAGAGGCCACTGGCAGGTGGGAGCTGGGCCTGCCGAAGCGGCGGAGAGGCCGGAGCTTTGGACTAGGGAGGCCGCAGGCGAGAGCGAGCTGGGCGTGGAGAGACCGCTGTGAGGCAGAGGCTGGGCCTGTGCAAGCTTTCGGGAGGCAGGAGGCCAGGCCTGCAGAGGCCGACTGGAGGTCAAGTTCGGGGCCTGCAGAGGCCGCGGAAAGTCAAAAGCGGGGCCTGGGAAGGCCGCTGGGAGGCATGAGCTGGGCTGGGCTGAAAGAGGCCACTGGGAGACAGGAGGAGCTGGACCTGGAGAGACGGACTCGAGGAACTTTTGCACCTGGAGAGGCCGCCGAGAGGCCGGAGCTGGGCCTGGGGAGGCTGACTTGAGGACGACTTGGGCCTGCAGAGTCTGCCGGGAGGCAGGAGCTGTCCCTGGACAGGCCTACTTGACGACAGTCTGGTCCCGCAGAGGCTGCCGGGAGGAAGAGCTGGGCCTGGAGAGGCCGACTGCAGGAAGTGCAGGACCTGGAGCCCATGCAAAGGAGGAAACGACAGGCCGGGAGAGGCCGCCCTGACGCATGACCTTGGCCTCCGGAGGGCCGTGAGGCAGGAGCTGGGCCTGCGGGGGCCGCCCCAAGGCGGGAGCCTGGTCCGAGGAGGCCACGGCGAGGCAAGAGGTGGGCGTGGAGGGCCCACGGTTGAGGTAGAGGCTGGGCCTCTAGAGGCCGCAAACAGGCAGGGGCTGGGCCTAGAGAAGCCAACAGAGGCATGAACTGGGCCTCAACAGGCCAGCGTGAGGGAGGACTTCTCTCAGCGTTAGAGAGGCCAGTGTGAGGCAGGGCCTCACGCTGACCTCCCTCAGCGTTAGAGAGGCCAGTGTGAGGCAGGGCCTCACGCTGACCTCCCTCAGCGTGAGAGAGGCCAGTGTGAGGCAGGGCCACACGCTGACCTCCCTCAGCGTGAGAGAGGCCAGTGTGAGGCAGGGGCTCACGCTGACCTCCCTCAGCGTGAGAGAGGCCAATGTGAGGCAGGGGCTCACGCCTCTCGAAAGGGTGCCAGAGGCATGAGTTGGGCCTCAACAGGCCACCGTGACGGAGGAGCTGGGCCGCACACAGGCTGCTGGGAGGCAGGCAGGGACTTGGTCCCGGGAGGCCGCCGTGAGGCCAGAGCTGGGCCTGGAGACGCCCCTGGGAGGCAAGAGCCGGGCCTGCAGAGGCTGTTCTCCAGCCAGACCTGGGCCTGTACAGGCCACCGGGAGGCAGGAGGTGGGACTGAGGAGCTTCGCTGGAGAAAGTTCAGGGTCTACAAAAGCCGGCGGGAGCTGGGCAGGAGCTGAGCCAAAAGAGCTTGCTTGCTGGGAGGCCGGAGCTGGGCCTGGAGAGGCTGACTTCAGGACCACTTGAGCCTGCAGAGGCCGCCGGGAGGCCCAAGCTGGGCCTGGAGAAGCCCACCGACCCGAGGCCATTTGGGGCCTGGAGACGCCGTCGGAGGGCAGGAGCTGAGCCTGGAGAGGCCACCGTGAGGCCTGAGCTGGGCCCGGGGAGCTTGGCTTCAGGAAGCTGTGGGCCGACCAAGGCCACCAGGAGCTGGGCAGGCACTGAGTCCAAAGAGGTTGTTGGGAGGCAGGAGTCGGGCCTGCAGACGCAGCCGGGAGGAAGAGCTGGGCCCGGAGAGGATGCCGGGAGGCTGCAAGTGGGTCTGGAGAGGCCGACTTGAAGAGCTTCTGGGCCCGGAGAGGCCGCCGGAAGGGAAAAACTGGGCCTCGAAAGGCCGTTGTGAGGAATGAGCCCCATGGGCCTGAAGAGGCCACTGGCAGGCGGGAGCTGGGCCTGCCGAAGCGGCGGAGAGGCCGGAGCTTTGGACTCGGGAGGCCGCAGGCGAGAGCGAGCTGGGCGTGGAGAGTCCGCTGTGAGGCAGAGGCTGGGCCTGTGCAAGCTTTCGGGAGGCAGGAGGCCAGGCCTGCAGAGGCCGACTGGAGGTCAAGTTCGGGGCCTGCAGAGGCCGCGGAAAGTCAAAAGCGGGGCCTGGGAAGGCCGCCGGGAGGCATGAGCTGGGCTGGGCTGAAAGAGGCCACTGGGAGACAGGAGGAGCTGGACCTGGAGAGACGGACTCGAGGAACTTTTGCACCTGGAGAGGCCGCCGAGAGGCCGGAGCTGGGCCTGGGGAGGCTGACTTGAGGACGACTTGGGCCTGCAGAGTCTGCCAGGAGGCAGGAGCTGTCCCTGGACAGGCCTACTTGACGACAGTCTGGTCCCGCAGAGGCTGCCGGGAGGAAGAGCTGGGCCTGGAGAGGCCGACTGCAGGAAGTGCAGGACCTGGAGCCCATGCAAAGGAGCAAACGCCAGGCCGGGAGAGGCCGCCCTGACACATGAGCTTGGCCTCCGGAGGGCCGTGAGGCAGGAGCTGGGCCTGCGGGGGCCGCCCCAAGGCGGGAGCCTGGTCCGAGGAGGCCACGGCGAGGCAAGAGGTGGGCGTGGAGGGCCCACGGTTGAGGTAGAGGCTGGGCCTCTAGAGGCCGCCAACAGGCAGGGGCTGGGCCTGGAGAAGCCAACAGAGGCATGAACTGGGCCTCAACAGGCCAGCGTGAGGGAGGACTTCTCTCAGCGTGACAGAGGCCAGTGTGAGGCAGGGCCTCACGCTGACCTCCCTCAGCGTTAGAGAGGCCAGTGTGAGGCAGGGCCTCACGCTGACCTCCCTCAGCGTGAGAGAGGCCAGTGTGAGGCAGGGCCACATGCTGACCTCCCTCAGCGTGAGAGAGGCCAGTGTGAGGCAGGGGCTCACGCTGACCTCCCTCAGCGTGAGAGAGGCCAGTGTGAGGCAGGGGCTCACGCTGACCTCCCTCAGCGTGAGAGAGGCCAGTGTGAGGCAGGGGCTCACGCTGACCTCCCTCAGCGTGAGAGAGGCCAATGTGAGGCAGGGGCTCACGCCTCTCGAAAGGGTGCCAGAGGCATGAGTTGGGCCTCAACAGGCCACCGTGACGGAGGAGCTGGGCCGCACACTGGCTGCTGGGAGGCAGGCAGGGACTTGGTCCCGGGAGGCCGCCGTGAGGCCAGAGCTGGGCCTGGAGACGCCCCTGGGAGGCAAGAGCGGGGCCTGCAGAGGCTGTTCTCCAGCCAGACCTGGGCCTGTACAGGCCACCGGGAGGCAGGAGGTGGGACTGAGGAGCTTCGCTGGAGAAAGTTCAGGGTCTACAAAAGCCGGCGGGAGCTGGGCAGGAGCTGAGCCAAAAGAGCTTGCTTGCTCGGAGGCCGGAGCTGGGCCTGGAGAGGCTGACTTCAGGACCACTTGAGCCTGCAGAGGCCGCCGGGAGGCCCAAGCTGGGCCTGGAGAAGCCCACCGACCCGAGGCCATTTGGGGCCTGGAGACGCCGTCGGAGGGCAGGAGCTGAGCCTGGAGAGGCCGCCGTGAGGCCTGAGCTGGGCCCGGGGAGCTTGGCTTCAGGAAGCTGTGGGCCGACCAAGGCCACCAGGAGCTGGGCAGGCACTGAGTCCAAAGAGGTTGTTGGGAGGCAGGAGTCGGGCCTGTAGACGCAGCCGGGAGGAAGAGCTGGGCCCGGAGAGGACGCCGGGAGGCTGCAAGTGGGTCTGGAGAGGCCGACTTGAGGAGCTTCTGGGCCCGGAGAGGCCGCCGGAAGGGAAAAACTGGGCCTGGAAAGGCCGTTGTGAGGAATGAGCCCCATGGGCCTGAAGAGGCCACTGGCAGGCGGGAGCTGGGCCTGCCGAAGCGGCGGAGAGGCCGGAGCTTTGGACTTGGGAGGCCGCAGGCGAGAGCGAGCTGGGCGTGGAGAGTCCGCTGTGAGGCAGAGGCTGGGCCTGTGCAAGCTTTCGGGAGGCAGGAGGCCAGGCCTGCAGAGGCCGACTGGAGGTCAAGTTCGGGGCCTGCAGAGGCCGCGGAAAGTCAAAAGCGGGGCCTGGGAAGGCCGCCGGGAGGCATGAGCTGGGCTGGGCTGAAGGAGGCCACTGGGAGACAGGAGGAGCTGGACCTGGAGAGACGGACTCGAGGAACTTTTGCACCTGGAGAGGCCGCCGAGAGGCCGGAGCTGGGCCTGGGGAGGCTGACTTGAGGACGACTTGGGCCTGCAGAGTCTGTCGGGAGGCAGGAGCTGTCCCTGGACAGGCCTACTTGACGACAATCTGGTCCCGCAGAGGCTGCCGGGAGGAAGAGCTGGGCCTGGAGAGGCCGACTGCAGGAAGTGCAGGACCTGGAGCCCATGCAAAGGAGCAAACGCCAGGCCGGGAGAGGCCGCCCTGACACATGAGCTTGGCCTCCGGAGGGCCGTGAGGCAGGAGCTGGGCCTGCGGGGGCCGCCCCAAGGCGGGAGCCTGGTCCGAGGAGGCCACGGCGAGGCAAGAGGTGGGCGTGGAGGGCCCACGGTTGAGGTAGAGGCTGGGCCTCTAGAGGCCGCCAACAGGCAGGGGCTGGGCCTGGAGAAGCCAACAGAGGCATGAACTGGGCCTCAACAGGCCAGCGTGAGGGAGGACTTCTCTCAGCGTGAGAGAGGCCAGTGTGAGGCAGGGCCTCACGCTGACCTCCCTCAGCGTTAGAGAGGCCAGTGTGAGGCAGGGCCTCACGCTGACCTCCCTCAGCGTGAGAGAGGCCAGTGTGAGGCAGGGCCACACGCTGACCTCCCTCAGCGTGAGAGAGGCCAGTGTGAGGCAGGGGCTCACGCTGACCTCCCTCAGCGTGAGAGAGGCCAGTGTGAGGCAGGGGCTCACGCTGACCTCCCTCAGCGTGAGAGAGGCCAATGTGAGGCAGGGGCTCACGCCTCTCGAAAGGGTGCCAGAGGCATGAGTTGGGCCTCAACAGGCCACCGTGACGGAGGAGCTGGGCCGCACACAGGCTGCTGGGAGGCAGGCAGGGACTTGGTCCCGGGAGGCCGCCGTGAGGCCAGAGCTGGGCCTGGAGACGCCCCTGGGAGGCAAGAGCGGGGCCTGCAGAGGCTGTTCTCCAGCCAGACCTGGGCCTGTACAGGCCACCGGGAGGCAGGAGGTGGGACTGAGGAGCTTCGCTGGAGAAAGTTCAGGGTCTACAAAAGCCGGCGGGAGCTGGGCAGGAGCTGAGCCAAAAGAGCTTGCTTGCTGGGAGGCCGGAGCTGGGCCTGGAGAGGCTGACTTCAGGACCACTTGAGCCTGCAGAGGCCGCCGGGAGGCCCAAGCTGGGCCTGGAGAAGCCCACCGACCCGAGGCCATTTGGGGCCTGGAGACGCCGTCGGAGGGCAGGAGCTGAGCCTGGAGAGGCCGCCGTGAGGCCTGAGCTGGGCCCGGGGAGCTTGGCTTCAGGAAGCTGTGGGCCGACCAAGGCCACCAGGAGCTGGGCAGGCACTGAGTCCAAAGAGGTTGTTGGGAGGCAGGAGTCGGGCCTGTAGACGCAGCCGGGAGGAAGAGCTGGGCCCGGAGAGGACGCCGGGAGGCTGCAAGTGGGTCTGGAGAGGCCGACTTGAGGAGCTTCTGGGCCCGGAGAGGCCGCCGGAAGGGAAAAACTGGGCCTGGAAAGGCCGTTGTGAGGAATGAGCCCCATGGGCCTGAAGAGGCCACTGGCAGGCGGGAGCTGGGCCTGCGGAAGCGGCGGAGAGGCCGGAGCTTTGGACTAGGGAGGCCGCAGGCGAGAGCGAGCTGGGCGTGGAGAGTCCGCTGTGAGGCAGAGGCTGGGCCTGTGCAAGCTTTCGGGAGGCAGGAGGCCAGGCCTGCAGAGGCCGACTAGAGGTCAAGTTCGGGGCCTGCAGAGGCCGCGGAAAGTCAAAAGCGGGGCCTGGGAAGGCCGCCGGGAGGCATGAGCTGGGCTGGGCTGAAAGAGGCCACTGGGAGACAGGAGGAGCTGGACCTGGAGAGACGGACTCGAGGAACTTTTGCACCTGGAGAGGCCGCCGAGAGGCCGGAGCTGGGCCTGGGGAGGCTGACTTGAGGACGACTTGGGCCTGCAGAGTCTGCCGGGAGGCAGGAGCTGTCCCTGGACAGGCCTACTTGACGACAGTCTGGTCCCGCAGAGGCTGCCGGGAGGAAGAGCTGGGCCTGGAGAGGCCGACTGCAGGAAGTGCAGGACCTGGAGCCCATGCAAAGGAGCAAACGCCAGGCCGGGAGAGGCCGCCCTGACACATGAGCTTGGCCTCCGGAGGGCCGTGAGGCAGGAGCTGGGCCTGCGGGGGCCGCCCCAAGGCGGGAGCCTGGTCCGAGGAGGCCACGGCGAGGCAAGAGGTGGGCGTGGAGGGCCCACGGTTGAGGTAGAGGCTGGGCCTCTAGAGGCCGCCAACAGGCAGGGGCTGGGCCTGGAGAAGCCAACAGAGGCATGAACTGGGCCTCAACAGGCCAGCGTGAGGGAGGACTTCTCTCAGCGTGAGAGAGGCCAGTGTGAGGCAGGGCCTCACGCTGACCTCCCTCAGCGTTAGAGAGGCCAGTGTGAGGCAGGGCCTCACGCTGACCTCCCTCAGCGTGAGAGAGGCCAGTGTGAGGCAGGGCCACACGCTGACCTGCCTCAGCGTGAGAGAGGCCAGTGTGAGGCAGGGGCTCACGCTGACCTCCCTCAGCGTTAGAGAGGCCAGTGTGAGGCAGGGCCTCACGCTGACCTCCCTCAGCGTGAGAGAGGCCAGTGTGAGGCAGGGCCACACGCTGACCTCCCTCAGCGTGAGAGAGGCCAGTGTGAGGCAGGGGCTCACGCTGACCTCCCTCAGCGTGAGAGAGGCCAGTGTGAGGCAGGGGCTCACGCTGACCTCCCTCAGCGTGAGAGAGGCCAATGTGAGGCAGGGGCTCACGCCTCTTGAAAGGGTGCCAGAGGCATGAGTTGGGCCTCAACAGGCCACCGTGACGGAGGAGCTGGGCCGCACACAGGCTGCTGGGAGGCAGGCAGGGACTTGGTCCCGGGAGGCCGCCGTGAGGCCAGAGCTGGGCCTGGAGACGCCCCTGGGAGGCAAGAGCGGGGCCTGCAGAGGCTGTTCTCCAGCCAGACCTGGGCCTGTACAGGCCACCGGGAGGCAGGAGGTGGGACTGAGGAGCTTCGCTGGAGAAAGTTCAGGGTCTACAAAAGCCGGCGGGAGCTGGGCAGGAGCTGAGCCAAAAGAGCTTGCTTGCTGGGAGGCCAGAACTGGGCCTGGAGAGGCTGACTTCAGGACCACTTGAGCCTGCAGAGGCCGCCGGGAGGCCCAAGCTGGGCCTGGAGAAGCCCACCGACCCGAGGCCATTTGGGGCCTGGAGACGCCGTCGGAGGGCAGGAGCTGAGCTTGGAGAGGCCGCCGTGAGGCCTGAGCTGGGCCCGGGGAGCTTGGCTTCAGGAAGCTGTGGCACGACCAAGGCCACCAGGAGCTGGGTAGGCACTGAGTCCAAAGAGGTTGTTGGGAGGCAGGAGTCGGGCCTGTAGACGCAGCCGGGAGGAAGAGCTGGGCCCGGAGAGGACGCCGGGAGGCTGCAAGTGGGTCTGGAGAGGCCGACTTGAGGAGCTTCTGGGCCCGGAGAGGCCGCCGGAAGGGAAAAACTGGGCCTGGAAAGGCCGTTGTGAGGAATGAGCCCCATGGGCCTGAAGAGGCCACTGGCAGGCGGGAGCTGGGCCTGCGGAAGCGGCGGAGAGGCCGGAGCTTTGGACTAGGGAGGCCGCAGGCGAGAGCGAGCTGGGCGTGGAGAGTCCGCTGTGAGGCAGAGGCTGGGCCTGTGCAAGCTGTCGGGAGGCAGGAGGCCAGGCCTGCAGAGGCCGACTAGAGGTCAAGTTCGGGGCCTGCAGAGGCCGCGGAAAGTCAAAAGCGGGGCCTGGGAAGGCCGCCGGGAGGCATGAGCTGGGCTGGGCTGAAAGAGGCCACTGGGAGACAGGAGGAGCTGGACCTGGAGAGACGGACTCGAGGAAGTTTTGCACCTGGAGAGGCCACCGAGAGGCCGGAGCTGGGCCTGGGGAGGCTGACTTGAGGACGACTTGGGCCTGCAGAGTCTGCCGGGAGGCAGGAGCTGTCCCTGGACAGGCCTACTTGACGACAGTCTGGTCCCGCAGAGGCTGCCGGGAGGAAGAGCTGGGCCTGGAGAGGCCGACTGCAGGAAGTGCAGGACCTGGAGCCCATGCAAAGGAGCAAACGCCAGGCCGGGAGAGGCCGCCCTGACACATGAGCTTGGCCTCCGGAGGGCCGTGAGGCAGGAGCTGGGCCTGCGGGGGCCGCCCCAAGGCGGGAGCCTGGTCCGAGGAGGCCACGGCGAGGCAAGAGGTGGGCGTGGAGGGCCCACGGTTGAGGTAGAGGCTGGGCCTCTAGAGGCCGCCAACAGGCAGGGGCTGGGCCTGGAGAAGCCAACAGAGGCATGAACTGGGCCTCAACAGGCCAGCGTGAGGGAGGACTTCTCTCAGCGTGAGAGAGGCCAGTGTGAGGCAGGGCCTCACGCTGACCTCCCTCAGCGTTAGAGAGGCCAGTGTGAGGCAGGGCCTCACGCTGACCTCCCTCAGCGTGAGAGAGGCCAGTGTGAGGCAGGGCCACACGCTGACCTGCCTCAGCGTGAGAGAGGCCAGTGTGAGGCAGGGCCACACGCTGACCTGCCTCAGCGTGAGAGAGGCCAGTGTGAGGCAGGGGCTCACGCTGACCTCCCTCAGCGTGAGAGAGGCCAATGTGAGGCAGGGGCTCACGCCTCTCGAAAGGGTGCCAGAGGCATGAGTTGGGCCTGAACAGGCCACCGTGACGGAGGAGCTGGGCCGCACACAGGCTGCTGGGAGGCAGGCAGGGACTTGGTCCCGGGAGGCCGCCGTGAGGCCAGAGCTGGGCCTGGAGACGCCCCTGGGAGGCAAGAGCGGGGCCTGCAGAGGCTGTTCTCCAGCCAGACCTGGGCCTGTACAGGCCACCGGGAGGCAGGAGGTGGGACTGAGGAGCTTCGCTGGAGAAAGTTCAGGGTCTACAAAAGCCGGCGGGAGCTGGGCAGGAGCTGAGCAGGAGCTGAGCCAAAAGAGCTTGCTTGCTGGGAGGCCGGAACTGGGCCTGGAGAGGCTGACTTCAGGACCACTTGAGCCTGCAGAGGCCGCCGGGAGGCCCAAGCTGGGCCTGGAGAAGCCCACCGACCCGAGGCCATTTGGGGCCTGGAGACGCCGTCGGAGGGCAGGAGCTGAGCCTGGAGAGGCCACCGTGAGGCCTGAGCTGGGCCTGGGGAGCTTGGCTTCAGGAAGCTGTGGGCCGACCAAGGCCACCAGGAGCTGGGCAGGCAGAGTCCAAAGAGGTTGTTGGGAGGCAGGAGTCGGGCCTGCAGACGCAGCCGGGAGGAAGAGCTGGGCCCGGAGAGGACGCCGGGAGGCTGCAAGTGGGTCTGGAGAGGCCGACTTGAGGAGCTTCTGGGCCCGGAGAGGCCGCCGGAAGGGAAAAACTGGGCCTGGAAAGGCCGTTGTGAGGAATGAGCCCCATGGGCCTGAAGAGGCCACTGGCAGGCGGGAGCTGGGCCTGCCGAAGCGGCGGAGAGGCCGGAGCTTTGGACTCGGGAGGCCGCAGGCGAGAGCGAGCTGGGCGTGGAGAGTCCGCTGTGAGGCAGAGGATGGGCCTGTGCAAGCTTTCGGGAGGCAGGAGACCAGGCCTGCAGAGGCCGACTGGAGGTCAATTTCGGGGCCTGCAGAGGTCGCGGAAAGTCAAAAGCGGGGCCTGGGAAGGTCGCCGGGAGGCATGAGCTGGGCTGGGCTGAAAGAGGCCACTGGGAGACAGGAGGAGCTGGACCTGGAGAGACGGACTCGAGGAACTTTTGCACCTGGAGAGGCCGCCGAGAGGCCGGAGCTGGGCCTGGGGAGGCTGACTTGAGGACGACTTGGGCCTGCAGAGTCTGCCGGGAGGCAGGAGCTGTCCCTGGACAGGCCTACTTGACGACAGTCTGGTCCTGCAGAGGCTGCCGGGAGGAAGCGCTGGGCCTGGAGAGGCCGACTGGAGGAAGTGCAGGACCTGGAGCCCATGCAAAGGAGCAAACGCCAGGCCGGGAGAGGCCGCTCTGACGCATGAGCTTGGCCTCCGGAGGGCCGTGAGGCAGGAGCTGGGCCTGCGGGGGCCGCCCCAAGGCGGGAGCCTGGCCCGAGGACGCCACGGCAAGGCAACAGGTGGGCGTGGAGGGCCCACTGTTGAGGTAGAGGCTGGGCCTCTAGAGGCCGCCAACAGGCAGGGGCTGGGCCTGGAGAAGCCAACAGAGGCATGAACTGGGCCTCAACAGGCCAGCGTGAGGGAGGACTTCCCTCAGCGTGAGAGAGGCCACTGTGAGGCAGGGCCTCACGCTGACGTCCCTCAGCGTGAGAGAGGCCAGTGTGAGGCAGGGCCTCACGCTGACCTCCCTCAGCGTTAGAGAGGCCACTGTGAGGCAGGGGCTCACGATGACCTCCCTCAGCGTGAGAGAGGCCAATGTGAGGCAGGGGCTCACGCCTCTCGAAAGGGTGCCAGAGGCATGAGTTGGGCCTCAACAGGCCACCGTGACGGAGGAGCTGGGCCGCACACAGGCTGCTGGGAGGCAGGCAGGGACTTGGTCCCGGGAGGCCGCCGTGAGGCCAGAGCTGGGCCTGGAGACGCCCCTGGGAGGCAAGAGCGGGGCCTGCAGAGGCTGTTCTCCAGCCAGACCTGGGCCTGTACAGGCCACCGGGAGGCAGGAGGTGGGACTGAGGAGCTTCGCTGGAGAAAGTTCAGGGTCTACAAAAGCCGGCGGGAGCTGGGCAGGAGCTGAGCCAAAAGAGCTTGCTTGCTGGGAGGCCGGAGCTGGGCCTGGAGAGGCTGACTTCAGGACCACTTGGGCCTGCAGAGGCCGCCGGGAGGCCCAACCTGGGCCTGGAGAAGCCCACCGACCGGAGGCCATTTGGGGCTTGGAGACGCCGTCAGAGGGCAGGAGCTGAGCCTGGAGAGGCCACCGTGAGGCCTGAGCTGGGCCTGGGGAGCTTGGCTTGAGGAAGCTGTGGGCCGACCAAGGCCACCAGGAGCTGGGCAGGCACTGAGTCCAAAGAGGTTGTTGGGAGGCAGGAGTCGGGCCTGCAGATGCAGCCGGGAGGAAGAGCTGGGCCCGGAGAGGACGCCGGGAGGCTACAAGTGGGTCTGGAGAGGCCGACTTGAGGAGCTTCTGGGCCCGGAGAGGCCGCCGGAAGGGAAAAACTGGGCCTGGAAAGGCCGTTGTGAGGAATGAGCCCCATGGGCCTGAAGAGGCCACTGGCAGGCGGGAGCTGGGCCTGCCGAAGCGGCGGAGAGGCCGGAGCTTTGGACTCGGGAGGCCGCAGGCGAGAGCGAGCTGGGCGTGGAGAGTCCGCTGTGAGGCAGAGGATGGGCCTGTGCAAGCTTTCGGGAGGCAGGAGGCCAGGCCTGCAGAGGCCGAATGGAAGTCAAGTTCGGGGCCTGCAGAGGCCGCGGAAAGTCAAAAGCGGGGCCTGGGAAGGCCGCCGGGAGGCATGAGCTGGGCTGGGCTGAAAGAGGCCACTGGGAGACAGGAGGAGCTGGACCTGGAGAGACGGACTCGAGGAAGTTTTGCACCTGGAGAGGCCGCCGAGAGGCCGGAGCTGGGCCTGGGGAGGCTGACTTGAGGACGACTTGGGCCTGCAGAGTCTGCCGGGAGGCAGGAGCTGTCCCTGGACAGGCCTACTTGACGACAGTCTGGTCCCGCAGAGGCTGCCGGGAGGAAGAGCTGGGCCTGGAGAGGCCGACTGGAGGAAGTGCAGGACCTGGAGCCCATGCAAAGGAGCAAACGCCAGGCCGGGAGAGGCCGCCCTGACGCATGAGCTTGGCCTCCGGAGGGCCGTGAGGCAGGAGCTGGGCCTGCGGGGGCCGCCCCAAGGCGGGAGCCTGGTCCGAGGAGGCCACGGCGAGGCAAGAGGTGGGCGTGGAGGGCCCACTCTTGAGGTAGAGGCTGGGCCTCTAGAGGGCGCCAACAGGCAGGGGCTGGGCCTGGAGAAGCCAACAGAGGCATGAACTGGGCCTCAACAGGCCAGCGTGAGGGAGGACTTCTCTCAGCGTGAGAGAGGCCACTGTGAGGCAGGGCCTCACGCTGACCTCCCTCAGCGTGAGAGAGGCCAGTGTGAGGCAGGGCCTCACGCTGACCTCCCTCAGCGTGAGAGAGGCCAGTGTGAGGCAGGGCCACACGCTGACCTCCCTCAGCGTGAGACAGGCCAGTGTGAGGCAGGGGCTCACGCTGACCTCCCTCAGCGTGAGAGAGGCCAGTGTGAGGCAGGGGCTCAAGCTGACCTCCCTCAGCGTGAGAGAGGCCAGTGTGAGGCAGGGGCTCACGCCTCTCGAAAGGGTGCCAGAGGCATGAGTTGGGCGTCAACAGGCCACCGTGACGGAGGAGCTGGGCCGCACACAGGCCGCTGGGAGGCAGGCAGGGACTTCGTCCCGGGAGGCCGCCGTGAGGCCAGAGCTGGGCCTGGAGATGCCCCTGCGAGGCAAGAGCGGGGCCTGCAGAGGCTGTTCTCCAGCCAGACCTGGGCCTGTACAGGCCACCGGGAGGCAGGAGGTGGGACTGAGGAGCTTCGCTGGAGAAAGTTCAGGGTCTACAAAAGCCGGCGGGAGCTGGGCAGGAGCTGAGCCAAAAGAGCTTGCTTGCTGGGAGGCCGGAGCTGGGCCTGGAGAGGCTGACTTCAGGACCACTTGAGCCTGCAGAGGCCGCCGGGAGGCCCAAGCTGGGCCTGGAGAAGCCCACCGACCCGAGGCCATTTGGGGCCTGGAGACGCCGTCGGAGGGCAGGAGGTGAGCCTGGAGAGGCCACCGTGAGGCCTGAGCTGGGCCCGGGGAGCTTGGCTTCAGGAAGCTGTGGGCCGACCAAGGCCACCAGGAGCTGGGCAGGCACTGAGTCCAAAGAGGTTGTTGGGAGGCAGGAGTCGGGCCTGTAGATGTAGCCAGGAGGAAGAGCTGGGCCCGAAGAGGACGCCGGGAGGCTGCAAGTGGGTCTGGAGAGGCCGACTTGAGGAGCTTCTGGGCCCGGAGAGGCCGCCGGAAGGGAAAAACTGGGCCTGGAAAGGCCGTTGTGAGGAATGAGCCCCATGGGGCTGAAGAGGCCACTGGCAGGCGGCAGTTGAGCCTGCCGAAGCGGCGGAGAGGCCGGAGCTTTGGACTCGGGAGGCCGCAGTGAGGCGAGAGCGAGCTGGGCGTGGAGAGTCCGCTGTGAGGCAGAGGCTGGGCCTGTGCAAGCCTTCGGGAGGCAGGAGGCCGGGCCTGGAGAGGCCGACTGGAGGTCAAGTTCGGGACCTGCAGAGGCTGCGGAAAGTCAAAAGCGGGGCCTGGGAAGGCAGCCGGGAGGCATGAGCTGGCCTGGGCTGAAAGAGGCCACTGGGAGACAGGAGGAGCTGGGCCTGGAGAGACGGTCTCGAGGAAGTTTTGCACTTGGAGTGGCCGCCAAGAGGCCAGAGCTGGGCCTGGGGAGGCTGACTGGAGGACGAATTGGGCCTACAGAGGCCACCGGGAGGCAGGAGCTGTCCCTGGACAGGCCTACTTGACAACAGTCTGGTCCTGCAGAGGCTGCCGGGAGGAAGAGCTGGGCCCGGAGAGGACGCCGGGAGGCTGCAAGTGTGTCTGGAGAGGCTGACTTGAGGAGCTTCTGGGCCCGGAGAGGCCGCCGGAAGGGAAAAACTGGGCCTGGAAAGGCCGTTGTGAGGAATGAGCCCCATGGGCCTGAAGAGACCACTGGCAGGCGGGAGCTGGGCCTGCCGAAGCGGCCGAGAGGCAGGAGCTTTGGACTCGGGAGGCCGCAGTGAGGCGAGACCTAGCTGTTCGTGGAGAGTCCACTGTGAGGCAGAGACTGGGCCTGTGCAAGCCTTTGGGAGGCAGGAGGCCGAGCCTGGAGAGGCTGACTGGACGTCAAGTTCGGGGTCTGCAGAGGCCGCCGAAAGTCAAAAGCGGGGCCTGGGAAGGCCGCCGGGAGGCATGAGCTGGGCTGGGCCGAAAGAGGCCACTGGGAGACAGGAGGAGCTGGGCCTGTAGAGGCTGACTCGAGGAACTTTTGCAACTGGAGAGGCTGCCGAGGGGCCGGAGCTAGGCCTAGGGAGGCCGACTTTAGGATGACTTGGGCCTGCAGAGGCTGCCAGGAGGCAGGAATTGGCTCTGGACAGGCCGACTTGACAGTCTGGGCCTGCAGAGGCCGCCGGGAGGAAGAGCTCGGCCTGGAGAGGCCGACTGGAGGAAGTCCAGGGCCTGGAGAGGATGCAAAGCAGCAAACGCTAGGCCTGGAAAGGCTGCCCTGAGGCACGGGCTTCGCCTACAGACGCCACTGGGAGGCAGGAGCTGGGCCCGCAGAGGCTCCCGACAGGGAGGAGCATTGCCCCAGGAGGCCACAGTTAGGAAGAGATGGGCCTGGAGAGCCCACTGTGAGGTAGAGTCCGGGCCTGTAGAGGCCACCGTCAGGCAGGGGCTGCGCCCGTTGAGGCCACAAGAGGCATGAGCTGGGCTTCAACAGGCCAGTGTGAGGCAGGAGGTGACAGTTGGGTAGGTTGCAAGAGGCATGAGTTGGGCCAAAAGAGACCACCGTGAGGGAGGAGCTGGGCCTGTACAAGCTGCCGAAAGGCAGTAACAGCTTTGGACTGGAGAGGCCACAGACAGGGAAGAGCTGGGCGTGGAGAGTCTGCTGTGAGGCAGAGGCTGGGCCTGTACATGCCCTCGGGAAGCAGGAGGCTGGGCCTGGAGAGGCCGACTTGAAGTTTTGCTCCTGCAGAGACCACTTAGAGGCAAGAGCTGGGTGTGGAGAGGCTGACTTGAGGTCGATTTTGGCGTGCAGAAGCCACCGGTAGCTAGGAGTTGGCCCTGGAGAGGCTGATTTGAGAACAATTTTGGCCTGTAGAGGCCACTGGAAAGGAGAGCTTGGCCTGGAGAGGCCAACTAGAGTAAGTTCAGGGCTTGAAGAGTATGCACAAAAGGAAATGCTCAGCCTGGAAAGTGTGCTGTGAGGCATTAGCTTGGCCTACACAGCACTTGGAGGCAGGAGCTGGGCCTGCAGAGGGTGACTTCAGGACGATTTTGGCCTGCAGAAGCCTTTGGGAGGAAGAGCTTACCCTGGACTGGCTGACTGGAGGAAGTTTTGGGACGGGAGTATGCGTCAAAAAGCAAAAGTTAGGCTAGGAAAGGCCACTTCGCGGCACAATCTTGGCCTACAAAGGCAATTGCGAGGCAGGAGCTGGGCCTGTAGAGGCTGCTGAAAGGCAGGAGCTTGGCCTTAGGAGGCTATGCTCAGGCAAGTGGTGGGGCTGGAGGGTCTACTGTGTGGTAAGAGTCTGGGCCTGTGTAGGCCGACATGAGGCAGAAGCTGAGTTAGGAGAGGCCAACTTTTGGAGAATTTGGGCCTGCAGAGGCTGCCAGGAGGCAAGAGCTGTGCCTGGAGAGTCCGTCTTCTAGCATGAGCTGGGCCTAAAGAGACCATTGTGAGGCAGCAGCTGCCTGGGAGGCAGGCAGATTCGTGGCCTGGGGAGGCCACCGTGAGGCAAATGCTCAGTTTTCGGAGGATGCCGTGAGGCAGGGAGAAACTTGGCTTTCGGTGGCCGCAGTGAGGGAATAGTTTGATTGCTGAGGCTGCTGGGAGGCCGAAGGTGGGCCTGGAAAGCTTTACTTTAAGAAGTCTGTGGCCTACAGAGGCTGCCAGCAGCTCAGCAGGAGTTGGGCCAAAGGAGGTTGTTGTGAGGCAGGAGACGGGCCTGTAGACGCACCGGGAGGATGAGCTTGTCCTGGCGATGCCGAGTTAAGCACATTCTGGGCCTGGACAGGCTGCAAAAGGCAAAAGCTGTGCCTGGAAAAGTCGCCATGGGGCATGAGCTTGGCCTAAAGAGGCCATTGCAAGGCAGGGGCTGGGCCCGTAGAGGCTGCCGAAAGGCAGGAGCTCCGCCTGAGGATGCCACAGTGAGACACCATCTGGGTCTGGAGGGTCCACTGTGAGGCAGAGGCTGGCCTGTAGAGTCCAACAGTAGACAGAAGTTGAGCAAAAGGCTAATTTCAGGAAGTTTTGGGCTTCAAGAGTCAGCCAGGAGGCAGGCACTAGGCCTGGAAATGGCCCGACAGTCATGAGTTGGGCCTAAATGGGCCACTGTGAGGGAGGAGCTGTGCCTGTTGAGGCTGCTGGCAGGCAGGCAGAAACTTGGCCTGGGGCAGCTGCCATGAGACAAGAGCTGGGCCTGGAGAAGCCCCTGAGAGGTAAGAGCAGGGCCTGCAGAGGCTGTTCTCAA
Source organism: Homo sapiens (assembly GCF_000001405.40). Lineage (NCBI taxonomy): Eukaryota > Metazoa > Chordata > Mammalia > Primates > Hominidae > Homo > Homo sapiens. The sequence goes on from NC_000007.14 coordinate 56,830,600, forward strand.
GTCAAAGCTGGGCCTGTTCATGCCACCGGGAAGCAGAAGGTGGGCCTGGAGAGTTTTACTTGAGGAAGTTTTGGGCCTACATTTGCTGCCGTGAGCTGGACAGGAACTGGGCCAAAAAAGGCTGTTGTGAGGCAGCTGTTATGAGGCAGCAGTTGTGCCTGTAGACTCAGCCAAGAGGAAGAGTTGGGCCTGGAGAAGCCACCATGAGACAGAGGTTGGGCCTGTAGACACTGATAGGAGGCAGGAGCTGGGCCTGGAGAGGTCAACTTGAGGAGATTTTGGGCCTTCATAGGCCACCAGGAGGCAGCAGTTGGGACTAGAGAGGCTGACTTGAGGAAGTTTTGGGCCTGGAGATGACGTCCTGGGACAGGAGCTGGGCCTGGAGAGGCCACCGTGAGGCATGAGTTGGATGTAGAGAGGCCAGTGTGAGGCAAGACCTGGGCCTGTATAGGCTGCTGGGAGACAGGCAGGAATCTGGCCAGGGAAGGTTGCCATGAGACAAAAGTTGGGCCTGGAAAGGCCCCTGTGAGGCATCAGCTTGGCCTAAAGAGGCTACTGGGTGGCAGGAGCTGGGTGTGTAGAAGCTGCTGAAAGGTTGGGAGCTTGGCTTGGGGGGTCCACAGTGAGGCAGATACTGGGCCTGAAGAATCTGCTGTGAGGCAGATGTTGTGACTGTAGAGGCCGACGGGAGGCAGAGGCTGGGCCTGGAGAGGCCAAGATGCAGGAGCTGGGCCTGGAGAGGCTGCCAAGAAGCATGAACTGGGCCTAAACAGGCCAGTGTGAGGCAAGAGATCAGCCTGTAGAGAGGCCTACTTGAGGAAGATTTTGGCCTGGAGAGACTGTCAGAGGCAGGAGCTGGGCCTGTTGAGCCTGCTGGGAGGCAGGCAGGAACTTGGCCAGGGATGACCTCTGTGAGGCAAGAGCTGAGCCTAGAGAGGCCACTGTCTTTCAGGAGCTGGGCCTATTCAAGCTGCCGGGAGGCAGAAGGTTGTGCTGGAAAACTTGATGTGAGAAAGTTTTGGGCCTATAAAGGCTGCCAGGAGCTGGGTAGGAGCTGAGCCGAAAGAGGTTGTTGTGAGGTAGGAGGTGGGCCTGGAGATGCAGCCGGGAGGAAGAGCTGGGCCTGGAGAGGCCCACTTGAGGAAGTTCTGGGTCTGGAGATGCTGCCAAAAGGCAAAACCTGGGCCAGAATGGCCACTGTGAGGCATAAGCTTGCCCTAGAGAGGCCATTGAGGCAGGAGTGGGGCCTGTAGAGGCTGCTGAAAGGCAGGAGCTTGGCCTAGGGGGCTGCAGTGAGGCACATGCTGGGCTGGGAAAATCTGCTGTGAGGCAGACGTTGAGCCTGTAGAGGCTGACGGAAGGCACAAGTTGGGCCTGGAATGGCAGTCTTGAGAAAGTTCTCGGTCTAGAGAAGCTGCTGGGATGCAGGAGCTGTGCCTGGAGAGGCCGACTTGAGGAAGTTTCCGGCACGGAGAGCCTGTCGGGGGGCAGGAGCTGGGCCTGGAGAGGCCACCGTGAGGCGTGAGCTGGGCCTAATGAGATTAGTGTGAGGCAGGATCTGGGCCTGTTGAAGCTGCTGGGAGGCAGGCAGGACCTTGTTTGGGGAAGGCCTCTGTGAGGCAAAAGCTGGGCCTGGAGAGGCCATTGTCACGCAGGAGCTGGGCCTGTCCAGGCCATTGGGAGGCAGAAGGTGGGCCTGGAAAGCTTGACTTGAGGCAGTTTGGGGCCTACAAAGGCCAGTAGGAGCTGGGCAGGAGCTGAGCCAAAAGAGGTTGTTCTGAGGCAGGAGTTGGACCTCCAGACACAGTCAGAAGAAAGAGCACAGCCTGTAGAGGCCACCTGGGGGCAGCAGCTGGGCCTAGAGATGCCAACGAAAGGCAGGAGCTGGGCCTTGAGAGGCTGACTTGCGGACATTTTGGCCCTGGATTTTGTGGCCTGGACTTGCGGACATTTGGCCCTCCTGCAAAGAGGCAGGAGCTGGGACTAAAGAGGCCATTGTAAGGCAGGAGCTGGGCCTGTACAGGCTGCCAGGAGTCAGAAGATGGGCCTCCAGAGGCCACTGTAAAACAGGAGCTGGGTCTTGGAAGGTGGCCGTGAAGCAAAAGCTGGCCCTTGGGAGGCCAATGAGTGGCAGGAGCTGGGCCTGGTGAGGTCGACTTGAGAAAGTTCAGGGCCTGGAGAGAAGGCTGGGAGGCAGGAGCTGGGTCTAAAGAGGCCATTGTAACGATGGAGCTGTGCCTGTGGAGGCTGTTGTGAGGCAGTAGCCTCATCTGCGGAGACTGTCGTGAGGTATGGTATGGGCCTAAATAGGCCATTGTGAGTCATGAGCTTGGTCTGTAGCGGCTGAGTGGAGAAAGTTCTGGGCCTGAAGAGGCTGCTGGGAGGCAGGAGCTGGGCCAAAAGAGCCAAGCACATTACATTTATTAGGTACTTTATTTCCCCTATTATGTTGTAAGATATAATGAAATTATAGAATTCACCATAATGTAGAATCAGTGGCCGTGTTAAGCCTGTTTTCCTGCGACTAGATGGTCCCATCCTCTCAGTGTGATGGGAGAAAGTGACAGATCATCAGGCATTAGATTCTCACAGGGACAGCGCAACCTAGATCCCTCACATGCACAGTTCACAAATAGGGTGTGAGCTCCTATGAGAATCTAATGCTGCTGCTGATCTGAGAGGAGGAGGAGCTCAGGCAGGAATGTGAGCAAAGGGGAGTGGCTGTACATACAGATGAAGCTTCCCTCACTCGACACCACTCACCTCCTGCTGTGTGGCTCCTTACAGCTCCATGGCTCAGGGGTTGGGGACCCCTGCTCAAGTGCATCCAAAAGGACCCTTCCCACAGCAGTCTTCATAGTGGTCAAGTGCAGCAACCACTTAACTCCCAAGGCATGTGCCACAGCTGGCATTTCATCACAATCAACAGTAAGTGGTAGCTTGAGTCACTGTGAGGTCACTTCCTGGAAATCACCAGCATTCCATTTCCCATTGGCAAGGAGCTCAGCACTGCCCCTTGGATAACCAAACCTATGCCCAAATCCCATCTGTGTGGGTTTATCTCCTGGGACCCTTCCTAGCATATTAGAGTCCAATCAGGAGACATAAACCATTCAAAGGTTTAAAGTGGTAAAATTTAACACAGAGAATTATTCATTATAACAGGGGAACAGCATAATGAGAGATTGGCTAGCACAAAGTAAAGAGAACTCTGGAAAATAAAAGACTAGCACAGGCCAGACATCATGGCTCATGCCTGAAATTCCAGCAATTTCAGAAGCCAACGCAGGAGGATTGCTTGAGGCCAGGAGCTAGAGACCGGCCTGGACAGCACAGCAAGACCCTGTCTCTAACCAAAAAAAGAAAAAAATTAGCTGGGAGTGCTGGTGCACACTTGCAGTCCCAGCTACTTGGGAAGCTGACATGGGAGGGTAGTTTGAGCATGGGAGGTCAAGGCTGCAGTGAGTCATGATTATGCCATTACAGTCATCAAGCCTGGGTGACAGAGCAAGACCCTGTCTCAAAGAACAAAACAACAACAACCATTTACAGACAGAAAAGAAATAGAGCTAATAAGCTAAGGAAAGATGTTAAAATGTGACAAAGTAACATGAGGTCTTTTATCTATTTAAAATAATGAAAAAAACTTATTAAATTATAATACCCTGTGCTGGCAGAGGTGCAGTGAAATGGACACTTTCTTATACTATGAGGAGTGTTTAAGTAGTACATAGCCTTCCAGGGTAAAGCTTGGCAATTTTTTAAAATAATAGAGACAGGGTCTCACCTTACTGCCTCCTCCAACTCTTGGCCTCAAGCAATCGTCCTGTCTTAGCCTCCAAAGGGCTGGGATTATAGCTGGGAGGCACCCAAAACCTAGTCACTTTACATCAAGGGCAATGAGAATGTCCATTCACCATTACTCACAGTAATCTTACTTCTGGAAATACCTTGGGGAGACAATTCAATCTAAACAAAAGGTCAACTGTACAAACACAGTGAAAATCTAGGAGTAATTGAAGACAGAGTAGTTAAATGGAATAAACAGTTATAAGAAATTAAACTATGATATTTATAGGCACCTGGTAAAAGGTCACTTCATGTTAGCTGCTACTTTTTTGAGACAGGGTGTCACTCTGTCACCCAGACTGGAGTGCAGAGGCCTGATCATGACTCACTGCAGTCTCAGCTTCCCTGGGCTCAAGTGATCTTCCCACCTCAGCCTCCCAAGTAGCTGGGACTACAGGACACATCACCACACTAGGCTAATTCATGTATTTTTCTGTAGAGATGGTGACTCCCTTTCTTTCCGAGACCTGTCTCAAACTCTTGACCTCAAGCCATCCTCCTGCCTCAGCCTCCCAAAGTATTGTGATTAATGGTGTGAGCCACCACACTTGGCCAGTTGCTACTTTTATCAATATTATTATTCCACTCTATTAAAAATTATTTGTCATTACAAATTATTATTTTAAAGGCTATGGGACAATATGTGTCCCACAGCATAATTGTAAAACCGCATACAGTTGTCCCTTGGTATACAGAGAGAATTAGTTCCAGCCACCTATCTCTGCATATATCAAAATCCATGCATACTCACGTTTCGCAGTCATCCCTCTGGAACCCACATATAGAAAAAGTCCAAATATGAGTTGGGCATAGAGGCAAGCACCTATAGTCTCAGCAACTTGGGAGGCTGAGGTGGGAGGATTGCTTGAGCCTGGGAGGTTGAGACTGCAGACAGCTGTGATAGCACCACCACACTCCAGCCTGGACAACTGAGCAAGACCTTGTCTTGGGGGGGAAAAAAAAAACAAAACAGGTTAGAAATTCTAATGAGATCTGTTGGGTAAAATTCCATATAAGCGAAAAATAAATGAAGCAAATTGTGATAAATCAGTACAACGGACTTTTTGGAGTCTCTGACAATAAAGGTAAGAAAAATGCAAAACACAGAGATAGATGGTAAAAAAAAGAAATTAGGGAAGCATTGTGTATGTTTAATAAGAAGACGCTGGCCATGTTTGTGCAGCAGCAGTATGTCACAATACGATATACCTTGGAGAGCAGTTAACCGATGAGGAAGTTGATAAAAATGATCAGAGAAGCAAAATACTGATAGCGATAGTCAAGTAAACCATGAAGAATTTCCATAACTGATGTCAGCAAGGTGGGAATATTGTACAGTGTGTGTTGAAGTTCTTATACAACAGTTTATTTGCCTTTTGTTTTTTTGTAAGGAACATATATACTAAAAGTTCTCCTTGCTGTCAAAAGAATATGCGTAAGTTATTTGAACTTTTCTGTTTTTCTACTTTTCCTGCCATCATCCCACAGCCTTTAGACATTTTTTATTTTTTTAGAAAATTGAACAAGTGCTTGTTGTCGTGGCTCATACCTCTAGGATGGGAGGCAGGGGTAGAAGGGTCACCTGAGGCCAGGAGTTTGACAACAGCCTGGCCAATAAAGTGAGACCCCATGTCTACAAAACAATTTAAAAATTAGCCAGGTGTCATCATGTATACCTACAGTCCCAGCTACTCAGGAGGCTGAGGCAGGAGGATCCTTAGCCCAGGAGTTCAAAGCTGCAGCAAGCTGTGATGGCACCACTGTACTCCAGCCTGGGTGACAGGGTGAGACCCCATCTCCTAAAAGAAAAAAGAAAGAAAGAAAATAGATTAAGTAGCAAGTTGTATGTGGCTTACTTGGAATATTTCTAAACTAGAAGTTCTCAATCTTTCGGGGTCTAGCATCCTTTTACATTTTTTAACTTTATTGAAGATCTCTTAAGACTTTTTCTTTACATAAATATATTAAAATTAGAAAATGACTAAATTTTAAAAATATTATCACATATTAATAAAACCATTACATGTTGATATAATACAAGTTTTTAAAAATATTTATTATACATTACATATTAATAATAAAATCATTACATGTTAATACTTTTTTTTTTTTTGGAGATGGAGTCTCGCTCTTTCACCCAGGCTGGAGTGAAGTGGCGCGATCTCGGCTCACTGCAACCTCCGCCCCCAGGCTCAAGTGATTCTCCTGCCTCTGCCTCTCAAGTAGCTGGGCAGGTGCCCACCACCATGCCCGGCTAATTTTTGTGTTTTTTTTAGTAGAAACGGGGTTTCACCATGTTGGCCAGGCTGGTCTCGAACTCTTGACCTCAGGTGATCCATCCCCTTGGGTCTCTCAAAGTGCCGGGATTACAGGCATGAACGACTGCACCCACCCCAATTAATACATTTTTTAAAAACACTATGATTAGTCAGGCAACAACACTGGGCAGGGGTCTCCTCATTCCCAGAGACAAACCCCACTGCACAGCTCCGGGGTTGCAAGGGCTGCAGAGACAAAAGGCTCTAACTTGAGATTTCATTATTTTATTTGTATTTCTATTTGTACTGTGAGACAGGTCATGCTCTGTCACCTAGACTGGAGTGCAGTTGTGTACTTAGAGCTCACTGCAGCCACAATCTCCTGGGCTCAAGCCATCTTTCTGTCTCAGCTCCCCAGTAGCTGGTACTACAGTTGAGTGCCACCATATCTGGCTATTTTTTAAATTTTTTGTAGAGTGAGGGGTCTTGCTATATTGCCCAAGCTGGCCTCAAACTCCTGACCTCAAGAGATCTGCCCACCTCAGCCTCCTGAGTAGCTGGGACTACAAGTATACATCACCATGCCTACCTGCATTTATTTTATTAAATTTTGAAAAACATTTTTGTAGAGAGGAGGTCTTGCTATGTTGCCCACACTGGTCTTGAACTCCTGTCCTTAAAAGATACTCCCATCTCTGCTTCCCAAACAGCTGGGACTACAGGCATGAGCCACTGCACTGAAAATGAAGAGATTTCTTTAATCTAGCATCCCATACTTGGTAGGATTGAGAAAGGCAGTAGTGTTTTTTTAAAATTACTTAATAATTCAGTGAGAATCAAACTCAACCTTGACCCCTGCCTTCTCTCACACCCCACATCCAGTCTGTCAGGAAATCCTGTTGACTGTCTTCACCACGTACTGGACTCCCACCCAGCAACTCCCTGGCCTCCTCCCCTACTTCTCTCCTCTGACCATCTCTCACCACCACGACCCTGGTCAAGACCACTAACATCTCCTGCCTGGATGTTGCCACAGCTTGGCCCCCATGCTTCTACCCAAATCTTCCCACAGCCTTTCTAAAATGAGCAGCCAGAGAATGCTTTCAAATCAGGAGACAGATCATGTCGCCTCTCTGCTCAGAACCCTCCCAAAGTTCCCATCTCAGTCAGAATAAAAGCCAAAGCCCAAGCCCCAGCAATAACCTCCCAGGGCTTATGTGATATGTACTGATCCCTTCCCCTAATTCCTTCTATCTTTCTGCTCCACTGGCCTCCTTCCAGAGCCTCAGACACACCTCAGACACTTTATCCTGTTTTTCTGCCTATAATCCTCTTCCCTCGGCACCTTGGCCAAGTCCTTCCCCTCCTTCAAGTCTTTGCTCAATTTTCACTTAGGAGGACACCCCTGACCATTCTATTTAACATTGCCATCTGTCCCCATGCCCACCATGCTCATGTCTTCTTTCTCTTTTTTCTTTCTTTTTCTGTTTCTTCTCTCTTTCGGTCTCTCTTTCACAAGATCTCACTCTGTCACCAAGGCTGGAGTGCAGTGGTGCAATCACAGCTCACTGTAACCTCAAATTCACAGGCTCAAGCAGTCCTCCCACTTCAGCCTCCCTAGTAGCTGGGACTACAGGTATATGCTATCATCCCTGGCTCATTTTTTTTATTATTTATTTTATTTTACTTATTTTATTTTTTATATATATTTTATTTTATTATTATACTTTAAGTTTTAGGGTACATGTGCACAATGTGCACGTTAGTTACATATGTATACATGTGCCATGCTGGTGTGCTACACCCATTAACTCGTCATTTAGCATTAGGTATATCTCCTAATGCTATCCCTCCACCCTCCCCCCACCCCACAACAGTCCCCAGAGTGTGATGTTCCCCTTCCTGTGTTCATGTGTTCTCATTGTTCAATTCCCACCTATGAGTGAGAATATGCAGTGTTTGGTTTTTTGTCCTTGCAACAGTTTACTGAGAATGATGATTTACAATTTCATCCACGTCCCTACAAAGGACATGAACTCATCATTTTTTATGGCTGCATAGTATTCCATGGTGTATATGTGCCACATTTTCTTAATCCAGTCTATCATTGTTGGACATTTGGGTTGGTTCCAAGTCTTTGCTATTGTGAATAGTGCCGCAATAAACATACGTGTGCATGTGTCTTTATAGCAGCATGATTTATAGTCCTTTGGGTATATACCCAGTAATGGGACGGCTGGGTCAAATGGTATTTCTAGTTCTAGATCCCTGAGGAATCGCCACACTGACTTCCACAATGGTTGAACTAGTTTACAGTCCCACCAACAGTGTAAAAGTGTTCCTATTTCTCCACATCCTCTCCAGCACCTGTTGTTTCCTGACTTTTTAATGATTGCCATTCTAACTGGTATGAGATGGTATCTCATTGTGGTTTTGATTTGCATTTCTCTGATGGCCAGTGATGGTGAGCATTTTTTCATGTGTTTTTTTGGCTGCATAAATGTCTTCTTTTGAGAAGTGTCTGTTCATGTCCTTTGCCCACTTTTTGATGGGGTTGTCTTTTTCTTGTAAATTTGAGTTCATTGTAGATTCTGGATATTAGCCCTTTGTCAGATGAGTAGGTTACGAAAATTTTCTCCCATTTTCTAGGTTGCCTGTTCACTCTGATGGTAGTTTCTTTTGCTGTGCAGAAGCTCTTTAGTTTAATTAGATCCCATTTGTCAATTTTGGCTTTTGTTGCCATTGCTTTTGGTGTTTTAGACATGAAGTCCTTGCCCATGCCTATGTCCTGAATGGTAACCTGAAAGGTTTTCTTCTAGGGTTTTTATGGTTTTAGGTCTAATGTTTAAGTCTTTAATCCATCTTGAATTAATTTGTGTATAAGGTGTAAGGAAGGGATCCAGTTTCAGCTTTCTACATATGGCTAGCCAGTTTTCCCAGCACCATTTATTAAATAGGGAATCCTTTCGCCATTGCTTGTTTTTCTCAGGTTTGTCAAAGATCAGATAGTTGTAGATATGTGGTGTTATTTCTGAGGGCTCTGTTCTGTTCCACTGATCTATCTCTCTGTTTTGGTACCAGTACCATGCTGTTTTGGTTACTGTAGCCTTGTAGTATAGTTTGAAGTCAGGTAGTGTGATGCCTCCAGCTTTGTTCTTTTGGCTTAGGATTGACTTGGCGATGCGGGCTCTTTTTTGGTTCCATATGAACTTTAAAGTAGTTTTTTCCAATTCTGTGAAGAAAGTCACTGGTAGCTTGATGGGGATGGCATCGAATCTATGAATTACCTTGGGCAGTATGGCCATTTTCACGATATTGATTCTTTCTACCCGTGAACATGGAATGTTCTTCCATTTCTTTGTATCCTCTTTTATTTCCTTGAGCAGTGGTTTGTAGTTCTCCTTGAAAGGTCCTTCACATCCCTTGTAAGTTGGATTCCTAGGTATTTTATTCTCTTTGAAGCAATTGTGAAAGGGAGTTCACTCATGATTTGGCTCTGTTTCTCTGTTATTGGTGTATAAGAATGCTTGTGATTTTTGTACATTGATTTTGTTTCCTGAGACTTTGCTGAAGTTGCTTATCAGCTTAAGGAGATTTTGGGCTGAGACAATGGAGTTTTCTAGATATACAATCATGTCGTCTGTAAACAGGGACAATTTGACTTCCTCTTTTCCTACTTGAATACCCTTTATTTCCTTCTCCTGCCTAATTGCCCTGGCCAGAACTTCCAACACTATGTTGAATAGGAGTGGTGAGAGAGGGCATCCCTGTCTTGTGCCAGTTTTCAAAGGGAATGCTTCCAGTTTTTGCCCATTCAGTATGGTATTGGCTGTGGGTTTGTCATAGATAGCTCTTACTATTTTGAGATACGTCCCATCAATACCTAATTTATTGAGAGTTTTTAGCATAAAGCGTTGTTGAATTTTGTCAAAGGCCTTTTCTGCATCTATTGAGATAATCATGTGGTTTTTGTCTTTGGTTCTGTTTATATGCTGGATTACATTTATTGATTTGTGTATACTGAACCAGCCTTGCATCCCAGGGATGAAGCCCACTTGATCATGGTGGATAAGCTTTTTGATGTGTTGCTGGATTCAGTCTGCCAGTATTTTCTTGAGGATTTTTGCATCAATGTTCATCAAGGATATTGGTCTAAAATTCTCTTTTTTGGTTGTGTCTCTGCCCAGCTTTGGTATCAGGATGATGCTGGCCTCAGAAAATGAGTTAGGGAGGATTCCCTCTTTCTATTGATTGGAATAGTTTCAGAAGGAATGGTACCAGCTCCTCCTTGTACCTCTGGTAGAATTTGGCTGTGAATCCATCTGGTCCTGGACTTTTTGGTTGGTAAGCTATTGATTATTGCCACAATTTCAGATCCTGTTATTGGTCTATTCAGAGATTCAACTTCTTCCTGGTTTCGTCTTGGGAGGGTGTAAGTGTTGAGGAATTTATCCATTTCTTCTAGATTTTCTAGTTTATTTGCATAGAGGTGTTTGTAGTATTCTCTGATGGTAGTTTGTATTTCTGTGGGATTGGTGGTGATATCCCCTTTATTTGATTCTTCTCTCTTTTCTTCTTTATTAGTCTTGCTAGCAGTCTATCAATTTTGTTGATCCTTTCAAAAAACCACCTCCTGGATTCATTAATTTTTTGAAGGGTTTTTTGTGTCTCTATTTCCTTCAGTGCTGCTCTGATTTTAGTTATTTATTGCCTTCTGCTGGCTTTTGAATGTGTTTGCTCTTGCTTTTCTAGTTCTTTTAATTGTGATGTTAGGGTTTCAATTTTGGATCTTTCCTGCTTTCTCTTGTGGGCATTTAGTGCTATAAATTTCCCTCTGCACACTGCTTTGAATGTGTCCCAGAGATTCTGGTATGTTGTGCCTTTGTTCTCGTTGGTTTCAAAGAACATCTTTATTTCTGCCTTCATTTTGTTATGTACCCAGTAGTCATTCAGGAGCAGGTTGTTCAGTTTCCATGTAGTTGAGTGGTTTTGAGTGAGTTTCTTAATCCTGAGTTCTAGTTTGATTGCACTGTGGTCTGAGAGACAGTTTGTTATAATTTCTGTTCTTTTACATTTGCTGAGGAGAGCTTTACTTCCAACTATGTGGTCAATTTTGGAATAGATGTGGTGTGGTACTGAAAAAAATGTATATTCTGTTGATTTGGAGTGTAGAGTTCTGTAGATGTCTATTAGGTCCGCTTGGTGCAGAGCTGAGTTCAATTCCTGGGTATCCTTGTTAACTTTCTGTCTCGTTGATCTGTCTAATGTTGACAGTGGGGTGTTAAAATCTCCCATTATTGTTGTGTGGGAGTCTAAGTCTCTTTGTAGGTCTCTCAGGACTTGCTTTATGAATCTGGGTGCTCTTGTATCGGGTGCATATACATTTAGGATAGTTAGCTCTTCTCGTTGAATTGATCCCTTTACCATTATGTAATGGCCTTCTTTGTCTCTTTTGATCTTTGTTGGTTTAAAGTCTGTTTTATTAGAGACTAGGATTGCAACCCTGCCTTTTTTTTGTTTTCCATTTGCTTGGTAGATCTTCCTCCATCCTTTTATTTTGAGCCTATGTGTGTCTCTGCACGTGAAATGGGTTTCCTGAATACAGCTCACTGATGGGTCTTGACTATGCAATTTGCTAGTCTGTGTCTTTTAATTGGAGCATTTAGTCCATTTACATTTAAAGTTAATATTGTTATGTGTGAATTTGATCCTGTCATTATGATGTTAGCTGGTTATTTTGCTCGTTAGTTGATGCAGTTTCTTCCTAGCCTCGATGGTCTTTACAATTTGGCATGATTTTGCAGTGGCTGGTACTGGTTGTTCCTTTCCATGTTTAGTGCTTCCTTCAGGAGCTCTTTTAGGGCAGGCCTGGTGGTGACAAAATCTCTCAGCATTTGCTTGTCTGTAAAGGATTTTATTTCTCCTTCACTTATGAAGCTTAGTTTGGCTGGATATGAAATTCTGGGTTGAAAATTCTTTTCTTTAAAAATGTTGAATATTGGCCCCCACTCTCTTCTGGTTTGTAGAGTTTCTGCCGAGAGATCCACTGTTAGTCTGATGGGCTTCCCTTTGTGGGTAACCCGACCTTTCTCTCTAGCTGCCATTAACATTTTTTCCTTCATTTCAACTTTGGTGAATGTGACAATTATGTGTCTTGGAGTTGCTCTTCTCGAGGAGTATCTTTGTGGCGTTCTCTGTATTTCCTGAATCTGAATGTTGGCCTGCCTTGCTAGATTGGGGAAGTTCTCCTGGATAATATCCTGCAGAGTGTTTTCCAACTTGGTTCCATTCTCCCTGTCACTTTCAGGTACACCAATCAGACGTAGATTTGGTCTTTTCACATAGTCCCATATTTCTTGGAGGCTTTGTTCATTTATTTTTATTCTTTTTTCTCTAAACTTCCCTTCTCGCTTCATTTCATTCATTTCATCTTCCATCACTGATACCCTTTCTTCCAGTTGATCGCATCGGCTCCTAAGGCTTCTGCATTCTTCACGTAGTTCTCGAGCCTTGGCTTTCAGCTCCATCAGCTCCTTTAAGCACTTCTCTGTATTGGTTATTCTAGTTATACATTCTTCTAAACTTTTTTCAAAGTTTTTAACTTCTTTGCCTTTGGTTTGAATTTCCTCCTGTAGCTCAGAGTAGTTTGATCATCTGAAGCCTTCTTCTCTCAACTCGTCATTCTCCAACCAGCTTTGTTCCATTGCTGGTGAGGAACTGCGTTCCTTTGGAGGAGGAGACGTGCTCCGCTTTTTAGAGTTTCCAGTTTTTCTGCTCTGTTTTTTCCCCATCTTTGTGGTTTTATCTACTTTTGGTCTTTGATGATGGTGATGTACAGATGGGTTTTTGGTGTGGATGTCCTTTCTGTTTGTCAGTTTTCCTTCTAACAGACAGGACCCTCAGTTGCAGGTCTGTTGGAGGTTGCTAGAGGTCCACTCCAGACCCTGTTTGCCTGGGTATCAGCAGCGGTGGCTGCAGAACAGTGGATTTTTGTGAACCGCGAATGCTGCTGTCTGATCGTTCCTCTGGAAGTTTTGTCTCAGATGAGTACCCGGCCGTGTGAGGTGTCAGTCTGCCCCTACTGGGGGGTTCCTCCCAGTTAGGCTGCTCAGGGGTCAGGGGTCAGGGACCCACTTGAGGAGGCAGTCTGCCCGTTCTCAGATCTCCAGCTGCATGCTGGGAGAACCACTGCTCTCTTCAAAGCTGTCAGACAGGGACATTTAAGTCTGCAGAGGTTACTGCTGTCTTTTTGTTTGTCTGTGCCCTACCCCCAGAGGTGGAGCCTACAGAGGCAGGCAGGCCTCCTTGAGCTGTGGTGGGCTCCACCCACTTCCAGCTTCCCTGCTGCTTTGTTTACCTAAGCAAGCCTGGGCAATGGCGGGCGCCCCTCCCCCAGCATCGCTGCCACCTTGCAGTTTGATCTCAGACTGCTGTGCTAGCAGTCAGCGAGACTCTGTGGGCGTAGGACCCTCCAAGCCATGTGCGGGATATAATCTCCTGGTGCGCCGTTTTTTAAGCCCATCAGAAAAGCGCAGTATTAGGGTGGGAGTGACCTGATTTTCCAGGTGCCGTCCGTCACCCCTTTCTTTGACTAGGAAAGGGAACTCCCTGACCCCTTGTGCTTCCTGAGTGAGGCAATGCCTTGCCCTGCTTTGGCTCGTGCACGGTGCACTGCACCCACTGTCCTGCGCCCACTGTCTGGCATTCCCTAGTGAGATGAACCTGGTACCTCAGATGGAAATGCAGAAATCACCTGTCTTCTGCGTCGCTCATGCTGGGAGATGTAGACCGGAGCTGTTCGTATTCGGCCATCTTGGCTGCCAGACCTATTTTATTTTTTTTTAAATTTTGAGATGGAGTTTTACTCTTCTTGCCCAGGCTGGAGTGCAATGGTGCAATCCCAGCTTACTGCAACTTCCACCTCCTGGATTCAAGTGATTCTCCTGCCTCAGCCTTCCAAGTAGTGGGGATTACAGGTGCTTGCCACCATGCCTGGCTAATTTTTGTATTTCTAGTAGAGACAAGGTTTTGCAATGTTGGCCAGGCTGGTCTCGAACTCCTGACCTCAGGTGACTCACCCACCTCGGCCTCCCAAAGTGCTGAAATTTCAGGCATGAGCCACTGTGCCCAGCCAATTGTTTTATTTTTCATAGAGACAAGGTCTCACCATGTTGCCCAGGTTGGTCTTGAATTCCTGGCCTCATGTGATCCTCCTGTCTAAATTCCTGAAGTGCTGGGATTGCTGGCATTAGCCACCATGACTGGCTTCATGTTCTTCTTCCTGCTGCAACAGTTTGCAGTTTCTTACATTTAGTGGCTTAAAACACCACAAATCTACCATTTTACAGTTCTGGGGCCCAGAAGCCCAAAACAGGTCTATTAAGGCTAAAGTCAAGGTGTCAGCAGGGCTGCATTCCTTCTGGAGACTCTATAGTGTTCCTTTAGCTTTTCCCGCTTCTAGAAGCCACCGACATTCCTTGGATCATGGCCCTTGACTCCGTCTTCAAAGCTAGAAGTGAAGCATCTTCAAATCTCCCTCTCTGATCTCTGCTTCCATCACCACATCTCCTGCTCCAATTCTAACTGTCCTACCCTCTTTCTTTCATAAAGATCCTTGTGATTGCTGGGCATGGTGGCTCCCACCCATAATCCCAACACTGGGAGATCAAGGCAGGAGAAACACTTGAAGCCCAAAATTTGAAAGTAGCCTGAACAACATAGTGAGATCCCACCTCTAGAAAAAAATTAAAATAAATATTAGCCGGACATGGTGGTGTGCACCTGTAGTCCCAGCTACTTGAGAGGCTGAGGTGAGATGATCAGTTTAGCCCAGGAGTTTGAGATCGGCCTGGGTGACATAACTAAATCTCATCTCTACGAAAACGAGCTGGGTGTGGGTGACATGCATGTGTAGTCCCAGCTACTTGGGAGGCTGAGGAGGGAGAATGGCTTGATCTCAGGAGGTCAGAGCTATAGTGAGCTATGATCACATTACTGCATTCCAGTGTGGATGACACAGGGAGATTCTGTCTCAAAAAAAGAAAATAAATACATATTTAATCTCTGTCCCTGGTTCCTGGCACAGAGCTTCCAAAGCTCTTACAAAGACCTCAGTGATAGACATGATAGGAGCATCTTTTGTTTTCAATATTTAGTCTTGGTCCCAGGTTTCTAACACAAGAGCCTCTAAGAACTTTGGGGGCAATCACATGATTAGAGGCTTGGAACTTTCAGCCTCATGCACTGAACTCCAGGAGGAAGAGGGGCTGAAGATTGACTTAATCACCAACGGCCAAAGATTTTACCAATCATGCTTGCATAATAAAGCCTCCATAAACACCCTGAATGGGGTTTGCAGAGCTTCTGGGGTTGCTGAACACAGGAGATGTTGGCAAGGTGGCATGTTCAACAGAGGACATGGGAGCTCTGTGCCCCTCCTAACTTACCTTGCCCTGGGCATCTTTCTTTTCTTTTGAGACAGGGTCTGGCTCTTTTGTCCAGGCTGGAGTGCAGTGGCACAATCTCAGCTCACAGCAACCTAAGCCTCCCCAGTCCCCAGCTCAAGGCATCCTCTCGGCTCACCTTCCCTAGTAGCTGGAATAACAGATGCACAACACTGCACCCGGTTATTTATTTTTATTTTTCTAATTTTTTGTAGAGATGGGTTTTCACCATGTTGCCCAGGCTGATCTCAAACTCCTGAGTTTAAGTAATCCTCCCACCTCAGCCTCCCAAAGTGCTGGAATTACAGACATGAGCCACCGCATCCGGAAAGTACGTCTCTTTCATTGGCTGTTTCTGAGATGTATCCTTTACAATGAACCAGTAATAGGAAATGAACTGGCCAGATACGGTGGCTCACATCTGTAATCCCAGCACTTTAAGAGGCTGAGGTGGGAGGATCACTTGAGCCCAGGAATTTGTGGCCAGCCTGGGCAACACAACAAGACCCCATCTCTACAAAAAAAAATAAAAGAAATTAGCCAGATGTGGTGGTGCAAGCATGTAGTCTCAGCTACTACGGAGGCTGAGGTGGGAGGACCACTGGAGACCTGGCAGTTGATGCTGCAATGAGCTATGACTGCACCATTGCGCACCAGCCTGTGCAACAAAATGAGAACCTGTTTCTCAGAAAAAAGAAAATAAACTGTTTTTCTGAGTTCTGTAAACCATTCTAGCAAATCATTAAACCCAAGAAGAGGGTCATTGGAAACCCTGATTTGTAACAGGTTGGACAAAAGTACAGGTGACAACCTAGGACTTGCCACTGGCATCTGAAGTGAGGATAGTCTTGTGGGACTAAGCCCCTAACCTGTGGAGTCTGTGCTAACTCCACGTAGTGTCAGAATAAAATTGTGGGATACCCAGTTAATATCCAGAACACTGGAAAACTTGGTATACAAACTCCACACACATGTTCAGTCAAAAGTGCATGAGCAGAGACAAACACAGGCTTTTCTTTGACCTGTCTACCTGCTTAACTGCATAGGAGAGGCAATACGTGGTGCTCATGAACAAAGCAAACATTAAAGTCAGACCAGACCCAACATTTGACTCAGTCTTAATATCCAGGTGAGCTTGGGCAAATCATTCATTATCCCTAAGTCTTCATCACTTCATTCATAAAATGAGGATAACTGTGGCACCTACCTGTCATTTTGTGAGAATTAATGAGATATTATGCTTGGTGTTATTGTGATCATCATACCTATTCCAAACTATTTGACAAGGACAGGGATGGATGATAACATCAAAAGATTAGAAACTGTAGTGAGGTCTCTCAGGCAAAATTCCATACAAGCAAATTACTGTCGCTACAAAGTATTCCTGCCACACTTAATTCACCACTTCCTGAAAAAAAAAATGTGCCATCTTCATTGTTCAGGTCGTTACAGTGCTGGTTTCCCTGTCTGGGCAGCTCACTCCATCCCACCCCAGCCCATTCCCCTCCACCTCCCCCTTCCCACCCCATTCTCATACAACTCTTCCTCATCTTTCAGGACTTGGCTTCAAAAGTCACCTTAACTGGAACCTTCTCTCACCCTCCAGAAGAGCTTCCCATTGCACTTGATGCATGAACTATTATTTGATCATTTTTGAGTTATATTCCAAGTCTTTTTGTACCTGAATAACATGTTGCCCAGTCAGTCTCTCTTCCTGGACTCTGAAGTCTTTCATGGTAGATCCAGCTGGAAGTGACAAAAAGACATTCTTTTGAAATAGAACGGTGACATAGACAGAGACGTAAGTTCTTAAATGTTTTAAAGGGTATGTGAAACTTTAACTAAATTCATAGCCTTTTGGGGAACACTTAGGAGGGAAACTTACTGGGAATGTCATAAAGGATTAATTTGTATTTTATTTTTTGAGACAGAATCTCATTCTGTCACCTAGGTTGGAGTGCAGTGCTGCAATCAGGGCTCACTGCAGCCTTGACCACCTGGGCTCAGGTAATCTCACTTAATTTTTATTTGGTTTAAAAAACTCAGTCTTGGTTGAGCGTGGTGGCTTCTGCCTGTAATCTCAACACTTTGGGAGGCTGAGAGAGGTATATTACTCGAGGCCAGCAGTTTGATATCAGCCTGGAAAACATATTAAGGCCCTGTCTCTACCAAAAAATAACAGAGTGAATGTGTGGAAGACAATTTTTCCAAAGACCTGGGGTGAAGGAAATGATTTCAGGATGATTCAAGTGCATTACGTATATTGCGCACTTTATTTCTATTATTATTACATTGTAATATATAATGAAATAATTCTACAACTCACTAAAATGTAGAATCAGTGGGATCGCTGAGCTTGTTTTCCTGCAACTAGACTGTCCATCTGGGGTGATGGGAGACAGTCACCCCAGGCATTAGATCATCAGGCATTAGATTCTCATAAGGAGCATGAAACCTAGATCCCTCACATGCACATAACAGGGTTCGTGCTCCTAGGAGAATCTAATGCTGCTGCTGATATGACAGGACATCATGCTTAGGTGGTCATGCAAGTGATGGGAGGGCTAGAAATACAGATGAAGTTTTCCCTCACTCGCCTACTGTTCACCTCCGGCTCTGTGGCCCTGTGGTTGGAGACCCCTGCTAAAGTGCATCTGAAAGGATCCATCCCATGCCCTTCTTCAGAGTCATATTTACTGCCACAGTGTTCAAGTGTAGCACTCCTAAGCTCGCAGGGCCTATGGCTCAGCTGGCATTTCATCACAATCAACAGTAAGTGGTAGCTTGAGTCATTGTGAGGTCACTTCCTGGAAATGACCAGCATCCCATGTCCCATTGGAAAGCAGCTGAGCACTGCTCCTTGGATAACCAAACCTATGCCCAAATCCCATCTGTGTGCGTCTATCTCCTGGAATCCTTCCTATCATCAATTCTGTATTTGTAGGAGTCCAATCAGGAGACACAAACCACTCAAAAGTTTAAACTAGAATGAGCAAAGTGGCTCACACCTATAATCCCAGCATTTTGGGAGGCCAAGGCGGGTGGATCGCTTTGAGCTCAGGAGTTTGAGACCAGCCTGGGAAACATGGTGAAACCCCATCTCTACAAAAAACACAAAAACTAGCCAGGTGTGGTGGCATATATCTGTAATCCCACCTACTCAGGAGGCTGAGGCAGGAGAACTGCTTAAGCCTGGCAGGTGGAGGTTGCAGTGAGCAGAGATTGTGCCACTGCACTCCAGCCTGGGTGATAGCATGAGACCCGGTATTAAAAAAAAAAAAAAAAAAAAGAAGAAAAACAATATATGTAAATTTAATATAAGAATTATTAATTTTGGCCAGGTGCAGTGGCTCACGTCTGTAATCCCAGCAGTTTGGGAGGTAGAGGCAGGTGGATCACCTGAGGTCAGGAGTTTGAGACCAGCCTGACCAACATGGAGAAACCCCGTTTCTACTAAAAATATAAAATTAGCCAGGTGTGATGGCACATACCTGTAAATCCCAGCTACTTGGGAGGCTGAGGCAGGAAAATCGCTTGAACCTGGCAGGCGGATGTTGCGGTGAGCCAAGATCGTGCCATTGCACTTCAGCCTGTACAATAAGAGCTACACTCCATCTCAAAACAAAAAATATTAATTTTAACAGAGGATCGGCATAATGAGGGACACACTAGCACAAATTAAAGACAACTCTACAGAATACAGAACTAGCAGAGGCCAGGCATGGTGACTCAAGCCTGTAATCCCAGCAATTTGGGAAGCCTAGGCAGGAGGATCACTTGAGGCCAGGAGTTGGAGACCAGTCTGGCAAACATAATGAGACCCTGGGTCTACCAAGAAAAGAGAAAAATTAGCCAGGTGTGGTAGTGGTACACACCTGTAGTTCCAGCTACTTGGGAGTCTAGGGTGGGAGGGTCCCTTGAGCCTGGGAAGTCTAGGCTACAGTGAGCCAAGATCCTGCCACTGCACTCCAGCCTGGACGACAGAGACCCTGTCTTAGAAAGAAAATGAAAAGAAAAGAAAGTGCTAATCCCCCTATGGGAATCTCCTCTTCTCCGGCCCTCTCTGGAACCTCACTTGTCAGTTCTTCCTCCCACTTCCCTGTATCTTTAACCTATCCCCCTCTTTTAGCTCCTTCCCACCATCATCTAAATTACTCAAACTTCTTCTATTTTAAAAACCTCTCCCTAAACTCAGTGTGTCCCCTGCTTTAGGTCTCCTGCACACCCACTGAGCCATCTGCTCCCCGTGGTGCCTTCTCCACACAGCAGCCTGAGCCATGTCTCTAATGCATGAATCTCATCACATTACTCCCCCATTTACATCACTTCTCCTTGTCTCGGGGATTAAGTCCAAACTCCTTAAAAGCCCCTGCTCTGCCCTGCCTTGCAAAGCAGCCTCACTGCTTGCCCCTCTCCATTTTACCTGCTGTGGAGTCCAGCTGAGTCTCATCTGCCCCCTGAATCAGGAATTAGATTCTCATAAGGAGCTGAATCCTGAATCCACACTCTTTCCCCTCTGGGAGTCTCTGAAGTAGGTGATGCCCTCTGCTTAAAGAGTACACTTCCCCTTAAACCTCTACTCTCTTCCTGGCTAGCTTTGGCTCCTGTCACTTGTCCGCTTTGGCATCACCTCCTCCTGGAAGCCTTCCTTGACTCTCCAGATTCTCAGGAGCATGGGAGGTGAAATGCTTCTCCCATGAATGGATGGAGATTAGTGAGTATGTATTATTCATGCTTAATTCACCAGGGCTTAGCTGAGTACCTGGCACAAAAAAGTTACTGTGGTGGCCAAAGTAATGACCCCCCCGACCCCACCAATTGCTCATGTCCTATGTTACACTGCACAAATACATAGGAAGGGGGAATTAAGAGTGCAGATGAAATTAATGTTGCTAATCAGCTGACCTTAAAATAATATTATCCTGGAGTATCTAGAAGAGCCCATGTAATTACAAGTGTTCTTTAAATGTGGAAGAGGGAGGCAGAAAGTTAAGAACCAGAGATGGTGGGCACAATGGCTTATCCCTGTAATAACAATACTTTGGGAGGCCAAGCCAGGAAATTCCCTTGCGTGCAGAAGTTCAAGGCCAGCCCTGGCAACATAGTGAGAGGCCCCATCTCTACTAAAAAAAGAATAATAATAATCACTGTGTGCCATGGTGCTTACCTGTAGTCCCAGCTACTGGGAAGGTTGAAGTGGTAGGATCGCTTGAGCCTGGGAGTTTGAGGCTACAATGAGCCGTGATAGGACCACTGAACTCCAGCCTGAGTGACACAGCAAGGTCCTGTTTCTAAAGAAAAAAAAGGACATTGGAATCAGGGTCCCCTCCATCCTAAGGTGCCTACAATGCATCTCTCTCTGCAAACAAGTAAACATCATCCTCCAACTCCTCACAGAGTGGAGCAGCAGAAAAACTCCCTCACCTCATTTCTGTGCAGTTTGGGAGGCCTGGACAGCCCAATAACCAGCTCCTTGCTGATGAAGCAATTGGGAAATGGCTCGAGTTGAGCTAAGGAGAATTTGGATCCTTCTTTTGGTTCTCAATAGGCAGGATAGGGGTCAGGCATGGTGGCTCATACGTGTAATCCTTGCACTTTGGGAGGCCAAGGTGAGAAGATCGCTTGAGGCCAGGAGCTCAAGATCAGTCTGGGCAACATAGCGAGACCCAGGTGGCATGCACCTGTGGTCCCCACTACTTGGTACGATGAGGTGGGAGGACTGATCACTGGATCCCAGCAGTTTCAGACTGCAGTGAGCCATGATCACACCACTGCACTCCAGCCTGTGTGACAGAAACAGACAGTTTCTCAAAAAGTAAAAAAAAAAAAAAAAAAGAGAGAGACTATAAGGCAGGCACCACCACACCACCA
The DNA here is from genome assembly GCF_000001405.40 of Homo sapiens. Lineage (NCBI taxonomy): Eukaryota > Metazoa > Chordata > Mammalia > Primates > Hominidae > Homo > Homo sapiens. The sequence continues at coordinate 56,852,021 of NC_000007.14, forward strand.
CATCTGGCTAATTTTTAAATATTCTGCAGAGATGAGGTCTTGCTAGGTTGCCAAGGCTGGTCTAAAACTCCTGGAATCAGGCTGGGCATGAGGGCTCATGCCTGTAATCCCAGCACTTTGGGAGGCCAAGGCAGGCAGATCACCTGAGGTCAGGAGTTAGAAACCAGCCTGACCAACATGGTGAAACTCCATCTGTACTAAAAGTACAAAAATTAGCTGGGCAGTAGTGGCATGTGCCTGTAATCTCAGCTACTTAGGAGGCTGAGGCAGAAGAATCACTTGAACCTGGGAGGTGGAGGCTGCAGTGAGCCGAGGTCGCACCACCGCACTCCACCCTGGGCGACAGTGAGACTCTGTCTCAAAAAAAGAAAAATACAAACAAACAAACAAACAAAACAAAAACAAAAACAAAACCCCGGCATCAAGAGATCTTCCTATCTCACCCTCCCAATGCCCTGGGATTATAATTTTTGTTTAGAATAATTGAAGATACTTGTTCTTACACTGCTTTAAGGTATAAAGAAAAAAAAAGATAATAACAAATGTTGGTGAAGGCCGGGCACAGTGGCTCAGCCTGTAATTCCAGAACTTTGGGAGGCTGAGGTGGGCAGATCACTTGAGGCCAGGAGTACGAGACCAGCCTAATCAACATAGTCAAACCCCATTACTACAAAAAAATATAAAAATTAGCCAGGCATGGTGGCATGCACCTATAATTCCCAGCTACTCAGGAGGCTGACATGAGGGAATCACTTGTGCCTGGGAGGTCAAGGCTATAGTGAACTGTGATGGCATTACTGTGCTGCAGCCTGAGAGACAGAGCAAGCCCCTGTCTAGAAAAAAAAAATGTCAGTGAAGATGTGGAGGAATTGGAACCCCACATACATTACTGGTGGGAACATAAAATCATGTAACCACTTTGCTTGGGTATTTCTTTTCTTGTCATTTTAACTGGATTTTTAAAAAAATCAAGACAGGGTCTCACTATCTTGCCCAGGCTTGTCTTGAACTCATGGGCTCAAGCCATCCTCACAACTGAGCCTCCTGAGTAGCTAGGATTACAGCTGTGAGCCATTGCACCCAATTGGTGTAGCCACTTTAGAAAACAGTCTGGCAGTGTCTCAAAATGCTAAATGTACAGTCGTCGTATAATGCAACAATTTCACTCCTAGGCATATATCCCAGAGAAATAAAAATATATGTCCACACAAAAACTTGTCCAGCAATCTTCATAGCACCATTATTCATAATGGCCAATACATGGAAAAAACCCAAATGTCCACCAACTGATGAACAGATAAACAAAATGCAGTGTGTCTCTACCACAGAATATTATTCAGCCATAGAAGTAATGAAATATTGATACACACTATGACATAAAGGAACTTTGAAAACATTGTGCTAAGAGGGAAAAAAAGCCACAAAAGACCACATATTATACAATTCTATTTGTCCAGGTTAGGCAAATCTATAGTGACAAAAAAATGGATCAATGGTTGCCTAAGGCTGGTGGCCAAGGCAGGTCGGGGGAGTAGGAGGTAGTGGCTAAGGGGTGCGGATTTCTCTATAGAGTAATGAAAGTTTCTAAAAGTGACTGTGGTGATCGATGTACAGCTCTGGGAATACTCTAAAACCTACTGAATTGCAGATTTCAATAAATAAAGTGAATGGTATGTGAATTATATTTTAATAAAGCTATTATTTTAAATAATAATAATAAGGGGCTGGGCACAGGTAGTCATGCCTGCCTGTAATCCCAGCTCTTTGGGAGGCTGAGGCAGGAGGATCACTTGAGGTCAGAAGTTTGAGCCCAGTCTGAGCAACCTAGCAAGATCCCGTCTCTATGATAAAAAAAATAAAAAAATTAGCTGGGCATGGTGGCACATGTCTGTAGTCCCAGCTACCCGGGAGACTGACATGGGAGGATTGCTTGAGCCCAGGAGTTTGAAGCTACAGTGACCCATGATCATGTCACTGTACTGCAGCCTGGGTAACAGAGCAAGACTCTGTCTCTAAAAAGGAAAGAAAAGAAATGCAAGTTTTTACCACTTTGTGAGTGTAGCCAAGTTGGTGGAGAAATAGACAAGAATAAAAGGGCACTGAATAATGAAGGTGAGTGGCTGGTTAGGCTCAGTTGCTAGCTTATCAGCTTCTAAAAAATTCATTAGTAAAGTTACAGCTCTGGGGATAGCCATGCAGTCAAAGAATGAATGCTAAATTCATTACAAATGCTCATGGTCTTTCTTTACATGCCTCCTAGTGAAAAATTCCTAAGTGTCTGAATAGCAAGTCTGCAATGATAGCAGCTGTTTACTAAAGACTACAAAAAAGAAATGGAGGCCGGGCATGGTGGCTCATGCCTGTAATCCCTACACTTTGGGAGGCCTAGGCAGGCAGTTCACCTGAGGTCAAGAGTTCGAGACCAGCCTGGCCAACATGGTGAAACCGTGTCTCTACTAAAAATACAAAAATTAGCTGGGTGTGGTAACACGTGGCTGTAATCCCAGCTACTTGGGAGCCTGAGGCAGGAGAACTGGTTGAGCCCAGCAGGGGGAGGTTGCGGTGAGCCAAAATCATGCCATTGCACTCCAGCCTGGGTGACAAAAGCAAGACTCTGTCAAAAAAAAAAAAAATGGCATCTTCTTCAAGAATGACATAGTTTCACGATAAAAAAGTTCTAATTTTGTGTTTTGATTTGATTTAGCCAATATGACACCAATCTTGGATAAAGTGCAAACAATGCAATTTCATTTTCTCATTAATCAAAACTGACTTGGTGGTCTAATATCAATTCTGATCTTTTAAAAAACTGATCAGATAAAAAAATTATGGAATGATGGAGCCAATAAGGTGTTACAATTTCTTTCAAGGAGAATTTCAAAACCCACACATATCTGAGATGATCAAGTATGAGGAAACGTATTTGATTACTATATTTAAAAATAAACTGATTATATAGCCAACAACAACTGGAAAGAGGTCTCCTCATCCACAGCCACAAAAACCCGATCACACGGCTATGCGGTTGTAAGGACTGCATAGCCTAGAAGGGACTGGTCTGACTTCAGATTTCATTTCATTTGTATTTGTATTTTGAGACAGGGTCCCAGTCTGTCACCCAGGCTGGAGTGCAGTGGTATAATCATAGCTCACTACAGCCTTCACCAACTGGGCTCCAGAGATGCTCCTGCCTCAGCTGCCCCAGTACCTGGGAATACAGGCAAGTAACACCATGTCACACTATTTTTTTCATTTTTGTAAAGAGAGAAGTCTTGCTATATTGCCCAAGCTGGCCTCAAACTCCTAGCTTCAAGAGATCTGCCTACCTCAGCCTCCTGAGTAACTGAGGCTATAGGTGCACACCACCATGCCCAGCTATATTTATTTTATTTTATTAAATTTCTTTTATTTTTGTAGAGAGGAGGTCTTGCTATGTTGCCCAGGCTGCTCTCAAACTCACGGCCTTAAAACGTACTCCCATCTCTGCCTCTCAAGCTGTTGGAACTATAGGTGTGAGACACTGCATCTGGCCTGACTTGAGACTTCTTTAATCTTGCATCCTTTACTTAGTAGGACTGAGAAAGGTAGTAGTGTTTTTTTTAATTAATAATTCAATTAGAATCAAACTCAAGCTTGACTCCCACCTTCTCTCGCAGTTCACATCCAGTCTGTCAGGAAATCCTATTGACTGACTTCAACATGTATCCAGGCTCTGACCATCTCTCACCACCACGACCCTGGTCAGGACCACTATCATCTCCCACCTGGATGTTGCCACAGCTTGGCCCCTGTGCTTCTACCCAAATCTTCCCACAGTCTTTCTCAACTCAGCAGCCAGGGGGTGCTTTTAAATCAGGAGACAGATCATGTTGCCTCTCTGCTCAGAACCACCCCACAGTTCCCATTTTAGTCAGAGTAAAAGCCAAAGCCCCAGCGATGGCCTCCCAGGGCTTACACGATCTGTACTGATCCCAGCCCAGCAACTCCCTGGCTCCTCCCCTACTTCTCTCCCTCTATCTGTTTGCTCCACTGGCCTCCTTCCAGAGCCTCAGACACACCAGGGAGTTTCCTCCCAATGCCTTTATCCTGTTGATTCAGCCTGCAGTGCTCTTCCCTCAGCACCTTGGCCAGCTCCATCACCTGCTTCAAACTTTTGCTCAATTTTCACTTATGAGGCCAACCCTGACCACTCTACTTAACATTGCCATCTGTCCCCATTTCCATCATGCTCATTTCTTTCTTTTTGAAACAGGGTCTTTCTCTATTGCCCAGGATAAAGTACAGTGGTGCAGTCACAGCTCACAGCAACCTCAACCTCTCAGGCTTAAACAATCCTCCTGCCTTGGCCTCCCTAGGAGCTGACACGCCTGGCTAATTTTTTTCAACTTTTTTTTTTTTTTTTTTTGAGACAGAGTCTCGCTGTCACCCAGGCTGGAGTACAGTGATGTGATCTTGGTTCACTGAAACTTCCACCTCCTGGGTTCAAATGATTCTCCTGCCTCAGCCTCCCGAGTAGCTGGGACTACATACAGGTGCCCGCTACCATGCCCAGCTAATTTTTGTTTTTTCAGTAGAGACGGAGTTTCACTACGTTGTTCAGGTTGGTCTTGAACCCCTGAACTCAAGTGATCCACCGCCTTGGCCTCCCAAAGTTATGGGATTACAGGCTGAGACACTGCATCTGGCCCCAACCACATTTTTTGAGGCTTGGAACTTTCAGCCTCACTCGCTGAACTCCAGGAGGCAAAAGGGTCTGGAGATTTAACGACCAATGGCCAATGATTTTATCATGCCTCCATGAAAACCCTAAACAATACGGTTTGGAGAGCTTCTGTTTTGCTGAACACAAGGCGGTGCTGGAAGGGTAGTGTGCCCAACAGAGGGCATGGAAGTGCCCCTTTTCCCACTTACCTTACCCTGTGCATCTCTTTCATTGGCTGTTCCTGAGATGCAGCCTTTACATTGAGCCAGTAATAGAAAATAAACTGGCCAGATGTGGTCGCTCATGCCAATAATCCCAGCACTTTCCCAGATCTTTTTACCTTGGCCTCCAAGGTGGCTGGGACAACAGGCATGCATTAGTGTACCATCATACCTGGCTATTTTTTTTATTTTTAGTAGAAACAAGGTCTCACCATGTTTCCCAGGCTTGTTTCAAAATTCTGGGCTCAAGCAATCCTTTTGCCTCAGCATCTCAAAGTGCTGGGGTTACAGGTGTGGGCCATGGCCCAGCCTGGAACCATGCTACTTGTACAGTCTGCAGAACTGTGAGCCAAATAAACTTTTTTTCTTTATAAACTACCTAGCCTCAGGTGTTTCCTTATAGCAATGGAAAATGGACTAATATAGGAATCGTATGTCAACACTTACCAGACTGTGATGAGCACAATGACAGGAGTATAGAGTGGGACTGAAACGCTCCCAAGGGGCTTCTCGTTGCATCATAGAGAGTGAGGTGAGACATCTCAGCTGAGGCTAAAGATGAGCAAAGATGAGAGTGAAAGAGTGATGATGGGGGTAGGGAGAGGGTTTCCTCAAGGACCAGTAAAGTCCCGGAAGGAAACTGACATTCCGTGTGGCTGGAGGGTAGGTGAATTCAACTGTCATTGCAATTCAGCAACCCGCACATTTAAGTTTGTGTTTGATTTTCAATATCAGCCCTGTGGATACAAAAAATAAGGAATTGTGTTTGGGCTATCATGGAAGCTCTCTGGATCTTAGACCGCAACTTATGCTGAGAGGTAAAGACTTGAACTTTTTGTTTTTCTCTCTGTAAGTGCTCAAGTGCAGCGGTCCCCAATTTTTTTGGCACCAGGGACTGGTTTTGTGGAAGACAATTTTTCCACAGACTGGGGGCAGCAGGTCAGTTTTGGAATATTTCAAGTAAATTACATTTATTGTGTACGTTATTTCTATTATTATTATATTGTAGTATGTAATGAAATAATTATGTAACTCACCATAATGTAGAATCAGTGGGAGTCCTGAGCTTGTTTTTCTGCAACTAGATGGTCCCATCTGGGGGTGATGTGAGACAGTCATAGATTATCAGGCATTAGATTCTCATAAGAACGGAGCAAGGTAGATCCCTCACATGCACAGTTCACAATAGGATTCGTGCTCCTATGAGAATCTAAAGCTGCCACTGATCTGACAGGAGCCCGAGATCAGGCAGTAATGTGGGGAGTGGCTGTAAATACAGATGAAGCTTCACTCACACACCCGCTGCTCACCTCCTGCCGTGTGGCCCAATACAGGCCTGTGACCCAGGGATTAGGGGCCCCTGCTCAAGTGCATCCAAAAGGACCCTTCCCACACCAATCTTCATAGTGGTCAAGTGCAGCAACTACTTAGCTCCCAAGGTATGTGCCTCAGCTGGCAATTCATCACAATCAACAGTAAGTGGTAGCTTGAGTCATTGTGAGGTCACTTCCTGGAAATGACCAGCATCCCATATCCCATTGGCAAGGAGCTCAGCGCTGCCCCTTGGATAACCAAACCTATGCCCAAATCCCATCTGTGTGGGTCCATCTCCTGGTACCCTTCCTAGCATCAATTCTTTATTTGTAGGAGTCCAATCAGGAGACACAAACCACTCGAAAATTTAAAGTGGTAAAATTCAAAACAAAAAAGTATTAATTATAACAAGGCAACAGCATAATGAGAGATTGGCTACCAAAAAGCAAAGAGAAGGCTAGAGAACATAGGAGGCCAGGCATTGTACCCCCTGCTTATAATTCCAGCAATTTCAGAAGCCAAGGCAGGAGGATTGCTTGAGGCCAGGAGTTTGAGACCAGCCTGGGAAGCACAGTGAGGCCCTGTCATTAAAAAAAACAAAACAAAAACAAAAACAAAAACCTCCATCTCAAAAACAAATAAAAATAAATAAACAAATAAAATAAAAAATAAAAAATTTAGCTTTGCATGCTGTTGTACGTCTATAGTCCCAGCTCCTTGGGAAGCTGAGGTGGGAGTATTACTTGATCCCAGGAATATGACGCTACAGCAAGCCATGATCACACCACTGCACTGCAGCCTGAGTAACAGAGCAAGACCCTGTCTCTACAAAGGAAAGAAAAGAAATGCAAGTTTTTATCACTTTGTGAGAGTAATAAAGTTTGAGGAGAAACAGAGAAGAACAAAAGAGCACTGAATGGTGAGGGTGGGTGTCTGGTTAGGCTCAGTTACTAGCTAAGTGGCTTCTGAAAAATTCTTTAATAAAATCATATCTCTGGGGGTCAGTCATGCAGTCAAATGATGAATGCTGAATCCATTACAAATGCCCATCGTCTTTCTTTACATGCCTTCTAGTAAAAAATTCCTAAGTGCCTAAATAGCAAGTGGTCTGAAATGATAGCAGTTGTTTATTAAAGAAATATCTTGGCCAGGTGTGGTGGCTCATGCCTGTAATCCCAGCACTTTGGGAGACTGAGGTGGGCAGACCACCTGAGGTCAGGAGTTGGAGAACAGCCTGGCCAACATGGTGAAACCCCCATCTCTACTCAAAATACAAAAACTTAGCTGGGTATGGTGGTGGGCACCTTAATCCCAGCTACTCGAGAGGCTGAGGCAGGAGAATCACTTGAACCTGGGAGGCAGAGGCTGCAGTGAGCCGAGATCACACCACTGCACTCCAGCCTGAGTAACAAGAGCAAAACTCCATCTCAGAAATAAAAAAAAAAAAAATCTCGATTTTTAAAAACTATGAGTCAAATATTATTTTCCTCCTCCCATTTTACAGGGTGCAACCTAAATAACAGAGAATTTAAGTAATTTTCCTAAGTGGCAGAGCACAGATTTAAATCCTATCACTTTGGCCTCAGAATTTGTGCTTTATATTATTTTACTATTTTAAAATTCATCTCTTTTAAAACCAAGAGACTTATGCAAAATTGTGCTAGGATTCAAAAAACGCCTCTTGCTTTTCCTGATCATGGTTGCAGGCAGGGCTCATGCTGCATTTTCTTTACTTATTTATGTCCTGCTTGGATGGAGACATGATGACAGGAGCTCCCTCCATCACCGTGCACCAGAAAGAAAAGTGAAGAGAAGCACAGGGAAGCCAGTCTTACCATGTTTGAGCAACTGAACCAATGTCAGCCTGAGCCTACCAGCACAATTACTCTTATGTGAGAAAAACAGGCATCTCCCTATTTGGAAAATCACAGCTGACTGCAGTAGTAAACAATCCACAAGTTATTCCTGGTAACACTATTCCTACAGCCCTAATCTGTCTCAAAAAAAAAAAAATCCTAATGCAGTTATTTCCTTTTGCATTCATGAGGAGATGGAAGAAATACCCATATTTGATGGTTGGCTGGGAACTGTCTTTGGCACTGTATGAAGTATTTTAATATTGTAAACATGAAAAGATGAGAATCCTGGAGACCCCGTGGGCATGGAGAAAAGGAAGTACATTAGAGGGTGTTGTAGGAAATATTTTCATTCCAGGCACTGCTGTTTAAACTACCCCTAAACTTTCTTTCCTTAAAAGTACAGAAAAAACAAAGAGGACAAAAGATCAAGAAACATTCCACGTGCCCCTCTCCATTCTTATTTGTTGTAATAAAGGAAAAGCATTTTGGAGATTTTCCTGAATGCAGTTTATGATGTGATCAAAGTTATTTATTTTCTGCTAATGATTTTCAAAATTTGAATTAAAAACTTTCAGAAATTTAGCTTTATCAAAGGCAGCTGTTCACATGTAAAACTAGTTTGGTTAACTTCATCTGCATAAACACATAGCTAGTGAATTAGCGTAACTATTAAACTGAAGAATCAACAGAAACATGCCAATGACTGGCCCTTACCTTCCACAGTGACCTCAATTTCAGGAAGATTTTCATTACTCTCAGGCCTTCATGGTCTTTTTGGGGACTGAAAGTTGTAAAATAAGCACAGAATTACTTTAGTATGTTGTAGGAAAAAAATACAAAAGGAGATGTTTTATAAGAGTAGAGTATTAAAATTCATACAGTTTGACTCTTTTCGAAGAAACCTGCAGAATTAAACTTGTAGTGTAGTCCTCTACAGGCGGCTCAAAAAAGCCATGGAAACATGCATAAAGTAGGATTGCAAATGTGACATTTCCAGTGAAATTTAAAAAAAAAAAAAAAAAAAAGAAAAAGAGGTCCATTAAATAACATAACTTAAAAAGCTAAGAAACTAACTGCAAGTCCCACAAAGATATTGGCCAATGACTCTCTATGATTTTAAGAAATGCTGATAAAGAATGTCTTAATGCAGTGAAATATAACAGGAAGTACATGTAATCTCTTACCTTTAGTGTGGCAAGTAGGAAATAATTAGTTCAAGTCAAGAAAGAATACCAAGAAATGTTATAGTAGCCAGTACAATGGTGGTCTAACAGCTAGTAAAACAGTCCTGATATGATGAGAGTTTTTTCAAAAGGAGTTCGCGGAGTCACCCTGTAATGTAACAATAATTCCTATCATTGTGTACAAAAACCCTGACATTTCCTTCCCATGACTGGCAAGTAATTATATGAAGAATAAATTACTTCTTTCATGAAAAAGAAAATCAACACTAGTGTATTTTCTTCAGCCACTAAAATTCTGCAGGAACACAGATATAGTAGGAAACTCAATCATCACATCAGGCCGGGTATGGTGGCTCATGCCTGTCATTCCAGCACATTGAAAGGCCAAGGCGGGTGGGTCACCTGAGTTCAGGAGTTCAAGACCAGCCTGACCAACTTGGTGAAACCCCATCTCTGCTAAAAACACAAAAATTAGCCAGGTATGGTGGCGCATTTCTGTAATCCCAGCTACTCAGGAGGCTGAGGCAGGAGACTCACCTGAACCCAGGAGGTGGAGGTTGCAGTGAGTGGAGATCACACCACTGGACTCTAGCCTGGGCAGCGAGAGTAAAACTCTGCCTCAAAAAAAAAGAAAAGAAAAGAAACTCAATCATCAATATTTAGTCACTCTTAAGACTGACCCAGGAATAACAGAGCAGATAAAATCCAGCAAATTAGACTTCATTCAAGTACTTAGGTGTACTGTGAGCCACCATGGTGCCTCTAAACACCATGGAGGCAGTGGTCACTATTCTTGCACTGATGAAGATGGCTGTGTACAGGATTGGGGACTTCAGGGGCAATGGAAAGTGCCAGGACTGCAGCTCAGAGCCAGGCTTTTCCATGAAGGACTTATGGCCACACTTGTCACCTCTAGCTAGAAAAACATTTTAGTAGAAATGTCATTTTATTGTTTTAATTCCAGAAATGACTTCAGTGGCAAATAGAACTTACTTTTTTACTGTTGTTGTTGTTGTTGTTGCGGAGTTTCACTCTGTTGCCCAGGCTGGAGTGCAGTGCTGTGATCTCAGTTCATAGCAGCCTCTGCCTCCCAGCTTCAAGTGATTCTCCTGCTTCAGCCTCCCGAGTAGCTGGGATTACAGGTGCCAGCCACCATGCCTGGCTAATTTTTTGTATTTTTAGTAGAGATGGGGTTTCACCATGTTGGCCAGGCTGGTCTCGAACTCCTTACCTCAGGTGATCCACCCACCTCAGCCTCCCAAAGTGCTGGGATTATAGGCGTGAGCCACTGCACCTGGCCTGCAAATACTATTTGGAAGCAGCCCTTTGCTACTAACTGCTCAAGACCGTAATAACCCTCCTCCTTTGGTTGCTGCAAACTGGCACATTTCAGGCTAAACTTTCATCTACACGGAAACAACAAGATCTTCTTTACTACCCCTTCAACCTTGTGAGCATGCTATTAAAAAAAATAAAAATAAAAAACTTTGCACAAAGAATTAATGGAATGGGAAATTTAAAAAGTAAGCAGAGGCCTGTTTAGATTACAAGAGGCATAACAACCAAAGTTAGCACATGAAGATTGTTTGGATCCAGATTTAAAGCAAAATTTTTCAGATAATGAGAAAATGAGATACTGTTCAGGTAAGAGTGAGGAAACTTGGCTAGGTGCAGTGGCTCACACCTGTAATCCCAGCACTCTGGGAGGCCGAGGTGGGAGGATCACCTGAGGTCAGGAGTTCAAGACCAGCCTGGCCAATATGGCGAAACCCCGTCTCTACTAAAAATACAAAAATTAACCGGGTGTGGTGGCATGCGCCTGTAATCCCAGCTCCTCAGGAGGCTGAGGCAGGAGAATTGTTGGAGCACAGGGGGCAGAGGCTGCAGTGAGCCGAGATTAGAACATTGCACTGCAGCCTGGGCGACAGTGCAAGACTCTGTCTCAAAAAAAAAAAAAAAAAAAAAAAAAAAAGAAAGAAAAGAGTGAGGAGACTCAGCTAAGGGCTGCATATGAGCTGATACCAAAAAAATCATTGTTCATTTTGTCAGATGTGATGAGATAGTGGCTGTGTAGGAATACATAAATGCTGTTCGGGGATGCACACTGAACAGATAAAATGATGTGATGACTGATTTGCTTTACAATATTCCTGCAAAGGGAGGTAAAAGAACAGAAGAACAAAATGTGGGACAATCTTAAAGATCACAGAAATTGAGGAATGGGTATTTTAGCGGTCATTGTACTATTTTCTCTACTTCTGAATAGGTATAAAAATTGTAATTTAAAAATGTAAAATAAAACAGCCAGGCGCAGTGACTCATACCTGTAATCCCAGCACTTTGGGAGGCCGAGACAGGTGGATCACATGAGTCAGGAGTTCGAGACCAGCCTGGTCAACATGGTGAAAGCCTGTCTCTACCAAAAATACAAAAAACAAAAAAAAGTCAGCCAGGTATGGTGGCAGGTACCTGTAGTCCCAGCTACTCAGGAGGCTGAGGCAAGAGAATCACTTGAATCCAGGAAGCAGAGGCTGAAGTGAGCTGAGACTTCGCCACTGCACTGCAACCTGGGTGACAGAGTGAGAATCCACCTCAAAAAAAAAAAAAAAAGAAAAGAAAAAAGTATAAATAAATTGATTAATCCCTGCTCTGAAGCCACATCCAAACAGAACTCTAAAAAAAGATTCAAGCAATTTACTGTGCTGTTTATATACACATCTCCCTCACACCTCTGTAACATTTAAATATTTTACAACATGATGGGTGGGAGTGGCTCAAAGCTGGACATGCTGGCATGTGCCTGTAGCCCCAGCTACTTAGGAGACTGAGGCAGGAGGATAACTTGAGCACAGGAGTTCTAGTCCAGCCCAGACAACATAACAAGACCCTGGTTTTTTTTGTTTTTTTTTTGAGATGGAGTTTGACTCTTGTTACCCAGGCTGGAGTGCAATGGTGGGATCTCAGCTCACTGCAACCTCTGTCTCCCGGGTTCAAGTTATTCTCCTGCCTCAGCCTCCCAAGTAGCTGAGATTACAGTCACACACCACCACACCCAGCTAATTTTGTATTTTTAGTAGAGATGGGGTTTCTCCATGCTGGTCAGGCTGGTCTTGAACTCCCGACCTCAGGTGATCTGCCTTCCAAAATGCTGGGATTACAGACATGGGCCACCACACCCTGCCAATCCTGTTTCTTTAAAAAGAAAGGTTGGGGAGCTGTCAGGGAGCTCACTGATGAATTATTTTGGCAATAACAACAATTGCTATGAAAACGCAACTATAAAATCCAAAATTGTATCTATTCCCAGATCTTTCTCCTTACTTCCAAACTCATTTATCCAACTGTCTCCTCCACCTCCACACCTCAACTTAAATGTCAACTCAAAATAAATTAACAATTAATTTCTGTGTTCTTAGACTGGCTTTCCTCTAACATCTCAAGACCTGTCTTAAATTCTTAATGTTATTAGCACCAAATCTGAAGGACTCTAGTATAGAGACTCTTTGATATAAGAAACATGTGTTTTTGAGAAACCACACAAAATGAAATAATTATTATAGCTGTAAAAACAAATATGCCCATAAACAAAAAACAGTAAAGGATTAGAGGCTTTTAGTCACACTAGAGAGTGATGTTAAATTAAATTATTCTGTTAATTCAAGAAAATATATAAACCTAATTCTAACAAATTTTCTATAAAATAAAAAAGAACCAATTGTTGAAGGTGAGAGTGAAAAAAGTGGAAGTTTTAGAAAGAGGTGAGGCCAACTGCAGAATGTGCTCATCACATATCATCAAGGCTGCCCCAATCACACCCTCTGCCTCCTCATCCCCTTATTCTACTTAATTCTACCCCAGACCTTAACACCTTACACTGTAAATATCTCCTACTTACTACACATTTCCCCACCAGATTGAATGCTCCAGACTGTATGGGGCAGTTCCCCTGCACCTGACTCACAGGTGCCAAATGACTGCAGGATTATGAGGCTGAAAGTAGTAAACATTTCCTCAATACTTGCAGTGGTTCACAGCCATGAAAAATCCAAGATTTCCTCTCTCTCTTTCAGGAACCTTAAAGAAAGCAGCAATACTGTCAGAAGCATTTGAAAGAGAGCAACTCGATCTTAAGTAGGAGCTGGGTAAAATGAGGCTAAGACTTACTGAGCTGCATTCCCAGATGGTTAAGGCTAAGTCACAGGGTGAGGGAGGTCAGCACAATATACAGGTCATAAGGACCTTGCTGATAAAATGGGCTGCAGTAAAAAAGCCAGCCAAAACCAAGATAATGACGAGAGTGACCTCTGCTCATCCTCACTGCAATACACCCATCAACTCCATGGCAGTTTACAAATGCCATGGCAATGTCAGAAAGTTGTTCTGTATGGTCTAAAAGGTGAACCATAAAATTAATCCACTCCTGGCCATGTGCAGTGGCTCTCACCTATAATCTCAGCACTCTGGGAGGCCAAGGTGGGTGGATCACCTGAGGTCAGGAGTTTAAGACTAGCCCGGCCAACAAGGTGAAACCCCATCTCTACAAGAAATACAAAAAAAATTAGTTGGGTGTGGTGGTACATGCCTGTGATCCCAGCTATTCAGGAGGCTGAGGAAGGAGAATCGCTTGAACCCAGGAGGCAGAGGTTGCAGTGAGCCAAGATCACACCACTGCACTCCAGCCTGGACTCCATCTCAAAAAAAAAAAAAAAAACAGCAACACAGTATGAGAGGTTGGGTATTGTGGTTCATGCCTACAATCCAAGCATGTTGGGAGGCTGAGGTGGGTGGATCACCTGAGGTCAGGAGTTCGAGACCAGCCTGACCAACATGGTGAAACCCCATCTCTACTAAAAATACAAAAATTAGCTGGACATAGTGGCAGGTGCCAGTAATCCCACCGACTTGGGAGGCTGAAGCAGGACAATCGCTTGAACCTGGGAGGTGGAGGTTTCAGTGATCTGAGACCGCACCACTGCACTCCAGCCTGCATAACATGAGCGAAACTCTGTCTCAAAAACAGAACAGTAAGAGAAAACTGAAGCTGAGTCCCACTCATTGTATTTACTTTCCTAAATAAAACAACATTATAAAAAACACTACTCAGTAATATAATTTAGTTGAAGGGGAAAAAACAGACTTATCAAATTTTTTTGCAAAAAAGCTGATCCATCATTTTCCACAATTCAGTGATTCTGGCATACCATACTTCCTTCCCCATCAAAATCACAGGAATACAAGTTTTCTCAATCTAATGAATTTAATAACTTGGGTTATTAAATATTATTATAAAATAGGCAGTATTTTTCTTTCCTGTGACTATTTTTTTTTTTTTGAGATGGAGTCTCGCTCTGTAGCACACACTGGAGTGCAGTGGCATGATCTCGGCTCACTGCAAGCTCCGCCTCCCAGGTTCATGCCATTCTCCAGCCTCAGCCTCCTGAGTAGCTGGGACTACAGGCACCCGCTACCACGCCCGGCTAATTTTTTGTATTTTTAGTAGAGACAGTGTTTCACCGTGTTAGCCAGGATGGTCTTGATCTCCTGACCTCGTGCTCCACCCGCCTCATCGTCCCAAAGTGCTGGGATTACAAGCATGAGCCACCGCACCTGGCACCTGTAACTAATATTATTTCTAAGATCCAGAATGTATTTATTACTGAAACAATGCTGACATACACTGCACAAAAAAAAGGAAGAACCAGACATTCATTAAAGCTAGGAAAAAGCAGAACTCAGTGTGCTCAAGAACCACTAGCAGGCAGGACAGGTTGTCTCATGCCTGTAATGCCAGTACTTTGGGAGGCTGAGGTGGGCAGATCACCTGAGGTCAGGAGTTCCAGACCAGCCTGGCCAACATGGTGAAACCCAAACTCTACTGCAAATAAAAAATTAGGCTGGCGTGGTGGCAGGTGCCTGTAATCCCAGCTACTTGGGAGGCTGAGGCAGACAGAATTGCTGGAACCCAGGAGGTAGAGCTTGCATGAGCTGAGATCACACCACTGCACTCCAGTATGGGCAACAGAGGAAAACTCCACCTCAAAAAAAAAAAAAAAAAAAAAAAAGAGAACAGCAAACAGCTAGCAGGTGCCATTTGCTATGGGGAGACTAGGGATATGATCTTGCTGGCAATCCTTCCATTTTAGTAAATCTAAACAGTGTGATTCCATTCTTTTTTGTCTGCACTCCACTCTAGAGCCAAAACCAGAAAATCAATTATATTTCTACTTCTTTCAAAACACATCTAACAATTAAGAGATGATATGCATGGCTCCATGCTCTAAAAGGAACTTTCTTATGTCCTGGGTATCGTGGACATTTGATGAATGCTTGTTCAGTTGGCTAGTGTAGACTTCAATAATAAACTGTTCAGTGCATAATGTCAGACAAATGTTGTATCTGAAAAGTAGGACAAATATTGTTCTTTTAGTTCTGTCTACCCATAAACGCAATACTTACATGTATTTATAATGGGTTAATAAAAAGAAAATGAGTTTATTTTTCTAGAGAGTATTAGAATTTTGACAACATGAATTCTCCTGTCCTGGAACATAATTAAAAGTAAGAGGAATATTATTTCATGTGAAAGGACCATTAAAAAAATCATTGTTAAGCATTAAATAATTATTTCACATAATCTTCTAATCTGACTTAAGACTGAAGACCTACCACCTGAAGCTGGTTTATCAAGTTGTAAGTCTTCACATGTTGAATTCGCAAGTTCATGTCTGAAAGGTGAGAATAAATACTTAATATTCACTAGGCAATATTCAGCAAAGTAATATTCACTGGTGCATATTTTACATTTCATAACCAAGGGTGGCTTTGAAAAAAAAAAAAGACAGGCTGGTCACGGTGGCTCATGCCTGTAATCCAACACTTTGGAAGGCTGAGGCAGACAGATCAGGAAGTCAGGAATTCAAGACCAGCCTGGCCAACAAGGTGAAACCCCGTCTCTACTAAGCATACAAAAATTATCCAGGCATTGTGGCAGGTGCCTGTCATCCCAGCTACTCAGGAGGCTGACCTAGGAGAATCACTTGAACCTGAGAGGCAGAGATTGCAGTGAGCCAGGACACACCATTGCACTCCAGCATGGGCGACAACAGTGAAACTCCAGCTGAGAAAAAAAAAAAAAGAAAGAAATATCCCATTACTCTAAGGCAATGTAGATACAGCCAGAATTTCAACAGAAGTCTGAACCACATTATAAAGCCAGAAAAACATACAGCTAATATTATTTAATACATATAGCACTAAATGGAAGAGGTAATATTTTCTTTTACTTTTTTTTTTTTTTTTTTTGAGACGGAGTCTCGCTCTATCACCCAGGATGGAGTGCAGTGGCAGGATCTCGGCTCACTGCAACCTCCGCCTCTCGGGTCCAAGCAATTCTCCTGTCTCAGCCTCCCGACTAGCTGGGACTATAGGCACCTGACACCATGCCTTCCTAATTTATGTATTTTTGTAGAGACGGGGTTTCATCGTATTGGTCAGGCTGGTCCTGAACTCCTGACCTCAGGAGCTCCGTCCACCTCAGCCTCCCAAAGTGCTGGGATTACAGGCATGAGCCACCATGCCTTGCGGAAAAGGTAATATTTTCCAAACATATACATTAGTGTAACCTTGTTAGACTTATAAATATGATTTTTTTTAGTAACAGAAGCAGAAGATTCTCCTGAACTGTATCATTTCAGCTAACATTTATTTACTTAAGATTAAAATAACAGAACAGCTATAGAAAGTCAAGAGGTAGCCAGGCACAGTGGCTCATGCCTGTAACCCAAATACTTTGAGAGACCAAGGCAGGTGAATCACCTTAGGTCAGGAGTTTGAGACCAGCCTGGCCAAAATGTTGAAACCCCATCTCTACTAAAAATACAAAAATTAGCCAGGCATGGTGGTAATCATCTGTAGTCCCAGCTACTAGGGAGGCTGTGACGGGAGGATCACTTGAACCTGAGTGGTGGAGGCTGCAGTGAGCTATGATCACACCACTGCACTCCAGCCTGGGTGACAGAGCAACACTCTGTTTCAAAGAAAAAAAAAGAAAAAGTCAAGAGCATGGAGAGTATTAAATTCAGACAAAACCAATGGTCTATCATCAGAACAGCTCCATTTTTTTGCTATCATTATGTGTTAAGGTCAATTTGCTAAACACGAATATTTGTACTAAAGTTTTAAGTATACCATATAACACATTATTGCTGACTTAGGTTTAATGTCCTTTGCCGTACAATATACCTGAATATCTTACTAATATATCACAACAAAAGCATCTTTCCCTAAGGCAATTACCATTAATACTGCTTTAAAGTTATAAAATGTGGGCTGAGGGGTGGCTCACACCTGTAATCCCAGCACTTTGGGAGTCCAAGGCAGGCAGATCACAACGTCAAGAGATTAAGACCATCCTGGCCAACATGGTGAAACCCCATCTCTACTAAAGTACAAAAATTACCTGGGTGTGGTGACGCACCCCTGTAGTCCCAGCTACTTGGGAGG
The DNA here is from genome assembly GCF_000001405.40 of Homo sapiens. Lineage (NCBI taxonomy): Eukaryota > Metazoa > Chordata > Mammalia > Primates > Hominidae > Homo > Homo sapiens. Next base: position 56,869,803 of record NC_000007.14, read on the forward strand.
CTGAGGCAGGAGAATTTCTTGAATCCAGGAGGCAGAGGTTGTGGTGAGCTGAGATTGCAACTCCAGCCTGAACAACAAGTGTGAAACTTTGTCTCAAAAAAAATTTATAAAATGTGAGAATTGCTTTTATAATTTTACAACACCTGAGCATTACTGTCTTTAAACTAAAAAATCTAATAAATCACCATCACAACAAAAGCCCCACAAGATAATTTGTTTCACCTTATAAAAAGCACTGACATTTAGTGTGTGGTAATTTGTTGCAGTAGCCACGGGAAACTAGTATTGTACTGAAGCCTCAACACCCACCTGAAGGGGCTGGGCATGGTGGCTCATGCCTGTAATCCCAGCACTTTGTGAGGCTCAGGTGGGTGGATCACTTGAGGTCAGAAATTCAAGACCAGCCTTCCAACATGGTGAAACCTTGTCTCTAAAAATTACAAAAATTAGCTGGGGGTGGTAACACATGCCTATAATCTCAGCTACATAGGAGGCTGAGACATGGGAACTGTTTGAACCCAGGGTGGGGCGGAGGTTGCAGTGAGCCAAGATTGTGCCACTGCACCCCAGCCTGGGTGATAGAGTGGGGCTCCATGTCGACAATAAGAAAACAAAACAAAACAAAACAACACAAAACCCCACCTGAAGGTTTCCAGTTCTTTCAATAGTCCCCCACCCAACCCCTTAGAAGCACACAGTCTTTTGCTGTGGGCCATGGAGAGGAAGAAGGAAGCACCTCCTCATGGCAGAGGCCTACCCAGGAGAAACTCAAGGGAAGGCACTGCCAGGCCGGTCCTTCTGCCAAGGCCATTTTCTTTTTTTTTTTTTTTTTCTGATGGAGGGACACAGTTTCACTCCGTCTCCCAGACTGCAATGCAGTGGCACAATCTCAGCTCACTTCGACCTCTGCCTCCCCAATTCAAGCAATTCTCCTGCCTCAGCCTCCCGAGTAGCTGGGATTACAGGAGCACAGCATGTCCAGCAGGTTTTTGTATTTGTAGCAGAGATGGGGTTTTGCCATGTTGCCCAGGCTGGACTCAACCTCCTCACCTCAAGTGATCCACCTATCTCAGCCTCCAAAACTGCTGAGGAGTGAGCCACCGCACCCAGCACTCACCAAGGCCTTTGATGGCAGGCTTTTTCCAGGTGACCACTCCTTGTCTGGTCTGGTTCTGCCCCACCCTCCCTCTCACCAAGTTGGAATCCGTCACTACTTTTCAGTAGAGGAGAGTGTGTACCCCAATCTCAGCTTGGTATGATTCAGATCTGCATTTAACTCATGAAATCTGGCTGATCCTCAAGCCCTGGAGAAAAAAAAGGGTCTCTCTGTGAGTATGATACAGGACAGGTCTGTCCCCAGGACCCTGGGAGAGGGAAGCCCAATGGCCCACCAGGTTGGCAGGGCTGGGGAAGGGAAAGTGTTATGGTAGCCCCAAGACGAAAAAGAGGCAGCAGAGGGAGCAGGACATCACTCCCATTGAACTCATGCCGCTGCCTAAGTGAGGTGAGGGAGGAGTGCACCCGAGTGACATGAGGGGGCAGAGAGGCACGGTTCCAGGGCGGCTTTCACCCTTACTTCCTGCCATGTTACTCTGATCCCCTGCAGGTGAGCCTGCCCACTTTTGGCTTAGGGCTGCTGCTGGGGCCTGTACTCAAACGCAGCCCCCCCATGGCCATGGCTCCATGAGTGGGGCAGAGCAGGGAGGAGTCCTAGACAGAGGAGAGGCTGGGGCAGGAGGGAGTGGGCCTCAAACTCCAGGAGGGGGCCCTTCTCATAGGTCCTCTTTTCCGGCCTCTTCTTCCTTACCCCTGGGCTGATCACCTGGGGAAGAACTGAGGCAAGCTTTCTCATCCTCAGGTCTGAGGGGTTCAATTACTGGGCCCAACTAGCTGGGATTACAGGCATGCACCACCACACCTGGCTAATTTTGCATTTTTAGTAGAGTCAGGGTTTCTCCATGTTGGTCAGGCTGGTCTCGAGCTCCTGACCTCAGCTGATCCACCCACCTCTGCCTTCCAAAGTGCTGGGATTACAGGTGCGAGCCACTGAGACTGGCCAAGCAATCCTTTTCTAAAAATGAGCTGGGCTCGGTGGCTCATGCCTATAATCCCAGCACTTTGGGAGGCCGAGGTGGGTGGATCACTTGAGGTCAGGAGTTTGAGACCAGCCTGGGCAACATGATGTAATCCCATCTCTACTAAAATAAATAAATAAATAAATAAATTAGCCAGGTGTGATGGTGGCCACCTGTAATCCCAGCATCTCAGGAGGCTGAGACAGGAGAATCACCTGAACCTGGGAGGCAGTGGTTGCAATGAGCCGAGATCATGCCACTGCACTCCAGCCTAAGTGACAACAGTGAGACTCCGTCACAAACAAAAACAAAAACAAAACCAGATTCCATCTCAAAATAAATAAATAAAACAAAAAATGTGGTATGGCAATGAAAATAATTACTGTGTTAAAGACAGTTTCGTAGAAAATAGAAGACCACTCAGATACAATAAGCTGTCTTTTTAGATGAGTATACTTGTTATTCTTATTTTACAGCTAAAGAAACTGGCTCAGAGAATGTTATTCAATTCGACCATGTTGCATTTCTGGACGGTGCAGCTGAGATCAGACTTTGTGTGTAACTCCACTAGTCTACCAGGGTGCCTCTCATAAAGGTAAGAAATGTAAATTTGGCCTAATCTACAAAGTTACCAGGGCAGCACTGGGTCAATTCTACATACAGTACTTCTATATTCATCAAGGGAAACCTTAAGGGAAGGTGAAAATGCTTCTAGAAGGCAACTGGACACCAGTGCCCTTGCTTGTTGCCTTTGGGCTCTTCCTCTAAGGCCAATAGTGACCTGAAATTACCAACTAACTGTTTCAATCAAGTGGACAAAATGGTACCAAGGTAATCAACATCAGACAAATTCATTTGAGGACCTATCTATGTGCTTTGAAAGACAAAACTTTTTGTAAAGGATACTGTATTTCAGAAAAACAAAATCATATTAACAACTAATAACACTGTAAAATGCTGATGTGTTGAATGCTACTTTAGAAAAACATGTTCAAATCTAGGAAAAAAAATTTGATAGAAAACTACATAATCAGCTGGGCGCCGTGGCTCACGCCTGTAATCCCAGCACTTTGGGAGGCTGAGGCGGGTGGATGATGAGGTCAGGAGTTCAAGACCAGCCTGACCAACACAGTGAAACCCCATCTCTACTAAAAATATAAAAAATTAGCCAGGCATGGTGGCGTGTGCCTGTAATTCCCGGCTACTCAGACAGGCAGGAGAATTGCTTGAACCCAGAAGGCAGAGGTTGCAGTGAGCAGGTGAGCCAAGATCGCACGACTGCATCCCATCCTATGTGACAGGACAAGACTCTGTCTCAAAAAAAAAAAAAAAAAGAAAAGAAAAGAAAACTACGTATCAATTATCTAGCTAGCTATCTATCTAGAGAAATGGTTTCATTCTATTGCTCAGGATGGAGAGCAGCAGGATGATTATAGCTCACTGCAGCCTTGAGCTCCTGGCCGCAAGTGATCCTCCTGCCTTAGCCTCCTAAGTAGCTGCGGCCACAGGTGAACAGTTACACACGGCTTTTTGTTTTGTTTTGTTTTGTTTTTTGTACAGAAAGGGTTTCACTACATTGCCTGGGCTGGTCTCAAACTTTAGAGTCTCGATGTGTCACCCAGGCTGGGGTGCTTGGTGTGATCTCGGCTCACGGCAACCTCCACTTCCCAGTTCAAGTGATTCTCCAGTATCAGCCTCCCGAGCACCTGGGACTACAGGCATGTGCCACCACACCCGGCTAATTTTTGTTATTTTTTGTAGAGACTGAGTTTCTCCATGTTGGCCAGGCTAGTCTCGAACTCCTGACCTCAGGTGATCCACCCACCTCGGCCTCCCACAGTGCTGAGATTACAGGCGTGAGCCACCATGCAGGGCCAAACACTTTCTTACTTTATTAAATAGCATAACCCAGGTAGGGCACGGTGGCTCATGCCTGTAATCCCTACAAGTCTGAAGGCCAAAGTGAGAATATCAGTGAACCCAGGAGTTTGAAACCGGCCTGGGCAACATAGCAAGACCCCCATCTCTACAAAAAATACAAAAATTAGGCTAGGCATGCACCACGCCCAGCTAATTTTTGTACCTTTTGTAGGGACGGGGTTTCATCCTGCTGCCCAGGCGGGTCTCGAACTCCCGAGCCCAAGCCATCCTCCCGCCTCGGCCTCCCAAAGTGCTGGGATAACTGGGCCCAACCAGCCTCATGTTTTCCTTAAGCAGTCCCTCCCTGTTGCACACTTGGGTAGTTTCCTTTTTTACTTTTTTAGACAGGGGTTACCTCAGTCTCGAAGGCTGGAGTGCTGTGGTGGGATCACAGCTCATTGGAGCCTTGAACCTTGGGAGTTCAAGTAGCTGGGAAGCTGAGGTGAGACTAAAGAGATGGGGTCGCGCCAGGTTAACAGGCTGCTCTTGGCCTGAAAGGATCCTCCGGCCTCGGCCGCCACCGGACACAGTTTCCTATTTTTGATGGACATACACACTGTGCTGGGTGGGAGTTTATCAACTACCTTTCTGCAGCCAGCAATACAGAGGACCTGGAGAGGAGGTGGCGGTTACCAGGCTCCACTGTCAGAAGACTGACCATCTCCAGGCACTATACCGCCCCTGTGACGTCGCGAAAGACCAGCTCATAGGACTTTTCGAATGGGCGCCTCTGAGACGTCAATGAAGGCGCGCCCCTATGGCGTCACAGAGGACCGACTCTCATACGCAGCCAATCGGAAGTGAAGGCGGGGCTTCTGGGTCTTCCTGGAGTGCGCATACATGGGCCAGCGGCCACAAGAATTACGATTTACCCCATCGTCCTCTGAGCTTTGGGGATGATGGATGAATAAATAGAGGCACAGACAGGTGATCTACCCAGAGCTGATGAGTAACAAGCCTGCTCTCAGGCCGTGTGACTCCTAGATTAGTACTCTTTTTTTTTTTTTTGGAGAGAAAGTCTCACAATCTCGGCTCACTGCAACCTCCACCTCCTGGGTTCAAGTGATTCTACTGCCTCAGCCTCCCAAATAGCTGGGGCTACAGGTGCCTGCCATCACAGATATCTAATTTTTGTATTTTTATTGGAGATGGGGTTTCACTATGTTAGCCAGGCTGGTCTCAAACTCTTGACCTCAGGTGGTCCTCCTGCCTCAGCCTCCCAAGTGCTGGGATTACAGGTGTGAGCCACTGTGCTTGGCTGCTTTTTTTTTTTTTTTTTTCAAAATAGAGATGTTTAGCCAGATGTGGTGGCACAAACCTGTTGTCCCTCCTACTAGGGAGGCTGAGGTGGGAGGATCACTTGAGCCTAGGAGGCAGAGACTGTAGTGAGTCAAGATCATACCAATGCATGTCAACCTGGATGACAGGGTGAGACCCTGTTTAAAAAATAGAAAAGATATGGGGTCTTGCTATGTTGCCTAGGCTGATCTTGAACTCAGCCTCAAGCAATCCTCCTGCCTCAGCCTCCCAAAGTGCTGGGAGTACCGGCATGAGCCGTTGCACCTACCCCTGGGAACTTTTTGCTGGGAGTGGTTTCTCTTATCTGTCCTGGCTTCAGGAGGGCAGGACCCCAAACCAAGGGTTTCTTCAAGTGGACAGCACTTTGGGAATGAAAGTGGGGTCAGTACTTGGTGTGCTGCAGAGGTGGCTATAGCCTACAGGGCCTGCTAGAGCCTAGGACAGCACTTCATGGGGAAAGCTTGGGCCTTACCTGCCCAGGATCTCGTTGGGCTAATAATTGTCATGGAAGTCCTGTGCGGAATGAGAGTCCGGCAGTGCCTCATCCCGGGTCATGCTCAGATCCTCAGCAAGGGAACTCTGGGTGGCTCTGAGAGTGGAACACAAAGAAGCTGTCAGCCCTCCTGACCCAGGGGTTGTTCTTGGGGCCTGGAACTGTTTCTCACTCACCCTTACATCTCCTGGCACCACACTGGCCTACAGTGAATGTTCCAAATAAACGTTTGTGAATTGAGGCCAGGCGTGGTGCCTCACACCTATAATCCCAGCACTGTGGGAGGCTGAGGCAGACAGATCACTTGAGGCCAGGATTTTGAGCCCAGCCTGGCCAACATGGTGAAACCCTATCTCTACTAAAAATACAAAAATTAGCTGGACATGGTGGCTGGCACATGCTTGTAGTCCCAGCTGCTTCAGAGGCTGAGGCAGATTTGCTTGAACCTGGAAGGCAGAGGTTGCAGTGAGCGGAGATCGCGTCACTGCACTCCAACCTGGGAGACATGGCAAGACTCCAGCTCATAAAAAAAAAAAAAGGCTTCTTTGTAGAGATCGGGGTCTTGCTCTGTTACCCAGGCTGCAGTGCAGTGCAACAATCATAGCTTACTGCCGCTACTGCTGCCTCAACCTCCTGGGCTCAAGCTATCCTCACACACTACCCTCCCGAGTAGCTGGGACTAAAGTATGCCCCAGGCTTGAGTGCAGTGGTGCAATCTCGGCTCTCTGCAACCTCCACCTCCCAGGTTCAAGCGATTCTCCTGCCTCAGTCTCCCAAGTAGCTGGAATTATAGGCGCCTGCAACCATGCCCAGCTAATTTTTTGTATTTTTAGTAAAGACAGGGTTTCACCATGTTGGCCAGGCTGGTGTTGAACTCCTGACCTCAGGTGATCTGCCCACCTCAGTCTCCCAGGAAGAAGAAACTGTTGGTCTCATAAGTGTCCCTCAGCTGTACTGAAATGGAAATGGCTAGCTCATCTCAAGTGGCAGGGGAGCCCGGGCAGGGGCAGCTGGGGCACGGGGGTCAGGGACCGAGGCTGCTGTCAGCTAACTTCAAAAGCTGACACGGGAATCAGGAGGGTGCTCAAAGGATGTCAACCCGGGGTGTGGGCAGGCCCAGGATTACAGGTGTGAGCCACTGTGCTTGGCCACTTTTTTTTTTTTTAGTAGAGATGGTTAGCAAGATGTGGTGGCACACACCTGTTGTCCCTCCTACTAGGGAGGCTGAGGTGGGAAGATCACTTGAGCCTAGGAGGCAGAGAGTGTAGTGAGTCAAGATCATACCACTGCATGCTGACATGGATGACAGGGTGAGACCGTGTCTAAAAAATAAAAAAGATATGGGGTCTCGCTATGTTGCCCAGGCTGATCTTGAACTCAGCCTCAAGCAACTTTATTATTATTATTGTTATTATTTTTAGAGACAAGGTCTCACGGTCTCACCCACACTGGAGTGCAATAGTGCAATCATAGCTCACTGCAGCCTCAAACTACTGGGCTCCAGTGATGCTCCTGCCTCAGCCTTCTGAGTGGCTGGGATTACAGGCATGCACCAGCACGCCTGGCTCATTCAGCCCAGGGACATCAAACCCCCATCCCCTCACCTGCAACCATCCCTGCCTGGGACCCCTTCTGTCAAAGCAGTGAGGCTACAGCTGGGAGCCTTGAGCCTGGGTGGTTCTAACTGGCTGTGTGGTGGGGCCACATTCCCTGGCTTGGGCTGTCATGTCAGGGCAGAATCACAGGGGTCACCCCACCGTGGAGCTTGGGGCCCTCACTCACTGATGCTGGGGTGCCCTTAGACCTTGTGCAGGATGTCAACCTCCTTCAGTGTGGCTTCTTGCAGCTCCTGCACCTCCTCGGGGGTGAAGCTGCTTCCACTGGTGACGTCGATGACCTTCACAGCAGGCTCCTGGCTCGTGGGCTTGTGGATGCAGCACCTGACCATACTGCTAATGCCCCTGGGAGTGAAAAGGACAGATGGCCTCAGGGGGCCCCTCACCCCATGGGGAGTCCCAGATTCAAGGCTGCAGCAGACATGTCCTGCCCTTATCTAGAGATTTACACTTTCCCTCAACTTCCTCTGAGCTTTTGGGGATTGTGGATGAATAAATACAGGCACAGATAGGTGATTTGCCCAGAGCTGATCAGTAGAAGCCTGCTCTCAGGCTGTGTGACTCCTAGTTTAGTCATTTTTGGAGAGAAAGTCTTACTCTGTTGCCGAGGCTGCAGTGCGGTGGCACGATCTCGGCTCATGCAACCTCCACCTCCTGTGTTCAAGTGATTCTCCTGCCTCAGCCTCCCGAGTAGCTGGGACTACAGGCGCCTGCCACCACACACATCTAATTTTTGTATTTTTACTGGAGACGGGGTTTTACCATGTTAGCCAGGCTAGTCTCAAACTCTCGACCTCAGGCGGTCCTCCCACCTCAGCCTCCGAAAGTGCTGGGATTACAGGTGTGAACCACTGTGCTGGGCCACTTTTTTTTTTAATAGAGATGGTTAGCAAGATGTGGTGACACATACCTGTTGTCCCTCCTACTAGGGAGGCTGAGGTGGGAGGATCACTTGAGCCTAGGAGGCCTGCAGACTGTAGTGAGTCAAGATCATACCACTGCACGCCAACCTGGATGACAAGGTGAGACCATGTCTAAAAAATAAAAAAGATATGGGGTCTTGCTGTGTTGCCCAGGCTGATCTTGAACTCAGCCTCAAGGAATACTCCCGCCTCAGCCTCCCAAAGTGCTGGGAGTACAGGCATGAGCCATTGTACCTGTCCATGGGAGCAGTTCTTGAGCACACTGAATTCTGCTTTTTCCTAGCTTTAATGAATGTCTAGTTCTTCCTTTTTAGGTGCAGTGTATGTCAGCATTGTTTCAGTAATAAATGCATTCTAGATCTTAGAAATAATATTGGTCACAGGTGCCAGGTGCAGTGGCTCACTCCTGTAATCCCAACACTTTGGAAGGCTGAGGCAGACAGATCATGAAGTCAGGAGTTCAAGACCAGCCTGGCCAATATGGTGAAACCCTGTCTCTACTAAACATACAAAAATTAGCCAGGTGTTGTGGCAGGTGCCTGTCATCCCAGCTACTCAGGAGGCTGAGCTAGGAGAATCGCTGGAACCTGGGAGGCAGAGATTGCAGTGAGCCAGGATCACACCATTGCACTCCAGCATGGGCAACAAGAGCAAAACTCCAGCTGAAGAAAAAAAACAAAAGAAATATCCCATTACTTTAAGGCAATGTAGATACAGCCAGAATTTCTACAGAAATCTGAACCACATTATAAAGCCAGAAAAACATACCAGCTAATATTATTTAATACATATAGCACTAAATGGAAGAGGTAATATTTTCTTTTAATTTTTTTTTTTTTTTGAGATGGAGCCTCACCCTGTCACCCAGGATGGAATGCAGTGGCAGGATCTTGGCTCACTGCAACCTCGACCTGCCAGGTCCAAGCAATTCTCCTGTCTCAGCCTCCCGACTAGCTGGGACTATAGGCACCTGACACCATGCCTTCCTAATTTATGTATTTTTGTAGAGACGGGGTTTCATCGTATTGGTCAGGCTGGTCCTGAACTCCTGACCTCAGGAGCTCCGTCCACCTCAGCCTCCCAAAGTGCTGGGATTACAGGCATGAGCCACCATGCCTGGCCAGAAAAGGTAATATTTTCCAAACATATACATTAGTGTATAACCTTATTAGACTTATAAATATGATTTTTTTCAGTAACAGAAGAAGATTCTCCTGAACTGTATCATTTCAGCTAACATTTACTTAAAATTAAAATAATATAACAGCTATAAAAAGTCAAGAGGCACCCAGGCGCAGTGGCTCATGCCTGTAACCCAAACACTTTGGGAGGCCGAGGCAGGTGAATCACCTGAGGTCAGGAGTTTGAGACCAGCCTGGCCAACATGGTAAAACCCCATCTCTACTAAAAATACAAAAATTAGCCACGCATGGTGGTAATCACTTGTAGTCCCAGCTACTAGGGAGGCTGTGATGGGAGGATCACTTGAACCTGAGTGGTGAAGGCTGCAGTGAGCTATGATTGCACCACTGCACTCCAGCCTGGGTGACAGAGCAAGACTCTGTTTCAATGAAAAAAATGAAACAGTCAAGAGCATGGAGAGTATTAAATTCAGACATAACCAATGGTCTATCATCAGAATAGCTCCATTTTTTTTGCTATCATTATGTGTTAAGGTCAATTTGCTAAACACGAATATTTGTACTAAAGTTTTAAGTGTACCATATAATACATTAAGGCTGACTTAGGTTTAACATCCTTTGCTGTACAATATACTTGAATATAATACTTATATATCACAACAAAAGTATCTTTCCCTAAGGCAATTACCATTAATACTGCTTTAAAGTTATAAAATGTGGGCTGAGGGGTGGCTCACACCTGTAATCCCAGCACTTTGGGAGTCCGAGGCAGGCAGATCACAACGTCAAGAGATTAAGACCATCCTGGCCAACATGGTGAAACCCCATCTCTACTGAAGTACAAAAATTACCTGGGCGTGGGACGCACCCCTGTAGTCCCAGCAACTTGGGAGGCTGAGGCAGGAGAATCTCTTGAATCTGGGAGGCGGACGTTGTGGTGAGCTGAGATTGCAACTCCAGCCTGAACAAGTGCAAAACTTTGTCTCAAAAAAAATATGAAATGTGAAGATTGTTTTTATAATTTTCAACACCTGCACATTACTGTCTTTAAACTAATCTAACAAATCACCATCACAACAAAAGCCCCACAAGATAATCTGTTTCACCTTATAAAAAGCACTGACAGTTACTGTGTGGTAATTTGTTGCAGTAGCCACGGAAACTAGTATTGTACTGAAGCCTCAACACCCACTTGAAGGGGCTGGGCATGGTGGCTCATGCCCGTAATCCCAGCACTTTGTGAGGCCCAGGTGGGTGGATCACTTGAGGTCAGGAATTGGAGACCAGCCTTGCCAACATGGTAAAACCCCGTCTCTAAAAAAAATACAAAAATTAGCTGGGGGTGGTGGCACATGCCTATAATCTCAGCTACTCAGGAGGCTGAGACATGGGAACTGTTTGAACCCAGGGTGGGGCGGAGTTTGCAGTGAGCCAAGATTGTGCCACTGCACCCCAGCCTAGGTGACAGAGTGAGGCTCTATCTCAACAACAACAACAAAAACCCCACCTGGTTCTGCCCCACTCTCCCTCTCACGAAGTTGGAATCCCTCACTACTTTTCAGTAGAGGAGAGTGTGTACCCCAATCTCAGCTTGATATGATTCAGATCTCCATTTAACTCATTAAACCTGGCTGATCCTCAAGCCCTGGGGAAAAAAAGGGTCTCTCTGTGAGTATGATACAGGACAGGTCTGTCCCCAGGACCCTGGGAGAGGGAAGCCCAATGGCCCACCAGGTTGGCAGGGCTGGGGAAGGGAAAGTGTTATGGTAGCCCAAGACTAAAAAGAGGCAGCAGTGGGAGCAGGACATCACTCCCATTGAACTCATGATGCTGCTGCCTGAGTGAGGTGAGGGAGGAGTGCACCCGAGTGATGTGATGGGGCAGAGAGGCACGGTTCCAGGGCAGCTTTCACCCTTACTTCCTGCCATGTTACTCTGATCCCCTGCAGGTGAGCCTGCCCACTTTTGGCTTAGGGCTGCTGCTGGGGCCTGTACTCAAATGCAGCCCCCCATTGCCATGGCTACAGGAGTGGGGCAGAGCAGGGAGTGGGACAGAGGAGAGGCCGGGGCAGGAGGGAGTGGGCCTCAAACTCCAGGAGGGGGCCCTTCTCATGGGTTCTCTTTTCCGGCCTCTTCTTCCTTACCCCTGGGCTGATCACCTGGGGAAGAACTGAGGCAAGCTTTCTCATCCTCAGGTCTGAGGGGTTCAATTACCAGGCCCAAGTAGCTGGGATTACAGGCATGCACCACCACACCTGGCTAATTTTGCATTTTTAGTAGAGTCAGGGTTTCTCCATGTTGGTCAGGCTGGTCTCGAGCTCCTGACCTCAGCTGATCCACCCACCTCGGCTTCCCAAAGTGCTGGGATTACAGGCGTGAGCCACCACGCCAGGCCGAACACGTTCTTATTCTATTAAATAGCATAACCCAGGCAGGGCACAGTGGCTCACGCCTGTAATCCCTACAAGTCTAAAGGCCAAGGTGAGAATATCAGTAACCCGGAGTTTGAGACTGGCCTGGGCAACACAGCGAGACCCCCATCGCTACAAAAAAATACAAAAATCAGGCCAGGTGTGCACCGCCCCCAGCTAATTTTTGTACCTTTTGTAGAGACGGGGTTTTGTCATGTTGCCCAGGCTGGTCTCGAACGCCGGAGCCCAAGCCATCCTCCTGCCTCGGCCTCCCAAAGTGCTGGGATAAGTGGGCCCAACTAGCCTCATGTTTTCTTTAAGCAGTCCCTCCCTGTTGCACACTTGGATAGTTTCCTTTTTTACTTTTTTAGACAGGGGTTACCTCAGTCTCGCAGACTGGAGTGTTGTGGTGGGATCATAGCTCATTGGAGCCTTGAACCTTGCGGGGTTCAAGTAGCTGGGAAGCTGAGGTGGGACTAAAGAGATGGGGTCGCGCCAGGTTAACAGGCTGCTCTTGGCCCGAAAGGATCCTCTCGCGTCCGCCGCCACCGGACACAGTTTCCTATTTTTGACGGACATACACACTGTGCTGGGTGGGAGTTTGTCAACTACCCTTCTCCAGCCAGGAATACACAGGACCTGGAGAGGAGGTCGCGGTTACCAGGCTCGACTCTGAGGAGACTGACCAGCTCCAGGTACTATACCGCCCCTGTGACGTCGCTGAAAGCGCGCGTCTGTGGCGTCGCGGAAGGCCAGCGTGTATGACGTTGTCGAAGGCGCGCCTCTGAGACGTCACCGAAGTCGCGCCCTAAGGCGTCACCGAAGTCGCGCCCTAACACGTCACCGAGGGCGCGCCCCTATGGCGTCACATCGGACCGACCGCCACGCGCAGCCAATTGGAACTCGAGGCGGGGCTGCTGGGTCTTCCTGGAGCGCGCATGCGCCGGCGAGCTGCCACAAGGTTTACACTTTCCCCCATCTTCCTCTGTGCTTTTGGGGATGGTGGATGAATCAATACAGGCAAAGACAGGTGATTTGCCCAGAGCTGATGACTAACAGGCCTGCTCTCAGGCCTTATGACTCCTAGTTTAGGGCTTTTTTTTTTTTTTTTGAGAGAAAGTCTCACTCTTGTCACCCAGGCTGCAGTGCAGTGGCATGATCTCCGATCACTGCAACCTCCACCTCCTGGGTTCAAGCGATTCTCCTGCCTCAGCCTCCCGAGTAGCTGCGACTACCGGTGCCTACCACCACAGACGTCTAATTTTTGTATTTTTATTGGAGACGGAGTTTCACCATGTTGTCTAGGCTAGTCTGGAACTCCTGACCTCAGGTTATCCTCCTGCCTCAGCCTCCCAAAGTGCTGAGATTACAGGTGTGAACCACTGTGCTGCGCCGCTATTTTTTTTTTTTTTTGATAGAGATGGTTAGCCAGATGTGGTCGCACACACCTGTTGTCCCTCCTACTAGGGAGGCTGAGGTGAGAGGATCACTTGAGCCTAGGAGGCAGAGACTGTAGTGAGTCAAGATCATACCACTGCACGCCAACTTGGAGGCAGGAGGATTGCCTGAGGCCAGGAGTTCGAGCCAGCCTCGGCAGCATAATGAGATTCCATCTCTGTAAAAAATAAAATTTAGCCAAGTGTGGTAGCGTGCACCTGTGGTCCCAGCTACTCGGAAGGCAAAGGCGAGGATTGCTTGAGTCCTGGAGGTTGAGGCTGCAGTGAGCTATAATTGCGCCATTCCAGCCTGGGAGACAGGGTGAGATTCTGTCTCAAAAAAAGAAAAAATAATAATAAAACTGTGGGGGAAGGACACTCAAACCCCCTACGGGAAGCAAGGCTTCCTCATTCCATCATATTCTGCTCATCCTCCAAGGCTCGGCTAAGGGGCCTGCCTCTCCAAGAAACTTCCCAGCCCTCAGCCCCCTTCCTTCCTGTTTTCGCAGCACTGGTGTCACCTCGTCCTGCCCAACTATGTAGCGTGCAGGCCTCCATCTTCCACATGACTGCAGAACCAGAGAGCTCTGGTGGTATCTGGTTCCATGTGTCCCCACTGGCACCTCGCCTGGGACGTTGTCTGCACTGACCAGTGCTAGCAATCAAAATAGCAGGCATGCCTGACCATGTGCTGAGGCTCAGTAGGCAGCACTGGTCAGCTATGATTTCAGCTCAGCCTCTAGCATCCCGCTGGGGTAGCTTAATAATCCCTGGATTTCACAGATGGAAAATGTTAGGAAAGTCTCTAAGCCCCCATGGAAGGTCCCAGAGCCCAAATTCAAACCCAAGTGGAACGTTCCTCTGCTTCACTGTGATCTGGTGTGAATTTTAACCTAAGGTCCTGGCATTTAAGAGCTCGAAGTCACCACGGAGGTGGAGAGCTCAGCCCTGACATTGGATGGAAGCTGAGACTGGTGAGGTTCTCACCGGGACTTTTGCAGGGAGTTGGGGAGAATTCTGAAGGCGGTACAGATGTTCTGACCCCAAGACCGTCTCCTCCAGCTGGACCACACACTTGTTTCCTGCTCCTACACCTGTCCATCCCACCCCTTGGATTCTAGGTGTACAGAGGGGTGGGCACATGCTAAGGTCACCCCTGTTAGCCTCATGGACAAGGTGGGCCTGGAGCAGGAACCCACCTGATAGAAGACACCTGAAGTCTGTCCATACACACTCAGTGTGGGCATCACTTGCACATAGGTGCAGCTTTTGCTCTGGGAAACCACTTTAAATGAATTGATGGCCTCACCACGGTGGAGACATGGCTTGACTCCGGAGAGACTCCATTGTAGATAAATATTTGAGTAAAAGGTTTCATGTTAGAATAGCATCTGCATGCAAATGACAGGCAATGGGCGGGTGCAATGGCTCACACCTGTAATCCCAGCTACTTGAGAGGCAGAGGCAAGAGGATCGCTTGAGCCCACGAGTTTGAGACCAGCCTGGATGACATGGTAAGACCCCATCTCTAAAAAACAAAACAAAAAAAATGTTTAAATTAGCAGGGCATGGTAGTCCCTGTAGAGGAAGCTACTCAGGAAGCTGAGGCGAGAGGATTGCTTGAGCCCAGGAGTTGAAGGCAGTAGTGAGCTATGATTGTGCCACTGCATTCCAGCCTGGGCAACAGAGCCAGACCCCATCTCCATCTCTTTTTTTGGAGATGGAATCTCGCTCATCCCCCAGGTGGAGTGCAGTGGTGAGATCCAGGTTCACTGCAACCTCCTTCTCCCAGGTTCAAGCAATTCTCCTGCCTCACCCTCTGGAGTAGCTTGGATTACAAGTGCCCACCACCACGCCTGGCTAATGTCTGTATTTTTAGTAGAGACGGGGTTTCACCATGTTGGCCAGGCTGGTCATGAACTCCTGACCTCAAGTGACGCACTCACCTTGGCCTCCCAAAGTGCTGGGATTGCAGGCATGAGCCACTGCGCCCGACCCAGACTCCAACTCTTTAAAACAAAAAAGTACCTGAGGTAAATGGGGAAAACACTTGTGAGACAAGACCAAAACCTACAGTGGCTGCTAAATGTCAGTTCTATGAGCCCAGGATTCTCCTACATCCCCTTCCATGGTCAGGGAGGACCACTGGGCTATGTGTCTTCTGTGATTCTCCCCTGGCTCTGAGCCCTTTGCATCTGCACCTCACAGCGCCGCTCAAATCCCTGGGGGTAAAGTGCAGTGGCAGATGTTGGCCAGTTGTAGTCTGATAAGATAAAAGCCACAGGAGAGTTCTGAAATTCTCTTTTCCTCTCGAGTATGTATTTCTGCATCTTTACGGAGCCTCGTAAATGCTTTTTAAACCTACCCTGGGATTTGAACCAGCGCCCATAGACACAGAAGTCTTGTCAGGTCAGCCAGGGGCTGCTACTGAGGCAGCATCTCTCCCTAGCCCCCGACCCACAGGTTCAGAAGGGAAACCCTTCCCTCAGGCGGCTTATGAGACCCAGTACTTCTAGTTTCACTTCTTTAAAAACACCGTACAAAAGAAAAAGGCTGTCAAAACACAAGCAGTGTTTGAAACGAAGCTTTGTAGGTCCCCCTGCACTACCACCATCATGGGCAGCATAGCAGATGGGTTCTGGGACACCAGCTAAAATGTGTGCAAGAGAAACCAGGGCTCATGGCAGACGTGTGTTTCTCTGTTTTGTTGACCAACTTCTGCTAGAATTCATAGCCATCTAGCCTATGTATTGGATTTTTATTTCTGTGACGTCTGCATCTTTTAAAAATATCAGTTGGGGCCAAGGTGGGTGGATCACTTGAGGTCAGGAGTTCAAGACCAACCTGGCCAACATGGCCAAACCCTGTCTACTAAAAATATAAAAATTAGCTGGGCATGGTGGTGTGTGCCTGTAATCTCAGCTACTTGGGAGGCTGAGGCAGGAGAATCACTTGAACTGGGAGCCAGAGGCTGCAGTGAGCTGAGATCGTGCTTCTGCACTCTAGCCTGGGTGGCAGAGTGAGAGTCCAAATAAAAAATAATAATAATAATTTAAAAAATCAATCAGTAGCCAAGCACCATGGCATATACCTATAGTCCCAGCCACTTGGGAGGCTGGAGGATCACTTGAGTTCAGGAGTTCAAGACCAGCCTGGGCAACATAGCAAGCCCTCATCTCTACAAAAAATAAAAAATTAGCAGGGCATGGTGGCACATGTCTGTAGTCCCAGATCCTCGGGAGGCAGGAGGATTTCTTGAGCCTAGGAGTTCAAGGCAAACCTGGGTGACATAGTGAGATTCCATTTCAAAAATATGTATCAGTAGGTTAATCCAGATGTTGTCACATGGGCCAAGCAACCAAAGTCACATCTTAGAGTTGTGGACTGTGTAATCAGATAAGTGTGGCTACAGTCACAGAAGGTCAGGGTAGAAAGAGGCTTGGAGAGGGGCACACTTCTAGCCAGAGCTTTCCTACTGAGCTCCTTAAAGCTCAGGGGAAAGTGGGACAGGGTTGGGGGGCGACCTAAATCCCACACCCTCCCATCTTCAACCAGAGCAACCCCATTTGTATCTGCTCAGCAGTATCATGCATCCATGTAAAATTTTATTTGAAAATGGCCTTCTGCAATTAAAACTACAAAAAAAGATTGAAAGTGGCCAACTTAAACTCCACTCTGTTTCTTTTTTGATTTGGGAGACTGGTGTGCACAGAAGGGAAGTGTCACCTAATGAAACTGTAACCTCACCACAGATGCCTGCCCATGGCTGGTGGAGCTCCCAAGGCCTGGGCCACACCCTATGTGCCCCATGCCCAGCAAGTGGAGGGGGGTGTGGTCAGTACATGTTTGTAAGATAAAGAAAAACATGCTTCCCAATCAGCCATATTACCCAGAGGGCGATATTGATTTAGATCTTATTTCAGCTTGGCTACAGAGGCTCAGGTGCCAGTGAGCAGAAGTCTGGCCATTGTGGTGGATTCTGGAAGATAATGTGCTATACTATTAGCAGGGGTGCAATTTGGGGTGTGAGACCACCAGAGCTTTGATTCCCCCTGCCACACTTGTATTATTTGGAGTTGTTTTGTTGTTGTTCATGGTAATTACCTATGATTAGACAACAATCTAGTTCCATTTGCAATAGGGAATAATATGTCTGTGACACTCACAGCCTCTAGACCTGGGGAACCTCTGGCCACCCCGAGGGGGCCCGGTCATCCTGCTGCTGGTCATGTCCAGCTCCGGGTGGCTGGCTAGGTGGCCTGGGTGGGAGGTCCACTCTTTGTCTTTATAAAAAGAAGGGCTTGGGCCAGGCATGGTGGCTCATGCCTGTAATCCCAGCACTTTGGGAGGCCAAGGAAGGTGGATCACCTGAGGTCGGGAGTTCAAGACCAGCCTGACCAACATAGCAAAACCCCGTCTTTACTAAAAAATACAAAAATTAGCTGGGCATGTGGTGGGTTCCTGTAATCCGAGCTACTCGGGAGGCTGAGGCAGGAGAATTGCTTGAACCTGGGAGGCAGAGGTTGCAGTGAGCCGAGATTGCACCACCGCACTCTAGCCTGGGCAACAGAGTGAGACTCCATCTCATAAATAAACAAATAAATAAATAAGATAACAAGGTGTGCTGGAGATGGCCACAGGCCTGTGGCAGCCGCGCCATCAGGGAAATGGAGTCAGAGAGAGCTGCAGCTGCTCTGATAGGGAGGTGGGTGTGTGCAGGATCCTCTGGGGGTGGCTCAGGCCTCCCAGGGGAGCACTTACCTTTTTATTTCCTAGTATGTCAGAACTGCTGATGCAGGAATAAAGCAAAGTGCCTGCCACTCCACGCGACTGCCGTTTTTTCATTCATTCATGTATTCGTTCTTCCTTTACGCATGCATGGCAGATTAACAAAAGGGCCTCCACAAACTAGCCAGGTGGCGTCCATGGGTTTTTAGCCTCTCTGAGCAGGTTTGACAGGGCTGCTTTTTCCTTTCCCTCACTCTGACTTCTGTCCCAGCCTCTTCCATTTAATATCAGCCCTTGTTCCTACACTACACCTCCCGATGCAGACTGGGACATTCTCAGGCTGTGTTTGAGCCACCCCTTCATCCTCTGTGCTTTTCCCTGGCATCCTCAGCTCCCCTCTCCCCATCATGGTGCTCCTGGGCTGTTCCCAGAGCTCCTGTTACTCTCTCTGTCCTCCCAACCCCAAACCCGTCCAGCTGTGTATCCACCTGCCCAGCTGCCATTCATGCTGCAGATGTAGCACTCTCAGAGCCCATCTGTCTCCACTCACTCAGGCATCCTACCTCCTACTCCTGGTGGTGGCCGCAGTGCCCACTGGGCCACCCCAGCCAAGCCCAAGAGTAGCCACATGGGAGCCCTTCCTCCATCTCCCCTTCCTCATTCACACATTACCACATCTTGCCAATTTCATCTCCTGAGGACCTCACCTTCCATCATTCTCTCCCCATCATACCACAGTTGCCACCTTTATTTCTCTCCTAGACCTCAGCTGGTGTTACTTGGACAGTCATTTCGTTGGAACCTCCTGGCCAGCTTTGCACACATTTAACTAGACTAAGATTTGAGACCAGGCATGGTGGCTTATGCCTCTAATCCCAACACTTTGGGAGGCCAAGGCAGGCAGATCCCCTGAGGTTAGGAGTTTGAGACCTACCTGGGCAACATGGTAAAACCTCCTCTCTACTAAAAATACAAAAATTAGCCAGGTGGGGTAGCACACACCTGTAATCCCACTTACTCGGGTGGCTGAGGCAAGAGAATTGAACCTGGGAGGCAGAGGCTGCCGTGAGCCAAGATCACACTACCACACTCCACCCTGGGTGACAGAGTGAGACTCCATCTCAAACAACAACAACAAAAAAGAAGATTTGAGCTCCCTTCTCAGATCCGTGCCTCTCGACCTGGGCTGAAGGCTTCTACTCTCTCTGGCGTCACCTTCAGGAACCTGCTTGTTACTTCCCTCCTAAGAATGTTCCAGAAGGTCTTGGTTTATCTTCTGGAGGGCATTCAAGAACTCAGAGTCATCTCACATGTCTAGAAGAGAAATATTAAGGCCAGGCACAGTGGCTCAAACCTGTAATTTCAGTACTTTGGAAGGCTGAGGCAGGAGGATCACTTGAGCCCAGGAGTTCAAGACCAGCTTGGACAACATAGCAAGATCTCATCTCAAAAAAAAAAAAATTAGCCAGGCATGGTGGCACATGCCTGTAGTCTCAGCTATTTAGAAGGCTGAGATGGGAGGATCATTTGAGCCCAGGAAGTCAAGTGCAGTGAGCTGTGACAGTGCCACTGCACTCCAGCCTGGGCAACAGAACAAGATCCTGTCTCCAAATTTAAAAAGGGAGAGAGAAACAGAAACATGGCAGCTTGGAAACCTGGCTGGGGGTGATTGTGGGGAACTGCTGCTGATGGGCTCTCAGGCACACCCCCCACTCCAGCCATTTTGCCTGGCTGCCTTAGGAACCCTCCTCATACTCTCCTGAGAGTCCCCTCCAGGCAGTCATGGCTCACTTATCCCTGCCACGTGAACTCCATAAAGGAGTCTCGGTAGAAACCCACAGAAACTGTTCCCAGTCACAAAGCATGCCAGGTGCATCCTGTTCTTTCTGTCATTTAAAAAAATGAATGTGTCTCTATCTCTCCTTCTTATAAAACAGTACCCTCTCACACTGCGTGGCTTGAATTCTGGTCTTACTTATGCCTTTGGATTCAATGGCCTTCATCAAATGTCTACAAGGCAAGGGCAATTTACAATAAACATTGTCGGAACTTCACTTAGCAATGTACTTGGGAAATAAATTTTGGTCACTAAATAGAGAAACAAATGCAACAAATAATCCCACAGATCATTATAACATATCTTTTAGATGGTAGTTGTCAAGGATTAGAGTTCCTCGCCCAAAACTGTTGTTGGTGTTTGGAAGCGTCCAAACATTGGCTGGCCCATGTCCCACGGGGCATCAGCACAGCACCCTGGTGAGCAGAGAGTTGTGTGTATGGGGACTAAGCAGAGTGGTAGGCAGTTTGCAGGAAGCTTACCAATGCTTATTAATATTTACCAAAGAGATGCAGAACCGGCCATGGTGGCTCACGATAGTCATCCCAGCACTTTGGGAGGCTGAGGTGGGCAGATCACAAGGTCAGGAGTTCGAGACCATCCTGACCAAAATTGTGAAACTCCATCTCTAATAAAAATACAAAAATTAGCCAGGCATGATGGTGCACACCTGTAGTTCCAGCTACTCAGGAGGCTAAGGCAGGAGAATCGCTTGAACCCGGGCGGCGGAGGTTGCAGTGAGCTGAGATCACACCAACTGCACTCCAGCCTGGGCAACAAAGAGTGAAACTCCATCTAAAAACAAACAAAAAAAGAGATGCAGGACCATCTGCATATGGTACATTTTGGTGATAATATCTGACCTTCTGGGAGAAGAGATATGTTACATATGTTACATTTGTTACAAGAGAATGTCTTACCCCACCCCCACGGACCCAGAAAGGGTCCTTCTGGGAGAAGAGATATGTTACGTATGTTACTTTCGTTACAAGAGAATGTCTTACCCCACCCCCACGGACCCAGAAAGGCGTGCACATGTGGATGGCAGGAGAGTGACTGCAGATACTTCCTGTGTTGCTATCCTTTGCTCCAGGTGGGTACTGGTCACAGGCACAGGCCAGAAGGCTCCCCAGAGTCTGATCCTGTCTCAAACCCAGCTGGCTATCCTGCAACCCCCAACCCACTGGTCTTTGGGAGTGGACAACAGCCCACGTCTCCAGGTGGCCGGGCCCCCTGTGCAGGCATGTTATAGCAAGTTGTGTTTTTCTGGTTTGTCTGTGCCCAACATGGTGTGACCATGGAGGGGACACTGAACAGACCTGGGGGTGGTGGTACTGAGGCAGAGGCAGGCGCACAGTTGTTTCCAAGGGAGAAAATGAATTCATGATCTAAAATGCAAAACCTTAATTATGCTTGACTCCCCTCCCTCCCTCATTTCTCTCTCTCCCTCCCTCCATCCATCCTTCCCACGTTTCCTTCCCTCCCTCTTTTCCTTCCCTCCCTCCCTTCCTTCCTCTCTTCCTCCCACCCTTTATTGACCTTCTTTCATTTTGCAACTTTGTCAAATACAGCTCCAGACTGTCTTCTCTTTCTCCTCTGCTCTGGCCACACACATGCCCTTCCACCCTGTGTCTGCCCATAGAAATCTCGCATCCCTTCCAGTATTCCTGCGCACCGTGGCCTCTGTTAGGAGATTCCTGTGCAGTCTCCTAGCAGGGCAGCCCTTCTGGGAATTGCTCCCTGGTGCTCGTGTGCACTCCATCCCAGCCCTTAGAGCTGCTTTCCTGGCTTTTGTCTCGTGTCCTCTGACCACCTATCAGGGCCTGTCCATGGGGCTGTGTCTGCATGGGAGCAGCCCCAAACACAGTCCTTGTCAGCACCCCGATCTGGACCTGAATTGGGCCCTTGTGCTCACTACCTGTGGACCAAAGACAAATCAGGTTCTCCCCATCCCCAGAGTGGGGAAAGCAGTAGTGTGGGCCTCCCTGGGGTCCCCACGACAGTGTAATGAGTACGGGCACGGAGCCTGCTGCATGTCTCTATGGACATTTCCATAACTTTTCTTTTTTTTTTTTTCTCTGAGATGGAGCCTTGCCCTGTCACCCAGGCTGGAGTGCAGTGGCACAATCATGGCTCCCTGCAACCTCCACCTCCCGGGTTCAAGAGATTCTCCTGCCCCAGCCTCTCGAGTAGCTAGGATTACAGGTGCCCACCACCAAGCCTGGCTAATTTTTGTATTTTTAGTACAGACGGGGTTT
Source organism: Homo sapiens (assembly GCF_000001405.40). Taxonomy (NCBI): domain Eukaryota; kingdom Metazoa; phylum Chordata; class Mammalia; order Primates; family Hominidae; genus Homo; species Homo sapiens. The sequence continues at coordinate 56,891,940 of NC_000007.14, forward strand.
CACCAGGTTGGTGAGCCTGGTCTCAAACTCCTGAACTCAAATTATCCTCCTGCCTCAGCCTCCCAAAGTGCTGGGATTACAGGCATGAGCCACAGCGCCCAGCTAAGTTTTCAGTTTATAAACACTAATACCTACTTGTGTCCCATGGCCTCATCTCAGCCATGTGAGGCTGATGTTGTGCCCATTGTACAGATGGCAGAGCAGGCTCAGGTTCAGGAAGCTGCTGGAAGCCACCCAACCATGAGGTGCAGAGCACAACATCTGGGACAGGGTCTTCGCGACAGCTCTTGGGATCCTGTCTTCTCATGATTGTGATCTCAGAGAGCTTTCACTGTTGGATCAGAGGCTGACTCCAGACTCCACCCCAGTGTTGCTGGGCCCTGTGGGCACCGACAGAGCAGTCCTTGCTGGCCTGACTCATATTCCTGAGTCTCAGGGGTTCCTGTGCCACCAGAGAATGAGCTCCCCAAGTGTCAGTCACTTGGTTCAGTGCCTGTATCTTAAACTGGGCACCTTCAGCAAAAGTCCAGTGTGGAGCTATGTACCCTCCTGCCACAGCCCAGGATCTAGCACAGAGCTGGGTACTGTGCCATCATAAGCCTCCATAAAGACTGCTGTAGGCATCGCAGTGCAGATGGCAGGACTGTGCCTGGGCTGCAGGCGCACATTTGCTGGGTGTGTGCAGTGCAGATTGCAGGGCTGTGCCCGGGATGCAGGCACACATTTACCAGGTGTGTGCAGTGTGGATGGCAGGGCTGTGCCTGGGCTGCAGGTACACATTTACCAGGTCTGTGCAGTGTGGGTGGCAGGACTGTGCCCAGGCTGCAGGTACACATTTACCAGGTGCGTGCAGTGTGAATGGCAGGGCTGTCATGGGCCGCAGCTGCACATGTACTGGGTGTGCACAGTGTGGATGGCAGGGCTGTGCCTGGGCTGCCGGTACACATTTACCAGGTGTGTGCAGTGTGGATTGCAGGGCTGTGCCTGAGCTGCAGGTGCACATTTGCCAGGTGTGTGCAGTGTAGATTTCAAGACTCAGAGAGGAGACAGCCAGTTCCTGTCCTGCCTGAGGGTCGGGCAGGGGTAACCATCTAAGACCCTGGGCATCTTCCCCAGCCTGGGCGATTCTCCAAGCCATCGCTTTTCAGCAGGACTGCCAGCAGGGCATCTGTCATGTTCGTCCACCAGCATCATAGCCTGTTTTGGGGAGAAGTAGTATTTCCACACCCCACTCAGGCTGATAGCATTTGAGGAAGAAGAGAAAGAGGGGCTTTTGGGTTTTCTGGTTTCCTTTCTGAAGGTGAACCTGTCACTGGTGAAAAAAATGGTGTTTTTTTTTTTTTTTTTGGACCAAGAAAGCGGCCTTGGCCTCCAGTGCCAGAGCAGGCTCTGGCTGGGGCAGAGGATCCTGGAGAGGATGCTATGCTGTGTTGGGCGGGAAGTCACTTCCTCCCTCCAAACATAGGTGTCCAGTTCTCTCTTCCTCCCTTTGTCAAGTAGGAGCTGTTATGCCAAGGGCAGGCAAGAAACAGGCCCCTGAGTGCTCAGTTTCATGGCCGGGCTTTGAAGCAGGAGTTTCCTCTTGGCCCTCAGGCCACACTTCTGTAGGGTGCCTCTGCAGCATTTCCCTCCTTGGGCAGGAGCCTGGCTTGCAGAGGACAGACAGCAGGAAGAATGCTGGCCTCCCCCATGCCACCAGATCCTGTCCCAAGGCCAGCAGGAGGGGAGGGGAAGCAATCTGATCACTGGAGCAGGAGGGGCCAGCTCTGGAGTCCACATGGCTGTGGCTGGGCTGTGCTTCTAGAAGCAGCAGCTCTTGCCGCCTCTCTCTAGGGATTTTTGTCTTTCTTTTAAAAACTTTTTTTTAACCTTCTTTTTTAAGACAGGGTCTTGCTATGTTGCGCAGGCTGGTCTCAAATTCCTAGGCTCAAGTGATTCTCCTGCCTCAGCCTCCCAAAGTGATGGGATTGCAGGCATGAGCCAGTACACCTGGCTGAATTTTATCTTTCCTACCAGCCTTTTCATATGAGCTGAGCCTGCAGGCTGTGCCTAAGCATAGCCCTTTGAACTTGATAGACTGCGAGCTTGGAAAGACTCCTTTGCAGTCTGAGTCCTCTGGCAAATACACTAGCTTGGTTAAGTGGACTTTTCTTTGATTGATGTTGGCTGCATCTAGAAAGCAGGATTGCCACCACTCCTTGAAGCACCCTATGATTAGAGTGTCTGAGTGCTGCTTCTGCTCTGCTGAGGCTGTTGACAAATTGCCTGAAAAGACCCCCTGTCAGAGGATGATGGGCTCGTCTGCAGCAGGGCCACTTGCAGCCCAATTGCTTCCAAGATTAAACCTTTCCAAAGCGGTCTGCACTGCCCGGTACACAGTTGGGCCACTGGTTTAAGATTACAGATGAAGGTACTGAATTGGATCTCATTTAAAAATATATAGGTTTTAAAGTTTGAGGGCTCAGGAAGAAAATGAAATCCTTTGTCCCAAACCAGGGCCTGGTTTTGTCAGTGGTGCGTGCACGTGTGTGTGTGTGTGTGTGTGTGTGTGTGTGTGTGTGTGTTCTAAAGAGACCCTAGTGGCCGGACACCATGGCTCACATCTGTAATCCCAGCATTTTGGGAGGCTGAGGCAGGAGGATCACCTGAGGTCAGGAGCTCAAGGCCAGCCTGGCCAACATGGTGAAACCCTGTGTCTACTAAAAATACAAAAATTAGCTGGGTGTGGTAGCAGGCAACTGTAATTCCAGCTACTTGGAAGGCTGAGGCAGGAGAATCGCTTGAACCTGGGAGGCAGAGGTTGCAGTGAGCCGAGATTGCACCATTGCACTCCAGCCTGGCTGACAAGAGTGAAACTCTGTCTCAAAAAAAAAAAAAGAGAGAGAGAGAGACCCTAGTTTAGCTCTTTTGGAAAGCAACTGCCCTGCATTAGGCTTGTTTCTGGATGCTAGCACTAAAATAGCAATCAGACTCTGCATGCCTCTCACAGGCAACTTGTCCACAAAACCACTTCCAAATGTTTTCCCAAGTGCATGTGTCTGACCCAGGCTTCTTTCTCACCCACCTCCTGTGGAAGGAAGATTGCATCTTGAGTTCTAAAGATTTTTAAACAATTTCATACTTGCAGACCAATGTGTATATTTTATGTCCATTGACATTGGAAAACATTCTTGTCTAATCAATCACTCTGGCCCAGCTTTAGATTTCTCCAGAAATAACCAGATCCTGTGGGCACCTTGAGGCTGCAGCCCATTGTGCAGAATTGCTTAATGTGTACCTCATCTGGTTTTTGCCTTCATGCTATTGTTGGTCCCTCAGTAAAATGTTCATTTGGTTGGGTTTTATGTGCAAGAATGCTGGTGGGTTGGGTGAGTGTTAGTATTTAAGGGAAGGCCTGTTTTGTTTTCTTTTGTTTTGTTTTGTTTTTAAGAGTTAGGATCTCACTTTGTCACCTAGGCTGAAGTGCAGTGGTGCAATCATAGCTCACTGCAGCCTCAAACTCTTGGGCTCAGGGGACCCTCTCACCTCACCCTCCCTGATTAGATGGGACTACAGTGGGTGCACATCACCATGTCCAGCTAATACTTTTTATTTTTATTTTTGTAGAGGTGGGGTCTTGCTTTGTTGCCCAGGCTGGTCTTGAACTCATGGGCCTCAAGTAATCATCTCACCTTGGCCTCCCAAAGCATTAGGATTACAGGCATGAGTCACCATGCCTGGCCTGATTTGCTTCTGACTAGTGTCCTGCATTTATTAAAGACCCTAGATCACTCCTGGTGTTCTAAAAATAACCAAGCCCACCTATCTGCCTTCTAGACATGGGCTGGAGGGCCTGCCACGAGCATCCTTGGGTATTCCCAATAGCCCTAATTAACCCAGGCTGACTTACAATTCCTCCCTCTCTTAACCAAAATTATGTTGAATTTTTGTGTTCCTTGTCTTTTAACTGAAAAGCTCTTGTTTATTTGTTATTTAATTTAATTTTATTTTTTTGAGACAGACTCTCGCTCTGTTGCCCAGGGTGGAGTGCAGTGGCATGATCTTGGCTGACTGCAACCTCCGCCTCCCGGATTCCAGCGATTCTCCTGCCTCTGCCTCTAGAACAGCTGGTGCTACAGGAGCCTGCCACCACACCAAGCTAATTTTTTGTATTTTTAGTAGACACGGGGTTACACCATGTTGGCCAGGCTGGTCTCGAACTCCTGACCCCAGGTGATCCACTCGCCTCAGCCTCCCAAAGTGCTGGGATTACAGGCATGAGCCAACACGCCCGGCCCTGTTTGGCATTTTTAATGCCCTATTACCATTATTTGCACTTATTCTTTTGCAGAATTTCAGCACCAGGTGGTGAGGATGTTCCTTCTGGCCATGCACGTGCAGGACACACAACAGGCACTTGATAAGTGTGTGCTGAGCAAAACTCACTTCTTCCTTCTGGCCACATTCATCACAGGTGTACTCAAAGCAGCAAGAGCTTGCCCCAGCTCAGAAGTGCTTAGTTGCTAATTAGCTGTTTTCACAAAGATACTGAAATTGGAGACATCAGTGTTCATCCTTTAGCCATAGCATTGGAAAAATATGAATGATTTACAACTGTGACTAAAAAGGTGTTTAGAGAACTGTTCTATGTAAAGCAAGACAGTAAGCTGGGCGTGGTGGCTCAAGCTGGTAATCCCAGCCGAGGCGGGTAGGTTGCTTGAGCTCAGGAGTTCTGGACCAGCCTGGGCAACATAATGAGACCCCATCTCTACAAAAATATTTAAAAAAAAAAAAAAAAAGCTGAGTGTAGTGGTGCATGCCTGTAGTCCCAGCTACTTGGGAGGCTGAGGCAGGAGGATCTCTTCAGCCCGGGAGGTGGGGGTTGCAGTGAGCTGTGGTTGCACCACTGCACTCCAGCCTGGGCATCAGAGTGAGACCCTGTCTCAGAAAGAAACAAAAAATATATAGTGTGTGGTTGCAACTTTTGCACATCACCTGGAGTTCTGGGCAAGGGGAGAGGAACTGAGGTTGGTCACTTCTTGCATGGATGGCTTTGGGACTTGGGTGGGTTTTTTGCTCCACAGTACTTTTCACCCTGTATTTTCTCATAGGTTTTGCCCCACTAGAGCTTTATGTAGAGATTGGGGCTCTCAGGTCCCATATGGAACTTACTAGCGAGAGTTCCAAGTGGCAAGTCCCTTTCCTGCCCCGGCATTGGTACAAGGCTGCCTTGCTGTTGGACCACAATACTCCAAGAGTCCAGCTCCCCTGTTTGCTCAAGTCTGAAGCAAGGTCCCACTTGGGAGTTACAGATCAGAGTCCTTTGATGTCAGAGCATCACAGCGGAATTCTAGGCCACCCCGGCAGTGAGTGCTCTCTGCAGATCTGCGAGCGGTGCTGGTCCGCCCCACCACCTCCACCCCTAGCACCGTATCTGTGTGATTAAAGCTGTGACCTCCCCCTTGGGTGGAAGCCTTCCAGTCCTTGGAATGAGAATCTTAGCTGCTTCTGTCTGCAGAGGATCTCTTTGTGGGATTTTTTTTTTTTTTTTTGAGATGGAGTCTTATTCTGTCACCCAGGCTGGAGTGCAGTAGCGTGATCTTGGCTCACTGCAACCTCTGCCTTCTAGGTTTAAGTGATTCTCCTGCCTCTGCCACCTGAGTAGCTGGGACTACAGGCACCCACCACCACACCCGGCTCATTTTTATATTTTTGGTAGAGACACAATTTCACCATGTTGGCCAGGCTGATCTCAAACTCCTGACCTCAGGTGATCTGCCTGCCTCAGCCTCCCAAAGTGCTGGGATTACAGGTGTGAGTCACCGTGCCTGGCCCAGAGGGACTCTTGGAGAGAGGCTCCTTGATCCCACAAGGGGCAGGGGTCTCTGGCAAGGCACAGCCCATCCCACCAGGCCCAGCACCTGGTGCTGACCACCCCCCCAACCCACCCCACTGTTCTGTTGTCAGAATGTGTTGTTTTCTTGTACATAAACAATATGACAATAAAGGGAGGTTACTCAGTAAAGGGAGCTGCTCAGAAGGTGACCAGAGCAGGGCTGGAGAGCCAGCCTGGCATTCACTGTTTGCTTTATTGCAAGGCCACTTGGAATTAGAGGGGATCTCAGATTCGAGTCTGAGCTGGAGGTAGGAAGGGGCCCCTGCACCTTGGATAGAACTCGGGCTCTCCCCGGGGTTAGGGGCCTGGGCTCTGGTGCAGCCCCACCACTTCATTAGGTCACCCCAGGCAGTTTCAGCCTCAGATTTCTCATCCCCGGGATGGCATGTTTGCAGCCTCGTGGCCTGCTATGGGCATTGAATGAGATGTGTTTGTGAGGCAGTAAGGCAGCCAAGATGTCACTTACATGAAACTTACATTGCAACCCCAGTTTTAGCATGATGTGGGATATTAAGTATTACCGTCTCCTTGAATACTCCCAGTCAGCAGTTCGCTTCATGTTACAAGATGTTTAGTTCTAGGCTGGGCCTGTAATCCCTGCACTTTGGGAGGCCAAGGTGGGAGGATCACTTGAGGCCAGGGGTTCAGAACAACCCTGGGCAACATAGTGAGACCCCTGTCTCTACAAACTATAAATATTATATATATATAACATATATATAAAATATAAATATATAACATATATATAATATAAATATATAAAATATAAGGCATGACCTTCCTAAAGCAGACCCTGGTCCGGTCTCTGTACACCTTTTGCATAGTTGGTGGCCATCCAACCCCCTCTCAGGCTGTGGCTGTGTTCCTCCAGGGGCCTCGGTGGTCCAGGAGCCTGGCCAAGCTGGCTCCCTCTCCCACGTGGCTTACTCCATCAGCTTCACCTTGTTTATATCTCTGGATCTCCTCTTTTTTCTTTCTGTTTGTGTCTTGTCTCTTTCTGGAAAGCCCCTTACCTCTACTCACCCCTCTGTGTGCAAACATCACCCAGTTCAGGTGCCCCCAACCCAGCCAGGAGGGGTTTTCATTCCTTAGGCTCCCATCGTAGGCTAGCTGTGCCTGTCTTTCAGCACATTTCATTTCCTGCCTGGTATTTCAGTCGTGTGTGTGTCTTCATTCTCCTCATGTAAGCCTTGAGGTGCGGAGTGCATGCCTGTTCACCTCTGCCCTCTCTAGAGGTCAGAATATGACCAGTGTTCAGCCCCCATCGGAAAGAGCCCAAGAACCCCAAGTCCCCAGCCTGTTCTGCTCTGCTGTGGGCCCACATGCCTGGAGACGAGGCACCTTTCCTTCCCTGACATTGACTAGTACAGGATACAGGGTAGAACCCAAACATTGAGCAATTGTCAAACTGCCTACTTATGATGAACAAAATAGCTTTTCAGAAGGTGAGATCACAGTACGGTTATGGTGAATCCTGACTCGCACCTCAGGTCTTTCATCAGGATTTTTGTTTTTCCTGGTTGGCACAGATGTGCGTGGAGCAGATCAGAGGCCTCTCAGGTTCTTGATCACTCATGGCAAATTCAGGCCCACCAGGAGCGAGGTGAGAGATCCAGACAGCAGGGGAGAGAAGGGAGGTGCAGGGAACCCTCAGCCCCACATGCTCCAGCAGGTCTGTGTGATTAACCTGAATTGCAGCATTCAGAGGCTCGGCCCACCAGCCATGGCGGTTCCAGATGAAATGCAGCTTAGAAGGCAGTGTGGCATAGTAGCTTTGGTGCCAGCTGCTCCCAGAGTTTGGATTGTAGCCAAATGGCATCAGGTGCAATGTACAACCTCTGGGAGTTCCAGATTTCCTATTTACATGACAGGGATGATTCCATACCTGAAGGGCTGTTTGGAAGCATCTAGAAACAAGCACAGTGAAGTGGCTGTCATGACACTGGACGCACAAATGATGGTGTTAGGATCCCTCCACGGATGTAGCCAGGTGACACCCCTCACCTGGGCCGCACAGCACCCTAATGTATGCACTGAAGAAAGGCTGCATGGGGCTGCAAAGTAGCTCATTTCTAAGAACGCCAAAGAAATTGCTCAGTCCAGACCAGGGAGCCCAGCCTCTCTTTTAGAGGTGGGATCTTGCTATGTTGCTCAGACTGTTCTCAAACTCCTGACCTCAAGTGATCCTCCCACCTTGGCCACCCAAAGTGCTGAGATTCCAGGCATGAGCCACTGCACCCAACCTGTAGCCTCTTTCTACAAGTAAAATGATTCAAGTGAGTTCAGGCCCATGCCAGGTCTCAAACCCTGGCACTCTGTCCATCTTCCAGCTTCCACTCCTTCTCTCTCATTACAGGATCTCCTGTCCTTCTGCACACCAGGGTGGCAGACAGCTTGGCCAACTGCCTTGGACTTCTTTATCTCTAGCACATGTTCCTGTAAATTTAAACCTCCTCAGTTGGGTAAAAGCTTTGGAAATACTAACATTCCTTTTGTGCTGCCTAATGTTCCTGCCATTTAAAATATTAGCAGGCATAATTTCAGTAAGCCTTCATGACTGGCATGCGTCACTTCTTAATCTCTGGTTGGTACATGTTAAAATATAAAGACAGCCTCTCCAGGACACATGGGGAGCTTGCAAACGAAAGGTTGCTCTGACCTCTCAGAAGAGTGGACTTCTTAAAAAAGAAAGAGTGAGGTGGGCAGCCTCCCTTGCTGCCAGTGCTAGATTCTGTGATATGAAACAGCAAGGTGCAGCTGGATGCGGTGGCTCACACCTGTAATCCCAGCACTTTGGGAGGCTGGGGTGGACAGATCACCTGAGGTCAGGAGTTCGAGACCAGCCTGGCCAACATGGTGAAAACCCTTCTCTACTAAAAATACAAAAAATTAGCCGGGCATGGTGGTGCATGCCTGTAGCCCCAGCTACTCAGGAGGCTGAAGCAGGAGAATCACTTGAACCCGGAGGTGGAGGTTGCAGTGACCCAAGATCATGCCACTGTACTCCAGCCTGGGCGACAGAGCAAGAAGACTCCTTCTCAAAAAAAAAGAAAAAAATGACTTGCACATGTGCTTATGTAAGAAAGTGAGATTCACTGAGTGAACCATACATAGCATCTCTTAAAACTGTATCATGGAATTCATGATCAGGCATCTCCTCTATATCAGGCAACAAACAGGTGATATACACACTTGTATCTTCCCAGAAAGGGAAGGAAGGTAGTAGAGATGACATCGTCAGTTACTTGTTTGTATGTGTGTGTGCATATTTAACTTATTGTGTGTCTGTGTGCATAGGGACATGTCACTGCATGTGAGGGACATTTATAGGATCTGAGCTCAGGTGCCCCTTCCCCAAAGGAGGCTTCTCTGCTGTTTAGGGACAGGTCTGCCTCTTTATTTCTTTCTCTTTCTTTTTTTGGAAGCAGGGTCTCACTCTGTCACCAGGCTGGAGTGCAGTGACATGATCACAACTCTCTGCAGCCTTGACCCCCCAGGCTCAAGCAGTCCTCCCACCTCAGACTCCCAAGTAGCTGGGATTATAGGCACATGCCACCATACCTGGCTAATTTTTTTTTTTTTTTTTTTTTAAGACAGAGTCTTGCTCTGTCGCCCAGGCTGGAGTGCAGTGGTGTGATCTCGGCTCACTGTAAGCTCTGCTTCCCGGGTTCACGCCATTCTCCTGCCTCAGCCTCCTGAGTAGCTGGGACTACAGGTGCCCGCCACCATGCCCAGCTAATTTTTTTGTATTTTTAGTAGAGATGGGGTTTCACTGTTGTCTCGATCTCCTGACCTGGTGATCCACACACCTTGGCCAACCAAAGTGCTGGGATTACAGGCGTGAGCCACCGCGCCCAGCCCTGGCTACTTTTTAAAAATTTTTTGTAGAGATGGGATCTTGCTGTGTTGCCCAGGCTGGTCTCTACCTCCCAGGCTCAAGCGATCCTCCCTTAGCCTCCCAAGTAGCTGGGACTACAGGCACGTGTCACCACACCCAGCTAATTTGTTTGATTTTTAATAGAGATGGGGTCTTGCTATATTGCCCAGGCTGGTGTCAAGCTCCAGAGCTCAAGCAATCCTCCCACCTCAGCCTCCCAAAGTGCTGGGATTACAAGCTCATGCCCCTGTGACCGGCCAGGTCTGCCTCTTAAACTCCCTTCACACCATGTGCCCCTTCTGCAACACCGGCCACAGGTAAGTGTGGTGGTGATTTGACTCATGTCTCACCCGCCACTCAACAGAAGCCCAGGAGGCACAGTAGCCTGTGGTCTCTGCTCATGATTGAAAGAGCCCCTGAAACAGGGCCAGAAGGCCCAAAATAGCCACTCAACAAACATCTGTCGAATAAATGGAAGTCATATGCGTCATTCCAAGTCTTTGCTATTCTTCGAAAAGTAATCATACTGACTCCAGGCTACAGTGAGCTATGATCACGCCATTGCACTCCAGCCTGGATGACAGAGCAAGACCTTGTTTCTTAAAAAGAAAATAATTATATTGACTACCTAATATGTGATTGTATTGCTTTAGTAGAATTCTCTAATAAGTACTCCCATGGTGTCAGAATCCACATTGTTTCTAGATTTCTCTGTTCTAAACACATGCTGAACATTCTTGTGAATAAATCTCTGCCTACATCTCTGATTATTCTTATGGATAGACTCCTGAAAGTATGAAGAGGAAGGATTCATCTGCATTCTGATTTTAAATAGCCCATTTGTCTAAATGTTAGTAGGGCCTAAGATCTGGAATAAATGACACAGTGGCAAAAGTCAGAGTCACCCCTCCTGGTTGGTTTCAGAGAGTCCTGGGCTGAAATGGTGCCTTTGGGATCCATCCCTGTCTAGCACAGGAGTCCCCTTTGCAGCAGTGTCCATAAAAATATAGCTTGGGCTGGGTGTGGTAGCTCACGCCTGTAATCCCAGCACTTTGGGAGGCCGAGGTAGGTGGATCACCTGAGGTCAGGAGTTCGAGACCAGCCTGGCTAACATGGTGAAACCCCATCTACTAAAAATACAAAAATTAGCTGGGCAGGGTTGTGGGTGCCTGTAATCCTAGCTACTCCAGAGGCTGAGGCAGGAGAATCACTTGAACACAGGAGGCAGAATTTTCAGTGAGCCGAGATCACTCCACTGCACTCCAGCCTGGGCAACAAGGGGAGACTCCATCTCAAAAAAAAGAAAAAAGAAGTTAGCTTGGTGATGAGTCTGGGAAGAGAATCTCTTTATTCATTCATTCAATCTGCAAGTATTCACTGAGGGTCTGCCCTGAACCTAGCACCATCCATGGCCCCAGGAATAGAATGGAGAAAAGTACATCTCCTTAAGTGTCTCCTAGAAATGGAGACCTCACCACTCTCGCTAAGACATAGCTCTCTGAAGGCAGGGACTGTGACTGTCTCATTCACTGCTCATAGTAAACGCTCAAATGGTTTTTGAATAAATTAAAACATAATACATGGGGCAGGCACAGTGGCTCATGCCTGTAATCCCAGCACTTTGGTAGGCCAAGATGGGTGGATCACCTGAGGTCAGGAGTTTGAGACTAGCCGGGCCAACATGGAGAAACCCTGTCTCTTCTAAAAAATACAAAAATTAGCCAGGTGTCATGGCACACACCTGTAATCCCAGCTACTCAGAGGCCGAGGCACGAGAATTGTTTGAGCTGGGGAGATGGAGGTTGCAGTGAGCCAAGATCTCACCATTGCACTCCAGCCTGGGCAACAGAGTGAGACTCTATCTCAGGAAAATAAAAAATAAAAATAAATAAAATATAATATGTGTAACATGTGGTTCCTCTCCTTGACAAATTCCAAATCTATTGATGTATAGATACCTCAATAAATTACAGCTGTATTTTCAAAGTTCTGAAATGTAACTAGAGATTTGTTTATTTTTGAGATAAAGTTTGCTTTGTCACCCAGGCTGGAGGGCAGTGGCATGATCATGGCTCACTGCAGCCTCAACCTCCTGTGCTCAAGCAATCCTCCCACCTCACCCTCCTGAGTAGCTGGACTATAGGCGCTTGCCGCCGTGCCTGGGTAATTTTTTTATAATTTTTTTTTTATAGAGCAGGAGTCTCCCTATGTTGCCTAGACTGGTCTTGAATTCCTGGCCTCAAGAAATCCTCCTGTCTGGTGCTCCCAACATACTGGGATTACAGGTGTGAGCTGCTGTGCCCAGTCAGAGGTTTTGACATGAGCAGTTACTGAGAAAGGGATCTGGAAGAGTATTTTGAAATCAGACATAAAGTCAAATTAGACTTATTTAAGAGAATTAACCAATGGAGCCTGAGTTTGGCTTCTCCCATTTCCCACCACTGATCCCCTGGCCACGTGGAGTCCTGCAGGAAATCCCTGTGCCAGTTGGGCTAGCCCAGGACACATGGCTTTGGAGACCGGGCAGGCAGATGCCAGCCCAGGCACTGGAGCTGGTGCTTGCATGCCCCTCTCAGTGGGATATCTGATCCCCAGATGCCAGATGCCAGTGTCCTGTCTGAGCTGCCCCTGGGGCCACACACAGGATCTCAGAGTGGACAAACAGCCTTGCCCTTGACAATGAAAAGTTCTCAGCTCTGAGACCAGAAGAAGCCTTAGTGCAAACATTTCTCAAAGTTTCAGTCTCTTAAAATTGGTGACTATGGAGAGCTTGTGTGTGTGTGTGTGTGTGTATGTGTGTGTGTGTGTGTGTGTGTGTGTTGTATCTCTCAGTATTGTCTGTGTTAGACATGAAAGCTGAGGAGTCTGCAAAGCACAGGAACACACACACACACGAGTCACTGGTGTCAGAGTGAGGCTATCATCACACATCACAGCCATCTAGAAAACTCCACGGTACACTTGCGGAAGAAGGCGAGGTAAAGGCAAGTAACAAGAGTAGTTTTGACCTTGTGTGCCCTTGAAAGGATCTAGGGAGCTGGGAGTCCCCAGACCCTGCTTTGAGGATCACTGGCTTAGAGGCATTGGCATCCAGGCTCCGCCAGTGCTCCTGAGCCGTGGCCATGTGCTGCCAGATTGCGGCCTCTGTGCAGTTCAGATCTTCCTTTCTTCCAAGTCCTTTGCACCATCCTCAGCCTTTATCCTCCTCGGTCCACATTTGGGCATTACAACTTAGATAAACCCTCACTCCCATTTTTCATCATCAAAGTCTTTTTTTTTTTTTTTTTGAGACATAGTTTCATTCTGTTGCCCAGGCTGGAGTGCAGTGGTGCGATCTCAGCTTACTGCACCCTCCACCTCCCGGGTTCAAGCGATTCTCCTGCCTCAGCCTCCCGAGTAGCTAGTATTCCAGGTGCACACCACCACACCCAGCTAATTTTTTTCTATTTTTAGTAGAGATGGGGTTTCACCATTTTGGCCAGGCTGGTCTTGAACTCCTGACCTCAGGTGATCCACCTGCCTCGGCCTCCCAAAGTGCTGGGATTACAGGCATGAGCCACCATGCCCGGTCTCATCATCAGACAAGTCTTGCACATTCCCTGTTGCTTGGGAACTCAAGAGGTCCCTGCCTGTGGCTTCAGGGTATCCCCTCGCTGCTTCCCAGCAGGCACCCTGTATTGAAACCCCACACCCTCATCTCAGCTCCCGATACTGCCAGTCCCCCAAAACCAGCCCTTCCCATTGTGGAGTTATACCAGGCACCACGTGAAAGCCACAGCATCAGCATTGGAGACTTTCTGCCAGGACACAGAACGTGTCTTAAATAGCACAAAGACATTTAAATGGGAAGAAATTACAGCAGGAGTGAGTTTATCCCTTTCAAGATACTCTTATTTAATAACCAAAAAACTCACATAGATGTTCATTTTATCCAACTACAAAAACAGCATGGTGGGTTATATATTGTGGTAACTACATGTTTGGGGTTTTATTCCTCCTTTAAACCAGATTTCTATTATTTCAGAAAATCAGCCATTGTAGAAAAAGACTATTCATTTATTTCATTTCTGGGTGGCCCATACACTGTAAAAATAGGTCAAGAACAGTAATCTAAATTGACTGCTGATAAATAATTAAAGCTAATAGAATTTTTCTCAGACCTGTGAACTAAAATCTTTGAGAAATTGCCAGGACATACTTACTGTCTCCTGTTGTATAGAAAGATATTTTTTTATTTAATACTTCAGTTTCAATGCCATTTAAAATTACCATTTTCTATCACAAGCACTGGAAGGAATATGTGTTCATCTATAAAAGTAACCAGAGGAACGACGCCGCACTGATGGCTATATGGTACATCTTCAGATGAGATGGGAAGTGACGGTTTCGGTATCCTGGACAAAAGAAACTTCGTTTTTCACTGAACTGCATTTTAAGTCGAGGTCTACAGTCTGCATATCACATAATATATACTGTCTTGTTTTTAAAGACTCTGTACTTGGTCTAAGCTCTTACATTGATAAGGGAAACTTACAGCTATCTTACATGACATCCAGGAAAACAAATACTATGAACATCTTTTTTTCACCAGTAATTACTGTTCTCTCATTGGTGCTACCAGGGCCTTATAAAAAGACACTGGAAAATTAGCTGGGCGCGGTGGCGGGTGCCCGTAGTCCCAGCTACGCAGGAGGCTGAGGCAGGAGAATGGCGTGAACCAGGGAGGTGGAGCTTGCAGTAAGCCGAGATCACGCCACTGTATTCCGGCCTGGGCGACAGAGCAAGACTCCGTCTCAAAAAAAAAAAAAAAAGACTCTGGGGTGGGGCACATTGGCTCATGCCTGTAATCCCAGCACTTTGGGAGGCCGAGGCAGGTGGATCCCTCAAGGTCAGGAGTTCAAGACCAGCCTGGCCAACATGGTGAAACCCCATCTCTACTAAAAATACAAAAATTAGCCAGGTGTGGTGGTGGGCACCTGTAATCCCAGCTACTTGGGAAGCTGAGGCAGGAGAATTGCTTGAACCAGGGATGTGGAGGTTGGAGTAAGCTGAGATCACGCCACTGCACTCCAGCCTTGGTGACAAGAACGAAACTCCATCAGAAAAAAAGAGAGAGAGAGAGAGAGAATGTGAGCTAAGACCAGGGGAGAGGAGAGATCAGGGCATCACCCCAGGCAGGAGAGGTCTGAAACAGAAGGTGACAACTGAACAAGCCAAGCCACAGGGCCAGGTCCCTAAGGGTCCCTGCCTCTAGCATGGTTGGCAGCAACCTTGTGAGAGTCAGAATCGAGTCTTTCAGAAGTGACCCAATTCAGCCCTTCACTACCCCACCCTGCCCCAGTGCTCTTGGGAAGACTACATTGTCACCAAAGGAGAAAGGGTCCCACCCCTGAGCTGTCACTGGAGAGGATGGGGTACCACCAAGAGATGTTGCCCCTCTTAAATGCAGTTGGGCTTATTTCCCAGAAAGCATCCAAGTTACTGTACAGTGAAAAAAACATTCAGAAAAATCTCGATTATCTGATTTTTTTTTTCAATTTAGAGACAGGGTCTTGCTCTATCACCCAGGCTGGAGTGCAGTGGCAGGGTCATAGCTCACTGCCATCCCAAACTCCTAGGTTCAAGCCATTCTCCCACCTCAGCCTCCAAAGTAGATAGGACTACAAGCCTACACCACCATGCTCGCTAATTTTTGTATTTTTTCTAGAGATGAGGTTTCACCATGTTGCCCAGGCTGGTCCTGAATGCCTGGGCTCAAGCAATCCTCCCACCTTGGCCTCCCAAAGTGCTGGGATTACATATGTGAGTCACCAAATAGTTTTTTTGTTTGTTTTTTGTTTTTGAGATGGAGTTTCACTGTTGTTGCCCACACTGGAGTCCAATGGTGCAATCTCAGCTCACTGCAACCTCCACCTTCCAGGTTCAAGTGATTCTCCTGCCTCAGCCTCCTGAGTAGCTGGGATTATAGGCATGCGCCACCACGCCTGGCTAATTTTGTATTTTTTTTAAGTCTCTGACTCTGAGCCTCCTGCCCTTCTCTTACAAGGAGCACTAGGATTACACCGGGCCCGCCTGGATAATCCAGGATCATCTCCTGACTCATGATCCCTAATGTAGTCCCATCTGCAAAAGCCCCTTTTACCATTGCAATCTAACGTATTCACAAGTGCCAGCTATGAGGATGTGGTTATCTCTGGAAAACTATTATTGGTGCTGACCAGAGATAGCCTTATTTATATAAAAAGAGATTGGTGACCAGGCATGGTGGCTCACACCTGTAATCCCCAGCATTTTGGGAGGCCAAGGCAGGCATATCGCTTGAGCTTGGGAGTTCGAGACCAGCCTGGGCAACATGGTGAAACACTATCTCTACAAAAACTAGCTGGGTGTGGCGGCATGTGCCTGTGGTCCCAGCTACATGGGAGATTGAGGTGAGAGGATCCCTTGAACCCGGGAGGCGGAGGTTACAGTGAGCCGAGATCATGCCACTGCACTCCAGCCTGGGTGACAGAGCCAGACCCTGTCTTAGGGGGAAAAAAAACCAGATTGGTAAAGAATCTGATGACTTTTTGTCATTTAACTTGGTGTAAAAATACAGAAAATCATCTAGTGGAGGAAGTAAAAGGACTGACTTCCCCAAGGAAATAATGGTATCACATTTAGAAATGCATCATTTAGAACAGTATATAGTTAACAGAGAAATTACAATGCTTCTTGACCAAATGTTTCTAAGAGATCACAATACAAAATAATGTGGGCTGGTGATATTTGTCAAAAAACTTGTGGTACAGTGGCCAGGCGTGGTGGCTCACACCTGTAATTCCAGCACTTTGGGAGGTCAAGATGGACAGATCTCTTGAGTCCAGGAATTCAAGACCAGCCTGGGCAACATAGTAAGACCCTTGTCTCTACAAAACAATAAGAAAATTAGCAAGACTTGATGGTGGGTTCCTGTAGTCCCAGCTACTCAGGAGGCTGAGGTGGGAGGATCGCTTGAACCCAGAAGGTTGAGGCTGCAGTGAGCTATGATCATACCACTACACTCTACCCTAGGTGACAGAGCAAGACGCTGTCTCAAGAAAACAAAAACTTGCAGTACAGGTCTGTCCTGTAGGTCCCTCTGTGATGATGGAAAAGTTCTGTATTTGCATGGTTGAAAGCAGTAGCCCCCAGTGCCAAGTGGCTACCGAATCCTTGAAATGTGGCTAGGGTAACTCAGAAACTGAATTTTCCAAATTTACTTAATTTTAACTAAGTTGTATTTAAATATAAATAAGCACATATGGCTATATGTGTTGATATAGAATAAGAAGACTTCTTCACCTGGGTTCTTGAGATAAGTCGTACTTAGGAAGGCTCTGATAAAATAATTTGCAGAGTTTTATTTCTGAGGGCAAGGTCAGTAGCTTTCCTCAAGATTCTCAGAAGGCTTCATGAACCACAATGTAGGCCCAGTGTTGTGGCTCATGTCAGTAATTCCAACACTTTAGGAGGCTGAGTTGGGCAGGTTACCTGTGGTCAGGAGTTTGAGACCAGCCTTGCAAAACCCTGCCTCTACTAGAAATACAAAAATTAGCTGGGCATGGTGGTGGGCACCTGTAGTCCCAGCTACTCAGGAGGCTGAGGCAGGAGAATCACTTGAACCCAGGAGGTGGAGGTTGCAATGCACCAAGATTGCACCACCGCACTCCCATCTGGGCAACAGAGCGAGACTCCGTCTTAAAAAAACAAAACAAAATACAGTTTCAATGCCTAAATTTTCAGTAAATAAGATATTATCTTAGTTGAGTCTTTTCAAAATATTTGAAGCACTTTCTCAGTTACTTCATTTTAAATAAAATGCTCTGAATGAGATCATACGCAAGCACCTATGGGATGTCCTGGTGTTTCAAAATGGGCACTGGTGGCTTGGGATAAAATTTATTGTGACTCTGTCAGACGTGGATTCAAAACAGGCTGTATGTCCCACTAACAGTGCATTAAAATGGCAGCTAGGGCCAGCTGTGGTGGCTCATACCTGCAATCCCAACGCTTTGGGAGACCAAGGCAGGTGGATCACCTGAGGTCAGGAGTTCGAGACCAGCCTGGCCAACATGGCGAAACCCCATCTCTACTACAAATACAAATATTAGCCGGGCTTGGTGGCGGGTGCCTGTAGTCCCAGCTACTCAGGAATCTGAGGTGAGAGAATCACTTGAACCCGGGAGGCAGAGGTTGCAGTTAGCTCTGATTGCGCCATTGCACTCCAGCTTGGGCAACACAGCGAGACTCTGTCTCAAAAAAAAAAAAAATAAATAAATAAAATAAGGCAGCTAAAATGCAGCACAGTGGTCCAGGTCCATTTCAGACAGAAACAGCAGTCAAACCCCCATTCCTGTCTATTTTATTCTAAGCAAATTAATTTTCTCACTTAGACTGACATCAGCAAAAGCTTTAGTCTGTAGCATGTTCAAAATGAGATATATGTGACCAGGAGTTAGTAGAAATAAAACGTCCTTGTAGGCTGGGTGGGGTGGCTCATGCCTGTAATCCCAGAACTTTGGGATGCTAAGGTGGGCAGATCTCTTAAGCCCAGGAGTTTGACCCTCGCCTGGATGACATGATGAAACCCCATCTCTACAAAAAAATACAAAAGTTAGCCAGGCATGGTGGCATATGCCTGTAGTCTCAGCTACTTGGGAGGCTGAGGCGGGAGGAAGACTCTAGCCCAGGAGGCAGAGATTGCAGTGAGCCGGGAATGTGCCACTGCAGTCCAGCCTGGTCGACAGAGTGAGACTCTGTCTCAAACAATAATAACAACAACAAAAAAGAACCACCTCATATTCTTAAATAAGTTTAAATCCTGGAGCGCCAGTTGGCGTTATCTATGTTTTAGGAGTGCAGGAACAGGCAAGGTCCCAGGCTTGCTTTAGATAATGATAAACAGCACTGACTGCCACGCTGTTTTTAGGAGGTCTTAACCAATGTTTCCCTTCTTTCTCCTTCTCAAATGGCTGCTTCCTGACCTCCGCCTCCTGCTCCAGGATTTGCGCAAGCAGGTAGCACCACTGCTGAAGAGCTTCCATGGAGGTAAGCTTTTCTATTCATTTTCTATCCTGAGCCACCCTTTGTGGCTAATCCATCTTTTCATTCATGTTAAAGAAATGCTCCAAGCAAAAGGTGCTGCCCTGCCCGGATGGTGCTTTCCCGGCTGCTCCAACCTAGCATGGTGCAGATTTTGTGCTCTGTGATGTGATTTTCCATTGGGTCCTTGGTGAAAGCCCTCCTGGAAAAGGAACCTATGCTCAGAATATACAGAGGTGGGTGGATTCCAAGCAGAAGCACCCCATGTGGTGGCAATGGGCAGGTAGTTTGTGCCACAGCCTTTAGGAGCCCTTACGTCCCCTCCAGGAAGTTGCCTTGTTCCCTGAGCTGGTCTGGGACTGCCACTGCCATGAGTGTGTGCTGTAAGTGTGGTGCTTTGGTGAGAGGCTGGCGGGGGCACAGGGATGCCACTTGATCGCGGGCTTGAAACCCAGAGCATCAGGCAGAAACCACAAGGAGGAAGTCTGAGCTCGGTAAAAGGAAGCGGTTTCTAACAGATCCTTCCAGAGAAGGACGGAGCCATCTGGCAGATGGCACGTGGGTGCCAAATCACCTGGGATATCTGCCCTGGCTACCTGTTAGTGGGAACAGCAGCCACAGAGGAGACTGGGCTCCATGTGGGTGACACTTCTTGCCAGCCCTTTGCGTAAAGATTGAGTGATGTTTAGTAAACCAGAAATTATACTGTTGAGGATTTACTGAATCTCACCTCTTTACCTTCTCCGTTGGAAAAACAGAATGGGGAATCATACCAAGCTGATAAGAAAAGGAAAGGAGACATTTCCAAAGCCCCTGAAAGAGCCCATATTGGTACAGTTTTAGGATTTTTTTTTTTTTTTTTGAGACAGAGTCTTGCATTGTCGCCCAGGCGGCAGTGCAGTGGCGTGATCTTGGCTCACTGCAACTTCCACCTTCTGGGTTCAAGTAATTTTCCTGTCTCAGCCTCCTGAGTATGTGAGATTACAGGTGCACACCATCATGCCCAGCTAATCTCTGTATTTTTAGTAGAAACGGGGTTTCACCATGTTGGCCAGGCTGGTCTCAACCTCCTGACCTCAGGTGATCCTCCCGACTTGGCCTCCCAAAGTGCTGGGATTACAGATGTGAGCCACCGTGCCTGGCAGGGATTTTATTTTCTTGCAACTACTAAGTCACAGGGAACAAATAGGGGAAGGGGCAAGAGAGATACTGTGGCAAGATATAATAGGCTCCCTTTGGGACACAGGTGATGTGGGCCTTATATGGAAGGCTGGGTTCCTGGGCCCAGAGCTCCAGGGCAAGCAGTCAGGCTTCCATGTGGGAAATTCTTCAGCTGGGAGCGAGAGCAGGGAGTGAGTAAATGAAGGAGGCTGGGGATATTGTAGCCAGAGACAGAGAGGCAATTTCAGGACCTCAAAAGGGACCAGCCTAGAAAGAAGACACAGTGGTTGGTGATGGCTGGAAATTTTAGAGGGTAGAACAGTGCTCCTCTCTTATTATCTTCTTCCTGCCTCATTCAGCCCCCATGCAGGTAGCTTGGTCCGGCCAGCAGGACACCCACATCCCAGGGCTTGGATGGACTTGAACAGTCTTTTTCTCGAACTTCATCTCCAAGCTGGCACTTGATGAGTGAAACTGTTACCTGACACCTACCCACATTTGTTCTTACCTGTTCTGTTACCTATTCCGTAGATTTTGAGAGACCCACTGGCTTCCTAGTTCTCTAGCTCAAAGAGTTCAGTGTGGTTTTGGGGTGTTTGCTTTTCTTTCTTATTGAAAAATTTCAAAGCTGTATAAAAATGGAAAGATTAGTGCAGTGAACACACGTATGCTTTTTTTTTTTTTTTGAGACAAAGTTTTGCTCTTGTTGCCCAGGCTGGAGTGCAATGGTGCGATATCAGCTCACTGCAACCTCCGCCACCCGGGTTCAAGTGATTTTCCTGCCTCAGCCTCCCAAGTAGCTGGGATTACAGGCATGCGCCACCACGTCCAGCTGATTTTTGTATTTTTAGTAGAGACAGGGTTTCATCATATTGGTCAGGCTGGTCTCTAACTCCTGACCTCAAGTGATCTGTCCCAAAGTGCTGGGATTACAGCTGTGAGCCACCGTGCCCGGCCATCCTGTATGCTCTTTACTCAGATCCACAGTCCTTAACATTTACCCCATGTACCTTACCCCCTCCCCTTCCCACCCACCACTTTTGCAGAACATTTGGAAGTAAGTTGCAGAAGTATGCACTGTGCCCCTCAAATGCACATGGAAGGCTCCCAAAGTTAAGGAAACATTAACATTCTCTGACATTACCTCAATAATCACAAATATCAAACCTGGGAAAATTCACAGTAATTCCAGGTCATCTCCTATTTGATCTAAAATCAAATTTTTCCAATTATCCCTAAGATGTCTTTTATAACGGCCCTCCCTGCAACTGGGGTCCAATCAGGTTCACATATTACATTTGGAAATCTGTCTATCTATAGATCTGTCTATCAATTCATCATCTGTTTTATGATTTTCTATTTTAAAAAGTTTTTTTTTTTTTTTTTTTTTTGAGACAGGGTCTCACTCCGTAACCCAGGCTGCAGTGCAATGGTGCCATCATGGCTCGCTGCAGCCTCCACTTCCTGGGCTCAGCAATCCTCTTGACTTAGCACTCCCCAGTGCCGCCCCCCCCACCCCCCCCATAGCTGGGACTATATGTGTGCACCACCACTTCCGGCTAATTTGTTTTTATTTTTGGTAGAGACACAGTTTCAATATGTTGCCTAGGCTTGTCTCAACATCCCAGGCTCAAGTCATCATGCCTGGCCTGGAAGTGGTTTTTCAAATATTTTACTTCCATCCTCTTATTATGATGTGTTGCTATTAAAAAGGTGATCATGCCTGTAATCCCAGCACTTTGGAAGACAAGGCAGGAGGATCGCTTGACCCCAGGAGATAGAGAGCAGCCTGGCCAATATAGTGAGACCCCGTCTCAGGCTCAAGCCTGTAATCCCAGCACTCTGGGAGGCCAAGGTGGGTGGATCACCTGAGGTCAAGAGGTTCGAGACCAGCCTGGCCAACATGGTGAAACCCCGTCTCTACTAAACATACAAAAATTAGCTGGGCATGGTGGTGTGTGCCTGCAATCCCAGCTACTCGGGAGGCTGAGGCATGAGAATCACTTGAACTCGGGAGGTAGAGTTTGCAGTGAGCTGAGATCACACCACTGCACTCCAGCCTGGGTGACAGAGTGAGACTCCACCTAAATACATAAATAAATAAATAAACAAAATTTGAGATATTATAATTTAATGATTACTTATAATTATTATAACAAAATCATAAAATGCAACTCACACAGAAATTAGAGCTATTTATGATCAGTTGATTGATTATGATACCTAATTTTGGGTGTTTCACAAGCCCAACAAATTGATGGGTGGTGTGGAGGAGGTGTACCCTTAATATTCAGTCCAATTTAAAGCTTATTCTAGTCCAACAATAATTTAGACAATCCATTCAGCAAAGTAATACACACACCCTCTAGGAAAATGCTGTCTTCCTACCTTGTTTGGCCAATCCTTACTTCTCTCCCTAAGAAGGGTCATGGTGTGGAAGGTTGAGGGGATGAGGAGCTGGCTCAGAGAACCTCTTGGTAGTAGGGGAGAAAGTGTCCTCAGAGAAGAAAATCCTCTTAAGAAATAACATGAGTACTCAGAGAAGAAATGAAAGACTAGCAATCTATGAACTAAGCATCAGCTTTATAAAAGTACAGTAGGCTGGTATGATGGCTCCTGCCTGTAGTCCCAGCAACAGAAGAAATCAAACTGTCATTTTTCAAGTGAGCCTCAATTATTTAACCAGTTTACTAGATACAAAATCAATATACAAAAGTAATTATATACCTCTGTATCAGCAGCAAACTTAGAATGTAATTTTTAAAAAGGATACTACTGGAGATAGCCAGCAAAACAAACAAACAAACAAAAAAGTGAAGATAATATTGAACCAGTACAAGTTGGAGGAATTGCCCTACCAGATTATTAAAGCTACAGTAGTTGGCACAAAGTGAGATAAATACACCAAAGGAACATAATAAAAAAAATCAGAATCTGGCAGAGCATGATGGCTCATACCTGTAATCCCAGGAGGCCAAGGCAGGAGGATCACTTGAGGTCAGGAGTTCCATACCAACCTGATCAATATGGTGAAACTTCATCTCTACTAAAAATACAAAAATTAGCCTGATGCAGTCACTTGCTCCTGTAGTCCCAGGTACTTGGGAGGCTGAGGCAGGAGAATTGCTTGAACCCAGGAAGCAGAAGTTTCAGTGAGCCAAGATCGCACCACTGCAGTCCAGCCTGGGTCACAGAGTGAGGCTCTGTCTCCAAAAAAAAAAAAAAAAAGAAAAGAAAAAGAAAAGAAACCAGTATCTGACCTATGAATATATATAGAAGCTGAATATATTGCAAAGATTGTATGGATCAGTGATGAAAGAGGGCACTTTTCATGGTCCCCTGACAATTGTCAAATCCTTATAGATTAAATGAAGTTAAGGCCAGGTACATTGGCTCCTATCTGTAATCCCAGCACTTTGGAAGGCTGAAGCAGGCAGTTTCCTTGAGCTCATGAGTTAGAGACTAACCTGGGCAACATGGCGAAACACTGTCTGTACAAAAAATTACAAAAATTAGCTGGGTTTGATGGCACATGCCTGTAGTCCCAGCCACTTGGGAGGCTGAGGTGGGATGATTGCTTGAGCCCACGAGCTGGGGGCTGCAGTGAGCTGTGATCACGTGCCACTGCACTACAGCCTGGCTGACAGAGCAAGATCCTGTCTCAAGCAAACAGACAGAAAAACAATTAACTAGAGTTGGAGCCCTACCTTACACTGTGTGGAAACACAAATTACAAGGAAAGTCTTAGGACAAAGCTTTAAACTTTTTAGAAGAAAATATAAAAGATGATGACTTTTGGCTGGGTAGAATTTCTTTTATTTATTTTTTAATTGTTTTTTTTTTGAGATGGAGTTTTGCTCTTGTTGCCCAGGCTGGAGTGCAACGGCATGATCTCAGCTCACTGCAACCTCCGCCTCCTGGGTTCAAATGATTCTCCTGCCTCAGCCTCCCAAGTAGCTGGGATTACAGGCATGTGCCACCACACCCAGCTAATTTTGTATTTTTAGTAGAGATGGGGTTTCTCCATGTTGATCAGGCTGGTCTCGAACTCCTGACCTCAAGTGATCCACCCGCCTTGGCCTCCCAAAGTGCTGGGATTACAAGTGTGAGCCACAGCACCCGGCCCTGGGCTGGGTAGAATTTTTTAAACAGAAAACCATAAAAGAAGAGATTGTTGCAGTGAACTACATTAAAATTTTAAAGTAGGAGCCTTTTTTTTTCATGGAAAGATACCCTAAAGAAAGTGGAAAGATGGCTGGGTGTGGTGGCTCACGTCTGTAGTCTCAGCACTTTGGGAGACTGAGGTGGGCAGATCACTTGAGGTCAGGAGTTTGAGACCAGCCTGGGCAACATGGTGAAACCCTGTCTCTATTGAAAATACAACATTTAGCTGGGCGCGGTGGCACATGCCTGTATTCTCAGCTACTCAGGAGGCTGAGGCACGAGAATCGCTAGAACCTGGGAGATGGAGGCTGCAGTGAGCCGAGATCATGGCACTGCACTCCAGCCTGGGCAACAGAGTGAGATTCCATCTCAAAAAAAAAAATGTGGAAAGACAAGACAGTGCACTGCTAACTCCATGGTATATTCATGTGAAGTAGAAAAAAGGTCTGCCTTTTTCAAGACATTTCACATCACCTGTTGGAAACTTGCCATAATAAAGATTCATACTTACCTCCATGTTTGCCGTGATAAAGATTCAAACATCCAGGATGTGAAGGGTGCCCTCTAGGGCTGTGCATTCCACAGTTGTACCTTGGCCATGATTTACAAATCTGGAGGAGGTAGTTGTCACACCTGTAATTAACAATTAATGTTCACAAGATATTCAAAATGCTCGCATATCAATGGGGGAAACAAAACAATAAAAAAATGAGTACAAGTCATGAGCATAATTGTCAGAAGAGAACATCGGAATGGTCAGTAGCTATATGAAAAGACGTTTAGGCTCCATAATAGCCAGGGATATGCAGATTAAAATAACTAATTTGCAAGTGATTCCTCCCTACCAAGTTCACTAAAATTAAAAAGTTAAGACAGGAGTGTAGGCCGGGCGTGGTGGCTCACGCCTGTAATCCTAGCACTTTGGGAGGCCGAGGTGGGTGGATCACCAGGTCAGGAGATCGAGACCATCCTGGCTAACACAGTGAAACCCCATCTCTACTAAACATTAAAAAAAAAAAAAATTAGCCAGGCGTGGTGGTGGGGGTCTGTAGTCCCAGCTACTCGGGAGGCTGAGGCAGGAGAATGGCGTGAACCCGGGAGGGAGAACTTGCAGTGAGCTGAGATCATGCCACTGCACTCCAGCCTGGGCGACAAAGGGAGACTCCGTCTCAAAAAAAAAAAAAAAAAAATGATAGGAGCGTAAGTCGATTTAACCTTTTTGAAAGCCAATTTTGCATCTGATGATAAAGTTAAAGACTCACCTGTACCCTGAAGCGGCAATTTCACTCTTAAATATATACACTAAAGAAACTTAGGCATGTGGGGCATGGTGGCTCATGCCTGTAATCCTAGTACTTTGAGAGGCAGAGGTGGGGACAGCGCTTGAGCCCAGAAGTTCAAGACCAGCTGAGCAACATAGTAAGACCTCCATCTGTACAAAAAAAATTAAAAGTTACCCAAGCTTGGTGGCACATACCTGTAGTCCCAGCTACTCGGGAGGCTGAGGCAGGAGGATCACTTGAGCCTGGGAGTTGGAGGCTAATGCAGTTAGCTTTGATGGCACCACTGCACCCCAGCCTGAGGGACAGAGCCAGATCCTATTTCAAAAGAAAATTAAAGAGATAAATAAACTTAAACTGGTTTGCCCTGGAAAACCAGTTGAGAAATTTTGAAAATAGTTAACATATGAAGACAACCCAGGCAGCCATCAACAGGAGAAAGAATATGATGATAACACTTTGTTGTAACAAAAGATTAATAACAGAAAAGCATATGGATTTATTTACTGAATGTTATGAGCTCTGTATACCCAGTGCCTCTCCCTCATAAGCATTAAATAAGTGTTTATTGGGTGGGTGGATGGAAGCATCATCCTTATCTTACAGATAAAAGGACTAAGCCTGAGAGAGGACCCCAAGTCACACAGGTCATAATGGCAGGAGTGGGCCTCGATTCTGGGGCCATCTGGCATCCCAGAAGTGCTAACGTTGATGTGCTCTGATACTGCTTGAGTGGGGAGGAAGCAATGCCTTCAGCCCCTCCCTGATCTCAGCCAACCTCTCCAGTCTTTGATTGGCAATTTGAGAGGCTGAGGCAGGTGGATCACTTGAGCCCAGGACCTCCAGACCAGCCTGGGCAACATAGTGAAACCCCGTCTCTACCAAAAAATGCAAAAATTAGCCAAGCGTGGTATCACACACCTGTAGTCCCAGCTGCTTGGGAGGCTGAGGTGGGAAGATCATTTGAGCCCAGGGGGTTGAGGCTACAGTGAGCTATGATCACACTATTGCACTCCAGCCTGGGCAACAGAGTGAGACCCTGTCTCTATTAAAAAAAAAAAAGATTGATGTTCATCTTGTGCACAGTGCTCTGCAAACCCTCCCTGAAGCCCCCTTCCCTTCTAACCAGCCCCTCCTAGATAAATTCTGGAGCTTGGTGCATTGTCTCATGTGGACATCCATAACTGTGTCCATGCATTTTGCTACAACCAAGATCTGCATCGTTGGAAGGAGTGGGACCCAGGTTAACTGTGAATTTCATCACAGTATCACCTGCTGGCATGGCCTGAGGGAGGGACCAAGGAATGATCTGAAATTTCCCTTTGTGCTGAATGTCTCCCTTACATGCAGTGTGCTGGGCCACATTCAGAGCTGCATGCAGGACGTGCTCTCAGAGGCTGGGTTTTACTCTCTGGTCTTCATTCAACACAAACTTTTCGGGAGCCTCCTTCTTCCAGCTATGGGCCAAACAGTAGCTAAAGATGTCACGTTGAATACAATCGAATAGGACCCTGCTATTCTAATGAAGGAAAACTGATGATAAACACAAAAGGCAATGTTAGATGGTGCCAGGTGCTGTGAGGGAGACATGCTAGGTCTCGGGGTAGAGTGGGAAGAGATGGTAGCGGCTTCTTCAGTCATCCAGGGAGGCCTCTCCAGGGAGGACAACAGAACATCAGAGGGAAGAAGCAAGGAGAACCAACCACACTCAGAGCTGGGCAAGAGCGTCAGGAAGATGGGGGCAGCGAGTGCCAGGGCTCTGCAGGGATGGGCTTGCCTGTCAGGGAGCAATACCAAGGAAGTTAGTAGGCCCGGGTCATGACAGGGCCTTGTAGGCAGAACCCTTAGGTCTCTTTGAAGGAGACCCTTTGGTCTCCCCTTTGAACTAGACCCTTTCAAACAGGTACAGTAGAAAGCAAATACCCCATGGGCACTGGCAGGATGATTCGACAGAGTCTAATCAAATAATAGGGGAAATAGAGAAAGTTGGGTGAACTACAACAGTGTATGACTGAGTTAAAAGTAACTACAAGTCTGCTTCCCATCTTGCAGCCCATATCTGCTGAGCAGTAACATATTTAAGCATTCAGATTTAAAGCATATTGCTGAATAAAGCCAAGGTGTCCATGTGGTTCACTCCAAAGAGCATTTCACAGGAAGCTGGTCCAGGCGCTGCTGCCCACCACCTCTGTGACCTTGGGTGAGTCTTGGGGCCTCTTTCTGCCAGAATTTTCTCATCTGTAAAACAAGTGGGTTACCCAGATCCTCCCCCAAGGAGCTCCATAGCTCTGAAACCTCATGAGACTCACTGGAGCAGTACTTTGGTTGACTATCACCAGCAGAACCAAAGAGGATGTTTTCCAGCAATGTAGATATGTTCAAAAATAGGGTAAGCTGACCAGGCACGGTAGCTCATGCCTGTAATCCCAGCACTTTGGGAGGCTGAGGTGGGTGGGTCACAAGGTCAGGAGTTCAAGACCAGCCTGGTCAACATAGTAAAACCCCGTCTCTACTAAAAATACAAAAAAAAAAAAAAAATTAGCCAGGTGTGGTGGTGGGTGCCTGTAGTCCCAGCTACCTGGGAGGCTGAAACAGGAGAATTGCTTGGATGACCACCTGCCAGGGAGATTGTCACCTCTTATCTATTTTTTTTTTTTGAGACAGAGTCTCTCTCTCTCTGTCACCCAGGCTGGAGTGCAGTGGTGCAGTCTCAGCTCACTGCAACTTCTGCTTCCTGGGTTCAAGTGATTCTCCTGCCTTAGCCTCCCCAGTAGCTGGGATTTCAGGTGTGTGCCACCACATCCGGCTAATTTTGTATTTTTAGTAGAGATGGGGTTTCACCATGTTGTTCAGGCTGGTCTTGAACTCCTGGCCTCAAGTGATCCACCTGCCTTGGCCTCCTGAAGTGCTGGGATTACAAGTGTGAGCCACCATGCCCTGCCTTATCCATCCTTCTAAATGCCAGATCCTCCAAGTCTTCCCAAAATAGCCAGAAACAGATTCTTCCTCTTCTGATCTCTGAGACAGCTTCATTTATACCTCCCTTTTAATTTTTTTTTTTTTTTTTTTTTTTAGACAGAGTCTCATTCTGTCACTCAGGCTGGAGTACAGTGGCAGTGGCATGATCTCGGCTTACTGCAACCTCCAGCCCCTGAGTTCAAGCAATTCTCCTGCCTCAGCCTCTCAAGTAGCTGGGACTACAGGTGCACACCACCACGCCTGGCTAATTTTTTGTATTTTTAGTAGAGACAGGGTTTCACCATGTTGGCCAGGCTGGTCTCAAACTCCTGATCTCAAGTGATCTGCCTAGTGGTTAGGATTCAGCACTCCCTCTCCCTTTTGGTTTTGAGCCTGAAGACATTCTGCCCCTATAGTTACTTACCAAGGCCTTATGCTTCTAACATGTAGAAGGGAGGGTATGTGTGTGTGTGTGTGTGAGTGTGTGTGTGAATGTGTGTGTGAGTGTGTGTGTATGTGTATGTGTCTTTGCACCTATTTCCATCCCCATCTTGACAGTACTTAGCTAGTACTGCATTAAGTGTCATGGGTGAAATAGGATTAGAGAAGGTTGGACTAGATCAGTGGCTCCCAAAGCTGCTGCTGCATCAGACCAGTGCTGCACTGGCCCTATGAAAATTGCTCACGTGTTTCCAGAAATACAGCTCCTACCCTGACATTCTGGTGTAGAAGGCCTGGGGTGGAATCTTAGAACCTGTACTTCTTCAAAGCCCACCTCTGATGCTCATGCACTGCTAGTTATAGGAACCACTGGGCTTGGTTCCCTGAAAGAGCTCTTTTTGCTGGTATCAAGTTCTGTGACTAGTTCTGCCCACTCAAGCTTCTTAGATTGGTATGTTAGGAGCTCCATGACTTGCCTTTGAAATATTTTTCCAGCTTCAAATTCCTGGGCTTCTACTCTGGCTGAACTGGCCTGTGTATTATGAGTCACCTGAACATACTTTTTGATTTCCTGAAGCCTCTGTTATTGTTAAGAGCCTTTTGCTGTTCCCTACCTATAAAACTCATTTCCATCCTTTAGAGCTGAACCGAAAGTCTGTCTCCTTTGACCATTTTCCTGACCATCTCAACCTATTTCTAACTTTTTCCCTCTTTTTTTATCCTCAGCTTTATTAAAGTATCATTTAAAAAGAAAAGTTGTACATATTTATGGTGCATAATGTGATGGTTTTGGGTTTTTATTTTTTGATACAGGATCTCCCTGTCACCCAGGCTAGAGTGCAGTGGCACAATCAGGGTTCATTGCAGCCTCCACCTCCCGGGCTAAAGTGATCTTCCTGCTTCAGCCTCCCAAGTAGTTGGGACTATAGGCGCCTGGCCCAGCTAATTTTATATTTTTTTAATTTTAGTAATGCCAAAGTCTGGCTACATTGCCCAGGCTGGTCTTGAACTCTAGCAGCACAATCTCAGCTCACTGCAACCTCCACCTCCCATGTTCAAGCCTCAGCCTCCTGATTAGCAGGGACTATGGGTGCATGCCAACACGCCTGGCTAAGTTTTGTATTTTTAGTAGAGACGAGGTTTTGCCATGTTGGCCAGGCTGGTCTTGAACTCCTGACCTCAAGCGATCTTCCCACCTCGGCTTCCCAAACTGCTGGGATTACAGTTGTGAGCCACCACACCCAGCGCAATGCGATGTTTTGATACATGCATGCATTATGAAGTGATTTCCACAATCAGACTGACAACATACCTATTAGCTCACAGTCACTGCATGTCTGTGTGTGTGTGTGTGTGTGTGTGTGTGTGTTGAGAACACTTGAGATCTACTGCCTTAGCAAATGTCATATATATGATCACAAGATTATTAACTATAGTCACCATGCTGTACCTTAGGTACCCCAAACTTACTTTTATTGTATAAGTAAAACATTTACCCTTTACTGGGGGACCTGGAGTATGTGCAGATTTTGGTATATGCAGGGGGTGCTAGCACCAATCCCCCAAGTGTACCAAGGAATGACCGTGTGTATATAAAATCAGTTTCATTACCCGTTTATTTGTTGCTGGACGCTTAGGCTGTTTCCATATCTGGCTATTGTAAATAGTGCCGCAATGTATGTGGGTGTGCAGAAAACTCTTCACGATACTGATTTAAGTCCCTTTGTGGTATTGCTGGATCGTTTTAATTTTGGGGGGAACCTCCGTACTGTTTCCCATAATGGCTGTACCAATCTCCTTCCCCCCAGCAATGTGCAAGGGTGCCCTTTTCTCCACATCTCACTAGTACTCATGTGTCTTTTTGGTAATAGCCCTTCTAACAGGTATCAGGTGATAGCTCATCATGGTTTTGGGTAGAATTTCCCAGATGATTAATGATGTTGAGCAGCTTTTCATATATCCGTTGGCTGTTTGTGTGTTGCGTGTCTTTTTTTTTTTTTTTTAAGAGAGAGACAGGGTCTCGCTCTGCTGTGCAGGCTGGAGTGCAGTGGTGTGATCATGGCTCACTGTAGCCTTGATCCTGGCCTCAAGTGATCCTCCTGTCTCAGCCTCCCCAAGTTTTTGAGATTACAGGTGTAAGCCACCCTTGCTGGGGAACTTCCTTCTCACCCAGCATGTCTGTCTGCAGGCTCTTGGGCCTTCTGTGGTGGTGGAGGTGACAGTGGTGGCAGTGGGGTGATCATGGCTCACTGTAGCCTTGAACTCCTGGCCTCAAGTGATCCTCCTGTCTAGGCCTCCCCAAATTTTTGAGATTACAGGTGTGAGCCACTGTGCCAAGCATTATATGTCTTCTTTTGAAATCCTTTTGAAATCCATTTTCCATTTTTTTTTCTTTTTTGTTTTTTGAGATGGAGTCTTGCTCTGTTGCCCAGGCTGGAGAGGTGAGGTGCAGTGGCGCAATTTTGGCTCACTGCAACCTCCACCTCCCGGGTTTTAGTGATTCTCCTACCTCAGCCTCCCAAGTAGCTGGGATTACAGGTGTGTGCCACCACACCAGGCTAATTTTTGTATTTTTAGTAGAGACGGGGTTTCACCAGGTTGGCCAGGCTGGTCTCGAACTCCTGACCTCAAGTGAGCCACCTTCCTTGGCCTCCCAAAGTGCTGGGATTACAGGTGTGAGCCACCACACCTGGCCACCTTAGCCCATTTTCTAATCAGGGTGCTTGTTTTCTTGTTATTGCATTGTTATCTTTTCCCCTCTTTCCAGCCCACTCTTCTATGAGATTGCACACGCTTTGAGGGCCTGTATCTCGTCTTAGATGCTTTATCTATTCTTTGCCTTATGGAACTGGTTATGTAAAACATTCTTAGCTGAACATCCCCCTGCCTCTTGCCTTCTCCTTGTAAATGAATACTTATTGAGTGCTGCATGTGAGCAACTAGTTCGGTTAGTTTGGTTTCTAGATGCCCACAAGCAAAATAGGCCAGTGTCCTGCTGGGAGTAGGGAGAGGTTGTCTGGGTCTTCTTTGGGTTTGGGGCCAGACAGGTGACTGTGGAGCAGGCCAGGCACTCTGGGGACAGGATGATGCATTCTGGCTGGAGGATACAGGGAGGCTTTCCAGGGACCCTAACACAGCCTGCTGCCCTGGACCCTTGCTGGGTAACTTCCTTCTCACCCAGCATGTATGTCTGCAGGCTCTTGGGCCTTCTGCGGTGGTGGAGGTGACAGTGGTGGCAGCTGTGGTGGTCACCGTGGTGATGTGGCTGCTGTACTGTCATTATCTTAGGGCAAAACCCACAGGCCTGATGCACACAGTGTCTCCCTGTATGTTCGCACCATGATGGCTCAATTAGGGACCCATCGAACTGCGGCTCAACATTCAGGCCAGGTGCATAATTGAAAGCACATTTTCTCCTCCGAAGCTGCAGATGGTTTGGTTCTTCTGCTCATAGAGAAAGGGATCTAACCTTGTATAATATAGGAACTGAACAGCTGAGAGAGAAGCCAAATTCAATTTCAGTCAGATATGTTGAGGCTAAGTCCATGATCTATGGAAGCAGGGGCAGGAGCCATGCACCTGTGGAAAGGGGTGCCCTCAGCACTCTATTAATCATGGCTGCCCACCCGGTGCTGCCACCACTGCCTGGTGCCACTGCACCCGTGCGCCCCCTCCAATGCGGGCTGGAGCGCAGCCAAGCACTCCAGAAGTTAACCTCTGAAAGACCCAGAGCTGCTTTCTGTTGAATAAATGTAATTTTGTGGTCAGAAATAAATGTTTGTGATATACTAGGAGCTTTGAAAACAATGGCAAGCTGGAGCGATTACAATTCGATAAAAGTTCTATGAAGCCATTGTATGTAATGAACAATCCAGAGCAAATCTAATATTTTCAGTGGATAATTATTTTTAACATCCTCTCAGTAACCGCTGGTAGATTTCTTGGATGTTTACAGCTCGAACTCAGGCAAGGTGGGCCTTCCCAGCTGTCATTTGGCGTCTCTGCCGGGGGACCTGCTCCAGGGACCCAGCTGCCTGCATGGCTCCTGAACATGGGGCTCTGGACCTGGGGTTCAGGCTGCCAAGGAAGGGTGCATGGTGGATGTTAATTAAGTTTACTAAAGTTCCATCAATTTAATACAGTCATTCCTTAAGTGAAACTGACACCAAGGACCAGATGGCCGAAAGAAGCCCACGTTCCTGTGTGTGGTTCTGAGGAGGGAGCATAGGATGCAGTTTGATAACAGCTGAGAGCCCTGAGGAGTTTGTTGCTGGATGTGGACTATTCCACGTCTCGTCCCTCCCCAAGTTTTCTTCCAATGGTGTCACAGCTCCCTTTGCTAATAATATTTTACACAGAATTTTACATCCACAAAGCACCATTTCAATGATCTCACTCACTCTTCCTCACCACCCTGTGCTGGGGGCATCATCGCCATTCTCAGTTACCAACAAGAGGGGTTGCAGAGAGTCCAAGGGGCAAGGCAGGGGCTCCCAGCTCCAGGCTCCGGCCTCTCCTCCCCTCCACCCTCTTCTGGTCCTGTCCTGAAATCTTTGGCTCCCTTGAACCTTGTTATGCCCAGGCATATGCCACCCTCATGCCACTGTATTCCCACCACCTCCAACAACTGTCCCTAGCCTGATGGGGTCACATGCTTGTCCAGTCCCCTGCACAGAAAAGCCTCATGGACAGCCCTGAGAGATCAGAAATAGACTGAACAGGGTCACTCCGTTGGAAGGGGTGGTAGTAATAGAACCCAGGTGTTTGAACTCTGTCTAATATTCCTTCCACTCTCTCACATACACATACACACATACATGCACACAAGGGCACATGACCACTACTAATCAAATAAAAAAAATCAGTTGGGCACGACGGCTTATGCCTGTAATCCCAGCAATTTGGGAGGCCAAGGCAGGCAAATTACCTGAGGTCAGGAGTTTGAGACCAGCCTGGCCAACATGGTGAAACCCCATCTCTACTAAAAATACAAAAATTAGCTGGGCATGGTGGGACATGCCTGTCATCCCAGCTACTCAGGAGGCTGAGGCAGGGGAATCACTTGAATCCAGAAGGCAGAGGTTGCAGTGAACTGAGATTGCACTACTGCACTCCAGCCTGGGCAACAGAGTGAGACTCCATCTCAAAAATAAATAAATAAAAGGAATTTGGCATAAAATCACTAATGTTGACTGTTTCAGCCTGGGTGACAGAGCGAGACTCTGTCTCAAAAACAAAACAAACAAACAAACAAACCTGAGCTCCATGTCTGTTTCACCTGTTCCCCTCTAAGTATAAATTTCCTGAGCCTTCTAAGTTCCAGCCAGGTGGGCCGGAGGTCACCGAGATCTCTCCTCACTGGGGGACGGAATAGGCCTCTCCCTGCTTTGCTGCTGTTCTTTGGCCTTGTCCCCTGCCTCCTTTCCTGGACCACCTACAAGGACCTAGAGGGAACAGTACTGGGGGCAGGAGCTGGGAAAGGCCTGCTGTGGTTCACTGCTAGTAAGAAATAGAGACTCACTCAGAGAAATTTCCTGAAACACAGCAGACTCTTGGCGCAGCCCTTTGAGCAGATGAAGGAGGACAAGAAGAAGAACATCCCTCAGCTCCAGCTGCATGCCAGAAACTTCACTTACATTATCTCATTTCATCTGCACAGCAGCTCAGCCCAGAGTGGAGAGGAGTAAATTGGCCCAGAAAGATCAAGTAACTTCCTTGGAGCTTGTCAGCGTTGAGTGGAAACTTGGACTCTGATGTCGAACTCCAAACCCCATGCTTATTCTGTAAAGCCTGAAAAGTGTCTTGGAATTGCTTTAGAAGTAGGAGAAGAGGGGAACCCTGTGACATTACACTGTCTTCCAGCATAACAAGAAAAGAGAAACCAGCTGGGTGCGGTAGCTCACACCTGTAATCCCAGCACTTGGAGAGGCAGAGGCAGGAGGATCACTTGAGCCCAGGAGTTTGAGTCCAGCCAGGGCAAAATAGTAAGACCTCATCTCTACCAAAGGAAAAAAAAAGGAAAGAAAAAGAGAAACCCATGAAATTATCCATGGGTACATAGGAAGGGAGAGAACCTAGGGCTGTGGGAGGAATGACTGCAGTCCTACCCTGGGAAACAGCTTTGCTTTTCGGGGAGCCCCTTGGTAATTGAGGACTTAGGAGAGCAAGTCTGGCCCTGAGATGTGGGACCAGGCAACCTCACAGAGCACACATCAGCAGATAAGGGCCATCGCTCTAAGAACACAGTCTTGTCCCAGTGCAGGTACAAGGAGGGCTCAGAAGTCTGGCTGGGAGCATTCCTGCCATCCCTACTGAGGAGCCGCCACTGTGGACCAGGACACCCCATGGGTATAGGAGCAGACTCCCAGAGTATAGACACTGCTTTTCTTTTCACAGTCTCCCGAATTTTCTCTTGGGTTCCTGCTTAGAGGAGCAGAGAAAACCAAACCGACAAATCGCCAATCTTGGAGTCAGATCTGGATTTGAATTCTGACATCATCATTTGCCAGCCGTGACTTTGAATATCACGTGTCCACTTCTCTATCCCATCCATATAACAGGAAATCTCTCTTGCAGAGCAGAGACAAGCACATGTTTAAAGATGATGGTATAAAAGCAGTGCTGGATAGGAGCTGGTAGCTAGTTATTGATCATAGAACCCTCCAGGTCCTTTAACCACTTCAATAGCTGTACTCTTCGAGGATTTAACCTTCTGGGGCTCTCCCTGTATCCCTGTCCCATCCACACTCCAGAGTAACCTCATCTAGGCCATTTGGGGCTGGCAGTTCCAAATTTTTGCCTCTGGCCTGGGCCTGTCATCCAACGTCAGGCCTCCCTTTGGGCACCTAATAATCTTCACTTCTCATGTAAACACGGGCACCTCTGCATGCCCCATTTCAGGAGCGGTAACCAGCCCCTAAGTCACCCTGGCCAGAACTCTGGGAGAAGCCATGCTCAGTATTAGATCCTGTGACTTCTTCTTCTCCTTCTTCTTCTTCTTATTTACTATTATTATTGTGTTGGGCTCTTGCTCTGCTGCCCAGGCTGGAGTGCATTGGTTCCATCATAGCTCATTGCAGCCTCGAACTCCTGGGTTCAACTGATCTTCCCACCTCAATCTCCCGAGTAGCTGGGACTACAGGTGCATGCCACCACAGTCCGCTATGACCCTGTGAATTCTATTTCCCTAACCTCGCTGGAATCAGCCTCCTCCCTTTCCTGGACTGGTCTGTCTACCACCAGTTGCCATCTAGTCCTAAGTGATCACTTCATGCCCCTCCTCAGTTGACATCCTCAGGGACTCTCCTTCAGCATTAAGCTGCCACCCTCAGATGTGGTCCCCTGCACCTCCCTCCACAGGCTGGCCCCTGCCTGCCTCCTCACCTCACATCTCCCCAGTCACCTCCTCTGCTCCAAGGCATGGCAGGTTCCTGCCCTTCTCTGAACAGGCCACTCTGTTTGAACATGTCTCTGTGTCTTTAAATAGCCCTCTTTTCCCCACTGAAGCCCTGTCCCTCCCACCACGAATAAAGATGATCTTTGTCTTCTTTAAAACTTGCCATAAGTTTGCAAAACACAGGATGCAGTCTGTAATAGCCTATCATTTGTATTTGAAAAAAAAAAAATGGGGCCAGGCATGGTGGCTCATGCCTGTAATCCCAGCGCTTTGAGAGGCTGAGGTGTGTTGGGAGAAAAGCTGAGTGTTGGGAGAGAAGCTGAGGCTTGCATGTCTGCTAGACTTGCTGGCTCCTTGCTTCTAGCACTCATGTTATCTCAAGCAGCCATATGTTTCTTATTCATTTGATACACTGTTTCCTTTCAATCCCCACATCCTCACCACCTGTTTGTTTGTTTGAGCACCAATAAATAGCATGGGCTCCCAGAGCTCAGGGCCTTTGCAGCCTCCACACTCGTGATGGCCCCCTGGTCCCACTTTCTCTCTCAAACTGTCTTTTTCTCATACCTATGACTCCACTGGACTTCGTCGCCCCCACGACCTGGTGTTGGGTCTGATCACCCCAACAGAGGCGGGCGTATTACCTGAGCTCAGGAGTTTGAGACAAGGCTGGCCAACATGGGGAAACCCCGTCTTTACTAAAATACAGAAAATTAGCCGGGCATGGTGGCAGGCCCCTGTAGTCCCAGCTACTCAGGGTACGAGAATCAGAGGCAGGAGAATCATTTGAATCTGGGAGGCAAAGGTTGCAGTGAGCCAAGATTGCACGACTGCACTCAAGTCCAGGTGACAGTGCAAGACTAAAAAAAAAAAAAAAAAAAAAAATGAAAGCAGTGCATGTCTATAGATGCTTGTAAATGCATTAATATCTCTGGGAGGATGCCCAAGGCCATCTTTACCTCCAGGCTAGGCAGCTGGATGACAGGTGGATGTGGACGGGAGAAAGACCTACTTTTCACTATCAACTTTGTTTTTGCTTTTCTTTTAACAGTTAAATGACTATTAGTGTATTCACCAAGTCGTGCAGCCAATACCCTAATTCCAGAATATTTTCATCAGCTCAGAAAGAAACCTCATACTGGCTGGGCATGGTGGCTCATGCTTGTAATCCCAACCCTTTGGGAGGCCGAAATGGGGAGATCACTTGAGGTCAGGAGTTCAATAACAGCCTGACCAACATGGCGAAACCCCATCTCTACTAAAAAAAAAAAGTACAAAAAAATTAGCTGAGCATAGTGGTGGGCACCTGTTATCCCAGCTACTCGGGAGGCCAAGGCAGGAGAATCACTTGAACCCAGGAAGCAGAGTTTGCAGTGAGCCAAGATCATGCCACTGCACTCCAGCCTGGGCAACACAGCAAGACTCCATCTAAAAAAAAAAAAAAAAGAAAGCAGCCAAGCGCAGTGGCTCATGCCTGTAATACCAGCAGTTTGGGAGGCTGAGGCAGGTGGATCACGAGGTCAGGAGTTCCAGACCAGCCTAGCTAAGCTAGTGAAACCCTGTCTCTACTAAAAATACAAAAACTAGCCAGGCACAGTGGTGGGCGCCTGTAATCCCAGCTACTCGGGAGGCTGAGGCAAGAGAATCGCTTGAACCCGGGAGGTGGAGGTTGCAGTGAGCTGAGATTGTTGCACTGCACTCTAGCCTGGGTGACAGGGCAACAAGACTGTCTCAAAAAAAAAAAAAAAAGAAAAGAAAAGAAAAAGAAACCTCTTACCTGTTAGCAGTCACTCCTCATTCATCCCAACCCCAACCCTTGGCAACCATGATTCCCCCTTCTGTCTCTATAGATTTGGCCATTCTTAACATTTCATATCAATGAAATCAAATAAAATATTAGTTTTTTGTTCCTGGCTTCTTTTACTTAACCATGTTTTGATATTCATCTGTGCTCTAGCATATACCAGTACTTGCTTTCGTTCTTTTTATGGCCGAATAATATTCCATTGTATGGATGTCCCATATTTTATTTATCCAATTATCAGCTGATGGCCATTTGGAGTTTTTTTTCCCCTCTTTTTGGCTATTGTGAATAATGCTTCTATGAACATTCATATACAAGTTTTTGTGCAGCTAAACATTTTTATTCTTGCCTATGTACCTAGAAGTAGAATTGCTGGTTAATAGGGTAACTCTATTTTTAACATTTTGAGGAGTGGCCAAACTCTTTTCCAAAGTGGCTGCATCCTTTCTAACACTTAGCATCATTTTTTTTTTTGAGACAGGGTCTTGCTCTGTTGCCCAGGCTGGAGTGCAGTGGCATGATCTTGGCTCACTGCAACCTCCACCTCCCAGGTTCAAGCGATTCTCCTGCCTCAGTCTCCTGAGTAGCTGGGACTACAGGCATGTGCCACCACACCCGACTAATTTTTTTGTATGTTTAGTGGAGACGAGGTTTCACCATGTTGGCCAGGCTGGTCTCAAACTCCTGACCTCATGTGATCTGCCTGCCTCAGCCCCCCAAAGTGCTGGGATTACAGGTATGAGCAACTGCGCCCGGCCCCATTATTTATCTTTTTGATGATAGTCATCCCAGTGGATGTGTTGTGGTGGTATCTCATTGTGGTTTTGATTTGCATTTCTCTAATAAGTATTGGCATTGAGCATCTTTTATGTGCCTATTGGCAATTTGTATCTTTGGAGAAATATCTATTCAGATCCTTTGCCCATATTCTAATTCAGTTACTTTTGTTAAATTTTTTAATTTTTGTGGGGATATATATATACACACACACATATATATATGTATGTATGTATGTATTTATGGAGTGGGGCACATGAGATGTTTTGATACAGGCATGTTAAGTGTAATAATCTCATTATGGAAAATGGGGTATCCATCACCTAAAGCATTTATCATTTGTGTTACAAACAATCCGATTATACTTCTTTAATTACTTTTAAATGAACAATTAAGTTATTGACTGTACGCATCCCTGTTGTGCTATCATATAATAGGTCTTAATTCATTCCTCCTGGTTTTTTTGGTACCCATTAACCATACCGTTTCCAGCCCCACTACCCCTCCAGGACTCTGGCAACCATCCTTCTACTATCTATGTCCAAGAGTTAAATTGCTTTTATGTTTATATCCCACATATACATGAGAACATGAGCTGTTTGTCTTTCTGTGCCTGGCTAATTGTCTTTTCATTTAATGAGTTTTAAGAGGGCTTTATATGTTCTGGAGTACCTTAACAAAACTTCCATTCTGCAGGTTGTCTTTTCACTTTTTTTTTTTTTTTGAGACAGAGTCTTACCCTGTTGCCCAGGGTGGGGTGCAGTGGTGTGATCTCAGCTCACTGAAACCTCTGCCTCCCAGGTTCAAGCCATTCTTCTGCCTCAGACTCCTGAGTAGCTGGGATCACAGTTGTGTGTGCCACCACACCCAGCTAGTTTTTATATTTTTAGTAGAGACAGGGTTTCGCCATATTGGCCAGGCTGGTCCCGAACTCCTGACCTCAGGTGATCCACCCACCTCAGCCTACCAAAGTGCTGGGATTACAGGCATGAGCCATTGTGCCCAGCCTCTTTTCACTTTCTTGGTAATGTCTTTAGAGGCACAGAAGTTTTACATTTGATGAAATCCAATTTATTGATTTTTCTTTTGTTATTTGTGCTTTTGGCATCATACCTAAGAAACCATTCCCTAATCCAAGGTCATAAAGGTTTACCCCTATGTTTTCTTTTAAGAGGTTTTATAGTTTTAGCTTTTACATTTTGGTCTTTGATTTATTTTCAGTTAATTTTTGCATATGGTGAGGTAGGGATCAAACTTTGCTCTTTTGCATGTGGATATCCGATCGTCTCAGTACCATTTGTTGAAACACTGTTATTTTGCCATTGATTTGTCTTGTCACTCTTGTCAAAAATCAGTTGATCATAATATGAGGGTTCCTTTCTAGGCTGTAGTGATCTGTATGTTTATCCTTATGCCACTACCAGTTCTGGTCAATGTAGCTTTGTATTTAGTTTTGAAATTGGGAAGTGAGACTCCTCCAACCTTGTTTTTCTTTTTCAAAATTATTTTGGTTATTTGGGGTCACTTGCATTTTCATATGAATCTTAGAATCAACTTGTCAATTTCTGCAAAGAAGCCTGCTGGGTCTAGGCACAGTGGCTCTTGCCTGTAATTCTAACACTTTGGGAGGCCAAGGTGGGAGGATCACTTGAGCCTAATAATTTGAGAACAGCCTGGGCAACATAATGAGACCTCATCTCTACAAGAAAAAATTTAAAGATTAGCCAAGCATGGTGGTGCATTCCTGTAGTCTCCATCACTCAGGAGGCTGTGACAGGAGGATCAGTTGAGCCTGGGAATTGGAGGTTGCAGTGAGCCGAGGTTGTGACATTACACTCCAGCCTGGGTGACAGAGTGAGACCCTGTCTCAAAAAAAAAGAAAGAGCTGGAATTTTGATAGGCGTTACCTTGAATGTGTAAATCCACTTTGTGACTACTGCCATCTTAAAAATATTAAGTCGTCCACTCCATGAACATTGGACATCCTTCCGTTTAGTTTAGTGTCTTTCAGCAGTGTTTTATGGTTTTTAGGCACAAGTTTTGTGTTTCTTTTGCGAAATTTATTCCTAAGCATTTTATTCTCTTTTTGATGCTACTATAAATGGATTTTTTTTTACTTTCACTTTCAGATCATTTATTGCAAACATATAGAAAGACAACTGATTTTTATACAGGGATACTTTGTTGCATTGAGCTTTACTTTATTATGCTTTACAGATATTGTGCTTTTTCACAAATTGAAGTTTATGGCAACCTTGAGTCAAACAAGTGTGTCAGCAACATTTTTCCAACTGCAGGTGCTCACTTCATGTCTCTTTGTCATATGTTGGTAATTCCCACAACATTTCTAATTTTTCACTATTATTATGTCTGATATGTTGATGTGCAGTCAGGGAGCTTTGATGTTACTATTGCCATTGTTTGGGGACACCACAAACTATGACCCATATAAGATGGCCGACTTAATTGATAAATATTGTGTGTGTTCTGACTACTCCACCAAACAGCTGTTTCCCATCTCTTCCTGTCTTTGGGTTTCCCTATTTCTTGAGACACAGCAATACTGAAATTAGGTGAATTAATAATCCTACAATGGCCTGTTTAAGTAATCAAGTGAAAGGAGCAGTCACATGTCTCTCACTTTAAGTCAAAAGCTAGAAATGATTAAGCTCAGCGAGGAAGGCACGTTAAAAGCTGAGATAGGTTAAAAGCTAGACTTTTTTGCACCAGTTAGCCAAGTTGTGAATGGAAAGGACAAGTTCACGAAGGAAATGAAAAGTGCTGCTCCAGTGAACACATGAGTGATTTAAAAAAAGCCTTATTTCTGATAGGGAGAAAGTTTCGATGGTCTGGATAGCAGATCAAACCAGCGACAACATTTTCTTAAGCCAAAGCCTAATTCTCTTAATTGGGGCTTAATCCTCTCAAGCCAAGGCCCTGACTCTCTTCAATTCTATGAAGGCTTAGGGAGGTGGGGAAGCTACAGAAGAAAAGTTGGAAGCTAGCGGAGGTTGGTTCATGATGTTTAAGGAAAGAATTCATCTCCATAACACAAAAGTGCAAGGTGAAGCAGCAAATGCTTTGTTGGAAGCTGCAGCAAGTTATCCAGAAGATCTAGCTAAGACAATCAATGAAGGTGATGGCACTACACAACAGATTTTCAGTGTAGGCAAACAGCCTTCTCTTGGAAGAAGATACAATCTAGGACTTGGATAGCTAAAGAGAAGTCAGTGTCTGTCTTCGAAGCTTCCAAATGCACGCTGACTCTCGTTATTGTTAAGGCATAATGCAGCTGGCGACTTGGAGTTGAAGCCATTGCTCATTTACCATTCTGAAAAATCCTAGGGCCCTTCAGAATTAAGCTACACCTACTCTGCCTGTGCTCTAGAAATGGAATAATAAAGCCTGGATCACAGCATCTCTTTACAGCATGGTTTATTGAATATTACTATTGAGACCTACTGCCCAGAAGAAAAAAAGTTCTTTAAATTTTTTTTATTTTTATGAGACGGAGTCTTGCTCTTGTCACCCAGGCTGGAGTGCAATGGCACAATCTCGGCTCACTGCAACTTCCGCCTCCCAGGTTCATATGATTCTCCTGCCTCAGCCTCCTGAGTAGCTGGGATTACAGGCTCCCACCACCATGCCCAGCTAATTTTTGTATTTTTAGTAAAGACGGGTTTTTGCTATGTTGGCCAGACTAGTCTCAAACTCCTGACCTCGTGATTCATCCACCTCAGCCTCCCAAAGTGCTGGGATTACAGGCATGAGCTACTGCGCCTGGCGTAAAAAAGGTTCTTTTCAAAATATTACTGCTCATTGACAGTGCACCTGGTCAACAAAAGCTCTGATGGAGATGTACAAGGAGATGAATACTGTTTTCATGCCTGCTAATACAACATGCATTCTACAGCCCATGGATCAAGGAGTAATTTTGACATTCAAGTCTTATTATTTAAGAAATACATTTTGGGCCGGGTATGGTGGCTCACGCCTGTAATCCCAGCACTTTGAGAGGCCAAGGTGGGCGAATCACGAGGTCAGGAGATCCAGACCAACCTGGCTAACCCAGTGAAACCCCATCTCTACTGAAAATATAAAAAAAATTAGCCGGGCATGGTGACAGGTGCCTGTAGCCCCAGCTATTCAGGAGGCTGAGGCAGGAGAATGGCGTGAACCCAGGAGGTGGAGCTTGCAGTGAGCAGAGATTGCGCCATCACATTCCAGCCTGGGCAACAGGGTGAGACTTCATCTAAAAAAAAAAAAATACATTTTATACGGCTATAGCTGCTGTAAATGGTAATTCCTCTGATAGATCTAGGCAAAGTAAATAGAAATCCTTTCCTTCTGGAAAGGATTCACCATTTTCGATTCCATAAAGAACATTTGTGATTCATGGGAGGAGGTGAAAATAGCATCATGAACAGGAGTTTGGAAGAAATGGATTCCAACCCTCATGGATGAGTTTGAGGGGTTCAAGACTTCAGTGGAGGAACGAACTGCAGATGTGGTGGAGATAGCAAGAGAACTAGAATTCGAATTGGAGCCTGAAGATGTGACTGAATTGCTGCAACCTCATGTTCAAACTTGAATGGATGAGGGGTTGCTTCTTATCATGAGCAAAAAAAGTGCTTTGTTGAGATGGAAACTACTCTTGGTGAAGATGCTGTGAATGTTGTTGAAATGACAACAAAGGATTTAGAATATTCCACAAACTGATAAAGCAGTGGCAGGGTTTGAGAGGATTGACTCCCATTTTTAAAGAAGTTCTACTGTGGGTAAAAAGCTATCAAGCAGCATTTTATGATACAGAGAAATCTTTTGTTAAAGGAAGAGTCAATTAATGTAGACAATTTCATTGTTGTCATATTTTAAGAAATTGCCACAGTCACCCCAACCTTCAGTAACCACAACCCTGATCAGTCTAGCAGCCATCAACATCGAAGTAAGACTCTCCACCAGCAAAAAGATTACAACTCCCTGAAGGCTCAGATAATTGTTAGCACATTTTGGCAATAAAGTATTTTTAATTAAGATATGTACATTTTTGAGACATACAGCTGTTGCATACTTAATAGACTATGATATAAACATAACTTTTATATTCACTGGAAAACCAAAAAAATTATGTGACTTGATTCATTGCAATATTTGCTTTTTTTTTGTCATATTTGCCT
Source organism: Homo sapiens (assembly GCF_000001405.40). Taxonomy (NCBI): domain Eukaryota; kingdom Metazoa; phylum Chordata; class Mammalia; order Primates; family Hominidae; genus Homo; species Homo sapiens. The sequence continues at coordinate 56,935,913 of NC_000007.14, forward strand.
TTTTTTTTTTCTATTTTTGAAATAGTCTCACTCCGTCACTCAGGCTAGAGTACAGTGGTGCAATCTTGGCTCACTGCAACCTCGGCTCACTGCAACCTCCATCTCCCAGGTTCAGGCGATTCTCATGCCTCAGCCTTCTGAGTAGCTGGGATTACAAGTATGTGTCACCATACCCGGCTTTTTTTTTTTTTTTTTTTTAGTAGACAGGGTTTCACGATGGTGGCCAGGCTAGTCTCAAACTCCTGACCTCAGGTGATCCACCTTCCTCAGCCTCCCAAAGTGGTGGGATTACAAGTGTGAGCCACCGCACCTGGTCCGTTTTTACTTGCTTATGGTGGTCTGGAAGCAAACCTGCATTATCTTCAAGGTACACCCATATATTGATCTTGCATTGTCCAATCTTGCTGAATGTGAACGTTTTTATACATTTACAATTTTTTTTTATTGTACACGTATATTATCTACTCACAACAATGGTGATATAAAAATCTCAGGTAGGCATTTATCCCCTAGGAAGCCTGCCGCACACCCCCACCAGGATTTACCTGAGGGAGGTAGGGGAGGGAAGCATTGGCCCATCTTAAGCTTTTTGGGAGCAGCAGAAGGAATCTCTGTCTCCCATAGGATGGGATAGAACACTGCCTAGCACATCTTAACCTCCTTAAATGACTTTACTGACAGAGTGAAGGAACAAGTGAAGCAGGGGTGAGCAAGGCAGCCGGCACCTTTTTCCTCTGAACAGCCCTGTTGCAGGCAGGCTTCCCTGCTGTCTAAGCCATGATCTGCCGTGCTGGAGCATTTACCTGCTCATTCTGGTTTTGCACTGTGGGCAGAGAGAAGACGCTAACCTTTCTTCCCCAAGACAGCCTTTCAGATAGATGTTAACAGCCAGAATGGCAGATGTACTTGGAAGGGTTTTTTAAAGTCAAGGAGAATAGAAATGCTTGTTGCTATTTTTATCATCTTGGCTTTTAATCTCATACTATCCCCTGCCACATTTCTACTCTATGGATCCCACACCCTTCCTTGAAGGCAGTGGCTTCTTCACGGATTCTCTAGTTTTCCTTACTTAGAAACTTTGCTAAGTGGGGCCGGGAGTGGTGGCTCATGCCTGTAATCCCAGCACTTTGGGAGGCGGAGGCGGGTGGATCACTTGAGGTCAGGAGTTCGAGATGAGCCTGGCCAACATGGTGAAACTCCATCTACTAAAAATACAAAAATTAGCCAAGCGTGGTGGAGGGCACCTATAACCCCAGCTACTTGGGAGGCTGAGGCAGGAGAATCACTTGAACCTGGGAGGTGGAGGTTGCAGTGAGCTGAGATCATGCCATCACACTCCAGCCTGGGTGACACAGCGAGACTTCATCTCAAAAAAAAATGTAGAACCCTCAAGCTTTGAGGGTTTTGGAGTGAGAGAGAGAGAGGAAAAACCCAGAGGCACCATTATCACCTGTCAACTTGGGTGAAATGCACTAGCTTGAGACAACTGTGTTGGTGGACGAGGGTGCGTCAACAGCCATTAACATCATTAATGGCAGAGAGATTTGACACAGAGCAGTAGGAACACCAGCCAGTGTGCCCTTGGGGTCAGCCAGGGTCATTGACAAGCTCTGGACAAGCTCTTGCAAATGAAACGTCTGCAGAAATGACATGTCACTTCTGGGCAAGGCAGTGAAAAGTCTGCATGGACTTTCAACCCTTCTTTCTCCCATGGGCAGGGACAGGAGAGGCCATGTGTTACCGAGTGGGGAGAGGACTGTCTGCCTGAGGCCCTGAGAGACCGTGTGGAGCATAACACCCTTCACCCTCCAGAGAGGACAGGCAGCAAAAGCGAGAAGTCAGGCTTGTTCTACGGAGCCACTGAGATTTCTGGGCTAATTTGTTATACAGCAATAACCCCTCTCATCCTAACTAATACAGCCAGAAATCCATCAGGATCTAGGGAAAATAAAAGTGCACAGGCCCCTACCTTGGAGTCTAGCAAATCCATGCCTGAAAGTAGCCTCAGGGGCAGTCTTTGTCTAATTAAAATCTTCTGGTCAAGGCTGGGCATGGTGGCTCACGCCTGTAATCCCAGTGCTTTGGGAGGCTAAGAAGGGAGGATCACTTGAGTCTAGGAGTTCAAGACCATCCTGGGCTACAAAGTGAGATCTTGTCTTTACGATTTTTTTTTTTCCAGATAGAGCCTCGCACTGTCGTCTGGGCTGGAGTGCAGTGGTGCGATCTCAGCTCACTGCAACCTCTGCCTCCTGGGTTCATGTGATTCTCCTGCCTCAGCCTCCCAAGTAACTGGGGTTACAGGTGCACACCACCATACCCAGCTAATTTTTTGTCTTTTTAGTACAGACGGGGTTTCACTATGTTGGCCAGATTGGTCTCGAACTCCTGACCTTGTGATCTGTCTGCCTCAGCCTCCCAAAATGCTGGGATTACAAGCATGAGCCACCATGCATGGAAACAAAAATTTTTTAAAAATTAGCTGGGTGCAGTGGCCTGTGCATGTAATCCCAGCTACGTGGGGGACCTGGGCTCTCCCTTGAGCCCAGGAGGTTGAGGCTGCAGTGAACCATGTTCCCACCACTGCACTCCAGCCTGGGCGACAGAGTGAGACCCTGCCTCTAAAAAAATAAAATCTAGTCACAGCATTTTTTTGTTTTTTAACAAAACAGAACAGTAGTATTGGGAGTATCACGAAGGCTTGATGTCATTTATAAATACACACACGTGTTTACAGGGCTATAATATAAAATGTATTTCTTTCTTCCTGGAAGTCATGGTCAAAAAGAGTTTGACAGTCTACCAAGCTGGCTAGGCACAGTGGCTCACGCCTGTAATCCTAGCACTTTGGGAGGCTGAGGCAGGCAAATCACAAGGTCAGGAGTTTGAGACCAGCCTGGACAATATGGTGAAACCCCATCTCTACTAAAAATACAAAAATTAGCCAGGTGTGGTGGCGGGCGCCTGTAGTCCCAGCTACTCGGGAGGCTGAGGCAGGAGAATCCCTTGAACCTGGGAGACGGAGGTTGCAGTGAGCCGAGATCGTGCCATTGCACTCCAGCCTGGGTGACAGAGAAAGACTCCATCTCAAAAAAAAAAAAAAAAGATAAAAGAAAAAAAAGAAAGTCTACAAAGCCTGGCCTGGACCCTTGCAAAATGTCACTGCCATGAAACACAGGGGTGGGTGAAGGACCATCCTGGATTAAAGGAAAGGTATGAATCTAGAGAGGATGTTGGGTCAGGAAAAAAAAAATGCTATAAAGAACATTATCGGGGCCGGGCGCGGTGGCTCATGCCTGTAATCCCAGCACTTTGGGAGGCTGAGGTGGGCTGATCGCCTGAGGTCAGGAGTTCGTAACCAGCCTGAGGAACATGGTGAAACCCCATCTCTACTAAAAATACAAAAATTAGCCTGGCATGGTGGCAGGTGCCTGTAATCCCAGTTACTTGGGAGGCTGAGACAGGAGAATCGCTTGAACCCAGGAGGCGGAGGTTGCAGTGAGTTGAGATGGCGCCACTGCACTCCAGCCTGGGCAACAGAGTGAGACTGTCTCAAGAAAAAAAAAAAAGGAAAGAAACGTCTTGGCTGGTAGAAAATACACTCTGAAGTATTAGTAATTAGGCAAGAAAGGTGATGACATCTACAACTAACTCTCAAATGGTGCAAGGGAAATATGTATTTCATATTTATATATACTTAGGGAGAAATTTAAGTACAGAGAGACAGGGGTGGAGGGAGAGGGGGAGAGAGTGCTCGTATGGGACTTCACTGTATCATTCTTGCAAGCTTTCTGTAGGTTTGAAATTTTTGCAAAATAAAAAGTAGTTTTCAAAAAAAGTTTGAAAGGCCAGGCACGATGGCTCATGCCTGTAATACCAGCACGTTGGAAGACCGAGGTGGGAGGATTGCTTGGGGCTAAGAGTTCAAGACTAGCCTGGGCAACATTGTTTGTCTCTACAAACAATTTTTAAAATTAGCCAGGCTTGGTGGCATGTGCCTGTGGTCCTAGCTACTCAGGAGGCTGAGGGGGGAGGATGGCTTGAGTCCAGGAGGTTGAGGCTGCAGTGAGCTATGATCATGCCACTGCACTCTAGCCTGGCTGACAAAGTCAGATGAAAGCCATTGCCCAAGATAAACAGTGACATGGTGACAAAGGCAGAACAGTCTTTGAAGCCCTGTTTATACCAGGGAAACCAGGGTCTGCCTCAGAGTCTCTGTGGCTACACGCTGTGCATACACTGCATACACAGGCTTGTGTGGGTGTGAGCCGGTGTGCAGGTGTGCACGCTGGCATGCAGGTGGACACACACCTGGCACTCAGCCAGCCCGGCTCCTGTCATGTCACATGCCACCAGCAGGAGACAAGGGCTGGGGTGGGATGGGGTCGGAAGTGGGCACTCAGGGCCTCCCCCTTGGGCCCCAGTTCCTACCTGTGCAGCCGAAGGCCACGGTGCCCACAGCAGCCAGGTTGATGGCGTAGGCCTGGTCCCGAGAGAAGAGCTGCAGCCACACGTCACAGATGCTGATAAAAAGGAGAGGGCCCAAGGCTAAGAGGTAGCCTGTTGGGGGAGAGGCCAGTGAGGGGAGTGGTGGAGCCAACTGGGTGGGGTCCCCCTCCTCCTCGCCCCTCCTGCAGAGTCGGTCTGAGGCTTTCTCTGCCCTTGCCCTTTAAGGAGGGCCAGGGATGCTTTACAAGTCTAACGGGCACCTGGAGGGCTTCCTGTAGGAGGCACCATTTGAGCCAGGCCTCGAAGCTGGATGTTGCCGTGCAGAGGAATGGGAAAGGAAGAACACACTGGGTGTGGGGAAGAGCTTGGGCAGGGCCCAGGGACATGACGTGGGGTACAGAGGCCCCACCACGGTGTCTTAGACCAGACCCCAGGGCAGCCCTAGGAAGTGTGCCCATTTTACAGACGAGGGGAGTGAGGCTCAGGGAAACTGGGTGAGTGGGTGACCGGCCAGGCAGGTGGGAGCCATGACAGGCAGGTGTCCCATGGCAGGGCCCAGCGCACTTGCGGTGATCCTGGTGTGCAGGGTCAGTCTCTCCACCAGGACGTTGTTCAGGAGCACGGCTGCCAGCGCCACCAAGATGTAGGTGAGGCTCATGTCAAACACAATGGAAGTCCCTGCAGAGGACCAGAGACAGCGGGTGCTCAGGGAGGCCCCACCCTCTGCACTAACTCCTGTCGGGTGCGACCTCCCAGAAGGGGCTCGCTGCCCACAGAGGGTGAGTGGCTGCCCTGAGGTCACTCAGCAGCTCACAGTGGAGCTGAGATCTGAATAAAACAGGTCTCTGGGTAGGACCCTCCCCGCCGGGGGTTTCTGGGAGGCCCCAGGCCATGATGAGTATGCTGAGTGGCTGGGCATGACCGTGGAGGGACCCACCTGGGTACTTGTGATGCAGGTAGTCCACGTCCGTGATGAAGCTGTTGTATGGCAGCAGGAAGCCCACGCCAGACAGCAGCATCGCAAAGTAGATGGCGTGATAGCGGTCATTGGGCACTGGCTCCTCCAATGCTAAAGCAAGAGACGCCAGGTGAGACAGGGCACGCTCCATGCATGGCTACGGCCACCTCACAGGGCGATGTCCACCACCCCGGCCGCCATCACCATGGCCACTGTCCATCGCTGTGACCCCTGCTCCCCTCTGTTCCAGATACCTCTGTCATCTGGCCATTATCAAAGCCACCAAATGCTGTGGCTATGGCCACCACACCCACGCCCTCACAGCCACTGAAGCTACCAGCTTGATGGACAGGAAATCAGCTCATGCCTGTAATCCCAGCACTTTGGGAGGCCAAGGCGGGCAGATCACCTGAACTCAGGAGTTCGAGACCAGCCTGGCCAACATAGTGAAACCCCATCTCTACTAAAATACAAAAAATGGCCAGGCGCGGTGGCTCACGCCTGTAATCCCAGCACTTTGGGAGGCCAAGACAGGCGGATCGCGAGGTCAGGAGATCGAGACCATCCTGGCTAACATGGTGAAACCCTATCTCTACTAAAAATACAAAAAAAAAAATAAATAAATAAAAAATAAAAATTAGCTGGGCATGGTGGCGGGCGCCTGTAGTCCCAGCTACTCAGGAGGCTGAGGCAGGAGAATGGCGTGAACCCAGGAGGCGGAACTTGCAGTGAGCCAAGATCGCACCACTGCACTCCGACCTGGGCGACAGAGCGAGACTCCGTCTCAAAAAAAAAAAAAAAAATTAGCTGGGCATGGTGGTGCACGCCTATATTCCCAGCTACTCAGGAGGCTGAGGCAGGAGAATCATTTGACCCCAGGAGGTGGAGGTTGCAGTGAGCCAAGGTTGCGCCACTGCACTCCAGCCTGGGCAAGAGCACGAGACTCTATTTTCAAAAAAATAAAAAATAAAATTATAGGATATGGAAGAAGAGTGAACACCCTTTGCCTGTCCTTCTGGGGAAGGGGTCAGCATGTCTGGGGTTGTACAGGGTTCTTGTATCATGCTCAGTGGCGGTATGACCTTGTCACTGCCTTTATCTGGAGAGGAGGCATGGTTTAGGGAGATGTCTATGGGAGCCACATCGGCAAGTGGGGGACCGTGATGGTCTGTTTATGGTCACCCTGACAGGCTGAAGTACAGTCCCCAGTTCAAACCCTAGCCCTGGTGCTGCTGTGAAGACGTTTTGCAATTAAAGTCCCTTCTCCATTAACTTTAAGTTCATCAAAAGGGAAATGACCCGGGTGGGTCTGACCTAATCAGGTGAGAACTTGAAGCCTTCCTGGAGCTCAGAGACTCCAAGAAGCTCCTGCCCCTGGGTTCCAGACTGTCCAAGACCTTCCTGACTGCCTGCCTGGCTTAACTAGCTCCCACTTTAGTCAGCCAATTGCTTTTTTCTTTTTTTTTTTTTTTTCAGATGGAGTCTCGCTGTTGCTCAGGCTGGAGTGCAGTGGCATGATCTTGGCTTACTACAACCACCCCCTCCTGGGCTCAAGTGATTCTCCTGCCTCAGCCTCCAAAGTAGCTGGGATTACAGGTGTGTGCCACCACGCCCGGCTAATTTTTGTATTTTTTGTAGAGATGAGATTTTACCAGGTTGTTCAGGCTGGCCTCAAACTGCTGGGCTCAAGCGATCTTCCAGCCTCAGCCTGCCAAAGTGCTGGGATTATAGGCATGAGCCACCGTGCCCGGCCTTAGCCCAGGTTTCTGAGCCTAAAGTACTAGCATAAACAACAGCTCCCCCAAAAAAGAACTATAGCTTACAGGGTGCCTCCTGAGTGCCAGGGACAGGCCCAAGCAAGATTCTGTGGATTCTGATGCAACCACATTGACACAGTATCATCCCCCTCTTCCAAAGGAAGAGACCGAGGGTCAGAGAAGAACAGTGACTTGACCAGGGGCTCCTGGTGGGTAAAGGATGGGAGGCAGGCTTGAACCCGAGCCTGTCAGACTCCAAGCCTGTTGGCCGTCCACTCTGCAAGTCTGATCTCAAAGTCAGTTGGCCCAGTTCCTCAACATAGTGAAACTGAGGCTCAGAGAGGTTTAGGCCCTTGCCTAAGGTCACACAACTGGGCAGAAAACCCAGGTCTTTGAACCTCACATCCAATCCTGTTCAGGCACTTTCCTGGCTCCTCTGCAGTGAGGCATAGCTTGCTTTGGCCAACGAGTGTGACCAAAGTGACATGTGTCACTCCAGATAGAAGCTTTATGGGTCAGCGGCTGGGCGTGGTGGCTCAAGCATGTAATCCTAGCACTTTGGGAGGCTGAGGCGGGCGGATCACGAGGTCAGGAGATCGAGACCACAGTGAAACCCCGTCTCTACTAAAAATACAAAAAATTAGCTGGGCGTGGTGGCGGGCACCTGTGGTCCCAGCTACTCAGGAGGCTGAGGCAGGAGAATGGTGTGAACCCGGGAGGCGGAGCTTGTAGTGAGCCGAGATTGCGCCACTGCATTCCAGCCGGGCAACAGAGCGAGACTCCATCTCAAAAAAAAAGAAGCTTTATGGGTCAGCGCATGAGCCATGGGTCCCTTCACCCACCCAGTGAGCACAAAAGCCCATGTTAAGACACAGCCTCCTCTGCCTGGGGCTGTGGGCAGGGCCCCCAGCAGGGACACGCAGCATCAGGGTGGAGACACTGAGACGGTGGGCGTGTTTGTTATGCAGCAGGTCTAATCCACACTGACAGGCACTACCTCCAGTCCTCCATGACCACCCATGGCTCCCCGATACCACAAGGCTTCACCGGGGGTCACACAGCCCACCCTGCTTTGGGGCAAGACCTGCACCTTACCCGCACCCCTACTTACTGGTATCCGTGAAAGCTGGGACGCCCCTGGCCCTAAGGCCCTGGCCCTGAGCCGCCTCCGCCGCCTCCTCCAGCTGGTGACTGTCGAAGGTGACGCTCATCACTATGCCCGGGTCTGGTGTGCCTGCCACACTGGGCTCCTCAAGGCACTGGCTCCCGACAGAGCCCATGGCAGCCTGTGCTTTGGAGAAAGCAGAGAGAGCAGGTGAGGGAAGAAGGGTGAGAAGACACTCCATGTCTTTTCACCCTTCTGGGGTGAGGGACCCATGGCTCATGCACTGACCCATAAAGCTTCTATCTGGAGTGACACATGTCACTTTGGTCACACTCATTGGCCAAAGCAAGCTATGCCTCACTGCAAGGGAGCCAGGAAAGTGCCTGAACAGGACTGGATGTGAGGTTCAAAGACCTGGGTTTTCAGCCCAGCTGTGTGACCTTAGGCAAGGGCCTAAACCTCTCTGAGCCTCAGTTTCACTACATTGATGCCATGCGACTGGGACTGTATCCCCTGGGGGGACCATCCTTTCTGTCCATCCATAGGACATTAATTTAAGCAGATAAGCAATGTCACCTGGTCTTTTCTTTTTTTTTTTTTTTAGACAGGGTCTCACTCTGTCACCCAGGTTGGAGTATGCTGGTGCAACCATCACTCATTTCAGCCTCGACCTCCTAGGCTCAAGGGATCCTCCTGATTCAGCCTCCCAAGTAGCTGGGACCACAGGTTTGAACCACCATGCCTGGCTAATTTTAAAAAAATTTCTTTTGTAGAGTTGGGGTCTCACTACATTGCCCAGGCTAGTCTCCAACTCCAAGTCCTGCCTCGGCCTCCCAAAATGCAGGGGTTACAGGCGTGAGCCACTGAGCCACTGTGCCCAGCCCTCACCTGGTGTGTCTCAGGATGCTCATCCTCATTGCTATCTAGGGAGAAGGGGTCAGAGGGGAGGAGAATGGCTCAGAGACTGCTGCCCCAGGAAGCAACCAAGGTGGCCTGCATGGTGGCAGCGGGCACGGTGAGAAATAGATGGAGTGGAGGAATACTCTGGCGGTGTGATGCCAGGACTTGGGGAGCAGTTGGAAATAACAGGTGACATGAGCGAGCCTCATGCGTGCCTGCACCGTGCTGCAGTGTCCTCTGGGAGGAAGCTGCCTTTATCACTCATTTTTCAGCTGAGGAAAGTGAGAACACCCTTGGTCTCACAGGCAGAAAGTGGGAGAACCCAGACCCCAACCCAGGTCTGTGTGGCACTCTGAGCCACCATGGCCCTTGGTCCTGGGGCCAACCACCCTCATGGCGGGAAGTTCTTCCTGTGATCTTGCCTTAGTGCTTCTTGCTTCAATTTGGATCTGCCAGCCCTGACCTTCGGAAAGAAAGGAAGGAGCTAAGTCATCTGTGACGGAGACGCTTGCACTGTGTGGGCAGCCCTGTGTGTGCCTGGGGCAGGCTAGCTTTTTCCCCTAAAATGATTTTTCTTTTCTTTTTTTTTTTTTTTTTGAGACAGTCTTGCTCTGTCGCCAGGCTGGAGTGCAGTGGCGCAATCTTGGCTCACTGCAACCTCCGTCTCCCGGGTTCCAGCGATTCTCATGCCTCAGCCTCCTGAGTAGCTGGGACTACAGGTGCCTGCCACCACACCCGGCTAATTTTTGTATTTTTAGTAGAGATGGGGTTTCACCATGTTGGCCAGGATGGTCTCGACCTCTTGACCTTGTGATCTGCCCGCCTCAGCCTCCCAAAGTGCTGGGATTACAGGCCTGAGCCACCACGTCCAGCCAATGATTTCTTTTTCTAATAATGTGTATTCATTTATCTGAATGCAGAAAGGATCTGTGCTCGCCGTAGGGAGTTTGAGGCTAAGAGAGGACAGCACAGCACTGAGCGCTGAATGTAGTGCCTCAGTTTCCCCAATATGTGGGAGAGCCATGGAAAAGGCTGGAAGAAGCCCACCCCATGGGGTCCCACAGGCCCAGAGGAACCTTGATTTTTTTTTTTTTTTTTTGAGACAGAGTCTTGCTTTGTTGCCAAGGCTTGGAGTGCAGTGGCGCGATCACAACTCACTGCAAACCTCTGCCTCTCAGGCTGAAGTGATCCTCCCACCTCAGCCTCTTAAGTAGCTGGAACAGGTGTGTGCCACCAGGCCCGGCTAATTTTTTTCTTTTTTGTAGAGATGGGATCTCACTGTGTTGCCCATAGTGGTCTTGAACTCCTGGGCTCAAGTGATCTTCTCACCTTGGCCTCCCAAAGTGCTGGGATTATAGGCATGAGCCACTGCCCTCAGCCCATCCTGATTTTCTCTGGGGCTGACTCATGTCACCTCTGCCTGCTCTTGTCCCATCTCCTGGGTCTCATTTCCTCCAGCTCCCCTGCCTCAGTTTACTCCCTTCCCAGCCTCTAGGCAGGTTTTGATGATCAGTTACCAAGCACCTCCCTGTGACCCGATGTCCCCCTCTTCTAGCTCACTACAGAATTTTAACTGGGGCCTAAAAGGGGGCCTGGGGCCTCACTGGGGCTTTGAAGCCAGAGCCTTCCCATTTCCAGGTCTTGGGGGCTGGGAAGATTCAGTCCCTGACAGCTGGGGGCCAACCCAGGTAATTGGTACCCACTACCAGGGGAGAGGCGGTCCCGGACTTCTGGGGGCTGAGAAGCCCGGCGTATCTCCCCTTCTAGGCTCAAGGCTCTCCTGACTGCCCCTCATCAGCCCTGGCCCTCCTGCCACATCTGGAGCTGAGGGGTTGGGGGTGGGGTGGGGGGGGGGTGGGGGCCGACCAAGGCTTAGAGCAGAGCTGGGCTGGGCTTGAAGGAGGGTGGCCCTGGGTGGGCTCCGCACACCTGTCTCCCCTGTGAAGTGGACACATGAGCCTGAGCTTGAGAGTCGTTGGGAGGTGCCAGAGAGTCAGCAAAGGCTTAGAGAACCCGGGGCCCTTCTTCAGCCTGCAGAGCCAGGGAAGGGGATGGTGTCAGGGTGACAGTCTACAACAACCGAATGCTCCTCCTGCCACCTGCTCAGGATGCCAGCCCAGCTGGACATCTGAACCCAGAAAGGCCTGGTCTGTGTTCAGCAAGAGCCCCCGAGATGCTCCCCTGGACGTGCAGTGCCCCAAACACTCCTGGCCAGAAAGCCGAGGTTTCTGCCTTGCCCGGAGGCCACGCCACCCAGGAAGGTGGACGTGCTCGGCATCCAGCCAGGAGGCGGCTGCTGTCCCCTCTGGCTCAGTCGGCAAAGTGGGCAGCTGCCACCCACACTGCCCGACTTGGCCAGCTACTGTCCCCATGGTGGAGGGGGTGGGGAGCCTGCTGCAGCCGCTCGCCCCCACCTCTCCTGGGCCACAGGCCTCCAACTCTGTCCTTCCCGGCCCCCCACGTCCAAGCCTACTGCCCCCCCCCCACCCCCGGGGAAGGCAGCCCAGGGCCTCCTGCCCTGTCCCCCGTTAGTTAAAATTTAACGACATGCACATTGGCTTAATAACCCCAGTGTTTACGAGGCTTGGCCCTGCTCCTCCACTCTGAGCTGCCGTGACCCCTCGATGCCCGCCCCAGGGGGCTGTTGAGAAGACACAGGTCATTTCTTTGGCCTTGAGGCCACCCCTCAGGCCTCAGTTTCCCCACCTCACAACTCAGTAGAGGAAGAAGGTGAGAGTAAGTCACAAACAGGGACTGGGTGGGTGGCTGGTGGGGTAGGCTCAGCTGCACACAGTAGGCATTCAACAGTTGCACAAGCTGCCACTTAACACTGCTATGGGCAAGGCAGGGCTCCCACCCCTCTCCCCCATTTATTTATTTTTTTAATTTATATTTTTGTAGAGGTGGGGTCTTGCTCTGTTGCCCAAGCTGGTCTTGAACTCCTGGCCTCAGGTGATCCCTGAGCCCCGGCCTCCCAGAACTGAGATTACCGGAGTGAGCCACTGCTTCTGGCCAAGGCCCCTCACCACTTTGCAGGGAGGGCGACTGAGGCACAGAGAGGCCAAGTCGGGGGTAGGGGGGTCATGCAGCTCAGACTGGAGCCTGGCCCAGTGACCCCCTCCGGCTCCTCCCATTTCCACGGGGCCTGAAGTGCACAGGGGTCCTGAAAGTGGCCCAGGGCAGCTGGAAGCACTGGGCGTCGGGACCCCAAAGCCAGTCGCCTCACTCTGGGGCCGCGCTCCTCCGGCCAGCCAGGAAGGACCAGGGGAACCGAATTCCACTTGTAAAGCCGGCCTGGGCTCGCACTCCTGGCTCAGTCACCAGCCCTGGTTAGTTGATGCCTGGTACACCTCTGGTCCCCGTTAACCGGGGCTAACGATGTCTCTGCTGCCCTTTCCGCAGCCCAGCGGTCTAAGCTGCTCCAACTCCTGTGGGGGTGGGTTTCAAGCCCCTCCAGCCACCCCCTTCCTGCAGCCCCCCGGGGACCGATGCATGCAGGGGCCACAGGCTGGCCCCCGGACCCACCGCCCTCCCCGGCCCGGGTCGCCGCGCCTTTCTGACGCCTGCCCGGCCTCATCAACTGCAAAGTTGGCTCGCGGACCTGTGCCCCCAGGCAAAGCACAGACCCCCTGGGCCGCCCCGAGGTGACCCTGGATCCCAGGCCCCACCTCTCCCAGCCGCTTTTTCCGAGAACGAGGAAGGGGCCGGCGGGGGCAGGGGAGCGATGGGGTGGCGCGGGGGGGTCCGGGGAGGAGCTTCGTGCGGGAGGACCCCCGCGCGGTGCTCGGGGAGGCAGTGGCGCCGACCCCCTCCATGGCCAGGGCCCAGGGGTCCGGGTCGGCGCTTGTCGCCGGGCGCGGGGGGCTGGGCCGCTCAGGACGCGGCCGGGGTGGCCTCGGGTTCCCGGGACAGGGGCGGGCTGGGGAGAGGGGGCAGCGCCCGGGCAGGCGGTTGGGGGGGTGGGGGGCCGCGCGCGCCGCAGACAAAGGCTCCGACAGGTCCCCGCCGGCGTCTCCCCGCGTCCCGCGGCCACCGCTTCCCTCGGCCCGGCCCGGCCTGGGGTCCTCGGCGCGCCCGCCATGCCGCCCCGCGCCTGACCCTGCGCGCCCGCGCCCCGCTCCCCCAGCCTCGGGCCGGGCGCGCCCGGCGTCCTCCGCCGGTCCCCGAGTCCGCCCGGCCCCGGTCCAGGAGCGCGGCGACGAGCACAGCCCAGGCCACCACGCCCCGCCTCCCCGCGCTCGGCCCCGCCCCGCCTTCCTCCTTCCTCCTCCTCCCTCAACCCTCTCGCTCCTCCCTCCTCCCTACCCCTCCTCTCCCCTCTCCTTCCTCCCCCCTTCCCTCCTCCCTTCACCCTCCTCTCCTCCCTCCTCCTTCTCCCTATTCCTCCTCCTCTCTTCCCCTCCCTCTCCATTCCTTCTCCTCTCTTCTCCTCCCTCTCCCTCCTCTTCTCCCTCCTCCCCACTCCTCCTCTCTTCCCCCCTCCTCCTCCCTCCCCTTCTACCTCCTCTCTCGTGTCTCTCCCTCCTCCCCATTCCTCCTCTTCCCCTCCCTCTCCCTCCTCCTCCCACCCCTTCTCCCTCCTCTCCCCTTCCTCTCCATTCTCCCCACTCCTCCTCCTCTCTTCCCCTTCCCTTTCTCTCCTCCTCCCTCCCACTCCTCCCCATTTCTCTTCCCTCCCCCTCCCTCTCCCTCCTCCCACCCCTCCCCTCCTCCAAAGTCCTCCATTACCCTCCTCCTGCTCTCCTCCCTTCTCCCCTCCTCTCCACCCTCCTCCCTTTCTCCTCCCTACTCTTCCTCCCTTCCTGTCTCTCCCCTCCTCCCTCTCCCTCCCTCCTCCGCTTTCCTCATTCTCCTACTCAGTCCTCCCTCTCTCTTCCCTCCCTCCTCCCTTCTACCAGCCTCACTCCTCCTCCATCCTCCTCTTTTCTCCCCCTCCTCCCTCCCTCTCCTTCCCCTTCCTCTTCCCTCCCCTCTCCTCCATCTTCCCCCTCCTCCCCTCTGCTCCCATCTCCTTTCTTCCTTTCTCCCTCCCCCCACCCTTCCATCCAGCTGGGCTGTGCAGGGGACAGGCCCAGGCTGAGGCTGAAATCAGGATCCCCAACACACCAGGGTGTGGCATGGTGGCCCCGGGAGACCCAGGTGACCTGCGGCTGACCCAGCCCACCACCCCCGCTGCCCACCCCTCAGCCTTGGTGCCCAGGCCGCTCCCCCTAAACAGGTCCACTCGCCTGGGAGGCCAGCAATGCCGCCAGTGGGTGGGTAGGTTCAGTCACGAGGCCACTGGGTGACCAGATTGAAAGTTTTGAAGGATGGGTAGGAGTTCACATGCTGGAGAAGGTGCAGAGAGCGAGTCCAGCCAGGAGTGGGGGCTGTGGCCGACCCTCAGTCATGCCCTGCCCTCACTTGGTTCCTACCTCCACCCGCTCCCTTTCTCCTCCCAGCTTGGGATCAGAACTGGCTAGGTTGCTTCCCATGACTCCCTTTGCCTGGAAGCCTCTGTTTTTCTCCCAGGTGAATGGAATCATGACCCCGCCCTATTCTCCCTCTACTCACCTGTAGCCTGGCTCTAGGGCAGACAGCAGAGCCCAGGGGGCCCAGGCATAGAACATCAGCCAGCCCTGGGGGGCTGCGAGTGTTACTGGCTGGGAGAAGGGTCCAGCCTCAAGGTGAAATCAGGAACCAGGTGGGAATCACACCTGTCCTGGGTCCCTGTGGGGGCCTGTCTATGGGGATCAGGAGAGACCCTCCAGGTCCGAGCCACCAGGTGGGATGGATACAGGTGCCTGCCCAGACTCCTACCGGAGGCCCTTCCTTCACTTTCCACCAGATCAGCTCCTTCTCCCCCTTAAGCAACATCTCCATTGTCAGCGCTCCAGGGAGCCCCCAGGGTTTCTTCTGCCCCACCACCAATGGGGTCAGCACCTTTGCTCCAGGCCTTGCCCATCCCTTCTAAAGGACTGGGAGCCCCCTGAAAGTAGAGACCTGCTTTCATTCTCTTTGGATCCTCAGTGCTCAGTGAGGCATACAGAGGCTGGCATACAGCAGGAGCCAAATATTTGCTTGAAGGGCAGACTGCATTGGGAGCTGAATAAGGAAGTGTTGAGTGAAGTGACTCCATTCACCTGGGAGCCTCCGTTTTCTCCCAGGTGAATGGAATCACCTGGTGGCGGGGGCTGCTGACACACTTTTAGGGCAGGACACCCCTCTCCTTCCTCTGCTGCTGTCTAGGTGGAGGTGGGGGGTGCCACTGCAGGGGGGCCCAGTCCATTGCTGCAACTAGTTAATCTTAAAGTTCATGACGGCTGGGCGCGGTGGCTCACACCTATAATCCCAGCACATTGGGAGGCCAAGGTGGGCTGATCACCTGAGGTCAGGAGCTCGAGACCAGCCTGGCCAACATGGTGAAACCCCGTCTCTACTAAAAATACAAAAATTAGCTGGGTGTGGTCGTGGGCACCTGTAATCCCAGCTACCCAGGAGGCTGAGGCGGGAGAATTGATTGAACCCAGGAGGCGGAGCTTGCAGTGAGTCGAGATGGCTCCACTGCACTCCAGCCTGGGTGACAAGAGCGAAACTCCATCTGGAAAAAATAAAATAAAATAATAAAAATAAAGTTCACGAGCTCCAGTGCTTCCTGTAAGCCTAGAGCTTTCAACGGGGATTCTTGCCTTGTCCTGGATGTGGAGGGGGGGGTTCCAGATAAGAATTATTTGGTGGGCCAGGTGCAGCGGCTCACGCCTATAAGCCCAGCACTTTGAGAGGCCAAGGCGAGAGGATGGCTTGAGCCCAGGAGTTTGAGATCAGCCTAGGCAACACAGAGAGACTCTATCTCTACAAAAAAAGAAAAAAAAGCGAAAATAAGCCGGGCATGGTGGTGTGTGCCTGTAATCCCAGCTACTCGGGGGGCTGAGGCGGGAGGATTGTGTTAGCCT
This sequence comes from Homo sapiens, assembly GCF_000001405.40. NCBI lineage: Eukaryota > Metazoa > Chordata > Mammalia > Primates > Hominidae > Homo > Homo sapiens. The sequence goes on from NC_000007.14 coordinate 56,952,011, forward strand.
GGGAGGTGGAGGCTGCAGTGAGCTGTGATCGTGCCACTGCACCCCAGCCTGGACAATAGAGCAAAGCCCTGTCTCTAAAAATAAATAAGTAAATCAATAATAAAAACATTATTAGGTGCATGTGAGACATTTTCTAGATGCAGGAGACGCATCAAGGGTCCCTGCTCCCCTGGAGTTGCACTTAAATGGTGGGTGCTGGCAATAAACAAGTACAGTAATTTCGGAAGCATCAAATGCTTGGAAGACTAGATGGGGATGGAGCAGGCACCAGCATGTGACTAGGGGACAGGGCTGGGCTTTGGTATCCAGGTGGTCTGAGAAGGCAATATCTGAATTGAGAGATTTGAATGATGGAAATGTTAGTGGGAAGGGTGTTCCCAGCATAGGGAACAGCCAGTGCAAAGTGCTGAGTCTGGAAACAGCTCATTTAATTCAAGAACAGAAGGAGGGCCACTGTTGTGGGAACAGGGGCAGTGGGGAGAAGGGAGGTGAGGTTGGAGAAGGGAAACAGCCAAGGGGGGGTCTTGTTGGCCATGGTGAGGGGTTGGAATCCCTGGAGCAATGCTTTTTTGTTGTTGTTGTTGTTTTTTGAGACAGAGTCTCTCTCTGTCACCCAGGCTGGAGTGCAGTGGTGCGATCTTAGCTCACTGCAATCTATGCCTCCCCAGTTCAAGCGATTCTCCTGCCTCAACCTCCCGAGTAGCTGGGATTACAGGCACCCACCACCACGCCTAGTTAATTTTTGTATTTTTAGTAGAGACAGGGTTTCACTGCTGGTCTCAAACTCCTGACCTCAGGTGATCCGCCCGCCTTGGTCTCCCAAAGTGCTGGGATTACAGGCGTGAGCCACCACGCCCGCCACAAGGCTTTTTTTTTTTTTCCAGGTCTCCCCATTGCTGGGTTGCTGGTGGGAGTGAAAATGGGACCAACCCTTTTGGAACATAAACTGGCTTAAAAGACATGCTTACCTTTTGGTCCAGAAAAATCTGGCCTGAGGAAATATTTCTAAATGCAGAAAAGTTTTTATATACAAAGACGTTCGTCATAAGAGCCAAACACTGCAAATGGTCCCCTTGGCCAAGACGAGTCCCCGATTTACGTTGCTCGCCATGGGGAACAGATGACATGATTGTTATATTTGAAAAACCCAGAGCAATCAGTGAAATAATATGTAACCCTGCAGAGAAATCTGAAGTCACCACCAGGCTATGCAGTTAAGAAGATTTAGAATAAGATGGAAAACTGGCAGCATGACAGCGTTAGGGGATACAGAAACAGCAAAGGGAAATACAAAAGATGCCTTCCACTGTGTGCAAAATAAAAAAAAAAAAGGAAAAAACTGGGTAAAATGATTTTCTGGTAAACTATAAATAAGCAGAAATGCTGTTATCAGAAAGAAAGAAATCTAAATAGAACGATGGAAAGGGCATGGGGAAATTTGTTAAAGAATTTCTACTTTCCTGCTGGCCGCAGTGGCTCACACCTGCAATCCCAGCACTTTGGGAGGCCAAGGAGGGCGGATCACTTTGAGCTCAGGAGTTTGAGACCAGCCTGGGCAACACAGTGAAACCCCGTCTCTACTAAAAATACAAAAATTAGCTGGGCGTGGTGGTGCTTGCCTGTAATCCCAGCTGCTTAGGAGGCTGAGGCAGGAGAATTGCTTGAACCTGGGAGGCGGAGGTTGCACTGAGCTGAGATCTTACCACTGCACTCCAGCCTGGGAGACAGAGTGAGACTCCGTCTCAAAAAAAAAAAAAAAAAAAGAAAGAAAGAAATTTATGGATTTCACTGTTTATCAGTTTTGCCTAAAAACAAAACTAAACAAAGCCCATACCACATTTTGACCTCTAGCTAACGATATGCATGTTTAAGGGCCAAGTGCCCCAATGTCTGCCACTGACTTTGAAATGCATGGAAATTTGGAATTGGCAGGTAGATGGGGAGCTAGATAGATGGATAGGTAGGGATCAGAAAAAGCAGAGAGCAGAATGCGGGCAGTGAGCACGTGAGTGTTCACTGTATAATTCTTTCCACTTTTTAAAAAATAGAGATGAGGTCTCACTGTGTTGCCCTGGCTGGTCTCAAACTCCTGGCCTCAAGTGATCCTCACACCTCAGCCTCTGCCTCCCAAAGTGCTGGGATTACAGGGTGAGCTGCCACCTCCTGGCCGCCTTCTTCTTTTTTTTTTTTTTAGATGGAGTCTTGCTCTGTCACCCAGGCTGGAGTGCAGTGGTGCGATCTCGGTTCACTGTAACCTCCGCCTCCTGGGTTCAAGCGATTCTCCTTCCTCAGCCTCCTGAATAGCTGTGATTGTAGGTGCATGCCACCACACCTGGCTAATTTTTGTGTTTTTAGTAGAGACGGGGTTTTGCCATGTTGGCCAAGCTGGTCTCGAACTCCTGACCTCAGGTGTTCCACCCACCTCGGCCTCCCAAAGCACTGGGATTACAGGTGCGAGCCACTGCACCCGGCCCTTTTTTTAAAAATAGAGATGGGGTTCTTGCTATGTAATCTAGACTAGTCTTAAGCTCCTGGCCCCAAGCGATCCTCCCGCCTCAGCTTCCCAAAATGCTAAGATTATAGGTGTGAGCCACCATGCTCAGCTTCCACTGTTTTTTATGTTTAAAAATTTCATAGTAAGGTGAGGCAGGAGGATTGCTTGAGGCCAGGAGTTCGAGACCAGCCTGGGCAACATACTGAGACCCTTATCTCTAAAAAATTTTTAAAAATTATCTGGGCATGGTGGTCCACTCCTGTAGTCCCAGCTACTCAGGCAGCTGAGGTGAGAGGATTGCTTGAGCCCAGGAGGCGGAGGCTGCAGTAAGCTGTGATCCCACCACTGCACACCAGCCTGGGAGACAAAGCAAGACCCCATCTCTTTAAAATAAAACATAATAAAATGTGTGGGGGGAGGAGAGGCCGGGCACAGTGGCTCAGCCTGTAATCCCAGCGCTTTGGGAGGCCAAGGCAGGTGGATCACCTGAGGTCGGGAGTTCCAGACCAGTCTAGCCCATATGGTGAAACCCCGCCTCTACTAAAAATACAAAAATCAGCAGGGTGTGGTGGCGGGTGCCTGTAATCCCAGCTACTTGGGAGCATGAGGCAGGAGAGTCACTTGAACCCGGGAGGCAGAGGTTGCTGTGAGCCGAGATCATACCTCTTTACTCCAGCCTGAGTGGCAGAGCAAGACTCCGTCTCAAAAAAAAAAAAAAAAAGTTGGGGGAAGGAGAGAAAAATAGAGAGCCCAGTGGGGCAACCCCCCACCCAGCCCTTGCCACCTGCCACTGCTCCAGCCGGGCTGTTCCAGGCCAGGAAGCTATGCCATCTGCTTCTGGCAGAGATCAAACTTAATTCGTTCCCAGCTTGTTAACTTAAAGCCCATTAGAATCTTTCCCGTCAATCCGTACACGCAGTGGAGATCAGACAGAGATGGGGTGAAGGGCCCTGCTCGGGACACGGTTCCCTGGGGAGGCAGAAGGAGAGGGGGCTGGCTGGCTGGGCTTTGAGGGGACGAGAGCCTCCCACCTCCTTAGTCTCCCTGGGTGCAGGGAGTGGCTTTCATAGAAGTCAGCTCCTCTCATTCGCACAGGGACCTGGGTACCAGTGAACCACCTTTTGCAGACCAGGGAGCCAGCTGGTGAGTGGTGAGGCAGGGGTCCCACTGAGGAATGGTGGGTCTGATAGCATGACACCAGACATCATCATGGTGACACATTACTGCATTTCTGCTCTCAGCAATTCCAAGACAGGGTCAGGACTGGGCCACCTTATGGTGGGCCCAAGGACCAAGGCTGGCAAGCCTGACCATGGACAGAAACACCCCTTGCAAACTCGCTGAGCCCCAGGATCAGAGTCCCTGGGCCGTTCTGTGTCAGCCCCATGTCTGCCTTTGCCGGGACAGGACACCACCTGCTTCCCCTGCATTCAGGCACCATGGAGTCAAACTTGCAAGAGAAAACGAGACCCACGGCCAGGCGTGGTGGCTCATGCTTGTAATCTCAGGACTTTGGGAGGCCGAGGTGGGTGGATCACCTGAGGTCAGGAGTTTGAGACCAGCCTGGCCAACGTGGCGAAACCCCATCCCTACCAAAAATACAAAAATTAGCCAGGCATGGTGGTGCGTGCCTGTAATCCCAGGTACTTGGGAGGCTGAGGCAGGAGAATCGCTTGTACACAGGAGGCGGAGGTTGCAGTGAGCCGAGATCATGCCACTGCACTTCAGCCTAGGTGATGGAGCAAGACTCCGTCTCCAAAAAAAAGAAAGAAAAAAAGAAAATGAGACCCAACCATCTGGTCCAAACAAGCAAATTCAATCAACAAATTAAGCCCCATGATCCTCTCTGGAGAGGGCAAGGCAGCCTGTGTGCGCTGAACGGCAGGGCTCTGCAGGAACAGGGAGGGGCTGGCGCTCACCGCACCAGCTATGCACCAGGCTCTGGGCTAAGAGTGTCCTCTGCTCAGAACCTCACAGTGACTACAGGAGGGGAGACATCCCAGACAGATGGGAAGCCCAGGCTCAGAGAGGTAGAGGAGCTCACCCAAGTCACACAGTGAGGCCAGGCAGATTCTGGTTCCTCCCCAGGCCCCGGTCCCTCCCCAGCCCGTGGTCCCATCAGCCCTGCCCGGTTAAGCTGCCCCACTGGACGCCCCCACTCTCATTCCAGGCCCCTCTTCCTGAAGACCAGAGAGGTGCGCCCCAGGCCAGGCTTCTGGGACTGGGGCCCCAAGCCATAGGTGGCCTCCTGGAGCTTCATCCCCCAGGACACCCCAGGCCGGAGAGGTGCGGTAAAGTCTTTCTGGGACTGTGGGCAGCAGCTGGAGGCAGGCCCAGGACAGGAGGAGCCTCCTGGCCCAGCTCCAGGAGCTGTCGGCTGGAAGGAGCACTTCATTATCAGCTGGGCTGCTGTGAAGGAGGTTATGGGGAAGGGAGGCCCAAGGGACCCGAGGTCAGCCTGGAGTCCCCTTTCCAGCCGGCTCCAAACCCCTCCATGCAGCTGGGCACCCCAGGCCCTGCCTGAGCCTATGAGGTGCCTCCCCACCCAACCCCCACTGGAAGCACCAGCCATACCCAATCATGCCCATGCATCTGTAAGGTGTAAGGACTAGTGTTGCCTCCTCCAGGAAGCCTTCCCTGACTGCTGCATGGTAGGAGTGACTCTGAGCACCCTGAGCACACATCATCTCATGGAATCCTCCCTGTGACCTCTGTGGGAGGCTCAAGGGAATGAGGCCCAGAGAAGTGAAGGCAGCTGCCCAAGGCCACCCAGTGTGGAAGCTTGAATCAGCTCCTCTCTGGGCCTCGTGACAGGGCTGGGTACCGAGGAGGACCTGATAAGTGTTGTTGAAAGAATTCTGTCAAAAGGGCTGGGTGAAGGGACTACTGTTGGGGACGGAGGGGCAGGGATGCTGCCCAGGGTGCAGCCGCCACCCTGTTGACCCCAGATGAAGGCAGGAAGGATGGCTAGATTCCCACAGATTCATCCAGTCCCTGAGCACCTACATAATAGCTCCTGTTTTACGCCTTTGGCATTAACGTGCCCATTTCACAGATGAGAAAACTGATGCCAGAGGGCCTGAGGCCAGTGCAAGATTCCCAGCCGGGCTCCAAGGGAGCACAGAGCCAAGACCTGAACCAGGTCTGCCTGGGCCCCGAGCCACTGTCCTTCCCACGACCCCAGGTCAGCCAAGGATCCTGGCCTTACCTGGGCCTTACCTAGTTCTTACCTGGGACTTTCCTATGCTCCTTCTAAGGCCTCTCCCCGTGGCATCAGCGTCTGCCCGGCATACACACTACTCGGAGGAGCCTTTGTACTCTCTATTTACAAGAGGAGGCTGTGAGCAAATTAGCAGGGTAACCAGGGAAAATGTTTGGCGTCCGTGGGTGAGAGTTGGAGCCATCTGTTGCCAAGTGCTGAGAAAACACCGGAGCACTCCCTGGAGCCGTGGTGCCCGGCAGAGCTCCAGGAAGTGGGACCAGGCACCTGCAGGCTGTGTGTCCTGGGGCAGGGTGCTCACCCTCTCTGGGCCTCAGTGTCTGGATCCGTAAAACCTGCGGGTCTGTCCAGCCTCGTGATTCCAGGATGCTCCCTGTCTCCTTTCCCCTCCTGCCCCTCTGCTCCTGGGCTCCGTACATCCTTTCTGTGCCCCCACCCTGAGACCAAGCCCTTCCTGGGAAGGAAGGCTGGCGGCCTCCACCGTGACGACAGCGCCCGCCTGCCCAGCACCGGCATTGGGGGTTTATTTACCATTGGACGCATTTGTTCCCAAGCTGAAAATAGCTTTATTGTTCCCTCTAAAGACAAAGATAATATTTCACCAATCCAGAAATGTATGCTGTAGAAAAGTAAACCGAGAGAGAGCGCCTCCCCGCCTATGCCGGGCACCTGTCCCTGAGAGCAGCGGCCCAGGCCCTGCCAAGCAGCTGGTCACACAGTGGGCCATACACAGGGTGGGATCCTTGACTGGGGTATTTCAGAGACAGAGAGATAAAAAGGGGCAGCGGGGGCTGGGTGTGTTGGCTCGTGCCCGTAATCCCAGCACTTTGGGAGGCCGAGGTAGGCGGATCACCTGAGGTCAGGAGTTCGAGACCAGCCTGACCAACATGGTGAAACCCCATCTCTACTAAAAATACAAAAATTAGTCGGGCGTGGTGGCAGGTGCCTGTAATCCAAGCTACTCAGGAGGCTGAGGCAGGAGAATCCCTTGAACCTGGGAGGCGGAGGTTGGGGTAAGCTGAGATCACGCCATTGTACTCCAGCCTCGGTGACAAAGCAAGACTCTGTCTCAAAAAAACAAAAAAAGAGGTAGATGGGGGGGAGGGAGAGAGAGGGAGGGAGAGATAGGAAAAGAGAGTGGGGGTGTGAGAGAGAGGGAGAGACAGAGGGAGACAGGAGCGAAAGGGAGAGAGAAGTGGAGGGGCAGAAAGAGAGGGAGACAGGGAAAAAGAGATTACTCCTCCCCACCTGGGACTCTTCAGCTCCTCATCAGTGTCCCTGGAGGCTGGGCCTCAGGGGTGGCTCCTTGGGGACAGGTGTCCTTTCCCCCACCTTGCCCTTCTTCCCTAGTCAGGACAGAAGAAGAGTTTCTAGTCTGAGTCTTACCGCCTCCTAACCGTGTGACCTAAGACAAGCGCCTTCGTCTTGCCGAGCATCAGTGGCCTCAGCTGTAACGTGGGGTAACCATGGCACAGGATAACTGTGAGTTACATGGACCACGTGTGGCAGTCCCTGAGCCTAGGCTGGCACTGAATTGGTGTCCAGCGGCCATTTGCCGTGGCCAATAGGATCAATAAAACGCCTGGGGTATCTGGCCGCTCGGTGGAAATTGACCCACGCAGGGCCTTTGCTGGCCACACCGGGCCCCTTGGTGAGGCTGGGGCATGTCACCTTGTCCATGAGTGGACGTGGACATGGACGTGGGCTCCTTCGCTGGAGGGAACAGCTCTGTGCTGTCCTGGAACTGCTCCCAGCAGCTCCAGAGAGCCGATTAGCACATTTTCAAGAAATATTGCGAGAAGGTTGTTAAACTCAGCCACTGTTTATTTTATTTTATTTATTTTTTATTTTATGATGGAGTCTCGCTCTGTCGCCAGGCTGGAGTGCAGTGGTGCGATCTCGGCTCACTGAAACCTCTGCCTCCCCGGTTCAAGTGATTCTCCTGCCTCAGCCTCCTGAGTAGCTGGGACTACGGGTGCGCACCACCACGCCTGGCTAATTTTTGAATTTTTAGTACAGGCGGGGTTTCGCCATGTTGGCCAGGATGGTCTCGATCTCTTGACCACGTGATCTGCCCACCTCAGCCTCCCAAAGTGCTAGGATTACAGGCATGAGCCACCGCGCCTGGCCAGCCATTGTTAAAAATGGAATGAAATAAACATACAAAGGTAATACAAACTCAAAATTCATCACTGTCTAATTATGTGACTAGGGTCTGCATTCTCCGGGTTATTTCCATCCCTGGTACCCTGTAGGATGGAAACGCCAAATGACAGTGTGCTATGCGGCTGCGTTCTCTCCCCAAATCCAAGTCCAGTGATGTCATCTTGGCACCTTGAAATCCACCACGGACGGACCAGTGCCGTGGTTTGCACCTCTTATCCCAGAGCCTCAGGAAGCTGAGGTGGGAGGATGGCTTGAACCCAAGAATTTGAATACAGTCTGGGCAACATGGTGAAACCCCAACTCTACAATAAATATGAAAGTTAGCCGGGCGTGGTGGCGTGCACCTGTAGTCCCAGCTACTTGGGAGGCTGAAGAGGGAGGATTGCTTGAGCCTGGGAGGCAGAGGCTGCAGTGAGCTGAGATTGTACCACTGCACTCTGGCCCCAATGACAAAAGCGAGACCCTATCTCAAATTAAAAAAAAAAGAAACAGAAAAAGAAAAAAAGAAAGATATGAAACAGGAGCTGGGTGCCTGCCTCTAGTCCCAGCTACTCAGGTGAAGGCCGAGTTGGGAAGATTGCTTGAGCCTAGGAGTTTGAATCCAGCCTGGGCAACATAGCAAGACCCTGTCTCTAAAAAAAAAATTAAAAAAAGAAAAGTATGAGACAGAATGTATTTGCCTAGCAGTTTTTCCGCTTGATTTATAACTCTTAGGTATGATGTGTGAGCCTTTCATAATTTGGCCCTCATCCCAGGCCTTGTATATTTAGGGGTAGGTATGACCTCAAGTTCCAGCCTCCATATCTTCTTTTTAGAGACAAGCTCTTGCTCTGTGGCCCTGGCTGGACTGCAGTGGCACAATCATAGCTCGCTGCAGCCTCAAACTCGTGGGTTCAAGTGATTCTCCTGCCTCAGCCTCCCTGAGTAGCTGGGACTACAGGAACATGCCACGATGCCTGTAGTTCCAGCTACACAATTTAAAAATTTTTTTGTAGAGACAGGGTCTTACTATGTTGCCCAGCCCTGTCTCAAACTCCTGAGCTCAAGTGATCCTCCTGCCTCAGCCTTCCAAAGTGCTGGGATTACAGGCAGGAGACACTGCACCCAGCCTCAGACTATGTATCTTTGTTCCTGCTGTTTTGTCTTCTAAAAAACACCAGTCCCCTTGGAAGCCTTCCTGGGCTGTCTGAACACGGCTGTGGTTATTATAATTATGGGCTGTGAGCCTGATGAGGTGGGGATGCGTCCCAAGGTCGAGGCTCCTTGAGGGGGCTTGTCCCAGCCCGCTAAGAGCACGGGTTGGTGAGAGGCGGCTGGTTTGTCCCTGAAGGAGCTTATCTTGGCTGAATTCTCCTAATCCTCTTGCAGGATTAAGGAAACTCAATGCACGTCCCGTTGATAATGCCCTTTAAGGATTTAATAAGCTTTGGGCTTTCCAAGAGAAAGCCTTGGAAGAGGAATTTGAAAAACTTGCCTCAGCTCCAGACTTTGCTTCTCACTCACTGGGTGACCTTGATCTGTGGCTCCGTTTCTCTACCTGCAAAGAAAAGGGGTGAGTGGTGGCCTGTGGTCCCTGTGCTGTTGTGTGTCTTAGGGGAGGGCTGCACACAACAGCTGGGACTACAGGTGCACACCACCACGCCTGGCTAACTTTTGTATTTTTAGTAGGGGGGGCGGTTTCACCATGTTGGCCAGGATGGTCTCAATCTCTTGACCTTGTGATCTGCCGCTTCAGCCTCCCAAAGTGGCTATAATGTGTATTGGTTTGGGAAGCTTCCACCCCACCCGCCCTGGGGGGAGGTAGGGCTGTGAGTCACCAAAGCATCACTGAGGCCAGTCATGGGACAGTATCCATTGGAACACAGAGGTTGGTCAGGGAAGGGCATATGGCTCGAACCTGGCCTGTCAGAGCCTTCCTTAGAACTTTTATGAGGTCTTCCTGGATGGGTTTATTTTATGGCACCTCAATTTGGGGAGATAAGATCAAGCTGCCATAGACACCTGTCCGCCATGTGCCCAGCACCTATGTGCAGAATGAAGTTCATGAAGACAAACAGAACAGCAGATGAAGCCAGAGCCCTGGCAGCGTTACTTGAGACCCTGGATCTAGCCTTACCTGACACCTACTCTGTGGGCCAGTAAATTCCCTTTTTAGCATAAAGCTGTATGAGTGGCGTTTCTGCCACTTGGAACTGAAGGAGTGTGGATGTACCTGTTTCCAGGAAGAGGAATCGATGGATTTCATCAAATTCTCCTTGATTCCCCCAAAGACTAAGAAGCCCTGCTATGGTTTGAATGTTTGTCTTCTCCGACACTCATGTTGAAATTTATCCCCAATGTGTCAGTATTGAGAGGTGGGGCCTTTAAGAGCTGATTGGGTCATGCGGGCTCTGCCCTCTCGAATGGAGTAATCCATTCATTAATTATGGGTTATTATGGGAGTGGGATTGGTGGCCTTATAAGAAGAAGAGAGATTTGAGATAGGATGCTCAGCCCTCTCACCATGGGATGCCCTGTGCCTCCCTGGGACTCTGCAGACAGGAGTCCCCACTAGCAAGAAGGTCCTCACCAGACACAGCCCCACAGCCTTGGACTTCCCAGCCTCTAGAACTGTAAGAAATAAATAGTTTTCTTTTTTCTTTTTTTTTTTTTTTGAGACGGAGTCTCGCTCTGTCACCCAGGCTGGAGTGCAGTGGCACAATCTGGGCTCACTGCAAGCTCCGCCTCCCAGGTTCATGCCATTCTCCTGCCTCAGCCTCCAGAGTAGCTGGGACTACAGGCGCCCGCCACCACGCCTGGCTAATTTATTGTATTTTTAGTAGAGACGGGGTTTCACTGTGTTAGCCAGGATGGTCTCGATCTCTTGACCTCGTGATCCACCCGCCTCAGCCTCCCAAAGTGCTGGGATTAAAGGCATGAGCCACCGCGCCCCGCCGTTTTCTTTAAAAATTACCCAGCATCAGGTATTCAGTTGTAGCAGTAGCAAATGGACTAAGACAAGCCCTGCGGGAGGTTTCTTCTGGCTCCTGGTGCTCAAATCTCTCAGCAGCCACTGGCCAGTATAACCCGGGAGGGGTCGTCACCAGACTGCAAATTTCATCCTCTGTTTTCCCCCTGCCCTTCTCCACCCTGCTGAGTGCCCTGGGGAGCTGCCCTGTATGAGCCACATCAATGGACTCCCTGCCTCTGTCTTCCAGTGAGATTTGGCTAATGGAAGGAAGACACCAACAGGGGGTTGGAGGGAGTGAGAAAGGGATTCGAAGTTAACCATATCTTCTCCTGACTCCCTCCCCGTGAGGTCACCCTGCCTAGAGTGTTCCTTGACATAGGTCACGGCTTCCCAAGGCCCCTCTCTCTCATTCTAGATTCTGGTGTCTTGGGCCAGGCGTGGTGGCTCACGCCTGTATTTCCCAGCACTTTGGGAGGCCAAGGCAGGCAGATCACTTGAGTTCAGGAGTTTGAGACCAGCCTGGCCAACATGGCAAAACCCGTCTCTACTAAAAATACAAAAATTAGCCAGGCATGGTGGTGCAGGCCTATAATCCCAGCTACTAGGGAGGCTAAGTCAGGAGGATCGCTTAAACCTGGGAGGCAGAGGTTGCAGTGAGCTGAGATCACATCACTGCACTCCAACCTGGGTGACAGAGCGAGACGCCATCTCAAAAAAAAAAAAATACCGACAGGAAATATCTGAAAGGAAGAAATAATTTAACATTTTGTAATGAAAATAAGCAAAGTCTAAAACACTCCTCCTGAGCTCCTTGTAGCAAAAGACAAAGATAGCCTAATGCAGGCCAGGTGTGGTGGCTCATGCCTGTAATCCCAGCACTTTGGGAGGCTGAGGCGGGAGGATCACAAGGTCAGAAGATTGAGACCATCCTGGCTAACATGGTGAAACCCCATCTCTACTGAAAATACAAAAAATTAGCTGGGTGTGATGGCGGGCGCCTGTAGTCCCAGCTACTCGGGAGGCTGAGGCAGGAGAATGGCGTGAACCTGGGAGGCGGAGCTTGTAGTGAGCCGAGATCACGCCACTGCACTCCGGCCTGGGTGAGAATGTGAGGCTCCGTCTCAAAAAAAAAAAAAAAAGATTCTGGTGTCTGGTCCTTCCCTACTGGTTTGGGCTTAGGGGCAGCCACAGCTCTTTTTTTTTTTTTTTAATTGAGATGGAGTCTTGCTCTGTTGCCAGGCTGGAGTGCAGTGGTGCAATCTTGGCTCGCTGCAACCTCTGCCTCCCTGGTTCAAGCAAGTCTCCTGCCTCAGCCTCCTGAGTAGCTGGGATTACAGGCGCATGCCGCCATGCCTGGCTAATTTGTTTTTTTTGTATTTTAGTACAGATGGGGTTTCACCATGTTGCCCAGGCTGATCTCAAACTCCTGAGCTCAGGCAATCCGCCCACCTTGGCCTCCCACAGTGCTAGGATTACAGGCTTGAGCCACTGCGCCCAGCCGGTCACAGCTCTTTTTTCTGCTATCCCAGGTCACCATAGTGCCAGGCGGTTCCTGACCCCCTGTCCTCCCTCGTGTGAACCATCCCTTTGTAAATAACCCTCCTTGAATTACCCTGATCTCAATCTGCTGTTTTCTGTTGAGGTCTCAGAGAGGCGAGAGCCACCAAAAAACTTTATGATCAAATAAAACGTGGTGGCCCCGGGATGACCACGTAGACCCTGGGGTGGAGCAGAAAGGGTACTGAGCTGCCAGGAGACGGGACACACTCAGGGTATTTCTCGGGTGTGCAGAGTCACTCTTAGATACTCTACTTCATCATCAGTAACACGAAAGTTCACCTAAAACAGCACAACATCTCTCTGGTCCTAACTCCTACAGCATCCTTTTTTTTTTTTTTTTTTGCCTTGAGGCAGGGTCTTGCTCTGTTTCCCAGGCTGGAATGCAGTGGTACCATAATAGCTCACTGCAGCCTCGAACTCCTGGACTCAAGTGATCCTCCCACCTCAGCCTCCCGAGTATCTGGGACCACAGGTCCATGCCACCACACGCGGCTAATTGTTGTGGGGTTTGTAGAGATGGGCTTTCACCATATTGCCTGGGCTAGTCTCAAACTCCTGCGCTCAAGTGATCATCCTGCTGGGAGGATCCCAAAGTGCTGGGATTACAGGCATGAGCCACCATGCCCGGCCTGAACATCAATTCTTGAGAGCAGCATATTTCATGTTTACAACATTAACTTTATTTTATTTCATTTTTAAGAGTCAGGGTATGGCTGGGCATGGTGGCTCACACCTGTAATTCCAGCACTTTGGGAGGCCGAGGTGAGCAGATCACTTGAGGTCAGGAGTTCAAGACCAGCCTGGCCAACGTAGGGAAACCCCACCTTTACTGAAAATATAAAAATTAGCTGGGTGTGGTGGTGCACATCTGTAATCCCAGCTACTTGGGAGGCTGAGGTATGAGAATTGCTTGAACCCAAGAGGTGGAGGTTGCAGTGAGTTGAGGTCTTGCCACTGCATTCTAGGCTGGGCTACAGAGCTAGACTCTGTCTCCAAAAAAAAAAAAGAGTCAGGGTCTCACTCTTTTGCACAGGCTGGAGTGCAGTGGTGCGATCATAGCTCGCTGCACTGTAGCCTTGACCTCTTGGACTCAAGCTATCCTCCTGCCTCAGCCTCCTGAGTAGCTAACAGGCATGCACCCCCACGCCTGGTTAACTTTTTGTTTTTGTAGAGATGGGGTCTCACTATGTTGCCCAAGCTAAATAACATAAAGAACGTAAGCATCCTCCGGCCTTGGCCTCCCAAAGTGCTGTGATTATAGCCATGAGCCACCCACGCCCGGGCAGAGGGAAGTTCTTAAAAAGGAAGCCTGGTGAGATGAAGCAATGCACACAATATAACATTCCGTGGGAATGCAGAATGCGCGTTGCTTTATGAAATGTGTGTAAAAGTCAGGTTTTGTTGGGTGAAATAAATATGCATATGGGGGAGATTGGGAAAGAACTCTGTCCTTAGCTAAAAGTTCAACTGTGAAGTCTTGGAGCACTTGCCTGTGGAACTGAGGTGAGTGTGAGAGTCACATTTCACAGGACCCTCCCCACTCCCCCAAGATGTCAAAGGGACTACGTGGAAACTGCTCTGTGGCTCCCAACATCTTGTTCTAAGCGAAGTTTGTCGTTATCCCAGGGATGCCAAAACACTGAGAATTCCTGCCTTCTGCAATACGTGGATTAACTCCCCATGAACTTAATGTTTCCTTTTTTTTTTTTTTTTTTTGAGATGGAGTTTTGCTCTTGTCGCCCAGGCTGGAGTGCAGTGGTGTGATCTCAGCTCACTGTAACCTCTGCATCCCGGGTTCAAGCAATTCTCCTGCCTCAGCCTCCCGAGTAGTTGGAATTACAAGTGCCCACCACCACGCCTGGCTAATTTTTGTATTTTTAGTAGAGACTGGGTTTTGCTATGTTGGCCAGGCTGGTCTCGAACTCCTGACCTCAAGTGATCCACCCACCTCAGCCTCCCAAAGTGTTGGAAATACAGGTGTGAGCCACTGCGCCTGGCCTTAATTTTTCCTTTTTAGCCAAAGGTTGTGAGTGGTCTGATGGCTTCTGATCCAGTCCCATCTCAGTTTCTTGGGCTTGTAAGGACATTTAATAATTGATGGGGTGGCTCCCTTCTGAGCCATCAGGAGCGGAGGGCGCTTTGGATTCTGGTGCTTTGACCTGCAGGAGGAAGAGAGTGTCTCTGGGACTTTATCGCCCGGCACCCTGCACTGTATGGCCTTGGGCAAGTCATGCCTCCTCTTGGGGCCTTGGCCATCAAGTCTATGAGATGGGCCATGTTGTCCAGGCTGTTCTCGAACTCCTGACTTCAAGTGATCCTCCCACTTCGCCCTTCCAAAGTGCTGGGATTACAGGCATCAGCCACCACCCACACAGCCACCCACTTTTATCTCCCAGGAGGGCCCAACCCTTCTCCCTTGGTTTCAATATGAAAAATCCCAGGGGAGAATCTGATTGGCCCAACTTGGGTCACATGGTTGCCCGGGGCCAGGAGGGTGGGGCAGCAGGACGGCAGCCATGTGGCTGGGGTTGGGGAGGTGGGGCTCTTCCTGACAAGGGGTGTCTGTCCAGAACAGAGAGCGTCCCAGCTTTTGAGTGATGGAGGGTTGCACTACAGCCTCTAGAGTCTTCTTCAGAGGGAGGAGAGAGTGGGAAGCTTGGGAGAAAAGGCTTCCAGGAGTTAAGTGGGAAACAGAGCTCCTCGTCTATTCTTGTCCCTTTGATCCTCAATGGTATTGTCAATTCCATGACAACGGGAGACGCTTTTAAGTCACAAGTGATTTTCGCAAGCAACAAACTATATTTTTATCACTCCGAATCCTCCCAAATGACTACTTCCTCAAGGGCTGTGTTTGGGGCCTGCCAGAGTCTCCTCTAGGATCCACAGTGCCTCCAGGTGGGTGACACCCCACTGGTCTTGGGGCGCTCTTGGAATCTGCCGGGTGATGTCATTTCTGCTGCCGGTCGCTGCGTCTGTCTGGCTCCTGCCTCCCGCCCCCTCTGCTCCTGTCTCCTCTGCCTCTTGAAGGACATTTGCAAGCAAATTGAGCTTTGTAGTGGAGAGCGTCAGCCTCAATTTCAGTTGAAACCATCATCTTCAGCTTGAGAGGCCACACAGTCACATGAACACACACAGACACAGTGACACACACACACACACAAACACCCCCAAAACACTGTCACACACAGAAATGCATATGTGCTTGGACACACACATAGACACACACAGACATACACATGCATGCAAGACACACACACACTGAAGCACACTCAGCCACAGACACACACAGACACATTCAGACACACAGAGGCGTGCACACAGATTCAGATAGGGATAGACAGATGAGCAAAGCAGGAGATAAAGGCACCGCACAGATGGACAGACCCAGACACACACATACAAAGACACACACTCAATCTCACGTAGATGCACACACTTGTCAGTCAGTGCTGGACTGGTCAGTATTTAACACACCCAGCGTTCTGACTTGTAGCAGTTGCTAATTTCCATGGTGTCAATATTCCCACCGGATTCCAGCTATCATTATGAGGTCAGAGTTGGGGACAGGGCACACAGTCGTCTTTGGAGCTGGGAGGAGTCGGCTCTGACACCTGTGGCCACTGCCAGGCTCACACAGACACTCACAACAATAGACACACACACGTGTGCTCTGCTGAAAACTGTCACTCCCCTGGTGTCCCAGCAGTCCTGGATTCAACCCCTGGCTATGCTGTGTGTCTTTGATCACATTTCTCAACCTCTGTGAGCCTCCCATTTCTTGTAAAATGGCAAAAGCCCACCCAGGGCTGATGGAAGGATGGGTGGTCATTTGGGAGTGCCCCCACATGGAGCCTGGTACCCGGTGGTGGCTTGGCCTTGCACAGAAGAGAGAGTGCTCTGTGACCATCTGCTTGGTCCTAGGGTCTGGGCTCTGGGCTGGCACAGACACCTGTTCAGCTGCCAGAGCCCCAGGGCCACAGCTGGTGTGTGCCCACCAGCCTGTCGGCAGCCCTTTGGCACTCTTCTGCTCTTGGGCAAGATGTGGGGTATGTCCCCTGGTCTAATTTAGGGCCCCCACCCTCTACGACTTGGTCCCTCACGCTTCCCAGATTTGTGTCTTGGGCTGGTCTCTCTGCCTGGAGGGTCCTGCCTCTGGCTCCTCACCCTTCTGACCATCAGAGTTCATGCTATAGCTGAGCATGGTGGTGCCCATCTGTAGTCCCAGCTACTTGAGAGGCCGACATGGGAGGATCGCTTAAGCCTAGGGGTTCTAGACAACAGTGAACTGTGATCATGCCACTGCACTCTAGCCTGGGCAACAGAGCAAGACCTTGTCTCTACAGAAAATTTTAAAAATTAGCATTAGCCAGGTGTGGTGGTGGTGAACCTGTGGTCCCAGCTACTTGGGAGGCTGAGGGGGGAGGGTCTCCTGAGCCTGGGACATCTAGGCTGCAGTGAGGTATGATGGCACCACTGCACTCCAGCCTGGGTGACAGAGCGAGACCCCAACTCTTAAAAAAAAAAAAGAAAAAAAAAAGAATTGGCCAGGTGCGGTGGCTCAAGCCTGTAGTCCCAGCACTTTGGGAGGCCGAGGCAAGTGGATCACCTGAGGTCAGGAGTTTGAGACCAGCCTGGCCAACATGGTGAAACCTCATCTCTACTAAAAATACAAAAATTAGCAGGGCGTGGTGGCATATGCCCATAATCCCAGCTACTTGGGAGGCTGAGGCAGGAGGATTGCTTGAACCTGGGAGGCAGAGGTTGCAGTGAGCCAAGATCTTGCCACTGCACTCCAGCCTGGGCAACAGTAAGACTTGGTCTCAAACAAACAAAAACAAAAAACACACAAAAAAAGAGGCCGGGCTTGGTGACTCATGCCTGTAATTCCAGCACTTTGGGAGGCCAAGGTGGGAGGATCACCTGAGATCAGGAGTTCAAGACCAGCCTGGCCAAAGTGGTGAAACTCTGTCTCTACTAAAAAATACAAAAATTAGCCAGT
Source organism: Homo sapiens (assembly GCF_000001405.40). Classification (NCBI taxonomy): domain Eukaryota; kingdom Metazoa; phylum Chordata; class Mammalia; order Primates; family Hominidae; genus Homo; species Homo sapiens. The sequence continues at coordinate 56,969,400 of NC_000007.14, forward strand.
CGTGATGGGGTGTGCACCTGTAATCCCAGCTACTAGGGAGGCTAAGGCGTGAGAATCGCTTGAAACAGGGAGACGGAGGTTGCAGTGAGCCAAGATCGTGCCACTGCCTTCCAGCCTGGATGACAGAATGAGACTCTGTCTCAGAAAAAAAAAAAAAAATTACCAGAGAGATTCCACAAACTGTCTCCAAAGGAGAGGACACAAGAGGTGTGCTTCCAGGTTTCCAGAACCTTCCCTGCATCTCCTCGCCAAACCTACTTCCCCTCAGCTTTGGGAAGGGCTCAGGGCCTTGCCTGTACCCCAAGTTTACTCTACATATGGCTGTGATCTGAACTGGGGTGAGGCCAGGGGATGACCCTGTCCCCCTAGTCTGGGCTGGAGCTCCTATTTCCCAGGCTCATGCATGGCTGTGGGTGGGCCCTGAGGGACCCTTTGCTGGCTGGGTCACAGATACAAGGTCCTGGTCTGTGAGCAGCCTGTTCACCGGCTCATGCAGTACAGGGGCCCTGTGGAGTGGACTCGTTGTCCTCCGGCCCACCTCTCTCTGGCCTGGGAGGAGTCTGGGCAGGCCCCCGCCCCAGGGCCAATTCCATCCTGTGGCCTCTTTGCTGATGGAGCCGTCTCTTCCCTCAAAGGGTTTCCTGCTGCTGGAGTGGAAATAATTTCTTCTGAGATTTCAGAGGCAGAAGACATTTCTCACCTTCCCAAAAGCCCGGAGGATGGAGATTAGAATGAGTGGGGTCGTTTCATGATCAGGGAGGCCAAGTGGGAACCCTGTGACTGATCCATTTGTCCTGGTTCCCGGAAGGATGTCACCCAGGCAGGGCTGAGGGGAGGAGGTGGAGATTCGGGGGTCGAGGGGCTCCCACAGCCCAGGCCTGAATCCGCTGCTGGGTTCCTCCACCTCCCAGCTCTGCCTCTGGAGGAGGGAGAGGCTAATCTTCCTCCAAACACTTCACGCTTCAGGAAATCACAGGCTCTCAGAGTGCAGGGCCCCTCTTGGCCGAGCGAGTGTGATTTTTCCCGGGAAGTGGCTCTTATGAGACTCTCTAAGGGGTCCCTGACCTGAAGAGAAGGTTCAACAGCCCTGCCTCGGAGGAGGAAAATGAACATTCGCTGTGCGTACAAAAATAGCTTACATGCTCAGAGCCTGCGTTTGAGGGGTGCAGGCCTGGCGCACAGGGGTCTGGGTCCAAGCCCCTGCCTCGCTGGCACTCTCAATGAACTTGGGAGCAGGTGCGCCCGTCTCCAGCAGGTTCGTTCCCCATCAAGGAGGGAGAAACAGGCCATCTTCATAGGCCTGGGCAAGGCAGGAAGGGCTGAGTGCAGTGAGGGCCGAATGCTCGCTCCTCCTGGATACCATGGCCCTGGCAGCTGTGGGGAAGATTCAAGGCATATGTGGCTGGGTGGGAGTTGTTTCAGCTCTGCCCCAAGCAGGGAACCACGGTGGTGGGCGGAGGGGGTCCTAGCTGGTCAAGTGATGTCTTCCACTCCCAGACTCTAGGAAGCAGGCCCAGCCTCGGGAGGGCAGACATGTTGTTTGTACCGGGCACAAGTGGCCAGGGAATGACCAATGGCAGGTTGCTGCTGACCGGAAGGAGGACAGAACCAGGACAGTGGAGGTCTTGGTTCTAGTGGCTGCTGTGACATTGCCCTCTCCTCTCTCTGCTTGTCTCTCTCCCTGTCCTCATCCTGATCCCCACCCTTCCTCTCTCCCTCTCTTTTCTCCTCTGCCCTGGAGTCTCACTCTGTCGCCCAGGCTGGAGTGCAGTGGCACGATCTCGGCTCACTGCAACCTCCGCCTCCTGGGTTCAAGCGATTCTTCTGCCTCAGCCTCCCAAGTAGCTTGGACTACAGGTGCCTGCCACCATGCCCGGCTAATTTTTGTATTTTTAATAGAGATGGGGTTTCACCATGTTGGCCAGGCTGGTCTCTAACTCCTGACCTCAGGTGATCCACCCATCTTGGCCTCCCAAAGTGTTGGGATTACAGGCGTGAGCCACTGCACCTGGCCTAATTTTTGTATTTTTAATAGAGACAGGGTTTCACCATGTTGGCCAAGCTGGTCTCGAACTCCTGACCTCGTGATTCCCCTCTGCCCTTTTTTTTGTTTTGTTTTTGTTTCTGAGACAGGGTCTCGCTCCATCCCCCAGGCTGGAGTGCAGTGGCACAATCTCAGCTCACTGCAGCTTCCAACTCCTGGGTTCTAGTGATCCTCCTGCCTCAGCCTCCCACATAGCTGGGATCACAGGTGCATTCCACTATGTCTGGCTAGTTTTTTGTAGAGATGGAGCCTCACTGTGTTGCCAGGCTGGTCTTGAACTCCTAGGCTCAAGTGATCCTCCTGCCTCGGCCTCCCAAAGTGCTGGGACTATAGGTGTGAGCCACTACGCCCAGCCCCCTCAGCCTGTCTTGCCCCAAAAGGTGGGTGCCAGCCAACATGTCCCCCTGCAGGTGCCAGTCACCTTCCTCCTGAGTGCATTCCCGGTGCAGGTGCACAGCTGGGGCTGGCCCTAGGAGCGGCCCTCGCCCATGATGGGTGGCGACTGGTGGATAAACTCGGGGTTCCTGGTGCCTGGGTTGGGACAGCCACAGCAGCCCAGGGGCTCCCAAGAGGGTTGAGTTCCTCTTGCCCACCGAGGCTCCAGCTGCCTAAAGAACAGCCTTGCCCAGACCCACAGCCCTTCTCAGGTTGCCTGCACGCTTGCTTCAGGGTTGCTTTGGGGACACACCCCTTCTGGGGCTTCCTGCTCCCAGATCACTTCTGCTAAGAAGGGTCTCGGAGGCTGGGCATGGTGGCTCACACCTGTAATCCCAACACTCTGGGAGGCCATGGCGGGTGGATCACAAGGTCAGGAGATCGAGACCATCCTGGCTAACACGGTGAAACCCCGTCTCTACTAAATATACAAAAAATTAGCTGGGTGTGGTGGCGGGCGCCTGTAGTCCCAGCTACTCAGGAGGCTGAGGCAGGAGAATGGCATGAACCCAGGAGGCAGAGCTTGCAGTGAGCAGAGATCGCGCCACTGCACTCCAACCTGGCGACAGAGTGAGACTCCGTCTCAAAAAATAATAATAATAATAATAAAGAGGCGTGTTTGTGGCTGGGAGCGGCGGCTCATGCCTGTAATCCCAGCACCTGAGGTCAGGAGCTCAAGACCAGCCTGCCCAACATGGCGAAACCCCGTCTCTACTAAAAATACCAAAATTAGCTGGGGCATGGTGGCACACACCTGCAATCCCAGCTACTTGGGAGGCTGAGGCAGGAGAATCACTTGAACCCAGCAGATGCAGGTTGTTGTGAGCTGAGATTGCACCATAGCACTCTAGCCTGGGCAACAGAATAAGACTCTGTCTCAAAACAAAACAAACAAACAAAAAAAGGCATGTTTGTGTTGGAGACATTCTGTAGCAGGAGCTAAGGTGGAGGCCCAGGGCACCCTGCAGCCATGACTCCTTTCATTCAGCTTACGTGAGCAGCCACTGTGTGCCTGGATCTGTGCTGGGCCCAGGGATGGTGAGATGAAGCAACCGATGACACCTGTCCTTGGGGGGTTCCCAGGGTACTGGAAAAGGCAGGTGGAGGAGCCGGCAGGCCTGAGATGAGCAGGCTCTGGGGGCCTACTGCCTGCAGCTGCATCCAGGGTCTCCTGCTATTGTGTGAGTTAGTACCTCTCTCCATGCCTCAGTTTCCTCATTTGCAAGGGGCACAATAAAAGCCTCCTCCTCAAAGGGCCATTGTGAGGCAGAAATGATTCCTGTGAAGCATCTCCGGTGGGGCCTGGACTGTGGTCGGATCTCAGTCGCTGTGAGATGTCAGCATTAGGAACAGGGCATTGAGCAGGCCTGGAGCTGGGCCAGGGACCCCTGGGGAGGGCTGCAGAGAGTGGCCACCAGGCAAGGGCTGGGCATGGCGGATTGAAGCAGGGTCTCTCTGTGGCGGGGCCTGCCAGGTTCCTGGAGAAACTGCCCTGAGTTGGTGATGAGATAGGAAAGCCTGTTAAAATGAAATGTTTAATTAATTAATTTATTTTTTATTTTATTTTACTTAATTATTTTATTTTTTTGAGACAGAGTCTCCCTCTGTTGCCCAGGCTGGAGTGCAGTGGCGTCGTCTCGGCTCAGTGCAGTCTCCACCTCCTGGGTTCAAACTATTATCCTGCCTCAGCCTCCCCAGTAGCTGGGATTATGGGCACGTGTCACCATGCCTGGCTGATTTTTTTTTTTTGAGGAGGAGTCTCCCTCTGTCTCCCAGGCTGGAGTGCAGTGGCGCAATCTCGGCTCACTGCAAGCTCCGCCTCCTGGGTTCACGCCATTCTCCTGCCTCAGCCTCCTGAGTAGCTGGGACTACAGGTGCCTGCCACCATGCTCGACTAATTTTTTTTTTTTTTGTATTTTTAGTAGAGATGGGGTTTCACCGTGTTAGCCAGGATGGTCTCAATCTCCTGATCTCGTGATCTGCCCGCCTCGGCCTCCCAAAGTGCTGCGATTACAGGCATGAGCCACCGCACCTGGCCTGATTTTTGTATTCTTTAGTACAGACGGGGTTTCACTATGTTGGCCAGGCTGGTCTAGAACTCCTGACCTCAAGTGATCTGCCTGCCTCGGCCTTCCAAAGTGCTGGGATTATAGGCATGAGCCACCGCGCCTGGAATAACTCTTGTTTTAGATACTGAGGGCACACATGCAGGGTTGTTACATGGGTAAATTTTGTGTCATGGCAGTTTGGTGTACAGATTATTTTATCACCCAGGTAATAAGCACAGTACCCGACAGGTAGTTTTTTTGATCCTCACCCTCCTCCCCAACTCCACCCTTAAGTAGGCCCTGGTGTCTATTGTTTCTTCTTTGTGCAAATACGTATAACAGAGTCTCACTCTGTCTCTCAGGCTGGAGTGCAGTGGTGCAATCTTGGCTCATTGCAGCCTCGACCTCCCAGGCTCAGGTGATCCTCCCGCCTCAGCCTCCCTGAGTAGCTGAGACCACAGGCGTGCACCACCATGCCTGGCTAATTAAAAAAATAATAATAATAAGGCCGGGCGCGGTGGCTCATGCCTGTAATCCCAGCACTTTGGGAGGCTGAGGCGGGTGGATCACAAAGTCAGGAGATCAAGACCATCCTGGCTAACACAGTGAAACCCCATCTCTACTAAAAATATAAAAAGTTAGCCCGGCGTGGCGGCGGGCACCTGTAGTCCCAGCTACTCGGGAGGCTGAGGCAGGAGAATGGCATGAACCCGGGAGGCAGAGCTTGCAGTTAGCCGAGATAGCACCACTGCAGTCTGGCCTAGGCAAAAGAGCGAGACTCTGTCTCAAAAAAAAAAAAAATGTAGAGATGGGGGTCTCACTGTGTTGTCCAGGCTGGTCTCGAACTCTTGGGCTCAAGTAATCCTCCCATCTTGAGCTTCCAAAGTGGTGGGATTACGGGCCCACCTTGGCCTCCAGAAGTGTTGGGATCACAGGGATGAACCACCTCGCCTGACCTGCAATTTTTTTTTTTTTATAAAAGGAGTTTCTCCCCATTACTGATGCAAACCTGCTGGAGAGCTCAAGATATGCTGCATGGTTTTCCAAAGGAATGTGCTATATTTATGTGTGTCTATTTCTGGGCTTTCTATTCTGCTCCATTGATCCATCTCTGTTTGCTTGCCAATTCCACAGGGTCTTTATTTATTTATCTTTTAGACAGCAGTTCTCACTCTGTTGCCCAGGCTGGAGTGCAATAGTGCAATCATAGCTCACTGCAGCCTTGACCTCCTGGGCTCAAGGGATCCTCCTATCTCAGCTTCCTGAGTAGCTGGGACTACAAGTGTGTACCATAGTGCCTGGCTAATTTTTTATTTTTCATTTTTGTACAGATGGAGTCTTGCTGTGTTTCCCAGGCTGGTCTCAAACTCCTGGCCTCAAGCCATCCTCCCATATTAGGCTCCCAAAATGCTGGCATTATAGGTGCGAGCCACGGTACTGGTTCCCCCACCTCCTTTTTTATTTTTATTTATTTGTATATTTATTTATTTTTTGAGACTGAGTCTCGCTCTGTCGCCCAGGCTGGAGTGCAGTGGCACAAACTCGGCTCACCACAACCTCCGCCTCCCGGGTTCAAGTGATTCTCCTGCCTCAGCCTCCCGAGTAGCCAGGATTACATGCGCCTGCCACCATGCCAAGCTAATTTTTGTGTTTTTAGTAGAGACAAGATTTCACCATGTTGGCCAGACTGGCCTCGAACTCCTGACCTCAGGTGATCCACCCACCTTGGCCTCCCAAAGTGCTGGGATTATAGGTGTGAGCCACTGCACCCAGCCCTGTTTTTATTTTTATTTTTTAAGAGATGGGCTCTCTCTGCATTACCCAGGCTTGAGTGCAGTGGCTATTCACAGGTGCAATCGTAGTGCACTGCAGCCTTGGACTCCTGGGCCCATGCCATTCTCCCATCTCAGCTTCCCATATAGCTGGGACCACGGGTGTCCACTACTGTGCCTGGCTTCTGCCTTGATTACTGTAGTTTTATAGTAAATATTAAATCAGTCTTCCAACTTTCTTCTTCAATATTATGTTGGCTATTCTGGCTCTTTTGTCTCTCCATATAAACTTGAAAATCAGTTTGTCATTGTCCACAAAATAATTTGCTAGGATTTTGATTGGGATTGTGTTGAATCTATAGATCAAGTAGGGAAGAGCTGACATGTTGACAATATCAAGTTTTCCTATCCATGAACATGGAATATCTCTCCATTTATTTGGTTCTTCTTTGATTTATTTCATCAGACTTTTATAATTTTCCCCATATCAATCCTGTATATATCTTGTTAGTTTCATAGGTATTTCAGTTCTGAGGTGCTAATATAAATGGTACTGTGTTTTAAATTTCTTTTTTTTTTTTTGAGACAGTGTCTTGCTCTGTTGCCAGGCTGGAGTGCAGAGGTGCCATCTCAGCTCACCACAACCTCCGCCTCCTGGGTTCAAGCGATTCCCCTGCCTCAGCCTCCCAAGTAGCTGGGATTACAGGCACACGTCACCACGCCAGGCTAATTTTTTGTATTTTAGTAGAGACGGGGTTTCACCATGTTCGTCAAGATGGTATCGATCTCCTGACCTCGTGATCCAACCGCCTCAGCCTCCCAAAGAGCTGGGATTACAGGTGTGAGCCACTGTGCCCGGCCTGTGTTTTAAATGTAAGGCCAATTGTTCATTGCTGGGACTTAGGAGAGCAATTGACCTTTGTAAATTAACTTTGTATCCTGCAACCTTGCTATAATCGCTTATTAGTTCCAGGAAGTTTCTGTGTTGATTCTTTGTAATTTTCCATATAGGTAATCATGTCATCTTGGAACAATAATGAAGTCATTGGCTTTAGAAATATTTGTGTTATTGAAAAATTCAAATTATACAGAAGCCAAGAGAATAAAACAATGAACCCTTATGTCCTCACCACCTACCTTTGGCAATTGTCAACTCATGGGTGAGCTTGTTTCATCCATACCTGTACCTGTGCCTCCTCCCCTCCACATTCCAGACTTTGAAAATCCCAGATATCATATCATACCGTCCGATTATATATCAGAATCTACTTCTAAAAAAGGATGCTTTTGAAAACCATCCCATAAGGCTGGGTGTGGTGGCTCATGCCTGTAATCGCAGCTCTTTGGGAGGCCGAGGCAGATGGATCGCCTGAGGTCGAGAGCTCAAGACCAGCCTGGCCAACGTGGCGAAACCCTGTATCTACTAAAAAAAAAAAAAAAAATACAAAAATTACCTGGGTGTGGTGGTGGGCACCTGTAGTCCCAGCTACTCGGGAGGCTGAGGCAGGAGAATTGCTTGAACCCAGGAGGCAGAGGTTGTGGTGAGCTGAGATTGCACCACTGCACTCCAGCCTGGGCGACACAGGGAGGCTCCATCTCAAAAAAAAAAAAAAAAGAAAAAAAGAAAAAAAAAAAGAAAACCATCTCATGATACCATTATCCCCCATTATCCCCCAAAACAAATTAACAATGTTTCCTTAACAGCATTGACCATCCAATCAGTGCTCAAATGTTTCCAATTGCTTCATGAACTTTACAACGTTTTGTTGTGAAATTTTTCAATGTCACAACATGTCTAGAAGAACAGCATGATGAACCCCTGCAGGCACTTCACCTGTTTTCACTAGTTGTTGAGAATGTTACCTTTCATTATTGATGCAAGAGTTTTACTAGTAGGGACACATCGTTTTTAGCCATTCCAAATGAGTCATTACCCATTGCCTCGATTTCTTTTTAATAGTCAAGTCTTTTTTTGTTTTTGTGTTTTTTGAGACAGTCTCACTCATTGCCCAGGCTGGAGTGCAGTGGCACAATCATGGCTCACTGCAGCCTCCACCTCCTTGGCTCAAGCGATCCTCCCACCTTAGCCTCCTGAGTAGCTGGGACTACAGGAGTGTGCCACTATACCTGGCTAACTTAAAACAATTTTTTATAGAGATGGGGGTCTCATTATGTTGCCCAGGCTGGTCTGAAACTCCTGGACTTCAGCAATCCTCAAATCTTGGCCTCCCAAAGTGTTGGGATTATAGGCATGAGCCATCGTGCCTGGCCAATAATCAGTCTTTATACCAATAGGCTTATTCCAATGTCTTGGATTGTTACTGCCTTTTTTTCCTATAAAAAAGTGGTAAATATTTTCTTTTTTTTCTTGTTTCTTTTATATCCCTATAAAATTTGTAATTATTCATTTGCTAACAAATATTTCCTGAGCCACTCCAGATACTGTAGCTGTTTTTCATATAAATTGTATTAATTTCATTTAATTAATTACTCAGTGTTTTATGTCTTTGCTGCTATTGTGAGTGATTTCCTGCCAGTCTTGTGGTGTCTCCCCTCCACCACTGTTTTTTCTAATCTATCATTGCTGGCATGTAGAAAATGATTGATTCTGCCAGGTGTGGTGGCTCACGCCTGTAATCCCAGCACTTTGGGAGGCTGAGGTGGGTGGATTGCCTGAGGTCAGGAGTTCAAGACCAGCCTGGCCAACATGGTGAAACCCCCGTCTCTACTACAAAAATACAAAAATTAGCCAGGTGCGGTGGTGGGCGCCTGTAATCCCAGCTACTCAGGAGGCTGAGGCAGGAGAATCACTTGAACCCAGGAGGTGGAGCTTGCAGTGAGCTGAGATCATGCCACTGCACTCCAGTCTGGGTGACAGAGTGATTCCGTCTCAAAAAAAAAAATTGATTCACGAATATTACTTTCATAACCGGACAGCTGAGCATTCTTTTTTTTTTTTTTTTTTTTTTGAGACCAAGTCTCACTCTGTTGCCCAGGCTGGAGTGCAACGGCGCGATCTCGGTTCACTGCAAACTCCACCTCCCGGGTTCAAGTGATTCTTGTGCCTCAGCCTCCCAAGGAGCTGGTACTACAGGTGCCTGCCACCACACCCAGCTAATTTTTTTTATATTTTAGTAGAGACAGGGTTTCACCACATTGGTCAAGCTGGTCTTGAGCTCCTGAACTCAAGCAACCTGCCTGGCTCGGACTCCCAAAGTGCTGGGATTACAGGCATGAGCCACCACGCCCGCCTCTTTTGGTTTTAATTGTGGGGAAATATACACAATATAAAAGTGACTGTTGCAGCTATTTTAAGTGAACAATGCAGCGGCATCGTGTGCATTCACGATGTTGTGCAAACCATCTGATTACATAACTTTTTCACCATTCCTAACAGAAGCTCTCCACCCATGAAGCAAACCCTCCACATTTCAACCTCCCCCAGGCCCTGGCAAGCACCTGAGCTCCCTGGATACACCAGACATCCTGAGCCTTCTTCAGGAATCTCTCTTGACTGAACAGCTCTTCAATGATTTCCTTTTTTTTTTTTTTTTTTTTGAGACGGAGTTTCACTCTTGTTGCCCAGACTGGAGTGCAATGGCACAATCTTGGCTCACTGCAACCTCCACCTCCTGGGTTCAAGAGATTCTCCTGCCTCAGCCTCCCGAGTAGCTGGGATTACAAGTCCCAGCTAATTTTTGTATTTTTTAGTAGAGATGGGGTATCACCATGTTGGCCAGTCTGGTCTCAAACTCCTGGCCTCAGGTGATCCACCTGCCTCGGCAGCCCAAAGTACTGGGATTACAGGAGTGAGTCGCCGTGTCTGGCCAGTGATTTGCATTTTGAGCCGTCTCTTTTCTTGCATCTCAAACAAATTCAAGGTCAAGTCGCAACTGGTGTGGATATTATACTGCAGCCCCAAGCTAGAGCCTGGATCTGGGGTCCACGTTCCTGGCCCCAGGTGCCATAAGACAGCCTTCCTGCTCTCACATTTGAGAATTCGCCTCTCTTTCTTTTGAGCTCAGCCATGTGTTTATAGCTGGGGGATCTGTATCCACCTGGTACATTTCTGTTGCTAAAACCCTCCACATTTTTTCTCACCCTCCCACATAACCTCTGACGGCAGCCTTTCCATTTACAGCGCAGAAATAATGGTGCCTACCCCCCCTAGACGTGAGCTGGGACCGTAGGCTGGTGCATCGCTTCTGAAAAGTGAATACCGAATGTATTCCAGGTCCAGCTGAAACGCAAAGTCAGGCCACCACTTAAGAAGATTGGAGGGCCGAGCGTGAATTTAAAATGACTACTAGGTAATCGCACCTTCTCTTAACTGGCCTGCTTCTTTGCTGGGTTTTATTTTAAGCGCTTCGAAGCATTTGTGTTGCTTTTGTGATCCTTCGTTCGTTCGTGGCTCTTTTGCAGCCAAACCCTCCCCTGGCTTATGCAAATATGAGTCCCCCAGAAGGCAGCCCCCACACCAACTGCGAGGGACAGAGATAGTAAATTCCAGAGTCAGGTTCTCGGTTTCGCCACCATCAGGAGAGATGAGGCCTGGAGTTCGGGGCTGGGGGCAGGGAACAAAGCCCCACCTAAAATATCCCCACTGCCCACAGAGCCCCCCTCCATCAGCTCTTCTGCAACAGAGGGTACATGCCTTTGGACTGTTGTTACCAAACCAGAGTCTACCCGCCTCGCACAGCAAAGCCTAATTCTGACATCAGGGCTGCAGTGAAGAGAAAATGAGGCGTTTCGTGCAGGACTCCAAACAGGGAGAATTGGGCAGCTCAGCTCGTGCTTAAAACCCAGACTCCCTGACGGCTTCCCAATGGCTTGTGGGCAAGGGCTTTTAAAGGTGGGGAGGATCTGGGCACGGCAGCTGACGCCTATAATCCCAGCACTTTGGGAGGCCGACGAGGGTGGATCACTTGAGGCCAGGAGTTCGAGGCGAGCCTGGGCGACATGGTGAAACCCTCTCTTTACTGAAAATACAAAAAATTAGCTGGGTGTGGTGGTGCGCGCGCACCTGTAATCCCAGCTGCTCCAGAGGCTGAGGCAGGAAAATCGCTTGAGCCCAGGAGGTGGAGGTTGCAGGGAGCCAAGATCACACCATTGCACTCCAGCCTGGGAGACAGAGCGAGACTCCATCTCAAAAATAAATAAATAAATAAATAGAAGTGGGATATCTCGAAGCAGGGACCCACAGGTCATAGGAAGATTTGAAATGCTTTTTTTTTTGATGGAGTCTCGCTCTGTTGCCAGGCTGGAGTGCAGTGGTGCGATCTCAGCTCACTGCAACCTCCACCTCCTGGGTTCAAGCGGTTCTCCTCCCTCAGCCTCCCGAGTAGCTGGGATTACAGGCATGCACCACCATGCCCAGCTAATTTTTGTATTTTTAGTAGAGACGTGGCTTCACCATATTGGCCGGGATGGTCTTGATCTCCTGACCTCATGATCTGCCTACCTTGGCCTCCCAAAGTGTTGAGATTACAGGCATGAGCCACCGCGCCCGACCTGAAGATTTTCTAATTTGCAATTGCTTTAAGCAGGTGAAGCTTTGTTTAAAAATCTGGGATCAGTAGAAAAGAATGTTAGCTCTGGCCTGTGGACAGGACCTCCTGCCGGCCCGTGGGGAAATAATTTAGAACAAAGAACAGGGGTCAGAGTTCTGTCCTCAGCTCCCCCTGAGGTCTAGGCCTGTCAACAGATCGTTTGGTGGGGGGGTCCAGGTTTCTGAAAAACAACTCAGGGACATATGTTAAGATGTCATCTTTGGGAGGCTGAGGCAGAAGAATGGCGTGAACCCGGGAGGCGGAGCTTGCAGTGAGCTGAGATCTCGCCACCGCACTCCAGCCTGGGTGACAGAGTGAGAATCCGTCTCAAAAAAAAAAAAAGATGCCATCTTTAGCTGGGTGCGGTGGCTCCCGCCTGTAATCTCAGCACTTTGGGAGGCCAAGGTAGGCGGATCACCTGAGGTCGAGAGTTTGAGACCAACATGGAGAAACCCCATCTCTACTAAAAATAAAAAATTAGCTGGGCATGGTGGCGCATGCCTGTAATCCCAGCTACTCGGGAGGCTGAGGCACGAGAATTGCTTGAACCTGGGAGGCGGTGGCACCAGAATTCTTGAACCTGGGAGGTGGAGGCATGAGAATTGCTTGAACCTGGGAGGCAGAGGTTGCAGTGAGCCACGATCGCGCCATTGCACTCCAGCTTGGGCAACAAAAGCGAAACTCCATCTCAAAAAAAAAAAAAGAGTTTGAGACCAGCCTGGCCAACACAGTGAGACCCCCGTCTCTACTAAAAATACAAAAATTAGTTGGGCATGGTGGCACGTGCCTGTAATCCCAGCTATTAGGGAGGCTGAGGCAGGGGAATCGCTTGAATCTGGGAGGCGGAGGTTGCAATGAGCTGAGATTGCACCATTGCATTCCAGCCTGGGTGCTAGAGCGAGACCCTATTGAAAAAAAAAAAAAGGATGGGCTGGGCACAATGGCTCACACCTGTAATCCCAGAACTTTGGGAGGCTGAGGTGGGTGGATCACCTGAGGTCAGGGGTTCAAGACCAGCCTGGCCAATATGGCGAAACCCCCATCTCTACTAAAAATACAAAATTAGCTGGGCGTGGTGGTGCATGCCTGTAATCCCAACCATTCGGGAGGCTGAGGCAGGAGAATCACTTGAACCTGGAGGTGGAGGTTGCAGTGAGCCAGAATTGCGCCATTGCACTCCAGCCTGGGTGACAGAGCCTGACTCCATCTCACAAAAAAAAAAAAAAAAAGAAAAAGAAATAGGGTGAATGCAGATGTAATTAGTTAAGGGTCTTGAGATGAGGTTGTATTGGATTTAGGGTGGGCCTTAAACCCAATGACAGAGGAGAAGACAGAGACACAGAGAAGAGACAGAGCCTGGAGCGATGCAGCCTCAAAGCGAGGAACACCTGGAGCCACCAGAGGCTGGAAGGGGCAGGAAGGATCCCCACAGAGACCTTGGAGGGAGTGTGGGTGGCCCTGGCAGACACCTCAATCTCAGACTTCTGACCTCCAGAACAGTGAGAGAATCAAGTTCTGTGGTTGAAGCCACCCAGTCTGCAATACTTTGCCATGGCAGTCCTAGGACATTAACCCAGCTGGCATGTGGTGGCGTTGGGATTTGAACTGTGAAGATTGATCATCTGAACTGGGTCATTCTTGTCATACTCAACTAAAACAGCGTCAAGAGGCCAGGGGGGAAAAACTGACACAGAACCATGCTCCAAAAATGTCATTCTCCGCAAGCCCCAAGGCTGGCACTGCTGCTGTAATTTGAGGCCAGTTTTCTGTACAGCTGCTGAGATAGCTCACTGCAACCCTAGGACTAATTTTGCCCACCTCTATCACCTGTCAATCAGAGCTTCCCAGGTTCCCTTCCTGGGAACCTCACTAGCACCAAGGATCTTTCTCAAAGAGCAGTATGTGCTGGGTGTGGTGACTCACACCTGTAATCCCAGCACTTTGGGAGCCTTGAAGCAGGAGGATCACTTGAGGCCAGGAGTTCAAGACCAGCCTGGGCAACATAGCGAGACCTCATCTCTACAAAAACAAATAAAATTGGGCCGGGCGCAGTGGCTCACGCCTGTAATCCCAGCACTTTGGGAGGCCGAGGTGGGTGGATCACCTGAGGTCAGGAGTTCGAGACCAGCCTGGCTAACATGGTGAAACCCCGTTTCTACTAAAAATACAAAAAATTAGCCAGGCGTGGTGGCATGCGCCTGTAATCCCAGCTACTTGGGAGGCTGAGGCAGGAGAATCACTTGAACCCGGGAGGCAGAGGTTGAAGTGAGCTGAGATCGCGCCATTGCACTCCAGCTTGGGCAACAAGATCAAAACTCCATCACAAAAAAAACAAAAACAAAACACACACACACACACACACACGCACACACACAAAGAAAATTAGCTAGCGTGGGCCGGGCATGGTGGCTCACGCCTGTAATGCCAGCGCTTTGGGAGGCCAAGGCGGGTGGATCACCTGAGGTCAGGAGTTCAAGACTAGCCTGACCAATATGGCGAAACCCCCATCTCTACTAAAAATACAAAAATTAGCTGGGCATGGTGGCACATGCCTGTAATTCCAGCTACTTCGGAGGCTGAGGCAGGAGAATCACTTGAACTCGGGAGGTGGAGTTTGTGGTGAGCCAAGACTGGGACATTGCACTCCAGCCTCGGCAACAAGAGCGAAACTCCATCTCAAAAAGAAAGAAAGAAAGAGAAAATTAGCCAGCATGGTGGTGCGTGCCTGTAGTCCCAGCTACTTGGGACGCTGAGGCGGTAGGAGTACTTGAGCCTGGGAAGTCCAGACTGCAGTGAGCTATGATTGAGCCACTGCACTCCAGCCTGGGCAACAGAGTGAGACCCTGTCTCAAAAAAAAAAAAATTAATTCTAAGAGCAATACGTAACATTTCCCTTCTCTCTCTCTCTCTCTCTCTCTCTCTCTCTCTTTCTCTGTAAAACCTCCTACCTCCATTTTGTTCTTGGACATACCTAGTCAGTGTGAATGCCCCGAATTACAGTTCTGTCTTCCCAAATAAAACACTGTATTTTCTTTATTTTTTTTTTTGAGATAGGGTCTCGCTTTGTCACCCAGGCTGGAGTGCAGTGGTGCAATCTCGGCTCACTGCAACCTCCATCTCCCGGGTTCAAGCGATTCTCCTGCCTCAGCCTCCTGAGTAGCTGGGATTAAAAGTGTGCACCACCACGCCTTGCTAATTTTTGTATTTTTGGTAGAGACGGGGTTTCACCGTGTTGACCAGGCTGGTGTCGAACTCCCGACCTCAAGTGATCCGCCCACCTCGGCCTCCCAAAGTGCTGGGATTATAGGCGTGAGCCACCCCACCCCACCCAATTAAAACGTTTTAATTTCAGAGATTCGTCTCTGCATTTTTCTTTCTTTCTTTTTTTTTGAAATGCAGTCTTCCTCTGTTGCCCAGGCTGGAATGCAGTGGCGTGATCTTGACTCACTGCAACCTCCACCTCCTGGGTTCAAGCGATTCTCCTGCCCCAGCCTCCTGAGTAGCTAGGGCTACAAGCATGCTCAAGTGATCCACCTGCCTTGGCCTCACAAAGTACCTGGCCCTGCATTTTTATCATGACTTCAAAGAACCCTGATTTACCAAATCAGAGTGGACACAGGTCTTGAGCTCCTTAATACTGGAAAGAAGCCCTAAGAATCGAGCCTCTTACCTCTGTGATGCTGCATGCAAAATTCTCCCTGCTGTTCAAATAGCCCAGGCCCCTCACTGTGTCCCCGGGCCTGCCCTCGGCCTGCAGGCTAAGGCTCTGAGCCTGTGGCCTGGAAGGGGCTGCTCTGGGCAGGAGATGAGGAAGGAAAGCCCTGGCCGCTCCTTCTGGGCACACTTCCTCGACGGTGACAAGGCAGCCGCGTGGCCAGAGGGGCAGGGGCTTAGGCTGAGTGTGTTTTCTCCTTGCAGTTCAGGGCGAGGTCTGGATTTGCCACGGCTGTGGCCTGCAGGGCTTGTGGCCAGCAGGCTCCCAGGAGGCCCTGCTGGGTGGTACTTAAGTGAGTGATAAATGAGATGGACTGTCTGCATCGATCCACCCTGGGCCTCACAGAATGGGAACTGTCGGATAGATACTGTGGCTGCCCAGGAGACGGGGCCTTCTGGGAGCAGCTGTTATCGTGGCTGCAGCTGCCTCGGCCCCCACCACTCAGGCAGGCCTTGGCCATAGTCGTGGTGGGGAAGCACCCAGGCCCTGTAGCTCAAGGGCTCCAGGCCGCCCACCCAGATCTGTGTGATCAGTTTCACAGCAGCCCCCACACCACCCTCCTGGGGAAAGGCGGGAACGTAGCATCATCTGCTGACTCAGTGGATTCCGGGGGGACCCTGCTCCACCAGCTCCAGGATAATCCTCTCCAAGCGGGACCAAGGCCAGGAAGTGTGTTCGTTTACTTCTTACTCTCTCTTTTCAAAATGGCTTTATTTAGGCCTGGTGTGGTGGCTCACACCTATGATCCCAGCAATTTGGGAAGCCGAGGCTAGTGGATCACTTGAACTCAGGAATTCGAGACCAGCCTGGCCAAAAAGGTGAAACCCTGCCTCTACTAAAAATACAAAAATTAGCCGGGTATGGTGGCGCACGCCTGTAGTCCCAGCTACTTGGGAGGCTGAGGCATGAGAATCGCTTAGACCCAGGAGACGGAGGTTGCAGTGAGCTAGGATTGAGCCATTGTACTCCAGCCTGGGTGACAGAGTGAGAACCTGTCTCAAAAAAAAAAAAAGGCTTTATTGGTTGAGCACGGTAGCTCACACCTGTTATCCCAGCACTTTGGGAGGCTGAGGTGGGTGAATTCCTTGAGGCTGGGGGTTTGAGACCAGCCTGGCCAACATGGTGAAACTCTGTCTCTACTAAAATTGCAAAAATACAAAAAAATTAGCTGGGCGTGGTGGTGCATACCTATAGTCCCAGGTACTCGGAAAGATGAGGCAGGAGAATCACTTGAACCCAGGAGGCAGAGGTTGCAGTGAGCTGAGATCATGCCACTGTACCCCAGCATGGGTGACAGACCCAAACTCTTAGCTCCAAAAAAAAAAAAAAAAAAAGACAGAGTCTCATTATGTCACCCAGGCTGGAGCGCTATGGGACAATCACAGCTCACTCCAGCCTCAAAATCTTTGGCTGAAGTAATCCTCCTGCCTCAGTCTCCTGAGTAGCTGAGACTACAGGTGTGCACCACCATGCCCGGCTAATTTTTGTGTTTTTTGCAGAGATGAGGTATCGCTATGTTGCCCAGGCTGGTCTCAAACTTCTAACCTCAAGTGAGCCTCCTGCCTCAGCCACCAAAGCGCTGAAATTACAGGTGTGAGCCGCCATACCTGGTCTGCACTTGAAGCTTTTGAACTGTTTACTGCTTGATGTCCAGAAATGGCCACATTCTCAGTATTGGTGCTTTCGCTATTGTCACTTTGCCACCTCCTCTTCCTCTTGGTCATCTTGGGGACTTGAACACAGGACAGAGGAGCCAAGGCTGTCTTCCTGGTTCACACGCTCTCCTTGTCAGGGGGCAGTAGGCTGTGTATTTGAGTTGCTAACCGCTAAGAAGGAATACAGCAATGACGGGAGGGGGTCCCTGAAGACTTAGCTAACACAGTGAAGCTGGCAGGGCGCTGTGGTTCATGCCTATAATCCCGGCACTTTGGGAGGCCGAGGTGAGCAGATCACTTGAGGTCAGGAATTCGAGACCAGGCTGGCCAACATAGTAAAACCCTGTCTCTAGTAAAAATATGAAAATCAGGCGGGGATGGTGGTGCACACCTGTAATCCCAGCTACTCGGGAGGCTAAGGCAGGAGAATCGCTTGAACCTGGGAGGCGGAGGTTGTGGTGAGCCGAGGTCATGCCACTGCATTCCAGCCTGGGCAACAGAGGGAGAGACTCCATCTCAAAAAAATAAATAAATAAAAAGTAAACACAGTGTAGCTGTGGAGCACGGCAGGGCACTCACAGGGGAGCAAGAGCCCCCAAGGCCTATTTCTGCAGTGAGGAAGGTGTCGGCCTAAACAGAAGAGATAGAAAATCGCCAGGCTC
Organism: Homo sapiens; assembly: GCF_000001405.40. Lineage (NCBI taxonomy): Eukaryota > Metazoa > Chordata > Mammalia > Primates > Hominidae > Homo > Homo sapiens. The sequence goes on from NC_000007.14 coordinate 56,987,280, forward strand.
CCTGGGAAATGACTGTGTTCAAAATCAAACAAGCAATCTTGGTCAAAAAGACAGGGGAGCACCTGATAGGGTCAGGCTTTGGGAGGCTGTGAGAATAGTGAGTTCAGAGTTTGCATGAGCAAATTGGGTTTACACAGTTCTGCATGGCAGATGATGGGAATTTTCTGAAAAACCCAGGAGAAAATTATATTTAGATGTCATATTCTAAATACATCCTCTAGGATCCTGTGACTGTGTCTGCAAAAATGAACAAAAAATCTTTTATTTCCTTCCATTCACGGGTCCTGTCAAATATCTGTGGATCGTAAAGTGTCCCACACTCAAGAAAACTGTGGAGTGGACCTTGAAGGGCTTCCCCACCTGTGCAGGAGGGAAGACTCACAACAAACTGCAGGGTGGCCAGAGAGAACTCCTGACCTCAAATGATCTGCCCACCTCAGCCTCCCAAAGTGCTGGGATTGCAGTCGTGGGCCACCGTGCCTGGCTGTATTCTGCTTTTCAGACTTAGTTCAGTCTGTGTTATATCATGTGTACTGCCACATGGGATGGGCTTTTACTTTTATTTTCTATCTTTTTTTTTTTAAAGACAGAATCTGTCCTACTGCCCAGACTGGAGTACAGTGGTGAGATCTTGGCTCGCTGAAACCTCTGCCTCCCAGATTCAAGCGATTCTCTTGCCTCAGCCTCCCGAGTAGCTGGGATTACAGGTGCTCACCACCATGCCCGGCTCATTTTTGTATTTTTAGTAGAGACAAGGTTTTGCCATGTTGGCCAGTCTCGTCTTGAACTCCTGACCTCAGGTGATCGGCCCACCTCAGCCTCCCAAAGTGTTGCAATTATAGGCATGAGCCACCATGCCCAGTCTTCTATCAATATTTTTATTGTATTTATTTATAAGAGACAAGAGTCTTGCTCTGTTTCCCAGTCTGGAGTGCAGTGCTGATTGTAGCTCACTGCAGCCTCGAATTTCCAAGTTCGAGCAGTTTTCCTGCCTCAGTCTCCTCTGAGTAGATGGGACCACAGGTGCACACCAACACACCTAGCTAATTTTTCTTTTAATAAGAGACGGTGGTCTCAGCCGGGCGCAATGGCTCATACGTGTAATCCCAGCACTTTGGGAGTCCGAGGCGGGTGGATCACGAGGTCAGGAGTTCGAGACCAGCCTAGCCAATATGGTGAAACCCCACCTCTACTAAAAAAATACAAAAAAGTAGCCGGGTGTGGTGGCAGTCGCCTGTAGTCCTAGCTACTCGGGAGGCTGAGGCAGAAGAATCGCTTGAACCCAGGAGGCGGAGGTTGCAGTGAGCTGAGATTGTGCCACTGCACTCCAGCCTGGGTGACAGAGCGAGACTCCGTCTCAAAAAAAAAAAAAAGCGGCAGCAGGAAAGGTGGTCTCACTGTGTTGCCCAGGCTGGTTTCAAACTCTTGGGCTCAAGTGATCCTCCTGCCTCGACCTCCCAAAGTGCTGGGATTACAGGTGTATACCACCACGTCTGACTAATTAAAAAAAAATATTTTCATGCAGATGGGGTGGGGTCTCCTTATGTTGCCCAGGCTGGTCTTGAACTCCTGGGCTCAAGCAGTCCTCCTGCCTTAGCCTCCCACAGTGCTGGGATTATAGGCGTGAGCCACCATGCCTGGACATCAGTATTTTTTTTTATTTTTTGAGACAGAGTCTCACTCTTGTGGCCCAGGCTGGAGTGCAGTGGTGCAACCTCAGCTCACTGCAACCTCTGCCTCCCGGGTTCAAGTGATTCTCTTGTCTCAGCCTCCCAAGTAGCTGGGATTATAGGCTCGTGCCCTCACACCTGACTAATTTTTGTATTTTTAGTAGAGATGGGGTTTCACCATGTTGGCTGGGCTGGTCTCGAACCCCTGGCCTCAAGTGATCTGCCTGCCTTGGCCTCCCGAAGTGCTGGGATTACAGGCGTGAGCCACCGCGCCTGGCTGTCAGTATTTTTAAATGGTTGAATGCCATTCCACTGCCTGCCTGTCTCCCACCACTGACCCTGCTGGCGGTTGGTGGTTTGGGTGATGATGGTGTTTTGCTGTCATAATTACCAAAGCAGGCAGTGTCTCTGTTTTGCTTACAGAACTTCTATCACATCGGAAATTATTTTCTTATTTACTTTATTTTTTTTTTTTACAAAAAAGTAGGGGAAGGCTCCCAGCCGTGGGTTTTCTGATCAAAGGGAAAGAAACAGTTACTGGTTTTATCTGATTATAACAGTAATTTGGAAGATAAAAGAAAAATCCATTCAGGCCTTTTTTTTTCTGCTGTCATTTCCTTTTGTTCCCCCGTGGGTACAGCTGCAGGGACATGTACCAGGAGCTGCAGCTATCTGCTTAATGACAGATCCCAGAGATAAGGGGACAGCGCCACTAACATTCCTTCAGCGCCTAAGATGCCTCTGATTCCAGAAGGATGACTTGCATTAAAGAGTTCAGCAGCAACAAGAAAATAAAACACACAGACACACACACACACACACACACAAACACACATACATATATATAGTCTCCCCCCCCAAAATGGGGATTAAACTGTATATTCTTTTTCCCTAGAACATGCCATTTTTTGTTTCTTTTAATGCTCTTTGCTTTGACTTTCATTTTGGATATGGACACTGTGACTTCTGTTGTTGTCTTGGTAACATTTTACCATTATTATCTTTATTTATTACTTTTCTACCTCTCCTGGCCTTGACCATTTGTTTTTGTTGTTGTTGTTGTTTGTTTGTTTTTTGACACAGAGTCTCACTCTGTCGCCCAGGCTGGAGTGCAGTGGCACGATCTCGGCTCACTGCAACGTCCGTCTCCTGGTTCAAGCGATTCTCCTGCCTCAGCCTCCCAAGTAGCTGGGACTACAGGTGCGTGCCACCATGCCCGGCTACTTTTTTATATTTTTAGTAGAGATGGGGTTTCACCGTGTTAGCCAGGATGGTCTCGATCTCCTAACCTCGTGATCCGCCCGCCTCGGCCTCCCAAAGTGCTGGGATTACAGGCATGAGTCACCGCGCCTGGCCTTTTTTTTTTCTTAATTTTATTTTATTTTTGAGACGGAGTTTTGCTCTTTTTTGCCCAGGCTGGAGTGCAATGGCATGATCTCGGCTCATTGCAACCTCCACCTACTGGGTGCAAGCGATGCTTCTGCCTCAGCCACCCGAGTAGCTGAGATTACAGGCACCCGCCACCATGCCCAGCTAATGGCCATTTGTTTTAGACATGTTCCTTTTAGAAAGTGTAGATTTTTTAGCTGGGCATGGTGGTACATGTCTGTAGTCCAAGCTACTTGGGAGGCTGAGGCAGGAGGATTGCTTGAGCCCAGGAGGTTGAGACTATAGTCGGCTGTCATTGCACCACGGCACTCCAGCCTGGGCAACAGAGCGAGACCCTGTCTCAAAAACAACAACAAAACAGAGAGTGAGAAAACGGAGGCAGCCTACAGGCCCTTCTCATCGCGGGGGTGGTTAAAGTAAGTGCATTACGGTTTCTCCATACCTTGGCTCAATAGGCTGCTGTTAAAATGAAGCTCCTTTTATATGTATCAGTCATGTTAGGGGGGAAACGTTGCAAAGCAGGACTATTGGTAAATTCCCACTTTTTTTTTTAAATACTGTGTCTGCATGGTTGTGTCTGCGTAGCCTTCATATTTACAGGGTTGTGTGTGCTTGTGGAAAGTTCTAGAAGGATATACCATGCTGTTACTAGTAGCTGACTCTGTGGAGTTGGTAGGAGGGTCACTGGAGAGGAACTTGCAACATATATACACTTCAGTGTTGTCTTTTTTGGGCAGATGGGGCAACAAGTAATATATACTAGTAATAAGATAATAAACATTAAAAACAGCCTGTAATCCCAGCACTTTGGAAGGCCAAGGCAGGAGGATTGCTTGAGGCCAGGAGTTTGAGACCAGCCTGGGCAACATAGGAAGACCCTGTCTCTAAAAAAATAAAAAATAAAAACTTAGCTGGGTGTGGTGGTGTGCACCTGTAGTCCAGCTACTCAGGAGGCTGAGGTAGGAGGATAACGTGAGCACGGGAGGTCGAGGCTGCATTTAGTGGTGATGGTGCCACAGTCCTCTGGCCTGGGCAACAGAGCGAGACCTTGTCTCCAAAAAAAAAAAAAAAAAGCCGGGCGGGCGCGGTTGCTCACGCCTGTAATCCCAGCACTTTGGGAGGCCGAGGCGGGCGAATCACAAAGTCAGGAGATTGAGACCATCCTCGCGAACACGGTAAAACCCCGTCTCTACTGAAAATACAAAAACATTAGCCGGGTGTGGTGGCGGGTGCCTGTGGTCCCAGCTACTCGGGAGGCTGAGGCAGGAGAATGGCGTGAACCCGGGAGGCGGAGCTTGCAGTGAGCCGAGATAGCACCACTTCACTCCAGCCTGGGTGAGAGCGAGACTCCGTCTCAAAAAAAAAAAAACAAAAAAAACCCCAAAACCAAAAACACTTGCAGGGAGAGAGAGAAGGGGCGTTTTGTTCCTCCTGGGAGGGCACACTTGGGGTGGCACAGAACTTGGGAGTGAGTGAGTCAGGGGGACAGGAGTGCTGCCTGCACTTTCCCTGCTATTTCATGGATCCTCTCTGCTGCTTCCTCCTTCAGAAGAAGAAAGGGAAAGAGGCCATGCCAGGAGCTGGGCTGCTGCCACCCCAAGCTCCCGCCTTGCCCTCTGAGGCCAGGGCTCCTCACGGCATCTCCCTGACTGCTGCCAGAAGGAGCAAAGCCAAGGCCAAAGGGAAGGAGGTGAAGAAGGAGGTGAGGCTCACCGTGCCCTGGTGGGGGGCTGTGGGGGGCTGAGCCATGCTCCTGTGGTCGGGGCCAGGGGCTCCACCTGCTGCTCTGTATTCATCCCCCCTGTAGCTGTGGCTCAGAGAGGTTGCGGGTGACGAGGGTGACGTGGCTGTCCCCGTGCTCCAGGGATAAGGAGATACTGGGGACTCTGCTCCTGTCCTCAGGAAATGTCTGCTCTAGCGGGGGCGAGGGACACTGGAACAGAGACCAGGAGACCTGGGTGACAGGCCCTCAGCCCAGCACCAGGTCCTTACAGGGCCCTCAGGCTTGGGTGAATCTGCCCAAGTGGCAGATGATGGCATGCCCACTCCCGACACCTGCTAGCCCCTGCCCAAGTGGTTTTTCCTCAAGCCCATTGGGTGGAAATGCTGGAGATGCTGCTGAAGTTTCTCTAAGAAGGGAACGGAGGCACCTGCCATAGTGATGAACAGAGGTATGGTAGTGAGTACTGAGTGCTGAGTGCTGATACTGAGCACAGAGTACTGAGTATTGAGCACCAAGTACTGAGCATGGGCCAGCTGGGTTTTGGGCCCATTTCACCCTCCCCCTGGCCTCTGGGGTGCCCCTAACTGGGATCCCTGCCATGCACATGACAGATTCCCCCTGTGGCCTGACTGTGGCTCCAGGTTTCCAGAGAGGGTCCCCAGCCCGGCAGGACCCCCGTTCAGGTCCTAAGTCATTTGTCGGCCATGCTCTGTCCCCAGAACCTCAGCAAGGGGGGCGCTGTGAGCAAGCTGATGGAGAGCATGGCAGCCGAGGAGGACTTTGAACCCAACCAAGACTCGAGCTTCTCTGAGGACGAGCACCTGCCACGTGGCGGGGCTGCGGAGCGGCCGCTGACCCCGGGTGAGTGGCCATGATGCCACATGTGCCGGGCGGGGCTGCTGGAGCCTCCCCTGGGGGAGGCAGATCTGAGCAAGGCTTGAGACGGACGGGCTGGGCTAGCTGGGGCCAGGGAACCGCAGGAGCAGAGATCCTGAGGCTGTTACCCGGGTGGATGAGAAGGCTGGACTGGCTGCAGCTTAGTCAACTGCAGATGAGGCAAGAGAGCCGCCTTGGGACCAGGGAGGAGGCAGGTCCTGCGGGGCTTGGGAAGGAGTTCCGTGTTGGCCCTAAGGAAAATGAGAAGCTCTCTGAGGTTAGATGTGGGGATGTGATATGGTCAGATTGGCTTTAAAACGAGCTGTCTGGGCCGAGCGTGGTGGCCCATGCCTGTAATCCCAGCACTTTAGGAGACCGAGTTGGGCAGATCACCTGAGGTCAGGAGTTCCAGACCAGCCTGGCCAACATGGTGAAACCCTGATTCTACTGAAAATACAAAAATTAGCTGGGTGTGGTGGTGGGTGCATGTAATCCCAGCTACCCGGGAGGCTGGGGCGGGAGAATCACTTGAACCCAGGAGGCGGAGGTTGCGGTGAGCCAAGATCATGCCATTGCACTACAGCCTGGGCAAAAAGAGCGAAACTGTGTCTCAAAAAAAAAAAAAAAAAAGCTGTCTGGTGATGCACAGAGAATGAGTGGGGGCCCCAGGGAAGGCAGGGAGTCCAGTTAGGAGGCTGTGCTGTCCAGGCGAGAGTGGGTTGTAGCCTGGGGCTGCCGTGGGGGCAGCAGGGAAGGAGGCGGGGCAGGGTGCACACATTAGGAGGGAGAGTGGATGGGAGGTGGGGTCGGGGGTGCAGGCAGAGGAGAGGGGAAGGGAAGGGTGAGGACAGGTGTGGGGGTGGGCAGAGGCCCTGTCCCTGAGACCCAGGTCAGGGAGGGTCATCTACTGGGGTTTGATGACTATTGGGAAGTCATGCCCAGGCTCGGACCCAGGGGTCTGTAGCCCAGAGGCGAGATCGTGGGTATGGATGGGGGAGCAAGTGAGAAGGAGTCGGCCGCCCCAAGGCTGCATTGGTCACCTGCTGCTATGTGACAACCAACCGCCACCTGTGTGCGTCTCAGGGGCACGTAGGGCTGCTGGGTGGCCATGCAGACCCCCCGTGGCCTCGCTCCTGCGGTGATGGGCTGGCCAGGGGTCAGCTGCTCCAGGTCTGTGGTCCTCTCTGCATGCATTGTTTATCCTGCCAGACCCGTGGCTTAAGAGGAAAAGTTGGGCTTAAGAGCTCTCTCAAGGCCTAGGCTCAGCATTGGGCCCCGGCCACTTCTGAGAGCCACATGGCCAAGCCCAACGTCAAGGCGTGGGAAGTCAACTCTGCCTGTGACAAGGCCACGTGAGGGCTCTGTGCAGGCACAGGCAGGGATAGGGTGGTCCCAACCATCCCTCTCCCAGCGAGTCATCTGGGTAATGGGAATGTCGGGGACAGACCAGGTGAAAGGTCCCACTGAGAAGGAAGGGCAGGCCCAAGTGTCTCAGCAGGGGCAGGGAGAGGGAGGGAGCAGAGAGTTGGGGCAATGAGAGGTGACTGCCTTAGGGAAGTTTGCCCCTGGGCATTCATTTCCACCAGAAAGAAAAAGTGGATGGAAAGTCTCAGAGGTAGGTGGGGTGTGGTCACATGTACCTGTAATCCCAGTGCTTTGGGAGGCCGAGGTGGGAGGATCACTTGAGACTAGGAGTTCAAGATCAGTTGGGCAACGTAGCAAGACCCTGTCTCTACAAAAAATAATTAGCCAGGCATGGTGGTGTGCACCTATAGTCCCAGCTACTCAGGAGGCTAAGGTGGGAGGATGGCTTGAACCCAGGAGTTCGAGGCTGCAGTGAGCTATGATCTTGCCACTGCACTCCAGGATGGATGACAGAGCAAGACCTTGTCTCTGAAAAGATTATTATTATTATTATTATTGAGACGGAATCTCACTCTCTGTCACCCAGGCTGGAGTGCAGTGGCGTGATCTTGGTTCACTGCAGCTTCTGCCTCCCAGGTTCAAGCAATTCTCTTGTCTCAGCCTCCCAAGTAGCTGGGACTACAGGCATGCACTGCCACGCCTGGCTAATATTTGTGTTTTTAGTAGAGACAGGGTTTCACCATGTTGGCTAGAATGGTCTTGATCTCCTGACCTTGTGATCTGCCTGCCTCAGCCTCCCAAAGTGCTGAGATTACAGGCGTGAGCCACCGCACCTGGCCTGAAAAAATTATGTAAAAAAAAGAGGCCGGGCACAGTGGCTCACACCGGTAATCCCAGCACTTGGGAGGCTGAGGCGGGTGGATCACCCAAGGTCAGGGGCTCGGGACCAGCCTGGCCAACATGGCGGAACCCCATCTCTACTAAAAATACAAAAATTAGCCAGGCGTGGTGGCGGGTGCCTGTAATTCCAGCTACTTGGGAGGCTGAGGCACGAGAATCGCTTAAACCCGGGAGGCAGAGGTTGCAGTGAGCCGAGATCATGCCATTGCATTCCAGCCTGGGCAACAAGATTGAAACTCCATCTCAAAAATAAATAAATAAATAAATAAAATAAAAAGAAAGTCCTAGAAGTTTGGCTGAGGGCAGCAGTAAGGTGAGGGCAGACGTCATGATGGAGGATGGTCGCTGTGAGTGTCCGGTGATGGCTGGAACCCAGAGCTTCATGCCAGGCCCAGAGGCTGCTGGTCTTGAGGTGGGAAGAGACAGCACGTGCAGGCTTTCATCCCTGGGTTCACACCCACCTGGGGTCTTTGCAGACATCTGGGGCCAGGCCGGGGAGGGGGCTGGGAGGAGAGGGGAGGAGAGGGGAGGAGAGGGGCTGGCCACGGCACCCTGTGCGTGCCCACTGGTACACACAGGTCTGCACGGGTACACATACAGGCAGACGAAGGAGTGCACATGTCTCAGCCCCACAGGCCCACCCAGCACCAGGGCCTCCATTCCAAGGGGATGACTTGCGGGTGACAGGAGGAGGGAGAGGTGTCGCAGACACCCCTGGCTCCAGTCTTGCCTCACGATCCAACCCCTGCAGCCCCTCGCTCCTGCATCATCGACAAGGACGAGCTGAAGGACGGCCTGCGTGTGCTCATCCCCTTGGACGACAAGCTGCTGTAGGCTGGGCACGTGCAGACCGTGCACTCGCCAGACATGTGAGTGGGGTGGGAGGTCCGGCGCAGAGCCCCATGTCCCATACCTGCCCCGTGTCCCATACCCGCCCCGTGTCCTGGCCGCCTCTGTGCCTGGCTGCTTCTCCTTTCTGGGCTGTGGCTTCCCCCGAAGGCACAGGGCAGGGGCATGAGTGGGCTCAGAGCTGACGGGGAGGCCCTGGGCACTTTGAGGGAGTACTGGGTGAACCCTCCCAGGGGCTGGGCACGGCTGCTCCATGGCAGGAGCCACAGTGGGAAGGGGTGAGAGAGCATGCTGGCCTCTCTCAGGATCTGGACTGCGCCAGCCTGGTGTGCTCTACAACCCCTAGTCCTACAGATGAAGAAAATGAACCCAGAAAGGGGGAGAATTCCCAAATTCAGCAAGTCAGCAAACCTCTGAGTCCTGGTGTCACCTCCCAGTGGTCTAGGAGGCAGTGCTGGTGCTGGTGGGGTTGAGGCCCTCTGGGGAGGTCTTGGCCTCTGCCACCTCACACCTCGTTTGCTCCTACAGATACCGTGTGGTGGTGGAGGGTGAGCGTGGGAACCAGCCCCACATCTACTGTCTGGAGGAGTTGCTGCAGGAGGTGGTGAGAGGGGGAGGGGCGGGGCCTCGGGAGGCTTGGGGTGGGCTGGGTGTCCAAGGCCACGGCCATAACTGTGTCCACACCTTGGACTCATCCCATGCCCTCCTAGATCATCGATGTGAGGCCAGCTGCCACTCGCTTCTTGCCACAAGGGACCAGGATTGCAGCCTACTGGAGCCAGCAGTACCGCTGTCTCTACCCAGGCACCGTGGTCTGAGGTGAGATACCTCCTCCCCAACTCTCCCCTGCCGTCTAACATCTCAGTATGGACTTGTTTGGCTACTAAAACCCAACTCTAACTGCTTAAGGATAAAGACGTGTGGGCTCACATAACTGAAAACTGTATGGCCTTCAGGCATGGTTGGATCCAGGTGCCATTTAAACGATGTCATCAGGACTCCAGCTCTGAGTATCTGTCAGCAGTGCTGTCATCTGTGCTGGCTTCACACTAGCTCCTTGGAGATTGTATTTTACCATCTTAAGAAATCTTACCATTGTACGATTTCTCAGTCCCGGTTTTCCCACACAAGTTCTAGTGTGAACTGACTTGGGCCACATGGTTTTCATTGATCCTACCGCCGTGAGTCTGATCGACCGGGCCTGGGTCAGATTCTCATCCCTGGGGCTAAGGAGTGAGGTCACCTCCCTTTTATTCGTGGACTGAGAAAGATGGGAGGGTGGCTTCCCCTGCAAAGTGGACATGTTGTTAGAATAAGAGAGAATGAGGCTGGGTGTGGTGGCTCATGCCTGTAATCCCAGCACTTTGGGAGGCCAAGGTAGGTGGATCACTTGAGGTCAGGAGTTCAAGACCAGCTTAGCCAACGTAGTAAAACCCCATCTCTACTAAAAATACAAAAATTAGCTGGTCATGGTGGCAGGCGCCTGTAATCCCAGCTACTTGGGAGGCTGAGGCAGGAGAATTGTTCAAACCTGGGAGGCAGAGGTTGCAGTGAGCCAAGATTGCACCACTGCACTCCAGCCTGGGTGACAGAGTGTGACTACGTCTCAAAAAAAGAAAAAAAATGGGGGCTGGATGGAGAAAAACAACAGGTAACCTAGGAAATTTAGGTGTGGATATCAGACAGGCAAGAAAGACAGTCAAATGGTCCAACCCTTAGCTTTTGCAAAAGCAATGTGTCCTAGAGAGGGGGTATGGATGTGGATTAGACATTCCCCGCCTGTGCAAAAAAAAAAAGCCCACTCACATGCCAAATACAGTCCACTGCTTGGCCTACAATCCATTCATACCCAGAAGATGGAAGCCAATGCCAGCTCAGCAAAACAACAGATGACTGGTCCAGCCTGAGTAGAGGATCTCAGGCCAGAAGACTTAGTTTTTTCCATTGTATTAGTCACTCATTTATCATCCAAATTCTAAAAGTGCTGTTAATAAAGCAGAAGTTGGCCTTAGATTCGGATTTCCTGGCACACGCTGTCCCCCTGTACTGGGAGGTGCTGGCTGTGTTCTAGGCCTGCCTCATGGGTATCATTCTGGATTCTTGGGCCTTCCCTGTCCCTCATCCTGGGAACCACTTTTGTTGCGTTGCATGTTTTTCTCTTTTTTGGTTCAGCTCCTTGTTTTAAACAGTGGATCTTTGAGTAGCTTTCTGAGGAAGAGTCTGTGGGAGTTAAATTTCTCACATCCTCGTGTATTTGCAAATCTCTTCATTCTACCCTTATTTTTTAGAGATAGTTGAGCTGGGTACCCTTATTCTTTAGAGATAGTTGAGCTGGGTATAAATTCACGACTGGAAATAGTTCCCCTCACCATTTCAAAGACATTTTTCTATTTTTCTCTTGCTTCCCATGTTGAAGACATTCAACATTGTGATTCCAAAATCATTGTAGGAGACCTGCTTTTTTATCTCTGGAAACTTTTAGGATCTTCTCACTGTCCCTAGATCTGGAATTTCGTGTGTGTGTGTGTGTGTGTTCTCATCATGCTTGGTATCTGCAGAGGGAGGCTTTGATTTTGAAGCAAATTTCCTTGATTCTTGGAAGCTCTACTTGTAGCACAACTTGGATAACTTCTCTTGTGAATTTCATGTTTTCCCTGGAACTTGGGCTAGGTCCCATGGCCCCTGGTGTGTGTGTCTTTTTTTCTGTTAATATTTTCTTATTTTGTTCAACTTGCGGAGAGATTTTCTCTACTTTTATCTTCTAACCCCTTCTGTTTTCTTGAATTTTAAAATTTTCTGCTGTCATTTAAAAAAATTCTCCACCAGCTGCAGTGGCTTACGTCTGTAGTCCCAGCAGTTTGGGAGCCTGATGCGGGCAGATCACTTGAACCCAGGAGTTCGAAACCAGCCTGGGCAACATAGCAAGACCATGTCTCTACAAAAAGATACAAAAATTAGCCAGGCTTGGGCCAGGCGTGGTGGCTCACATCTGTAATCTCAACACTTTGGGAGGCCAAGGTGGGCAGATCACCTGAGGTCAGGGTTTGAGACCAGCCTGGGCAGCATGGTGAAACCCCGTCTCTATTAAAAATACAAAAATAAGCTGGGCATTGTGGCGGGTGCCTGTAATCCCAGCTACTCGGGAGGCTGAGGCAGGAAGGAATCACCTGAACCTGGGAAGTAGAGGTTGCAGTGAGCCGAGATCACACTGCTGCACTCTAGCCTGGGTAACATAGTGAGACTCTGTCTCAAAAAAAAAAAAATTATACAGGCTTGGTGGTGTGTACCTGTTGTCCTTGCTACTTGGGAGACCGAAGCGGGAGGATCACCTGAGCCTGGGTGGTCGAGGCTTCAGTGAGCTATGATTGCGCCATTGCATTCCAGCCTGGGTGACAGAATGACACCCTGTCTCAAAAAAAAAAAAAAAATCCTTAAGAGTTCTTTCTTATTCTCTGAATATTCCTTAAAATTTTTTTTTTGTTTTATCAACACATTTCTTTTTAAACTTTCTCAGAGGATTGTTTTTCATTTTAACTTTCTGTATTTTTTTGAGACAGAGTCTTGCTCTGTCACCCAGGCCGGAGTGCAGTGCAGTGATCTCAGCTTACTGCAGCCTCTACCTCCCGGGTTCAAGTGATTCTCCTGCCTCAGCCTCTGGAGTAGCTGGGATTACAGGCATGCACCACCATGCCCAGCTAATTTTTTGTATTTTTAGTAGAGACGGGATTTCACCATGTTGGCCTGACTGGCCTCGAACTCCTGACCTCAGGTGATCTGCCTCTCTCGGCCTCCCAAAGTGCTGGGATTACAGGCGTGAGCCACTGCGCCTGGCCTCATTTTAGCTTTCTGCAGCTCCCTCTCTCTTCCCAGTCCCCCCTCCTTCTGTTTGCTGGTGCTGTGCTCTTCCTCTGGTTAGAACTTCTTAGGCATCTGGGGACCCTGAATGAAGGGAACATTATCAAGCTGATGGGAACCCTGTGCACTCATGAGTCTTTGTCATAGCGGGTGGACAGGAAGTCTTGCCCAGATTCTGCAAGACTCACATCCTTGGGGATATAGTCCCAGCATCTGGCTTTTGGGAAGAGGGCTGGGCTATCACCCTTTGGGGGGCCTGTCCAGCCTCCTCCCTGCGCTCAGTGTCCTTCAGTCTGGAGCCTCTCTCTAGGGTGAACCTCCCAGCTCCTGCCAGCTGGGCCACCCTCAGCCTGTTCAGTGTTGAGGTCTCCCTCAGCCCTGCCTCTGGAGGTGGTTGGGGCCTCTCGAGCCCGAGCCTTGGCAGGATTCTCTTGGGAAAACCACCTCCTCCTCGTGGGTATCACCTCCTCCTAGGAGATCAAAGCCTGCTCCTGCACGTTCATCCCGGCATCTCTCCGGAAATGCCACCGTCTCCCACTGCCGCCCTCCCCTTTCCCATTCTTCATGTCCTTCAGGGTTGACACCTGTGTCCCTCCTTTGCTGTGGTTGCAGGAGGGTCTTGTGCGTGAGCGGGCACAGGTGCATGTGCTCAGCTGTCTTGTGTCACCCAAAGTCAGCTAGAAATGGGAGACCCAGGCCAGGGACAGTGGCTCACGCCTGTAATCCCAGCACTTTGGGAGGCTGAGGTGGGCAGATCACCTGAGGTCGGGAGTTTGAGACCAGCCTGACCAACATGGAGAAACCCTATCTCTACTAAAAATACAGAATTAGCCGGGCATGGTGGTGCATGTCTGTAATCCCAGCTACTTGGGAGGCCGAGGCAGGAGAATCACTTGAACCCGGGAGGCAGAGGTTGCGGCAAGTCAAGATCACGCCATTGCACTCCAGCCTGGGCATCGAGAGTGAAACTCTGTCTCAAAAAAAAAAAAAAGAAAGGGAGACCCATTTCTCCTGCCCGGATGGCCTGGCTCTAACACCCACATTCTGAGCCACTGTATACCCTCCACCCATGTCCCCACTGCTGTACCATAGAGACCAGGGCTGCACAGGGGCCAGTTTCTGCCATCCCGACCTTTGTGCCTCACTAGGGAGCTGGAGGTCGGAGGGCCTCCCCTGAGCCTCCCCTCCTCCCACAGGGTTACTGGACCTGGAGGAGGATGGGGACTTGACCACCGTGGAGTCTGACAACGGAGACACGGGCAGGATCCCCCTCTCACATATCCGCCTCCTGCCCCCTGACTATAAGATCCAATGTAAGTGACAAGCTCATGACACCCGGGCTCCTGCCAGGGGCCGCCCACCCAGGCTCTCGCCCTCCAAGCCCAGCTCTGGGCTGTGTCTGAAGTCATTTGGAGCCACAGGTGATAGAAGTAGCAGAATCCATGGATGGGCTCCTGTGAGATCCCAGGGTTCCCGGGTCCTGGGTCCATGAGGACAGCACAAGCCCAGTGGCCCAGGCCATGGGAAGCTGATCAAAAATTGTTAATGGCTGGGTGAGGTGGCTCACGCCTGTAATCCCAGCACTTTGGGAGGCCAAGATGGGCGGATCATGAGGTCAAGAGATCGAGACCATACCGGCCAATATGGTGAAACCCTGTCTCTATTAAAAATACAAAAATTAGCCAGGCGTGGTGACATGCACCTGTAGTCCCAGCTACTCGGGAGGCTGAGGCAGGAGGATCCCTTGAACCTGAGAGGCGGAGGTTGCAGTGAGCTGAGATCCTGCCACTGCACTCCATCCTGGCTACAGAGTGAGACTCTGTCTGAAAAAAAACAAAAAAAAAACAAAAAAACCAACAAAAGTCAGCATCTTTATCCACCTGTCCCAGTTCCACAAAGTGCTTTGTTTTACTTCATTATTCGGCAGCCTCTGGCTGCCCCCTGCAGACGGGGTTTCCCCTGCTGGACCTCACAGCCTGTCATGGGAGCCCACCCGGGGTCAGACACCTGGTGTCAGTTGCTTCCGCCCCCATCCCTGATCCCCGGGACAGACCATGGTCTTGGAAGCTCCAAGCTGGGGACCCCAGGCCTGACGAGCCACTCTGTCCTCTGCCCCACAGGTGCTGAGCCATCCCCGGCCCTCCTGGTGCCAAGTGCCAAGCGCCGCAGCCGGAAGACCAGCAAAGACACTGGGGAGGGCAAAGACGGTGGCACGGCTGGGTCGGAGGAGCCAGGAGCCAAGGCCCGTGGGCGTGGGTGGAAACCCAGCGCCAAGGCCAGGGGTGGTAGGTTGGCCCGGTCCCCAGGGCAGGGGCGGTGGGGGGAGCTCCTTCGTGCATCCAAACTCCGGGCTTGGGAACCTGTCGAAGTGCCTGCCTGCTGTCTGTAAGAACTCTGAGCCGAGTGCGGTGCCTCACACCTGTAATCCCAGCGCTTTGGGAGGCCAAGGCGAGCAGATCGCCTGATGTCAGTTCAAGACCAGTCTGGCCAACGTGGTGAAACCCCATCTCTACTAAAAATATAAAAATTAGCCGGGCATGGTGGTGAGTGCCTGTAATCCCAACCACGTGGGAGGCTGAGGCAGGAGAATCGCTTGAACCTGGGAGCTGGAGGTTGCAGTGAGCCAAGATCGCGCCATTACACTCCAGCCTGGGCAACAAGAGTGAAACTCCATCTCAAAAAAAAAAGAGAACTCTGCACCTGCACCACAGGGCCGTTCTGACCAGGTGACAGATGAGGAAACTGAGGCTGAGGGAGGCAGGTTGGTTTGTCAGAGGCAGAGCTGAGCTGCAGCTGGCCTGTGTTTCTTTCCAGAATCCAGAGAAAATGCTTCGTGCAGGCTGAAAGCAGAGGAGGACCCGCTTTGGGGCCAACACAACTTAAGGTTGTTATAGGGGAACTGCCGAAGGAGGCCTAAGAAGGCTGCAGCCAGGTTCCACTCAAGAAGTAGCAGGGCCAGGATTGAAACCAGGCCTTTCTGCTGGGCGCAGTGGTCCACACCTATTCTCAGCACTCTAGGAGGCCCAGGCACAGGGATCGCTTGAGCCCAGGAGTTTAAGACCAGCCTGGGCAACAGAGCAAAACTGTATCTCTACAAAAAAAAAAAAAAATAATAATAATACAAAAAATTCCCCAGGCATAGTGGCGCATGCTTGTGGCCTCAGGTTACTTGGGAGACTGAGGCTGGAGGCTCACATGAGCCCAGGGAGGTTAGGGCTGCAATGAGCTTTAATCACGCCACTGCACTCCAGCTTGGGTGACTGAGACCCCATCTCAAAAAAAAACAAAAACAAAAACAAAACTCACAGAAGCAGGCCTTTCTGATGAAAGCCACAGCTCATCTCTGCCAGGAAGCCTCCGCCCCAGCCTCTCATCTGTTTTGTTTTGCAGACAGAGCTTCTACCCTGGAGGAAGGGAACCCAACAGACGAAGTCCCCAGTACCCCCTTAGCCCTGGAGCCAAGCAGCACCCCAGGTTCCAAGAAGAGCCCCCCAGAGCCTGTGGACAAGCGAGCCAAGGCCCCCAAGGTGCGCCGGGCACTGCCGCAGCCCAGTCCCGCACCACCCGCCTTCACCAGCTGCCCAGCACCCGAGCCATTTGTGGAGCTGCCAGCTCCTGCCACCACCCTGGCCCCAGCACCCCTCATCACCATGCCTGCCACACGCCCCAAGCCCAAGAAGGCGCGGGCAGCCGAGGAGTCGGGTGCCAAGGGCCCTCGGAGGCCGGGGGAGGAGGCCGAGCTGCTTGTCAAACTGGATCACGGGGGTGTCATGTCACCCAAAAGCAAGAAGGCTAAAGAGGCCCTGCTGCTCCGGGAGGATCCGGGGGCGGGGGGCTGGCAGGAGCCCAAGAGCCTCCTGAGCCTGGGCAGCTATCACCCGGCGGCCGGCAGCAGCGAGCCCAAGGCACCCTGGCCCAAGGCCACCAACCGGGACCTCGCCCAGGAACCCGGGCCGGGGCTCACGTTCGAGGACTCTGGGAACCCCAAGAGCCCGGACAAGGCCCAGGCTGAGCAGGACGGGGCCGAAGAGTCCGAGAGCAGCAGCAGCAGCAGCAGTGGCTCGGAGACAGAAGGGGAGGAGGAAGGCGACAAGAACGGGGACGGGGGCTGCGGCGCCGGGGGCCGTGGCGCCGGGGGCCGTAACTGCAGCGCTGCCAGCTCCAGGGCGGCCTCACCGGCCTCCTCCTCCCCCTCCTCCTCCTCCTCCTCCTCTTCCTCCTCCTCCTCTTCCTCTTCGTCTTCCTCCTCTTCCTCCTCCTCCTCTTCCTCATCCTCATCCTCCTCCTCCTCTTCCTCTTCTTCTTCCTCCACCACAGATGAGGACTCTTCCTGCAGCTCGGACGATGAGGCAGCCCCCGCCCCCACGGCTGGCCCTTCTGCGCAGGCGGCGCTCCCCACCAAGGCCACCAAGCAGGCCGGCAAGGCGCGGCCCTCGGCCCACTCCCCAGGCAAGAAGACGCCCGCGCCCCAGCCCCAGGCGCCTCCTCCGCAGCCCACACAGCCTCTGCAGCCCAAGGCTCAGGCCGGGGCCAAGAGCCGACCCAAGAAGAGAGAGGGCGTCCACCTCCCCACCACCAAGGAGCTGGCCAAGCGGCAGCACCTGCCGTCCGTGGAGAACCGGCCCAAGATTGATGCCTTCCTGCCAGCCTGGCAGCTCTGGAAGTGGTTCGGCAAGCCCACCCAGGTGAGCAAGCTCGCGCCCGGGCACGGCCGAGGGGCCGGGGGCCTTGTCTCTCTCTGCTGGTCCCACGGCTTCACGCCGTGTCTCCGCGTGTGGTAACCTCCCAGAACCCCAGGGTGGAGGGCTGGCGTCCCACTTTATGGATGGGTACACTGAGTCTCAGAGTGTCCTCAGGCACCTGGGTCTGTCGGACTCCGATGCCTGAGTCCTTCAGAGCAGAGCGGTCCTGCCCTCTGGTCCTGGGAGGCAGAGCCACCCTCATGTGGAGCCCAGATGAAGGAAACGTGCAAAGATCAGCACAGACCCACAGGCGTCAGCGCCACGTGGAAGGGGCTTTCCAGGCCTCTGGGATTGTTTCCTTTTTCTTTTTTTGAGACTGAGTCTCTCTCTGTTGCCCAGGCTGGAGTGAGGTGGTGTGATCTTGGCTTACTGCACCCTCTGCCTCCCGGGTTCAAGCAATTCTCCCGCTTCAGCCTCCCAAGTAGCTGGGATTACAGGCGCACGCCACCACGCCTGGCTAATTTTTGTATTTTTAGTAGAGATGGGGGTTTCCCCATGTGGGTCAGGATGATCTCAAACTCTCCTGGCCTCAAGTGATCTGCCTGCCTCGGACTCCCAAAGTGCTGGGATTACAGGTGTGAGCCACCGCGCCTGGCTTTTTCTTTTCTTTCTTTTTTTTTTTTTTTAGAGAGAGGATCTTGCTCCGTCACCCAGGCTGGAGTGCAGCAGCGCCATCATAGCTCACTGCAGCTTTGAACATCTGGGCCCAAGCAGTTTTCCCACCTCGGCCTCCTGAGTAGCTGGGACTACAGACGTGTGCCACCATGCTACCCAGCTGATTTTTAAATATTTTTGTAGAGACAGGGTCTCACTGTGTTGCCTGGGCTGGTCTTGAACCCCTGGGCTCAAGTGATCCTCCTGCCTCGGCCTCCCAGAGTGCTGGGATTCCAGGTGCGGGGCCTGACAGCCTGTTGTGCATGGCATTTTAGTGTTCCCAGCCATGCCCCGGGCTCCTGGCCACTAGTGTGGCAGTCCCAGCAGAAGGTACCTCCTTCCTGGGTTTGCTAGCAAAAGTCCACGATTGAAGCTCCTTGGCCTGGCCAGGATCATGTGCCCACCCCTGAGTGAATCAATATGGCCTGGAAAACAAAGTCCTGGCTGGCCAGGTCAGGGTCCCGTGTGCCCTGCCTGCAGCAGTGGGATAGCTGTTCAGAAGGAGCCCTTCTAGCCTACCTGTGGCTGTCTACACACATGCACACACACTTGCACACAGTGCACTCAAAAACACAGGCACATGCACACACGCACACACGCACACATATGCATGCACATGTACACACGAATGCACATACAGCCACACACAAAAGCAAGTACACATGCACACAGACGTACATGTGAATGCAGGCACATACACGAACCATGTAAACATGAACATGCACACACATGCACACAAATACACTACACCCACCCAAACGCACTCTTGCACACGTACACAAATGTTGGCACATACATGTGTGCACATGCATCCATGCACATGTGCACGCACACATGAGTACACGTGCATACACACGCAAACACGTGGGCGCACACACGAACACACGTGCACACACACGAACATGTGCACAAGTGTAGGCACATACACGCATGCACATGCATCCATGCATGAACACACATGCACAAATGCACAGATGAACATGTGCACACACAGGCACATACACATGACAGGACCCAGTGTGAGAAGTGAGGGTGGTTCAGGCAGGCTGGCAAGGAGCCCCCAACGTGCTGTAGATGTGGGGCAGGAGCACCTGCATGTTCCAGTAGGGGTCAGTGGTGTCTCAGGCAGCATTTCCAAAGCTGCTCTAGAATGGAGTTTCAAGTCTCTCTTGTCCAGGTGCAGTGGCTTAAGTCTGTAATCCCAGCACTTTGGGAGGCCCAGGCGGGAGGATCACTTAAGCTTGGGAGGTCAAGGCTGCAGTGAGCTATGATTGTGCCACTATACTCCAACCTGGGCGATAGTGTGAGACCTTGTCTTGAAAAAAATAATAGTTTTAGCCGGGCGCAGTGGCTCACACCTGTAATCCCAGCATTTTGGGAGGCCCAGGCAGGAGGATCACTTGAGGTCAGGAGTTCGAGACCAGACTGCCAACATGGTGAAACCCCGTCTCTACTAAAAATACACACACAAAAATTAGCCAGGTGTGGTGGTGCACGCCTGTAATCCCATCTACTTGGGAGGCTGAGGCAGTAGAACTGCTTGAACCTGGGAGGCAGAGGCTACAGTGAGCCAAGATAGTGCCACTGCACTCCAGCCTGGGCGACAGAGTGAGACTTCATCTCAAAAAGAATAATAATAATAATAACAATTTTTAAAAGATAAAAAAGGCCAGGTGTGGTAGCTCACGCCTGTAATCCCAGCTCTTTGGGTGGCTTATGTGGGAGGATCACTTGAGGCCAAAAGTTCGAGACCATCTTGGGCAACATAGTGAAACCCCCATCTCTACAAAAATGAAAATATTAGCCGTGCATTCCTGTAGTCCCATCAACTCAGGCGGCCGAGGGAGGAGGATGGCTTGAGCCCAGGAGATTGAGGCTGCAGTGAGCTATGATAGTACCACTGCAGTCCTGCCTGGGTGACAGAGCAAGACCCTTTCTCTGAAAAAAGTAATTTTCAAAAGAAAAATAAGGCCAGGTGCAGTGGCTGACACTGCGATCCTAGTGCTTTGGGAGGCAAAGGTGGGAAGGTGGTTTGAGGCCAAAAGTCTGAGACCATCCTGGGCAACATAGTGAGACCTTGTTCTCTACAAAAATAATCAAAATTAGCCGGGCATGGTGTGCGCCTGTATTCTCAGCTCCTCAGAGGCTGAGGTGGGAGAGGATTTCTTGAGTCTAGGAGTTCGTGGCTGCAGTGAGTCATGATGGCGCCACTGCGCTCCAGCCTGGGCAACAGAGGGAGACCCTGTCTCAAAAATAAAAAGTCTCGTAGTGGCAGAATCCTTAGATTAAGGGAAGCGCCTCTTGGAGACCCAGCATATCAAAGAGGTGGAAGAGGGGCTTCCCCACTTGGAGCAAGACAAGGGGCTTCCTCCTCTCCCAAGAGTTGGATAGGGGTTGACTTAGAGGCCAAGGGCCTGGAGTCCCAAGCGCAGAGCCTGCCAGGCGGCGGGCTCCTCAGGGCTGGGCCAGGGCCTGTGCCTTGACACATGTGTCCTTGCAGCAGCGTGGCATGAAGGGCAAGGCCCACAAGCTCTTCTACAAGGCCATCGTGTGCGGCAAGGAGATGATCCGTACTGGGGACTGTGCCGTGTTCCTCTCTGCCGGCCGCCCCAACCTGCCCTACATCGGCTGCATCCAGAGCATGTGGGAGTCGTGGGGCAACAACATGGTGGTCCGCGTCAAGTGGTTCTACCACCCCGAGGAGACCAGCCCAGGCAAGCAGTTCCACCAGGGCCAGGTGAGCCTGCAGCCCGGCTGCGGCCCCCCGGGCTGGGCCCCCCAGTCCTAGGTGGTGTAGGGCAGACCTGAGGGCGAGGCATTCTGGGTGCTGGAGCATCAGCAGCCCTGCCCAGTGGGTCAGCCCTGTCCTGGGGCCTGGGGTCAGGTGCTGCAGCCCCTGGGCTCACCCAAGCCCCTCCTCTCTCCCCCACACAGCACTGGGACCAGAAGTCCAGCCGCAGCCTCCCGGCGGCCCTGCAGGTCTCCAGCCAGAGGAAGGACTTCATGGAGGTAGGTGGTGGTGGTGGTGGGTGGGTTGGGGATGGCTGCCTCCTTCCGGGCAGCTCAGACAGGGCTCAGCTCAGCATCTGCTGCTCTGTCCCCCATGGTCTCCCTCAGCCTCTGACCTGCCACTCTCAGTGCCTGGCTCCTGTTCTCTGTCTCTCCCGGTCTCTGCGTCTATCTCTGTCTCTGGGTCTCCTCTGCTCTCCCAGTGTCTGTCTCTGAGTCTCTGGCCATTCTTGCCCTCTGACTCTCTCTGGGTCTCTCCCAACCTCTATCTTTCAGTCTCTGTGTCTCTCTGGGTCTCTCGATCTCAGTCTCGGTCTCTGTCTCTCTGCGTCTTTGGATCTCTTGTTCTGTCTATCCTTGTCTTCTGTCTCTCATTTGCTCTTCATCTCTCAGTCTCTGTCTCTCTTTTGTTGGTCTGTCTCTCCTTGTCTTCTGTCTCTCATTTGCTCTCCATCTCTCAGTCTCTGTCTCTCTTTTGTTGGTCTGTCTCTTCCTCAGCCTCTGTCTCTGACCTGGTCTCTCTCTCAGTCCCTGGGGCTCCCTCTGCTTCTGTCTCTGTCCCTGTGGCTCCCTGGGGCTCCCTCGGCCTTTGTGCCCCCCCACCTGCCATCCTGATGTCCCCGCGTGCCCGCAGTGCGCGCTATACCAGTCCTCGCATGTGGACGAAAATGACGTGCAGACGGTGTCGCACAAGTGCCTGGTGGTGGGCCTGGAGCAGTATGCGCAGATGCTGAAGACCAAGAAGTACCAGGACAGCGAGGGCCTGTACTACCTCGCGGGCACCTACGAGCCCACCACAGGCATGATCTTTTCCACGGATGGCATGCCCGTGCTCTGCTGAGCCCGCCGGGCCCTGCTGGCCACCGGCCACCTGTGCCCCGAGGGCGGCCAGGGACCCCTCTCCATCACTGCCATGGTTCGGAGACCATGTGCGTTGTGTGCATGCGAGCGCTCCTGCAGGCGTGAGCATGGGGCCAGGTGTGCACGTGGACGCCCGGGTGAGCATGTTTGTGCATGTGTGTGCCCGTGTGCATGCACGTGTGTGCATGCATGTGCACATGCTTCCAGCCCCACCTTCCAACCCCTCAGTGCCCCCAGGACAGGGGCCCCTCTTAGCTATCAGGGTATGGCCCTGCTGTCCCCCTCAGGGCAGTCTCAGCCGGGACCGGCCCTTCCTGCCCAGCACGTTGCAAGCACTTGGCCAGGCCGGCCCTCCAGCCTGCTGCTGCATGGGGGCCCGGGTGCCCCCAGGCCCATGCAGACTGGGGATTCAGTGGGGAGGGGCGCTTCTAAGGAACCAAACTGACGCTCACTCTGGGCTTCCCGGGCACCCTTAGCATGGAGCCCACCCCAAGGCCTCCCACCGTGCATGGGATGGGGTGGCCCGATGCCAGCTGGCCTACTGACTGTGCCAGGGGCCTTGCCCCCACCCTCTCAGGATGGCCTAGACTTGGGGAACACAGCAGGGTGGGGTTGCAGCCCGGAGTATCAAAGGCACCAGGTGGAGAGGGCCCGGCACAGGCCCACCCTGGTCCAAACCCTCACACTACAGAAAACCCCAATGGTGCTGAAACCCTCGCCTGGCCACGCCCGGCCCCTCCCCACCCAGGAGGGAGGTGGCACTTCTTAACCTGTACAGTTTTATTGTACCAAGAGACTCGCCCTGCCCCTGTATCCTAAGCCTTTAAATGGAGTCAACTTTTTAATTATATATATAAAGATAAATATATATAAATATATATAAACTTTTTAAAACTGTGAAAAATAGCTATAAAATTATAAAAAAAACACATTCTGATGTGCAGAATATTATTTTTTATTTCCTATTAGATTGTAGTGTCTAGCACCGGCTTCACCAGCCTCCCGGTCTCCAGCACACCCCCCGCCCACCCCGCCAAGTGTACTGTACTCACCCCCCAGGATAGAGAAGTGTTAGGGAGAGCAGGAGCCGGCCCGAGCCCAGGGTCCCTGCTTGGGCCCCAGAAAGCACTTAACCAGGCCCCAGGCCTTCCAGGGAAACCAAGGCCTCGACCAGACAATCTTGAGGGAAGGAATAGCCAGACTTTGGGTTTGTTTTTTGGGGGAATTATTGTTTTTTTTTTTTTTAATGTTTCTTTTGGAATTTTGTTTGTTGGCAAATTCTGTGTGATCTTTTTTCATTAAAAAAAAAGAAAAGATTTAATTGGAAAAATAAAATTGTCTGGAGTGGTTTATTTCAGGAGCTGGAGTAGGGGTGGTGTCTGGGGGATTCTGCCATATCAGGGCACCAAGAAGCAGGATTCGACTGGAAGTTGGGTGCCACCCGTGCAGGGGCAGTGACCACATGCAGCCATCTAAATGAGCTATTCGGCTGGGCACGGTGGCTCACGCCTGTAATGCCAGCACTTTAGGAGGCTGAGGCAGGAGGATCACTTCAGGCTAGGAGTTCGAGACCAGCCTGAGCAATGTGGTGAAACCCCGTCTCTACTAAAAATACAAAAATTAGCCAGGTGTGGTAGCCCACACCTGTAATCCCAGCTACTCGGGAGGCTGAGGTGGGAGAATCACTGGGACCCGGCAGGTGGAGGTTGCAATGAGTTGAGATTGCACCACTGCACTCTGGCCTGGGGGTGACAGAGATTATCTCAAAAAAAAAAAAAAGAAATTGAACAAATTTACCTGAGAAAAAATTAAAAGTTAAGTTGGCTGGGTGTGGTGGCTGATGCCTGTAATCCCAGCACTTTGGGAGGCCAAGGCAGGCGGATCACTTGAGGTCAGGAGTTCGAGACCAGCCTGGCCAATATGGTGAAACCCCATCTCTACTAAAAATACAAAAAAATTAGCTGGGTGTGGTGGAGCGTGCCTGTAATCCCAGCTACTTGGGAGGCTGAGGCAGGAGAATCGCTTGAACCCACGGCAGATGTTACAGTGAGCTGAGATCGCGCCACTGCCCTCCAGCCGGGGTGACAGAACGAGATTCCATCTCAAAAAAACAGTGCCAGGCATGGTGGCTCACGCCCGTAATCCCAGCACTTCGGGAGGCTGAGGAAGGTGGCTCACCTGAGGTCGGGAGTTCAAGACCAGCCTGACCAAAATGGAGAAACCCCGTCTCTACTAAAAGCACAAAATTAGCCAGGCATGGTGGCACATGCCTGTAATCCCAGCTACTCGGGAGGCTGAGGCAGGAGAATCGCTTGAACCCGGGAGGCAGAGGTTGCAGTGAGCTGAAATCGAGCCATTGCACTCCAGCCTGGGCAACAAAAGCGAAACTCCTCAAAAAAAAAAAGCAAAGCTGCACATTCCCAGCCATGCCTACCACAAAATGATACTAGAAGAAAATGATACTAATGCTAAGAGTGGCCCCAAGCCCTCACCTAGATGGGGGTGGATGGCATCTCTGCACTGGGGCCTAGGGAAGCTATAAGTGGGGGTCTGGCTGCCCAGTGAGTGACCTGGTTAGTGTGGGTGGCCTGCAGAGGACATTCGGGGCTTTGCAAAGAGGGTAACCCCGGGAGGGCAGTCAGCCGGCCTCGGGCAAGGGAAGGGCCCAGCGTGGGCTCTGGGAAATGCTCTGGTGTCACCTGGCGCAGTCTTGGCCCAAGTGGCTGCCCACCTGGACCCCAGGGAGGATGCCTGCCAGAGCACAGGTGGCCCTCGTGCCCTCCTTTAAGGGACCCACATCAAAACCTGGACCAGCCCCATTCCTTGGGGAAGCTAAGGACAGAACAGGCTGGGCGCAGTGACTCATACCTGTAATCCTTGCACTTTGGGAGGCCAAGGCAGGGGGAACACTTGAGGCCCAGAATTTGAGACCAGTCTGGGCGCAGTGACTCATACCTGTAATCCTGGCACTTTGGGAGGCCAAGGCAGGGGGAACACTTGAGGCCCAGACTTTGAGACCAGTCTGGGCAACAGCAAGACCCCATCTCTACACAAAATAAAAGAACCTAGCCAGGCGTGGTGGCACGTGCCTGTATTCACAGCTATTTGGGAGGCTGAGGTGGGAGGATCACTGGAGCCCAGGAGGTGGAGGCTGCAGTGAGCTATGATGGCACCACTGTACTCCAGCCTTGGTGACAGAGCGAGAGCCTGTCTTATAAAGAAAGAAAAAACAAAAATGAGGCACAGGCCAGGTGCAGTGGCTCACACCTGTAATCCCAACACTTTGGGAGGATGAGGCAGGTGGATCACTTGAGGTCAGGAGTTCGAGACCAGCATGGCCAACATGGTGAAACCCGGTCTCTACAAGAAAAATTAGCCAGGTGTGGTGGTGCGTACCTGTAATCCCAGCTACTTGAGAGGCTGAAGCAGGAGAATCACTTGAACCTGGGAGGCGGAGGTTGCAGTGAGCCAAGATCGTGCCACTGCACTCCAGCCTGGGCGACAAGAGCAAGACTCAGTCTCAAAAAAAAAAAAAAAGAAAGAAAGAAAGAAACGAGGCACAGAACAGTGCAGGATTTTGTCCAAATTGCACAAATCAGCAAAAGAGATGAGGCTCGAGGCCAGGAGGCTCTGACTCCTAGGATGCAGTGCAGTCCCCAAGGGGCAGGGGCCAAGCTGCGCCCGCTTCGTTTCCCCTTCAAATGGGCTGCATGCGGCCATCCTCCCTGATCCTCATGAAGACTGGGGGGCGGTCATCAAGGTGAGCGACAAACCCCAAGTGCTCCCAGCTCTCACCCCACCACCCAGCCCTGCCCACAAACCAAGCCTACCCGGTGTGAGGACACCCTCCTGCTCCCTGATCCACCCGGCCTACCTCACAGATGGGAAGACTGAGGACCGGCTTATCCGGGGCGGCCCAAGTTCCACCGGGATCCCGAGATGGCAGTCCCAGCCCCCGTCCATGCACAAACTCTGCTTGCAGGCGGCGGTGCAGCCGTCTGCCTTCATCTTTTAATGGCTGGTGTGGTACAGTTAGTGGACAGACGGGTGACGGGACACAGCAGGGGTGAAACAGGGCAGTCACAGCCGGGGCCGGGGATCTGGAAGGGTGGGCGGTCCTCCCCCCTGGAAACGCCGTCTCTGGAAGGATACCCTTAGGATTCCCTGAACTCAGGGTGCCACCCACACGGGCCTGGTGTTCTGGGAGGCCCGGGCTGGAGTGACCCCCAACCCCTCCTTACATTCTAGGGACCCTTGGGTCTGTCGGGTCCCTTGCTGGATGAGGGTCAAGACCTAGGTCAAGCTGACTTCAGCCAGGGTGGGGGGCCCGGCTTCGAAGCCCCCAGACTTACCTCCCCTCTTCTATCCCGGGCCAGGAAGGCAATAGGAGGGCTCCCTAGTCAGGCACATCCCCCGACCTGTGGCATCACGTGGGTGTGTGGGGAGGTCCTGACGTGCCCAGCTGGCATCACCGCTGTGGTTTCCCAGAGGCTGACGCAGACTGCAGGCGGGTCCATTCGGACCCAGGGCTCCGACTCCTTCATGGCTAACGTGTTTTGTTTGGGAGAAGCAGTCTCTAAGAATGAGGACAGAAGGGGAAGCCCTGAGGGTGACAAGGTGGGGGACTGCCCCTCTCCTCTCAGGGCTCCAGGGTTCATGAGGAGGGGTCCCTGATGGAGGCTGGGCCAGGTGGTGCCCTGATCAGTGCCAGCGGGTGATGAGGGCCGGGGTGCAGTCACTGGGCACGCACACTCTGGCGGGTGTCTGCTGTCCTGGGTGGTGACATGGTGCGTGTGACCCTGCAGAGTGCTGGCTGGGCTGGAGCTGGGGCCGCTGGACACAGATAGAAGGTAGACGCAGGTATGAGACCAAACACAGAACAGAGTGCTGGCCAGAGCCCCGGGTCGCAGAAACGTGTTCTGGTCCTCAAAGGACTTTGCAGAACTTCAGTCCAGGGTGGGGGATGGCTAGACCCTGAGGGAGTGGTGCTGCTGGCACAGGGGGAGGCTCAGGGCCCCGCAGGCACTGAGGTGGGGATGGGGGAGGGGCCCTCAGGCCTCGGGGCCCCTGGTCAGGCCCTCGGTGTCCCTGGCAGTGGGCGGGGCTGGCTCAGAGGCCTGTGAGGATGGAGCCATTGGCGGTGGAGGCGTGCAGGCAGCTGCCGTGGGCATCGCGGGTGAGGCTGTAGGTGCAGTAGGCCACGGCGGACCCCAGTGTCAGCCCTGACACGTAGGACACAGTCATGGTGTTCCCTGTGGACAACACTGGCCTGAGGGGAGCAGGGCCAGGGCGGCCACCTGGTGGCCACAGCTGCTCGGGTGTGAGGTGCGGTGACACCTGCATGAACCGTGCCACCCCTCCAGGACCCGCTGCCCCATCGCTCCTCCTGGGAGCACCCTCTCCAGATCCTGTCCTTCCTCGTTGCTTCTTCCCGAGGCCATCTGCTATGCACTCCAGGCCTTGCCTGCTTCTCTGAGTCCCCCAAGCCCCCATTTTTAAAATTTAAAGACAAGGTCTTGCTCTGTTGCCCAGACCAGAGTGCAGTGGTACAACCATAGCTTCCTGCAGCCTTGACCTCCTGGGCTCACGTGATCCTCCCACCTCAGCCTCCCGAGTACCTGGGACCACAGGCATGCACCACCACGCCTGGCTAATGTAAAAAAATTTTTTGTAGAGACTCGGTCTCGCTATACTGCCCAGGCTGGTCCCAAGCAATAGTCCTACCTTGGCCTCCCAAAACACCGTCCTGAGCCAGTGCGCCTGGCCCCAACCCTCCCCGTTTTAATCTCCAGTCTCAGCCAGGTGTGGTGGCTCACACCTGTAATCCCAGCACTTTGGCAGGCTGAGGCAGGCAGATCACCTGAGGTTAGGAGTTCGAGACCAGCCTGGCCAAGATGGTGAAATCTCACCTCTACTAAAAATACAAAAATTAGCCAGGTATGGTGGTGGGCATCCATAATCCCAGCTACTCAGAAGGCTGAGGCATGAGAATTGCTTGAACCTGCGAGGCAGAGGTTGCAGTGAGCTGAGATCATGCCACTGCACTCCAGCCTGGGGAACAGAGCAAGACTCCATCTAAAAAGAAAAAAAAACTCCACTCTCCGACCTACAGCTTCCTCCCTATCAGGGACAATTTGGGATGTCCGATGGGCACCTCGAATGTACCAAGTCCCAAACCCAACCCCAACCCCTCCCTGCGAGGCCCCTTCCCATCTCAGTCTGTGCCAGTGCCAGCCTTCTTGCCTTGAGCAGTGGACCCCAAACCTGGAGCCCCCTTCCCTCTCTCACACCCTACCTCTCAACCCATCAGCCGGTCCTTTGGGCTGCTGTCCAAACAAGACCTGGAATCTGGCACCTCCCAGTGCCACGTCAACCTCCTCCAGGTTTGAGCCCCATTCTCAAGGGCTTGGACTGGTGAAGTAGCTCCTCACTCACCTCCATGCCCACGGCAGCTGGGGGGATGCTTTATCAACCATCAAATCCCGTTCCTCTTCTGCTCCGTCCCCTGGCCTCAGTGCCGCAGGATCTTTGCACATGCTGTTCCCTCTTCCTGGATGCCTTTCCCTTGCATCCTCACATGGCTATCTCCCTTGCTACCTCCTCCAGGTCTTTGCTCAAAAGTCACCTCCTCAGTGAGGTCTTCCCAGATTGCTCCTTTTACACTGCTGGCTCCTGAGCCTGACTCTCCCATCCCATCACTCCTGTTTCTCTGCTTTATTTTTCCCCATAGGACTTACTGCCATTCAACCAGTCACGCCGATCTGGGATCTTTTTTTTTTTTCAGACAGGATCTTGCTCTGTCACCCAGGCTGGAGTGCATGGCATGATCACAGCTGCAACCTCAAACTCCTGGGCTCAAGTGATCCTCCCATCTCAGCCTCCCGAGTAGCTGGGACCATAGGCACATGCTACCATATCCAGCTAATTTTTTAAACATTTTTGTAGAGAGGAGAGGCTCTCACTGTGTTGCCCAGGATGGTCTTTAACTCCTGGGCTCAAGTGATCCACCCACTTTGCCCTTCCAAAGTGCTGGGATTGCAGGTACGAGCCACTGTGCCCGGCCTGGGCTGCCTCCACATCTGGACAGTCAGTCCCACAGCACAGGGAGCGCCGTTTTGTCGCCACTATGTCCCCAGTGCCTTGAAAAGCACTTGGTCCACAGGAGGGGCTCACCAAGTAGTTGTGGGATGAACGAACGAATAAATGAGTGAATAAAGTGGCTGAGAATGTCCCCACACCTATGGCCTCCCAGACGTTGACTGTTCTGAACCCCCAGAACCCAAATGCACCTTCTTGTGGTCTGGCCTGGGTTTCCTCGCAAGGTGGGCATTGCGCTGCTGGGAGGACGCCCCCACCCCCATGTCCCGCGGGCCTCACCTGCCGGCTCCCGCTGCTTGGGGCTCACTTTGCCTGCTGCCAAGATCATGGGCACGCTGCCGAAGGAGCCGTTGCTGATGCCCATGAGCAGTGAGAAAATGCAGGGCCAGGCGGGGTGGCGGAGGGCGGGCATGCCGCTGGGGTAGACGCACAGGGTGAAGAGGGGGATGAAGACCACACGCAGGCAGGAGCAGGCCAGCAGGTGGGTGCCCCGCCAGTCCACAGGCAGGGCTGCCAGGATCTGCAGAGAGCCAGGCACGGGGCCGCCCTGTCCTGGCCACAGCCCCACTCCCCTCATAACCCCGACAGCCTCCAGCCACATCCCCATCCCTAAACACTTCTGGGCCTGTCCAGCTCAGCCTGCACCCCTGCCCTTCTCCGGATCGCCCCTCTAAAACCCCCCAAATTCCACTTACATTTTTTTCCCTTAGAGTCAGGGTATCGGTCTATCCCCCAAGCTCGAGTGCAGTGACACGATGGTGGCTCACTGCAGCCTCAAACTCCTGGGCTCAAGCCATCCTCCCACCTCAGCCTCCCGAGTAGCTGGGACCATAGGCACGCACCACCACGGCTGAGTGATTTTTTTTGTTTGCTTGCTTGTTTTTTGAGACAGAGTCTCGTGCTGTCACCCAGGCTGGAGTGCAGTGGCACAATCTCGGCTCACTGCACCCTCCACCTCCTGGGTTCAAGCGATTCTCCTGCCTCAGCTTCCCGAGTAGCTGGGACTACAGGCACACTTCACCACTTCCATTTAATTTTTGTATTTTCAGTAGACACGGGGTTTCACCATGTTGGCAAGGTTGGTCTCGAACTCCTGGCCTCAAGTGATCTACCCATCTCTGGCCTCCCAAACTGCTGGGATTACAGGCATAAGCCACTGCACCTGGCCATTTCTTTGAGCCATTTCTAAGTGTCCCTGCCCTCTCTGGGTCCCCTCTGGGGCATCCTCCTGTGCTCATCCCCGGGGGATCTGTGACCATGAGGCGAGAGGGTGAGGGCCACGCCTGTCCTCTGAGATACAGCTGACACTCCGGAGCGCCCCAGTGAGATCAGGCCGGGGCTGTCCTCCAGAGGACACTGTCCAGGATGGTGCCACTGCATGGCTCTTGCCCTTTCCACCTGGGAGCCACATGCATCCTTCACTCAGAACACTTCCCGGATGGGCCAGGGCCTCCCCGTCACCCCCACCCCATGGTGTCCCCCGACACCGGGCAGGGCAGGCAGCCCACCTTGCCCACGAAGTCTGACAGGTTGAACACAGCCATGATGAGGATGGGCAGCCACTCGCCCAGGATGCAGTGGCAGATCTCAGACTCAAGGTCGGGGAACAGGCACAGCGTGATGAAGTAGGTCACGGCGATGGAGAGCATGTCGGCCCAGATCACCCCTGCCACCACGTAGCGGTGCAGTAACACGGCTGGGCGGTGGCGGGTGGGGGTCAGAGGCAGCGCCCACGGGGACCCCTGCCTGCCTCCCCCACCCCCTCACCCCCTGCCTGGGTGCCAGCCCCAGGGCTGCAGAGGGACCTCCCGCACTCACCTCTGAAGGTGGGCCAGCTGCGCTGGACCCTTGGCCACAGTACGTCAAAGCACATGTAGGCCCCGCCGCTGCCGGTCACCTCATGGGCTGGGCTGTCCTTTGGGGACCCGTTGGGGGCCAGGGCCGGGGCTGGGTGCTCCTGGAGGGAGGATGGAGTGGGATGGGGTTGGAGTGGAGGGGAGGACAGGAGACACGGGCCAGGAATTCAGGCCCAATCAGAAGAAGAGCCACACTGGGGCTGGTGCTGACATTCAGGTGGTGCCTACTATGTGCAGACACCCCTCCCCCAATTTATCAAGGTCTCTCACTTCACATTTCTTTTTTGTTTTAGAGAGAGGGTCTTGCTCTGTTGCCCAGGCTGGAGTGCAGTGGTGCAGTCACAGCTCACTGCAGCCTCAACTTTCTGGGCTCAGGCAATCCTCCCACCTCAGCCTCCCAAGTAGTGGGGACTACAGCCATGTGCCATCACCCAGGCCAATTATTTTTGCTGTTTTCTTTTTTGTAGACACAGGGTCTTGCTATGTTGCCCAGGCTGATCTCAAACTCTTTGGCTCAAGCGATCCTCCCAACTTGGCCTCCTGTATAGCTAGTATTGCAGCTGTGAGCCAATGAGCCTGGCTGTCTCTCACAGTTCTGATGCAGCAAATTCCATCTCATCACTCCTGTGAACCCTCTACCAGCTTCTGACCAAACCAACAAGAGCATCTAGTCCCCCATGACCCCTTTGCTTCTCCCCTCCTCTAAACCCAACGGAGCTCCTCCCAACCTCTGAGCCACTGCACACACTTTTCCCTGTGCCCCAACACCCTACCTGTGGGTCAGGTCTTAGCCCAAAAGTCCTTCAGGGAACCTCCCTGACCATGAGAGGGACACACCCCTCCCCTGGCTTGTCCCCTTCCATCCTGGGCCCCTCTCTGGGTCTGGGGGCTCCCCTGGGGATGTGTTTCTGGCTCACTTCAGTGTCCCCAGCCAAGTGCCCAGGTGACTCACTGGATCAAGACCTGCATCAAGACCGTTCTGGTTCTGGACCCTCAGGAATGAGGACCAATGGCTCCCTCGACCCGCCTCTGCATGGCCTGGCACTCCTGACCTCACCCTGCAGGTGTCCCCAGGCCTGTACAGCTGCCGGCCCTGACCCTGGGGGTCTGTGCAGTGCTGCTGCCACCAGAGGGCACCCCAGCCCCCCAAGGACAGCTGCCTGCCCAGGGATGGTGGGATAGGGCACCTCCTGGCAGGGGCTGTCTGTGCTGGGGACCCCGTAGGGGCAGTGCCTCTGTGCTGTGACAGGGAAGCCCAGCAGAGCCAGGGGCCACAGAACCAAGCCCCTGGCCCTCCCTCTCCGCCTGTCTATCCCCACCTGGGAGACCACTCCCTTTCCTGGCTGGTGACTTCTGTGGGAAATTCTGGGGGCCCCGCCACACCCCCTCAGGGAACCCAGGGTTATCCCTGAGCCCTGACTTCCCTCCTGGCGTCCCGTCTCTAGGGAGGAAGAGTGTGAGCTTCCTAGAGAGTTTGCTGCCAGGCTGAGCCTGCAGGAGGACTCTCCAACGTGGGTTGGCGCAGCCAGGAGGGCTGAGACCCTCAGAACGAACGTGGGCTGTCCCAGGGATGGAAACTTTAGTGTACATCATGTGGGGTGTCACTGCGGACAGGGACCATGCACGCCCCACACCGTGGGACACAGCAGCTGGGCAGATCTCCGGACCACAGATGCGGGTGGAGTGGGGCCTTAGGCCACGAGACGTGGGGTGCCACTAAGAACCCACACCTGAGTCGACAGAATAAAGGGTGCTGGCGGGAAGGATTCTCCACCACAGCAGGAGGCCGCAGCCTGGGATGCAGGGCAGGGGCTGGGCCCCAGGTACTTCCCTACGTCGCGGTGGGGACAGAGGAGGGAACGGAGGTGGGCGGTGCGCACTTACGAAGTGGACGTCCCCGGCGACGACGTCGTGGTGCACGCGGTAGCCAGAGCCCCTGCCCAGGCCTGGCCTGCCCCGGCGGCTGTCGCGCGGCCGTGTGGTATAGAAGAGCACGAAGCCACTGCACCGCACTAACAGGTGCAGCAGGAAGCACAGCAGCTCCAGCGCCACCGACACCAGGAAGAAGATGAGCATGCTGGCGCGCTCGTCGGGCAGCAGTAGCTCCGTGAGGATGCGGCTCAGAGAGATCATCACGCCCGCAGTGCCTGGGGAGCGTGCACAGTGGGCCGGGGGCCTAATCCGCCCAGCTCCCTGCACCGCCCTGCCCCGCCCCAGCCCCGCTCCGCCCCGCCCCAGCCCCGCTCCGCCCCGCCCCAGCCCCGCCCACACACAGACCCCTCCCCGCCGGCCCCGCCCTCCACCACCGGCCCTGCCCCAACACACAGGCTCCTCCATCACCGCCGGCCCTGCCCACTGCCACCACCCCACTCCCACAACCAGACCTGCTCCACCAGCCCCTTCCAGCAATTCCTACAATGAGTGGTCCAGCTGCATCCCGCCCCCCACTCAGCTCCGCCCCCACTCAGCCACGCCCAGCTGCATCCCACCCCCCGACTCAGCTTGGCCCCACACAGCCCAGTCCCACCCGCTCCCCCAGCTCCCCGCCCTACCTCCCTTCCCAGCCCCGCCCCCTTCCGCTCCCTCTAAGTCCTGAGTCCCGTCTCTCCCACCCCAACTCCGAGTGTCCTCAGCTCCGCCCCAGCCACAAGAGGAGCTGCCCCTCACAGCGGCCGCACCCCGACGCCGCTTACACACCCCCACCATGGGGCATTTACCCAGTGCCTGCCGTGTCGCTGCACCCTCCTGCTCTGAGGACGCAGTAGGGCCACAATGACACACGGGCGCAGGGTGGGAAGAGGATGGATGCAACAAGATTGTGTGTGATTCAGGCAGGGGGCAAAAAGGAATGGAACAGAGGGCGCGCAGAGGTGGGGGGCAGTTAGAGGACCCCTGTCCCGTTGGGGGCCTTTGACGCGGAGGTCTGCAGGACAGGGCCGGGAGTGCAGCCTGGGGACGGGTGTTCCTGGGTGGGGCCTGCTGTGAGCTAGTGGTCATGTTTGAGGTGCTGGAAGCCGCGATTAGGGTCACGAGGCTGGGAGGGAGGGCCTTGGGGTGGGCAGGCTGTGGGATTTTTCTTCGTATGGCCATGAGCCACTGCCCAGTGTGAGGCAGGGTGGGTCAGGGCCATGGTGGGCCACCCCGTGAGGGTGGGCAGGGCTCTGAGCACGTCTTCTCTGCGGGGCCCTTGGCTCTATAAACCACGCGACATCAGTGTGCCGACACAATTCTGCACCCACTCTCGCTCAGCCACACCACAAAATCTACCGGCCAGCGACAGGAACCAGGACCTCCCAGATGGGAGTCTGGAAGCTCCGGGGCATCTGGTCGACCCCAGCACCAGGCAGAGGGTTGCAGAACGCCCCCCAGGAGAGAAACGAGCCAGGCCCACGTGGGTCTTGACCTGGGCTTCCGCTTCCTGCCTGGGCAGCACTGACCCCGGGCAGGTCCAGGCACAGAAGGAAGAATGGGGGGCTGGGGGAGATCTCTCATGTAAAGAAGAGCCAGCAGCATCTTAAATGTTGCTTAAGTGTCCTGGTCCTCCAGGACTTTCCACATCTTGGCTTCCTGCTTGGTTTGATCACGACAGAGAATAACCTATGGTGTGGTGGAAAGAAAGGTGCTGACTTTGGATTTATTAGTGAAGGTTTGTGATGTTGATTTGGTTTCTATCCAGACTGTGTCAGATACTTGATGTAGGAGGTTCTCATGTTTATAATCACAACAGCTTAACAAGGAGGGAGTTACTACCCTCACTTAATAGACGAAGAGACCAAGGCTTCAGTATATATATATATATATATTTTTTTTTTTTTGTGACAGAGTCTTGCTCTGTCACCCAGGCTGGAGTGCAGTGGTGTGATCTCAGCTCACTGCAACCTCCGCCTCCTGGGTTCACACCATTCTCCTGCCTAACCCTCCGAAGTAGCTGGAATTACAGGCATGTGCCACCATGCCTGGCTAATGTTTGTATTTTCAGTAGAGACAGAATTTCACCATGTTGACCAGGCTGGTCTCGAACTCCTGACCTCAGGTGATCTGTCTGCCTTGGCCTCCCAAAGTACTGGTATTTACAGGTGTTAGCCACTGTGCCCAGCCAAATGCTTCAGTATTTAAATAACCTGCCTCCCAGTCACCCAGCCAGTGTGTGCTGGAACTAAGATTCAAACGTAAGTCTGTCTTTCCATCAAAGCACATATTCTTTCCATCAACCATGTGGCCCCCAGCCCCAGTGCACAATGCTGGATTTTATCATATCACTAGGAAGGGCCAGGGGCCAGGTTCCAAGTGGCTTGATGGGTTTCTGCGTCTGAGAAGTGGAGCTGGTGAGGCAGCGACTCCTTCGCTGTTTTCCAACGGTCACCACGGCTTTGATCTTGACAGCAACCAAGATGTATCGCCCCACTTTGCAGATGAAAAAACTGAGGCCCAGAGAGGTTGATTGAACGGCCCAGGCAGAGTACCTGTTTTATGTTGGAGCTGGAAATCAAACCCTGGTCTGCCAAAAACATACCCAGGCTCTTGGCTGTGTGTGGCGTGGACTTGCCTACCACATGGGCATGGTACACTGGAGAGATGAGCCTTTCTTATTTCAAAATACATAGCACTTCTTGGCCAGGTGCAGTGGCTTACGCCTGTAATCCCAGCACTTTGGTAGGCCAAGGCCGGCAGATCACTTGAGGTCAGGAGTTCAAGACCAGCCTCAGCAACATGGCGAAACCCTGTCTCTACTAAAAATCCAAAAATTAGGCGGATGTGCTAGCATGTGCCTGTAATCTCAGCTACTCGGAGGCTGAGGCATGAGAATTGCTTGAACCTGGGAGGCGAAGGCTGCAGTGAGCTGAGATCATGCCACTGCACTTCAGCCTGGATGACAAGAGTGAAAATCCATCTCAGAAACAAAAAATACACAGCACTTCTTAAGCCTCGGTTACCACCCCCACAGATGATCTGAAGTCCAGTCTTTCCGATTCACACCTTGGTGATCTGGGGCCCTTGTGCAGTCCACATCCTTGTCTCCCTCTGTGCCTCCCACCTGGCATGCCAGGTACCCTGTTGTGCAGCACATGGGGAGGCACCCACTGGACAGCTAGTCTCCTGGTGCACCCCCCACCCCCACGCAGGTCCCCAAAGCCTGCTGCAGCCCAGTGCACAAATTACTATTATCCTTTTTACCGTGAGCTTGGTGAGCAACAGTGGTGGTGAATAGACCATGCTCTAGTGAGGTTTTGGACTTGACACTGTGCGTGCAGTATGCCTTGGAACAGTCATAGCATGTTCTGTGCCCATTGAGTGCTAGACCTAATTATAGGCATTTGCACACAATCCTATTGAAAGCTTACAAGAGGTTGGCCAAGCACAATGGCTCACGCATGTGAGCTCCCAGCTCTTTGGAAGAGGTGGCTCCCTGCACTTTGGGAGGCTGAGGTGGGAGGATCACCTGAGGTCAGGAGTTTGAGGCCAGCCTGGCCAACATGCAAAAATTAGCTGGTCATGGTGATGAGCCCCTGTAATCCCAGCTACTCAGGAAGCTGAGGCAGGAGGATCACGTGAACCCAGGAGGCGGAGGTTGAAGTGAGCTGGGATCACGCCACTACACTCCAGCCTGGGCAACAAAATTAGACTCCGTCTCCAAAAAAAAAAAAAAAAAAAAAAAAAAAGATATTCATCCACAAAAAATGAAGTGTTCTCTCTATGTTGCCCAGGCTGGTCTCAAACTGTTGGCCTCAAGCAGTCCTCCTGCCTCAGTTTCCCAAAGTGCCGGGATTGCGGGTGTGAGCCACCACTCCCAGCCTGAGCCAAAATGCATGATAGAGCCATGCCTTAATCCAGTCTTCTGATTTCAAACTTAGTGCCCTTTTTACTTATATGATCTTCCCCTCTTCCCACTCCTGTCAAAAATAAACAAGCTTCAAAACAAACACACAAAAATCCCTCAGCTCTCAAGATATTGGTTGTTTAGTCTTTATTTTTACTGTATGTTACTCTCGCTCAGGCTGGGGTGCAGTGGCACAATCTCGGCTTACTGCAACATTTGCCTCCTGGGTTCAAGTGATTCTCCTGCCTCAGCCTCCCAAGTAGCTGGGATCACAGGCAAGGGCCACCTCGCCTGGCTAATTTTTGTATTTTTAGTAGAGACAGGGTTTTGCCACGAAGGCCAGGCTGGTCTCGAACTCCTTGCCTCAAGTGATCCTGCCTTGGTCTCCCAAAGTGTTGGGATTATAGGTGTGAGCCACTGTGCCTACACATTTGTCTTTAAATGTAACACTTATTACATTTAAAAAGAAAAACTCAACCTTATGAAATTGATGTTGCTGAAAAGATAACCATGGAATCCAGCAGCAGTCATTAGTGTGGATGTGTGGGTCACTGCAGGAAAACGGCTGGAGAGCACCATTGTGTGTGTACAGTGGAGAAACACACCTCCCAGGAGCTACTGCCAGCCAAATGGCTGTCATTGTCTCACAGCACACAAAACAATGCTTACTACACAGAGAACTCTTTACATGTTAAGCATTTTCTATTTATTTATTTATTTATATATTTTTTGAGACGGAGTCTCACTCTGTTGCCCAGGCTGGAGTGCAGTGGTGTGATCTCGGTTCACTGCAACCTCCACCTCCCAGGTTCAAGCGATTCTCATGCCTCAGCCTTCTGAGAAGCTGGTATTACAGGTGCCTGCCACCCCACCCGGCTAATTTTTGTATTTTTAGTAGAGACGAGGGTTCACCATGTTGGCCAGACTGGTCTTGAACTCCTGACCTCAAGTGATCCACCCACCTTGGCCTCCCAAAGTGCTGGGATTACAGGCGTGAGCCACCACACCCAGTCAAGAACTCTTTACATATTGAGCATTTTCATAAAGATTTAAACCTGGATTCCTGAACCCTTGGGTCACATCTGCAAACCATGCAGTTGGCCATTGAGGAAAATATTAAAAGCATATTAAACACCCACTGTGTGCCCATGGTCAGGAGGAAAGGCGGTTGATGCTACAGCTTAGTTTTCCAGGAATTCAGGATCCCTGAGTCAGGCAGCCTTATCTGTCATCCTAGAACTCCAGGACAGTCCCACATTGTGTTGGGAGTGGCCACGACTGGGAGATGGATCTGCTCTGAGCCCTGGGATCAGGGTAGCATTCCTGGGAGGCGCCTTACAGGCAGAGGGGAAATTGCTCATGTGTTCCGGGAACTGGGAGTGACTGGGTGTGGCAGGAGGTGAGCCTGAAAAATAGGCTATCCCTCAGAGCAGGACAGGTTTTACCCAGGGCCACAGGCCAGTGTCTGACGTTTCTAGATCCGTCCCAGTTTAGCTTCTTCTAAATGGTTTTGTGTCTGTGTGAGAGCGGTGTGAAATGGGGTTTTGCTATGCTGCCCAGGTTGGTCTTGAACTCCTGGGCTCAAGCAATCCTCCCACCTTGGCCTCCCGAAGTGCTGGGATTACAGGCATGAACAACTGTGCCCGGCCCTAAATGGTTTTAAGGGCATGGTACCTACCTCAAGCTAACGTGCACGCAGGCATGAGGGAGCCGGAACCCTAGCCTGGGATCCTCTCTTCAGCAATCCTTGCATTAAGACCTCGCCCTAGACACTTGCTCATTCGCAGATCCCTCCCCTTCTCAGAGGGAGCTGTGTTACCAAGCCTTGGCTTGCACCTCCAAGGCATGCAGTGGACGGGCTGGGCTCCCTGCAGGGAGGTGGGTGGGTGCGGGCCATGAAGATGAGCACAACACTGTCCCTTCCTCCCTCCCTCCCACGGGTGCTCTTCCTGGCCAGTAGCCGTGTGGACACCTGGAGGGAAGCTGTTCTGTGTGGCAGAGTCACTGTGTTGTATCTGGTACTGGGGCCCTCGCCAGCGTAGGTCAGCGACTCGTCCAGCCCCAGGAGGTGGCTGCTGTCTCCTCCTCATGCAGATGAGGTGGGGCTGGCATTCAAAGGCCTGGCTCCCTCCCTCCCTTCAGACTCAGAACAGCCCAGGAACCCAGCTCGAGGTCTGGGGGAAGTGGTGTGTGCATCGGGTCTTGCAGAATAGATAGGTTTTGAGTGGAGAGGCCAGCCAAGGGTGTTCCAAGTAAGCAAAGCACGGAACACGGAACTAGGCTGCAGCAGTGAAG
This sequence comes from Homo sapiens, assembly GCF_000001405.40. Classification (NCBI taxonomy): domain Eukaryota; kingdom Metazoa; phylum Chordata; class Mammalia; order Primates; family Hominidae; genus Homo; species Homo sapiens. The sequence goes on from NC_000007.14 coordinate 57,026,240, forward strand.
TCACAGGAAGGGAAAGCCCACCACAGACTGGGTGAGCTGCAGAGGGAGGATGGACTGAACTCCACCTCCAGGGTCATTCTGTTTTTTTGTTTTGTTTTGTTTTGTTTTTTTAAAAAAACCACAGTCTCGTTTGGTCTTCCAGGCTGGAGTGCAGTGGCTCAATCATAGTTCACTCCAGCCTTGAGCCCCTCCCACCTCAGCCTCCGAGTAGCTGGGACTACAGGTGTGCACCGCTGTGGCTGGCTAATTTGTATTTTTTTGTAGAGATAGGGTCTCGCTATGCTGCCCAAGCTGGTCTTCAATTCCTGGGCTCAAGTCCTCCTCCCACCTCAGTTTCCCAAAGTGCTGGGATTACAGGTGCACACCACCATGCCTGGCTAATTTTTGTTTTTGTTTTTTGAGACGGAGTCTCGCTCTGTCGCCCAGGCTGGAGTGCAGTGGCGCGATCTCGGCTCACTGCAAGCTCTGCCTCCCGGGTTCATGCCATTCTCCTGCCTCAGCCTCCTGAATAGCTAGGACTACAGGCGCTTGCCACCACGCCTGGCTAATTTTTTTGTATTTTTAGTAAAGATGGGGTTTCACCGTGTTAGCCAGGATGGTCTCGATCTCCTGACCTCGTGATCCACCCGCCTCGGCTTCCCAAAGTGCTGGGATTACAGGCTTGAGCCACCGCGCCCGGCCAACTAATTTTTATTTTTGGTAGAGATAGAGTCTCACTCTGCTGCCCAGGCTGGTCTTGAATTCCTGCCTCCGTTTCCTAAATTGTTGGGATTACAGGCATGAGCCACTGCGCCCAGCCTTGGGGCCCATTCTTGTCTGTGGGGCTGAGGGGACTTCATCATTTAGAAAAGGATCTTTTAAGTCATCTCTTTTAAGAAACCTCATGGCCCATTTGCATACTGAATTAATTAAACCCATCGACCTGACCATGTTCCTCAGGACTGGGCTGGAATTTCCCTGTGTTAGTGGAAGAGGGCATGGGGAGAGGTCTGAAAGTCGTGGTCCCTGTGATACAGCTCCAATGGGTGGAGGAACACTAGGGTTTTTGGTTTTTATGCTAGTTTAGACAAAACGACATGCTTGGAGTGGTTTTTTTTAATTAATTAATTAATTTTTTTGTGTGTGGGGGATGGAGTCTTGCTCTGTCGCCAGGCTGGAATGCAGCGGCATGATCTCAGCTCAGTGCAACCTCTGCCTCCTGGGTTCAAGCAATTCTCCTGCCTCAGCCTCCCAAGTAGCTAGTATTACAGGCTCCCACCACCACGCCTGGCTAATTTTTGTATTTTTGGTGGAGACAGCATTTCACCATGTTGGCCAGTCTGGTCTAGATCTCCTGACCTCAGGTGATCCACCCACCTCGGCCTCCCAAAGTGCTGGGATTACAGGTGTGAGCTACCATGCCCAGCTCAGCAGAGTGGTTTTAAAACACCGATGTCCACGGGGCTGGTTCCTTCTGCTGGCTGTAGGGGAGAATCTACTGTGTCCCTGTCCCAGCTTCTGGTGGTTTCCTGGTCATCTTTGTCTTGTAGATCATCAGCCTAGCCTTTCCTTTGTCTCCCTGTGACATCCTGTCTATGTGTCTGTCTCTGTGTCCACGTTTCTCCTTCTTATCGGATCCTATTGGACGAGGGCCCAGGCTAATGACCTTGCCTTATCTTGATCACCTACAGAGACCCTAGTTCCAAATAAGGTCATCTTCACAGGTATTGAGGGTCAGGACTTCATCATCTTTCGGGAGACACAATTCAACCTGTTACAGCCCCGAAGTGTGCCATGTAAATTACCAAACCCCACATCCCTGGGAATAACATAGTTGACAGGAGGACAGAGTTCAGGATCCTTCCAGATCCCAGCCCTTGCCTCCAGGAGATGCAGCCACCTAGTACCCTCAGTCGGAATACCTGGGAAGTGAAGGGCCCTCCCTAGGCAGATCCTAAGCCAGGAAGAGAAGCCTCTGTGTGGCTGTCAATCAGTACGGACAGCAGCCAGGGCATCTGCCCAGCTTTCTGGACAGGCTCTGCTACCCACCTGCCTCTCTTAGAAGGGCCCCAGGGAGTGTTCCAATTCGTCTGGAGAAGCAACTCCAAATCCGTTGCTTACTGCAGACATCTATAATATGTGGGCTTAGGTACAGTTGAAACAGTACCATTTAGACAGTTCCCAAAATTTGTAATGGATATTGAGAAAGATACATGATACGACAGGTAAAGAAAGCACAATGCACAATCTTATGTATAGGTTGATTTCGAATATGTACATACACACACCCGTTTTAAGCAGCTTGACTGAGATACAATTCACATACCATATAATTCACCCATTTAAAATCTGCAGTTCATTGACTTTTAGGATATTCACAAAGTTGTACAGCTGTCACCACAGACAATTGTAAAACATTTTCATCACCCAAAAGGAAATCCCACACCCTTCAGTTGGCATCTACCAGCCCCTCCTTCCTGCCCACCCCCAGCCCGAGACCACTCTAATGTATAATACATCAGTCTCTTGTGTGTCTGCATTTCATGTCACTGATTTATTTTTTTTTTTGAGACGGAGTCTCACTCTGTTGCCTAGGCTAGAGTGTAGTGGCATTATCTCAGCTCACTGCAACCTCCGCCTCCCGGGTTCAAGCGATTCTGCCTCAGCTTCCTGAGTAGCTGGGATTACAGGTGCATGCCACCACACCCAACTAATTTTTGTATTTTTAGTAGAGATGAGGTTTCACCATCTTAGCCAGGCTGGTCTCGAACTCCTGACCTTGTGATCTGTCCACGTTGGCCTCCCAAAGTGCTGGGATTACAGGCATAAACCACTGCACCTGGCCGCAATGATATTTTTTTGTATAATTAGGAAAACAAACTTAGAAATACAGACCTCACAGTCTGATTCCTGCCTGTGAGTGGCACATTGTAATTATACTTTTAATTTTTTTCTATATATTTGATATTTTTCTGATCACACAATGAGTATGAATTGCTAATAAAGGGGGAGGGAGTTATTTTAAAAACAAAGGGCGGTCATGTCATATTAATAGTCCTTGCAGGCAAGGCATGGTGGCTCATGCCTGTAATCCCAGCACTTTGGCAGGCTGAGGCGGGTGGATCACCTGAGGTCAGGAGTTCAAGACCAGACTAGCCTGGCCAACATGATGAAACCCTATCTCCACTAAAAATACAAAACAAATAATTAGCTGGGCATGGTGGCGCACTCCTATAGTCTCAGCCACTTGGGAAGCTGAGGCAGGAGAATTGCTTGAACCCAGGAGGCAGAGGCTGCAGTGAGCTGAGACTGTGCCACTGCACTCCAACCTAGGCAACAAAGCAAGCCTCTATCTCAAAAAACAGTCCTTGTAGAGTGTTCTGAAACTCTACTCAACACCAAATTCACAACATTTTGTGTGTGTGTGTGTGTGTTTTTTTTTTTTTTTTTAATTTGAGACAGGGTCTCACTGTGTTCCCCAGGCTGGAGTGCAGTTGTGTGAATACAGCTCACTGCAGCCTCGAACTCCTAGGCTCAGGCAATCCTCCCACTTCAGCCTCCCAAGTAGCTGGTATTATAGGTGCATTGCCACCCCACCCAGCTAATTTTTTTATTTTTTATTCTGTAAAATTTTTATTGTTAAATTTTAATTTGTAGATACCTCATTATTTTTCCCAGGCTGGTCTTGAACTCCTCAGCTCAAGCCATCCTCCCATCTCACCCTCCCAAAGTGCTGTGATTACAGGTGTGAGCCACCACAACTGGCCTAGAATCACAGCCTTAACTTATCAGGTTGGGGGGCGGGGGGCAGGGGGCGGTGGGGGGGCGAATGTGTCTGAGTTCCAAACAACTGACTTTCAAATTGGAATCTTAGTGCACAGCTTGTTAGAAGTTGGAAATGCTTGCATTACACTAGTCTGCTATGCATTTGATTTTCTAGGCCCAGCTCCCACTAGCCCTCATCCCCTAGTCCTGAGAACCCCACATCCTTAATCAGGGGACCTCTCTCAGCCCTTAACAAACTGCCAGGTGGCTCAGCTGAAAGGCCCTGTAATTAAACCACATCTTTTTGCCTCTTTAATAACATCAGAGACAGCATAGTTCTAGGAAGGGACAGAAGGAATATATAATTTACTGTCCTTTGCCTGAGCCAGTATGAAATTGGTGCACGTGCAGTCTTGTGTGTTTTGGCTGTAAAGCGTGATCTGTTGTCTCAGCAAGTGTGTAGGTAAGCTAAATATTCTAATAAGTCGGTCCAACCACGGCAGGCTCTTTGCATGTGCGTCCGGCACAGCTGAAGAATAGACGTCTACGCTGGAGGAAACTGGCTCAGCTAGTCAGTTCACAAAACAAACCAATCCTGGCCACGATCGCAAAACCTCACCAGTTACCTAATCTGGAATCCTGGGCATCGTCCTCGATTCGCCTTGTTCTTCTGGGCCTCACATCAACTGTGTGTGCCACTGATCTCTCCAGCCGCCCTCTCGTCCTCCTCAACACCCACAGCCACTGCCCAGCATGTCTCCCTTGGATGAGAGCAATGACTCCAGAGTGATCTCTTCCTCCTTGCCGCCCCCTGTGCTCTTTTCTCCCCGACTGCTGCCCAGGTGATGACGGTCACCCTGCACCACTTGCTCTTGTGCCCCTCACGATCTGACCCCATTTGCTTGCCCAACTGCGTCACCCACAGATCCTGCATATGTATCCACGTTCCCACCCGGCAGACTCTCGTGGGTCCCCTATCCCCCATGGTGTGTTGTAGCCCCATTGGTGGGCTCTTAATCTGGACTCCAGGAATGGAGCACAAGCTGACATGTGAATGAGTATCTCAAAAGAGAACACATAGGTCAGGCGCAGTGGTTTAGGCCTGTAATCCCAGCACTTTGGGAGGCTGCGGCGGGTGGATCACCTGAGGTCAGCAGTTTGAGACCAGCCTGGCCAACATAATGAAACCTCATTTATACTAAAAATACAAAAATTAGCCGGGCATGGTGGTGGGCACCTGTAATTCCACTACTCATGAGGCTGAGGCACGAGAATCTCTTGAACTCGGGAGGCAGAGTTTGGAGCCGAGATCGCGCCACTGCCCCTCAGCCTGGGAGACAGTGCAAAACTGTCTTAAAAAAAAAAAAAAGGAATTTTATGAAATTCTTTGCTCCGGGCGTTTGAGTATGTTCTTCCATTTACATGCGGTGTCTTACCCATCCACTGGGGTGAAATACTTTTTAAGACTCTGCTCCAAGGTCACGATTTTCCTGCCTGAGGTTCCCTTCTCCATGTCCCCAGGGATTTAATTACTTCTTAATTACGTACCTGTTTCCCTCCTAGACCCTGAGCTCCTGGGGGTAGGAACTGTCTCTTCCGCCCACCCCCGGCCCCCCAGCAGTGTCTAGCACATGGCCAGCTCTTAGTACTTGCAGAAAGAAAAAGACCACGAAGGGCACGCACGCCAGACCATTCTCTATGGAAGACCCACCCAGTGTTCCCTGCTGTATAGTGAATGGCTCCATATTCCCAAATCTCTGCTCCTGCCTCTTTTACCTTCATGAAAGGGGCCTTTTTGTGGTTTGCAGGCATTTCCTCTAAGAGGTTGAAGCCCAGTTGTCAAGCATCTACGCGGAGGAATCAGACTTCCCCTTGCTGCGGGACTTCACTAGATGTGTAATGCTTTGTAAATTACCTCTTGACAAATATTGAGCTCTTTGTTTTCTTTTCTTTCTTTCCTTTCTTTCCTTCCCTTTCAGATTGACACGTTATTAAAAGAAGCAAGGAAGCTGAAGCAGCTTTCTTGAATGTCTACAAAAGATTGATTGACATCCCAGGTAAGCCCCAGCACTGATGTCCCACCTGTGGCGGACATTGTGTCTGGTGAGTCGGTGAGTTTGGGGTTCATTCTTCTTGGCTTTCCCAAGGAAAATAAATACACCATCAGTGGCAACTTCCCCCAGGAAACCAGGGAGTGCTGCACACGTGAATTCTCCACAACCCACACTTTGCATATGGAGGGAAATTGGTTGCACTTGTTGAAGTACTCACATAATCTCCAGGGGATGCCTTCGTAAAAGCAGAGACTGAAATCTCTGGGGCTACAGCATAAAACGCTGCACGTCCTGCAGAGAAGATGCAGACCTGGTGTGTGTGTGCTGTGCAGAAGTCCCTTGTACTGCCCAATGCCATCTTTAGGACTTTAGGAATGGCCCTACTAAGACACCTGGAGTGTACTGCTCCCCTGCCAGGTCCACCAAGATCAGTGGCCCCTAGACAAGGCTTTCACTTAAGGGTTATGGACAGAGGGTAACTGATAATCCCTGCAGCTACAACCAAGTATACCAGTTGTTTATTTTTTTTTTCTAATTTTACTTATTTAATTTTGAGACAGGGTCTTGCTCTGTCACCCAGGCTGGAAGGCAGTGGCGCAATCTCCACTCACTGCAACCTGCACTGCCCGGCTCAAGCAATCCTCCCATCTCAACCTCCCAGGTGGGTGGGAGGTGCATGCCACCATACCAGGCTAATTTTTGTATTTTTACTAGAGACAGTAAAAATACTGTCATGTTGGCCAAGCTGGTCTTGAACTCCTGACCTCAGGTGATCCGCCCGCCTCAGCCTCCAGAAGTGCTGGGATTACAGGCATGAGCCACCACACCCGGCCAGCTGTGGCATCTTGAGATAGCTTCCCAAGGCCATCAGATAAGAGATTTTGGAAGTGCAGAATTCTCCAAGGGCTCACAGCAGCACTGGCAGGGAGCCCCTGTTCCTAGACTGCTGCTCTGTGATGTTTGTAGACATCTCTAGTGAAAAGTCAGGGACAGTGGATGATGCACACAGTTCAGAGACCCTGACTCTGGTCCCATCTGTCCCCAGGTGTGGCCCCACAAAGCCCCTCCCTCGGCCACAGCACCCACCTCACTAGTACTACAACAGGATCAGACCAGATGCCAGGCAGGATGGAGAGCCAGCCCATTTGTCAGCCCCTTGCACTTTCTTGCCCAGTTCTACTTCCCAGAGTCCTGGATCTCTGATACTGTCTCCCAGCAGGGCCTGTTTGTGGAGTGGCCTTCAGGCACGGCTGCATCCAGGGCACCCAGCAAAGCATGAGTAGTGATGGGAAGAAGCTGGGTGGCAACATTGTAAAGACCTGGGTTTGATTCCCCACTCCATGAATTATGTAACCTCCAGCAGGGCAGGAGGTTTAAATACTCGGGCCTTAGTATTTTCATAAGTGAAATGAAAGAATGCCATACCTCGCCCGTAATCCCAGCATTTTGGGAGGCTGAGGTGGGTGGATCACTTGAGGTCTTGAGTTCGAGACCAGCCTGGCCAGCATGGTGAAACCCCGTCTCTATTAAAAATACAAAAATCTGCCAAATGTGGTGGCGGGTGCCTGTAATTCCAGCTACTCAGGAGGCTGAGGCAGGAGAATCACTTGAACCCGGGAGGTGGATGTTGCAGTGAGCCCAGATAGCGCCACTGCACTCCAGCCTGGGCAACAGAGGGAGATTCTGTTTCAGAAACAAAGAATGTCATGCCAGTGCCTGGCACAGGACCTGCAAGGCACCTGGCATCACCTGGCACATTTGAAAAAGGTCTGCTTACCTCCCCTTGCTTAAGGTCTCTCCCCACTCGAAAGAATTCTGTCACTTTCCACGATGAATTTGTAAAAATCATTATCTGCACTGCAAGACCTACTCATCCATATTAGCATGCCACAGCAGGGAGAGCCAGGTGAAAGGTTTTGTTTCCCATCATCTTCCTCAGGGACCCTAAATTTTAAAATCTGCATTAGTCACCACTGAGGTGCCACTAATACGGTGGCCAAAAGTCCAAGTTCAAACCATTACAAAGCTGCAAATGCCTTCATAGATATGTCTCTAAAAAGTCAACACTGGGGTCTGGTGCGGTGGCTCATAGCTATAATCCCAGCAATTTTGGAGGCCAAGAGATGCAGATCACTTGAGGTCAGGAGTTTGAGACCAGCCTGGCCAACATGTTGAAACACCGCCTCTGCTAAAAACACAAAAATTAGCTGGGTGTGGTGGCAGGCACTTGCAATCCCAGCTACTAAGGGATTACAGGCATGAGCCACCATGCCCAGCCATTTTACCAACTTTTATAAATTAACTAGGGAGATAAATGTATGTTTCTTTATATTTAATGCAACTGCACAGAAGAAATGTGTCATTCTTCTCCTTTGTTCCAAGCATTTTGTAATCCAATTTTTCTATCGCTATCACTGAGGTGGGAGAATCGCTTGAACCCAGGAGGCAGAGGTTGCAGTGAGCTGAGATCGTGCCACTGCACTCCAGCCTGGGCGACAGAGCAAGACTCCGTCTCAAAAAAACTAAAAAATATGTAGTGTTGAGAATGCTTGCTATCAAAATAGCCTGAAGCACAAAAGCACAGCTTATTCTTGAAATTTTATGGGATAGCCTATATTTTTACCTTTTCACTTCTTCTTATTTGGACAATATGTGCTTTGATGCATTTCTGTGATCTTCCCATCCCTAAAAAAAAATCTCTGCAGGCTGGGTATGGTGGCTCACACTTGTAATCCCAGCACTTGGGGAGGCTGAGGTGGGTGGATCTCGAGGTCAGGAGTTCAAGACCAGCCTGGCCAATATAGTGAAACCCCATCTCTACTAAAAATACAAAAATTAGCCGGGTATGGTGGTGCATGCCTGTAGTCCCAGCTACTAGGAGGCTGAGGCACGAGAATCACTTGACCCTGGTAGGCAGCGGTTGTGGTGAGCAAGATCATGCCACTGCATTCCAGCATAGGCAACAGAGTGAGACTCTGTCTCAAAAAAAAAAAAACACCTCTGCAATTTGAAGGATTTGCTGAATATATAGATGACCGGCTGCTCTGTGGTTTCCATGGAAAGCCGAAACATAATTACAAATCCAATTTCCTATGGATTTTTACAATGGAAAAAGGACCAGTTGTGTTAAGTGGCTAATTCTTTTTGTACACAGATGGTTGATTGTCATTTTCTTATAGTAGCTTTCTGAATTTTTGCGGACTGCCAAAAGAAGAAAAACTTGTATATAAAAATTGATCAATTGGCCGGGTGCAGCAGCTCACACCTGTAATCCCAACACTTTGGGAGGCCGAGGCAGTAGGGTCATTTGAGGCCAGGAATTCAAGACCAGCCTGGGCAAAACCACAAGACATCATCTCTATTTTTTAAAAAAAAGTCATTTTTTTTTTGAGACAGAGTCTCGCTCTGTCGCCCAGGCTGGGGTGCAGTGGCATGATCTCGGCTCGCTGCAAGCTCCACCTCCTGGGTTCATGCCATTCTCCTGCCTCAGTCTCCCGAGTAGCTGGCACTACAGGCGCCCGCCACCACGCCCGGCTAATTTTTTGTATTTTTTTTAGTAGAGATGGGGTTTCACAGTGTTAGCCAGGATGGTCTTGATCTCCTGACCTCGTGATCCACCCACCTTGGCATCCCATAGTGCTGGGTAAAAAACAAAAAAAAAAGTTTTAAAATAGCTCAAATTTAAGTACATTAAAGAAGGACAGAGTCTTTAGGAAATGGTAGACTAACAGGTCATCTATGTAGAAGCCAATAGAGTCAGAGCTGAGCCCCATGCAAAATAAAGTCTACATGTTTAAAACATTTATTTATTTATTTATTTATTTATTTATTTATTTACTTATTTATTTTTTGAGAAAGGGCCTCACTCTGTTGCCCAGACCTGAGTGCAGTGGTGTGATCTCGGTTTACTGCAACCTCCACCTCTTGGGTTCAAGTGATTCTCCTGCCTCAGCCTCCCAAGTAGCTGGCATTACAGGCACATGCCACCAAACCCAGCCAATTTTTGAATTTTTAGTAGAGACAGGGTTTCACCATGTTGGCCAGGCTGATCTTGAACTCCTGACCTCAAGTGATCCACCCACCTCGGCCTGCCAAAGTGCTGAGATTACTGGCGTGAGCCATCACACTTGGTCTAGAAGTTTAAAACATTTAAATTGACTCAAAAAAAACCCATGAAGACACTAGGAACAATTTTAGTGGATATTTATAAAATAAGGGGGTAGAAAAAAAATTTTTTTTTAAGCATGATGCCAAAAGTAGAAATCACAAAGGGAAATTCAGAGCTTTATGGAGATGGATGGGTGGGTGGATAAATGCATGGATGGACAGATGGACATATGAATTTAGACAGACTGGCAAAAATATTTGCAATGTATATAACAGAGTGTGTGTGTGTGTGTGTGTGTGTGTGAGAGAGAGAGAGAGAGAGAGAGACAGAGAGAGAGAGAGAGAGATAGTGTAAGCCCTTACAGAGCAATAAAAAAGTTTCATTTTGGGGGAGGAACCAAGATGGCCGAATAGGAACAGCTCAGGTCTACAGCTCCCAGCGTGAGCGACGCAGAAGACGGGTGATTTCTGCATTTCCATCTGAGGTACCGGGTTCATTTCACTAGGGAGTGCCAGACAGTGGGCGCAGGTCAGTGGGTGCACTCACCGTGCGTGAGCCGAAGCAGGGCGAGGCATTGCCTCACTCGGGAAGCGCAAGGAGTCAGGGAGTTCCCTTTCCTAGTCAAGGAAAGGGGTGATGGACAGCACCTGGAAAATCGGGTCACTCCCACCCAAATACTGCGCTTTTCCGATGGGCTTAAAAAACGGCGCATCACGAGATTATATCCCACACCTGGCTCGGAGGGTCCTACACCCACGGAGTCTCGCTGATTGCTAGCACAGCAGTCTGAGATCAAACTGCAAGGTGGCAGCGAGGCTGGGGGAGGGGCACCCACCATTGCCCAGGCTTGCTTAGGTAAACAAGGCAGCAGGGAAGCTCGAACTGGGTGGAACCCACCACAACTCAAGGAGGCCTGCCTGGCTCTGTAGGCGCCACCTCTGGAGGCAGGGCACAGACAAACAAAAAGACAGCAGTAACCTCTGCAGACTTAAATGTCCCTGTCTGACAGCTTTGAAGAGAGCAGTGGTTCTCCCAGTACACAGCTGGAGATCTGAGAACAGGCAGACTGCCTCCTCAAGTGGGTCCCTGACCCCGACCCCCGAGCAGCCTAACTGCGAGGCACCCCCCAGCTGGGGCACACTGACACCTCACACGGCAGGGTACTCCAACAGACCTGCAGCTGAGGGTCCTGTCTGTTAGAAGGAAAACTAACAAACAGAAAGGACATCCACACCAAAAACCCATCTATACATCACCATCATCAAAGACCAAAAGTAGATAAAACCACAAAGATGGGGAAAAAACAGAACAGAAAAATTGGAAACGCTAAAAAGCAGAGCGCCTCTCCTCCTCCAAAGGAATGCAGTTCCTCACCAGCAACGGAACAAAGCTGGATGGAGAATGACTTTGACAAGCTGAGAGAAGAAGGCTTCAGATGATCAAATTACTCCGAGCTACAGGAGGACATTCAAACCAAAGGCAAAGAAGTTGAAAACTTTGAAAAAAATTTAGAAGAATGTATAACTACAATAACCAATACAGAGAAGTGCTTAAAGGAGCTGATGGAGCTGAAAACCAAGGCTCGAGAACTACGTGAAGAATGCAGAAGCCTCAGGAGCCGATGCGATCAACTGGAAGAAAGGGTATCAGCAATGGAAGATGAAATGAATGAAATGAAGCGAGAAGGGAAGTTTAGAGAAAAAAGAAGAAAAAGAAATGAGCAAAGCCTCCAAGAAATATGGGACTATGTGAAAAGACCAAATCTACATCTGATTGGTGTACCGGAAAGTGATGGGGAGAATGGAACCAAGCTGGAAAACACTCTGCAGGATATTATCGAGGAGAACTTCCCCAATCTAGCAAGGCAGGCAAACGTTCAGATTCAGGAAATACAGAGAATGCCACAAAGATACTCCTCGAGAAGAGCAACTCCAAGACACATAATTGTCAGATTCACCAAAGTTGAAATGAAGGAAAAAATGTTAAGGTCAGCCAGAGAGAAAGGTCGGGTTACCCTCAAAGGGAAGCCCATCAGACTTAACAGCGGATCTCTCAGCAGAAACCCTACAAGCCAGAAGAGAGTGGGGGCCAATATTCAACATTCTTAAAGAAAAGAATTTTCAACCCAGAATTTCATATCCAGCCAAACTAAGCTTCATAAGTGAAGGAGAAATAAAATCCTTTACAGACAAGCAAATGCTGAGAGATTTTGTCACCACCAGGCCTGCTCTAAAAGAGCTCCTGAAGGAAGGGTTAAACATGGAAAGGAACAACCGGTACCAGCTGCTGCAAAATCATGCCAAAATGTAAAGACCATGGAGACTAGGAAGAAACTGCATCAACTAACGAGCAAAATAACCAGCTAACATCATAATGACAGGATCAAATTCACACATAACAATATTAACTTTAAATGTAAATGGACTAAATGCTCCAATTAAAAGACACAGACTGGCAAATTGGATAAAGAGTCAAGACCCATCAGTGTGCTGTATTCAGGAAACCCATCTCACGTGCAGAGACACACATAGGCTCAAAATAAAAGGATGGAGGAAGATCTACCAAGCCAATGGAAAACAAAAAAGGGCAGGGGTTGCAATCCTAGTCTCTGATAAAACAGACTTTAAACCAACAAAGATCAAAAGAGACAAAGAAGGCCATTACATAATGGTAAAGGGATCAATTCAACAAGAAGAGCTAACTATCCTAAATATATATGCACCCAATACAGGAGCACCCAGATTCATAAAGCAAGTCCTGAGTTACCTACAAAGAGACTTAGACTACCACACATTAATAATGGGAGACTTTAACACCCCACTGTCAACGTTAGACAGATCAACGAGACAGAAAGTCAACAAGGATACTCAGGAATTGAACTCAGCTCTGCACCAAGTGGACCTAATAGACATCTACAGAACTCTCCACCCCAAATCAACAGAATATACATTTTTTTCAGCACCACACCACATCTATTCCAAAATTGACCACATAGTTGGAAGTAAAGCTCTCCTCAGCAAATGTAAAAGAACAGAAATTATAACAAACTATCTCTCAGACCACAGTGCAATCAAACTAGAACTCAGGATTAAGAATCTCACTCAAAACCGCTCAACTACATGGAAACTGAACAACCTGCTCCTGAATGACTACTGGGTACATAAGAAAATGAAGGCAGAAATAAAGATGTTCTTTGAAACCAATGAGAACAAAGACACAACATACCAGAATCTCTGGGACGCATTCAAAGCAGTGTGTAGAGGGAAGTTTATAGCACTAAATGCCCACAAGAGAAAGCAGGAAAGATCCAAAATTGAAACCCTAACATCACAATTAAAAGAACTAGAAAAGCAAGAGCAAACACATTCAAAAGCTAGCAGAAGGCAAGAAATAACTAAAATCAGAGCAGAACTGAAGGAAATAGAGACACAAAAAACCCTTCAAAAAATTAATGAATCCAGGAGCTGGTTTTTTGAAAGGATCAACAAAATTGATAGACCGCTAGCAAGACTAATAAAAAAAGAGAGAAGAATCAAATAGATGCAATAAAAAATGATAAAGGGGATATCACCACCGATCCCACAGAAATACAAACTACCATCAGAGAATACTACAAACACCTCTACGCAAATAAACTAGAAACCCTAGAAGAAATGGATAAATTCCTTGACACATACACTCTCCCAAGACTAAACCAGGAAGAAGTTGAATCTCTGAATAGACCAATAACAGGATCTGAAATTATGGCAATAATCAATAGCTTACCAACCAAAAAGAGTCCAGGACCAGATGGATTCACAGCCGAATTCTACCGGAGGTACAAGGAGGAACTGGTACCATTCCTTCTGAAACTATTCCAATCAATAGAAAAAGAGGGAATCCTCCCTAACTCATTTTATGAGGCCAGCATCATTCTGATACCAAAGCCGGGCAGAGACACAACCAAAAAAGAGAATTTTAGACCAATATCCTTGATGAACATTGATGCAAAAATCCTCAATAAAATACTGGCAAAACGAATCCAGCAGCACATCAAAAAGCTTATCCACCATGATCAAGTGGGCTTCATCCCTGGGATGCAAGGCTGGTTCAGTATATGCAAATCAATAAATGTAATCCAGCATATAAACCGAGCCAAAGACAAAAACCACGATTATCTCAATAGATGTAGAAAAGGCCTTTGACAAAATTCAACAACGCTTCATGCTAAAAACTCTCAATAAATTAGGTATTGATGGGATGTATTTCAAAATAATAAGAGCTATCTATGACAAACCCACAGCCAATATCATACTGAATGGGCAAAAACTGGAAGCATTCCCTTTGAAAACTGGCACAAGACAGGGATGCCCTCTCTCACCACTCCTATTCAACATAGTGTTGGAAGTTCTGGCCACGGCAATTAGGCAGGAGAAGGAAATAAAGGGTATTCAATTAGGAAAAGAGGAAGTCAAATTGTCCCTGTTTACAGACAACATGATTGTATATCTAGAAAACCCCATTGTCTCAATCCAAAATCTCCTTAAGCTGATAAGCAACTTCAGCAAAGTCTCAGGATACAAAATCAATGTACAAAAATCACAAGCATTCTTATACACAAACAACAGACAAACAGCCAAATCACGAGTGAACTCCCTTTCACAATTGCTTCAAAGAGAATAAAATACCTAGGAATCCAACTTACAAGGGATGTGAAGGACCTCTTCCAGGAGAACTACAAACCACTGCTCAAAGAAATAAAAGAGGATACAAACAAATGGAAGAACATTCCATGTTCATGCGTAGGAAGAATCAATATCGTGAAAATGGCCATACTGCCCAAGGTAATTTACAGATTCAATGCCATCCCCATTAAGCTACCAATGCCTTTCTTCACAGAATTGGAAAAAACTACTTTAAAGTTCATATGGAACCAAAAAAGAGCCCGCATCGCCAAGTCAATCCTAAGCCAAAAGAACAAAGCTGGAGGCATCACACTACCTGACTTCAAACTATACTACAAGGCTACAGTAACCAAAACAGCATGGTACTGGTACCAAAACAGAGATATAGATCAATGGAATAGAACAGAGCCCTCAGAAATAATGCCGCATATCTACAACTATCTGATCTTTGACAAACCTGAGAAAAACAAGCAATGGGGAAAGGATTCCCTATTTAATAAATGGTGCTGGGAAAACTGGCTAGCCATATGTAGAAAGCTGAAACTGGATCCCTTCCTTACACCTTATACAAAAATCAATTCAAGATGGATTAAAGACTTAAACGTTAGACCTAAAACCATAAAAACCCTAGAAGAAAACCTAGGCATTACCATTCAGGACATAGGCATGGGCAAGGACTTCATGTCTAAAACACCAAAAGCAATGGCAACAAAAGCCAAAATTGACAAATGGGATCTAATTAAACTAAAGAGCTTCTGCACAGCAAAAGAAACTACCATCAGAGTGAACAGGCAACCTACAGAATGGGAGAAAATTTTCGCAACCTACTCATCTGACAAAGGGCTAATATCCAGAATCTACAATGAACTCAAACAAATTTACAAGAAAAAAACAAACAACCCCATCAAAAAGTGGGCGAAGGACATGAACAGACAGTTCTCAAAAGAAGACATTTATGCAGCCAAAAAACACATGAAAAAATGCTCATCATCACTGGCCATCAGAGAAATGCAAATCAAAACAATAATGAGATACCATCTCACACCAGTTAGAATGGCAATCTTTAAAAAGTCAGGAAACAACAGGTGCTGGAGAGGATGTGGAGAAATAGGAACACTTTTACACTGTTGGTGGGACTGTAAAGTAGTTCAACCCTTGTGTAAGTCAGTGTGGTGATTCCTCAGGGATCTAGAACTAGAAATACCATTTGACCCAGCCATCCCATTACTGGTATATACCCAAGGACTATAAATCATGCTGCTATAAAGACACATGCACACGTATATTTATTGCGGCATTATTCACAATAGCAAAGACTTGGAACCAAGCCAAATGTCCAACAATGATAGACTGGATTAAGAAAATGTGGCACATATACACCATGGAATACTATGCAGCCATAAAAAATGATGAGTTCATGTCCTTTGTAGGGACATGGATGAAATTGGAAATCATCATTCTCAGTAAACTATCGCAAGAACAAAAAACCAAACACCGCATATTCTCACTCATAGGTGGGAATTGAACAATGAGATCACATGGACACAGGAAGGGGAACATCACACTCTGGGGACTGTTGTGGGGTGGGGGGAGGGGGGAGGGATAGCATTGGGAGATACACCTAATGCTAGATGACAAGTTAGTGGGTGCAGCGCACCAGCATGGCACAGGTATACATATGTAACTAACCTGCACACTGTGCACATGTACCCTAAAACTTAAAGTATAATAATAAAAAAGAAAAGTTTCCTTTCCCAATAGAAAAACCTCTGTATTTTCAGTTCCTTACTAGACATTTCTACCATGAGCATCTCAAACTCAGCTTAACTTGTTATTCTCCATAACTTCCCCCTTCCCTATAGTCAGCCCCTTCTGCTTTTTTCCTCTGCCCAGCGATATCTGCTCCTCCTTCAGTCCAGAAATGGATGGTATTTCTTCACTCCTTTGTGAGCCCTCCTGTCTAATTCGTGTTAGTTCTGGCAATATTGTACATTCCCAACTTCATCGCCTCTCTTACTACTGTCATTTTAATGTGTTTTCCTTCTCTTTTCTTTTTTCTCTCTTTTTTTTATTTTTTGAGACAGGGTCTCGCTGTGTCACCCAACCTGGAGTACAGTGGCACAATCTCTGCTTATTGACACCTCCACCTCCCAGGTTCAAGCAATTCTCCTGCCTTAAGTTCCCGAGTAGTGGGGATTACAGACACCCACTACCACACCTGGCTAATTTTTGTATTTTTAGTAGTGACGGAGTTTCACCATGTTGGCCAGGCTGGTCATGAACTCCTGACCTCAAGTGATTCACCTGCCTCAGCCTCCCAAAGTGCTGGAATTACAAGTGTGAGCCACCATTCCCGGCCTTAATTTGTTTTTCATCTCTTGGTCTCACTTCTTCAAGATCTTCCAAACTTGACCCTGTGCCACCAGTTTCTCCCTGGACAAAACCACCCTCCATGCATCTGCTAAAATTATCTTTCTAAAATATGTCTGATCCTGCTAAAACCTGTCCCACTTAAAATCTCTCCGTGGCGCGCTCTCTCGTCTCTAAGGGCAAGTCCAAAATCACAGCATGATGCACAGGCATTTTGGGATACAGCCCTGCCTTCCCAGCCTCATCTTATGCTAAATCGAATTTCCCCATCCTGTGGAATCCCAGGCCCTTTCCCCAGCTCATCTTACAGCTGGTTCCACCTTTCCTGACAAGCAGATCCTGCCCTGCCTTGCCTGCTCCTGTGCCCACACTTACCTGCTCTGGTGAAAGAGGGCTCTGGTCTCCCCCATTCTAGGGGCTTTTCATGTGGGGTCTATAGAGAGAACCCGAGAGCTTCACGAATTGAACCCAGAAAAAATATATCTTTATTTCCATCAATGTCTAACTGCAATGTAGCATTTCCTTCCATTGCAAATGAAGCCCCCACACCGAGCTAATTGCAGACCGTGACCTTGCTGTGAGTGGAAATCACAGAGGCTTTCACATCTCATTCCCGTTGTTGCAGGGATCACAAACGCTGTTTGGATTCATCTTCAAAATGTCAGCGGTTCTTAGATATTTAGAGCAACAGTAAAGAACAGTTGTTCCTATATCACAAATCTGGTTTTAGAAAAGTATTGTCTGGGCACAGTGGCTCATGCCTGTAATCCCAACACTCTGGGAAGCCAAGGTGGGCAGATCACTTGAGGTTAGGCGTTTAGTCCAGTCTGACCAACATGGTGAAACCTCATCTCTACTAAAAGTATAAAAAATTCACTAGGTGTGGTAGCAGGCCTCCCAGCTACTCAGGAGGCTGAGGAAGGAGAATCACTTGAACCCAGGAGGTGGATGTTGCAGTGAGCTGAGATCACACCACTGCACTCCAGCCTTGGGCAACAGAACTAGAGTCAGTCTCAGAAAAAATAAAAAATAAAAAATAAATTGCAATAACTGCACTTCAGAATAGTTGTTTTCCTTGGTCCTTAAAACATGATTAGGCTTACTTCCTATAATAGACTTATGGACTTAAGTCTTTAAAATATTGTGAATAGACGCCTGTATTCTTTACAAGACTTCCAGAGGGGACCATGGCAAAGGAAGGGTTAAGCATCTGCGTCAGATTAACAGAGCCTTGATGCCTGTGGCCGGATCCTCCTCTGTCTTTGCCCCACCGCTTTGCACAGTGCCACTTTGTACCACGTGACTTTTTATTTGTTTGCTTCTTTGTTTTGAGGCAGGATCTAGCTTTGTCACCCAGGCTGGAATGCAGTGGTGCAATCACCACTCACTGCAGCCTTGACCTCCTGGGCTCAAGGGATCCTCCCACCTCAGCCTCCTGAGTAACTGGGACTACAGGCAAGTGCCAGCACACCCAGCTAATTTTTTTTATTTTTGGAGATGAGATCTCACTATGT
Organism: Homo sapiens; assembly: GCF_000001405.40. Lineage (NCBI taxonomy): Eukaryota > Metazoa > Chordata > Mammalia > Primates > Hominidae > Homo > Homo sapiens. The sequence continues at coordinate 57,044,694 of NC_000007.14, forward strand.
TGCCCAGGCTGTCTCGAACTCCTGGGCTCAAGTGATCCTTCCCCCTCTGCCTCCCAAAGTGCTGGGATTACAGACGTGAGCCACAGCACCCGATCCCTATTTATTTTACTCTCTCTGTGTTTCCTTATATCCTGTGAAGATGGGTACAGTGGGAACTGGGTAGTAATTCTACACATGTTCTGGATTTTAGCTACTCACTCACATTTATGATTACTTTACCTGTCAGTTAATTGCCTTTCTTTTCACTCGAGTTTTAGTGATTTTCACTGTCCAGAAGAATCATATATAGTTGACCTTTGAACAACACAGGGGTTAGAGGTACTGACCCTCACACAGTGAAAAATCCAAGTACAACTTTTGACTCCTCAAAAGTTTTACTGACAGCCTGTTAGTGACCGGAAGCCTTACCAGTTACATAAACTGGCGATTAAGATGTTTTGTAAGTTACATACGTTATATACAATATTCTTCCAATAAAGTAAGGTAGAGAAAAGAAAATGTTAAGGAAATCCTAAGGATAAGAAAACACACTTTCTGTTAAGTGGAAGTGGATCATCAAAAAGGTCTTCATCCCCGTTGTCTTCACATCAAGTAGGCCAAGGAAGAGGAAGAGGAGGGTTGGTCTTGCTGTCTCTGGTGACAGCAGAGGAGGAGGTGGGAGGGGAGCCAGGCACACTCAGTGTAATTTTACCAAAAAATATTCAAGGTGAAGTGGAACCATACTGTTCAGACCCATATTCAAGGGTCAACTTGTGTGTGTGTGTGTGTGTGTGTTTGTACAACCACACATAAATAATAATATATATAAATAAGATAGGTCCCATCAATCTTATCCTTCATCATTTCTAATATGGTTTCAATGATGGAAAATAGTCTTTTCAGGTCGGGCATGGTGGCTCATGCCTGTAATTCTGGCACTTTGGGAGGCCAAGGTGGGTGGATCACTTGAGGTCAGGAGTTCAAGACCAGCCTGTCCAACATGGTGAAACCCTATCTGTACTCTAAATACAAAAATTACCCCAGTGTGGTGGTGAATGCCTATAATCCCAGCTACTTGGGAGGCTGAAGCAGGAGAATCCTTGAACCCGGGAGGTGGAGGTTACAGTGAGCTGAGATCATGCCACTGCACCCCAGCCTGGGAGACAGCATGAGACTCCGTCTCAAAAAAAAAAAAAGAAAAGAAAACAGTCTTTTCTCCTCAATCCATTTTCTTATTCTTCAGTGATTTATTGTATCTTTAACTTGTCTGAAGTTTATTATAGCATATAGAGTAATATCTGTTTCTTTTTCTTATTCTTTAATACTCAGTTTGCCCAATAATATTGATGACTTCTTCCCCCGATAAATAATATCTGACAAATCGGGCATAATTACACATACATCTGGATTTCTGTCTATAATTTCATTCTATCAGTCTAGTTTTTCACTCTAATAAGTGCCACACTCTTTTGATGAAGTCTCCTTGTTTTCTATTTCAATATCTTGTATAGCCAGTTTACTATTGTTTTTACTTTAAACAAAAACAACGACCTTTAGTATTTTGGGCACCTATTTTTTCTCTATGCATCTCATCATTTTACCAACTTTTTTTTTTTTTTTTTTTTGGAGACGGAGTCTCATTCTGCCACCCAGGCTGGAGTGGCAGTGGTGTGATCTTGGCTCACTGCAACCTCTGCTTCATGGGTTCAAGTGATTCTCCTTCCTCCTGCCTCAGCCTCCTGAGTAGCTGGGATTACAGGCACCCACTACCATGCGAAGCTAATTTTTGTATTTTTAGTGGAGGCGGGGTTGCACCATGTTGGGCAGGCTGGTCTCAAACTCCTGACCTCGAGATCTGCCCGCCTTAGCCTCCCAAAGTGCGGGATTACAGGCATGAGCCACCATGTCCAGCCATTTTACCAACTTTTATAAATTAACTTGGGAAAGAAATGTATGTTTCTTTATATTTAATGCAACTGCACTAAGAAATGTATCATTCTTTTCCTTTGCTCCAAGCATTTTGTAATCTGATTTTTCTATTGGTGGAATTTATACTACATTATTTTAATTCCCACATGCTTATATGTTTATCCCTGTTGTAAATGAGAAAGATCTTTTATTTTATTTTGTGGATGTTTATTACTGGTATAGGGGAGTTTGTTATTTTCTTGTCTTTACCAAGAAACATAGCGCTTTGCTGAACCCATGATTGTCCCAGTCCATTTGCTCAAGTGAATCCCTTGGATTGCATGAGACTGCATTACCTACAAGTAGTGAATGTGCACCCTTTGTGACACTCAGAGCCTCTGATCCTTTTCTTTCATTCCTGTTTTCAAGAGGAGCATTCTATTATAGCTCTGGGAAGAATTGTGGAGGCTCTTGGTTTAAGTCTGTGTCCTTTTCCATGTTAACCAAATGCTCCAGTGATTTCCCCTCTGTAAATTGAACTGTGAAGTGGTTTCTAGATTCCATGGGATTAAAACCCCACAACTGTGTGAGATTCTCCTAGTGGGGTAGTTAGTTTTCTATTAGGTCAGTGCAAAAGTAATTGCAGTTATTGCCATTAAAAGTAATGGCAGGTCGGGTGCGGTGGCTCACGCCTGTAATCCCAGCACTTTGGGAGGCCGAGGCAGGCACATCACCTGAGGTCAGGATTTCAAGACCATCCTGGCCAACACGGCAAAACTCCGCCTCTACCAAAAATACAAAAATTAGCTGTGCGTGGTAGTGGGTGCCTGTAATTCCAGCTATTGGGGAGGCTGAGGCATGAGAATTGCTTGAACCCAGGGGGCAGAGGTTACAGTGAGCATAGGTCATGCCACTGCACTCCAGCCTGGGTGAGAATGGTGAAAGTCCATCTCAAAAAAAAAAAAAGAAGTAGGCCAGGCACGGTGGCTCACGCCTGTAATCCCAGGACTTTGGGAGGCTGAGGCAGGTGGATCACCTGAGGTCAGGAGTCCTAGACCAGCCTGGCCAACTTGGTGAAACCCCGTCTCTACTAAAAAATACAAAAATTAGCCAGGCATGGTGGCAGGTGCCTGTAATTCCAGCTACTTGGGGGGCCGAGGCAAGAGAATTGCTTGCACGTGGGAGGTGGAGGTTGCAGTGAGCCGAGATCACACCACTGCACTCCAGCCTGGGGGACAAGAGCGAGATTTCATCTCAAAAAAAAAAGTAACGGCAAAACTGCAAATACTTTTGCACCGACCTAATAGTAGGATTACACTTTTATACAGTACATTTCATTCCATTTTTATTTTACATATTTTATAGATTTTCTTACTTGATTATTTAAGAGAAGTTGAAGCTCATGTTTCTATTTACTGTGCTGTTTAGCATTTCTTATTTCTCCCTAACATTATTATGCCACATATAATATTGGTTAGTCTGGCTTCAAACCTTGCCTTAATTAGCCTTTAAAAAAAATCTAGTTGGCCAAGCACACTGGTGCACACCTATAACCTCAACACTTTGAGAGGCCAAGGCAGGAGGATCACTTGAGCCCAGGAGCTGGAGACCAGCCTGGGTAACGTAGCAAGATCATCTCTCTAAAAAAATTAAATTAGCTGGGCATGGTGGTGCTCACCATAGTCTTAGCTACTTGGGAGACTGAGGAGGGAGGATTGCTTAAGCCCAGGAGGTCAAGGCTGCAGTGAGCCAAGATCGTGCCATTGCACCCCAGCCTGGGCAACAAAGTGAGATCCCATCTCAAAAAAAAAATCTAGTTAATCATCGCCTTTTTACTCAAAATGTGTTTCTACCACCCTTTTTGGGTTTTTTAAAAAATATGTATTTTATTTTTATGGGTAAATTTGGCCTAATTATGTTTACTGATATAACTTTTTAAAATTATTATTATTGTTATACTTTAAGTTCTAGGGTACATGTGCAAAACGTGCAGATCTGTTACATATGTATACATGTGCCGTGTTGGTTTGCTGCACCCATTAACTCCTCATTTACATTAGATATAACTCTTAACTGAAATTTCTCTTTACTGTTGAATTGTTGACCCTTTTCATTTTTCTAGTTCACAGTATCTCTGCCCTAGGCTTTCTGATCCATTTAAGGAAGATTGTGTGAACAGCCTAATTGACCCTGTGAATGTCCCCTGAGCCTTCTAATTAGCCCTGCCTTGAGTCTCCTCTTGTTACTGAAATTCACTTTCTGATGCAGAACCATTGAGCCCTTCTGAAACCTTTTCAAAACTACATATTTAAATTTTCTTATCATACTATACTGTTATTAGATTACATGTCTAGTATAGCAGCAAATTGTACTTCATTATATTAACCTTGCTACCTCCCTCTACAAAGAGACCTGATCTTTTATAAAATACTCTGGACCTACAGATTCCGGCTGGTGAATTCTTTAAAGTTACCTGGATTTCAATGATTGTCTACTCCCTTTAAAAGCAGCTGCTGTTTAGCAGGATTATCAGTTAGTGGTGAGAATCTTTTATTCTCTATTATATGGTAAATATTTTTCACCAACTTGAGGGATGCCACGCAGATCCCATGGGGTTGACACACATAGACAAAGACGTTCTTCTCATCACATTGTTTTAAACAATCGAGCTGCCATTTTAACTTTCACTAAACTCAGAAATTTACCAGCTGGGCTGGGCGCAGTGGCTCACACCTGTAATCTCAGCACTTTGGGAGATCGAGGCAGGCGGATCATTTCAGGTCAGGAGTTTCAGACCAGCCTGGCCAACATGGACAAACCCCATTTCTAGTAAAATTCAAAAATTAGCTGGGCGTGGTGGTGCACTCCTGTAATTCCAGCTACTCGGGAGGCTGAGGCATGAGAATTGCTTGAACCTGGGAGGGAGAGGGTGCAGTGGGCTGAGATTGCGCCACTACACTCCAGCTTGGGTAACAGAGAGAGACTACGTCAAAAGAAAAAAAAAAAGAAGAAGAAAGAAAGAAATGTATCAACTTGACACATCAGGGTTCTTCTGTAAGTTAAAACCTGGGAAGCGCCCTACCCTGGCATTTGAAAAGTGGCTGAAGGGCCGGGTGTGGTGTCTCACGCCTGTAATCCCAGCACTCTGGGAGGCTGAAGTAGGCGGATCACGAGGTCAGGAGATAGAGACCATCCTGGCTAACATGGTGAATCCCCATCTCTACTAAAAATACAAAAAATTAGCCAGGCATGGTGGTGGGTGCCTGTAGTCCCAGCTACTCGGGAGGCTGAGACAGGAGAATGGCGTGAACCCAGGAGGCAGAGCTTGCAGTGAGCTGAGATCACGCCACTGCACTCCAGCCTGGACAACAGAGCGAGACTCCATCTCAAAAAAAAAAAAAAAAAAGAAAGAAAGAAAAGTGGCTTAATCCAGTTTCCTGTCCAGAATTACAATGACATTGTATTAATACATCGATGATGAAAAGCATAGCTAAGCTGTAAGGCCAGTTATTGGATATACATCTTCCTAATGGAGAGATTATTATCATGGGAAACAGCTTTTGGCTTGTCCAATAAGACTCCTTTCCAGCCAGGCATGGTGGCCCACACCTGTAATCCCAGCACTTTGAGAGGCCAAGCTGGGAGGATTGCCTGAGCTCAGAAATTCGAGAGAGGCTGGGCAACATAGCGAGAACTCATATCTACTAAAAATTAAAAACCCTTTCCAACATGAATTTTTTTTTTTTTTTTTTGAGATGGAGTCTTGCTCTGTTGCCCAGGCTGGAGTGTGGTGGTGCATTCTTCTGCCTCAGCCTCCTGAGTAGCTGGGACTACAGGTGCCCACCACCACAACTGGCTAATTTTTTGTATTTTAATTAGAGATGGGGTTTCACCTGTTAGCCAGGATGGTCTCCATCTCCTGACCTCGTGATCCGCCTACCTCGGCCTCCCAAAGTGCTGGGATTACAGGTGTGAGCCACCATGCCCGGCCACGAATTTTTTTTTTAAGACAGGTCTTGGCCGGGTGCGGTGGCTCACGCCTGTAATCCCAGCATTTTGGGAGGCCGAGGAGGGCAGATCACGAGGTCAGGAGATCCAGACCATCCTGGCTAACATGGTGAAACCCCGTCTCTACTAAAAATACAAAAAAAATTAGCCTGGCATGGTGGTGGGTGCCTGTAGTCCCAGCTACTCAGGAGGCTGAGGCAGGAGAATGGCGTGAACCCGTGAGGCAGAGCTGGCAGTGAGCCGAGATTGCTCCACTGCACTCCAGCCTGGGCGACAGAGTGACAGGTCTTGGGCTGGGCCTGGTGGCTCACACCTGTAATCCCAGCACTTTGGGAGGCCGAGGCAGGCGGATCACATCTTGGGCCTGGCACGGTGACTCACACCTGTAATCTCAGCACTTTGGGAGGCCAAGGCAGGTGGATCACGAGGTCAGGAGACCGAGACTGTCATGGCTAACACGGTGAAACCCCATCTCTCCTAAAAAATACAAAAAATTAGCCGGGCATGGTGGCGGGTGCCTGTAGTCCCGGCTAACCTGGAGGCTCAGGTAGGAGAATGGCATGAACCCGGGAGGCAGAGCTTGCAGTGAGCCGAGATCATGCCACTGCACTCCAGCCTGGGTGACAGGGTGAGACTCTGTCTCAAATTGATCTGTTGCCCAGGCTGTAGTGCAATGGCACAATCATAGCTCACTGCAGCCTTGAACTCCTGGGATCGAGCCATCCTCCTCCCTCTCCCTCCCAAGAAGCTAGTTCTACAGGTGCACAACAGAACATCCAGCTATTTTTTTTTTTAATTTATTTTGAGACAGAGTCTCGCTCTGTCACCCAGGCAGAATTGCAGTGGCATGATGTCAGCTCACTGCAACCTCCACCTCCCGGGTTCAAGCGATTCACCTGCCTCAGCCTTATGAGTAGCTGGGGCTACAGGCGCCCACCACCCCGCCTGGCTAATTTTTTATATTTTTAGTAGAGATGGGTTTTCACTGTGTTAGCCAGGATGGTCTCAATCTCCTGACCATGTGATCCATCCGCCTTAGCCCCCCAAAGGGCAGGAATTACAGGCATGAAGAGCTGGTTGTTTAAAGGAGCCTGGCACCTCCTCCTCTCTTTCTTGCTTCCTCTCTCTCCATGTGATTCACTGGCTCCTCATTCACCTTCTACCATGATTGGAAGCTTCCTGAGGTCCTCACCAGAAGCAGACACTGGCACCATGCTTCTTGGACAGCCTGCAGAACCATGAGCCAAATAAACCTCTTTTCTCTCTAATTACCCAGTCTCAGGTATTGCCTTATAGCAATGCAAAATGGACTAACACAGTAACCTCAAGACACTAGTTCTCTTCCTGCTTCCAGGTGGGGCACCGCTTGCTTTCTCACCAGGTGCTGCTTTGGAAACACAGCACAATGAAAAACAGAAAGCTCGCTTTTACTTCTTAGGGGTTATCTGGTCTGAACCCCCCATTTTGCATGTGAGAACACTGAACTTCGGAAAGGAAAAGTGAGCTATGTAAGAGCAAACACTTACTGGCAGAGCTAGGGATGAATAATCACAATTTATAGAACACCCGCCACTCACCCCTTGAACAGCCTTAGGAAAAATATTGCACTTCCTATTGCATTCTTTTTTTTGTTTATTTTGGAGATGGAGTCTCACTCTGTCACCCAGGCTGGAGTGCAGTGGCATGATCTTGGTTCACTGCAACCTCCGCCTCCTGCTTTCAAGCAATTCTGCCTCAGCCTCCCAAGTAGCTGGGATTACACGCATCCACCACCACACCTGGCTTAATTTTTGTATTTTTAGTAGAGACGGGGTTTCACCATGTCGGTCAGGCTGGTCTCGAACTCCTGATCTCAAGTGATTCACCTGCCTCACCTTCCAAAGTGCTGGGATTACAGGACCTATTACATTCTTGCAGATGAGAAGAGTGAGGCTTGGAGGCATTAAACATCTGTCCTAAGATCACCCAGTTAGAAGAAGCAGAGCAGAGAGGACAGAACACCCAGGATAAGTTTGTAATTTTTATTTTTTATAACATTTCATAAAATAATGTTAAAATGTTTATATCTCTCTTTTTTTTTCTGAGATAGAGTCTTGCTCTGTCACCCAGGCTGGAGTGCAGTGGCATGATCATAGCTCACTGCAGCCTCGACCTCCCCTGCTCAAGCAATCCTCCCACCTCAGCCTGATGAGTAGCAGGGACTACAGGTACGCACCACCACACCTGGCTAATTATTTTTTTTTTATTTTGCAGAGATGGTGGTCTCAATATATTGCTCGGCTGGTCTCGAACTGGGTTGAACCAATCCTCTTGCCTTGGCCTCCCAAAGTGTTGCAATTACAGGTGTGAGCCACCACACCCAGCCTTGTACCTCTTTTAAATATTTGTTCACTATTTATTCGATGAGTCAGGATCAGCATATCACCTACCATGTTAAGGGCAAACCAGCAAAGCAGAAGTCCAGAACAGACACCACATTTCTGATGTATGACATGTTGACATGGCCTAGGACCCTGTCTCTTAATCTGGTTCGGAGACAGAGTTTTGGATTGGAACTCAAATTTGCTGGTTCCATAGCCTGTGTACTGGGCTATGGCACTCAGACCTGATTCCTGGACAAATGTACTTTCCTTGCGAACCCCTTTCTGAAAACCGAAACTGAAGGTGGCATTATTTTCCCCTCCCAGGTCCTTCCAGGGGTATTTCTTGTCCACCTACGTTGCACAGAGTAATAAGCATGAGACCAGGCAGGCAGGGTCTAGCCTCACCTAGAGGATAAGACCGGGTTGAAACATGCAACTGCATTTTCAGGCTGTGGTTTAACGTTTGTCTCTGGAAATTCCAGCCAGGTGGGGCTAGTCTTGACTTCTCTGGCTTCTTTAGGAAGCTTTCTCTTCTGGCTCCTGATGTTTGGCTTTCTGTGGGAAGGTGCCTGTAAACTTTCTCCCCATGGACTCTGACCTTGCTGCTTGTAGTCTGATCTTTGCTTTGGTTTCTTTCTTGCAGGAGAAGGCTTCCACTGCACAACTGGAAGAAATCATTGCTTTCGGAATTTTCTATCCTGCAGCCCTTAGCTACCCTTTGCTGGAATGCTGCCACCATGACTGCTAGAGACACTTCGTGGAAGACCACAGGATGTGCCATCTTTTCTCATGTGGGCCACGCACAAGCTTCTGTTCATTCCACCTATGGTTTGAAGGTCAACCCTGTGCAGTACCTGTTTAATCTCTAGAAGAGATGCTGATAAAACTTGGAAATGGGCCGAGCGTGGTGGCTCAGGCCTGTAATCCCAGCACTTTGGGAGGCCGAGGCGGGCGGATCACGAGGTCAGGAGATCGAGACCATCCTGGCTAACACGGTGAAACCCGTCTCTACTAAAAATACAAAAAATTAGCCAGGTGTGGTGGCAGGCGCCTGTAGTCCTAGCTACTTGGGAGGCTGAGGCAGGAGAATGGTGTGAACCCGGGAGGCAGAGCTTGCAGTGAGCCGAGATGGCGCCACTGCACTCCAGCCTGGGCAACAGAGCAAGACTCTGTCTCAAAAACAAAAAAACAAACCAAAAAAAACTTGGAAATGTTGTAGCTCAGGTATCTTCGTTATGATTGAAACCACCTTTGCAAAAAGTATGACAGTGAGAGAAACATGACATAGAAAAATTATGACAGGGAAAGAAATCTGACCTGATTCCATTTTGCTTCTAACCTCCAAGCTGCCTTTGTTCATTCTTGGCATAGACCAACCTAACCATGGGAGAAATTTAATTTACAGTTTGACTTTGAATCAAGGATAATAGGACTCCCTTTCTAAAACTGAACCCCTCCTTGTCTCAGTACTGAAACTATCTTTGTAAGATCCGTGAAAAACCACGAGATTGGGATTATAGGAGGGGACTGAAATCTGCTCAGATGTAGGCTTAGTTAAATAATAACCACCCATTGTTCCATAGCTTGCTTTCTTATAATCCCTAATCACTCAGGATTCATGAATCCAGACTTCACAAGATTTGTGACTTCCCCAATTGCTCATATAGATAACATCTCTATTGTAGAACCTAAAAGGGGCCTTTTGAGATGTTTTTCAGACTATTGCATTCTTACAACTAACTCCATTTGGACCCATGACTCATGACTCAACCCAGTCCTGTGGTCCCCACCCAAAGGCTGACTCGGCTCACGGGGACTGTTTTCCACACCCCTATGATTTTATCTTCAACCAATAAGCAATACCCATTGCTTAGCCCCTCCCGGCCAAATTAGCCATGAAAACCCTAGCTTCCAAGCTTTCAGGGAGACTGATGTGAGTAATAAACTCCTATATCCTGTTTAGCTGGCTCTGTGTTTATTAAACTCTTTATTACAATACTTCTGTCTCAGTAAATTGGCTGTATCTGTGCAGTGGGGGATAAGAGGCCATCAGGCAATGACATGATTACTCCTTAATACTTAATTAACAGCAATACTCATAAAGCACTATTTCTAAATATTTATTCAACACGATCCCCAGAGGCCCAGTGGCATGAACCATAACACTCAAGTTCTTCAAACTGATACCTTAAACTTTCTGGGCTTTATTCACTTCCCAGATATGATGGAAATCAAGTTTCACAACTTCCCCTTAGGAAGTTGAAATTATTTCTGATTCATGCCATAACTGCATCCAGTTCTCTCTCCTGCAGTATATTTTGCTCAATCCAAATGGGGCTTGTTGTGTTTTATCCTCATTCACACCATGTATTTCTACACTGTCACCCTTTGTCCAAGCCATTCTTTTTGCCTGACATGCCCTTCTCATGGATGGATCTCTGCCTTCCCACAGTCCACTTATGCTTCAAAATGCCTCTAAAAATAAAGATATCAAAAAGACACCTGCACTTGTATGTTTATCGCAGCATTATTCACAAAAGCAAAGATGTGGAATCCACCTAAGTGCCCATCAAGGGAAGATTGGATTTTAAAAATGTGCTATATAGACACCATGAAATACTACTCAGCCATTAAAAAGAATGAAATAAAATAATGTCTTTTGTAGCAATGTGAATGGAACTGGAGGCCATAATCCTAGGTGAAATAACTCAGGAACAGAAAGCCAAATACCACACGGTCTCACTTGTAAGTGGGAGCTAATCAGTGCATACACATGGTCATACAGAGGGAATAATAGACATTGGAGACTATGAAAGGTGGGAGGCTGGGAGGGGGTGAGGACTGAAAAAGTACCTATTGGGTATAATGTTCACTATTTGGGCGATGGGTACATGAAAAGCCCAGACTTCACCACTCCACAATATATTCCCTAAGAAACCTGCACTTGCACCCCCTAAATACATAGAACTACAAACAGAATTTAACCCAAAACCAACAGAAAAGCACAAAATGCTTCCAAATGCCAAATGTTTTATGCTGTGCTATGGAGCTGCGTGGTGTGGGGAACACATTCAAAATTCAGAGTTTTCATGTCTCCCTCAGCGGGTACTTTCTGCTGGGCTCCTTCTTGTCTCTGACAACCCAGGATGCATGGAGAGTTCACACACACACACACACACACACACACACACACACGTGTATAAATACATATACACATATTTGTTACTACATATATACATATTTATAACTACACATACACATATATATGTATTTTTCACATCTGTCTATATCTGTCTATCCATCTCTGTATCCATCTACTTCTATTTATCCCTATCCATCTATCTATCCATTTCTCTCCATCTATACATATGTATTTATCTATCATGTATCCATCTATTGATCTATATCTATGTATCTCTCCCTATCCATCTATCCATATATCTATCCATTTTTCTCTCTCCATCTATATGTATCTATATTTATCTATCATCTATGTATCCATCTATTCCTCTATCTATCATCTATCTATCCATCTATCTATTCCTATTCATCTGTTTCTCTCTCCACCTATATCTATCTATCTATCTATATATCTATCTATCTTCTACTTATCTCTCTATGCCTATCCATCTGTTTCTCTCTCTCCATCTATACATATCTATCTATCTATCTATCTAGCATCTATCTATTTCTATCATCTATCTATCTATCTATCTCATTTATTCTGCATGGCATGGCTTTGTGTCTTTTATCTTTAATTGATTCCAACAACACTCTGGGGAATGAATGAACACACGTTAAATAAATAAGAGAATGGTCCAGGACGCTACTGTCTGATTTTCTTCCAGGCCTATTGGCTGGTTGGGTCCATGCGTGTAATGTCAGGGTTGGATATCTTGGCTGCTACGACATATTCCATTTGAGGAATAATTTAGAAGTATGGGCGCAAGATAAAAATGTCAGTCTGGCTCCTGGTTAATGGGTGTCTCTAATTAAGCCACGATATACAGTGCTCACAGCCAAATACAGTGTGGCTCCGGCGATAACTCACCAAATAGTGTGTTGTCTTCATTATCTCATTCCCTGACATGTCCCTGATGAGTTTATAAATCCCTGTGGAATCATGGCCTTGATATCTTTAATGAGGCCTTTAAAAACTGGGGCAAAATTATAGCAACAGATAAGGTTGGCTCCGCTGTAGACCTACTTCATAAAGGTTTCTCCTCCCCCTAGTGAAATAAACACCATTTGCTAGACCCAAGAGTTTAATTCCATGTGAATTGGTCAGGGCATATGATTGAGTTAATTCTTCAAGCAGCAAAAGAATATTAAAAGCAGTTTCTGTCTTCCCTGACCTAGTGGGTAACTAGGTAACTAGAAATGGAAATATTCCTTTGCTCTAGTAAAGAGAAGGGTAGAGGCCAATGGTTCACGCCTGTAATCTCAGCACTTTGGGAGGCCGAGGCAGGTGGGTCACCTGAGGTGAGGTTCAAGACCAGCCTGGCCAACATGAAACCCCGTCTCTAGTAAAAATACAAAAATTAGCTGGGCAAGGTGGCAGGTGCCTATAATCCCAGCTACTCAGGAGGCTGAGGCAGGAGAATCACTTGAACCCAGGAGGCGGAGGTTGCAGTGAGCCAAGATGACACCACTGCACTCCAGCCTGGGTGACAGAGTGAGACTCCATCTACAAAAAAAAAAAAATTGTACTTTTTGTAGAGGTGGGGTTTCACCCTGTTACCTAGGAAGGTCTCACACTCCTAAACTGCAGTGGTGTGATCACAGCTCACTGCAGCCTTTCCAGTAATGTTTCTGCATTTAAAAAAAACAGGTGAGGGCCGGCACAGTAACTCACACCTGTTAACCCAGTACTTTGGGAGGCCAAGATGGGAGGATTGCTTGAGGTCAGGAGGTCGAGACCAGTCTAGTCAACGTAGCAAAACCCCATCTCTATTTTAAAAAAAAGAAAAAAAAAAGAGGCTGGGCGCAGTGTCTCATGCCTGTAATCCCAGCACTTTGGGAGGCCTAGGCAGGTGGATCATCTGAGGCCTAGGCAGGTGGATCATCAGCCTGGGTGACGGAGTGAGACTTCGTTTCAAAAAAACAAAACAAAAAACCAAGGCTGGGTGCAGTGTTTCACACCTGTAATCCATATAGTAGCAAACTTTTTTTTTCTTTTTAATAAATCTTTGTTCCCATTTCAGATTGAGGTCAGGAGTTGGAGAGCAGCCTGACAAACACGGTGAAACGCTGTCTCTACTAAAAATAAAACAACAAAAATTAGCTGGGCTTGGTGGCACGTGCCTGTAGTACTAGCTACTTGCCAGGCTGAGGCAGGAGAATCACTTGAACCCAGGAGGCGGAGGTTGCAGTGAGCCGAGATCCCACCACTGCACTCCAGCCTGGGATACATAGCAAGACTCCATCAAAAAAAAAAAAGAAAGAAAGAGAGAGAGAGGGAGGGAGGGAGAGAGAGAGAGAGAAAGAAGAGAGAGAGAAAGAAAGAAAGAAAAAGAAAGAAGAAAGAAAGACGAAAGAAAGAAAGAAAGAAAGAGAAAGAAAGAAAGAAAGAAAACATAACAGTTGAGGTTAAATGAAGTAAATTTTTAATTTTTTTCACTTAGTATATCATTACTATCTTCTCTTACAATTAGAAATTTATAAAGTTTTTTAAAATGACTACACAATATTCCTTTAGGTAAAAAACATAACTTACCAATTAATTTTTTATTGTTGAATGTTTCAGTTTCTTGAAACTTTTCCATATAATGGCCCGGGCATGGTGGCTTTACAGGTGGGATTACGCCTGTAATCCCAGCACTTTGGGAGGCCGAGGTGGGCGGATCACGAGGTCCGGAGATTGAGACCATCCTGGCTAACACGGTGAAACCCCATCTTCACTAAAAATACAAAAAATTAGCCAGGCGTGGTGACGGGCGCCTGTAGTCCCAGCTACTCGGGAGGCTGAGGCAGGACAATGGCATGAACTCGGGAGGCGGAGATTGCAGTGAGCTGAGATTGCACCACTGCATTCCAGCCTGGGTGACAGAGTGAGACTCCGTCAAAAAAAAAAAAAATCCATATAGTAGTGAACTTTAAAAAAAAAAATAAATATTTGTTCCCATTTCAGATTGTTTTCTTGCACTGGGATCAAGCTGAAAGTATTAACAATCAAAATACTTGAATTTTGTTGATGAGTTAATGCTAATTATTTCTCAATCTCTACCACTTTTGGGCATGAGCCACCATGCCCGGCCAAAACTCCATTTTAAAAGCCCAATTTTTCACTTCCATTTGCTTCAGTGTTTTTCATCTGTTAAATGGAGTTAATAACAATAACACCTGCTACATCTACCTCTGGTGATTGTTTTTAGATATGTGATGAAGGGCTGGATGCAGTGGCTCACAACAGGAATTCCAACAATTTGGGAGGCTGAGGTGGGAGGATCACTTGAGCCCAGGAGTAAGACCATCCTGGGCAACACACACCTCATCTCTACTAAAAATTAAAAAAAAAAATTAGCCCTTCATGGTAGCACACACTGGTAGTCCCAGCTAGTAGGGAGGTTGAGGCAGGAGGATCACTTGTGTGTTCGCTTTCCTAGCTAGTTGCTGTGGAAGGAGAATGCTTTCTTCATGGCCTCATCTGTCATTTCGTGTCCCTCTGAAGAAAACTAGTTTCCACTGTGTAACAGGCAGGCATGTAACTATCTAAAGCACAGTTCAGTCCTAAAAGGTCTGGGAGAACCGAATGATGTACTAGGTGAAGCAGTGCATTGTGGGAATCACAAAGCAAACAGTACTCCAGAAAGAGAAATATCAGAAGCTTCCCCTTCCATTTCTTTTTTCTTTTTCTTTTTTTTTTTTTGAGACAGGGTCTTGCTCTGTTGCCCAGGCTAGAGTGCAGTGGAGATCACAGCTCACTGCAGCCTTGAGCTCCTGGGCTCAAGCAATTCTCCCACCTCAGCCTCCTCAGTAGCTGGGACTACAAGTATGCACCACCATGCCTGGCTAATTTTTTGAATTTCTGTAGTGATAGGATCTCACTATGTTGCCCAGGCTGGTCTCGAACTCCTGGCCTCAAGCGATCGTCCCACCTCGACCTCCCAAAGTGCTGAGATTACAGGTGTGAGCCACCTCACCTGGGCCCCCTTCTCCATATGCCTCCAGAAACATGTCCCTGGAGAGTAGCCTGCTCCCACACTGTCACTGGATGTCATGGGGTCAATAAAATCTCCTGCGATTGTGTATCTCAGACATTTCTGTGTCTTTCATCCTCACCCTGGGACCCTAAGGGAAGAGGGCCCTAGTGTCAGTAACTCTGGGCCTCTCCTAAAAAGAAACGGAGATGGCGGCTCATCTAGGAAGTGGAGGAGCAGGGGGTTCCTGGTTCTCAGGCCAAGTGTGATCTCTGCCAACCCAGGGCCTGCCCCAGCCTGTAGGTATTGCTGTGTGGTAGGAAAACCCGCTTCCCTTGTGCACAGAAGCGATCGTGGCCTCAGCTCCAGGGGTTCCAGGCCAGGGCCAAGCGCTCCTTCTGCAGAGGCCTGCATGCATCTTACCCCTTTGACTTGTATTTCCATGGCTTCCCCTCCCCACCTGGCCCCCAGCCCTCCCTGACTGGCCAGCCCCTCAGTAGTCCTCCTCGGCCAGGGAGAGGAGCACGGCCTTGGGTGTGTTCTTGAAAAGGGCTGCCCAGTTCTGCTGCTGCCCCTTCCTCGCCCAGGGGCCATAGATTCGGAAAGCGTAGGCGTCGATGAGCCGGCGCAGAGGCTGGAGGGTGTAGGGGTGGGTCTCGGATGACGATCTCCCGGGTCACTGGGTTCACCCGGTGGTACTGGCAGTAGATCAGCACTGAAGCCAGCACAGTCAGAGCGATCACCTGCAGGGCCAGGCAGAGAAGCTGGGCTGCAGCCCACGCCCTGCCAGGCCCTGCCCCTCCAGCACAGGACTCTCTGGGCTCGTTTGCCACGAAGCCTTCGATGGCTTCTGCGGGGCCCTCCTAGTGTCCCCCACTTCCCACTTGGCCAGCATCCTCAGGGACGGAGCCAGTGGGCTGACACCTGCCATCTCTGAAGCCATCACAGGGCGGCTGGGAGGGGAGGGGTGGGTACTCTGGAAACCCGCGGGGTATAAGGACCCCTGGGAGAGGAGACGGCTTAGAGGTTTGCACTTGGGGAGCTGGCGGCAACTGCCGTAGGGTCTGGGTCAGGAGGCTTCGTACCTTGAACTTCCCCCGGGGACTGAAGTGCCGCACTTCCTCCACCACGTACTGCAGGAAGAAGGGGTGTGCCAAGGCCTCTTCCGTTGTGCAGCAGCTCTGGGGTTGCACCAACAGGAATCGGGAGACCTGGGAGGGGAGGAGAGGGTACCCGAGAAAGTTAAGGCAGGTCCCCTCCAGCATGTCAGGAGAGGCGGGGCCTCCCTGGGCAAGGGAGCCTGGGCAAGGGAGCACTCCATGATCTCAGGGCCAGGTAACTGGGGGTTCTGCAGACCTCTGCAGGAACAGTCATCATCAGGACATGTCAGCAGGGCGCTCAGAAGAGGAAGTCCAGGCCAGGCGCAGTGGCTCATGTCTATAATCCCAGCACTTTGGGAGGCCGAGGCAGGCAGATCACCTGAGGCCGGGAGTGAGGCCGGGAGTTAGAGACCAGCCTGGCCAACATGAGAAAACCCCATATCTACTAAAAATACAGAAATTAGCTGGGTGTGGTGGCACATGCCTGTAGTCCCAGCTACTCAGGAGGCTAAGGTAGGAGAATCGCTGGAACCTGGGAGGTGGAGGTTGCAGTGAGCCGAGATCGCCCCGCGACACTCCAGCCTGGGTGACAGAGTGAGACTCCATCTCAAAAAACAAAACAAAAACTGGAGTCAGCTGAAATACATTTTCAAGTGTAATTTTTTTTTTTTGTTAAAAGTTGATGAGATCCTTCTTAATAATATATGCCTCATATTAATGGCAGGTGTTTTTAATATAGTTGCTTCTGATCTCCTGAGCACACCCAGTGTCGGTGACTGCCCTGAAACAGCATACCAAATGTGTGTTTGTGTTTGCCAGTATTCTTCTGGTGAAAGGGTCCAAAGCTTTTGCTAGATTTTCAAGGAGTCTATAATTCCCACTGTCCCCTAACACCCCAAAAATCTTTTTTAAGCTCTAGAAAAGAAATAATCTAAAAATGATTTTTAATTGCTAACCTTTAGTAACTGAATATGTGTATTTAAGCAACTTAATATTATTCAACAATATAAATGTGATTGTAAATGCATTAAATTAGAAATCAGAGAGAATTAAATATCTATTCCTACTTACATAACTTATCTATAAAATGTTTATTTTACTTTATCCTTGGGAAGGAGCAGGTAATTTTGCCACCTAAATTATTATTTAAATAACTCTAGGGGAAAAATAAGAGACTGCAGAGAAAACATGCAATGATGTTTCAAAATCTTCTTTTAGGCCGGGCACAGTGGCTCACACCTGTAATCCCAGCACTTTGGGAGGCCAAGGAAGGCAGATCACAAGATCAGGAGTTCGAAACCAGCCTGGCCAACATGGTGAAACCCCGTCTCTACTAAAAATACAAAAATTAGCTGGGCATGGTGGTGCACACCTGTAATCCCAGCTACTTGGTAGGCTGAGGCAGGAGAATTGCTTGAACCCAGGAGGCAGAGGTTGCAGTGAGCCAATATTGTGTCACTGAACTCCAGCCTGGGTGACAGAGCAGGACTCCATCTCAAAGAAAAAGAAAAAAATCTTCTTTTAAATTCAAAATTTAAATATTAAAAATCCCTGTATAGTAAAACTGCTATGTCTTTAGAAAAACAATCCCCCGCCTTACATGCTTTCAACTGTATCATATCTAAAGGAACAAAAATTAGTGGTTTAGTACATTTAAAGTAAAGCATGCTAAAAGCTTCAATTAAAGGCAAACGCATAGCTTTCACAATTAAATTACTAAGGTATGTGCCCTAAATAAAAAAAATTACAGTAAAATTTGCTAAAGCTAATTTATTTCCCAAATTACTTTCATAATCATTACACTAAATCACTATGAAAATAAATATGTTGTGCGATTGTCTTCTGAAAGTCTGTTCAAAGTTCTAAATCTGCTAAATGTGTGTACTTTCTAAAAGAAATCTGCAATATCTAACAGCTAAGATACTGTAAGATTTTAGCCTTGTAAAAATAATCTGACCAAATATACTCAAATACTGTGAAAAAATGTTCATTCATGCATATTTAAAATGAATTTTTTGAAGTCTCTCACCAGTAAAAATTATCTTTCAAATTTTTAATTTTTAAACTAACACCTCACTTCTAGTCATCTTGATTAATTTTTTAAAAATCAAAACAAACAATTGTGCTTACAATATAGAAAATGTAGGGAGATCACTTTTTGTCTTCACATTTACTATTTTGTTCCAAGTAAAACCTTTTATTAAATGGCTGGAAAAACCATTTAAGTTATATCATTGCCTGCCTGCTTTTTAATAGGAAACTCTTACCCACACACATATAGTAGTAAAGCTCACAAACCTACCAGCGAAATTAAAAATCCAGACAAAGTAATGGAAAAAGCCTAGTAAAACAAGAAAAAGAAAATGGTTACAACATAACCTGAATATGAAACTAAATCCCCAAAGATTTAGCTCCTTCTAGGGTTGTCTTTATCAGGTTAAAATTCTTGCAAGCCACACCCCTTCATGTGACCAATAAAATTAGAGCCACCACAGAAGGATGACCTAGTCAAGTTCTACTTTGCTGCATTACACCCGACCCACATTTGGAGTGTAATAAAAGACAATCATGTTTCATTTAAATTATGTGTGGTGGTCTTTCCTAAAGAACACAGTAAGCAAGTAGATTTACATACTTTTGCTCCAGTGGTTAGTAGGTCACAAAATGAAAACTCTTGTCATGTATCAAGAATTCTGAGGATCTACCTTTGAAACTTGTATTTTTAGTCATTCACTTATAAAGTTTTCCCAAGATGACTGATGGAGAAGGCTATAAAGAAGAGAAAAATAAGTTAACATAAAGGAAAGAGAGACTAGGGTTTGCCCCCAACTTGGAGCAAGGTATCTATTGTCACAATTGGTACCAATGATAGACATTAGTTCTGAAAAAGAGTCACCAATCAAATGTGACTTTAAGTAAAGGGTACAAGGAAGATCAAGGAAAAAGGAGGCAGATAAAACTTCAAGAAGGATGTTTAGCAAAAAGAAAAAAAAAGAGACGGCCCTTCTCTTATTGGGGATCACTTCCTTTAAGAGATCAGCAATCTGGGTATGACCAACTCTTCTGCCCTTTCCTTTACAAACCCTTGCTGAATTTTCTTTGATTTCAGAGGTTACCGTTTCTGTGGCTTCCAACCATCCACTAACCTCCATACAGGGATGCAAGATACATTCTCTAAGGATATAAGAAGCACTTAGATGGCTCCATACTTTCTTTGTCAGAAACAGGTAATTACTGGATAGCTGCTAAGAATAGCATCCACTTCTCTAGATCTAACCTTGAGATGAATTATAGCTGACTGGACAAGTTCATCTAGTCTTCAGATTTAAACCACACAATCTAATTCTTCAGATTTAAACCACACAATCTAATTCTTGTTTTAAGTCCCTCTAAAATAGAATTGTTCTAGGGCTCTTGACATAACAGAAAGGCACATTTTCAGACATCTACACTTACATTTTTAATTTTAATTTTAATTTTTTATTTTTTTATTATACTTTAAGTTCTAGGGTACCTGTGCACAACGTGCAGTTTAGTTACATATGTATACATGTGCCATGTTGGTGTGCTGCACCCATTAACTCGTCATTTAACATTAGGTATATCTCCTAATGCTATCCCTCCCCCCTCCCCCCACCCCACAACAGGCCCCAGTGTGTGATGTTCCCCTTCCTGTGTCCATGTGTTCTCATTGTTCAATTCCCACCTATGAGTGAGAATATGCGGTGTTTGGTTTTTTATTTCATGTTTCAATAGACTCTACAGTTTGCCCAAAACTACCTCAGAAAATTTAAACATAAGATAAATTGATCTACAGTCATGCATTGCTTAAAAATTGGGATACATGCTGAGAAATTCATTTGTCATTGCACGAACAACACAGAGTGTACTTACACAACCCTAGATAGTATAACCTACTACACACTTAGGCTCTATGGTATGGCATGATAATATTATGGGAATTTGTCGTATATGCAGTCAGTCATTGACCGAAACATCGTTATGTGGCACATGAATGTATTTTACTATTCAATGTCTAACATCTTTAAAAAGTTTGGCTTATATTTTAAAACCAAAGTGTGATTAGCACTTTGTGAAGCATACATTGCCAAAGATCAATTTAACTATAAATTTTCAATAGGTTCACCTTCCATGCCAAAATTCTTGCAACTCTCAACCCCTCCTCGCTACCACTATCAAAGAATACATTGCTATGGAGAGTCACGTGAGAGCAATACAAAAAGAACATTAAAAGAAGCCTAAACTCACACCTGCTTACTTCACTTATTTAAACATTAGTCTTTCTTTTCAGTTATTCATGGATATGTACTGAGCTATGAGGAAAAGCACCTTACATCAGCTAAAGAACCATAAGTTGTTAATGATTTTTAAAGAAAAATTTAACAAAAATATTTTTTGAAATTGCTAACATTTTCAAGACAATGTAAGGTACAACCAATCGATAAAACTTCTAAGTGATTTCTTTCAGATTCAGTATGTGTTATTCAATGAAGTAGTAACAATCTAATTTATCAAATCGTATCAAATATCCATTCCAATTACAGCCATTCCCCACTTGGCTTTATTTTCTAAAATGTTTATTTTCCTACTTATTATTAACATAAAATATTATGCTAGCTCCTGGAGCAATTTGCGTTTTAGCAATGCAAACATTTTTTATATTTGCATAGGCAAAGTATGGTCATCATTCCTCTCTTTAAGAGATATATTTCCAGTAGAATTCTACTATTTATGTTTTCACCTGG
Source organism: Homo sapiens (assembly GCF_000001405.40). Classification (NCBI taxonomy): domain Eukaryota; kingdom Metazoa; phylum Chordata; class Mammalia; order Primates; family Hominidae; genus Homo; species Homo sapiens. Next base: position 57,065,957 of record NC_000007.14, read on the forward strand.
GATATAGTTTAACTCATGTATCCACACAGTAGAATTTTGTATATTTAGAAAAAAACTTCATGATACTGTAAAGTTTACAATTTTTCTCTGAATTATCTTACCTGCATCCAACAGCACTACTTTAAAAAGCCTTATATGGCCAAGCGCTGTGGCTCATGCCTGTAATCCCAGCACAAATAAACAATTCCTTATATCTACAACATAACAAACATTTAAAAAATATATTGAATAAGTACATATATTTAACAAAAAATATGTACTGGTAGTATTTTAACATACAAAATTATCAGTAGCTTTGTGTATGTGTTTCTTTTAATGAGTTAAAAAGTTCATCGTTAATGATAATGAGTTTAAAGTGAATTAGGATTTTATGAACAATATTCACTATGATGGATCCTTACATTTTTTGCCAAAGTTGTTCAATAAACATTTTGCTCAAAAGAGATAAAAAGCCTTCCTTTTGTTCACGTACTGAGGCTTACCTCAAACAGAATCTTATATTTTAAATATTTAAGAAGGGACATTTTTTTATTCCATTATAAGGCATGTTAACCACTATGGAAAACACTATAGCTACTTTCAGAACTTGTCTTTCGTATTTATATAGTTGATCCTTTAGGATTTTCGTCTAATGGTAGCTAACACCTAGCTACAAATGCCCGTTATTTAAAATGGTTTTGTAATACAGCTATGCACTGCATAATGACATTTCAGTCAACAAGGGACTGCATATATGATGGTGGCCCCTAGGAACTGAAAAATTCCTACTGCCCGGTAGCATCTTGATGATCTTGACTCTGAGTAGGCCTGGGCTAATGTGTAAGTTTACGTCTTCGTTTTTAAGAAAAAAAAAAAAGTTTGAAGGGAAAAAAGAAAGAACTTTTAAAATAGAAAAAAGCTTATAGAATAAAGATTATAAAGATAATATTTTTGTACATCTGTTCAATGTGTTTGTGTTTTAAGCTAAGTGTTACTACAAAAGAATCAAAAAGTTTTTTAAAATTTAAGTTATAAAAGTTACAGCAAAATAAGATTATTAAAGACAAATTTAAAAAATAAATTTAGTATAGCCCAAGTGTACAGTGTTAATAAAGTCCACAGTAGTGTACAGTAATGTCCTAGGCCTTCACATTCACTCACCACTCTCTCACTGACTCATCCAGAGCAAGCTCCTGTCCTGCAAGCTCCATTCACAACAAGTGCCCTATACACATATCCCATTTTTAATCTTTTATACTGTATTTTTACTGCACCTTTTCTATGTTTAGATACACAAATACTTAACATTATGTTACAACTGTCTATGACATTCAGTACAGTAACACGCTATATAGGTTTATAGCCTACAAGCAATAGCTAGAGCACATAACCTAGGTGTGTAGAAGGCTCTACCATCTAGGTTTGTGTAGGTACACTCTATGATGTTTACAGAATGATGAAATAGCCCAATGACACATTTCTCAGAATAGCCCCATTGTTAAGTGACATATGGTGTAATTATGATCTTCAATAATGACAAATTTTTTAAAAGGAGGGCACAGACATGGTTACCAGCTTCCTCACACATCTCTTTTTTCGACCCCCACATAAAAACACCACAGCTTGAGATACAAGCTCAATAGGACAAAGCTACACAATTCGTAGTCACTTACACCACTCTAATAACCAAAAGAAGAAACCAAAACTCCAGCTAATTTACTCCCTGGAATAGGATTACAGAAGGTAAGCAAGAATAAATTCATCTACCTATTCCTTTTATTAAAGCCTGTCCTTTGTTTCCACACAATCTGTAAGTGAAAACTCCATCAAAATGGTTCATTCAAAAAAGTGTCTACTATTAACAAAGCATAACAATATACATTTATGCTGTTGTGCATAGAGAACATTATCCAAATTTTCTACTGAGGAGCCAGGAGAAATTTAATGAAAATGAAACAATATGATTATTGACTACAGAAAGAATACCTTTTTTGGAGAAAAAATATATACTTACTTAGTCAGCTGCCCTTTATTCTTGTTGTTATCAACTCCATGATAAGTCACAGCTGCCAGTTTTCTGCTTCCATAGTTCTCGTAGTGGACATTGTTAGTAACATCTTTCAAGTCCTGCATGTGTGTTCTGTCATAAATAAACAGCAAGAGTTTGCTTCTGTTAATAGCTAGGGGGCATAAAGCTAAAAAAGCTTTAATATAAATTCAAAATTTTACCAAAACAAAAATTTCAGATTTAAAATTAACAAAAGACTATTGTTAAGGAAGGTAGCATTCATCTGTTTTCATTTACACTCAAAGTAGACCAATAAAAAATAAGCTAACTTGACACCAAATTTAGATTCCATAGAGATTTTAAGACCCATAGCAAGGACTTCATGACAAACACCGAAAGCAATGGCAACAAAAGCCAAAATTGACAAATGGGATCTAATTAAACTAAAGAGCTTCTGCACAGCAAAAGAAACTACCATCAGAGTGAACAGGCAACCTACAGAATGGGAGAAAATTTTTGCAATCTACCCACCTGACAAAGGGCTAATATCCAGTATCTACAAAGAACTCAAACAAATTTACAAGAAAAAAACAACTCCATCAAAATGTAGGCAAAGGATATGAACAGACACTTTTCAAAAGAAGACACCTATGCAGCCAACAGACACATGAAAAAATGCTCATCATCACTGGTCATCAGGGAAATGCAAATGAAAACCACAACGAGATACCATCTCACATCAGTTAGAATGGCAATCATTAAAGTCAGGAAACAGCAGATGCTAGAGAGGGTGTGGAGAAATAGGAACAGTTTTACACTGTTGGTGGGAGTGTAAATTAGTTCAACCATTGTGGAAGACAGTGTGGCGATTCCTCAAGGATCTAGAACTAGAAATACCCTTTGACCCAGCCATCCCATTACTGGGTATATACCCAAAGGATTATAAACCATGCTACTATAAATCATGCACACGTATGTTTATTGTGGCACTATTCACAGTAGCAAAGACTTGGAACCAACCCAAATGTCCATCAATGATAGACTGGATTAAGAAAATGTGGCACATATACACCATGAAATACTATGCAGCCATAAAAAAGGATGAGTTCATGTCCTTTGCAGGGACATGGATGAAGCTGGAAACCATCATTCTCAGCAAACTATCACAAGGACAGAAAACCAAACACTGTATATTCTCACTCATAGGTGAGAAGTGAACAATGAGATCACTTGGACACAAGGCGGGGAACATCACACCCGGGAGCCTGACAGGAGGTGGAGGGCTGGGGAAGGGATAGCATTAGGAGAAATACCTAATGTAAATGATGAGTTGATGGGTGCAGCAAACCAACATGGCACTTGTATACCTATGTATCAAACCTGCACGTTGTGCACATGGACCCTAGAACTTAAAAGTATAATAAAAAAAAGAAAAGAGAAAGAGAAATGGGCATAGGAGGGGAAGACTTTCTTCTAGGGCATTTGAGATTGTCAAGCCCAGATGACAGGCACCACCTTTCCACCTTATGCCTCATTAATGGAAACAACACAAAGCCCAGATCTAAGGCAGAGCTTCCCAACTATGGGCCTGCATCTCAATCTTCACCTTCCAGGAACCAGGCAGCGTCTTCTGGGCTGATTACTTCCAGTTTACCACATTATGATATCCAAATATTATAGCTCCCCTCTCCCTTGTGATGATCATGGAAAATATCAGTGGCTCCAAATTCCAATTATTTCACCTTAGAAAACAAATCTGAGAATCCCCCTATCACCAAGCACAGCACCTGGATACAACAGGCACTCAATAAATATTTGCTCAGCCAATGCAAGGATAAATGAATGATATTCCTCATCCCCGTATTCATTTCTGAATACGTGCTGGTGAAAATCTAGCTCTAAACATCTTTCAGATTTAGTACATTGAGGTATGAAAAAGAAAAAAAAAAGGACAATGCAAACGAAGTCAGGAGCTGGCACAGAAAGTGCAATCAGATTCTGCTTCCCCTGTAATTAAGAGTGCCCAATGCCGCTGACTTAGGCGATGACAGCGTGCAGCTTGCCTGCCCGCCCTGGGCGCCTGGGAGGGCGGGCAGCCCTCAGGATGCCGCTGCACAACACGTTCGCCACCTTATCAAGAATTCCACAGCCACAGGAAGATTTCTCACCCCGCCATAACCCCCACGGGCTGCCCTGTGCTGTCACATGTCCCCGCTGCTCAGAGAGGGAAAGCCACTAGGGAGGCCCTCAATGGAAATATTACCCCCTGTCCAGGGTAGCATGGGCTTGATCGCCCCTGATTATTTCTGATCACTGTCACTGGGCCAAGAGCACAGCGAAGTCAAGAAAGAAATGGCCTTATTAGTGAGAGTGCAGCGGTGTGAGTAGGCAGCAGTGGCGTGGAGGACCTGCTTTTGTGAGGGCAGTGAAGAGAGGGGAAGGAGTGGTGTCTTCATATTGAGATATTTTGAGATTCCTGCTTTCTCCACTCACTTCAACTGCCCAAATAGGTTCTGCAGGTTCCGGAAGGTTCTAGAACTTGTACAGGATTGAACCTACAGCTTCTCATGGAACAAACCCAGAACCAAGAAAATCTGGTGGAAATCACCTGTTTTAACTCCTTTGAGGTCTAGACCAGAAATTAAATAGTGCTTAATCTGTTACTTTAAAGAAGCCTAGTTCTAACTTTACCTCAGCTCGCTCCCTCTTTTGCCTAGGATAGGAAGGGTGGGTGCAAATGGCCAGCTCCCTGTAGGTCAGCCTCTTGGACCCCTAAGTTTCCCGCCACTTCTATGCACTACAGGCTTTGCCCAGGGTGGGATCCTCAGCCCAGGGACCTTGTTTTTCCTCCGCCTCTTGATGCTGGTGCCTGCTTCCCAGCCACATACCCTCAGATTCATTTTTAAAGAAACGTCAACAGCTGTTAAATGGCAAATGAGCCTTTCAAAGAGGTGGGATGACTTTGAAAAAGGGCTTGAGGACAGCAGTCGACCTCTGACCGTCTCCCCTCAGATGCCCTCTCCATCCCACGCTGTCTCCCTGTCCCCGACCTCCGCTTTCCCAGCGAGCCTGCCTGCTCTTCAACGCTCCTCCCTGCCCGCTTGTGCTGTCTCAACACCTCCCATGTTGCTTGATTCCTAAAATAACATAGAGGAAAACATTAATTTTTTTTTGAGACGGAGTCTCCCTCTGTCGCCAGGCTGGAGTGCAGCGTTGCAATCTCGGCTCCCTACAACCTCTGCCTCCTGGGTTCAAGTGATTCTCCTGCCTCGGCCTCCTGAGTAGCTGGGACTACAGGAGCATGTCACCACACCCGGCTACTTTTTGTATTTTTTTTTTTTTTGAGACGGAGTCTCGCTCTGTCACCCAGCCTGGAGTGCAGTGGCATGATCTCAGCTCACTGCAAGCTCCGCCTCCGGGTTCGCCTCCGGGTTCATGCCATTCTCCTGCCTCAGCCTCCCGAGTAGCTGGGACTACAGGCGCCCGCCACCACGCCCTGCTAATTTTTTGTATTTTTAGTAGAGACGGGGTTTCACCGTGTTAGCTAGGATGGTCTCGATCTCTTGACCTTGTGATCCACCCGCCTCGGCCTCCCAAAGTGCTGGGATTACAGGCGTGAGCCACTGCGCCTGGCCAAAAATATTTTTTTAAATAAAGAAAATAAATCCTCGGCTGGGTGCGGTGGCTCACGCCTGTAATCCCAGCACTTTGGGAGGTGGAAGCGGGCAGATCACAAGGTCAGGAGATCGAGACCATCCTGACTAACACGGTGAAACCCCGTCTCTACTAAAGATAAAAAAATTAGCCTGGCATGGCGGCATGCACCTGTAGTCCCAGCTGCTGGGGAGGCTGAGGCAGGAGAATGGCGTGAACCCGGGAGGCGGAGCTTGCAGTGAGCCGAGATTGTGCCACTGCGCTCCAGCCTGGGCGACCGGGCAAGACTCTGTTTCAAAAAAAATAAAACCCCATAAATCTCCCAAAGCAGTTACTGAAGGATGACCTTTCTATGAAAGAGTGTTCATCTTTATATTATCTATTTAAATACTAGACAAGAAACTGTAGATTAGCTACTACTGAAGCTCATAAAATCTAAAAGAAACTGCCTTTTAGCAATATTACTAAGGTAATATGTGAGTTTTTATTAATACATAATAATATATTTCAGAACACATATCAAGTTGTTTTTAAACTAGGGAATTTTAGAATAAATTTCTGTTTCTTCAAATTGTCTAGGTGAATGTGGTATTTTGGTTAAACAAATTTTTGTTTATAGCATTTCTATCATATATAAAATCAATACATATGAGATAAATCCACAATACATATGGGATGATGTCATCATTATTAATAATTCAAGACACTGAAGGTACCCTTAGCTCCTCTATGGATATCCTTTACCAATGCAGTGTTCTTGGATATACATGGGGTGGCAATACTCTGTATTGTCAGTCCTCCCTCTTCTCATCATCTATTCTATTTCAAACTTCCTATATCTGCCATCATTCATCTTCACCACGTTACTAAAACTCCCTTCTGGGAGACAAACATAAAGGTGTATTGTTGGCTGGGTGTGGTGGCTCACACCTGTAATCCCAGCACTTTGGGAGGCCAAGGCGTATGGATTACATGAGCTGAGGAATTTGAGACCAGCCTGGCCAACATGGTGGAATCCCATCTCTACTAAAAATACAAAAATCAGCCAGGTGTGGTGGTGGGCACCTGTAATCCCAGCTACTTGGGAGGCTGAGGCAGGAGAATTGCTTGAACCCAGGAGGTGGAGGTTGCAGTAAGCCAAGATCGTGCACTGCACTCCAGCCTGGGTACAAGAATGAGACTCCATCTCAAAAAAAAAGTGTATTATTGTACATTTTTATCATTCCTTACATCCAGAAAACCCTTACTGTTACTTTACAATCCAGCTTCTTGAATCTCCCCCTTTGTGAATAAAATGTGATATTCAATTACTCTGATTCATATCGTACTGACATTTCCATGCAATTCTCTGATAGTTCACTCCCTTTAGTCCTAAGTCTGGGTTTTCCAAAAATCTCATCTCCCAGACTCTGTCCCTTGATAAATTCATGTTCTCTTATAGCCACAACAGTTACTTCTAAAGCTCTACCACTCCACTTCAGGCACGTCAGGCAAAATAAATAAGCAGGTAGGATCAAGATTTTACAGCATAATTTTGCAGGTAATTTTAAATCTCAAGTCCTATGAAGGTTACCAAAAAAATCCTATAATAGAGAGGAACATTAAAAAGGAGAAATAAGATATTCACTTCGCAAAATTACTCCTTTGAGATTCTAGTTACTAAACTCCATCTTGCAGTTTGATATGTATGAGTTACTGCCCAGAATATACAGACAGTCCTTCCATCCTGTGCACTGGGATGATCACTTCCACTTCTTCAAATCCAGCTAAAAGCATCACTGCCTCCATGAAGCCTACTCCAGCCAGAACTGTTCACTTGCCTCCTCTCTGCTCATGTCCTATATATTACACAAGCAGAGGCCACCAACAGTATTTTTCATCAACAGTTTAGAGCAGTGCTGCCAAATAAAAATACCATGTCAATCATATAAGCAATTTAAAATTTTCTTAGTAGCCACTTTTAAAATAGGAAAAAGGTGAAATTAATCAATTTTATTTAACCTGATACATCCAAAATATGATCACTGCAGTATACAATCAATATAAAAAAATTATGGAGATTTTTTCCATGCTCAGTCTTAGAAATCGGTGGTATATTTTATATTTGCAGAACATCACAATTCAGACTACCCACATTTCAAAGATTAATAGCCATATACGGCTACAGGCTGCTGTACTATTTAATAAAAAGTGCATATCTAGAGTCTAGCCCCTTGCTCTATAAAGTGTGATCTACCATCCAGCAGCATCAGCACCACCTGGGATCTTGTTAGAAATGTAGAAACACAGCCCATCTCAGAACTACTAGAAGAACTAAATTTAACAGGATGCCCAGGATTGGAATGCATAGCAAAGACTGAGAAGCAGTAAATTAGATCACATATACCTTGGGAGTCTTACAGAATTGCTATTGCCATTCAACTATGATATGGTATTACCCCACTGACTAATATAGAACACTGTATTTAAATAACAATAGCTTTTCTATGAATCATGTTTTCTCTACACTGTCCAATGCAATTTTCTGAAATGATGAAAATCTTTATATATGTGCTGCATAGAATGGCAGCCACTTGCCACATGTGGCTGCTGAGCACTTGAAATGTATCTGGAGCAAAAGAGAAATTGCATTTTTAATTTAATTCATTTAACTGATGTAAACATTTGGCAAATGACTATCATACTAGATAGTACAACTCCAGGAGAATTGGTTACTATGTCACAGTTTCATCTCTAGGAGAGTCTTAGGACAATTGGAAAGTTCTAGTCAAGATAATTCTTCTGATTAACTGTACTCCTTCTTCTTTTTAATTTTATGAAGTCATATTTACCATCTTACACTGGCTAAGGGCAAAATTGCATCTTACCTCTAAGGAAGCATAATAAAAGTTACAACATGTGCTTTGTATGTCTTAATATTATTCCAGCTTATCATCAATTAACAATACTAATATCCATACCTGTACAGTCTTTTTAATTCTATGAGAAGGACCTGGGTACTCTGGAGAATACAAATCTGTGAGGAATAATGAGTTGATTAATGTCGACTTTCCCAATCCAGATTCCCCTAAAAGAAATAAGGGAAAATATCTGTTAAACTCACCCATTTTACCCAACCTTAAATATTCAACAGATGCTATAATCCAACTTGCTTTATGCAAGTACTTCTTGGTGAGACAATGAAATGACATTAGAAAATATGCTACAAAGAGTGTCTTGTCCTCAGTTTCGTAGCTATCAAATTAGACTCATGTTTCCAAGGATTCTTTTCAGCCTTCTAATTATACCACTTATATTCATTAAAAGTAATTATCTAATAATTTACATTTTTAACAGTAATGTATTCCCAAGGAAAAAATTCAGTGATTTTAAAAAAAATCCAAGTTGGATTATGTATCACTGCTTCAGTGAAATAAAGTTTTTCTTTATTAATAGACAATAATGGATGACCAAAAGAAATCATGCAGCTACAAAAAGCAAAAATCTGCTAATACAAAGAATAATTAATCACAATGAACATCTCCATATAAAATTCTAAATCACAAAAAATACTTTCTAATTTAGCCACCCATCAGCCTAAACATAAGGGTGCTTCTCCATAAACCAGAATCCAAAAAAATCTTAGGTAATTACTTTTTCTACCGCTTCTACTCGAGGTAGACATGAAGGAAGCTACGGCATGATTTCCACTCTGATCACATACACTTTTTTGACTCTCCATGTCTAGTCCAATATACATAGTCTAGTGTATAGTAACTATTACAAGTATAACAAAATATAAATGGTCTCAAGGTATATATAACCTAAGGTTAAAACAAATTAGAAATCATATTATGATAATTAACATGGCACAGAGTTAAAGTATTTATTGTTAATAATTCACTTAGAATAATAAGCATGTTTAGCGTAAGTAACTGATGTCACAATATTTATATGTCTAAGAGGAATTCTTTTTATATTAGCTTTCAAAAGAGATAAGATCCTTTCCACATGGTTTGGGCTTACCCCTTTGACTGAGAGCATGCCACTTTTTACTAGATGTAAAAATGCCATAAAGGTCTAAGTCACAGGAAAGTAACACGGGTTGGCCACACCTGATTCTTTCTTAACTCTTAAACCTTGAAGGCAGAAAGACTAGAATAAAACCCAAGCATTTGGATGTTACCAGAAATATCTACAATATTTCCTTTTAGAAATATAAATGAAAATTTTAGTATATACAACAATGTTTGGGAAATTAAAAACAAAAGTATGCTAATTAAAATATTAACACTGTACTCAATAAATCATGTTTAGAGGGCTTTTTTTCAGTTTTTTCCCTTTTTATTGGTGGTGAGGAGTGGGGGAATAAGACGACGCAGGACAAAGGGAAAAGAGAGAGGAAGAAAAATAAAAGTCTGAAAGGTAATACAGTAAAATGTAAATGGTGGCTACTCTGGGGTTAGTACAATGAGGGTGAGATTTTTTTCTTAGTTTGTTATACTTCTGGGGGCTGCAAACTTCCTTCAACATGATTCTATTATTTTCATAATTTAAAAAGCATTATTGAGTGGCATCAGCAAAACGGCAAATTAAAAAGCTCGCAGACTCATTCCCTCACAGAAACACCAAAAACAACCAGAAACTAGTTGAATTAACCTTACAGGACCTGTGAAAAACAGTCAAATGTCTATAGCAACAAAGCAAATGCCCAATTAAGAAAAAAAAAAAAAACATGTAAAACTTTTGTGACATTTTTCTGTGATCCTGTCCCACCCCTTCTGCAGTTTATCTGGGTCTGGAGGAGGCAGCAAACCAACTCCCAATTCATTCCCTTCAAATGGGCGGGAAGAGTGCAGACCTAACTCGTAACATTTTACCCTCTCTGGTCGGCCAGAAGGACTGATTCCTGTCTACCTAAGTGGGACCTCATCCGGTGAGAGAAGCAATGGGTGCCATTTATGAAAGCTACAAGGCTACACAATATGTTTACACTATAAGGAACTAGAAGAAGAAGAGCAAACTAAACTCAAAGCTAGCAAAAACAAGAAAAAAATAAAGATTAGAGCAGAGATAAATAGAAGAGATTTTAAGAGTAGAAATCGGGCTGGGCATGGCGGCTCACGCCTGTAATCCCAGCATTTTGGGAGGCTGAGGAGGGTGGATCACCTGAGGTCAGGAGTTCAAGACCAGCCTGACCAACATGGTGAAACCCTGTCTCTACTAAAAATACAAAATTAGCTGGGTGTGGTGGTGCGTGCCTGTAATCTCAGCTACTTGGGAGGCTAAGGCAGAAGAATCGCTTGAACCCAGGAGGCAGAGGTTGCAGTGAGCCGAGATAGCGTCACTGCACTCCAGCCTGGGCAACAAGAGTAAAACTCTGTGTCAAAAAAAAAAAAAAAAAGAAAGAAAGAAAGAAAGAAAAGAATAGAAATCAGCCGGGCTCAGTGACTCATGCCTGCAATCCCAGCACTTCGGGAGGCTGAGATGGGCAGATCACGGGGTCAGGAGATTGAGACCATCCTGCCCAACATGGCGAAACCCCGTCTCTACTAAAAATACAAAAATTAGCTGGGCGTGGCGGCGCGTGCCTATAATCCCAGCTACTCGGGAGGCTGAGGCGGGAGAATTGCTTGAACCCGGGAGGCGGAGGTTGCAGTGAGCCGGGATCACGCCACTGCACGCACTCCAGCCTGGCGACAGGGCTAGACTCCGTCTCAAAAAAAAAAAAAAAAACAAACAAAAAAATAACAATCAACAAAACCAATTGTTAGTTCTTCAAAAGAATAAACGAAATTGACCACCCATAAACTAGATTGAGAATAAAAGAGAGACTCAAATTACTAAAATCAGAAATAAAAGTGGGGGCTGGGCATGGTGGCTGACGCCTGTAATCTTAGAATTTTGGGAGGCCGAGGTGGGGGGATCTTTTCAGCTCAGGAGTTCAAGACCGGCCTGGGCAACGTGGCAAAACCCTGTCTCTACTAAAAATACAAAAAAATTACCCGGTCATGGTGGCACATGTCTGTAATCCCAGCTACTCAGGAGGCTGAAGCAAGAGAATTGCTTGAACCCGGGCGGCGGAGGCTGCAGTGAGCCAAGATCGCACCACTGCACTCCAGCCTGGGTGACAGAGCGAGACTCTGTCTCAAAAAAAAGAAGTAAAAGTGGTTCATGATTTTCCTAGTTAAGGACTGGACTGTTTGCCATCGCCCCACCCCACGCTTTTTTGAGTAACTTCCCTTTTTGGAAACAGTGATGAAGGTTTCTCCCTTTATTCTAAACAGTGTGTACCTTGTAGTACTATCTGCCATCAAATTTCTAAATGCTTTCTGCTTTTTTAATACTCTTTAAAAATTAGCAAATACATAGTTATACTTTCAGTTAAGATTATATTTTTTCCCATTGGATTTTTTCTTTATCTTTTAAATTCTTAACATTGACTATGTGAAGTAATACGCTGTATACCCTGAACTCAGCTATGAGATATTTAACGTATCATGGGATATATAAATAAATTAACTTCCATCAATTCCTAGACTACTTACACTGAAATTATGGACCAAAGCTTTCTAATTCAATTCCCAAGTGGTGTTAAAACCAAACTGTATTGTATTTCAAGAAACTTTATCCATGGTTACAAAAGTTTAAAAACTTATCAAACACGTGGGAAAACTGCAATTTAAAGATAAATGATTAGGTTTCCTATTTTTTTAAGACCAACTACAATGTGAAACATAACTACACTAACTGGGTGTTCTCTATCAAAGTCAACACTGCAAACAACAAAGGGTATCATCTGGCCAAGAAAAAGATAATTTCTGATTCCAATTCAACACAGCTCCTGTGTAACAGGTGTTTCTCTAGTTCTCAGCTCCACATTTATGCTTGAGTTATTTCTATGCTAGTTGTAGTTTTCTTTTTAAGTTGCCTCTGGGCAAAGTAAACCTTTCATAACAGATTGAGAACTGTTCCATTTCCTCAACTCTAAGATACAATTTTGCCCCCTAATATTTCTAAAAACAAATGTCTCATAATCAAAATGTAATTGACTGTACTATTTAACCTCCCTCAAATCAAATTTGATTATATGTTTCAGAGTAGATCTTATCTTAGAATCAAGGAAGCAGGAAAATCAAAGCACTTCTTCCCCTAGAATTGAATTCAATTAGAAAAGCCAAATCAATAAGACCTTAATTATTTTATCCTATAATTGAGAACTTTATATTTAATTCTTAGAACAATTTATTCTGAACTAAAGGGATTTCTATTTCCTTCTAAATTGGAAGACCCAAAGAAACAGAAGCCTTTAACACAAACTTGGATGAGAAATAAGGAAAGTAACCAAGACCATCTCCCACCTTGAGGCTCATGAGGTGAAACAAAAGCTCCCGCTTGAGAGAGTTATATGCCACAGGGGAAATGACCCTCAAAGAGACAAGTTTCATTCAGAGTAAGGAGGCCGAAAAAATGGGTACCAAAAAGTAGTTGAGAACTCAGTCTGCTTTTTCTGGTTCTGTACATAAGGAGCTTGGAAGTTGCCACTCCATTCTAAGAAGTAAAAAACTGAACAGATCTCATCTTTAAGAGCAGGATCTGATCTTTAAGAGCAGTAAGGACACAAGGCAATGATCCAGCAATTGCTCTTCTTGATGTTTACCCAGCTAAGTTAAAAACTTAGATCCACAGAAAGTCTTGCACACAGGTATTTGCAGCAGCTTTGTTTATAACTGCCAAGATATGGAAGCAATCACAATGTCCTTCAGTAGTTGAATGGATAAATACACTGTGGTACATCCAGAAAATGGAATATCACTCAGCACCAAAAAGAAATTAGCTAACAAGCCATGAAAAGACATGGACCAATGTATACTGGTAAGTGAAAGAAGCCAGTCCAGAAAGAATACATACTGTATAATTCCGTTATTATAATTCCATAATTATAGTGAGCAAGATACTTGCATTTTTGGTTTTCTTACATATCGAATTAGTATAAGAGTATGAACTATGAGGAATAAATTAGATAATATATGTGAAATCTAAGCACAGTGCCTGGTACACATTAAGTGCTCAATAAGTAGTTGCATTATTTCTGTGATTCATTTAAGGAAATTAGAAAGACATGAAAGTTTGATATGACAGAGGCAAGAACATAAATAACAAAAATTTTTAAAATATTTAAGGCAAAAACTTGGAAACAATGGGAAGTTAGCAAATTCCACGTTAAAAGACTAATAGGTCTTTTGGATATGGATAAATCAAGTGCTTAAAAAGTAAAAATGATTTAAATAATATGCTTAATTGTCAAATATATACACAGAAATTTCTACCCAGAGAATAAACATATTTTTGAAACCTATGGAATACTTAAATAAGCTGATCCTATGTAAGGCTACACAGAAAAATAAATCAATACTGGAACCTACAGATCATATTCTCTGAAGGTAGCGAAATTAAAAATTAACAAAAAATCATGTAATCCATCTGCCTACTTACCTATCTCTCTAACTCTTCTTATGTGAAAATTACTCAAATACAAACAAAATGAGTATTACACATAAAAAACTAAGATATGTGACTAAAGTATTCAGAGAAAAACCCATGCTTAAAATAAGCCTAAAGAAAATAACTCAACCATCAGTGTGGTTCTTGGTGAAACTGTAAACTGGTACAGCTTTTCTGAAGAATAATTTGGCAATCTATCAAAATTTAAATCTACATGCCTTTTGACCCAGGGTTTCACTTTCAGAAATGTATATTACAGAAGCATTTATATGTATGCCTAGAAATCCAAGGAACCTAAGCACTGTTTATAACTATAAGCATCCATCTTCATTAATAGCTGACTGTATAAATCATGATAGAGATATTTCAGAATACCACATAATTGCAAAGAATATGCAGACAGGAATATATGTACAGTATATTCAGTGACAGGGAAAAAACAGTCACAGAACAGTACTTATAGCACGGCACTGTTTACACACAAAAAAATTGACATGGGAATGCCTGGCGTATATAAAAGTATAAAAAAATGGCAAAAGACTTGCACCAGTTTAATGCTTATCTCTAGAGACAGGACTGGAAATGAAGGCAGGAGAAAAAAGGAAACTCACCTTTTACTAAATGTCTTTAGAATTTAGTTTCTTAAAAATAAAAATGTATATTTTATAAACTTTTCTTTCTTTGGGAGGCTGAGGGGAGGGTAATAATAAAAGGGAATATACCAAGTTTCTAATAGTGTTTATTTCTAGATGGAAAAGGTAGTGAAACATTTAAATTTTCTCTCTTTGTATATCAGTTTTTCTACAAGAACCATAAATTATATAATATTTAATTTTTACTTTTAACTCTTTAAAGGGGTTGATAATATGTTATACTACAAAGAGGTCAAGAAGAATGCCTGAGAACAGGCTACCTGCAAATATAATGATTGGGAATACTGGGATAAGAGTTAAGAGAAAAATGAGTATTGAGTCCAGTAAGATACTACAGAGCAAATGAAAGGGAAGCATCAGGCGCAGGTTACTGCAGATGCTGACAACTACAGATCCAGACAGCTGTACTGCAGGAATTCTCAATCTTGGCACTACTGACATTTTGGGTTGGACAATTCTTTACTGTGAGGAGTGTCTTGTTCGTTGAAGGATGCTTGGCAGCATCCCTGGCCTTTACCCATTAGATGCCAGTTAGCCTCTCTCCTCCCCAGCTGTGACAACCAAAAATGCTTCCAGACATTGACAAATGTCCCCTGGGGGGCATTTTTCAAATTTTGAACCCCCAAATCATCTAGCACTGATACCACTATGCATGGAAAATAATGACAATGACAGCCAGTAAGTTGTAAATTATTCTGTGTGCCAGTATTTTACAAGCATTGACTTAATTAACCTTTATAATCCCATGAGACTGATACTACAGGTTGTGTATCACTTATCCAAAATGCTTGGGACCAGAAGCGTTTTGGATTTGGGGCTTTTTCAAATTTTAGAATATTTGCATTGCTCATCAGTTCAGCATCCCTAATCTGAAAATCCAAAATCCAAAAATTGGTTCAATGAGCATTTCCTTTGAGCATCATGTCAGCATTCAAAGTTTCAAACTTCGGAGTATTTGAGATTTCAGATTTTTGGATTAGGGATATTCAATCTGTATCATTATTGTTACAGTTTGGAAACAAAATGAAATAACTTGCTAGTGCCAAATAGTTAATAAGGGGTAATGTCAGTATTTGACACTAGGCAGCATGTTCTACTGCCTTTCTAAATACCCACTCTCATTTATCCATTAAAGACTCTGTCCCCAAATTCCCAAGTACCTTCCTAATCTGGTTAACCAGGTTGGACCATATCTGACATGGGATATTTCACCAGTATCTTCATTAACAATAATACTTAATATTTTTATTCAATAACTATAAGAAAGACACTGAGCTAGGCACTTTACATGCATTCAATGACTGCAATAATTACAAAACTCTGCATAAGATTCTTTACACAATTTTACAGATAAGTAAGTAAACAAAACCTCTGAGAAGTAACTTGCCAATGACAAATATCTCTACCAAGTAGCACAGCTACAGCTCAATCTGAATGGCAAATCTCATGTCCTTAATCATACTATACTTCCCAGACTCTGAGCAGATGAAAGGAACATGCTTCTTGACCTCTTTGTCCTGGCCCACTTAGTCTTTTTTTTTTTTTTTTTTTTGAGAAGAGTCTCACTCTGTCGCCCAGGTTGAAGTAAGTGGCACAATCACAGCTTACTGCAACTTCTGCCTGCTGGGCTCAAGTGATCCTCCCACCTCAGCCTCCCAAGTAGCTGAGACTACAGGTGCATGCCACCATGTCCAGCTAATACATTTTTAGGAGATGAGGTCTCACTATGTTGTCCAGGCTGATCTCAAACTCATGAATTCAAGCAATCCTCCTGCCTCAGCCTCCCAAAGTGCTGGGATTACATGTGTGAGCACCAGGGCCACTGCTTTTACTGCACTACCCACAATGAGTTTCAAATGGAAAAGTAAAGGATAAAGCAATTCAAAATTTAGAAGAGGAAGAAGAGAGAAACTAAGTTCAATAGCCTTTAATCTTGTCAGACTGAGTACTTTTACCTACCCCTAGTATCAAATCCCCCATCTGTCCTGAAACTAAATCCTAACCTCTTTAGCAGGCTGAGAAAGAGGGAAAAAAGAACCTTTTACAAGATATGATAATAGATCTATGTCCTTTCAAGAATAACACTGATTCAGTGAACAGTCTCAGTGAAAGTACTCAGTCAAAACCCATTGAGCAAGCTCATACAGATGAGATATTTGTAGGTTATTGTATTGTCTTAATGATTCTAGTATCATAACACAGAGGTTATCAAAATGTCATTTAAATAAGCCTGATAAAATACAGTTTATTTCCCATAAGCAAAGTCACCTTACTCAAATCACTGTGACTGTATGACATTGCTATGGGAGCTCTAAAAACAAACCATTGTGTAATGAGTGAGCAGTCCTTTTACTTGGTAGCAGAGGAAAATACAGCACCTGAGAAATATGAAAATAGTTTGGTAATACTATTCTTCCCTGGAAATTTTTCCTAAGAAGTACCCTGAAGGTGTAAATTAAGTGTATTCCCAATTTTTCTGTGCTTCCGTAAGTATCACATACCCTTAATCTATCTCTCTTTTTTTTCAAAAGTACCAATAATTGTGAGAAAGTAGTTGTGTAACTTTGAAAAAGTCTAGGGGCAAAGGTTATAGTAGTCCATTAGAGCTTAAAATTTCCTTGAAATCTCTTATCTCAGTTCCATCAATAAATTCGTCTTGTGACCTTGGGCAAACCATAACTTCTGTGTGTCAGCGCCCTTATCTATGAAATGCAGATAACAGCAGTACCTACAACAACACAGAGTGGTTGTGAGGAATAAGTGATCTCATTAGAATCATACCTTGGCACAGTGGACACTTCAATATCAATAATAGGTAGTTGCAGTGGAATATATTTTATTACTATTCATGTTTTCTCACAGAAAAAGAAAGGACCCTAGTGTAACTACTAAGAATAAGGATCAAAGGTGAAGTAGCCTTAAGAAGGGAATAAACATTTGAAACAGGGATGCAGGGGGATGGAGTAGAAGAGTAAGTTTGGCAATTTATTGACACTAAAGGGTACTGGCCTCAAAATAAATAAAAAGGAATGTTGAAAGCAGTGAGGCTCTGCCTGAGTTTGGACATTAATATTAATTTCTACTCACATTTAGTAGATAATATTTACTTCCATAGCAAAATGTCAGATGGCCTATAATTACAAGACAAAATACAGCAGCCTTGTTCTAATAACCTCAAAGTGACTTATTACTACAATTGATCCTTGCTCATTGGCCTTACTAAAGGGAAGGAAGTAGTGTCATTAATGCAAAAGAATAGAGAACTATAATCAGTCCTATCAAATCAAACTCTACTTAAACACGAAATCTGTGGAAACAACCCAAATCCAGTGTACTTCTGCATTATTAAGAAAACATTTAAGAATAATAGAGTTCAGAATAATATATATACTGGCTTAAGAAAAAACTACTCAAGATAAAAAGACTATCTGTAACATTTCATATTTCTTCAAACTAATATTTTAATAAACACAATATTTTTTAATGTTCCAAATTAATGTCTATTTTACATTTATTTTGACTTTGAAATGCACTATACATGTTTTGCAACAATGTCGTTATCATTCCCTCATTTTACTGCAGCTTAAGAGTAAATAACTGGATTAAAAATTTCTTTGTTCTTGTTAAAACAAAATATAATATTTACAATTTAAGGTGTTACTCTATGAAAATAATGAAACAAGAGTAACTAGAGTCAGTAATACAACACTGTACATTAACCTAATAAGCAGGTTAAAATAACCCATGTCTTTCTTATCTTTGAGGTCTCACTGATGAAAGCCATATATTCCGTCACTACTCATGAATGTTAAATTTCAAGCCTAACAATAAAACATTCATCAAATATTTGTTCATAAGGTTTTGAAGAAAGTCACAATAATATCTGTTTATAATAGCTAATGTCAGGTTTCTTCAGGTCTTTGGGATTGGGTTCCTACAGTATTTATAATAAAAGGATCTGAGAAGTCCTGCTTTAAAGATAATTGCTTATCTTTGCTTTACTCAGCATCTCAACTTTGTATCCATTTCTTATTAATCTCTAGATTTTCTGAGACTAAAAGTAGTAGTATCTGACACTTTATAAGTGATCATTAAATTTTTATCAAATAAATGAATGAGGAATGCAAAGATAAGATGTAGTCTTTGCCCTTAAAAAGTTTAGTATGGTAGAAGAAGTAAGATATGCAAACAAACAACGAACAAATAAACAAGGCAGAATTTTATCAAGACCATGAATGAAATACCCCAAAGAGAAAGAATTTCAGGAAACCGAGAAATCACACCAGCCTGGAAAGGAGGTCACATTTCAATGAGGCTTTGAAAGATGGAGTATCATTTCAATAAGCATTTCAACTTTCTGGGATATCTGCAGATACAAGGGGCCACTTTTACCATTTTGTAGCAATTGTATAGAAAAGAAAGCAAAGGATTTTTAGAAACAGAATCTTTAAGTCCTTTCAGAATGTTTTACCATGTTAGAGTTGAGGCAAGAGGAAAGCCTCAGAGGAGCTGGTGATAACATTGTGGAGCTTTTCTATCTTGTTCCTCTAACTCCTTCCTTCGTTTTTCTCCTGGGTTTTGAAATCAATTTTGTTCAAATTCAAATCCTAGTTCAATCACATACAAGTATGTGACCTTGATCAAGATACTTACTCTATTAATTAAATGCACTGGGCTTGACATTTTAAAAAGCACCTCAAATGAAACCTATTATTAAGAGATGAGACAGTAACAAACTACAGTTCTTAACTAAAATACATATTAGTGTCATCCCAGGAGCTGTTTCAAAATAGATGAATATTCCATCCTTGACCCAAAGCCCAGAATATCTAGGCAAGTGTTTCCAGGACTACTTTGAAGAAGCTTCCCAAAATGATTTGAAAGGTAGATGAAATTAAGAAATTCTTATGTTCATGTTGTCCTCTCCATAAAAAGAAAATTAAGAAATTCTAGTAAATAAAGGATGACATAGGGCAATATGCCAGATTACATCAACATTTAAAGGTGGCCCATAGGAAAGGATCCTAATAAAGCAGCTTCAACACAACCAGGTAAATCAGGAGGCAACAGCACAAAAAGTGAGGAAGAGTTTCAAGGAAAAATGGTCAATAATGCCAAATAAGTTAAAGAAAAATACAATCAGAATGCCTTTTACTGACCTTTAATAAAAGTAGTTTTGCATTAAGGGGAGAAGCCAAATGGTGAGAAATTAAGTGCTGGATGGGAAATTTAAAAGTAGAAGTTTATTTTTTCTTTATATCTGGCTGTAAAATGAAGAAAAGATATCACACCAAAATGTTTTGCCAAGGGAGGGCGCTATTCTTTGTTTTACTTTTTCATAAGCTTAATCTGGTGAAGATTTAATCTGTGAAGAACAATCCAGATCAGGCGTCCCCAACCCCCAGTCCGTGGCCTGTTAGGAACCGGGCCACACAGTAGGAGGTGAGTGGTGGTGAGCTTTACTGCTGGAGCTCCGCCTCCTGTCAGATTAGCAGCAGCATCAGATTCTCAAAGGAATGCAAACCCTATTGTGCACTGCGCATGTGAGGGATCTAGGTTGCGTCCTCCTTATAAGAATCTAATGCCTCATGATCAGTTTCATCCTGAAACCATCCATCACCCATCCCCTGCCCCCCCACACACACCCACACACACCCTGGCAGAAAAATTGTCTTCCATAAAACCAGTCCCTGGTGCCAAAAAACTGGGAGCCGCTGGTCTGGACTACATTAGATACCAATCATTTTCAAGGCATCCCATACATATATTGATCTGGAATTTGCTATAAGACAATTTCATCTCCTCAAAATCTATTAGTATATCCTTTAACATACACACTGATATACATGCTAACACTAAAAGGCAAGCTAAATAGGCTCTATATAACCTGGCCCTGCAATTATCTTAAAAGAAGTTTACTTATTCTAATTACTGTAATTGCACCAGTACTAAGAACTAAGTAACAATTCTGCTCTGTAGCTGGTAGCAAACATTCCAACCAGCTACTCAATAACTACCTCATTTGCCAATTCAAACAGCTTTCACTTGCTACATGTCGGAGGCTGGGAGGCACTAAGAGGTATGTTATGATCTTTCTTGCTATACTCAGAAATAAAAGCATACTTTATACAACCCAGTTCAAGTGGACAGCTTCATTTTTAAATCATCATGTTACCAGAGAAATCCTTGCAGCCTACTCAGAACATTTTCTTCATGATTTAGAAAATGATTATCCCAATTTTGTAGTAAAAGGTATTGCCTGACCTAGGTTAGGGTCTGCAGCGTTTCATAAGATATATACCAAGTTTCTGTAAGTTCTTTTGCTAAACTGAAAAGAGTTCAAATTGACAGTTTAGATACTGTCTCTGAGCTGTCCCTCAATGTTCCTCGAAATTCTTCCCATTACCTGAAATTCTAATTGATCATTCAATACACATTCCCCCTTAAAAATCAAGTATTTTTGTGAATACTGTTAGTCTTTCAGATCCTGGAATAAGACTTTCCCTCTAATTTCTATTTTGGGCCAGCATTAATTAAGAAAGAAAGAGTTTTAATATGGAAGAAAATAGGGCTAGTTTTGAATTACATGAATCAGAAAAAGTAGATTTTGCAGAAACATAGCAAAGGGCTCTCTAAAAGTAGAGGGCAACTTACAGCTGGCCATAGGGCACGCTAGAGCGTAAGTAAAGGAGAAATATCAGGAAAAGAGATATTATTTTACCTGGATATCTAATGGATAGAAGAGGGGAAGCAAGGTGTTGATTTATTCTTGATCAGGTAGCATGTTCTATAGAGTGGTTCTAAGATCAGTGTCAAAGATCAGAGGGTTGTAGATATGCAGCATTATTTCTGAGGGCTCTGTTCTGTTCCATTGGTCTATATCTCTGTTTTGGTACCAGTACCATGCTGTTTTGTTTACTGTAGCCTTGTAGTATAGTTTGAAGTCAGGTAGCATCTCACTGATATTTCTTTAAAAATAAATGAGTACTGCACTCATTTATTTTTAAGTTACAACATTCACAAGAAATATAACAATGAAACTGTCATTAGTGTTGTGACTATACTTAATAAAAAGCTAGGCAAAAAAAGTTTTGAAAAGAAGACTTCTGACACTAAAAAAGTTGCAAGTACAAAATTTCAGAATAAAGAACAGTACTTTTTTTAAAATTTCAAATAAGTAATCAAAGGCACATAAATTAAAATGTAATATCTTGGTCTAATACTGAATTAGTAAATACCAAATTTGACATTTAAAAGAGATTTCTGAGCAGCTGCGGACCTTGCCAAGACAATGCAAGTTCTAAGAAGTGGCTTTCAAAGCAGAAGTGGGTAGGTTTTAACTGTTTGAATTAGATAACCTATAGATTCTTTTAAGTTCTTACTTTCTATAAATCTCATATACCAAAATATATCCCCTAAGGACCAGGGGTGAACTATATGAATCATGCCAGTGATTATGTGAATTATATCTCACTGATATTTCTTTTTTTATTATTATTATACTTTAAGTTTTAGGGTACATGTGCACAACGTGCAGGTTAGTTACATATGTATACATGTGCCATGTTGGTGTGCTGCACCCATTAACTCGTCATTAACATTAGGTATATCTCCTAATGCTATCCCTCCCCCGACCCCACGACAGGCCCCGGTGTGTGATGTTCCCCTTCCTGTGTCCATGTGTTCTCATTGTTCAATTCCCACCTATGAGTGAGAATATGCGGTGTTTGGTTTTTTGTCCTTGTGATAATTTGCTGAGAATGATGGTTTCAAGCTTCATCCATGTCCCTACAAAGGGCATGAACTCATCATTTTTTATGGCTGCATAGTATTCCATGGTGTATATGTGTCACATTTTCTTAATCCAGTCTATCATTGTTGGACATTTGGCTTGGTTCCAAGTCTTTGTTATTGTGAATAGTGCTGCAATAAACATACGTGTGTATGTGTCTTTATAGCAGCATGATTTATAATCCTTTGGGTATATACCCAGTAATGGGATGGCGGCGTCAAATGGTATTTCTAGTTCTAGATCCCTGAGGAATCGTCACACTGACTTCCACAATGGTTGAACTAGTTTACAGTCCCACCAACAGTGGAAAAGTGTGCCTATTTCTCCACATCCTCTCCAGCACCTGTTGTTTCCTGACTTTTTAATGACTGCCATTCTAACTGGTGTGAGGTGGTATCTCATTGTGGTTTTGATTTGCATTTCTCTGATGGCCAGTGATGACGAACATTTTTTCATGTGTCTGTTGGCTGCATAAATATCTTCTTTTCAGAAGTGTCTGTTCATATCCTTCACCCACTTGTTGATGGTGTTGTATGGTTTTTTCTTGTAAATTTGTTTGAGTTCATTGTAGATTCTGGATATTAGCCCTTTGTCAGATGAGTAGATTGCAAAAATTTTCTCCCATTCTGTAGGTTGCCTGTTCACTCTGATGGTAGTTTCTTTTGCTGTGCAGAAGCTCTTTTTTTTTTCCTTATTTGAACCAGATTTATTTAATAATCACAATCTAATTTTAGATAGTTTCTGTTTTCCAGAAAATGCAAGCTAGAGATCATTAGAGCAATTAGTACAAGATAAACTTTAGAATATTGCATTTGGCCAGACCAGATGTAAAATCATTAGGGAATAAACATAACCATGCTTCATAGAAACCCACTATTCAGACATTAGATGAGTTTTAGATCTGATGACATAATGACAGGCCTCATTTAAAAAGACTAATAACTTAGTGAAAACCATGTGTATTTCTACAATACTATTTGCATTTTACTAATTTAATCTCACGCATTCACTGAGGGTACTGACATTTTAGCCAGTGTGAGCATGAGAAGCAGGTGACTCATGTATGATCTAAATGCACCACATCAAGATGACTAGTTGAGTTGTATTCAGAAGGGCTGAAATAATGTGTTATTATCCAAAACACCATAGTTATATAAAAACAGGCAGCATAGCAGATACCTGAAAAAATGTTTTTTTTGGATGAATAAGGGAAACAGCATGGTACTGGTACCAAAACAGAGATATAGATCAATGGAACAGAACAGAGCCCTCAGAAATAACGCCGCATACCTACAACTATCTGATCTTTGACAAACCTGAGAAAAACAAGCAATGGGGAAAGGATTCCCTATTTAATAAATGGTGCTGGGAAAACTGGCTAGCCATATGTAGAAAGCTGAAACTGGATCCCTTCCTTACACCTTATACAAAAATCAATTCAAGATGGATTAAAGATTTAAACGTTAGACCTAAAACCATAAAAACCCTAGAAGAAAACCTAGGCATTACCATTCAGGACATAGGCATGTGCAAGGACTTCATGTCCAAAACACCAAAAGCAATGGCAACCAAAGCCAAAATTGACAAATGGGATCTAATTAAACTAAAGAGCTTCTGCACAGCAAAAGAAACTACCATCAGAGTGAACAGGCAACCTACAACATGGGAGAAAATTTTTGCAACCTACTCATCTGACAAAGGGCTAATATCCAGAATCTACAATGAACTCAAACAAATTTACAAGAAAAAAACAAACAACCCCATCAAAAAGTGGGCGAGGGACATGAACAGACACTTCTCAAAAGAAGACATTTATGCAGCCAAAAAACACATGAAAAAATGCTCATCATCACTGGCCATCAGAGAAATGCAAATCAAAACCACTATGAGATATCATCTCACACCAGTTAGAATGGCAATCATTAAAAAGTCAGGAAACAACAGGTGCTGGAGAGGATGTGGAGAAACAGGAACACTTTTCCACTGTTGGTGGGACTGTAAACTAGTTCAACCATTGTGGAAGTCAGTGTGGTGATTCCTCAGGGATCTAGAACTAGAAATACCATTTGACCCAGCCATCCCATTACTGGGTATATACCCAAATGACTATAAATCATGCTGCTATAAAGACACATGCACACGTGTGTTTATTGTGGCATTATTCACAATAGCAAAGACTTGGAAGAAGCTCTTTAGTTTAATTAGATCCCATTTGTCAATTTTGGCTTTTGTTGCCATTGCTTTTGGTGTTTTAGACATGAAGTCCTTGCACATGCCTATGTCCTGAATGGTATTGCCTAGGTTTTCTTCTAGGGTTTTTATGGTTTTAGGTCTAACATTTAAGTCTTTAATCCATCTTGAATTAATTTTTGTATAAGGTTTAAGGAAGGGATCCAGTTTCAGCTTTCTACCTATGGCTAGCCAGTTTTCCCAGCACCATTTATTAAATAGGGAATCCTTTCCCCATTTCTTGTTTTTATCAGGTTTGTCAAAGATCAGAGGGTTGTAGATATGCAGCATTACTTCTGAGGGCTCTGTTCTGTTCCATTGGTCTATATCTCTGTTTTGGTACCAGTACCATGCTGTTTTGTTTACTGTAGCCTTGTAGTATAGTTTGAAGTCAGGTAGCATCTCACTGATATTTCTTTAAAAATAAATGAGTACTGCACTCATTTATTTTTAAGTTACAACATTCACAAGAAATATAACAATGAAACTGTCATTAGTGTTGTGACTATACTTAATAAAAAGCTAGGCAAAAAAAGTTTTGAAAAGAAGACTTCTGACACTAAAAAAGTTGCAAGTACAAAATTTCAGAATAAAGAACAGTACTTTTTTTAAAATTTCAAATAAGTAATCAAAGGCACATAAATTAAAATGTAATATCTTGGTCTAATACTGAATTAGTAAATACCAAATTTGACATTTAAAAGAGATTTCCGAGCAGCTGCAGACCTCGCCAAGACAATGCAGACTCCACTGACTATTCCTGTGCCCATGCTCCAGTTACCCTGGGGCCCTGATGGCCTCAGCCTTGGCTTTGCCCCGATGGATGCTGGGGCAGTTGAAGCCAGAGGTTCCTGAAATCCAAGAGTGTCCCATACTCAAGAATCGCAGGAATCCCAGGAGCAGTGGGCTCGAGCTGCCCTTCGGGAACGTTACCTCCACAGCATGCTGGCCATGGAGTATCAACAAGTGAGCTTCATTCACATTGTACAACTATGTGCACATGGCTGCCCATTTCAGAACCACCAATCTGGACATGGCCAGCTTCTACGTGTCACAGCTCAGCTGCAGATTCCCATAGGTGAGTAGAGGTGCTGCTCTAATGTAGTGACATAATTTCATACACCTTCAAGCCATAAAGATCTGTGTTCATCTTTCAGCTTGGGTCTAAGCCACAGTATCCCAGGCCTCCCAATTTTCCTGAGCCAGGAAATCTGGGCCTCATGGAGTTACAGGCCCCCTTGGAATTCTGAGCCAAGCTCCAATCAACTCTGGACTCCTGAGACCTCCTGGGTCTAGTCAGTAAAATTCTGCAACTCAAGGAATTCTAGGTCCCATTGGAAGGAATGATTTACCTCAAAGAACTCTGAACTCTCCAGACGTATAGGCCTGATGCCATTTCCTAAAGTCTGAGGCTTGGGGGTGGGGTAATACAGGTGGGCAAATTACAGAGTGGGAAGTTATTTATTGAAGAGGTTTCAAAGTTCAGCCACCCTGAAGATACTCCCCAGTGCTTCTCTCCTCCTAAAGAACCAACTTCTCCAGGAAAATAAAAGAGATTTCCACTCAATACTGGCAAGGATGAGATACATATGGGCATTCACACACTATAGAAACTGTATTAGTTGGTATGACATTTTCAGTTAACATCCTTTACCATGCCATCTACTTCTAGGAATGAAACACACAGAGAAAAATACTGCAGTACTATTTTAACAATAAAGAAGTGTGTGTGTGGTGGCAGGGGGAGACTTTCCAGGTGCAACAATGGGAGGTAGGCTAAGCTTATGATGATACACCTATAAAAATATTATTCAGCCGTTGAAAATTAGTTTTTAAAGTTCTGACACACAGAAATGCTTGCCATAGCATTAGATGAAGAAAGTATACAAAATGAATATGCTATTACAACTATGCCTAAGATGCAGAAAATATAACAAAATTTAACAATGGTGATGTCCTCTTAAAATGCCATATACTCCTTCATATTCCTTTTTTTTTTTTTTTTTTTTTTTTTTGAGATGGAGTCTCGCTGTCGCCCAGTCTGGAGTGCAGTGGCGCGCTCTTGGCTTACTGCAGGCTCTGCCCCCGGGGTTCACGCCATTCTGCTGCCTCAGCCTCCCGAGTAGCTGGGACTACAGGCGCCCGCCACCTCGCCTGACTAATTTTTTGTATTTTTGGTAGAGATGGGGTTTCACCGTGTTAGCCAGGATAGTCTCGATCTCCTGACCTCGTGATCCGCCCGCCTCAGCCTCCCAAAGTGCTGGGATTACAGGCATGAACCACCGTGCCCGGCCTCATATTACTTTTCTAATCAAAAAACATTTTGTAACAAGTCCTAGTTTTTATAGGAAGAAAATTTCAAGCCATATATCTGAATATCTGTTACATCAAAAAACAGGAGTTATCTAAATATCCAACTACATTTCAAACAAATATATAATTCATGTTGATTCAACAAGAAAGGCAAACATCCACATATAAAAAATCAGGCTCAAAATTTCAAACTAAAACTTTTTTTAAAGTTTATTAACTTTTAATAAAAGCAATCCCTAAGATTCTTTCTATCACTGATATTAAATACCTGACACAGTCAAGGGAAAGCAATATACTCAAAAGGTTTGCAAGGAGTAGCATTAATATTCAGCAACTACAAAGCAAGTGCACCCTTCAGACTAAATAGTCATGTGACATAAAAAACTTGAGCACAATATTTACCTGCACAGAATTTAAGAACCCAAGCTACACATCTAAACCATGTTTTAAAAAGGAAAAGAATAAGTTATCAACCATCTTTTAAATCTGACTCTCAGCAGAAAAGAGCTTTGCCCAGCAATCTGTACTGAATTACAAAGAGCACACATTTGCCCCAAATCTTTGTAACCAAAAGAGTTCAACCAAAACAGAAGTCCAAAGTAAGGATTAATGAAATATTTAGCTTATTAATTGTACATCATTGACTACCATCCCTGCTTTCCCTTTTCTGCATTCCTCTTTTTGGATCTTAAAACTAAGTCATGAAAATGCACAAATAAAAATATGTTTAAAATTAACATTTATACAATTTACAGATTTACTAGGTATTTTACATATGTAATATATATACTAAGTACATTCATATACACAATTATCTCAAGCCCTCTGTGAGGCAGGGGTAGTCACTCATAGTGCACAGCATTCCTGTGTAAGTATCTCCACTCTACCACCTTCCCATACCCACAGGTTCTTAGGGAACCCTACCACAGCTCTTATTTATTTATTTATTTATTTATTTATTTATTTATGAGACGGAGTCTCTCTCTGTCGCCCAGGCTGGAGTGCAGCGGCGGATCTCTGCTCAATGCAAGCTCCGCCTGTCGGGTTCACGCCATTCTCCTGCCTCAACCTCTCGAGTAGCTGGGACTACAGGTGCCCGCCACGACGCCCGGCAAATTTTTTTGTAATTTTAGTAGAGACGGGGTTTCACTGTGTTAGCCAGGATAGTCTCCATCTCCTGACCTCGTGATCTGCCTGCCTCGGCCTCCCAAAGTGTTTTATTTTTATTTTTAATATTTTTTTAGAAATGGGGTTTCACTCTGTTGCCAAGGCTCATCTCGAACTCCTAGGCTCAAGTAATCCTCCTACCTGGGCCTTCCAAAGTGCTGGAATTACATACATGAATGAGCCTGGCCTTCTTTTACTTTTTTGTAATCAAAGTGCAGTGTTTGGCTTAGAAAAGACTAGGTAAGGCTCGGAGCGATGGCTCATGCTTGTAATCCCAGCCAAGGTGGGCGGATCACTTGAAGTCAGGAGTTCAAGATCAGCCTGGCCAACATGGCGAAACCCTGTCTCTACTATAAATACAGAAATTAGCCTGTTGTGGTGGTGCACGCCTGTAGTCCCAGCTACTTGAGAGGCTGAGGCAGGAGAATCGCTTGAACCTAGGGGGGCGGAGGTTGCAGTGAGCCGAGATCATGCCATTGCCCTCTAGCCTGGGCAACAAACCGAGACTCCATCTCAAAAAAAAAAAAAAAAGGCTAGGTAAATATTTGTTGAGAAAAGGAAAGAGATTCGGCCAGGCTCGGTGGCTCATGCCTGTAATCCCAGCACTTTGGGAGGGCGAGGTGGGCGGATCACGAGGTCAGGAGAAGGAGACTATCCTGGCTAACACGGTGAAACCCCATCTGTACTAAAAATACAAAAAAAAAAAAAAAAATTAGGCGGGCGTAGTGGCGGGCGCCTATAGTCCCAGCTACTTGGGAGGCGGAGGCAAGAGAATGCCCTGAACCTGGGAGGCGGAGCTTGCAGTGAGCGGAGATCACGCCACTGCACTCCAGCCTGGGCGACACAGACAGACTCCATCTCCAAAAAAGAAAAAAAAAGAAAAGGAAAGTGAGATTCAAAGTGATCTGTCCAGGGTCATATAGCTTGTTTGTGATAGAAATTGAAGTTTTAAACTAGACTAAGTATGATATTCTTTTCAGTGTGACAGCTGCGGCACTGAGTATTATACAGTAGATATAAAGTTAGTTTAAATACAGAAGGCTTATTTTCATGGTGTGACAAAAACATAAGTCAAAAACATGAATAAAATAAGTTCTTTTACAAAATTGCCAAAATAAACTGTAAATTCCAAATTTATACACAATAGTGAGTTACTTGTTTCAAGATTCTAATCAATCCTATCAGACTAATAAAGTTAGCACATAAATCCAAATAAAAACTCCTGACTATTTACATGGCACTTTAAATGTACATTACTACAGCATTTATGCAATTAAACATAATTAGCAGTGTGCATTTTCCTGGAAATTCCTTTGAGGGTAGAAGTAATCATTTTCATTTTCATGTCATCTGCTTGATCAGTAATTCTTAGCACTTACACTGCTGATGTACATAAAGTTAATTACTAATCATTCAGTTAAAATTTATCCTCTGAACCAGGACAAGCATGCTATGGAAGAGCTCATCCTTTATGTTATTGTTGTAATTATTTCCATCTGTAACATAATAAACAATTTATAGCATTCTATCATTAAAAACTTGAGTTAGTTAAGAATGAACTACAAATCTTCACATTTGATTCTTTGATATGCACAATTAGCTCGTATTTATCATCTGCTTACTTAAAGAATTCTGGGCAGTGCAAGAAACAGAAGCCCCAAAGTCTAAAACTTTCTTCCTTCTAAATATCAGCCTATTTGTTTCAACTGTTAGTAAGTTTGGGGGACATCCTACTTAGTTTATCAAAATATATATAAATATTATCAATGAAAACTCTGTAACACTTGTACGCATAGGCAGATAATTTTAATTTCCAAGCTAAGTTTTTTCAGAGCTTTTTATCTCCATTACTTTTTTCTATGGCAGTCCAAAATTACAATTTTACTAATGTTTCTACATTTTTAGGCATCAAAAATCTATTCTATTCACATATCAATTAATTCTATGG
The DNA here is from genome assembly GCF_000001405.40 of Homo sapiens. NCBI lineage: Eukaryota > Metazoa > Chordata > Mammalia > Primates > Hominidae > Homo > Homo sapiens. The sequence goes on from NC_000007.14 coordinate 57,096,184, forward strand.
TACAGTTAAATATTGTGTTTTAAACACTTCAAAATTACTTCGGCTCTTTCTTTTCCACATTTCTTCCTAAAAATTCAGTCCAAAAGTCATTACGTGAGACTGAGAAAGGTAGGTGTCCATGCTGGAGAGAAAACCACAGTGGCCCAGAACAGGGTATTACAGCCTGCAGAATGAGGAAACGTTTCTAATAGGGCGTGAGAAGAATGGACTAGCATGAGATGTCTGAGTTAAAAAGGATGAGGGGGCATCCATATGAGAAGAATGGCCTGGCATGAGACATCACAGCACAAGAGAGGTAAGCAGGGCCACTGCCTCCCCCTTAATTACACTAATCCCCCTGCAATTAACTAATCCATCACCTCCCTCAGGTTCTTCCCTGATATTTTTCAGAGAAGAAAGGGAAGAACCTAAAGGAGGTGATGGATTAATTACTCGAGAATTGATCAAATAGGTACACATATGGAGGATAATGGTATCTCACCATCAGAAAGACAATACAAATATGGGAGGGATGAAAATTAGGGCCCCTCTAATGATGGACTGAAATTGGAGATTGAAGTGTACACTTATATTTTTCAACACACACACACACACACACACACACACAAAACATATATATAAATGTGTGTGTCTGTGTGTGTATAACATACATTTGTTACTTTCTGATATTGATGGTATATTATGGCTATATAGGAGAATATCCTTAAAGAAGAGAAATATACTAAGGTATTTAGAGGGACAAAAGAGAAGCATCCATCTCAAATATCTTTAAAAAGGTTATATACTGTACTTGTAACTTTTGTTTAGAATTGTTTCAAAATTTAAAATTAATACATTATTTTCAGCACAGTAATCACTATAAATGATGATGCACACTTTTAATTATATAAAGTACTTTGTACCTACAATTTTCAATATTTTAGGTAGATAACCTCTTTGAGATTCTAAATATGTAATCTGTCTCCAGAATATAAAGACATGATAAAAATCTCAATTATATTTCAGAAAGTTTGGCAAGTCAGTGAACCCATTCAACATCCCCCTTCCCTGCTAAAAATTTGACCCACAGACTTCAGAACCCTAGCCACTGCTTTAAATTCTCACTCCTATATAATAAAATAGACCAAAAAAACCCCCCCAAGACCTAGATACAAATACATAAAAATTATTACTTAAAATGTGGGTGTTTTTTTTTTTTCTTCACAAAGTTTGGGCCGGGCACGGTGGCTCACGCCTGTAATCCCAGCCCACTTTGGGAGGCCGAAGCAGGTGGATCACCTGAGGTCAGGAGTTCGAGAGCAGCCTGGCCAAGGTGGTGAAACCCTGTCTCTACTAAAAATACAAAAATTAGCCGGGCGTGGTGGTGGGCGCCTGTAGTCCCAGCTACTTGGGAGGCTGAGGCAGGAGAATTGCTTGAACCTGGGAGGTGGAGGTTGCAGTGAGCTGAGATCATGCCATTGCACTCCAACCTGGGTGACAAGAGTGAGACTCCATCTCAAAAAAAAAAAGAAAAAAAGTTTGAGTAAAATTATCAAGGTTGACAAATTTACCACTACAAAGGTCTTTCATGGGAGACAGGTTATACCTTCCCAATATTTAAAATAATTCTAAGGTTCCGTAGCTCAATAGTGAAACAAATAACGATATCCTGGCATAAAACCATCTTTCAGACAAAATCCACCTGCTGTGTATTAAAAAATGTAATAATTGAAAACTTCCTGCCTTGGGAGAGAATAAACCTGATTCGTAATACAAAAACCACTCAATCTACAAATGCGTTGAACAGAAAGATGGACTAAATATAAAGAGGGAACTTCTGACCTCCTTTGGTGCTAGACTGCCTGTAGTCATAGCTAGGCAGGAGGTGATATTATTATCTCATATTTAAAATTATATTTCAGGCATATGTGATACAGTCACCTAAGAAAAAGATGGACCCACTTGACCCACAGTAGTATTTGGCCTCCATGCCCTAGGCTAGGAAAGATTTAGAAATTACCGATTGTGGATAAAGAAAGAGCAGTCTTCCTTGCCAAGATGAAAACTACATAATAAATGAGTCTCCTATGTGAGAATTACATTTCCACCTGTAAAGAAGTTGCATTAACATGTATTCCCTTGATGTCCTTGTCTTCCATTCAGTGCTCAGTTCTTTTAAAATTTAATGTTGACAGACTATGTGGCCTTCACATTTCTGTCCCAACATCTAGCTAATTAAAATTAACTAATATGATATCATTTTTACTTCAGTACACCTATCCAATCAATCTTGAGTATATTCAAAACCAAGAGAAAAATTTCTGTAGGTCTGGCAAGCATGACTACCCTTACCTCTCTGGGTAAGGTGGCTCACATCTGTAATCCTAGCACTTTGGGAGGCCGAGGCAGGTAGATTGTTTCAGCTCAGGATACCCAGACCAGCCTGTGCAATAAAGTGAGACCGTGTCTCTAAAAAAAATACAAAAATTAGCTGGGTATGGTGGCACCTATAGTCCCAGCCACTCTAGAAATAGCTACTGTAGAAAATATTTGCAAATTATATATCTGATAAGGTATATCTGATAAGGCTTTTTCTTTCCATTGCAAGGGTAATGGTGAGGTGGGAGGCTCTGGTGGGAGGATTGTTTGAGTGTGGGTGGCAGAGGTTGCTGTGAGCTGAGATCGTGCCACTGTGCTCCAGCCTAGGTGAAGAGCCAGGCCCTGTGCCCAAAAAAAAAAAAAAATTGTAACTCTATGCTTAACCTTTTCCATTAGCGGTTTCTACCAGCAAAATAAATCTCTTTTCCACCACGACCAAAGATTTTTCCACATCTTTGCCAACACTTGTTCTGGCTGTCTTTTTAAATTTCAGCCACTCTGGTAGGTGTGGCATGGTATCTCATTGTGGTTTTGATTTTCATGTCCCTGATGGCAAATGGTGCTGAGCATCGTTTCATGTGCTTATTGGCCGTATGTTTATCTGCCTTGGCAAAATGTTCATTCAGACCCTTTGCTAACTGTTTTACTTGGGTCATTTTTTAAATAAAATTATTAACTTGTAAGAGTTTAACAGATGTGTCTTATCAGAAATGTAATTTGCAAATATTTTCTCCCATTTTATGGGTTGCCTTTTTACTTTCATATGGTGTCCTGTGAAGGACACACACGTATGCTCGTGCTCTCTCTCTCTCTCAAAACTTTTGGACCAAAGAGGGAAGTATAACTGTGATTTATTAAGCAGCCCCATTGAGGGCTAACAGCACATTTCTGACCACTTTGTATGCTGGTGCCAGCCGGGGGTGCCCCAGCGGGTGCTCCCTGGGTTGTCTGCTTCAGGGCTGCTGCAAGGGTGCAGGGCAGGGCTCCTCCAGCTGGGAAACCATGGAATAGTTGGCAGCTGCTTTGTACGTCTTGAGAGACAAAAGAAAGCTCAAAATCAAGAGCAAACACTGGGTTTGCACTGAAAAGAAATATATCATTTCCTTGAAGAGAAAAATTCAAGATGTGAAAAATGGAAGCAAGAAAAGAAGAACTATGAAGAAAAGAGAGATTAGAATACCAACTGCTGTAGATCATTTCATGTCCCAATTATCTCCAAGTTCTTCCACCTTCTGGGATCACCAGCTGTTTTAACACCCAAAATATATGAAAGCTATGTGTTGTAATCTGTAGGGTAACCGTTAAAAGAACAGGATCTGTAACTTGGCAAGAGAGGAAAAAGCTAGGATGGTAAAAAAGTCTATCAATCCAAAAGGCAAGAAAAAAGAGAAAAAGAAACATGCTGGCATATTATTATAATTATTGTATTATTTGTTATTCCTGTTAATTTTTTACTGTGCCTAATTTATATATTAAACTTTATCGCAGCTATGTATGTATAGAGAAAAATACATCTGTGGTTTCAGGCATCCACTGAGGGTCTTGGAACATAATCCTTCCCCCAGATAAGGGGGTACTACTGTAATTATATTATATGTCATATTAAGCATATATTAATTCTACTAGGTAGCAGCCACATTATATATTAATTATATTAAATATATATCATACAGATTTATTTTAAGGAATTGACTCATAATAGAAGAGGCTAGCAGGCTGGAGATTCAGGAAAGAGTTGTAATTCAAGTCCAAAGGCAATCTGCCAGAGAATTCCCTCTTGCTTGGGGGAGGTCAGCTTTTTATTCTATTCAAATTTTTGATGAAAATAGAAAGCAAAGAGTATATTAACTATATTATACAAACTAAATGCTCCAATTAAAATACAAAAATTATAAAACCTAATAATAAAAAACCTAAATTATATACTGTTTAAAAGAGACATTTTTAAGCTTAAGGATATAGAAAATTTGAAAATAAAAGAATAGAATAAAATAAGCCATTAAAATACTAGTGTAACACTGATGTGGAAACCTGACAAAGCACACAAAAAAGAAAATAATTTTAACTGCAAAATTTTAAAATCCAAGCAAAGAGAAAGCAGCATATGTTATAATTATATCACAACATGATCAAGTAAGGCATACTTCAAAAATATAACAAAAAAATTTAAACATGGCCCATTATTAGGAAACATACTAATAAAAATCCTCACAAAAAAATAATTCAAAATCTAAAAAGCCACATGATAAGCCTGATGAATATTGGTTTACAGAACTGATTTTCTAGAAAACAGGTTTATAAAACTGGTTTTCTTTAAAAAGGCAATCTTGGGGAAATAACCCATTTACTCAATTTTTTTTTTTTTGAGATGGAGTTTTGCTCTTGTCGCCCAGACTGGAGTGCAATGGCACGATCTCGGCTCACTGCAACCTTTGCTTCCCAGGTTCAACAGAGTCTCCTACCTCAGCCTCCCGAGTAGCTGGGATTACAGGCACCTACCACCATCACGCCTAGCTAAATTTTTTGTATTTTTCGTAGAAATGGTGTTTCACTATGTTGGCCAGGCTGGTCTCGAACTCCTGACCTCATGATCTGCCCAACTCAGCCTCCCAAAGTGCTGGGATTACAGGTGTGAGCCACCTTTGGGAAGATATCCAGTAGTGAGATTGCTGTTTGAACGGCAGTTCTGTTTTTATTTCTTTGAGAAATCTCCATAATGTTTTCTGCAAGGGTTGTAATAATTTACATTCCCACCAACAGTGTATAAGCATTCCCTTTTCTCTGCATCCTCATCAATATCTTTGGTTTTCTGACTTTTAATTTTATATTTATTTTTTATTTTTATAGATATGCGGGTCTGATGTTGCCTAGGCGGGTCTCAAACTCCTGACCTCAAGTGATCTGCCCACCTCGGCCTCCCAAAGTGCAGAATTATAGGTGCAAATCACCACACCTGACTGTTTTCTGACTTTTTACTAATAGCATGTGCTGGGTGCGGTGGCTCACACCTGTAATCCCTGCACTTTGGGAGGCAGAGGCAGGTGGATCACTTGAGGTCAGGAGTTTGAGACCAGCCTGGCCAACATGGTGAAACTCCGTCTCTACTAAAAGTACAAAATTTAGCTGGGTGTGGTAGCAGGCGCCTGTAATCCCAGCTACTCAGGAGGCTGAGGCAGAAGAATCACTTGAACCCAGGAGGCAGAAGTTGCAATGAGTCGACATTGCACCACTACACTCCAGCCTGCATGACAGAGCAAGACTCCCTAATAATAATAATAATAATAATAGCACATGCTGTTCTGCAGCATGACCTTAACATTGCTCCCATGGTGAGGTCGGGTCTGTGCTCCCTCCCCTTGAATTCAAGAAGGTCTGTGACTGGCAGAAGTGATTCAAGGTAGGTCATGAAAGGGGACACCATTTCTCCGTGGTCCTCCTGGGATGCTTGCTCTTTGAACCCAGCCACCATGCTGTGAGGAAGCCCAGATGACAGGGAGAGGCCACATTTTGATGTTCCAATCAACAGTCCCAGCACAGGTTTCAGATGACAGCCAACATCAGTTTCCACACATGGGACTGAAGAAGGCTTTGCGAAGACTCCAGCCCAGCCACTACGACAGCATGAGAGACCCCTACTGACAATCACCTACCTGAACCCATCAACTCCCAGAACCATGAAAAAAAAAACTTTTTTTTTTTTTGAGAGGGAGTCTTTCTCTGTCCCCCAGGCTGGAGTGCAGTGGCGCAATCTGGGCTCACTGCAAGCTCCACCTCCCAGGTTCTTGCCATTCTCCTGCCTCAGCCTCCTGAGTAGCTGGGACTACAGGAGCCGACCACTACCCAGCTAAATTTGTAGTTCTAGTAGAGACAGGGTTTCACCGTGTTAGCCAGGATGGTTTCGATCTGACCTCGTGATCTGCCCGCCTCGCCCTCCCAAAGTGCTGGGATTACAGGCGTGAGCCACCGTGCCTGGCCTTTTTTTTTTTAAAAAAAAAAAATGAGTTTCACTCTTGTTGTCCAGGTTGGGGTGCAATGGTGTGATCTCGGCTCATGGCAATCTCTGCCTCCAAGGTTCAAGTGATTCTCCTGCCTCAGCCTCCTGAGTAGCTGCAATTACAGGCGTCTGCCACCATGCCCGGCTAATTTTGTATTTTTAATAGAGACAGGATGTCTTCATGTTGGTCAGGCTGGTTTCGAACTCCCGACCTCAGGTGATCCACCTGCCTCGGCCTCCCAAAGTGCTGAGATTACAGGTGTGAGCCACTGTGCCCAGCAAGGTTGCTATTTTAAGCACCTAAAGTTTTGGGGTTATATATTATGCAGTAAGAGTAACTTAAACATCCTCCTTTCCTTCTAGCTTTTTGAATCTCTTACTCATCAAACCTAGTCTCTCTCTGAAGACCTGGTCTGCTTTAATCAATGTTTTCCCCATAGACCCAGCGAGAGGTAGGTGGAGTTATCTTCCTACTCTTCATGGCTGCTCAGAACCCATCTCCCGGGTTCTCGCCATTCTCCTGCCTCAGCCTCCTGAGTAGCTGGGACTACAGGCGCACACCACTATGCCTGGCTAATATTTTGTATTTTTAGTAGAGATTGGGTTTTGCCATGTTGGCCAGGCTGGTCTCGAACTCCTGATCTTGAGTGATCTGCCCCCCTCAGCCTTCCAATGTGCTGGGATTACAGGCGTGAGCCACTGTGCCCTGTTAGTTTTCAAAATTTTCTTTACTTCCCTCTGTGGTGGGAGAACTGGCTTCAGAGAAAGCCATCCTGGACAGGTGAGGTGGCCCCACCAGGAACAGGTTTCAATCAGGTGTTTTGGAGGCAGTGATGCCCATGCACCCTGGTGAGAAGGGGCATGGCATGAACATCAGGAACCAGACTTCACCCTGGAGAAGGAGAGGCCACAGGTGGGGCTGAAGGAGCAGTTCTCACAAGTGATCCTGTGGGCACTGGGGCCACACCACACACCTTGGTGCACAAGTGTCAATGTGGCTCAGAGTGGGGTGGAGGACTCAGGGTATTAAAAGCATCAAGGAATCCAGGGGAGAGCCACCGCACCCAACTTTACTTTCACCCACAGGCTGATGCAGCCCGAGGAAATGTTACTCCACAACGACCTCAATGATACACACGGAACCTGTTTGCCAGGCCCTTGCCACAAAATGGGGGCTGCCAAGCCTTGTTAGAATACCTGAGACTCAGAGGAAAATAATTTTTCTTGAGACAAGTTCTTGCTCTGTCACCCAGGCTGGAGTGTAGTGGTATGATCATAGCTCACTGCAGCCTCTACCTCCCAGGCTCAAGCCATCCTCCTACCACAGTGCCCCAAGTAGCCAGAACCACAGGTGTACACCACTATGCCCAGCTAAGAAAATAATTTAAACATTTAATTAGTTTGTTTATTTATTATTAGTTTTTTTTTTTTTTTTTTTTTTTTTTTTTTTTTTACACAGAGTCCCTCTCTGTCATCCAGGCTGGAGTGCAGTGGCACAATCTTAGCTCACAGCAACTTCTGTCTCCTGGGTTCAAGCGATTCTCCTGCCTCAGCCTCCCGAGTAGCTGGGATTACAGGCGTGTGCCACAACACCCAGATCATTTCTGTAGTTTTAGTAGAGACAGAGTTTCACCATGTTGGCCAGGTTGATCTCGAACTCCTGACCTCAGGTAATCCTCCTGCCTTGTCCTCTCAAATTGCTAGGATTATAGGCATGAGCCACTGCACTCAGCCTAATTTAAACATTTTAAAATCTTGTTTAAATTTTGAAATAAAATCTCAAGTTGGTTTTTAAAAAACTCTGTCCGGGTTGTGATGACTCACATTTGTAACTTCAGCACTTTGGGAGGCTGAGGTGGGAGGATCGCCCGGGAGTTCAAGACAGCCTGGGCAACATAGGGATACCCAGTATCTCTAAAAATAATAATAATAATACAAAAATTAGCCAGGTGTAGTGGCAGGTGTCTGTGATCCCAGCTACTTTGGAGGCTGAGGCAGAAGGATTGCTTGAGCCTGGAAGGTCAAGGTTGCAGTGAGCTGAGATTGCACAACTGCACTCCAGTCCAGGCAACAGAGTGAGACCCTGACTCAAAAAAAAAAAAAATAGTGCTTAGTGCCACATGCCAGGAAACACAATGACAACAAATCAGAAGGTTGTTGAGTCAGGGCCTACCAAGAGCTGGTGGGGAGTCTGACTGTGGGGACCCTGCCCTTTTCCAAAAGGTGGAGGTGCAGAGAAGCTCATAAGGATCACGGCTTCTCACCCTGGCCCTGAATCCACTCACATCAGCGGCTCTCTGCACAGCCAACCGGACAGCTCACACCAATAAATTAAACCTTCTTATTTCTTGCTGGGCACAGTGGCTCACACCTGTAATCCCAGCCCTTTGGAAGGCTGAAGTGAGAAGATTACTTGAGGCCAGAAGTTCAAGACCAGCCTAGGCAACATAGTGAGACCCTGCCTCTACAGAAAATTAGGTGAGAGTGGTGGCATGTGTCTGTGGTCTCAGTTACTCAGGAGGCTGAGGCAGGAGGATCTCTTGAGCTCAGGAGGCTGCAATGAACTATTGCATTACTGCACTCCAGCCTGGAGGACAAAGCAAGACCTTGTCTCATAAAAAAAAGAAGCAAGCCAGCAGGTCTAATCCAGACGTAAGAGGAGGGTATTGGCCAGGCACGGTGGCTCACGCCTGTGATCCCAGCACTTTGGGAGTCCGAGGTTGGAGGATCACGTGAGACCAGGAGTGCAAGACCAGCCTGGCCAAATGGTGAAACCCCATCTCTACTAAAAATACAAAAATTAGCTGGGCATGGTGGCACACACCTGTAATCCCAGCTACTCGGGAGGCTGAGGTATAAGAATCGCTTGAACCTGGGAGACGGTGGTGGCAGTGAGCCGAGATCGCACCACTGTACTCCAGCCTGGGCAACAGAGCAAGACTCTATCTCAAAAAAAAATACAAAAATTAGCCAGACGTGGTGGCACATGTCTGTAATCCCAGCCAGATGGGAGGCTTAGGCAGGAGAATTGCTTGAACCCAGGAGGCGGAAGTTGCAGTGAGCCAAGATCACACTGCTGCACTCCAGCCTGTGTGACAGAGTGAGACTCTGTCTAAAAAAAATAAAATAAATTGAATTAAAAAGTTTTATTAATTTGCAATACTGAGTTTGCAAGAAGAGTGAACTGTGGTATGGTGACCAGCACACAGTATTTTAGAGTTCACAGCGTGCTCTCTGGGAAACTGTTTTAGCCAAAGTTGTGGCATCATCTCTGACCACTCACTTTATTCAAAAGACCTGGCTCAAAATGACTATTTATGGAAATCAACTCTAGCCTCGAAATACAAAACCAATGTAGTTCTAAAGGTATTCAAATGAAGGTAATTAAGTTTATTAAAAAGCAATGAAGGGCCAGGCACAATGTCTCAAGCCTGCAATCCCAGCACTTTGGGAGGCTGAGGCAGCAGAAGGATCAATTGAGGCCAGGAGTTTGAGACCAGCCTGGGCAACATAGTAAGACCCTGTCTCTACAAAATAATTTTATTTTATTATAATTTTTATTTTTGGTTTTTGTTTGTTTGTTTTGTTTTGTTTTGTTTTGTTGAGATGGAGTTTCACTCTTGTTGCCCAGGCTGGAGTGCAGTGGTGTGATCTTAGCTCACTGAAACCTCCACCTCCTGGGTTCAAGTGATTCTCCTGCCTCAGCCTGCAAAGCAGCTGGGATTATAGGCGTGCACCACCACACCTGGCTAATTTTTTGTATTTTTAGTAGAGCTGGGTTTCACCATGTTAGCCAGGCTGGTTTCGAACTCCTGATCTCAGGTGATCTGCCTGCCTCGGCCTCCCAAAGTACTGGGATTACAGGCATGAGCCACCGCCCCCAGCCCAAAATAATTTTTAAAATTAGCTGGACATGGTGGTATATGCCTGTTGTCCCAGCTACTCTAGAGGCTGGGATGGGAGGACTGCTTGAGGCCAGAAGTTTGAGGTTGCAATGAGACAGGATTGCACCACTGCTCCCCAGCATGAGTGACAGGGAGAGATTTTGTCTCTAAAATGGAAATAAAGGAAGCAAGGAAGGGCTTCTCCTCCAAACACTACCACTCCATCTTGGGCAGTTACATGATTCGAGGAAACATGGAAAATCTACCTTGAGTACCTTTTTGGATGTATGCTAATGGGAAAACAAATCTCATTAATTAACTCATAGAACGGCTAAGAGGAAAGAATCTTAGGGGATGTGTGGTTTCACTCCCTAATTTTAAACATGAGGAAATTTGGTACCAAAGAGATGAAGTAACTCAGCAGGTAGAGAGAGAAGAGCCTCTCTTACCACAAGGGGTCTCTCATTGGAAAATGGGCAAAACTCGTTCCCTGCCTGCATTCTCCAAGATCGTAGCCAACACAGAATAGAAGTGTCTCCCCTTCAGAGGACAACTGGTTTGTCCTTTGCCTTTTACACCCCTTTCAGCAAGCAGTATTTCTCAGCTTTGTGTTTGTGCAAACTCTTGAGTAGCACAAACTCCTGAGCTAAGAGACACTCCACTCTGTTTGCAATTGAGGGCAAAGGCTGGGATGCTTGGGCACAGCTCCAGGCTCCTTTCCCAGAAGTCTGGGGTGGCAGAAAAAAAAAGAATGTATTTTTCACACACTGAGTAGAGATGTGGCTCATCATGTAGAGGTAAATTGTTTTTTTCTTGAGATAGAGTTTTGCTCTTGTTGCCCAGGTGGGAGTGCAGTGGCACCATCTCAGTTCACTGAAACCTCCCCCTCCCGGGTTCAAGCTATTCTCCCACCTCAGCCTCTTGAGTAGCTGGGATTATAGGCACCTGCCATGACACCCAGCTAAATTTTGTATTTTTAGTAGAGAAGGGGTTTCACCATGTTGGCCAGGCTGGTCTCGAACTCCTGATCTCAGGTGATCCAGCCGCCTCAGCCTCCCAAAGTGCTGGGATTACAAGTGTGATCCACCGTGCTCGGCCTTAGAGTTGGTATTTTATAAAGAATAGAAGTTTACATAGCTCACAATTTTAGATTATGGAAGTCCAAGAGCACGCCATTGACATCTGATGAGAATCAGATTTCCACATCACAAAATGGCCAAAGGCATGAGGACGACAGAAGGTGAACATAAGAGAGCTTACTTTTATAATAGACCCAATTTCCTGCCAGCTAACCCACTCTGGAAACAATGACATTAATTCATTCATGAGAGTAGATCCCTCAAAACCTGATATCTTCTTAAAGGTCTAATTTATAATTTTATAACGATGACAGTTAAATTTCAGCATGAATTTTGAAGGGGGCATTCAAACCATAGCGATGCGTTTTTATTAGATAATTAAATTATTTGATATTTTAAAAATTATTGATTTGCCATGACTTTTAATGGCAAAAACTGCAATTACTTTTGCACCAACAAAATAATGTCTTTGGTTTTCTTTTCATGCTCTCTTTTCTTGTGTTTTCTAGGTTTTTTTTTTTTTTTGCTTTTGTTATTATATGCTTTGATTCCCATTTCTTTTCTTTCTTTTGTTTTCTTTTTTTTCTTTTTTTTTTTTTTTGAGATAGAGTTTCACTCTCATTTTCCAGGCTAGAGTGCAATGGCACCAACTCAACCTCCATCTCCCAAGTTCAAGCAATTCTCCTTCCTCAGCCTCCCGAATAGCTGGGATTACAGGCAATTGCCACCACATCTGACTAATTTTGTATTTTAGTAGAGACGGATTTTCTCCATGTTGGTCAGGCTGGTCTCGAACTCCCGGCCTCAGGTGATCTGTCCGTCTCCGCCTCCCAAAGTGCTGGGATTACAGGAATAAGCCACTGCGCCCGGCCGCTTGATTCCTTTTTTCTTTTGTGTGTATAGTACAAATTTTCATTTAGTTACCAAGAGATTTACATAACACATCTCATAGATATAACACTCTAGCTTACGATAATAACAATGCTATTTCGATGCATAGAAAGACTCAACAGGTTTACTCTCTTCAATACACGATTTATATCGCACTTTACATTTTTTATATTGTGTATCTCATAATAAATTATTTAAGCTATATGTATTTTGGATACTTTTGTCTTGTAGCTTTTATCCCTAAGTTAAAAGTAATTCATGCACCACCATTACAGGTGTCATTAGTATTTTATTCATTTTTCTCCACTTATACCTAAACAATGATATAATTTAATTCCAATATTTATTTTATATATAATCTCACAGTATTCTAAAAAATTAAATTGTTTTTGCTTTGGAATATTATTTTCTTGTGTTCATATGGTTGTATTGTAGATCTTATATTTTGTGTAATAACAATAATATATTAATAACATAAATAACTTTACCTAGTATCTTTTAAATACTTTAAAAGGTTCCATTTTCATTAGACTTTTTCTAATTCTTCTAATGTATTTTTTTGTGGAAATTTACTACTATACATTGCATGCCAATAATTAAAAATGCCAGATTTTCATAAGTTCATAGTCATATTTGAAAACTGTAATTATTTAAAGAATTATTTTCTGATACATCTATGCTAATATTCCATATTTTATAGGTCAACATGTTTTATTTTTGTTTTTAAGTCCATTATACTGCATTTTTTTCGTACAGGTTTCTTTTGATTATTAAATTGTATTTTTGTTTTTAACGTTACATTTATGATGTGGAAGGTAATTTTCATTCGGTATTATTTATAAAAATGCGGTGTTTAACAGGGCAGGGCACGGTGGCTCACGCCTGTAACCCCAGCACTTTGGGAGGCTGAGGCAGGCAGATCACCTGAGGTTGGGAGTTTGAGACCAGCCTGACCAACATGCAGAAACCCCGTCTCTACTAAAAATACAAAATTAGCTGGGCGTGGTGGTGCATGCCTGTAATCCCAGCTCCTCGGGAGGCTGAGGCAGGAGAATTGCTTGAACCTGGGAGGTGGAGGTTGCAGTGAGCCAAGATCATGCCATTGCACTCCAGCCTGGGCAACAAGAGTGAATCTTCTCCGTCTTAAGAAAAAAAAAATGTGGTGTTTAACTCAAATATAAATCCCTGGGTTTCACTTGGAGCAAATTTTAAAAAAAAGTATAAGTCAGATATTTCTTATTTTTGTTTGTTTGTTTGGATATGGAGTCTCGCTCTGTCACCCAGGCTGGAGTGCAGTGGCAGGATCCAGGCTCACTGCCACCTCTGCCTCCAGGTTCAAGCAATTCTCCTGCCTCAGCCTCCTGAGTAGCTGGGACTACAGGTGCCCACCACCATGCCTGGCTAATTTTTTGTATTTTTAGTAGAGATGGCATTTCACCATGCTGGCCAGGCTGGTCTTGAACTCCTGACCTCATCATCCACCTGGCTCAATCTCCCAAAGTGCTAGGATTACAGGCGTGAGCCACCACGCCCAGCCCCGTAAGTCAGACATTTCTATTGCCTATAAAAGTTACTTATGTGATATTTGCGTGTATAAATATTGATCCATTTTCTTTATTAGTTATCTTGTTTATTTCTTTTCTCAGGTGGTTGTCAGTGTTCTATTGTCTGGATGAATAGTCAGAAAGGCAGTCTAAAATTACTGTCTATTTATTGTTTGAATCTATGTTATTGTGTGAGAAAAACACTTGGTATTTGAAGTAATTTTTGAAAAATGCAACTATTTTTTGAGAGTTGTAAATATTTGTGATTAAAAACATAAAATTACCGTCTTAAACATTTTAAAGTTATATACTTAAGCTATATGTTTAGTACTTTTAAGTATATTTACATTATATGAAACAGATCTCTAGATAATTTTATCTTTAAAAAGTACAATCTAATGTTCAATAAACTGTCTTCTCCTTCTCTCTTTTCCGCGTCTGAAGAACATCATTTTACTTTCTGTTTTGTCTGTCTCTTTTTGACTATCTTATTTTAGTCAACATATTTTTTCCTGCGTCTTTAATTTTAACAAATAAGTTATTCTCCTCTCAGTTCAGATTCATCAGGAAATTGAATCATATCCAGAAGAATTAAAACTAAAAGACTAATATGTTTGTTAAAGCAATGCAGGTTGTCATACTAATAAACCCTACAATTTCAAAGGCTTAGCAAAATAATACATTTTCTGCACAAACCACCTTCCCCTTTGGTTTACTTCTGGTTAAAAAAAACTTCTTCATGATTATTTGGAGATTAGATTTTTTTCTAAATTTTCTATCCACATTCTCCTCTTTCTAAAGCCAATAGATCAAAAAAGATGAAAAGAAGACACATTTGCTTTTTATCCACACATCACTTCCAGTCACTATGCCGAGCAGAGTCAAAGTGAGCAGAGCTCAGAATAGCAGTTTTCTGGCAGGACAGCCACTTCTTGGCAAAAAATGACACAATAAAAGCATAAATCTTTCATGGAAAGCTAACATGTTTTCAACAAATTAAGCATATGCACGAATACAATTCTTGTGGTAAAATAAAGATTCATTTTGTTGATTCTTATTAAGCTCAGGTAATAGCAAATAAAAAGGCAGCAAACATAGAGCAAAAAAAATTATTCGAAATAGAAATAATGTGGATTAAGATATTCTGTCAATTAAAGTAAAAATATTTTTATCTCATACTAATCATCTTACTATAGTCGTATAATATCAAATGCTACCTTTTATTAACAATTGTACTTCATATAAGTATTCCATTTATATCACCCTTCTTCACTGTTTCAATGCCTTCTGCACTTCATATCAGTGAAAAACAGGCTGGCTGGTACCAGGAAATGGATGTGGTGCTATTGCTACTTTAAGAGTAATGATGAAGAGCACTTGTCTGAATTGTTCCCATGTGGCAAACACTGTTATACGGTCTAAAGTAAACACATTTATTATTTTCTTCTAAATTTACTGATGAAATACAATTCTCAGCTAAGGAAGACTTGATCTCATTCAAATACATTTTGTGAAATTTGGTTGACATTTCAGTGCCTTTGACTTAAATGGCATATTGAAAATTTCTATGAATCCAAATAGAGTGTTATACACGAACAGTCTTTTATTAAAAACCTTTCTGGGTTGGGTGCAGTGGCTCATGCCTGCAATCCCAGCACTTTGGGAGGCCGAGGCGGGCGGATCAACTGAGGTCGGGAGTTCGAGACCAGCCTGACCAACGTGGAGAAATCCCGTCTCTACTAAAAATAGAAAATTAGCCAGGCATGGTGGCACATGCCTGTAATCCCAGCTACTCGGAAGGCTGAGGCAGAAGACTGACTTGAACCCGAGAGGCAGAGGTTGAGTTGAGCCGAGATCACGCCATTGCACTCCAGCATGGGCAACAAGAGTGAAACTCCGTCTCAAAAAGAAAAAAAAAAAAGGCTTTGTCTTAAGATTCATAAAATTTCTTCATAATATAGAAGAAATGTGTTAACTATGTTCCCAGTAATCAACTCTGAACACTGAGCATTCTCAGTTTCCAGTATTCACTCTGAGTCATTCAGAAAAGTTGGTATCTCTGTAAGGAGTCAGAAAAATGTGTTTGGGGAAGGGTCACAACATTGCACATAAATGCTTTCTACCTGCACCTCTTAGGATCTTAATCTAATTGGTCTATCATTTGCATGACTAGATAGTTACTGGATCTAATCATACTATTTTGTGTTTTGCAGATAATGACATCTGTTACCTATAAGTTTCATACAACAATTTGCTCAGCTGAAACATGAATCTTTTGCTAATTTACCCGAAATTGAGGGACTAGATTTGCAATTTCTAATCTTTCAATGTTAGAGCAAAGTAGAGAAGAGTGATGTGTGTATGTGGTATGCATTTTCTTACTTAACTATTAAAATTCTTCTCATATTGCCTTGGACACTTTAGACAGCCACCCAAAAAATATTCCCTACTGCTTTTTTTAGCCAGGATATTAGATTTCAAAAGGTCAAGGACTTAATAATTGGGCTAAGCCAAAATCTTGCCTTTGCTTCTTTCAAAGAGCATGGCAATTATGCCAAGCCATTGAAAGATGTGGATCTGATGACTTTTATTTGATTTCAAATGTTTTTTCTAATTGTTTGCTCTAATTGTCTTATTGTGTTAATCTAAAAGAGAACCTATCTACATAACAACTTATGCATTCACGAAATGTTCATGTTACGATGATCAAAGTTCAATATTGTAGTATAGAATAGTAGAATAGTCTAAAATTAGAAAGTCAGATTATTATTAATAAATTCATTATTTTTTTCAACATTTTCCAATGTTGAAATTAAAGAATTGGCAAGGCTTTTTCATGATAAGTTCAATTCTAGGATAGTACTCACTGGTCTGCATGGTATTTTTTTCCTTTTTTTGGCAGGAGGGGATGGAGTTTTGCTCCTGTTGCCCAGGCTGGAGTGCAATGGCATGATCTTGGCTCACTGAAACCTTCGCCTCCAGGGTTCAAGCCAGTCTCCTGCCTCAGCCTCTTGAGTAGCTGGGATTACAGGCATGCACCACCATGCCCGGCTAATTTTATATTTTTAGTAGAGACGGGGTTTCTCCATGTTGATCAGGCTGGTCTTGAACTCACAATCTCAGGTGATCCACCCACCTCGCCCTCCCAAAGTTCTAGGATAACAGGCATGAGCCACCGCACCCTGCAGGTATCTTTGTCATGAATTATGTAAATCTGAGTTACCAGAATGGTGCAGAAGTGCCAATGCAATCAGAATGAAAATGAATACGGCCTTGTTGGTAGACTATTGGTATCCCAGAGGCTGATCATTTACTTCAGCTGTGTAGACATTGCTTCATAACGCCAGGGAGCCCTTTCAACCAAGTTGTCTTTATTTCCCATTGATGAGGTCATGTTCTGGTCTCTGTTTTTCTTAAGCTGTCCCAGATGAGGGGTGATTATTTCTTGCATAAATGAGATCCCTTCTTTTTCCTCTGCAATGAGATCCTCCTATTCTCCTTACTGAAAGCAATATGTTGAAGGCAGAAACGGAGACAATATACAAACATATACCTTGCCATGTGGCCACCATAAACACTTTACGACATTGCTTACCAAGAAGTTTGATTAATTTCAGGGAAGCAGGGATGTTTTTCTATGATGTGCTCTTTCTCTTAAAGCACCTCTGATTAAGTTTAGCCTAATCAAGATAATCTCTCGTATGATAAAAAGGAAGCCAATACATTAGTAATATAAATACATGAATACTGTTTTGCCACAGTCACACACATTTTGTGATGCTCAAGAGAAAAGGGTTACACAGCAGGTGTGCACTGAAGTGGGAACCTGAGGGTCATCTGAGAATTTTCCCTACCCACCTGAATAGATTTCTAAAATCACCTTTCAGTTGCTTTTGCTGTCTTTCTAAGTAAACAAAGATATCATCTCCAAATAATAATTAATTGAACTGCTTTTCAATTGTATTCATTAAAATAATTATCTTTTTCTGGCTTATATGAAGTATTTCTTATTTGTAATATACATTCACATATATACAAATATATAGCAATACAAATGTATCCATTTTCATTTTTGTTAAATTTTTAAGAATGGATGTTAAAGGTAACTTCTTTTCTGTTTGAAGTGTTTTTATTGTTTTATTCAAGAGTATTATCTCTGGAGTTAAAGTTGATACTGTTTTAATACTGGCTCTGCTATTGTGAGCAAGTTATTTCTCTCTCTGGCTCTTTTCTTTTTTTTTTTTTTGTAAATTGAAAATAATAGTGACACCTTTGTTATTAAGTTACTTTGTCTATTAGTCCATTCTCACACTGCTGAAGAACACACCAAAGACTAGGTAAATTATAAAGGAAAGAGGTTTATTTGACTCACGGCTCAGCATGGCTGGGGAGGCCTCAAGAACCTTACAATAATGGGAGAAGGTGAAGGAGAAGCAGGTATCCTTTTCACTAGGAGATGGAGAGCAGGAAAAATTACCACTTATAAAACCATCCAAACTCATGAGAACTCACTCACTATCACAAGAACAGCATGAGTATCATTCTGCCTCTGGCCCCTTCCAAATCTCATGCCCTTTTTATATTTCAAAACCAAACATGCTTTCCCAACAGTCCCCCAAGTCTTAACTCAAGTTAGCATTAACCCAAAAGTCTAAGTCCAAAGTCTCATCTGAGACAAGGCAAATCCCTGCTACCTGTGAGCCTGTAAATCAAAAGCAAGTTAGTAACTTCCAAGATACAATGGAGGTACAGGCATTAGATAAATTCTCCCATTACAAATGGGAGAAATTGGCCAAAACCAAAGAGCTACAGGCCTCATGCAAGTTTGAATTCCAATGGGGCAGTCATTAAGTCTTAAAGCTCTGAGATGTTCTCATTTGACTCCATGTCTCACATGTGGGCCATGCTGATGCAATGGGTGGGCCCTCATGGCCTTGGGAAGCTCCTTTATGGACTGGAATTGTGTGCCTGTGGCTTTTCTAGGTGCACGGTGCAAGCTCATGGTGAATCTGTTATTTAGGGGTCTGGAGTACAGTGGCCTTCTCACAACTCCAGTAGGCAGCTTCAGTGGGGACTCTGCATGAGGGCTCCAACCCCACATTTCCCTTCTGCATTGCCCTAGCACAGGTTATCCTTGAGGGCTCTGCCCCTGTAGACTTCTGCCTGAACACCCAGGCATTTTTATACATCCTCTGAAATCTAGGCAGAGGTTTCTAGAGCTCAACTCTTGTCTTCTGTGCACATGCATGGCCAATACCACATGGAAGCCACCAAGGCTTGAGGATTGCACTTTCTGAAGGAACAACCCAAGCTGTACTTTGGCCCCTTTTAGCCACAGCTGGATCTGGAGCAGCTGGGATGCAGGGCACCCAGCCCCAAGGC
Source organism: Homo sapiens (assembly GCF_000001405.40). Lineage (NCBI taxonomy): Eukaryota > Metazoa > Chordata > Mammalia > Primates > Hominidae > Homo > Homo sapiens. The sequence continues at coordinate 57,115,316 of NC_000007.14, forward strand.
TTCATAAAGCAGTGGGGCCCTCCCTGGGCCTCGACCATGAAACCATTTTTTCCTCCTAGAGTTCCTGGCCTGTGATAGAAGAAACTGTCTCAGATCTTTGACATGACCTGAAGACATTTTCCCCATTGTCTTGGCTATTAACATTCAGCTTCTCTTTACTTTTGTAAATTTCTGCAGTGGCTTGATTTTCTTTCCAAAAAAATGGGGTTTTATATTCTACCTCATGGTCAGGTGCAAACTTTCCAAACTTTTATGTTCTGCTGCCATTTAAAAATTAAGTTTCTCATCTCCATCTGAGACAACCTCAGCCTGGACTTTATCATCTACATCACTATTAGCATTTGGGTCAAAAGCATTCAACAAGCCTCTAGGAAGTTCCAAACTTTCCCATATTTTTCTATTTTTTTCTGAGTTCTCTAAACTGTTTCAACCTCTGCCTATTACCCAGTTCCAAAGTCACTTCCACATTTTCAACTGTCTTTATAGCAGTGCCCCAAACTACCTGTATTAATTTTCTGTATTAGTTTGTTTTCACACTACTATTAAGTTACTACCAGAGAATGGGTAATTTATACAGAAAGGAAGTTTAATTTACTCACAATTCTGCATTGCTGGGGAGGTCTCAGGAAACCTACAGTTACGGTGGAAGGCAAAGGAGAAGCAAGTACCTTCTTTACTAGGCAGCAAGAGAGAGGCAGAGCAGAAAAAAACACCACTTATGCAACCACCAGATCCTTTGAGAACTCACTATAATGAGAACAGCATGGGGGAAAATTACCCCCATATTCCAATCACCTCCCACCAAGTCCCTCCCTTGAAACATGGGGATTACAATTTGAGATAAGATTTGGGTGGGATAAAATTTTACGGTAATGAATTCAATACAAGTCACAGAATATAGATTTTTTTGAGAATCTCTGAGGTTTCCAGGTTTCTCTTTAATTATCCACCTTATTAAAATAATCTTTTTTGTTTCAATATTGTTCTTCTGTTCTGAAAATGCATACAAACTCACACACAAACACACTCACTTGCTACATAACTTTCTTATATGTGTGTATATATATATGTATATATATTTATTTATTTTTTTAATGGTGTCTCGCTCTGTCATCCTGGCTGGAGTGCAGGTCTGCCACCTTGGCTCACTGCAACCTCTGCCTCCCAGGACCAAGCGATTCTCCTGCCCCAGCCTCCCTAGTTGCTGGGAATACAGGCATGTACCACCACACCCAGCTAATTTTTTGTATTTTTAGTAGAGATGGGGTTTCACCATGTTGGCCAGGCTGGTCTTGAACTCCTGACCTCAAATTATCTGCCCCACTCAGCCTCACAAAGTGCTGAGATTACAGGCATGAGCCACAGTGCCTGGCTGATATATCTTTAGAGTAATATATTTGTATATATAACTCTATGTAAATCAAAACTAAAAGTCTGTTTTTGTTTGTCAGCAGAGAGGCCACAAGTACCAAAAATATACAAAACAATTTTTAAAAAATATTTAATCAAGACTCAGAAATGTATATTAATTATACTCATGCAATTTTTATGACCATAAAATGACCCTATGGTTAGTAATAATTCAATTGTACATATTAAAATAAAACTGTATAATGAGCTTGTAATACAAAGGATAAATACGTGCTCGAGTTGAGGAATACCTCATATACGCTGCTGTGATAATTAACTAATGTATGCCTGTGTTAAAATATCTCATATATGCCATAAGTGTGTATGCACACTATCCACCCACAAAATTTTTTTAGAAATCTAAATAGGGTAAAAAAGAATACAAATTTGATCTATGAGAAAAAAATTATTCTACTTATTTGCAGTTTAAACCACTGGCAGGACAGGCATGGTGACCCACGCTTGTAACCCCACCAATTTGGGGCACTGAGGCGGGTGGATCACCTGAGATCAGGAGTTAAAGACCAGCCTGGCCAACATGGTGAAACCTCATCTCTACTAAAAATACAAAAATTAGCCAGGCGTGGTGGAATGTGCATGTAGTCCCTGCTACTTGGCAGACTGAAGGCAGGAGAATCGCTTGGACCCAGGAGGTAAAGTTTGCAGTGAGCCGACATCATGCCACTGCACTCCAGCCTAAGCAACAGAGCAAGACTCCATTTCAAAACAAACAACCAACCAACCAACCAACACTGGCAAAAAAGAGATTACTAGAGATGTCATTCCCCTACATTAACAAATAGTACATTGTTACCATCTTTTACTTAGAACCTTAAGTAAAATGGGACCCATTAAATCTGATGACAAATTAATACTTCATTCAAAGCACAATAGTTTTAACACATTAAAAACAACTTTGTTTAATGAAAAAATTAAGTTGACACATAATCTTTAAAAAATTTTTAAATTTATTGCATTTTATTACATAAACGTACAATTGATAAAAAACAATCTCTCCTATCTCTGATGAAACAACTGATCAAATACTTTCACAAACAATGGGAAGAGTCAACATGACGGAATCTGAGACTTGAGTTACATTATTATTTGCTGTTCAGAAACTATTTTTTTATAGAAGAAAGAAGCATACCTCGAAGGTAATTATGAATCTCGAAAAAAACTACTTCTTTAACATGTATATGGTGTTAGCTTTGGATCTCTTTTACACTCAACCCTCTGATTTAGTGTAATGTATGAAGTTTCAGTGCCTTCATTCTTTCTACTGTGACCCCTCAGATGCTTATATAGACTTAATTTTTGATTTAATATGTTTTCCCCATTTACTGGTTCTGCAAAAATATTTAGTACAAACTGGTGTTTTCTAAGCTGGAGGTTTTGAAAAAATGTTTTTCACATTCATTACATGTTTAGACTTTCTCTCCAATATAAATTCTCTAATGTTCAACAAAGTTTGAGCATCTTCTCAGATCTTCAAATTTTTCCTTTAATATAAAATGTGTACAATAAAATCTGTAATGGAAGTAAAGGTACAGCAATCCTCTTTAAGTTTGTATGTTTGTCTTCAGAATAACTGGTCTTTACTTTAAAGGCCTATATTTTCCAAAAGGTCTTTTTACAGTAATCACATTTATAATTTTTTTTTTGAGACAGAGTCTTGCTCTGTCACCCAGGCTGTAGTGTAGTGGCTCTATCTCAGCTCACTGCAACCTCTGCCTCCCCGGTTCAAGCAATTCTCCTACCTCTGCCTGCCAAGTAGCTGGGATTACAAGTGCACGCCACCACACCCAGCTAGTTTTTCTATTTTTAGTAGAGATGGAGTTTCACCATGTTGGCCAGGCTGGTCTTGAACTCCTGACCTCATGATCCACCGACCTTGGTCTCCCAAAGTGCTGGAATTATAGGCATGAGCCAACACACCTGACCTATAATCCCTTTATTAAGTATAAACTTTCTGATATTGAGTAAGATGTGACCTGATATTAATGGTTTTTCACATTCTTTGTACAATTTTTCTCTAGTATAAATGCTTTCCTGTACCATAAGGTGTGAGAATTTGTTAAAAGTTTTGCCACATTCTTCATATTTGTAGGAGTCTTCTTCAGTATAAACTATCTTACCTACCATAACGTGTGACTACCATTTAAAGTCCTTGCCACATTTAACACATTTCTAGAGTTTCTCACCAGTATGATTTCTCTTTTTTAGAAAAGTTTGAGGTGTGCTTAAATGCTCTGTCACATTTTTATGTAAGCAGAGTTTCTCTCCAGTATAAAATTTTTTAGTGAGTAAGCATGGAGAACCAGTTAAAGGGTTTGCCACATTTTTTTCTGCAATTGCAGGGTTTCTCTCCAATATCAATTATCTTACATTTATTCAGGTTTGAGGACTTTTTAAAGACATTACCATATTCCTTATTGTAGGGTTTCTCTTCAGTATTAATTCTCTTATGTATAATAAGGGTTCAAGACTAGTTAACAGCTTTACCACATTCTTTGCTTTTGTAGAGTTTCTCTCTAGAATGAATGATCAGATAATATGTAAGGCCTGAGATGTGCTTAAAGGTTTTGTCACTTTTTTTATGTTTCTAGGGTCTCTGTAATATAAGTTCTCTTAGGCTTTGGGAGGCTGACAAAGGTGGATCACCTGAGGTCAGGAGTTCAAGACCATCCTGGCCAACATGGTGAAACTCTATCTCTACTAAAAATACACAAATCAGCCAGTGTGGTGGCACACGCCTGTAATCCCAGCTACTCAGGAGGCTGAGGCAGGAGAATCGCTTGAACCCGGAAGGCAGAGGTTACAGTGAGCTGAGATCATGACACTGCACTCCAGCCTGGGTGACACAGGGAGACTCCAACTCAAAAAAATTTTTTTAAAATAAATTCTCTTAGGTTTATTAAGGTTTGAGGGTTGGTTAAAGGCTTTGTTACATTTTTTTACATTTATAAAATTTCTGTCCAATATGAATTCTCTTACATTCAATTAAGGTTTGGAACTGGTTAAAGGCTTGGCCACATTCTCTACATTTGTAGTGTTTTTTTCCAGTGTAAATTATTTTATGTATTATAAGGCCTGAGGGTGGACTTTGCCATATTATTCACATTTGTAGGGTTTCTCTCCAGTGTGAATTATCTTATGTTTAGCAAGACTTGAATGCCACTTAAAAGCTTGCTCACATTCTTCACATTTGTAGGGTTTCTCTCCAGTATGAATTCTCTTATGTTGCATAAGGGTTGAGGAGCAATTAAAGGCTTTGCCACATTCTTCACATGTGTAGGGTCTCTCTCCAGTATGAATTCTCTTGTGGTCAGTGAGGGTTGAGGATAAGCTAAAGGCTTTGCCACATTCTTCACATTTGTAGGGTCTCTCTCCAGTATGAATTCTCTTGTGGTCAGTGAGGGTTGAGGATAAGCTAAAGACTTTGCCACACTCTTCACATTTGTAGGGTCTCTCTCCAGTATGAATTCTCTTGTGGATAGTAAGTGCTGAGGAGCGCCTAAAGTCTTGGCCACATTCTTCACATGTGTAGGGTTTCTCTCCAGTATGAATTCTCCTATGTCTCATAAGGTTCGAGGATAAGCTAAAGGCTTGGCCACATTCTTCACAGGCATAGGGTTTCTCTCTAGTATGAATTCTCTTATGTCTAGTAAGGTTTGAGGACCAGCTAAAGGCTTTGCCACATTCCTCACACCTGCAGGGTTTCTCTCCAGTATGAATTCTCTTGTGGTCAGTGAGGGTTGAGGATACGCTAAAGGCTTTGCCACATTCTTCACATTTGTAGGGTCTCTCTCCAGTATGAATTCTCTTGTGGTTAGTAAGTGCTGAGGAGCGCCTAAAGGCTTGGCCACATTCTTCACACGTGTAGGGTTTCTCTCCAGTATGAGTTCTCTTATGTCTAGTAAGGTTTGCAGACCAGCTAAAGGCTTTGCCACATTCCTCACATCTATATGGTTTCTCTCCAGTATGAATTATTTTATGTGTAGTATGGTTTGAGGAGCAGTTAAAGGATTTGCCACATTCTTTGCATTTGTAGGACTTCTCCCTAGTATGAATTACCTGATGTTGATTTAGGTGTGAAAGCATGCAAAATGATTTGCCATATTTGTTACATTTGAAATGTTTATTTCCAGTATATCTTGTTTTATCTCTATTGGAATTTGAAAATTTACCAAAGACTTTGACATATTTATGAGTCTGAAATATTTTGTTTTGGGTAGTTGACAAACATTGGTTAACTTCACTATAACCTCCCTTGTGCACCTCATATTCACCCACACTTTTACAGCATTTTTTAAATTGTAATTTCTCATGTCCACATTTTCCATATGTTCTTGGTATTACTTTTTGGAGTGAATCTTTGATGCCCTGCTCTGGCTGAAGGTCTTGGGTGAAATGGGAACGCGTAACTGAAAGACACAAAAAGCACAAGTTACTCCACTTTCTGGACTCATATAAATATATTCTACACATGAAATATATAAAATTACACAAGGTACATTAGCAAAATGCCATATCAAAATACCACAGGCCATAATTCCTTCATAGATGTATAAATGTAACAAAATCATAGTGATCAAAATACCTTTGTTGGAAATTTATAAATAAAGTAAGTGTGTGCACCATGTGAGCATGATGTCCAGAGCCATATAGAGAGAAAAGAAAAGTCTGCTACATTTACCCAACACAGCCCTTCCTCATGCCCAGTAGAAGAACATAGTGCCTTTAATAACAGCTTTAAGTCTTCTGAGCTCAAAAGTGAATGTTACAACTGCAGAAAGACTGCAGTATGATGGGCAGAAGATAGGTGTAGAACGTAGTTACTGACCACTAAGAAGAAATATGAAGAAGTCTTTTAATTGAAAAATAAATACAAATTGCAGACAAAACACATCCTGAGAACATGTTTGTGAGAATCCCAGAATCTCTACCAAAGACAATTGGTGTCATGCTATGACAGGAAGGAGCTGCATTATAAAGATCATGAAAGGTAGTTTTATGTTAGTGTCTAAATCTCAAACAAAGATTACAATGTATATAAAACATGAGGATAACATGGTCCAATCAAAAAAATCAAAAATTTTGAAAAAGCAACTATAAAAACAAAGATGTAGATCTTGATTTTTAAAATTTAAGATAATCCATATTATGCTCAATGAGAAAAATGGAAAACCAGACACCCAAATAAAATAAGAAAAATAAGAATACCAACAAAACTTGCAATAATAAAAATAAACAAGGTGGAGGTAAAAAAGAATAACTGAAAAAATTTTAAAGTAAGAAAAAAGTATGTAAAAAATGAAGAAGCTAAACAAACAAACTAGGATATACACAAAAAGATCCGCAACACAAATTTAAGCAAAGTTTCAAAAGTCACAAACCAGAAGATAATCTTGGGAGCTGCAAGATAAAAGTGAGGTATTATTTATAAGCATAGTCCTCTGAGACAGCCAGTGAATTTGTAAACAGAAACCTTGCAGGTCAGAAAAGAACTGTGTAAAATGGTCAAAGGCTGAAAAAAATTTTCATGGTGAGAATAATAAAACCAGAAAAATGTACTACAACATAAAGAAAAATAAAACTCTTCCAGAATGAATAAATGCTGGCACATAATCATTGTATGTGCCCTAAATAAAATGCTGAAAAGAGGTCTTTCCACTTAAAATAACATGATGAAAAATATATGTAATCATATGAAAATACATAACTTTCTGAAAAACATATGCATATACAAAAAGTAAAATTCTGTGGCATTATTGTGATGGTGCAGAAAATACTTTTAGTTATTCTTTAAAATTTGAAAAATATAAGCATAAAAATCATAAAACATAAAAAGATATAATTAGCAACATCAATAAGAAGTATGGGGTAGATATAATGAGGACAAATTTTTCTATGCAACTGAAGTCATTTTTTTACCAGTTTAAAATATACTGTTGTAACATTTAAGATGTTTTACAGAATCTCCAATGTAGCACAAAGAAAAAGTCTTTATAGACACATGAAAGCAAATGAGTCGATTACTAGAATGAGACAAAGATTGATATTATATAATGGTAAAATGAGTCCATTTACTAGGAATCTATAATTATTATGTCTATCTATATGTATATGCATATATAACATCAGGGCTTCAAAACATATAAAGCAAATATTGACAGAAATGAAGCAAGAAATAAAATAGCAACACAAAATTATAAACATTAAGACCTCCTTTTCAATAATAAAAAATTTAAATAAAAAATCAATTAAAAAAACTGAAAACCTGAAGAATATTATATTGTGTATGAATTTATTTTGCATTGCCATAGAAAATAACCTCAGACTGGGTAATTCATAAAGAAAAAGATTTTTTTGATTCACAGTTCAGTAGACTGTACAAGAAGTATATGCCAGCATCTGCTTCTGGTGAGGATATGAAGAAGCTTACAATTATAGTGGAAGGCAAAGAAGAACCAAACATGTCACATGGTGAAAGACGACGTGAGTGTGAGGTGGAGGAGCCAGGTTCCTTTAAGCAACCAGCTCTCATGTGAATTAGTAGAGTGAGAACTCTATGATTGTGCCAAGTCATTCATGAGGGGATTTGTCTCCATGATGCAAACAGCTCTCATTAGGCCCCAATCCAACAGTGGAGATTACATTTCAACATGCGATTTGGAGGGCATCTACACCATATCACAAACCAAATAGGCTAAACAGACATGTACAGAACTCTCCAGTCAAAAGCAAGTGGATACACAATATTCTTATTTGCACCTGGTGCGTTCTGTTAGAACACATAAGTCTTGGTAAATTTCAAAAGATCAGCCAGGTGCAGTGGCTCACAGGTGTAATCCCAGCAGTTTGGGAGGCCAAGGTGGAAGAATCACTTGGGGCAAGAAGTTTGATACTAGCCTTGGGAACACAGTGAGACCCTGTCTCTACAAATAATTCAAAATTAGCTGAGCATTGTGGGGTATGCCTCTAGTGCCAGCCGCTCAGTAGGCCAAGGTGAAAGGATTACTTGAGTCCAAGAGGTTGAGGCTGCAGTGAGCCAAGATTGTGCTACTGCACTACAGTCTGGGAAACAGAGTGAGAAAATCTGAGTCAAAAAAAAAATAAGAAGAGCAAAATCATACAGTATATGTTTTCTAACCCAAACTGAATAAAACTAAAAAGAAAAAAAGTAATACTGGCAAATCAAAAATACATGGAAATAAACACACTCTTCACTGTATTCTTGCACAGGGTCAAATAATTTAAATTAATTTAATATTTTTTCTCAAGGGCCAACATATTTAAGTGATGACTTAATTTGTTAAGATGTCAGTATAACCCACAGTGGTGAACAAATTTAATATAATCTGTATCAAAATTCCAAAAGTATATTTATTCCTGAAATATTGTTTAAAATTTTTAAATTTTATTATGAACCAAATCTAGAGAAACACACATGAAAAACACAGAGGCACTATACTTCATAATTTCAAAACATAATAAAAAGCTGCAATAACAATAACTATGTGGTACTCACAAAAAGACAGATAAAGACATGATAGAACAAAATAGAAAGCCCAGCAATGAACTCTTCTGTGTATGACCAAATAATCTGCCTCAAGTTTGCCATGAGCAGACAATGGAGAAAATATAATCCCTTCAACAGCTAATGTTGAAAACTGGACATCTACATTGAAAAAATGAAGTTGAATGGTTTAATTGCATCACATACAAAAAATATTTTAAACAAAGTACTTAGACTAAGAAAAACCTAATGAAACTCTTAGAAAAAAAGTATAGTGCAAAGACATGACATTGGTCTTGGCACATTTTCTTAGATATGCCATCAAATGCATGTGCAACAAAGAGGAGAACAGAAAAATTTAATTGGGCTAAACTTCAAAATTTCTGCAATCAAATAAAACATTTAATACAGTGACAGTGTCTCCCAAGAAATCGGTGACAATATTTGAAAATCACATGTGATAAGACTTAATATTGAGAATACACAAACTACTCCTAGAACTAGACAACGATAATTGAATTACTTGATTTAGAAATGGACAAATGAGCCAGGTGCGGTGGCTCACACGTGTGATCCCAGAACTTTGGGAGGCTGAGGTGGGCAGATCACCTGAGGTCAGGAATTCAAGACCAGCCTGACCAACATGGTGAAACCCACCACTACTATAAATACAAAATTAGCTGGGTGTGGTGGCACATCCCTGATCCCAGCTACTCAGGAGGCTGAGGCAGGAGAATCATTTGAATCCAGGAGGCAGAGGTTGCTGTGAGCTGAAATCGCACCATTGCCCTTGTTGCCTGGGAAACAAGAGTGAAACTCCGTCTCAAAAAAAAAGAAATGGAAAAATGATTAAACTAAATTTTAATAAAAAAGATATACAAATGGGAAGAAGCATTTGAAAGGTTGCACAAAATTAATAATTTATAGAAAAATGCAAAACATAATCACAATACAAAACAAAATCACCTTACATCAATTAGGATGGCCACTATAAATTTTTTTAAAACACCAACTGTTGATGATGTAAAGAAATTGAAACCTATGTAAGTTGTTTTTTATGAGAAAAAAGATACAGCCATCATAAAAACATCATAAGCGTTCTTTAAATAATCTAAAATGAAATTATTATATAATACAGCAATACCATTTATGAGTCTATATCTAAAATATGCAACACAGTAAAATGAAGACATAAAAGGTACCCTGCTTGCATATCCCCCCACAGCAAGTGGGGGGATAACCAAGCCTCTAAATAAATAAATATATATAAAAAATTAAAAAATTTGTAAAAAATTTGTAAAAACTTTAAAATATATTTCAAGGCTATAGTAATAAAAACAGAATGGCATGTGCAGAAAAATGGATGACCACCAATGAAAGAGAAACTACTATTCTCACACATTTTAGACATGATGCAAAAAAAAATTTTAATGGTTTAGAGTTTTTCAAAAATATGCAGATATTAGTGTGTCCCCAAAAGCAATGGCAAAGCAGTCAGTTTGCGCAGTCCCTGATAACCTTTAAAGAAAACTTTGGCTCACACTGTGAACTTGAAGAAAGATTATTGAAGCAGAAGTGGAATCCTTAGAGACTTTAACAGCATGAGGCAGGAGGTGTCCCTATGTGAGAGCAAAAGAAAAAAATGACTTGAGCTTCTCAGAAACTCTTTTCATCAAAGCACAGCTCCCCAGACCACATTTTAAGGACTGGCTGCCTCCTTGATTTGTGTACCTCTCATCTGTCTCATCTGCTTCATTCGCTCTCACCTACCTGGGTGTTTGGCTACCATCTCATTTCTCTTTATATTCTGGGACTCTTTATTTTGCTCCAGACAGGTGATCAAGTCTGGCTTAGAGACAGCAATACCTGTTTTATTAAGAAAAAAAAGTAACATAGATCATGCTGAATTCTTTAATTACCAAATTAGTATTATGCTTAGAGGATATAATAGAAAATTCTAGAAGATTAATATTGATTCATAATAGAACTTTCTAAATATTCAGAAAATATTTTAAATTTGTAGGTCCTTAATTTCACTACTCAGTACTACTGAATCAAAAATTGGTGGCAGCAACTGAATTCTAATGTGTGGGCAACGATCTTTTATGCCATGGCATTTTTGGAATTCCCACTAACCTAGAGCAAAAGATACATAAGCTCAGGAAAGGCAAAAGTTCTGGTCAAGATAAAACATCTTGAAGAATTTGTTCTACAGCAATGAATCCCCAAGATTTTCTTAAAATTGGAGATCTAAAATTCATTCATGCAAAGCAGAAATTACCAAAAACATCTTAGAAAAGAGAAAAGCAATATATTAGGAATTATGTACTGAAGTTATCCTCACCCAGGGAGACCAGGTTTCTGTAGTTCTCTAACATCACATCTCTATATAAATTCCGCTGAGCACAATCCAGGCATTGCCATTCCTCCAGAGAGAATTCTATAGCTATGTCTCTGAATGTCAACAGTCCCTGGAAAACAAACAAACAAAACCACTCATGAACACACAAGCACTTACCACACGGCCATAGGCAGAGATTTTTATTTGACTCAAGTTAAAAAAGAGAGTAAAAAGAAGTGGTTCTCACTTACAAGAGTGACTAAAATTATTCAATAAGATAATTTTTAACACTGAAGTATTCTCTAACTCTGAGAAAAGAGGATAGCATAAGATCCACAATACTGCTGTAGATTTGATACTTTTCTGGATGATACATTATAAAATTAAGGGCATCAACATGGACATGTCTTTTTCTTTTCTGTTTTTCTTTTTTTTTTCTTTTTTTTTTTTTTGAGACCGAGTCTCACTCTGTTGCCCAGGCTGGAGTGCAGTGGTATGATCTTGGCTCAGTGCAACCTCCACCTCCAGGGTTCAATCGATTCTCCTGCCTCAGCCTCCTGGGTAGCTGGGACTACAGGCATGAGCCACCATGACTGGCTAATTTTTGTATTTTTAGTAGAGATGGGGTTTCTCCATGTGGACCTGGCAGGTCTTGCACTCCTCACCTCAGGTGATCCACCCACCTCAGCCTCCCAAAGTGCTGGGATGGCAGGCATGAGCCACTGCGCCTGGCCGGACATGTCTATTTTTGAGTGCTATATTTACATCATATAGAATAAGTTGTGTATATTTCTCAGATAGAACAGTCATGATGAGTTGGAAGATACCTCTCAAGTCTTAGTATGTGCAATAAACTAAAGATCTTGTGAGATTTTGTTTCAGGAGATTTCCGAGGAAGTCTGAATTTCTGAATTTTTAGCAAGCTCACCAATGTTTCTAGCCTAGTAAGAATATTTTGTCAAATATCCAGTAAATGGCAGAGTCTGGGTTTTTCCCAGTTTCTCTCACCTGTAAATAAAGATAAGAGCCTTCATTTTTAAAAGACAAATATAAGCAAAAGTCATCTAAAAGGAAAGGACAGCTTCCAGATTAAATGTGATGGTTTATGCACTTCAGCTAGTAAATCTCCTAAGTGTCCTTAACAATTAAGAGAATAAGAATTAACTCTAGAGTGGAAAAAAATGTCATAGAGATCTTGAACCAAGTGAATAAAATTGTTATCAACTTTATTAGGACACATTTTTATTATGTGCTGATGCACACACAACACAACATCACTGCTGTGGCATTTCTCTCCTCTCAGAAAAGTAAATTATAATCTACATTTAATTTTATTATATATATATATATTTTTTTTTTTTTTTTGAGACAGAGTCTCGCTGTGTCACCCAGGCTGGAGTGCAGTGGTACCATCTAATCTCACTGCAACCTCAACTTCCTGAGTTCAAGCAATTCTCCTGCCTCAACCTCCCAAGTAGCTGGGATTACAGGTGCATGCACCATGCCTGGCTAATTTTTGTATTTTTTTTTAGTAGAGATGTTGTTCCACCATGTTGGTCAGGCTGGCCTTGAACTCCTGACCTCACGTGATCCACCTGCCTCGGCCTCCCAATGTGCTGGGATTACAAGCCAAAGCCATTGTGTCTGGCCTAAATTTAATCAAAAAGAAACATCAGTTTTATGCAAAGTTGAAGGTGCAGATAACTTCCCTGTTCTGTAATTTTTATCAGTAATTTTAAGTAGTCTTTCCTTAGCACCCTGGAAAGCAAGTATCTCCTAACAGTTTTTTCAGAACTTTCTGTGTAATAAATGCCACCCTGTTTAAATGAGCATTTTCTAAACACTGTCCTGCATGGAACTAATAGAGCACACAGATGAAACCTCAATAGAACATGTTTCACTTTTCACTAATCTCCAAAGACAACGGTATTTCCCCAATAGAAATCTTGAGTATCCACACCTTCTAATGTTCAACAGCTACAATGGGAACATTTTAAATATCGTAGGTCATAAATTTGTTCTAAGAATTCTGCATGATATACAAGAATCCAAGATGAAGAGAAATGTATAGAATGCTATGGCATATAGAAAACAAATATTTTTTTCAGAACCCCTTGACTATCATAAAAATCACAAAAAATAGTTGAAACAAACTCATTAGGGATCAACAGCACAAGTAGAGAAGTAAAAATTTGCAAGATCTGAACACAAGGCATTCCAAAAGGCAGCAGTGGACACTGCGCTTGATCTGAGACATGCTCACCTGAGAAAAAGTGATTTGTTTCTTTTCCTCCTCTTTCTCTGAAATGTATTTTCAGATGAGATGCTCTGGACATATCAAACCTGCATCTTGAGAATATGCCTTTAAAGCACAACCTATTCACCTGCTACCACCACACACACCCACGGCAGAAAGACCGAGACTTGCAGAAAACATTCACCCATTTTTGTTGTTTATAACTGAAAAGATTTAAGAGCAATGAGAGAACAACAAGCTTCTCCATAACTATTAAAATATAAGTTTCTTTGTCCCTGCCCTCCCCTATCAGAAACCAACAATTTTCTTTACAGTAATGGGAGCATGAACCGCACTGACCTCTTCCTACCAAACTGAAACAGGGCAGGCAGTGCAGCCTTCCTATGATGCAAAGGTTGAACTAAACTCTCCTGAAAGTATCTTGAACCCCTCAAGTTTATAAATCACTTGGTAATCTTGGCCCCGCTCTATGCAACGTGATTCTGCAGGATCCAAAAGGGTCCAGGAATGGGCTTTTACAAGTCCCCTGTAAATGCTGATTGTGCTTTCGCAGACACATTATTAGCATTAGCAAGAGAAAGCAGGCACAGCAGAGTCCCTTACACACACCACATTTGTCACAATACTAATACTACTGCTACAAATAAAAACAACCAATTTCCACCCTGAAATGCTATATTTTTGTTGGCTTTTTTAAGTTTACAGGGACAACAGAAGACAGTAATGTCTGAGTGAATCTGCACCTGGGAAACCTGTACACATGTACTAATAAAATGTTTATTAAGCAGGTATTGTGTGCTCAGGAGCATGTCACAGAACACTGCGCTGGGAATAACACATTTTGTGATTTAATTTTCATAGCACCCTGGGAGTTGGTACTAAGTGCTGAATAATTTTTAGCATTTGGATTAAGAGCACAGCATTTTTATTTCTTCTTATCTTTCTCATTAATTTTAAAAAGAAAATGTATAGAATAATTCAATACAAAAAAACATGTGAAAGGATGCAATTACATAAAAATGGAATAATCAGCTTCCAAATGGCTATTTTGGAAATAATGAAATTAAGGCAGAAATAAAATTTTTGAAACTAATTACAACCGAAATACAACATACCAGAATCTCAGGGTTAGAGCTAAGGCAGTGTTAAGGACAAAATGTATATCACTAAACATCCACATCAAAAAGTTAGAAAGATCTCAATTTAAAAATCTAATGTTACAATTAAAAGAATTTCAAAAGTAAGAGCAAACCAACTTCAGAGCTCACAAAAGTCAAGAAATAACCAAAATCAGAGCTGAAATGAAGAAGTTTGAGACATAAATAACTATAAAAAGTTCAATGGGCCACGCATGTGCTGTGGCTTGCTCCTGTAATCCCAGCACTTTGGGAGGCCAGGGCGGGAAGATCACGAGTTCAGGGGTTTGAGACCAGCCTAGCCAACATAGTGAAAGCCAATCTCTACTAAAAACACAAAAATTAGCTGGCTGTGGTGGCACATGCCTGTAATCCCAGCTACTCCAAAGGCTGAGGCAGGAGAATTGCTTGAAACTGGAAGGCAGAGGTTGCAGTGAGCTGAGACCGCACCACTGCACTCCAGCCTGGGTGTAAGAGTGAAACTCTGTCTTAAAAAAAAAAAAATTCAAAGGAACCAGAAGTTAATTCTATGTAAACATAATAAGATAGATAAAACACTAGACTAATGGGAAAAAAAGAAATAATTCAAATAAAAACAATTAGAATAAAAAGTAAAAACAAAAACAAAAACAGATGCTTGTGAGGTTGTGGAGAAATTGAATGCTTATATGCTGCTGGTGAGAGTATAAATTTATTTAACCATTGAGAAAAGCAGTTTGGCATTTTGACAAAAACCTGAAAACAGAATTACCATTCCCAATCCCGCAATTGGGAATATACCCAGTGAATGTAAGTTTTTCTACCATGAAGACACATGCACGCATATGTTTATTACAGCACGATTCACAATAGCAAAAACAAGAAATAATCCTGTATGTCTTCAATGGTAGACTGGATAAAGAAAACGTCGTATGTAAACACCACGAAATATGATGCACTATAAGAAAGAACAACATCATGTCCTTTGCAGCAATGTCGATTGAACTGGAGATCATTATTTTTAGAAAACTAGTGCTGGAACAGAAAATAAAAAACTGTATGTTGTCACTTATAAGTGGGAGCAAAATAATGAGAACACGTGGACACAAATAAGAGAACAACAGACACTGAGGGTAGAGGTCTGTTCAGGGTAGAGGATCAGAGGATGAAGAAAATCAGAAAACAAATCTGTTGGGTACTATACTTAGTACTTGAGTGATAACATAATCTGTACACAAAAACTTCATGATATGATTTTACCTATACAACAAACCTGCACATGTACCCCTGAACCTAAAATAAAAGGTAAAAAAAAAAATCAGCTGGGTGCGGTGGCTCACACCTGTAACCCCAGCCCATTGGGAGGCTGAGGCAGGCAGATCACCTGAGGCCAAAAGTTGGAGACCTACCTGGCCAACATGGTGAAATCCTGTCTCTACTAAAAATACAAAAATTAGTTGGGCCTGGTGGCACACACCTGTAATTCCAGCCACTCGGGAGGCTAAGGCAGGACAATTACTTGAACCTGGGAGGCAGAGGTTGTAATGAGGTGAGATCGCACCACTGCACTCCAGCCTGGAGGACAGAGCGAGACTCCCTCTCAAAAATAAAAAACAAACAAACAAACAAAAAAAAAACATTTCTTGTAAATTACTATCTTGAAGAAAATATTTGGCCTAGGCAACCACAGACTGCCAATTAATCTCTGATGACATAACCAAGAAATTTTCACCTGGATCTCACAAATAAGGAAACTACATAACTGTACCAAACCAATTATTGAATCTGGTTTGCTTCATCATGCAACTTATAACAGACTTTTCTTCAAGTCTCTCCCATGGATCACAACCCACAAACCATAGCTGGGTGCTCTATGATTCTTGAATCACACTTTGATCAGATTCTCATTTTTACAGTGACTCCCATACATCTCTAAAAGGAAAAATGAGGAACTAAGGACCCCAGGACCACAGCTCTTTCCACTCATGAATCTTGCACCCTGAGTCAGGATTCTCCCCTGATGACTTTCCTATCCCTGTACAATCTGGGTGAGATGAGGCGCTGGGAGTGCAGAGCAAACCAGAGAGGCCTCCAGTCCAGGGTAAAGCCACTGCAGAGGAAAAAGACAAAAACCCCAGGGTGCCAGGTGCTGGCCCAGGCACCATCTTGCGGCTGGAGGGGACGAGAGCCGAGCTGGGCCAAAGAGGATTTGGGTCGGCAGGCCCTGGAACTGACTGCAAGAAAGTCTGGGACCTGCTACAGCCACTTTCTGCCGGTTCCAATCAGCCCCCACCCCTCTCTCACGATGACAGACCCAGCACTCACCATTTCTCGGCTTCCAGGGGGTCCTGGTCTTTTAGCCATAAATCTGCAGATACCTGCAGGACACAAGGACACATAGGCTTGGCCTCTAGGAGCAGAGGACACAGAGCAGTGAAGAGGAGAACTGCAGCTCTGGACGCAGAGAAACACAAAGGACCCGCAAAATTACGGAAGTAGCCTGTTCTTTCCAGCTGCAAGCCTGATTGGACAGTTTCTAGTCCACGGCTCCTGATTGGATAAGGTTTCAGGCCCCACCCTTCATGCCCTGAGTGAGGGAATATTTGATCAGACACTGGGCTGAGTGAAGCAAAAATAACAGCCTAGGCTGCAGCCTTCACAGGCAGGGCTTCTTCCTCGATCGGAGCCAGGCCAACTTCAGAGGATATTTGCATTTAACCTTGTGTATAATGTCATATGCATTTATAAATGATATATAATATTTATTCATAAATTGAAATAATGACAATTATTTTAAAATGTAGGATTTTATGACCTTCCTTGCTGCGGATCCTTTGCAGTGACATGGTGTGTCTTTCTGGCTCCACCCAAATCTAATCTCAAATTGTAATTCTCGTCCGTGTGCAGTGGCTCACACCTATAATCCCAGCACTTTGGGAGGCCGAGGCCGGCAGGTCACTAGTTCAGGAGTTCGAGACAGGCCTGGCAAATATCGTGAAACCCCGTCTCTACTAAAAATACAAAAATTAGCCTGGCGTGGCAGTGTGCCTGTAGTCCCGGCTACTCGGGAGACTGAGGCAGGAGAATTGCTTGAACCCAGGGGGTGGAGGTTGCAGTGAGCCGAGATGGCGCCATTGCACTCCAGCCTGGGTGACACAGAGAGACTTCCTCTGAAAGAAAAAAAAATTGTAATTCCCGTTTGTCAGGGCAGGGACCGGGCAGGAGGTGATTGGATCATTGGTGTGGATTATCCTCATGCTGTTCTGGTGGTAGTAAGGGAGCTCTCAAGACACCTGACAGTTTAAAAATGTGGCACGTCCTCCCCGGTTCTTTCTCTTTTTCCACCATGTAAGATGTGCCTTGCTTTCCCTTCACCTTCTGTCATGGTCATGAATTTAAGTTTCCCAAGGATTCTGCAGCCATGTAGGACTATGATTCAATTTACTTAAAAAAAAAAATGACTCAGTCTGAGCTATTTGTTTGTAGCAGTGTGAAAATGGACTAATACATGCGGGCAGCCTGAGATTTCAAAAGGGAGGAAATCCTCTGCAGTAAAATATAAGCCACATGTAAATTTTGAATTTTCTAGTAGCCAAATGTTAAAAAGTAAAAAGAAAAAGGTGGAGCTGGGCGCAGTGGCTCACGCCTGTAATCCCAGCACTTTGAGAGGCCGAGGTGGTGAACCATCTGAAGTCAGGAGTTCGAGACCAGCCTGGCTTACATGATGAAACCCCTGCTCTACCAAAAGTAGAAAAATTAGCTGGGCGTGGTGACAGGCATCTGCAATCTCAGCTACTAGGGAGGCTGAGACAGGAGAATTGCTTGAACCCAAGAGGCAGAGGTTGCAGTGACCCGAGATCACACCACAGCACCCCAGCCTGGCAACAGAGGGACTCTGTCTCAAAATAAAAAAGAAAGAAACAGGTGGAATAACAGGTGGAATTGATTGCAACAACTTAATCAGCCCAATATATCCAAATTATTATTATTTTAATATGTGATTAGCATGTAATGGTTAATAAAGCATATACATTTTTGAAGCTAAATCTTTGAATGTAATCTTGTATTTTACCTTTCTAGCACATTGCAGTTCACACTAGCCACATTCCAGCACCCTGTAGCTATGTCAGAGGCATCTGAAGCAGAGAAACTGCATCTGGAATAGGTGCTGGGTAAAATGGGGCTGAAACCTACAGGACTGCATTTCCATGAGGCCTGGCTTTCTAAGTCACAGGATAAATAGAAGATTGGCACGAGATCCATTTTACAAAGACCTTGCTGATAAAACAGTTTGCAGTAAAGAAGCGACAAAAATCCACCAAAACCAAGGTGGGAATGAAAGGGACCTCTGATTGTCCTCAGGAATCATTACACGCTAATTATAATGCATTAGCACGTGAAAGACATTCCCACCAGCGCCATGACAGTTAACGAATGCCATGGCAACATCAGAGAGTTACCTTACATGGTCTAAAAAGAAGAGAAACACCCAGTTCTGGAAATTGCCCATGCCTTTCTTGTAAAACTCATGAATAATCCACCCCTTGCTTAGCATATAATCAAGAAATAACTGTTAAATATCCTTAGTTGAGTGGCCCACATTGCTGCTCTGCCTAGAGAGTAGCTATTCTTTTATTCCTCTACTTTCCTAATAAATTTGCTTTTGCTTTGCACTGCAGACTCACCCAAAATTCTTTCTTCTATCTTTTTTTTTTTTTTTTTTTTTGTCTTTGAGACAGCATCCTGCTCTGTCACCCAGGCTGGAGTGCAGTGGCGCCATCTCGGCTCACTACAACATCTGCCTCCTGAGTTCAAGAGATTCTCCTGCCTCAGCCTCTGGAGTAGCTGGGATTACAGGCATGCGCCACCATGCCCGGCTAATTTTTTTATTTTTAGTAGAGATGGGGTTTCACCATGTTGGCCAGGCTGATCTCGAACTCCTGACCTCAAGTGATCCTCCCGCCTCTGCCTCCCAAATTGCCGGGGTTACAGGCATAAGCCAGGGTTATAGGCATAAGGCTCTAAATTATTTCTTGTACGAGATCCAAGAACCCAATCTTCGTTTCTGAATTGGGGCCATTTCTGGAAGCTTCTTTTCAGTGAATTACAAAAGGATGATACCAAGGAAACCCACAACTCAAAGGAAATAGACTGAATTACCAATTGGCTAACTTTTTGTAAGTGGTGGCATACCTGGGTAAAGAATGGGATCGGGTTAGTAGCCCAATTTAGTGGCGTTAGAGTGTCTCCTAAGACAGATAAGATAAAAGGTCTCTTTTAATAAAAGGCAAGAACACTTGAAAAACTTGTGTTTGAGGTGCAACTTAGAAAAGTTAGAGTCTTTCCTAAAATTTAGGGGGTTAGAGGCCCCTCTCAGTAAAGTCCCTCTCGGCTAAAATTAGATTGGGCATTATGGAATGTTAACCATTGCTGTCTTTGTGTTTGTTTGTTTGTTTTTTTGTTTGTTTTGAGATAGAGTCTCACTCTTGTCGCTCAGGCTGGAGTGCAGCAGTGAGATCTTGGCTCACTGCAACCTCCACCTCCCAGGTTCAACCGATTCTCCTTCCTCAGCTTCCCAAGTAGCTGGGATTACAGGCGCCCACCACCACACCTGGCTAATTTTTGTATTTTTAGTAGAGATGGGGTTTCACCATGTTGGCCAGGCTGGTCTTGAACTCCTGACCTCAGCTGATCCACCTGCCTCAGCCTCCCAAAGTGCTGGGATTACAGGCATGAGCCACTGAACCAGGACTTGTCTTTGTATTAATTTGCCTTGCACTTTTTGCTAGTGGCTGTGACTGACAGAATTAGGTGAGTACAGAATCATGGAACATGTGGAGATTTTTCCTCCCTAAAGTGGGAAACTTGAGAGCAGATGGGACTGCAAAAAAGATTCTTTCACAACCAACAAGCAGCCACCTAAACTTTTGATTCAGTGCAATGCTTGGGTCTTTCTCTGGCTTTCCTGAGCTCCTCACCTTTCCTGCCCTGCCATAGGCAATCTCTCTCTCAATCTCTCTCTCTCTCTCTCTCTCTCTCTCTCTCTCTCTCTCTTTCCTTTCCTATCTTTTCTGTTACTCTGGGCCACCATCTTGCGCAGAGATCACATGTTGAAACTTCCAGTCAGAAGTCCCTGAAACAGGCCAGGCATGGTGACTCACGCCTGTAATCTCAGCATTTTGGGAGGCCGAGGTGGGCGGATCACCTGAGGTCAGGAGTTGAAGACCAGCCCGGCCAACATGGCGAAACCTCATCTCTACAAAAAATACAAAAATTAGCCAGGGTGGTGGCAGACACTTGCAGTTTCAGCTACTCAGGAGGCTGAGGCAGGGAGAATTGCTTGAACCTGGGAGGCAGAGGTTGCAGTGAGCTGAGTTCACGCTACTGCACTCCAGCCTGGGAGACAGAGCAAGACTCCATCTCAAAAAAAAAATACCCCCAAAGAAACAAAAAAGAAGTCCCTGAAACAAACAACAACAACAGCAAGAAAATAATGGATGAAATTTCCCTCTTGTTTTATGTTCTTGGGAGCTTGACCTTGTAGCCATGTGGCAGTATTTTCTCTTGGTTTCTACCATCTGGCATACATAAATTTTGAAATTTATGTTATACTTAACTCTAAAAATGATCTTGAGCAGTTAAAAACCTTTGCAAGCTCAAAATTGGCTGCTGGAGGCTTCTTCTGGGAGACTCCAATGGAGACTGCTCCATGCTGTAGCTCAGTAGCTGGGCTTTGCTGTCTCACAGTGGCAGCCCGGGTTCAGGGTTCAATTTCTGGCTTAGGAAATGAGTCCTTTCTGATTTGATATCTGTGTGAATATTTGTTGATTCTCTTCCCCTCCACCAACCATCTTGGATTTTCCTTTTTCTGAGCTACCTTTGAAGATTCCAGATTTGTAAAACTGCTTGCCACCTTTTTGAAAATACCTTGTACACTTGTCGTTACCTTCATAACCTTAATTAAAGCTTATTGGTTTCAGGAGATGGAGGTTGCAGTGAGCCGAGTTTGGCCGCTGCACTCCAGCCTGGGTGACAGAGGGAGACACTGTCTCAAAAAAAAGAAAGGCTCATTGGTTTCACTTGGGAGGTTATGGTAGTGAAGTTCAAAAGTCAGAAATATTGGCACTTTACATGACTAAAGTCAAGTAGTAAGAGAATTAAATAATTTTTTTTAAAAAGAGCATCATGGTTAAAAGTCAGCTTAATTGTATTATTTTTTGAGATGGAATGCAGCGGCACAATCTTTGCTCACTACAACTCTGCCTCGCAAGACCAAGAAATTCTCCTGCCACAGCCTTCCGAGTAGCTGGGATTACAGGCATCCACCACTACACCTGGCTGCTATTTGTATTTTTTGTATTTTTACTAAATACTAAAAAAGAAAAAAAAGAGTGGGGTTTCACTATGTTGGTCAGGTTGGTCTTGAACTCCTGACCTCAGGTGATCCACCCTCCTCGGACTCCCAAAGTGCTACGATTACAGGCGTGAGCCACCACACCTGGCCCTAAAGTTGGCTTAATTAATTGTGGATATTCAAGCTCTAACAGCCTGGAACTCCTTTGAAAAAACAGAGGAGGTGCCACAATAGGCATTTTCGGTGCAACTCAAAGGAAGTATTGACTCTGATCCTGAAGCTGGGGCATGTGAGAGACTGTAAATTTTATCTCTGAACCTTTTCACAGGTGTGATTGTGTCATATAGTTTCACTCAGTATCTGACTGATTTTTCTCTTTTGCCTGGGCCCGGCCTGCAGTTTAAATTGTGAAATATTCTTAGGTTGAGCACCTAGATAATGTGACTTTCCTGCTTGGGCTCTGCCCTCCCAGGGTATTGTGACATATCTCTGGGCCAATCACCTAGGTGATGTGACTCTCCCTTTCTGCCTGGGCCAGTCCGCAGGGGTTACTGCGAGATATCTTTAGGACCATCACCTATGTTATGTGACTCTTTTTTTGCCTTGAATCTGTTTGCAGGAGGAATGGTTACATATCACTAGGCCCATCACCTAGATGGTGTGACCGTCTTCTACCTGGAACGTGTTTACAGGGTGGATTGTGACATATTGCTTTTCCTAGCACCCAGGAGATGTGACTTTTATTGACAGGACCCTGCCCATAGTAAAAATATTGACATATTGCTGGCCCAGCACCTAGTTGATGTGATTCTCCCTCCTAGTCTCTGCCCACAGGTGGGATGGTCACACATTAGGCCCAGCTCACAGGTATAATGAAGACTCACATATGTGAACCCAGCCAGTAGAAGACATTTTAACTCTTCTAGCTAGGCTTAGAAAAACAGGCAATGATCTGGGTCTTCTACATGTAGAAAGATCACACAATATATCACACTCATGTATATTCTATAAAGTCTTTGAGTGATAAAAAGAGTGTTAAAACAGAGTCCAGCACCGAGGTAAAATTGTGAATCTTATAGGCACACTTAGTTGACAATTAAAATTGTCTTCCTCACACATTGACAAAACTTATTGGTGAAGTCTTGACTCTCATATGAGGACACGATACACAGTTAGAATATTGACCATCCAATGTGGATCTGTCCAAAGGTCAGATGGTGAGTCATAGCTGGACTCAGCCTACAGGCGCAGCGATGACTCTTATACCCGGACCCAGCCAGTAGGAGAGGTATTGACTTTCATAGCTGGGCTTAGGCCAAAAAATACAGTTCTGGGTTTTCTACTTTAAGAAAAATCACAGGTGATTACCACACACATGCATGTTGTGTAAAGCCCTCAGATGGTACAGAGAGTGTCATAATAAGACCCAGCACAACACTGAGGTTGTGACTATTGGATGCACACTCAGCTGACTGTTAAAATTGTCACCTTTATATAGGGAGAGAGCAAAATAGTTCCTGAATCTCACTGACAGATACAGTCCACAGTTGGATCATGTCGGTCACATGTGGATTGAGCCACAGGAGGGATGTTGACCAATTTCTGTAACCAGATCACAGGAACAAAAATGACTCTCCTACCTGGAACCAAAAATAGGAGAGATGTTGACTCTCATGCTTGGGCTTAGGGCAATGGGCATGATCCTACATTTGGGATTGTTAACAAATGCCTGGGCAAGCACAAATGTCTCAAAGCAGATTGTGAATCTCACATGTGCCATATAAAACCCTCAGGTGGTACAGACAGTGTCATAACAGGGAGCAGCAAACAGGTGAGATTGTGACTCTCATATGCACACCTGGCTAACAGTATGAATTGTCACCCTCCCACCTGAACACAGCCTCCTTACAACGTCCTCAATCTCACACTCAGAGGCAGTCAAAGTTGGAATTATGACTCTCATATGTGAACGCAGTCCACAGGTAGCATGGTGATTCCCACACCAAGATTCAGCAGCCCTGTGAGGCTGTGGCTCTGCTACTGGGACACTGTAAGTGGGGTTCAGGCTCTCATGCACACAGCCAGTCCACTGTTGAGGTTGTGAGTCAAATACTTAACCATATCTCGCAAGATATGTTGACTGTCATAAGTGAAGCCAGGACATTTGTGGGGTTTTAAATCTTATCTTTAAACCTTTCTGCAGGTGTAATTGTGACATATACATTTTCCCAGCCTCTGATTAATTTTACTCTGTTGCTTGGGCCCAGTGTACAGTTGAGATTGTCACATATACCTGGGCCATGCAGTATATTCAGTTCCTCTTCTGCATGAGAGCTGTCCTCAGGGGAAATTGTAATGTATCTCTGGACCAATCATCAAAGGAAGTGACTCTCCTTTTCTGCCTGGGTCCTGCCCTTAGTTGGGATTGTGACATATCACAAGACCTTTAACCCAAATGATATAACTCTTTTTTCTGGGTTCTAATTACAGAAGGCATTGTGAAATATCTCTAGGCCCATCACCTACGTGATGTGACTCTTCTTTCCTGCCTGAACCCTGCCCCCAAGAGACATTGTGACATATCACTGGGTCCAGCTTCCAGGTAATGTAACAGTCCTGCCTTGGCCCTGCCCACAAGGGGCATTGTGACATATTGCTGAGCCCAGTACCTAGGTGATATGACTCTCCTGAATTGCCCCTGCACTCAGGGGAGACTTTTGACCCTGCCCAAAGTGGCAATTGTGACATATCTTTGGCCAGCACCCAGGAGATCCAAACTTTGTTCCTGGTCTCTCTCCACAGTTGGAATTGGGAACTACACATGGGCACAGCTTACAGGTGGAATGATGACTCACACCTGAAGATATTTTGACCTTTGTAGTCTTAGGGCAAAAACTAAGGTCCTGTGTCTTCAACTTGTAGGATGGTCACGGAATATTACAACTTGCATGCACGTTGAATGAAGCCCTCAAATGCTACAAAGAGTGCCAAAATAGAGCCCAGCTAAAACTGTGGTAAAACTGTGGCTGTTGTATGCAAACTCAAATAAAAGTAAGGATTATCAGCCTTCCACATTAACAGAACCCACTGTTGAGGTTCTGAATCGCTCACCAAGAGGCAATCAAGTTGGAATTGTGACTCTCATGCATCAATCCAATCGACAGATGAGATGATAACACCAAGTCCAGGATTTAGAACACCTGGGGGCTGTGCTTCCCCTATCAAAACACAGTCTGTTGGTGAGATTTGGGCTCTCGTGCATTGATTTAGTCCACTGTTGTGACTGACTTGCATAGTTGAACTCAAACCCACAAGAGGTGTTGACTCTTATACCTTTAGCAGGAAAATGTCCCGGATTGTGAATTTCTGCTATTGACCGGGTCCAGGTATGAGTTTCATTGCTGTTTCTGTGAGCTGGGTTAAAAAATGAGTCACTATCTCACCTGTAGCTGCATCTATATATGACAGTCACAATTCCAAGTCTGGATTGCATTTGAGTGTGAGATTTAGGACCTCACCAGTGAGAACTGTCTATGTGTGAGGGTGACAATTCTATCAGATGGATGTGCATATGAGAGTCACAATCTCACCTTCGTTCTGGGTCCTGTTATGACACTGTATCATTTGAGGGCTTTATACAATATGCCTTGATATCATAATACACTATGACCTTTATTTAAGTAGGAGACCCAGGACCTTATCTGTTGCCCTAAGCCTAGATATCAGAGTCAAAATCTGTTCTCTTAGCTGGATCCAGGTATGAGAGTCATCATCTCACCTGTGAGCTGTGACCATGTATATGTCGCAATTTCACCTGTCATCAGGAAGCAGACATGAGAGTCCTATCACCTGGGTGCTGGGTAAGTGATATGCCACAATTCTTACTTGGGCAGGGTCCAGGCAACAGAGGAGAGACACATCACCTATATGACTGGCCCAGCAATGAGTGAAAATCCTCTTTCAGTGCAGGGCCTATTCAGGAGAGTCATATCACCTAGCTGCTTGGCCAAGCAATATATCACAATGCCCCCTTTGCACAGGGCCAAGACAGGACAGTTACATCACCAGGGAGCTGGGTCCAGCTACGTGTCACAATTCCTTTTGTGGAAAGTGTCCAGGCAGAAAAGCAGAGTCACATCACCTAGGCCCAGAGAGACGCCACAATGCCATTTGTGGGCTGGGCCCTGGGAGAAGAATAACATCACCCAGTGCTGGGCCCAGCAATATGTTGTGATCCCAACTAGAAAAAGGTTCCAGACAAGAGAGGAGAATCACATCATCATGTTGATAAGCCAAGAGATATTTACAATCCCCCCTGTGCACATGTCCCAGGCAGAAGACTTGAATTACCTTTTTACTTAGACCAGTAATGTCACAGTGCTTCTTCAGGGCAGGGCACAAACAAGACAGGACAGTCACATCATTAAGTACTAGGCTTAGTGATATGTCGTAACTTCACCTGTGGGCAGGGTCCAGGCAGGAGAAGATTTACTTCACCTAGGTGCTCAGTAAAGAGATACATTACAATACCTTTCAGGGAAGTAGCCAGGCAATATAGTCACAGTACCTTGGTACTTGGCCCAGGTATAACTCATAAGATATCTGTGTGTTGAGCCCAGAAGGACTATCAAATTACTAAGGTTCTAGGTAGAAGTGCGTGTCACAATTAAACTTGAAGGAAGGCCCAGGAATGAGACTCCCAATTCCACACATTTCCCCACTCCGGGTGTAAGATTCAACCATTCCTGAGACTTAGGTCCAAGTACATGAGTCACAATCTCAACAGTGGATTGCATCCTCTCATGAGAGCCCCAATTTCTTCTCCAAGCTGTGTCCCAGTAGGGGAGTCACAACCTCAGTGCTGTGCTGAATCCTGGTTGGAGAGTCCCCACTTCACCTGTGGACTGGATCCGTATATGAGAGTCTCAATTCCAACTCTTGACTGCCCCTGGGTGTGAGATTCAGAACCTCAATTGTGACTTGTGTACACTTGGGCATGTGACAATTTCTACTTTTGGCTGTGTGTTCATACAGGACTCTCAATCTCACCTGTGTTCTGGGCCCTGTTATGAGACTTTCTCTACTCTACCACCCACGGGGTTTATTCAATATGCATGGGTGTCATAATCATCTGTGATTTTCATACGAGTAGAAGACCCAGGACCTTACCCATGGCCCTAGTCCTATTTATGAGAGTCAAAATCTCTCTCTTTGGCTGTGCCTATGTGTAAGAGTTATTACAATGCCTGTAAGCTGGGTCAAAGTATATGTCACCATCTCAGCTGTGGGGATGCACGGGCAGGTGCAGTGAGAGTTGAGATGGGAGGAGGGTTGTGATGTCCTCTGTCAGAATGTAATTGTTATTGTTTTGGGGCTGTTTTTAGATATTGTCAAATAAAATAAATTTAGATGTAGGTAAGAAGTAACTTTATTCTAAAGTAATGTTGTGGCTGGGCACGGTGTCCCACACCTGTAATCTTAGCACTTTGGGAGGCCAAGGCAGGTGGATCACTTGAGGTCAGGAGTTCAAGACCAGCCTGGTCAACATGGTGAAACCCTGTCTCTACTAAGAATACAAAAATTAGCTGGGTGTGGTTGCGGGCACCTGTAATACCAGCTACTCGGGAGGCGGAGGCAGGAGTATTGCTTGAACCTGGGAGGCGGAAGTTGCAGTGAGCCGATATCACACCACTGCACTCCAGCCTAGGTGACAGAGTGAGACTCTGTCTCAAATAAAATTAATAAATAAAGTAGTGTTGCAATGGGGGGAAGCACCAAATATAATATCTGCAAACGTCTCAAAAGTTAGGCTGAAAAGGGCTGTCATTCATATGGAGGAGCAAGCAAGATTAGAAAGAAGGTGGGAGAGGAGGGCAGAATGGAGGGTGGCAAAATCAACGCAAGATTAGAGAATGTTGCACCCTGAAGTCAGCCTGTTCTTGGGAGGGACATCAAGAGGGGTTGTATGTTTGCTCAGACTGGAGGTGGGGCAGAGTCCAGGGGTCTGGGGGAAAGAGAGAAACTTAAGCAAAGTTTGCTTAACAAATATTTTATTCTGAATCCTGAAGACAAAATTATTTAAATGTGTGTGAAGAACAATGGGAATGTGGAGTCTGTGAATCTGTGATATCTAAAAGTGGGCATATCATCTCAGTCATAATGGTAAGGATCTTTCTTTGCAGTAAGCTGTTCTTACGGAACACAAAGCATTAGGGAGTTTTCTTAATTGTAACTATTTACCAGGACGCACTACCCACCCCGTCTTTCTCTCCCACTTACTTTTCTGTGCTCTATACATTTTTTTCCAGTTGTCATTTCCTGAATTGTATTCTTTATAGTAACCTGGTAAACATAGGTAGAGTGTTTTGCCAAGTTCTGTGAGTAGTTTTCTCAAATTATTAAACTTCAGGGAGAAATTTATGAAATCCCATGATTTATACATACCTGCTTAGGGGTATAGATGGGCCCCTGGTGCTTGTCCCTGGCATGTGCATTGGGGACTATATTGAGGAACTGAGTCCTGAAGTGGTCGGGTCATGGTGACTCTGGATTCTGTCAGAATTGAGTTGTTGAACATCCAGTTGGTGTTGAAGAGTTGGCTGGTGTTCAGCAAATGCCAGATATTTGGTGTGAGAACAAAGACATCACAGCAGCCTTGGTTGGAGGGAGACTGTGGGTCTTTTGGGGAATGGAGACTCTATTCTTCTGCACACAAGCTGTTGCGCTGTGAATTGTCCTGTGATTCCAGGTCTCATCCGGGTTCAGAGGAAACTGAGAACTCAAAGGAAAGCAACTCTGAGGACAGGCTCCTGTCCCCACCCTGTTGCTAGAAAGTGATTCCTGCACACTCACACCCATGCACACTGGGCAGTGATGTAGCCACACTCCTCCCATGACAAGGCTTCACCCTCAGAAATTGTGCTGAGAGAACTTCTCCTTCTAGAGTTTTCTGCCAATAGGCTATGTAAGTGCCGAGAGGACTCATGGCTTATTTTTATGCCCAGATCTTGAATCTGCACCAGTGACCCATTTTCTCCACTAGCCTAGGCTTCTGGGTCATCCATCCCTCCCATCTGCCTGCATGCACACATTTATAAGTCAGAGCTACCCTGTCTGGACCAGTGTCCGTAGCACTAGCCAGTCTTTTCACCAACTGGGTACTGTTCCCTACCCATAGGTTTTTTTCCTTTCCTTTCCTTTCGTTTCATTTCCTTCCCTTCCCTTCCCTTCCTTTCCTTTTCCCTTTCCCTTTTCTTTCTTTCTTTTCCTTTATTTCCTTTCTTTCTTTCCCTCCCTTTCTTTTCCTTTCTTTCTTTCCCTCCCTCTTTCTTTCTTTCTCTTCCTTTCTTTCCCTCCCTCTTTCTTTCTTTCTTTTTCTTTCTTTTTCTCTTTCTTTCTTTTTTCTTTCTTTCTTTCCTTCCTTCCTTTTCTTTCTCTTTCTTTCTTTCTTTCCTTTTCTTTCTTTCTTTTTTTATTTTTTTGAAACAGAGTTTTGTTGTTTTCACCTAGGATGGAGTGCAGTGGCAGGATCTCGGCTCACTGCAGGCTCTTCCTCCCAAGTTCAAAAGATCCTCTTGCATCAGCCTCCCAAGTAGCTGGGATTACAGGTGCCACCACCATGCCCAGCTCATTTTTGTATTTTTAGTAGAGATGAGATTTCACCATGCTGGATAAGCTGGTCTCGAACTCTTGACCTTAGGTGATCCACCCGCCTCGGCCTCCACAAAGTGCTGGGATTACAGGAATAAGCCACTGCGCCCAGCCCCCATAGGTTTTTTTTTTTTATAACACCTTCTCTTATTCTGTCTTCTTCTTTTCCACAAACACTCTTTCACAAACACAAGGCCACACCTCTGATGCCTAAATACAAACCCTACTGGAAATCATATGTCCATGAGTTCAGGATAAATTTTTTGGACCTGCTTATTGTAAGCATAAATACAAAATAAAGACAAGACACTTAATCATTCAACTAAAAAATAAAAATGGGAATTTACTCTTCTTTTTTTCTTAAAATGTTAAATACCTTTTACATGTAAATTCTTTCTCTGC
This sequence comes from Homo sapiens, assembly GCF_000001405.40. NCBI lineage: Eukaryota > Metazoa > Chordata > Mammalia > Primates > Hominidae > Homo > Homo sapiens. Next base: position 57,145,367 of record NC_000007.14, read on the forward strand.
TTTTTATCTTTTTTCTTGTCTTTTCAATATTTATGAAATCTATTTCTGTTCTAATTTTATTATTTTTTCTTTTTCTTTTATTTATTTTTATTATTTATTTATTTATTTATTTTGAGACAGAGTTTTGCTTTTGACACCCAGGCTGGAGTACAGTGGTGCAATCTCGGCTTATGGCCACCTCCGCCTCCTGGGTTCAAACGATGCTTCTGCCTCAGCCTCCTGAGTAGCTGGAATTACAGGCGCCTGCCACCACACCTGGCTAATTTTTGCATTTTTAGTAGAGACGGGGTTTCACCATGTTTCCAGGCTGGTCTCGAACTCCTGACTTCAGGTGATCTGCCCACCTCAGCCTCCCAAAGTGCTGGGATTACCGGCGTGAGCCACCGAGCCCGGCCTGTTATTTTCCTTATTTTGCTAACATTGGGATTATTTATTTGTTCTTTTTCAAGTATTTTGTGAATTAAAGTTATGTTTTCTATTTGACATCTTTTCCTTTTTGTTAATATAGAAATATAGCATTATAAACTTCTGATTTAGAACGGTTTTGTGGGTTTTTTTTATTGTATGTTGTTTCTATTTTCTTTTTTCTCATTATACTTTCTGATTTCCCTTTGCTTTTTCTCTTTGACCCATTGGTTGTCCAGGAACATGTTGTTTACTGCCCACATATTTGTGAGTTTTAAAATTTTTCTTGGGCTATTGATTTCTAGTTTTATTAAATTGTAATTTTAAAAACTGATATGGCTGGGTGCAGTGACTCCTGCCTGTAATCCCAGCACTTTGGGAGGCCTAGGCAGTTGGATTACCTGAGGTCAGGAGATTGAGACCAGACTGACCAACATTGGTGAAGCCCCGTCTTTACTAAAAATACAAAATTAGCTGGGCATGGTGTTGCATGCCTGTAATCTCAGCTACTTGGGAGGCTGAGGCAGGAGAATTGCTTGAATCCGGGAGGTGGAGGTTGTAATGAGCTCGGATCACAACATTGCACTCCGGCCTGGTTGACAGAGCGAGACTCCATCTCAAAAACAAAAAACAAAAAGAAGTTGCTATAATTTTAATCTTTTTAAATTTGAATAGAGCTTGTTGTTTTTGTTGGCCCAAGATATGGTCTATCATGGATAATGTTCCATTTGTGCTTGATAAGAATGTGTATTCTCATACTGCTACATGAAATAGTCTACATATGTCCGGGGTTTGCAGTGTTCCTCAGCGCTATCCAAGCACATTGTTTTCTTTCTAGTTTTCTGTCTGAATAATCTATTGTTTTCAGTAGAGTAACAAAGTCCTCTATTATTGTCATATTTGTTTTTTCTAAAGTTCTGTTTATATATGTTTATATATTTATGTTCTCCAATATTGGGTGCATATATTTTTTAATTGTTATATCCTCTTGACAAATTATCCTCTTTTTTTCATTTTGTAATGAAAACAAAATCTGTATTATTTTATTTAATATTCATTCTTAAGTTACAGTTAACACAATCTGCTTCTAATCCAAGAAATCCTAGTATAATGTGAAACACATGCATATACATTTAGTAAGACCTTCTACATTTCTAAATAAATTACATGCATGATATACAATAAAGAATACTAATATGAGAATTCAGTACATTTATTTTTCTGCATGGAAATTTAACTACTGTTCCAGACACACATACACAAAAAAACCCACAAAGCAACAGTGTGTAATAGGTAGTGAGACACACAAAATAAGCATATTTAAAATGCCTACAGCCATTTTTTTTAAGGCAACAAAATATGTCCAGTCCTTGACATCTTCTCATACTCATTTAGCACCATGGATGCAAGGACCTAACAGTAAACATGTACAACCTCATGCTTAACAGTTAAAGCATGCACTGAATTGAATTTATATGTTGTGATCTATTCTACTAAGTATGCAATACATACTTTTTCTTACTAATATTTTATACATTAAATTACCCTGCAGCATCTTGAAATTTTAATATCGATGTAAAACAACTTTTGAAAGATTTATGAAACAAGTTTCAAGGTTCACCTTCAGGCTGGTTTGATTAAGTGGAAAAATGGCAGCAGCCTCAAGGTTCATACTGAAAGAAAATGCTGTTATGTGCATGTCAACCCATGTAAAAAATACCTATATACAAGAAGGCACAAAGATTTGTGCAGTTGGAATCACCAGTGCAAATGCATGCATTTGAGGTACTTATTTTTTCCATGGTCAGGTATAATTACGCATAGTCATTTTCCTTAAGTGCTAAAGATTTCAGACCTGATCAAACGAAAAGCTGTAAGTGTAATATGAGCTATTTATATATTTAATTTCAAAGTGCTATGCTTTTAATGAACATTTAACATTATAGATTTATATATTTAGTTTAAAATATTTATATTACCAACCAATACATTTTCTCACTGTAAAGAGACTGACTGGCAATTACACCTGGCTAAGTAATTTAAATAGCATACTTGCAAGAACTATAGTGAAAGAGTTAAATACTTCATTATTGTTTCGTTGAAATGAGAAGCCCAAAAGGCATAGATCAACGATGCTCAATGATGAAAAATGAATACCCAGAACAGCGGTGCATGCCCCCAAAATGACCTCTGTGCAATAAAAACTAAGTATTCTCCACATTATCAATGCCATTGGCATCCACATGGGTATCAGGCTCCTCACACAAAGATGAGGGAACAAAGTGGCTAACAGTGGGACACAAACAGCCCTTACACTCTGGCAATTCTTGCTTCAGGCATTCCAGTTGCTCCACTTGGTTGTTCAGGCATCCAATCATATATCCTATCATAAAATAGACCATTAACTCCAAGTTCCATCAATTTTCTTCTCTTTTCAGGATCACTGCTTTCATCACCCCAGCAGAATATGATTAGTCCCTTAGCTTTTGCCTCTTGAATATAGGATGGGTTTCTGAGCAAGTCTTCAGTATGTACATTTATTTCCAGTAGATTTTCTTTTCTTTCTTTTTTTTTTAGACGAAGTTTCGCTCTTGTTTCCCAGGCCGGAGCACAATGGTGTGATCTCGACTCACTGCAACCTCCGCCTCCCGGATTCAAGCGATTCTCCTGCCTCAGCCTGCCGAGTAGCTGGGATTACAGGTGCCCACCACGGTGCCCAGCTAATTTTTGTATATTTAGTAGAGACTGGGTTTCACCATGTTGACTAAGCTGATCTTGAACTTCTGACCTCAGGTGATCCACCCTCCTCGGCCTCCCAAAGTGCTGGGGTTACAGGCGCGAGCCACCGCACCCAGCCTATCCCTAGTAGATTTTCAAACTGTGCAAAGCTCATTGCAATGGGGGTTGTCGGAGATCTGAGGTCCATGAGTTCAGGATAAATCTCAGATTTTCCTTCAGTTAAAAATAATATGGGATATTTGTTCTGCCTTTGCCAAACCATTGTGCAAATATCTGCATCAAATGAAGAAAACACTATTCTCTCTTCCCAGAATTTTCTAAAACAGTTTTTAAAGTTATATCCAAAAACAGATTCATGCCAAAATATGTTGATAAGTTACCATCCCACATTCCATCCCTTTGCTGGCAGATCCATTTTATTTCAATGTTAAACCCTACATCTTCTGGCAAACACTCTAAAACCATCTTACGAGAAGGAAATGCCTGATTTTCTGAAAAGGAATTTTCCTCCTGGACCACAGATTCTTTCCAATCCTTAGATTTCAGTGCAGTCACATGAGTGAGCTTTAACAACTGGAGATGGTCAAATGTTAATTTTTTTTACTGGAATTTCAAATAATTCAACTGGATCAGCATCAAATTTCTTTTTCATAGTCAAACAACAGGTAAGATCATGATATACCATGGGCACAAAGTCCTTTGAAAGGTGTACATCAAATTCTACAAAGGCTGCACCGTGACTAGCAGCATTTCTTAAAGAAGCAATAGTATTTTCTTTAGCCAGCTGGGCAGTTGTAGCGTTTCCCACACCTCGATGGCCAACATCCAATGGTATTCTTGGCTTCCAATACTGGAAAATGAAGATTTCATGTCACAACTGTATCCTGGCAATGGCTTAATAATTATATAGTCAACTCTCACTTTGCCTATTGTTTTCCTGGAATTTCTGCTCATGATGGGAAGAGTAAGAATTCCAGCACTCTTTCCACTCTCAGCAATGGTGGATGATAAGAGACAAGCTGTACCCACACATCCAGGGAGGGCATCACCTTGAACTATGTGCTCACTGAGATCTTCTTCAAAAAAATCAAAGATTAGTTCCAGGTTATCTGGTCCCATTGTCTGTATGCTGTACTCTGTCCAACGATCAGACTGTAAGCCATAACCACACTCCAGCTGTGAATGCCTGCACTGGAACTCATTGTCACATATTAAGGATATCTCCATGCTATTGGACATTTTGTGAAGTACAGTGGGAGATACCCTATCATCCTCATCTTCCTCCAGGCCCTCTAGTGTCAGCTTCACCCTAAATCTAGATTTTTAAAATTTTTTCTTGGTTATTGACACAGGAGGTTTTTCAGAATAATGCAATCGTAATCTTATTTCAGTCTGACATGCCAGCCATGCAGAATCCAGAGTTTCAACACCACTGTGGATTCCAAATTGTCCATGGTCAATAACAATTTCACTTTCTAACGGGGTTATTGATCGTGGTTGTAGATGAGTCTCCCACTTGTGAACTATCACTTGACATGGACCACCGATAGTCTTTGGTTCTAAAAAGTACCCTTTGAAGTAGCAATGCTGAACTGATACTCCTCTACTGAGTACAATGGTTGCTTTCCATAACATGCTGGCTCTGCTAAGACAGGTTTTAGGGCATTGCCCTCATTCTGATACAATCTTAGCTTCTTCCACCTGTCTCATTCTCTGGAAGAAGAGCCACAGCATTTTGAGGATTCCAGTTTCCCAAAGCATCACAGCTTCCACATATTGCAAAAACTTCTGGTAAAAGAGTTCCTCTTATTTCAAAGGTAACCTGAGAAGGTGTCATTCTGATGGGTTTATTTTATGATGTCGTGCTGCCGGGTTCGCTAGTCCACGGGTCCGCGTTGCCGCCCCGCCCGAGAGAGAGTACCGCGGGCAGAGGTATCGGACCCCCGCTGTCGGTGCCTCGCCAGCGCTCCCCAGGGCGGCCAGTCGCGGCAGGAAGCGGCTACGCTCAAACCAGTTTCAGCTGCTCCAGACCAAACTGCCAGGCCACCCTGTGGGGCGGGGCCGGAGGGCCAAATTATCCTCTTTTTATTATAGAGTGATCTTTGTCTCTTGGGACAGATTTTTTTCTAAAAGTCTGTTTTTTTCTGATATAAATATAGCCACACTTACACTCGTTCAATTATTATTGGTATGGGTTTTTAAAATTCTTTAACCATTAACCTATGTGTGCCCTTAAATCTAAAATAAGTCACCTGTGTGAAGCATACTGTTGATCCTTAAAATCTATTTAGACATTCTGTGAATCTTTTCATTTTCTGCTTTAATAACAGAATATTCTAGAGTTGGTATTGTATAAAGAATAGAAGTTTACTTAGCTCACAATTTTAGATTATGGAAGTCCAAGACCAACCCATTGACATCTGATGAGAATCATATTTCCACATCACAAAATGGCCAAAGGCATAAGAATTACAGAAGGTGTGCACCAGAGAGCCAGAGAGCTTACTTTTTTTTTTTTTTTTTTTTTTTTTGAGACAGAGTCTTGCTCTGTTGCCCAGGCTGGAGTGCAGTGTCACGATCTCGGCTCACTGCAAGCTCTGCCTCCCGGGTTCATGACATTCTCCTGCCTCAGCCTCCCGAGTAGCTGGAACTACAGGCGCCCGCCACCACACCCTGCTAATTTTTTTTGTGTTTTTAGTAGAGATGGGATTTCACCATGTTAGCCACAATGGTCTCGATCTCCTGACCTCGTGATCCACCCGCCTCGGCCTCCCAAAGTGCTAGAATTACAGGCCTGAGCCACCACGCCCGGCCTTTTTTTGTTTTGAGTTGTTGCCCAGGCTGGAGTGCAATGGCGTGATCTCCGCTCACTGTAATCTTTGCCTCTTGTGTTCAAGCGATTCTCCTGCCTCAGCCTCCCGTGTGGCTGGAATTACAGGCCTGCGCCACCACGCATGGCTAATGTGGTGGCTAATTTTGTTTTTTTAGTAGAGATGGGGGTTTCTCCATGTTTGTCAGGCTGGTCTCGAACTCCCGACCTCAGGTGATCTGCCCGCCTCAGCCTCCCCAAGTGTTGGGATTACAGGCGTGAGCCACGACTCCCAGCCTCTTGATTCCTTTTTGTGTATATACTACAAATTTTCTTTTAATTACCAAGAGACTTACATAAAACATCTCGTAACAGTCTAGCTTAAGATAATAACAATTGAGCCTCTATGTATAGAGACTCAACGATTTTACTCTCAATACATGATTTATATCACTTTACATTTTTATACTGTGTATCTAATAACAAATTATTTCAATTATATGTATTTTTAATACTTTTGTCTTGTAGCTTTTATCCCTGAGTTAAAAGCAATTCATCCACCACCATTACACGTATCACTAGTATTTTACTCATTTTTCTCCACCTGTAACTAAATAATGATGTAATTTAATACCAATATTTATTTTATATATAATCTCACAGTATTATAAAAATTATATATTTTTTGCTTTGCAATATTATTTTCTTGTTCATATGGCTGTATTATAGATCTTATATTTTGTGTAATAGCACCCATATATTAATAACATAACATTACCTAGTATCTTTTAAATACTTATTAATTAAAAGGTTCCACTTTCATTAGTCTTTTATTAATTCTTATAATGCATTTTTTGTGAAATTTTACTGCTATACATTGCATGCCAATAATTAAACATGCCAAAGTTCACATTTGAAAACTTAGTTATTTAAAGAATTATTTTTCTGATACATCTATGCTAATATTCAGTATTTTGTAGGTCAACATGTTTCATTTTTTAACTCCATTTTACTGCATTTTTTTCATATAGGTTTCCTTTGATTAATAAATTGTATTTTTGTTTTTAACATTATATTTATGATTTGGATGGTAATTTTTCACTCTGTATTATTTATAAAAATGTGGTGTTTAATTAAAATATAAATTGCTGGGTTTCACTTGGGGCAAATTTAAAGAAACAAGTATAAGTCAGACATTTCTTTCTTTTTTTTTTTTTTTGAGATGGAGTCTCACTCTGTCATGCCCAGGCTGGAGTGCAGTGGTGAGATCTCAGCTCACTGCAACCTCTGCTTTCTGGGTTCAAGCAATTCTCCTGCCTCAGCCTCCTGAGTAGCTAGGGCTACAGGGTGGGCCACCATGCCTGGCTAATTTTTGTATTTTTAGTAGAGACAGTGTTTCGCCATGCTGGCCAGGCTGGTCTCGAACTCCTGACCTCGTGATCCACCCGCCTCAGTCTCCCGAAGTGCTGAGATTACAGGCGTGAACCACCACGCCTGGCCCCATAAGTCAGACATGTCTATTGCCTATAAAAGTTACTTATGTGATATTTGCCTGTACAAATATTGCCCCATTTTATTAATTATCTTGTTTATTTCTTTTCTCAGGTGGTTGTGTTTCATTGCCTAGATGAGTAGTAAAAAAGGCAGTCTAAAATTACCATCTATTTATTGTTTGAATATATGTTGAGTGAGAAAAACACTTGTTATTTGAAGTAATTTTTGAAAAATATAACGTTTTGATACATATAAATATTTGTGATTAAAAACATAAAATTACTATCTTAAACATTTTAAAGTTGTACATTTCAACTATATGTTTAGTACTTTTAAGTATATTTACATTTTTTGAAAGAGATCTCTGGATCAATTTTATCTTTAAAAAGTACAATTTAATGTCCAATAAACTGTCTTCTCTCTTTTCTGCTTCTGGAGAACATCATTTTACTTTCTGTTTTGTCTGTCTCTTTTTGACTATTTTATTTCAGTCAACATATTTTTTCCCCACATCTTTAATTTTTAAAAATGTTATTCTGCTCTCAGTTCAGATTCATCAGGAAATTGAATCATATCCAGAAGAATTAAAACTGAAAGACTAATATGTTTGTTAAAGCAATGCAGATTGCCATAGTAATAAACCCTAAAATTTCAAAGGCTTAGCAAAATAATACATTTTCTGCTTACATAGACATCCCCTTTGGTTTATTTCTGGTTAAGAAAACTTCTTTGTGATTATTCGGAGATTAGATTTGTAAAAATATTCTAACTGCATTTTCCTCTTCCTTCACCCAACAGATGAAAAAAGATGCAAAGAAGACATATTTGCTTTTTATCCACACATCATTTCCAATCACTATGCTGAGCAAAGTCAATGTGAGCAGAGCTGAGAATAGCAGTTTTCTGGCAGGACGGCCACTTCTGAGCAAAAAATGACACAATAAAAGTATAAATATTTAATAGTAAGCTAATATATTTTCAGCAAATTAAGCATATGCATTAATAAAATTATTGTGGTATAATATTCATTTTGTTGATTCCTATTGCGCTCAGGTAATATCAGATAAAAAACCAGCAAATATAGAGCAAAAATAGTTATTTGAAATGGAAATATTGTGAATAAAGTTATTGTCAATTAAAGTAAAAATATTTTTATCTCCTACTAATCGTTTACCTATAGTTGTACAGTATCAAATGCTTTTTATTAACAACTGTACTTCATATAAGTATTCCATTTATATCACCCTTCTTCATGGTTTCAATGCCTTCTGCACTTCATATCAGTGAAAAACAGGCGAGCTGGTACCAGGAAATTGATGTGGTGCTATTACTACTTTAAGAGTGATGACGTGTAATCCTAGCACTTTGGGAGGCCGAGGCAGGCGGATCACGAGGTCAAGAGATCCAGACCATTCTGGCCAACATGGTGAAACCCCATCTCTACCAAAAATACAAAAAGTAACTGGGCATGGTGGCATGCGCCTGTAGTCCCAGCTACTAGGGAGGTTGAGGCAGGAGAATCGCTTCAATCTGGGAGGTGGAGGCTGCAGTGAGCCAAGATCGTGCCACTGCATTCCAGCCTGGTGACAGAGTGAGACTCCTTCTCAAAAAAAAAAAAAAAAAAAGTGATGTGATGTTGAAGAGCACTTGTCTGAATTGTTCCCATGTCGCAAACACTGTGATTTGGCCCAGAGTACACACATTTCTTATTTTCCTCTAAATTTACTGATGAAATAAAATTCTTAGCTAAGAAAGGTTTGATCTCATTCAAACATGTTTTATGAAATTTGGTTGACATTTCAGTGTCTCTGACTTAAATGGAATATTGAAAATTTCCATGAATCCAAATAGAGTGTTATACATGAACAATCTTTTATAAAAACCCATTCTGAGGCAGAGTAATATTCATAAAATTTCTTCATAATATAGAAGAAATGTGTTAACTCTGTTCCCAGTAATCAACTCTGAACACTGAGCATTCTCAGTCCCCAGTATTCACCCTGAGTCATTCAGGAAAAATTGGTATCTCTGTAAGGAGACAGGTGTTTGGGGGAAGGTCACAACATTGCACATAAATGCTTTCTACATGCACCTGTTAGGATCTTAATCTAATTGGTCTATCATTTGCCTGGCTAGACAATTACTGAATCTAGTCACATTATTTTGTTTTTTGCAGCTAATGACATCTATTACCTATAAGTTTCATACAATAACTTGCTCAGCTGAAACATGAGTCTTTTGTTAACTTACCCTAAATTGAAGGACTACATTTGCAATTTCCAATCTCTGTGTTAAGGCAAATCAGAGAAGAGTAATATGTGTATTTAACATGCATTTTCTTGCATATTAAAATTCTTCTCACATTGCATTGGACACTCTAGGCAGCCACCTAAAAAACAGTCCCTCCTAACTTTTTAGCCAGGATATCAGATTTCAAAAGCTCAAGGACTTAATAATTGGCAAAGCCAAACTCTTGTCTTTGCTTCTTGACCATTTCAAAGAGCATGGCAATTATGCCAAGCCTTTGAAAGATGTGGTTCTGATGACTTTTATTTCAAATGTTTTCTCTGATTGTTAGTCTTATTGCATTAATCTAAGAGAAACTATCTACATAACAATTTATGCATTCAAGAAATATTCATGTTAAGGTGTTCAAAGTTCAATATTCTATTACAGAATAGTAGAATTCTCTAAAATTATAACGTCAGATTATTATTAATAAATTGTTTTTTCAACATTTTCCAATGTGGAAATTAAAGAATTGGGTATGTTTTTTCATGATAAGTTCAATTCTAGGAGGGCACTCACCTGTCTGCATGGCATTTTTGTCATGAATTATGTAAAACTGAGTTACCTGAATGGTGCAGAAATGCTAATTTAATCAGAATGAGAAAGAATTCAGCCTTGTTGGTAGACTGTTGGTATCCCAGAGGCTGACCATTTACTTCGGCTGTGTAGACATTGCTTCCTAATGCCAGGGAGCCCTTGCAACCAAGTTGCCTTTATTTCCCATTCATGTGATCATGTTCTGGTCTCTGTTTTTCTTAAGCTGTCCCAGATGAGGGGTGATTATTTCTTGCATAAATGAGATCCCTTCTTTTTTCCCTGCCAAGAGATCCTCCTATTCTCCCTACTGAAAGCAACATGTTGAAGACAGAAATAGAGACAATATAAAAATATGTCCTTTGCCATGTGGCCACCATAAGCAGCTTACAATCTGGCTTACCTGGAAGTTTGACTAATTTCAGGGAAGCAGGGATGTTTTTCTATAATGTGCTCTTTCTCTTAAAAGCACCTCTGATTAAGTTTAGTCTAATCAAGATAATCTCTCTTATGATAAACAGGAAGCCAATTGATTAGTAACCTAATTACATGAATAATGTCCCGCCACAGTCACACATTTTCTCACACTAAAAGGATTACACAGCAGGTGTGCACTGAAGTGGGAACCTGAGGGTCTTCTGAGAATTTTGCCTACCCACCTGAATAGATTTCTAAAATAGCCTTTTAGTTGCTTTTGTTGTCTAAGAAAACGAAGATATCATCTGCAAATAATAATTAATTTCACTGCTTTTCAATTTTATTCATTAAAATAATGATTTTTCTGGCTTATATGAAGTTATTTCTCATTTATATTATACATTCACATACATACCTATATAACAATACAAATGTGTCCATTTTTAATTTTTGTTAAATTTTTAAGAATGGATGTTAAAGATAACTTATTTTCTGTTTGAAAGTGTTTTTATTGTTGTATTCAACAGTATTATCTCTGGAGTCAAAGTTCCTTGTGTTTTAATGCTGGCTCTGCTACTGTGAGCAGGTTATTTCTGTGGCTCTGTTTCTTTCTTTGTAAATTGAGGATAATAATAATACCTTTGTTATTAAGTTACTGAGTGTATTAGTCCATTCTCACACCGCTATGAGGGCATACCCAAGACTAGGTAAATTATAAAGGAAAGAGGTTAACTTGCCTCACAGTTCAGCATGACCAGGGAGGCCTCAGGAGATTTACAATCACAATGAAAGGGAAAACAAACATGTCCTTTTTTATACGGTGGCCAGAAGAGAAAAGGTGCTGAGCAAAAGGGAGAAAAGCCCCTTATAAAACCATTAGACCTCATGCGAACTTACGCATTATCAAGACAACAGAATGAGGGTAACTCACTGCAGGATTCAATTACCTCCCACCAGGTGTCTCCCATGACACATAGAAATTATGTGAACTACAATTCATAATGAGATTTGGGTGTGGACACAGCCAGACCATATCACTGTGCGAACAAAATTTATTAACACATGTATAGTATTATGGTTAATGCTCAGTACAAATTTGCTATTATTAATGAGATATTTATATGCTGAATTATGTTAATACATGCTTTCAAACAAATATTTTTCCATTACACATTGAGTTTTCCAACCAATAGATGAATATATAAATTACAATTTTGTTCTAAATATGGTATATACATTTAGAATAATAGTATACACAATGGAACATTATGTAGCCTTAAAAGGGGGAAACACTGTCAATTGAAAAAATATGGATAAATTTAGAGGATATTTTGCTAAGTACAAAAGCCAGACACACAAAGAAAAATACTGCATGATTTCACTTATGTGTAGAATCTAATAAAGTTGAAATAACAAAGTAGAATGTGGAAAAATTGGTTATCAGAGGCTGTTGTTGATAAAAGAATGCAAAGTTTTACAGACAGGATAAAGAGGTTTTCAGATCTATTGCACAGTAGGGCGATTATAATCAATGATAATGTAGGTATATTTCAAAATAACAGTAAGTTTTAATGTCTCACCACAAAAAATGATAGGTAAGTGAGGTGATAGATGTTAGTTAACTTGACTTAATTAGTCCATATTTTATACACGTATCAAAACATTACACTGTACCACATAAATGTATACAATTTTAATTTGTCAACCAAATATCCCAGTAATACATGTGTTTTTTTTATTAACTTTAAAAAATAGGGCCAGAGAAATAAATGTTTCTTCATATCTTATAATTTCAGGAACAGTATACATGTATTTTTAATTACACATGGCTTATCACTCAATAAAATGTTAATTATCACTGTTCAGAATAATACAATGCTTGCTTTCTTTTTTTTGAGATGGAGTTTTGCTCTTGTTGCCCAGGCTGGAGCACAGTGGTGTGATCTCGGCTCACTGCATCCTCCACCTCCCAGGTTCAAGTGATTCTCCTGCCTCAGCCTCCCAAGTAGCCGGAATTACAGGCATGTCCCACCATGCTAGGCTAATTCTGTATTTTTAGTAGAGATGGGGTTTCTCAATGTTGGTCAGGCTGGTCTCAAACTCCCGACCTCAGGTGATCCGCCCGCCTCGGCCTTATGAAGTGCTGAGATTACAGGCATAAGCCACCACGCCTGGTCTTATTTGATAATAGAATACTTTCAAAGACAGACTCTAAAGCAACTGTTTAAAGTAAAATTCTCTCAAGATAAATGATTTCCTTCACTTATAGAGAAAAGTTATTTAAATATTGATTTTAAACTACCTTTAAATTTATCAAGTGAACATAAAAAATTAGTTGGCAAAAAATAATTTATTAAACAAGTAGATCAGAAAACAATTTGCCTCTTTGCCTAATTTTAAAACTGAACAACACTCAGCATTTAAGTGTTTATTATCTGGCATTTCTAGAGTGGTAAAAAGCAGTACAAGATGAGGGATCTTTCTTTAGTATTTATATTCATGCTGTATGAGAATATATGAAAATTTGCCAAGGATAATATTAAAAATATCCATCGACTATTATAGTCCCAAACTGACCAATTAAAATGAACATGGATTGAACCCCCTGGTGTGGACACCTTGTTGTTCCCAGGCTTAACATTGGTTCTGATCTAAAACACTATACAAATCACCAGAGCTAATAAATTTTCTGTACACTCACTATATGCTAGGCACTCTTCTGACACCTTTATTTGTATTAATTGCTTTAATTTTACCAAAAACCTAGGATTTAGGTAGTGTTATCCTTACTGTAAAGATGAACAGTCAAGCACAGAGACGTCAAGAAACTACCTCCAGGTCACACAGCCCATAAGTGTCAGAACCAGGATGCAATCAGAGACCACCAGATATTGAGTTTTAATATTAACCATTATGGCCAGCCCCCTCACACTCAATGTTTTTTTTTCCATTTTTTATTTAACATTTTTAGTTTGAATTTTCTAATTTAGTAGAAATGAAGCAGAATTTAAAAACAACTTTTTTGACCCTTAGATAGTATGGAGAACTTCATTTTGCATTCAAAGTACTCATAACAAAGCCTAACATAAATACTTTGGTTGGTAAACGCTTTCTAACCACGTCATTCCTCTCATTACTTAAGAGTCACTAATGATACTTTTGAAAAATAGCTTTTACACTAAGAGCTACAATGAAGCTGGGTGCAGTGGCTCAAACCTATAATCCTAGGACTTTGGGAGGCCAGGCATGTGGATTACTTGAGGTCAGGAGTTTGAGACCAGGTTGGCCAATGTATTGAAACTCCATCTCTACTAAAAACATAAAAATTAGTCGGGTGTGGTAGCAGTGACTGTAATCCCAGCTACTCGGGAGGCTGAGGCAGGAGAATCACTTGAACCTGGGAGGCAGAGCTTGCAGTGAGCCGATGTCACGCCATTGCACTCCAGCCTGAGCAAAAGAGTAAAACTCCATCTGAAAAAAAAAAAGCTAGAATAAGCCTATTATTTTATTTAAAATTTGTGATCTAAATGTACAACCTTATTCATTGAGTGCTCTAAAGTTCCTGAAAGTTTTGAAAACACTAATAAAAGAATACTTTTTCATATGGAATGATTAAAGAATATTGTTTTCTCAGTTACTAAAATGAAACAAATTAGAATTACTAATCAGTCGCTTACAATGTGGTTTTAAATGTTATTTAATGACCACATGTGTAGTTTCTTTGAGCTCATTTTAACAATTTATTTCTACTGCTTCTTCACTTCTGTTAGAAAATAATTAAAATTTATGTTACTAAATAGGTGTGAATTTTAATCTTAGTGATCATCTTAAAAGACCTTGTATACTTACGATCATAGAAACCCTTTTCACTATTTACGTTTAGAAGAGAAATAATTGCTTTGCAGTAGACCAAACAGGGCAATTGTTGCTCAAAATGATCAGTGATTCCAACATTAGTACCATCATCTAGCTAGAACTTAGAGATATCTGCATGTTGAAATTGTTTTAACTTATAATATTTAGAAACCATAAATTTCTATAAAGAACTAAAAAATGTATCAATGCATTTTCCTCAGTTTTTCTGTGCTGTTTGTTATTTAATTTGTCAGCAATAGCAATAGAAACTCTGCATATTGTGGGTCCAGCAGAGCATGGGACGAGCCAATGTGCTTTAGGGCTTTTACTTTCAGCTTGGGCACCTTTAGTTTCTGGTGCTGATGGCAATGTAATGGAAGACACTGAAAATCAGGTGTTGCCCTCTGTCACATGATTGGTTGTGAACACAATAAACGTCTTTGCATGAAAAACAACTGAGTAAATGTTTTAACCCAAAAGCTGCCATAATCTCCAAAATTTTCCCAGAAAAATGCCCAAAATGTTGGCTACACTTAGGTGACTAAGAGTGAAAACTATAGACTGTGAACCTCACCCACTCAAAAATAATCATAAAATAATGGAAAAATCTCTCAAGATTGTAACATTAATATGAAAAAAGAAATATTCCAAATTGTAAATCCACAGAGCTCATTTTATTTGCAACATTTAACATTCACACTAAAAAATACATGATTCTGCATGAAAACATAAGTTGTGCTATAAATATATGATAAAAATTACATTTAATTATCCCTTAATATTAACTCTCTGATAAGTTTAATTTCTAAAATATATTTTCTAACTAATTTTGTATATGCTACACTTTGTCTTAGAATCTAATAAAAAATTTTTACTAAGACAAACAGTGCTTCCTGATTTAATCTTCTCACCTGTAGACAGTGTATGCCTCTTATCTCAATTAAGTGATCTGGAAGTTACATCGAGAAGCTATAAATAAGCTCAAACTCCCAAGTTTAACACAGTTTTTCACCATATTAAAAAATTCCAAACTTCTCATCAGAACCTACAAAGTACTGTGTGAAATGACATTGTACAGAGAGAACAGTGAGAAAGCTGTAGCCATAGTACAGAAAAAAGGGGAAGAGCTGTGATGGACACATCATTTGGATAGACATAAAAAGACACAAAACAAAAGATAATCAGAAAATTTAAAAAGCAGAATTTTTATTTAAATTCAGAGGCAGCCTGGGAACAGATGTCCTCTGCACATGCAGAATCAATGTTACAGTTTCACCATGAATATTTTCCATCTGTGGCTGAGAGTTACAAAGAAACTCCAGCAGGAATAATTATGGCTGATTATGAAGCATCTAGGACACAGACAGCCCTATCTTATATTTGTGCCTTAGTCTCTTTTTACACTGCTATAAAGATACTACCCAAGCCTGGATAATTTATGATGAAAGGAAGTTTAATTGACTCACAGTTCCACATGGCTGGGGAGGCCTCAGGAACCTTACAATAATGGGAGAGGGTGAAGGAGAAGCAGGTATCTTCTTCACTAGGTGGCAGGAGAGAGGGAAGGGAGGAAAAATTACCACTTATAAAACCATCTGATCTCATGAGAACTTACTCACTATCATGAGAAGACCATGGGTATCATTCTGTTCCTGGCTCCTTCCAAATATAATGCTCTTTTTATATTTCAAAAGCAAACATACTTTCCCAACAGTCCCCCAGTGTCTTAACTCATTTTAGCATTAACGCAAAAGTCTACATACATCTGAGACAAGGCAAGTCCCTGCTGCCTATGGGCCTGTAAATCAAAAGCAAGTTAGTTACCCCCAAGATACAATAGGGGTACAGGCATTAGATAAATTCTATTTCAAATGGGAGAAATTGGCCCAAACCAAGGAGATACAGGCCCTATGTAAGTTTGAATTCCAACGGGTCGGGTCAGTCATTAAATCTTAAAGGTCTGAGATGATCTCATTTGACTCCATGTCTCACACGTGGATCATGCTGATGCGAAGGGTGGGCCCTCATGGCCTTGAGCAGCTCCTTCATGGACTGGAATTGAATGCCTGTGGCTTTTCCAGGTGCTCAGTGCAAGCTCATAGTGAATCTGGCATTTTGGGGTCTGGAGTATAGTGGCCTTCTCACAACTCCAGTTGGCAGCTTCAGTGGGGACTCTGCATGAGAGCTCCAACCCCACATTTCCCTTCTGCATTGCCCTAGCGCAGGTTCTCCATGAGGGCTCTGCCCCTGCAGAAGACTTCTGCCTGAATACAAATTTGACCTATGGGAAAAAAAAAATTCTTCAACTTATTTGCAGTTAAAAACCACTGGCAGTCCAGGTGTGGTGGCTCACACTTGTAATCCCAGCACTTTGGGACGCCGAGGCAGGTGAATCACCTGAGATCAGGAGTTCGAGCCCAGCCTGGCCAACATGATGAAACCCCATCTCTACTACAAATACAAAAATTAGCCAGGTGTGGAGGCATGTGCCTGCAGTCCAGCTACTTGGGAGGCTGCGGCAGGAGAAACACTTGGATCCAGGAGGCGGAGGTTGCAGTGAGCCGAGATCGTGCCACTGCACTCCGGCCTGGACAACAGAGCAAGACTCCATCTCAAAACAAACAAACAAACAAAAAACACTGGCAAAAAAGGTATTACTAGAGATGTCATTCCCCTACATTAATAGTATATTGTTACCGTCTTTTACTTAGAACCTTAAGATGGCAAATTAACACTTCGTTCAAAGCACTATAGTTTTATCATATTAAAAACAACTTTGTTTAATGAAAAAATTATGTTCACACATAATCTTTAAATTTTTAAAAAATTTATTGCATTTTATTTACATAAAAGTACAATTGATAAAATAATTTACTACTAATATTCAAACGTTTTCCTCTCACTAGAATTCAGAATATTACTCTGAACACCTGCCTTATACATCACTAAAACAATGTTAAGTCAACAACAAAGAGCCTCTCCATTTACATTTTCATTATGCATCTTACAACTTAATGTCCTTACTCTTCCATAGAAAAGTTCATGAATAATGGACATCTAATAAAAAACTATCTCTCATATCTCTGATGCAACAATCACACAAATACTTTCACAACGGGAAGAAAGAATCAACATGAAGTAATCTGAGACTTCAGATACATTATTATTTGCTTTTCAGAAAATCTAATGTTTTTCACAGAAAAAGAAGCATACCTCGAATGTAACTATAAATCTCTAAAAAAATCTACTTTACAATGTATATAGTGTTACCTTTGGACCTTTTTTACACTCAACACTCTGATTTAGTGTAATGTCTGAAGTTTCAGTGCCTTCATTCTTTCTATTGTGAATCCTCAAATGTTTATATAGACTTAATTTTTGATTAAATATATTTTCCCCATTTACTAGATCTGCAAAAATATTTAGCATAAACTGGTGTTTTCTAAGCTGTAGTTTTTGTACAAATGTTTTTTCACATTCATTACATTTTTAGACTTTCCAATATAAAGTCTCTGATGTTCAACAAAGTCTGAGCATCTGCTTCAGGGTTTTCCTTTAATATAAAATGTGCACAATAAAATCTGTAATGCAAGTAAAGGTACTACAATCCTCTTTTTGTAATGTTTGTCTTCAGAATAAATAGTCTTTAAAGACCTATATTTTCTGAAAGGTCTTTTTATAGTAATCACATTTATAATGTAATCACATTTATAATGGATAGAGTCTTCCTGTCACCCAGGCTGTGGTGTAGTGGCTTGATCTTGGCTGACTGCAACCTCTGCCTTCCAGATTCAAGCAATTCTGCCTCAGCCTCCCGAGTAGCTGGGACTACAGGCACATGCCAACACACCCTGCTAATTTTTGTATTTTTAGTAGAGATGGGGTTTCACCATGTTGGCCACACTGGTCTTGAACTCCTAACCTCATGATCCACCCACCTTAGCCTCCCAAAGTGCTGGAATTGTAGGCGTGAGCCACCACACCCGGCCTTTAATGCTTTTATTAAGTATGAACTTTCTGATATTAAGATGTGAGTGGATATTAATGGCTTTTCACATTCTTGTATTTGTACAATTTTTCTCTAACATAAATCCTTTCTAGTGCAATAAGGTGTGAGAATTTGTTAAAAGTTTTGCCACATTCTTCATAGTTGTAGTTTTCTTCGGTATAAATTATCTTACCTACCATAAACGTGTGACTACCATTTAAAGGCCTTGCCACATTGAACACATTTCTAGAGTTTCTCACCAGTATGGTTTGTTTCTTAGAAAAGACTGAGGTGTGGTTAAATGCTCCATCACATTTTTTATGTATGTGGAGTTTCTCTCCAGTATGAAATTGTTTAATTAATAAGGATGGAGAACCAGTTAAAGGCTTTGCCACATGTTTTTTTCTACAATTGCTGGGGTTCTCTCCAATATCAATTATCTTACATTTATTCAGGTTTAAGGACTTTTTAAAGACATTGCCATATTCCTTATTGTAGGGTTTCTCTTCGTATTAATTCTCATGTATAATAAGGGTTCAAGACTAGTTGAAAGCTTTACCACATTCTTTGCTTTTGTAGGGCTTCTCCGTAGAAAGAATGATCAGATATTGTGTAAGGCCTGAGATGTGCTTAAAGGTTCTGTCACATTTTTAACCCTTGTAGGGTCTCTCTAATACAAATTCTCTTAGGCTTTGGAAGGCTCAGGCAGGTGGATCACCTGAGGTCAGGAGTTCGAGACCAGCCTGCCCACCATGCTGAAACCCCATCTCTACCAAAAATACAAAAATCAGCCAGTGTGGTGGCATGCACCTGTAATCCCAGCTACTCAGGTGACTGAGGCAGGAGAATCAATTGAACCAGGAAGGCAGAGGCTGCAGTGAGCCAAGATAGTGCCACTGCACTCCTGCCTGGGTGAAAAAGTGAGATTCCATCTTTAAAAAAAATTGTTTTTAAAAATAAATTCTCTTAGGTTCATTAAGGTGTGAGGGCTGGTTAAAGGCTTTGTTACATTTTTTTACATTTACAAGATTTTTGTCCAATATGAATTCCCTTATGTACAATAAAGGTTTGGAACTGGTTAAAGGCCTGGTCAAATTCTCCACACTTGTAGTGATTTTTTTTTCCAGTATAAATAATTTTATGTATTATAAGGCCTGAAGGCTGGATTTTGCCATATCTTCACATGTATAGGGTTTCTCTCCAGAATGAATTTACTTACAATAAAAGTGAGCACAAATTAAAATCTTTGCTACATTCCTTACAATTGTAGGGGTTCTCTATCATGTGAATTATCTTATATTCAGTAAGGATTGAGCATTGATCAAAGACTTATGACATTCTTCATATTTCTAGGGTTTCTCTCCAGTATGAATTCTCTTATATTTAGTAAGGTTTGAGAACCAGTTAAAGGCTTTACCACATTTTTCACATTTGTAGGGTGGCTCTCCAGTATGAATTCTCTTGTGTCCAATAAGATGTGAGCTCTGGTTAACGGTTTTGGCACATTCTTCACATTTGTAGCATTTCTCTCTAGTATGAATTTTCTAATTTTTGGTAAGGATTCAGCCATGCATAAAAGCTTTTTCACATTCTTCACAGTTGTATGGTTTCTCTCCAGTATGAATCCTCTTATGTTGAGAAAAGTATGAGAACCAGTTAAAAGTTTTGCCACATTCTTCACATGTGTAGGATTTCCTTCCAGTATGAGTTCTCTTGCGTTCAGTGAGATGTGAGCCCTGGTTGAAGCCTTCGGCACATTCTTCACATTTGTAGAGTTTCTCTACAGTACGAATTCTCTTATTTCGAATAAGGTTTGAAAACCAGTTAAAGGCTTTTCCACATTCCTCACATTTGTATGGTTTCTCTCCTGTATTAATTCTCTTATGTTGAATAAAGATTAAGCACCAGTTAAAAGCTTTGCCACATTCATCACATTGAAAGATTAACATTGGTTAAGTCCACTATAACTTTTTTCTGTCCCGTACACTAACCCACGCTTTTCCAGTCTTTTAACTTTAAATTTTCAATGCCATAGCTTTCATATCTTCTCATTATCACTTTTGGGAATAAATGTTTTATGCTCTGCCCAGGCAAAAGGTCTGGAGTAAAATGAGAGGACACAGCTAAAAATAAATAAATAAATAAATTATACCACTTATTAGACTCAGGTAAGCATACTCTATGAATACAAAATATAAAATTATACCAAGCACAATAAAATGGCATAATACCACAAGCCCAAATTCCTTAATAGACATGTAAACTTAACAAAAATATATTGACGAAAATGCCATTGTAACAGCTCTAAAAACCAGTTAAAAGATTGCAGTGCCACAGATGAGAATGATGCCAAAAGCCACATAGAAGACAAAAGAACATTTGTTACATTTATCCACCACAGCCATACCTCCTCCCCAATACAAAATAATGCCTTTAAGTGTAAACTCTCGACTCCTGGCTTCTCTCTCAAAAGTGAAAAAAAAAAAAATAGTGGCACATGTGTCCATACTTCTGGCTTTGAGGGGTCTTTCCAAAGACTGGTTTCTGTCTACCGTGACACAGAGTGCTGAAAGAAATGGTGCTATACTTTGAATGTCAGGTTAGTGTCTATGAGACAAAAGGTAAATGATTGTTACAGCACAGAGAGACTGTAGGACCACAGACAAACAGCAGGTGTACCAACTAATTACAGGCTCTTCAGCAGGAACATGGGCAAATCCACATAACTCAATAAACGGAACACAAATCTAGGGAAGAGACATCTTAAGAACAGGTTTGAGAAATTCTCAATATGTAGCCTGGCTCACTTTGGGAGGCTGAGGCAGGTGGATCACGAGGTCAGGAGATCGAGACCATCCTGGATAACATGGTGAAACCCCATCTCTAATAAAAATACAAAAAAAATAATTAGCTGGGCATGGTGGCGGGCACCTGTAGTCCCAGCTACTCAGGAGGCTGAAGCAGGAGAATCGCGTGAACCTGTGAGGTGGAGCTTGCAGTGAGCTGAGATCGCGCTTCTGCACTCCATCCAGCCTGGGTGACAAAGCGAGACTCCGTCTCAAAAAAAAAAAAAAAAAAAAAGCTACCCCAGTGTTAACCTTTTCAGTTAAAGGCTGAGAGAAATCACACCTCTCTACAGTGAATGCCTCAACTAGATACTTCCACATGACCTATTATTATTATATCAACAATCATAACTTTATTCTCCGTTATTCAATTAAAACTACCAAAGTTCATTTACCACACACCCCCTACACCAAAAATAATTAAAACACAAAAACATAACAACCCTTGACAACTAAAATGAACGAAAATCTGCTCACCTCATTTACTGCCCCGACAATCCTCGGTTTACCCGCAGCAGCACTAATCATCTTGTTTCTCACCACACTGCTTCCAATCTCCAACTATCTAATCAATAACTGATTGATTTCTATTCAACAATCACTAGTTCAACTTGTTCTAAAACAAATAATAATCACACATACTATTAAAGGATGAACCTGATCCCTTATACTAATATCCCTAATTCTCTTTATTGCCTTAACCAATCTCCTTGGGCTTCTACCCCACTCATTTACACCGACTACCCAACTATCAATAAATCTAGGTATAACAATCCCCTTATGAGCAGGCACAGTAATCACAGCCTTCCACTTTAAAACTAAAAACTCCTTAGCTCACTTCCTACCACAAGGCACACCCATACTACTTACCCCTATACTAGTAATCATCAAAACCACTAGTCTACTTATTCAACCAATGGCACTAGCTGTACATTTAACAGCCAACATTACAGCCGGTCACTTACTCATACACTTAATTGGAGGAGCCACGCTAGTATTATCAATTATTAACCTTCCCACAGCTTCAAACACCCTTATTATTCGAATTCTATTGACCACTCTCGAATTCGCTGTGGCCCTTATCCAAGCTTATGCCTTTACGCTATTAGTAAGCCTTTATTTATATGACAACACATAATGACCCACCAAACACACACCTATCATTTCGTCAAACTCAGCCCTTAACAAGGGCTCTCTCCTCTCTCCTAGTTACATCCAGCTTAGCTATATGATTTCACTTTAACTCTATTACTCTTTTAACCTTAGGCCTACTAAACAATACACTGACTATATATCAATGGTGACATGACATTATCTGAGAAAGTACATTTCAAGGCCACCATACAACAATTGTCCAAAAAGGCATCTGATATGGAATAGTACTATTTATTATCTCAGAAGTATTTTTCTTTGCTGGATTTTTCTGGGCATTCTACCATTCTAGTCTAGCCCCAATTCCAGAACTAGGAAGACACTGACCCCCAACAAGCATTTCTCCCCTTGACCCTCTGGAAGTACTCCTCCCGAATACATCTGTATTACTTGCATCAGGGGTTTCAATTACCTGAGCCCATCACAGCCTAATAGAAAATAATCGAAAACAAATAATTCAAGCACTACTTATCACAATTACCTTACGTATTTACTTCACCCTCCTACAAGTCTCAGAATACTTTGAGGCTCCCTTTGCTATTTCTGATGGAATTTATGGCCCAACATTCTTTACACCTACAGGCTTTCACGGACTTCACATCATTATTGGATCAACATTCCTCACTATCTGTCTCCCCTGCAAATTAAAATACCACTTTACATCTAGCCATCACTTTGGCTTTGAAGACGCCACCTGATATTGACACTTTGTAGATGTAGTATGACTATTCTTGTATATTTCTATTTACTGATGAGGATCTTACTCTTTTAGTATAAACAGTACCACTGACTTCCAATCATTTAGTTTGGACAACATCCGAAAAAGAGTAATTAACCTAATACTAGCCTTAGTAATCAACACCCTATTAGCCCTATCACTAACAGTTATTACATTTTGGCTCCCACTACTTAATATTTATATAAAAAAAATCCAGCCCCTACGAATGCGGATTTGACCTGTTATCCTCCGCCCACATTCCTTTCTCCATAAAATTTTTTCTAATAGCCATCACATTCCCCCTATTTGACTTAGAAATCGCCCTACTACTTACTACCCTTGCCATAAGCCCTTCAAACAAGCAATCTGACACTAACAAACAGCACAGCCCTTATACTAGTTATCATTTTAGTCCTAGGGTTAACTGATGAATGAACTCAAAAAGGATTAGATTGAACTGAATTGGTAGATAGTTTAAGCCAAAATAAATGATTTTGACTCATTAGATTATGATACAACATATTTACCAAATGCCCTCTATTTATATCAATATCATATTAGCATATACCATATCACTTCTGGGGATATTAATCTATCCATCCCATCTGATAACATCCCTACTATGCCTAGAAGGAATATTATCATTATTCATCATAAATACCCTTATACCTTTAAATATATATTTCACCGTGGCATTCATAATACCCATTACCCTCCTAGTATTTACAGCCTTACTAGTTTCCATCTCCAACACCTATAGCCTAGACTATGTATATAACCTAAATTTACTTCGATGCTAAAAATTATTATTCCAACAATTATACTGCTACCAATAACATGATTCTCTAAAAACTCAATAATCTAAATCAATATGACTATTCACAGCCTAATCATTAGTTTCATTGCCCTATTATTTATTAATCAATTCAATGACAATCTATTCAACTTCTCATTAACTTTCTCTTCTGATCCACTGACATCACCTCTCCTAATCTTAACAGCCTGACTACTACCTCTTGTAATTATAGCAAGCCAGTACCACCTCTCCAATGAGTCACCCCCATGGAAAAAGCTCTATATTTCCATATTGATTACCCTACAATTTTCTTTAGTCATGGCATTCACAGCCACAGAACTAATTACATTTTATATTTCCTTTGAAGCTACACTTATCCCTACCTTAATTATTATCACCCCCTGGGGTAACCAACCAGAACGCCTCAATGCAAGCTCATATTTCTTATTTTATACACTAGTGGGATCTCTTCCCTCTACTTATGATACTTATTTATACTCAAAATACCTTAGGTTCACTGAACATGATAATAATATTTAACACCCAAGAACTATTAATCTCCTGATCAAATAACCTTATATGATTAGCATGTGTTATGGGTTTTATAGTAAAAATACCCCCATACGGACTTCACGTATGACTTCCTAAAGCTCATGTAGAAGCCCCTATTGCAGGCTCAATAGTACTTAGAGCAGTTCTCCTAAAACCAGGCAGCTACGGCATAATATGGCTTACCCTTATCCTCAGCCCCCTGACAGAATATACAGTCTACCCCTTCCTCATGTTATCCTTATGAGGGATAGTTATGATAAGCTCTATTTGTCTACGACAAACTGATCTAGAATCACTTATTGCATATTCTTCCACAAGCCGTATAGCACTTATTATTATGTCTATCCTCATTCAAACCCCCTGAAGCTTTACTGGTGCAATTACCCTCAAAATTGCCCATGGACTTCCTTCGTCCTTACTACTCTGCCTAGCAGATTCAAACTATGAGCGAATCCATAGCCAAATCATATTACCCTCCAGAGGGCTTCAAACACTACTCCCACTAATAGCCTTTTGATGACTTAGAGCAAATCTTATTAACCTTGCCTTACCCCCCACCATTAATCTAATGGGAGAACTCTTTGTAATGGTGGCTTCACTCTCCTGATCAAACATCACCATTATGCTTATAGGATTTAATATTAATCACAGCCTTTTATTCCCTATACATACTTATCACAATACAACAAGAAACACATATTACATTAATAGCATTAAACCTTCCTCTACACGAGAAAATATACTAATACACATACACTTTGCACCTATTCTCCTATTATCCCTAAACCCTAAGATTATTGTAGGTTTTATACCCTGTAAATATAGTTTAATCAAAACATTAGATTGTGGGTCTAATAATAAAAGTCTGCAACTTCTTATTTACTGAGAAAGTATGCAAGAACTGCTAACTCATGCCCCTGTGCCTAACAACATGGCTTTCTCAAGTTGTAGAGGATAAGAGCTATCCGTTGGTCTTAGAAACCAAACATATTGGTGCAACTCAAAATAAAAGTAATAATCACGTATTTTTCCATTACTATAATAACCTTAATCTCCTTAACCTTACCAATTACTACCACCTTAATCAACCCTCACAAGAACTTGGATCCATATTATGTAAAAATATCTACTGCATGCACCTTCACCATTAGCCTCATTCCCACAACGTTTGTGTATATAGACCAAGAAGCCATCATCTCAAACTGACATTCAATAACAATCCAAACCCTTAAACTCTCACTAAGCTTCAAACTAGACTACTTCTCCATAAAATTTATCCCAGTAGCACTATTTGTCACCTGATCTCTTATAGAATTCTTGATATATAAAATCAGATCCTAACATTAATCGATTTTTCAAATATTTACTTATTTTCCTCACCACAATATTAATTCTAGTTACCACCAACAACATTTTTTCAACTTTTTATCAGATGAGAAGGTGTAGGAATTATGTCTGGTTTTACTAACTGGCTGATGACACAGCTGAGCAGATGCTAATACAGCAGCCCTCCAAGCGATTCTGTATAACCGCATTGGCGATATTGGCTTCATTTTAGCTATAGCATGATTCCTCTCATCTTACAATACATGAGAACCTCAACGAGCATTTATCCTAAATCCTACCCCTGATCTGCCATTAATTGGCCTTCTCTTAGCAGCAGCGGGAAAGTCAGCTCAATTTGGCCTCTACCCCTGACCTCCTTCCGCCATGGAAGGTCCAACCCCAGTCTCAGCCCTACTCCACTCTAGCGCTGTAGTTGTAGCAGGAATTTTACTGCTTATCCACTTCCACCCCTTAATAGAAAATAATATGTTAATCCAAACCCTTAAAATGTGTTTAGGGGCTATTGCCACCTTATTTACAGCAATTTGTGCTCTAACACAAAATGTGATCAACAAAATCGTAGCATTCTCCACCTCAAGTCAACTAGGCCTTATAATAGCCACAATGGGCAAGAATCAACCACACCTAGCATTCCTACACATTTGCACCCACACCTTTTTTAAAGCTATATTATTTATAAGTTCAGGATCCATCATCCATAACCTCAACAATAAACAAGATACCTGAAAAATAGGAGGACTATTTAAGACTTTACCCCTTACTTCCTCCTCCCTTATTATTGGCAGCCTAGCACTTATGGCTATGCCTTTCCTCACAGGCTTTTACTCTAAAGATCTCATTATCAAAAGTGCAAACACATCCCTATACCAACGCCTGAGCCCTCTCTACTACTCTTATTGCCACCTCCCTAGCAAGTGTCTATAATATCCAAATTATTTTCTTTGCTCTAATAGGACAATCCCACGTCCCAACCCTAATCAGCATTGACAAAAATAACTCTTCCCTAATAAACCCAATTAAATGCCTTATAGTCGGCAGTATCTTCGCTGGGTTTCTCATCACCAATAGCATTATCCCTACACTTCATCCTCCCAAACAACAATATCACCTCACCTAAAACTCACAGCCCGAGGTGTAACCTTCCGAAGACTCTTACTGGCAATGGAACTTAGTTTTATAACTAATAATCTTAAGATAACATATCCATTACAAACATTCAGCTTCTCCAATATATAAGGATTTTACTCAATCACAATTCACCGTACAACCCCTCACTCAAACCTACCTACAAGCCAAAATCTGGCATCACTTCTGCTAGACCTAATTTGACTAGAAAAGTCCATACCAAAGACAATTTCACAGACGCAACTCAAAGCCTCCATTACCATAACTACTCAAAAAGGCCTAATTAAATTTTATTTTTTCTTTTGTTATTCCATCCTTCTTAACTTTACTCTTAATTATCTAATCTATTACCCAGAGTAATTTCAACTGCCACATAAATACTAACAATGTTCAATCAGCAACTACGAACAATCAACACCCATAATTATATAAAGCACCCGCACCCACAGAATCCTGATGCATTAACCCTGGCACCTCCCCCTCAAAAATTATTCAACTTCCCACACTAATAAAATTAACTATGATGACCACCCCATCATACTCATCATTCATCAAAGTAACAACAACTCTATTAGTAGCCCCAATAATAAAGTTTCTAAAACATCAATACTTGATCCTCATGCCTCAGGGTATTCCTCAATAGCCATCACCACAGTATAACCAAAAACAACCATCATCCCCCCCAAATAAACAAAAAAGACTATTAGTCCCATAAAAGCCCCACCATAATTCAACACAATAACACAACCTACAGCACCACTAAGAATTAACCCTAAACCCCCATAAATAGAAGGTTTAGAAAAAAAACCTACAAATCCCGTAACAAAAGAACACTTAATAAGAATAAAGCATATGTCATTATTCCCACATGGGTTATAGCCATGACTAATGATATGAAAAACCATCACTGTACTTCAAGAACACTAATGACCATTACATGTAAAACAAACCCACTAATAAAAATCATTAATTACTCATTCATTGATCTCCCCACACCATCTAATATCTCTATATGATGAAACTTTGGCTCACTTCTTGGTACCTGTTTCTGGCCATACACTAGACACCAGATACCCCAATTGCTTTCTCTTCTATTGCCCATATTAACCGAGATGTGGACTACGGCTGAAGAGTCCGCTGTTTTCACACTAATGGCCCTTCAACATTCTTCATCTGCCTCTTCCTACACGTCGGCGGAGGCTTATATTATGGGTCATTCGTACATTTAGAAACATGAAACACTGGCATTATCCTCCTACTCATAACCACAGCAACAGCATTTATAGGCTATGTGCTTCCATGAGGCCAGATACCATTCTGAGGCACTACAGTAATCACAAACCTACTATCAGCCTTCCCATATATTGGAACTGACCTTGTCCCATGAATCGAAGGTGGATTTCCAGTTTACAAAGCCACTCTTACACAACTCTTCAACTTCCACTTCATCTTACCTTTCACCATAATAGCCCTGACAATTCTCCACCTTTTATTCCTACACGAAACAGGGTCTAATAACCCTTCAGGAATTTCATCACATTCTGACAAAATCACCTTCCACCCTTACTAAACAACCAAAGATATTCTAGGTTTAATTTTTCTCCTCCTCATGTTAATAATTCTAGTACTGTTTCTGCCTGACCTCCTGAGCGACCCAGATAATTACCCCTTAGTCAACCCCCAAATACCCTGCCCCACATAAAACCACAGTGATACTTTTTATTTGTATACACAATCTTACGATCCATCCCCAATAAACCAGGAGTCAATATCTGTTCTGAACCTTAGTCACCGACGTATTCACACTCACATGAATCAGAGGACAGCCAGTTGAACATCCTTTCATTACCATCGGACAGATAGCATCTGTGATATATTTCTCTATTATTCTTGTTCTCATACCACTCACTGCCCTAATCAAGAATAAACTACTTAAATGAAACTGCCCTTGTAGTATAATCCAATACACCAGTCTTGTAAAGCAGAAATGGAGAGTCCCCTCCCTAGGGCAACTCAGAGAAAAAGCATTCCCACTTCACCATCAACACCCAAAGCTGAGATTCTAATTAAACTATTCTCTGTATTTTTTTTGGCACGCATTTTTACTACTATGTAAGTCCTGACCATCAGCACTAATACATTAATACTTTTATGTACTTCGTGCATTACTGCTAGTCCCCATGAATATATAGAATTATCAATGCTTGATTGTACACAGTACATTCACAGATTGTATGACATTACAAGCTTGCTCCACACACATATAAACAAGTATTAGCAATTTCTTAACTATCGTATATAATACTACACTTACACATAGAACTAGTTCCATATGGATATCGACCAGCACTCAAAATTCTTAATATTACATAGTGCATTCATTGGTTCATTGGACATAGCACATTTCAGTCAAAACCACCCTCCCAACATGGTTATCTCCTACTAAATTTTGGTCTCTTAGTCTACCAACCTCCGAGAAATCATCATCCTGCTTGGATGTGTTACCCTCCTTGCTCCGGGCCCATAATACTTGGGGTTGACTATACTGAAACTATACCTGGCATCTGGTTCTTAGCTCAGGGCCATAAAACTAAGATTGCCCATACGTTCCCCTTAAATAAGACATCTCGATGGACTAGTGACTATCACCATATTAACCAGACACGGGAGCACTGTCATGCATTTGGTATTTTTAACTTTTGGGGATGCTATGACTCACCATGGCGAAAGGCCTTGTCCCCTTGCCATCAGCTGTAGTCATACTTGGATTTGATTTCCACCAAACCAATTGTAGAAATCACACCTACTCCTCATGTGATCCACTCAACTCAGCCTCCCAAAGTGCTGGGATTACAGGCGTGAGCCACCGTGTCTGGCACTTTTTTTCAATTTAAAAAAAGATTTTTTTGACCAGGCAGAGTGGTCACACCTGTAATCCCAACACTTGGGGAGGCTGAGGTGGAAGGATCGCTTGAGCCCAGGAGTTCAAGACCAGCCTGGTTAACATAGGGAAACCACTTCTTCCCTAAAAATACAAAAAATTAGCCAAGCGTGGTGGTGTCTGCCTGCAGCCCCAGCAGCCCCAGCTACTTGGAAGGCTGAAACGGGAGGATTGCTTGAGCCAGGAGTTCGAGGCTGCAGTAAGATACATCTTAAGGCAGGGTAGGTAGTCAAGGAAGCGAACACGTCCTTGAGACGTGCCAATCATGGTGCTGAGATATGTGACATGTGAACAAGCATGTACAGCTACTATGCATACGCAACCAAAGGACAGCCCAAAACGTGCTTACACCTCTTCCCAGCTCCTTAGGAATTCATCATGGAAGACTCCCAGAAAGGGAGTTTCGCCAGTAATAATCAGTGCTGTCTCATTGCTACGAGCAGCCTGCCCTGAATTCTCTCTCAGGGTGAACTGTGTATTTTGCACTTCACTATTTTTTTTGAGAAGGGGTCTCGCTCTGTCACCCAGGCTGGAGTGCAGTGTTGCAATCTCAGCTCACTGCAACCTCCACCTCAGAAGTTCGAGCAATTCTCCCATCTCAACCACCCGAGTAGCTGGTATTACAGGCACACGCCACCACGCCAAGCTAATGTTGGCCAGGCTGATTTGAACTCCTCAAGTGATCCACCTGCCTCGGCCTCCAAAAGTGCTGAGATTAGAGGGATGAGCCACTGTGCCCGGGCTATTCTGCACTTAACTTCCAAAATACTTTTTTCTTTGCAATAAATTGCTCTATGCTGCATCACCTTTGCTGTGTGATTCTTGTTTAAATTCCTATTTATTTAATTTTATTTATTTATTTATTTATTTATTTATTTATTTGAGACAGGGTCTCACTATGTTGCCCAGGCGGGTCTCGAACTTTTGAGCTCAAGCTATCTGTCCACCTTGGCCTCCCAAGACAGACATTAACCACCGCACCCAGCCTAAACTCTTTTAAACTTGGAACTGCAGCCCCAAAACAGCTGTCAATAATCTCGCCACTGTACTCCAGCATGGGCGACAGTGTAAGGCCTCATCTCAGAAAAAGAAAAAGATATATTTAAAACAAGAAAAAAAAACTTTAAAAATCCTTACACTCTGGGATGCTGAGGCATGTGCATCACCTCAGGTCAGGAGTTCAAGTCCAGCCAGGTTAACATGGTGAAACCCTGTCTTTACTAAAAAAAAAATACAAAAATTAACTGGGCATGGTGGCAGGTGCCTGTAATCCCAGCTACTCGGGAGGCTGACACAGGAGAATCCTTTGAAACCAGGAGGCGGAGGTTGCAGTGAGCCGAGATTGTACCACTGCCCTCCAGCCTGGTCAACAGAGTGAGACTCCATCACAAAAAAAAAAAAAAAAAAAAAAAAAAAAAAGACAGGGTCTCCCTCTGCTGCCCAGACCGGAGCGCAGTGGTGTAGTCGTAGCTCACTGCACCCTTGACCTCCCAGGTTCAAGTGATTCTCCTGTCTCAGTAGCTGGGACTACCAGCACACATCACCATGCCTGACTAATTTTTTAATTTTTTGTGGTGATGGTCTCGCTGTTGCCCAGGCTGGTCTTGAACTCCTAGCCTCAAGTGATCCTCCTACCAGGGCCTCCTTGCAAAGAGCTGAGAGGACAGGCACGAGCCACTGTGCCTGTTCCTCCAAAGCTGCCTGTTCCTTGAGCATGATGTGTAGCAAGGGGAGCTGGAGTGAGAGCAGCACCGTGGGGAAAGGACAGGACAGCCGCCCTGAGCTGTGTGACGTTAGGCCAAACTCCTCTTCTCCAAGTGAGGTCAACCACACAGGTGATTTCAGGAGCCCGCGTCTGCTCAGATAGGCTGGATTTTAGCTTTGTAGGTGGATGGGAACCTGTGGGGGTTTAGAGATGCTGGGAGCACCTTTTTCCTGGGAGAGCTTTCCAAACAGGGAACAAACAGAGCCACTCAGGGCCCCACGGAGGGAGGATCTTACCAGAAGCCCTCACCACTGTCATGCTCCACACCGGTGGTGATGGTGATGTCATCGATGTAGGTGGTGGGTGTCGTGTACAGAAGCACAGACCACTGCAGTCCCGCGTAGTTGAAGAAGTCAGTCTGTGTTCTGGACAAAACAACCCTTGGGATACCTAGGGTGTGAAGATTGTGGTTCTCTGGGCCCTTGCCCTGGGTCCTTTGACTTCAGCTCACAGGCCTCCCCAGCCTCCCCAGATCCAGGGCCTCCACTCTGCGAAGGCCACCCTGTCCCTAGCAGGAAGACCACAGGGTGGGATGGGAAGGTGGGTGCGTGCAGTGGAGACAGGATGGTACCCACTTGGAGGTGTTGGTCATGTAGCAGATGGTCCCTGGTGGCAGGGACCCCCCCTCTTGGGGTTGAGCATATTACTGATGTTGATTAGTGACGCAGAGGCAGGAGGGCAGAGGCCCCACCTGGACCAAGCTGCTGATGTCAGCCCCTCATGCTCTAGCGTGTTGACACCATTCACCCACTGCAGACAAAGGAGATATGGGGAGGGGGTGGCAGGTCAGCGCATAAGGAGAGGCCCTGCTATTGGGCACTCCCTCACATAACCTGCAGCATGGGGCTCAGGGGCCTGCCAGGCAGATGGGAAGAATGGCATCCCGATGGGGTAGATCAGGCCACCTATCCCCCTACACAGGACATAGCCCCCAGGGCAGGGCAGAGCAGGGACCCCCACCATCCCACGCCAGAAGACAGGCTGTGGGTGGCTGCTGGGGGTCCCATGCTGGTCGGCAGCCATGCCCACCCACCCACCCTGCCTGCTCCTGGCTGCACTGACCACGATATCATAGGAGTGGGCACTGCCAATCCTCAGCACCACTCTTGCACGCAGGTCCTGGGTCCATTTCTCCGGCAGGGTCACCTCCCATTCGTACAACATCCAGCTAACAAAATGCCGCAGGCGCCAGTCCTGGCCAATGTCGTTGAAGCTGAAGGGAACCAGCACGTCCAGGGTGGGGCCTGACTGCGGAGAGAGGGGCCAGGCTCAGCTCCTAGGTCCCCAAAAAGATCTGGGGCCAGTGTGCTGCACAGCTGTGCCCCCCCGCAGGCCTAGCGCAAGTCCTGACATACAGCAGGAACCCTTGGTGGAACGTACAGATAACTTGCTGCAACAGGTCAACTGCCAGGGCGGTTTGTGCACCTGGGCCAGTGGGGCCAGGAGTTCCTCCTCGGGAGTGGATGGGGCCCAATATCTCCCGAGACAGATGACCTACTGCCTGTCACAGGGAGGAAGGCTGGTTGGGGGGATGGGGGAGCTTTGCTTAGGACACTCTGAGTGGGGTGCACGCTAGCACACAGCCCTCTCCTCTTCCTCCTGTACTGAATGCCTCAAAGTCAGAAAAAGAGAATGTAGAATAGGCAAACGCAGCCCAGACCTCACCTGGTCCCATTTCTCTACTGACCACATCCAAGTCAGAAGGGGAACAGGGGTGGCGTCCTTGGCCTGATGTCATGTCCTGTCCTCTATCTGAACCTTGAAAACCAAGGGACCTTCCTGCCTCGGCAGAGCTGACCTCAGAACGTCTAAACTGTCCCCTCCTCCCAATCCCCAGGCCCGGCTCTGTGCAGCACATGCCACTCTGGCTAGATGAGTGTGTGGGTAATCAAAAGCCTGTAATCAGCACTTTGGGAGGTCAACGTGGGAGGATGGCTTGAGGCCAGGAATTTGAGACCAGCCTGGGCAATGCAGTGAGACCCTGTATCTTAAAAAAAAAAAAAAGTTTTTTCAGTGTTTTTTTTAAACGGAGTCTCACTCTGTCACCCAGGCTGGAGTGCAGTGGTGTTATCTCGGCTCATTGCAACCTCCGCCTCCTGGGTTCAAGCGATTTTCTTGCCTCAGTCTTCCAAGTAGCTGGGATTACAGGCATGAACCAACCACACCTGGCTAATTTTTATATTTTTAGTAGAGGCAGTGTTTCACCATGTTGGCCAGGCTGGTCTCGAACTCCTGGCCTCAGGTGATTTGCCCGCCTGCGCCTCCCAAAGTGCTGGGATTACAGGAGTGAGCCACCTAGCCTGTCCAAGGTTTTTTTCTGATTAGCCAGGCGTGGTGGCCCCAGCTAACTTGCAAGGCTGGGGCAGGAGAATCACTTGAGCTCAATGGATTGCACCACTCAGCTCCAGCCTGGGTAACAGGGCCAAACCCAGTCTCAAAAAAATTTATAAATTAAAAATAAACATTAAAAAGGACACTGCCCAGGCTCACCCTTCACCTCAGGAGGGGGCTCTGCAGGAGCACTTCCTCCTCTTCCCACCTCCTCTGCCTTGGTCTTCCCGGTTTCCCCGGGTCCCCATCCACTAGTCCCGCTCCAAGCCCATTGACCTTTAACCTCCTTTGGGCCCCCAGCTCCGGGATGCCCAGGGGAAGGAGCCTGCAGGGGGCTGGGGCTCCTCTCTCCCACTGCCGGGCTTCCGGGTGCCTCCAGGCCCTGCCCCGAGTCCTCACCTCCTGCAGTGGCCGCGGGTACCACTTCTCCTTAAAGCCCTGGCGTCGGTTGTCCAAATCGGCAGGGAAGCTCCAGAGGCCACCCAGCTCCTTGGGCTCCCGCGACGGACTCTCCTTGGGGTACAGCATCCCGCCTTGCAGTGCCAGCACACAGCAACAGCGGCCCAAACGCCGTGCAGGCCACACCTGTCCACTAGGTCACGCTTTCCACTCCACTGCTTGGCCACCGTCTGCAGGGCTAAGAGCAGTGCAGGAGGAGGCTGCGGACAGGTCGCATCAGGTACCTGAGACGATCCGCGCCATCTTTGCTGAGGGCGAGTGCCAGGCCTAGAGGGGCGGGATGGGCCTGGCGCTGCCCAGTGGGGCCTGTGGCTGGAACCCCGGGCTAGGCCTTTGGGGAAGCGGGACCCTCACTCTCAGCCCCAGCCAAGAAGGGCAAGGTCGGTTCCCCACCCCAGCACAGTCTGGACGATCCAGGGCTGCAGGCCAGGAAAGAACCCCTGAGATCGGTGGGATCCCCCTGTTTCTTCAAGGAGCACCTTCTCTTGCTTTCCACAGCAGGAATTTGAGCAGGCCACAGCAGAGCCTCTTCCATGCCTGTTGGATGCAATAGAGTGAGATTCCACCTTGGGAGGCCAAGGTGGGCAGATTGCTTGAGTCCAGGAGTTCAAGACCATGGCAAAACCCTGTCTCTACTAAATATACAAAAATACTAAATACCAAAATACAAAAATTAAGACTAGGCATAGTGGCTCACACCTGTAATCTCAGCACTTTGGGAGGCCAACGTGGGAGGATCTCTTGAGGAAAGGAATTTGAGACCAACCTGGGAAACACAGTGAGACCCCCATCTCTACAAAAAATATAATTAAGGCTGGGCGTGGTGGGTCATGCCTATAATCCTAGCACTTTGGGAGGCCAAGGCAGGCAGATCACAAGGGCAGGAGTTCGAGACCAGCCTGGTCAATATGGTGAAATCCCGTCTGTACTAAAAATACAAAAAAATTAGCTGGGTGTGGTGGCATGCGCCTGTAATCCCAGCTGCTCAGGAGGCTGAGAGAGGAGAACCACTTGAATCCAGGAGGCAGACGCTGCAGTGAGCCGAGATCACGCCACTGCACTCTAGCCTGGGCCACAGAGGGACACTGTCTCCAAAAAAAAAAAAATAATAAGAGAAAAAAGAAGAAATGAGCAGCCTGGTAGGAAGATGGGGCAGCCCTGAAAGGCTCGGTGAATGTACCAGTCTGAAGCTAACACTCCGCAGATCTGGGATGCTGCCCTCCAAGATGTGGTACACGCTGACAGCTTTCTTTTCCCTCTTCCTCCTCCTCCTCATTTAAAGGCAGGAGCCAGCGTGCCTGGCTGTTTATTCCTCTTCCTCCTTCTCCTTTACAGGCGTGAGCCATCAAGCCTGGCTTCCTCCTCCTCCTCCTCCACAGGTGTGAGCCACCTCCTCTGGTTCTTTGTTGTCCTCCTCCTCATTTAAAGGCGGGAGCCACTGCCTGGCTATTACTTTCTCCTCCTCATCCTCCTTTACAGATGTGAGCCACCACGCCTGGCTGTTTCTTCCTCCTCCTCCTCTACAGACCTGAGCCACCTCGCCGGGATGTTTCCTCCTCCTTCCCCTCCTTTACAGCCATCGGCCACAACTGGCTGTTTTTTCCTCCTCCTCCTCCTCTTCTACAGACTTGAGCCATCGCACCTGGCTATTTCCTCCTCCTCCTCCACTTTCACAGGCGTGAGCCACCACGACTGTTTTCTCCTCCTCCTCTTTTACACACGTGAGCTGCTGTTTCCTCCTCCTCCTTCTCCTCCTTTACAGGCGTGAGCCATCACACCTGGCTGTTTCCTTTTCCTTCCTCTCTTCCTCTTCCTCCTTTACAGGCGTGAGGCACATGACTCTGTTTTTTCCTCCTTTGCAGGCGTGAGCCACCATGCCTGGCTGTTTCCTCCTCCTCCTTCTCCTCCTTTAACAGGCATGAGCCATGATGCCTGGCTGTTTCCCCCTCCTCCTCCTTTACAGGCGTGAGCCTCCATGCCTGGCTGTTTCCTCCTCCTCCCCCTTTAACAGGGATGAGCCACGGCACCTGGCAGTTTCCTCCTCCTCTTCCTTTACAGGCGTGAGCCACCACACCTGGCTATTTCCTCCTCCTCCTCCTCTTTTACAGGGGTGAGCCACCAAGCCTAGCTGTTTCCTCATCCTCCTCCTTCTCTTTTACAGGCGTGAGCCACCACACCTGGCTGTTTCTTCCTCCTCCATAAGCATGAGCCACCTCGCCTGGCTGTTTCCTCCTCCACCTCCTCCGCTTATACAAGCATGAGCCACTGTGCCTGTCTCCTCCCCCTCCTCCTCCTCCTCCCCCTCCTCTGGC
The DNA here is from genome assembly GCF_000001405.40 of Homo sapiens. Taxonomy (NCBI): domain Eukaryota; kingdom Metazoa; phylum Chordata; class Mammalia; order Primates; family Hominidae; genus Homo; species Homo sapiens. The sequence continues at coordinate 57,182,241 of NC_000007.14, forward strand.
ATGAGCCACCTCACCTGACTGTTTCCTCCTCCTCCTCCTTTACAGGCCTGAGCCACCAAGCCTGGCTATTTCCTCCACCTCCTCCTCCTCCTCTTTTACAGGCATGAGCCACCACACCTGTTTCCTCCTCCTCCTCTTTTACAGGCGTGAGCCACCACACTTGGCTGTTTCCTCCTTCTCCTCCTCTTTTACAGGTGTGAGCCACCGCGCCTGTTTCCTCCTCCTCCTCCTCCTCTTCCTCCTCCTCTACAGGCGTGAGCCTCTGTGTCTGGCTGTCCTCTTCCTCTTTGAGAGGCGTGAGCCACCATGCCTGGCTGTTTCCTCCTCCTCCTTCTCTTTTACAGGCATCAGCCACCATGCCTGGCTGTTTCCTCTTCCTCCTCCTCCTCCTCCTCCTTTTACAGGTGTGAGCCACAACACTTGGCTGTTTCCGCTGCTGCCTCCTCCTCCTCCTCGAGGCGTGAGCCACCACACCTAGCTGTTTCCTCCTCCTCCTTTAACAGGCATGAGCCATGACATCTGGCTGTTTCCTCCTCCTCCTCCTTTACAGGCGTGAGCCCCACACCTGGCTATTTCCTCCTCCTCCTCCTCTTTTATAGGGGTGAGCCACCACGCCTGGCTGTTTCCTCCTCCTCCTCATTTTACATGCAGGAGGCAGTGTGCCTGGCTGTTTCCTCCTCCTCCTCCTCTACAGGCCTGAGCCACCTGCCTGGCTGTTTCCTCCTCCTCCTCCTCCTTCACAGGTGTGAGCCACCTCACCTGTCTGTTTCCTCCTCCTCCTCCAACTCCAACTCCTCTTCTACAGGCAGGAGCCATCACGCCTGGCTGTTACCACCTCCACCTCCACCACCACCTGCACCTCCACCTCCACCTCCACCTCCACCTCTTCCTTTACAGGCGTGAGTCACCTCACCTGGCTGTTTCCTCCTCCTCCTCTTCATTTTATTTTATTTATTTTTTAGACAGAGTCTTGCTCTTGTCAACCAGGCTAAAGTGCAATAGCATGATCTCAGCTCACTGCAACCTTCCCCTCCTGGGTTCAAGCAATTCTGCCCCAGCCTCCCAAGTAGCTGGGATTGCAGGTATCCACCACCACTTCCAGCTAATATTTGTATTTTTAGTAGAGACGGGGTTTCACCATGTTGGCCAGGCTGGTCTTGAACTCCTGACCTCATGTGATCCACCCGCCTTGGCCTCCCAAAGTGCTGGGATTTCAGACATGAGCCACTGTGCCCAGAATAACAATAATAATAATAATAATTATTATTATTATTATTTGAGACAGAATTTCGCTCTTCTTGTCCAGGCTGGAGTGCAATGGTGTGATCTCAACTCATTGCAACCTCCACCTCCCAGGTTCAAGTGATTCTCCTGCCTCAGTCTCCCACATAGCTGGGACTACAGGCATATACCACCATGCCCGGCTAAGTTTTTGCATTTTAATAGAGAGAGGGTTTCACCATTTTACTCACACTGGTCTTGAACTCCTGACCTCAGGTGATCCACCCACCTCAGCCTTCCATGGTGCTGGGATTACAGGCATGAGCCACCACGCCCACTCTATAATTATGTTATAATAATATCTGTCATGCTGATCTGTGACCAGTGATCCTTGATGTTACTATTATATTGGTGCCAAAGTAATTGGGGATTTTCCCACTGAAAGTAATGGGACTAGGCCAGGTGTGGTGGCTCATGCCTGAAATCCCAGCACTCTGGGAGGCCAAGGTGGGTGGATCATCTGAGTTCAGGAGTTTGAGACCAGCCTGACTAACATGGCGAAACCCTATCTCTACTAAAAATACAAAAATATTAGCCAGGCATGGTGGCAGGCACCTGTAGTCCCAGCTACTCGGGAGGCTGAGGCAGGAGAATTGCTTGAAACTGGGAGGTAGAGGATGCAGTGAGCCAATCGAGCCACTGCACTTCAGCCTGGGTGACAGAGCGAGACACTGTCTCAAAAAAAAAAAAAAAAAAAGTAAGATCAACAATGGAAGCAGAGAGAGACCTGAAGATGCTACACCACTGGTCTTGAAGACGGAAGAAGGAACTACAAGCCAAGGAATGCAGGTGGCCTCTAGAAACTGGAAAAAACAGGGAAATGGATCCTCCTATAGATCCTGGATGCCACTTGATTTCATCTCAGAAAAACCAATTTTAGACTTGTGACATCCAGAATTATAAGATAACACATATTACGTTGAGTCACTGAATTCATGGTTTAGGCCAGGCATGGTGGCTCATGCCTGTAATCCCAGCACTTTGGGAGGTTGTGGCAGGTGGATGGCTTGAGCTTAGGAGTTTAAGACCCCATCTCAGTTTTTAAAAAAATAAAATAAAATTATTTAAAAGTTTGGTTTCTCTTTTTTCTTTTTTTAGGAAGGAATCTCACTCTATTACCTAGGCTGGAGTGCAGGGGCATGGTCTCGGCTCACTGCAACCTCTGCCTCCCAGGTTCATGCGATTCTCCCACCTCAGCCTCTCAAGTAGCTGGGACTACAGGTACATGCCACCACACCCAGCTAACTTTTGTATTTTTAGTAGAGATGAGATTTCGCCATGTTGGCCAGGCTGGTCTTGAACTCTTGTGACCTCAAGAGATCTGCCTGCCTCGGCCTCCAAAAGTGCTGGGATTACAGGTGTGAGCCACCATGCCTGGCCAAAATCATTAAAAAAAAATTTTTTAAGTTTGTGGTAATGTATTACAGCAGCCATAGGAAGCCAGTACTGAGCTTTGGTGTAAATAGATGTTAAAAGACAAAGGAAGAGGAAAAGATCAAGCCAGCTGATAGCAGAACAGGGGAGGCAAATGTGAGTATTAGCTCAGTCCTGGAGAAGAGCTATGCAAACCCTGGATCTCCCTGAACTAAGACAGGTTCGTTCCTTCTGGTGGGGTCAGAACACATGTGTTCAAGTTCATGGGTGACAGGCACTGGTCAGCTGATTGTGGTTTGGTTAGGGAGAAAACTTTTTCCTTTCTCTTTTTTAGAGACAAGGTCTCACTCTGTTGCCCAGCCTGGAGTGCAGTGGTGTGATCATACCTCCCTGCAGCCTCAAGAACTCCCAGGCTCAAGGGATCCTCCTTCCTCAGCCTCCTGAATAGCCAGAACTGCAGACATTCACCACCACAACTGGCTAATTTTTCACTATTTTTATTTTTTGTAGAGAAGGGGTTTTGCTATGTTGGCCAGGATGGCCTCCTACCTTGGGATCAAAAGATCCTTCCCTATCAGCCTCCCAAAGTGCTGGGATTATAGGTGTGAGCCACCATACCCAGTGACAGGAACTTTTTAATGCAATTGTCTAAAAACAGATTTCCCACTTAGAATGGGGTGTGCCCCATCAATGGAGTCAGTAGAATTGTCACCACAGCAATCTTCTGGTTCTCTATTCCAGTTCTCCTTGTGTTATAGGTAGTACAATGATTATTTTAATACTATCTGCTGTTTCACGGACATAAGGCCTTCCTTCATTTCTGAGAATAGATTTTTAGACACTCTCTCTGGATCAGCAATTCTGGAGTCCCTCTGACTGCTCCTACCATCATGACCCCTAGCCATAATATGATTTATCTCTACATTAGCAGAAACTAATGGAGCCCCTTTTGACCTAACAGAAGGAGAATCAGTTAGTCTCAGGTTTCAACGTCAAATATACCGCAGGTCCATTTGCCCTCTTCTTCATAGCAGAATACATGAATATTATCGTAATAAATGCCCTAACTACTACAATTTTTCTAGGAACATTACACACTATATATTCACCAGAACTCTATGCTACATATTTCATTACCAAGACCCTCCTCTTAACCTCCCTATTTTTATGAATTCAAACAGCATATCCCCGTTTCGGCTACAATCAACTCACACACCTCCTATGAAAAAATTTTCTACTACTTACACTAGCATTCTGTATATGACATATCTCAATACCCATCCTAATCTCCAGCATCCCACCTCAAATGTAAGAAATACGGCTGACAAAAGAATTACTTTGATAGAGTAAACAACAGAGGATTTCAACCTCTTATTTCTAGAACTATAGGAATTGAACCCACCCCTGAGAATCCAAAATTCCCCATGCTACCTATCACACCACGTCCTAAGGTAAGGTCAGCTAAATAAGCTATCAGGCCCATACCCCGAAAATGTTGGTTATACCCTTCCCGTCCTAATTAACCCATAAGGTCAACTTATTATTTTACCTTACTATTTTTACAGGTACTCTTATCACAATGCTAGGCTCACACTGATTTTTCATCTGAACAGGCTTAGAAATAAATATATTAGCCCTCATCACAATCTTAGTTAAAAAAACAAACCCCCGCTCTACAGAAACAGACACTAAATATTTCCTTATACAGGCAACCACATCTACAGTCCTCATAATAAGTATTCTCTCCAATAACCTGTTCTCCAGACAGTGAACAATAATAAATACTATTAACCAATTTTCATCCTTAATAATAGTAACAGCCTTAGTAATAAAACTAAGGATAGCCCCTTTTCACTTCTGAGCTCCAGAAGTAACTCAAGGAACTTTCCTAACATCCGGTATACTCCTCCTCACATGACAAATCTAGCCTCTATTTCAGTAATACATCAAATTTTTCCATCAGTAAACACGAACATCCTCCTATCTATCTCAATCCTACCTATTACAGTGGGCAGTTGAGGAGGACTTAACCAAACACGACTACATAAAATTCTAGTCTACTCCCCAATTACTCATATAGGTTGAATAACAGCAGTACTAATATATAACCCAAACATTACCACTTTTAACCTATTTACTTCATCTTAACCACCACTGTATTCCTAGCACTCAGCCTGAATTCAAGCACCACAACCCTATCACTATCTCACGCCTGAAACAAATTAACATGGTTACTATCTATAATTCTATCAATTTTATTATCCCTAGGAAGTTTACCCCCATTAACAGGATTCCTGCCTAAATGAATCACCATTCAAGAGTTTACAAAAAATAAGTCTTATTATCCCAACCATTATAGCTATCATAACTCTACTCAATCTGTATATTTACATATGCTTAGTTTACTCCACTTCAGTGACAATATTCCCCACATCCAATAATATAAAAATAAAATGGTAGTTTGAAAACACAAAACCCATATTACTTCTCCCCCCACTTATCATCTTCTCTACCCTCCTCCTACCAATCTCTCCACTAACGCTACCTATAATCTAGAAATTTAGGTTAAGTAAGACCAAGAGCCTTCAAAGCTCTTAACAAGTGAATTATACTTAGTTTCTGCAAAAAACCTAAAGACTGCAAAACTGTATTCTGCATCAATTGAATGCAAATCAATCACTTTAATTAAGCTAAGCCATGGCTAGACTGTTGGGACTTAAACCCATGAAAATTTAGCTAACACCTAAACACCCTAATCAACTGGCTTCAATCTACTTCTCCCGCCTTTGGGGGAAAAAAGGAGGAGAAGCCCCAGCAGGATTGAAGGTGCTCCTTTGAATTTGCAATGCAACATGAAAATCACCTCAGGACTGCTAAAAAGAGGCCTTGACCTCTGTCTTTAGATTTACAGTCTAATGCTTACCCGGCCTTTTTACCTCTGTCTTTAGATTTACAGTCTAATGCTTACTCGGCCTTTTTACCTTTTCTCACTTCACCTATGTTCACCAACCGTGGATTGTTCTCATCCAACCATAAAGATATCGGGACATTATACCTGCTATTCGGTGCATGAGCAGGGATAGTGGGTACAGCCTTAAGCCTCCTTATTCGAGTGGAACTGGGCCAACCAGGTACTCTACTAGGAAATGATCAAATTTACAATGTCATTGTTACCGGTCATGCATTTGTCATAATTTTCTTTACAGGAATATCAATTATAATTGGAGGTTTCGGCAACTGGTTAATCCCTCTGATAACTGGCGCCCCCGACATAGCATTTTCCCGGATAAATAATATGAGTTTCTGACCCCTCTCACCCTCTTTCCTACTATTACTTGCATCCACTGTAGTAGAGGCCGGCGCTGGAACCGGCTGAACAGTCTAACCCCTCCTTAGTAGGAAACCTAACACATGCGGGAGCCTCTGTAGATTTACCCATCTTCTCACTCCATTTGGCAGGTGTCTCTTCTATTTTAGGGGCCATTAACTTTATCACCACAATTATTAACATAAAACTTCCAGCTACGTGCCAATGTCACACACCCCTTTTCGTCTGATTAGTCCTAATTACAGCAGTTCTCCTACTCCTTTCTCTCCCAGTCCTAGCTGCCGGCATTATAATACTGTTAACTGACCACAATCTTAATACTACTTTTATCGACCCAGCTGGTGGAGGTGAATCCTATCGTATATCAGCACTTATTCTGATTCTCTGGTCACCCCGAAGTCTGTATCTTCATCCTACCAGGCTTCAGGATAATTTCCCATATCACAACATACTACTCTGGAAAAAAAGAGCCATTTGGGTACATGGGCATAGTGTGAGCCATAATATCAATTGGCTTCTTAGGGTTTATTGTATGGGCTCACCACATATTTACAGTAGGAACATATGTAGATACATGAGCATACTTCACCTCAGCTACTATAATTATTGCTATTCCTACTGGTGTCAAAGTCTAGCTGATCGGCTACACTACAAGGCAGTAACATTAAATAATCTCCCACAATACTCTAAGCCCTGGGATTTATTTTCCTTTTTACAGTAGGAGGTCTAACCGGCATTGTACTAGCCAATTCAACACTAGATACTGTTTTACATGACACATATTATGTTGTAGCCCATTTCCATTAAGTCTTATCAATAGGAGCCGTATTTGCTATTATAGGAGGCTTTGTCCACTGATTCCCCCTTTTTTCAGGTTATACGCTTAATCAAATCTATGTTAAAACTGACTTTGCCATCATATTTAGAGGTGCCAATTTAACTTTTTTCCCCCGCAGCATTTCCTCGGCCTATCCGGTATGCCTCGATGTTACTCCAATTATCCCGATGTATACACCACATGAAATATTATTTCATCCAGAGGCTCATTTATTTCCCTAACAGCAGTAATGCTAATAATTTTCATGATCTGAGAAGCCTTTGCTTCAAAACGAAAAGTTCTAACAATTGCACAACCATCTACCAACTTAGAATGACTGTATGGCTGTCCACCACCCTATCACACATTCGAAGAACCAACCTACATGAAGACCTAAGTGAAAAAGGAAGGAATAGAACCTCCACAGACTGTTTCAAGCCAATCCCATAACCTCTACAAGTTTCTCGATAAGATATTAGTAAAATTATTTCATAACTTTGTCAAAGTTAAGTTATAGGTTAAGCCCTATATATCTTAATGGCCCATCCAGTTCAATTAGGTCTTCAAGACGCTTCATCCCCTACTATAGAAGAACTACTTACCTTCCATGACCACACTCTTATAATTATTTTCCTAATTAGTTCCCTGGTTCTATACATTATTTCTCTAACACAACAAAACTAATTCATACTAGCACCACAGATGCCCACGAATTAAAGACTGTCTGAACTATCTTGCCTGCCATCAGCTTAATCTTAATTGCCCTCCCATCCATACACAGCCTGTATATAACAGATGAAATCAATAACCCCTCTCTCACTGTTAAAACAATTGGACATCAATGGTATTGAAGCTACGAGTACACAGATTCTGAAGAATTAAGCTTCGATTCTTATGCTTCCGACAGCCGACTTAAAACGAGGAGAACTTCGACTCCTGGAAGTCAATAACTGAACAGTCATCCCAAGAGAAATTCCCATCTGCATGTTAATCGCACCCAAAGCTCTCCTGCACTCATGAACTACTTCCTCACTACGGTTAAAAACAGATGCAATCCCTGGATGCTTAAACATTGTCTACTATGGACAATGTGCAGAAATTTGTATAAAACCACAGTTTTATACCTATTGTTCTAGAATTAGTCCCATTAAAAACTTTCAAAACTTGGTCTACATCTGCACTATAATATCACTGTAAAGCTACCCCAGCGTTAACCTTTTCAGTTAAAGACTGAGAGAAATCACACCTCTCTACAGTGAATGCCTCAACTAGATACTTCCACACGACCTATTATTACTGTATCAACAATCATAACTTTATTCTCCATTATTCAATTAAAACTATCAAAGTTCATTTACCACACACCCCCTACACCAAAAATAATCAAAACACAAAAACGTAACAACCCTTGACAACTAAAATGAACGAAAATCTGCTCACCTCATTTACTGCCCCGACAATCCTCGGTTTACCCACAGCAGCACTAATCATCTTCTTTCCCACCACACTCCTTCCAACCTCCAACTACCTAATCAATAACCAATTGATTTCTATTCAACAATCACTAGTTCAACTTGTTCTAAAACAAATAATAATCACACATACTATTAAAGGATGAACCTGATCCCTTATACTAATATCCCTAATTCTCTTTACTGCCTTAGCCAATCTCCTTGAGTTTCTACCCCACTCATTTATACCAACTACCCGATTATCAATAAATCTCAGTATAGCAATCCCCTTATGAGCAGGCACAGTAATCACAGGCTTCTAATTTAAAACTAAAAACTCCTTAGCTCACTTCCTACCACCAGGCACACACATTCCACTTACCCCTATACTAGTAATCATCCAAACCATTAGTCCACTTATTCAACTAATGGCACTAGCTGTACATTTAACAGCCAACATTACAGCCGGTCACTTACTCATACACTTAACTGGAGGAACCACACTAGTATTATCAACTATTAATCTTCCCACAGCTTCAATCACCCTTATTATTCTAATTCTATAGACCACTCTCAAATTCGCTGTGGCCCTTATCCAAACTTGTGTCTTCATGCTATTAGTAAGCCTTTATTTATATGACAACACATAATGACCCACCAAACACACACCTATCATTTAGTCAAACCAGCCCTTGGCTGTTAACAGGGTCTCTCTCAGCTCTCCTAATAACATCTGGCCTAGCTATTATGACTTCACTTTAACTCTATTACTCTTTTAACCTTAGGCCTACTAAACAATACACTGACTATATATCAATGGTGACATGACATTATCTGAGAAAGTACATTTCAAAGCCACCATACAACAACTGTCCAAAAAGGCCTCCAATATGGAATAGTTCTATTTAATATCTCAGAAGTAATTTTTTTTTTTTTGCTGGGTTCTTCTTGGCATTCTACCATTCTAGCCTAGCCCCAACTCTAGAACTAGGAGGACACCGACCCCTAACAGGCATTTCTCCCCTTGACCCTCTGGAAGTACTCCTCCCGAATACATCTGTATTACTTGCATCAGGGGTTTCAATTACCTGAGCCCATCACAGCCTAATAGAAAATAATCGAAAACAAATAATTCAAGCACTACTTATCACAATTACCTTACGTATTTACTTCACCCTCCTACAAGTCTCAGAATACTCTGAGGCTCCCTTTGCTATTTCTGATGGAATTTATGGCTCAACATTCTTTACACCTACAGGCTTTCACGGACTTCACATCGTTATGGGATCAACATTCCTCACTATCTGTCTCCCCTGCCAACTTTACATACCACTTTACATCTAGCCATCACTTTGGCTTTGAAGCCGTGGCCTGATATTGACACTTTGTAGATGTAGTATGACTATTCTTCTATATTTCTATTTACTGATGAGGATCTTACTCTTTTAGTATATAAACAGTACCATTGACTTCCAATCAGTTTCGACAACATCCGAAAAAGAGTAATTAACCTGCCCTAGCAGTCAACACCCTATTAGCTCTATCGCTAATAGTTATTATGTTTTGGCTCCCACAACTTAATATTTATATAAAAAAAATCCAGCCCCTACGAATGCAGATTTGACCCATTACCCCCCACCCACATTCCCTTCTCCATAAAATTTTTTCTAGTAGCCATCACATTCCTCCTATTTGACTTAGAAATCGTCCTACTACTACCCTTGCCATGAGCCCTTCAAACAAGCAACCTGACACTAATAATCAGCACAGCTCTTAATACTAGTTACCATTTTAGTCCTAGGGTTAACTCATGAATGAACTCAAAAAGGATTAGACTGAACTGACTTGGTAGATAGTTTAAGTCAAAATAAATGATTTTGACTCATTAGATTATGATAGAACATATTAACCAAATGTGCTCTATTTGTATCAATATCATATTAGCATATACCATATCACTTCTGGGGATATTAATCTATTGATCCCACCTGATATCATCCCCACTATGCCTAGAAGGAATAATATTATCATTATTCATCATAAATACCCTTATACCTTTAAATATACATTTCACCCTAGCATTCATAATACCCATTACCCTCCTAGTATTTGCTGCCTGCGAAGGCACAGCGGGCCTTGCCTTACTAGTTTCAATCTCCAACATGTATGGCCTAGACTATGTACATAACCTAAATTTACTTCAATGCTAAAAATTATTATTATTCCAATAATTACACTGCTACCAATAAAATGACTCTCTAAAAACTCTATAATCTGAATCAATATGACTATTCACAGCCTAATCATCAGCTTCATTGCCCTGTTATTTTTTAATCAATTTAATGACAATCTATTCAACTTCTCATTAACTTTCTCTTCTGATCTGCTGACATCACCCCTTCTAATCTTAACAGCCTGACTACTACCTCTTAGAATTATAGCAAGCCAGTACCACCTCTCCAATGAGTCACCCCCATGGAAAAAGCTCTATTATTTCCATATTGGTTTCCCTACAATTTTCTTTAATTATGGAATTGACAGCCACAGAACTAATTATATTTTATATTCTCTTTGAAGCTACACTTATCCCTACCTTAATTATGATCACCCCCTGAGGTAACCAACCAGAACGCCTCAATGCAAGCTCGTATTTCTTATCTTATACACTAGTGGGATCTCTTCCCCCTGCTTACTATACTTATTTATATACTCAAAATACCTCGGTTCACTGAACACGATAATAATAATATTTAACACCCAAGAACTATTAATTTCCTGATCCAATAACCTTGTATGATTAACATGTATTATGGGTTTTATAGTAAAAATACCCCTACACGGACTTCACCTATGACTTCCTAAAGCCCATGTACAAGCCCCTATTGCAGGCTCAATAGTACTTGCAGCAGTTCTCCTAAAACCAGGCAGCTATGGCATAATACGGGTTACCCTTATCCTCAGCCCCCTGACAGAATATACACCTTACCCCTTCCTCATGTTATCCTTATGAGGGATAGTTATGATAAGCTCTATTTGTCTACGACAAACTGATCTAGAATCACTTATTGCATATTACTCTGTAAGTCATACAGCACTTGTTATTAAGGCTATCCTCATTCAAACTCCCTGAAGCTTTACCGGTGCAATTACCCTCATAATTGCCCATGGACTTACTTCAACCTTACTATTCTGCCTAGCAAATTCAAACTATGAGTGAATCCATAGCCGAATCATATTACTCTTTTAAGGTCTTCAAACACTACTCCCACTAACAGCCTTTTGATGACTTATAGCAAACCTTACTAACCTTGCCTTACCCCCCACCACTAATCTAATAGGAGAACTCTTTGTAATGGTGGCTTCATTCTCCTGATCAAACATCATCATTATGCTTATAGGACTAATATATTAATCACAGCCCTTTATTCCCTATACATGCTTATCACAACACAAGGAACACTTACATATTACATTAACAGTATTAAACCTTCCTCCACACAAGAAAAGATGCTAATACTTACACACCTTGCACCTATTCTCCTATTATCCCTAAACCCTAAGATTATTATAGGTTTTATACCCTGTAAGTATAGTTTAATCAAAACATTAGATTGTGGGTTTAGTAATAGAAGTCTGCAATTTCTTATTTACTGAGAAAGTATGCAAGAACTGCTAACTCATGCCCCCATGCCTAACAACATGGCTTTCTCAAGTTGTAGAGGATAAGAGCTATCCATTGGTCTCAGGAACCAAAAATATTGGTGCAACTCCAAATACAAGTAATAATCATGTATTTTTCCATTACTATAAATTTAATCTCCTTAACCTTACAATCACTACATTAATCAACTCTCACAAGAACTCATATCCATATCACGTAAAAATATCTACTGTATGCACCTTCACCATTAGCTTCATTCCCACAATGTTTGTGTATATAGACCAAGAAGCCATCATCTCAAACTGATATGGAATAACAATCCAAACCTTAATCTCTCACTAAGCTTCAAACTAGACTACTTCTCCATAAAATTTATCCCAGTAGCACTATTTGTCACCTGATCTATTAGAGAATTCTCAATATGGTATATAAAATCAGATCCCAACATTAATCAATTTTTCAAATATTTATTTTCCTCACCACAATATTCTAGTTACCACCAACCTTTTTTCACAACCTTTTTCAACTTCTTGTCAGATAAGAAGGCATAGGAATTATGTCTTTTTTTACTGATTGGCTGATGACACGGCCGAGCAGATGCTAATACAGCAGCCCTCCAAGCAATTCTATATAACCACATTGGCAATATTGGCTTCATTTTAGCTATAGCATGATTCCTCTCATCCTGCAATACATAAGAACCTCAACAAGCATTTATCCTAAATCCTTCCCCCGACCTTCTTCCATTAATTGGCCTTCTCTTAGCAGCAGCAGGAAAGTCAGCTCAATTTGGCCTCCACCCCTGACTTCCTTCCACCATGGAAGGCCCAACCCCAGCCTCAGCCGTACTCCACTCTAGCACTATAGTTGTAGCAGGAGTTTTCCTGCTTATCCACTTCCACCTTTTAATAGAAAATAGTATATTAATCCAAACCCTTACACTGTGTTTAGGGGTTATTGCCACCTTATTTACAGCAATTTGTGCTCTAACACAAAATGTTATCAACAAAATCGTAGCGTTATCCACCTCAAGTCAACTAGGCCTTATAATAGTCACAACTGGCATTAATCAAGCACACCTAGCATTCCTACATATCTGCACCCATGCCTTTTCTAAAGCTATATTATTTATATGTTCAGGATCCATCACCCATAACCTCAACGATGAACAAGATATCCGAAAAACAGGAGGACTATTTAAGACTTTACCCCTTACTTCCTCCTCCCTTATTATTGGCAGCCTAGCACTTACGGCTATGCTTTTCCTCACAGGCTTTTATTCTAAAGATCTCATTATCACAACTGCAAACACATCATATATCAAAGCCTGAGCCCTCTCTACTACTCTTATTGCCACCTCCCTAACAAGAGTCTATAGTATCCAAATTATTTTCTTTGCTCTAATAGGACAACCCCGCTTCCCAACCCTAATCAGCATTGACGAAAATAACCCTTCCCTAATAAACCCAATTAAATGCTTTATAGTCAGCAGTATCTTCCCTGGGTTTCTCATCACCAACAGCATTATCCCTAACTTCATCCCCCCAAACAACTAAAACTTACAGCCTTGGGTGTAACCGTCCTAGGACTCTTACTGGCAATGGAACTTAGTTTTATAACTAATAATCTTAAGATAACATATCCATTACAAACATTCAACTTCTCCAATATATTAGGATTCTACTCAATCACAATTCATCGTACAACCCCTCACTCAAACCTATCTACAAGCCAAAACCTGGCATCACTTCTGCTAGATCTAACTTGACTAGAAAAGTTCATACCAAAGACAATTTCACAGACCCAAATCACAGCCTCCATTACCATAACTACTCAAAAACGCCTAATTAAATTTTATTTTTTTATTCCACCCTTTTTAACTTTACTCTTAATTATCTAATCTATTACCCCAAGTAATTTCAACTGCAACATAAATACAAACAAACAGTGTTCAACCAGCAACTACCACCAATCAACACCCATAATTATATAAACCACCAGCACCCGGAGAATCCTCACAGATCAACCCTGGCCCCTCACCCTCAAAAATTATTCAACTTCCCACACTAATAAAATTAACTATGATGACCACCCCATCATACTCACCATTCATCAAAGTAACAACAACTCTATTGGTAGCCCCAGTACTAAAGTTCCTAAAACCTCAATACTTGATCCTCATGCCTCAGGGTATTCCTCAATAGCCATCACCGCAGTATATCCAAAAACAACCATCATCCCCCCCAAATAAATAAAAAAGACTATTAATCCCATAAAAGCCCCACCATAATTCAACACAACACAACCTACAGCACCACTAAGAATTAACCCTAAACCCCCATAAATAGGAGAAGGTTTAGAAGGAAAACCTACAAATCCCATAACAAAAGAACACTTAGTAAGAATAAAGCATATGTCATGATTCCCACATGGGTTATAGCCATGACTAATGATATGAAAAACCATCACTGTACTTCAAGAACACTAATGACCATTACATGTAAAACAAACCCACTAATAAAAATCATTAGTTACTCATTCATTGATCTCCCCGCACCATCTAATATCTCTATATGATGAAACTTCGGCTCACTTCTTGGTACCTGCTTAATCCTCCAGATCCTCACAGGGTTATTTCTGGCCATACACTACACACCAGATACCTCGTTTGCTTTCTCTTCAGTCGCCTATATTAACCGAGATGTGGACTACAGCTGAAGAGTCCACTATTTTCACACTAATGGCTCTTCAACATTCTTCATCTGCCTCTTCCTACACGTCGGCGGAAGCTTATATTAAGGGTCATTCATATATTTAGAAATCTGACATAGTGGCATTATGCTCCTACTCACAACCACAGCAACAGCATTTATAGGCTATGTTCTTCCATGAGGCCAAATATCATTCTGAGGCGCTACCGTAACCACAAACCTACTATCAGCCATCCCATATATTGGAACTGACCTTGTCCAATGAATCGGAGGTGGATTTCCAGTTGACAAAGCCACTCTTACACGATTCTTCGCCTTCCACTTCATCTTACCTTTCACCATAATAGCCCTAACACTTCTCCACCTTTTATTCCTACACGAAACAGGGTCTAAAAATCCTTCAGGAATTTCATCACATTCTGACAAAATCACCTTCCACCCTTACTATACAACCAAAGATATTCTAGGTTTAATTTTTCTCCTCCTCCTTTTAATAATTCTAGTACTGTTTTCGCCTGACCTCCTGAGTGACCCACATCATTACACCTTAGTCAACCCCCTAAATACCCTGCCCCACATTAAACCACAGTGATACTTTTTATTTGCATACGCAATCTTATGATCCATCCCCAATAAACTATGAGGCGTACTGGCCCTTCGATTATCCATTCTCATTCTAGCAGTTGTTCCTGCCCTCCACACATGGCAAACAACAAAGCATCATATTCCGCCCATTAAGTCAATATCTGTCCTGAATCTTAGTCACCGACCTATTCACACTCACATGAATTGGAGGACAGCCAGTTGAACATCCTTTTATTACCATCGGACAGATAGCATCTATGATATATTTCTCTATTATTCTTGCCCTCATACCACTCACCACCCTAATCGAAAATAAACTACTTAAATGAAACTGCCCTTGTAGTATAATCCAATACACCAGTCTTGTAAAGCAGAAATGGAGAGTCCCCTCCCTAGGACAACTCAGAGAAAAAGCATTCCCACTTCACCATCAACACCCAAAGCCGAGATTCTAATTAAACTATTCTCTGTATTCTTTTTGGCGCGCATTTTAACTACTATGTAAGTGCTGACCATCAGCACTAATACATTAATACTTTTATGTACTTTGTGCGTTATTGCTAGTCTCCATGAATATATAGCACTATCAATGCTTGATTGTACACAGTATATTCTCAGATTATATGACATTACAAACTTGCTCCACATGAATATAAGCAAGTATTAGCAATTCTTTAACTATCGTACATAATACTACACTTACATATAGAACTAGTTCCACATGGATATCGACCAGTACTCAAAATGCTTAATATTACATAGTACATTCATTTGTTCATTGGACATAGCACATTTCAGTCAAAACCACCCTCCCAACATGGATATCTCCTACCAAATTTTGGTCTCTTAATCTACCAACCTTCTAGAAATCCTCATCCCACTTGGGCATGTTACCCTCCTCGCTCCAGGCCTATAATACTTGGGGGTGACTATACTGAAACTATACCTGGCATCTGGTTCTTACCTCAGGACCATAAAACTAAGATTGCCCACATGTTCCCCTTAAATAAGACATCTCCATGGACTACCGACTATCACCCTATTAACCAGTCACGGGAGCACTGTCACACATTTGGTATTTTTAACTTTTGGGGATGCTATCATTCACCATCACAGAAGGCCTGGTCCCCTGTCCATCGGCTGTAGTAGTACTTGGATTTGATTTCCACCAAACCAATTGTAGAAGTCACACCTACTCCTCAGGTGATCCACCTGACGTGGCCTCCAAAAGTGCTGGCATTACAGGCATGAGCCACCGTGTCCGGCGCTTTTTTTAAATTTAAAAAAAGACTTTTTTGGCCAGGCACAGTGGTCACACCTGTAATCCCAACACAGGAAGGCTGAGATGGAAGGACCGCTTGAGCCCAGGAGTTCAAGACCAGCCTGGGTAACAGAGGGAAACCACTTCTTCCTTAAAAATACAAAAAAATTAGCTGGGCATGTTGGTGCATGCCTGCAGCCCCAGCAGCCCCTGCAGCCCCAGCTACTTGGGAGGCTGAAGTGGGAGGATTGCTTGAGCCAGGAGTTCGGGGCTGCAGTGAGCTACGATCTTGAGGCAGGGTACGCCGTCAAGAAAGTGACCATGTCCTTTGGATGCAACAACTACAGCACTGAGACATGCGACCTGTGAACAAGCAAGTGCAGCTACTGCGCATGTGCACCAAGAGGACGACCCAGAATGTTCTTAGAGTAACACCTCTTCCCAGCGCCTTAAAGGGAGTTTCCCTTGTAATAATCAGTGCTGTCTCATCCTTGTGAGCAGCCTGCCCTGAATTCTCTCTCTCAGGGTGAACCGTGTATTTTGCACTTCACTATTTTTTTTGAGACGGGGTGTCACTCTGTCACCCAGGCTGGAGAGCAGTGTTGCAATCTCAGCTCACTGCAACGTCCACCTCCCGGGTTCAAGCAATTCTCCCATCTCAACCTCCTGAGTAGCTAGTATTACAGGCACACGCCAACATGCCCAGCTAATGTTGGCCAGGCTGGTCTGAACTCCTGAGCTCAAGTGATCCACCTGCCTCGGCCTCTGAACGTGCTGGGATTACAGGCATGAGCCACTGCGCCCTGGCTATTCTGCACTTAACTTCCAAAATACTTTTCCTTTGCAACTGCTCTATGCTGCCTTGTCTTTGCCTTGTGATTCTGTTTAAATTCTTATTTTTCATTTAATTTAATTTATTTATTTATTTTGAGACAGGGTCTCACTATGTTACCCAGGCGGGTCTTGAACTTTTGAGCTCAAGTGATCTGCCAACCTTGGCCTCCCAAAGTGCTGTGATGACAGGCATTAGCTACAACACCCAGCCTTAATTCTTTTAAACTTAGTACTGCGGCCCCACAACAGCTGTCAATAATCTCGCCACTGCACTCCACTCTGGGTGATAGTGCAAGGCCTAATCTCAGAAAAAGAAAAAGATATATTTTAAAAAAGTAAAACAACTGAATTTTTTTTTTTTCTTAAAGACAGAGCATCCCAGCCGGGCACGGTGGGTCACGCCTGTAATCCTTACACTTTGTGAGGCTGAGGTGGATGGATCGCCTGAGGTCAGGAGTTCAAGACCAGCCAGGCCAACATGGTGAAATACCATCTCTACTAACAACATACAAAAATTAGCTGGGCGTGGTGTTGGGTGCCTGTAATCCCAGCTACTGGGGAGGCTGAGGCAGGAGAATCGCTTGAACCCATGAGACAGAGGTTGCAGTGAGCCGAGATCACACCACTGCCCTCTAGCCTGGTCAACAGAGTGAGACTCCATCACAAAAAAAATAAATAAATAAAAGGCAAGGTCTCCCTCTGTTGCCCAGACCAGAGTGTAGTGGCACAGTCATAGCTCACTGCACCCTTGACCTCCCAGGCTCAAGTGATTCTCCTGCCTCAGCAGCTGGGACTACCGGCACAAATCACCATGCCTGGCTAATTTTTTAATTTTTTGTGGTGATGGTCTCGCTATGTTGCCCAGGCTGGTCTTCAACTCCTGGCCTCAAGTGATCCTCCTACCAGGGCCTCCTTGCAAAGAGCTGGGTTGACAGGAGTGAGCCACTGTGCCCAGCCCCCCGAAGCTGCCTGTTCCTTGAGCACGATGTGTAGCAAGGAGAGCTGGAGTGAGAGCAGCACCATGGGGAAGGGACAGGATTGCCACCCTGAGCTGTGTCACCTTAGGCCAGACCCCTCTTCTCCAAGCCAGGTCAACCACATGGGTGATTTCAGGAGCCTGTGCCCACTCAGACAAGCTGGATTTTAGCTTCCTAGGGGGATGGGAACCTGTGAGGGTTTAGAGATGCTGGCAGCTCCTTTTTCCTGGGAGAAATTTCCAAACAGGGAACAAACAGAGCCACCCTGGCCCTGCTGAGGGAGGGTCCTACCAGAAACCCTCACCACTGTCATGCTCCACGCCGGTGGTGATGGTGATGTCATCAATGTAGGTGGTGGGTGTTGTGTACAGAAGCACAGACCGCTGCAGTCCTGCATAGTTGAAGAAGTCAAAGTCTGTGTTCCAGACAAAGTAACCCCTGAGATATCTAGGGTGGGAGGACTACGGTTCGCTGGGCCCTTGCCCTGGGTCCCTTGACCTCAGTTCACAGGCCTCCCCAGTCTCCCCAGATCCAGGGCCTCCATTCTGCGAAGGCCACCCTGTCCCTAGCAGGAAGACCACAGGGTTGGGCAGGAAGGTGTGTGCGTGTGGTTGAGGCAGGATGGTACCCACATAAAGGTGTTGGTCATATCGTGGTTGGTCCCTGGTGGCAGGGTGGAGGGAGTGAGTGTGTTGTTGATGGTGACAGTGATGTGGAGGTGGGAGGGCAGGGGACCCACCAGGACCAGGCTGCTGATGTTGGCCTGGAAGGGGAGACAGCCCCTCTCACCCTCCAGCGCTTCGATCCCATTCACCCACTGCAGACACAGGAGATATGGGGAGGGGGCAGCAGGTCAGGGCATGAGGAGGGGCCCTGCTATCAGGTACTCCCTCACATAACCTGCAGCATGGGGCTTAGGGGCCTGCCAGCGAGACGGGAAGAATGATATCCCAATGGGGTAGATCAGGCCACTTATCCCCCTACACAGGGCACAGCCCCCAGGACAAGGCTGGGCACCCCATTGTCCCACCCCAGGAGATAGGCTGTGGGTGGCAGTTGGGGGTCCCATGCTGTTCAGCAGCCATTCCTACCCACCCACCCTGCCTCCTCCTGGCCACACTGACCATGATGGCATAGGAGTGGGCACTGCCAATCCTCAGCACCACTCTTGTGTGCAGGTCCTGGGTCCATCGCTCTGGCAGGGTCACTTCCTGTTCGTACCACATCTGGCCGAAAAAAGGCTGCGGCCACCAGTCCTGGCCAATGTCGTTGAAGGTGGAAGAAACCGGCATGTCCAGGGTGGGGCCTTACTGTGGAAAGAAGGGCCGGACTCAGCTCCTAGGCCCCCAAAGGGATCTGGGACCAGTGTGCTGCACAGCTGTGTCCCCAGGCCTAGCACAAGCCCTGACACATAGCGGGGACTCTTGACAGAACGGACAGATAACTCGCTGATGACAGGTCAACTGCCAGAGTGGTTTGTGCACCTGGGCTAGTGGAGCCAGGAGTTCCTTCTCGGAGTGGATGGGGCCCAATATCTCCCAAGACAGGAGCGAGCCCAGGGCCACATCCCAGTCCGAGGCAAGAAAGTTCAGACGCATAACTAAGAGGCAGATGACCCACTGCCTGGCACAGGGAGGAAAGCTGGTTGGGGGGATGGGGGGCTTTGCTTAGGACACTGTGAGTAGGGCACACACTGGCACCCAGTCCTCTCCTCTCTTCCTCCTGTACTGAATGCCGCAAAGTCAGAAAAAGAGGATGGAGACCAGGCAAAAGCGGCTCAGATCTCACCTGGTCCCACTTCTCTGCTAACCACATCCAAGTCAGGAGGGGAACAGGGGTGGCATCCCTGGCCTGTCACGTTCTGTCCTCTATCTGAACTTGAAAACCAAGGGACCCTCCTGCCTCGGCAGAGCTGACCTCAGGACGTCTAAACTGTCCCCTCCTCCCCATCCCTGGGCCCAGCTCTGTGCAGCGCCTGCGGCTCTGGCCAGACGAGTGTCTGGGTGGGTCATGTCTATAATCAGTGCTTTGGGAGGTCAACGTGGGAGGATGGCTTGAGGCCAGGAGTTTGAGACCAGCCTGGGCAACATAGTGAGACCCTATACCTTAAAAAAAATAAGTTGTTTTTTGTTGTTGTTGTTTGAGACGGAGTCTCACTCTGTCACCCACGCTGGAGTGCAGTGGCGTGATCTCGGCTCACTGCAACCTGCGCCTTCTGGGTTCAAGCAATTCTCCTGCCTCAGTCTCCCAAGTCGCTGGAATTACAGGCATGCACCACCACACCCGGGTAGTTTTTATATTTTTAGCAGAGACAAGGTTTCACCATGTTGGCCAGACTGGTCTCGAACTCCTGGCCTCAGGTCATTTGCCCATCTCGGCCATCCAAAGTGCTGGAATTACAGGCGTGCGCCACCGAGCCCGGTCAAAAAATTTTTTTTTAATTAGCCAGGCGTGGTGGCTCCAGCTAACTTGCAAAGCTGGGGTGGGAGGATCGCTTGAGCCCAGAAATTAGGATTGCAACACTGCGCTCCAGCCTGGGCGACAGGGCCAAACCCAGTCTCAAAAAATTTTAAAAATTAAAAATAAACATAAAAAAAGGACACTGCTAGGGCTCAGGCTTCGCCTCGGGAGGGGGCTCGGCAGGAGTGCTTCCTCCTCCCGCCTCCTCCGCCTCGGCCCTCCTGGTTCCCCCTGGTCTCCCTGTCCTCCAAGCCCGCGCCTCCAAGCCCGCTGACCTTTAACCTCCTCCCAGTTGGGCTCCCAGTCTCAAGGCGCTCAGGTGAAGGAGCCTGACGGGATGCCCGTGCTCCCCCACTCCCACTCCCTCCGCCGGGCTTCCGTGCGCCTGACGGCCCTGCCCCGAGCACGCACCTCTCGCAGCCGAGGACCGTAACACTGCTCCTAGAAGCCCCGGCGCCGGTTGTCGGAGAAGTAGGCGCTGAAGCTTCAGAGGCCGTCCAGCTTCTTGAGCTCCCGCGACGGGCTCTCCCGGGGGTACAGCAACCTGCCCTGCAGCGCCAGCGCGCAGCACCATAACTGCGCCAGAACGCCGCCAGGATAACCTCCAGACCACGCTTCCCGCTCCTCTGCTCGGCAGCAGTCTGCAGGGCTAAGAGCACCGCGGGAGGAGCCTTGCAGGTGGGTCGCGTGACGCACATGTCACGTGATGCGCCTGAGGCCGTTCGCGCCATCTTTGTTGAGGGCGAGTGCCAGACCATGAGGGGCTGGGCGGGGCCGGGTGCTGCCCAGTGGAGCCAATGGCTGGGAACCCCGGGGAAGAGGGACCCACACCCCCTGTCACCCATCCGCTCCCTGGGTCCAAAGCAATCATCCTTTGTAATCTCTGACGGGGAACAACTGGCCGTTGTCCTTTAATTAGCAGGGGACACACTAAGCTATGGTCTCCTGCAGGCTCTGTAAACATCCGTGAAATCAGCCTGGTGACTCCAAGCTCGGTGCAGACTGCGGGGGCCCATAGTGGCCAAGGGGGAGCCCTCGTCCCTGGTCTGGCTCTGAGAACAGCCTCCAGGAGAAACTGCCAAGCCGCTGGGACTCGTGGCAGCTGCTCAACCCGGCAAGTTCTTTCTTGCAAATTGAGATCCAGGCTGCGATCTGGGCTGGCTCTGCACATTCTGGGTGCCCGGTATCTGCTGGTTGGAGCTGCCTGGACACCTCTGAGGGCTGCTTGTGCGTGGGTGGGGGCTGCTTTTTAACACATGTCTGCCCCGTGGGCCGCGCCTTCTCCACTTCTTCTGGCCTTATTAAATGATGGTTATTGCAGGGAGGATGTAGCGCCAAGCATCCTCTTATGCAGCACTGTGAGATGCGGGGTGTCCAGTGTCCTAGGAGAAATTCAAGCCTCATTTCCCTCTGAGACACTGGGATGAGGCCATGTGCAGAGTCTCAGTGCCCGGATCCCGGGTGCGTCATCTGAGTCTGTGCATGAGGTGCCAAGGCCTGGCCCTGGGCTGTGTGGGATGCGATTGAAGTGTGTCTGATGGGAAGGCCCAGTTCACACCCACCAGGGGCCAAGAGTGCACAGATGTAGATGCCAGTGCCTGCCCAAGTCACCCAAAACAGAGAAAGGGAGGCACTGGGAAGCCCTCGGGCCAGAGGCTGATGACATGGAATCCTCAAGGGGACTGCCCGCTGCTCAGGGCAGAAGGGGACATCCTGATGCGGCACCCGTGACAGCCCCCCACCGTTCCTGCCCCCTGGACCCACTGTCCCTGGAGACCTGTGGAGAGAACCACTTCTGACTAGAAGGCATCTCCGTCATTTGCTTTGTCTCCCCTTGGTCACTACAAAGACAGATGCTCACAGCCCTCGGGTGACAAGCTTGTGCCTCTGCCCCCTTCTGATGCCCCTGCTTTACGGGTGTGGCCACTGCTCCTGGCTTGCAGTGTCTGTGCGGCTATGACAGCCCAGGTTCCTCTCAGGGCAGGTGTCCCTCCCGCAGAAAGCTCACCCTGTCTCCTGGGCCCTCGCCCTGCTCCTGGACGGAGGAGGGAAGGACTGGGGTGGTGGCTGATGGATTCTCATGTCACCTCTTTCCCATATTCCCCTGGGCTCTTCCTTCAGAGCCTCCACTCTGCACCCTGATGACTCACTGTGTCTCATATAGGAAGCCCCCAGTGACATCTCATGCCCTGTACACAGGTCCCTACAGCCCGGGCCCCTCCCCAGCTCTACTGCCTCTGGCGAAAACCCCACTTTCACCCCTCCCTCCTTACATCTGGTGGAGAGTGCAGGGGGCTTGTTGGAGGGAAGCCACATGTGAGACCCACACGACGCACCAACCCCCACTGTGCAGACGCCATCCCATCTATTTTCTTCCTTCCCTTCTGCAGTCAACACAGCCCTGGCTCTGCATTCAGCCCTCTCTTTACAGGGCTGTGTCTGGGCAGATGGGGCTGGAAAACAACTTGCTGGGCCGAGCTGGGGTGTGTTGTGAACGTCAAGGCCCAGCCTGTGCAACAGGAGGCTCCAGGATCCCTTTAGGGGTAGGGTAAGGTGCGGGAGAGTGCAGGTTAAATGGGATGGGCAGGGGCAGACAGGCAACAGGGGTGATTAATTTTTCTCAAAGCATTGCCAGGCTACCTTTCAATTCCTTTTCTGTGGCCCAGGCCAAGGAAAGTGAATGTTCTGCTGCCAACCTGGTTTGTCTTTTAATCACACCCTTTGCTTGTCAGTTTAGACACCCTGGTATACTCTCATTGCTTTTTAGCAATCTTTGCAACTTGCTGGACTTTTCCACCCAAATAGGAACAGTAGACCATGTGTACTGTGTGCCAGGCACTGTGCTAAATGCATTAGCTATTTCAATCCTCACAACAGCCCTATGAGATGGGCACTATCATTATCCTTATTCTGTAGATGAGGAAATTGGCACAGAGAGGTTAATTAATTAGCCCAGAGTCACTCAGCTAGTGAGTGGCAGAGCTGAGATTTGAACCTAGGCAGCCTGGCTTCAGGGTCTATGCTCTTAATGTCTCACTGTAGGGGCTCTTAAGTGAGTCCTCAACTTCCATGGCTTCAGTTGAATGGACTTCTCCGTGGAGGCAGGGCTAGGAGGATGTTTATCCAGGGGTCCTACAGCGACCACCTAGAAGGATGGGATTGGCTGTGACTCAGACTCTACCCTTGCTGCTGCCTCTGCCTGGAGCTCTGCCCCCAGCTCATCCCAGGATCTGCTCCTCCTCCCTCCTCAGGACTCAGGTACAGCATTGCAGAGGATGTTTACTGAGCACCTGCTATCTGCCAGGCACTGTGCTAGGTGCAGGGGATCTCGCAACAAACAAAATCACTGCTTTTATGGAGCAGACATTCAGTAAGTGGAGAGGGATAAACAAATCAGTGAAAGGTACGAATGTCAGCTGCTAATCCATGCTACGGGGAGACATTCAGCAGGCTTGGGGATAGGAAGTCCCAGGTATGTGGGAGGGTGTGTTAGCTTCCTGTGCTTGCTGTGACAAATCACCACCAACCTGATAGCTTCAAACAACACAGATGGACTCTCTCCTAGCTCTGAAGGTCAGGAGTCTGCCATCAGTTTCACTGGGTTAAGTCAAGGTGTCAACAGGGCTGGCTCCTGCTGGATGCCCTGAGGGCAGGATTCTTTGCATTTTCAGTGTCTGTATTTCCTTCCTTCCTTCCTTCCTTTCTTCATTTCTTCCTTTCTTTTTCTTTCTTTCTCCCTTCCCTTCCCTTCTCTTCCTTTCCTTTCTTTCTTTCCTTCCTTCCTCTCTTTCTTTCTCCCTTCTCTTTCTCCTCCCTTTCCTTCCCCTTCCCTTCTTCCCTTCCATTCCCTTCTATTCCCTCCCTCCCTCCCCTCCCCTCCACCTCTTTCTTTTTTTTTCTTTCTCTTTGTTTCTTTCCTTCTTTCTTTCTTTTTCTCTCTTTCTCTCTTTTTTTTCTTTCTCCCTTCCCTTCCCTTCTCTTCCTTTCCTTTCCTTTCTTTCTTTCCTTTCTCCCTTCTCTTTCTCCTCCCTTTCATTCCCCTCCCCTCCTTCCCTTCCCTTATCTTCCATCTCCTCCCCTTCCCTGCCCTCCCCTCCTCTCCTCTTTCTTTCCTTTGTTCTTCTCTCCCTCTCTTTCTCTCTTTCTCCCTCCCCTTGCCTCTCCTTCCCTCCCTGCTTTCCTCCCTCCCTCCTTCCCTTCCTTTCCTTCCCCTTCCCCTTCCACTTCCCCCTTCCCTTCCTTTCCCTTCCCTTCCCTTCCCCTTCCTTCCTTCCTTTTTTTTCCCTCTCTGTCTTTGTCTCTTTCTTTTTTTTAGAGATGGAGTCTCGCTCTGACACCCAGGCTGGAGTGCAGTGGTGCAATCTTGGCTCACTGCAGCCTCTGCCTCCTGGGTTCAAGTGATTCTCCTGCCTCAGCTTCCCAAGTAGCTGGGACTACAGATGCACACCACCAGGTCCAGCTAATTATTTTTGTATTATTAGTAGAGACAGGGTTTCACCATGTTGGCCAGGCTGGTCTTGAACTCCTGACCTCAAGTGATCTACCCGCCTCGGCCTCCCAAAGTGCTGGTCCGGCCTGTATTTTCTTTTAAGCCCCTCATATTCCGGGGCTCGTGGCGCCTTCCTCCATCCTCAAGCACATGATTCCAGTATCTGCCCTGTCGCTACAGCTCCTTTGACTCAGACCCTCCTGCCCCACTCTTATAAAGACCCCTGTGATTACACTGGGCCCACCCAGGTCATCCAGAGTCATCTTTCGATCTCAAGATCCTTCACTTAACTACATCAGCAAAGCCCCTTTGCAATGGACATGCACACAGGTCCCAGGGGTTTGAATGTGGACACATATGGGGGGCCCTTGTTCAGCCCCCTATGGAGGGTGGTTGTTGATTTTCTGTAGGATGGTCAGGGAAGACCCTGCTGAGAAGCCACCATTTGAGCGAAGACCAGAGGAGCTAAAGCTGTGGGCCAGGATGACATCGAGGGTGGAGCCTTCCAGGCAAAAGAACAATGAGTACAAAGTTGGCAACAGGTGTGCTGGCATGTTCCAGGAAAACCGGGGAGGGAGCCACAGCTGCGGCCAAGTGAGGAGAGGAGCAGTGGGAGGTGAGGTCAGAGAAGCCTTGGGGACAGAATCTGTGGGCCTCAGTGGTTACCATGAAGCTCGGGGTTTTACTCTGAGTATGTGGGAGCCATGGAGGGTTCTGAGCAGAGGAAGCACAAGACCCGACCTAGGTTTCACAGGCTTCCTCTGGCTGCTGTGTGGAAAATAGGGAAATGGGGCAAGAGTGGAAGAAGGGAGGCCTGTCGGGAAGCTTTTGCGCAATGGCCCGGGTGAGAAAGACTCATGGCTTGGTCCAGATGCTGGGATGTGTCCCCCATGTCGCCTTTCAGAAGCAGCCCCACTGCCTAGGGGGTTGCCTGCTGAGAGCTCACAGCTGAGACCCTCCCCAGAAAATGCCTCTGGCTGACAGGAGCTGCTTTGCCCAATCACCCTTCCTGAGGTCCCTCCATCTCCAAAGACTGGTGGTAAACACAGGGGTCTAAAGATCCAGCCCCTTGACTCAATTCATCGCAGTTCTGAAGGGCCATCTTCACTGCAGACTTCCTCGAAGGATGGATTGCAAAGTCATGAGTAGAGCATGCAGGGCTCAGGCGACTATCTATATGTCTCTCTATATTTTAGGATCGCTGTCTACATTAGCAATTTGTTTAAAAATATATTTCAAAATTCCTGGGCCCACGTGAGGTCTAGTGATTTATCCATGAAGGTATAGAATAAGGGATAGAGAAGGGGTACTTATGTGGTTTATTGTCCAACAGATCGTGTGAAAGTTTTTCGTCATGTCCAGGCACCACCTCTTCCTGGTCAGGCCCATGTTATATACGAGAACAGTGGAACAAGTCAAAGGCAAAGCAACACGTCCCCCTGTAAAAACTGTCAGTGTAACCGTCCACTTCCGTATCTGTCCAGTCACTTAACAAATATTGTCCAGTCACTTAACACCTTTAAACACAGGCCGCTGTGCTGGTGTCTGGGACACAGCGGTGAGTAAGAGCCGTCTAATCTCACGACACTCTCAGGAAGTTCCAGTCTATGAGGATGGACAGCATGCAGGTCAACACATAAACATCATTCAGACTGTGAAAAGTACAACAAAGGACACAGATTGGGATATGGGATAAAGAGTCGTGAGGGTGGAGCTACTGTCTCATTTTGGGTGGTCTGGGAGGGCCTCTCTGAGGAGGTGACTTGTGGGCTGAGTCCTGAAGGATAAGAAGGGGCTGCAACGGGTGATTTGAGGGAGCAGTGTACTAGGTGGGAGGAACAGCAAGTGCAAAGGCCAGAGATCAGGCAGATCAGAGATGAGGCCAGGGTATCTAAGAAGTCAGGAGAGTGCTAAGAGATGGGGATGCAGAGACAGTGTCAGGTGAAATAGAAAGAGAAGGGAGCCGGGTGTGATGGCTGACACCTGTAATCCCAGCACTTTGGGAGGCAGAGGTGGGCAGGTTGCTTGAGCCCAGGAGTTTGAGATCAGCCTGGACAATGTGGCCAGACCTCATGTCTTAAAAAAAAAACAAAAAACAAAAAACCAGATGTGGCACATGCCTGTGGTCTCAGCTACTGAGGAGGCAGGAGGATTACTTGAGCCTGGAAGATTGAGGCTGCAGTGAGTCAAGATCATGCCCCTGTAATCCAGCCTAGGTGGGTGACATAACAAGAACCTGTGTCCAAAAAAAAAAAAAAAAAAAAGAAAAGAAAAAAGAAAAGAAAAAAAGGAGAGGGAAGAAGAGAATTGTCACATTTTATTGCAACGACAGTGTTTTGTTTTATTTAAAATATTTTCTCTCCCCTTTGAGTCCAGCCCGACACTCAGGAGATGGGGAGAGCCTTCCTCTCATTCTGCCTCAGGAGGAGCTCCAACCTGCTCCCTTCAATCTCCATCAGCTCTGGCAAGCTCTTGGGCTCTGCTGGCTGTAACACTGCTCCCTGTTTACCAGAGGCTTTTGCTGGCACATTAAATGTATCACTCAGACTCTGAACTAGATCGAGCCACAGAAAGCTTTGATTCATGGAGCTGCTGGTCCCCATTACCACAAGATATACATTCTTTCTCTTCGTTAAGGAATTAAGGTGCCATATTGAAACTTTAGTCTGTAAATACAGGTAAATAAAACATGATTACAGAAATCATTTTCAATAAAAATTCATCTTGAGCTTAAGTTTCTGCCTTACTGAATTCATCTTTTGAGAGTGGGTGGTTGTGCCTGCTGCAGATAATTGTGACCCTGAATAGCTGGACCTGTGTTCACTGTGAACCAATGTTTCCTCTGAGAGCCCCAAAGACCCTGAGTGTGAATCGCCTGAGTGGGTGGGGTCTCTTACCCTGTGAGTCCTCCCACCAGGGCCCCATCCTTCCACCCATCTTCCGTAGATCCTGTTTCCCTTGAGGTCTGAGCTGGGGTGCCCAGTGAGGGGTCATCCTTGCTGTGAGATAAAACCAAGGGGTGACTCCCCACCCCCCTGCAGGGCCCTAGAGGGTGTGCATGGCTTCAACCGTCTGACCAAGGACAGATCTGACTCCCTGCTCAGGGCAGCAGCTGGTGGTTCATTCAGCCCCAGCAGCATCTCAATGGGTGTAATGTAAGGGGCACAGAGAACCGAGGATTGGGTCTGATGGGATTAAACCCCCAACTGGTGTCCCTGTGTCTTCTCTTTCCTGACACCAGACACCAAGAAGAAACAGCCCCAAACACACCCGTCAGTGAATTCTGAAGGGTGAGCTGGGGGCCAGGCGGCCTTTGAAGGCTCCACGTGGGTTTTGGGCTTTTGCTTTTTGCAGCAGCAAATCCACTGCTCTGGGCTGGGAATTGGTGTTTGCTAAATGCACAGGTGGTCTGGAGTGATGTTTTCCTTCTTCAGCAAAGTAACACATGCTCCTTACAGAGAGTTAGACATACAAAGAGGCAGGCATGTTTTTTAAGGATGAGTTAAACATTCAACAGGTTCTCGGGCACTGAGTGAAAGGTCTCCCCGCAGGTCAGCCCCTCAGCCTCCCAGTTTCTTCTTGGAGAAGCCAGTGCAGGGCCCCGCAGTGGGGGCTGGTGGGTAGGAGGCTGTCTCAAGACACCAGGAGGTGATTAGAGGGTCTCAGTCCATTTTGATACCTGTGCTCGGGAGTTGCTGGCTTGGACTGGACTTCTGGCAGCACCCAGTGAGAAAGGGACAAAGCAGGCTGTGACTCTGGCCGTTTTCTCCTCTGTGATTATGATTCCTTTGCTGCACCCCCTCTTTCTGGCCCATCCACAGAGCAAAAACCTGTCCTTGCTGGCTATTTCCCTGCTCCCTGAGGCTGGGTGTGCACCCTGGGGGTGCTCAGAGAGTGTCCCTGGATTGATTTCATGGCCCTCACTTCTCGGAGGAGATGTCATTCCCTGCAGAGCTCCATTTACCTGCTCTGAGCACTCCTCGTCCTGCCCAAGGACGTGCTCTCTGGTTTGGCTGGAATCAATGACCCCACCATGCCAACTCTGGGATTCAGGCAAATCAGAGCTGCTGGGCCTAGGCTGCGTTGTCCAGCTGGCCCTGGTGTTTGTACTGAAACACAGCTATGTGCCCACTGGTTGGTGCAGAGATACTGTCTCTATCCCTATGGAGACCCCGTGCTGGCACCCCAAGATACAGCAGCACAAGGGGCACAATTGCTGGCCCAGCAGGAACTTGGGGACCCTACCCTCGAGCTACGGTCAGTGTCCACGATGACTGGCCAGCTGCCAAGTGAACAAGAACATGGGGGTGGGCAGACATGCCGTGGCCTCTCAGTGCTGGGTGTGTGAGTGGCCAGAGAGGGCGTCTGAGATGCCCCAGGTGTCTTCACACCCAGACCAGGGTCTGCCAGACCCTGATAGCCCCAAGAGTCCTGACCAGACCCCCAAAGGCCAACCCCACATGCTGGGAATGACCATCGGTGCCTAGCGGGCCCTGGGCAGCTGGGGAAGGGCCGTCACCTCAAATGTTCCACTACCTGGCTCCTCCTCTTTCCTCAGGGACGCGAATCTGCCCATTGGGCAGAGGTCCTCACACAAAGGCTGGTCCAGGCAAAACAGGACCACATTGCCAGGCGGCCTGTCCTTCTCCTCTCCACATTCTGTGCTCTGATTACAGAAATGACGGGCTCATGGCCAGAGATGCCAAGCAACAGAGAAAGAGAATAAAATTGAAAATAAGAATCATTCCCCATCCTACACCTACACAGGGCTGTGTTTTAAATAAATAAACTCCTTGATTGTGTCTGTGTGGAGGCCTGAGGTCCTGTAACTGAGATTGTTTTCTCTTTTTTTTTTTTGAGACGGAGTCTTGCTCTGTCGCTCAGGCTGGAGTGCAGTGGCGCGATCTTGGCTCACTGGAGCCTCTCTTTCCCGGGTTCAAGTGATTCTCTTGCCTCAGCCTCCCAAGTAACTGGGACTACAGGCTCACACCACCACACCTGGCTAATTTTTTGTATTTTTCATATAAACGGGGTTTCAACATGTTAGCCAGGATGGTTTTGATCTCCTGACCTCGTGATCTGCCTGCCTCAGCCTCCCAAAGTGCTGGGATTACAGGTGTGAGCCACCACGCCCAGCCTGATGAGTGAATTTTTTGGTGCCCCCTTAAACTTCATGCCTCCCTTGCTGGACCCTGATAATCCACAGATGAACGCCTCCCTCCCCTGCCTCGCCCTAGTCCCCATCCTGCTGATAGGTCTCTGGTCTCTGCTCCTTGATGACATCAGGGGAAGTTTCCCTAGGGTTTTGGTCACTTTGATTTATCATAGCAGATTTGTTAATAATGAAAGGAATATAGCAGGGCCTGGTGTCTCACGCCTGTAATCCCAGCACTTTGGGAAGCTGAGGTGGGCAGATTACTTGAGGTCAGGCGTTCAAGACCAGCCTGGTCAACATGGAGAAACCCCGTCTCTACTGAAAATAGAAAATTGGCTGGGCGTAGTGACATGTGCCTATAATCCCAGCTACTCAGGAGGCTGAGGCAGGAGAATCACTTGAACCTGGAAGGCGGAGGTTGCAGTGAGCTGAGATCACACCACTGCACTCCAGTCTGGGAGACAGAGCAAGACTCTGTCTCAAAAAAACAAGAACAAAAACGAATGGAATAACTGGTGTTTAGGTGTTACAAAATCCAGGCCAGACAAATCTAAACTTTTATCTCACACCCATCTCCTAGATTAGTCCTTTCTTCAGCTCAAGTTCAGCCTAAGCCTCGAGAGTCCTTAGTTGCGGGGGGAAGCACCCGCTCTTTTCCTCACCTTTGTTCTTGTTTTTTCTCTGCTGGCTCCTGTGGGGTTGGGTGCGTTCAGAGGTAGTGACAGGCTAAAGGTCTTCGGCTTTTTCATTCTGTTGATGGGTAAGTTCCAAATACTAGCTTTCTCTTGTAGGATATTTCATTTATTTATTTGCTAAAAATATTTATTTAGAACATACCATTCAATTCATGTGCCGGACACTGTTCCGCCACTGGGGATAGGGTGATAACTGAGATAAACAAAAATACTTGCCCACATTAAGCTCCTATTCTAGGGAAGACAAAAAAGAAAGAAAATACACGTGTACTTAGCACATTAGAAGTTTCCAGTTACTGTAAAGAAAAATAAAGCAGGCCGGGCGCAGTGGCTCACGCCTGTAATCCCAGCACTTTGGGAGGCCGAAGCAGGCGGATCACGAGGTCAGGAGATCGAGACCATCCTGGCTAACATAGTGAAACCCCGTCTCTACTAAAAATACAAAAAAATAGCTGGGCGAGGTGGTGGGCGCCTGTAGTCCCAGCTACTTGGGAGGCTGAGGCAGGAGAATGGCGTGAACCCCGGGGGGCAGAGCCTGCAGTGAGCCGAGATCGCACCACTGCACTCCAGCCTGGGCGACAGCGAGACTCCGTCTCAAAAAAAAAAAGAAAAAGAAAGCAGGGTGGACTCAGTGACTCATGTGTGTAATCCTTGCCCTTTGGGAGGTCGAGGTGGGCAGATTGCTTGAGCTCAGGAGTTTGAGACCAGCCTGGGCAACATGGCAAAATCCTGTGTCTACAAAAAAAAAAAAAAATTTAGCTGGGTGTGATAGCATGTGCCTGTGGTCTCAGCCACTGGGGAAGCTGAGGTGGGAGGATTGCTTGAGCCTGGGAGGTGGAGGTTGCAGTAAGCCAAGAACACGCCATTGCACTCTGGCCTGGGTGACAGAGTAAGACCCTGTCTTGAGAAAAAAAAAAGAAAAGAAAAAAGAAAAACAAGAAAGCAGAGATGGGAGCAAGCGGGGAGGGGCTGGGGATGGGAGCCTCCCTGAGCTTCCACAGTTCTTCCTGCCACTCTCCTGTCTTACTGGGCACAGGCCACCTGGGGGTTATGGTTGTTTTGCACCAACCTAATATCTTGTTCTTGCCAACAGTCAGAGGCCAATTGAGGCTTCTCTGTCTTCCACAAGGAACAGCATTGGCCTAAACCTGCAGGCACCATTGCAAAGGGGAGTCAGCTCAGGTAAACCTGCTGATGAAGCATGATTCCAGTGTGGGGACACAGAGGCTGACATATCTTGCTGTAGGTGATTTAATGTTGGGCCTCAATATTTCACTCCCCCTGTAAGAGTATGACACATCCACATCCTTACCAGGGCCTGAGGGAGGATGGAGAGACGTATCCATCCCACAGGTATTGCTCGTGGCTGGAAGACTTGCTTATGCCAATGAGATTTTCATAAACGTGGCACAGGCAGAAGCCTGGAATGTGTCTGCGCTGCCAGGCCTGCCCTTTAATGTTCTTGATTTTTCCCACGAGGTGAGTGTGCCCCAGGGAACATTGGCTCTGGCTGCAGGATGAGAGGCATGTGGAGCACGCAGGGTTCCAACCCTCAGCCTGGAGTCAAGCCCAGACTAGATCAGCCTAAGCCCAGCCAAGCCACGGGTGCAGGAGTGAAAAGCAAATGCTAACTGTCCATGACATTGACTTTCAAAGGGGAGTGTCATGTTACGTGGCTCATCCCAGCAACAATGAAGATATTTCTCTATCAGTCAGTTGGTAAATGATTATTTACAATGTGCAAGGAAGGTGGAGTGATTGGAGTAGATTTGGTCCCTATTCTCGTGGAGCTTACTTTCTAGAGGGGAAGACAGAGGATGGGTGAATAAATATAAATTATTCTATTAGGTTGGTGCAGCAGTAATTCTGGTTTTTGCCATTAAAGGTAATGGCAATCAAAAGCGGGGAGGAGCTGGTGCTGCAATTCATTAAAAGTAATGACAAAAACTGCAATGACTTCTGCACCAACCTAATAGAATAATTACAAGTGTGCAAAACGTTGCAATGGGAAACTTCCAAGTGCCATGATAGCATCTAGCTTCCTGGAGTCAGGAGATCAGGGTTTTCAATCTAACCAAGATTAAGTCCAAGTGGTGGGGGCAGGCAGGGGGGCGATATTTCAGTGGAGACTCCAAGGATGAATGGAAATTAGAAAAGTGAACACGCATGGTGAGGGGGGAAGTGTTTCGGGCTAAGAGAACAGCATGTGCAAAGGCCTAGCGGGGAGGACATTGTGTGTTAGTTGACCTGACCAGCAGGCTGGAGCTGAGCCGGTTGAGAGGAGGATGGGGAGCCGGGGAATGGCACTCCACACAGAGGGCGCAGCAGGGGCAA
Organism: Homo sapiens; assembly: GCF_000001405.40. Taxonomy (NCBI): domain Eukaryota; kingdom Metazoa; phylum Chordata; class Mammalia; order Primates; family Hominidae; genus Homo; species Homo sapiens. Next base: position 57,215,654 of record NC_000007.14, read on the forward strand.
AGGCCCGGAGTCAGGCCTGAGCCTGTGTGGTTTGAGGAAGTGACAGAGGCCTGTCTGGCAGGAAAGTAACAGCAGAGGGGAGACCCTAAGGTCAGGGCAGAGGGCAGGGCTGTGCTGGGCACTGTGGGCTGGGGATGGAAACTGGCATTTATGCTCGGATGATAGGAACGTGTTAGAAGATTTTAAGGAGGGCAGTAACATTTGGGGATAATGTGTATTCTAGCAATCTCAACCAACTAAATTCATAGTTTGAATGTTCATAAGACTTCTGCACAGGCAAAGGGAAAGATCGTTTCTAGAGCTGTGAGATAAGATCATAGTAAAAAAGAATTACTAAGTTTTAAAATTATTTCAAATGGTGGATTTCCATCTTACAATTGAATATAAGTAGATTGCAAGGTTGATGGAAAGTAGCAAAGCTTCCAGACTTGCGTGAACAGAAAAGAAACATCAATTTGAAAGAAAACATGTATTTATTTACTTCCTCTACAGTTTTCCTGACTGCTACATTTCATAAGAAGGGATTGTTTATGAGGGTCAAGGAGCTGGAGGCCTGGGGAGGAGCTGGTGTTTTTGTTCAAGTCTGAGGGTCCTGGAGCTGGAGCCCAGGGGAGGAGCCGGTGCTACCACTGATGTCTTAGGGTCGTGGAGCTGAAGATCCAAGAGGAGCTGGTGCTGCTATTCTAGCTTGAGTCTCATGGAGCTGGAGACCCAGGGAGAAGATGGTGCTGCTGTTCTAATTTAAGGATCGTGAAACAGAAGACCCAGAAAGGAGCTGGTGTTGTCGCTGCTCAAATCTGAGGGTGTTGGAGCTGGAGCCTGGGGGTGGAGCTGGTGCTGCCTTTGAAGTCTGAGAGTCATTGAGCTGGAGGTCCAGGAAGGAGCTGGTGCTGCTGTTCTAGGGTGAGGGTGGTGGAGCTGCAGACCCAGGGAGGAGAGGTCTTGTTCTAGTTTCAGGGTTGTGGAGCTGCAGACCCATGGAGGAGCAATGCTGTTGTAGTTCGAGGGTCAGGAAGCTGGCGACTCAGGGAGGAGAGTTCTTGTTCTAGTTCGAGGGTCATCGAGCTACAGGCCCAGGCAGGTGCAATGTTGTTGTAATTCAAGGGTCAGGAAGCTGGCGACCCAGGGAGGAGAGGTCTTGTTGTTATTTGAGGGTCATGGAGCTGCAGACCCAGGCAGGAGCAATGTTGTTGTAATTTGAGGGTCCAGAAGCTGACGACGCAGGGAGGAGAGGTCTTGTTTGAGATTGAGGGTCGTGGAGCTGCAGACCCAGGCAGGAGCAATGTTGTTTTAGTTTGAGGGTCCGGAAGCTGGCAAACCAGGGAAAAGAGGTCTTGTTCTAGCTAAGGGTCGTCGAGCTACAGATCCAGGGAGGAGCAGTGTTGTAGTTCGAGTCCGGAAGCTGGCGACCCAGGGAGGAGAGGTCTTGTTGTTATTTGAGGGTAATGGAGCTGCAGACCCAGGCAGGAGCATTGTTGTTGTAATTCGAGGGTCCGGAAGCTGGAGACCCAGGGAGGAGAGGTCTTGTTCTAGTTTGAGGGTTGTCGAGCTACAGACCCAGGCAGGAGCAATGTTGTTGTAGTTCGAGGGTCAGGAAGCTGGAGACCCAGGGAGGAGAGGTCTTGTTCTTATTTGAGGGTCGTGGAGCTGCAGACCCAGGCAGGAGCAATGTTGTTGTAATTTGAGGGTCCGGAAGCTGGAGACCCAGGGAGGAGAGGTCTTGTTCGAGTTTGAGGATCATGGAGCCGCAGACCCAGGGAGGAACAATGTTGTTGTAGTTCGAGGGTCCTGGAGCTGCAGACCCAGGGAGGAGCCATGTTGTTTTGAGTGTCATGGAGCTGGAGATCCATGGAGGAGTTGGTGCTGCCTTTCAAGTCTGGGAGTCATTGAGCTGGAGATCCAGGGAGGAACAAGTGTTGCTGTTCTAGTCTGAGGGTAGTGAAGCTGGAGACCCAAGGAAGAGCCGGTGCTGCTGTTCATGCCTGAGTGTTGTGGAACTGAAGAACCAGAGAGGAGGCGGTGCTGCTGTTCTAGTTTAAGGGTAGTGGCGCTGGAGATCCTGGGGAGAGCCGGTGCCGTCGTTTAAATCTGTGGGTCCTGGAGCTGGAGCCCTAGGCAGGAGCTGGTGTTGTTGTTGTTGAAATCCGAGGTCATGGGGCTTGAGGTACAGGGAGGATCCGCTGCTGCTGTTCAAGTCTGAGGGTCGTGTAGCTAGAGAGCGGGGAGGAGGTAGTCTTGGTGTCTAGTGTGAGGGTGGTGGAGCTGTACACCTGGGGAGGAGCTGGTACTGCTGTGTAGTTTGAGGGTCATGGAACTGGAGACCTAGGGAGGAGCCAGTGCTACTGCCATTTAAGTCAGAAGGTTGTGGATCTGGAGTTTTGGGGAACAGCCCGTGCTGCTGTTTAACTGTGGGGAGGTTCCTGTGTGTCAGTTGAAGTTTGATGGTTTGGGAGCTGGAGACCCAGGGAGGAGCCAGTGCTGCTGTTCTAGTTTGAGGGTAGTGGAGCTGGAGATCCCGGGAAGAGCTGGTGCTGTCCTTTAAATCTGTGGGTCCTGGAGCTGGAAAACTGGTGGGGAGCTAGTTCTGCCATTCATGTCTTAGGGTCGTGGAGCTGGAAATCCAGGGAGGCAGTGGTGCTGCTGTTCTAGTTTAAGGATCATGAAGCTGGAGACCTGGATAGCAGATGGTGCTACCATTATTCAAATCTGAGGGTCATGGAGCCGGAGCCTTGGGGAGTTGCCGGTGCCGCCTCTCAAGTCTGAGAGTTGTTGAGCTGGAGATGCAGGGAGGAGCCCGTGTTGCTGTTGTAGTTTGAGGGTCATGGAGCTGGAGACTCAGAGAGGAGGGGTGCTGTTCTAATCTGAGGGGTGTGAATCTGGAGACCCAGGGAGGAGCTGGTGCTGCTGTTGCTTAAGGCTGAGGGTTGTGGAGCTGGAGACCTGGGGGTGGCTGGTGTTGCTGTTGTTCAAGTCAGAGGGTCATGGGGCTTGAGGTACAGGGAAGAGCTCGTGCTGCGGTTGCAGGTTGAGGGTCATGGAGCTGGAAATCTAGGGAGGAGCCACTGCTGCTGTTCAAGTCTGAGGGTCGTGTAGCTGGAGAGCGGGGAGGAGGTAGTGTTGGTGTCTAGTGTGAGGGTGGTGGAGCAGTAGACCTGGGGAAGAGCCGGTGCTGTGTAGTTTGAGGGTCATGGAACTGGAGACCTAGGGAGCAGCCAGTGCTACCACCATTTAAGTCAGAGGGTCATGGATCTGGAGCTTTGGGTAACAGCCCATGCTGCTGTTTAACCTTGGAGGGATCCGGTGTGTCAGTTGAAGTTTGAGGGTTTGGGAGCTGGAGACCCAGGGAGGAGCTGATGATGCCATTCTATTTTGAGGGTCGTGGATCTGGAGACCTTGGGAGAGGCTGGTACTGCTGTTGAAGTTTGACGGTCGTGGAACCGGAGACAGGGGAAGGAGCCGGTGCTGCTGCTGTTCATGTCTGAGGGTTGTAGAGCTGGAGACCCAGGGAGAAGTCCATACTACGGCTTTTTAAGTCTGAGGGTCATGGAGCCTGAGACCTGGGGAGGGGCCAGTGCTGCTGTTCAAATGACTCCTTCCTGGGTCTCCAGCTCCATGACCTTCAAACTAGGACAGCAGCAGCAGATCCTTCCGGGGTCTTCCAGCTCCATGACCTTCACACTAGAACAGCAGCACCGGCTCCACCCTGGGTCTCCAGATCCACGACCCTCAAACTAGAACAGCAGCACTGACTCCTCCCTGGGTCTCCAGCTCTACAACCCTCAGACTCGAGGAGCTGGAGACCTGGGGAAGAGCCAGGGCTGCTTTTCTACTTTGAGGGTTGTGGAGCTGGAGACCCAGGGTGCAGCAGCTGCTGCTATTATAGTTTGAGGGCCTTGGAGCCAGAAACTTTGTGAGGAGCCGGTGCTGCGTTTCAAATCTGAGAGTCATTGAGCTGGAGACCCAGGGAGGAACCGGTGTTGCTGTTCTAGCCTGAGGGTAGTGAAGCTGGAGACCCAAGGAGGAGCCGATGCTGCTGTTCTAGTTTGAGGTTAGTGGAGCTGGAGGTCACAGGAAGAGCCGGTGCTGCTGTTTAAATCTGTGGGTCCTCGAGCTGGAGCCCTGTGGGGGAGCTGGTGTTGCTGTTGTTCAAGTCTGAGCATAATGGGGCTTTAGGTACAGGGAGGAGCCGCTGCTGTTCAAGTCTGAGGGTCATGTAGCTGGAGAGTGGGGAGGAGGTAGTCTTGGTGTCTAGTGTGAGGGTGGTGGAGCTGTAGACCTGGGGAGGAGCCGGTGCTGCTGTGTAGTTTGAGGGTCATGGAACTGCAGACCTAGGAAGGAGCCGGTGCTACCGCCATTTAAGTCAGAGGGTCATGGATCTGGAGCTTTGGGGAACAGCCCGTGCTGCTGTTTAACTGTGGGGAGGATCTGGTGTGTCAATTGAAGTTTGAGGGTTTGGGAGCTGGAGACCCAGGGAGGAGCCGGTGATGCCATTCTATTTTGAGGGTCGTGGATCTGGAGACCTGGGGAGAGGCTGGTACTGTTGTTGTAGTTTGAGGGTCGTGGAAGTGGAGACAGGGCGAGGAGCCGGTGCTGCTGCTGTTCATGTCTGAGGGTTGTAGAGCTGGAGCCCCAGGGAGAAGTCCATACTATGGCTTTTTAAGTCTGAGGGTCATGGAGCCTGAGACCTGGGGAGGAGCTGGTGCTGGTGTATAGTTTGAGGGTCGTGGAACTGGAGACCTAGGGAGGAGCCGGTGCTACCGCCACTTAAGTCAGAGGTTCGTGGATCTGGAGCTTTGGGGAAGAGCCCGTGCTGCTATTTAGCTGTGGGGAGGATCTGGTGTGTCAATTGAAGTTTGAGGGTTTGGGAGCTGGAGATCCAGGAGGGAGCCTATGATGCCATTCTATTTTGAGGGTCATGTATGTGGAGACCTGGGGAGAGGCCGGTACTGCTGTTGTAGTTTGAGGGTTGTGGAAGTGGAGACAAAGGTAGGAGGCGGTGCTGCTGCTGTTCATTTCTGAGGATTGTAGAGCTGGAGGTCCACGGAGGAACCAGTGTTGCTGTTCTAGTCTGAGGGTAGTGAAGCTGGAGACCCAAGGAGGAGCTGGTACTATTGTTCATGTGTGAGGATTGTGGAGCTGGAGAACCAGAGAGGAGCCGGTGCTGCTGATCTAGTTTGAGGGCCGTGGAGCTGGAGATCCCGGGAAGAGCCAGTGCTGCCGTTCAAATCTGTGGGTCTTGGAGTTGGAGTGCTGGGGTGACCCGGTTCTTTCATTCATGTCTTAGAGTCATGGAGCTGGAAACCCAGGGAGGCGGCGGTGCTGCTGTTCTAGTTTAAGGATAGTGAAGCTGGAGACCTGGACAGGAGCTGGTGCTACCACTGTTCAAATCTGAGGGTCATGGAGCTGGAGCCTTGGGGAGGTGCCGGTGCTGCCTCTCAAGTCTGTGAGTTGTTGAGCTGGAGATTCAGGGAGGAGCCAGTGTTGCTGTTGTTGTTGGAGGATTGTGGAGCTGGAGGCTGAAGAGGAGCTGGTGTTGCAGTTCAAGTTTGATGGTCGTGGAGCTGGAGACCTGGGGAGGAGCTGGTGCTACCACCGTGTAAGTTGAGGGTTGTGGAGCTGGTGGCCCCAGGGAAGAGCCAGTGCTATAGTTGAAGTTTGAGGGAGCTGGAGACCCAGGGAGTAGCTGGTGCTGCTGTTCTAGTTTGAGGTTTGTGGAGCTGGAGCCTTGGTTGGGAGCCAGTGCCACCTCCCAAGTCTGAGAGTCATTGAGCTGGAGATCCACGGGGGAGCTGGTGCTGCTGTTGTAGTTTGAGGATCATGGAGCTGGAGACCCAGGTGGAGCTGGTGCTGCAGTTGGAGTTTGAGGGTCAGGGAGCTGGAGATCTGGGGAGGAGCCAGTGCTGCTGTTTAAGTCTGAGGGTCGGGGAGCTAAACATGGAGCCAAAGTTGGGGAAGTAGAGAGAGTTACAGGATGACCCTGGAAACGGTGATGTAGCTGTAGCCCAAGCAAGCTAAGCTTGGGAACTTCTCAATGCTAGTGATGAGTGCATTCTTTTTCCTCTTATACAGTTTGGATTTCTTTTCTGTCTCATAAGACAGAAAGTTCCTGATTAATACCCTTAGGAATTGAAAAGCTTAAAAAAACTAAAGGATGTTGGTAATAATAATAATAGGAATTAAACCATGATTATCCTGGCTGACAGAGACAAAATCACACACACACAATATATATCTTTCAATCAGTTAGTAAAATAAAAAATAAATGGAAAAATAGACCCAAGCAAAGCTATAAAAAGTTGTTTCATGGAGAAGCAATGGAGGACGGAGATTAATCTGAGAGTTGCTATTAATGGAGAAACTGAGAACTTACGATTTTTCCCGTGAGGTTTTGGTGTAGAATGATATTGTGTGAGTTCTGGCAGCTGAGTCACTTCACACAGCCCGGTGATGCAGTAGGTGTCACAGAATGACCCTCTCCCAGTTGGTCCTGCCTCTCTGCTACGATGAGTGCGGCCTCTGATCCCCAACAGCTGAATGTGTCTTGAGACCAGGCCCATGAGCACAAGGGTTTCCATGGTGAAGGTTCCTGGATGGAACACTGTGGATGTTCCTAATGTTCTTTCCTGATGTTCATCTGCCATCTTGCTATTTAATGCAATGTCTTCTAAATATTGAATAGAAAAAAAGCATTTGTACAGTATGGGCAAAGTATAAAGAATATCCACACACTGGACACACAGACAGGGAGGGGCACCCACAACAAACTCCTTTTGCCTGGGAGCAGGTGTTGTCCTTGAGTCCTGTGTCGCCTGTTTCTTCCTCCGCCTTGGCCTACAGGCCCGATGTGATCTAACCTCTGCCTGACTCTCCGACTCCATCTCCCCTCCCACTCCTGTTCTTTCTAACAATTATGTTACAGCCTCAGTGAACGTGACAAGGACCCTGAACTTAGTAAAGACAGTGGCTTTACTAAGACAGAGGTTCATTCCTTTCACATGAAAGTCCAAGCCAGTCGGGTGATTCTTCTTTGTGCATTTTTCAGGGTCTTAGGCTACTTCCATCTTGCTGCTCTGACTTTCTTAGGGTGTAGCTTCCCCCACAGTGTCCATCCTATCTACTGCCAGTGAGCAGGGAGGGGAGAAGAGAATATGAGGACACAAATCTTCCTTCCTCTAAAGGCAGTTGCTGTGCACTGGCCTCATGTGCATTGGCCACTGCCTGGTCATGTGGCCACTCCTTGCTGCAAAGGATGCTGGGAAGTTTTCATCCTGGATGCCAGTGCCCACCTGGGTGACTTCTGAAGTTGAGGGGGGAGGGGACACGAAAGAGAGTCACTGGCTCTTCCCACTGTCATGCACATTGCTCCAGTCTAGGGTGACCCACTGCCTCAGCTTGCTCAGGACTGAGGGGGCTGGTGGGGCACAGACCTTTCAGTTTTATAACAGGGGCAGTTCCAGGCAAATCATCCCAGCTTGGCTGAGACTCAGAAGTTTCCTGGGACGTGGGATTTCTAGTGTTAAAACCGGGAAAGTTCTGGGCAAACCTGGACAAGTTGGTGCCTGCCATGGGGCCTTTGCATCTACTGTTACCCCTGTCCGGGATTCCCTTTCTGCAACTCTGTGCGGTGCTCACTCCTCTTCTGTTGAGGAAAGGCTGCTCTCTGGGTGCCCCCCGGGTGCCTGGTCTGCTGTACTCAGCACTACATGCTTTGTGAAAATCCCTCCATGCTCTTCATAGAATGAGATCTGTTCTTTCCACCCTTCCCTGACCACTTCAGTTTCAAAGTCTCTAAGGATTATTAATTTTTATTCTCTTCACCATTGAAAGACACATCTCTTTCCCTAAGGCTGTGGCTGTGTTCATGCATAGTCAGATAAATCTGATATTAATAATAACCTGAACGAAAAACATGTATTAAATCCCAAGATTATGATGTAGGAAGCAGGGATTCTGAAGAGATGTGTAAGCCTAATAAAGGCCAAAGGGTGTGGATTAAAAGGAAATGTGGGGTGGAGAAACATTTCATGAAATAGAACCCCACCTCTTGGGTGAGTTCATTGGTACAACGTTTCTAGAGGGCAATTTGGCAACTGGCCAATGAAAGTGCATAACTTTTGGTCCCAAATTTCATTAATAGGCATTTATCCCTAGGAAATAGTCAGAAAAATATGCAAAGATGAATCTCTAAGGATTTTTATAAGAAGAAAGGAGTAGGAAGCATAAATGCCCGCTGGTGGTCCTGCACCCTGGCACCAGTGCTCCCCTCTCCTAGTGGGTGGGCACACCCTACATTTTCCCAGGCTTCCTTGCAGTGAGTTGTGGCCAGGTGACCAGGTTCTGGCCAATGGGAGGTAATAAAATTGTTGGGTGGTATTTTTGGAGACCCCCTTCTGTAACTTCTGTCTTGATATGGTTTGGATGTTGGTCCCCTCCACATTTCATGTTGAAATGTGATCCCTGATGTTGGAGGTGGGGCGTGGTGGGAGGTGTTTTGGTGATGTGGGCAGATCCCTCTCACAATGGCTTGGTGCTGTCCCGATGGCAATGACTGAGTTCTTGCTCTGAGTTTATGGGAGATCTGGTTGTTTAAAGGGCCTGACACATCCTCCTCCTTCTCTTGCTCTTTCTCTCGCCATATGATGTATCTGCTTCCCTTTCACCTTCTGCCATGATTGGAAGCTTCCTGAGGCCTCCCCAGGAGCAGATGCTGGTGCCATGCCTGTACAGCCTGCAGAACTGTGAGCCAATTAAACCTCTTTTCTATAAATAACCCAGCCTCAGGAATTCCTTTATAGCAATGCAGATGGACTGACACATATCTTTAGTGTCATTTCTTAGTTGTTCCATCCTTTGACATGCTTCCTGGAATAAGCATATGATGGTTGGAGCTATTCTTGTCATCTTGAACCTTGATTCTACCCTGCGGATAGCAGAATGTCCTCTGGAAGGAAATGAAAGTCCCTAATGCCACCCCAGACTGACAACCTCCGGTTTTGTTTTTACTTTTTTATTTTTTGAGACAGAGTCTTGCCCTGTTGCCCAGGCTGGAGTACAATGGCATGATCTCAGCTCATTGCAACTTCTGCTTCCTGGGTTCAAGTGATTCTCATGCCTCAGCCTCCCGAGTAGCTGGGATTACTGATGCGTGCCACCATATTCAGTTATTTTTTTATTTTTAGTAGAGATAGGGTTTAACCACGTTGAGCAGGCTAGTCTCAAACTCATGACCTCAAGTGAAACACTCGCCTTAGCCTCCCAAAGTGCTGGGATTACAGGCGTGAGCCACTGTGCCCGGCCCAGTCTTGGTTTTTATGAGATAAACTTCTGTCTTGGCTGAAGTTACATCACTGATAGGTGATATAACTGTAATTGAATAAAAAGCAGGAAATTCATGTAATACTTATATCTACATATGCACATACCAAAACTAATAGTGATCTGTTGTTATCTATATGTAAATATGGACACAAAATATTGTTTAGTGTAAACAAAGCTCTTTTTTTTTTTTTTTGAGACAGAGTCTCACTCTGTTGCCCAGGCTGGAGTGCAATGGTGAGATCTCGGCTCACTTCAACCTCCGCCTCCTGGGTTCAAACAATTCTCCTGCCTCAGCCTTCCAAGTAGCTGAGATTACAGGTGCATGCACCACACCCAGCTAATTTTCATATTTTTAGTAGAGCTGGGGTTTCCCCATGTTGTCCAAGCTGGTCTCAAACTCCTGACCTTCAGTGATCCTCCTGTCTTGGACTGCCAAAGTGCTGTGATTACAGGCATGAGCCACTGCACCTGGCCCATAAAGCTTTATTCTGTTTTAATGAAGCAAAAATGCATAAGTGTGTGTGATCATATGTGTGTGTATTGTCTAATAGGAGCACTACATAGCAAAATGCGAATGCTGCTTATCTTTGGTGTTGGAATCACTTGTGATTTAAAATCTTGTTTTCTTCTATTTTTAAAAACTTTCAAAATGAGTTGTGACTTTGATTATTAGAAAAAAAATCTATAATAATTGAGAGGAAAGAAAACCCCACCTGCTGTTGAAACTGACTGGAGCTGGGAGAAATGAGAGATTCCTTTGAAAGTGTCACCTCCCTACCAGAAAAGTGGCCTTGCAGGACTGTCCTACAAGCCAGATGTGCCTCTTTCCCTTGGTCCCTGTACCTGGTGTGAGGTCACACAGACAGTGAGCATCCTTCACAGAGTCTGACCTGCCAAGGTCGGGGGGATGTGGGGGTCTAGTGACATTCAGAACCCGGGGGAGCCGAACAGGTGTGACTGTGCGTTTGCAGGATGACCTCTCCCCTCAAAGAGCAAGAAATAACTCTAGTGCAATTTCCAAACATTTACAAGAGAGGATTTTTAAACTTTTCACTTCTTTATTCCAACTAGCACATTTGGAAGCATAAAATGCACAAAGAAGACCTGCTATTTACAATCGCTTTCACTAAGCCAGTGTTATATTCAAAAATGGCAGATAAAGCTCATGGCTTTGATGAAAGGGGCAGTCTTTTCATTGGCAACAATTAATACTGCTCCCCGTTCTGGGGAGAATTTAAAGAAAATAATTTGGAGGAGATATGGGTTGGCATGACACAAACAAATGATTTCAGATCACAAATGTAATCATTTGATCTTGCTTTACCAAACATTTCAGAACAATTTGGCATCACATTCTCTTCTGAGTCTGTGAAACTGAATTCTGGGAGAGTCTGAATTCTCAAGGCAGGACTGAGGATAGAAAAGATTTGATGGCAGAACCCTGGTACTGTGGTTGTCACATGGGTTAAAGACGTAGGCTTGGTTAACCCACCGAACCTGCTTATGTATGAGGCTCACCTGAGAAGGTGATATTGACAAGCCCATCCTATGGGTCTGAGGGCTCTTCACCAGGAGTGGAGCAAGGAGGATGGCCCCAGTGTCCCCATCTCTGAACACATTTAGGGGGAGGGCTGTAGAGCCTGGACAGATCACCACTGGCTCCATGGGGAAATTTCAGCAGCACTCATTGCCTGTGTCTGTTCTGTGCCAGGTGCTGTGCTCAGGGCGGGGATTTGGGATTCACCAGGGCACAAGGCGACGTGCCTCTCTCCTCACGGACCCTAAGCGCTGGTGGACAATGCAGATGTCAACCGCAAATGATGAGGCACTTGCAGGTAGCGTTCAGCACCAAGAAGGAAATGAAGGGTGCGTGTCGCTGACTGTGACTCTGGTGGGGGCAACTTAAATAGGGCCATGGGGGAGGGCCTCTCTGAGGAGGTGACATTTGAGCTGAGGCCTCACCAGTCAGAAGGAAAAAGCTGTAAAGGGTCTGGGATAAACTCAACCTGCAGACTTTTAAAATAATATAAGGTGTTACAGCTCTTTCAGAATTTGTCTAGTATGTTTTCCGGTTTTCACTCCCAGGTAGGCTCGGGAAGAGGCATCTGTGCCCAGCTCGTGGCCTGTTCTTTGCACTTGCGGTGGAGATCCTCTTCTCCCACAGCTGTCCCCCCGGGGCCTGCTCCCAGGTGGGGTCTGGTTTTCACCAGAAAGCCCTCCATGAAAAAAAAAAAAAACACAATTGAATTTGAATTAGTTGCCAACATTTACAGTTTAATTCTAAAAATATGTATTTTCGACTTCGTTGGAAAGTCACACTATCTGACCAGGCCGGGCTGCGATCTGGTGGATTTCAGTATTTCGGTTTCTGGTTAGGGAGGGTATTTGGGGTTTGCCCCTGCAGCATCTGTCCCAGTGTGGAGCGGGAGTGGGGGCCCAGGCTTAGTGGGGAGAACTGCAGTGGCCGAGGGTCTTGGCTGTCTCCAGACAGCCGGATGGACCCTGCCATCTCCTGCTTGGGGTGGGCTGGGGTTCTTTGCTGCCCTCCTCACAGCCCACAGCCTCCTGAATTCCACTGAGACCACCGCCATGTGAGGCTGGGAAGGGAAACCTGCCTTTGTAAGTGAAAGCAGTTGAAGCCGGGCTGGAATGTGTCAGTCAGAAACTAAAAGGCCCTATCACAAGCATGGCCAGGAAGACTGTCACCATTGTGGCATGCAAATGACAGAGATGTGTGGGACAACGTCTACCAAGAGACAAGCCAGGTGAGGGCAGGTTGTCGTGAAGGAAGGAGGGGTCCTCCCCACAGCAGCAGCGCCATCCTGCAGAGAAACGGCCCCTGGAGATGGATGCGTTCCAAGGAGGCCCTGTGCTGTGCCTAGTGGGTGGCTCGAGGCCTGAATGCCAGGCACTCAGAGCGGTCAGTGTCCCCATGGGAGCAGGGGTGCTCTCAGCTAGGTGATTGGGGTCCTTGGATGGTCAGCCCCTGTGTGTATGCGAGGGGGTGGCCCTCTGCTCTGTCCCTTCTGAAGGCAGCCATAAGGGCTGGGATCTGGTGGATTTTGGTATTTCAGTTTCTGGTTAGGGAGGGTATTTGGGGTTTGCCCCTCCAGCATCTGTCCCAGTGTGGAGTGGGGAGCAGCCATAAGGGAAGGAGGCCAAAGCGCTCAGCATCAGATAAGCCTGGATGCAGTTCCTACTTCCTGCCAGGCCAGTGCCTCTGAGCCTCAGTTTCCTCATCTGTATAGTGGGGTTAATCCCAACCATGTATACTGCCTGCCTGCCATGTGCCAGGCCCTTCTTACACATCTTTGATTGCTTGAGGGCAGGGACTTTATTATCCTCCTTTAGAGTTGAGAAAGAAGAGGCACAGAAAGGTTAAACCACTTACCTGGGGTCACACAGCTACTATTGCAGAGTAAAGTCTCCAGACTCAAATGGAGCACTAAGCCCCGCCCTGGGCACCAACAGGTGTTCCAGGAATGTCCGGTGCCATTTATCACCTTCATCACCTGCTGGGAGTGCTCATCCCATCATGCAAACCCCGTGAGCGTGAAGTGAAGGGACACGTGCAGGATCGAGTGTGCTGGCGGGTAACGTCAGTAAAGTAATAACCACAGGATGATATTCATAACCCATATTAGTGCTACCAACAGCCACATCTGCCTGCTTCTCTGGGCCCAGGATTGTCTGCAAGCTCCCAGGAGCTGGTCCTGACTGGGTCAGAAGAAAGGTCTGAGGTTATGGAAGGAGCAGCTTGCCCAGCTTGTGGCCTGTTTTGTACATTGGAAGTCCCTGTCCCCCACAGCTGTGCCCCAGGGCCTGCTCCCAGGTGGGCTTGGGAGACCCCAGAGCTGCATGGCTTTAGGCCAGGGTTCTGCTGGGTGCTGTGTGTCTGTGGGAGTGATGCACCCCCGCAAACCTCTCGCCCTGCCAGCTGCTGGACACACAGCAGCTACAGGGCATGAACTCTGAGACCAGGACCACTGTTGGTCCTGGGAGGCAGAAGTTGCAGTGAACCAAGATTGCACCACTGCACTCCAGCCTGGGTGACAAAGTGAGATTCTGTCTCAAAAAAAAAAAGAAACAGACATTTATATGAGACAGTCTGTAGAGGTTTGAAATGCAACATGATCCATCATGCAGATTTTTATAGAGAATTAATTGTTTCAGTTCAGTGTGAAGGGAATTAAACTCCTCTCTTCACTAGAATTTTCCAAACTGTTAAGGGGACATATGTAATTGTCACCTGCATCACATGTAATCAGGGGCCCATATGAAGAAGTGAAACGTTCTTTTCTTACATGATTGCTTTTGGTGAATTGAGCAGTTTTGTATTCATCATTCAAAATGCACAGGCCAGGGGAATGCCCAATACTTCCAGCTGCCTACCCTCCCACTCCAACTAACGTAAGCAGGCAAGCAATGGCTGTTGATAAAGACACAATGGTCATCATCACATTTCAGGGTTTGTGTGTGTGTGTGTGTGTGTGTGTATTTGTTTGTTTGTTTTGAGACGAAGTCTCACTCTGTTGCCCAGGCTGGAGCGCAGTGGCATGATCTCAGCTCACTGCAACCTCAGCCTCCCAGGTTCAAGCAATTATCATGCCTCAGTCTCCCTGAGTAGCTGGGATTACAGGCACCCGCCACCACACCCAGCTAATTTTTGTAATTTTAGTAGTGATGGGGTTTTTCTATGTTGGCCAGGCTGGTCTTCAACTCCTGGCCTCAAGTGATCTGCCCACCTCGGCCTCTCAAAGTGCTGGGATTGCAGGTGTGAGCCACCACATCCAGCCAACATTTCAGGGATGTTTGTTTGTTTGTCTTTAAGACAGGGTCTCTCTCTGTTGCCCAGGCTGAATGCAGTGGTGTGATCATGGCCCACTGCAGCCTCAACCTCCCGGGCTCAAGCAATCCTCTTGCCTCGCTCTCCTGAGTAGCTGTGAATACAGGTGCATGCCACCATGCCTGGCTAGTTTTTGTATTTTTTGTAGAGATAGGGCCTTGCCATATTGCCCGGGCTGGTCTCAAACTCCTGGGCTCAAGCAATCCGCCCACCTCGGCCTCCCAAAGTGTTGGAATTACAGACATTTCAGTTTTTTAAAAAATCAAAAAAACATGACTAGATACAATCAGGATTTCAGTAGAAGTAGAAAATACGGGAATGTCAGAGAGCAAATAAGTGCAGAGAGAACAGGGGCTGAGAAGAGGAATGTGGGAAGACGGGAAGCGCTGGGCGGAGATGAGGATAGGGACGGGCTGGGGATGAGGTCTGGAGTGCAGGCTACAGTCAGGAAACCGAAAGCTGCCCAAAGCATTAAGATTGCCTAAGCCAGAAGCACATGAAGCAGTTTTCAAGAGAATAAGGAGCAAAAGATCATTAAACTCACTTACCAGGAGAGACAAGAGATGGTGGCAGTAATTTAATGAGAGAGGCCTTGACACTACAAAAAAATCTAAATTCATTCTTTGCCCAACTGTTCATAAGGGAACAGGGGGAAGTGGTTGCCTTCAGAAACCATAATACATTTTTCTTACTGAGGCAAAATTTACAGAGAGGAAGAGATGGGAAAAAGAAGCAACCGAGGTGATGGGAAATGGAGCTGATTTATTCTTGATGTTGGAGCGGCAGTTTCTCTAACACAGATAAACTTTAAAAACCAGCTCAGACCCGTCCCTTGAGCCCTCACTGGTCCCTCTCCACAGGTCCCAGCCCGTTCAGAGTTTTCAAGGAAGCAGCTCCCAGGCTACTGTCACCTTCGTGGGACCTGTGAGCCCCTCATCACCCAAGCTGGCAGAATCCCTCCAACTCATGGCTCCGTGAAACCTGAGTGCCTGCCTCCGCTGACCGATTCCCTGGGTGGATTTTCTTCTGGTGGTCAGAAAAATACATCAGTCTTTTCCAGATGTCTGGCATTACATTCTGTCATTTGGAATACAGTTGATTCTTGAACAATGTGGGAGTTAGGGGCACCAAACCCCATGCAGTCGAAAATCCACATGTAATTTTGACTCTGCAAAAACTTAACCACTGATAGCCTACTGTTGACCAGAAGCCTTACTGGTCAACATAAACAGTTTTTGTATGTTAAATGTATCATATGTTGTATTCCTATAATAAAGTCGGCTAGAGCAAAGAAAATGTTATTAAGAAAATCATACGGAAGGGAATATACATTTACTCTTCATTAAGTGGAAGTGGGTCATCATAAAGGTCTTCATCCTTGTCTTCTTCACATTGAGTAGGCTGAGGAGTAGGAGGAGGAAGAGAAGGGGTTGGTCTTACTGTCTCGGGGTGGCAGAGGCAGAAGAAAATCTGCGTATATGTGGTCTCTGGTAGTTCTAACCTGTGTTGTTCAGGGTCCACTGTATTTGTTACCCAGTGGGGTGAAATCAAGATAAATTAAACACAGGTAAGTCCCATCTCAAGAAGTCCAATACATAAAAATCTGCCCATAGAATACTCAAATGAAACAACTGAAAGAGACCCAAGTCTCTTTTGGATCCAATTTCCTCAACACTGAAGAGGAGAATGTGGCCCTCTGAGAGGCATTCAGTTGGACTCTGTGTAGTGAGATTGCTGTTTCTTTATCTAGGGTCTGGACAGAGGGTCTGGGCAGAGGTGCGTGTACCTGGTGAGGATTAATTGAAATGTACTCTTATGATCTGGACACGTTTCTTTTCTTCCTCTTCCTCTTCCTCCTCTCCTCCTCCTCCTCCTTTTTTTTTTTAATAGAGATGAGGTCTCACTATGTTGCCCAGGCTGGTCTCAAACTCCTGACTTCAAGTAATCGACCCACCTCGGCCCCACAAAGTGCTGGGATTACAGGTGTGAGCCACCGCTCCTGGCCTGGGCACTTTTCTTATGCATGCTGTCATTCAATATTTTTACTCCCAGTGGGATTTTGATTGAGGAAGAGCAAGGCATTTTTTGTTTTGTTTTGTTTTTGAGATGGAGTCTCGCTCTGTTGCCCAGGCTGGAGTGCAATGGCACGATCTCGGCTCACTGCAACCAACCTCATCTCACTTGTCCTCCCAAAGTTCTGGCATTACAGGCCTGAGACACCGTGCCCAGCCTGAGCAAGGCATTCTTTAAAGGTGAGCCACCCCACTGCGAGGCTGTTTGAGCCACTCCCTCAGGAACCACCCATTCCTGGTTCTTTCCCATGGGATTTGCTCCAGCCTCTGCTGCTCTGGCTTCCCCAGCTTCCCATTCCTGGCTCCCCTCCTACCCTCCTGCTTTGTCATGTCCCCTCCAGATCCCCCAAGGACCCTGGCTGGGCTGGCCCTCCCATCCCAGAGTCCCCTGTGGCCCCCACTGTCTTGGCTCAGGGAAGCCTCTTTTCCAGACAGGCCCATCCTGGCCACCACCCCACCCTCCATCCCCCAGATGGCACATGTACAAGTCCATCACAGACCCCATCAGAGCCCAGATTTCTTTGGTGAAGATGTGACTTGGCACAGATCAACCCACTCTCTTGAAATTGCATTTCTGGGCTGCATAATCCAGAGGCAGGGCACAGCTGGTATCCAGACCCCCTGTAATGATTTAGAGAAGGAAAAGAAATCTTGGCTGGGCATGGTGGCTCACACCTGTAATCCTAGCACTTTGGGAGGCTGAGGCAAGTGGATCACATGAGGTCAGAAGTTCAAGACCAGCCTGGCCAATATGGCAAAACCCTGTCTCTACTAAAGATACAAAAATTAGCCGGAAGTGGTGGCATGTGCCTGTAGTCCAAGCTACATGGGAGGCTGAGATGGGAGAATTTCTTGAACCCAGGAGGCGGAGGTTGCAGTGAGCTGAGATCACGCCATTGCGCTCCAGCCTGGGTGACAGAGGGAGGGTCCATCAAAAAAAGAAAGAAAGAAAGAAAGAGAGAGAGAGGGGGGGGGGGCGGAGAGAGAGAGAGAGAGAGAGAGAGATCTTAGAGCCCAGGAAGAGAACAAGAACAGGCCAGGCAGACAGTGACTATCGGTCTTCCCCAGTCAGCTTTCCACCCTGCACCCTCCATGGTCTTTCTCCATCCAGCTCCAAGCACAGTCACTCTACTGCGTAAAAACCCTCCAGCTCCTGAAATGGAAAAATACACTTCCAAAGTGTCGTGCTCCCATCACTAACTCCCCGAAAAACTCACCGTCCACACCCTGTGCATATTCGATGTTGGCTCTTATCTTTAATTTCCTCTCCCCATTTTATCTTGGATTATTTTGGGTTTTTTGTTCTGTTTTGTTTTGTTTTTTTGTTTTTTCCTATTTTTTAAGAACTCAGTACTTTTACCATCGCCCTTTTGAAACTCTGGAGCAATACAAGCATTTAAGACTATAAATTTTCTTCTGAGTACAGCGCTAGCCGAGTCCCTCAGATGCTGGTGTAAACTATTCTTGTTGTTTTCTAGAAACCATCATTCTAGTTTTGGTTTCTGCTTTGATCTGGGAGTTATCTAGGAGAGAATCCCTTCCCCAGTAAAAGGCACTGTTCTCTGTGTCCCATTCAATGCATTTTGACAAATGTGTCTACTCAAGTAAACATCATCCCAATCAAGACACAGAGCATTCCTAGCAGGGCCATGTTTTATTTTATTTATGTATTTATTGAGACAGAGTCTTACTCTGTCACCCAGGCTGGAGTGCAGTGGCATGTGATCTCAGCTTACTACCTTTGTTTCTTGGGCTCAGATGAGAGCTCCCACCTCAGCCTCCCGAGTAGCTGGGACCACAGGTGCACACCCCCACATCTGGCTAATTTTTTGTGTTTTTGGTAGAGATGGGGTTTCTCCATGTTGGCCAGGCTCATCTGGAACTCCTGAGCTCAAGTGATCCACCTGCATCGGCCTCCCAAAGTCCTGGGATTACAGGTATGAGCCACCACATCTGGCCAGGGCTATTTCTTTACCATTTATTTTAATGTCATTTGTAATGATCAGAGTGTGGCCTATAATAATATTTATTTTTAAAATTTTGTAAAGGTTTCTTTTGTATTCAAAGAAACAAAAGAAATAATTTATTAAAAATTCTTAAGCATCAAATATCCTCACCCTTGTGTACATTTCCAGCTCTGTTTCTGTATCCCTTCCATGAATTTCCTCTTCACCGCACTCCTAACCTGGTCTATCCATCCTTAAACTATAGCTCTAATCATGCCCCAAACACTCCTCCTCTTTCAATAGACTGTGAGTAGCTGAAGGGTCCGAGGCCGCATGGTTTCCATCTCTGTGTCCCTGCAGCTAGACCAGTGCTTGATGTGGCAGAGATGCTCCACCAACTTTCACTGACTACAGGTGAATTAAACACACCTGTGCTCTGGGGGGACGCAGGCAGGAGGGCAGGTGGTTCAGAGAACCCTTCCAGTGGCTGCAGCCTCATCTCTACCTTGGCTCCATTCACAGCAAGATATTCCAGATTCTTCTTCAGAGAGCCTGAATAATTAAGGGAAAACATTCTAACATTCACCTATTGGTTTCTCTGCCAAGCCCCAGTGTCTTGAAATAAGTAAATCATTTTAACCATCCCATCCTTGTGTCTCGGGGAAGGTGGTGATAGACAGGGAATCGATAGATTCAATCAGGGGAGTGAGAGGCATGTGGATAAAGGTCCCTGGCCAGGGCCTCTCTGCGGCCCTCGGGGCTGGAGACGCCTTAGAAATCCAATCAGGGCTCTTCACAGGGGACATCACCGCTGACCGTTGCTGCATTCTTACCCCTGAGCTGGCCGAGGGTCCCTGCCTAGAGATAGGGGGGCATGTGGGCTCAGGAAATAGAGACTCAAAGCCTCCACTTACCCCACACCTCAGCCTCTGAGGGATGCGGGGTCACCTGCTGGGAGGGAGGGGCAGAGGCCACAATGGGGGTGGCACATGGGTGGGACCTGGTCCTGTCTGGCTGAATGTCCCCCATGCTTTATCTTTTCCTCAGGCCACCTGGACTTTAAGAGCACTCACCTGACGCCCTCATGCCCCAGCTTTCGAGCCCGGCAGCACCCTTGACAGTGGCTGCCAGGCTCTGTGCCATCTGGCCCCTGCCTGCTCTCCTCTTTCACCTCCTCTGCCTTCCTGTTTCACTGGTTTCTCTCTGCTACTTTTTTTTTTTTTTGAGACAGTCTCATTGTGTCACCCAGGATGGAGTGCAGTGGCGCGATCTCGGCTCACTGCAACCTCTGCCTCCCTGGTTCAAGCCATTCTCCTGCCTCAGCCGCCCTCCCGAGTAGCCCGGCTAATTTTTGTATTTTTAGTAAAGACGGAGTTTCACTATGTTGGCCAGGCTGGTCTTGAACTCCTTACCTCAAGTGATCCACCCGCCTCAGCCTCCCAAAGTGCTGGGATTACAGGCGTGAGCCACCAGGCCCGGCTTCTTCCATTAATTTTTTTTTTTTTTTGAGACGAACTTTCACTCTGTTGCCCAGGCTGGAGTGCAGTGGCTCCACCTTGGCTCACTGTGATACAGTTCCGATGAGGGGAGGAACACCAGGGCTCTTGTCTCATGTCGAATTAGATAAGATGACACGGACACACATGGAGTGGTTTTAAGGAGCGGAGAGTTTAATAGGCAAGAAGGAAGGGAGAAGGAAGAAGCTCCCCTGTACAGAGACAGAGGAATGGGGGCTCCAAAGCCTAAAAAGGAGGTCCCCACCTGCCACGGATACCAGCCAGGTATATATACAGAGGCTGGAGGAGGCGGTGTCTGATTTGCATAGGGCTCAGGGGATTGGTTTGACCAGGCATGTCATTCATGGTAGCCCATGAAAAAGCTGGCCCTCCCACCCTAGTCTTTTAATATGCAAATACAGGGCGCCATGATGGGATATGTGGGGATATGTGGGGGCGGCTATGTTGCCAGGAACAGGTCAGGAAAGGGCAAGAAGGCTCCGGAATCTCCATGTTTGGGTGTACCCAGTTTCTAATGGCTGGCATTTGCATATCAAAGGTTGCCAGCCTGGCTCTAAGAGCCCAGGCTTTATGAGAAACTTTTCCGGAGATGCTTTAAAAAATGAAAACTTCCCAAGGACCCCTTTTCCTTTCTATCTGCCTAAAATAATTTCTTAATAACGCCTACCACAAGTGCAACCTCCGATTCCCAGGTTCAAGCAAATCTCATGCCTCAGCCTCCCAAGTATCTGGGACTATGGGCGTGTGCCACCACACCCAGCTAATTTTTGTATTTTTTTAGTAGAGACAGGGTTTCACCATGTTGGCCAGGCTAGTCTCGAACTCTTGACCTCAAGTGATCCACACACCTCGGCCTCCCAAAGTGCTGGGATTACAG
This sequence comes from Homo sapiens, assembly GCF_000001405.40. Taxonomy (NCBI): domain Eukaryota; kingdom Metazoa; phylum Chordata; class Mammalia; order Primates; family Hominidae; genus Homo; species Homo sapiens. The sequence goes on from NC_000007.14 coordinate 57,236,230, forward strand.
GTGTGAGCCACTGCACCCAGTCCCATTCATTCTTTCCCTGCAGGGGCTGCCCATCCTTTCTAGATATGCACCCCCACCCTTAGAATAGAATCCAGGTGGAGCCTTTAAAAGAGAAACCAATACTGCCCTGGGCAACTTTACGTTAGGGAAGAATGTTTTGGATTTAAATCAAAGGTTAGTGTTTAGGGTCCCTTCTGCAGGTGGGCAGGGGCCCTAGAGACTAAGGGTGAAGACACTGCTTGGCCCCAGGGTCACCTTTGGGCATCAGGGTCACACAGTGCACACTCCTGCAGGTTTCTGATGCCCCTTGTCTTCCCTCCAAGCCGGTCACTCCCATTAAAAAAAAAGGCGCCTACAAACCTTCTGGCGATTAGGCCAAATCTTAGAGTCAGCATAACCCTCCTCTTTCTCTTATTCCTCTATATCCCAACCATCTACCAAACCTGCTGGCTTTAGCTTCTGATGATGGCCACCATGTGATCGCCTGACCACACCACTCTGAATATGGAGGCCTGGGTGTCCATCATCCCTTCTTGACTGTGGCAAATCGCCTCCTTGCTGGTCTCCCTACATCGACTCCCTGCATTGATCCTGCACCATCCATGCTCACAGGCAGCCAGAGGGATCCTTTTAAAATATTAAGGCAAAATACATCAAGTCCTCTGTGCCAAACCCCACCTCATCTATCTCAGAATATGACCCAGATGTCTTTGCCATGACCCACGAGGCTCTCCATAACCTCAGCTCCAGCTCTCCTCCTTGTTCCCTCCATGCTGACCCTCCTAGAACACACCCAGCACACTCCACCCAGGGCCTTTGCACATGCGGGTCCGTCTGCCTGGAAACTTCCTCCCCCAGATGTGCACACACGGAAGACTCATTTAATTCCTTCAGGCCTCTGCTCAAAGGGGGCGCATCTCAGAGAGGACTTCCACATCCCCCAGTCTAAAGCAAACCCTCCAGCCACTTGATATTTCAAGTATATGTGCACACATACACACATATGTCTGTGACTGTACTTGCGGGGGCAGGCTGTACTTGTTGTTCACTGCCCCTCCCACCCCGCCAGCTCCCCGAGAACAGCGCCTTGGTCTTTTTCATCCACAGTTGCATCGCTGGTGCCTAGAGCATGCCTGGCACGTAGAAGCTGCTCTGAAAAGAGCTGGAGTATGAATGAAAGGTGGACTCTTCTGAGAGTGCTCCCTCTGCGGAGAACTCGGGGAGACAGACAGAAGCTGCCTGGCCCAGGGAGTCTGATTCCTGGGGCTGGACTTCTTGTCTGGTTTCCCTCCAGGAAGGTGTCCCTAAGAGAATAAGTTGTACTTTATCTTCTCAGTACAAAGGATCTTTTTGTAATTCTCTGGCATGGGAACCATTCCAGAAGCCCCAGAGTCACCAAGCTTGGCCGCACTGAACACACTTCCTAGAACGAGCCTCAAATGGTCGAGTCTGCCCGTCTCCAGACACCCAGTTCCTGGCTGTCCATCAGAACAGAGCCGGACAATCAGGGTGTGGGGCTTGGTGCATCTGAGGGTTCATCTCGGGCCACCCCCGCTCCAGTGAGGAACCTGCAGGTCAAGGAGGGGACGTGACTGGCCACTGAGGGCATTGCAGGCAGAGCCAGCCAGGACCGGCTTTCTCCCAGGCTAGGGAGCTTTCCTGATGGAAGTTTCTGGAAGCCTTCGTCCAATTCCATTCTCTCACTCTTCTTGCAAGTCAGCAGGGCAGAGGCAGGGGCAGCAGAGCCCCACTTGGCAAATGAAGAAACTGAGGCACAGCCAAGGTCAGAGACTCGCCTTTCTTCAAATAGCTCATTACTGTGGGGCCCCCAGTTAGTGGTTACAGAGTGGGTCCCGAGCCATGGCCTGGGCTGGGTCCTGGCTCTGCCACTTTCAAGCTGAGCAAATTGCTCACCCCTGTGTGACTCCATTTTCCCACCTGCAGAACAGTTAATAAGCATAATTGACCCGTGGCTTTTACGAGCACAATGAAACCCAGGCATCACCAATGGGAGGAGCCCAGCCCTGGAGGCAGATGCCAGTTCCACCCCACCCAGCCCTCCACCCGCCAGCTCTCGGGCTCCCCTACCCCTCTGCAGATGGAGGGAGTGGCAGTGCCTCCCACACAGGGCAGTTGTGAGAATTCATGATGGTGTTTTGTTGATTCAATGTGTTTTCGATGCTTCTTGTTTCGTTTTGTAAATCAACTAGAGCAGTGCCTCCACACAGCAAGCGCAATGTAAGTATTTGTTAAATAAAAATATAGAGAATGCATGTAAGGTGCTTAGACCAGTGTCTGATGTGAGTGATGCTTGGTGAGTTTCAGCTGCTCTGACTTTTAGTGACAAGAACCAGAGCATGAGTCATCCTGACCCTCCTGCTTCCCTCCCGTCCATGGTAGCCCCCAGGCCACATCTCAGGCTCTCGGGGTTGCCCAGACACCATTTCTCCTTGGAGGTCACCTTGCTCTCCCTGCTCCCATATCCCACTGCCTGCCTCCTCCAGACACTCTGTCTCCCACACATGCGCACACTCTCACGCCCTTACAAACACACTCTCACGCACACATACACACACATACATACATTCTCACACACAGGCTCACACACTCATACAGTCTCACACATACACACACAGACTAATACACACACACACAGGCTCACACTCACATATACAGGCTCACACACACGCAGGTTCACATACATCTACACTCACACACATTCACACACACATACACACAGGCCCCAACACACCTACACTCACACATACACACATTCACACATACATGCATACATACATACACACAGGTTCATACACTCACATACACACATTCACACATGTACAGACTCACATACACACACCCTCACTCTCACAGTCACAAACACATTCATAGGCACACATATACACACACTGTCACCCTCTCACATGCACACGCGTCCCCTGAGGCATATGCTACCCACCGCGTCCTCCCTGAAGCCCCCCCCCACCCGCTGCCCAGATGCCCAGCTTGGGGGCTGCCTGCACTCCCAGGACTCGGCTGACGCCCTGGCCCGGGGAAGCTGCTGGGACTCACCCCTCTGCTGAGACAAAACGGGCTGCACAGGCTCCTCATGGTCTCCCTGCCCCACCCACTCCTGGCTTTGTACCCTGCCCAGCAGGCATAACCAACCCAGCCATCTGCTCAGGCCTCTGGTGCCTCCCCAAACCCAACCCAGAGACCCTGGAAGTGCTGTCACCCTGTAACCAGGCACTCAAGGTAGTGTAGAACTGCCCCCAGGCAGTTCTACCTGGTCTCAGTCAGAACCCGGAGAAAAGGCTAATGCCACAGACTCCACGGGGCAATGGCAAGAAATGGATGGACTGGTGCAGCAGCTAAAAGGGGACAAGCTCCCACAGTGCAGCCTGAGCCATGGAAGGAAAAGGGCCACAGTCACACCCATAATCATCCTTCTCTCTGCTGGAACCCCTGGTTGGCTGGAGTCACCTGAGGGGCGTCGGGAGCGCCATGGAGGAGGAAGCTGCGGTCCACTCTGCTCTTGCACTGGCTCAGCGCAGACCATGGGCTCTTCTGAGACAGCACCAGGCCAGGCTCAGAGAGGGCCAGGACTCTGTTCCCACAAAACACTGGGGCTGGTGGGGGACCCACCTGTCAACAGTCAATAGCACAGCACCAGGATGAAATAATCCTGGAGTGGGGGTGGCCCCAGCAGGAAGTCCTCAGCTCCCACTGGGAGTGTGTGGGCGGGGGTGGTCGGGGACTCAGGTGGGGTGGGGAGGTGGTGTTGGAGTCAGGCCTCCAAGCATAAGCAGGACATTGAAAAGAAAGGAGGGAGGAGGGGTGGGGTGGGAACAAAGCCAGAGCCAAGAACGTACTTAGTGGGAGCGAGAAGGCGGCTTTGGTGGATGGAGTGGACAGGGAAAAGTGAGAACCAGGTTAGAGAGGGGCTGGAACCCAGAGGGCAGAGGCCTGAGATGACCATGGCAGAGCGTGCACTGTGTCCCCTTGATTTAGGCATTGCCTGCCACCTGTCACATGGAGGGCAGCCTGGGATGGCATCGAACACTTTAAAGATCAATTTATTTTTTAAGTATATAAATTTATTTCAATAGCAAACTTTATATGCTTAAGTTTATTGGAAAAAATTAAGTAGAAACCAAAGCAACATCATCAATTGCAGGTAGGTACATACGATGGCCTACCAAAGACGCTAGGCCAAAGGCTGGCTCTTTCTTGGTTCCAGATGGAGATGAACAGTGTTGGAAAGGTGTTAAGAATATTAGCACCAAACTGGGACTCTTCTCCTTCAGACAATGGACTGGCTTTCTAACCACGTGTCTCCATGTTATGTCAGGAAGATCTGAGTCACCCAGTGTCACCTGTCATCATCCCCAGGGGAGCAGGTGCTGTTCGTGCCCTGCACATAGCCCTGGAACACTCCAGCAGGCACAGAGCCACTTCTAACTGCCAATATCTTCTTCTTTTTGCCTGCAGGCTTTTGTCCATGACCTCAGCAGGCCACTCTACCCACACCTGCGGCAGGTGGGCGGTGCCAGGGGATTAACACTCACCTCCAACAACCCCCAAATAATAACTCATAGGAGTTGGTGTATAAATACCCACGCTCCCTTGCTCCTGGGATTCCTCTGTTGTGTGTGATTTCTCCATGGGACTGAACTCCAGCTGTCCTCTGCACCACCTGGCTGAATACTACGCCCTGAATTGGCCTCCTTCCTTTCCTGTTGCACTTCCTAAAGCCCTGCCAGAGCTTCCTAAGGTCACCTCTCAAATAAACTACTTGCTCTCAAATTCTTGTCTCAGAGTCTGCACGTGGGACAACCCAAACTAAGGCATCAACCATCAGTGATATTTGTCCCACCCACCCTCAAGGTCAGACCCCAAACCTGAGAGACTCAGTCCAAAGAGACCCAGAAGACAGCTTGGCTCTTATAACTAGATAAGAAATCAACCCAGGAGAAGCCTGTATGGCAATTTATAATGGGAGGGGCTGGATTTTTCTGTGAAATATTTTCATATGGCATTGATTACTGAGAGTGAAACTAGAATGAAATCAATCAGATCTGCAGTTGGAAAAGCTCACTCTGGCTCCTGTCGTAAAATGTGAATGTGGGCGGTGCCCTGGTCTGCACAGGGAGCTGGGTCGGGTACCACTGCAGTTGTCAGAGGTGACACTGGAGGAGATTGGCAGGGGTGGCCGCCCTTGGCAGGTATTTAGGAAGGACAATCACAAGGGATTTGAAATGGATTAAGCCAGCGGAGGAGATTGAGGAGGAGGTGATTTCTGACTTATAATGGATAGAAGTGGAAGTCACTCCAAAGACAAACACAGCAGGAGGAGCAGGTTTGGGAAGGAAGGTCAGGAGTTCAGACCCAGGCGCACTGGCTTAAGTTGCCTTCAAAACATCCAGGTGGAGATGTCAAGATGTCTGTTGGATAAATGAGACCAGAACTCAGAGGAGCGGCAAGAACAACAGTGACCATCGCCCTGTAGACATAAATGAAGGAAAGGGTGTGGATTTTAAGAGTTGTGTATGTATGTTTCTTTTTTCTTTTTTTATTTATTTGTTTATTTTTTGAGACAGGGTCTCGCTCTGTCACCCAGCCTGGAGCACAGTGGCACAATCATGGCTCACTGCAGCCTTGACCTCCTGGGCTCAAGCGATCCTCCCACCTCAGCCTCCCAAGTGGCTGGAACCACAGGCACATGCACCCATACCCAGCTAACTTTTGGTTTTGTTTTGCTTTTGGCAGAGACAGGGTTTTGCCATGTTGCCCAGGCTCAAACTCCTGAGCTCAAGTGATCCACCAGCCTTGGCCTCCTCCCAAAGTGCTGAGATTACAGGTGTGAGCCACCAGGCCCAGCCATGTTTCTTAAAAAAAAAAAGTTTAATTTTAATAAAGTTTATTATTTCATTTCTATGGACATGGGAAAAAATGTTGAATTATGATAAAATACACAAACATAAAATTTACCATCTTAAACATTCATTTATAGACACTTGAGTTGCTTTCACCTTTTGGCTATTGTGAATAATGCTGCTATGAGCATGGGGGACAAATCTCTCTTCAAGTCCCTGTTTTCAGTTCTTCAGGGTATATACCTAGAAGTGGGATGGCTGGATCCTATGATGATTCTATGTTCAATTTTTTGAGGAACTGCCATATTGTTTTCCACGGTGGCTACACTCAAACGTTTTACATTCCCACCAACAGTGTATAAGAGTTCTAATTTCTCCATATCCTCACCAACACTTGTGATTTTCTGGGTTTTGACAGTAGCCATCGTAAAGGGTCTAAGTTGGTCTGGCCAAGGTTTTTGAACTACAGATGTCACAAAGGTACACAGCAAGAAAAGGACTTATGCAACATCATAATAAGCCAGGGAGGTGTTCTGGTCATACCTACATCATTATCAACCTCATGAACCTGGATCAGTTGGGGGTGCTCTTGGCTACAAGTAGCAATGTTATGAACGCATTTGCTGTCTTGTTAATAAGAACTCCCTGGGCTGGTCTTTTCTGCTCAGTCAGGCTCAGCTGATTGGTGACAGTGACATTGCCCTTCCTGGCCATACATTGACTCTTCAATGCCATGCACATGTGCGCTCAGGACCACACACAGAGCAGCAGGAAGGGGGCATGAGGCAAGGCCTCCTCCTTCCAAGACTCTGGCCTTTTTAACAGGAAGAAAACGACTTCTCCAAAACCCAGCAAATACTGCCTGACATCTCACTGGCAAGAACCAGTCAAGTGCCCATGCATATGACTGGTGCAGGGTAAGTGGTGCTAGTTAAAGGAGAGATGGCTGGGCCCCACCCACAGAGTTTCTGATTCAGTGGAACTGGGATGGGGCCCAAGATTTGGCATTTCTAACAAGTTCTCTGGTGATGCAGATGCTGCCAGTCCAGGGACGACATTTCGAGGACCACTGGCTTCAGTGATCTTGAGCTGGGTACATGACCACCCAAACCAATCAAAGGGAAAAAGCAGGTAGGTGGTGGTAAAATACAAGACTTTCTGTCACAAACTCTGAGGAGCTCACTTGTAGCTTTTTTGCCCAGTAGACTCTAGGCCCCCTGGGAGCAGGGGGTCATGAAAGTCACCTTTTTGGGCCTTGGGGTCTTGATACAGTTACTGTGACTTGGTGGCAACTTTAAACGGATTTTTCAAATGAGTGAATACAAGAACATGTCACCAAACATGTCCAAGGCTGCTGCACCCTCAGGTCACCTTGATCAAAACACCTTCCTGGAGCCCATGCAGGCAGCCTCCAAAACACAAAGCAGGCTGGGCACGGTGACTCATACCTGTAATCCCAGCACTTTGGGAGGCCGAGGTGGGTGAATCATGAGGTCAGGAGTTTGAGACCAGCCTGGCCAACAGGGTGAAACCCCGTCTCTACTAAAAATAAAAAAAATTAGCTGGGCGTGGTGGCAGGCACCTGTAATCCCAGCTACTCAGGAGGCTGAGGCAGGAGAATCACTTGAACCCAGGAGGCGGAGATTGCAGTCAGCCGAGATCGCACCACTGCACTCCAGCCCAGGCGACAAAGCAAGACTCAAACAAACAAACAAACAAACAAACAAAAAACCCCAAAGCAGCCCCTTCTCTACCAGGATGGCAGCTCCCCTACAAAGCAGCTCAGGTGTCTTCCCTGTCGGCCTGTCCTCCTGGGGAGGCTGGCTCCCTGCTCTGCAGTGACACTGCAGGGTCAGAACTCAGCCTGTGGGTAACCCAAGAACAATGCCTGTTTGGGGGTCTTCACCGCTGACACAGAGAGCCTGTGGCCATCCATCCCAAATAGCGTCTGTTAATTGCCCACTGGGATGTGGTCCCTTGTTGAAGTCAAAGAAACAAGCCCTTAATTCACTAATCGTCTAAACAGACACCACCAGCTGAGAACTCCTATAGCCCGGCGTGTGATGCCTTATGACCCTGAGCGAATGCAGCTGCAAACAGGCAGTACCTGTTACATATTCCTTAGCCACAGGGGAAACTTCTGGAAAGTTGCTAGCATGGAATATGGTTAATGAAGAAGAAAACACCTTATCCTTCTGTTCTACATTCACACTCACGTGTGATCTACGCAGTGGTCCTGAAAGGATCCAAGGCTGGGGGAGATCTGGGAGTCCGTTTACCGATGAGGATCTGCTATTCAGAGCTGATGTCCTGTATGTGTGCAGTGAATATTCAATCAGCAGTAGCTGTGATACTCATAAATCACTCGCTCTGAGGTGAAGGGGAACCGATAGGATAAGCCAGGCTCACCCCAGAGGCCTCTGCTGCAACCCTGGTTGGCAGCCCAGCCCTTGTGGGTACCAGGACCTGCCAGAGCCACAGACGACCGGATACAAGCACAAATTGATGAGTCACCCAAGAGCCATCGCAGGGTGAGGACAGACCTGGGTGCCAAGTGGGCAGAGATTCCACCAAGTCCTGGCAGAGGACCAGGATGTGATGGACAGGAGACACTTCTCAGGTCAGACTCACATGGCAAGGCAAGGTCTTGCTGGAAGGCAGGCAAGGAAATGCTCCAGCGGGAGCCCAGCAGAGACCGGCCCTGGGTGCTGATCAGGACCAAGCTGGCCCCAGACTCTCTCCAGGATTGCACAGGGCTCAGGGAGCTGCACCAAGGTGGAACAAGAGTAGAGGCTGGGGGCGGTGGCTCACACCTGTAATCCCAGTACTTTGGGAGGCTGAGGTGGGCAGATCACTTGAGGTCAGGAGTTCGAGACCAGCCTGGCCAACATGGGGAAACCCCGTCTCTACTAAAAATACAAAAATTAGCTGGGCATGGTGCTGTGTGCCTGTAATCCCAGCTCCTTGGGAGGCTGAGGCAGGAGAATTGGTTGAACCAGGAAGTTGGAGGTTGCAGGGAGCCAAGATCACACCCCTGCACTCCACCCTGGGTGACAGAGCAAGACTCCATCTCAAAAATAAATAAATAAATAAATAAATAAAAGAGTCAAAGCCCTGGGTCCTCTTCTCCCCTGTGTTAGCCTTGCTATGTGCTCTTGGGGGTGGTGCTTCACCCCTCTGGGACAGTGAGCTTCACGTACCTGACTCTGGGCCATGCAGGGGCCAGGCTGGGCCTCCTGACACCCACTGGACTCCCTGCTAGCAACCCCAGTTCCCAGCTCCCATCCCCCACCCTAACTTCCAGGGCAGACACGATGTGTGCACTGGGGAGTGGACACAGGGCTCTCTCCAGCTGGGTGGAAATGGGACCACCCCCTCCTTCCTCACCCCCTCCCCAGACACTATCCACAGCCCGGATGGGCTTTCATCCACCTCAGCAGCCAGCCTCCCACCCTCTCCCCACCACCGCAACCAAAACTGCTTCTGTGGATGCCTACTGGCATGTTTTGAAGTTACCTACACATTTATTTCAAGGTCAACTAGTCCTGAGCACCTCTGGGGAAACCTTATACCACTCTCCTTTTCCCCCAGGACTCCCCAGGGAGCAGGAGTTCTCAGCCCTGGTGCAGGCTGGAGCCACCTAGGGAGCTTTGAAAACTACCCATGCCCACGAGGGACAGAATCGGGATGATGAAGATGTTCTAAAACCGGATTACGGTAACGGTTGCACAACCTGGGAAACTTAAAAATCATTCAATGGTACACTTAAAATGGGTGAATTTTATGTTATGTAAATTATATCTCAATAAACTTGTTTAAAAAAAAATACCCAGGCCTGGATCTATCACTGAACCATTAAATCAGAATCTTTGATTTGGGGCCTGGGCTGAGATTCCTGCTCTGGTGTCACCGTGGGGACATCTCTTTCCACTGCCACCATCACTCATTCACCCTGGGAGAAGAGGAGTGACCCCCCCACCCCAACTCATTGATGGGCATATCCATTTCCTAGGGCAGTTATAACAATAACCACCAACTGGGAGACTCAAAACAGCAGTAATTGACTCTCTCATAGTTCCGGAGGCCAGAAGTCCAAAATCAAGGTGCCAGCAGGGCCACACTCCTCCAAAGGCCCCAGGGAGGGTCTTTCCAGCTGCTGGTGGCTGCCAGAATCCCTGATGTCCTTGGCTGGCAGCAGCATCACTCTGATCTCTGTCTCCTCCTTCACATGAACTTCTTTCCTGTATCTCTGTGTCCCCACTCTCTCTGTCTCTTTTTGTGTGTGTGTGAGACAGTCCCATTCTGTCACCCAGGCTGGAGTGCAATGGCGCAATCTTGGCTCACTGCAACCTCTGCCTCCTGGATTCAAGTGATTCTTCTGCCTCAGCCTCCCTCGTAGCTGGGATTACAGGTGCACACCACCAAGCCCAGCTAATTTTTGTATTTTTAATAGAGGTGGGATTTCACCATGTTGGCCAGGCTGGTCTCAAACTCCGGACCTCAAGTGATCCACCCATCTTGGTCTCCCAAAGTGTTGGGTTTACAGGCATGAGCAACCACGCCTGGCCCCCACTTTCTCTTCTTAGAAGGATACCAATCATTGGATTAGGGTCCACCCTAATCTAAGTATAATCTCATCTTAACTATCTGCATCTGCAAGGTCCCCAATTCCACAGAAGGTCACATTCTGAGGTTCTGGATTGGCATGAAGTGGGGTGGGGGGACACTGCTCCACCCAGCACAGTGGAAATGCTAGCCGAGTCAACTGCATTAAAGCCGGTCATCCCATTACCTATATTACATACACACTTTCTTGGGTAGACTACCTTATTTATTTCCAGTTAAATGCAATTTTTATTGTCCAAATTTCCAACACTTCTCTTAGTTTCCTAACTGGAGTGCAGTGGTGCGATCTCAGCTCACTGCAACCTCCAACTTCCGGGTTCAAGCAATTCTTGTGCCTCAACTTCCCAAGTACCTGGGACCACAGGTGTGTGCCACCACGCCCAGCTAATTTTCTATTTTTAGTAGAGATGGGGTTTCGTCATGTTGGCCATGTTGTCTAAGCTGGTCTTGAACTCCTGACCCCAGACAATCTGCCTACCTCAGCCTCCCAAAGTGCTGGGATTATAGGCGTGAGCCACCACGCCCAGTCCTAACTCATTTTTTTTTATTGCAGCTTTAGCTCAAAAGCATCTTCACCTACATGCCCCTGCATGTGGACATCCAGTACCAAATATTCTCTTTTTAAAAATGTACAGGCTGCTGGGTATGGTGGCCCATGCCTATAATCCCAGTACTTTGGGAGGCCAAGGCAGAAGGACTGCTTGAGCCCAGGAGTTTGAGACCAGCCTGGGCAATGTAGTGAGACCTCATCTCTACAAAAAAATTAAAAAAATAGCCAGGTGTGTTGGCATGCACTTGTGGTCCCAGAAACTCAGGAGGCTGAGGTGAGAGGATCATTTGAGCCCAGAAGGTCAGGCTGCAGTGAGCCATGATTGCACTATACTCCAGCCCAGGCAACAGAGCAAGACCTTGTCTAAAAAAAAAAAAAGTACAGGCCACTAATAAGGTAAAATGCATAACAAAGTCTACCTACCAGAGTGGAGTGGGAGGGAATCCACAGAGTCAGACCCTTGCCAGTGGGTTCACTCTCATTTAGCAGAGAGAAATCTCTGTTTGTCCTCTTCTCTCCAGGTTCCCTGCCTCGGCTCCTGCGTGAGCTTCCAAGGGCTGGTCTCAGGGGTGGGAATCAAAATGTTTAACCACAGGCCCTGACCCATCAGCCCAGATGCCTGCTGTAAACAACCAGAGCTTTTTCCAGGCACATGTTGACCTAGCTGGTCTCACACAGGGCAGCATCAGCACTTCCAAGAAGTTCTCCTGGGGCACTATGCTTGGAGACAGTTTCTGTGTGAGCCTGTGAACAGCCAGTGGTGCTTAAAATCATGGGCCTCTGGCCAGACTATTCAACATTAATCGTAAGTGCTTAAGAAAGGTTGGTGTTAGATGCCAGACACTGTTCTAAGCTCTTGGTGTATAAGCTCATTAATAACTCACAACAGTCCTAGAAGGTGGAGAGAAGATTGCCATTGTCCCTATTTGGCAGGTGAGTTTAAGGGACAGAGGCCTTACCACAGTAACACACAGTTGGTACGTGGTAGCACTGGGATTGAAGCTGTGTGGATTTATCTCTAAAAAATGGGGTCCAATCCCTCCATTTTACTACCTCTTCTGTTTGAAAACATCACATATAGGATATTCATTCATTCGTTTAACCAATATCTATTGAATATCTACTCCATGCAAGACAATCTTCTGGGCACTGCAGCTATAACAGTGAACAAATGGACATGGCCCCTGCTCTTCTGCAGGTAGTGTGGGGTGGGGAGTGGGGAGGGGGACATAGACCGCAGTCACAGACAGAAAATAAAAACAGAATTTCAGATAGTGGTATGTCATAGGAAGACGCTAAAATGGGGAGGGAGGATAGAGTGATTGGGAAGCATTTTTAGGTGAAACAGACAGGGACAAACTCTCCCAGGGGGTGACATTATGCTGAAACCCAAGCAGTGAGAAAGAGTTTTTAGAGCACAATCTGGGGAGAGAGATGCCAGGGAGAGGCCACAGAAAGTGCAAAGGCCCTGAGGCAGGAAAAGACTTGAGGAACAAGGTGAAAGATACCTTTGTGTCTCTGTGAGCAAGGGAGTGATTACGGAATTACTGTTCATTTCCTTTGGTGTGATAATAACAGGGAGGTCACCTGGGTCACTACGAAGAAAGAATATGGAATCCTTAGTACGGAATAAAATTTGTATATTAAAGTTATCCTCACCCAGGTAGACCAGGTTTCTGTAGGTCTCTAACATCATGTCCCTATGCAAATTCCACTGAGCAGAGTCCAAGTATTCCCAATCCTCCAGAGAGAATACTATGGCCACATCCCTGAATGTCAACAGTCACTGAAAAAAAAAAAAAAAAAAAAAAAACAGAAAAACCCACACCATATTTACCAAGTTGCCATGGGCAAAGTTCTTAATTTGACTCCAGGTGAAATGAGAAGGTGAAGAGAAGAGATTCTAAATGTGGACAGATGGGAGGGATACAGAAAGAAAGCATGAAGTAGGATTAAGGATTAAGTTCAGAGGGATTTTTCATTGTTGTTTATATGAACGTTTTTGTGAATTGTGGAGCAACTACTGGATCTGCAAATGGAAAACAGGTTGTCGGGGAGATGTCTCTAGAAGTAATGGTTTTAAAAGACAGAAATTAAACATATAGTATTTTACTCCCATTTACCTGCTTTAGGGTTTGGAAAAATTGGGAGTACCAACTCTGAAGAGATGGCAGGAGCACAAAACTCTCATCTCCTCTACCAGGTTCTGTGAGGGGAGATTCCAGAGTTGGGCCAGACCTAGGCAAGGCTCAGAAGACAGTGGATCTGAGCAGAGCTGGGCCAGGGAGCAAGACCTAGGCTTCTGATCACTTTGCAGCTGGAGTATGTCCAATTCTATCTTTCCTAAGACTGCACAGGAGAAACTTGACCCCCAGAGTTTGTATACTTGAAACCTAATTAGCCACTTACCTATTTATAACATACGGTAACAAGCAATTTAACCAAAACCCTTAGGTTTTCTAGGACAATTTCATTAGAAGCTGAATTTTTATTCTTAGCAAGATAAAATCAGTAGAAGTAATAATAACAACAAGAATAACTCAGACAGATGTGGTGGCTCATACCTGTAATCCCAGTACTTTGGGAGGCTGAGGTGGGCTGATTGCTTAAGCCCAGGAGTTTCAGGCCAGCCTGGGCAACACGGTGGAAACCCCATCTCTACTAAAAAACACAAAAATTAGCCAGGCGTGGTGGTGCACACTTACAGTCCCAGCTTCTTGGGAGGCTGAGGCTAGAGGAGTGCTTGAGTCCAGGAGGTTGAGAATGCAGTGAGCAGCGATCATGCCACTGCACTCCAGCCTGGGTGACAGAGCAAGACTCTGTCTCAAAACAAAACCCCAAAAACATAACAACAATTCCAACAATTCTGCCCATGAATGGCTTTTCAGGCAGCAAAACTGGAACTAATAACGACATGAGAAGGTGGCCCAGATGAAGGCCAAGTCCTCTGTACACCTCCTTTCTTTGTACTAAGTACATGATGCTAGTTTATCTGGTTGCTCTAGACTGAAAGTTTCCAGAAAATAGGTACCATGTCATGGCTGCTTCGTGTTTTTCTAATAGCCATATGAAATGGAAGCAACTGGTTTATCTATCAGTTTGCATCTACAAACCTCCTCCCCGTTCTTCACCCAAGTACCAGGAAGCTGCAGCAACTCCCATCTGGGTACCAACCAAGGAGATTTCTTCTGTGAGAGGAGGAACAAACCCTAGATAATGCATTCCTCTTCCTCTGAAATAAAAGCAGAATTAGACTCTGTGTTTACCCTGACCCCAGTCTGCATAGGACATCACCAAATGTCTCAAAGACACCCTGGTTCTGGTGAGAGGGTCCCCAGTGACCCTGGGTTGATGGCCCATGGTGATCCAGGCAGGAGAGACTTGGGCTGTCCCTGTGGGTTCAGAAGACAGAATGAAGTCACTCTGGTAGGGCTGTAGATCCTGGATCCAGATGTGGTATTACTTGTCCCTGATTAGCTAAGAGGAAGGGCAAGAATATCTTACTCCAGTATCACAGTGTGCAGCTAACTGTTGTGATCATGGCTCTAGAGATTCTGTGGCTCTGACCTCCCATGGTCAAGGTGCTTACACTTACAGATTCTACCACCAGACTCTTTTCACACCAGGAACCTCTCATGCAACTGCAGCAGGTCACTGGACAAAATCTGAACAACTCAAAGGACCCCACTCTGAAAAGGGGGCTTCACAATGTCTATGTTGACCTCTCACGAGGCAGAAGATGTCTCCCCTGGGTTTTCTGTCCATCCTCAATTCAAAGTCTGGCCCTGTCTTGTGAATCCCAGGTGGAAGCCAGCTCTTATGTGCAGATTCTAGGTGGGGTCAACCTGGCTTTGTATTCGTGGATATAACAGCAAGCAGAGTAAAACCAGAGGAGACTACCCCCCATGGAGGCTGCTCTAACACATTCTATAGGACACACTGATCAAAAGGAAGAAGTTGAAGCAAAACATAAGCAGAGAGTCTGGGCCAGGCTAGAGGATTGCCACCCAGGAACATACATTCAGCTTGCCCTGAATACACATTTCAATTAGTAGCAGTTACAACTGGATTTTTTTAATTTTTTTTTTGAAGACAGAATCTTGCTCTGTCGCCCAGGCTGGAGTGCAGTGGCACGATCTCGACTCACTGCAACCTCCGCCTCCTGAGTTCAAGTGATTCTGTCACCTCAGCGTCCTAAGAACCTGGGACTACAGGCATGTGCCACCACACCCGGCTAATTTCTGTATGTTTAGTAGAGATGGGGTTTCACCACATTGGCCAAGCTGGTCTCGAACTCCTCACCTCAGATGATCCGCCCACCTCAGGCTCCTAAAGTGCTGGCATTATAGGTGACTCATGCCTGTAATCCAAGCACATGCATGAGCCACTGCACTTGGCCACAACTGGATTTTTAAAGACAAAAATGGGGGCAGGGAGTGGGTTCATATAAAGTTGTCAGAAATTCTCACTGATTTACAGAAATAACACTTATTAGTGACTGGCTATATAGTATGTGGGTTATTAGTGATTGGCTATATAGTGCGTGGGTATAGGTATTGTTAGTTTGTGGTAACAGCAAGAAGTTTTAAGAGATGAATATATAGCTCAAAGTGGGGAGTAAAACCTGTGATTGCCATCTCAATTTAATGTCTCTCTGGGCCTGATAATTAAAAGGACTTGCAGTTTTATGATAAAAGTTCTCTTCTTTTCTCAAATCCCAGGACCTAAATTCAGAATTTGGAGCTGCAGATTTAAGTTTTGCAGGGGTGGGGAACTAGCAGGTGCCCTCTGCAATTTGTGGGCATTGGGGCAAGAGGAGGAGGGGGAAGCTTGATATTCTCTGGCATACTCAATGCACATGTGTGATCTGATTGGGATCCTGGGCTCCATTGCCTCCTAATCAGTTTCAGATCTGAAGATGCCAGAGTGCTGAAGGACAGAGGTGGTATGGCTGGTCGCTGCCCTGTGCAGTTATTTTGCTGCAAACTGGTCAAACTGCTCTAGAAGGGAATGCAGATCTCAAATACACAGGAAGAGTATTCTGCTAACTGATTTTTAGGACAGCATGCACTTTGCCGCACAATTGTGGTTGTGGCTGGAAGCCCCCTCTACAGTGAAGCCTGGTGTGCATCTTATATGTTTTTTATTACACCTGGCAATTCTGGACAGTGTTTAGAAAATATAATTAAAAATAAAATCATTTCTGACCCTAAAAGAATTCTTCAGAATGGTAGAACACAAATTTTGTGTGTGTGTGTGTGTGTGTGTGTGTGTGTGTGTGTGTGTGTGTGTTTTTAGATGGAGTCTCGCTCTTGTTTCCCAGGCTGCTGGAGTGCAGTGGTGCAATCTCGGCTCACTGCAACCTCTGCCTCCTGGGTTCAAGTTATTCTCCTGCCTCAGCCTCCCAGGTAGCTGGGATTACAGGCGCCTGCTACCATGCCCAGCTAATTTTTTTGTAATTTTAGTAGAGCCGGAGTTTCACCATGTTGGCCAGGCTGGTTTCAAACTCCTGACCTCAGGTGATCAGCTGAAAACTGTTTTATTACATCATTAAACCAGACCATGACATAAGTGACATAAAACCTGCTAAGAGATTACAAAGACAGAAATAAGATAATCATAATTATCCCTCAAGTAGAAGACCTGGCAGCACCATTTGTTCATCCTAAATTCACGTGGCCAGTGAGGGCATCTTGGGTCACTCCCAGACAGTTGTGGCAAAGGACACATAACCCATCAAGTTTCCAGAGCAAAAACCTCAACCCAAGGACATTCTGATAAACTGTCAGTTCCCTGTACCTAGGGAAGATCAAAGGAGAGGGACAAAGATTATTTACCGTGGAGTGTCAAGGAACAATTCCCTGATTTCCTCTCCTATGAAATGTTTACAAACAAAAGCCAAGTCTTTAAAAGAGTGCCATCCACACAAGACAGGGATGCCCTCTCTCACCACTCCTATTCAACATAGTGTTGGAAGTTCTGGCCAGGGCAATTAGGCAGGAGAAGGAAATAAAGGGCATTCAATTAGGAAAAGAGGAAGTCAAATTGTCCCTGTTTGCAGATGACATGATTGTATATCTGGAAAACCCCATCATCTCAGCCCAAAATCTCCTTAAGCTGATAAGCAACTTCAGCAAAGTCTCGGGATACAAAATCAATGTGCAAAAATCACAAGCATTCTTATACACCAATAACAGACAAGCAGAGAGCCAAATCATGAGTGAACTCCCATTCACAATTGCTTCAAAGAGAATAAAATACCTAGGAATCCAACTTACAAGGGATGTGAAGGACCTCTTCAAGGAGAACTACAAACCACCGCTCAAGGAAATAAAAGAGGATACAAACAAATGGAAGAACATTCCATGCTCATGGGTAGGAAGAATCAATATCATGAAAATGGCCATACTACCCAAGGTAATTTATAGATTCAATGCCATCCCCATCAAGCTACCAATGACTTTCTTCACAGAATTGGAAAAAACTACTTTAAAGTTCATATGGAACAAAAAAAGAGCCTGCATTGCCAAGTCAATCCTAAGCCAAAAGAACAAAGCTGGAGGCATCACACTACCTGACTTCAAACTATACTACAAGGCTACAGTAACCAAAACAGCATGGTACTGGTACCAAAACAGAGATATAGACCAATGGAACAGAACAGAGCCCTCAGAAATAATGCCACATATCCACAACTATCTGATCTTTGACAAACCTGACAAAAACAAGCAATGGGGAAAGGATTCCCTATTTAATAAATGGTGCTGGGAAAACTGGCTAGCCATATGTAGAAAGCTGAAACTGGATCCCTTCCTTTACACCTTATACAAAAATTAATTCAAGATGGATTAAAGACTTACATGTTAGACCTAAAACCATAAAAACCCTAGAAGAAAACCTAGGCAATACCATTCAGGACATAGGCATGGGCAAGGGCTTCATGTCTAAAACACCATAAGCAATGGCAACAAAAGCCAAAATTGACAAATGGGATCTAATTAAACTAAAGAGCTTCTGCACAGCAAAAGAAACCACCATCAGAGTCAACAGGCAACCTACAGAATGGGAGAAAATTTTTGCAACCTACTCATCTGACAAAGGGCTAATATCCAGAATCTACAATGAACTCAAGCAAATTTACAAGAAAAAAACAAACAACCCCATCAAAAAGTGGGCAAAGGATATGAACAGACACTTCTCAAGAGAAGACATTTATGCAGCCAAAAAACACATGAAAAAATGCTCATCATCACTGGCCATCAGAGAAATGCAAATCAAAACCACAATGAGATACCATCTCGCATCAGTTAGAATAGTGATCATTAAAAAGTCAGGAAACAACAGGTGCTGGAGAGGATGTGGAGAAATAGGAACACTTTTACACTGTTGGTGGGACTGTAAACTAGTTCAACCATTGTGGAAGTCAGTGTGGTGATTCCTCAGGGATCTAGAAATAGAAATACCATTTGACCCAGCCATCCCATTACTGGGTATATACCCAAAGGATTATAAATCATGCTGCTATAAAGACACATGCACACGTATGTTTATTGCAGCACTATTCACAATATTAAAGACTTGGAACCAACCCAAATGTCCAACAATGACAGACTGGATTAAGAAAATGTGGCACATATACACCATGGAATACTATGCAGCCATAAAAAATGATGAGTTCATGTCCTTTGTAGGGACATGGATGAAGCTGGAAACCATCATTCTCAGCAAACTATCACAAGGACAAAAAACCAAACACTGCATGTTCTCACTCATAGGTGGGAATTGAACAATGAGAACACATGGACACAGAAAGGGGAACATCACACACTGGGGACTGTTGTGGGGTGGCGGAAGGGGGGAGGGATAGCATTAGGAGATATGCCTAATGCTAAATGATGAGTTAATGGGTGCAGCACACCAACATGGCACATGTATACTTATGTAACAAACCTGCACATTGTGCACATGTACCCTAAAACTTAAAGTATAATAATAAAAAAAAAGAGTGCCATCCAGTGCTCTGTGAAAAAAAGACTAACAATTAAAATACTGTGTCTAAAGTGTACAATAAGCCAGGCATGGTGGTTCACGCCTGTAATACCAACACCTTGGGAGGATGAGGCAGGCAGATCACTTGAGGTCAGGAGTTCAAGACCAGCCAGGCCAATGTGGGGAAACCCTGTCTCTACTAAAAATACAAAAAAAAAAAAAAATAGCTGGGCGGGGTGGCAGGAGCCTGTAATCTCAGCTACCCAGCTACTTGGGAGGCTGAGGCAGGAGAATCACTTGAAACCGGGTGGCGGAGGTTGCAGAGTGAGTGGAGATCGCACCACTGCACTCCTGCCTGGGCAACAAGAGCAAAACTCCATCCAAAAAAAAAAAAAAAGTGTACAATAAAGGACTAGTTTTTACTGCGAGCCTGAATTAGGCTGGGGGAGCAGAGTGGTGGATTTAAAAAAAAAATCAGAGTGGGCGATTTGAGACATGATGTGTCAAACACACATACAAACAACACACAAAATGCAGGGGAAAACCAGTCCCCCAGTAGAGTATTAAAATAATTAAAAAGCAGAGAATTTGATGGAAGTGGCTCTAATGCCCTTGGATCTTACAACATACAAACAAAATAAAATCGAACTAAATGTATTTCTTGTAAATTACTGCCTTAGGGAAAGCAAAATTCAGGCTTAACCAAACCTCCTGTCAATCTCCAGAAAATCTCCACCTGGAGAGTTGAAATAAGGCGACTACCTCAGTATCGTCAGTTTTGAATTTGGATTTGGTCGGCTTCCTCATGCACTTGATGAAAGCCTTTCCTCCCAGCCCCTCCAGTAGCCCTAAAAACACAAACCATGGCTGGGTTCTCTCCAATTCGTGAATCACTCTTTGCTCAACTAAGCTTTTTAACAGTTTTAATGGAGCCTATTTTTTTGTTGTTGTTTTTGAGACGGAGTCCTGCTCTGTCACCCAGGCTGGAGTGTAATGGCGCAATCTCTGCTCACTGCCCTCCACCTCCCGGGTTCAAGCGATTCTCCTGCCTCAGCCTCCTGAGTAGCTGGGACTACAGGCGCGTGCCACCACACCTGGCTAATTTTGTATTTTTAGTAGAGACGGGGTTTCTCCTTGTTGGTCAGCCTGATCTCGAACTCCCGACCTCAGGTGATCCGCCCACCTCGGCCTACCAAAGTGCTGGGATTACAGGCGTGAGCCACCATGCCCAATTGTGGTTTTGTTTGTTTGTTTGTTTGTTTGTTTTTTGTTTTTTAACAGGAAAAAGGAGGGACTAAGGACCCCACAGACCACAGCTCCTCCCACCCAGGAATGCGGCACCTCGAGTTGGGATTCTCCCCTGAAGATTCCCCAGAGGTCCCGCACAACTTGGGGAAATGCGGGGCTGTGGGCGTGGAGCTGTCCCGGGAGGGCTGGAGCGAGCCAAAGTCACCGACCAGGGACCAGGCGATACTGGACGCCCGGGCTCCCGGCGGCCGCCTTGCTACCATCTTGCACCTTAGCAGACTGAGGGCGGAGCTGCGCCGAAGAGGACTCGAATCCTGGTCCCTGCACCGACCGCGAGGAGGCCCGGGTTCCCCCCACAGCCGGTTCCGACCAGGCGCCTCCGGCACACTCACCAGTGGTTGTCTTCTGTGGTGTCCCAACATCTTCCCAAGGGACCTTCCAGTACCTGCAGGTCCCAGGTCCACGGAGGCAATGGCGGAGTCACGTGGAGCCTCACGGAGAAAACCGGACGGAGCAACGGACACCAAACGCGGAGCTCCACGGGTCCGAAAACTAAAGACCCCGCCATACAGTGGAAGGCTGCCCCTTCCTCCTAGTGGACAGTTCCCACACAAGCGCCTCTGATTGGATAGGGCTCCGGGCGCGGTGCGCAGGGCCCTGATTGACAGAAGCTGTGTTCTGGCCTGGGACAGGAGGCCCGAAGGACCGGTATTTGGCTGGCTCCACTCTTTGCTCCAGGGCTTCCTTCCAGTGCTGGCACATGGCTCCTCCAGGGGAACACGTACATTTAAGCAGAACTTGGCTGTGCCTTTCTGGGTTCCACTGTTGGCCTCCTGCACTTCCTGAATTCTTCCTGACGTTTGTTTGGTCTTTTGAGGTGGCAGCCTGAGCTTTGAAAAGAGGCAATTCTTTAAGGCAGCAATTTCCATTAGAAAAAAAAATGTGAGCCATGTGTGTCATTTAACTTTTCTAGTCACTGCTTAAAGGAAAAGGAAACAGGCTGGGCATAGTGGTTCACACTTGTAATCCCAGCACTTTGGGAGGCCAAGGCAGAAGAATCACCTGAGGTCAGGAGTTCGAGACCAGGGGGCATACAGTTATTAATAAAGTTTTCTTTGGTAGGAAATCTTAGAAACTCACTCTATATTTTAAGTTTCCAGCACATCTCACTTAAAACCAGCCACATTCCAGATGCCCTACGTGGTCAGTGGCTGCCACGTTGAAGCACAGCTCTGAGAGCACTGGCTCCCCTGACTTAAGGGGAGGTGAAGGCCTGAACTCTCTCCTTTTCTGCCAGAGGCAAGGGAACACCCCCTTCCTACCAGCATCTCCCCTCAGGCTGATAGGTGGGAGAGGTGGTGCCCTGAAAGAGAGCATGGGGCTCACAAGCAGAAAGTGTCCACAGGTAGACAACTGCTACCCATCTGCTGCTTGAGGAGGGGCCATCCTCCTTCCAGAAACCAGACAGTGAAAAAAGAATGATGAGGCCCCAGGAGGATGAAATCCCATGTCTTCAGATGTGTCCACAGCCCTGACCTCCAGAGTTTAGATGTGGAGGTAATAGATTAAAGGAAAATTTCTTTCTTTCTTTTCTTCCTTTTTTTTGCGGGGGTTGGGCGGGGGGAAGACAGGTCTCCCTCTGTCACCCAGGCTGGAGTGCAGTGGCACAATCATGGCTCATTGCAGCGTCAACTTTCCAGGTTCAAACGATCCTCCCAACTCAGCCTCCCAAGTAGCTGGGACCACAGGTGCACACCACCACATAAATAAGTGATATAGAAAATCAGTACCTGTAATGTGCTGTTTGTCAGGGAACTTGTAATTAACCTGTTCTTGAATCCTGGCATCCTATCTGTAATGAGGGTATGTATTAGTTAACTATGCCTACATTAAA
This sequence comes from Homo sapiens, assembly GCF_000001405.40. Taxonomy (NCBI): domain Eukaryota; kingdom Metazoa; phylum Chordata; class Mammalia; order Primates; family Hominidae; genus Homo; species Homo sapiens. Next base: position 57,258,413 of record NC_000007.14, read on the forward strand.
AAACAAAACAAAACAAAACAAAAACCAAGGCTGGGTGTGGTGGCTCATGCCTATAATCTCAGCACTTTGGGAGGCTGAGGTGGATCACCTGAGGTCAGGAGTTCGAGACCAGCCTGGCCAACATGGTGAAACCTCGTCTCTACTAAAAATACACACACACACACAAAAATTAGCTGGGCATGGTGGTGGGTGCCTGTAATCCCGACTACTTGGGAGGCTAAGGCAGGAGAATCTCTGGAACCCGGGAGGCAGAGGTTGCAGTGAGCCGAGACTGCACCATTGCACTCCAGCCTGGGCAAAAAGAACGAAACTCCATCTCGAAAAAAAATAATAAAAAACCCAAAATTTGTTTTAGCTTACATTTGAGCTGCTAAGCTATTTAGGCTGAACTCAGCTGGGCCATTCTTCTGGTCTCACCTGGGATCCTTCAGGCGTATGTGGTCAGCTGCTGGTTGAGGAGGCAGCTCTGTTTCTGAGAGTGAGCTGGCTGTCAATGGAGACACCTTGATTCTCCCCCTTCCCATCATGGTATCTCATCCTCCATCGTGGGCTTCTTCCCATGGGAATGGCAGGATTCCAAAAGAAAAGGCAGAAGTTTTTAAGATCTTTTCAGCCTAAGCCCAAAGCTGGCATACTGTCATATTCACAGCTTTCTATTGGCCAGAACAAATAAGGCTGGACAGATTTAAGTTTTGAGAAACACACTCTACCTATTGATGGGAGTAGCTGAAAAAGCACATTCCAAAGGGCATAGATATAGGGAAGGATGAAGAATAGCTGTCATTTTTGCAATCAGTATCACTTTGCCTTTTCTTGCAGACAAGGTTTATATACATGTTCCAAGTCAAGAGACTTGTCCAAAACTGTGCAACTACTAAACTGCTGGGCTGGGACTCAGGATCACCCTCACCTGATTTCAAAGCCCATGAACCTCCATAGGCCATGCTACTTATGCAGCATCCCTGGGCTCTCAAGTTTCTAGAGAATGACTCTTCTGCAGAAGAAGCAGGATTCCATTGAGATTCTTATCCATCTAGCCCCCTTCACTGCTCTTGGAATAATCCCTCCAAAAAATGCTTCTGAAGACCCTTGAAAGGACATGAAATAATTTGGGGGAATGGCTGAGTTTAGGAAATCAAGGCCCAATATTTTATTTTTCATTTCTCACCATAGAATAAATTTAAAAGCATGTATAATGCACTCCATGTGTCTGCAAATTCTTTTCATCCCTTTTTGGTATCTAGGCTGTTTCCTTTCAACACAGACTAAATCAAAATACTGCACCTGGGCCAGGCGTGGTGGCTCAGGCCTGTAATCCCAGCACTTTTGGAGGCTGGGGCGGGCAAATCATGAGGTCAGGAGATCAAGACCATCCTGGGCAACATGGTGAAACCCCATCTCTACTAAAAATACAAGAATTAGCTGGGCATGGTGGCGCGTGCCTGTAATCCCAGCTATTCCGGAGGCTGAGACAGGAGAATCGCTTGAACCAGGGGAGTCGGTGGTTGCAGTGAGCCAAGATTGCACTACTGCACTCCAGTCTGGTGACAGAGTGAGACTCCATCTCAGAAAAAAAAAAAAATACTGCACCTGAAACAACCTGTTACTCTGAAAACAAGTGACATAAAAATAGAGGTGCCAAGAAGACATTTTCCCTTGCTGCAATTTAGCCCAGAAAACTGAGTACATCTTTAAGTCATCTTTTGTTTTTTGTTTTCAGATGGAGTCTCACTCTGTTGCCCAGCCTGGAGTTCAGTGGCACAGTCTTGGCTCTCTGCAACCTCTGCTTCCCGGGTTCAAGCGATTCTCCTGCCTCAGCCTATGGAGTAGCTGGGATTACAGGTGCGTGCCACCACACCCAACTAATTTTTGTAGTTTTAGTAGTGACAGTGTTTCACCATGTTGGCCAGGCTCTTCTTGAACTCCTGATCTCAGGTAGTCCACCTGCCTTGGCCTCCCAAAGTGCTGGGATTACAGGCGTGAGCCACCGTGCATGGCCCATCTTTTGATTTTACAGGCCAGAACTGTTTTCCAAAAGCCCAAACTCAGGAGCATCCATGAGGGAAAATACCAGCAGTCCACATGGAAATCATGTACATTTAATCCATCCTTCACACTGAACCAATGAACATTACCCTTTGCTTCACATCAGAATCACTGGAGGTGACAGGTGGGCCAAAAATCTCCCAAAGCCAAGTTGCAAAAGACCAATAAATCAGAATCCCTGAGTGAGTCCCAGGCAACAATTTTTTTCTTTCTTTCTTTTCTTTGTGTGTGTGTGTGTGTGTGTGTGTGTGTGTGTGTGTGTCGCCCAGGCTAGAGTGCAATGGTGCGATTGAGGCTGACTGCAGCCTCTGCTTCCCAGGTTCAAGAGATTCTCCTGCCTCAGCCTCCCGAGTAGCTGGGATTACAGGTGCCCACCACCACCAGGCAACAATGTTTTTAAAGTTCTCCAGATGATTATAGTGTGCAGCCAAGTCCCCAAAACTTACCTTACACCAACATCTTCTGGTGAACTAGTTGTAAATGTTTTCTCCAATGAATGCAAAAATATTGGCTGCTGGATTTTGGTCTTCCAGACCTACCTGCGTTACCTATTTAGCATCCTTTGTAGGAATTGGCTTCTACTACTCATTTTGTTTCTGATTCAACCCAGTTCCACAAGCGCCCTACTGTATGCACAGGGCCCTGTGCTAGATTCCCTAACCTTGCTGAGCATCATTATTGGGAGAGGACTTTGCTGGGGAGAAATGCATCCCCCAAAATGCACACCATACCACTCACCAAATGCAGGCAAAAATGGAAAGACCCAGGAGGTCACTCGAATGTTGGAACATGAATAGATACTTCAAAACATTAAAATCCATCTCATGGTGACCTGAGCAAATGTGTTCCACTTTAAAACAAAACAAACAAGCAAATAAACAAAATGCTGCCATTATTCTCAGGTGCCGTGTTAGGGTTTTTCTGCAAATATGTAATATTTAAAATTTTTATTGGTGGGGCAGATGTGGAGTCTCACGCCTGTGATCTCAGCACTTTGGGAGGCAGAAGCGGGTGGATCCCTTGACCCAGGAGTTCAAACAAGCCTGAGCAACATGGCGAAACCCTGTCTCTACAAGAAATACAAAAAAGTGGGGTGTGGTGGCACGTGCCTGTAGTCCCAGCCACTTGGGAAGCTGAGGTGGGAGGATCCACTGAGCCCAGGAGGTGGAGGCTGCAGTGAGCTGAGCTCTTGCTGCTGCACTCCAGCTTGGTCAACAGAGTGAGATCCTGTCTCAAAAAAATATATTTACTGATGTATAACATGCATACAGAAATGCATGCACAAAGCATTCATGTAAACCTCAATGAATTATTACAAAGCGAATGTATTTTTATAACCAGCCTCATGTATGCCTCAACCATCATTTTCCCCCTCCTTTCCTTCTCCAACAAAGGTCACCAAGATCTTAAACATTAGCCTTGTAGATAGATTTTGCCTTTTTATACAATTGTTTTGCTACAAAACGTTTTATTTTTATTTATTTATTTTTGAGAATGAATATCACTCTGCCAACCAGGCTGAAGTGCAGTGGCACAATCTCGGCTCACTGCAACCTCTGCCCCCTGGGTTCCAGCGATTCTCCTGACTTAGCCTCCTGAGTAGCTGGGATTACAGGCACCTGCCACCATGCCTGGCTAACTTTTGTATTTTTAGTAGACATAGGGTTTTACCATGTTGGCCAGGCTAGTCTTGAACTCCTGACCTTAAGCAATTTGCCCACCTCGGCCTTCCAAAGTGCTGGGTTTACAAATGTGAGCCACTGTGCCTGGCCACAGAACACTTTAAACATATGCAAAATAGACCAATATAATAGACCTGTCACTTAGTTTTGATAACTACTAATCAGGTGTTATTTTTGTTTCGTCTATACTTCAACCCATTCCCCACACCCATATTATTACTTTGTAGGGTTTTTTTTCTGTAAGGTTGGACTTACATATGTTAAAAGGCACAAATCTTAACTTCACCGTTTTAAGAAATAAATACACCCCCCATGTAACCTTCACCTGTTTTAAGAATAGAATGTTTTCAGCCAGGCACAGTGGCTCATGTGGATCACCTGAGGTCAGAAGTTTGAGACCAGCCTGGCCAACATGGTGAAACCCCGTCTCTACTAAAAATACAAAAATTAGCTAGGCATGGTGGCAGGTGCCTGAAATCCCAACTGCTCAGGAGGCTGAGGCAGAATTGCTCGAACCCAGGAGTGGGAGGTTGCAGTGAGCTGAGATCGTGGCATTGCACACCACCCTGGGTGACAAGAGTGAGACTCTGTCTCAAAAAAAAAAAAAAAAAAAAAGAATAGAATGTTTTCATTATCCTCAGAAATTCCCTTTTGTTTTTCCCAGGCATTTTTTTTTCTCCCCAGAGGCTATCTCTGGACTAATTTTTTTTCAACATACGTTACTTTTGCCTGGAATCATATGGTCTGTATTACTTTCTGTCCACCCTGTCAAATTTAGGAGGTTTAGGAGAGTCATCCCGGTGCATGCTTCAGTAGTTGGTTCCTTTGTACTGCTGAAGAGTATCTTGTTGTATAATTGTCCTGTAATTTGTTCATCCATGTGTCTTTCTGCTTTAGGTTATTATGACTAAAAGGTCTATGAACAACCTTGTATAATTTTTAATATTTAATTTCTTTATTAGCATTTAAGTGACACCTCTTTGCATTTTTTCTTGGTTGCTCCAGGGTTTGGAATATGCACCTTTAACATACCACAATCTATGTAGAGTTAATACTGTGCGATTTTAATCAATGTACATTATAAAAACTTTGCTCTGGAACAATTTTATTGAACTCATTCTATTTATTGTGCTATCATTACAAATTTTACATCTGCTTGATATGAATTACACATTACAATGTTACCATTTTTGCTATAAATAGTCATAAGTCAGCTGGGCACAGTGGCTCACGCCTGTAATCCCAGCACTTTGGAAGGCTGAGGCAGGCGGATCACCTGAAGTCGGGAGTTCGAGACCAGCCTGGCCAACATGGTGAAACCCCATCCCTACTAAAAACACAAAAATTATCCAGGCGTGGTTGTGGGCACCTGTATTCCCAGCTACTTGGGAAGCTTAGGTGGCAGAATCGCTGGAATCTTGGTGGTGGAGGTTGCAGTGAGCCTAGATACTCTGGGAGGCTGAGGCAGGCAGATCGCTTGAGGTCAGTTCGAGACCAGCCTGGCCAACGTGGTGAAACTCCATCTCTACTAAAAATACAAAAATTAGCTGGGCATGGTGGCACTGTAATCCCAGCTACTCAGGAGGCTGAAGCAGGAGAATCACTGTAACCCGGGAGGTGGAGGTTGCAGTGAGCCTAGATACTCTGGGAGGCTGAGGTGGGCAGATCACTTGAGGTCAGGAGTTCAAGACCAGCCTGGCCAACGTGGTGAAACCCCATCTCTACTAAAAATACAAAAATTAGCCGGGCCTGGTGGCACTGTAATCCCAGCTACTTGGGAGGCTGAAGCAGGAGAATCACTTGAACCTGGGATGTGGAGGTTGCAGTGAGCCGAGATCATGCTACTGCACTCCAGCCTGAGTGACAGAGTGAGACTCTGTCTCCAAAAAAAAAAGTCGTAAGTCTTTTCACAAAATTAAAAGAAAAATTAAGTATCTGCCTGATATTTGGAGGCCGATGCTTTGGCACTGTACAAATTCACACCGTTCCTAGAATTTTCAGTCACCATTTTTGAATTGTTCAGTGAATCTTGCTTATAATAATTATTACTGTGGTGTTCTAGTGGTAATTTTATATCTGAATTATCTATCTATAATGTTTAGTATTCTGGAATTCTGCAAGGAAAATTTTAAACTTCCTTCCTTCCTTCCATTCTTCATTCTTTCCTTCCTTATTTACCTAATCTTTTTTATATCATATGAACTCATGGATATTTATTTTATTCTGTGAGTTGTAGTTCAATGCTATCATCATTTCATTGTTCATATTATTCCAGCTTGGGCTATTGGGATGTCTGCCAGGTAAGCTCGTTTTGACATCTCTCTTTTTTGAAAACCACTTTTCAACTTTCTGGTTCTACAAGAAACTCTACTCAGCTTTTCTGTTTTCCATTTTCAGCCCTAGAATTATCCATTTTTACAAGCTTTGTTTCCTTTTATTAAAGAATGGTATTTAGAAATCAAGATCTACAGAGCTAGTTGTGGTCATTGATACTGGGATATAACTGCTTCTGGACCTCTCAGGAGACTGACTTTGAAATTGTGTATATAAATATAAACTCAAATATGCCCACGTCTATCTATCTATCGATCGATCAATCAATTGATCTATCTATCCATCCATCCATCCACCCATCCATCCATCCTGAATGTATGTTTACAGTAGACATGGCTTCATTCTGACATTTCCAACTTCAGTCCAGAACCATGGGTTTTTTCTAACATTCTTCCTTTGTTTATGTGCAGCTGTTTTACAACTATATTGAGAAATGGGCAGTAATTGTCTCCAAAATATATTCTAACATATAAAGTAGTTTCAGAATTACTAACCCATATTCTTGCAGGAAACGAATTTACCAACTAGATTCCAGTGTTTGTATACAAACTTGAGTCTTACAGCCTTCAATCAAAACACTGCTTTCCAAAGTTACTTAGGTCAGGACTCTATCTCCACACTTTTAGGGGTGATTATACATTTGTAGTACAGTTAGACTCATTTGTCACTCTCTGCATTCTATCTGAATCCCCCAAAAATCCTAGTAAATTTTTAAAAATTTGCATAGTATAAGATTCACTCTTTTTTTTCCTTATTTTGAGATGAAGTCTTGCTCTGTCCCCCATGCTGGAATACAATGGCGTGATCTTGGCTCACTGCAGCCTCCGCCTCCCAGGTTCAAGTGATTCTTCTGCCTCAGCCTCACGTGTAGCTGGGATTACAGACACTCACTACCACGTCTGGCTAATTTTTATATTTTTAGTAGAGACGGGGTTTCACCATGTTGGCTAGGCTGGTCTTGAACTCCTGACCTCAGCTGATCCACCCACCTTGGCCTCCCAAAGTTCTGAGATTACAGGCATAAGCCATCATGCCCAGTCTCTGAGTTGTATATTTTATAACAAACTGGTAAACTTAAGTAAAATGTTTCCCTGAGTACTGTGAGAAGTTCTATCAAATTATTGGAAGTGAGGGCTTATGGGAGCCCCTGATTTATAGACAGTTGCTCAGTATAGATGGGCCCCAGAGCTTGTGACTGGCATCTGCAGTGGGGGCAGTTGGTGGGACTGAGCCCTGAACTTGTGAGATCTGTGCTAACTCGGTGGTGACAGAATTGAATTGGTGGACAACCAGTTTGTTTTGGAGAATTGGTTTGTATTCAGCAAGCTGCACACATTTGCTGTCAGAAGTGTTGTCAGAAAAAAGACATCACAGGCTGGGTGTGGTGGCTCACCCTTGTAATCCCAGCACTTTGGGAGGCAAAGACAAGCAGATCGCTTGAGCTCAGGAGTCTTAGACCAGCCTGGGCAATACGGGAAACCTCATCTCTATTAAAATTAGAGTAGCTGTGGTCCCAGCTACTCCAGAGGCTGAGGTGAGAGGATCACTTGAGCCCGGGAAGCAGAGGGTGCAGTGAGCCGAGATTGCACCACTATACTCCAGCCTGGGTGACACAGGGAAACCCTGTCTCAAAAAAAAAGAAAGGAAGAAAGAAACAAAGAAACAAAGAAAGGAAGGAAGGAAGGAAGGAAGGAAGGAAGGAAGGAAGGAAGGAAGGAAGGAAGGAAGGAAGGAAAAAGAAAGAAAAAGAAAAAAGACATTACAGGTGAGAACCTTAAACTGACTCCAGGTGAGTGTGGCCACTGGTGAGAATCATTTCCCTGGAGGAGAGAGGTTTTCCATCTGGAACAGGAGGGAGTGTGGAGCTCCCAGAAATAAGTTTCCCAGCTGCTTGGGTTTCTCTCACTCACCACCTAGAAGTGAGCTACCCTGGGCTCCATCTCCATGGTCAGAGTGGTTACTAAGCTTGGGCCTGTGTTTAGTCCAGAGTATGAGCTTCCTTATGAACGGTGGATGAAACAGGCTGTTTCCCTTTTTGTTTTGTTTTGTTTGCTTTTTATTTTTCTTTTCTTTTCTTTTTTTTTTTTTTTGAGACAGATTCTCACTCTGTCACCCAGGCTGGAGTGCAGTGGCTTGATCTCGGCTCACTGCAATCTCTGCCTCCCAGGTTGAAGTGATTCTCCTGCCTCAGCCTCCCGAGTAGCTTGGATTACAGGTGTATGCCACCACACCCGGCTGATTTTTGTATTTTTAGTAGAGATGGGGTTTCACCATGTTGGCCAAGCTGGTCTTGAACTCCTGACCTCAGGTGATCCAGCTGCCTTGGCCTCCCAAAGTGGTGGGATTATACGTGTGAGTGACCGTGCCCAGCCTGGCCACCCTTTTCTGTGTTCTTCAAGGGGCTCCCAGGCTGCTAGAAGTTTCCTTTAGGTCCCCTCACATGGTGTGAAAGGTGGCAAGAGGGAAGTGAGACAGATAGAAGTAAATGGAAGAATTAGTCCTAGAGGAGGCAGTTTGAGAAGATCTTGTTTTCCAAAAGGCCAATGAAGTTTTTACATTATCCTTGGCAAAAGTCATATCAACAAGAGGAAGAACAGACAGGGGAAGCACATATAGTAGCAGGGGTTTGAGAAGAGAGGAATTCAGTTGACTGCCAAGCAACTGATATTTAAAACTGATATTTAAGTTATACGTACATTGATTTGAGGTCAGTTAGAGAAAACACCTCAAATCAATGTATTTATACATATATAACTTAAATATCAGTTTTATTGAAGTGAACTTTTTCCTGTAGAGCTCTTAATTTTTGTAAAATCAGGTTTTAACCAGGTAAATAGCAAACATTACTGTTTATTGGCTTTTCCAGTCTGAAATTTACATCAAGAGGGAGTTTTGGAGATGGGGCATATTTGTTTACTAAAGAGGTCTAGGGTAACCACTATTTAAAGTTGTTTGTCTCTGAAATGTTTTAATAAACAGTTTCCTTTCTTTCTGAGTATATGTTTTTATTTAGCTTAGGAGAGAAGGCTAACAGGACAGAGCAAAGGGGTGCTATTACACTATAAATCTAAACCCTAAATTTAAATCAAAAGTATACCTGAATAAGTGACTGAAAACCAACACAAATAAACACACATGAGACCAAAACTAAAAAGTCTTTTATGGCTTTAACCAGGGTCTCCAAAGAGAGCAGAAAGTTTTAGCTCATTCATAATCAAATGCGGTGCAATCATGTCTGCAGGCCCTATCTTCTAGGGTCTTTGCTTCTCAGCTGACCATCTACCCACAAAGGCAAGACAGAAGACTAAAAGAGACAGTCAGTAAAATGGGAAAACAAACACTGTTTATGGGGTTAGAAAAGGTTACAAATGAGTACTCCAAAGACATGGTAAGTCTCCAAGTGATCTATTATAAATTTTGCTGCAAAGTCCAACAGGCTGTTTGAGCTTAAGGATTTCCTTGAGGGAGTGAAAGAAGAGCAGTCTTAAAAAAAAAATCAGCTGGGCTCGGTGGCTCACGCCTGTAATCCCAGCACTCTAGGAGGCCATGGTGGGTGGATCACCTAAGGTCAGGAGTTTGAGACCAGCATGGCCAGCGTGGTGAAACCCCATCTTTACTAAAAATACAAAAATAAGCTAGATGTGGTGGCACATGCTTGTAATCCCAGCTACTCGGGAGGCTGAGGCAGGAGAATCGCTTGAACCTGGGAGGCAGAGGTTGTGGTGAGACAATACCATGCCATGGCACTCCAGCCTGGGTGACAGAGTGAGACTCTATCACAAAAAAAAAAGTGAAACCATCAGTGTTAGACTGCCAGCATCATACCCCAGACCTCCTATCCTGAGACAGAGAAAGAAGTTTTCTTTTCTTTCTTTCTTTCTTTTAAATTCCGAAACCTGAATCTCCTGCCTGTGGCTGGAGATGGAAACATCTTTTCTAGAAAGGGAGGGTTGAAAAGAATAACTCAAGTAAAGTCTAGGCCTCACCAACCAGTAAGGAGGTCTAAATTCAGGAGGACTCGCCCGTTACACTCAACAGTGTACTTGGAGCCAGAGGAACGCAAGAGGTTCTGGTCAGCCAGGCACCGAGTCCAGGAGTGTTGGTTGGTTGAGGGGTGGGAAGAGAGTCTCTGAAACCTGCAGTCCTGCTCACCACACTAGAAATATTGACCTAACGAAAAAAGCTAAGGCACAAAATATAATTTTTTTTGAGAGAGAGGTTCACTCTTGTTGCCCAGGCTGGAGTGCAGTGGCATGATCTCAGCTCACTGCAATCTCCACCTTCTGGGTTCAAGCAATTATCCCGCCTCAGCCTCTTGAGTAGCTGGGATTACAGGCACCCACCACCATGCCTAGCTAGTTTTTGTATTTTTAGTAGAGAAGGGGTTTCATCATGTTGGCCAGGCTTGTCTTGAACTCCTGGCCTCAGGAGATCTGCACACCTAGGCCTCCCAAAGTGCTGGGATTAGAAGCGTGAGCCAACCGCGCCCAGCCACAAAATATAATTTTAAAGAATTTATTTGAGGCCATGGTGAGGACGGCTGCTTGGGAGACTCAGACTGAAGTAACCTCAAATAGGAACCACATTTGCCCTTTGTTACAAGGTTTATAAAGACAAAAGAATAGAAAGTGGGCTGATACAATATTGTCAGGAATTCACACTGGTTTACCTATGCACTGGTACACAAAAGGGTTGGCCCATGATTCACAGCTCTTGGGTGACACTTTGAGGAATGATGCTCATAAACTGCACAAGAAATAACACTGATAGTGATTGAATATACATCGTTGAACTATAGGGTGTGGGTTTTGTTGTCCAGCATGTGGAATTTTAGGTTAATTTCTAGCCACTTGCTGCATCAGTCAGTCCAGATTCCGCAGAGCAGGCAGCTTCACAAAATGATTACATAGCTCAAGGGGGGAAGTGAGACATAACTGCTGCCTAATTTCTGTGCCTGCATGGGCTTAATAACTTAGAGGTAGTTCACATTCCTCAGATTAAAACATTTCTGCCAGGTGCAGTGGCTCACACGTGTAATCCCAGCAATTTGGGAAGCTTAGGCAAGTGGATTACTTGAGCCCAGGAGTTAGAGGCAAACCTGGACAATGTATTGAAACCCAGTCTCTACTAAAAGTACAAAAATTAGCTGTATGTGGTGGTGCATGCCTGCAGTCCCTGCTACTCAGGAGGCTGAGGCAGGAGGATCACTTGAACCTGGGAGGTCAAGGCTGCAGTAAGCAGTGATCATGCCACATAAAGATGGGAACAGCAGACACTGGAGACCACGGGGAGGGGAGAGGGAGTGGGCCAAGGGTTGAAAATCTACCTGCTGGGTACTATGCTCACCTACCCCAAACCTCAACATCACACTATACACCCATGTAAAAACCCTGCACATGTAACCCTTGAACCTAAAAGATGACATTTTAATGAAATCAAATATTTCCTCTTTATGGATGCCCAGTCATAGTTGAAAATTTTAGGTATCTAGAAGGATTCAGTAGTGAACTATGTTTATTCAAGACTTTTTAGGTTAATATGTTTTTAAATTTTTGTTTTGCAACTTTATATGTCGATATCTCATGGTTTAGGATAGGCTACCTCATTTTACTTAATTGTGTTTTTGTTTTGATTTATATATTATAATTCTGTATGACAATATTCAACTTCATACACTTTAAGCCAGTGTACAGCAAAAGTCAAATATGAACCAGCCATACGTCTATTGCCACCATAATTATTTTTATGTTTGTTTGCCTGTATAAATATTACCCACATTTTAAAAATAATTTGTATATAATTGTTATTTTGGTTGGTGATAGATGGTTATTTTCTCTGCGTCAGTGAGTAGTCATGGAAATTGTCTTACTTTCCACACCTGTTTATTGGTGAATATGTATGATCTTGTGTGAGAAACATTTTGTGATTTGGAGGTAAGTTTTGAAAAGCTTCATAACTCTATCTATTGTAATTTTATTTATTTTTATTGTCAAAATACACACCAAAATGTACAATCTTAACACTTCAAATTATGTAGTTTAGTTTATGTTACATATATTGACACCGTTAGCAATATATCTGTAGAAAGTTTTCTATTTTTATGTTATTTCATTGAGACAGAGTCTCATTCTGTCACCCAGGCTGGAGTGCAGTGGTGCAATCTTGGCTCACTGCAATCTCCCCAGTTCTTATTTTCCTTATTACACTTAGTTGTCTGTGTTCCCATGTTACATATTGAGCATAATTGCGGTGGTTATTTTGATTTTTTTTCAGATAATTCTCCTGGCTCATCCTCCTGAGTAGTTGGGATTACAGGAATGTGCCACCATGCCTGGCTAATTTTTTGTATTTTTCGTAGAGACGGGATTTTACCACGTTGGTCAGGCTGGTATTGAATTCCCAACCTCACGTGATCTGCCTGCCTTGGCCTCCCAAAGTGCTGGGATTACAGGCGTGAGCCACCGTGCCCAGCCTAGAATGTTTTTATCTTGTGAAACTAATACACAATCCATGTGAATCCTACTTCCCATTGTCTGTCTTTCTCCAAACATTATTCTATTTTCTCTTTTTAATAGTGTAACTACTTTAGATATCCCATATAAGCAGATTCATACAGTATTTTTCTTTTTTCGACTGGCTCGTTAAATTTAACATAAAGTCATCAAGATTTATGTTTATGGTAGATGTTAGAAGATGTCTTTTTTTTTTAAAACTGAGTTACATTCCATTATTTTTATATTCCAAATTATATTTATCCATTCATTTGGTGAGGGAAATTTGGGTTGCTTTTACCTATTGGCTTTTGTGAATAATGCCACAGTAAATGGTGTTAATAACTCATTTAACCATACATGTGAGAGTTTTTATCTGTGCTGTATTCTGTTTTGTTGGTGTAGGGTTTTACTTTTATGCCAGTACCAAAGTGCTTTGATTACCCTACCCTCATTTTGTATTCTGAAATCATTAAGCACAATGTCTCCAATATTGTTTTCCTTTTTTAAATGGTCAGTCTCTTTGTGGTTTCTTGATATTCCATATGATTTGGGAGTTGTTTTCCTATTTTTGGAAAAGTGAAATTTGGAATTTGAAAGGGATCGTATTGAATGTGTAGATAGATCAATTTGGTCAGTTTGGCCCTCTTCACAGTATGAAGTCTTCCAGCCTTTGAACAAGAGCATGCTTAAGAGTGTATTGTTTAATTTTCATATTTTGTGATTTTTTTTTGGTTTTCTTTCTGTAAGTGATTTTTAGTTTCATTCAATTTGGCCAAAAATAATAGTGTGTAAGATTCAAGTTTAAAAAACAGATTAAGACTTGTTTTGTGAGATAACGGGTGTTGTATCCAGAATTTTCTTATGAGCTATTGAAAAGATTGTGGATTCTGCTGTTGTGTGGCATGTCCTGTATATGTGTTTTAGGTGTAATTGCTTTACATTGTTTTCAAGTTCTTTGTTCCCTTATTAATGTTCTGTCATGCTTTATTATTCATTACTGAAAGTATTGAAGTACTCTCCCCTTGTTATATTACTTCATTTGTGTCAATGCTTGCTTTATATATTTGGGAACCCTGATAGGAGATATAAATAGGTTCCCAGTGAATGAACCATTTTATTATAATATAATGTCCTTGGTTGTCTCTTGTGAGTTTTGACTTAAACTATATTTTATAAAATATGACAGCTTTTGACTTAATATAATTAGTTCTGCATCTCTCATTTGGTTAACACTTGCATGGAATGTCTTTTTCCATCCTGTAGCTTTCAGTCTATTTTCATCATTAGATCTGAGGTGAGGAGACATGGAGACATGACATAGGTGAATTTTGTTCTCTAAATTAAAAAAAATCCCTTTATTTAATATTTGCCTTTTGATTGGGAAGTTTACTCCATGAATATTTTAATACTTTTCTAAAAGGAAATGACTTGCAATTACCATTTTATTGTTTTATTTGACTGTTGTAGCTATTTTGTCCCTATTTACTTTGTATTCCTTTGTGTCTTGTTGATATTTGCAGTGACATGCTTTGCTTTTTTATTTTCTATTGTGTATCTGCATTTTCTTTATGGTTCCCATGTAAATTACATAAAATCTCTTAAAGCTACAACTGTATATTTTAAACTGGTAACAACTTGCACTCAGTTGCATATAAACATTCTTGCTCATTACATCTGCCCTCAAATTATAATGTCACTAAGTATATCATATATTAATGGGTGTTTTAATTTTCATGATGTCTTTCAAATTTTAAAGCACAATTGTTTTCTGCCTAATTTTTATCATACTACAAAGTATTATTTTTATGTATGTGCATATCTTTCCCAGTGAGTTGTGTATTTTTATCTGATTTGTTTTTTTTCTATCATTCTAAATTTTCAATGGGAAAGACTTCTTCTTGCATTTCTGGTAGGACAGTTATACTGGTGAGGTACTTTCTCAGCATTTAGTTATCTTGGGAAATCTTTATTTTTAAAAATTTTGTAGGACAATTTTGCTAAAACGTTTTGTTCCTTCAGCACATGGACTATATAACCCAACTCCCCTCTTGTCTGCAGGGTTTTTGTTCAAAAATTCACTGGTAATCTTGCAGGAGCATGCATACAGATGATACATCTCTTGACTTTCTGCATTCAAGATTATCTTCTTTTCTGTGACTTTCAAGACTTTGCTTATATTGTGTCTTGTTATGAGTCTCTTTATCCAAGTTGAAGTTTGTTGAGCTTCAGGTTTAGTATTTTTTTTTCTTACACTGGATAATTTGTCAGTCATTTTTTTGTATACTTCTGCTCTAAAATTTGTTTCTTTTTGTCATTTTATTGATATTCTTATTTTCCTGATTACAGTTAGTTTTCTTGGTTCCCATTTTACACATTGAGCATAATTGAGATGGTTCTTTTGATTTTTCTAAGGCAATTTATACATCCTTATTTCTTTAGGGTTGATTTCTGCACACTTGTTTCTTTGATTGGATCATGTTAGTCTGACACTTTATATATATTGTAACATTTGGTTGAGATATGTACATTAAAAAAAGTCAGCTGTCACAGTCTGTATAAAGGGGCTTACTTCCCTGCAGTGTCTGACATCACTTTACCGAGCTAGATATTGAGAATTTCTCAAACCTGTTCTTAAGATGTCTCTTCCCTAGATTTTTGTTCCCTTTATTGAGTTATGTGGATTTGCCCATGTTTCTGCTGAAGAGCCTGTAATTAGTTGGTACACCTGCTGTTTCTCTGTGGTCCTACAGTCTCTCTGCTGCTGTAACAATCATTTACCTTGTGTCTCACAGACACTCACCTGTCATTCAAAGTATAGCACCATTTCTTTCAGCACTCTGTGTCACAGTAGACAGAAACCAGTCTTTGGAAAGATCCCTCAAAGCCAGAAGTATGGACACATGTGCCACTTTTTTTCACTTTTGAGAGAGAAGCCAGGAGTTGAGAGTTTACACTTAAAGGCATTATTTTATATTAGGGAGGAGGTGTGGCTGTGGTGGGTAAATGTAACAAATGTTCTTTTGTCTTCTATGTGGCTTTTTGCATCGTTCTCATCTGTGGCACTGCAATCTCTTAACCGGTTTTTAGAGATTTTACAAAGGCATTTTGTCCAATATATTTTTGTTAAGTTTACATGTCTATGAAGGAGTTTGGACTTGTGGTATTATGCCATCTTATTGTGCTTGGTATAATTTTATATTTTGTATTTGTAAAGTATATTCACCTGAGTCTAATAAGTTTATTTTTCTTTATTTATTTTTCTTTATTTATTTTTATTTCTTTTAGCTGTGTCCTCTCATCTTACTCCAGACCTTTTGCCTGAGCAAAGCATAAAACATTTATTCCCAAAAGTGATAATGAGAAGATATGAAAGTTTGGCACTGAAAATTTAAACATAAGAAAAGACTGGAAAAGTGTGGGTGAGTGTAAGGGACAGAAAAAAAGTTGTAATGGACTTAACCAATGTTTATCAACTACTCTTAGCAAAATCATTCAATGTCATGAATGTGGGAAAGCTTTTAACTGGTGCTTAATCCTTACTCAACATAGGGGAATTCATGCAGGAGAGAAACCATAGAAATGTGAGGAATGTGGCAAAGCCTTTAACTGGTTCTCAAACCTTATTCAAAATAAGAGAATTCTTACTGTAGGGAAACCCTACAAATGTGAAGAATGTGGCAAAGCCTTTAACCAGCGCTCACATCTTATTGGACATAACAGAATTCATACTGGAGAGAAATCCTACAATGGTGAAGAGTGTGGAATAGCTTTTATGCATGGCTCAAGCCTTACTAAACATAAGAGAACTCATACTGAAGGGAAATGCTACAAATGTGAAGAATGTGGCAAAACCTTTAACCAGAGCTCACATCTTATTGGACACAAGAGAATTCATACTGGAGAGGAACCCTATAAGTGTGAAAAATGTGGCAAAGCCTTTAACTGCTTCTCAAACCTTACTAAACATAAGAGAATTCACACTGGAGAGAAACCCTAGAAATGTGAAGAATGTGGTAAGTCTTTGATCAATGCTCAATCCTTACTGAATATAAGATAATTCACATGATTGAGAACCCCTACCATTGTAGGGAATGTAGCAAAGGTTGTAATTTGTGCTCAACTTTTACTGTAAGTGAATTCATTCTGGAGAGAAATCCTACCAAGTTAAAGAATGTGGCAAAACCATTAATGAATGCTGACATCACAATCTACATTGTTGATTTCATACTAAATAAAATTGGTATAAATATAATGACTGTTGAAAGATCTTTCACAAAATATAACCCTTAAAATGCACAAGATTATTTTACTGAAGAAAAACATTACAAATATAAAGAAAGTCCCAATACCTTACTTATATCACAGATTTTATTGTACACTGAAGAATTTATACCGAAGGGAAACTCTCCAGGAGTTCCTCAAACTTTATATTGAGGAGAAACTCTATGGATGTAATTAATGTGGAAAAACTTTTGTTCCATACATATACCTCATAAAACACTGGAGAGTTTCTACTATAACATATTATACAGATTTAAATAATGTGAAAAAGTAAAGTAGAAATCAAGCCAAAGTAAATGTCATAGATTGACAGTAGAAAGGACTAAGGCAATAACGTTTTGAGGCATTACTCTAATCATGTTGATTATAGAGAATAATTTAAAATAGGTTGCTTACTTGTATGTAAGTTTAAATGGAGAAGGATATTGATTTTCTCTTTGGACAGATATAATTACAATGATACTTTTTGGAATTGAAATAATTTTAGTTGTTTTGAAAAGCAAATATTTATGCAAATTAAACACAAATTTCTTGATGTTATATCTTCATTTCTAGTGCTTATGTGAAAGCATGTGGTCAATGGTTTCTGCATCAGAGCTCTGAGACAACTTTCTCTATTAGGTGAGCACCATTAATACACTTTTCCGTGGAACACTAAGGACATTTAAACGTACGACTCATGAAGAAAATCTAAGTGGAGAGGACGGTTATAATAGTGTTGTGATTCTTGAGGTAGGTGTTCAGGGTAATGTTATTCTGCATTGTAGTATAAGAGAAGCATTTTGAATCTTAGAAGTAAATTATTTTACCAGTTACACATTAAAATAATGAAATGCAGTGGAGTTTAAAGTACTTTTTGAGATAATGTTTGAACTTAATTTATTTTAATGGAATAAAATTGTTTTTAATGTGTTAAGACTGTTTTCCATTGAATGAAATGCATCCTGCCACCAACGTTAACCTATCCCACCTTATCGCATGTTGTAGATAACTGATGGTAACAATATACTATTGGATAGCATAGTAGAGGATAACATAGTACAAAGACATATTTTGTAATCCCTTTTCCCAGTGGAATGTTGTTACTAGAGGTAATACTTTCATTTTTTTTTCTTTTTGTAACTACAGGATCATTATTATGGTTATAATACAGATTGCATGAGTATGATAAAGCATTTTCACATATTTCTGAATTCTGAATGACTATTTCAAAATTTTTATTTGACATTTTTTCTGAATATGCTCACTCTAATCTGCAAAACACAGATTTTTAGTTTTGATTTACAAGGGTTTACATATACAAATATATCACTTTATAGGTAAACTTCAGGTGGAAGAGATTTGTGGTGAATGTAACTATGCTTGTGTGTGAGTGTGTGCCTATTTTTACAAAAAAGACAAACTTTAGATCAATGCAGATAATTTTTAAAAGTGTTGATAATTTACTAGGCAGATCAAAACCTCAAAGATTCTGAAAACAAATATATTTTCTCTGCTTTGTACTAAATTCATTTATCTAAAATCTTATGGCCCCTTGGCTCAGAATCTCCATGGAAGTCCTCTGTTTTTTTTCTTTTCCATCTCTTATGCTGGACCTAGTATATAATTTTCTCATTCCAAGGTTCATGAAGTATTCTTTTTATGATGTCCTCTGTGATTATAAGAATGACTTTTATGAAATTTAATCGTGCTCAGAAAATAACTGTTAGATGTTGGTGTTTCTACAGTGAGTGTTTTAAGTTACATTCCATCCTTTCTCTTTTAATTGGAGAACTCCATTTAAGCCACTTTTTCTTTCGTGATTCTTCTTTTTGTAATGGACATAGTCAAGTTTATTGAGCCAATTTGTTTATGTAAACAATAGAAGGCTTCATACATTATGAGGTTGTTTTGGCACATAAATGAACACACACAGGGCAGTGCTCGCTGTGTAATAGAAGTTCCATAATTAGCAGTAAACATGCAGAGGCCCAGGGACTGTCATCTTTGTTCACTGAGTTATGCCAAACATCTAGAAAACTGACTTTACACATTGTGCTGAAAATGTATGTATTGAATAAACAAACCTCAACAATAATCTCCTCAGATATCTGAGTTGGGTTGGGACTCCTCTTCAGCACCCTGGGAAGTTTGTTCATTCTGTGTCAAGGACAAAATCCAGCTAGAAGGAATCCCAAATATGGCTTACCAATGCAAAAATAGCTTTGCTTTCTAGGTGCATCTTCCAAATTTTGAGGGACACAGGCCAATGAGACAGAGAACTTCTTGGGCAAAAAGACAGAAAAAAGATATATAAGCAACCAGAGCATCCTAAGCAGCTTTTGTACAGAGACAGGCACTCGGCATCTGCTTGCTGCATCTTACGCCATTTAGTCCCTACAAGAACTCTATGAAGTTCATCTTCCCACTTTTCTGAGGCATAGACAGGCTCAGAGAGCTGCAGTGATATCCTTAGCACCCACCTGGTAGCTTGCAGAGTCACCACTGTGTCTTGGAGGAGAGAGACACCTACTAAATAACTGGCCCAGGAACTGTGGATTGGTGGTGAAGTCCTGGTAGGAGCTCAGGAAGGTGGTAAAGGAGAAGGTGGTTCTACCTGGAGTACAATGTTGAGTAGTACCAGAGCCTCCTTCAGCTTCTTCCTTGTACCTGTCTGGGAGTATCTGCGTAATTCTTATCTGAAGGTTTAGGGTAGACTTATTTTTATATGGTGGGAAACAAGAAAAGACATATGGTCAGTGACAGCAGAGTGAACCACTGGCAGATTGGGGGCTGAGCCTTATACCAGGAAGCTCCCATTCTTCAGAGACTCGTGCATGTCAAGGACACAGGTGTCCACAGTGAAAAAGGTTATAGGCTTCCAAAGTTTTATGTGGGCCAGGCATGGTGGCTCATGCCTATAATCCCGGCACTTTGGGAGGCCAAGGTGAGTGGATCACCTGAGGTCAGGAGATCAAGACCAGCCTGGCTAACACAGTGAAACCCTGTATCTACTAAAAATACAAAAAATTAGCCAGGCGTGGTGGTGGGCACCTGTAGTCCCAGCTACTTGGGAGGCTGAGGCAGGGGAATGGCGTGAACCTGGGAGGTGGAGCTTGCAGTGAGCTGAGATCGTGCCACTGCACTCCAGCCTGGATGACAGAGTGAGACATCATCTCAAAAAAAAAAAAAAAAGAAAAGAATAAAAAAGAAAAATCACCTCCAGACATGTTATCGTGCCTTAGTAGAGACTGAACAACCACAGGACCTCAGAAAAACGTTTCCCATCATTAGCTAAAAATTATGAAAGACACTGGAGTCACAAGCTTGGGTAGGCACAACAATTTATTGTGGATGGAAATAGCTCATTTAGAGTTGGATCAGAACAAGGCCAGAAAGCACAAATAGGAAGCATGAACTGATGGTCTAGACTTCCATATTGAGTACCTCTCCTTGAGCTTATACTTAGGGCATGATGGATATTCCATCCGATCAGCTTACAGATAAGACAGTCAGACGTGGCTCACAGATAGGTTAATATACTTAGTATTACTTAATATTAGGTAGCATATAGTGCTTGGGAAAACACCACTCTGACCCAGACAGAGTCTCGCTCTGTCGCCCAGGCTGGAGTGCAGTGGCACAATCTTGGCTCACTGCAACCTCCATCTCCTGGGTTCAAGCAATTCTCCTGCCTCAGCCTTCTGAGTAGCTGGGATTACAGTCATGCGCCACCGCGCCCAGCTAATTTTTTTGTATTTTTAGTAGAGATGAGCTTTCACCATATTGGCCAGGCTGGTCTCAAACTCCTGACCTTGTGATCTGCCTGCCTCAGCCTCCCAAAGTGCTGGGATTATGCGCGTGAGCCACTGCACCCAGTCCATGACTCATTGTAATGCTCGCTAGAGAACATCTTCCCCACAGTGGTTGGTTAGTGACCAGATGGATGGGATGACTCAGCGATGATGGGTGTTAGTCATTCTCTGTCTTAGGCTACATTGGCGCTTATACAATTGACTAAAGAGTTGGTCATGGGGCACATTACACATGGTCTGAGATTGATCTAGTTGTTGCTATTGCTGAATATTTAGCTTGCTAGCAGCAAAGATTGGCTCTGAGCATGTATTACAGTGCCATCTGTGAGAAACTCCTCTAGTTATTAGGTGGCAAGTTGATTAAACTGATCTTCCTTCAACCTAGAGATGAAAGCATTTTGCGTTTATTTGAATTATTACCTATTCCCAACATGGTCTGTCTTCCCTGGCCTTGGTGCCTCTGCTGGCACTACCATACAAGGGTGAAGGAATGCCTGATTTACTGATACGGAATTACCAACCACATTGCTTCAAATCAAGAGATCCATTAGGTTGGAGCAAAGGTAATTCCCGTTTTTGCCATTACTTTTAAAGTATTCCATGTGCCGCACTTTACATTCCCTTATTTTATCTTTTGTCTGATTTGCCAATGTATAAATTGACAGTACCTTGACTCACATGCAGTACATGGGTCACTACTTTTAATGGCAAAAACCGCAATTATTTTTGCACCAACCTAGGATTTTTTTGGAATTGTGACAAAGCGTGCATGACCATGGGATCCACTGCTTCTATCATAAATGACATCACCCTGAAGCAGCCACTCCAGTACAATATGTAAATGATCTGCTAAAGTCTTGGTGAAGGTGCCGGCTCAAGGGAAGAAAATCCTGTTGTGTTGGAGACTTGTCCTCCAGGATGCAGTATATGCAGTGAAGCCAATCTATGGTGTCCCCAAGAAACTCCAATGCCTGGGGCCAGGAACCAAGCAGTGAAAGTGGGTTTGGATCCTCTCACTATCACTCTTCATGACGCATTTAAAATATTTATGACTCTTCTTCCCAAAACTTTAGTCCCTGATGGAAAAGAAGTTCTGGTTTCTAAGGAGGAAATTCTTCCCCTAGGGGTCACAGTAAGAATTCCACTAATCTTGAAACCACAGCTATCACCTGGGCATGTTGGATTCTTCATTTGTGTGGACCAAGAGGCAAAAAAAAATCAATTTTAGAAGAAATATTGTATTAATACTTTCCTGATTACCATGAGAAAATGAGGCTATGGCTACACATTAGTGAGCAGAAAATGAGCAATAAGATTCTTCTTGGTGCTTCTATGCTCAGAGATAGCTGGAGATGGCAAGTGCAGCAAACCCGGTTCAGGAAGAGCAAAGCAAAGAAGGTTTCAGACCCCTTGCACAAAAAGATCTTGTAGTAAGTATTCCAGACTTACTAAGGTGCTGGCCGAAGTGAAGAGTGTTTAAAAGAATGGTCGATTGAAGAGATAGATCTATTGCACTCTCAAGACCAGTTGCAATAGCAGGAATTGTAGCTTAGTCCATTAACCCACTATATTAAAGATTGCTGCCAGCTGTCTGCCACCTTATAAAGGTCTGAGACAGACTGAAGTTAGTGGTGAGCTTGAGCAGTTTGTAGTCATGCAACTATACTGGGAATACACTGTGCCCCAGTTTACATACCCTTAGTTCATCTTCTGCCTCATTTGTCCGTATATAAACTGACAGTACCTTGAGTCAGGTGCACTGCAGGGGTCTTGCTTTTGCATCAAGAGCTTCTTTGATGTTGCAGCATGGGACCCATAGAGGAATCCTGTGGACACTTATGTGTGCATATTCTGGAGGTTTGAAAACATTAACACCCCATGGGGCAATCCTTAACCAACTAAGAAGTGGACCAGTGAATTAATGCTTTTCTGACTCTCAGGTTACCAGTCCTAAAGTTCATAGCCCAGCCCCAATTTCCCTTAGCAGTGACTAGCTTGATAAATCACCCTTGTATTGATTTTGCTTCTGTATTAGATAGCTTTTGTTGTATAACAAACCATTCCAGATCTTAGTTGCTTAAGACAACAACCATTTATTTGGCTCATAAATGTGTGGATCAGATGGGCGTTCTGCTTATCTATTCCAGAATTAGCTGATCTCAGCTGGGCTGGCTCATGCATTCTGTGGGCAGGTGCTGAGTCAGATGGGTACAGGATAGGCTAGGGCAGCCCCTGCTGGGATGTCATTGTGGTTTCTTGTTCTTCATCAGGCTAGCCTGGGCTTCTTCACATTGTAGGTTGCAGCAAAAGGAAGCGTGCAAATCCTGTTGATGTCTAGGCTGAAACTGAAACAATGTCACTCCTGATCCATTCTATTTGTCCCAGAAAATCACAAGGTTAGCCCAGATTCAAATATACTCTATCTCTGGATGAAAGGAGCCACAAGGCTGCATTGCAGATGAACTTATACACAGTGAAGTGAATAATGGCAACCATTTTTGCAAATATTTGGCTACACTTTCTATGTCTGTGAGTTTGATGTGTCAACTTGGGTAGGCTGTTGCACCCAGCTATTTAATCAAAGAGGAATCTAGATGTTGCTGTGAAGGTATTTTTAAGACGTGGTTAACATCCATAACCACTTCTATTTAAGTAAGGGGGATTACCCTTAGTAATGTGGCTGTGTCAGAGGTGTTTAAACCAGAGCAACTGCGTCTTAAATAGGAGCTGGGTAAAATGAGGCTGAGACCTACTGGGCTGCATTCCCAGATGGTTAAGGCCTTCGAAGTCACAGGATGAGACAGGAGGTCAGCACAAGATACAGGCCTTGCTGATAAAACAGGTTGCAGTAAAGAAGCCAGCCAAAACTCACCAAAACCAAGATGGCCACAAGAGTGACCTCTGGTCACCCTCACTACTACACTCCCACCAGCACCATGATGGTTTACAAATGCCATGGTAACATCACGAAGTTACCCTATATGGTATAAAAGGGGAAGCATGAATAATCCACCCCTTGTTTAGCATATCATCAAGAAATAATCATAAAAATGGGCAACCCATGGCCCTCGGGGCTGCTCTGTTTATGAAGTAGCCATTCTTTACTATTTTCCTTTCCTAATAAACTTGCCTTCACTTTACTCTATGGACTCACCCTGAATTCTTTCTTGTGTGACATCCAAGAACCCTCTCTTGGGGTCTGGATCGAGACCCCTTTCCTGTAACAGCAGGGCCTCATCCCATCATTTGAAAGACCTTAAGAGTTAGAACTGAGATTTCTCAAAGAAGAAGAAATACTGTCTCGAGGCCGCAGCATCTGTTCACCCTTGAGTGTCCAGGCTGCTGGCCTGTCCTGTGGATTTCAGACTTGCCAGTTCCTATCATTGCATGAGCCTATCCTTAAAATAAATCTCTTAATATTTTATAGATAGATGTAGACAGATCTAATGTTTTATGGATAGATAGATAGATAGATTGATTGATTGACTAATTTTCTTTTTCTGGAATGCACTGGCTGACATAACTTCCTTCTCCATGTCCCTTTTCCAAGATCTCCTTTCCTGTTCCCTGGGATGACTTCCCAAAATAAACTGCCCAGAATAAGCCCTTGTCTGAGTTTCTGCTTTTTGAGAGAACTCAGCCTAAGCTGGTAGGTATTTGGAAAAAAAAAGTCACTTTTGCATTGTTTCAGGAAAAGCCTGTGATACGCCATTTTTTGTCTGACCATAAGGACTTGTTATTCAGAGAGAAGTTCACAAATACTGCAACTGAACCCGAGTAATATATATGTACTTGAAGCTTTATTGGAAAATTAAAAATGCAAATGGAAGATGTCAGAGCCATGAGCTGGGAACAGTGTCACCAACATGTGTTACGATGGAAGATTATATTTGTCTTTGAGGTCATCGGGATTCTCAGTTATATGAAAGGCTGGTAGGGAGGATTAGCAGCACCACATTCTGCTGAATGTCCCCTACAACCTTCCCCCACAAATCCAAAATTTGACAATTTATCATCACCTCCAGAGCTCTTATTCTGGTAACCAGCCACTGTCATTTCTTACCTGGATTATCACAGCCACCTAACCGATCTCTGTGATTCTACCCTCAGTCCCTTTCAGTGTATTCTTACCCCACAGATCAGAGGGAACCCCGGTAAAATGCTAAGTCAGATCACACAATTCCTCAACTCACAATCCCACCAAACTTCCATTGTTCTCAGGGTAAAAAGCGACACACAGCAGTTTTCAAGGCTCAACATGATCAGGCCCCCATTTAACTCTAGTCTCATGTCCTGTTCTTTCCTTCTCTCACTTCAGCAACCCTGGCCTCATTGCTGCTCCCCAAACACCCTAGACATGCTTATGTTCTAAAATCATGCTGCCTACTCCCCCCAAGGTGCTGTTCCCCCAAGTGTCTACATGGCCTCCACATTCACATCTCCAAGGGACACCATGTGCATTGTAGCACAGACACACAACATGTTGGAGATTTGTTAGCCAATCCCATAACTTTCTTTTTCTTTTCTTTGATTGAGACAGGGGCTCACTGTGTTGCACAGGCTGGAGTGCAGTGATAGGATTATAGCTGATTGCAGCGACAGGATCATAGCTGATTGTAGCCTCAAACCCCTGGGCTCAAATGATCCTCCCACCTCAGCCTCCCACATAGCTGGGACTATAGGTGTACACCACCACACCTGGCTAATTTTAGAAATTTATTTGTAGCAATGGGGTCTCACTATGTTGCCCAGGCTGATCTCAAACTCCTGGCCTCAAACTCCTGGCCTCAAGTGATCCTCCTGCTTTGGCCTCCTAAAGTACTGGTATTACAGGCATGAGACACCATGCCCAGCCTCCCTAACCTTCAAGTTGGGGAAATAGAGGAACAGATAGGTTGAATGGCTTCCCCAGGGTCTCACATCTGATAGGAAAACTGGCAAAAGAAACCCTGTTTCACAGACCCCATGTTGCAAGAGATGTTTTACAGAATAATTTCATTTAGAGAAAGAGAGCTTGGCAACTGATCATCCAGAGAACATTTTCATCCATGTACCTAGGTATTGCCTGGTTCTATTAGAGAATTGTGATGTAGAGGGTGATTAATGCATATTTAATCCCATACTGTGTGGGACACAGAGCTGGAAACCTCGCCCCCCACCCCCTAACCTCCACATCAACCTCTTCAAATACAAGCTCAGTAGCACGAATCCCCATGTGAAATGACTAGGGAGAGAAGCCGATGCCAGACTTGTACTTTGTCTCTGTCTCATATTCACTATTCCCTGGCAGGTGCTGAGAACGACTCATTCCCCCTACTCCTCTGAAAATGTCCCTTTCATGTTTCATAAACAACAGCTTTGCTGTGCCATTGTCTCTGTTAGTTATTTTCATAATTCGTAATTATCTTCCTTCTTAAAATGTAGACATACATTGAAAAGCATGATCCAATCCAGTTTGATTGCCGCCACATTGTGTTCAAAGTCAATACCATTCATTTGGCTTTTGAGGCTGTTGAATGAATTTTCCACATGAGATTCTTTAATTTGTACATATTTTATTGCTATAAAACAGGTATTGGCAAGCTGCCTAAACTGCAGTGAAGGCCTTTGATTCCTGTGACTCTGTGATAAAACAAACTGAGTGCGAACTGAGAGGCTTAAGATAGAACACTTGAAACGGATTCGACTCCTTTTGCTAAACCAAGTTTCCCCAGGTGTGAGACACAGGTAAGATTAAGGTAGCTTAGTTCAGGCTGAGAGCTCAGAAGTGTTTTAGCATTTGTATAAAAATGATAATGTCCCTCCATGACAGCAAACCTTTCTCTTTCCTTGATCTATTATTCCTTGGAGAAAGGATGTTTGGAGAGAAAATGTTATTAACATTTTTCATCCATGGTGATGAAAAATCCAGTTAGGTGCAAAACAGAGCCAGGGAATTCTTGGGCACAGTAGAGACCTGGGCCAGGTGTTATGTGACCTGGCAGGGAGTCGGGAGGCAGAGTGTCCGGTAAGGAGCTCTGGCAAGCTGTGTGACCTTTGGAAAGCCTTCTACCTGTCTGAATCCAATTTGCTGCCTTGTAAAATTAAGAGGTTGGGAGACGTGATTCCTATATTTAATTTGTAATTTGCTTTTCTGAGGTTATCAGTACCTTGGGTTTACTCCAGGTCTTTTGACTGAGACTTCCTCTAGGGTTTTTTGTTTTTGTTTCTGTGATTTTGGTATACAATGAAGGGGTCCAAGTGCAATTTTGTTACATGCATATATTGCATAGTAATAAAGTCTTGGCTTTTAGTGTGTCCATCACCCAAGTAATGTACATTGTACCTATTAAGCAATTTCTCATCCCTCAGCCCCCACTCACCCTCCCACCTTTCAGAGTTTCCAATATCTATAATTCCACACTCCTTTTACATGTATATACATTTATTTAGCTCCCACTTATAAGTGAGGACATGTGACATTTGTGTTTGTGTTTCTGAGTTGTTTTGCATGAAATAGTGGCCTCTAGTTCTATCTATCTTGCTGCAAAAGACATAATTTTGCTGTGTTTTATGGATGAATAGTATTCCATTATGTATATATATAAAACACAGGTTCTTTATCCAATCATCCATTGATGGACACAAATTGTTGTTTCTTATGCATAGGAAACAGGAAGTGAGATGGTAGGAGGCTAAGCTGTAGAAAGGATTCAAGTGTTTGGTAGATGACCTTCAAGGTTTTTTCTAATCCAGAAATTCTTTGATTCCATGTGATCAATGGACATTTTTCCTGGCTTCATCAGTGGAATTTTCACCACCTTCCAGTCCAAATCCTTCCGGCCATTTCAGGTTTTCATGGGCATGTGCACAAGCTTAGGCATTTATTGTCTGTGTTAGTCCAGACACACTTTGCATTACTATAAAGGAATACCTGAGACTGGATAATTGATCAAGGAAAGAGGTGTATTTGGGTCCCAGTTCTGCAGGCTGTATAAGCATGGTGCCAGCTTCTGCTTGGCTTCTGGCAAGACTTCAGGAGGCTTTCACTCATGGGGTAAGGTGAAAGGGGAGCAGGTGTGTCGCATGGCTGGAGAGGAAGCGGGAGAGAGATGGGGGTGGTCCCAAACTCTTTTTAACAATCAGATTTCATGGTAACTTATTACCATAGTGAGGGCACACAACCATTCATGAAGGATCTGCCTCCTGTACCCAAACACCTCCCACCAGGCCCCAACTCCAACACTGGCGATCACATTTCAACATGAGATTTGGAGGGGCAAACATCCAAACTATGGCATTCTCTTTGAAATCTGTCCCAGCTTTTCTCTGCTTTCCAAGAGCTACCCATTGTAGCCTGGTTTAGGGTAACTGGCATGACTTCCACGGAGCCATTTCCAGTGAATTCCACCCAGCAATAAACGTCTCTACAAAGCACTTAGTTCCATAGTAGTCTATCCTGCTTTCTGGTGTTTAATAGATATTTCTCTTCTTTGTGCAACTAATTGTATATTCTTTAAGAAAAGATTTAATGTCTTATACTCCTATGCTCATCACAGCAATATTCACAATAGCTAAGTCATCAAAGCAACATAAGTGTCCATCAGTGGTTGATTGAATAAAGAAAATGTGGTGCATATACACTGTGGAATACTATGCAGCCATAAAAAGAATGAAATCACGTACTTTGATGCAAAATGAGTGGAGCTAGAGACCATTATCCTAAGTGAACTAACTCAGAAACAAAAACCATATGCTGAATGTTCTCACTTATACATGGGAACTAAACAGTGGGTACACATAGATATAAAGATGGAAATAACAGACTCTGGGGACTCCAAAAGTAGAGAGGGTGCAGAAGGGCAAGGGATTAAAAAGTGCCCATTGGGTACCATGTTCACTCTTAGTAATGAGCACACTGGAAGCCCAGTCCCACCAGTGTGCAATCCACCTATGCACATATACCCCCTGAATCTATAATAAATTTTTTTTTGAGATGGAGTCTTGCTCTGTTGCCAGTCTGGAGTGCAGTGGTGCAATCTTGGCTCACTGCAATCTCTGCCTCCCAGGTTCAAGTGATTCTCCTGCCTCAGCCGCCCGAGTAGCTGGAACTACGGGTGTGCACCACCACTCCCAGCTAATTTTTTATATTTTAGTAGAGATGGGATTTCACCATGTTGGCCAGGATGGTCTCGATCTCCTGACCTTGTGATCCATCCGCCTTGGCCTCCCAAAGTGCTGGGATTACAGGTGTGAGCCACTGCACCCAGCTGAATCTATAATAAAATTAAACTCAATTAAAAAGGAAAAAAAGTGGTGTCATCTTCCTTTCTTTAGTTTCATCATAGTAAGGCTCATAGCTGGTATTTAATAGATACTCATTGATCAATGGATCCAACAAGAATTTTTTTCACTCATTTATTTATCAAACATTTAATTGGCTTATTTATTTACTCTCTCTGGATCCTAGGGATTGACTAGTCTGTTCTCTTCCATTGAAAACACCCATTTCACACCTGTAATCCCAGCACTTTTGGAGGCCAAGGCAGGTGCTTTGTGGGACTTAAAATGTGTTACTTAACTTTCTTGCAGGGGAAAGAGCACCTGCCAAGTCTATTGTCTCACGGAGAGTCACCTCCCTAACCTTGGTCTCTGCACCTGTAAAATGACCTTAGCAATATCTACCCTTCCTACCACAGAGGACTTTGGAGAGAATAAAATATGACAAAGTGTTGGAAGTCTTGTGAAACTTATCTGGAAGGGATATTGTGATTGGTTGGCTCAGGCCCTGAGAGTCCCAGGGCTCTGCTTCTGGTCCAGATTTTGTTACTAACGAGGAGAGTGTCTGGACAGGTAACTCAAGAGGGAGGCAATTTATGTTTCTGGTCTCTTTCTCATCTGTCCAATGAGGTACCTGGAAGAGTCAACCCCCACTGTCCCTTCCTTTTCTAACACTGAATGATGCTATAAACCAAAAATTACAAAGGACTATTGTTTACTTGCAGTACTATATTCTCTCCTAATTTGCTACTCCTTTTTTTCCCCTCTAAAGTAAAAAAGTGCTAAACAGTTCCTTTTTGTACATATTATCACAGCTCCACTCAGATAATGTCTCCACTAGGGACAATTTTTACATGGAGGTCAGCAGTAGCCTATTTGCAACCAAACTGCCAATTGTCCAAGTGGATCAGAATCCTGGAGCTGGGGAATTTGGAGGAGCAGCTACAAATGGATAGGAATGTGCACGATTAAAAAAAAAATCAAGCTTTTTTTTTGGGAAATAATTTTAGACACACAGGAAGTTGCAAAGATAGTACAGTGAACTCCCATGTAGGTGCCCTTGATGGTTTTATCTTAATAATTATTAAACAATTGTTTAAGTAATTGAAATAATTATTGAATAAATAATGATAGTACGTCAAAACCTAATATGTGACATTGGTACAATCTATGAGTATAGTTCCATGTCATTTTCCCACATATCTAGATGTGTGTGACCACTACCACAACCAAGATACATGGGATGTTAATTTTATGTGTCAACTTGGCTGGCAACAGTATCTGGATATGTGGCCAGATATTATTCTGGATGTTCCTATGAGGTTGTTTTTGAATTAGATTGACATTTAAATTGGTGGACTTTGAGTAAAGCAAATCGCCCCACCTTGTGCGGGTAGACCTCATCCAATCAGTAGAAGATGTGAATAGAACAAAAGGCTGATCTCCCCTAAGCAAGGGGACATTCTGACAGCAGATGGCTGGCCTTGACTTACACTGCAGCATCAGCTGTTCCCCAGGTCTCGCCTGACAGTCTAACCTGCAGAGTCTAGACTTGTCAGCCTCCATAATGTTATGAGCCTTCTCCTTAAAATCTATCTATCTATCTATCTATCTATCTATCTATCTATCTATCTATCTATCTATCTCTATCCATCATCATCTGTCTCTACGTATCTTTGTATCTATCATCTATGTATCTATCAATCATCTATCTGTATGTAGCTATGTCTCTATATATCACCTATCTATGTCTCTAACTCTATTTATTTATGTATCTATATATCATCTATGTATCTATCATCTACCTATCTGGATCTATGTATCTACATATCATTTATCTATGTGTCTATCTATGTATCTATCTATGTACCTATCTATGTATCTGCATATGTACCTATTTATGTATCTATCTGTGTATATACAGATGTATGTATGTATGTATCTATCATGTATCTATGTATCTATTTGTAATCTATGTATGTATATGTGTATTTGTCTGTGTATATGTATGTATGTATTTATCTATCTATCTATGTATTTATCTACATATCTCTCTCTCCCAGTTCTTTTTGTCTGGAGAATTATGACTATTACAGCACAGAATTAAGGAAACTGTCCTTTGACCATCAATAGAGGCGATTGTCAGACACTGAAGTTTGGGCAGCCCTGTCCCCAATACCACTACCTCCAGCTGGATGACTAATGAATGAATTGAAAGTTCTGGTGGTCACTGCTACATAACATAGCAGTCCCTCTGGACAGTAAAGAGAGGAGCATGACCTAATGGCCCCAAGTGTTAGGAAACTTTCCATCCCCTGCCAGCTTCATGGCTTGGAGTCTAAGGCATGCTTCTCACCCTTTCACGGGCTCAGCAAGGCAGGGATCTGAGAGTTTGCATCTCTATTGAGCTCCTAGGTTAGATGAGTGCTTTTGGCCTGCAGAACACACTCCTAGGCATCAGATGCCCCTGCACTGGACCCCTGGCCCTGACCCCCACTGGATCTGGGATTCTGGGAATTTTACTCAAGTTAGCTGAGCCTAAATTGCACTATTTACAAATTGGGGGTGATGAGGCCTGGTTTACACACGTGCTGTGAGAGTCGGTGACATCGTGCCATGGAGTGCCTAGCAAAGGTCTGGTACACAGTTATCACTCACGAAGTATTTCTCTTCTTCTCCTCCTTCCTACCCACAAATGGGGATGACCTTCCCATGGGAGAATAACCAAAGGTTAGTTTGAACACACACGAAAAGAATAGGACATTCAGGACTGCCTGCCCAGTTTTGAGTTCATATTCTCCCAGGTTTCCCCTTCTTGAATTAGTAACAGGTTAGACCTTGTCAAGTCTACATTGATTCTGGTTGGCCCAGAGTCATTTTTGCTTTGGAAACTGTTTTATCATTTTCCACTGGTCCACACTGACCTTTGATATATAACTGCTTGAAATGAGTGTTCTTAGGGAATCATTCCCTAAAAAATGGCAGCTTCACCTTATTCCCCATTGTCTTGGAGACTGGGGTCCCAGAGCCCATCTCAGAATAATCCTTCTGACGATGCACTTTTCCCCTGGGAAGTAAGGTCTCAAAATGCAATTTATCGTAAAACACACAGTGGTTACAGAGCCACCATAATCAATTATATAACTTTTATTACCACTCAGATGAGAACAGAAAATGACATTGGGAAGCAGTGAACTCACTAGAAGGGCAGAGAAGGTCATTAAATTCAATATGCATCATATTTCATAATCAGAACCCCACAGTCAGCGCTGACACCCCCGAAGGAGTTTGTTGCAGTGATGATAATATAAAACCCACTGTGTCTCCTTCTCCTGGCTCTCTCTTTCTGGACCCTAGCTAGGGCCAGGCCATTAATCATTGCAGGCAGGGGACGGTGCAGACCACAGCACTCTGGACTGCATAAATTGAAAAGACATCAGTATTGGTGGAGAATACTGTCTTTAGTTTATCTTTGTTTGCAGTACTGGCTTCTGAAGGGCTGGGATGTTATTACAGCTAAACGATCTAATCAGAGCCCCTCATGGCTTATGTGAGAAGGATTAAGAGGAAGCCCTTTCTTCAGAGAGTGAAGCCTGCATGGAGAGGTTGTGGGGATGCTGACGGAGTCTCCTAGTTGATGTCCCAAGTGGTATATGGGAATGACCAGGCACTCTTGCAGGCTCGGAGTGGGCCACCAGAGATACTTGG
Source organism: Homo sapiens (assembly GCF_000001405.40). Classification (NCBI taxonomy): domain Eukaryota; kingdom Metazoa; phylum Chordata; class Mammalia; order Primates; family Hominidae; genus Homo; species Homo sapiens. Next base: position 57,291,011 of record NC_000007.14, read on the forward strand.
ACAGACATCAGGTTTATCTTAGCATTTTATTTTGATTTTGCATTCTATGCCATAGAGTATATGTTGCTTAATTATTATTATTATTATTGAGACAGAGACTCACTCTGTCACCCAGGCTGGAGTGCAATGGTGCGATCTTGGCTCACTGCAACCTCTGCCTCCTGGGTTCAAGCGATTCTCCCTGCCTCAGCCCCCCCATGTAGCTGGGATTACAGATGCCCGCCACTACGCCCTGCTAAGTTCTGTATTTTCAGTAGAGACAGGTTTTGCCATGTTGGCCAGGTTGGTCTTGAACTCCTGACCTCAGATGATCCACCCACCTCAGCCTCCTAAAGTGCTGGGGTTACAGGCATGAGCCACCACACCCAGCCAGTACTTTTAAAATAATGTTTTAAAACCAGGCATGGTGGCTTACACCTGTAATCCCAGCATTTTGGGAGGCTGAGGTGGGAAGATTGTTTGAACCTAGGAGTTTGAGACCAGCCTGAGCAACATAGTGAGACCCTGTCTCTACAGAAATTTTTTTAAAAATTAGATGGGTGTGGTGGCACAAACCTGAAGTCCCAGCTACTCAGAAGGCTGAGACAGGAGGTTCGCTTGAGCCCAAGAGTTCCAGGCTACAGTGAGCCAAGATCGTGCCACTGCACTCCAGCCTGGGTGACAAAGTGAGACCCTGTCTCAAATAATAATAATAATGATAATAAAATTAAAATCCAGGGGCATGTGACAAGAATAACCTGAGGTTTCTTGAGTCCAGGGTGTGTACTTAAGAAGTACTTATCTACAAGATAAAATCTTATACTTGATTCAATCATACAAGAACCTGCAGGACCTAACTCTTTTTTGACTTTTAATCTTAGCACACAAACCCAGCAATTCCTATTTCCATCACACTGAATCTTTGGATCAAGCTTGTCCAACCCGCCACCTATGGGCTGCATGTGGCCCGGGACGTCTTTGAATGTGGCCCAATGCAAATTCATAAACTGTCTTAAAACATTATGAGACTTTTTTTGCATTTTTTTTTTTTAGCTCGTCAGCTATTGTTAGTGTTAGTGTATTTTATGTATGGCCCAAGACAGTCCTTCTTCCCTGGCCCAGGGAAACCAAAAGATTGAACACCCTAGCATGGCCTTCTCTGTCTCCACGGACCCAAATCTCCCTTGGCCCTTTAAATACACGCTGCCAGCTTCTCTCTGCTGTTATGGAACATATCACAATGAATTCAAAGTTCTTGGCTTATCCCTTTCTCTATGATGATAAGGTCACCACAGTTTTTAAATGGAAGGGTTAGGATTTAAAATCAAGTAATCCTCATCCCCCAAAAGACATCTTACTTGTAATTCAAGAGGTGCTTTAAAAGATGTTGCAGTTAATGTACGAAGTCAGTCCATGAAGAGAAATGCAATGACCAAAATCAGATTGTTAGCAAAACAGTAAAAGATTGAACTGATGTGGCAGAAAATCAAATTAGCCAAATAAAAGTCAGAATCAAGAAAAAGACACCATATAAAACATTAATAGAAAAATAATGCAAAGTGATGAATGTAGGAGAGAGCATGTGGAATTCCAACCCCCTGCTGAAGACATGATAAAAAGGGGAGAAGACAAAGTAATGGTGCAGAATGAATAACCAACCAACAGTATAAACAAAGAATGATGCATAGCTTAAAAAAAAGGAAATTTTAAAATGTTTACTCAACTCCAGGTAAAACTAATAAACAGAGAGCATTACGAAGATACAGCTTTTTAACTTTCTTCTTTTAATTCAAAGACATAATTTAAGCTTATTGGAGCTGTACTTCAGTGGGGAATACAGATAAAACTTGGCCGGGCATGGTGGCTCCTGCCTGTAATCCTAGCACTTTGGGAGGTGGAGGGAGGAGGATCAAATGAGGTCAGGAGTTCAAGACCAGCCTGGCCAATATGGTGAAACCTGGCCTCTAATAAAAATGCAAAAATTAGCCGGGCATGGTGGCAGGTGCCTGTAATCCCAGCTACTAGGGAGACTGAGGCAAGAGAATTGCTTTAACCTGGGAGGTGGAGGCTGCAGTGAGCTGCATAGATTTTCTCAAACAGTTCTCCAGAACTTCCTCTGGTCTCAGCACCATTAACAGTCACCCTCCCTATAGGTGACACACAAAGCCACGGGCAAAGTGATGGTCACTGCATTCCAGCCTGGGCAACAGAGTGCAACTCTGTCTCAAAAATAAATAAATAAAAATAAAACTTTTTTACACTCTTTTTGATCAACCACAAGGTATCAGATCACCTATTTTTGGCCATTAAGGGTTTCTCTGGGAGATCCAATAACTTCAGTGACTTTTGATTACTAAACATCCCGTCTAAGACTTCAGTCTCATCATGGCTTTTACTCTAATATTTTATTCTAAACTCTCCTCTCGGTGCCTTCACCAACCTCCCAGGGGAGAAGGAAGGATTGGCAAGCAGGGCCTAATCCTGAGACCAGCCACGTGCTACTCTCCTCTAATGCTCTAGGTTCTCTAGTTGGTTGAAGGAAAGAAGTGGGGATTCAGGAAATAATTGTCATTTTTCAGCGGTTTCTCAGGTTTTTTTCTGGAATTTCTGGTTCTAACTGCCTATGTCTTCTGCAGATATAGCCATTGATATCTTCATAGATGCAATATGAGTTTTCTTACGGTCAAGTTCAACTGCACCTCAGCCCATCCTTCATCTGGACTCTCAAATGGCTTTCTTCCTTTGCCTTCCAACCATCAGGTCATGCGACCTCTGACAAATAACGTGTTGCCTGCTGGCCTGGCAGCCCTACTCCTTCCGTCCCCTTCTCTGACCATAGGACTTCCTTGTGAGCAGTTGCAAGAGCCAGGAAGATCTATTAATTCTCCAAAGAATGGAAGAGGTGGACTGTGGATGACTCATTCCGTCCACCTATCCTTTTTTTCCAGGCACAATACCTTACAGTTTCCTTTTGCCCTTGTGGTGCAGTGAGCCTCCTGCATTAAGAAATCTCTGGAAGGGGAGTGTCTGTGGCTCACATAGGCTTCCAAACTCCAGGAATCCGTGACAAACCCTCCAACAACTCCTCACTATACTTCTCTTTGTTCTGAGGACTGCACTTGAGTGACCATGTGGATCCTTCAGCTCAACAAAACACAGCTGGGGCAGGTGATACAAATGTCCAATTCTAGCAGGCTCCCAGCATCTCTGTACGTTTTTCTATTGGAGTCCTCCTGGGGACAGAAGAAAAAGCCTCAGAGGCAGGGTGCGGTGGCTCACACCTGTAATCCCAACACTTTGGGAGGCCAAGGTGGGTGGATCACAAGGTCAGGAGATTGAGACCATCCTGGCCAACATGGTTGATGGAAGTAGGTAGGAAGAGTGATGGTTTAAACAATAAACAAAGGCTGATCATGGTGGCTCACGCATGTAATCCCAGCACTTTGGGAGACTGAGGCCAGCAGATTGCCTCAGGTCAGGAGTTCGAGACCAGCCTGGTCAATATGGCAAAATCCCGTCTCTACTAAAAATACAAAAATTAGCTGGGTGTGGTGGAAAGCACCTATAATCCCAGCTATTCAGGAGGCTGAGACAGGAGAATGGCTTGAACCCGGGAGGTGGAGGTTGAAGTGAGCCGAGATCACACCACTGCACTCCAGCCTGGAGACAGAGCAAAACTCTGTCTCAAAAAAAAAAAAAGAAAAGAAAAGAAAAGAAAAGCCTCAGAGTATAACTGTTGCCCCCCCTCAAGGCTCAAGTGACTCTCCTCCTCCCCACAGTATCTTCCCTATTTAGACTTGTACATGAGTGGATTCTCAGATGATTAGGGTGTGGGGGTGACATTTGAGTATAGTCCTCTTTAGAATATGGAAATGTTGGCTGGGCATGGTGGCTCATGCTTGTAATCCCAGCACTTTGGGAGGCCCAGATGAGGATCACTTGAGTGATCCTCCAGCAGTTCAAGACCAGCCTGGGCATCATAGTGAGACCCCGTCTCTACAAAAAATTAAAAAATTAGCCGGGCGTGTTGACATGTGCCCATAGGCCCAGCTACTTGGGAGGCTGAGGTGGGAGGATTGCTTGAGCCTGGGAGGTGGAGGCTACAGTGGACTATGATTGTGCCACTGCACTTCAGCCTGGGCAACACAGTGAGACCCTGTCTCAAAAAGAAAAAAAATAATAGAATATGGAAACGCTAAGCCCATTTTGACATCAACTTTGAACTCTAGTCATTAATTTCAGGGCAACAGGAAAAATTCCACTCACTATACTGTTACTTAGAAAAATGTTAACTATTAATATATTTAGAGAAATGTTAACTATTACGTAAGGGCAAGAACACACTCATTGCAGTTTTTAAATATATGAAATCATTCCTTGATGCATTCCGAAGCTTACATTTTGCACTTTAGCAAATGACCTTGAAACTATTTCCAAATCAACTTTTTAATTTTTCTCCCATGTACACAGAAAGAACCCAACTCCTCTTGCACCGAGGTGGGACCATGTAACTAAGTGGTGGGCACAGGTGGTGGAGAACACTTCCAGGCTGGCCACGAAATATCTCATAACACCTTCCTCACTCTCTCCCTCACCCACACAGTGAAAGCAAAGGACTCTAAGATGGCAGAGCCACAACTTGAAGAGAGACTGGGCCTTTGAATTCACATCTTTAAAGAGAGTCACCTGGGCTATGATCTAGATTTCAGCTGGACATATTTACTGTTCTTCTATAGGTGGACTCTGGAATGATTTCCAATTATCGAGTATTTCATGCAATGACTCAGTGAGTACCTTTGTGTATATGACAGCATATTTCTGGGTAGAAGCAGGATTGCTGGACCAAAGGGTATGTATCAGTTTTACTCTGATAGTGGTAAAATCCCTCCCTCCAAAATTATCCTGACATGAGCTATTTATACTATATAACAGTACCTCACTCCTTAGCCCCAATCGACATATTTTTTTTCCTGTGGCTTACTTGTTCATAAGTTCTGCCCATTTTTTTGTGCTGAATTCTATGCGATATTTTCTTATAGATTTGTAGCATCCATATGTGTTATTTATTTATCCAAGAAGTGTGTATTGAGATCCTAGTATTTGCAAAGCGCTATCCTAGGCAGTGAGAAAATAATTGTGAATAAAACCACATGTGGTTTCTGAAGAAAAGAAAGTGAGATTGAGGGTTGGGTAGGAAGAAACCAGAGAAGGTCAAAAAGAAAGGGAAAGAAAAGAGGAAGTTTATAAGTAGAGGCTTGAAGTGCCAAGGGCACGATAGAAACATTACGAAGAGAACCAAATCAGTACAACTTGCTATTGAGTTTGAGATGATAGAACAAGAGAAGAGACATTGGTCTGTGTAAAAGCTAGAACAGAGATTTACTCATGTACAAACGAGGTGGAATACAGGGCTGAGTTGGAAAAGTAGGTGTTAAACTCCATATCCTGTTCTGTAACTTTAGTTAAGTTAACACAGCTTTGTTGATACGCGTGCTTACGCAGTGAATTCTGGTGATCTTAGTCCTCAAAATTCTGGTCTCCTCTGGAATGTCAGGGTACCTCATTGCTGGAGGTGAGGGACCATGGCTGCTCATGGAAGCTTAGGAAGGATTGCAGAATGACCGGGCGAGGCCAGGCATGGTGGTTCACACTTGTAATCACAGCACTTTGGGAGGCCAAGGTGGGCAGATCACTTGAGGTCAGGAGTTTGAGACCAGCCTGGCCAACATGATGAAACTCCATCTCTACTAAAATACAAAAATTAGCCAGGCATGGTGGTGGACACCTGTAGTCCCAGCTACTCAGGAGGCTGAGGCAGGAGGATCACTTGAGCCTGGTGGGGTGGAGGTTGTAGTGAGCCAAGAATGCACCACTGCACTCCAGCCTGGGTAGTGGGAGAGAAATCATGTCTCAAAAAAAAATATATAGAATCACTTTCCCCAAGTCAAGGCCTCGTTTTCTTTGAGGGAGTTGTAAAAAGTTTTAACCAAATTTTTCAATTATTTTATTATTATTTTTTGAGATGGATTATTCCTGTGTCACCCAGGCTGGAGTTCACCCAGGCTGGAGTGCAGTGGCACAATCCCGGCTCACTACAACTTCCACCTCCCAGATTCAAGCCATTCTCCTGCCTCATCCTCCTGAGTAGCTGGGATTAGAGGCACCCAGCACCACGCCCGGCTAATTTTTGTATTTTTAATAGAGATTGGGGCCGGGCGCGATGGCTCACGCCTGTAATCCCAGCACTTTGGGAGGCCGAGGCGGGTGGATCATGAGGTCAGGAGATCGAGACCATCCTGGCTAACAAGGTGAAACCCCGTCTCTACTAAAAATACAAAAAATTAGCCGGGCATGGTGGCGGGCGCCTGTAGTCCCAGCTACTCGGGAGGCTGAGGCAGGAGAATGGCGTGAACCCGGGAAGCGGAGCTTGCAGTGAGCCGAGATTGCGCCACTGCAGTCCGCAGTCTGGCCTGGGCGACAGAGCGAGACTCCGTCTCAAAAAAAAAAAAAAAAAAAAAAAAAATAGAGATTGGGTTTCGCCATGTTGGCCAGGCTGGTCTCGACCGCCTGACCTCAGGTGATCCACCTGACTTGGCCACCGAAAGTGTTGGGATTACAGGTGTGAGCCACCACACCCTACCTCAGATTTATATATCAGGATGGCAAATTTAGTCTATGAGTTTATCATTTATTTCATCCTCAGATTTAAACTGTTGAACCCAAAATGTAGAGATGAATCTCTAAATTCAACTGTTTTATTTGGCAAGAAGGACTTGTCATTTGGGGCATACACACAGACCAGGTGGCCTTCAATATGTCCAAAGAACAAACTGGAGATTGGAGGTTTTGTGTGTGTTTGTTTGTTTGTTTTGTTTTTTTGCTTTGTTTTGTTTTGTTTTGATGGAGTCTCACTCTGTCGCCAGGCCAGAGTGCAGTGGCACAATCTCGGCTACTGTAACCTCCGCCTCCTGGGTTCAAGCGACTCTCCTGCCTCAGCCTCCTGAGTAGCTGGGATTACAGGCACCCACCACCACGCCCAGCTACTTTTTGTATTTTTAGTAGAGACGGGGTTTCACCATGTTAGCCAGGATGGTCTTGAACTCCTGACCTCAGGTGATCCACCCGCCTTGGCCTCCCAAAGTGCTCAGATTACAGGCATGAGCCACCACACCCAGCCGAGATTGGAGGTTTTATTAAAAAAAGGAAAAATGTCGTGCATTGTCTTGAAAGGAAGTTCATTGGCACTAGTGAGTTTTGGGGAGCTGGCACGCTCTGATGGGTGAGTGACAGTGGTGGGTAAGACCAGCCATAGACTCCCAGCAGGTTGTTTCAGTGGCCTTAGACAAATAGGGTTTCAGGTGACAGCAGGCAGTATCTGCAGCCAGGCTTGCAGAGAATTACATTCTCGGAGCAATGCTATGCACCCTGAGTGTTTTCTGCCCCGGTCGCTCTATTCTGCTTTCATTGAGCATGACAAGAATGACTCAATTTGTAGGATCACCTTTCACAAAACTACATGAAAGAGATGTGATGTCATAAATATTAACCATTTGTGCAGTATATGCCTTAAAACATATTTTTCCCCAAATTCTGGCTCTTGAGTTTGTAACTTTCCCAGGAATTTCTAATTCTTATATAGGAAAAAGCCTCAGTCTTTTCCTTTGTGATATTTGATTTTTGTGCCAGGTTCCAGAAGGTGTTACCTGTACCAAGAATACATAGCAATGTTATGTTACCTTTTTAAGTTATTTTTAATAATTAACCTTTCGTCTACCCAGAATGGCTGGGTGTGGTGGCTCACACCTGTAATCTCAGCACTTTGGGAGGCTGAGGAGGGCAGATCACTTGAGGTCAGGAGTTCAAGACCAGCCTGGCCAACATGGCAAAATGCCATCTCTAATAAAAATACAAAAAAAATTAACCAGCCATGGTGGCAGGTGCCTGTAATCCCAGGCTGAAGCAGTAGAGTCACATGATCCAGGGAGAGAGAGGTTGCAGTGAGCTGAGATTGCACTACTGCACTCCAGCCTGGATGGCAGAGTGAGACTCTGTCTCAAAAAACAAACAAAGAAACAAACAAAAACACCCCAAAAAACTACCCAGAATATATATTTGTGTGTGTGTGATATAGGGGGAGGTTTAGATCATTTTAAACGCCCCCAAATTATTTGTTTAGTAATCTTGTCTGCACGTAGGTCTCTTCATAAGTTCTCCAGTATCGTCTACTGGTCTGTCAGTTCTTAAGCCACCACTCACCTACTTAATTATTGTAGCTTTTAGGATAGGTCGATAACTGGAGAGGAATTCCAGATTCATTATTCTCCATTTCTGAACTTTTCTTCAGTTTTCTAGATTCATTTTTGAATGAACTGATTACGTTTCCAAAAATTATTTTGATGGAAATTTCATTGAAATTGCAGTGAATATATGGTACCAAATGACATGCACCAGTAATGCTTCCCAGTACTTAAGAAACAAGCTGGGAACCAGGCATGGCAAAACCCTGTCTCTACTAAAAATACAAATCTATTGTATTAGGAGAGTGGGTGCTAAGTCTAGTTCCCTGCTCTAATCATTAGAAAAAATTAAAGGCCCAAAGTCTATAAAGTCATTTAACATTTTTCCCTTTTCCTTGGGAAAAAATGTTCTGCTTAGATTGCTAATAACGTGAGGTTAACTGTCATATTTCCTGCCTGTAAATTAGTAATTTGGCATTCTGGTTTCATACCAGAATTGAAGTTTCAAACCTTAATCTCTGAATTTGGTTATACATTGACATCCCCTCCTCAAATATAATAATTTCTGTTCAGCTGTAGAGGTTAGGGTCTTGTCAATCGTGGTTGAAAAATGTGTGATCAAATAAACAGATGTCCTTTTAGAAAAATGAGGATGTTTGAGAGCGAACCACAATGAACATATATAAGCCTTCATAAATTGTTTTCTTTATGAAAATATAGGCTGGGCACGGTGGCTCACACCTGTAATTCCAGCGCTTTGGGAGGCCAAGGCAGGCGGATCACCTGAGGCCAAGAGTTCAAGACCAGCCTGGCCAACGTGGTGAAACTCTGTCTCTACTAAAAATACAAAAATTAGCCGGGCATAGTGGTGGTTGCCTGTAATCCCAGCTACTCGGGAGGCTGAGGCAGGAGAATTGCTTGAACCTGGGAGGTGGAGGTTGCAGTGAGCCGAGATCGCGGCATTGCACTCTGGCCTGGGGGACAAGAGTGAGACTTCTCTCAAAAAAAAAAAAAAAAAAAGAAAAAGAAAGAAAGAAAATATAATAATATTGATCAGTAACTAAGAATAGTATTAACTGAGTAATAGTATTAACTATTACTGAGAATAATATTCATAACATTTAACTGAGAATAGTATTAAGAACATTTTAATACTATATAGTAACAAGGAGACACTGCATTTTTCATTTCTCATCTCTCTAGAAGCCTTTCAGGATGTACTTTTTCTTTTTCTTTCTTGCTTTTTTTTTTTTTTTTTTGAGACAGAGTCTCGCTCTGTTGCCAGGCTGAAGTGCAGTGGCACAATCTCAGCTCACTGCAACCTCCGCATCCCTGGTTCAAGCGTTTCTCCCACCTCAGCCTCCTGAACAGGCACATGCCACCACGCCCTGCTAATTGTTTTGTATTTTTAGTAGAGATGAGGTTTCACCATGTTGACCAGGATGGTCTCAATCTCCTGACCTCATGATCCACCTGCCTCGGCCTCCCAAAGTGCTGGGATTACAGGCGTGAGCCACTGAGCCTGGCCACAAGGTACTGTTTGTGTCAGTTCATTTCATTTTAAATCATTTCAGTGATTTCCTCAAATTCATTTATTGAGCCTACGGGTGCAAATCAAGCTTTCAAATAATATAATGCAAGGGACATTAGAACAGCCGTCAGGTGAATTCTATTTACATTATTAAATATTTTTCTTTTTGATGACTAAGGGAAAAGGCTGAGAATGCTGGACTCTTCATGGTGTCAGGTCTGTGCAGGTGAGATAGGCTACGGATAAATGACAACAGTGACAGAAACTTTAACCACAAAAATCATCACTCCCACATGTGCGGGCTCTGTGCTACTAAGCACTCATGACTCATGTGCATTATATGCTTTCATTGATCCTCAGTAAGACACATTAAAGCTTTTTTTTTTCTTTTTTTGAGATGAAGTCTCGCTCATTCACCCAGACTGGAGTGCAGTGACACAATCTCAGCTCACTGCAACTTCCGCCTCCTGGGTCCAAGCAATGATCCTACCTCAGCTTCCTGAGTAGCTGGGATTACAGGTGCAAACTACCATGCCCAGCTAATTTTTGTATTTTAGTAGAGATGGGGTTTCACCATGTTGGCCAGGCTGCTCTAGAATTCCTGATCTCAAGTGATCTGCCCACCTCAGCCTTCCAAAGTGCTGGGTTTACAGGTGTGAGCCACCGCGCCAGGCCTTTTTTTTTTTTTTTTGAGGCAGGGTCTCACTCTGTTGCCCTGGCTGGAGTGCAGTGGTGCAATCATAACTCACTGCGCCTTGAACTCCTGGGCTCAAGCAATCCTTCCACCTCAGCCTCCTTCATAGCTGAGACTACAGGTACATGCCATGATGCCTGGCTATTTTTTTCTATTTTTTTTTTAATAGCGATGGTGTCTCTCTACATTGTCTATGCTGGCCTTGAGCTCCTGTGCCCAATAAATTCTCCCATCCCAGCCTCCCAAAGTGCTAGGATTACAAGTGTGAGCCACCATACCTGTCCCATTAGAGCCTTTTGTAGCTTAGGAAACTAAGGCTCAGAGACATTTAACAACTTCCTCAAGGTGACAGCAGTAGAAGTTAAGTTTTACTAATTCATACATTCATTCAACACACTTATTAAGCACATACTATGCACTATTTGTGATTCATCAGGAAACAAAACAAATACAGCCTGTCTTTCCAAAGCTTCCATCCTTGGGCATGTTGCAGTGGGGATGGGTCAAGAGAGAGACACTAAACAATAAACCACTAAATTACGTTTAGTCTAAAGCTGCCTCTTGGTATATTTTATTTTATTTATTTATTTTGAGATGGATCATGCTCTGTCGCCCAGGCTGGAGTGCAGTGGTGCAATCTTGACTCACTGCAACCTCCACCTCGTGGATTCAAGTGATTCTCCTGCCTTGGCCTCCCAGGTAGCTGAGATTACAGGCACGCACCACCATACCCGGCTAATTTTTGTATTTTTAGTAGAGATGGGGTTTCACCATGTTGGCGAGGCTGGTCTCAAACTCCTGACCTCTGGTGATCCACCTGGCTGTTTCTGTATCTTACTTCTGGTTTTTGTAGGTCACATTCCTTTTTTTGTCCATAAATCTTCCTTCACCTAATGGCTGTGCCAGAGACTCTCTAGACCTGTTCTGGTTCAGGGGCTGCCCAATTCATGAACTGTTCTTTGCTCAGTGAAATGCTGTTAAATTGTTTGTCAGTTCACATGGTTTAGATGGGGCTGAGCCTACTTCTGGATTTAAATACAGGCATCTGAGCTAGGCCTGGACAATCAGTGTGCTTCATTCCAAGGATTCAATTCTGTACTTTTTTCAGAACACTGGGAAAGAGAAGGTTTTTTGTTTTCTGTTTTTGAGGCAGAGTCTTGCTCTGTCGCCCAGGCTGAGAGTACACTGGAGCGATCTCGGCTCACTGCAACCTCTGTCTCCCAGGCTCAAGAGATTCTCATGCCTCAGCCTCCCAAGTAGTTGGGATTACAGGTGCCTGCCACCATGCCTGGCTATTTTTTTTTGGATTTTTAGTAGAGACAGGGTTTCATTATGTTGACTAGGCTGGTTTTGAACTCCTGACCTCAAGTGATCTGCCAGCCTCAGCCTCCCAAAGTGCTGGGATTATAGGCATGAGCTACCGTGCCCGGCTGAAAGAGAAGTGTTTTCAGCTGGACTTGAAGCTAGTGCAGCATGGGCCTGGAGCTGCTGTTGCCTACCTTTGCCATCATGTACTCATTCCTTCATTCAGCAAATACTTACTGAGCACCTACTATGTGCCAGGCAGTGTTCTAGGCACTGGGCTATAAAGTGGAAGAAAAAAAAACCAAACCCACAAAATGCTTGCCTTTAAGGAGGGAGTTGACATTCTAATTGCGACAGGGATACAGAAAATAAACAAATAAATGTGAATATGGTCAGAGGACGATAGGTGATATGCAGCAACAAAACAAAACAAAACAACAGCAAAGGCCAGGTGTGATGGCTCACATCTGTAATCCCAGCATTTTGGGAGGCCAAGGTGGGTGGATCACTTGAGGTCAGGAGTTCAAGACCAGCCTGACCAACATGGTAAAATCCCATCTCTACTAAAACTACAAAACATTAGCTGGGCATGGTGGTGGGCGCCTGTAATCCCAGCTACCCTGGAGGCTGAGGCAGAGGAATTGCTTGAACCCAGGAGGTGGAGGTTGCAGTGACCTGAGATCATGCCACTGCACTCCAGTCTGGGTGACAGAGTAAGAGACTCTGTCTCAAAAAACCAAACAAACAAAAAACAACAACAACAGCAAAAACCAAACAGGATAAGGAGGGCAGGAGTATGCAGGGGTTTCACCATGTTGTCCAGGCTGGTCTCAAACTCCTGACCTCAGGTGATCCACACGCCTTGGCCTCAAAGTGCTGGGATTGCAGGGGTGAGCCACTGCATCAGGCCAGTATATTTATTTATTTATTTATTTATTTAGACAGAGTCTCACTCTGTTGCCCAGGCTGGACTGCAGTGGCGCGATCTCAGCTCACTGCAACTTCCACCTCCTGGGTTCAAGCTATCCTCCCACCTCAGCCTCCCTAGTAGCTGAGCCTACAAGTGTGCACCATCACGCCTGGCTAATTTTTTTTTGTATTTTTAGTAGAGATGGGTTTCACCATGTTGCCCAGGCTGGTCTCAAACTCCTGACCTCAGGTAATCTTCCCACCTTGGCCTCCCAAAGTGCTGGGATTACAGGCATGAGTCACTGCACCAGGCCAGTTTATTTTATTTATTAATTAGTTTTTGAGACAGAGTCTTGCTGTGTCACCCAGGCTGGAGTGCAGTGGTGCAATCTCGGCTCACTACAGCCTCTGCCTCTTGGGTTCAAGTGATTCTCCTGCCTCAGCCTCCTGAGTAGCTGGGAGTACAGGCGTGTGCCACCACACCCAGCTAATTTTTGTATTTTTAGTAGAGACGGGGTTTTACCATGTTGGCCAGGATGGTCTCGAACTCCTGACCTCTTGATCCACCCGCCTCGGCCTCCCAAAGTGCTGGGATTACAGGCGTGAGCCACCATGCCAGGCCCAGTATATTTATTTTTGAAGGAAACTTGATATCTCTACTGCATCAGTCAACTCGAGCTATGTTTTACTGCAATAACAAACAGCCCCAGCATCTCAGGAGCCTGTTAATGACAAAGGTCGATTTCTTATTCATATTGAGAATATGAATCCTCAGTTACTTTCTCATTGCTTGTTGATAGTGGGTCACTGCAGCTCTGGGCTGTATGTCACCTTTACTCTGATCCACGTTAAAGGTGCAGCCCATTCCTGGGGCAGGCCATTCTCATAGCAGACAGAAACCACGTGACAAAGCCGCTTCTTGAAAGCTTAGCTCACAGTCTGTTGCCCAAAGGAAGTCACACAGCTAAGCCTGACTTCAATCAGGAGGGTCACCAGGGAATTGCCAATGGAATAAATACTTTGACAATAATACAATCTACCACATCTACTGTAAAGGGAAAACCAGCACCACTTGCTCTCAATAGAAGGTGACCACAAAAAGTCAATATTATGAAAACATGTAACTTTATTAAATTCTAGCCAAATAATTTTGCCTCTTGAAGACACTAAGTCTGAGGCCCACTCTCAAACAGAAAGTTTGGAAGGGAGGCAGGTAAGTGTTAGAAAGGCGTTGACGTCATGTTCCTATCAAACTGAGACTGTCGCCTAGATGAGATCAGAATGATTGGCAGAGAATGAAATGTTACTTGATACTGGGGTAGTGTACCCACCAAGATCTCCTCACGAATCCCCACTGGTACTTGGTCTATACTCTGGAAGACCCGGCTTCAGAATCGCTCTAGGGGAGTACAGAAGGAAACTCAGTGTTTGAGGGAGTAATGATAATGGCAGCCACCTGTTAGAGGTGCCGCCACGGTGCACAATTTTATGAATGGGGCCCCTGAAGTTGTGCAACATGGCGGCCCTGGAGAGAATCTCTGCGGGCTACCTCATTTAATTCCCACCTCCGCTCTGCCAGGTAGGCAGCATTACCTCCATTTCACAGCAGAAAAATAATTGAGATTCAGGGAAGTTCAGTGCCTGGCTCAGGACTGCAGCTGGAGGGGTCCGGGAGAGGCTCTAACCCTCCGGCTTGAAGGTGTAGTTTCAGACTTGGCCACTTGGTGTCACTCTCTCCAAACTGTCGGAAGAACCTCTGAGCCGGCCGGTTTGTGGGGGACTCCCTGCCCAGCTAGTTGCACACGAATCCCCAGTCCGGCAAAGGAGCCCCTCCTGTCCTCCCTCCGCCCTGTCACCCTTGAGGGGTGCAGAATTTCTGCCTGTTCCCTGTTTGAACGAGGTCTCTGAGTACGCCTGAGCCAAGTACTTCACAGGCATGATCTCACTCGAGCCTGCCAGCAGCAATGTGGTCTCAGACTACAGGCGAGGAAACTGAGGTCAACGGCGTGGGAGCAACTTGCCCAGCTGGTAAGTGGCAGTCAGAATTTGAACTCTGAGTTAGAAGCTTGGCGTTTCAATGACCAGAAAGTGCATGGAGGGACTGTTGTATTAATTCTTGATTTTTCATAGAATATATTTCCAACCACCTGACCTCAGTCTCTGTAATGTCCTTGGCAATGAAAATAATCTGCCTGTTTAGAGAAGTGTATGTGTTTTTGGTCTTTTCTTTTTTTCATGTAGAAGTTAGTCTTCACCTGATTCTACCAAGAGAACACTGAGGTGTTTACTTACTTAATTAAAAAAAATTAGCTGAATATACCTTGATAATTATTTTTTTTATTTTTATTTTATTTTATTTTGAGACAGAGTCTCACTCTGTCACCCAGGCTGGAGTGCAGTGGTGTGATCTGGGCTCACTGCAACCTCTGCCTCCCTGGTTCAAGCGTTTCTCCTGCCTCAGCCTCCTGAGTAGCTGGGACTACAGGTGAGCGCCACCATGCCCAGCTAATTTTATTTTTTTTTGTATTTTTAGTAGAGACAGGGTTTCACTATGTTGCCCAGGCTGGTCTCGAACTCCTGGGCTCAAATGATCCTCCCGTCTCGGCCTCCTAGAGTGCTGGGATTTACAGGCATGAGCCACCGCACCTGGCTGGTAATTATTTTTTAAAACTAGAAAATCTAAGTAAAAAGAACAAAATATAGCCAGAAGTGGTGGTGCATGCCTGTGGTCCCAGCTACTTGGGAGGCTGAAGCTGGAGGATTACTTGAGCCCAGAAGGTCAAGGCTGCAGGGTGCTATGATTGTGCCACTGTACTCCAGCCTAGGTGACAGAGTGAGACCCTGTCTCTGTATTTTTAAAAAAGAACAGACCGGGCATAGTGGCTGACACCTGTAATCCCAGCACTTTGGGAAGCTGAGACAGGAGGATAGTTTGAGCTCAGGAGTTCAAGTTCAGTCTGGGCAACTTAGTGGGACCTCATCTTTACAAAAAAAAAATCAAAAATAAAAAATCAGCCAGGCATGGTAGCATGTGCCTATAGTCCCAGTTACTCAGGAGGCTGAGCTAGGAGGATTGCTTAAGCCCGGGAGGCAGAGGTTTCAGTGATTGGTGATCGCATCACTGCACTCCAGCCTGGGTGATAGAGCAAGACCCTGTCTCAAAATAAATAATTGATTAAAGAAATAATAAAAAGGAACAAAATAAAAGTCACTTTTAATTCACATCAGCCACCCAGAGATAAGTGCTGTTGACACCTTGGAGCATATCCTTCGAGGCATTTTTCTCTCTGTCATCTATCAATGCATTAAAAAGTTCATTTTTAAAAAATTAACAAGGGAATGTATTCACACGCAAAAATTCAAAAGATACCAAAGGATTTACAGTGGGTCTTCTCCCTCTAATCCTTAGCCCCCTTTCCCAGCTTTAAAACTCCAAGCTTCCCTCCCCAGAATCCATCCTGGTTATCATTTCTTGGGGATCATTACAGAGACATCCAGAACATAGATAAGCAAACATGTGCATGGATTCCTGTACACATTTCTCTAAATAGAAGCATACCACACACCCTGTTCTGCATTGGGATTTTGTTTTTTTCAACTTAGCAATGTACCTTGGCAGATCTTTCCAGATCAGCACTAGGAGAGCGTTCTTTGCACAATTCCATTGTCTGAATATAATAATTTATCTAACAAGTTTTCTGGTGATAGTCATGGAGGTGTTTCCAGGGTTTTGCTGCAACAAACAATGCTGCAATTAGTATCCTTTTCACAGAAGTCTTTCCATGTATTCAGAGCTATTTCTGATGGATACACTGTTAACAACTGAATCGCCCAGTCATATGGCAGGTGCATTTAAACATCTTGACACTGGTTGTCTAAATGCTCTCTAAGGTTGTACCTACCAATCATCATTTGTACCAGCAACCTACGTGAGCTCTGGTTTCCCCACATTCTAGCCAAGGCCAAGTATTATTGGACTTCTTGATCTTGGCCTTGCCGCTAGGGAAAAAGGCGTTCACCATAGTTCTAATCTACATATTCATTGTTTATATGTTAGATTGGACATTAAAAAATATGTTCAAAGACCATTTATATTCCTTTTCTGGTGGCAAAGCATTCAAGTTGTCTATTTTTCTCTTGGATAATTGTCTTTTTGTTGATCTGCCAGGGATTTTTATATGCTAAGAAAATGAGGTCTTTGTTTCTCATACATGTTATAAATGTACATATTTAAAAATATAGATATATCAGGCAGGGTGCAGTGGCTCACACCTGTAATCCCAGTGCTTTAGGAGGCGGAGGTTGGAGGATCACTTGAGTCCAGGAGTTCGAGACCTGTCTGTGCAACACGGTGAAACCCTGTCTCTAGTAAAAATACAAAAATTAGCTTGGTATGATGGCAGGTGCTTGTAGTCCCAACTACTTGGAAGGTTGAGGTGAGAGGATTGCTTGAGCCTAGGAGGTGGAGGCTGCAGTGAGTTGTGTTCACTCCAGCCTGGGTAACAAGCAAGATTCTCTCTCTCTCTACACACACACACACACACACACACACACACACACACACACACACAGATATAGATATATCAAACAAAAAAATGAGATCTCATTGTATAAAATGTTTCTGAGGCCTGTGGTCATTTGATAATATATTGTGCATCCTTTCCTGTATCTGTATTTCTTTGCAGCAAGATTATTTGTTGATAGTGAAAAAATCACTCTGGGTACACTGGCAGTTCATCAAACACAAGTGGCTATGAATTGCTATGAACACAACAATAACAAGTATCCGAGAGGAGGCTTGTGAAGCATCTCGTATGTTTCATCTGTTTATGCACTTAATTTAATCCTCCCAACGAAACTGTGATGTAAATAACATCATACTCATCACAGATGAGGAAACTGAGGCCCAGGAGAGTCACAGGATTTGTCCAAGGCCTCCCAGATGGTCAGTGGACGATCTGAGATTCAAACCTATGTCAATTCGTCTTTGGAACATTGGCTACCGCCTTCCATGACGTTAAATCCCCATGTTCCCAACTAGTCTGGATTAAACATCCGGGAGGTATGTCCTCATCCTCCCCTCCCACCACTCCGGGCTGGGAAACATCATGTAGTTTAGGGCCGGGCCACCAGGGGGTGCTAGGAACACATTTCTTGCCTGTTGTGGGAGCTGGGAGCCGGCTGGGGCCAGGCACCCTGGGACAGAGCACTACTTGGGGCCTGATGATCCTGAGGGCTGAGGTGGCTCAGGCCTGAGTGAATGGCTCCTGCCACGTCTGGAGGGAATCACCTCTGGCAGCCTTCAGGGACTCCTAGATATCTGGTCATGGCTCAGCCCCTCTGGGGACTTGGATTGCTGTAGATCGGGGTTCTTCAGCCTCCGCACGTAGTACACGGGGCGGAGCACACGGGGCAGCAGAATCTTTTGCTGCAGGGATCTGTCCTGAGCTTCGTAGGCTGTTCACAGTCTCCCCGGCCTCTACCCATAAGATGTTGGCAGCCCCTCCCCACCCAAGTTGTGACAACCCAAGATGTCTCTAGACATTGCTAAATGTCCACTGGGGGGCACAGTTGCCCTTGGTTGAGAACCGCTGCTGTGGACCAGGGTGGGCAGGTCATATACATGACGGGAGCCAGCCCTGTGCAAGATAACAGCAGCTCACACCTAGAGAGCCCCACGGAGAGAAAATCATTGACACTATGTGAGGCGGGACTGACACCACCTCTGCTTTACAGATGAGGAAACTGAGGCCAGAAACGTTCAGTGACTTGCACGAGGCCACACAGCCAGTATTTAGTAGAATAGGGGCTTGAACCCAGGCCATCAGGCTCTAGCATCTGTGCCCCTAACCACTCAGGCAAGATGCATTGCTCATCCATCAAATCCCCAGGAGTATTCTCCATGGCCACAAAGACACACTTCTTTCCCAATTTCCTCTTTACCTAAGTTCATTTTCCACTTTTGACGAAGAGCCACCTGTAAGAGATTTTTCATTTTCCTCATAATGGTACTGAGAAAAACACCAGCCCAAATTGCCATGATAAATGGCAGCTGACACAACCTCGATAGCAGGGCTGCGTTGTGGAGCAGTGGGGACTGTGAGCACTCAGAAGGCTCGGCCCCGTCAGTCCCAGTATATTATTTCCTGGTATGGGTGCTGGCCCAATTTTGCAGGAGAAACCAGAAGTCTAGATTTTCAATGTGAAATTTTCTAATTTTAAAATAATGACAATTCAAAAAATTAAAAACCCTGTGAAGATCAAACAAAATATGTCTGCAGCCCAATTTACCCTGATAACTGCCAGTTTCCAATCTTTCCAAAGGACACATTCAGTGTCCAGGAACAAACCCTTTCACCCTGTTAGTGTCCCCTGCCTTTCATCATTATTTATTTAGTTAGTTCTTTTATGTATTCAGTCACCCATTCATTCTATGCATGCATTCCATCCACCCAGTCATCCATTAATTCATTACCCATCCATTCATTCATTCCTTCATCCATCATCTATCCCTCACCCACCCAACCATCCATTCATCCATCCACCCATCTCTCTGTTCATCCATCTCTCCAGCCATCATCTATCTCTCATCTGTCCATCCTTCCACCTGCCCATCCTTCCTTTCATCCATCTGTCCATCCTTCCATCCATCCACCAATCCTTCCATTCATTCATCCCTCCATCCATCATCCATCTCTCATCCATTCATCCATCCATCCTTCCATCCATCCATCCACCCATTTATCCCATCCATCCATTCTTCCAGCCTTCCATTTGTTAACATCTACTTTAGTGAAAATGAAAAAAAGATGACAAATCACAGACACCACGGACAAGGATAAAACCAAATGGTGTTAAAATATGTGTGTGTGTGTGTGTGTGTGTGTCACAGTCTCACTGTCACCCAGATTGGAGTGCAGTGGCACCATCATGACTGACGGCAGCCTCAACCTCCAGGGCTCAAGAGATCCTTCTGCCTTAGTCTCTTGAGTAGCTGGGAATACAGGTGCATGCCACAGTGCCCAGCTAATTTTTTAATTTTTGTAGAGATGAGATCTCACTATGTTGCTCAAGCTGGTCTTGAACTCCTGGACTCAAGTAATTCTTCTGACCTGGCCTCCCAAAGTGTTGGGATTATAGGCCTCAGCCACCACATCCAGCCCAAATGCTATTAAGTTCAGACTCTGTCATTGATCAGCTGGGCAACCTTGGGCAAATTATTACACCTTTTGAGCCTCAGTTTCCCCCTCTGTGAAATGGGGCTAACAGTAGTACCTTACTGCTTGCAGGCAGGTCTTCAGGATTAGGCAGGTGAGGTGAGGTAACATATGCGAGTAGGGGCATGTGGCGAGGCCCTTTCTTTACAGATGCTGCGGTGTGACACGTGTTATGCTGCAGGGAAACACAGGGCTGTGGCGTTAGGCAGGGTTGCTAGCTCCATCTTGGGGTCTGGGGAGTGGGGGCATCCAGCATGTCTTGCCATGCCCAGAGTTAGGAAATGGGTTGCTTTGTTATTAGTCGCCACAACTTCCCCTGGTCAAGCTCACACCCTATCCCCACCTGGCACACATTGGTTTTCCAGCTCTTGCTTAACTTCTAAAGGGCAGCTCTTTCTCTGACCACCCTGCCACACCCCACCTACCCCACCCACTGCCCCAGTTTGTGGGAAAACTCTATGGAACAGAGAGGGCTTGCAGGTTCCTTCTCTAGATTCGTTGTTATTTTTTCCCATTTAAATTGAAACTGTGCTTATTAAAGAAGATTAGAAAAAAACACACATCAAACAAGAAAGAAAAAAAATTTTTGTCCCATCCTTCTAACAAAACCACACTAAACAGTCTGTTTCTTTCTTTCCCCCAAGCCAGGGTATTGGACTGTGTGTGTATGTGTGTGTGTGTGTGTTGCATAGTTGTAAATCATTACTGTTCCACTCTTTACTGTTGTGTTTTAAAAAATATTTCCATTACAGGTGATCCTTGACTTACAATGGTTCATTTTAGGATTTTTTGAGTTTATGATGATATGAAAGAGATAGGCATTTGGTAGAAATCATACTTTGAATTTTGAATTTTAATCTTTTATCAGGCTAGCAATACAGAGTACGATAATTTTACATGAAATATTCAACACTTTATTATAAAATAGGCTTTGTGTTAGATGATTTTACCCAATGTAGGCAAGTGTAAAGGTTTCAAGCACCTTTAAGGGAGGCTAGGCTAAGCTATGATGATGTTCAGTAGGTTGGCTGTGCTAAATGCAATTTTGACCAAATGATATTTTCAACTTACAGTGGGTTTATCAGGCCACAGCCCCATCCCAAGTCGAGTAGCATCTGAATTACCTAAGCCTTTCCCCTCATTGCTCATTTTCACAAGCATATTTGAATGGCTGCACTAATTTAGCATGCAAATGTGAAGTGAGCACCTGCTATGTTCTGTGGGAGAGAAAACAGGCATAATGGCAGAGCCAACATTTACTGAGTGCAAACTCGGTGCCAGATGTCATTCTAAGTACGTGTATTAAATTGCTTCTTCCTCACAACCACCCTGTGAGGTAGGTGCCATCACTATGCCCTTTTTCCAGATGAGAAAACTGAGGCCCAAGATTGCACAGCTAAGAGGCGGAGCTAGCATTTGAATCCAGCAGGGTCAGCCACAGGGCTGGGTTCTGGCCATGCTGGGCTACCTTGGGCCACCCACAAACAAGTAACCCCAATCCAGAGTGACTGAAGCAGGGATGAGGAATGTACAGGAGCATGTGATAGCCCCAAGACTATCCAGGGACATCAAGGAAGGCTTCCTGGAGGAGAAGGTGACATCTCAGCTGAGAGCTGAAGGACGAGTGGGAGGTGGGAGGTGAGGGCACTGCCAGCAGAGGGAGCAGCCATGCAGGGACCCCAGGTAGACATGGGCACCAAATGTTGCCAAGCTGGCACCACTGACCCTGCTGGTAGAGGTGGTCAGGGAAGATCATGCAGAGGCCATGGTCCCAGGAGCCCTGAGAAACCCTGGGAGGCCCCAAAGCATTTTAAGCTGGGACGAGGCATGACTGGGGAGGCTTTCCCCCTCCAGGCTGGGCAGTACCCCTGTTCTGCCCCCACAGCCGGGCCACTCTCCACTGTAGCCCCCTGCACCCTGGCCAGTTTTTGCCTGTTTATCCTCTCTCTTCCCACCTAAACTGAAGAAATTTCTAGAGGGTGGGAATCCGAACTGATTTGTTCACTTCTGTGGCCTAGATCAGAGCAGGGCAGTTACAATCCCCGGCCTCAGACGACTGAACATCACTCGGTGACTTTGTGTGGAGATGGTGCCAGTGCTGTCTGCCACGGCCTTGAAGGCAGGGCCCCTCCTGTGACCCTCGGCTCCTTGGGGCTCCACGGGATGTGTCTTCAGGTTTGCCAGGACTTTGCTCCAACTTGCCCGTGGTGTCCTGTTTGGTTTAGGAGAGGCCCCAGTAAATACTGAACCCATGTTGTGCCTCTTGGTGCTGTTCTCGAAGGCCAAGAGAAGTGGGTCTGTGTGGGGCCAGCTTCCCGCTTCCTTCTGGTTCCCAAACTCATCTGGAGCCCAACACAATTCAGCTTCCTCCTCCAGCCACATCACCTGCTCCCACAGCTGGAGACGGGAGAGACTTGGGACTGTGGCCCCTCCTGCGCTGGGGCTGAGGGCCTCAGGTTCACTGTTTGCCCCCAGCCCCCTCAGCCAAGCCTGCTATCTTTTCATCTCAGACACTTCAGAGTTCAGGCCAAGAAGCCAAAGTCAATTTTGAAAAAGTCCTTAAAAGGCCAAGACACAAACACCAGCAAGGGTGGGGTGGGCTGAAGGGGTGAAGATGAGGTTGGGGAGGGGTAAACTCTCGGGCCACTTCACCAGATTCAAAAGGACTCAGTGATTTTCCTGTGCCCAAAGGTGCATGCAAGGACCATCACCAAATCACTGCCTGCAGAAGCGAAAGACTGGAGCTGCCCGAGGTGTCCATCAGTGTTCTACGGTTTTTAAAAAGAATGACTGTAGTCGCAGCTACTCAGGAGGTTGAAGTGGGAGGATTGCTTGAACCTGGGAGTTAGAGGCTGCAGTGATCTAAGACTGTGCCACTGCACTCCAGCCTGTGTGACAGACCAAAACCCCGTCTCAAAAAAAAAAAAAAAAAGAAAAAGAAAAAGAAAAAGAAAAAGAAAAAGGGGCCAGATGCAGTGGCTCATGCCAGTAATCCCAGCACTTTGGGAGGCGGAGGCAGGCAGATCACCTGAGGTCAGGAGTTCGAGACCAGCCTGGCCAACATGGTGAAACCCTGTCTCTACTAAAAGTACAAAAATTAGCTGGGCGTGGTGGTACACACCTGTAATGCCAGCTACTCAGGAGGCTGAAGTCGGAGAATCACTTGAACTTGGGAGGCGGAGGTTGCAGTGAGCCGAGATCAGGACACTGCACTCCAGCCTGGGTGACAAGAGCAAAACTTCATCTCAAAAGAAGAGAGAGAGAGAGAGAGAGAAAGAGACCAGTTACTCTCTGAGCTCTTGATGAGTACACCTTTCTGTGCAACTAAGACACACACATACAATGTGTGATATGGAAACAGCTCCAAGATCAATTATAAAGAAAAAAGAAGAAAAAGCAAAGATATAAAGCAGGGTCTTGAACTAGATCC
Organism: Homo sapiens; assembly: GCF_000001405.40. NCBI lineage: Eukaryota > Metazoa > Chordata > Mammalia > Primates > Hominidae > Homo > Homo sapiens. The sequence continues at coordinate 57,314,313 of NC_000007.14, forward strand.
TTTCTGTGTAAACAGGAAAGATGAGGATGTAGCCCACATGCCTGTTTCCACACAGAACATTTCTGGAAGCACTTACTAGGTACCTAGAAACACTAACTGGCTCTAGGGCAGGAGTCAGAGGGAGACAGACTCCTCCTTGTACACTCTTTGTACCTTTTGATCATCTTAAAACCATGTTCGCCGGGCATGGTGGCTCACACCTGTAATCCCAGGACTTTGGGAGGCCAACGCGGGCAGATTTCCTGAGGTCAAGAGTTTGAGACCAGCCTAACCAACATGGTGAAACCCCATCTCTACTAAAAATACAAAAATTAGCAGGGCTTGGTGGCACATGCCTGTAATCCCAGCTACTCGGGAAGCTGAGGCAGGAGAATCTCTTGAACCTGGGAGGCAGAGGTTGCAGTGAGCCAAGATCACGCCACTGCACTCCAGCCTGGGTAACAGAGTGAGACTCTGTCTCAAAACAAATCAAAACAAAACGAAACAAAACCATGTTAATACAACATAGAAATAAATACACTAATAAGAATATTAGTGATTTTGTTCCAGCCAAATGGCCAATAACAAAAGATGCAAATAGCAAAAGGTGGAGGTGGGGGGCGGGTGGTCACAAAAGGTGTAGTGACTTTCAGCGTAGATGAAATTATGGAAGACGCAGCTCACGAAGCATCTTGAGAGAGATGAGGTGCTATCTCATCTAGATTCTTCTCAGCTATCTGAGTTAACCACATTCAAACAGCTTTCAAAGTTCCCTCATTCTTATAAACCTGGCTGTTTAAAACACACTTTCAAAACTTCCCGAGAATTCCATAAAGTAGAATCAGATCACTGTATAGATTGATTGATTAATTCAACAAAGACATATTGTTTTAGGTGATGGAGATGTAGCAATGAACAAGACAATCACGATTCCTCATCTCCTAGAGCCCATGGGTCTAGAGGGAGTGCCAAGCAGATAACAAGCAAAGAGCAACAACAATGCAAAAAGCAAATATGACAATTTCAGAACCCGAGAGGCACTGGAAGAAACTGAGGCCAGGGAATGGAATTGATGATGGCAGGTGTGGAGAGTGGTCAGTGAGGGGCTCTCCTCTCTAAGAAGGTAACCTTTGAACTGAGACATGAAGGAGGAAAAGGAACCAGCCACAAGAAAATCAGGGAAAGGGTAACTCCAGACAGCAGGAATAGCTAGGGCAAAAGCCCTGAGGCCACATTGAGCTTCGCTGTGATAGGAACAAGAATGGTGGCCAGTGTGGCGTGGGCTTAGAGAGACAGCCAGAGAAGAATGGAAGAGCCAGATGGAGATGCAAGCAGGGGCTGCTTCTGTGGTCTTGTGGGCTTGGTACAGAGTCCAGATGAGGAAACTGAGGCTCAGAGAGGTTAAGTAACTTGCCCAAGGTCACACATTTAACAGTGGCTGAGCCAGGATTTGGACCTGGGTTCCCAACTTCATACCCAGTCCTCTCAACCTTCACCTCTGCCCATATGTGGCAAAAGCATTAAACATGTATTTCCAGACAGCACAGCCTGTGCTCTATGAACACTGTTTGTGTGTGTCTATGTATGTGTGTGTGTGCTTGCATGCATCTGCGTGTGCTTTTTTGTGTGTGTTTTAATTGCAAGGAAAAGTGCACACATCATACACAAAGAGCTCAGTGAATTCTCGCCAAGTGGACACATTTGTGGAATGAGCACCCAGATGTACACAGGACATTCCAGAAGCCCCCTTGATGACTCTCCTGGTAAATCCTCCCCACCACCGCCCCCAAGGTTAACGGCTGTCTTGAATTCTAACTCCATAGATGACTTTTGCTGGTTTTGAACTTTCTATAAAGGGAAGCACAAAGTGTGTGCTCTTCCCATCTGGCTTCTTTCATTCAGCATCCTGACTGCACAGCTTGTGGTGTTCTGTTAGACTTTGACTGCCACGCTGCGAGAGCACAGGTGGACTCCCAGAATGCTTCCTTCCCATGAACAAGGCCAGGAGAAAGCTGCTTGCACAAAAGCAGTTCAAAGTACGTTGTTACGTGAAAAAGTCAGGTACAAAACCATCTGTGTAGCTCAATCCCATTTTGGAAGGGATAAAAAATGTCTTTTTTATGTAGAATCAAAAATGATCGTGAAAAATATGTTAAATTTCCTCTCAACTGTGGTGCATTACAAACACTTAGCAAATCAAAATAGCCTCCAGATCTGGGGGGTCATCTTGTGCTTGGGACCATGTTGAACAAAAAATAGGATCTGCCAACTACACTCACTTGCCATATTAAGATTGTCATTCTCAGCCAGGCTTGGTGGCTCACGCCTGTAATCCTAGCACTTTGGTAGGCTGAGGCAGGCAGATAACTTGAGGCCAGAAGTTCGAGATATGCCTGGATAACATGGTGAAACCCCATCTCTACTAAAAATACAAAAATTAGCCAGGCGTGGTGGTGTGTACCTGTAATCCCAGCTACTCTGGAGGCTGAGGCAAGAGAATCACTTGAACCCCGGAAGCAGAGGTTGCAGTAAACTGAGGTCGCACCATTGTACTCCAGCCTGACCAGCAGGGCAAGACTCTGTCTCAAAAAAAAAAAAAAAAAAAGAAAAAGAAAAAGAAAAGAAAAAAAAAAGGGCCACTCTCCCCATCACCCTTTTTTGGCCTGCTGATGCACAGTGAAATTGTGTGAATTAAATGCCTGGAAGATACAATTCTACAAGACTCAAGTGTTACGTGGAGTTTTTTCCTGCCTGGCGGGGATGGCAGGTTGATTTTTTTGTGTTTCCTTATCTATTTATTCTAACTTTTCCTTCCTTCCTTCCTTCCTTCCTTCCTTCCTTCCTTCCTTCCTTCCTTCCTTCCTTCCTTCCTTTCTCTCTTTCTTTCTTTCTCTCTCTTTCTTTCTTTTTCACCTGCCTTTCTTTCCTTCTTTCTTTCTTAATTTTTCTTTCTTTCTTTCCTTCTTCTTTCTCTTCCTTTTTTCCTTTCCTCCTTTCCTGCTTCCTTTCTTCCCCCCTTTCTTCCTCTCTCTCTCTTTCTTTCTTTCCTTCTTTTTCTTTCTTTCTCTTTCTTTCTTTCTTTCTTTCTTTCTTTCTTTCTCTCTCTCTCTCTCTCTCTCTCTCTCTCTTTCTTTCTTTCTTCCTCTCTCTCTCTTTCTTTTCTTCTCAGGTAAGCTCTCACTCTGTCAGCCAGACTTGAGTGTAATGGTGCAACCTCGGCTCACTACAACATCCGCCTCCCAGACTCAAGCCATCCTCTCACCTCAGCCTCCCAAGTAGCTGGGACTACAGGCACATGCAACCGTGCCTGGCTAAATTTTTTTTTTTTTTGTAGAGATGGGGTTTCACTACGTTGCCCAGGCTGGTCTCAAACTGTGGGATTCAAACAATCTGCCCACCTTGGCCTCCCAAGGTGCTGGGGTTACAGGTGAGACCCACCACGCCCAGCCTTACTCTAACTAGCAAAAAATAAGAACAAGAATTCATATGTATTAAACAACAACTGCAGCAGCAGCAGCAATAAACTGACAAAACAAAAGGAAAGCATTTCTGTCCCCGTTTATGTGCTTCCAGAAGGTCAGCTACAGAAAGGCCACATCACCCTGATGCACTGAGTCAATTGCACAAGAAAGGGAGTGCTGACTCCTCCACGTCCAGGGGATCATCCAGCCTACATGTGGTTTAAGGGATGGCCCCAAAGCCAGATGGACTGGGGTTCAAATCTGAGCCTTGTCCCTTACCAGCTGTGGCTTGGTTACTCCTCCTGCATAACAAACCCACCCTAGAGCAGAGCAGTGTAAAGCAGCCATTCTACTCACCTGGAATGATATCTCTCAGATCCTGTGGTCAGGAATGCAGACGGCACAGCAGGACAGCTTGTCTCTGCTCCACAGTGTCTGGGGCCTTGGCTGGGACACCCTGGAGGCTGAGGGTGACTTGGTGGCTGGGGTGCTGGCCTTGGTCAGAGAGTCTTCACTTGTGTGTTTGGCAGCTGCGCAGCAGGTGCCACAGAAGACACCTGTGTGTGACTTCTCCGTGTGGTCTCTTCATTTGGGCTGGTTTGGGTCTCCTCACAACATGGTGGGAAGGGGGAGTAACTGCTAATAGGTGTGAGATTCCTTTTGGGGGCAATGCAAGTGTTTTAAAATTAGATAGTGGTGATGATTGCATAACTGTGTGAATATACCAAAACCCACTGGATTGTGTACTTTAAAAGGGTGAGTTTTATGGTATGTGAATTATATCTCAATAAAGCTGGGGTTTTTTAACAAAAAAAAAGAAGAAGAAGAAATAGATCATGAGGATGAGAGATGCTGCTGTGAGCATCTTAAGAAAACACGATGTGCAGCTGGGTGCACTCCCTGTAATTCCAGCATTTTGGGAGGCCGAGGCAGGAGCCCAGGAGGCTGCAGTGGGCTATGATCTTGCCACTGGACTCCAGCCTGGGTGACATAGCAAGATGCTGTATCTAAAAAAAAAAAACACACACAATTTGCCACACTGTGTGAGGTATTATCTTTCTATGCCTCAGTTCCATCTTCTGTAAAATGGGACTATTTAATAATTAAATGAACTCATAGGGTCTTTGGGGGTGAGCAGAGGTAATCCTGAGCCTAGTAGCTGGCACAAGGTGAGTGTTCAGGAAATGAAATGTTGTTATTTCAAATGATAAAATGCCATAAGGCAGCAGTGTATGGTATTAATTAAAACAATGGGTTTTAGAACCAACCCTCAAATTTGAATCTAGCTTTCCCAGTGGTTAGTTACTTAACCACTCTAAATCTGTTTCCTTATCTGTAAAATGGAGTTAACACAGTACCCACCTCATACGTTGTGACAATTAAATGAGTTAATAGCACGAAGGGCTTGGAATGGCACCTATGTGCAATGCAGCACAGTACACAGGAGGTACTACACAGTTGCTGACTGTTATTGCTTCTGGCATTTCCCTGGCTTCCTGGTGCTGCTTAGGTGGTGTGGATCCATTGGAAGGGTTTGTGTAATAGTAATAACAGCAGTGATGCTAACAGCTGGCCCTTATCCACTGTTACAGGATGAGGAGGGGATGCCGGGCACTCCCTCATACCAGCTGCCAGGGAATTCCGCACAGAAGCTGGGCTGGCTGCAGAGGGCTGAGTTGTAGACTCCAGGAGAAGGTGGGGCATCCAGCCAGAGGGGACTGGATTCCCAGAGGAGCAGAGGAGCAGAGGGTCCCGGGGCAGCTGAGGGGCTCACAGAGCTGTGGGGAAGGGAGCTATAGGCTGGAGCAGAGAGTGGGAAAGACGGGCAGAGGCCAGACAGCCAAGAAGCTTGCAGCCTGGACTGTGCCCTGAGATGCTTGGATGCTCTTTCATTTTCTTACTGAAAATCCTGGAAAAAAACAGCCTTGTCCCATCTTAGGACAAATGTGTTTCTCTCTTCCTTCTTGGCCTCTGCAGGGTTGACTCTCTTCCAGCTATCCTCTCATTCCCTCTTAAGGTTCATAGCAACACCTAACACGGACAGCTTCTAAGAGCCCTGAATGGTGCTAAAGGCTTTTTGCCCAAGGCTTCCCAGATCCTCACAACAGCCCTATAAAGCTTATGCAGAAAGACCCATTTTACAGAAGAGGATAGTGGGGATGGAGGGAGAAGCCATTTGCACAGGTCACGCACTAATGAGTGGCAGAAACAAAATCGATCTCTGACGCCTTCTCTACAATTTCATTTTGCATCAGTGGCTTATAGATGGATTGGCAAATTATAGTCCTCAAGCCAAATCTGTCTCACTGTTCTGTATGGCCTGCAAGCTACGAATGGTTTTTACTTTTTTTTTATTTTTTGGAGACAGAGTTTCACTCTTGTTACCAAGGCTGGAGTACAACGGCGCAATCTTGGCTCACTACAACCTCCCCCTCCTGGGTTCAAGTGATTCTCCTGCCTCAGCCTCCCAAGTAGCTGGGATTACAGGCATGCACCCCCACGCCTGGCTAATTTTTTGTATTTAGTTGAGACGGGGTTTCACCATGTTGGTCAGGCTGGTCTCGAACTCCTGAACTCAGGTGACCCACCCACCTCAGCCTCCCAAAGTGCTGGGATTACAGGCATGAGCCACCACGCCTGGCTGGTTTTTATGTTTTTAAACGATTTTTAAAATTTGAAAGAAAGGCCAGGCACGGTGTCTCACGCCTATAATCTCAACACTTTGGAAGGCTGAGGCGGGCAGATCACTTGAGTCTAGCAGTTTGAGGCCAGCCAGGGCAACATAAGGAGACTCCATCTCTACAAAAAATACAAAAATTGGCCAGGGGTGGTGGCACATGCCTATAGTCCCAGCTACACAGGAGGCTGAGGCAGGAGGATCACCTGAGCCCAGGGAGGTTGAGGCTGCAGTGAGCTGTGATTGTATAGCTGTACTCTGGCCTGGGTGACAGAGTGAGACCCTGTCTCAAAACAAAACAAAATTGAGGCCAGGTATAGTAGCTCACACCTGTAATCCCCGCACTTTGGGAGGCGAGGCAGACAAATCACTGAGGTCAGGAGTTCAAGACCAGCCCGGCCAACATGGTGAAACCCTGTCTCTACTCAAAATACAAAAATTAGCTGGGCATGGTGGCTGTGTGCCTGTAGTCCCAGCTACTTGGGAGGCTGAAGCACAAGAATCACTTGAACCCAGGAGGCGGAGGTTGCAGTGAGCCAAGATCACGCCATTGCATTCCAGCCTGGGATACACAGTGAGATTCTGTCAAAAAAAAAAAAAAAAAAAAGGCCAGGCGCGGTGGCTTACACCTGTAATCCCAGCACTTCGGGAGGCTGAGGCGGATGGACCATGAGACCAGGAGATTGAGACAATCCTGACTAACACAGTGAAATCTCATCTCTACTAAAAATACAAAAAATTAGCCGGGCATGGTGGTGGGTGCCTGTAGTGCCACGTACTTGGGAGGCTGAGGCAGGAGAATGGTGTGAACCCAGGAGGTGGAGTTTGCAGTGAGCCAAGATTGCGCCACTGCACTCCAGCCTGGGTGACAGAGCAAGACTCCGTCTCAAAAAAAAAAAAAAAAAAAAAAAATAGGGGGAAAGACAACATGGACAGAGACAGGAAGACAGGAAGTTGACAGCACCTAATTAAAGGTGACTAGCCAGGCACAAGATGAGCAGAAAATGATCTGAGTGTCAGAGCTGGCCACAAGCTGCAGATGAATCAGTTTTTCAGTGAACAAGCTCCACACAAGCCTGGAAGGCTGGGTGACAAGTATGATAGGCAGACTCCTGGCTGTGAACCTTCTGTTCCATAATGCATGACTCACACCTTTCCAGGAGCACTGGGTTTACATTTGGTTATCTCATCATTTTAAAGGATGTAGGGAAGCTGTCCTGGGTCCAAAGGCATGGAGACAGTGACCTGGGGCGATTTATATAAGAGGCTGGAAAGATTCAGGGGCAAGGTCATCTTCATCACTGCCTCCATGGGAAGTGTTTAATTTACAAAGCAGCTGTTGGCCATGTATACAGCAGCCTGAATGAAAGGAATGGACCATGAGGTTGTCTTGAGTGGAAAGAGCACTGGGTTGTGAGTCAGTAGCTCATGACTCCACCCCATGACACTGCAGAAGTTTTCTCTGCATTGCAGACTTCAGTATCTCCATGTGTATCGTGGGAATCCAGAGCAACTTATGGTCCTGAGTAGGTGTTACAGGTAGAAATGCATTTGGCTGAAAGTAACTGGAAATCCACCTGACTGTGGCTCAGACCCAAAAGGGTTTATTTATAGCACCAAATAAAAAGTTCAGAGGGAGGCAATTCTCCATTCTTGTGCCTCAGCCTCTCCAGTAGCTGGGATTACAGGTGCATGCCACCACACCCAGCTAATTTTTGTATTTTTAGTAGAGACAGTGTTTTGCCATGTTGCCCAGGCTGGCCTTGAACTCCTGACCTCAAGTGATCCACCTGCCTCAGCCTCCCAAAGTACTGGGATTACAGGTGTGAGCCACCGCACCCGGCCATCAACTCCCAGGTTTTACATGAATGTCTCGTGGTCTGCTTTTGCCATAGCTATTTGTTTTCCAGCCTGGAAACAACTATACACATCCACTTGTATAGTAAGGGTCTTTTGGTTGAAAGTGACAGAAACAAACCCAACTCAAAGTGACTTAAAAAAAATAGTGTGTGTTTCTGTGAATGTTTTGGTTTATGTAAATGAAAAGTCCAGATGGTTTCAACTTCAGGAATGGCTGGATTCAGGTATGCACGTGTTGTTTAGGAATAATGTTGTTTCCACTTCTCAGCTCTGTTTTCCTCCATGTCCGTTAGGGTCACCTTATGTGGTGGCAAAAATAGTCCCCAGTATCCCCCAGCTTCCGTTCTGCCAGATTGACAAGCCAAGTGAGCAGAAGCTGACTTTCTATGTAGCCTCAGCACATATCTGGGGGTTGACTGTGATTGGCCAGACTGGGGTCACATGTCTATCTCAGACCAATCCCTGGGGCTGGGGGAAAGGAGTATGCTGATTCCCAGGCCTAATTCATCCACCTGCTCTAGTTGGAGAGGCACATGTGGTGATAGTAGTGGAAGGGTGCTGCTACCAGAACATGGGGGAGGAATAGTAGTCAGGTACAAACAGCAGCTGGCCACTGAACCAGCCACTTGCCTGTCCTGCTGTATCTACTTCAAGGCCTCCTTTGGACTTGCCTAGTACTCAATACATGTTTGTCAATGAAAGAGTGATGCTACAAGTAGACGCAGGAAGGGCATGGTCTCGGGAACAATTTCCCAGGAGTAGTTAGGCAGGCAGCTTCTGATTTTTCACATCCTGCCCAGCCTAATCTCATAGGCTGGCCTCCATTCAAACTGCCAAGCCTCAGTGGCAGAGCGTGGCTGCTTCACGGGCTGTGTACCTCGATAGGCAGCCGCCCACAGCAGGCCTGGGCAGAGGAAGGGCGAATCAAGAGTGGCTCACTCTGCCCTGTGGAAAGTGCACAGGAGGCTCCTGCTGGGGAGATGATGAGCAGGGGCTGACACAGGCGGGTGTCACCCTCCTCTTTCCTCCTCACTGGCCACTCCTGCAGGCGACACTTTCACCCTGTTCTCTTTCTCACCAGGAACTTCTCCCTTCATGCCTGAGTCATCACACAGGTGCCCACAGGGACTGGCAGTGTGGGGCACACACACTTTATCTACAGAGGCACCTGGAACTCACTGCAGCCATTGTGGTCCTGTAAAAATGTGGGAGCCATGTAGCCAGACCTTCTGAATTTTTTAAAAGTAGACTTTATTTTATTAATTTATTTTTTGAGATGGAGTCTTGCTCTGTGGCCCAGGCTGGAGTGCAATGGCATGATCTCAGCTCACTGTAACCTCTGCCTCCCAGGTTCAAGCGATTCTCCTGCCTCAGCCTCCCGAGTAGCTGATATTACAGGCATGTGCCACCAAGCCCAGCTAATTTTGTATTTTAAGTAGAGACGGGGTTTCTCCATGTTCGTCAGGCTGGTCTCGAACACACAACTTCAGGTGATCTGCCTCCCTTGGCCTCCCAAAGTGCTGGGATTACAGGTATGAGTCACTGTGCCCTGCCTGGTTGCCCATTTTTATGGTTATTTCTTGATGATATGCTAAACAAGGGGTGGATTATTCATGCCTCCCCCTTTTAGACCATATAGCATAACTTCCTGACGTTGCCATGGCATTTGTAAACTGTCATTGTGCTGGTGGAGTGTAGCAGTGAAGATAACCAGAGGTCACTCTCGTGGCCATTTTGGTCTTGGTGGGTTTGGCTAGCTCCTTTACTGCATCCTGTTTTATCAGCAAGGTCTTTATGACCTTGTGCTGACCTCTTATCTCATCCTATGGCTTAGAATGCCTTTATTATTATTATTATTATTATTATTTTTTGAGATGGAGTCCTGCTCTGTCACCCAGGCTGGAGTGCAGTGGCATGATCTCAGCTCACTGCAAGCTCCGCCTCCTGGGTTCACACCATTCTCCTGCCTCAGTCTCCTGAGTAGCTGGGACTACAGGTGCCCACCACCACGCCCAGCTAATTTTTTGTATTTTTATTAGAGATGGGGTTTCACCGTGTTAGCCAGGACGGTCTCAATCTCCTGACCTCATGATCCGCCCACCTTGGCCTCCCAAAGTGTTGGGATTACAGGCGTGAGCCACCATGCCTGGCCAATATCGCTGAATTCTTTCCCCAGTAAAGAATATTAATAATTAACTGCTCTGGGAAAAGAATGCATTCCTCAGGGGGCGGGGGCTCTAAAATGGCCGCTCTGGGGGTGTCTGCCTTATGCAGTTGCATATAAGGGATGAAACATGCCCTGGCCTCCTGCAGCACCCCCAGGCTTGCTAGTATTCAGAAATTCCAGCCTGGTGAATTCCAGTCAGACCGGTTCTCTGCTCTTGAACCATGTTAAGATGTTTATCAATGACAATGCGTGCACAGTGGGACATGGAACTTCATTAGTAATTCTAGTTTCACCCTGACCTTGTGATCTTGCCCTGACCTTCTGCCTTGTGATCTTTTTTTGCCCTTGAAGCATGTGATCTCTGTGACCCACACCCTAATCATACAGTCCCTCCTCTTTGAAAATTGCTAATAAAAACTTGCTGGTTTTGTGGATCAGGGAGCATCATGGAACCTGCTGATGTGTGATGTCTCCCCTGGACACCCAGCTTTAAAATTTATCTCTTTCGTACTCTCCCTTTATTTCTCAGACCAGCCGACACTTAGGGAAAATAGAAAAGGACGTACATTGAAATATCAGGGGCTGTTTCCCCAGATAAAGCAGGATGGGCAAAGTCCTTCCTCATTTGGGGCCAGACAATGAAGAAACAGACAGAGGTGTAGCACACAGGATGATGATGGAACACGCACAGTAAACTGAAGCCGAGTGAGGGAGCAGGAGCCATGGGAGGGCTCCTCAGGCTGGGGTGGTCAGGACACCGCCCTGCATGAGGACACTGGGTCAGAGACCTGACCGACATGAGGTTCTAGCCCAGCTAAGCCCATCCTTCCCATTTCCCAGAACTGTTCTTGGGCCTCCTGTAGCTGGAGTCTTCTTCAAAACAAGAACCACACGGTGGCCAGCTCCATGTCCTGGGCACCAGACCAGAGATGGTCAAGTGAGGCATCCACTTCTCTTCATCTGCCATTCTTTTCTGCCTGGACAATCACAGTAGCCTCTCCCCATGGGTCCCCCTGCTCCCACCCTCACCCTCCTACAGTCTATCCTCCCCACCACATCTCACTCAGTTCCTCTTGCCACCAAAACAAATGGCCACTAACTTAGTGGCTGAAAACAACACACATTTATTCTCTTACAGTTCTGGAGGTGAGAAGTCAAAGTGTTGGTGGGACCACTTCCTTCTGGAGGCTCCAGGAGAGAATCTGTCTGCTTGTTTGTTTCAGCTTCTAGTGGCTGTACATGACCCTTGGCTTATGGCCCCGCCCTCCACTCTCAAAGCACATCACTGCAGTCTCTTTCTGTCATTCTCTCTCCTCTTTGCCTTCTCCTCCTCTGTGGGCAGGTCTCCATCTGCCTCGGTGGTATAAGGACTCCTGTGATTAATTGGCCCCACCTGGGTGATCCAAGATAACCATCCCATCTTCAGAGCCTTCACTGAATCACAGCTGCCAAGTTCCTTTTGCCATATAAAGTAACACTCACAGATTCGGGGGATTAAGACATGAACATCTTTGAAGGGCCACTATTCAGCTAACCAAAGCATCCAAGAGGCTCCTGTTAGAGCGTGAATCAGACCCTGTGCCTCCTCTCCTCAAAACCCTGCCATGGCTCCCACTTCCCACATGCAAAGCCCTTACAGTGGTCACATGGTACCACACATCTCTTCTCCTGTGACTGCCCATCTCATCTTCTCCTCTCCTGCCTCACTTGGTTCCAGTTACTGGCCTCTTGGTTGTACTTCAACACTCCAGGCAAGCACCTGCGTGAGGGCCTTGGCACATGCTGTTCCCTATACCAGGAACTTTTCATTTCATTTCATTTCTTTTCTTTTTCTTTTTTCTTTTTGAGACAGAGTTTTGCTCTGTTGCCCAGGCTGGAGTGCAGTGGTGCAGTCTCAGCTCACTGCAACCTCTGCCTCCCAGGTTCAAGTGATTCTCCTGCCTCAGCCTCCCAAGTAGCTGGGACTACAGGTGCACACCACCACGCCCAGCTAATTTTTGCATTTTTAGTAGAGATGGGTTTCACTATTGTTGGCCAGGCTGGTTTCAAACTCCTGACCTTGTGATCCGCCTGCCTTGACCTCCCAAAGTGCTGGGATTACAGGCGTGAGCCACCGTGCCAGGCCTTCTTTTCTTTTTTTCCTCTCCCTTCCCTTCCCTTCCCTTCTCTTCTTGTTCTCTTCTCTTTCCTATTACCCTTTCCTTTCCCCTTTCCTTTCCTTTTCCTTTTCCTTTTCCTTTCTTTTTTTTTGAGACAGAGCCTTGCTGTGTCACCCAGGCTGGAGTGCAGTGGCGCAATCTCAGCTCACTGCAACCTCTGCCTCCCAGGTTCAAGCGATTCTCCTGCTTCAGCCTCCCAAGTAGCTGGGATTACAAGTGTGTGCCACCATGCCTGGCTAATTTTTGTATTTTTAGTGGAGAGGGGATTTCACCATGTTGGCCAGGCAGGTCTCGAAGTCCTGACCTCAGGTGATCCATCTGCCTCAGCCTCCCAAAGTGTTGCCATTACAGGCGTGAGCCACTGCACAAACCCTATTGCCTGGAACTTTTCATTCCTGCCTCTTCGTAAGACTGGACCTTTCTCTTCCTTTGGGTCTCATCTTCTCAGAGAGGCCCTGTTGGACATCACCCTCCCTAGAAGCCCTTCTCCTGCCCCACAATTATATTTCACACAGTCAAAAGTAACCTTGGATGTGTGTTTGTTTTCTTGTCTATCATCTGCCTTCCTCACCAGACTGTCACCTCCTAAAGACCCAGGAGGGGCTGGGTCTGTCTGGTTCTCGGTTGTATCTCCAGCACCAAGGACAGGGCCTGGTACATAGTAGGTGCTCAGGAAATACTTGCCCCATGAATCCATGTATGGTTTCTTTCAAATGTTCCTCAATGCTGCAGTGAATAAAATACAAATTCATTTTAAGGCATTCGTACATTCCCAGTGACTTTGTGGCTTGATCTTCTTTTCTGTCAATGACTAAGACTACCTTCGTATATTGAGAGGAGGCGAAGCATCATCTGTACTGAGCAAGTGAGGACTCAGAAGGCCTAGAATGGAGGCAGGGGTGTCTTAATGCAGATTGGCAGTGGGGTCTTATGGAAGAGCAGGGGCATGAAGTGAGCTTCTTGTGCAAGTGGCACCCTCTCTCTGTGCCTCAGTTTCCACATCTATAACATGGAGATTGTAACAGAACTTACCTTATAGAAGGTTCTCAACTTCGGTGCTACTGACATTTGGGGCTGGATAATTCTCTGCTGTGCGGGTTGTCCGGTGCACTGTAGGGCATTGAGCAGCATCCCTGGCCTCCACCCATCAGATGCCAGTACCTTCTCCCCAGTTGTGATAACCCCAAATGTCCCCACATATAGCCTAATGTCCCCTGTGGGGGCAAAATCACCCCTAGCCAAGAACCACTGCCTGCTCGGATGATCCGGGTGCTTGTGGTAAAACCCGGCACAGGCTGGTGCTCAAGTTGTGCAGGGAATCGTAGCTGCTCCATGGTTAAGTGGCTGCCTGGCCCTGCCACTCCTTAGCAGATGGCCTTGGACCAGTGACTCCAGCTCTCTGAGCCTCAGCATCTTCATCTGTAAAATGAGATAATGATAGCACTTCATCTCTTGGGGCTGTCAGGAGGATTGAGTAGATTAATCCTGTGAAGTGCTCAGAAGCATGCTTGGCACACAGTGGGAATTTGGAGGCTGAGGCTGAGGCTGAGGCTGATGAAGGCTTCTGGGAATAGTGGGAGCTAGAGAAAGGGCTGTTTGCATCCTCACCTCTGCAAGTGCTACCTGAGGCCTCTGGCGTGTGTGCCCCTGCACAAATGGAGGACATGCAGGCACGGCTGCCCCCACCCAGGCAGGCAGCTGGCTCAGTCGTCTTCCTAGTTGTATTTTTCTCCTTCTCTGTGTCTCTTTTCTGTCTGTTTCTCTTTTAACTTTCTCTGTCTCTCTCCCTCCCTCTGTTTTCTTCTCTCTCCGTCTCTGTGTTTCTCTTTCTCACCCCCTGTCTCTCGCTCTCTCTCTCTCTCACTCTGCCTGTTTCTCTCTCCCTTTCTCTCTCTCCTCTGCCTGCCCGCCTCCCCTGGCCATCCTGCCTTGTGGCTCTGTCTCTCTGCAGTCAGCCCTTGTCCCCATGCCAGCACGTTATGTCCCTGGTCAGACCCAGATGTCAGGCAGGGCCTGGCGGGTGGCCATGGGATGCTGCCGGGCAGGCGGGAGGGAGTGCTCGGCTTCCCAGTCCCACTGTAGTGGCCGCATGCCTGCCGCCAGGCCTGGCCTGCCCAGGCTGGTAGCAAAGCTTCGCTTCTCCCAGCCTGGCCTCAGCTGGCTGGAGAGTGGACAGCGCTTGGTGGCTGCCTTCCCTGTGAGCCTGGGGCTGCAGGCCACTCATCTTTTCCCTTCCCCCACTTTGACCCCACAACCACAAAGACTTGGTCCCAGAGGGTAGACAGTATAGCATGGGGCCAAGTCTTGGCTGTGTGACCCAGGCAAGTCACCCAGCCTCTCTGAGTCTCCTTGTAAAACAAGGCCATTGAGGCACCTGCTTCTCAGGTCCGGAGGGGGCATCTACCCACAGTGGCTCACAGCACAGCAGGAGCGAGGCCCCAGTAGGAATTTGGTGTCACTGCAGTGTCTAGGCCAGCAGTCTTCAAGGAGGGGAGGCTGGCAGAGATGGGGGGATCTGGATGTCACAATGACAAGGGAGCATGGCTGACGAGCAGGCAGGGATGTGCCATGGGGGACTGCCAGGCAGGACAGCCCCACCCACAACACAAACAGTGCCCTGCTGAGAAACCCTCTCCAAGCCCAGCTGGTCTCAAGTCCCATCAGAGCTTAAATAAGTGGTTAAAAAAAGTCATATTTCTTGTTTGGTTTGTTTGTTTCTTCCCCCTGATTTTCAAAGCAAAGTAGTTTCCTTGAAGGACATTGGAAGGGTATTTGAGCTTCCTAGTTTAAAAACAGACTTTAGGATCTGACTGATGCGGGTCCAATCCAGCCGGGTGACCCTGGCCAGTGGCTTTGCTCTCTGACCCTCAGTTTCCTCATCTGCCAAATGAAAGTAAGGAATGAGAAGGTTGTGGAGATGAAGCAAAAGCATGTTTGTAAAGCACCCAGAATGAGATCTTGCCTGTTGTGGTAAATGCTCTATATTCAGTAGCCTTTCTTTCTTGTCTTTTTTTATTCTTATTTTAAATATAGGAGACACAGAAAAGTACAAGAAGAAAACTAAAAAGGTGACCCCGAGAGAACCATTCTAAGATGTCCATGGGAATTCAGCTCAGCTCATGTATTTATATTGAGATCCTACTGTTGTCTGCTTTTTCATTTTTCATGAAAATAAAACTTGACTCAAAGTTTCATTTAAAAATACTTTTGCTTATTACTATTATTTGAATACTTACACATTCAAAAGGTTCAAAAGGTGTCCATGGAGAAGTGAGGCAACCTCCCACTCGAGCCTCTGTTGATCAGTTTCTTGTGTTTTCTTCCTTCCCTGGGTCTAAGTCCTCTGCAGACCCATGAGTTGCAGCTGTCCTGCTCTTACTCATTTTGAGGTTTTTTTTTTATTCACTCGATTATAAATCATGACATTATTTTAAAAAATCAGAACCTACAGACAATCAAAAGAAAGAGGAGCATAAGAAAAGTGGAATCAAGCCAGGTGTGGTGACACACACCTGTAATCCCAGCACTTTACAGGAGGATTACTTGAGCCCAGGGGTTCAAGACCAGCCTGGGCAACATAGCAAGACCTTCGTCTCTACAAAATTAAAAAAACAAAAACAAAAAATTAGCCAGGTGTGGTGGTGCACGCCTGTGGTCCCAGCTACTCAGCAGGCTAAGGTGGGAGGATGGCTTGAGCCCAAGGAGCCATGATCATGCCACTGCACTCCAGCCTGGGTGACAGAGTGAGACCCCATCCAAAAAAACAAACACACAAATAAACAAAAAAGGAAAGTGGAATCATCTGAAACCTTACTACCCCTTTGACATTTTGGAGCACATCCTCACAGGCTTTTTCCATCACTTGATATATGTTCACTTTCTGTTAGCATCAGGTATCTTTCCTTAGTAGCTTCAGGTATCTTTCCTTAGTGCTGATCAAAGGTTTGGATGATATATTTGTGTACTGATCTGATCGTTATCTGCCTTCTCCACTGTGTGGTCAGTTCCAAGAGGCAGGCTTGACTGCGTCTGGGTCTTCCACACCACAGTAGGTCCATAATGAATATTTTCTGAATGAATGACTAGTGAATTTTCAAAGGGGAATGTACAGTATGTAATACTGTCCTGTGACCTACCTTTTCACTTAATGTATTGGGGATATCTTTCCACATCTCTGTGTGGTGAGTCTCCATTTTTCATGTCTGCACAGAATCACCACAATAAACATCTTTTTGATGTTAGCCAGAAGCTTCTGCTGCCCCCAAGTGGGAAGCTCTTTTTCTAATGCAGATCTGTTAACAAATTCCATATGACCCACCCATGCCCCAGCCCTTCGGCCAATTACTTTGAGGCTTACACTTCACTGGTTACATGGGCCCATTGTTTTCTGGGACAAGTCAAGATTTACTGTCTGTCCCTGACATCACGTTTGCCCAGAGAGGCTTAAGAGTGAAGAGCTCATCTCTCCTATCTCCCGTTTCCACCAGTTAAGGGTTCTGTAGATTTGCTGAAGTTGGGAAACTTGGTGTAACCCTTGCCTCCCTGGCCACCTCACCACAAAGGGCATGTGCCAAGCTCATTCATTCCTGCCTCAGGGCCTTTGCGCTGGCTGTTCTCTCCACCCAGAATACACTTCCCTCTGATATTTGCTCAGCTCACTCCCTTACTACTTCAGATCTCTGCTTGAGCATCACCTTCTCAGAGAGGTCTTCCTCAATTATTTTTCTAAATTAGCATCTCCAAGTCTCTTACCCAGTTTTACATTTCCTTGTAAAACATTTTACTTGGTATTGTATTAGATCAGATTATATGATGTTATGCTGTGTTGTGCTGTGTTATATTAATATTTTGGGGTTTTAAAATGGATTGCCCATCTCCTTCACTCTGAGGACAGGGACTTGGGACTCTCTTTTCTTTCCTGCAGTATCCCCAGCACCTAAAATAGGGCCTGGAGCATGGTTGGTGCTCAGGAAATACTGGTTGAGTCAATCCATGTTAACTCCAGACTCCAAGGTTACTTCCAAGGCTGAGAGTCCAATGCCATCATTCATTCATTCAAGATTTATCTGTTGAGCACCTACTGTGTGCCAGGGCTTATTTGGATGCTGGTGCCGTTCAGTACAACAGTGGACAAAGCAAACACATCCTTCACAAATGTCTCCTTGAAGGATGTGGTCAGGGGTCCAGGAGACACACATCCATCAGATAGCGACATCCACGTTGACTTGCTGGCCTCAGGTCAGTGAAGTGAGGACAGATCAAAAGGTCTCCACTCTAACTTAGCCTCTGCAGAGCTGGTTGAACCCCAAGGGTGACACAAATGGGAATGACACTTTTGTCATTTACTTCTCCCTGCTGTTCTGTTGCCCTCAGTGGAGGAGAAATGGAGAAGGTGATGCTAGAAGCCTTTCTGGATTCTTCCCACAAGCCCAGCTGTCTTTGCCAGAGGAGCTGACTTTTGCCCTACTTTCTGGCCCACACCCTGTGGTCACCCTTTAGGGAATTTTCTACCTTAATAGCTCACATCTCTCTAAGGAAGTGCCACTAAAAATACAAAAATTAGCCAGGCATGGTGGCAGGTGCTTGTAATCCCAGCTACTCCAGAGGCTGAGGCAGGAGAATTGCTTGAACCCAGGAGGCAGAGATTGCAGTGAGCTGAGATCACACTGCTGTACTCCAGCCTGGGCAGCAGAGTGAGACTCCATCTCAAAAAAAAAAAATCAGGAAATGATTCCTAAAAGGATGTTAGAGACACCTTCTGCACAAAATATTAGTGTAATACTTAGGATTAGGTTCACCTTTGAGAGTCAGAAAAGCCAAAATAACAGGGGCTCAAATGAAATTTTTTTTTTGAGACAGAGTCTTGCTCTGTCACCCAGGCTGGAGTGCAATGGCACTATCTTGGCTCACTGCAACCTCTGCCTCCCAGGTTCAAGTGGTTGTCCTGCCTTAGCCTCCCAAGTAGCTGGGATTACAGGCCCCCGCCACCACTCCTGACTAATTTTTGTATTTTTTGTAGAGACGGAGTTTCATCATGTTGGCCAGGCTGGTCTCGAACTCCTGACCTCATGATCCACCTGCCTCAGCCTCTCAAAGTACTGGGATTACAGGCATGAGCCTCTGTGCCCAGCCAGAAGTTTGTTTGTTACATAAAAGATGCATGGAGGTGGCAGTCTAGGACTAGTAGTGTGGCTGCACAAATTCACTGGGGACTCAGGGTCCTTCTCTCTTGTTGCTCCACTTTGTCCCAAGATGGCCACTCAGGTTCTGGCCATCACATCTGCACTCCAGCCAGCAAGGAGGATGGGAAAAAGTAGAGGCACCCCTTCCTAAGGACATTACTTGGAAGTTACTTATATCCCATTGGCCACATGGACACCTAGCTGCAAGAGAGGCTGGGAAGTGTAGATTTTCTTCTGGGTGGTCACATGCCCAATGAAAGCTTGCAATTTCCATTATTTATTTATTTAGAGACAGAGTTTTGCCCTTGTTGCCCAGCAGGAGTACAATGGTGCAATCTTGGCTCACTACAACCTCCATTTCCTGGGTTCAAGCAATTCTCCTGCCTCAGCCTCTCAAGTATCTGGGATTACAGGCATGCACCATCATGCCCGGCTTTTTTTGTATTTTTTGTAGAGATGGGGTTTCTCCATGTTGGTCAGGCTGGTCTCAAACTCCCAACCTCAGGTGATCCGCTTTCTCCAGCCTCCCAAAGTGCTGGGATTACAGGTGTGAGCCACCACGCTCAGCCTGCAATTTTCATTATTAAGGATTAGGGAAGATCAGAGGATGAGAGAGAAAAAAATACAACAGTTGAAGAGAACGTCAAAGAAAATTTTGTAATAACATGAGAAGTATGATTTTGAAGACTTTGAAACTAGCAGGATTTGAAATTGTACACACAGTGTGATCACACCTTTATAATAAAATTTCAAAATGGAGAAAGCTACTCAGAGGAGCAAACTGCTAGAAAATTGCCCTCTGTGGGTGATCCCATTAAAAAAATTCATTTTCTTCTTTTTATTCTCCATTTTACAAATTTTCAATATTTGAACAAAGTTAAATTCCCGTAAAAGCATCCCTGTGCAGTTACATAATCCACTTGAGCTACAATTTGTGTTGTGCAAGTTCTGTCCTCAAACATGCCAAGGCAGCCAGATGGGAAAAGAAGAAATGAAATTATTTCTAGTCATAGAACACATGATTGTGAATGGAGCAAAGTCTAAGTAACACACAAAAAGCAAATAGGAAAACTGTGACCTGGGACTTCGTGCAGTATAAAGTCACAGGTTTGCTGAAATATGAGCTCCATCATCTTGGGCATGTCACATACTTCTCCACTTGGATGGGGTGATTGTTTTTTTCCTCCAGGGTACATTCAGCAATGTTGGAAACATATTTTGTCGTCACAACTTGGAGTAGGGGCATGCTACTGCATCTAGATGGTAGAAGCCAGGGATTCTGCTAAACATCCCACAATGCCAAGGACAGCCCCCACAACAGGGAATTATGTGACCCCAAATGTCCGCCTTGCTGAAGTGGAGACCCCTGCCCTAAACATGTCTATTGGGCCTGCTTCCTGGCTTTTGCTATCATGAGCCATGTTGTCATGGTCTGTAGGGTACACACGTCTGTGGACATGTGCGAGTATTTCTGCAAGATGTTTTTCTGGGGGACAGAACTGCTCCAGCATCCCTGTTCACTCTTAGATGCAGTAGCCTCTTGAATGCTGATGAGATGCCCTTTCCAGCTTGTCCCAGGCACTGCACTAGGAGGTTGGAAATGCATCTGTCTGCACACAGGGGAGCTGTGAGAAGTGCTTACTGTGTTCTGCTTCACATGTTGCGTGGATTAACTCATTAGGTTCTCCTGAAATCCCCTGAGGTAGGCGCTGCCATCACGCCCATGTCAGAGATAAGGAACCAGGCTGCGAGGCAGCACAGGGGCTGGATCAGCTGTCCCAAAGCCAGCAGACTCCCCCAAACCTCAGTGCTCTGGCCGAGGAGTTCTCAACCTGGCTATGCATCAGAATCCCCTGGGGAACCCTAAAAATCTAGATTCGGAGGCGACCCCGCTGGCCTAGTAAGGTCAGGCATGGTTCTGGAATCAGATCTTGGATTCAATTTTGGCTCCTCCACCTCTTGGCTGTGTGACCTGGGATCAGTGACTTTACCTGTCTGAGCCTCAGGGTTGACATATGAAAAAAGTATAGCATTAGTCCCTACCGCAGAGGGTGGTCATGAGGATTCAGTGAAATGCCCTACATCACAGGCTAAACATGGGGGTTGGTATACTTAATGAGTAAGTGATCATTAAGGGTTGATTCTTATTTTTATTTTTGGAGCAGGGCTGGAGCACCTCTGTATGCATATGTAGGTGTGTGTGTTTGTGTCTCTGTGTGTGTTTGTGTGTGTGTGTGTGTGTGTGTGTGGTTAAGCCTCTTAGCTGATTCTGCTAGGCCCAGCTATTCATGCACCTATCCATTCATGCATTCATTTCTTTATGTGCTAATCCATTCATACATCCATTTATTCAACACATTTACTTAACAAAGACCATGTGCCTGTCTGGGCTTTAGAACCCGAGGATGGAAAAGCAATCAAGACGCACAGAAACGTAGGCCTGGTGCAGTGGCTTATGCCTGTAATCCCAGCACTTTTGGAGACCAAGGGGGGTGGATTACAAGGTCAGGAGTTTGAGACCAGCCTGGCCAACATAGTGAAACCCCATCTCTACTAAAAATACAAAAATTAGCCAGGTGTCGTGGCATGCACCTGTAATCCCAGCTACTCAGGAGGCTGAGGCTGGAGAATCACTTGAACCCGGGAGGCAGAGGTTGCAGTGAGCTGAGACCATGCCATTGCACTCCAGCCTGGGCGACCAAGTGAGACTCCATGTCAAAAAAAAAACAAAAACAAAAACACACAGAAACTCTCCTCTCATGGAGCACACAGGAGTATCAGGTGGGGGGATAGACTAGAAAAAAAAATGAATACACATGTTCTTTTGTTGTTGTTGTTTTGAGACAGAGTCTTGCTCTGTCAACCAGGCTGGGGTGCAGTGGTGCAATCTCAGCTCACTGCAACCTCCACCTTCTGGGTTCAAGCAATTCTCTTGTCTCAGCCTCCTGAGTAGCTGGGATTACAGGCATGTGCCCCCATGCCTGACTAATTTTTGTAATTTTAGTAGAAATGGGGTTTTGCCATGTTGCCCAGGCTGGTCTCGAACTCCTGGCCTCGAGCAATCTGCCCTGGCCTCCCAAAGTGTTGGGATTCCAGGTGTGAGCCACCACACCCCGCTGAATAAACATGTTCTATGAAGCCATGTGGTATAAACTGTTGGAAACATAAATCAGTAGGCTAGTGGGACCACATGGAATGGGGGTCCTCTTCCAGACAGGATGAGAAGCCAGATGTCTTCTGTTTGCCCTTCCAGATCCCTCTGCACACCTCTTTACTCTGGAGTGCCTCGAGGCAGACCTGTGTGGGCAGCACCACCTTTAGGGGCCCACACCTCCCCAAGGTGGATGCCAGGAACTCACTTTCTTCGGCTCTCTTGCCAAAGGAGTGCTTGGGTGCAGGGGTGATAGCTGTGCTTGAGAAACAGCAAGGAGGTCTGCAGTGTAGATGCAGGAATTGAGGTTCAGACAGGCACAGTGGCTTGTCTGAAACCATGCAGCCGGGGAGCAAAGGATCCCAAACCCAGGTCTACTGGGTTCCCCAGCTTGAGCTCTTCTTTAGTTCATGGCCCTTGTTAAGGATGAATGTCACTGAGCTGAAATGAAGGAACAGAAAATTCCCGACATTCTGACAGCATCACACAGCAAGTCAACAGCATCACACACTGAGGCCCAGTTTAGTGTTTACCAATCACCGATGGCAATCCCAGCCTGGGCTCAGCATTTAATAAGCATGGGCAGGTTGTGTGCTTGCAACAACCCTGCAAAGCAGGATGAGCAAACCAGGGTTCAGAGAAGCCAAGCTACTTGCTTGAGGTCACACAGAAAAGAAGTCAGGATACAAATCTGTGTTTGTTTCCCAAACCTTTGTTATTTGGACACCCCAACAAGAAGACGCACTGAGGATGAATGGGCATATGCCTGACGCTGAGCAACCTGGGGTTAGGGTCCACATCTGAAATTTCTTTCTACTTCTAGGCCAAACCCAGGGGCACTAAATATGGCAGGCCCTCCATAACTATCACATAAAAGCTGCAAGAAAGCATGGCCAGCTTATAGGGTTTTGCTTAAGAAGTTCAGAGCCTCTGAGACCCATCTTTCTCATTTTTTTTTAATTTTAAACATCTCTCATAAAAACTCTAGCTGAGTCATTCTCTGACCTCATTTTAGCTCTTCTAAAATGGTGGCTTTTGTGTGTGGGGGGTAGGGGGGAAAGCAGTATTTCCCACATTCACAACCTGGACTGTAGTATTTATCTATTCAGCCTTTCATCCACCCATCTGCCACCCATCCACCCACCTGCACTTTCATCTGCCCATTCTATTCATTCACTCTGTCCAACCATCCATTCATTCCTCCATTGATCCATCAGTTTCAATTCCATCCATCCATCCATCCATCCATCCATCCATCCATCCATCCATCCAGTAAGTACCTACCAAGCATCTCCTTTGTACCAGGTCCAGTGCTAGATTCAGAGGAGCTAGAAATAAGTAAGGCTTGCTCCCTGACCTCATAGAGCTCCCAGTCCAGGAGGAGAGGTAGATATGATGGATGGTAGGAAGGCCTTGTTCATTTATTCCACACATGTTTCATGGTGCCACCAATGTGTCAAGCAGTGTTAGACACTGAGGAGCAAAGATAAAAGAGACAAGGTCCTTGGGACCCCATCCTGGTGAGAGAGACAGAGGTCAGCATGCACCAAGGCAGGAAGCAGTTGTTCAATAATCCTTTGTTCATTCAGTGCATATTTGCTGATGACCCTCATAGGCCAGACCTGGGCTCTGGGGACACCAAGACAGAAAATACTTGGCCTTAACCACTTGGAGCACAGTCCAGTGGAATAAACAGTCCAGTAGAGAATTTCAGCCAAGCATGATATGAGATTCAATTAGGGTGAGGAGTCCATAGATGCCAGGAAAGTGGCCAAGGCAGCTTTCTGGAGGGGGTGAGGCCTGGTCTGAGCCTAAAGGATGTGGTGGGGTCTACTCCATTGGGTCCTCTCCCCTGGCTTCCTGCAGAACATGAAGGTCAGACTCAGAGGCTCCAAGGACACCCCTCCCACCGAGACAGTCAGCCCTTTAGAGGGTCGGGTGGGAGAGGGACAGAGTGACCAGGGCGCAAACCCTGTCTCAGGTCAGGGCCCTGGGAAGCTGGCTGGCCAAACCTTGGAGACTGTCCCACAGTGGCCAAGGTCCATTGGTGACATTGAGGTTGTTTGTGCAAAAGTGCTCCATTTTTCTAGGCAGTCTTCTTCACAGAAAAAACCAACAAACAAACCCAGCTCTGTTGACATGACTTATGGTGGGGTGTGGAGGGGGATGAGAACTGCTACCACACTGGGCACCCTGGAGACATTGGTGCCTATAGGGGTGGCGGGAGAAGGGCAGAGGTTGGAGACATGGCAAGGGCCAGATCTTGCAGAGCCTCATGGGCCTTGGCAGGACTTGGGGTCTGATTTGAAGGGCAATGGGGAACATTTGAACTGGTTCAAATGGGTTAAAAAATCTGATTCAAAACTTTCAGAGGGCTAGTGGTCAATTCATTTGCTCATGCATCCATTCATTCGTTCAACCAATATTGAAGCACCTACTCTGTGCCAGGCACTGTTCTAAGCGCTGGGTAGACAAGGATGAACACAGCAGACTTAGACTCTGCCTTCTTGGGACCAGAGACCACACAGACCCTAAATCAAAAAATCACACGATGAAATCCAAACAGTTGTAAGCCATACCAGGGAAGGATTCTCCAAGGAGCTGACACATAGCAGCTGGCTTAATCCTTCATTCAACCAACATTTATTGAGCACCTACTATGTGTCAGGCACCAGGCTGAGTGCAGGGATGTAGGGTGAGCCAGACCGATCCAGACCCTGCCCTCTAGGAGCTGCCATTCCAGTGGAGGAGGCGAACCTATCAATGAACCAAAAAGTATGAGAGAGGTGTAATCAGGGTGCATAGAGGGGCCGTGGGGGCAGGCAGGGCTTCCTGGAGGAAGGGAAATAAGGAGGAGTTAGTTAGGTGTGGGATTTTGCATGGAGGTGAGGGGGGAAGGAAACCAAGGTCTCTTAGGACTTGCTGGGTTGGTGGCAGGTTGGGGGTTGTTGGGAGAAGATGCTGCAGCCTTGGGAGAAGGTCAAGATGCATTTTTACAAACCCTGCCCTTGAGACAGCTTTGGAGGGCACCTGCAGGGCCCTCCTGTCTCTGTCTTTCTCTCCATCTCTGTCTCCTCTTTGTCTGTCTGTCTTTCTGTCTTCTCCTCTTTCTCTGTCTTTCTCTGTCTCTTTCTCTATCCATCTGTTGCCTCTTTCTGTCTCCTCTTTCTCTGTCTGTCTTTCTGGTCTCCTCTTTCTCTTCTGTCTATCTGTTGCCTCTTTCTCTGTCTCTTCTTTCTCTCTCTGTCTCCTCATTGTTTCTCTCAGCCTGCCCCCTGACTCTCTTTTCTCTGCTCCGGTCTTCTTCGCGAGATGTCAGTAAGAGACAAGAATATGAGGAAAAGCCCCGGGTCAGTGGGCAGAAAGAAAGTTCGGGGCACAAGGACAGCTGGGCACAGGGATGACAGCTGGGCACAGGGACAGGCAGTGACTGAATGTTCTGTTTTGGAAAGACAGCTCTGGTCAGAGGCAAAGGTGGCTGACCACAAAACCCGATAACCTGGCCAAACTCTGCTCTAGCCAGTCCTCTGGCCGGCAGCAGTGACCTGGTGGATGCTGCCCAGAATTTTCCTAGAGGAGTGGGGAGAAAGGGGGAAAATGGCCCATGGGCAGCTTCTTCTCTGTCAAGTGGGACTCACAGGAAGAAATAGAAATAAGTTAATTCTCAAGGGAGACCTCAGTGTGGTTCAGAATAGGAAAGCCCTACTTGTCTCTACGTGGTTTGCAAGGTTTTTACAATCCAATAAGTGCTCCCCGTGTGCCAGGCTCTGTGCCCGGCCTGACATTGCCAACCCTCTCCTGCAGGGCGTTGTGATTTAAGACCATGCTCTGGAGCCAGACTGCCTGAGTTTGAATCCTGGCTTTGCAAATTACTTGTGACCTTGCACAAGTTACTTAACCTCTTTCTTTTTTCTTTTCCATTCATTTATTTATTTATTTCCTTTTTTTTTTTTTTTTTTTGAGACTGAGTCTTGCTCTGTCATCCATGCTAGAGTGCAGTGGCACAATCTTGGCTCACTGCAACCTCTGCATCCCAGGTTCAAGTGATTCTCCTGCCTCAGCCTCCTAAGTAGCTGGGACTACAGAAGCCCACCACCATGCCCAGCTAATTTTTGTATTTTTAGTAGACACAGGATTTTGCCATGTTGGTTGGTCAGGCTGGTCTTGAACTCCTGATCTCAGATGATCCACCTGCCTTGGCCTCCCAAAGTGCTGGGATTATAGGCATGAGCCACCGCACCCGGCCAACCTCTTTCTTTTTTAAAATTTTATTTTGAGACAGAGCTGGAATGCAGTGGCACAGTCACAGCTCACTGCAGCCTTGACCTCCTGGGCTCAAGCAGTCCTCCCACTTCAGCCTCCCAAGTAGTTGGAACTATAGGTATGATCCAGCACACCCAGCTAATTTTTTATTTTTCGTAGAGATGGGGGTCTTGCTATGTTCCCCGGGCTGGTCTTAAACACCTGGACTCAAGCAATTCTTCTACCTCAGCCTTCCAAAGTGCTGGGACTACAGGCCTAAGCCACTGCTCCTGGCCCTTAACCTCTTTCTTTATGGGTAAAATGGGAAGAAAATATCACCTCTCCCACACATTCGAGGTAGAGACTAATATTAGTTAATATAGGTAAAGTGTTTGGAGTAACACATGGCATGTAATAAATGCTCCACAAAACACAAGCTGTTATTAGTTCAGTTCTGTGATTAGTTCTGTGAATGCTGAGGAGGCAGAGGGAGTGAAATTCAAATCCTAGCTCCATCCCTTCTTAGCTCTAGGACCTTGGTGAAATCTCGTAACTTCTCTAGGTGTTCGTTTTTCTTACCTGTTAAGCAAAGAAGATCTTAGTATTCACCTTGCCAGGTGGTTGAGAGGGTCTATGTCTTTGTAAACTGCATGGAAATAATTCACCTTATGGGGGAAGAAGATAAGTCCCAAAGAAGTCTCTTTCTTTATTTCTTTCCAGCAGGCTGTGAGCACCTCCTGTGTGCCAGGTCCCCAGAATGCCTTCAACAAGCTGGGGCCTGTGCTCTTTCTGTCCTGGAAGACAGCAGAGGGCAAGGTGGAGATAGTGCGTGCCCCCTTGGTGCTCACTTTTAGTCCTGACCAGCTCTGTGAGATGGGGTGGCAGGCATGACCACCCCGTGTCACAGAGGTGGAAACTGATCCAGAGAGGTGAAGAGGCTGCCCAGGGCACAAGGTTCACGTGCACCTGCTCCTCTGAGAGGCTTCTGTGAACTTCTGTGACAACCCCACCACTGTCTATCTCATCAAAGCCACCTAGGGCCTTGATCTTTCTCACCTTCCACTCTGTGTTCCTATCTAGGTCTCTCTAGCACCTGGCCCAGAGCTGGCCTCAGACATGTTGATTGTGCCAGACAAAATCTACATGCCCTTAGAGCAGGAATCCGTGCAGCTGTGCAATCTGTCACTTCTCCTGTCCTCCATATGCTTCCAGCAAGAAGAAAATGCAGCGTGGCCATTGACCCCTGAGCACCCCCCTCACCACCAAGGTAGGAAGTGGGTGACAAGCACACGAAGTGTGGAGGAGGGGACAGAATGGGGTCTGGAGTCCCAGAGCTCCACATTCTCAGTCCTGGCTGTAACTGTGGACATGGCTTTTCCCCTCTCTGAGCCTCAGTTTTCTTATCTGTAGAATGGGTGCAATCCTTGTAATACCCCTTCTGTTGATATGCAGGATGGAAGAAGCCTGGGTATAGAACTAGGCACAGGAGAGGTACTCAGAAAATGGCAACTGTTTCTATTATGTGGAAGGGGCCACTGAAGCCCTCTCCCCTCACCCAATCTTTCAAGCCCAGTTTGACTCCTCATGACCAAGGGTGAGATAGTAAGTGTAGTGGTTAAGGGCATGAGGCCTAGGCCTGACTGCCTGGGATCGTATCCTGCCTCTACAACCTGATAGCTGTGTGATCCTGGACAAGTGACTTAACCTCTCTGGGCCTTTTTTTCTCCATTTATGAAATAAGTGTAACAAGAGCCCCCAGCTCCTGGAATTGCTGTGATGATCACCTAAGTTCACAAAGGTAAAGGGCCAGGATCCTGCCAGGTGCATGATGAGGGCTATAGGAGCATATGTTGCTCTTCAGGAATCAAGGGGGAGGAGGGACCTGGTGGTTCCTGCACAATTTACAAGGGACTCAGGGACAGGGATGGGAAGGAGGAGCTGGAGAAGAATCCTGCCATGAATCAGCAGGGAATTTCATAAAGCAAAGGCCACTGTATCGGGGATGACCTTCACACAGGGCCCATGTGCCCCCCAGGGAAGGGCTGCCCCACCCCCATCCTTCCCGGAGCCCAGCACAGCGATTGGGCATCTTCATAAGGCAGAAGCTCCATCCTTCTGGCTGCTCTATCTGGAACCTTGGAGCCATCCTTGGCTTTTATTTTTAGATTTTATTTTAAGTTCCGGGGTACATATGCAGGCCTTGCATGTTTGTCACACAGGTAAACGTGTGCCATCGTGGTTTGCTGTACCTATCAACCCATCACCTAGGTATTAAGCCCGACAAGCATTTGCTATTTTTCCTGGTGCTCTTCCTCCCCTAACCCCCCTGACAGGTCCCAGTGTGTGTTGTTCCCCTCCCTGTGTCCATGTGTTCTCATCGTTCAGCTCCCACTTATAAGTGAGAACATTCGGTGTTTGGTTTTCTGTTCCTGTGTTAACAGAAACCCAAACATCCTTGGCGTCTTGATTTCTATTGATCACATCTAGGCCAGCAGCATGCCCCATCTGCTCCACCTTAGAACAGATCTGGAATCCAAGATCTGTCCTCCCTGCCTCTTCACCTCCACAGCCACCCCTTGGGCCCATTCGCCATTCTCTTCTGCTTGAACCACTGCAGTCACCCTGACTGTCCCCTTCATCCTGGCTCCTGACAGCCCATCCTCTACCCGGCCAGAGGGATTCTTTCAGAAAGAAGTCAGACTGTGCCCTCTTCTGTTCAGAACACTCCATGGCTCCCACCTACCCCAGAGGAAAGCTAAGTCCTTCGTTCGACATGCAGGCTTCCATGGGCTCTGCCCTTCACCTCTCTGAGCTCACATCCTCCCATGCTGCCCCTCACTCATTCTGCTGCAGCCACACGGGCCTCTTCTCTGCCATCCTCGCTCATGCCAGGCACGGTCCATCCTCAGGGCTTTGCACTTGCTGTTTACTCTACCAGGAATGCCCTTCCTCTGGAAATCCCCATTGCCCTATCCCTCATCTCTTTGAGGCTGTACTCAAATATTTGCTCAGTGAGACCTTTCCTGCCCTGCACCCCCACCCTCTACTTAGATTTGTTCCTCTCTGATGCTCCCCTCCTCCTTCCCCAGCTTACTTTTCACCTTAGCACTCACTGCCATCAGAAACATGATCTATTTAATTTACCTATGAAGTCTGATGCCCCCTTCCTCCCCCACTCCATAATGCCAGCTCTACGCTGGCGGGGACATGTGTGTTCTGTTCACTGTTGCATCCTAATACATTCAGGTGATGGACGATATGAGTCAAGTGTGTTATCTTGGACACTGATGGAGGCAAGATTGTCGGGGTGAGGGTGGAAGCAGGAGACCAGGAAGGAGGCTCCTGCAGGGGCCAGGTGAGAGAGGTGGGATTGGGCCAGGGCAGGGAGGGGTGGCTGTGTCTGGATGGAGCAGCAAGTGGTGTGAGGGGTGAGGGAAAGAGAGGAGTTGAGGATGACACCCTGGTATCTGGCCTGAGCATCTGGAAGGATGGGGGTGCCCTGGATGGAGATGAGCTGTGGTGGGAGAGCAGGTTTCAATCCTGGCCAAGTTCCATGGGAGCTGCCTCCTGAGGCCTGCTAAGGCCAGATGCTGTTCCAGGGACTCCAGAACAGCAGCGTGTCACACAGTCTGCCTTCTCGTCACTCTTGTCTCATGGATTGGCATGGCAGCACTGCTGCTTACTGGGAAACATTGAGCCAGTGGCACCACTCCCCGAGCCTCAGTTTCCCCATCTGGATGACAGTCCCTCCCTCCCAAGGCCCGTGTGCAGCTCCATGAGCTCATGCCTCTGACATGCCTGGCATCCAGTGGGTGCTCCAGCAGAGCTCGTTCCTTCCCTGTCCAGCCCCTATGCTGGCTGTCCCCCAGGAGACTGTGCTGGAAGCATTATTTTCAAGCCTGGCTCTGGCGGGCTGGGCCATGGCTCTGAAGGCTGCGGGGAGACCACAGTGCTATAGCAGCATCCCAGCTTTCTTGATGCCAGGAGACCGTGGCTCAGGGGAGGCTGCCCTGTGTCCATGCACTGCCTGGTAACCCTTTATGCGAAATTATGTCATGTCACCCCATGCTGTTTATAAACAGCTCTGACGTTTCCCAAGCAGGGCCATGGGGGAGGGGCCTGCACCTAGTCCTCCCACCCCCCACCCCCCGATGCCAGGACCTGCTGGTGACCCCTCCCGTTAGCCCACATCACACAGAGTAAAGTGGGTGGACTGGCCTCCAGCCAGCGCTGGCCTGGTTGTTTCAACACCTCCAAGCATCTCGCAGCTGACCAGCCCTGGGGTATTTTTAAACCCTGGCCTCGGCCAACCTTTTTGTCACATTCAGGTCGGGGCTTGAGTTTAGTGCATGCCCCTATTCAGGTAGCTGGGCGGGGGTTGGGATTCACTGGACAACAAACATTTAATCCAGTTCCAGAACCTGGGGACCTACTATGTGCCAGGAGTGGGGACCCCAGGGGGACTCCCTCACAAAGCCTGTCCCCAAGGTGCTCACTGTCTGGCAGGGACACTGTGACAGGTCCACACTGCGACAAGTGCTAAGATGCAGGCCAAGATGGCAGTGGCAACTCAAATATCCACAGGCCCAGTGGGTTACACTAACAAATGAAGTGGGCCTGGTGTGAGACTTCGGGGAGGGGTGGGGCCTGAGGAAACTGGCGAGCCCACGCGCAGTCTGAAGGGGCTGGCTGCGCGCCCCTCAGCTCCAGCCACTGTTGTCATGAGGGATTTGGGTCCAGAGCTTCTGATTTTCCAGGAGAAGGTACAAATCTAGGTTTATGTGAGATTTCATGAAAAACAACAACAACAGCAAAAAAACCTTGACTTTTAAATGTTGGCAATAAATTTTGTAAAAATGTCGAAAACATTCTGAGAGCCAAATGACACCCGCTTGTGGGTTGGACTCAGCCCACGAAGTCAAGCTGAGGCAAACAGTTTGTGCTCTCTGATGCAAACAGGTGCACTATAAAATAGCCAACAAATGCGGGCTGAACACCTACCCTGAGCTCCTTCTACTGTTCCAGGCCCCAGGAAACAGCCAGGAACAAGGTGGAAACATGCCTGCCCTCATGTCTCTTTCAACCAGTGGGATTGCTGGCACCAGCTCCTACTGGCTCAGGAATTCTGCAGGCTAGTTTTCACACACAGCTGTCACTAAGAATTAAATTGCACGAACTTCCAGTTAAATAAGTTAAAACAAAAACAAAGGTAACAACTGCTCACAGATCACCACTTTCTCACCATTTCACTGTTCTCTGTGTTCTTGAAGTGATTGATGTCTGTTGTGTCACATTATATCATATACCATATCCCATGGTGGAAATAGTATATAACATGGTCTTCCCAATGCCATGCTCAGTAAGTCACACTGGTAGCTCCAAATGGATCATGGTGGGAGTATTAACACCACACAAATGAATACGTGTAAAAATCAGGGCTCCCCCTTGTTGAGAAGGCGTCATTAAACATTTAGCAGTAAACCAGATTTTTTTTTTTTTGTGATGAAATCTCACTCTTGTCACCCAGGCTGGACTGCAATGGTGCCATCTCGGCTCACTGCAACCTTCGCCTCCGGGTTCAAGTGATTCTCCTGCCTTAGCCTCCTGAGTAGCTGGGATTAGAGGCACACGCCACAATGCCTGGCTAATTTTTTGTATTTTTAGTAGAGACAGGTTTCACCATGTTCGCCAGGCTGGTCTAGAACTCTTGACCTCAGGTGATCCACCTGCCTTGGCCTCCCAAAGTGCTGGGATTACAGGTGTGAGCCACTGCACCTCACCCCCAGATTTTTAGAATACTGATATATATGGCACTTTGGGAGGCCGAGGCAGGCGGATTGACTGAGGTCAGGAGTTCGAGACCAGCCTGGCCAACATGCTGAAACCCCGTCTCTACTAAAAATACAAAAATTAGCCGGGCATGGTAGCAGACGCCTGTAATGCCAGCTACATGGGAGGCTGAGGCAGGAGAATCACTTGAACCCAGGAGGCAGGGGTTGCAGTGAGCTGAGATCGTACCACTGCACTCCAGCCTAGACAACAGAGCAAGACTCAAAAAAAAAAATACTGACAAATACGGACTATGTCAGATAGTAGTAACTACAGTGAATGAAAATAAAGCAGGTAGAGGGATAGATGATGGAGGGGAGTATTTGAGATGGGTAAATCATGGAAGGCTTCTCCGGGGAGGTGATATCTGAGCAGAGACCTGAATAAAGTGAGAGAGTGAGCCAGACAGATACCTGGCTGAAAAAGGTTCAGACAAAAGGAAGAGCAAGTTTCTACCTAGAGGCAGGAACAAGCTTGCTAGTTCAGAAATGGGAAGGAGGCCAGCGTGGCAGGAGCACAGTGAATGGAGAGAGAGGTAGGAATGGGACTGGGGAGGTGGGCAAGGGTCAGATTATACAAGGTCTTATAGGCCAAGGTAGGAGGTGAAGTTTTATTCTAAGAGGGGTGAGAAGCCCTGGAGGATTTGAGCAGGGAAGGGACATGACTGGGTTTATCTTTTTTTTTTTTTTTGAGATGGAGTCTCACTGTGTTGCCCAGGCTAGAGTGCAATGGTGCGATATTGGCTCACTGCAACATCCGCCTCCTGGGCCCAAGTGATTCTCCCACCCAAGCCTCCCGAGTAGCTGGGATTACAGGCATGCCCCACCATGTCTGGCTAATTTTTGTATTTTTAGTGGAGATGGGGTTTCATCTTATTGACCAGGCTGGTCTCGAACTCCTGACCTCAAGTGATCCACCCGCCTAGGCCTTCCAAAGTGCTGGGATTATAGGCGTGAGCCACTGTGCCCGGCCAGTTTGTCTTTTGAAATATTTCCTCTGACTGTGTGGATTGAGTGGAACAAAGCTGGAAGCCAGGAGACCAGGGAGGAGGAGCTCACTGCCACGGTTCAGGTGGGCAAGGACGGTGGCAGCCTGCACCTCGGTGGTAGCTGTGAAAGTGGCAACAAGGGCACAGATTCAGAATGTATTTGGCAGTCAAGTCAGCAAGACTTGCGATGGATGGGATGTGTGGGGTGAGGGAAAGAGGAACAAGGGGCCTCCAGGACCTTGCCTGAACACCTGTGTGGAGGGCAGCACTATTTCCTGAGCTGGGAAGACAGGTGGGCAGGGCTGGGGTTTTAGGAGAGGAAATAAATGGAGTATTCCGCTTTGTGAAGCTTAGGGGCCTGCGTGAAACCTACGTGGAGGTGTCAGCTCACCAGCTGGGCATTGTAGTCTAGAGTACAACGTAGTTCTGGAAGCAATGTCCCTGTGTCACAGTGGCAACCCCAAGTAGGGGGCTGGGGGGATTCTGGGAGGGCCTCCTGGTGGAGGAGTCCTGAAGTACCAGGAGAAGAAGCCCATGGCGAGAGAACCATGGAGGGAAAGTGGCCCAGGAGGAGGGCACAGCAGGGGCAAAGGCCTGGAAGCAGGGCAAAGCATGTTCTTTTTGGAGGGGGTCCAGTGGTGGGAAAGAAGGCTAGAAAGGCAGAGGACAGATCACAAAAGGCTGCTTCTTTCAGCTGAAGGAGGCTGCAATGTACCCTCAGGGCACTGGGTTGAATTGTAAAGAGGTGCAGGCCAGGAGGGCACTTTACCAAGGAAACACTGCAATGACTTTGTGCCTTGAGATGCCCGGGCATGCGAGCCTCTGCCCTCCCCTGCCCACCGGGCCCCCCTCATCCACCCCAGCATACACAGCATAGTGCCCTCCAAGTCAGCCCAGAGCCTTTGCCAACCCAGCCAGTTTCTTGCAGAATCCTCGCGGGTGAACTAGGAAAACAAAATAACCCCAACGGCAGGAAGAAGGGTCAAGGGAATATTCAGGAATGTTGGTGTCTGGATTTCCATCGGCAGTAAGTTTCCATCAACAGGAAGGCCCAGGATGTTACCTCCTGGGACAGGGTGTGACTGAGGGGCGCATGACATGGCGTGGACTCAGGTATTGACGGGGTCTTTGTAACCAGTCCTCTTGGGAGGGAAATGGGGGAGTGAGGCACAGCTCTGCAGCCTGGCCCTGTCCTGTCTTAGGGCCTGAGTTCAAAGGCAGCTTTTTCTGCCACACATCTGCTGGGTGATATCGGGCAAATCATTCCTCTTTGTGAACCTCAGAGTTCTTATCTGTGTTTTCCCATCTGTAAAAGGGAATAATAATGGCACCTATAAGTGCATCATTCACCTTCCTCCAGGAATTGTTGGGGGGTGAAGTGAGATTTTTTAAAATGTCAGTAATTTAGCCCACTGCCTCACACCTGCTAAACTCCCAATAAATGCCAGCTGTCAATCATTATTTGCAAAGTTATTATTCATTATTGAGTACTTACTGTATGCCAGGCTTTGCGCTGTGGGGGCTATCTAATTCAAGCTTCATTCCCTCCCCGTGTGTAAGGACTGTTATTATTTTACAGGAAGGGAAACGGAGCCTCCAGGAGTTGGCCTGGCTTGCCCATGGTAAAGTTGCTAGTAGGGGACACAGCAGGGGTTTGAACCCAAGTCTAACCTCGAAACCTGCTGTCATACTCATTCTGTGTTCTGCATGCCTATGAATTAATCGGGCTCCAGAATTTCGGGAAATAGTAGTAGTCTGTGTGACCCCCCCAGATCTATCCACACCCGTGGTGAACCTTGCTCTTCCTGGAGCCAGCCAGCTCAGGCTACACCCTTGACCTGGGGTGTAGCAGATGGTTGCTGTTCCAAAGCAGCCAAGGGCCTGGAGAAGCAGAACCACCCTGGTCCAGTCTGGGGCCTTCCTCTTGAATCAGGAGTCCAGCTGAGCACCCGTGTCCCATCAATAAACGTGCCCAAAAATAGCTTGCTGGGCCCCACCAGGGCAGGAGGACCAGGACATCCTGTTCCTGCAGGCTCTGGCCAGTGACTGTGTACTTGGCCTTCCCGGTCAGAGGCTGCTGGAAGGGAGGGCAGAGCTCACCCTGCCTGGGGCCTTGTGGGAGTGAGCTGTGCCCCTGGGCACCAACACTCCCCACCTCAGACATTGTGGAGCTTCTCAAATGTGCTGCTGGCAAGGCAGATGACTGTATGTGGAGCTGGGCCAACATCTTAGTAGACAGGCTCCCAGAGAGAGAAGGAGCAGAGGCTCTGGAGTCTGACAGGTGTGGGTTCGAATCCCGGCTTGGATATTTCATAGCTGTGTGACCTTTAGGCAAGTCCTTCTCTCTGAGCCTTGGTTTTTCTCACCTGAAAAATGGGGGGAAACCTCTCATAAGGTTATTGTTGTGATTCAGGGAGTTTATGGGTACAAGGAATAGTTTGTAGACTTTGCCAGTTTCTTTATGATTGTCTCTACTCCCCACCCCCAAGATGTTAATCCCAGCAGGAAGTGCAAGGACCTTTGTCTGTTATTTCCGAGGAACTCCAATGCACACAGGATACATTCCGGCTACTTGCAGAATGAATAAACGAATGAATATAAGTGTCAAGCACGTAGCAAGTGCTCAGAAACTCTCAGCAATTCCTATCATTAATGTGCTTGAAAAAGAGAAACTTGGCATTGAGTGTGACTGACAAATGGTATTGGTGAAGATGAGGAAGGAGCTCAAGGGAGCAGGGGAAGGACACGTGTCATACACAAAAGGTCAGGAGGGACATGGAGGGCGAACACCAGGCAGAGGGCTAAGCTGCCGGAAGCTGGGAACCCCAGGGAGTGTGGATGCCGGTCTGGATTCCGGATCTGGGATGGCGGACATGAAATTTCTTGGGAAGACATCCCTCCCCACAGGCAGGGGGCGTCCTCACTGGTCTCGCATAGGTCATCCCCATGAACTTGTGGGAGCTCCATGGCTTCTACATCTGAGGAGCTGATTGGAAGGGGAGGTGGCATGCAGGCTGACAACTCGATGCTTCGTATTCATAATAATCACAGCAACAAGACCGACTCTCACCGATGCAGCCCCTCCTGATGCCAGGCACTGACCTTTGCACATATTGATGCATCGAATCCTCAGAACCACCCCAGGAGGTGGCTGCTATCCTTATTCCCATTTTATAGATGCGGACACCGAGGCTCAGAAAAGCGGTGAAGGTTGCCCAAGGTCACACAGTGAGTGGTTGAGCCCGGGCTGACCTCTTGACATTTCCACTCTCTCCAGCACTCCAGCCACCTGTGACCACATCCACCTCTCCAAGCACACGGGCTCCTTCTCACCAGGGCCTTCCTGGTTGGATCCTCTTTGCAGCACTCAGCCCAGCCGTTCGAGGATGCCAGCATCAGCTTCCTTGGGCTTCTCCTCAGACGGCCCCATCTCACGGAGCTTCCCCTGACCTCCCCCTGCCCCCATGCCCCTGCTGTCCCTCACTGGGCTGTGACAGCCTAGGCACTCATTTGTCTCCACAATCTTTTGTTGTTGTTGTTTTAAGACAGAGTCTTGCTCTGTTGCCCAGGCTGGAGTGCAATGGCATGATCTCAACTCACTGCAACCTCCGCCTCCTGGGTGCAAGCGATTCCTGAGTAGCTGGGATTACAGGTGCCCATTGCCATGTCCGGCTAATTTTTATATTTTTAATAGAGACGGGGTTTCACTATGTTGGCCAGGCTGATCTCGAACTCCTGACCTCAGGTAATCCGCCCACCTCAGCCTCCCAAAGTGGGATTACAGACGTGAGCCACCACAACCAGCCTGTCTCCACAATCTTAAGCACAGGGGAGGGGTCTGCATTTTTTCTGGAACCAGGTGTCCAGCAGAGAGTGGGCACTGCTGGAAACTGTTTTGCAAAATAAACACACTCATGGTTACAACTGTGTACCAGGAGGAGCCACGACCCTCAGATCTTTGGGGTCCAGGATTGTACCTAACATAGGCAGTGTGTGGAGGGCAGGCCATGATCACTGAGTCTCTGGCCACTCCCTGGGGCCCTGAGTGTTCTTCCCTGGTCTGCTCACACATGGAGGCAGCATGGCCCCATTGTTAGCATCCAGGCTCCAAGACCCAACCATGTAGGTTCAAATCACAGCTAGTGACCAGCCTACCAGGGGATCCTGGGCAAGTGACTTAATCCCCTGGGCCTCAGTTTACCTATCAGAAAAATAGGGAAGTGATAGGATTGTTGTGAGCATTAGATGGATTTTTGAAGTTATTATTTATTTATTTTAGAAACCAGAGTCTCACTCTGTCACCCCGGTTGGAGTGCAGTGGCTTGATCATAGCTCATTGCAGCCTCCCAACTCCTCGGCTCAAGTGATCTGCCTGCCTTAGCCTCCCGAAAAGCTGGGACTACAGGTGCACACCACCATGCCTGGCTGATTTTTAATTTTTTTGTAGAGATGAGGTCTCACTCTGTTGCTCAGTCAGGTCTCAAACTCCTAGTCTTAGGTGATCTTTCTTCCTCAGCCTCCCAAGGTGCTGGAATTACAGGCGTGAGCCACTGCATCTGGCCTAAATAATTTTTGTGTGTGTGTGTGGTTTATTTTTGAGACTGGGTGTCACTCACTCTGTCACCTAGGCTGGAGTGCAGTGGTGAGATCTCAGCTTACTGCAGCCTTAACCTCCAGGGCTCAAGCAATCCTCCCATCTCCACCTCCTGAGTAGCTGGGACTACAGGTACATGCCACCACACATGGCAAATGTTTTATTTTTTGTAGGGATGGGGGTGTCTCGCTATGTTGCTGGGGTTGGTGTTGAACTCTTGGCCTCAAGAGATTCTCCCACTTTGCCTCCTAAAGCACTGGGATGAGTGTGAGCCACTGCACCTGGTCTAAATGAGTGTAATGCCTAGTCAATATCTGGCTCTTGCCAAGTGCTTCATCAGTGCTAGTGGATATTATTGTTTTAATCATTACTGTTATTGTTAGGCAAGGCAGATTATGTAGGATCCTAAGTAGGAAGTTTCATCTTTATCTTGGGCAGCAGTGGGCAGATTCAAAAGCCTGCTCTCAGTTGGTTTCAATAACAGCAAGAGAAGTGAGAGGAAGTAGGAGGGCGATGCTAACTGTGGTGGCGTCTAGCGCGTAAGTGGTCAGGGCTCTGCCCCACAGCTCACCTGTGCCAATGACTTCACTCCCACACACAGCCCCCATCTAACAGAGGTCTCTGATTACCCCCTTTTCAGATG
Organism: Homo sapiens; assembly: GCF_000001405.40. Taxonomy (NCBI): domain Eukaryota; kingdom Metazoa; phylum Chordata; class Mammalia; order Primates; family Hominidae; genus Homo; species Homo sapiens. Next base: position 57,352,245 of record NC_000007.14, read on the forward strand.
GGAAAGCACAGGCTCAGCACTATGTCACCTGCCCCAGGGCACACAGCCAAGGAGTGGCCAAGCCTGGGTTCAAACCCTGGGATGTTTCCTATTGCTGCTGTAACACATTATACCAAACTTCAAATCAAGCACATTCATGACCTTACTGTTCTGAAAGTCAGAAAGCCAAAGTGGGTCTTGCAAGGGGAAAATCAAGGTGCGGGGCAGTATGGGTTCCTTCTGGAGGCTTCAGGGGAGAATCCATGCTTGTCTTGAGGCCAATGGCACTTGCTGGCTTGCACCGCTCCCACCTCTGCTCCCACCATCACGTCTCTGGGCCCAACCCTCCCATCTCCCTCTCATAAGTCCCCTGGTGACTGCCTTGGGCCCACTGGATAAGCCAGGCTCATCTTTCCATCTCAAGACCCTGAATTGAATCACACCTACAAAGTCCCTTTGCCATGTAAGGTCACGTATTCACAGGCTCCAGGGATTAGGACACGGGCACCTTTGGGGGGCCATTATTCTGTCTACTGCACACCTAGAGTCTGGCTCCAACCCTGCCTTTTTGGCTTTCCTTGGGAGTGCCTCAGGCTGAGGGCGAACAGAGGAGGCCCTGCACAGTGGCGGGAGAGTGGGTGGCCTGGTCTCCAGGCAGACCTGGTCCTTTATGTGAGAAGGCTGCAAGGCTGGGAGAGTAGGCCCAGGGGTGAGTGAGGACCACTAGGTCAGAGCAAGGGGACTAAAGAGACCTAGGACGAAGCTCCTGCTGACCAGGGCCAGAAAAAAGCAGGCCTGGTGGCCAGAGAGGCCAACTTTCCAAAAGAAGCTGGAAATTCTGGGTTTTATATGAAATCGCCAATTTTTAAATATTGGCAAATGATTCAAAATGATGAAGGAAACAAGTTATACAGAACCACACAGTGCGGGTCACACAGAACCACACAGTGCAGGTCATACGAAACTCGTCTGAAGCCAGACGAGGCCTGCAGGCAGCAAGCTGGTGGCCGTCAGCCTACCAGGGAGAGAGGGGAAGGCCAGTCCCTGCCGAGGGCAGTGAGCATCCGGAACATTCGTGGAAGGGGTCACCTGAGGATTTCCTTGTGCCTGTTCTGCCGGGTGGGGGAAGCCTGGGCAGGTTGTGTTCAGGAAGGGGACAGCAGGCTTCCCTGAGGGGAAGGCCCAGAGCAAGTAGGGGTGCAGACCAGGCTCAGCTCAGGCCCAGTTCCAGCACTGCCTTCAGGCAGGCAGGGGGCCGTGAGGCCTCGGGCAAATTACCTGGCCTCTCTGGGCCTCCCTTTGCTCTCAGTGGAGGTTGACTCCACAGAATATCTAGGTTCATGCATTCACTGAACAAATACTTGCTCTATGCCTGGCCCTGGGGACTTGGGAATGCGCAAAGCAGAGCAAGCCCCTGCCTCCAGGGTAGGTAGGTGGGGCCTGGATGTGGAATTGAGCCCGGGCTTCCTAAGGAAGGAGTCAAGAGCTGTCAGTTCTTCCCCTGCTGACAACCGCTTCCACAGCCTCATCCTGGAAGTAGTTGTGGTTCGTGACTTTTGTTCATTCATTGAGCGCCAACTGAATGCCATGTATTCTATCCTCAAAACCTATAGGGTTGGTGTTATTATGACCTCATTTTACAGGTGGAGAAACTGAGGCTAGGCACACAGGTCACACAGCCAGGAGGAGGCAGGGGTGGGAGGGACCCCTCACCTCTGCCTCTTCTCCCAGGCCCTCTGCCTTAGCTCTGAGCTATTTAGCAGAGGCCCTGGGGAAGCTCTTAGAGCCATCAGCTAGGGCCTACCTGGGGGGAATGTGGAGGGAATGTATTCTGTGTTTGCTAAACTTTGTCCTGAATTTACCTTCTCTCGACTTCAAGCAGACCTGGTGCCTCCTCTCAACTTCAAGCCACTGTATGGCCCTTGGTGCCCTTAGAGATTTCAAGCTGATCCTCTTTCATCTTTCTGGACATGAGGCCTGGGTAATTTTTTTGTCTCTCCTTCTGAGGCCATCCTGGGATCTCTAAGCCATTTTACAATCATAGTGTCCAATTGCAAGCACCTGCCATATATGCACCGGGCACCCAATGGGCACAACCTCAGTTAACCTTTAACAATCCCATGAGCCCAGTGCTAGGGCTGATGAGAAACTGAAGTTCGACAGGGATGAGTCACTTGCCCAAAGTCACATCACCATAAACTAATGGGTTCAAAGCTACATCATTACCTACGGTGCCATGTAGCTTCTCTCCACCAACCACTGGGGGATGGGAGGGGTGGTTCTGCTCTGCACCAAGAACTTCACCTGCCTTCTGCTTAATTCATTGCCAGGAAAAATCCCTGAGCATTTCATTTTCCCACAAGTCCCCAGTGTGGGGGCTTCTTCCTGGGATCGGGGGACTGGGTTTCTAATGTATTCGGAAAACGCTTTCCAAGGCCCTTTTCTCATCTCCAAACCCACCCGATTGTTTTGCGTGGGGTTCCACAGTGGGGAATTTCTCTCCATCTTTTCCCCCGTGGTTGGGAAGATGAGAAGAGAATTAACAGTGTGCGCTGACAGCGGGGTGCAGGGGAGGGCTTTGGAGTCCCGGATTCCAAATGCCAAGGGAAGGCCTGGTCAGGAGGGTGGAGTTGCCCAATTAGAACTTGGCTGGTTCTTATCAGCTCTGGAGCTCTGTGCCGGGCAGGCGCTGGAATCAAAGGAGGTCAGGGCTGTTTATTTACTTTCTCCCCTCCTTTTTGGCAAAAGGAGATCAAAGGTAAAAGTAAATCCTCTGCTCTGCACCTCTCCTCCCACCGTTTCTTCCTTTTTCTTTCCTCCCTTAGAAGCCTGAGAACTAAAAGCCGTAGATGTGAAGGGAGGGTTTTTGTCATCACCACTGTTTCCCTGGCACTGACTCTGCACTGGGCCCTGGGCTAAGAATTTTGCAGAATGGCACAAATCGCTGCAACTAACATGACGTGTGACAGCTCTTATTATCCCCATGTGGCAGAGGAGAAAACTGAGGCACTGAGAGGGGAAGTCACTCTTCAGAGGTTACTCAAACCTCTCTAGCTTCTGGCTCCATGCTCTCTCCCTTTCTTCCTTCCTTCCTTTCTCTTTCTTTCTTTTTTCCTTCCTTTCTTTCTCTTCTTTCTTTGTTTCTTTGTTTCTTTCTCTTTCTTTCTTTCTTTCTTTCTTTTCTTTCTTTCTTTCTTCTCCTTCCTTTCTCCCTCCCTCCTCTTTCTCTCTCTTTCTTTCTTTCTTTCTTTCTTTCTCTCTCTCTCCCTCTCTCTTTTTCTTTGTTTCTTTCTTTCTTCCTTTCCTTTCTTCTTTCTTTTTTAGAGGCAGGGTCTCACTCTGTCACCCAGGCTGGTCTTGAACTCCTGGCCTCAGGAGTTCCTCCCACCTTAGCCTCCCAAAGCGTTGGAATTACAGACATGAGCCACCACGCCCGGCCCAGGTCCATGCACTTAATCATGCCTCAAGCCACATCCCTCCTGAAAATACGCATTTCCACTAAGAAAAATGAAAATAGTACAAAGGTGGCTAACAGCAGAAATCCAACTTCAAAGGTTCCCTGAGTCCTTCTGTTGTGCAGTGAGTTCAGAGGTTATGAACGGCCAAGCAAGACACACAGATGATTAAAGGCAGTCAGGTGGGATGCCGTAGGGAGTGGTGGAGACTGTGGTGAAGTGGAGAGTCCCTGAGATGCAACTCAGCATCAGTCCATTGCTGCCTTACAAAAATGAGAGCCCAGTGTGGTCGGGACTTTCGGACAAGCCAGGTGTTTTATGTGAACTCTCTGGATTTGTAGTAGAAGATGGGAGTCCATTTTTATTTTTTGCTGATAGTGGGCTCTGCTGGGGCCCTGGATTAAATATTCCATTTTCCCAGTGAGTTGAAATATTATCTTTGTCCTGATCCTTCCCACTGTTCTTTTATTTTATACTTTTTTCTTCGTGAACTCGAAGATTGTTTTATCCAACTAAAACAACCCTGTGTGTCGCTACTTTAAATTGCATTAAGCTTATATATGTTGGCAGAATTATCATCTTAAGGATGTGAAATCTTCCCATCCAATTATTCTCATCTTATTTGGTGCCCTTTGGGAGGATTTTTTTAGTTTTCTTCCAAAATATCTTGATTTTTTAAAATAATGCCAAAATTCCAAGCTCTTTGAACTGCATGGGCCAAGCAACGCCTCCTGGGGGCTGTGTTTGGCCCAGGGGATCCCTGTTGCCCCCTGAGATTCAGGGCAGCCTCACCCCATGGGGGAGACTTAACACGCTGAACATGCTGTCCCAGATGGGGAGATCTCCATTGCCACAGAACTGGGGGCAGGCTGGGCTGGGAAACTCTGGGATGTTCACTGCTTGACCCACTCTGTGGGAAGCCAGGGTGCCCACTTCCTTCATACTCAGCCAGATAAGCCCGCCGAGGCCGTGCCTTCCTGCTGAGGCTTCTGCCAGCTCATTTTTGACCAGCACTTAAAACAACAATTAAAAATAACCCATATGGTGTGCTTTGCTCTTTAAAAAGCAAAGCAACTTATTTTTTATTTTGATTTTTGAGACAAGGTCTAGCTGTCACCAAGGCTCGAGTGCGGTGGCATGATTATGGCTCACTGCAGCCTCGACCTCCTGGGTTCAAGTAATCCTCCCACTTCAGCCTCCAGAGAGGCTGGAACTACAGGCAGGTACCACCATGCCCTGCTAATACTTTAACTTTTTTTTATAGAGATAGGGTCTCACTATGTTTCCCAGGTGGGTGTTGAACTCCTAGACTCAAGTGATCCTCCCACCTCGGCCACCTAAATTGCTGGGATTACAGATGTGAGTCACGACTTGCCCAGTGTGCAAAGTACATTTTTAAGAAATAAGAGGCCGGGCGCGGTGGCTCACGCCTGTAATCCCAGCACTTTGGGAGGCCGAGGCGGGTGGATCATGAGGTCAGGAGATCGAGACCATCCTGGCTAACAAGGTGAAACCCCGTCTCTACTAAAAATACAAAAAATTAGCCGGGCACGGTGGCAGGCGCCTGTAGTCCCAGCTACTCGGGAGGCTGAGGCAGGAGAACGGCGTGAACCCGGGAAGCAGAGCTTGCAGTGAGCCGAGATTGCGCCACTGCAGTCCGCAGTCCGGCCTGGGCGGCAGAGCGAGACACCGTCTCAAAAAAAAAAAAAAAAAAAAAAAAAAAATAAGAAAACACCGTCTGTTGGTCCAGGAAGATTTATCGAGATCCACTAGTGCCAGGCACTGGGCAAGGCTCTGGGGACGGGGTGAAGTTCCCGCTTTCGTAGGTCTGAAGCTCTAGCAGGGAACACAGGCGGTAAGTGCAGAAACAGATGAAAAAATACGGTGCATTCCAGTGACGGTCAGGGCATAAAGAGATAAAATAAGGTGAGTGGAATAAGAGGGACTGGAGGGCCACCTTAGGCAAGAGCTTGGGGAGGGCCTCTCAGCAGAGGTGACATTTTGCTGAGACAGGAATGACGAGAAAGAAACAACGGTGGGACTCCTGTCTCAGTGGTCACTCTGATACCCAGGAAACCACTGTGTCTTTCGGGCATTTAACCGGCCAAACTTTTTTGCCTAATTATATTTTTATATTTTGTTATTTATTTACTTAATTTATATATTACATGTTTACATTTTCTAAACTGACCATGCAGTGTTTCATAACTGTCTATTTTTCCTACTTGAAGGCTTAGTTTCCCCATCTGTCAACTGGAGATGTTCTCAGTAGCCACCCCACGTGAAGGCAAAACACAGGCCGATGTGAGGACTTACTAAGGAAATGACCTATGGAACACAATTGATCCAAAGATGAGCAATTATTGTATATTTTTATTATCTTTTGTTGAATTACTTTTATGAGTCCCAAGAGGTGGAGATTGGCATTTCCATTTTGCAGGTGAGATTTTTCAGGCTCAGAGAGTCACACATCAAAGGCTGAGGTGCGAGCAGTTGGAAAGAGGACAGGACGGCATTCCTCTGACCCCCAGCCTGGATACAGTGAAACCTCAACCACATAGAGCCCCTTTTTCTTGGGAGAGGAAGTCGAGGCTGAAACCAGCGGCTTCTTTTTGGTCATTTTTTTTCCCTTTCTGCGATGTTTGTTTTTGTGAACATCGCACTTATCTGATGTCACAGGTTTTGGGAACCTAAACCACAGACATAAACACATTGTGTTGTACTTTGAAGGATTGTGCAGTGAGACAAGTGAGTTTGGTGATGGGGGGGGATACAGCGTGCATGGACGCAGGGCTTTTTTTTTTTTTTGCAGAACTAAGAATGTCTATGTTTGTTCTCGGGTTCAAAGAAGTCAGTGTCTTTGGTGGGAGCTGGGCCACCATTGCCCAGACCACACTGGGGTGCTAAGTGCTCACATCCTCCCCAGCACTGTCCTCAACAGCCAGGAGGCAGGCACAGGGGAAAACCCACCAGCAACACCAGCACCACAGTGTCCACACTCGCTGAAGATGCTGCAGAAAAGGCCCATGGGCCAGGGTGCCTGGGGGCAGGGCATGCTGGGCACCGTCCATCTTCTGGCAGGTTCTGGTTAACCCAAAAATCCTGTTTGGTTTTCCTGTGCCTTTTGAGAATGTCACTCAAACCCCTGAATCCTCTCTGTGATCTAAGTGTCATGAGGCCTGAAAAACCTTGCTGCCTGCTGCAGACTTCTCCCTTTCCTGGTCCCCATGAAGACTGTTATCCACATGCAGCCAGAGGGATTCTGTAAAATCAAAGTCAAGGCAGGGCCCTCCTCTGCTCAAAACCCTCCCATGACTCTCCATTTCACTCAGGGAAGAAGCCACGCCCATACTGTGGCCTCCTTCACCTCTCACACTCATTGCACAGGCGGCCACCAAGCCCTTTTCTACCCCAGCACCTTTGCACTTTCTGCCGCCTTACTTCATTGCAATCCGTTCTTAGCAGAGAGGCTGACCCTGAATTCCCTCCTGAAATAGTGACCCTTCGTAAATAATTCTCCCCTTGCCTTGCCTTATTTGTCTTCATATCTCTTCATCACTACCTGACATGTTAGATATTTATTATTTTCTCTCTTGCCATTGGGCCTAAGTTCCCAGGGCCTCTCGTGTTTCTCCAGTGCCTCTGGCACATGGAGCGAGCACAGTCATTTCCTTTTGTGTGTAAATAAATGAAAGAATCTTGGACTTGACCACTTCAGACCAAGGGGTTTAGCCCAGGTCTCTGGGACAATGAGGATTCTGAAGGATTTTTCACTAAGGATTGACAGAATCAATTGGTTTGGGAGAGATCACTGCAGCTTCTGAAAGAAGCCACCTGTCCCATGAGGGCATGCGCCATATGGAATACAAACAACTTGATATCAGTGCCTCCCTCCCCAGGGGGTGTTTCAGGAATTAAATCAGAAAATATGGGGATGAGGCTTAGCCCTGTCCTTGGCACACAGGAAGTACTCAGCCAGTGGTCATGGTCAGCATCAGCTGTAACATGAATGGACCATGGAGACAGGGTCTTGCTGACATCCAGGTTCCCAGATTGGGCAGCTGCATGGAGGGGGTTGTGTGTCATGGGAATAAAGGAGGAAGGAGTTTGAGGTGGGGCTGAGGCTGAGGGTGCTGAGGTCAAAGCAGGAGAAAGATCTGGGGATTCTGTGAGATGTTCAGGTGGCATGCCCACTCGGCAGCTGGAGTCAGGAGAGAGCCCACTAATGGATTTGGGGGTCATTAGTGCCAAAATGGTGACTGAAAACTAGAGAATGGTTGAGATGGCCCAGAGACTACACATAGAGACAGAAAAGAAGAGCTGGGATGGAACGCTTAGGGCTCCCCAGTGTTTGAAGGGAGAGAGAAGAGGAACCCATAAATGATACCAAAACAAACTCAGAGAGGTTGGAAGAGCATCGGCAAACAGCGATGATAAGGAAGACAGTCACCCACGTGACTTTGTGGTTCCTCCCACAAAAGGGATGGAGTGTATTTGCCCAGCCTTGACTTCAGTTCGGCCATGGGACTTGCTTTTGCCAATAGCATGAGATGAAAGTAACAGTGTGTCATTTTGAGACCAGGCTTTAAGATCTCTTGCATGTGGCTGGGCATGGTGGCTCATGCCTGTAATCCCAGCACTTTGGGAAGCTGAGGCAGTGGGTCAAAAGGTCAGGAGTTTGATAGCAGCCTGGCCAACATAGTGAAACCCCATCTCTACTAAAAATACAAAACAATTGGTCGGGCGCAGTGGTTCACACCTGTAATCCCAGCAGTTTGGGAGGCCAAGGCGGGCAGATCACGAGGTCAGGAGTTCAAGATCAGCCTGGTCAACATGGTAAAACCCTGTCTCTACTAAAAATACAAAAAATTAGCTGGGCGTGGTGACGCACATCTGTAATCCCAGCTACTCAGGAGGCTGAGGCAGGAGAATCACTTGAACCCAGGAGGCAGAGGCTGCAGTGAGCGGAGATCCATGCCATTGCACACCAGCCTGGGTGACAGAGCAAGACTCCATCTCAAAAAAAGAAATACAAAACAATTAGCTGAGCATGATGGCACGTACCTGTAATCCCAGCTACTTGGGAGGCTGAGGCAGGAGAATCACTTGAACCCAGGAGGCAGAGGTTGCAGTGAGTCGAGATCACTCCACTACACTCCAGCCTGGGCGACAGAGTGAGACTCCATCTCAAAAAAAGGAAAAAAGAAAAAAAAGATCTTTTGCATGTTTCCACGTGGCTGTTGTGCCTGTGCCCCCCCATCAACAGCCATGCTCAGAAAGGCCCACTGGTCCCAGGAGAAGGATGAGGGACCCATGAGGCAGAGCAGAGCCAGCCCAGCCAAGACAGCCCACCTCCAGCTGAACAGGAAATGCATTAATGGGTCCAGCCAAGGTCCACCAACCTGCAGCCAACTCCCTATTCAAGATAATAAAAGGTTGGGGGTGGTTTCTCAGGCAGCATTCCTGTAGGCATAGGTGACTGATCCATGCGGTGAGATGGAAATGAAATTGCAGGGAGCTGAACTGAAAAGAGGATGGGACAGAAGAAGTTTCAGTGAATAGAGGTGGAACAGACATTGTCAACTGCCCAACCACAGCTCTTTTCAACTCTCCTCGCTGGTAGGAGAACCCTCTTTTGTTTGAGGGGGCATCAGCATATGCCTTCAAGGAAGGGACCCCCTCCTGAAACTGAGAGGATAAAACAAGTCTCAGCACAGAAGCCCACACACTGAGGTTGGTAGAATGGAAAAAGAAAGAGAACACAGGTATTGGAAGATGTCTTTCAGCCATTGTATCAACAATTCTTGAACTACTGGGGCAGACACTGCTCAGTGCCTGCCCAATGCCCTCACTCCTTTTCTTCCTTGTTGACAGAACCCTGACTTTATTGGGATGGCAATGAGCCAGCAAAAGGCACTCACTCTCCTAGACTGCCTTGCAGCCAGGAGTGGCCACATGATCCAGTATGACCAATGATATGGAAGCCACATTTGCCCCGTGGGGCCCCGGAAGAGCTTTCTAAAAAGAGACAAACATGGTGGACACACTGCTCAGCCCTTGCCCCCTCTTCTGGCCTGTAATGTGGATATGAGCTGAGGGTGGAATGGTCATGCTGCAATTATGGCCAACCATGAGGACAGAAGCCACATGTTCGAGATGGCTGAGCAAAAACTGGGAAAGTGGCCAGGTGCAGCAGCTCATGCCAGTAATTCCAGCACTTTGGGAGGCTAAGATGGGCAGATCACTTGAGGTCAGGAGCTCAAGACCAGCCTCACCAACATGGCAAAACCACGTCTCTACTCAAAATATGAAAATTAGCCAGGTGTGGTGGTGGGCGCCTGTACTCTCAGCTACCTGGAAGGCTGAGGCAGGAGAATTTCTTGAGCCCAGGAGGCAGAGGTTGCAGTGAGCCAAGATCGCACAATTGCCCTCCAGCCTGGGCGACAGAGTGAGACTGTCGCAAAACAACAATAAAAACAACAACAACAACAACAAAACTGGGAAAGAATCTGAGCCCCTGGTAGCACCCTTGAGTCACCCCATCAGCTCTGGATGCCTCTGGATTTCTTGTAGCAGGGGGGCAATACAAATAAACTCTGCTGGGGTCAGGGTCTGTGTTCCTCGAAGCCGAATGCATGCCTGTGGGAGCCGCCAGGCCATCTCTGGGTTTCTCAATGTACGGGAAGACACATTTCCTTAATGATGAAGTCATTTTGAGTTGAGTTTCCCTGCCCCTTGCAGTTCAGTGTGTCCCGGGGAATACCTGGGTTTTGTAGTGAGCTGACTTCTAACAAACCAAGATATGCCTGATTCTAGACTTGAGTGAAATGGGGAAAAGGGAACACTTTTGTCATTCCTGGAACACCTGATGGTGAGACAGAGGCCATGTGATTTCCTGTGCACATTTCTGCCAAGGTCGCTCTGGTCCTTAGCTAAGGACTCAGGGTCTATTTCCACTTTTGATATCTGTGAACTAATCACATTCAGGTGGGTTTTTCTCCCTGGAGGAGGAAGCCAAGGTTCAAGGAGGAAAATTTACTATTGAAGACACACAGCCAAAGCTAGACTCAAAGCCGGATCTGCCTGACTCTGAGACGATCCTTTTTTCTCCTTTCTGGGTTCCTGTCTCCTCATCAGTAGAATGAAGAGATTATTCAAGATCTGCATCCCAAGGACAGGTTTTCTGAGGAAGCTTCTAGGCAAGGAGGGGTTTGGCCCCAGTCACCAGAAGCTGCTCTGAGCCTCAGGCCTTCGGTGGGGCCAGCTGTGGCCCCCCTTCTCCATTCTAGTTTTTATTTTTAGTGTCAAGTTTTTGGGCACAGTAGACTCTCCTTAGGAAAAGTCCAGTGACAGGACAAGGGCGGCGGTTTTGAAATCCAGTGGGAAAGTAGGTCAGGCTGGGTTGCTGGCTGGGCTGCAGATGATAAGGCCTGTATGGAAGTTTAATAACGTGAGCGGCCATATCCATGACATAATTCATAACAGAGAGGAAGTAGCAATTAAGGGGCAATTGTGCAGTGCAAGACAAGCCTCCTTCACAGCTCATAAAAGCAGGAGGAGGAAGAGATGAAGCTGTCATTCTGGGGCTGCTGGGGGCCTGGCTGGTGGCCTGTGGGGATTTGGGGATAAGTCAGTCTGTATGTACCTTGGGGGGTCTATACTCATCTTTCCTCACCCTCTCAGGACTCAGGGAACTGGGAGGATGTAGAAGGCAGAGCGAGTGCCTACTATGTGCCTGGCTCAGCTCAGGCCTGGGGTGAAAGCTGTAAAAACGCTGGGTGTTTTGCTGCGGCTGGGAGGTTTGGGCGCAGCTGCACTGTTTTGGCATTGCCTTGTCAAAACAGAAAGTCGCTTTATCAAGTGAACTGTACCCCAGACACCCGGATCCTTAGTGCATCTTCCCTGCCCCCACCCTTCAGTGACTGTGGACTTTCAATTTCCATTTTATTCGTTTTTCCGTGTGGTGGTTCCACAGGCACCATTTTCTTTTATCATCAGTTTTTAAAAAGCTACTAAATCCACACTGGCCCCTTCTCTGTTCCTTGAACTGGCCAGGCATATGCTATCACCGGTCCTTCGCACTTGCCGTGGCCTCCACCCAGGGGTTGCTCTTCCGCTAGAGATCCATGTGGCTCAGCCCTCACCTCCTTCAAGTCTTCACTGAAATGCCAGCTTCCCATAAAGCTCCAGCTGACCAATCTTTTTAAAACTGCAAACCCACCTGGTGTTCAGGATCTACTGTTCCTGCTTTATTTTTATCTACAGCACTTACCACCAATTAACCCTCTCCACAGGCTGTTCACTTATTTTATCCTCTGCTTGTTCCCACCAGTGCCACCAGCAAAGGAATTTTTGTCCATCTTGTTCTCGGCGGCATTCCCAGCACCAGAAACTGTGCCTGGGGCATAGTAGGTGCTCAGTGAATATTGGTGAATGAATGAATGAATGAATGTTTGCCATTGTAACTGACCGCCCATGAGATTGTAATATGTTGACTTTGTTATCATAAAGCTGACCATTTGCTGGTTTGCTTTGGGGGTGGCCTGAGAATGACTCAAGGTCAAGCCCTCTTGGCTGCTGCTGGTGGGAACAGAAGTTGGGGTGACCAGGGCTGGCTCAGCTGGCTTGGGTATTTGCAGCTGACACCTGTTCTGATAGGTCAGGGATCAACTTGGATATTACCGCTCCCCTCTGCCCTTTCTAAAGAGCTCCTTGGCCACTTCTGTCAAGATTTTAAACACATCCACCAGCTGACCCCACCTGTTCATGAATATTTTTGGGCAAAGGAGCAAAGCTCTGTATGCAAAAGGGGTTTCTTGGCTGGGCACAGTGGCTCACACCTGTAATCCCAGCACTTTGGGAGGCCCAGATGGGTGGATCACCTGAGTTCAGGAGTTCAAGACCAGCCAACATGGTGAAACCCCATCTCTACTAAAAAAAAAATACAAAAAGTATCAGGGCATGGTGTTGCACGCATGTAATCCCAGCTTCCCGGGAGGCTGAGGCAGGAGAATCACTTGAACTCGGGATGTGGAGGTTGCAGTGAGCCAAGATCACACCACTGCACTCCAGCCTGGGGAACAGAGCAAGACTCCATCTCAAAAAATTTTTAAAAAAAGGAGAGGAGGGGTTCTTGCAGAACTTTTCACAACAGCGCATGTGCGTGCACACACATACACACACTCTGACTCCCACAGTCAAGGATACACACATCCCCTCCCCACACTCACTCTCACGCTCATACAATTAACCATATACACTCATTTTGTCATTCACACACCCAGACGCACACGAGTAAATGCTCAGAAATGTGCTGGCACACTCAGCCATACACACTGCCCCTTGCCTGGCTCCCACACATGGCACACAGATGTCTACCCACTCTCACATGCTCAGCCACACACGTGCACACACACACACGCATGTGCACAAGCTCACTCACCTTCCTAAAATGTTACATTCACATGCCAGACACACAGTCACCTCCACACACACGCACAGTCGACTCCACCCTCCAGACACACCTGGACACACACCCTGCCCCTCTTCCACAGGCCGCTGCCCCAGTGCACTCATCTCCTGGTTGTGTTTTGAGGAGTGGGGACAGACACCTGGTCAGTGCATGCCCTGACCCCAGCACCCCTGCCCCTCTCCACCCTGACCGGCTCGATGCGGGCAAACAGGACCGGGGCCAGTTCCGAAAGCCCCGTGGTGCATGATGCCCATGTCAGCCCTGACTGTGCTGCCTCAGGCCACATCTGCCGGGCTCATCTGTCGCTGGGCACCTGCCCACTTCCTCCCCACCAGTGGGTGGGCAGGCTTTGCTGACATCAGGTGGTTTCTGTGCCTGCCTGGCACCAGGAGAGAGGAAGGAAGCAGTCTGTCCCAGCCACGGGAGCCAAGTGAGGAGCCCAGGGCAGGCCCCAGGCCTCGGTGAGCTACAGCCCCTGCAGCTGCATCTGATAGGGCTGGGGTCTGGACTGCCCACCCCTTCACCTGCTGGGACACCATGGCCTGGGCTGGGCAGCAATTCAAGAGGGACTGGGCTCTCTGAGTTACCCCCCAGGTGGTGCACTCCTTCCCTTCTCAACCCTGAGTATAACAGCCACACGCACCATGCACCACGCACTGTTCTCTCCATGAGTGACTCAATCAGCCCTCACACAGCCTATGGGGTGGGTGCTGGTATCATCCTTGCTTTACAAATGCAGAAACTGAGGCACAGAGAGGTGAGGGGAATGGCCCAGGAGCAAGACCTGATGCCCAGCACTCTGGCTCCAGGCCACTGCGCTCAGTCACCCCCACCCTCTCCCAGCTGCTTCGCCTTATTTTGGTTTTGGGTTTTTTTTTTCCTTTGGGGGTTTTTGCTTTATTCTGTTTTGTTTCTGTGAGCCTCCAATATCCACAGCCCTGCACACCTCTCATCTCCAAGAATCCCCAAGAATCATGGCAACCACCTCACAAGCAGAGCACCACTATTAGCCCCATTTAACAGATGAGGAAACTGAGGCTTAAATGACCCACTCAGGGGCAGAGAGCAAGGACGAGGTGTAGCCAGAGTCAGGTTTGGACCTGGGTCTGAGGGCTCTTTCTACAGTGTCAGCTCATCTGCCTTATGTGGCAGAGGCCTTTGATGGACCAGAGGTAGGGAAAAGTCACCCCAAACTTAGCTCTGGGTCTCTGCTGGCATCAAGAGAGGGGGCGAAGGGGGCACTTGGTGCCATAGAACAGTCAGAGAAATAAGAACAAATTTATGATGATGACAATGAAAACTTTTTTGTTGCTTTTTAAAATAATTGGGGGCAGGGCATGGTGGCTCATGCCTGTAATCCCAGCAATTTGGGAGGCTGAAGCCAGAGGATCACTTGAGCCCAGGAGTTTGAGACCAGCCTGGGCAATATAGTGAGACCCCCATCTGTACAAAAAGTAGAAAAATTAGCTGGGCCTGGTGACGTATGCCTGTGTTACCAGCTACTCAGGAGGCTGAGATGGGAGGATCGCCTGAGCCCAGGAAGGTCATGGCTGCAGTGAGCTGTGATTGCACCAGTCCACTCCAGTCTGGGCAACAGAGTGAGACCTTGTTTCAAAAAATAAAATTAAATAAAAATAAAAATTTTAAAAAGTGGGATATGATGAACATGCAATAAAATGCACAGGTCTTATGGGTTTAGTTTGATGAATTCCAACAAATCAACCACCCAAAACAACATTCAAAACATTTCTAAAACCAATTCCCTTATATCCCTTTCCAAACAACTCCCCATCCCTAGCCCAGCCAAGGGAGCCACTGATCTGCTTGCTGTCACCATAGTTTAGTTGTGTTTCATCTAGAGTTTCAAAAACCAGGAGTGTTCTTTTTCATCTCAACACAATGCCTGCAAGATTCTTTGCATTGTTGCAAATATCACGCGCTTGTTCCTTTTTTATGGCTGAGTAGTGTTCCATTGCAGGGGGGCATCTGGGTTTCCAGCTCGCATGAACATTCATGCACACTGAGCTCCCACTTGAGTCCTGTCACAGTTACAATCCAGTGTCCTTTGCATGCACTGTGCCTGTTGATCCTCACCACCGGTAGATATTGTCCCCACTTTGGGGTCAGAAGAAGTGGGCGCAGGGAAGTTGGGTAGGAAACCCAAAAACACATAGCTCACAGCAGCCAAGGCAAGATGTGAACCTTGAGCAAGGGACAGACGGGGACCCAAAGGCATGGCAGGTGGCTTCAGGCCCTGGGGGCGCACGTTTGGTGGAAACTGAACTGGAGCACCTATTGAGTTTCTGGTCCTGTTCTAAGCACTTTGCACGGACCAACTCACTCAAGTCCTCCCAACAACCTGTATTATCCCATTTTACAACAGTGGAAACTGAGGCACAAAAAAACATGAGTCACATCTCCAGGATCACACACCTAGTGAGGGTAGAGCCAAATTGGACCCAGGTGGTCTGGCATCGTGGTGCTTCTCTTAACCACATGGCTATGCTGCCTCACTAGCCCCACTTCTAGTTTGTTCCCTAGTGGGGCAGGCTCAGGTTCTGTCTGCCTGGAGGCATTTCCACTCACAGTTGTCTCCCTACCCAACTGGGAGCCCCCCCAAGTCTGGTCAGTTCAGGATCCAACGGCCTGGTGCTGGGAGAGCAGGGGGGAGGCAGTAGGGTAGAAGGACAAGAACAAGACTCTAGATTCATCCTTGCATCCTGGCTATGCCATTTTCAGGCTGTGTGACCTTGGACCAATCACTTAACCTCTCTAAACCTCCACTTCCTGTAAAATTAAAACTGATGCAATAATAATGACCTCATGAGCATTGGGTGAGCTGGGCATGGAAGTAACAGAGTTGACATTTACCTGCACTTTGCTACCTGCCCAAGGCGTCTCAGTCCTCAACCCAGGCTCACAGCAATCTTGCAAAGCAGTTGCTGTTTAATCTCCATTTTACAGACAAAGAAACTGAGTCTCTAAATACTGTGTCCAAGCTAAAAGCCTCTAAACATACATTTCCTGCCTTGAACTCAGTCTTGAATATCCAGCTACGACTCAATATTCCTAACAGGCATCTCATACGTCCCAGGTAAGAAACCAAACTCCTCCTCCAGCAGGATCCTACGTTTCCCGCATCATCTTTGCCTCTGAAAGTGTCACCTCTCTCTTTCTATGGAACAAGACCATCACTTCTCCTGTTGCCCTTCCCAGCTTCTCCCCCACCTCCCCTTTTCCCTAGTTTATAAGACAGGAGAAAAGGGAGAAAGCAAAAAGTTGGAAAGAAACAGAAGTAAGATAAATAGCTAGACGACCTTGGCGCCACCACCTGGCCCTGGTGGCTAAAATAATAAGAATAATATTAACCCCTGACCAAAACTACTGGTGTTATCTGTAAATTCCAGACATTGTATGAAAAAGCACTGTAAAACTTTTTGTTCTGTTAGCTGATGTATGTAGCCCCCGGTCACGTTCCTCACGCTTACTTGATCTATCATGACCCTTTCACGTGGACCCCTTAGAGTTGTAAGCCCTTAAAAAGGCTAGGAATTTCTTTTTCAAGGAGCTCGGCTCTTAAGATGCGAGTCTGCCGATGCTCCCGGCCGAATAAAAACCTCTTCCTTCTTTAATCCGGTGTCTGAGGAGTTTTGTCTGCGGCTCGTCCTGCTACACTTCCAGGGGCCAGGCCAAACACCTGAGTGTCCTCACTGACTCTCCTCTTTCTCTAGCCTCTGCCTCACCACCTCCCAACCACAGCCTGCATCCAGGATCCCACCACCCTCCAAGCTCCGCAGCCCTGCCCTGGCATGAGCCACCACCAGTGTGTGCTTGGATTGTTGCCATGGCTTCCAAACTATCTCCCCCATTCTATCATTGTCTTGATACCCAAAGGAAGTCGGATCACGTCTCTGCTCTGCTCAGCACCCTCCTGTGGCTCCCATGTCACCCAGAGTCAAAGACAAGATCTTGGCAGTGTCCCTAAATCCCGTGTGGTTGTATGCCCCCACTCTGCCTTTCTGACATCTTCCCTCCAGCCACACTGGCTTCCTCCCTCCTCCTGGAACATATCAGGCACACGGCAGCCTCAGGGCCTTTGCACTTGCTGTTCCCTCTTCCTGAGACTCTGTGCCCTGAGAGAACCACAAGCCTCCCTCTCTCACCTCCTCCAGGTCTTTCCCTCATTTTCTTTTTTTCCTTTTTCCTTTTTCTTTTCTTTTCTTTCTTTCTGTTGTTTTTTTTTTTTTTTTTTTTTTTTCCTGATACACCAGGCTGGAGTGCAGTGGCATGATCTTGGCTCGCTGCAATCTCCGCCTCCTGGGTTCAAGTAATTGTCATGCCTCAGCCTCCCGAGTAGCTGGGATTACAGGCACTCGCCACCACGCCCAGCTAATTTTTGTATTTTTAGTAGAGACGGGGTTTCACCATGTTGGCCAGGCTGGTCTCAAACTCCTGACCTCAGGTGATCTGACTTCCTCGGCCTCCCAAAGTGCTGGGACTACAGGTGTTAGCCACTGCACCCAGCCCTTTCCTTCATTTTCAATGTATCTCAGGTTATCCTAGACCAGCTGGTTACATGAACAAGACTCTCTGCACCAGCACTCCTCACCCCTTCTCTCTGTGACATCATCACCAATCGACACTCAGAATTTTAAAATTTATTAACATTATTATTATTGTAAGTTTTGAACATCTCTACCCAATGGGTTCCACGGGGCAGGATGGTTTTGGGGTGTTCGTTGTGGCATCCTCAGCACCCCTTACCCAGTTCAGAGTGCTTGCATAATAAATGTTTGCCAAATGCATAAATGGAGATCAGGAAGGGGTGACTCCCCACAAATTACCAGGTTAGAACATGGGATCTGGGCTTGGAACCCAGGGCTGTGTACTTAAGCTTCCAGTGACAGGTTCCATGCCGCAGAGATGGCAGCTGTTGCTGTCATGATTTTTAGGGTGATATTCTCAACATCCATCAGCTTCCTCACCCACAGGGGAGAGCTGGGGGGCCAAAGAGAGAGGTTGGGCTGGCTATGGCCTCCAGCCTGCAGGAGGTGACTCACCCATCCGGTGATGACAGGTGGCATTCCTCTCCTTCCCCAGGGGTGGGGGGGCTTTGGCCTGACATAAAGGGAGTGTCCTGCTTCTGGGAAGAGGACAAACAGGTGGGAGAGAAGGCCAGGTCACTGCCTGGAGGCTGGCATGTCTAGGCTAGAGGGTCACCAATTATGAAGTAGGGGAAGCCCGGGTTGGGCTGGTTGGACTGACTCCTGAGCCTCCCTGGAGTGAGAGACTGAGGCTCTAGTCCTCTAGTCCTTTCCCTAAGAAAACAGCATCCCAACCTCTCCTTCAGCCGGTCACAGGGAAATCTCTTGATGCCCATCCACCTTCCCCTTGGCATTTTTGCCTGGGTCAAGAGGGACTTGAGCCAATTGACAAACACTTTTTGAAAGAAACAGCAAAGGTCCCACAGACTCTAGCCAGACAGGCTTTATTTACTTTATTGATTTATTTTAGAAAAGTCTTAACTATATAAATGACACTTGAATACAGTTCTGTTGCAGAAGACTCAACCAACCTCCTCCCCAGTGAGTTTGCTGCCTCTGAGATTGCATTTGACTGCAAGTAAAAAGTAGCAGGCACTAGGGTTTTGCCAGATGGGAGTTCATTTTTTTGTGTAAAAAGAAGTCCAGACGTGAGCAAGTCTGGGCTTGTAGACTTGCTCAGGGACATCACCAGTGACCAGCTTCCTGGTGTCCCATGTTGGTATGTGACTTTCAAACTCCTGGCTCAAGAGGGTTGCTTCTCAGCAAGGCAAGAGGGCAGGGAAGGGACAAAGTGTGTGCACCCTGGGTCTCATGGCTACCATTGCACCTGCGTGGTTTCAGGGGAGTCTGGGGAGGTCTTATTTCACTTGGGCACATTGCTGCCCCATTCAAAACTTGGGAAAAGGGGTGATGAATGATGGCAAGTGCTAGCGGCATCAGCCCTGGATTTCTTTTGTGCTGCCTGATTCGAAAGAGATTGTAAATGTGGTTTTGCAGCCTGCTTTTCTGTTCCGCCTAACTATGTGTGTAGAGATTTGCCTTATCATTTTGATCTGCTACATGGTATTCCATGGCATGGATGGACCATGGTTTATTTACCAAATTCCACATTCATTGATATTTAGTTTTCCTGCCAAAACTTCACTATTATAAACAATACCACAGTGAGCATCCGCAGGCAGCTCTCTGAGCGCATGTGTATTTCTACAAAATTGGGCATGCTGGGCAATGATGGATAGAGCTACCTCATCACCACCAGGGCTTTGCCAATTTGCACTCCCTCCACCCACACATGAGAGGATGAGAGGGCCTACTTCCCCCACACTCACCAAGCCATCTGTCATTTAAAAAAAATTCCCATTATGATTATTTTTGTTGTAATTTTTTTTTTAGCTATAGCTCATTGCAGCCTCAAACTCCTGGGCTCAAGCCATCCTCCTACCTCAGCCCCCTGAGAAGCTGGGACTACAGACTGATGCCACCACACCTAGCTAATTTTTAATTTTTTTGTAGCGATGGGGGTCTTACTATGTTGCCTAGGCTATTCCCAAACTCCTGACTTCAAGCGATCCTCCTAACTCAGCGTCCCAAAGAGCAGGGATTACAGACATGAGGCAACCCCAGGCCATTTGTTATAATTTGAATTTCTCTTGTTAGTATTAATGTGGAGCCCCTTATCATTTATGTATTAGCTCTTTGTATTTTCTGATCTGTTCTTTGCCTTTTTAAATTATTTGGCCATTGTTTTGTGCTTAGTTGGTTTCTTTCTTTTCCAATTATGTTAGTTCTTTTCTATTTTACAAAAAATGCATTGATTATACCTTAATAAATGGAATATATAATTTATGTTCAGTAAACTGCATTCCTTCAAAGCAGAGTTTCTCAACCTAGCACTGTTGACATTTTGGGTCAGACAATTCTTTGCTGTGGCGGCTGTCCTGGGCACTGTAGGATGTTGAGCGGCATCTCCTGCCTCTACCCACGAGACACCAGTAGCATCACCTACCCCCATGCTGACCAAATGTCTCTGCACTTTGCCGAATGTCTCCTGGGGGTAAACCATCCTGGGTTGAGAACCTCTGATTTAAAGTGTACAGTTTGATGAGCTTTGATCGATGTGTACAACCAAGAATCCACCGCCTCCTCCAAGATCTTTGCGTTTCGTTATAAATATTTCCCCCCATCTGAGACTTGGACCTTCCTATTGGTGTAACCTCAGTCGAGTCACTTCATTTCCCTGAGTCTCAGTTTCCTCAGCTGTGAAATGGGGATAATGATTCTGACCAGGCAGTGGTGTCATGGGACTCAGAGTGAACAATGCGTGTGGCTGGCATGTCATACGAGTGCAGTGAGTGCTAATTCTCTTGTCTTCCCTCACTGTGTGTGTATTTATTTAGTCCATAGATATTACCTGAACACCTACTATGTGCCAGGCCCTGGGCTGGACACTGGATACCGTGGAAAACAAGACAGAAAAGGTCCATGTCCTCTACTGGGGGAGACAGACAGCAAAGAAGCCAACAAATGAATAAATAAGAGCAGTGTTCCCCGATGACCCCACACAGACCCATGCTGGGAAGCAACAAGATGCGCAATGTGGTGGAGAGGGCCCGGCGTGGGCAGTGGTCTTTGGAGAGAGTGAGAAGGTGCTGTCTAAGCTGAGTGCAGGAGAAGCTAGAGCAGCACGGAAGGGAAATCTAGTCAGAGGGAACAGCAAGTACGGCAGCTGTGAGGCTGGAGCTTGGACCTGGAGAGCTCCCATAAGGCCTTTCCCATGACAGCCAACAGGGGAGGAGAACCCATGGGAGGGGAACCCAGGGAAAGGCAGGTGCTTAGGGCTGCGCCCAAGGCCAGATAATGTTGGGGAGTGGCCAGAAGTGCAGTGGGCCAGGGCCAGGTGGGCTGAGGGCCTGGGACCTGCCTTACCTGCAGGCCCTTGTGGCGCCTCTTGTTCTGACTGTGGATTCTGCTCTGTTTCTGCAGCTGCCCCACCAGGTGGGGACTTGCAGCCCCCAACTCGGTGTTTTTTGGGACACTGCCAGGCCAGACAAGTGTTGCTGCCCCCCAGGCACCGGGACTGAGCCGAGGGTCTTATGTGTAATCAGCACCCAGAAAACATGTGTGGAACTCAACTAGGTCCTGCCTCAGTTTCTCCACCTTGTATTTCCAGCCTCTGCCATTCACTCTGATTTGCCATGTGTCACAACCAGCACTCTGCGAGTTGCAGGGGATGCTTCAATGACCACCATATACGGTTCCTGTCCTTAGGGAGCTCACATTCTGACTGGGCAGAAATAACTCCATGCTCAGCACTGTGAGGGTGAGTGTGGCAGGGACCATCAGTGTCCGCCAATATCCATCAGCTTTTTTTTCATACTGAGAGAATTTTGGAGCATTAGTGGGAAACACGCTAACATAATCGGCAGATAGTGATTCTATTTTCCAGCCTCCTTTGCAATTACGTGTGGTCATATGACTAAGCTCCAGCCAATGGGATTAAGTAGAGGTGATAGGCACCGCTTCTGAGGCATGCCCTTAAGAGGAATGAGCCTTTCTCTCTCCCCTCTGCCTGGAACGTAGATGTGATGGAGAAGCTATAGCAGCTGTTTTGGACTTGACTGGAAGCTATGGATTGAGGATGACAACTAGAGAGAAGGAACCCAGAATTCCAGAATGAGCTTGCGAACTAAACCTTCCCCAAAAGAGGCAAATTTTAAAGCCTTGACAATGAGAATGAAGACTTTTTGAGACAAAGTTTCCAGGAGAGACATAGCGTATAGGCAGATCCAGGGGCAGGAGAGAACATGGAGAATTTGAGGTACCTAAAGAAGTGGAGGATGGCTGGACCATAAAGGATAATGGGGCAGGTGAGATGGGGCTGGAGAGGTGGCAGAAGCCACTTTGAGGAGCCTGAAAGAGCCAGGTTAAGCCCTTTGGACTTTGTCCTGTGGGTAAAAGGGAGTCATGGAAGGCTTATGGAAGGAGAGGGAGTGATTAGATTTGCTTCTTAGAGCGATCTCCCTGGCCACAGGGCAGGGAATGAATTTATTCATTTATAGGATTCAGGAAAAAAATTGAGGCCCTACTATGTGTCAAGCACTAAAGGTTATCAGTGAACAAAACAGACCTAATTCCCATTCTCATGGAGTTGCAACCTGGTGGGGTGAGACACGTGTGAAATAATCACACAGGTAAATAAGAAGTGTGATCAGGGCAATGGAGAGATGTACGTCAGGATGTGAGGTTTGTAATGAGGCGTTCAACTTGGGGGGCTCAGAAGAGCTTTCCTGAGCAAGGTGACAGGGAAACAGGAGTGGGAAGAGTTCTGTTCAGAGGAAACAGCATGGGCTGTTGATGCCCAGACAGCAGCAGGGAGAGTGGGGGCTTGGCTGGTGTCCAGGTGGAAGATGATGGCAGAGCTGGAGAGACATGGGCACAGATGGAGAAGGAAAGCAGGGACTCTTGAGGGCCAGCCATCTTCTGGCTTGAGCAAGGTGTGTACCAACAGAGAAGTCCAGTGGGGAGGAAATATGATGAGTTCAAATATAGTGTGTTGGATTTGAGGTTCCCATAAGCCAATCAAGTGGAGATGCTGACTGGGTCTTTGCATACCAGGGTCTGGTACCCAGGGGGACTCCCTGGCTAATTACAGTCATGATCCTTCCACCTGGAGCACTGTGTGGACTCCCAGTCTCGAGCTTGCCAAGTGCCAGCCTTTGAGGGCACCTCATGTGTGCCGGGAGTTGTGCTTACGGTAGACACAGTGGTTGCACATCCATGACTTCTTTGCTGACGGGATTCAGTTTTGTTGGTTATGCCTCTACTCAGGAGCTCAGGGAAAGTGGCTATTCCTCGCCCCGGCTTCAGAGTGAGTTATAGGTCCAAGCCAACTGTGGCCATTCTCATTCCTCCGTCAGTGATTCGTTTGGAATTATAGATGTGATGCCATCTTGGCCAATAAGAAGTCTGCAGATCTGCAGAAGGGAAATTTGGGAACAATTTTCTCCATCATAAAAGGAGACACAGGGGAAAAAATGCCCTCCTCCTCTTTGTTTGATTTTATCATGTCCCAGTGTGATGCCTGGAGCCACAACAGCTGTCTTGAAACCATGAGGAGACGTGTCCATAAATTGCTGAGAATGGCATAGCAGGAAGATGAAAATAATGTGAATCACTGGTTATATCTTTATGCCTCTAAATGAAACAACCCTGTTAAATGAAATTATAAGTCCTCTATCTTTTTATTTTGCCTTCTTTAGTCAAGTGTTTTGCTCCTTGTGGCTGAAGACATTCTGACTAAGAAAGTGTTCTTATGCACTATCTCACTTAATCCTCTCATAAACCTCTGAGGTTGATATTACTATTACAGCCATTTTACAATAAAGAAACGGAGGCTCTGGGCAGTAAATGACTTTTCCAAGGTCACAAGGACAGTGAGTTACAGAGTTGGGATTGGAGTCAAGGATCAAGTGTTGATCTGAGAGTGTAACTGATCTATAGCCACAATTTCCTTTTAAAAGTCTTTCCCCTAACACATTTTTAGTAGGGAACCGTAACCCTGTTCTTATTTTTCTCTGGAAAACTGTGATTATGGTTGGTGGGAAATTTAGAGTGGGCTGCATTTCTTTGTACACAGTTAATGGCTTTGATTACATGTTTCTGGTTTCTTTATTCTGAGAAAGGCTGCCATTGGTTGTAGAATATAATCAAATCATTTCTTATGTAAACAGCCGTGTGGCACAGAGCCAGAGCAGTTCCATCAGCAGGAAGGTGAAAATGAAACTGTGTTGCCAGCCCCGGAAAGCAATCTGCTATTCAGAGGAAAAGATCAAGGATTAATGACATGGAGTTGGGCAAAGGCTGTTGCTGTGGCTCTGAGCATTATCAGGAGGCAGGGAACAAAGAACAGTTGTTACATGGGTTTGTTACAAAAGTTTTTCCTAATGTAATTCATGCAATGCTTGCCAAACACCAAGTATATCCTTAGAAAGCAGAAGGGAACAAAAAGAAAGGAAGGAAAGAAGGAAGGTAGGGAGGGAGGGAGGGAGGGAGGGAGGGAGGGAGGGAGACTTTTATCATCAATTATAAGACTCTTAGAAAGCTTTACTATCCTTAATATACAAAGAGTTCTTTGCAAAACAGTAACAGGCAAACCCTTTATTAAAAATCCACTATTCTGGCAGGTGAGGTGGCTCGTGCCTATAATCCCAGCACTTCGGGAGGCCGAGGTGGGAGGATTACTTGTGCTCAGGAGTTTAAGACAAACCTGGTAACACAGCAAGATCTCGTCTCTGCAAAAAATAGGGAAAATTAGACAGGTGTGGTGGCATATGCCTGTAGTCCCAGCTACTTGGGAGGCTGATGTGGGAGGATCGTCTGAGCCTGGGAAGTGGAGACTGCAGTGAGCTGAGATTGTGCCATTGCACTCCAGCCTGGGAGACAAAGGGAGACCCTGCCTCAAAAAAAAAATCAACTATTCACAAATGAAGAAGTACAAAACGTGTGAAGACAAGTTCCACCCCACCAGTTATCAAGGAAATGTAAATAAAAGCTACAATGATATGTCATTTTCTGCCTATCAGTTTAGCAAAGACAAAAAAAGATTGGCAACTCTCAGTGTTGCAGAGTAGATTCTCATACTCTCCCAAAGGGCTCTACAAGGGTCTCTGGGAGCAGAATGGCAACAAGCACCATGCCATTCACTGGGCAGAAATTTTAAAGCAACCTGGAAATTTAATTTGAGGGCATTTATTCTAAGATGTAATAGGCCAAGTAGTCTCTATGGGGAAGGTCGTTCATTGCAGCATTGTTTATAATGAAAAACTGGGGGAAAAAACTCTGAAATGCCAAACTACAGAAGATTCATTAAGCAAACAATAGTCCTCATATAATGAAATGCTGTATTAAAAAATTATGAAATTGTGTTAAATATAAAACATTGTGTTAAGCTCTATTAAAAATACTCATTAAAATGACAATATAGAGGGCCAGACTCAGTGGCTCACACCTGTAATCCCAGCACTTTGGGAGGCCAAGGTGGGCAGATCACAAGGTCAGGAGTTCAAGACCAGCCTGATGAACATGGCAAAACCCCATCTCTACTAAACATACAAAAATTAGCCAGGTGTGGTGACAGGCGCCTGTAATCCCAGCTACTCGGGAGGCTGAGGTAGGAGAAGCTCTTGAACCTAGGCAGTGGAGGCTGCAGTGAGCCGAGATCATTCCACGACGTTCCAGCCTGGGTACCACAGTGAGACTCTCTCTCAAAAAACAAACAAACAAACAAACAAACAAAAAAGGTAATGTAGAGAGATGGCCATGACATTGTAGAGAAAAGCATTTTCGTGTGCATAATCTCATTTGTATTAAGTTGTGTGTGCAATGGGCATACATTAAAAAGTGTAATCTAAAGGATGTTTCCCAAAATGTTGGCAGTGTTTATTTCTGGGCGGTAGGGGTAATTTTTACATTCCTTTAAATCAGGGTTTCTCAACCTTGACACTATTGACATTTTGTGTCAGATAATTTTCATTGCAGGGGACTGTCCTGGGCACTGTGGGATGTTTAGTGGCATATCTGGCCTCTCCCCACTAGATGCCAGGAGCACCCCTACCCCCAATCCTAACAACCAAAAATGTATCCAGATATTGCCACATGTCTCCTGGGGGACTAAACAACCCTTGGTTGAGAACCACTATTTTAAATGCTTTTCTGCATTATTTAAATATTTTAACAACAAGCATGTATTGTTATCATAATGAGAAAAACAAACACATTTTTAAAAATTCAGTAAAGTCATCTGAGGCTCTGTGAATTGACTTTGGATTTGGTCAGCAA
This sequence comes from Homo sapiens, assembly GCF_000001405.40. NCBI lineage: Eukaryota > Metazoa > Chordata > Mammalia > Primates > Hominidae > Homo > Homo sapiens. Next base: position 57,378,032 of record NC_000007.14, read on the forward strand.
AATTCAGTCAGAGACCACAGAAATCTGTTATCTTATGTTTGACACAAGGTTCTGGTGAAATATCTGGACATTTAGCAAAGTTTTCCCTGGGTTGGTTTTTGCTCGAAAAACAGCTTCTTTTTTTGCTATGGATTTGAACATAATTAAACTCCTAGAGTGGATGCTTTGACGGTCTTGCCCACTTTCTGTTCTTTTGGTAACTACTCCAATTTTGAAGGGATTGCCACGCTTCTCTCATGTGGTCCCCCTTTTGGGGGAGCTGACTGCCTTCCTGACTCCAAATCTAAGCTAATTTTCTGAATCTCACCTTCAGCTTTAGCCACTGGTTCAAGGACGGACATGTAAGCAGGTTAGTTTGAGTCTAAAGAAGAATCAATGTCAGGAGCTTCTGGAAAAGATGACTTTCAAGTAGCCACTCAAAGAGATCTTTGTTTGGACAGAATGAGACCTGAAATTGTCATGCTTGTTTTTACGCCGTGAAGAAAACCAGCCAGAGGAAACAAACAAACAAACAAAAACTGACACACGGAAGTTGAAGCTCTGATCAAACCAAGTCTGAAGCTCACTCTTCTACTCGGCTTTTCATTAATACAAGCCAATAAGTCTCTTTTATACTTTAAATCAGTGTGAACTGAGTTTCTATTCCTTAAAGCCCAAAGCTAACTTGTACAACCTCCTTTGATAAGAGGAACCTCTCCCAGAGTCCTGCGTTCATGTCATTTTAGCAAATATGTATTGGACCCTTACTGGACACCAGGCCCAGTGTCTGATCCTGGGGGGACGAAGATGATGAAGACACAATCGTGGCCTTTGAGGAATGTGCTACCTGGGGTTGGGGAAGATGAGAGTGTGGGATGTGTGCCATGATGACAGGGACACAGAGACAGTCGGCTTGGGGTTGGGGAGAAGAAATCCTTGACTGAGCCTGTCTGAAAGGAGAGTAGGGAAGGGAGAAGGGCATCTGCCAGCCTGGATGCTTGAGAGATTGCTGTAAGGCAGGGCAGCCACCGTGTGCAGAAATGAAAGAGCTGTCGAGATGGGGAGCATGACCCCGGAGGCCTCCGGGGAACCCCACATAAAGGTGGCTCAGGCAGGACTGGGTCCCCAGAGAGAACCCTGCAGCTTTAGAGCATGAGCCCCACCTCCCACCTCCCGCCACTTGGTGCAGTCCAGCTGCTGGCAGAGAAGGTGGGGGTTGGGGAGGGACCCCTTGTCAGAGCCCAGCTTTTTCATTCCAAGGATGGAAAGACCAAAATATCAGCAAAGATGACAAGGATGAATATTCTATCAACAGCATTCATTCCACACAAGCTCCTATGGCAGAGGGCAAAATCAACCCAGGCTTAGGGATTGGTGGGAGATAGATAATCACCTATAACCCTGAAAAATATAAAGCTTTGATCATGCTCTAGGGGTTTCTAACAGACATTCCAGGGAAGTCAGGGAAGGCTTCTTGGAGGAAGAAGCACTTAAGCCAAGAGCTAAAGGGAAACAAGTTCCCTTGGCAAAGCTGGGAAGGAAGGGGTTTCAGATGGAGGGAACAGCCTGTGCAAAGGGCCTGTGGCAGGAAAGAACATATACGAGCAAGGGCTTTGCATTCACACCCTACTTTTCATGGGTCCTGACCACAAGCCTGTAAGGTAGGTCTTGTTATCACCATTTTAGAAATGAAGACATTGAGACTTAGAGAAGCAGTGACCTGCCCAGGGACACACAGCCAGGAAGCAGCAGAAATGGGAATTGAACCTGCGTTCTTCATCATACCCTGGTCTGTCCCTGGTAGGGGTCAACCAGCAGCTTTCTGACTGCTGGGATACTTCTTTTTGAGAACACAACAGTTCTAAAAGTGTGGTCCAAGGATCCCTAGGGGTCTCCAAGATCCATTCAAGGGCTTCATAGGATTATTTGCTGTTTTTACTCTCATTCTCACACGAGTGTAAAGAGTTTGAAAAGTTCACTGATAGATGTTTAGGTTGCACATTGCAACTGAATTTAAGACATTACCACTGGCTAGGTTTTGTGTAGCATTAAGGAAAATTCATGGCCGGGTGTGGTGGCTCATGCCTGTAATCCCAGCACTCTGGGAGGCTGAGGCAGGCAGATCACCTGAGGTCAGGAGTTCAAGACCAGCCTGGCCAATATCCATCTCTACTAAAAATACCAAAATTAGCTGGGCATGGGGGTGGATATCTGTAATCCCAGCTACTTGGGAGGCTGAGGCAGAAGAATCACTTGAACCCAGGAGGCGGAGGCGGAGGCTGCAGTGAGCTGAGATTGCGCCACTGCACTGCAGCCTGGGTGACAGAGTGAGACTGTGTCTCAATATATATGTATTTCACAATGTGACAATATCCTCCCTTTTTCCAACTATATTCCTTTGGAAGCCAGGTTTTCTCAGGTACTTAATCCTAAACAAAGTCTCACAGCAGATCCACCACAGAAGCAGGTGTGAGGACCCGCTGTCCCCCGAGGCCAGCTGTTAGAAAGAGAGGCAGAAATATCCACAATCCAACAAATGCCACTTCTCTCACTAGGTTTGTCTGTTTTAAAATGCATAGTTATTTATTATAAAAATGTTATGTTCATGTAATGAATTTATTATTACATTTGAGTGAACAAATAGTTACACATTTCTTAGTTTTCATTTCTAACATGAATATCGACTGATAGAATCCACACAAGCAAGAGCTCCTTGGGGTTCTCAGCAGTTTTTTACAATGTAAAGGGATCCTGAGGGCTGCTGTCTGGGGAGGTTGCAGAACTGGCCTGTCTTCCCTGCCCTGCACACCACCAGGCCCCTGCTCTCTTCCTTTCTCCCTTCCACCCTTCTGCCCTTTCTCCCTCTAAGTCTGTACTCAGTGCCCCCGGGAAGGGCTGGGACACCAAGTACGGGGATCCCAGGAGGCTTCCTGGCTTTTGAGTTTCAAAAGTTGAGAGGAGCAGGAAGAACTCACATCTTGCAGAGAGCAAGGCTCCCCTACCCAGAACCAGAGCCAGCGTCGCAGGGTAGGTACAGAGAGGGGGTGTCAGGGGTGGCCCCTAGCCTGGGACTGAGCCCAGAGAGGCCCAGAACCTTAGGTAGAAGCAACTTCTCCAGGATTCTGGAAAGGCAGCCTCCAAGCAGCCCTTGAAGTAGCTGGGAAGCAGCCAAATGACCCCTAGGACCAGGGGCAATGGGAAAGGGACAGCCACAGCAGCAAGCAGAGCCTCAGGTGGGGGCCAGCCTGCATCAGGCAATGCCTAGTGGGAAGACAACACCCAACACCAATGCCCCCGTCCTCACTCCTATCCCCAACACCTTGGCCTCACGAAAGACCAAGGGACCCAGGGCCTTCCCAGGAGAAGTGGGGTGGGGCGGTGGCAAGGGTGGGAATCACCATTAGATAAAGCCCCCTCCAGCCTGGCATAACCATGGCACAAGATGGAAAATCAGTTCCATTTGTGGAAACATGAAGAAACTCTACAGTGCCAGTGTGTGAACTGGGACTCATACGTACCCCATGTGGAAAAGCCCCACTCATGTGGGATGTAGCCTCCATGACAGATCTCTTTCTTTGGGCATCAGAGAGGTTGAGTCACTTGCGTGAGGCAGCTCAGCAGGAAGGGGCAGAGCTGGGATTTGCCCCAAGACCCTGGCTCCAGCCCACATGCCCTTGACCGCGGGCTGCTGAGGGAGGGTGTTCATCCCCCATTCCTGGCCAGAGTGTGGGGCTCAGAATCCCAGGCTGGGCCTGGGGGTACAGCCCCTGGGATTGGAGGATTAGACCCCAGGGCCCCTTAGGTGAGCAGAGGCCAGTCAGTCATGCAGGGTGTGGTGGAGCTGGGTCTCTTGCCCAGGCTATACACCAGGTGCCCCCTCACCTGCTGAGTATCCTGGGAGGGGCAGGTAAGGGCCTCACCCAGCAGGACAGGTTCTTCAAGGTCCTCTGCCTGGGAAGTGGTTTCCTGTGCCTCTCACTCCTCCCGGAAGGGTAGACAAAGATGCCCCAGAAACAGGCCCAGAGAGGCCAAGAGATTAGCCAGAGGTCACACAGAAGGTCATGGGAGCGCCAAGACCACCCTTTATGGAGTCTTGTGGGAGGCAGAGACCCTGAGGAGGGAGGCACAGAGCTGGGTCCCTGTCCCTGCCCTTGCATAGAAGGCTGTTGGGGGACATGGGGGCAGGTTCTGGAAGGGCTCCTAACTGAGGCAGCACAGACGTTGTCTGTGATGCTCCCCTCTCACCTTCCACAGGTACACCATCGTAACTGTGGGGTTTATGCCCTAGACATCTCCTACATCCAACCACATCTCCTCACCTCCCTGGCTAAGCCCTGGGCCAGGCCCCTCACTCTCACCCACGGACTGTGGCCATTGCCCCTCCTCTGCTCTTCCTGCTTCCAGCCTCACTGTCTTCTCCACACTCCTTCCTCTGCCTACAACCTTCTGTGGCTCCCACTCACCCAACAAAAAGCCCAAACTCCTCTCCGTGGCCACAGGCCCCTGGCCAGCTCTCCTGTCTCATCACCACTTCCGATATCTGCTCCTTTGATGTGCAGCTCCAGTGAAATGACCTTCAGTTTCTGTCCACCAGACATTTACACATTCTATTCCCTCTGTTTGGAACTCTGTTTGCACTATTTTTTTTATCATTTGTAAAAATTGAGGTGAAATTCATATAACATGCAATTAAACATTTTAAAGTGAACAACTCAGTTGGCATTTAGGACATTCACCACGCTGGGCAGCCCGTATCCTGGCACTATTTTTCCTGATCCTCCTTTTCATCCTTTCAGTCATCCAGACATCACCTCCCCTAGGAAGCCCATCTTGACCTTCCCCTCCTCCCCATAGGTTGGATCTGATGCCTCTTTGGACCTGCCAGGGCCCCTGTGGCTCCCGCACTGTGTTGTGTTGCCTGCCAGAGTGTGAGTGGGCTGAGGGCAGGAACCACGTCTGATTCTTCTCAGCACTCATGACACCTGCACATGTGTGGACTTGGGGTGTGTTGTGATGAATGACAGAGGCAGAGACAGGTGGAGAGATGGTAAAATGTGAACTGAGCATCCCTTCGTGCCAAGCCCTGTGCTCAGTGCTTACGCATGTCATGCCGTGGGGGACAGAGCAGACACAGAGCCTGCCCTTGTGCAGCTGACATCCCCAGGGGTGGAGTGAGGGGTGGGCCAACATGCCCCCTGACAATTACAAGATGGCATCATCGGGTCCGCGATGATGAGTATAAGGCATTGTGGGAGCACCCAGAAGCCTCCTGACCTGCCTGGGCTGGGAAGGTTCCTCGTGGGTGGCATCTAAAGGTTGTGAAATACAGAGAGGGGTGAGCAGGGTAGGTGCAGAGGGCTGGCAGGGAGTGTCCCCAAAAGAGAGCACAGCAGGGACAAAAGCCTGGCCCAGGGGGTCCTGACCGCGGTGATTTTGTTCTCCCCGGGAACATTTGGTGCTGTCTGGAGATGTTAGTTTTCACAACTGAGGAGAGTGCTGCTGGCATCCAGTGGATCGAAGCCCCAGATGCTGCTTAGTGTCCTACAGAGCACAGAACAGCCCCACAATGGAGAATGGCCCAGCCAGAGGCTCAGAAACCCTGGCAGAGAGGCAGGCCTTTGAGCGCACTAAAAGAAGCTCAGGAGAGGAGGCTGGAGGAGGCGCAGGCAGCCTCAGCCCCATCCAGGACTTTGGATTTGGGGATGGGGTATCTAGCCCAAGAGAGTACTTAGGCAGCAGAGGACCTGCTGAGATGTAGGGTCCAGGAAGCTCCCTCTGGCCGCAGTGTGGACTAGGATGACACAGCGGTGTGATCCAGTGGCAGAGAAGTCAAGGAAAAGGGCACAGAGAGTGCAAAGTTCCTGAGGTAGAAACTGGCTGAGTGGGCTCTGGAGACAGAAGGGAGGCCAGCATGGGTGAAGTACAGAGACTACCAGAAGATGCCATGCAAGGCCGTGGAGGCTGCAACAAAACTTAGGGGGTTAGTCCAAGAGCAATGGGGAGCCCTCGAAAGTGTTTCACCAGGGGAGGGGCACAGTCAGCCTTGGGTCCTAACAGGTTCCCTCTAATCATGGGTGGAGAATGGATCCTAGGGGTGATGGCAGCGCAGGGAGATGAGGAGGAGGCAAGGCTGGGGTCAGGTCAAGCCCGGAGCTGGAGTGAGGGGTTGAGGGGGTGTGGCCACCAGGCCCAGCTCATGGGTTTGATGGGGATGATAGGCAGAGGACTGGAGAGCGGCTCAGAAGCTTCTAGCTGGCTAGGCAGCCTGGACAAGGGGACTTTCAGGCATCTCTTTTCACCTCACGGCTCCTGGGGGCCGAGGGCCCTGATATCTGTGCCTCCCACCCCTTCCTGGACAAGTCCAGCCTCTGCATGGATGTCCTCAACCCATGCACCTGCAGGAGGCAGCCCGGGATGCTTGCTGTTGGGATTTTCCCAGAGCTCCAACCCCAGGAAACACTGCATCTCAAAGTGGAATCCAGCTGCTGGCACCACCTCTTAAAGAAAGGCCAGAAGAGGACGGAGTTGGAAAAAGCCCCGTGTTCCACAGTCGACTCTCAGCAGCGCCCGTCTCTGCTGTCTGCAGGGCCTGGGTTCAAATCCTGCCTCTGCCACCACATGCTCAGTGCCTTGGGCTCCTCACCTGCGGGGTGAGTACGGCAGCGCCTCCCTCAGAAGGCTGGTGATCATTTGAAAATGAGAGAATTCATGGAAAGTACCTGGTGCATAGTCAGTGTTTAGTAATTGTCAGTGAATATTACTATTATTATTAATTAGGGCATTGAAAATAATTCACATTTGCTCCTGTCCCCAGCTGGAAGGGCCAGTTTTGGCTTCAAATCAGCCGGGACATCTTAGCTGATGCAGGGCCACACACAGAGCCCCATGCCAAGCTCCCAGGGGAATAAACCAGGGGTGGGCTCTTCCCCTCATAACTGACAGCCCGAGAAAAATTGCAGTTTGCAAGACACTCTTGTGGAAAGGGAGGACTTTGGAACCATGAACCCACTCCCACACTCAGATGCCAGGGCCTGGGGCAAGTCCCTGAGCCTCTTGGAGCCTCCTGGGGCCTCATTCTTCCCATCTGAGGAATGGGAACTCTGCTGCCTACACAGGTTGCCGGAAGGCGGAATTGTACCCTCTCTACTCTACTTTTGAGACACAGGAGGGGCTAACTCTGCCTTCCTGGGGTGGCATCCTGGTCCCTCGAGGCCCCCTTTAGGGCTGAGGGCTCCTCTTTGCCAAGCAGCTCTTGTCTCACAGACCCTCGCGCCAGCCCTCAATTGTCCCAATTCTGCTGATGAGGACTTGGAGACGTGGCCAGGTACATCACAGAGCTGAGGCCATGCCAAGCTCGGCACCCTCCCAGTCGAGGTGCCTCCCCCTTGCTCCCCTCTCAGCCCTCAAAGTCACTGGGACTCATCATCTCAAGCCAGAAAGTGGGGCCAGATGGTGGCAGATCCACGGGTGTCTGTTGCATCATTAAGTGAGGGTGAAAAATGTTGCTTGTAATTAAACAAGGGAACCAGGACAGCAGCGGCCCCCGCCACAGCTGGGGCGGCTCAGGAAGGGAAGGAAGACTGGCTGAGAGTGAGGGGTGGGGGAAGAAGCCTGTGGAGGTTGTGACCTCTGTTCCTCCCCTAACATCCCAGCTCCACCTCTGCCAGCTGCATGGCCTTGGCTCCGTCCCCTCCTCTCTTTGTGCCTTAGTTTCCAGACAACAGCAAGAGCGGGGCTTGTCCTGGTCTTGTCTCACCTGTCCCCACCTCAGGGCCTTTGCACTTGAGGTGCCCCCTCCCTGGCAGGTGCTTCCCACACCCAGATCTTCCCAGGGAGGCCCCTCCACCTGCTCCAGGTCACAGCTCAACTGCCTCCTCCTCCTAGCGGCTTCTCGAGCTCTCCCATCTGGTCACCTGCTTCTGTTTTCTCCACAGCTTGGCTTGGTGCCCTGCACACAGTAGGTTCTCAATAAGTACTTGTTAAACAAATGGAGATCCCGGTGTCATTTGTCCCTTTTATCTGTCATTCTCTTTGCTCCAAAGCCATGAGGCCATTTCACCAATGAGGAAAACTGAGGCAGGTGAAAGAGGACACACCTTGCCAGCCTCCTCAGGTGAAGCACTGGCGATGTGGACAGCCACTGAGCTTGATCACCCCTGGGTTCAAATCCTGGCTCTGCCTCTCCTTGGCAGGGGGACCTTGGACAAGTGACTGTGCCTCTCTGTGCCTCAGTTTCCTCATGTGTAAAAATGGATGGTTATATTGAACTCTCAGGGTTCTTGCGAGAGTCAAAGTGAAAGTGTTAAAGCAGGTGGTAGCCACTAAGTACCAGAAATAGTGTTCCATAAAATATCTGCTGAATTAAGGAGGTGAGAATCATTGTCCACATTTCACAAATGGGGGAAACTAAGGCACAGGGAGGTGAAGCTAATTAAACAGTGGAACTGAGTATCACCTAAGTCTATTTAACTCCAGAGGCCTCTTTTGTGCAATGAAAGTAACATTATGGAAAATTATAGGCCTCAGGACTCCCAAGTGATGGGAGGGCTAGCGTGTAAGAGGATGACTGGACAGGCACAGCCAACTTCCATGTGGGGGGGACAGGCAGGCAGCAGAGATGGCCCTGCCAGGGCCCACATGAAGGATGGCTGGCCATGGCCGGTCTCCACTCTCTGTCTTTCTGATATTCCATTGAGGAGTCTTGCTCTGTCACTCTCAGTCCATGGAGTTTGAGCAAAGCTGACCCAACTTCTAGCTTCAAGGAGGTCCATGTGACTGAGAACCTGGCCATGGGCCACGCGGCATGGTAAGAGATGGCCACATGATCCAGTCACAGCCCGTGAGAGCCAGTCTGGGGGCTTTGATAGGAATGGTTGAGAGAGAGTGCTGGGGTTTCCCTCTGGGTTGCTGGGCTGATAGGATCATATTAGTATCAGTGGGAGTCATAGTCACCGTGGCAGTAGCAGCAGCAGTTGTAGTAATAACAGCTAGCACTTATTGAGCATTAGGTGTGTTGGTTAGTTAGTTAGTTATATTGATTAACTCCCTCTTCCAGAGAGACGTGGAAAACGATATCATTCAAACACCTGGATCTAGATATGCCTGAAGCAAGCACCCATGGAATTTTTATGTGACCCAATAAATTATCTTTCACCTAAACTGTTTTTAGTTGGATTTTTGTTCCTTTCAACTGAGATAGCCCTGACTAATCCACCTGCCTTCTGGACATTATCTAGGCATCCATCTCCCCATTATTACTGTAGCTGAAGCAGTGCGCCCATTAACTGTTTTATGCTTGTCGCTGACTCACAGGTTTCCATTGGAGTTCTTGGTTCACCCTGCCCAAACAGAGGCCCCAGGCCTACTCCTTTTCCCATTCACACTGAGCGGGAGAGAGGGCGTGTAGGCGTGAGTGCACACCTGTGTTCCAGGAAGGTGCTCTGTGTGGTTTGCTTGGCCCCCAAACACACCTCGTTATTAGTGTGATGACTGCTACTAAATAGTCCTCCCGAGCAGATCAGCTGCTTTGCATAAATGGTGATCTCACCAAGACTTCCTGACAACCCCACAAGGCAGGTATTGTCATCCCATTTTAAACATGAGGAAAATGAGGTTCAGAGAAGCAAAGCCTGAGTCCCACAGCTCTAAGCAGCAGATCCTGCACTCCCTAACTCCACAGCTGAGCCCCTTCCTTTTTTTTTTTTTTTTTTCCTGAGACAGAGTCTCGCTCTGTCGCCCAGGCTGGGGTGCAGAGGTGTGATCTTGGCTCACTGCAAGCTCCGCCTCCCGGGTTCATGCCATTCTCCTGCCTCAGCCTCTGGAGTAGCTGGGACCACAGGTGCCCACCAACACGCCCGGCTAATTTTTTTGTATTTTTAGTAGAGATGGGGTTTCACTGTGTTAGCCAGGATGGTCTCAATCTCCTGACCTCGTGATCCATCCGCCTCGGCCTCCCAAAGTGCTGGGATTACAGGCATGAGCCACCACGCCCGGCCAGCTGGGCCCTTTTCAAGACCCAAGTTCACGGACTCCGGGTGCCAGAACTCAGGGTCAACTTGGTTTATAATATGTGTGACAAATCTATGTGTATGTAGAGTCTATGAGTGTGTGTGTATAGTACATGTGTCAAATCTCTATGTATGCAGAGTCTATATGTGTGTGTATAATATGTCTCCAATCCACACATACAAATAGAATGCAAATAAGGAAGTATTCTATAGGTAATGTATATGAATATTGAATGTGTGTCTCATATATGTGCCAAATCTATATGTATGCAAAATATATATGTGTGTAACATGTATGTAGAACCTATATAAATGTACAATATATATGTGTGTGTATAATATGCATGTAGAATCTACATCTATGTAGACATATATGAGTGTGTGTGAAATATGTGCATAGGATCTATATCTATGAAGGACATATATAAGTGTGTGTCTCATATGTGCATAGGATCCATAGAGGACATATATGAGAGTGTATGTGTGTGTCTGCATGTGTGTGTGTGTGTGTCTAATATGTGTGTGGAATCTCTGGTTTCACCTGCCCTGTATCTCTAGGCAGCAGGTACATTGTGGAGTGGAAGAAAACAATGACTACCTTTTCCCACCTCAGCCTGCACCACCCTGGACCAGCCACTGTTCCCTGCTCCCCTCTGGCCTCCTGCAGTCACCTGGACTCCCTGCTCTGCCCCTACCCCAACCCATTCTCCCCTTGGGCTGGAGGGATACTATTAGAACCGAGGTCAGGTCAGGGCTTTCTGCACAGAGCTTTCCATGGCTCCCACCTCTTTTAGAGCAAAGCCAAAGTTCTCGCAACATCCTGCAAGGCCCTGCCTGGTCTGGGACCTCCCTCGTGGCCTCCCTGACCTAACTGACCCTGTCTCCCTCTTCCCCTTGGCTGCAGCTGTGCAGCCTCTTTCTCTGGGACCACGCATGCTACAGCCCAGCACCTGCGCACTTGCAGTTCCTGCCCCCATGCAGATCCCCTGCCCCAGATGTCACTTCGTTCAAGTCACAGCTGAAACGTCACGTCCCCAAAGAGTCCTCACCAGATTCTCTCCAGCTCCTTCCCCTGTGTGGATGTTCCTAAGATGCACCCATGTGACATTCTCCCACCACCCAACACAGTGCCTGACATGAGGTAGGTGCTCAGCCACTAGCTGATGGGTGAAGGGGCAAAACCAGCCAGCGATCAGGTCAGCGCTTGTCCTGCTGAACCTCCTTTCAGGCCACCCAGGGTCTGCACGACCTCACGTGGCCTCTGCCCACCACTGTCTTCCCACAAGCTCACCCACTCCACTTCCTTCTTGTTTGGGGCTAGAAGTTACCAACAGAGCCTTTCTCTGCCTACATTTAATGGCTTATTTTTACGAAAAAGCAAAAAGGGAAGTGTCAGCAGCAACATCCTTCATCTCTCATTCCAGAATGTTTCTCTGTCACTACCGGGCCTCATGGGGAAATTCTGCCTTCTGGGACAGTCCCGCCTGGTGTGCAGGAAATGGTGTTCCAGATAGCTGAAATTTCTGGATAACTGAGGATAACCTCCGGAATCAAGGAATGGAAAAAGCGTGGCCTGTGGTTGACTCTAACCCACCAAGGAGCTCTGTTAGGCCAGCACTTTTGTATTTTAACAGCTCTAGCAAAATATAGTTCACCTAACATAAAATTCACGCTGTAAAATTGTACAATTCAATGGTTTTAAGTACGTTCACAGAGTTGGGCAACCATCACTGCAATCAATTTTAGAACATTTTCATCACCTCCCCAAAACACCCCATATCCCATGCCTACTCCCCATACCCCCTCACCCCAGCCTCCCCAAATCACCAATCTACTTGCTGTTTCTATAAATCTGCCACTTCTTGGCATTTCCTAGGAATGGAATCGTGCCCTATGTGGCCTTTTGTGTCTGGCTTCTTTCACTCAGCATCATGTTTTTGAGGTTCATTCACATTGTAGCATGAATTCGTAGTTCATTCTTTTTGTTGCCAAATAATATTCCGCTGCATGGCCCCACCACATGGTGTCTACCCATTCGTCCAGTGATGGACATTGGAGCTCTTTTCACTGTGCAGCTATGATGAATTGTGCTGCTATGAACATTTGTGTGTCAGTTTTTGCACGGACATATACCTCTGTATCTCTTGGGTATATACCTAGAAGTGGAATGTCTGGGTCATGTGGTAACTCAATCTACACTTTTGGGGAATTGCTAGACTGTTTTCCAAATCGGCTGTACCTTTATACAATCCCACCAGCAAGATATGAGAGTTCTAGTTGCTCAAACCCTCACCAACATTTGCTAGTGTCTGTCTTTTTGATCATTTGCCATCCCAGAAGGTGCAAGGTGGTAGGCCAATGCTTTGCCTTCATTAGTGGGAAATGTTTAAAAATTAGGAGAGTTTCTTATTTTTTAATTTTTATTTTTTGAGACTGAGTCTCTCTCTATTGTCCAGGCAGGAGTGTAGTGGTGTGATCTCGGCTCACTGCAACCTCTGCCTCCCAGATTCAAGTGATTCCTCTGCGTCAGCCTCCTGAACAGCTGGGATTACAGGCACCTGCCACCACGCCCGGCTAATTTTTTTTTTTAATTAGAAATGGAGTTTCTCCATGTTGGCCAGGCTGGTCTTGAACTCCTGACCTCGGGTGATTCGCCCACTCATCGGGCTGAGTGCTGGGATTGCAGGTGTGAGCCATTGCACCTGGCCTAAAAATTGGGAGAGTTTTTATCAAACTCTCAGGATCCCTGGCTTCTCTTGAGGAAGATGGCTTTTTGGCATGACTGGGATGCATTTCCCATGGAGGCTGAGTCACAGCCACCCTCCAGGCCACCACAGTCCTCATCCAGCCAACTCCCTTGTTGAAGGGACTTCAGGGGTCCTTTGACATTGAGGTCTATAACGTGTTTGAGCCCAGATGAGGTCGACAAAGATGAGGAACTTTCATCACTTGGCCTTTCTGGAATCGACTTTCCCTCAGGCAGACTGGGGGTTGAACCGGGAATACATTTTCCTACATAGTGTATCCCACACTGACACAGGGTACAGGTTAAGGATCCTTTATCCAAAATGCTTAGGACCAGAAGTGTTTTGGATTTCTATATTTTCCAAATTTTGGAATATTTGCATATACACAATGAGATATCTTAGGGATGGAGCCCAAGTCTGAACATGACATTTACTTATGTTTCATACACACCTTATACACACAGCTTGAATGCAATTGTATACAATTTTTAATAATTTTGTGCATGAAACAAATGTTGTGTACATTGCACCATCAGAAAGAAAGGCATCCCACGCCTATCTCAGTTACCCATGTGGACAATCTGTGGTTGTTTGGCATCACCCTTATTCCTGACTCTGAATTTATATGCTATCAATAAGCAATCATTGCCTTACACTTACTCACACATAAGTACCCATGGTAAAAGGTATGACATAGCATTAATACAGTGGAAAAATAAGGAGTTCAAGATGATCAAGCAGAACAGCAATATCAGCAGATACGGAGCTCAGCCGTGAAACAACAGGGACAACAGACAACCGTGGGCCTTCACTTACGGCGTCAGGTCGGCACTCAAAAAGTTTCGGATTTGGGAGCATTTCGGATTTCAGATTTGCGAATTAGAGATGCTCCACCTGTATTCTCATGGTGATCCTGGAAGGGATTCATTGTCCCTGTCTCCAGATGAGAAAATTGAGGCTTCCTGAGGAGAGAGCACATGGCCTGCCCTGGGTCACATGCTGGTGAGGGTCCAGGCTGGAATTCCAGGCAGCTCCTCTGACCTCCCAGCTGTGTGGTTTTTGGTTTTTGTTTTTTTGCAGAGACAGTGTCTTGCTGTGTTGCTCAGGCTGGTCTTGAACTCCTGACCTCAAGCAATCTCCCATGCCCACCTCCCAAAGTGCTGGGATTATGGTGTGAGCCACTGCACCTGGTAGTCCTGTGCCTTCTGTGACATTACATGGTCCATGAGGTCCCTGGGTCTTTCTCACATCCTCACACTGCGGTGGGGAGCCCAAGATGCAGGTCTCTTTCTTAAAAGAATTGTGTTTGAGCAAAAAAGCCCAGAGAAGTCACCATCTTTCCACCTCAGGATCTCACACAGTTCTGATAATTATAGGTACAAGGCAGTCTCAATTTCAAATGCTCAAGTCCTAAACAGATTGATTGTATTCACTGGACTACGAGTTCCAGCGGGGAGGGGACCTTACGTGTTTGTTCACTCCCATGTCCCTTGTAAGAAGCACCTTCCAGGCACAAGGTATCTACTATGGAAATATGTGTCTGATGAACGAATGGAGCTGGTGATACATTTATTTATTTTTATTTTTATTTTTTTGAGATGGAGTTTCACTCTTCTTGCCCAGGCTGGAGTGCAATGGTGCGATCTCAGCTCGCTGCAACCTCCATCTCCCGAGTACAAGTGATTCTACTGCCACAGCCTCCTGAGTAGCTGGGATTACAGGTGCCTGCCACCATGCCTGGCTAATTTTTTTTGTATTTTTAGTAGAGACGCGGTTTTACCACGTTGGCCAGGCTGGTCTTGAACTCCTGGCCTCAGGTGATCTGCCCGCCTTGGCCTCCCAAGCTGGTGATACATTTAAAAATAGAGTTTCCAATATTTTTTTCCATAACTTTTTTTCAAAACTTTTTTTTCAGCAAAGGTGTTTTGCTAAATGTCTAATCAAACATGCTTGAATGTATCTACCCTACTGCTTAGCTTCAGATCGCGACTCCTCCTTATAAGCAAGTTACTCAACTTCTCTGGGACTCAGTCTCCTCACCTAGAAAATGAGGACAAGCATGTAAATACCTGAAAGTCAGTGCAGGTACCTGTAAAGCTCTCAGGACACTGTGGGAATTAGTGGCTGTATTCATTATTATTATTATTATTATTATTATTATTATTATTATTTGTTTTCATCTGAGAGCCAGGCCAGGGGATTGGGAGACAAACTTGCATCAGGTTGCTAACTCTGGGTGACTCAGATTCTTGCCTGCATCATGGAGAGTTCACAGGAAGGGTCATGGTGTCCCCTGAGAAATGAGAAGGAACCAACTGGTCCATGAATGTGAGGGGAAGTGACTGAATGTTGGTTAGCATGAGCATGCACACTCGGTTGAGTTGTTCAATCCATCCAGTGACAGCAAGGCCCTCGGGTACACTGGGGGAGCCAGGTACATGCTCAGGGCCCAGTATAGAGGGGCCAGGCCTCAATGGCAGAGGGGATCCCCGCAGCCTAGAGCTGGAGGCTCCTAAGCCCTGGAGACATGGGGGGGCCTTTGGAAGGGGGAGGCACGAATGCTGCCTTGGCTGTTTTTGGCTTGATGCTGGGGTGTCCCTCAGCCTCCCACCTGCCTAGAGAAGACAGTCATGTTCTTCAAAAGATGGAGATCTGGCCGGGCATGGTGGCTCATGCCTGTAATCTCACACTTTGGGAGGCTGAGGTGGGCGGATCATTTGAGGTCAGGAGTTTGAGACCAGCCTGACCAACATTGTGAAACCTCATATCCACTAAAAACACAAAAATTAGCTGGGTATGTTGGCATACTCTTGTAGTCCCAGCTGCTCGGTAGGCTGAGGCAGCAGAATCGCTTGAACCCGGGAGGTGGAAGTTGCAGTGAGTTGAGATCGTGCCATTGCACTCCAGCCTGGGCAATAGGAGTGAAATTCCATCTCAAAAAAAAAAAAGATGGAGATGCTGGGATTACTCCCAGACATCGGGAGATTCTCAAGGGCTCAGTCTTCTGGCAGTTTCTTTACTTGCTTTGGTTGAATTCTTCATTTCCACCCAGGTCTCACCCCTCCAGGCTGCCAGTCTCTCTCTGCACAGGCCACACACATGGGGCCTGCCTGAGTTCCTTCATCCCTCTCCCCAAGTTATAATAACAACATGATAACAGTAATAGCTCATATTTACTGAGCACTTACCATGTGCTGGCATTGTGCCCATTACTTTACTTGAAATAACTCATTTAATCCTTGTAACACCCTGTGACATTGGTGGTTTTTTACCATCCGCAGTTCACACATGGAGAAACTGAAGCCCAGAATGGTGCAGTCTGAACTCCGCTAAGGAGCTGGCAGGTAGGGTAGTTTCTGGCAGTCCTCCTGCCTGAACCCTGAATACATCTGCAGGCCACAAATATGCCAGGCAGCCAGATGAAGCCTCTGGTGCTCAGCCTCCCTGGCAGTGAGAATCAGTCCCTCTGCACTACTCAGAAGGCAGGTGAGCAATGTCAAGGGCAATTTGGAAGCAACCACTAATCCATAGATTTTGGCACACTGGTCCAATCCTTTTGACTGTAAGGAATAGAAACTCAACCTCAAGAGGCTTTAAAAGTAAGGAAACTTATTATCTCATAGATCAGATGTTTGGAAGTGATGGGGAATCAGAGATTGGTTAATTTGGCAGCTTGGTGACATCAGCAAAGACTCAGGTCCTAGAACTCAGGATTTGTCTTCCAGCTGGCTCTCCTCATTGACTCAAGATGGCTGCTGCTGCTCCAGACATCACAGCCCTTCTCTAACAACACTTGTGAGATAAAACCTCCCTCTCCTTTTTTCTTTTATCTAAGCACTCTCATAAATAATTTTTTTAAGTGTGGGCAGCATTGGAAACTGCACATAATGATGTTTTATAAATGCCTTTTTAAATTGTAGTAAGAACATTTAACATGAGAGCTACCTTTTAAACAAACTTTTAAGTGTACACTATGGCATTGTTAGCTATAGATACGATGTTGCACAGCAGCTCTCTAGAACTTATTCATCTTGCATAACTGAAACTTCAAACCCACTGAACAGCAGCTCCCCATTCCTGCCTCCCTCAACCCCTGGCAACCACCTTCTACTGTCTGCTTCTGTGAGTTTGGCTGTCGGAATCATGCAGCATTTGTCCTTCTGGGACTGGCTTATTTCACCCAGCATAATGATCCAGCAATATCACCCCTAGATATTTATTCAAAACGACTGAAGTCACGAGCCAAGATCGTGCCACTGCACTCCAGCCTGGGCAACAGAGCGAGACTCCATCTCGAAAAAAAAAAAAAAGAAAAAGACTGAAGTCAGGCTTCAAAGAGATATTTGCACTCCCATCTTCATTACAGCATTATTTACAATAGTCAAGATGCAGAAACAACTCAAATTTCCACTGAAGGATGGATGAATAAAGATAATGTGGTATATGCATACAAAAGAATATTATTGGCTGGGCGCGGTGTCTCACACCTGTAATCCCAGCACTTTGGGAGCCTGAGGCGGATGGATCACCTGAGGTCGGGAGTTTGAGACCAGCCTGACCAACATGGAGAAACCCTGTCTCTACTAAAAATACAAAAAATTAGCCAGGTGTGGTGGCACATACCTGTAATCCCAGCTACTAGGCAGGCTGAGGCAGGAGAATCGCTTGAACCTGGGAGGCGGAGGTTGCAGTGAGCTGAGATTGTGCCATTGCACTGCAGCTTGGGCAACAAGAGCAAAACTCTGTCTCAAAAAAAAAAGAGAAAGAATATTATTCAGCCTTCAAAAAGAAGAAAACGTGTATTATACAAAGTGAAATAAGCCTCTATCTCTTTCGAAGAGCAAGGAAACCTTTCCCAGAAGCCTCCAATAAATTTCTCAACACGTCTCATTGGCTAAAATTGCATTCTGTGTCCAGTCTAAATCAATCACTGGCCTTGTTGGGGTGGAGGACACTGTGACTGACTTAGAGCAATGAAAATCAGTCCCTTGAGGCTTGGCTGAGGCCCATGTTCCTGGAGCCCCTGGGAGGGGCGGGGGCAGAGAGTTATTGTGCAAAATGAGCAAAATAGGTTCTGTTAGGAAGGATGAAGTGGGAGGATGGCTGAAATAGGAATAGCTCATTGCCGCTATCAGCATATCTGCTTCTTGCTGTCAGGATCTACTGGACTGCTGGCGTTTCTGGGTTGTTTTGAACTGACTCTTCTGCTTTCTCATAAGTTCTATAAGCTCACTCATGTTCCTCTAACAAATTTCCTTCCCACTTAAGTTAGCCAAATCTGGATCTCACTGAGGCCCTAAATTTCCTAAGTGATCATCTTCAGCAGCATCATCACCGAACCATTTTGCTGATATTTATTGAGCACTTGCTATAAAGGGAAATCTTGAGTCTCTTTGTATTAGTCCTTTCTTCATTGTACTCAAAGAATACCTGCAACTGGGTAATTTGTAAAGAAAAGGGATGTATTTGCTCACAGTTCTGCAGGCTGTACAGGAAGCATAGTATTGGCATTTGTTTCTGGTGAGGCCTCAGGAGGCTTCCAATCATAGCAGAAGGTATAAACCAAAACATTTCTGAGACAGGTCTTGATCAATTTAGACAATTTATTTTGGGCTGGGCGCCATGGCTCATGCCTGTAATCCCAGCACTGGGAGGCTGAGGCAGGTGGATCACTTGAGGCCAGGAGTTTGAGACCAGCCTGGCCAATGTGGTGAAACCCTGTCTCTACAAAAAATACAAAAATTAGCCATCATCCTAGCTACTCAGGAGGCTGAGGCAGGAGAACTGCTTGATCCTGGAAGGCGAGATTGCATTGAGGCAAGATCACACCAATGTACTCCAGTCTGGGCAACAGAGTGAGATTCCATCTTAAAGAAAAAGAAAGTTTATTTTGCCAACATTAAGGATGCATGTCTGGGAGGTAGGTCTGTGTCTTTCTCCAAAGATTATTTGAGGGGTTCAATATTTAAAAGAGAAAGGACAGATATTGGGAAAGAGAAGACATTTTTAAAAGGTGTGAATAGATAAGAGACAAATGGTCGCATTCTTTTGAGTCTTTAATCAGCCTTTCTTTTTTTTCTTTTTCTTTTTTTCTTTTTTTTTTTTTTGAGGTGGAGTTTTGCTCTTATCACCCAGATTGAAGTGCAATGGCACCATCTTGGCTTACTGCAACCTCGGACTCCTGGGTTCAAGCGACTCTCTTGCCTCAGGCTCCCAAGTAGCTGGGATTACAGGCGACAACCACCACACCCAGCTAATTTTTGTATTTTTAGTAGAGATGGGGTTTCACCATCTTGGCCAGGCTGGTCTCGAACTCCTGACCTCAGGTGATCCACCCACCTCAGCCTTCCAAAGAGGTGGGATTATAGGCATGAGCCACCATGCCCGGCCTTTAATCAGACTTTCACCAAATACACAATATACATCTGGGGGAAGGGTAGAGGAAGAGTCACTTAGGCTGTTTTCTGTCTTCTTTCCTTCCCCTTCCCCTTCCCCTTCCTTCCTTCCTTCTTTCTGTCTTTCTTTTTTTCTTTCTTTTTCTTTCTTTCCTTTTTTTTGGACAGAGTTTCGCTCTTGTTGCCTGGGCTGGAGTGCAATAGCACAACCTCAGCTCACTGCAAACCTCTGCCTCCCAGTTTCAAGTGATGCTCCTCCCTCAGCCTCCCGAGTAGCTGTGATTACAGGTGCCTGCCACCACACCTGGCTAATTTTTGTATTTTTAGTAGAAATGGGATTTCACCAGGCGTGGTGGCTCACGCCTGTAATCCTAACACTTTTGGAGGCTGAGGCAGGCAGATCAGCTGAGGTCAGGAGTTCAAGACCAGCCTGGCCAACATGGCAAAACCCCATCTCTACTAAAAATACAAAAATTAGCCAGGCAGTAGTGGCATGTGCCTATAATCCCAGCTACTCTGGAGGCTGAGGAAGGAGAATTGCTTGAACTCAGGAGGCAGAGGTTGCAATGTGCAGAGATTGCACCACTGCACCCCAACCTGGGTTACAGAGCAAGACTCTGTCTCAAAAAAAAAAAATGAAACGGGTTTCACCATGTTGGTCAGGCGAGTCGTGATCTCCTGACCTCAGGTGACCCACCCTCCTTGGCATCCCAAAGTGCTGGGATATCAGGTGTGAGCCACCACCCCTGGCCATAATGTATGCCTTTGTCTAGCTCTGGGAATGTGCATTTTTCCAGCAGAGGAACCAATCAAATATGTGTTTGTCTCAGGTGAGCAGAGGGATGACTTAGAGTTCAGTAAAGTTCTTGGTGCTCACAAGGAATTTCCTAGCAGGCAAATTGGGTGAGAGGTATGTGGATTTTTTATTTATTTATTTATTTATTGAGATAGTCTAACTCTGTAGACCAGGCTGGAGTTCAGTGGCATGATCTCGGTTCACTGCAACCTCCTCCTCCCAGGTTCAAGTGATTCTCCTGCCTCGGCCTCCCAAGTAGTTAGGATTACAGGTGTGCACCACCACGCCTAGTTAATTTTTTTGTATTTTCAGTAGAGACCAGTGTATCATCAGGTTGGCCAGTCTGGTCTCAAACTCCTGACTTCAGGTGATCTGCCCACCTCAGCCTCCTAAAGTGCTGGGATTATAGGCGTGAGCCACTGCACTTAGCCTCTCTCCCTGTATCTTCACGTGCTTGCAAACCCAAGAGGGAGCTCTGGGGCCCTTGGTTAGGGTCAGGGCCCCAGAGGCCCAGGGTCAAGGCTATGGCTCCAACTCAAAGATGTGCATCCCTGCAAGAGAGGCTGCATCCAACAGGCATGGAAGAGGCTCCACTGTGGCCTGCTCGAATTCCTGCTGTGGAAAGCAAGAGGAGGTGTTCCTTGAAGAAACAGGGGGATCCCACCGATCTCAGGGGTTCTGTCCTGGCCTGAAGCCATGGATCGTCCAGCCTGTGCTGGGGTGGGGAGCCGACCTTGCCGTTCTTGGCTGGGGCTGAGGGTGAGGGTCCCACTTCGCCAAAGGCCTAGGCCGGGGTTCCAGCCACAGGCCCCACTGGGCAGCACCGGGCCCCGCCCCGCCCCACCTCTCCAGGCCTGGTGCTCACCCTCAGCAAAGATAGTGAGGATGGTCTCAGACACGTCATGCGACCCATCCACCAGGCTTCTCCCACACTGCTCTTAGCCCCACAGATGGCAGCCGAGAGGTGGAGCGGAAAGTATGACCCAGTGGACAGGGGTGACCTGGTGACGAATCCCTAGACAGCGCAGATGAGGCTGTGGGGCAGCAGGCGAGTAATCTGTGGTGAGAGGGGCTCCAGGGAGTCGGAAGACAGGCTTCTTCCCCCACAGCTGGAGGCCTCCACATCAAGAGAGTAAGGGGTCTTCCTCCCCCAGCCCTGCCCTCCTGTGGCCACAGGGCCTGAAATGCCTCCATTAGAGGGAGCAGAGAAACCGCCTGGGTGAGCTGGGTTCAGTGTAGATTTGGCAAAAGCTGGGACAGGGGACCCCATGACCTTGTGACTTGTTAACATTCCACCATAGAAGTAACTGGGGGTGTCTAGTGGCCTTGGAGTCCAGCTGGGGAGACAGGGGAGAGGAGGGGGAGGGCTGGGGGAGGCAGCTGAGGGTCCTGGGCTGTTCCAAGTGGGAGACCTGGGGAGGGGGTGTCTGGGCAGGAGTGATTGGTGATATTTCAGGGGGCAGGTTTTGGGTGGGCACCTGACAGTGGGGGCTCACCACCACTACCACCCCAATGGCCAAGGTGATGTGCCTTCTCTGTGGGGGCTCACCACCACTACCACCCCAATGGCCAAGGTGATGTGCCTTCTCTGTGGGGGTTCCTTACTGAACTGGTGAACCTGGACACTGCCATGAAGGACTGTGTGGATGGGAGTGAGCCTGGGGCAGGCAGGTTGGGGACCGGGATCCTGAGGTTTGGGAGGAAACAGCCTTGGACTCAGCCCTTCCATCTCAGCAAGCCTCCTCTTGTGTGAACCCCACCGTCCTCCCCATGCCCCCTGAGCTGGGGCGTCAGGCCCATTTTACCTCTGAATGGTGGAGGCTCCAGAGCAGCTGCCAGTCCCTGTTCCCTGAGTGGTGAAGCTGCAGAGCTGCCTGACTGCAAAGCTGCAGGAGCCGCAGGAGCTGGACTCAGCCTCTCCCTCAGGCGGTGCCCACGGAAGGAGAGGGAAATTATGCCCCTCCCAAGTCAGGCAGCTCCTAAGTGGCCGAGCATTTTCTTTGTATACTGGGCCTCCGTTTGTCTGTCTGTTGTCAGAGAGTGTTGGGGCAGAAGGTCCCTGAGCTACAGCTCCCACACCTCCTCGTCTAGAGCCCAGAGCCTGATGCAGGTCCCAGTGCTGTTCTATGCACATTTTTCACCCCTGCTGGCCTGGCAGTGTGGGAGGGTGTGGGGATGGGGGCAAGTCATGGGCCAGGGTCCTTTCTGAGGGTCTTTGGCTGGCTGTCTTCCAGGGAAATGTGATCAACACCCAGAAAGGAAAAAGGGGCGCAGCTGGGGCCCTCACTTTGGGGGAGGATGGGGATGTGGAAGTCAGAGACCCCCACCCACTGACCCTGGGTAGAACACTCCCCGGCTCCATCCTCTGCAACCTGGATTTATTGGGAGGGTTTGATACACAGAGGACGAGACCCATCCCAATGGAGGGTGTGGGTAGGGGACAGGAATCCTGGACAAATTCCTAGCGGGGGCTGTTTCTCTGTTTATATCCAACTCTGAGAAAAGGGTGGGGCTGCATGGGATTGGAGAAGAGGGGACCTACTAAGAGAAAAGCCCTAGAGATCAGCCCCAGTTTACTCCGTCCCCAAGGGCCCTTCGGCATCTTCCACCCAGGCCCTGTCAGCCTCCTGTTTTTCCCCTCTGGCTCCAGGAGATTAAAGTCCTCCAAGAAATGCAGCTGCTTCCGTGACAAGAGGGAATTATCATCTTCGGACTCAGGAGGTATGGGGTTGGTTTCAAGTCCGTGGAGCCGCACAGTCTGATTGAGAGGTGAGAGCCTAGCGGATTGACAGAGGGTGGGCGGAGACTCTGTCTTGTGGTCAGTTTCAGACATCCTGTGGCCACGGCTCCCTGGTCAGCAGCAGGCCCTGTTGAATGGGCAGGCACTGGGAGGGAGGCCGGAGGTGTGGCTCCTGGAGTCTCACAGCTGCTGCTGTGTCCTACAGTTACAACCTGTCCTGCTGCTGAGCCCCATCCCAGTAGGCCAGCCACACCCTCAAGGCCAAGAATACCAGGCCATGAAGAATCTCAGGTCTACTGAGTGCCCAGGTGGCAGGGGCAGAGTGCCTCAGGGCTCAGTGAAGTTTGGGCTGGGCTCCCAGCTCCACTGTTATCAGCCCTGTGACTGGGGCAGGGGACTCACTACTGTAATACTTGAGCATCATTGTCATAATTTTAATGTGTCTGTCCAATCCTTTTCTCTTTTTTATCTCCCTCTATCATGTACTACTGATCTCTGTTAGTATTTTTGTTCAAATAAATAAACATATGTTATATAGTGTGTATTATACTTTCTCATGATTTCTTCACTATACTGTATGACTCCACTCATACAAGGTACTTAAAGTAGTTAAGTTTACAGAGACACAAAGTAGAAGAGTTATTCCTGGGGCTACAGGAAGGTAGGTGAGGTGTTTAACGGGTACAGAGTTTCAGTTTTGCAAGATGAAAAACACTCCCTATAAATATGGAGGATGCTCGTAAAACTGTGTGACTCTGCTTAATTCCTTTGACCTGCACACTTAAAGACTGTTAAAATGAAAAAAAAAATTGTTGGCCGGGCGCAGTGGCTCAAGCCTGTAATCCCAGTACTTTGGGAGGTGGAGGTGGGCAGATCACCTGAGGTCAGGAGTTCAAGAACAGCCTGGCCAACATGGTGAAGCCCCATCTCTACTAAAAGTACAAAAAATAGCAAGGTGTGGTGGTGCATACCTCTAATCCCAGCTACTCAAGAGGCTGAGGCAAGAGAATTGCTTGAACCCAGGAGGTGGAGGTTGAAGTGAACCAAGATTGCACCACTGCACTCTAGCCTGAGCAACAGAGCGAGACTCCATCTCGGAAAAAAAAAAAGAACAGACTATATCTATCTGCAACAGCATGAATGCATATCACAAATATAATGTTCCATAAAAGTAAGTAAATGTAAAAGTGTACATACTATATAATTTGATTTATACAAAATCCAATAAGCAGACAAAACTGAGCTCCTGGCTTTCAGTAACACTGGAGTAGCTTGTTGAATTAACACAGATTATAATGATGAAACTTGAATAGTATATTATATATTGTTATAGAAACACATCTATATAATACAAATATGACCTACGTGTGAGTAAGAACTGAATGAGGATTTCAGCTGTGCCCACTATAGGGGAGATAGGTGTTGACGTTTGAATCTAGCCCAATTAACACCATTTGTAAACAATAACACTGCTTTTCAAAGGTACACAACATAATCGAGAGTCTCTATAATGATTCTTTACAGTTTTAGTACACAACATTAAAATTCATGAGACGTGTGAAGAAACACGAAAATGAGATCCATACACAATTTAAAAAGCAGGCAGTAGAAGTGATCCTAAGATATTTAAGATGTTGTAATTCAGGATGTTTAAAGGCAGCCATTATAAATCTGTTCATGGGGGTAAAGGAAAATATTCTAATCATGAATGAAGAGCTGTGGAACCTCAGCAAAGACATGGAAATTACGAAACAATAGGAAGATAAGGAAATTTAAAAAATACTTTTGAGCTTATTCAAAGATTAGAAACAGAACACAGAGCAATAGAAATTGTCCATTCTGAATAAAAGAGTGAAAAATCTTAAAGAAAATGAAGAGTCTTAGAGACCTGTGGAGTGATTGAGTCCAAGTTGAAGAGGGGACAGGAAAATTAAATGAGGTACAAAGTAAATCACCAACTAATAGCTGAAAACTTCCAAAATTTGTCAAAACCCCCCAATTTTTATACCCAACATGTCAACACACCCCTCCAAAAAATACAAATAAATCCATACCAAGGCCATATTGTGATTTAGAAGACTAGCAGGGCAGAGCTTTCTATTGACTTGCTGTGATTTCTAATTTTAACTACTTAGAAGAATGAAAAATAGGTTCTCCTTAGAGTTTTTTTTTTTTTTTTCTTGGAGAAAGTCTGACTTAGGCACAGATGACTGACAGTTATTAAAGGCCAATGACTTTCCAGCCTTCTCTTAAATTTCCAGTGTCTTACGTTGGAAATTATTTAAATTCGTTTCTTCCAAATCCTGCAGTAATACTGATGCTCCAGAAAGATGTCCCACGGAGATTCTGCTCTTGTGCGTCCCTCCTGCACGGAGCTGAGGCTGTGCCTCCTCTAGTTTCATTAGCGTGTAGTCGTGGGGTACTTCGAGTTAATCTGGAAAACTAAATGTTAAAATGGATTCAGGCCGGGCACAGTGGCTCACGCCTGCAATCCCAGCACTTTGAGAGGCTGAGACGGGCGGATCACTTGAGATCAGGAGTTCGAGACCAGACTGGCCAACATGGCGAAACCCCATCTGTACTAAAAATACAAAAATTAGCCCGGCAAGGTGGCGGGTGTCTGTAATTTCAACTACTGGGGAGGCTGGGGCAGAACAATTGCTTGAACCCAGGAGGCGGAGGTTTCAGTGAGCCCAGATCGAGTCAGTCACTGCACTCCAGCCTGGGCTACAGAGTGAGACTCCGTGTCAAAAAAAGAAAAAAGAAAAATGGATTCAAAGAATTATCACTGTTAAGTTCCACCAGCAAATTATTAAACGTGGTTCCAAAGGGATATTTAAAAAGGGAAATTAAGTGTTTCCATGAAGGTCCTATTCACAGCAGAAACGCAGACACTGTTCATGACCTCACCACACAAACTTCCCTTATGTGTTGGGAGGGACCAAGGGGCTCTCTGGCCCTGCACCTGCGTTAATTACGGCCGGGAGGTCCACACTAGGACCCCAAGGTCTGGGAACCAGCCTGGATCGGGGGCAGAGAAGCGGTGGATGTGGCTCCCAAAGTGTCTTAGGGGCTCCCTTCCCTGTGGCTGTTTCCTGACTGGATGCAGCAGGGTCAGGCCTTTCGCTGTGACGTTTTCAACTCTTTGTCAGAGTGGCAGGAGCGTCCCTGTGAGAGGCCTGACCCAGGTGTGGGTCATGCAGCCAGCCCGGGGTCCAAGGGGCACTCCTGGGATGAACAGGAGGATTTGCGACAGCCTAGAGGATAGAGGAAATGGTGGCTTTGAAAAGGCAAGTGCTAGGTTATCAGGGAACGCATATATCCATTTCTGGCAGCGAACGGACGGTTTCAGACACTCACGAGGGAGCTTCCCGCGTAGGATGCCAAGAAGTCGGAGAACAGTCAGACACCTGGCGATTAGCCCGTCCTACGCAGGGACTACACTGCGCATGTTCAAAGGGGGCGTGTCAGGGGTGGGGCGAGACGGAGGG
Organism: Homo sapiens; assembly: GCF_000001405.40. NCBI lineage: Eukaryota > Metazoa > Chordata > Mammalia > Primates > Hominidae > Homo > Homo sapiens. Next base: position 57,404,187 of record NC_000007.14, read on the forward strand.
GCGGTGCCGAGGGGAGAGGCAGCGCAGAGGGAAGGAGCGGGGCGAGGAGAAGGGGCGGGGCGAGTACTGCTCCAAGATATGGCAACCGTGACAGCTTTGCGAGTAGCTCCAGGTCCCCTGCTGCTCCGTGAGAAATCAAACTTCTGGCAATGACGAAGCATGAAGCCAGCATCTCAGGGAGAGGTAGTGACATAATTACACGATAAGACAAGCCGCCTGGTCTCGCTGTCACTTGGCAGGCAAGAGAGGTTCGGGAACAACCAGGCTCCCCTTTGGCATGGCAGAACTGCTCTGGACTCGGGAAGGTGTGGATTGGAGGGCGGGAGCTACGCCTGGCATACTGGGACTTGTCATCTTTGATTAGCTTCCAGTTTTTTAATTGCAGGGCGACCGGATTACAATCCCAGCCAGCATGAACATGGGGCGGCGCGCAGTCCTGAAGGGGGAAGCCGGGCTGTGCCGGCCTGGCTCTGCCGGCCTGGCTCTGCATGCTGGGAGCTGTAGTCTCTTCACCGCTCCCGCCCGTTGTTTCAAGCGCTTCGGGACTGCAATCCCAGCATGCCCCGGTCTCAGGGGCGGGGCGCAGTTCTTGCGGGAGGAGCGGGGCGGTGCGCTCCTGGCCACGCAGGCTGGAAACTGTAGCTCTTAACGGTTCCCCGCCCGTTGGTGGCAAGGCGGCTGGACTAGAATCCTAGCAGGCGATATGCGAGAAGGCGGGCAGCCCAAGAGGGTTGGGCAGGGCAGTGTGGATCTCGCCGCTTCCACAGCGATGCTGGCTACTGATTTCGGACACCTCCTTGCCATGGGATGTGAGTCCGGAGAGGGACAGGAGGGGCAGGTCCGGGTTGGGCAGTGAGGAGGGTGTGACGCCGCGAAGTGCACCTCGCCCTTGTCCAACTCGGACGGGTGTGGTCCTCACCTCACTTCCCGCTGCTAGGCTGGGTTCCCTCTCCCACCTGCACCCGGGGTCTTTCCTGGACATCACGCCTCCTCCAGCCCAGGGAGCCACCTGCTTTCCTAAGCTGCTGTGGGAACTGGCCTGCGGTCCAGGCACTGTCCACTGTGCCGCTGCCCTCTTTTCTCTCCAGCCAGAGCGCAGTGCAGCCGCTATGGGGAGAAATCCGCCGCCCGGCCCGCCAGTGCACAAGTTCAGAGCTTTGCGTGGGGCAACATGCTCTGTGGCTTCATGAAAATGTCACCCTCACCAGCGCCTTTTTCGCGGATGTGGATGTTGAGGTGGCAGAGAGGGTCATTATTGGTTTACCCAGGAGATGCTAACAGCAGAAGAGAAAATCTCACATCCCAGGCGTGTGTCTCTGGTGCGCCATTTTCCCCCAACCCATTTGGTGGAAAGTTCCCCAAATAGCTACCTAAAGATGAAGATAGTTTAGGCATTTTACACGTGACATCATTGGCCTCATCTCAACCGAGGCCTGACTGGGCAGTGTCTCAAAGACACAATGGCAACCTGATTCTCAGGAACAGGTGGTGCTCCAGCTTTGTGTGAGCGACTTTCAAGGTATAGAGCACTTGGGGAGTCTTTGAAACTCCTCAGGCTTCACAACTTTGCTTTGAATGGAATGTTCATCACCCCCGGCACTCACGGAGGTACCTTTACTCTCTCGGGCTGATCTGTTTAATTTTTCTGTCCAGACAATGGAAACTTCTGGGAGCACTTCTGGTTTCGTGTAGCTTCCTAATAATTGATGTCCCTTAATTCCAGGTGTCCTCAGGGAAAGTTCCTTTGATTCTGGAATGGCTCCAGCTTTTATGCTTTTGTGTTTAATCCGTAAAAACCAAGGTGTTAATCTACATAAAAATAAGACCTTGTTCATATCACACATTCCAACAGGCTTCATTTCTGATTCCTGAATGCGGATTACTATTTTAAAAAAGCCTAAAAACTCTGGTCATGGATATTAGACACTGTTATTGTACTTTGTGAAGAATTTACTCCTTCAGGATCAATTACACACGGGCTCATCAGCACCTTTGTCAATAAAGGAACAAGAACCATGTGGCATCTATGGATGTGGTGAGGTGAAGTATAGGGAGACCACAGCATAACAGCTCTTCCCTTGTTTTCAGTAGAGTTTGTGGGGTCAAGTACCTGCATTCTTCCCCCATCCCTCAATATTCTCATTCTACTCTTGACTGTTCCCTCTTTAGGTGGGAGTTTCTAAATACACTCGTCCGCAAGTGTTGGTGGGGATGTTGTAATGTGAGTTCATCCATCATCCGTCACCTTAAAGATGAATGGAGAGGATTTTGTGATCTGTGTTCAAGAGGCACTGCTGTTGGGTGGGTGGCTGCAAAAACACGTGATCTCAGCTGTCCCCAGCAGCTGCCTCACAAGATTGGTCCTGATGCAGCCACAGCTGCTGTTCACAGAGCCAGGAGCTCCTTGCAGTTTGGTGTATTCTGCTGAGATTTGTGGCTCTGACCCTCCTCTGCTCACCCCATTCCTGGTAGTATCTGCTCAGCTGCCTGGTTTGGTCCAGTGTTTCCTGGGAGCCTGTTGTGTAACTGCATTTCAGAGGGTCTTTGGGGATTCCACCCTCACTACACCAGTCACTCTACACTGGCCATGCACTTAGCTTCTTGGGGCCCTGTGTGTGTCCTCTTCCAGTGGAGCTGTGAAGAGTTCTAGTTAGGGATAGATCTCATTCTCATGCACCTCAGGCTGCTTCAAAAGCTGATCATCTCATCTTTGGACACATGGACATTATTCCTTTTGTGTATTTTGAAGTCTGATGCTGTTTTTTTTTTCTTTTTTAAAAAGTAATGTGGACCCTTACAGTAACAGTAACAGTCATTTTTAATTATCTTTGTGAATTTAACTCTGGCAACAATTTCATGAAGTTGACATGTGGTTCTCATTTTATAGGTGAGAAAACTGACACTTGGAGAGGTAGAGTAGCTTTATTTACTTCACACAAGCTTTTGATGAATTTCAAGTCTCAACCTAGAAGTCTTCCTCTAAGGTATGACTGTGGCATATTCTTTGTGTTTCTCTGCCAGCATCCCGAAGGGGTCCACATCCCATTTGGACTCCATTTTCTTCTTAATGACAGGAAACTTCTAGAAACAGGCCTTCAGTTGGGGAGAGCACTTGCTGGCCCTTGGCCTTCCCTATCCTCCGCCTTCCCCTTGGCAGGGCTTAGGTGATTTGAGGGAGCTGGAGCAGCGACCAGCACTTACGTGGAATGCTTGTTGTTATGTAAAGATAACACCCACTCACTTTTTGAGGTGCGATTTTTTTGGTTCTAATTATTCCTCTGGGATTTCTCTTCCAGGTTCGTGCTTTCACGCACCTGTAATTCAAATACTGATGAAAACAAAACTATTGCCCTCCTACCAAATGGTAACAATGTGTGTATGTTTTTCTGTTTCTAATTATAAAAGAAATGCATGCTGTTTGAATAATGGCAGATCATAGAGATCTTTATGTAACAAAATTCTCCCATGTCTTCCTCTTCGTTCCAAACTCACTCCCTTCTTAGAAGGAATTATTATAGCTTGGTGTTGATTCTTCTGGATGTTTTCTATAAATTTATAAATACACATAAAGTTGGCCAGGTGCGGTGGCTCATGTCTGTAATCCCAACACTTTGGGAGGCCAAGCAGGGAGGATCCCTTGAGCTCAGGAGGTCGAGGCTGCAGTGAGCTGTGATCATGCCATTGCACTCCTGTCTGGGCAACAGAGTGAGACCCTGCCCCCCCCAACAAAAAAAAGAAGATAAATACATGTACAGTTTTTGAACACAAATTGTATCATACTATATTTTTTAATTTTGCTATTTCACAGGCAATATATCATTTACATTATTCTATATCAATGCATGAGATTCTAACTCCCTATTTTTAATGTCTTAAATGTATTCCAATGGGCATACAAGATTTGTTTCACTGTTTATTCTTTTATAGAAACTTAGATTATTTCTAATTCCATTGTAATTAAAAAATGCAGTGATAAGATTCTTGTACATAATTTACTACACTGACAACTAACCGTTCAGTTTATCTTGCCTTCTTTTAGTCAGAGAATATGTCACGAGTTTAATATTTATTTTATGATTTGATTCATAGGGAAATTAATGTTATGACTGGATAAGACAATTGTGAAGAAACTGCACTTCGAGGTTGTCTGTCTCCGTATTCCGATGGAAAAGGCTGGACTTTAGAAGCATTGCTCGCTCCTTCAGTTTCTAACAAGTCAGTATTCTCATAGCAATTTAAATTTAAATGTTTGAATTGTTTCTCCTTCCCTCGTTCACCTGAAACTTCTGACTCCAGGGTTTTTCAGTTGGGGTTTAGAGAGGATAACTCCCATATCGCTGTTGTATCTATTTCTCTTCAGCATCTGGCTGCATGTGCTAAAGATCATAGAATTAGACCAGGTCCTGTATATATTTTGGGACCAAAAATTCAAAGTAATCAACTCAAGACAGGAGTCTACAACTTTGATTCTTAACAAAAGATTTCCTTTGATTTCCCCAAATCTTTATGATTCCTAGAAGAAATTCACCCATGGGTGAAGCATGTGGTTCTGTTGAATAACATTTTGTTGGGGATTTCCACGTCGAGTTTCATGAGGCATACTGTTTTCCAGGGTTTTTTTTTTTTTTTTGGTACTGCCTTTCTCTGATTCTGTTGGAGAGTAATACTAGCCTTCTAAAATATATTGGGAAATGTTCCCTCCTCTGCTACTTTTAGACAATATTATACTCATAATGACAAGTTTTCTGTAAAAATGCTCTGAAAAAAAAATGTAGGGTGGGCTGGGCATGGTGGCTCATACCAGCACTTTGGGAGGCCGAGGCAGGCAGATCACTAGGTCAGGAGTTCGAGACCACCTGACCGACATGGTGAAACCCCGTCTCTACTAAAAATACAAAAATTAGCCAGGCATGGTGGCGTGTGCCTGTAATCCCAGCTACTCAGGAGGCTGAGGCAGGAGAATCACTTGAAACCAGGAGGTGGAGGTTGCAGTGAGTCAAGATCACGCCATTGCACTATAGCCTAGGTGACAGAGCAAGACTCTGTCTCAAAAAAAAAAAAAAAGTGTAGGGTGCCTTTTCTCTTTTGTACTGGGTAATATTATTTATCTTGATTGGTATTTACCCATATAGCTGCCAATGGTTTAATGAGCCCCCATCTTCTACTCACCAATCTTACCCCTACTTCAGCCACTCCTCCCTACTCTCTGGTACTCAGCCCCGTGTTTTTCTCTCCTCACATTCTCAACCCTATCTCTTTAATGTGGGGACTTCCATGCGTTGCCTATATCCAACCACCCTGCACTGCCAGGAGGCTCTGCAGGCTCTAAGCTGGGGCAGCAATGTGGTCCCCTTAGTTTCAGCCTCCAGACCTCAGTCCTGTGCTCCTTGCAGATGCTTCTAGTGTCTGGAAACATCTGGTTCATGTAGTTGGTCTGGCTTCCTATGTGTTTGGTTCCAGAGGGAGTCTGTTTCTTGCTCTTCCACCATACAGAGAAGGCAAAGCTCTGAATTGATTTTGAAATCAATTCTTGATTATTTCTTTTGGAATGAAATACATTGTCTATTACTTTATGATGACATAAATATTGTAGCTTAGTTTGTGACAGTTAGAGTTTCATTTTTATTTATTGTTTTACAGGCCATGCCACCATGCCCAGCTAATGTTTTATTGTTTGGCAGAGACATGGTCTCACTCTGTGGCCCAGGCTAGTTCCAATTCCTAGGTTTACACAATTCTCCCACCTTGGCCTCCCAAAGCGCTGGGATTACAGGCATGAGCCACTGTGCTTGGCCAATAGTTAAAATTTTAAATTATTATGTACAATACTGTGATATGCCATATTTAACTTATTCAGAGACAAGGCTTTAATAAAAATTACTTTATGTTAGAATATTTTTCTTTAATTTTTTCAGATTAGTTTTCTTTTTTTCCCCCTAATCTTTTTGTTCTAGCCTCAGTCGCCTTTACCCTGAGTTTCCATGTTTCCATCCTGGGCAGCAGAGGCAGCTCCATGGATGATGGGCCTGTGGCTCTGTGTACTTGGAGCTCTTACCCAGTAAGACTTTGTGACCAGGAGGCCTCTTTTCAGGACAGATCACCTGCATGTAAAACAAAGAGCCCTTCCAGGCCAGGAGTACTTAGCCAAAATCTTTTTGCTTTCGCATTTTATTTTTGTTTGTTAGGGTTTTTTTTATTTCTTTGAGACAGGGTCTCTGTTGCCCAGGCCGGAGTACAGTGGGACGATCTTAGCTCACTGCAACCTCTGCCTCCTGGGTTCAAATGACTGTCTTGCCTCAGCCTCTCAAGTAGCTGGGTTTACAGGCTCACACCATGGTATCCTGCTAAGTTTTGTATTTTTAGTAGAGACGGGGTTTCACCATGTTGGCCAGGCTGGTCTCAAACTCCTGACCTCAGGTGATCCACCTGCCTCGGCCTCCCAAATTGCTGGGATTAATGGTGTGAGCCACCACAGCCAGTGAGTTTTTGAGTCATTATCCATCATTGGACACAATAAATATCCAGACACACAGATGTTCTCCAACATGTCTATGAGTTTAGAGATTGGACATTTCTTTTTCCAGGGATCCTGGTTCTTGACCTTCTCATTTAAGGTTTTGTCATCTCCCAGCAGCAGACACAAGGTTTCCTTAAGCCCTGTCAGTGTAGAGGGGAGGGTCTTTGAAAAGTACCAAGGATACACTGTGAGTATTTCAAGATTTATCCACATTTCTCTGTCTCTTCCAGGCCAGTTCTTGGAGATACTAGGAAGCCAAGAGTTTCCTCCAGGAATGGAGATTCCTTGGAAGTGAGGTTCACCTTGAGTCAAGAAAGACGAATCACACACGGTCAAAGGCAATTGCCCAGGGTCTCAAGAACAGAGCCAGAAAGAAGAGCTGGGGCCGGCGGGATTGTGGGGGTCCTCTCTCCCACCTGAAAAGCTACAGCTGCCTGCCGATCCTCTCAAGAGGAGACCTCTCTGGGCTCCAGCACCTAAAACAGACAAACCTGGGAGGATGCTTCTCTCTTCTGTGTCACACGTGTCCTGGAGAAAACCCATGTATCTGAATGACCAAAGAAAAGTATGAGAAAAAGTGCAAAATCTGTGCCAGGCCATTCAGTGTCTGGCTGGGGCTCTGGGGTGCACATGCATTCCAAGAAGACTGAAGGGTGCCAAGCCTGCAGGAAATGTCCATCAGACCTGCCTCTCACACCTGGAGTAGGACTGCCCGTCCAGCTTCATGATGCAGAACTGTCTTTAAAAGGTGACTGCAGATATGGAGAGAGGGAATTCTAACCCTGATAGAACATGACCAGCTGTCCTGCTGGGGAAAGCTGCATCTACCAGTGACACGCTGCTCAAACTGGCCCAGGACACACTCTTACTACTTAAGGAATAAGCCCCACATTTGCTCTTTGTGGGTAAAAGGAGAGGGTGAGAGAGGAGGGGAGTGTCCGCACAGACATGAGAAGCCTGCAGATCCAGATGACCCCTTGCTGATCAGAATATGAAAGATCGATATGCGGAAACAATGACCCCATAGCAGATGAGCTTCTAGAGCAGGCTTCAACCATGGGTCATCTGGACCCACTGGTGGAGAAGTCTGCCCCCACTCTATGTTGATGGTCTGGGGGATACCATTACTGAGACAGATTTAAGAAATAATCTCTACCTGTTGGCGAAATCTGGATGGTCACTTGTGCGAGACAGCAGTGTGCTCTCATCAGCTTTCCACAGGGCAGGCTGCGGAAATGGTGCTGAGAAGTCCTTTTGTAAATTGATTGTCCATGGCTGCAGACTTACCATCAAATGGAAGAAGATTCCAAGCTCTCAAAGAAAAGGAAAAATAGAAGGATGGAACCACAGACTCTGGGATCCTGCCAGAGCCTATTTCAGTGCTGCCAGGAGCTCCTCCTCCCCCTGCAGCTCTGGTCCCCACCTTGGAGCCTCCTTCCAAGGAGTGAGACTACCTTTCTGACTTTTTCTGACCATAGACACCTTTTCTGACTTTTTCTGTCCTTGGCACCTGCTGAGGACAGCAGACCCAGGGACCCGGGCTCCTGGGCCCATTCTTGCCCAGCTTCTTCTTGATCATGTGACTTGAAGGCATTCTTGTGCAGTGGAAGCAGGGCCCCAGGACCATCTGATAGATTGATGGTCTCTGGCCTCTGCTCCACTGATGGTCGGATGGTGGCCACTCAGGGTGTGAGAGCCTAGCCATCGCTGCTTCCTTGAGTTGAAGAGGTTGGAGGCTGGTCCACCTGCTCCTATCCCACCCTTGGCGATGTGGATGGTTGCTCTTTGAGCCTGGTAACGTCACTGCCTTGGCCCTGCCAGGCATGCCTGCCTTGTGGGGGCCCTGCGTACCCACACACTACTTTAAGGGGCTTGCTCTTCCTTGGGCCAAATTCTAGTTTTGGCCAGTGCCCCAGGAAGTTCAGTCCCCTGTTTTGTTATCTTGGCTATTTCTGGGGCACCCGTGGTTCTCCTGGGTCCCTTTTCTCCCAGGGCTTGGGCTGGGCTTGGCATCTGTAGGTCTGGGATGTTTGCCCTGTGAGGGAGGCTCTGTCACACAAGTGGGCAGGCATGGGGACATGTGACAGGCTGCTGGCTGGCTAGGGCTCTGAAGATGCCACAATCCTTCTCCTCTACAGCAGCCTCTGAGTCCAGCTTCCACATTGACACTGATTTCACCGGGCGCAGGAGCTGCCTGGGGTTGTCTGGGTGCTGTCTTGGCTCCTTTAAGGCTGTGCTGCTCAGTGGCCCCTGAGAAAGGTCAGGTCCAGGTGCCACCATGCAAGGGGAGTGTCTATGGCCCTACTGCTGGGATTTCAGTGGGCTGGGCAAGGCCTGGTTGTGGGGGCCCTGATGGTCTTCAGGGCCAGGGCCTGTCCTATGGTCCTGGGGGTGTCCAGGGAAGATGAAAGAACAGGGGTTCGGCATCCCTGCTCAAAGCTGCACTGTGGACACCATGAGCCCCGGATGTCCAGGTCCATGGGGAGTTTGGGAGAGAATTTCAACACAGAACTCACCAAAAATCCCATGGTCTATCCTGAGATAGGAACAGACTTTCCACATCTTGAGCCGCTGGGCCCCCAGAGAGTGACCTGCTGTCGTGGGCTCTATGGAATTCTCATGCTGCTGGGCCTTGGCCTCAGGTCAGCTTCTGGGCTTCTGGAGCTGGGCTGGTGGGCCAGGGAGGGCCAGCCCACCCCCCTTGGGAAGGGTCTCCATGCTGAGGGATGCCCACAGAGGCCTGGGTGCCAGAGACACTCACCCCAGGACCAGGGCCTTCGTAGAGATCTTTGTATGTTTAGCTGAATGGAAAGTGAACTTGGTCCACTTCTCCCCCAAGCTCATCTGACCCTTGTATGGTTTGAGTTTTTGGAGTCTTGGGGTCTCTAGTAACCCACCTGGTCTGACACTGAGGAAACACCTACAGGCTGCTGATCCCACAGTGAGGGGTGTGTGCCGCCTGGGCATGGGCATTTGTGAGTGAGGGGCCCTGCTGATCCCACAGTGAGGGGTGTGTGCCGCCTGGGGTATGGGAACTCGTGAGTGGGGACCCCTGTTGCTCTCTGGCCCTGTTGGTGCTCGCAGCTATGTGTGTGGGCTGGCACAGATGGGACTGAACCCTCCAGGGCCCTCCAGGGTTCTTCTAGGGCAGGAGTGGAAGGGTGTGGTGGGGGGCTTGGAGGGGTCTTGCCCTCATCCCCTGCCCTGTTACTGAGGTGAGTCCAACACCTGCCTTGGGGCCCAGCTGGCCTGTTTTTAGAAGCTTCTTAGAGAAGGAAGAGGAGGAGGAGAAGGAAGGCCTGGGAAGCAGGGATGGAGGGTCCTGGGCACTGCCCACTATTTACTGTCTTAGATGGTGACTCAGGAAGGGACCTGGTGCTGGAGTCCACCTAGGGGGCAGGTCACAGTGCATCCTTCTGAGCTCAGCCATGGAGGCCTAAAAGTGCCTGAGAACCACATCATCATCCAGAGCCCAGGCCTGGGACACTGCGTCTTGGGAGAGCTCCCACAGGACAAACAGGAGAGCTTCAGGAGAGGGTCTAGGTTTGGGGCTGGGCGTCAGGCCAGGAGGGGTCTCCTGGGAGGGTTCTGTGCCTTCACCCTGTTTCTGCCCTGTGCACCTTGCACTGGGCAGTGCTGGGTCCTTTCTGGACACCCCTGGGGTCCAGCTCTGCACAGGAGGCAACAGATACCGGAAAGCCCAGGCAGGGAAGCGCTCGCCACACTCCTGCCTTTCATCTGAGTTGTGTTAGGGGTGGGTTCAGTTTCCAGGAGGACTCATGGTGCCCTGTCCAGCCCACCAGGGCTGGATTGGTTTGGCCCTCCCTCTGGGCTAAAGCAGAAGGTTCTGTGGGCAGTGTGGGCACTGCCCTCGGGCCAGGTTTCATGTACTTGTGTGCTCCCCCAGCGCCCTCGGGCACATGGGGACAGGGTTCCGTGCACTTTCAATGCCACATGTGCCCTGGCTGTGAGCATGTGCTTGCCCTGGAGAAGGCAGATGTACCAGAGCCTCAGGATGAGCTTGTGATGAGCTTGAAGTAGGAGTTGGTGGGGACAGCAGGCATGGGAGGACCTGGTCCTTCAAGGTAGAGGGCTGGTGGCCTGAGCAGGGCCTACTGGGGCCTCAGTCTGTGGTGCTGGGGGTCCCCTATGTATGGGGTGAGACCTCCCACAGGAGGCTGGATCAGGTAAGGTTTTGCAGCTTCTTATAGGGGTGGTCTCACCTCCATCAAATGTGGCCCCTGAAAGAAGGGGCTCCCCAAGTACTCTCCCAAGATGAGTCCTGGCCCAGTCTGCCCAGGATGCTGGCCCTGAGTCCCAGCCCCAGCCGTATGATACCCCCTCTCAGGCAGGGCATGGTTTGTGTGCCATGCAGGGACCTGCATCTGCCTCCTGTGCAGAGGAAGGGAGCTGGGTCCTTCTGGAGGAGCCAGACCCCTAAGCTGGGGAAGCCAGGCCCTGTAGGGCAGCAGGGTCCCTGGCCTGGGGTCTCTTGTGCACACTTATCCCATGAATCAACAAATGTAGAAGCCATTTTAAGGTGGCAATCTGGGTACACAACATTTGCTTGTCTTCACAGAAGGAGCAGAGGTGTTCAGAGCCCGCTGGACTGCCCTGAAAACCTCACTATTCCAGGCTCCTCTGCAGACCCTTCCCAAGGCTAGAACTCCAGGCAGTAGGCTGGGCTGTCACCCTCTTCTCTGAGATCCTTCCCCTGTCCTGAGACCTCCCCATTGCCCCTCAGATGCCGCATCCCTTCAGATTGCCCACCTCCCCTGGGACCCTCCATGCCCCACATGCCTTACTTGATGCTGCGGCGCTCTCTCAACATGGCGTGGCTTATGAAGGTGTGGCTCACATCAAGGTCATTCTGGTGCACGTTCACTGAGGACATCTTGGCCTGCTTCATTTTCTATAGAGCAGGGCCAAGCCTCAGAACAGACACAAGACTCACTGTCAAAATTGCTGTCATGAAATAGCAGTTCTGGAAGGAAAGGAGGCTTTTTCTGCAGAAACTTCTCTTTATTTCCAAAGCCAGGGAAAGTCAGCAGCACGCAGCTCACCTGTGTTGCCCATGCCACTGTCTGCCCAGGATTTGTGACTGACCCCTTCTGCCCCCTTGGGGTTGACTTTCCCTCCATCTGGGTAACGGGGCTTCTGACACGGTCCGGCCTATGCATCCTGCTCTGGCTGGGACTGGAAGGACCAGACCTGGTATTTCCCTGGGTTCTTGGCCTTCGCCTTCTCGACATTCAGTAGGGATGACCATGCTGGGCCCCAGACATCTGTGAGGTTTCCTTTGCGGATCCAATGAGACATCTGTGGACAGAAGAATGCTCTGGTGAGACAGGCCTCAGGGTGACCCCAAGGGGGATCCGAACCTAAGGATTCTGGAAGCTTCCAGCCTTTGGCTCCACGTTTCCTCAGGAGAGGTTCAGTCTGCCTAGGACTGGGCCTCCCTTCCCCTGAATAAAGAGTGAGCAAGAGCTCAGGTTGTGAACTCTGATCAGGATTTATTCCTTCCTTTGGGGTGACCAGAAGATGTTCCCGTTCCTGGCTTAGAAGTGGCCCAGGCCCTGGCATCAGATTCCTCCCAGCAAGGTGATCCTTGCAGGGATGGGCAGAAGGGCTGGGGACCAGGCCTGTTGTCCTTTTGGTGAGGAAAGTGTACCCTTCTCTGTCTGAGAGGCAGGCAGCACCAGGCAGCAACAATGGGCACCTGTCCTAAACCCTGAAGAGTGGTCACGGGGGACACTCACTCACCACTGTGCCTTCTCACTGTTCCTAGATTTATTCCAGTTGTTAAGCATTCATAGCCATTTATCTGTGCATCTGATGCCCTGATGTTTTTGCTGCAGATAAGAAGTGATGGAGTGAGCTGAGCTGCCAGGCTTCCTGGAGTGATTCTTGGATGCTGGGTCATGTGCTTAGGGGCCCCGATGTGACTGAACTGGAAGGAGCCAGAATAGGAGAGAACCCAGCCCCTGATGAATGGACACTTGTGGCCTGGCCTCATGACCACAGGACACACTGTTCCCAGGGCACAGACACACTGGGCTTTGGTTGGATCTTGGCCTCCAAGTAGGGCCCTGGTGGGCAGCGGGCCGCGATTCCTGAGACACTACTGTGATTCTCGGTGGTGGCTGTGGTAAAACACCTGCAGGGCTGGAGTTTAGTGTGAGATTCAGCAGGAACTGTGGCCTCTCCCAGTGACAATGTGTCACTCCCACTCACCAGCACCCATGCCCACAGGCCACAGCCTCTGCCTCACCAAACCCCCACCAAGTCGCACATCTATGGAGCAGCTCCCATGCAGCAGAGTCAGGTTCTTACCTCCACCTCCAGGGCACAGACAGGGGCAGCTCTGTCTCAATGTAAGGCCATGGGGAGAGCTGAGGACCTGGACCAGGCTGGGGGCCACCCCCTTACCTGAGCAGGCCTCAGGGAAGGACCAGCCCCATCCTCATCTGACCCAGGTCTCAGCCCAGGAGCCCACATAGGGAAGAAAGAACAGACAGGGCCTCCACGCTGGCTGACACTCAGGAGGGGCCGGGGCAATGGAGCAGAGGGAGCACAGGGCCAGGCAGAGGCTGCTCAGGATCCATGGGGGCTCAGGCTGCACAATGGGGCTGCCCCTCCTGGGCTGCAGGCAGCATCCCCTATGGGAGCTGAGAAAGTCCAGTCCTGAGATGGGACACGGCTGCCCAGAGGTGTGTGGTTGGGCCCTGACAGCAGTCTCCCAAAATGTGACTATATTGCCAGGCTCAGTTCCAGGCAATGCTGAGAAGTGCCCAATACAGCGAGGATGCACCTGGAGCCCATCCTGTCTAATGGACTCTGATCATCCCGCATCCGCTTGCCTCTCCTGCATATCGGCCACCACCCCTTCTCTTTTCCTCATTTCTCCATCGTGTCTGACCCAGAGGCTGTGACCCTCTCTCCAGCCCCAGTGGCCCTTCTTTTCCCTTGTCCTGTCAGAGGCCCTGAGCAAGACTTCCCAGATCCAGCCACATGCCTGGCTGGTCCACTTACTAATTGTGTTGCTCTGCACTGCTGGGGTGGTGCCAGAGGCAATGAGGGTGACTGAGGGCCCCACAGGTGTCCAGCTTTGCCATTTACCCCACCCCTAGCCTCAGGGGGTTCTCATGGCTGTCAGCCAGCAGCCCTGGCTTGGGGCACCTGGCTGTCCTCCTCCCACTGTTCTGACTCAGCCTCACCCACCTGTCCTCTGTCCGTGGTGCTGACCAAGCCAGCAGGTAGCAGGTCCCCAGAGGGTACAGCTGGGCTTTGGGGACCCACAGAGGCTCCTCTGCTGAGGGGTCCCAGGTGAGTCACTGCCCCTGGTTCTACATCATCTGCTGTCCTCTTCAGCATCATCCACCCCACCCCAGGCCGGCTCCATGCAGATGCATCCCCGAGTCACCAGTCTCAGGGCCCTCTGTTGTAGGCTGGAGATTACTGTACCTTCTGTACACATTCATATTTATTGTGTGAAATAAAGTATAGAAGCTAAAGTAAATGAGGACTTTGGTTTGCATTTTCCTGATGACCACTGATGTTGAGCACTTGTTAGCCATTTTTATATCTTTTTTAAGAGATAAATATCTATTCAGGTTCTTTGCTTGTTTTTAAATCAGGTTATTAGATTTTGGTGAGTTTTCTCTCTTCTTTTCTATTCAGTTGTGTGGCTTCTTATGTATTTTGATTTTCACCCCTTATGAGGTATATTGTTAACAAATATTTTCTCTGAGGTCATAAGCTGCTTTTTAATTTCATTGATTGACTTCTCCTGTGCAGAAGCTTTAGGGTTAGATATACTCCTACTTGTATTTTTGTTTTTTGTTGCTTGTGTTTTCAATGTCGTATTTAATAAATTAGTATCTGAACCAATGTCAGGGAGCATTTGCCCTGTGTTTTCTTCTAGGAGTTTTACAGTTTCTGATTAAATACCAATGGGATATCACCTCCCATCTCTTAGGATGGCTGTTATAAAAAGGACAAGAGATAACAAGTGTTGGTGATGGTGTGGAGAGAAGGGAACCTTTGTACACTGCTGGTTAAAATGTAAGTTAGTACAGCCATTATGGAAAACAGTATGAAAGTTCCTGAGAATCTAAAAATAGAACTACCATATGGCTCAGCAATCCCTCCTATGAATTATATATCAACAGGAAATGAAATCAGCATCTGATAGAGATATCTTCACTCCCCTCTTCTCCGTGCCCCACCACAGCATTGCTCCCAACAGCCAAGCCATGGGATGAAGTTACTGTGCATTGATGGATGAGTGGAGAAAAGAAAATGTGGGGGAGGTGTTTGTGCATGTATGTGTGTGTGTGTATAATATATAATAATATAATATTTTTCAGCTTTTAAGAAGTTGAAGATACTGCCATTTGTGATAACATAAATGAATCTGGAGGATATTAAGCTAAGTAAAATAACTTAGGGAGAGAGAAAAATACTGCATAATTTCTGTTACATATGAAATCTTTAAAAAGGTTTAATACATAGAGACATGATAGAGTGATGATTTGGGGGATAAGAGACACAAGTCAACGTTTCAGTTATATAAAATAAATGAATCTAGAGGACTAAAGTACAATTTAAAGGTTATAGTTACTATTTTTATATTATATACTAGTGATTTTTGAACAGGGTAAACTTTAGGTGCTTTGACACCAAAAGGAAACTACATGAGTTCATGTATATGTTAAATTGTTTGACCGCAGTCATCATTGATATGTATATGTATATATATATAATTATGGGCTCATTAAATTTAAATGCTATAAATAGGTAACAAAGAATAAAGTTAATTGAAAAACTGCATCATTAGACTTGATTTTGCCTACATGAAAAACTGAAACTGCCTCCTAAATATTAATATTTGTACATCGCATAAAGTTTATATGTTGGAAATATGTTTAAAGAAAAGGAATTATAAATTTTAATAAACACAGAATGACACAGTAAATGCAAAACAGTAGAAAGAGATGAAAATCTGATTAATCAGAGTGGTTAATGCTTAGATATAATTAATGATGTGTTAGGAGCAATTTCAAGCCACTTCCACATAGATTTAATACCAAAGAGTTTATGTGTACACAGAGATTAAATAAAAAAATACATTTACAATGATATTAATTGATATTAAAATGATTATGAAATCAACTGTCTGCTATAGAAAAAATAGAGCATTAAGTAACTAGCAGTAAGTTTGAAACTTTGTTAGAAAGTTAATCAAGTGAAAAAGTGATCAGCATTTTTGAGCACTAAATAGAGGATGGACAAAATTTTCTTTTCTTTCTTTCTTTTTTTTTTTTTTTTGAGATCGAGTCTGTCTCTGTCGCCCAGGCTGGAGTACAGCGGCGCAATCTTGATCTCGGCTCACTGCAAGCTCTGCCTCCCGGGTTCACGCCATTCTCCTGCATTAGCCTCCTGAGTACCTGGGACTGCAGGCGCCCACAGCCATCCCTGGCTAATTTTTTGTATTTTTAGTGGAGACGGGGTTTCACCGTGTTAGTCAAGATGGTCACGATCTCCTGAGCTCATGATCCACCTGCCTCAGCCTCTTAAAGTGCTGGGATTACAGGCGTGAGCCACCGCACCTGGCCTATAATTTTCCAATACCAAGAAAATCATTTGATATTGCAAGATTTTAAACCTAAATTAGTGTCTTTAACTTCACAAAGGTAGAAATCCTATAAGTAATGTTTCTTGAACACTTTAAAATGACAATAAAAACTAAAGTGTAACCAACAAGTAACATGTAGCCACATGCAAATTTCCTTTTAGATTGTTTTATTATTTTTTTAACTTTATGTGAATTTTTATTTTACTAGGTTTTTGGGGAACAGGTGGTGTTTGGTTAGAGGGATAAGTTTTTAGTGGTGATCTCTGAGATGTTGGTGCAGTGTACACTGTACCCAATGGGTAGCCTTTGATCCCTAAGATTGTTTTAAATGACATCTAGATTAAATAGAACATTCAAACTGACATTACTTTTACAGCACCAGAGAAATGCTAAGGAGGAAGCTTTGTGACTGAAACCAAAAGACCTGAATTTATATATTTAATTTTACTAATTAACATTCTTAATTTTATAGAAAAACAGCAATTCTGCCCACATGCAGGAGTTATGCATTAAAGTGGAGCATGATCACTTCAGACATTTGTCCAAAACATAAAAATTCTTCCAAGTATTAAGAAAATATTTATACTTCACAGATATTGTTAGTGTATAATACATGGGCATTGAGATGTTTCAAATGAGAAAAATTGAAATTTCTCATGGGGCATTGTTCTACACAAAATATTTATGTAAAATTTTTTACTCATATATGCATGTGGACATTTGATGTTTTAGCACAGAATAACATATTCTCAAAGGTCATTTAATGTAGTAAATTAAAAATCTTTAAAGTTTACAAGAATTTTAAAACTGCCCAGCAGAACTGATAGAAAAATATGGGAGCTTCCCAGGACCAGAAGTGAATCAAGAGGCAAATTCACAGGAGTCATGAAAGTGAGAAGTTAGAGCTGCCTTCAGGTACAGCTCTGATTGCAGGGCTGATTACACAGACCTCAAGCCTGTGAAAATCGTCCACTCTGCCCCTTGGAATATACATACAGAGAAAATTACTAACTGGGGCATCCCAAATGTGAGATCTCTATAATGTAAGAACCAAATTGCAATTATGAAGCACACAAAAGAAGCTACCCAAAAAAGGGAAAGAAATTATACATCACGTAAACTTCACAGATTGGAAACGTATTTAAAATAAGTAACACAAATAGGGAAAGAGAATATCAAAATAATTTTGAAAACACATGAAGTTCTAAAGCGGGCACTGGGGGCAGTGGCTCATGCCTGTACTCCCAAGCACTTTGCGGTGGCCAAAGCAGGAGGATCACTTGAGGCCAGGAGTTTGAGATCAGCCTGGGCAACAAAGCAAAAGTTGTCTCTACAACAAATAGATATAAAAAAATAAGCCAGGCACAGTGGTGTGTGCTTGTACTGTCAGCTACTGGGGAGGTGGAGGTGAGAGGGTCTTTTGAGACTGGGAATTTGAGGTTGCAGTGAGCTATGACCACCACTGAACTCAAGCCTGGGTGACAGAGATTCTTTCTCAAACACACACACACACACACACACACACACACACACACACACACACACACACTAAACAGGCATGTTTTGCAAAGACTCAAACAGAAATTGAACAACTGAAACTTAAATAAATTTAATATACAGTGTATGGTTTAATTATTAAACCAAGTTAATAACAACAGGATTAGTGAACTAGAATACTGAGATGAGTAAATAAAAGAACTACAGAAAAATGAAATGATCACAATACAAAAATGAGTATACATGTACAAAGAATAAAATGAAATGAAATCAAATACATTGGTTTCACTAGCTTACATATAAATAACAAATCACATTAATAACAAATATTTATAAATTTCTGAAACTGAATATCAGATGGGAACCCTTGAATGCAGAAGTGTATTGTGATTAATAGTGGCCTACCAATAAAAAATACTCAACAGAAATAAAAGTCAAACTGCATAACAGCAAAGAAAAGAAAAAATTTTAAAGCCATAAGAGAGAAAAGAAGAGAGAACCAATGAAGGTGAGAGCAAAGTCTTCACAGCCCGTGTTCAGTCAGAAAACAGAGAAATAAGTAAGAGTGCTGAGATAAGTCACTGTT
Organism: Homo sapiens; assembly: GCF_000001405.40. NCBI lineage: Eukaryota > Metazoa > Chordata > Mammalia > Primates > Hominidae > Homo > Homo sapiens. The sequence continues at coordinate 57,422,424 of NC_000007.14, forward strand.
CAACCAATAATTAGATACTTCACTAACATATTTTGAATAAGTGAGGATGCACTACATGATTTCCAAAAGTAAAAAAGTGGGAAATCTTATTACCAATATGAGCTTATTAAGAATACACTTCAAAAAGAAAAAAAATTTAAAATGGAGTTCAAGGAATCAAAATGAAATGCAAGAAACTGCAAACATATTGGGCTATCAAATCATGGTGGACAATGAACAAAAGGATCCATCAAGTCTTTGGCAGCATCAGTTTCCAAATGATTTACATAAAATAAAAGTGCTAAACTCTATACAATGTAATGAAATAAATTATCAAATCCTCTGATACTTGAATAATTTAACTGATGTTAGAATCTCCTTTTCAGATAATTATTTTCATGGAAAAAAATATACAATACTTCTGTCTCATCATTTGCAGAATATCAATTATCCTTTTTTCAGAACTTATTAGCACCAAAGGGCTCACAGTGGCATAGGCCCTGGTCACAAGCCTCTGGACACCCAGGATGACTGAATCATATGTTTATATCAGAATCAAGTAGGATGACAGAATCAAATCCATCTGGTACATAACCACAAAGAAACTCACCAACAGCAAGATGGTCTCGGAGGCCCTTTTTTCTGGAGAGACTCTTGGAGAGTCTGGTGCTGTGAAAGTGCTGGGATGGCCTCTCATGCCTGCACAAGAGAGTCACCATGTATGCACTGGAGAGCAGCATAATTCCCACAAAGGAGACATCTCTGGATAATGACAGAGTAGAAAAATAAGGCTCCAGATGATGGACTTCCTTGGGGAAATGAGGCAGTTTTATTGAGTGTCAGAAAACTGGTCTGAGTCATATTAAAATAAACCACAGTGTCAAAGATTATGTAACTACTGCAGGACAACTGAGGGACCATAAGAAGACAAGAATATATGAAATATGATTTGTGAATTTATGTTTAAACCTAACCAACCAGGAAGTGCTGGGGCTGATGGTGATGGCCTAGAGCGTGCTCAGGAGGCAGGTGGTGCAGACGCAGAGGTCCCTCATCACCCTGCTCAGGTAGAAAAGCGTCTTACACTTGAAGTCAAAATGAAGGGACTCAAAAAGGTCTGGAGACACCAAGAACACAATGGTGAGCAGCATCATGATGTGGACAAGGGCCAAGTGACTGGTGGTCAGGTCAGTGGGCTTAGGATCCAGAAGGAGCATCGTGGTACCAGAGAAAAGGAGGAAGATGTTGGCCAAGACTCCAGTAACAGCTTGGGCAAAGAAGGCACTTTTGAATGATAACATAAGTGGAAACTGTGTTCACTTTAATGGCAAAGAGGAAATATTTTATGTACCTGAAAAAATCAACCAATAAAACTTCCATCATCAATGTTACTTACTTCAGATTCAAAATTATCACCGTCATTATCATTTTAAATCCATCCATTTATTTTGATTAATGTTGATTATCACATATAAATTCTTAAACCTACAGCCTGATCATTATATGATAAACAAAATTATTAAGTTGATCGAACACCCACACATGCACAGTCACATCTGTAGAGGGCGCACATTATCTGTGCTCCTATAGTATCAAGGACACACTTCTTTATTAAGCATTTAGTTTTCACTTTTTGCATTCCTTCATTTAGTTTTCATCACCCAGAACTGTGACATGTATATAAAAATGAATCATGGGTGTTTGTAGAACAGAACTGAAGTAGATTTTGTGCTAATGGAAAAAGCAATCACCTGATATATTTTGGAAAAAAATAATAATGCATTGAGTGGCTGTGATATCACATCAGTCTGACATCATGCTGAACATCACATTCATGCATGCAAAGTTTCATGTATCCTGTAAAAATTATATAGCAGATACATAGCAGAAGATGTTCTTTTCAGATAGTTTGTGGTAGTAAAAAAAACTCCCTATTAGCAATTAGTGTAATAGGATTAAACGTAATTTTATTATGGTCATCTACTAAAATCTTCTTAATGTGAAGTATTTTAAAAACCTTGGGAGCGCGTCTGGCCGGCCCCGCCACGGGGCCGCGCGGGGACGCACACAGGTGGACGCGTGGACTGAGCCCGGGTGCCCATGGCCCGGGACACGACGGCCCAGCGGAGCCGCATGCCTCCCGCCGCGCCCGCGCGCAGCACAGACGGGCTGTCGCTCGCCTTCCTGCAGAGCCTGCGCACGCTGTTCCACATCCTGTACGACCGGCGGCGCGGTTGCGAGCACCTGCGCGAGATCCAGTCCCGCTGGCAGGGCGCCAACGCGCGGGAGCTGCCCCGCGGGGTCCTGGAGGGCCTGCGCGAAGTGGCCCCGGCCAGCGGCTACCTGACCTTCGAGCGCTTCGTGGTCGGCCTGCGCACCGCGCTGCTGAGCGCCGACGGCGGCCCCCGGGACCCCACCCACGCCCCAGCCCGGCCCGGCCCGGGAACCAGCTGCCGCAGCGCCTGCTGTTCGCGCCGGCCGACGAGCCGCGGATGGTCCCGGAGAGGAAGCCCCTGCCCCTGGGCGAGCGCGCTTCTCTGGCTTGTCCCAGCCGCGCGGCCCGCAGCCCAGAGCAGCTGTGCGCCCCCGCCGAGGCGGCGCCCTGCCCCGTGGAACCGGAGCGGTCCCAGAGCGCGGTCCTGGAACAGAGCCCCAGCGCGGACGCAGGTGCAGCGACCTGCAGGGCCTTGGAGGCAGACTCAGGGGATGCCCCGCGGGGCCCAGCGCCCGAGGAGAACGTCAGAGGCACACCATCACCAGCGGCGTGGACTGCGGCCTGCTGAAGCAGATGAAGGAGCTGGAGCAGGAGAAGGAGGTGCTGCTGCAGGGTTTGGAGATGATGGCGCGGGGCCGTGATTGGTACCAGCAGCAGCTGCAACGGGTGCAGGAGCGCCAGTGCCGCCTGGGCCAGAGCAGAGCCAGCGCCGACTTTGGGGCCACGGGGAGCCCCCGCCCACTGGGGCGGCTACTGTCCAAGGTACAGGAGGTGACCAGGTGCCTGGGGGAGCTGCTGGCTGCGGCCTGTGCCAGCTGGGCCCTGCCCACGTCCTCCGCCGGGCCCCCTGCTCTGCCCTAAGGTCAACCTCGTCCCCGGGCTGTCAGCAGCAGACCATCCTCATGCTGAAGGAGCAGAACTGACTCCTTACCCAGGAGGCGACCGAGAAGAGTGAGTGCATCACGCAGCTGGAGCAAGAGAAGTCAGCGCTCATTAAGCAGCTGTTTGAGGCCCGCGCCCTGAGCCAGCAGGACGGGGGGGCCTCTGGACCCCACCTTCATCTTGCTGGTGTGGGCTGAGCCGGCCCACGGGGCCAGCCTGGCACTCAGCCCTTCGGAGCGAGCACTCTGTCGCACCCAACCTCTCTGGCTGGAGATCCCCGGCAGGCCCAGGCAGTCCCGGAATGGGCGCCTTCCTGCACCCCTTGCCATCCAGGCTCCCCGGGCCTGTCCCCGTCTGGCCCCCACACCGAGCCCTTGACTCGGTTTTGGCTTCCGGTGCTGACATGGGCTGAGGCTCTCTTGAGTCCGCATAGTCCGCAGCTACTACTGCCGCTGTCAGTGGACAGTGAGGGACCCCTCCACCAGTTACCAGATCTCTGGTCGCCCGGTTTCCAGCGGTGCTGCCCTGGGTCCCATCTCCAGGGAAAGGCACTGCTCACGCCAGGCTGCACTTCCGATAACGGCCAGCAGACGGCGCTAGACGGCACAGATGCGGCGCTGAGGCTGCGCCCCAGACCTGGGGGGTCCAAGGGCAGCTTACCCCCACCTCAACCAGGGCACCAGGACAAGGAGGCTGTCTCTCGGACGGGAGCAGATGGAGGGGATGGGGAAGGCCTCTAAGCGGGGGTTGCTCGCCTGGCAGGGAAGCCCCAGGGATGGCGGTCGGACTTCAGGTCCTGGCCAAGGCTGAGAGACTCTGGCTGCAGCAGATCCCGGAGCCGGGTGGACGAGAGCTTGGCTTGCTTGTGCCTCCCGCAGACCCCGCGGTGATGGTCTTCCTCATCCTGGCCAGGACGCTGCCCCACGTTGTGTCCCACAAAACAACCTGTGAACCTGGCTCCCCAGGAGGGCCCTGTCCCCAGGTGCCTGGGCCCCCACTTTCCAGGCGTGTCATAGGGAGAGTCTGTCACCCCCTCACTCAGGATTCTCTAGGTCTGGGGTCCTGCTCACCCCGCTTTCCTCCCACGCTCAGCCTGATCCCAGGTTTCATCCAGGAGGAACCACTTCTCTCAGCCAAGGAAAAGGAGAACCCAGCCAAGGTACAGGAGGAGGCTGGGACAGGTCCCCTTGGGTGTCACTCCCTGCCCCTGTGCCCAGGCCCACTCCCGCTGGTGCTGGGGTACGCACTGGTGGGGGCCTCATGCTCAGCCCAGCCTGGAGGGCCCCAGTGCCACCAGAGCCAGGGGCACGGCAATATCACGGATGGCTTCTGCAGCCCAGGGCCCCCAGTGCAGGTTCAGTGTGTGTGTGTGTAGGGGGGGGGGCGGGGTGCACAGGGTCCCTGATGCGGGGTCAGTGTGTGTGGGACGCAGTGCCCCCGATGCAGGGTCAGGGTGTGTGGGGCGCAGGGCCCCCGATGCAGGGTCAGTGTGTGTGGGGCGCAGGATCCCCTCGTGGCCAGGGCACTTTGGTGCACTGTCCCACAAGGCACCCCTGTCTCAGAGGAGGGGTCCTGGCAGCCAGCACGGCAACTCCCTTCTGGAACCCAGCTCCACGATAACCTGCCCACAGCAAACCCACAGAGCCACATCCCCTGCTGTACCCGGGCTGCAGAGGTGTCCCAGGACAGGCCCAAGCCAGACCAGCGTGCAGCTGTTTTCCTACCCTGAGGATGGGAGGGAGGCTTCCAGAGGACATAAGAACGCCAGGCCTCAACCCTCCTGGGTGGGAAAGGGAGCGGGTCCTGAAGGCCTGTGTCCCACAGCGCCAGCACCAGGTGGACTGCAGTGCAGTGGATGGGCCAGCGGCAGCCGGGGAGAAGCCCCCCGACATCAGCAGGCTGGGGTCTGCCCACCAGGGCCTCCCCACATCTGCCTTTGAGGGTGCCTGCCATGCCCTGGGGGATCCGGGCATCTTTACAGGACTGGAAGCAGAAGACAGAACAGTGTCTGTCCCAGGGTGACTTCATCAGGAGACCGCCCACATAGAGCTGGACCCCGCAGCTAAGGCAGAAATGTGAGACAGGCTGGCACCTCCCGGAAAACTGCCTCTCAGCCTTGGTGTTCCATGCAAGGTGAAAAAAATATGGGTCATCCAAGTTTACAGCTTGCAATCAGGCTAGTGTGTGGCCCTAGAGACCACGAGGGGAGAATTTAAAGTGGCCCCGGCTGGCACAGTCTAGGTGGCTGGCAGAGGCACATGCGGACCCTGCCTGGAGCCTGCCCTAGTGACGCTGGGTGGGTCAGTCTCCTTGCAAGATGTGAGCAGCATCCCTGGCCTCTATCCATGAGGTGCCAGTAGCATGCGCGGGTACATACACGTGCATGCACACACAGTTATGACACCTAGAACTGTCTCAGGATGTCACAATGTGTCCCTGGAGGCAGAAGTGTCCCTGGTTGAGAATGAGCCCCAGAGGAAACAACCACACTAGGCCTCAGGATTTTGTGTTGATCAAGTTCCAAGGAAAATGAATATCTCAGTCGGCCGCGGTGGCTCACGCCTGGAATCCCAGCACCTGAGGCCAGGAGTTTGAGGCCAGCCTGGCCAATGTAGTGAGAGACCCCCCGCATATCTACAAAAAAAAAAAAAAAGAAAAAAGAAAGAAGGAAGGAAAGAGAAAAGAAAAGAAAATGTGATCTCCTGTTTTAAAATTCATAAACACCACAAGAAAACAATACACTATGAGACCCAGCAGAAACAACAGGTAGACTCTGTAGACACAGATACTGGAATTATCAGAGAGAATATAAAGTAACAGTGTTTTATATATCTAAAGAAATAAAAAAGTTTTCTGGAAATATGAAAAAAAAATCTTGTTTTATCACATGATCGTTCAAATCATCCTTAAGTATTAGAAATACACTACAGCATCTCCAAATTTAAATAAACCTGAAGTAGTATAATTACATCACTCTGAATCAGTGCAGATTTGTACTGTCTTAAAATGTAAAGATTTGCATAAATGCATAAAATAATTTGTACTACTTTATTAAAATGGAAAATAGTCAAAATTCAAATTCAAATATAATTACATAATGTCAAATTTTCTTCCACAAATCTATATATTTGTATATTCATAATATTAATATTTCATCTAGAAACATGTACTGACTAGTTATAATTCAGTGAGATGTAAGAACAAATCATGAGAGAATTACAGACATCGCCCACCTGAGTCTTGATCGCTCACTGGTAATGAAGCTGAGAAACAGACGCTCACCTGGCTGAGTCTTGGAGTGAGTCTGTGTGTGAATTGTGGTCCCTGAGCCATGGTTATAAGGAAGGGATGCTGTCAGTTTATCTCCCTCAGGCCCATAATTCTCATGTTACCTGTAGAAGCAGATGGCCCTGACCCTGCGATTGTTAGAAAGGAGAGCCACTGGGAGAAAAATAAATGTACCTCATTCCTGAAAAGAGCAGAGTAGCCACAGCTGGGTTCTGAAGTTTAGAATGAGTGAGCTCATTTTCTTAGGTAACTTTTGCTCAGGTGAATTGCCTCCTCTCAGTCCTTGTCAACAAAATGGATGTTAAAGGATAACTCTAACTTCAAACCACCTTTACAGTTGCATGTCAGATTACCAAATGTTTCCTTGCTAAAAAAAAAACTATACATACATACCATGGTATGAATGAATATCATAATGCTGCATAAAAGAAACCAAATTAAAAAGCGTGCATAGTATCTAATTCCATTCATTAAAAAAATCAAAAAGCAAACAAAACTGAATTTCTGGCTTCCTAGCTTGTTTAACAAGACTCTCACAGGAAAAGTAATACATTTTTGATAAAATGTGTAATTATATAGAAATATATTTATGTGTAATACATATGGTATAATACATGTATGGGTAAGAAGTGAATGAGAATTTCAGCTTTGTCCACTGTAGGGGAGTTAGGGATTGGAGTTGAGTTTAGTCAAATTAAGTTTCTTCTAGAAAAATAACAATACTCCTCAAAAAGCATAACAGAATCTAGAGTGTCTATCTGTCATTTATAGTTTCTAGCATATAATTTTAAAATTCATGAGATGTGTGAAAAAAGCAGGATAATGTAATTCATATACAAGATTAAAAGTAAAACAGCCATCAGAAGCTAGCTCAAAGATGTCCAAGGTGTTGTAATAAGATGACAAGAACTGGAAAGCAGCTATTATAAATATGGTCATGGAGGTAAAGAAAAATATTCTCATAACGATTGGGCAAATGTGGAATCTCAGAAGAGAAATGGAAATTATAAAAAAGCCAAATAGAAAGATGATAATAAAAAAGTACTATTGAGAGGATCATCTGATTAGAAACAGAAGAAATAAACTTAAAGACAGAGCCCTAGAAATTAACCAATCTGAAGACAATGTTTCAGACGAATGATTGAAGAAAAATAAACTGAGCCTCAGAGATCTGTGAGATGACTGGGTCCTGCTAGACAACACCTGCCTTCCCCAGTGTCGAGTCCACAGTGCAGCTGACCTGCCCCTGCGTGAGCATTTCGGCTGTGGTCCAGCATTCTTCTGAGAGCCTGGCCCCAAAGGCCAATGGTCCACCCTGGGGCTCCTGCCACAGTCACTACTGCCACTGCTATTGCTGCCACAAGGCCAAGGAGGAAGTGTGGAGACCAGGTACTTTCATGCACCCCAACAGTGGAATCCACCCTGGTTTTTTTTTTGAGATGGAGTTTCCCTCTTGTTGTCCAGGCTGCAGTGCAATGGCGAGATCTCGGCTCACAGCAACCTCTGTCTCCCGGGTTCAAGCCGTTCTCCTACCTCAGCCCCCGCAGTAGCTGGGATTACAGGCATGTGCCACCACGCCGGGCTAATTTTGTATTTTTAGTAGAGACGGGGTTTCTCCATGTTGGTCAGGCTGGACTCAAACTCCGGACCTCAGGTGATCCACCCGCCTCGGCCTCCCAAAGAATCCACCCTGTTTTTGAGGAAGGTAGGTGGCAAGTGGGTCACAATGTTTCACAGCTGCCAGCCTCCACTGCACCCACTGAGGGGGGTGCCTATGCTCCCCAGTAACAGGCCCATGGCATAGCCACACTGCCCTTGCCTGGGCATTTTGGTTCCAGCTGCACACTCTTCTGAGGCATTGCAATCCCCAGCTGCTGGCAAAGCAGTTGACTCTGATGGAAGTGGGGAGCAGCTCTGCTCTTCAGGGCAGGGCAGGGTCAAGCCATGCCTCTGGCACCAGCTGTCTCACTCCAGCCATTCCCTGAGTAGAGTCCAGTGATGTGGGTCTTATCCTAGCTCCATGTGTCACCAACTGTGTGACCTCAATGAGTTTCTTCACCCCCAGCCTTCCGTGTCCACATGCAGGCAGTGGATATGGGACATGAATAGTGACAACTGCACAGAGTGACTGGGCACGTCAAATGAGATGGGACCGATAGAAAGAAAAGTGGAGGCCTGGCCCATTTGTTGTTGGAGGTGCTCGCTGAGGTGCAAGAAGGTCTATAGGTCACCCACCCATCTGCCCAGGAGCCTCATCTGCCTCAGCACTTATTAGGCATCTGATGTACAGGGATTCTATGGCAGACACCCAACACAGCCCTTAGTTGTGGCTGCCACATGATTCTCCCACCTTGGCCTCCCAAAGTGCTGAGATTATAGGCATGAGCCACCACCCAAGCTTAAATTTTTGTTTCATTTTTGTTGTTTTTATATGCTTTAATTACTTTCTCTTTTTCTTCTGTGTATCTACTACAGTTTTTTTCCTGGTGGTTATCATGAGACTTACATAAAACATCTTGTATCTTAACAACCTTGTTTAAGATGATGACAATTTAACTTCTATGCATAGAAAAACTTTACAAATTTTCTCCCTTTCACACATTTTATATTATGTATGTCACACTTTACAACTTTTTATGTTGTGTGTCCATTAACAAATTATTGTAGCTATTTTATTTTTAATATTTTTTATAAATCTTACACTAAAGGTCAAAGTGACTTATGCAAAACCACTACAGTATTAGAGTATTCTAAATTTCACTGTTTATTTACCATTTTCAGTGACATTTATTCCTCAATATTTTTGGTATTATTAGCCTTCGGTCATATCAATGTGAAGACTTCCTTTCAGCATTTCTTGCAGAACAGATTGAGGTGTGATAAATTCCCTCACCCTCTTTTTTGTCTTGGAATGTTAGAATGTCTTGATCTCTATTATTTCTAAAGAGCCTTGTTGGATATACTCTTCTTAACTGTCAGGTTTTTTTCTTCTCTCAGCATTTTGAATATATGGTCTCCCAGTTTGCTTGCAAGGTTTCTGCTGAAAAATCCACTGATACCATTATAAAGGTTTCCTTCTATGTGAAGAATTTATTGCTTGCTGTTTTCAAGGTTTGTGCTTTATCTCTGTATTTTGACAATCATAATGTGTCCAAGGGCAATCTTTATTAGGTTCTTCTTGCTCAAGGTATTTGGAGCTTCATAAAACTGGATGTTCACATTATTTTCTAGATTTGGAAAGGTTTAAGACATTACATATTTAAAGCTCTTTTCCTCTTTCTCCCTTTTTCTGAAATTTCTGAAATGTGTATATTTGTTCACTTGGTTATATATTGGTTACTTTTAAATAGCCTGTTTTGGAATTTGCTGAATTTTTCTTCTTTAGGATTGAGTCTCCTGTTAAACATTTCTATTACATGTTTCCCGTTCTGCCATTGTTTATTTCAGTTGCAGGATTTCTGTTTGGTTGTTTTTTATGGTTTCTATTTATCTATTAAAATAATTTTTAATATAGTTGGGGTCTTGTTATGTTGGCCAGGTTAATCTTAAATTCTTGGTCCCATGCAATCCTCCAGCCTTAGCCTCCCAAATTGCAATTTTCACAAGTATAAGCCACCATGATCAGCCTATTTCATTATTGTAATTCTCATTTTGTTTCTGTGTTGTTTCATAACATTTTTAGTAATCTATCGGTGTTCTTTTGCATCTTATTGAAATTTCTTGATGATTATTTTAAATTCTTTGTCAGTCAATTCTGAGACCTCCATTTCTTTGCAGATTTTTACTACAGCTTTATTAGTTTCTTTGGGTGATGATCATGTTTTTCAGATTCTTTAAGATCTGTGCAGCCTTATGTTTGTGTCCCTGAATACGAAGGAGTAAACACAACTGCCACTCATCATAGGATAGTTTTGAAAGATAAATACTTTCTCCTATTGGGTCCCTGGGCTGATGAGATTTTAATTGAGATTGTAGTTGAGTTTGTTGGAGCCAGGTCACGTGACTGCTACGTGGTCTTTAGAGGGCTTTGTGAACATTTAGAAATCCATGTCTAAATAAGCTGTATTGCAAAGAACAGTGCATATCCTAATCCTGGTGTTGCTTGAATAGATGGAATCCTTCTGCCCTCCATAAACAAAATTGATGAAATAGGTGAGAGAAATAAGTGTTAAAATGCACACTGTGTCACCTGGAGAACAGAGCACTATATCTGGGTATGCCAGTCAGAAGAGACATTTTTTTTCTTTCTCAAAAAGGTGGTTATAGTCCAGCTGGGACCCTGAGGTGCATCTGGATCACTTGCGGGGTTTGAAATATCACAGATTACTGGGCTCTCCTTCGTGTTACTTGCTCCGTAGTTCTTGTCTATGGCTCAAGAATATTCTTTTTCTACAAGTTCTCAGGTGTTTCCAATGCTGCTTGCTCAGGGAAATCACTTGGAGAACCAGTATCTGGGTGCGTATTGTGTGTCTTCTCCAGCAAGGATATTGGCCCACAGAAGATGCAGTCAGAGACAGGTGTCTGAATGGTTTTAAGTGGACTTCGGTGTTGGTTATCCAAATGTGAAAGTGATCTGATCCTCTGGACTATTGCATTACTTTTCTCTTACCTCAATTAAGTGATCAGAATGTGCTATTTAAAACCTATAAGTGGCCTCAAACTCTTCAGTAAAAAACCATTTATCATTGCGTTGCAAAAATTCCAAACTATTCATCAGAACTGAAAATGTCTTGTGTGAGATTCCATGGGGTAAGGAGAGCAGTGACAAAGCTGTAACTATAAGACAGACAAGAAAATGGCTTTGATGCATATGTAACTGGGGATAAAAATAAAGAGGGAATGAGGAACTGGAGATAATTATAAAATAAAACAAGCAGAATTTTCTTTTCTAAATTCAGTCAGTTCAGTTGAAGAGCAGGTGTCCTCTCTCCACATGCACAATCAATGCTATTTCTTCACTCTAAATGTTTCAGTCTCTTACCTGAAAGATGTAATATTACTCCAATAGAAACAGTTTTCTCTGCCGGGTGCGGTGGCTCATGCCTGTAATCCCAGCACATTGGGAGGCCGAAATGGGCAGATCACGAGGTCAGGAGATCGAGACCATCCTGGCTATCACAGTGAAACCCCGTATCTACTAAAAATACAAAAAATTAGCCTGGCGTGGTGGCATGTGCCTATAGTCCCAGCTACTTGGGAGGCTGAGGCAGGAGAATCACTTGAACCCAGGAGGCGGAGGTTGCAGTGAGCCGAGATTGCGCCACTGTACTCCAGCCTGGGTGACAGAATGAGAGTCTGTCTCAAAAAAGAAAAAAAAAAAAGAAACAGTTTTCTCTTAAATGTTGAGTACCTGCTACACACCCAGCACTGTCCTCTGTATTTGTTTACTTTATATAAACATTAAAACAACTTCATAACTCATAAAACCTCATAAATTTCCACCGGAAAAAAAATCAGCCTGGTAACATTTTTAAAATTGTATGCTGTCACTTAACATAAATAGAAGGAACAATTAACTAAAGAAAATTTTGACTTAAATAGTTTTTTCTCCAATCGTTAAGGGAGAAAATGGAATGCAATAGTGAAATAAAATGTAATACGCTCACTCACTGTAGAATTAAATCTTCAAATAAACTTCTGAGCAACATTCAGTTTTATGAAAACATTTTTAAAATCACTGAGCAGATAATATAAAAATATTTCATAAACTTTGGAAGAAAAAATTATATATTTGTTCTCATGTGAATAATAGGCAACTAAACAAAAAAAAAATATATATATATATAAGGAAGATTCTGAACCCAGGAGACCTCAGATTTGGGAAAAATAAGTTCAGTGTACAGTAGAGAAACTCATTTTGCTTGAAGCATTTGTGAGGTTCCTGATTTGCTAGCAAATTGTCAACTCTTCCAACACTATCTTTTTGGTCCACAATTTCCTTTTCAATTTAAAGAATACATACACACATACATACACACACACACACAATTTCCTCCTCTATATTTCTCTTACACATATAGTTTATTTTTAGCCTAATATATTTGTATATTGCATTCAATGTAAACCAAAGCACAAAAATCTTTATGTGTTCAGTTGGCCCATGTACAGGAAATGTGCAAAGAAAAATATTCAGTAATTTTTTTTTTTTTGAGACGGAGTCTCTGTCATCCAGGCTGGAGTGCAGTGGCGCGATCTTGGCTCACTGCAACCTCCGCCACCTGGGTTCAAGTGATTCTCCTGCCTCAGCCTCCGAAGTAGCTGGGATTACAGGCACACACCACCACACCCAGCTAATTTTTGTATTTTTCTGATCTTTATCATAACTGACATAATCTTCCTGTAGTTACCAAAAAGTTAAAAAAAATATGAAGTAGAACTTTTGACAATAGTCTCCACATTATTTGAGTTCTCTGAACAAATCATTACTAAATATGTCATTTCACTGTATTACCCAATAGTATATTGTTACCATCTGTTGCCCCCAATCTTGATTAAAGTGAAATAGTTTAACATTTGTGGCAGGATAACATTTCATTTATTGCATATCAGTGTTAAAACACTGAAAAACGTTTAGTTTATTAATTAAAACTAAGTTAACACATAGTCTAAGTAAGGCATTCCAAAATCCATTATAGTCTTCTTGGTCAAAATACAGTCACAAACATTGAACAAGCATTATTTTTTTCTCTGATGAAATTATCTTGATACTTCCTTTATCTATTTTTAAAGATGAAGGTTATTTAGGAAACATTGATTTAAAATACATTTAAAACCTTTCATGGAGGCGTTCTCTCTATCTGTAATTTAAAAAAAAAATTATCACACTGAATAATATTTAAGACTTTAACCTTTTACTATAATACACTGGTATTTTAATAGACTGCCCAGCTTTTTTATCCCTTAAGGAGAGATGATTGGTAAAATTATTTATTTCAAAAATTCGGAATTTTTCACTCTTCCTTTAATAGAGAAGAATAATTCCCAGTATACCTACCTCATGCAGAGTAAGTAAACCACAAACAGCATCTCTCTTTAATTTTTTTTTTTTTTTGAGATGGAGTTTTGCTCTTGTTGCCCGGGCTGGAGTGCAATGGTACATTCTCTGCTCACTGCAACCTCTACCTCCCGGGTTCAAGCAATTTTCCTGCCTCAGCCTCCCCAGTAGCTGGGACTACAGGCACCCACCACCACACCTGGCTATTTTTTTTTTTTGTATTTTTAGTAGAGACGGGGCTTCACCATGTTGGCCAGGCTGCTCTCAAACTCCTGACCTCAAGTGATCCACCCTGCTTGGCTTCCCAAAGTGCTGGGATTACAGGTGTGATCCAGCAGTTATTTTTTAATTTTTATTTTTTAATTTTACATTTGCCATGAATTTCCATGGAGAAATTCATATAGAATGGCCTCTCCCAGCTCTGATGCAGCAACAATAGGTCACATTGTTTATAGTGTTTTCATATAAACACTAGGAATGTAGGCATAGTGACAACCGATTTAAGAGTTGAATTACATCAATAATAGATGTTCCTTAAATAATCTCAAATAATGACAATACAAAGCAAGTATCCATTGAAATATAATTATACCTGTCCAAATATCATAGTCCTTGCTTCTTGCGAAAATACAAACCAGTAAATTATCGAATTGTTTTAACTTTAGATTATTCTCTATATTAAGTATTCTTGTCTAATGTAAAGTTTGAAAATTATAGTGCCTTTGTACTTTCTCGTGGGAATTCTCTGAGGTTTAGTTAGACTTGATTTTTGAATACTCCCTCACACTTATTGCATTTGAAAAGTTTCCCTGTGGAAGAATTCTTTATGAATTCTGGTTATTTCTAAGGTTTATATTTAAGATAAAACTCTATCTACATCCATTACATGTATAGTGATCTTCTAGTATGAATTATCTGATGTTGAGTAAAGTGTGAACAGTTGTTAAAGGCTTTGCCACATTTTTTACATTGTATTTAAAACAGCACATAGAAAGCAAATCTGTTTTATTCATTAAGACAAATTAATAATGTTTTCCATTTTAAAGAAAGTGTGAAGGATTTTTTTTTCTAGCTAGTCGTCATCCTTTATATAGACAGCTTAGGGGTCCCTGGGTGCTGGAGACAGGGGTCCCTTGCCCACTCATATCTAAGAAGGTTCTGGTTGGCATTCATTCATTTAACACAGAAATATTAAGCAATTAACTTTGTGTGGTTACTTTGCTAGAACCTTGGCATAATTCAATGACTACAGCATACAGATCTCTGGGCCTCAATTCTATTCAAGGAGTTAGACACTCCTTCAAAGTAGATGGACATCATAGCAGGTCATGTCCACGGAATGTGAGATGAGATGCCCAATGGCCTCTTCTAGGTAGGGAGCCATCCGCTTAGATTCTGACCAACAGGACAAATCCCAGGACCAACTATAAGGTGGGTGGAATTTGAGTTCATAATAAGGGCCTCCTGTCCTCCAAATATATGGGGGAAATACAAAGACCATGGTTGGGAAGAGGCCGAAAGAACCCTGGGCCTCGTGCACCTTATGATTCCCATGAGAAGGCTGGAGTCTGGGTGTTCTGCAGAATAAAAGGAGTCAAAGAGGCTGCAGATGGGCCTCAGACCCCTACTAAGAAGAGAGGAGGCTGGAGCTCCCAGCCAGCCCTTGACAGACCCATCCCCATCACAGTCACATCCCAGCTCTGCCTGTCCCCCTCTATCCCACATCCAGGGGGCCCAGAACTGGAGTTATGATGAGCAGCCTGCTTCTCATAACCCTCCTTCTGCAGGTGCCATAGACGGGCCTGGGGGGAGCATGCCCGCCGGTAGTTGAGGGCACTAGTTGAAGACGCTAAGGTCCCCTCTCCACCTTGGGCACCTCGGCCTGCACCGTTGTGCTCTGCCTGGCTGTGGCCGCTGTGGCCAGCGCCTCCTCGGAGCTCCTGGAGAATGGCAGGTGAAGAAAGGCTCAGCTACTCAGCCTGCACAAGGCAAAGGCCCAGGTTCAGTGGGTTGAGGCTTCGAGGACACGGAACGGGCGCCTGGGTGGAAAGTAGTCACCAGGTGTGAGTGGCACCGTGGGGCCAATGCCCGGTTTTGCTGTCCCTGCTTCCTGAAGATCGCAGCTGGAGTCACCTGGGCACAGCGTTTGATGTAGCACCTGCAGCGGCAGAAGTGACACCCAACTGCGAGGACGCTGCAAGGAGCCGGCACGGAGACATCTGTCCCCTCTGCCCCGAGGCCCCAGTTCCTGGCCAGCTTTGGCAAAAGCGAGAGGCTGGACTTTGGAGGGTGGGTGTGAGTGCATGAGCTCATGTCCAGCCCCCAGTGCCCGGCATGACAAGGTGACACCCTCTAGCGTCACCACTGCCCCAATCCTGCTTTCATACCTGGCGGGCCAATAGGTCTTTCCCAAGGTATGCAGAATGCAAAGAGGAGGGGAGTGGGCCAATGTCCCAGGGCTGTGGAGCCGCTGGCTGTCAAGGTCAGGTGGGACATGGTGGGTCTTCTAGGAGGGTTTGTGGGGCCAGCAGGAGTAAGGGTGCTCCAACCTCAACCTGCAGGGGTACCATGGTCCCCAAGGTGCAGTACCTACAGTCCCCAGCCAAGCCAGACTATGCGCTCCACGTGCCACCTGCTCCTTACATGTGCCCCAGGCTCCACGCAGTAAGCAGAGAGCAGTGGCCTGGTGTGTGGCTGCCGGGCACCTGCCCCCTGGGGACAGCCAATTCCTAGGGGGACCGAGGCATCCTCATCCCTCGCCTGGCAGCTTCTCAGGAAGGCTGTCACCTGATAAGTGGGAGGGGAGGGTTTGGGGAGGGCCAGTGGCCCAGCCAACCTGAGTGATTTCCAAGTGAATGAACTGGGGGATCCCGCTGCCTCTGGCTCAGGCTTGTGGTGGAATCTGCCTGGACCTCAGGGGCTCCAGGCTGCCAGCTGCCTATCCAGGCTCTGGGTGCCTCCTCCAGACCTCAGATACCTCAGCTGTCTGAGAGGACTGATAGGGCATGATATGGCAGGGGTGTTTCAGGATTGAGCCAGATGATCCCCTGTAATCTCTTATTACTCACTCCCACCCTTCCACTTTCGTGCACCCTGCCTCCTTTTTTTTTTCTTTCCCTATTCTGAGTTTGTCATGAGACGTTGTGGAATGTTTCTGGTGGGGAGGTAGGAAAGGTGAAACCCTTACCCTTGGCTTCAGAGTTCCTCCCAGGCACCCCCTCCTCTTAGGCTTTTTTAAAGCACAGACCTGGCACCATGTCCTGTACTTGGGAGAGCTGCAGAGAACTTCATGTGTTTCCAAAACCAGAACACTTGATTGCTGACTCCAGATCCTTATCTCACCCCAAAACCCAAATGCCTTGGGGCGGCCAGCTTCAGACATGAGTGAATTTGATGCTTTTTCTCTGGGACTGACTGAAGGCTTATATAATGGAGCACGCCTGCCCCTGTGTTTTGGGGGAGTTACTAGTAGTGACCCAGAACTGTGAGCACCATTCCCCACACAGAGCACAGGGAACACAGCCCTCTCCAGCAGGCTGGGCTGGCCGTGGCCTGATGCACATCAGTCCCAAGGCAAGAGACCCAAGGCAGGGAATGTCTCTTGCCCCCGCTTTCACAATGCAGACATTTAACTGGGGGTGGTGGCCTCTTCGGGTCCCCAGCCTTCAGAGTGGGATTGTTACCCTGTGCCACCAAGGGAAATGGAAGCACAGGGCCAGTGGGTGGCAGTTAGAGACTCTGTGATTGGGAAATATTACCTTAGACCCAGCATGGCCTGTTCAGGTCATAGCGCCTCTTGGGCTCCATCCATGGGCTGTTCTTTCCATGGGGCACTTTGGTTGTAGTCAGCACCCTGTGGGGTGGGGGTGGGGCACCAGGAGGAGCAAGTGTTATGGGATCCACAGGGGGAAGGAGGGGATATACCCCCTTTGCCCCACCCTGGGCACAAAAGCTTTGTTCTCTGATGTGTGTGGGCATCAGTGCCTGTGTGGGTATGGGTGGGGTTGCCTCTTTTCTTGACCAAGAAAGAACCATTCCTGGGTATCCTGGGAGGCTTAGGGCACTACATGTACCTGGGAGCTGAGTGGAGTGTGTGAGGGCTCTGCAGGACTCTCCCCTGCTGCCTCCTCTCCAGTGGGAGCCAGGCCATGTGCTCTTAGTGCCGACTCACGCCCAGGCCCACGCTGCCCTTCACTCAGCAGGCCCCTCCCTGACTCCCCCAGCTCAGCTCCTTTTGGGTCTCCTGAGGCCCTTGTGGGCCCTGGGATAGAATCACAGAAGTTGACAGCTCTGCTGCCTGCCTCTGCCTGAAGTCAGAGTCCCTCGTGGGCAGGGTGGGTGGGCAGGTCAGGGCTCAGCTTTTGACTGAGTACAGGGTCCTTTTTTCATGCCACACTGATGGAAACACTGGGCAGGGCTGGCCTGGGGGCTGCTCTGTGGCCCCCCAGTCCATCACTGGACCAGGTTGAAGGCAGTATTTGTGCAGATGGCTTCATCTGTTGTCACGATCCAGACACTAGAACCAACTGGCTATTGCTCTTGGGCCAGGGTCTTGGGCTGAGGCTGTCATGACCAGCATGTTCTCTGCCATGTGGGGGCCTCAGGCAGCTCCCAATGCTGAGTGGTCCCAAAAAGACATGACAGCCAGAACTGGAAGGCTGGAAGTCAGGACAGGAGTACACCTGACTCTGGGGCTTCCAGAGAGCTGACCCTGAGCTGTGGCCCCTGCAAAAGACAGGCGCCTCCGAGATCGTACCACTGCACTCCAGCTTAGGTGACAGAGGGAGACTCCGTCTCGATAAATAAATAAATAAATAAGACAGGCTCCTGTGGATATTTCAGGGGACAAATGTGGGTCCTTCTGGCTGGCAGGATTCTGGTGATCACTGGGCAGGTGGGGCTGGCTTAGGCAGGTCAGGCACAATTGGGCCTGGCAGAGGAGCCAGGGAATGGTTTTGCCAGAATAGACAGCTGGACCTTTGAATCTAGGCCATACATAGGCAGAATAACAAGTGATGGTGCAGCCAGCTCAGGCAGGTCTAGGTCAGGGCACCTGCCAGTAGAAACATGCACCCCTGTTCCAGACCCCAGTCCCAGACCACCTGCCTGCACTGGGCATTGTCTGGTCTTGGCAGAAAGGCCTGGGGGTGATGATCAGGTTGCGTGTCCCTGGGTCTCAGGCCTCAGTGGCTCCTTAGGAACTGGGCAGTCACTGGGCAGTGGGAAGGGCCCAGGGACATGTGCATCTGCCCATGGGTTGTGTTCCCACCCCAGCTTCTCAGCCCTCACTGGGAGAGGCCAGGGATCCCCGCCTGCTCTGACCCACTCACCTGGTGACTCTGATGGCTTCCTCACCCCAGGCTGGGTCCTCCTCTGTTAGATGGGAGTCCCAGGCTTCCCGCAGACACAAGCCAACTACCAGCCACACCTTGTGGGCCCACTTGGACCTCTTTACTCCAGTGACCATTGAGACCCAACTGGCCAGTACTGGTGTCCTATTTGTATATTGCCCTTTTTCCCAGTGTGTTTTCTGTAATGACTGTTGTGTGGAGCTTCCATATAAGCTGTAGAATACAGAATGTCCTCTACCACACAGAGCCCCCACTACTGTCCCCCTAGGGCTGGTTGTGCCTTGCTCAACTTGGTATAAATGGCTGCTGCTGGCCAGGTGCAATGGCTCACAACTGTAATCCTAGCACTTTGGGAGGCCAAGGCAAGTGGATCACCTGAGGTCGGGAGTTCAAGACCAGCCTGGCCAACATGGCAAAACCCTGTCTCTACTAAAAATATAAAAATTAGGCCAGGTGCAGCGGCTTACGCCTGTAACCCCAGCACTTTCGGAGGCAGAGGCAAGCAGATCATGAGGTCAGGAGTTTGAGACCAGTCTGGCAAACATGGTGAAACCCTGTCTCTATTGAAATTACAAAAATTAGCTAGGTGTGGTGGAGCACCTCTGTAATCCCAGCTACTGGGGAGGCTGAGGCAGGGGAATCGCTTGTATCTGGCAGGTGGAAGTTGCAGTAAGCTGAGATTGTGCCACTTCACTCCAGCCTGGGCGACACAGCAAGACTCTGTCTCAAAAAATAAAATAAAATAAAATAAAATAAATAAAATTTTTTTAAAATGGCTGCTGCCACGTGCACTGTTGAGTGCCACCCATCCACATGGCTGCCCAACCCTGCGTCTCCTTCCTTTTTGTTGCTGAGGTCTTTTCTGTTCCCCTGCTCTTCATCTGAACTGCTCTTGAAGCCAAGATGAGGGATAAGTAGGGTGGTGTTGACAGGGACCCCTCCTGGGGTAAATCTCAGCTGAGAGGGGGCAGGCCTTGCCCCATCCTCTCATTTCGTCCTCTTAGCTTCATTTCTGCCAGAGGTCATCAAAGTGCAGCCTGTCCCCACCTGCTCTTCTGTCTCCCATGAGCGAAGGATGAATTTTACATTTCCAAATGGTCGAACAAACCAAAAGAAGAATCATACTTTGTGGCGTTTTGAAATTGGAGTTTTCAGTGCCTGTAAGGAAAGTTCTATGAGATTGAAGCCTTGTGCCTTCACTCACAGGTTGTCTGCAGGAGGCTGCCGTCATGCTACAGCTGCAGATTTGAGTCATTGCCATCGAGAGGGGTTGGCAAAGCTGCGAATATTGACCCCTAGCCATTTTGAGGAAGAGTTTTTAGACCTTGGTTTGAGAATTGTATGGTGGGACCCAGGGCTCTGGGTCAGAGTCTTCCCCACTCAGGGCTGCTTTGACCTTCACTGGAGTGTCTGTAAAGTGGGGGTGCCATGTGCCTATTGTGGGGGTGTTAAGCCCCAGAGCGTCAAATATTGGGGTGCCTGCCTTATGGTCACCCACCTCACCTGCAGAGGTCCTGGGATCTAATCCCAACCAGCAGGAGCTATTGGTCTTTGGTAACAGACACCATGAAGCTAAGTTGCCACTTGCATCGAGGTTGTCCCCTGGGGCTCACTCTCTAGGTCAAGGATGGTACAGGGCTGATGTCCTGAATCACATTCTGGTGGAGCCTCGGACACTACAGCTGCTGAATGAGCTGCTGGCCTGCTGGGATGGGGGCGGCAGCTGGCAGAAATGGTTGCAGCTGCAGGACATTAAGGCAGCTGTGAGGCTACTGGGAGTCACACCTCAGGTCTCCCTCCCAGTACCTGCCCAGCTGGAATGTTTGTGCCCCGGTGGTCACTATGCAACAGGACCTGACACTGACCAGGGAGCTATGGCCACAGGCTCTCTGCAGCTGGCCACAAAAGAGTCTTCTCCTCCCCTCTGCTAATTTGCTGGGTTCTCTTGTCTCATTCTCACTTAGCTACTTCATTACCTGAAAACAGATCCAAAATTGCTCCTTGGGCTGATAGTCATTTTTTTTCAGCCACCTGGAGTGGCTACATCTCCTGGAGAACTTTGATTTTCTAGTCACAGAGGAAAGGACAGGATACTGACAGGGCCTGGATAGAAGATGCCGAAGGGGCCTTGTGGGGAAGGGAGGGAGCAGGGGCCCAACCTCTTGGGGCCTTTCTCTTAAGAGGCTCCCTCCTCTCCTCCAATCCCATGCCGCCCCAGTCTGTTCTCAGAGTTAGATACAAGCAGCCTTCCTGCAAAGATTGGTCCTTGATTTCAGTTTCCCTATTCACACCCTTTATTGAAATGGGTCTCCTCTTTCTCTGTGTATCATACCCTCCCAATACATCTAAGATGAAGAGAATAGAGCCAGGCAGTGTGCTGCCCAGGGAATCCACTAAACCCTGGCCCACGGATAAACCCCAACCCCACCCCCTCTCATGCTGCACTACCACCAGTGCCACCAGGGTCAGGTTTTGGTATCAGGATGATGCACATCTCATTAAATGAGTTAGGGAGGAGTCCCTCTTTGTCAATTGTTTGGAATAGTTTCAAAAGAAATGGTACCAGCTGTTCTTTGTACCTCTGGTAGAATTCAGCTGTGAAAACATCTAGTCCTGGGCTTTTTTTGCTTAGTAGGCTATTTATTACTGCCTCAATTTTAGAACTTGTTATTGGTTTATTCAAAGATTCAACTTCTTTCAAAAAATATTTCAAAAACAACAGATAAAAGTAGCATTTAATAACAGAACAAAGGATCAGTAATATTTTAAGCAGAGTCAAAAAGGTTACTTCAGTCTTATATTAGTTTACTCCATGCAGTTATCTCCCATTCTGCTTGATATTGATGAACATTTCACCTCTCTTTGAGAGTCCTGAAAGTTTTTTCTTTATTCTAATGCCAAATATTTCCAAAGTTATCGGAAACCTGCATTTAATAGCACCTGTCAACATCCTATAGCTGATTATCAATCACCTTTCAAAGAGGATTAAAACAAGACAACAATTGTCTGTGGATGACAAAGAAGTCTTAGGACAGTCATTATTAAAGCCACAACTGACAGGGAGATTTTTGTTACTTCTGTTGCATACAACAATTTTACATAACAATTATTACTATTAATAACTATTATATATTATATATAGTATATATGATATATAATAACTATTATATATTATATATAATAACTATTATATATATTATATATTATATATAACAACTATTATATATAATATATAAATATAGCCTATATATACAAATATATATAGCCTATATATATAGCCTATATATAAATATATAAAATATATAAAAATATAAAAAATAAATACATATTTATATAAATATATAAATATATATAGGCTATATATATAAATATATATAACCTATATATAAATATATATAGCCTATATATAAATATATATAGGCTATATATATATAAATATGGCCTATATATATAAATATACATAGCCTATATATAAATATATAGCCTATATATAAATATATATAACCTATATATAAATATATATAGCCTATATAAAAATATATATGTAGCCTATATATAAAATATATACAGCCTATACATATATATACATATAGCCTATATATAAATATATATAGCCTATATATAAATATATATATATAGCCTATATAAATGTATATATGGGCTATATATATAGGCTATATATAAAAATATATATAGCCATATATAAGATGTATATATAGCCTATATATAAATATATATATAGGCTAATATATAGGCCTATATATAAAAATATATATAGCGTATATATATTTATATATAGGCTATATACATTTTTATATATATATATTTATATATAGGCTATATATATTTATATATAGGCTATGTATATTTATATATAGGCTATATATATTTATATATAGGCTACATATATATTTATATATAGCCTATATATATTTATATATAGGCTACATATATTTATCTATAGGCTATATATACATTTATATATAGGTTATATATATATTTATATATAGCCTATATATATTTATATATTTATACAACTATGCATATATTTTTTATATATTTTATATATTTTATATATTTATATATTATATATATAAATATATATAGGCTGTATATATTTATATATATAATATATATAAATATATATAGGCTGTATATATTTATATATATACAGCCTATATATAAATATATATATAGCCTATATATAAATATATATATATAGCGTATATATCAATATATATTTAGCCTATATATATATTTATATATATTTAGCCTATATATAAACATATATAGGCTATATATAGAAATATATATAGCCTATATATAGAAATATATATATAGCCCATATATAGAAATATATATAAATATATATATACATATATAAGGATATATATAAATATATACATATATATGTATATATATAAATATATATACATATGTAGGGATATATATAAATATATACATATATAGGGATATATATAAATGTATACATATATAGGGATATATATAAATATATATACACATATATAGGGATATATATACACATATATGTATATATATATTTATATATATATGTATATATATATGTATATATATGTATATATATATGTATATATATATGTATATATACATATATAAGGATATATATATAGGGATATATATAAATATATATACACATATATAGGGATATATATATAGGGATATATATATAAATATATATACACATATATATAGGGATATATATATAAATATGTATATAGGCAAAACTGATCCCTCTCCAAATTAAGACTACTATTTTTATTCTAGAACCTGGATCCCAAAAAGAGAAAATTAGCCCATCTCCCATTGGAGTATTACCTTCTCTCTCTCTCTCTCTCTCTCTCTCTCTCTCTCTCTCTCTCTCTCTCTCTATATATATATATATATATATATATACACACACACACACACACATATATATACACATATATATACACACACACATATATATATACACATATATAAACACACACACACATATATATATATGTATTTCCCTTTCCTACCTTTTCTGTTACTCTGGGTCACCATCTTTCCCAGAGACCACATGTTGAAACTTCTGGCAGAAGTCCCTGAAACAGTCTTGGCAAAGTGGCTCATGCCTGTAATCCCAACACATATATATGTATATATATGTGTGTGTGTGTGTGTGTGTGTGTGTGTGTGTATATGTGTGTGTGTATATATATGTGTGTATATATGTGTGTATATATACGTGTATATATGTGTGTATATATACGTGTATATATGTGTGTATATATGTGTATATATGTGTATATATATGTGTATATATGTGTGTATATATATGTGTGTGTATATATATGTGTATATATAGATAGAGAGAGAGAGAGAGAGAGAGACAGAGAGACAAGCATTGCCTATGGCAGGGTGGGAAAGGTGAGGAGCTCAGATAAGCCAGAGAAAGACCCATGCATTGCATTGAATAATAAGTTTCGGTGGCTGCTTGTTGGTTGTGAAAGAATCTTTTTCTGCAGTCCTGTCAGCTCTCAAGTTTCCCACTTTAGGGAGGGAAAAGCTCCCCATGTTCCATGATCCTGTACTCGCCTAATTCTGTCAGCCACAGTCATCAGCAAAAAGTGCAAGGCAGATTAATCTAAAGACAGGGATGGGCACGGTGGCTCATGCCTATAATCCCAGCACTTTGGGAGGCTGAGGTGGGCAGATCACGAGGTCAGGAGTTTGAGACCAGCCTGACCAACATGGTGAAACCCGGTCTCTACAAAAAATACAAAACTTAGCTGCGCGTGGTGGCGGGTGCCTGTAATCCCAGCTACTTGGGAGGCTGAGGCAGGAGAATTGCTTGAACTTGGGAGGCGGAAGTTGCAGTGAGCCAAGATCTCGCCATCGGACTCTGGCCTGGGTGACAAGAGTGAGACTCCATCTCAAAACAAACAAGCAAACAAACCCAAAGACTATAGTGGTTAACATTCCATAATGCCAAATCTAATCTTAGCTCAGAGGGGCTTTACTAAGAGAGGCCTCTAACCCCCTACATCTTAGGAAAAACTGTAACCTTTCTAAGTTGCACCTCAAACACAAGTTTTGTCAAGTGTTCTTGCCTTTTATTAAAGGGGACCTTTTGTCTTATCTGTCTTAGGAGACACTCTAACTTCTCTAAGTTGGGCTACTAACCCAATCCCATTCCATACCTGGGTAAGCCACCACTTACGAAAGGTTAGCCAATTGGTGATTCCGTGTATTTCCTTTGGGTTGGGGGTTTCCTTAGTATCATCCCTTTGTGATTCACTGAAAAGAAGCTTCCAGAAATGGTCCCAATCCAGAACCAAAGTGTGGGTTCTTGGATCTCGTACAAAAAAAGAATTTAGGGCCGGGGGTGGTGGCTCATGCCTGTAACCCCAGCAGTTTGGAAGGCAGAGGCAGGCAGATCACCTGAGGTCAGGAGTTCGAGACCAGCCTGGCTCCCATCTCTACTAAAAATACAAAAATTGGCTGGACATGGTGATGCGTGCCTGTAATCCCAGCTATTCCAGAGGCTGAGGCAGGAGAATCTCTTGAACCCAGGAGGTGGAGGTTGCAGTGAGCTGAGATGGTGCCACTGCACTCCAGCTTGGGTGACAGAGCCGGACTCTGTCTCAAAGAAAAAAGGAAAGAAAGAAAGAAAAAGAGAGAAAGAGAGAGAGAGAGAGAGAGAGAAGAAAGGAAGAGAGAAAGAAAGAAAGAAAGAAAGAAAAAGAAAAAGAATTTTGAGTGAGTCTGCAGTGCAAAGCAAAAGCAAATTTATTAGGAAAGTAAAGGAATAAAAGAATAGCTACTCCATAGGCAGAGCAACAGTGTGGGCTGCTCAACTAAAAATACTTACAGTTATTTCTTGATTATATGCTAAACAAGGGGTAGATTATTCATGAGTTTTACAAGAAAGGGGTGGGCAATTCCCAGAACTGTGTTTATCTTCTTTTTAGACCGTGTAAGGTAACTCTCTGATGTGCCATGGCATTCGTTAACTGTCATGGCGCTGGTGGGAACGTCTTTAGTGTGCTAATGCATTGTAATTAGCATGTAATGATTTGTGAGGACAATCAGAGGTCACTTTTATTCACATCTTGGTTTTGGTGGATTTCTGTGGCTTCTTTACTGCAAACTGTTTTATCAGCAAGGTCTTTGTGAACTGTATGTTGCACCAATCTCCTATTTATCCTGTGACTTAGAATGCCTGACTTCATGGAAAAGCAGTCCTGTAGGTCTCAGCCCCATTTTACCTAACACCTATTCCAGATGCATTTGCTCTGGTTCAAACACCTCTGACATGGCCACAGGGTGCTGGAATGTGGTTGGTCTGAACTGCAATGTGCTGGAAAGGTAAAATACAAGGTTACATTGAAAGATTTAGCTTCAAAAATGTATACGCTTTATTAACCATTACATACTAATCACATATTAAAATAGTAATATTTTTGATATATTGGGCTGATTAAATTGTTACAATCAATTCTACCATTATTCCATCTGTTTCTTTCTTTTTTATTTGGAGACAGAGTCACTCTGTCACCAGGCTGGAGTGCAGTGGTGCAATCTTGGCCCACTGCAACCTCTGCCTCCCAGGTTCAAGCGATTCTCCTGCATCAGCCTCCAGAGTAGCTGAGATTACAAGTGCCTGTCACCATGCCTGGCTAATTTTTGTACTTTTAGTAGAGACAGGATTTCGCCATGTTAGACAGGCTGGTCTCGAACTCCTGACCTCAGGTTTTCTGCTGCCTCAGCCTCTCAAAATGCTGGAATTACATGTGTGAGCCACTGTGCCCGGCCCCACCTTTTTCTTTTTACTTTTTAATATTTGCCTAATAGAAAATTCAAAATTTACTTGTGGTTCACATTTTACTGCAGAGGACTGCCTCCTTCGTGAAATCTCAGGCTGCCTTCATGGATTAGGTCATTTTCACACTGCTATAAACAAATACCTCAGACCACGTAATGTTTTTAAAAAGTGGTTTAATTAAGTCATAGTTCTACATGGCTGAGGAATCCTCAGGAAAATTACAATCATGACCATGACGGAAGGTGAAGGGAAAGCAAGGCACATCTTACTGGGTAGAAAAAGAGAGAGAACTGGGGATGGGGAGGGTAGGGGGATGTGCCACAGTTTTAATCCATCGGATATCTTGAGAGCTCCCTTACTATCACAAGAATAGCATGAGGATAATCCCTCTCTAAGATCCAGTCACCTCCCACCCGGTGCCTGCCCTGACATGTGGGAATTACAATTTTTTTTTTTTTTTTTTTTTGAGACAGAATCTCCCTGCTGTCGCCCAGGCTGGAGTGCAATGGCGCGATCTCGGCTCACTGCAACCTCCGCCTCCTGGGTTCAAGTGATTTTTCTGCCTTAGCTTCCCGAGTAGCTGACCCTATAGGCGCCCGCCACCACCCTGGCTAATTTTTGTATTTTTAGTAGAGACGGGGTTTCACCATGTTGGCCAGGCTGGTCTCGAACTCCTGACTTCAAGTGATCCCTCCCCGCCCCCCGCCCTCCCCTCTCCCGCCTTCGCCTTCCCCGCTCGGCCTCCCTAAGTGCTGGGATTACAGTCGTGAGCCACCGCGCCCGGCCAGGAATTAAAATTTGAGATGAGATTTGGGTGGAGCTACAGAGCCAAACCATATCACTGCAAAGGATCCGCAGCAAGGAAGGTCATAAAATCTGAAATTGTAAAATAATTCTTTATATTTTTTCAATTTATGAATAACTATATTATATATCATTTATAAATGCATATGACATTATACACAAGGTTAAATGCAAGTATCCTCTGGGGTTGGCCTGGCTCAGATCAGGGAAGAAGCCTTGGCTGTAAAGGCTGCAGCCTAACCTGTTACTTTTGCTTTATTCAGCCCAGTGTCTGATCAAATTTTCCGTCACTCAGGGCATGAAGGGTGGGGCCTCAAACCTTATCCAATCAGGGGCCGTGAAATAGAAACTGTCCAATCAGGAATGCAGCGGGAGAGAACAGGACGCTTCCGTAAGGTTACGGGTTCTTTTTGCTTCTCTGCGCCCAGAGCTCCAGTCCTTCTCTTCACTGCTCTGCGTCCTCTGCTCCTGGAGGCCAAGCCTCTGTGGCCTTGTGTCCTGCAAGTATTCGCAGATTTATGGCTAAAAGACCGGGACCCCCTGGAAGCCGAGAAATGGTGAGTGCTGGGTCTGTCACCGTGAGAGAGGGGTGGGGGCTGGTTGGAACTGACTGAAAGTGGCTGTAGCAGGACCCAAACTTCCTCGCAGTCAGCTCCGGAGTCTGAGGACCCAAATCCTCCTTGTCCCAGCTCGGCTCTTAGTCCCCTCGAGCGTTAAGATGCTGCCTGGGCCAGCGGCTGGGACCCTGGGAGTTCTGTCTTTTTCCTCTGCAGTGGCTTTGCCCTGGACTGGAGCCCTCTCTGGGCAGCTCTACACTCCCAGCGCCTCATCTCACCCAGACTGTGCAGGGATGGGAAAGTCATCAGGGAAGAATCCAGACTTAGGGTGCAGGATTCGTGAGTGGAAAGAGCTGTGTTCCCTGGGGTCCCTAGTTCCTCATTTTTTCTTTTAGAGATGTATGGGGAGTCGCTGTAAAAATATCAGAGAATTGAATCAAAGTGTGATTCAAGAATCTTAGAGCGCCCAGCTATGGTTTGTGGGTTGTGATCCATGGGAGAGACTTGAAGGAAAGTTTGTTATAAGTTTCATGATGAAGCAAACCCGATTAAATAATTGGTTTGGTACAGTTAGGTAGTTTCCTTGTTTGTAAGATCCAGGTGAAAATGGCTTGGTTATGTCATCAGAGATTAATTGGCAGTCTGTGGTTGACTAGGCCTGAATATTTTTCTTCAAGAAAGTAATTTCCAAGAAATGCATTTTTTTTTTTTTGAGAGGGAGTCTCGCTCTGTTGCCCAGGCTGGAGTGCAATGGCACGATCTCAGCTCAATGCAACCGCCCTCCCGGGTTCAGGCGATTCTCCCGCCTCAGGCTGCGGAGTAGCTGGGATTACAGACTGCCACCACCACGCCCGGCTTTTGTTTTTTAGTAGAGACGTGGTTTCACCATGTTGGCCAGGGTGCTCTTGAAATCCTGACCTGAAGTGATCCGCCTGCCTTGGCCTCCGAAAGTGCTGGGATTACAGTCGTGATCCCCCCGTGCCCAGCTGTAAGAGATACATTTGAGATAGATTTTTTTTTTTAAGTGAGAGCCGAGAAGAATCAATCCACCTCAGTCTAATTGGCTGCTGTTTAAATATTTTTACACCCCACAGGAAATTGGTTTTCCCTTGGATTTTTTTTTTTTTTTTTTTTTTTTGAGATAGAGCCTCGCAATGTTGCCCAAGCTGGAGTTCAGTGGTGTGATCTCAGCTCACTGCAACTTCCGCCTCCTGGGTTCAAGTGATTCGCCTGCCTCAGCCTCCTGAGTAGCTGGGATTACATGCACCCGCCACCATGCCTGGCTAATTTTTGTATTTTTAGTAGAGATAGAGTGTTGCCATGCTGGCCAGGCTGGTCTCAAACTCCTGGCCTCAAGTGATCTGCCCACCTTTGTCTCTCAAAGTGCTGGGATTACAGGAATAGGCTATCACACCCAGCCTGCGTTTTTCAACTCTTTCTTTCTTTTTTTTTTTTTTGAGATGGAGTCTCACTCTGTGGCCCAGGCTGGAATGCAGTGGCGTGATCTTGCCTCACTACAACCTCCACCTCCTGGGTTCAAGTGATTCTCCTGCCTCAGCCTCCCAGGTAGCTGGGATTACAGGCCTACACCACCATACATGGCTAATTTTTGTATTTTTAATAGAGATGGGGTTTCACCATTTTGGCCAGGCTGGTCTCAAATTCCTGACCTCAGGTGATCTGGCCATCTTGGCCTCCCAAAGTGCTGGGATTACAGGAATGAGCCACCATGCCCTTCCTCAGCTGTGTCTTAAGCAGGGTCTTAAGTCAACCATTCTGTTCTCACAGACTAACTCTGGCTTGCAATAAAATATTAAATTTTCAGTTTTTGTGACATTCCCAAATGTCAACTTTTCTTTCTAACTCATATTATTATCTATTTGTCCTTTCTTGTATGTTTCAGACACAGTACTTACATTAATTATTTTTTTTAAAAGCATTGGATGGCACTTTAAAAGTGTCATTCAATGTCAAATGGGAAAAAAAGTTCCCATTTGTAAATATTTCACATAAGAAGAAAGCAGGGGCCGGACGCGGTGGCTCATGCCTGTAATCCTAGCACTTTGGGAGACTGAGGCGAGCAAATCACTTGAGGTCAGGAGTTGGAAACCAACCTGGCCAACATGATGAAACCCCATCTCTACTAAAAATGCAAAAAAAAATAACCGGGCGTGGTGGTGAGTGCCTGTAATCCCAGCTACTCAGGAGGCTGAGGCAGGAGAATTGCTTGCACCCAGGAGACGGAGGTTGCAGTGAGCCAAGATGGTGCCACTGCACTCCAACCTGGACAACAGATTGAGACTCTGTCTCAGAAAGAAAAAAAAAGAAAGCAGAGATTAAGCCTCTGACACTGTATTGTAAAAAATCTCTGTGCCTCTTCTTTTGTCTTCTCCAAGCACAGACATCATAATGTGTGGGTTGAGTTTTTTTGGGGGAAACCCTACAGGGTAATGTTTCTTCAGCCACACTTAAGGTTTTTCCTGGTTCTGGGTCTTAGTACTGCTTGGGGATAAACCAAGATACCTACTGTGGCCGTGTCTGCTGGAGTGTCTAGTGAATATCATCCCCTGAGTTATTTTCTTTTTGAGAATAGCATGCGGTATGAAGTGTAGCCTTCCAAGAGAGCAAATGGATGCCTGGGGCTGAGAGTGATCTCCTGGTATACTCTTCCTGTAAAATGCTAATCCCTTGGGACACTAGAATCATCTTTACCTAACTCAGCTTTGGTTTCATGGAGACATATTGCTGGTCAGCCAATCAGATGCGGGTATTGAGAGAAAAACACAGAAGTAATTTCTGCCCTCTGGATTCTGTCAGATTTGTGAAGGGAAGAAAACTACCCCTAAAGGCAAAAAAACCTGACCCCAATAAGATGGTGCAAGAATCTCAAAGTAATTGCACCTGGGGAACTCATGAGGGCACAGTGCAGTGTCTCCTGGAGTGGTTGTCCTTGAGCATTTCAGTGAGCAGGATGCGCATGGGAGACTCTCTCAAGTGATTGGACGGTTTGATTTGACACATGAGTCAGACATGTCTGTTCCAATCAGCACTGCCACTCTCTGGGTTTGTCACCTTGAAAAGATAGTTTCACTTCTTTCGACTTAAGTTAGTTAACTGTAAATTGCATTTTATCAGTAGAGCTCAATATGTAAGAAAATATTTACAAAGGGCATAAAAGAGGGAAGTTTCAGAAAAAAAATGTAGTCATGTATTCTATTGGTTAAAAATTCACATTTGCCCTTTTCTTTCTCAGAGTAACTGTAGAAATTTTCTCAGGTGTGTTATTTTTTGGCTGTGTGATTTCACACAGTATTCTAAGGCTTAGCTTTGCGAATATTACCAAGGGAGAGAATATGAAAAATGTCTCTTCCATTATGGCTGTCGGAAATGAATACATTTGCACAATAAAATGTGTGAGATAACTGGGGAATTACATAGATTCATCAAAACATCAGTCTCTCTTTTTGCAAAATTAATATGTGACAGTAAAACCTGTGTTCTACATCCGTTGTCTTATTTTTATTTTGGAGACCGAGTCTTTGTCACCCAGGCTGGAGTACAGTGGTGTGATCTTGGCTCACTGCAACCTCCGACTCCCGGGTTCAAGTGATTCTCCTGACTCAGCCTCCCAGGTAGCTGGGATTACAGACACCCGCCACCACACCCGGCTAATTTTTGTATTTTTAGTAAAGATGGGGTTTTGCCATGTTGGCCAGGCTGGTCTCGAACTCCTGACCTCAGGTGGTCTGCCCACCTGTGCCTCTCAAATTGTTGGGATTACAGGCATGAGCCACTGCTCCTGGCCCTGTTATCTTGATTTCTGAATTTTATGCTAAACTTTATGAGATGGGACTGGGCACCTTCTAGAAGTTTGTTCATATTACTAATGTTTACTGAATGTCCTCTTATGGAAATAAGTAAATGATATGTGTATTGTCTGAAAGAGATAGATACTTTTGCTTTTCTTATTGAGCTATAAAATGTAAGCACCTTAAAAATTTTTCCCTTGTATAAACACTGCATTTCAGTAATTTTTCTGGATTTATCACCACTTAATTTCTAAAACTAAGTGAACATCTCTGACTTGAAAATTAAAGCCTGAGCCCTGTGACTCCAAGCTATGAGCAATATGGAGCCTGCAAAAGGAGATTATTGAAGGCCTAGTCAGTTCTTTCTAGGGAGCCTTCCCTGCAGATGTCCCAGCCTGCTCACTCCAGCCATGGAAGAAGCCTTTATACTGAGATAAGCAACAGAGGCAGGGAAACCTGGGGACCCACAGGCAGATGTAGTTAGGGTTAGAATGGATGGGAATTGGGAGGATCTTACTGAAAATAAAGGTGTTTTGGGGCAGTTTCTGGACTTTGTAAAATAAAGCAAATTCAGATATTCAGATTTAGATAAGAATTCTGAATCCCGGCCGGGAGTGGTGGCTCATGCCTGTAATCCTAGCACTTTGGGAGGCCGAGGCGGGCGGATCATGAGGCCAGGAGATCGAGACCATCCTAGCTAACACGGTGAAACCCCATCTCTACTAAAAAATACAGAAACATTAGCCAGGCGTGGTGGCAGGCACCTATAGTCCCAGCTACTTGGGAGGCTGAGGCAGGAGAATGGCATGAACCCAGGAGGCGGAGCTTGCAGTGAGCAGAGATAGCGCCATTGCACTACAGCCTGGGTGACAGAGCAAGACTCCCTCTCAAAAAAAAAAAAAGTTCTGAATCCCAACAACAGAAAAAAGTGTCAACTGTAAGATTTTTCAGGGTATCAATGTATAGGCAGACAAGGACTTTCTTTTATAGAGAATAGCAAACAAGTTTAGAAAGAGGATGAAGTAAGAATGGTATGATAGAAGGGGGCAAAATTAGATTCTAGATCAGAGAATGTTTTACCCTGAAGTCAGCATGTTCTTAAGGAGAGACAGAAAATGGGGTTGTATGTTGGCTCAGACTGAAGGTACTCAAAGGTCAGGAGCCCTGGGAGAAGAGAAAAATTTAAGCAAAGTTGATTAAAAAATATTTTGGCCACTGAAGAAAAGTATTTAGCTGATTCTTTTATAAGAAAGAAGTGGAAATTTCCAGAATCTATATCTGGCTATGTGATAAGTAAGAAAATACAAAACCATCTAAGTCATAATAGGAAAAAATGTTTCTCTTAAGCTGTTGGTGAAGACCACAAAGGATGGAGAATTTTATTTATTTATTTATTTAGAGATAGAGTCTCACTCTGTCACCCTGGCTGGAGTGCAGTGGCACAATCTCAGCTCATTGCAATCTCCACCTCCTGGATTCAAGCAATTCTCTTGCCTCAGCCTCCCAAATAGCTGGGATTACAGGTGCCCACCACTGCAGCTGGCTTATTTTTTGCATTTTTAGTAAAGACAGGATTTCACCATGTTGGCCAGGTTGGTCTCAAACTCCTGACTTCAGGTGATCCACCTGCCTCAGCTTCCCAAACTGCTGGGATTACAGACATGAGCCGTCGCGCCTGGCTGGGGAATTTTATTAATCACAGCTATTTACCAGGATTATCTATATGCCCCATCTTTCCCAAACTTTTTTTTTGTACATCTTTTCTTTTCTATTTGACTGTTTCTGGGTTGCATGGTTTTTTTTGTTTTTTTGTTTGTTTGTTTGTTTTTTGTTTTTTGAGATGGAGTCTCACTCTGTCACCCAGGCTGGAATGCAGTGGCACAATATCGGCTCACCACAACCTTCGCCTCCCAGGTTCAAGAGATTCTCCTGCCTCAGCCTCCCGAGTAGCTAGGATTACAGGCACCCACCACCATGCCCGGCTAATTTTTGTATTTTTAGTAGAGATGGGGTTTCACCATCTTGACCAGGCTGGTCTTGAACTCCTGACCTCATGATCCACCCACCTCGGCTTCCCAACGTGCTGGGATTACAGGCGTGAGCCATCACGCCCGGCTTCTGGGTTGCATGTTTTATAGTAAACTGGTTAACGTAAGTACAGGGTTTAGCTCAATTCTGTGAGTATCTCTATCAAATTATTGAACTTAAGGGAGATTATGGGAGTCTCCAGTTTACAGACAGTAGCTGAGAAGCATAGATGGGTCCCTGGGATTTGTGACAGGCATGTGCAGTAAGGGCAATATGATGAGACTGAGCTCTGAATTATGGTCTGTGCTGACTCCGGGTGGTATCAGGATGGAAATGTTGGACAACAAGTTGGTGTTAAAAATTTGCATGGTGCCAGCCTGGCCAACATGGTGAAACCCCATCTCTACTAAAAATACAAAAATTAGCCGAGCATGGTGACGGGTGCCTGTAATCCCAACTACTCAGGAAGCTGTAGCAGGAGAATTACTTGAACCCGAGAGGTGAAGGTTGCAGTGAGCCGAGATCGTGCCACTGCACCCCAGCCTGGGCGACAGAGTGAGACTGCATTTCAAAAAAAAAAAACAAATTGCTTGGTATTTAGCAAACTCCACAGATTTGGTGTCAGAAAAGAGATATTACAGAGGCCTGGCCTGGAGGGGGACTCTGGATGTCTGGTAAGGGGAGTCTCTGTTCTCTTGCACACAGGCTGTCACACTGCACACTGTCCTGTGATTCTAGGTCTCCTCTCAGGGTGAAAGGGGACTAAAAACTTAGAGAAAAGGAATTGTGATAACAGACCTCCTCCTTTCAGAGCTGCCACCACATGATTCTCATGCATTCACAGACAGACCCACTAGACATTGATGCATCCACACCCCTCCCGGGACTAGGCACCACCTTCAAGAATTCCACCACAGCACTTATGCTTTTAGTGTTTCTTGCCAAAATCCCACCAAAGTGCCTACAAGTTTCCTGGCATATCCCCAACCCCAGACACTGAATCTGCAGCAGCAACCTGTTTCCTCCACCAATGTAGGGGTCTATACCACTTGATCATAGTCTAATCTGCCTGCATGGACACAGGACTAAATCAGAGTATAGCCCCACATGGACCACTGTCTGTAGCACGTCTGTGGCACAAACCAGTCTTACCACTTACCTTGCACCCTTTCCCACCCATGAATTTTCTTTTTATTTTGAGATGAAGTCTTGCTCTGTCACCCAGGCTGGAGTGCAGTGGTGTGATCTTGGCTCACTGCAACTTCTGCCTCCCAGGTTCAAGCGATTCTCCTGCCTCAGCCTCTTGAGTAGCTGGGATTACAGGTGTGTGCCACCACATCCAGCTAATTTTTGTATTTTTAATAGAGACAGGTTTCACAATGGTGGCCAGGCTGGTCTCGAACTCCTGGCCTCAGGTGATCTGCCCGCCTCGGCCTTCCAAAGTGCTGGGATTACAGTCATGAGCCACCACACCCAGCCACATTTTTTTTCTTTTACCTTTTATTTTAGGTTCAGGAGTACATGTGCAGGTTTGTTGTATAGGTAAAATCATATCATAAAGTTTTTGTGTACAGATTGTTTTATCACTCAGGTAGTAAGCATAGTACCCAACAGATTTGTTTTCTGGTTTTCTTCATCCTCCAACCCTTCACCCTGAACGAGGCCTCAGAGTCTGTTGTTCTCTTATCTTTGTCCACATGTTCTCATTATTTTGCTCCCACTTATAAGTGACAACATACAGTATTTGATTTTCTGCTCCTGCACCAGTTTTCTAAAAATAACAGTCTTCAGCTCCATCCATGTTGCTGCAAATGACATGATGTTGTTCTTTCTTATAACTGCATCGTATTTCATGGTCTTTATGTACCACATTTTCTTTATCCAGTCTACCATTGAAGACATACAGATTTATTTCTGGTTTTTGCTATTGTGAATAGTGCTGTAATAAAAATATGTGTGCATGTGTCTTCATGGTAGAATAACTTACATTCATTGGGTATATTCCCAATTGTGGGGTTGCCGGGTCAAATGGTAATTCTGTTATCAGGTTTTTGAAAAATTGTCAAACTGCTTTTCTCAATGTTTAAACAAATTTATACTCTCACCAGCAGCGTATAAGCATTCCCTTTCTTCACAACCTCACAAACCTCTGGTTTCTGACTGTGTTTATTTGAATTATTTCTTTTTTCTTTGTTAGTGTAGTGTTTTATCTTTCACCAGAATCAACTTCTGGTTTTGTTGAACTTTTTTTTTCTTTCTTTTCTTTTTTTTTTCTGACATGGAGTTTCACTCTTTTCGTCCAGACTGGAGTACAGTGGCACGATCTTGGCTCACTGCAACCTCTGCCTTCCAGATTAAAGCGATTCTTTTGCCTCAGCCTCCCGAATAGCGGGGATTACAGGAGCCCACCACCAGACCCGGTTAATTTTTGTGTTTTTAGTACAGACGGGGTTTCACCATGTTGGCCAGGCTGGCCTGGAACTCCTGACCTTGTGATCCGCCCACCTCGGCCTCCCAGAGTGCTGGGATTAAAGGCATGAGCCACTGTGCCCGGCCCATTGAGCTTTTTATAGTTATTTATAAATAGTTATTTAACTATAAATATTTATGTTTCAACCTTCTTCATTTCAGCTCTGATTTTGGTTATTTCTTGTCTTTTGTGATCTTTGAAGTTGATTTGCTCTTTTTGAATTCTTTTAATTCTAACATTAGATTTTTAAATTGAGATCTTTCTAACTTGTTGATGTGGATGTTTAGTGATATACTTTTTATTCTTAACACTGCCTTGGCTGTAACCCAGAGCTTCTGGTATGTTGTATTTCAGGTTTAATTAGTTTCAAAATTTTTTTATTTCTGGCTTAATTTCATTATTTACAAAATAGCCATTTGGAAGCTGATTATTCAATTTTTATGTAATTGTATCATTTCACATGTTTTTTGTATTGAATTATCCTATACATTTTCTTTTTAAAATTAATGATAAACATAAGAAGAAATGAAAATGCTGTGCTCTTAATCTAAATGCTAAAAATTATTCAACACTTAGTACCAGCTCCCAGGGTGCTATGAAAATTAAATCACAAAATGTGTTATTCCCAGCACAGTGTTCTGTGACATGCTCCTGAGCACACAGTACCTGCTTAGTACATGTGTACAGGTTTCCCAAGTGCAGATTCACTCAGACATTGCTGTCTTCTGTTGTCTCTGTAAACTTAAAAAAGCCAACAAAAAATATAATATTTTGGAATGGAGATTAGTTGTCTTTATTTGTAGCAGAAGTATTAGTATTGTGACAAATGTGGTATGTGTAAGGGACTCTTCTGTGCCTGCTTTCTCTTGCTAATGCTAATAATGTGTCTGCGAAAGCACAATCAGCATTTACAGGGGACTTGTTGAAAAAGCCCATTCCTGGACCCTTTTGGATCCCGCAGAATCACATTGCATAAAGCAGGGCCAAGATTACCAAGTGATTTATAAACTTGAGGGGTTCAAGATACATTCATGAGAGTTTAGTTCAACCTTTGCATCAAAGGAAGGCTGCACTGCCTGCCCTGTTTCAGTTTGGTAGGAAGAGGTCAGTGCGGTTCATGCTCCCATTACTGTAAAGAACATTGCTGGTGTCTGATAGGGGAGGGCAGGGGAAAAAGAAACATATTTTAATAGTTATGGAGAAGCTTGTTCTTCTCTCATTGCTCTTAAATCTTTTCAGTTATTAACAACAAAAATGGGTGAATGTTTTCTGCAAGTCTCGGTCTTTCTGCCCGTGGGTGTGTGTGGTGGTAGCAGGTGAATAGGTTGTGCTTTAAAGGCATATTCTCAAGATGCAGGTTTGATATGTTCCAGAGCATCTCATCTGATAATGCATTTCAGGGAAAGAGGAGGAAGAGAAAAAAAATCACTTTTTCTCAGGTGAGCATGTCTCAGATCAAGAGCAGCATTCAGGCCGGGTGCGGTGGCTCACGCCTGTAATCCGAGCACTTAGGGAGGCCAAGGCGGGCAGATCATGAGGTTTGGAGTTCGAGACGAGCCTGACCAGCCTGACCAACATGGTGAAAGTCCATCTCTATTAAAAATACAAAAATTAGCTGAGAGTGGTAGCATGCACCTGTAGTCTCAGCTACTCAGGGGGCTGAGGCAGTAGAATCGCTTGAACCCAAGAGGTGGAGGTTGCAGTGAGCTGAGATTGCACCACCGCACTCCAGCCTGGGTGATAGAGTGAGACTGTGTCTCAAAAAAAAAAAAAAAAAAAAGGCAGCGTCCACTCTGCCTTTTGGAATGCCATGTGTTCGGAACTTGCAAATTTTTACTTCTCTACTTGTGTTGTTATCCCTAATGAGTTTGTTTCAATTATTTTTTATTTTTATGATAGTCAAGGGGTTCTGAAAAAAATATTTTTTTTCTGTATACCATAGCCTTCTATACATTCTCTTCATCTCGGGTTCTTGTATCCATGCAGAATTCTCACCACAAATTTATGACCTGCAATATTTAAAATGTTCCTATTGTAGCTGTTGAACATGAGAAGGTGTGGATACTCAATATTTCTTTGGGGAAACACAGTTGTCTTTGGTATTAGTGAAAAGTGAAACATGTCATGTTGAGGTTTCATCTGTGTGCTCTATTAGTTCCATGCAGAACAGGTAACGCTCATTTAAACAGGATGGCATTTATTACCCAGAAAGTTCTAAAAACTGTTAGGAGATACTTGCTCTCCAGGGTGCTAAGGAAAGACTACTTAAAATTACTATTAAAAATTACAGGCAGGGAAGTTATCTGTATCTTCAACTTTGCAGAAAACTGATTTTTTTTTATAATTAAATTTAGGCCAGGTGCAGTGGCTCACGCTTGTAATCCCAGCACTTTAGGAGGTCTGGGCAGCTGTATCACAT
Source organism: Homo sapiens (assembly GCF_000001405.40). NCBI lineage: Eukaryota > Metazoa > Chordata > Mammalia > Primates > Hominidae > Homo > Homo sapiens. Next base: position 57,461,054 of record NC_000007.14, read on the forward strand.
GAGGTCAGGAGTTCGAGACCAACCTGGCTAACATGGTGAAACCTTGTCTCTGCTAAAAAAAAAAAAATACAAAAATTAGCCTGGCATGGTAGCGTGTACGTGTGATCCCAGCTACTCAGGGGCTGAGGCAGGAGAATCGCTTGAACCCAGGAGGCAGAGTTTGCAGTAAGCCAAGATAGCACCATTGCACTCCAGCCTGGGTGACAAAGAGAGATTTTGTCTCATAAAATATATATAGTTACAATTTACTTTTCTGGGAGGAAAGAAATACCACAGCAGTGATGTTGCGTCCTGTGTGCATCAGCACATAATAAAAATGTGTCCCAGTACAGTTGATAACAATTTTATTCACTTGGCTCAAGATCTCTATGGCATTTTTTCTACTATAGAGTTAATTATTATTCCCTTAATTATTAAGTACACTTAGGACATTTACTAGCTGAAGTACATAAACCATCACATTTAATCTGGAAGCTGTCCTTTCTTTTTAGATGATTTTTGCATCTATATTTGTCTTTTAAAAATGAAGGCTTTTAGCTTTATTTACAGGTGAGAGAAACTGGGAAGAACCCAGACTCTGCCATTTACTAGATGTTTGACAAACTATTCTTACTAGGCTAGAAACATTGGTGAGCTTGCTAGAAATTCAGAAACTCAGACTCTATCCCAAATCTCCTGAAACAAAATCTGTATAAGATCTTTAGTTTATTGCACATATTAAGACTTAAGAGGAACCTTCCAACTCATCATGAATGTTCTACCTGAGAAATATAAATAACTTATTCTGTATGACGTAAATATAGCACTCAAAAATAGACATGTCCGACTGGGTGCAGTGGCTCATGCCTGCAATCCCAGTATTTTGGGAGGCCGAGGTGGGTGGATCACCTGAGATCAGGAGTTCAAGACCAGCCTGGCCAACATTGTGAAACCCTGTCTCTACTAAAAATACAAAAATTAGCCAGGCATGGTGGCTCATGCCTGTAGTCCCAGCTACTCAGGAGGCTGAGGCAGGAAAATCACTTGAACCCAGGAGGCGGAGGTTGCAGTGAGCCAATTATCACGCCACTGCACTCCAGCCTGGGCAACAGAGTGAGCCTCGGTTTAAAAAAAAAAAAAAAGACATGTCCATATTGATGCCCTTAATTTTATAATTCATCACCCAGAAAAGTATCATATCTACAGTGGTATTGTGGATCTTATGCTATCCTCTTTTCTCAGTTAGAGAATACTTCCATGTTAAACATTATCTTAATGAATAATTTTAGTCACTCTTACAAGTCAGAACCACTTCTTTTTACTCTCTTATTTAACATGAGTCAAATAAAAATCTCTGCCTATGGCAACATGGTAACTGTTTGTGTGTTCATGAGTGTTTTTTTTGTTTGTTTATTTTTTGTTTTTAGGGACTGTTGACATTCAGAGACATAGCTATAGAATTTTCTCTGGCGGAATGGCAATGCCTGGATCATGCTCAGCAGAATTTATATAGAGATGTGATGTTAGAGAACTACAGAAACCTGGTCTCCCTGGGTGAGGAAAACTTCAATACACAATTCCTAATATATTGCCTTTCTCTCTTTTCTAAGATGATTTTGGTAATTTCTGCTTTGCATGAATGAATTTTAGCTCTCCAGTTTTAAGAAAATCTTGGGGATTCATTGGTATATAGCAAATTCTTCAAGATGTTTTATCTTGACCTGAACTTTTCCCTTTCTTGCGCTTATGTATCTTTTGCTCTTGGTTAGTGGCAATTCCAAAACTGTCGTGGCATAAAATATCATTGCCCACAATTTAGAATTCAGTTCCTACCACCAATTTTTGATTCAGTAGCACTGAATAGTGAAATTAAGGACCTACAAATTTAAAGTATTTTCTAAATAGCTACAAAGATCTGTTACGAATCAATCTTAATTTTCTAGAATTTTCTATCATATCCTCTTTACTAAGCATAATACTTGTTTGGTAATTAAAGAATTCAGCCAGATTTATGTTACTTTTTTTTCCTTAATAAAACAGGTATTGCTGTCTCTAAGCCAGACTTGATCACCTGTCTGGAGCAAAATAAAGAGCCCCAGAATATAAAGAGAAATGAGATGGTAGCCAAACACCCAGGTAGGTGAGAGCGAATGAAGCAGATGACACAGATGAGAGTTACAAAAGTCAAGGAGGAAGCCAGTCCTTAAAATGTGGTCTGGGGAGCTGTACTTCGATGGAAGAGTTTCTGAGAAGCCAGAGTCATTTTTTTCTATTATGCTTACATAGGGACACCTTCTACTCCATGCTTTTAAATTCTCTAAGGATTCTACTTTCGGTTTAGTATTCTTCCTTCAAGTTCATAGTGCGAGCTAAAGTTTTCTTTATGGCTTATAAGGGACTGCAAAAACTGACTGCTTTGCCATTGCTTTTGGGGACACACAAATATCTGCACATTTTTGAGAAACTCTATGTGAAACCATTTTTAAAGTTCTTTTTTGCATCATGACTCAAATGTGTGAGAATAGTAGTTTCTGTTTCATTGGAGGTTGTCCATTTTTCTGCACATGCCATTCTGTTTTTATTACTATAGCCTTGACATATAAATTTTTTTTACAATTTTTTTATTTTTAAATTTTTATCCATGTATTTATTTATTTATTTAGAGGCTGGGTTATGAGACTTGCTGTGGGGGAATATGCAAGCAGGGTACCTCTTATGTCTTCATGTTACTGTGTTGCATATTTTAGACATAGATTCATAAATGGAATTGTTTATTGTATGATAATTTCATTTTTAATTATTTGAAAAACATTCATGATATTTTTTATGATGGCTGCGTCTTTTTTTCTCATCAACAGCTTACACAGGTTTCAATTGCTTTACATCATCAACATAGTTTGTGTTTTTAAAAAATTTATAGTGGCCATCCTAATTGATGCAAGGTAATTTTGTTTTTTTGTTTTGTATTGTGATTTTGTTTTGCATTTTTCTATAAATTATTAATTTTGTGCAACCTTTCAAATAGTTCTTCCCATTTGTATATCTTTTTAAATTAAAAGGTAGTTCAATCATTTGTCCATTTCTTTTTTCTTTTTTTTTTTTTTTTGAGATGGAGTTTCACTCTTGTTGCTCAGGCTGGAGTGCAATGGTGCAATTTTGGCTCATGGCAACCCCTGCCTCCCACATCCAAATGATTCGCCTGCCTCAGCCTCCTGAGTAACTGGGTTTACAGGGATGTGCCACCATGTGCAGCTAATTTTGTATTTTTTGTAGAGATGGAGTTTCGCCATGTTGTTCAGGCTGGTCTTGAATTCCTGACCTCTGGTGATCTGCCCAGCTCAGCATCCCAAAGTTCTGGGATTAAAAGCGTGAGCCACTGCACCCGGCTCACTTGTCCATTTCTAAATCATGTAATTCAATTATTATTCTCTAGTTCTAGGAGTTATGTATTCTCAATATTAAGTGTTGTTATCACATGTGATTTTCAAATATTGTCACCCATTTCTTGGGTGGCACTGTCACTCTATTAAATGTTGTATTTGATTGCAGAAAGTTTGAAATTTAGTTAAATTTTTCTGTTCTTCTCTTTGTTGCTCAAGCATTTGATGGCATATCTAAGAAAATGGTGCCAAGACCAATGTCCTGTCTTTCCACTATATTTTTTTTCTAAGAGTTTCGTTACTTTTTTTTCAGTCTAAGTATTTTGTTGAAAAAATTTTTTATATGATGTAATTAAAACATCCAACTTCATTGTTTCAATGTAGATATCCAGTTTTCAACATTGTCTGTTGAAGGGATTTTATTTTCTGCATTGTCTGCTCATGGCAACCCTGTGGCAGATTATTTGGTCATACACAGAAGAGTTCATTGCTGGCCTCCCTATTTTGTTCTATCATGTCTTTATCTGTCCTTATGTGAATACCACATAGTTATTGTTGTTGCAGCTTTTTATTATGATTTGAAATTATGAAGTATAATGCCTCTGTGTTTTTCATGTGTGTTTCTCTAGCTATAGTTCATAATAAAATTTAAAAATGTTAAATAGTATTTTAGTAATAAATATACTTTTAGAATTTTGATACAGATTATATTAAATTTGTTCACCACTGTGGGTTATCTTAACACCTTAGCAAATTAAGATATCAATTAAGTATTTTGACCCGTGAGCAAAAATGTTGAATTAAATTGACATATTTAACCCTGGGCAAGAATACATTGAAGAGTGTGTTTATTTCCATATATTTTTGATTTGCCAGTTATACTTTTTTTCTTTTTATTCAGTTTTGGTTAGAAAACATACACTGTATGATTTTGCTCTTCTTACATTTTTTTTTTTGACACAGTGTTTCTCACTCTGTTGCCCAGACTGTAGTGCAGTAGCACAATCTTGGCTCACCGCAGCCTCAACCTCTTGTACTCAAGTAATCATTCCACCTTGGCCTCCTGAGTAGCTGGCACTACAGACATACCCCACCATGCCCAGCTAATTTTTAACTATTTGTAAAGACGGTCTCACTGTGTTTCCAAGGCTGGTATCAAACTTCTTACCCCAAGTGATCCTTCCACCTCGGCCTCTCAAAGTGCTGGGATTACACCTGTGAGCCACTGCACCTGGCTGATCTTTTGAAATTTACTAAGACTTATGAGTTCTAACAGAATGCACCAGGAGCAAATAAGAATATTGCATGTCCACATGCACACGTATGTTTATTGCGGCACTATTCACAATAGCGAAGACTTGGAACTAACCCAAATGTCCAACAATGGTAGACTGGATTAAGAAAATGTGGCACATACACACCATGGTATGCTATGCAGCCATAATAAATGATGAGTTCATGTCCTTTGTAGGGACTTGGATGAAATTGGAAATCATCATTCTCAGTAAACTATCGCAAGAACAAAAAACCAAAAACACCACATATTCTCACTTGTAGGTGGGAATTGAACAATGAGAACACATGGACACAGGAAGGGGAACATCACACTCTGGGGACTGTTGTGGGGTGGGGGGAGTGGGGAGGGATAGCATTGGGAGATATACCTAATGCTAGATGACGAGTTACTGGGTGCAGCACACCAGCATGGCACATGTATACATATGTAACTAACCTGCACATTGTGCACATGTACCCTAAAACTTAAAGTATAATAATAATAAATAAATTTTAAAAAATGATTAAAAACAACATATTATGAAAATATATATATAAAAAAGAATATTGTGTGTCCAACCGCAATATTGACTGGGGAGTTCTGCATATGTCTGTTTAGCCTAGTTGGTTTATAATATGGTGTAGATGGTTGTTCCCTCCAAATCTCATGTTGAAATGTAATCTCCAGTGTTAGATGTGGGGCCTAATGAGAGGTGTTTGCATCATGGAGACAAATCCCTCATGAATGACTTGGCACAATCCCCTTGGTAATCATAGAGTTCTCACTCTATTAATTCACATGAGAGCTGGTTGCTTAAAGGAACCTGGCTCCTCCACCTCACACTCGCATCATCTTTCATTATGTGACATGGTTGGTTCTTTTTTGCCTTCCACTATAATTGTAAGCTTCCTCATATCCTCACCAGAAGCAGATGCTGGCATATACTTCTTGTATACTCTACTGAACAGTGAACCAAAGAAATCTTTTTCTTTAGAAATTACCCAGTCTCAGGCAATTTTTTATAGCAATGCAGAATGAATTAATACACTATATTATGTTCTTCTGATTTTCTGTTTTTTTAATTGATCTTTTATTTGAATTTTTTTGTTGAAAATGAGATCTTAATGTTTGTAATTTTATGCTGCTATTTTAATTCTTGCTTCATTTCTGTCAATATTTGCTGTATATAAATATATATTTTGAAGCCCTGATATTATATATGCATATACATATATGTAGACATAATAGTTACAGATTCCTAGTAAATGGGCTCATTTTACCATTATATAATATCAATATCAATAATATCGATATTTGTCTCATGCTAGTAATTGATTCATTTTCTTTTGTGTGTCTATAAAGATTTTTTCTTTGTGCTACATTGGAGATTTTAGAAAACCTCTTAATTTACAACAGTATATTTTAAACTGGTAAAAAAATGACTTCAGTTGCATAGAAAAATTTATTCTCATTATATCTATCCCATATGTCTTATTAATGTCACTAATTATATCTTTTTATGTTTTTTGATTATTTTTATGCTTATATCTTTCAAATTTTAAAGAACAACTAAAAATGTTTTCCGCATGATCACAATAATGCCACAGACTTTTATTTTTTGTAGATGCATATGTTTTTCAGAAAGTTATGTATTTTTTTCATCATGTAATTTTAAGTGGAAGGACCTCTTTTCAGCATTTTATTTAGGGCACATGCAGTGCTTATATGCTTTTCCAGCATTGGTTTATTCTGGAAGATCTTTATTTTTTGTTTATTTTGTAGTACGTGTTTGCTGGTTATATTATTCTCACCATGAAGATTTTTTTTCAGCACTTTGACCATTTTGCACGTTTTTTTCTGATCTGCAAGGTTTCTGTTGACAAATTCACTAGTTGTCTCAGGGGACTATGCTTATAAATAATACCTCACGTTTATCTTGCAGCTCCCAAGATTATCTTCTAGTTTGTGACTTTTGAAACTTTGCATGAATATGTGTTATGGACCTTTCTGTGTATATCCTAGTTTGTTTGTTTAGCTTCTTCATTAAATGTTTTCAGCTATTTTCTTTTACCTACACGTTTGTTTATTTTTATTATTCCAAGCTTTTGTTGATATTCTTATTTTTCTGATATTATTTAGGTATCTAGTTTTGCATTTCTCTCACTGAGCATAATATGGATTATCTTATATTTTTAAAATTAATATATAAATCTTTAGCTTAATAGTTTCTTTTTCAAAATTTTTTATTTTTTTGATTGGACCGTGTTGCCCTAATATTTTATAAACATAATAATCTTTGGTTGAGATTTAGACATTAATGGAAAACTACCTTTCACGATCTTTATAATGCAGCTCTTTCCTGGCATAGCCTGAAACCGATTGTCTTGGCTAGAGATTCTCGGAGTCTTTCAAACATGTTCTCAGGATGTGTCTTGTCTGCAATTTTGTATTTATTTTTCAGTTAAAAGACTTCTTCATGTTTCCTCTTAGCAGTCAGTAACTACTTTCTACACCTGTTTTCTGTCCATGGTACAGCAGTCTTTCTGCTGTTGTTAACATTCACTTTTGATTTCAAAAGACTTAAAGGTGTCATTTCAAAGTATACCAGCATTTCATTCAGCACTTTCTGTCATGGAAGAGAGAAAGGCTCCCATAAGCCAAAAGTAAAGATATAGGTGCCAATATTTTTCTTTTGAGATAAAAGCCAGTTTGCTCCTAAAGACACCATGTTCTTCTAGTGGGGATGAGGAAGGGCTGTGTTGGGTAAATGTAGCAGACTTTTCTTTTGTCTCTCTATGGCTCTTGGCATTGTGCCCACCTGGTGCCCACAGTTACCTTACTTATAAATTTCCCACAAAGGTATTTTGATCACTACTATTTTGTTACATTTATACATCTATGAAGGAATTACGGCTTGTGGTATTTTGATATGCCATTTTGCTAATGTACTTTGTATAATTTTATATATTTGATTTGCAAAATATATTTATCTGAGTGTAGTAAGTGGAGAAACTTGTGATTTTTATGTCTTTCAGTTACATGTTCTCATTTCACCCAAGACCTTCAGTCAGAGCAGGGCATAAAAGATTCACTCCAAAAAGTGATACTGAGAAGATATGGAAAATGTGGACAGGAGGATTTACAAGTAAAAAAATGCTGTAAAAGTGTAGGTGAGTGTGAGGTGCACAAAGGAGGTTATAATTATGTTAACCAATGTTTGTCAGCTACCCAAAACAAAACATTTCAGACTCATAAATGCGTCAAAGTCTTTGGTAAATTTTCAAATTCCAATAGACACAAGACAAGACATACTGGAAAGAAACATTTCAAATGTAAAAACGATGGCAAATCATTTTGCATGCTTTCACGCCTAAATCAACATCAGATAATTCATACTAGGGAGAAGTCTTACAAATGTGAAGAATGTGGCAAATCCTTTAACTGCTCTTCAACCCTTACTAGACATAAAAGAATTCATACTGGAGAGAAACCCTACAGATGTGAGGAATGTGGCAAAGCTTTTAGCTGGTCTGCATCCCTTACTAAACATAAGAGAATTCATACTGGAGAGAAACCTTACACATGTGAAGAACGTGGCAAAGTCTTTAGCCGCTCAACACTTACTAACTACAAGAGAATTCATACTGGAGAGAAACCCTACACATGTGAAGAATGTGGCAAAGCCTTTAGCCGCTCTTCAACACTTACTAACCACAAGAGAATTCATACTGGAGAGAGACCCTACAAATGTGAAGAATGTGGCAAAGCCTTTAGCTTATCCTCAACCCTTAAGAAACATAAGATAGTTCATACTGGGGAGAAACTCTACACATGTGAAGAATGTGGGAAAGCCTTTACCTTCTCCTCAACTCTAAATACTCATAAGAGGATTCATACTGGAGAGAAACCCTACACTTGTGAAGAATGTGGCAAAGCCTTTAGCTTACCCTCAACCTTCACTTACCACAAGAGAACTCATACTGGAGAGAAACCCTACAAATGTGAAGAATGTGGCAAAGCCTTTAACTGCTCCTCAACCCTTAAGAAACATAAGATAATTCATACTGGAGAGAAACTCTACAAATGTAAAGAATGTGGGAAAGCCTTTACCTTCTCCTCAACTCTAAATACTCATAAGAGGATTCATACTGGAGAGAAACCCTACAAATGTGAAGAATGTGACCAAACTTTTAAGTGGCATTCAAGTCTTGCTAATCATAAGAATATGCATACTGGAGAGAAACCCTACAAATATGAATAATGTGGTAAAGTCCAGCCCTCAGGCCTTATAATACATAAAATAATTTATACTGGAAAAAATCACTACAAGTGTGGAGAATGTGGCCAATTCTTTAACCAGTTCCAAACCACTGCTGTCCATAAGATAATTCATATTGGACAAAAGTCTTATAAATGTAAAAAAAAAAGTAACAGCCTTTAACCACCCCTCAAACCTTAATGAACCCAAGAGAATTTATTTAAAAAAATTTTTTTGAGACAGAGTCTCACTTTGTCACCCAGGCTGGAGTGCAGTGGCACGATGTCAGCTCACTGCAACCTCTGCCTCCTGGGTTCAAGCGATTCTCCTGCCTCAGCCTCCTGAGTAGCTGGAATTACAGGCACGTGCAACCACACTGGCTGAGTTTTGTATTTTTAGTAGAGATGGGGTTTCACCATTTTGACCAGGCTGGTCTCAAACTCCTGACTTCAGGTGAACCACCTGCCTCAGCCTCCCAAAGCCTAAGAGAATTTATATTAGAGAGACTCTACAAAGGTCAAAAATGTGACAAAACATTTAAGCACATCTCAGGCCTTACACAATATCAGATAATTCATTCTAGAGACAAACCCTACAAAAACAATGTGGTAAAGCTTTTACCTAGTCTTGAACCCTTATTATACACTAAAAGAATTGATACTGAAGAAAAACCCTACAATAAGGAATATGGAAATGTCTTTTAAAAGTCCTCAAACTTTTTGTTTGAATAAATGTAAAATAATTGATACTGGAGAGAACCCCTGCAATTGTAAAAAAAAAAAAAAATGTGGCAAAGCTTTTAACTGGTTCTCCATCTTTATTAATTAAAATATTTTATACTGGAGAGAAACTCTACATACATAAAAAATGTGACAGCATTTAACCACACCTGACATTTTTCTAAAATAGAGAAATCATACTGGTGAAAAACTCTAGAAATGTGTTAAATGAGGTAAGTCCTTTAAATGGTAGTTGCATGTTATGGTAGGTAAGATAATTTATACTGAAGAAAACTCAGGCAAATATGAAAAATGTGGCAAAACTTTTAACAAATTTTCCCATCTTATTGCACAGGAAGCCTTTTATACTAGAGAAAAATTGTAAAAATATAAAGAATGTGAAAAGCCATTAATGTCTGTTCACATCTTACTCAATATCAGAAAGTTTATACTTAACAAAAGCATTATAGGCTAGATGTGGTGGCTCATGCCTGTAATCCCAGCACTTTGGGAGCTCATGGCAGGTGGATCATGAGGTCAGGAGTTCAAGACCAGCCTGGCTAACATGGTGAATCCCCATCTCTACTAAAAACACAAAAATTAGACAGGCATGGTGGTGTGCACCTGTAATCCCAGCTACTCAGGAGGCTGAAGCAGGAGAATTGCTTGAACCCAGGTGGTGGAGGTTGCAGTGAGTCAAGATCACCCCACCATACTCCAGCCTGGGTGACAGAGCAAGAATCCATCTTAAAAAAAAAAAAAAAGCGTAAATGTGATTACTGTAAAAAGACCTTTCAGAAAACATAGGCCTTTAAAGCAAAGACTATTTATTCTAAAGACAAACATTAAAACATAAAGAGGATTGTGTAGTACCTTTATTTGTATTACGGATTTTATTGTACACATTTTATATCAAAGGAAAACCCTGAAACAGATGCTCAAACTTTGTTGAACATCGGAGAATTTATATTGGAGAGAAAGTGTAAATGAATGTCAAAAAATATTTGTTCAAAAACTACAGTTTAGAAAACACTAGTTTATACTAAAAAAATATTTTTGCAGATGCAGTAAATGGGGAAAATATGTTTAATCAAAAATTAAGTCTACATAAACATTTGAGGATTCACAGTAGAAAGAATGAAGGTGCTGAAACTTCAGACATTACACTAAATCAGAGTGTTGAGTGTAAAAAAGATATAAATCTAACAATATAAATTTAAAGAAGTAGATTTATTTGGAGATTTATAATTACATTCGAGGTATGCTTCTTTCTTTGTAAAAAAAAATATAGATTTTCTGAAAAGCAAATAGTAATGTAACTCACATTTCAAATTACTTCATGTTGATCCTTTCTTCCCATTGTTTCTGTGAAAGTATTGGACCAATTGTTGAATCAGAGATATGAGATTGTTTTTTATAGGTGTCCATTATTCATGAACTTTCCTATGGATGAGTAAGGACATTAAGTTGTAAGATGCATAATGAAAATCTAAATGGAGAGGTTCTTTGTGGTTGACTTATAACATTGTTTTAGTGATGTATAAGGCGAGCGTTCAGAGTAATATTCTAAATTCTAGTGAGGAAAACCTTTGAACGTCAGTAGTAAATTATTTTATCAATTGTACCTTTATGTAAACAAAGTTGTTTTTAATGAGCTAAAACTATTGTGCTTTGAAAGAAGTATTAAGCTGCCATTGACTCTATCGTGTCTCATCTTAAGGTTCTGCGTAAAAGATGGTGACAATATACTATTTGTTAATGTAGGGGAATGACATCACTAGTAGTCTCTTTTTTGCCAGTGTTTTTGTTTGTTTGTTTTGAGACTAAGTCTTACTCTGTCACCCAGACTGGGGTGCAGTGGTGCGATCTCAGCTCACTGCAACCTCCACCTCCTGGGTCCAAGTGATTCTCCTGCTTCAGCCTCACAAGTAGCTGGAACTAGAGGCAGGCACCACCACTCCTGGCTAATTTTTGTATTTTTAGTAGAGATGAGGTTTCCCCATGTTGGCCAGGCTGGTCTCAAACTCCTGACCTCAGGTGATACACCCACCTCGGTGTACCGAAGTGCTGGGATTACAGGCATGAGCCACCATGCCTGGCCTACTAGAGGTTTTACACAGCAAACAAGTTGAAGAATTTTGTTCCCATAGGACAAATTTGTACTTTTTTACCTTATTTAATTTTTTTTTAATTTTTGTGGGTAGTGTGCATACACACTTATGGCATATATGAGATATGTTAACACATGCACATAATATTTAATGATCACAACAGAGTAAATGAGGCATTCATCACCTTGAGCATGTATTTATCCTTTGTATTACAAACAATCCCATTATACAGTTTTAGTTATTTCAATATGTGCAATTGAATTACTATTAACCACAGGGTCATTTTATGATCATAAAAATTACATGAGTATAATTAATACCCATACATTTCTGAGTCTTGATTAAATATTTTTAAAATTTTGTTTTATAAATTTTTTGCACATGTGGCATCTCTGCTGACAAACAAAAACAGACTTTTAGTTTCAATTTACATAGAGTTACATATACAAATATATTACTCTAAAGATATACCAGCCGAGCACAGTGGCTCCCAGCATTTTGGGAGCCTGAGGTGGGAGGATCATTTGAGGTTAGGAGTTCAAGACCAGCCTGGCCAACATGGTGAAACCCCATCTCTACTAAAAATACAAAAAATTAGCTGGGCATGGTGGTGCATGCCCATGGTCCCAGTTACTCAGGAGGCTGAGGCAGGAGAATTGCTTGAACCTCGGAGGTGGAGGTAGCAGTGAGCTGAGATGGTGCTACTGCACTCCAGCCTGGGTGAAAGAGCGAGAAACCATCTCAAAAAAAAAAATAAATAAATAAAAGATATACCTTAAGCATAAGAAAGTTATGTAGCAAGTTATTGTGTTTGTGTGAGTTTTTATGTATTTTCACAAAAGAACAATATTGAAACAAAAAGATCATTTTAATAAGGTAGATAATTAACTAGAAACCTGGAAACCTCATATTCTGAAAACAAAATCTATATTATGTGCCTTGTATTGAATTCATTACTGTAAAATCTTTTGCCACCCAAATCTTATCTCAAATTGTAATCCCCACGTGTCAAGGGAGGGACTTGCTGGGAGGTGATTGGAACATGGGGGTAATTTTCCCCCATGCTGTTCTCATTATAATGAGTTCTGAAAAGATCCAATGGTTTTATAAGTGGCTTTTTTTTTTCTGTTCTCCCTCTCCCTTGCTGCCTAGTGAAGAAGGTGCTTGTTTTCCTTTGCCTTCCACCATAATTGTAGGTTTCTTGAGACCTCCCCAGCCATGCAGAATTGTGAGTAAATTAAACCTCCTTTTTATGTAAATTACCCAGTCTCTGGTAGTATCTTCATAGTAGTGTGAAAACAGAGTAATATAGAGCTCTGAAAAAGATAGGAAGATGTGAGAAAGTTTGGAACTTCCTAAAGATTGTTGAATGCTTTTGACCAAAATGCTAATAGTGATATGGATGATAAAGTCCTAGCTGAGGTGGTCTCAGATGGAGATGAGAAACTTCTGTTTAAAATGGAAGCAGAACATAAAAGTTTGGAAAATTTGCAGCCTGACCATGAGGTAGAAAGTAAAAACCCATTTTTTGGAAAGAAATTAAAGCCACTGCAGAAATTTGCAAAAGCAAAAAGGAGCTCAATGTTAATAGCCAAGACAATGGGGAAAATGTCTTCAGGTCATGTCAAAGATGTGAGACAGGTCCTTCCATCACAGACCAGGAGCCATAGGAGGAAACAATGGTTTCATGGTTGAGGCCAGGGCCCCACTGTTCTGTGAAGCCTTGGGACTTGGTGCCCTAATCCCAGCTGCTCCACATCCAGCTGTGGCTAAAAGGGGCCAAGGCCCAGCTTGGGCTATTTCTTTAGAAAGTGCAATCCTCAAGCCTTGGTGTCTTCCATGCAGTGTTGGGCATGTGAGTGCACATAAGACGAGAGTTGAGCTCTAGGAACCTCTGCCTAGATTTCAGATGATGTATAAAAATGCCTGGATATTCAGTCAGAAGTCTTCTACAGGGGCAGAGCCCTCATAAAATACCTGTGATAGGACAATGCTGAAGGGAAATGTAGGGTTGGAGCCCTCACGCAGAGTCCCCACTGAAGTTGCCTGCTGGAGTTGTGAGAAGGCCACTATGCTCCAGACCCCAGAATGACAGATCCACCATGATCTTGCACTGTGCATCTGGAAAAGCCACAGGCATTCAATTCTAGTCCATGAAGGAGCTTCCAAAGGCCATGAGGGCCCACCCTTTGCATCAGCGTGGCCCACATGTGAGACATGGAGTCAAATGAGAACATCTCAGACCTTTAAGAGTTACTGACTGCCCTGTTGGAATTCAAACTTGCATGGGGCCTGTAGCTCTTTGGTTTTGGCAAATTTCTCCCATTTGAAATGGAAGAATTTACCTAAGGCCTGTACCCCATTGTATCTTGGAAGTTACTAACTTGCTTTTGATTTACAGGCTCATCAGTAGCAGGGACTTGCCTTGTCTCAGATGAGACTTTGGACTTAGACTTTCAGGTTAATGCTAAAATGAGTTAAGACTTTGGGGGACTGTTGGGAAAACATGTTTGGTTTTGAAATATAAAATGGCATGAGATTTGGAAGGGGCCAGGAGCAGAATGATACCCATGGTGTTCTCACAGTGAGTGAATTCTCATGAGATCGGATGGTTTTATAAGTGGTCATTTTTCCTGCTCTCCCTCTCTCTTGCCACCCAGTGAAGAAGATACTTGCTTCTCCCTCACCTTCTCCCATTATCGTAAGGTTCTTGAGGCTTCCCCAGCCATATGGAACCATGAGTCAATTAAACTTCCTTTCAATATAAATTTTCCAGTCTTGGGTAGTATCTGTATAGCAGTATAAAAAGAGACTAATGCACAAATATATGATAGGGCTATCTGTATACTAGATGCTTCATAATTAGTCATAAATATTCCTGCTTGAGTGTCTGTAACTCTCAGTCACAGATGGGAAATATTAATGGTGATAAAATAACATTGATTATGCATGTGCAGAGGACATCTGTTCCCAGGCTGCAGAACAGCCTCTCTGAATTTACATAAAAATTCTGCCTTTTAAATTTTCTGATTATCTTTTGTGACCTTTTATGTTTATCCTAATGATGTATCCATCACAGCCCTTCCCCTTTTTTCTGTGTTATGGCTACGGTTTTCTCACTGTTCTCTCTGTGCCATGTCATTTCACACAGTACTTTGTAGGTTCTGATGAGAAGTTTGGAATTTTTTAAATTTTTTTTTTATTGAGACAGAGTCTTGCTCTGTTGCCCAAGCTGGAGTGCAGTGGCACATTCTCAGCTCACTGCAACCTCCGCCTCCTGGGTTCAAGTGATTCTCCTGCCTTAGCCCAAGTAGCTGGGATTACAGGTGCAAGCCACCATGCCTGGCTAATTTTTTTGTATTTTTAGTAGAGACGGGGTTTCACCTCATTAGCTAGGATGCTCTTGATCTCCTGACCTCATGTTCTGCCCACCTCGGCCTCCCAAAGTGCTGGGATTATAGGTGTGAGCCACCACACCCGGTCTGGAATTTTTTAATATGGTGAAAAACTGTGTTAAACTTGGGAGTTTGAGCTTATTTATAGCTTCTCAATGTAACTTCCAGATCAGTTAATTGAGATAAGAGGTATCCACTGTCCACAAGTGAGACAATTAAATCAGGTAGCGCTATTTGTCTTTGTAAAAAAAAAATTTTTTTTTAGATTCTAACACAGACTGTAGCATATACAAAATTATTTAGAAAATATATCTTAGAAATTAAATTTATAGGAGAGTTAATATTAAGGATAATTATTACATGTTATTTTTATGATATATTTATAGCACAACTTATGTTTTCATGCAGGATCTTGTATTTTTGAGTTTGAATGTTAAATGTTGCAAATAAAATGAGCTCTGTGATTTAAAATATGGAATAATATTTCTTTTTCATATTAATGTTACAATCTTGAGAGATTTTTCTATTATTTTATGATTATTTTTGAGTGGGTAAAGTTCACAGTCTACAGTTTCACTCTTAGTCACCTAACTGTAGCCAACATTTTGGTCATTTTCTCTGAGCAAATTTTGGAGATTATGGTAGCCTTTGGATTAAAACATTTACTCAGTTATTTTTCATGCAAAGATGTTTATTGTGTTCACACAGTGACCAATCATGCGACAGAGGGCAACCCCTGATTTTTAGTGTCTTCCGTTACATTGCCATCAGCACCAGAAACTAAAGGTGCCCAAGCTGAAAGTAAAAGCCCTAAAGCACATTGGCTCCTCCCATGCTCTGCTGGACCCAGAGTAGTAAATACTAGATTTTTCTATCGCTATTGCTGACAAGTTAAGTAACAAATAGCACAGAAAAACTGAGGAAAATGCATTGATACATTTTTTAGTTCTTTATAGTTTATAAAACTTAATAGTTTCTAAATTATTATATGTTAAAACAATTTGAACATGCAGATATCTATAAGTTCTATCTAGATGATGGTATTAATATTGTAATGCTTATAATATAGCAAGAATTATCCCATTTGGTTTACTGCAAAGTAGTTACTTCTCTTCTAAATGTAAGTAGTGAATAGGGTTTCTATGATCATAAGCATACAAGGTCTTTAAGATGATCACTAAGATTAGAATAAAATTCACAGGCTTAGGGCCGGGCGCGGTGGCTCTCGTCTGTAATCCCAGCACTCTGGGAGGCCGACGGATAACAATGTCAAGAGATCAAGACCATCCTGGCCAACATGATGAAACCCCATCTCTACTAAAAATACAAAAAAAAATTAGCAGGACAGGTGGCGGGTGCCTGTAGTCCCAGCTACGCAGGAGGCTGAGGCAGGAGAATTGCCTGAACCCAGGAGCTGGAGGTTGTAGTGAGCAGAGACTGCACCACTGAACTCCAGCCTGGTGACAGAGGGAGACTCCGTCTCAAAAATAAAATAAATAAATAATAAAAAAAATCATAGGCTTTCAGTAACATAAATTTTAATTATTTTCTAACAGAAGTGAAGAAGCAATAGAAATAAGTTGTTAAAATGAGTTCAAAGAAACTACACATGTGGTCATTAAATCACATTTGAAACCACATTGTAAGTGACTGGTTAGTAATTCTAATTTGTTTCATTTTAGTCACTGAGAAAACAATATTCTTTACTCATTCTATATGAAAAAGTATGTTTTTGGTTTTTTTTGAGATGGAGTCTCGCTTAGTCACCCAGGCTGCAGTGCAATGGCGTGACCTTGGCTCACTGCAACCTCCACCTCCTGGGTCCAAGCAATTTTCCTGTCTCAGCCTGATGAGTAGCTGGGATTACAGGCACGCGCCACCACGCTCGGCTAATTTTTGTGTTTTTAGTAGAGATGGGGTTTCACCATGTTGGTCAGGCTGGTCTCAAACTCCTGAACTCGTGACCTGCCCACTTTGGCCTCCCACAGTGCTAGGATTATAGGTTTGAGCCACTGCACCCGGTTTCATTGTAGCTTTTAATATAAAAGATATTTTTCAAAAGTACCATTAGTGACTCTTTTAAGCAATGAGAGGAGCAGGGTTGTTGGAAACCATTTACCAACCAAAGTATTTGTGTTAGGCTTGTTATGAGTACTTTGTACCCAAAATGAAGTTCTCCATACTATTTAGGGGTCAAAAAAGTTGTTTTAAAATTCTGCTTCATTTCTACTAAATTAGAAAATTCAAAGCAAAAATGTTAAATAAAAAATGGAAAAAAAAAAACATGAGTGAGATGGGGCTGACCATAATGGTTAATATTAAAGCTCAGTATCTGGTGGTCCCTGATTGCATCCTGGTTCTGTCACTTATGGGCTGTGTGACCTGGAGACAGTTTCTTGATATCTCTGTGCTTGATTCTTCAGCTGCACAGTAAGGATAATACTGCCTAAATCCTATGGTTTTGGTAAAATTAAAGCAATTAATGCAAATAAAGGTGTCAGAAGAGTGCCCAGCATATAGCAAGTGCACAGAAAATTTATTAGCTCTGGTGATTTGTATAGTTTTTTAGATCAGGACCAATGTTAAGCCTGGGAACAACAAGGTGGCCACACCAGGGGGTTGTAATCCACGTTCATTTTAATTGGTCAGTTTGGGAATATAATAGTCAATGGATATTTTTAATATTATCCTTGGCAAATTCTCATATATTCTCATACAGCATGAATATAAATACTAAAGAAAGATCCCTCATTTTGTACTGCTCTTTACTACTCTAGTAACACTAGATAATAAGCACTTAAATGCTGAGTGTTTGTCAGTTTTAAAATTAGAGAAAGAGACAAATTGTTTTCTGATCTACTTGCTTAATAAATTATTTTTTGCCAACTAATTTTTAGGTTTACTTGGTAAATTTAAAGGTAGTTTAAAATGTATATTTAAATAACTTTTCTCTATAATTGAAGAAAATAATTTATCTTGAGAGAATTTTACTTTAAACAGTTGCTTTAGAGTCTATCTTGTAAAGTATTCTATTTTCAAATAAAGCCGGGTGCAGTGGCTCATGCCTGTAATCCCAGCACTTTGGGAGGCCGAGGCAGGCAGATTACCTGAGGTCGGGAGTTTGAGACCAGACTGACCAACAAGGAGAAACCCCATCTCTACTAAAAATACAAAATTAGCTGGGTATGGTGGCGCATGCTACCAGCTACTCGGGAGGCTGAGGCAGGAGAATCGCTTGAACCCAGGAGGTGGAAGTTGCGGTGAGCCGAGATGGCACCATTGCACTCTAACCGGGGCCACAAGAGCGAAACTCCGTCTCAAAAAAAAAAAAAAAAAGAAAGAAAAGAAAAGAAAGAATTATATTATTCTGAACAATGATAATTAACATATTTTATTATTGAGTGATAGGTTCACACTATTCATGATATCAAAAGTTTACTTACCAACATCACTAAGTAACCAAGCTGTGTGTAATTAAAAATAAATGCATATCTTTCCTGAAATTATAAGATATGAAGAATCATTTATTTCTCTGGCCCAATTTTTAAAGTTAAGTTTTACAAAAAAAAAATGTATTACTATAATATTTGGTTGACAAATCAAAATTGCATATTTATGGGGTACAGTGTAATGTTTTGATATGTGTATAAAATATGAAATAAGACAAGTTAACTAACACATCTATCACCTCACTTACCAATCATTTTTTGTGGTGAGACATTAAAACTTACTGTTAGTTATTTTGAAACATACATACATTATCATTGACTATAATCACCCTACTGTGCAATAGATCTCAAAACCTCTTTATTTTGTCTGTAAAACTGCATTCTTTTATCAACATCTGCCTCTGGTAAACAATTATTCCACATTCTGCTTTGTTATTAAAACTTTATTAGATTCTACATATAAATGAAATCATGCAGTACTTTTGTTTGTGTGCCTGGCTTATTGTACTTAGCAAAGTATCCTCTAAATGTATCCATATTTTTTCAATTGACAATATTTCCCCCCTTTTTAAGGCTACATGGGATCCATTGTGTATGCTATTATTCTAAATGTATACACCACATTTAGAATAAAATTGTAATTTAAATATATATTCATCTATTGGTTGGAAAACTCATGTAATGGAAAAATATTTGTGTGAAAGAATGTATTAACATAATGCAGCATATAAATATCTAGTTAATAATAGCTAATTTGTACTGAGCAATAACCATAACACTATACATGTGTTAATAAATTTTGTTTTCACAGTGATATGGTCTGGCTGTGTCCACACCCAAATCTCATTGTGAATTGTAGTTCCCATAATCTCTGTGTGTCATGGGAGACACCTGGTGGCAGGTAATTGAATCATGTGGTCAGTTACCCTCATTCTGTTCTCATGATAGTGAGTTCACATAAGATCTGATGGTTTTCTAAGGGGCTTTTCTCCCTTTTGCTCAGCACATTTTCTCTTCTTGTCACCATATGAAAAAGGACATATTTGTTTCCCCTTTCATTATGATTGTAAATCTCCTGAGGCCTTTCCAGCCATGCTGAATTGTGAGTCAAATTAACCTCTTTCCTTTGTAATTTACCTAGCCTTGGGTACATCCCTACAAAAATGTGAGAATGGACTAATAGACACAGTAACTTAATAACAAAGGTATTATTATTCTTAATTTACAAAGAAAAAAAACAGAGCTAGAGAGAGAAATAACCTGCTTACAATAGCAGAGCCAGTATTAAAACACAAGCAACTTTGACTCCGGAGATAATACTCTTGAATACAATAATAAAAACCATTTCAAACAGAAAAGAAGTTACCTTTAACATTCGTTCTTAAAAATTTAACAAAAATTTAAAATGGATACATTTGTATTGTTTTATATATATGTATGTGAATGTATAATATAAATGAGAACTATTTCATGTAAACCAGAAAATGTTAATAATTATTTTAATGAATAAAATTGAAAAGCAGTTCAATTAATTATTATTTGCAGATGATATCTTTGTTTACTTAGAAAGACAACAAAAGCAACTGAAAGGCGATTTTAGAAATCTATTCAGGTGGGTAGGCAAAATTCTCAGATGACCCTCAGGTTCCCACTTCCGTGCACACCTGCTGTGTAATCCTTTTCTCTTGAGTGTGAGAAAATGTGTGACTGTGGTGGGACATTATTCATGTAATTACGTTACTAATGTGTTGGCTTATTGTTTATCGTAAGAGAGATTATCTTTATTAGCCTTAATCAGAGGTGCTTTTAAGAGAAAGAGCATATCATAGAAAAACACCCCTGCTTCCCTGAAATTAATCAAACTTCTTGATAAGAGATGTCATAAGCTGTTTATCCTGGCCACATGGCAAGGGATATATTTATATATTGTCTCTATTTCTGCCTTCAACATGTTGCTTTCAGTAGAGAGAATAGGAGGATCTCATGGCAGAGAAAAAAGAAGGAATCTCATTTATGCAAGAAATAATCACCCCTCATCTGGGACAGCTTACGAAAAACAGAGACCAGAACATGACCACATCGATGGGAAACAAAGGCAACTTGGTTGCAAGGGCTCACTGGCATTATGAAGCAATGTCTACACAGCCGAAATAAATGATCAGCCTCTGGGATACCAGTAGTCTACCAACAAGGCTGTATTCATTCTCATTCTGATTAAATTAGCATTTCTGCACCATTCAGGTAACTCAGTTTTACATAATTTATGACAAAAGTACCAGGCAGACCCATGAGTACCTTCCTAGAACTGAACTTATGAAAAAGCATATGCAATTTTTTAATTTCAAGATTGGAAAATGTTGAAAAAATAAGGAATTTATTAATAATAATCTGACTTTCTAATTTTAGAGAATTCTACCATTCTGTAATACAATATTGAACTTTGAACACCTTAACATATTTCTTGAATACATAAATTTTTATGTAGATAGTTTCTCTTTTAGATTAATGCAGTAAGACTAACAATTAGAGAAAACATTTGAAATAAAATAAAAGTCATCAGAACCACATCTTTCAATGGCTTGGCATAATTGCCATGCTCTTTGATATGGTCAAGAAGCAAAGACAAGATTTTGGCTTTGACCAATTATTAAGTCCTTGACCTTTTGAAATCTAATATCCTGGCTAAAAAATTAGGATGGCATATATTTTAGGTGGCTACCTGGAGTATCAAAGGCAATATGAGAAGAATTTTGATAGTTGGGCAAGAAAATGCATACTACATACACACATTACTCTTCTCTGATTTGCTTTAACTTTGAAATATTGGAAATTGCAGATCTAGTTCCTCCATTTAGGGTAAATTAACAACAAATTCGTGTTTCAGCTGAGCAAGCTATTGTATGAAACTTATAGGTAACAGATGTCATTAGCTGCAAAAAGCAAAATAGTGTGACTAGTTTCAGTAACTATCTAGCCATGCAAATAATAGACCAATTAGATTAAGATCCTAAAAGGTGCATGTAGAAAATATTTATGTGCAATATTGTGACCCTCCCCCAAACATCTTTTTCTGTCTCCTTACAGAGATACCAATTTTTCCTGAATGACTCAGGGTGAATACTGGGAACTGAGAATGCTCAGTGTTCAGAGTTGATTCCTGGGAGCATAGCTAACACATTTCTTCTATATTATAAAGAAACTTTATGAATTTTACTGTGCCTTAGAAAGGCTTTTAGTAAGAGATTGTTCATGTATAACACTCTACTTGGATTCATAAAAATTTTCAATATTCCATTTAAATCAGACACACTGAAATGTCAACCAAATATCACAAAACATCTTTGAATGAGATCAAGCCTTTCTTAGCTAAGAATTTTATTTCATCAGTAAATTTAGAGGAAAATAAGAAATGTGTGTACTTTGGGCCAGATAACAGTGTTGGTCTCATGGGAACAATTCAGACAAGTGCTCTTCCTCATCACTCTTAAAGTAGCAATAGCACCACATCAATTTCCTGGCACCAGCCGGCCTGTTTTTCACTGATATGAAGTGCAGAAGCCATTGAAACAGTGAAGAAGTGTGATATAAATGGAATACTTATTTGAAGTACAGTTGTTAATAAAAGGTAGCATTTGATGTTGTACAACTATAGGTAAGATGACTAGTGTGAGATAAAAATATTTTTACTTTAATTGACAGAATAACTTTTTCACAATATTTCTATTTCAAATAATTTTTTTGCTCTATATTTGCTTGCTTTTCATCCAACACTACCTGAGCTCAATAGGAATCAACAAAATGAACCTTTTTTACCACAAGAATTTTATTCATGCATATGCTTAATTTGCTGAAAATACGTGAGCCTTCCATGAAAGATTTATACTAGTATTGTGTCATTTTTTGCTGAGAAGTGGCTGTCCTGCCAGAAAATTGCTATTCTCAACTCTGCTCACATTGACTCTGGTCAGCATAGTGACGGGAAGTGATGTGTGAATAAAAAGCAAATGTGTCTTCCTTGAATCTTTTTTCATCTGTTGGCTGAAGAAAGAGAGAGTGCAGAGAGAAAATTTTAAAAAATCTAATATCTGAATAATCACAAAGAAGTTTTCTTTTTTTTTTTTTTTTTTTTTTTTTTTTGTCTGAAACGGAGTCTCACTCAGTCGCCCAGGCTGGAGTGCAGTGGCGCGATCTCGGCTCACTGTAAGCTCTGCCTCCTGGGTTCACGCCATTCTCCTGCCTCAGCCTCCCAAGTAGCTGGGACTGCAGGTGCCCGCCGCCATGCCCTGCTAAATTTTTGTATTATTAGTAGAGACGGGGTTTCAATGTATTAGCCAGGATGGTCTCGATCTCCTGACCTCGTTATCCGCCCTTCTCAGCCTCCCAAAGTGCTGGGATTACAGGCATGAGCCACCACGCCCGGCCAAGTTTTCTTAACCAGAAATAAACCAAAGGGGATGGTGATGTGTGAGAAAATGTATTATTTTGCCAAGCCTTAGAAATTTTAGGGTTTATTAGAATGGGAATCTGCATTGCTTTAACAAACATATTAGTCTTTCAGTTTTAATTCTTCTGGATATGATTCAATTTCCTGATGAATCTGAACTGAAAGCAGAATAACTTATTTGTTAAAATTGAAGATGTGGGAAAAATATATTGACTAAAACAAGATAGTCAAAAAGAGACAGGCAAAACAAAGTAAAATGATGTTCTTCAGAAACAGAAAAGAGAGAAGGAGAAGACAGTTTATTTTATATTAAATTGTACTTTTTTTTTTGAGACCGAGTAACGCTCTTGTTGTCCAGGCTGGAGTGTAATGGCGCCATCTTGTCTCACTGCAACCTCAGCCTCCCGGGTTCAAGTGATTCTCCTGACTCAGCCTCCTGAGTGGCTGGGATTACAGGTGCCTGCCACCATGCCCAGCTAATTTTTTGTATTTTTAGTAGAGGCAGGGTTTCACTATGTTGGCCAGGCTGGTCTTGAACTCCTGAACTCCTCAGGTGATCCACCTGCCTCGGCCTCCCAAATTGTGGGGATTACAGGTGTGAACCACCACACCTGGCCAAATTGTACTTTTAAAGATAAAATTGATCTAGAGATCTGTTTCAAAATAATGTAAATATACTTAAAAGCACTCAACATATAGTTTAAGTATACAACATTAAAATACTTAAAATGGTAATTTTATGTTTTTAATCACAAATATTTACATCTCTCAAAAAAGTTACATTTTTCAAAAATTAAATAACAAGGGTTTTCTCACATAATGACATATTCAAAGAATAAATAGATGGTAATTTTAGAGTGCCTTTCTGGCTACTCATCCAGACAATAAAACACTGAAAAACACCCAAGAAAAAAATAAACAAGATAATTAATAAATAAAAAGGGGCAATATTTATACTTAGAAACCAGTCCCCAAGGCTTGGCTAACAGGAGCCCTCTGTGGCAGTGCTTGGGTGTCGGGGCTCTGAGGCTCCGGACTGACCTCTCCACGGGGTTGACGGGGACGTCTCCATATGCCAGGAGTCGCAAAGGGCCGACCAGGATGAGGAAACCCCAGGTCGAGTCCGGGGGAGACAGCACGGCATCCCAGCCTCAGGCCTGCCCAGACGGTGTTGGTTGGGGTGAGTCTCCCCAAAAGTCGTGCCGCCGTGATCTGGAGGACAGGTCTGCCTGCGTGCCCCTGGGCTGCTCTCTCACCCGAGTGTCGATCTCGTCGAGAGCAGAACCCCGCAGCCTCAGGGCTTGCCTGGGGGTGTGTGTTTCAATGCCTCTGCTGTATGACTGTGTGCGGGTCTATGTCTGTGTGGGGTGTGTGTGAGTGTGTGGGTGTCACCCATTCTCTCTTCTGTCTCTGTCCCTCAGTCTCTGTGTGTTTCTTTCCCTCTCTCTGTGGGTTTGTGTGTGTGTGCCCGTGTGCATGTGTGTCTTTGGCGGAATGTGCCCTGTGCGCCACAAAGCGGTTTCTGGCATGGCGGCCCGTCTTTGGTGAGCCTCTTTCTGCGTCTCTGCCTGGGTCAGGAGGCCGGTTGTGAATGGTTTTCGCCGGCCCGGATCCGCTTTGTGTGTGTGAAGACCTGGCCCACGTGAGGAGATGCATCGGTCCTGGAGCAACTGAAATCTCATCCCCATCCTGAGCGGCCTCTTTTCTAGGATCAAGATGAACACACTGCAGCCGAGGACAAGAGCCCCACAGGGGCTCTTTGTCCCGCAGGAGAGCAGTGGACCCACGACAGAGAAGATGCTTGTATCTTTTCACGGCTCTTCTCTGAGAAATGAAGCCACACCACGATACGGTCTGGAAGAGGAAGCCAGGAATGGGTGATGGCAGCAATCCCTGTCACTGGAACACTGGCCTCGCTGGACAATGGAATGGAATGGAATACAATGGAATAGAATGCAATGCAATGGATACTTGACATGTAATGTGAGCTGAGATTTTCCGACTGCACTCCTGCCTGGGTGTCACAGTGATATCCTGTTGAAACAAAGGAATGGAAAACAATGGAGAGAAATGGAATGGAATGGAGTGGAGTGGAGTGGAGTGGCGTGGAATGGAATGGATTGGAATGGAATTGAATCGCATCTAATGGAATGGAATGGAATGGAATCGAATCGAATGGAATCGAATGGAGTCAAACAGAATCAAATGGAATCACATTGAATGGAATGGAATGGGGGCTGACACTGTGCCACTGCACTCCAGGCTGGGTGGCAGAGTGACATACTCTCAAAAGTAAGGAATGGAATGGAATGCAGTGGAATGGAATGGAATGGAATGGAGAGGAGTGGAGTGGGGTGGAGTGGAGAGGAGTGGAGTGGAGTGCAGTGGAGTTGAGTGGAATGGAATGGAATGGACTCGAAAAAAATGGAATGGAATGGAATGGACTGGAATGGAATCATCATCGAATGGACTCAAATGGAATCATCATGGAATGGACTCGAATGGAATCATCTAATGGAATCATCGAATGGACTCGATTGGAATCGTCATCGAATGGACTCGAATGGAATCATCGAATGGAATCGAATGGAATCATGGAATGGAATCCAATGGAATCATCATCGAATGGAATCGAATGGAATCATGGAATGGAATTGAACGGAATCATCATGGAATGGAATCGAGTGGAATCATCGAATGGAATCAAACATAATCATCATCGAATGGAATTGAATGGAATCATCGAATGGAATCAAACGGAATCATCGAATGGAATCGAATGGAATCATCATCGAATGGAATCGAATGGAATCATCGAATGGAATCGCATGGAATCATCATCGAATGCAATCAAACGGAGTCATCGAATGGAATTGAATGTAATCATCATTGAATGGAATCGAATGTAATCATCATCGAGTGGAATCATCGAATGGAATCATCGAATGGAATCGAATTGAATCATCATCGAATGGAATCGAATGGAATCATCATCGAATGGAATCATCGAATGGAATCGAATGGAATCATCATCGAATGGAATCGAATTGAATCATCATCAAATATAATCGAATCGAATCATCATCAAATATAATCGAATTGAATCATCATTGGATGGAATCGAAATGAATCATGGAATGGAATCAAATCGAATCATCGAATGCAATTGAATGGAAAGGAATCGAATGGAATCGAATGAAATAATTGAATGGAATTGAATGGAATCATCGAATGCAGTCGAACGGAAATGAATCGAATGGAATTGAATGGAATCAAATGAAATCGAATGGAATGGGAGCTGAGATTGTGCCACTGCATGCCAGGCTGGGTGACAGAGTGAGATACTCTCGAAAGAAAGGAATGGAATGGAATGGAATGGAATGGAGTGGACTGCAGTGGAGTGGAGTGGAGTGGAGTGAAGTAGAGTGGAGTGGAATGGAGAGGAATGGAATGGGATGGAAAGGTATGGAATGAAGTGGAGTGGAGTGAGGTGGAGTGGAGTGCAGTGGAATGGAGCGGAATGGAATGGGATGGAATGGAAAGGAGTGGAGTGGAGTGCAGTGGGGTGGAGAGGAGTGGAGTGGAGTGGAATGGAATCGGATGTAATGTAATGTAGTGGTGTGGAGTGGAGTGGAACGCAGTGGAATGGAATGGAATTGAATGGAATGCAATGGAATAGAATGCAATGCAATGGAAAGTTGACGTGTAATGTGAGCTGAGATTGTGCCACTGCACTCTTGCCTGGGTGACACAGTGATATCCTGTCGAAAGAAAGGAATGGAATGCAATGGAGTGAAATGGAATGGAATGGAATAGAGTGGAGTGGAGTGGAGTGGAATGGAATGGAATGGAATATAGTGGAGTGGAGTGGAGTGGAATGGAATGGAATGGAATGGAATCGAATTGCATCAAATCGAATGGAATGGAATGGAATGGAATTGAATGGAATCGAATTGAATGGAATCGAATGGAATGGAATAGGATCTGAGATTGTGCCACTGCGCTCCACACTTGTTGAAAGAGTGAGATACTCTCGAAAGAAAAGAATGGAATGGAATGGAACGGAATGGAGTGGAGTGGACAGGAGTGGAGTGGAGTTGAGTGGAATGGAGTGGAATGGAATGGAGTGGAATGGAATGGAATGGACTGGAATGGAATGGGCTGGAATGGAATGGAATGGACTCGAATGGAATCATCGTCGAATGGACTGGAATGTAATCATCATCGAATGAACTCGAATGGTATCATCATCAAATGGACTCGAATGGAATCATCATTGAATGGACTTGAATGGAATCGTCATCGAATGGACTCGAATGGAATTATCGAATGGAATCGAATGGAATCATCGAATGGAATCGAACAGCATCATCATGGAATGGAATCGAATGGAATCATCATATGGAATCGAATGGAATCATCGAATGGAATCGAATGGAACCGAATGGAATTGCATCGAGTAGAATCAAATCGAATGGAATCGAATAGATTCGAATGGAATGGGAGCTGAGATTGTGCCACTGCACCCCAGGATGGGTGACAGAGTGAGATACTCTGGAAATAAAGGAATGGAATGGAATGCAGTGGAATGGAATGGAATGGAATGGAGTGGACTGGAGTGGAGTGGAGTGGAGTGAAGTGGAGTGAAGTGGAGTGGAGTGGAATGGAGAAGAGTGGAATGGGATGGAATGGAATGGAATAAAGTGGAGTGGAGTGGGGCAGAGTGGAGTGCAGTGGAATGGAGCAGAAAGGAATGGGATGGAATGGAAAGGAGTGGAGTTGAGTGGAGTGGAGAGGAGTGGAAGGGAGTGGAATGGAATCGGATGTAATGGAATGTAGTGGAATGGAATGGAAAGGAATGGAATGGAATGGAATGGACTTGAAAGGAATGGACTCGAATGGAATGGAATGGACTCGAATGGAAACATCATCGAATTGACTCGAATGGAATCATCATCGAATGAACTCGAATGGAATCATCATTGAATGGACTCGAATGGAATCATCATTGAATGGACTCAAATGGAATCATCATCAAATGGAATCGAATGGAATCGAATTGAATAATCTTCGAATGGACTCAAATGGAATCATCATCAAATGGAATCGAATGGAATCATCATCGAATGGAATCAAATGGAATCATCATCAAATGGAATTGAATCGAATCATCATCGAATGGAATCGAATGGAATCACTGAATGGAATCATCATCAAATGGAATCAAATGGAATCATCTTCGAATGGAATTTAATCGAATAATCATCTAACGGAATCGAATTGAATCATTGAATGGAATCTAATCGAATCGAATGGAATCTAATCGAATCAAATGGACATGAATGAAATCGAATGGAATGGAATGGAATAGAATGGGAGCTGAGATTGTGCCACTGTGCTCCAGGCTGGGTGACAGAGTGAGATACTATCAAAAGAAAGGAATGGAATGGAATGCAGTGGAATGGAATGGAATGGCATGGAGTGAACTGGAGTGGAGTGGAGTGAAGTGGAGTGGAGTGGAATGGAGAGGAATGGAATGGGATGGAATGGAATGGAATGAAGTGGAGTGGGGTAGAGTGGAGTGCAGTGGAATGGATTGTGATCGTACGGGAAGGAGTGGAGTGGAGTGCAGTGGAGTGGAGAGGAGTGGAATGGAATCGGATGTAATGGAATGTAGTGGAGTGGAGTGGAGTGCAGGGGAATGGAATGGAATGGAACGGAATGGAATGGAATGCAAAGGAATGCAATGGAGTAGAATGCAATGCAATGGAAAGTTGACATGTAATGTGAGCTAAGATTGTGCCACTGCACTCCAGCCAGGGTGACACAGTGATATCCTGTCAAAAGAAAGGAATGGAATGCAATGAAGTGAAATGGAATGGACTGGACTGGAGTGGAGTGGAGTGCAATGGAACGGAATGGAATGGAATCGAATCGCATCAAATCAACTGGAATGGAACGGAATGGAATGGAATGGAATGGGAGGTGAGATTGTGCCACTGCGCTCCAGGCAGGGTAACAGAGTGAGATACTCTCGAAAGAAAGGAATGGAATGGAATGCAGTGGAATGGAATGGAATGGAGTGGACTCAAGTGGAGTGGAGTGAAGTGGAGTGGAGTGGAATGGAGAGGAATGGAATGGGATGGAACGGAAAGGAATGCAGTGGAGTGGAATGGAATGGAATGGAGTGGAGTGGTGTGGATTGTAATGGAGTGGAGTGGAATGGAATGGAAAGGAACATCATGGAATGGAGTGGAGTGGAGTGGAGTGGAATGGAATGGAATGGACTCGAATGGAATGGACTCGAATGGAAAGGAATGGACTCGAAGGGAATGGAATGGACTTGAATGGAATCATCATCAAATGGACTCGAATGGAATCATCATCGAATGAAATTGAATGGAATCATCATCGAATGGAATCGAATGGAATCATCATCAAATGAAACCGAACAGAATCATCGAATGGAGTCAAATGGAATCATCATCGAATGGAATCGAATTGAGTCATCGAATGGAATAGAAAGAAATCATGGAATGGAATCGAATTGAATCATCGAATGGACTTGAATGGAAACATCATCGAATGGAATCGAATGGAATCATCATTGAATGGACTTGAATGATATCATCATGAATGGACTCGAATGGAATCATCATCGAATGGACTCGAATGGAATCATCATCCAATGGAATCAAATGGAATCATCATTGAATGGAATCGAATGGAATGCTTTGGAATGGAATGGAATGGAGAGGACTGGAGTGGAGTGGAGTGGAGTCGATTGGTGAGGAGTGGAATGGAGTGGAATGGACTCGGATGTAACGGAATGTAGCGGAATGGAATGGACTCGAATGGAATGGAATGGACTCGAATGGAATCCTCATCGAATGGACTCGAATGGAATCGTCATTGAATGGAATCGAATGGAATCAACATCCAATGGAATCGAATGGAATCCTCATCAAATGGACTCGAATGGAATCATCGACTGGAATCGAATGGAATAATCATCGAATGGACTCGAGTGGAATCATCATTGACTGGAATCGAATGGAATAATCATCGAATGGACTCGAATGGAATCATCATCGAATGGACTCGAGTGGAATCATCATCGAATGGACTCAAATGGAATCAGCATCGAATGGAATCGAAGGGAATCATCATTGAATTGAATCATCGAATGGAATCATCGAATGGAATTGAATGGAATTATCATCGAATGGAATCGAATGGAGTCATCGTCGAATGGAATTGAATGGAATCATCACCAAATGAAATCGAATGGAATCATCGAATGGAATCGAATGAATCATCGAATGGAATTGAATGGAATCATCGAATGGAATCAAATGGAATCATCGAATGGAATCATCTAATGGAATGGAATGGAATGGGAGCTGAGATTGTGCCACTGCGCTGCAGGCTGGGTGACAGAGTGACGTACTCTCTAAAGAATGGAATGGAATGGAATGGAGTGGATTGGAGTGGAGTGAAGTGGAGTGGAGTGGAATGGAATGGAATGCAATGGAATAGAATGCAATGCAGTGCAATTGAAAGTTGACATGTAATGTGAGCTGAGATTGTGCCACTGCACTCCAGGCTGGATGACACAGTGAAAATACTCTTGAAAGAAAGGAATGGAATGGAATGGAGTGGAGTGGAGTGGAGTGGAGTGGAGTGGAGTGGAGTGGAGTGAAGTGGAGTGGAATGGAGAGGAAAGGAATGGAATGGAATGGAATGGAATGAAGTGGAGTGGAGTGGGATGGAGTGGATTGCAGTGGAATGAAGCAGAATGGAATGGGATGGAATGGAAAGGAGTGGAGTGGAGTGCAGTGGGGTAGAGAGGAGTGGAATGGAATCGGATGTAAGGGAATGTAGTGGAGTGGAGAAGAGTGGAGTGGAATGCAGTGGAATGGAATGGAATTGAAAGGAATGGAATGGAATGGAATACAATGGAATAGAATGCAACGCAATGGAAACTTGACATGTAATATGGGGTGAGATTGTGTGACTGCACTCCTGCCTGGGTGCCACAGTGATATGCTGTCGAAACAAAGGAATGGAAAGCAATGGAGAGAAATGGAATGGAGTGGAGTGGAGTGGAGTGGAGTGGAGTGGAGTGGAGTGGAATGGAATGGAATCGAATCGAATTGCATCTAATGGAATGGAATGGAATGGAATGGAATCGAATGGAATCAAACAGAATCAAATGGAATCACATGGAATGGAATGGAATGGGAGCTGACACTGTGCCACTGCACTCCAGGCTGGGTGACAGAGTGAGATACTCTCGAAAGTAAGGAATGGAATGGAATGCAGTGGAATGGAATGGAATGGAGAGGAGTGGAGTGGACTGGAGTGGAGAGGAGTGGAGTGGAGTGCAGTGGAGTTGAGTGGAATGGAATGGAATGGACTTGAAAAAAATGGAATGGAATAGAATGGACTCGAATGGAATCATCATCGAATGGACTCGAATGGAATCATCATTGAATGGACTCGAATGGAATCGTCATCAAATGGACTCGAATGGAATCATCAAATGGAATCATCGAATGGAATCGAATGGAATCATCATCGAATGGAATCATCGAAGGGAATCAAATGGAATCATGGAATGGAATCGAATGGAATCATCATCAAATGGAATCAAATGGAATCATCGAATGGAATCCAATGGAATCATCGAATGGAATCGAATGGAATCATGGAATGGAATTGAATGGAATCATCATGGAATGGAATCGAGTGGAATCATCGAATGGAATCGAACATACTCATCATCGAATGGAATCAAATGGAATCATCGAATGGAATCGAACGGAATCATTGAATGGAATCGGGTGGAATCGTCGAATGGAATCAAACGGAATCATTGAATTGAATCAAATGGAATCATCATCGAATGGAATCAAATGGAATCATCGAATGGAATCGAATGTAATCATCATCGAATGGAATAGAATGGAATCATCGAATGGAATCGAACGGAATCATCATCGAATGGAATCAAACGGAATTATCGAATGGAATCAAATGTAATCATCATCGAATGGAATCAAAATGAATCATTGAATGGAATCGAATCGAATCATCGAATGCAATAGAATGGAATCAAATGGAATCGAATGAAATCATTGAATGGAATCGAATGGAATCATCAAATGCAATTGAATGGAAATGAAACGAATAGAATCAAATGGAATCAAATGAAATCGAATGGAATGGAATAGAATGAGAGCTGAGATTGTGCCACTGCGTGCCAGGCTGAGTGACAGAGTGAGATACCATTGAAAGAACGGAATGGAATGCAATGCAGTGGAAAGGAAAGAAATGGAATGGGGTGGACTGCAGTGGAGTGGAGTGAAGTGGAGTGGAGTGGAATGGAGAGGAATGGAATGGTATGGAATGGAATGCAATGAAGTGGAGTGGAGTGGGGTGGAGTGGATTGCAGTGGAATGGAGTGGAATGAAATGGGATGGAATGGAAAGGAGTGGAGTGGAGTGCAGTGCAGTGGAGAGGAGTGGGATAGAGTGGAATGGAATCGGATGTAATGGAATGTAGTGGAGTGGAGTGGAGTGGAATGGAACGCAGTGGAATGGAATGGAATGCAATGGAATGGAATGGTATGGAATGCAATGGAATAGAATGCATTGCAATGGAAAGTTGATATGTAATGTGAGCTGAGATTGTGCCACTGCACTCCAGCCTGGGTGACACAGTGATATTTTGTCAAAAGAAAGGAATGGAATGCAACAGAGTGAAATGGAATGGAGTGGAGTGGAATGGAGTGGAATGGAAAGGAATCAAATTGAATCAAATCAAATCGAATGGAATGGAATGGAATGGGAGCTGAGATTGTGCCACTGTGCTCCAGACTGGGTGACAGTGTGAGATACTCTCAAGAGAAAAGAATGGAAAGGAATGCAGTGGAATGGAATGGAATGGAGTGGAGTGGAGTGGACTGGAGAGGAGTGGAGAGGAGTGGAGTGGAGTGGAATGGAATGGAATTGAATGGAATGGAATGGACTCAAATTGAATGGAATTGACTCAACTGGAATCATCATCGGATGGACTCGAATGGAATCATCATCGAATGGACTCGAATGGAATCATCATCGAATGGACTCGAATGGAATCATCATCGAATGGACTCGAATGGAATCATCATCGAATGGACTCGAATGGAATCATCATCGAATGGACTCGAATGGAATCATCATTGAATGGACTCGAATGGAATCATCATCGAATGGACTCGAATGGAATCATCATCGGATGGACTCGAATGGAATCATCATTGAATGGACTGGAATGGAATCATCATCCGATGGACTCGAATGGAATAATCATCGAATGGAATCGAATGGAATCCTCGAATGGAATCGAATGGAATCGAATGGAATCATCAAATGGAATTGAATGGAATCATCATCGAATGAAATCAAATGGAATCATCGAATGGAATCGAATGGAATCATCATCAAATGGAATCGAGTGGACTCATCATCAAATGGAATCAAATGAAATCATCAAATGGATCGAAACGAATCATCATTGAATGGAATCGAATGGAATCATCATTGAATGGAATCGAATGGAATCATCATCGAATGGAATCGAATGGAATCATCATCGAATGGAATCATTATCAAATAAAATGGAATGGAATCATTGAATGGAATCGAATGGAATCATCATCGAATGGAATCGAATGGTATCATCAAATGGAATCGAATGGAATCATCATTGAATAGAATCGAATGGAATCATCGAATGGAACTGAATGGAATCATCATTGAATGGAATCGAATGGAATCATCGAATGGAATCGAATGGAATCATCAAATGGAATCGAATGGAATCATCGAATGGAATCGAATCAAATGGAATCGAATGGAATGGACTGGAATGGGAGCTGAATTGTGCCACTGCACTCCAGGCTGGGTGACAGAGTGAGATACTCTCGAAAGAAAGGAATGAAATGGAATGCAGTGGAATGGAATGGAATGGAATGAAGTGGACTGGAGTGGAGTGGAATGCAGTGGAATGGAATGGAATGCAATGCTATGGAATGCAATGGAATAGAATGCAATGCAATGGAAAGTTGACATGTAATTTGAGCTGAGATGGTGCCACTGCACTCAAGCCTGGGTGACACAGTGATATCCTGTCGAAAGAAAGGAATGGAATGCAATGGAGTGAAACGGAATGGAATGGAATGAAGTGGAGTGGAGTGGAGTGCAGTGGAGTGGAGTGGAGTGGAGTGGAATGGAATGGAAGCGAATCGAATCGAATCGAATCGAATGGCTTGGAATGGAATCAAATGGAATGGAATGGGAGCTGAGATTGTGCCACTGTGCTCCAGGCTGGGTGACAGAGTGAGATACTCTCGAAAGAAAGGAATGGAATGGAATGCAGTGGAATGGAGTGGAATGGAATGGAATGGCATGGAGTGGAGAGGAGTGGAATGGAATCGGATGTAATGGAATGTAGTGGAATGGAATGGAATGAAATGGAATGGCATGGAATGGAATGGAATAGACTCGAGTGGAATGGAATGGACTCGAATGGAATCCTCATTGAATAGACCCGAATGGAATCATCATCGAATGGAATCGAATGGAATCAGCATCGAATGGAATCGAATGGAATCATCATCGAATGGAATTGAAGGGAATCATCATTGAATGGAATCATCATAGAATGGAATCGAAAGGAATCATCAACGAATGGAATCGAATGGAATCATCATTGAATTTAATCGAATGGCATCATCAAATGGAATTGAATGGAATCATCGTCGAATTGAATCAAATGGAATCATCATCGAATGGAATCGAATGGAATCATAGAATGGAATCGAATGGAATCATGAAATGGAATCGAATGGAATTATCAAATGGAATCGAATGGAATCATCGAATGGAATCGAATGGAATCGAATGGAATGGAAAGGAATGGGAGCTGAGATTGTGCCACTGCACTCCAGGCTGGGTGACAGAGAGAGATACTCTTGAAAGAAAGGAATGGAATGGAATGCAGTGGAATGGAATGGAGTGGACTGGAGTGGAGTGGAGTGAAGTGGAATGGTGAGGGATGGATTGGGATGGAATGGAATGGAATGAAGTGGAGTGGAGTGGGGTGGAGTGGAGTGCAGTGGAAAGGAGCGGAATGGAATGGGTTGGATTGGAAAGGAGTGGAGTGTATTGCAGTGGAGTGGAGAGGAGTGGAATGGAACAGGATGTAATAGAATGGAGTGGAGTGGAGTGGAATGGAACAGAGTGGAACGGAATGGAATGGAATGGAATGGAATGCAATGGAATGGAGTGGACGAGTGGAGTGGAGTGAAGTGGAGTGGAGCGGAATGGAGAGGAATGGAATGGGATGGAATGGAATGGAATGAAATGGAGTGGAGTGGGGTGGAGTGGAGTGCAGTAGAGTGGAGTGGAGTGCAGTAGAGTGGAGCAGAATGGAATGGGATGGAATGGAAAGGTGTGGAGTGGAGTGCAGTGGAGTGGAGAGGAGTGGAATGGAGTGGAATGGAATCGGATGTAATGGAATGTAGTGGTGTGGAGTGGAGTGGAACGCAGTGGAATGGAATGGAATGGAATGCAATGGAATACAATGCAATGCAATGGAAAGTTGACATGTAACGTGAGCTGAGATTGTGCCACTGCATTCCAGCCTGGGTGAGACAGTGATATCCTGTCGAAAGAAAGGAATGGAATGCAACAGAGTGAAATGGAATGGAGTGGAGTGACGTGCAGTGGAGTGGACTGGAATGTAATTGAATGGAATGGAATGGAATGGAATGGAATGGAATGGGAGCTGAGATTGTGCCACTGCACTCCAGGCTGGGTGACAGAGTGAGGTGCTCTCGAAACAAAGGAATTGAATGGAATGCTGTGGAATGGAATGGAATGGAATGGAGTGGGCTGGAGTGGAGTGGAGTGGAGAAGAGTGGAATGGAGTGGAATGGAATCGGATGTAATGGAATGCAGTGGAATGGAATGGAATGGAGTCGAATGGAATGGAATGGAATGGAATCCTCATCTAATGGACTCTACAAACTTCTTGTTTGTATATGTTGTATATCTTGTTGTAATATGGGTCATAAAATAGAACACATATATCATATGTGATATATGTGAAATATAGCATATAATACGTATTCTCATAAAGCCTTTATTTATTTTGAAATTATAAATCAATCTGAAATGTCACCCAAGAGTTGTGAAGTAAACTTAAGTTCTAGTACTTGTAGTTTCTCTATTCTTTTCCACCTATCTCCATTATCCCATTAATACTTGAAGATAATTCTATTTCCTATTTATAAAATTTATGGAAAAATCTTACCTAGAAGATAAAAAATGAATAACTCTGCACTCAGTATTTCTCTATAATAACTGTACTTTTTATTAAAAGATTACAAATAATATATATACAAGTATCTACACATGTATATATATGCATATGTATATATAAATACCAAAGCAAAAGAGATACAGTATATAGTATATCAGTTAATAATATGGATTCTGAAGCCAGGATGATTTTTAATCTGGTTTTCCCCGTTTCCTGCTATGTGAACACTTGCAAGTGATTTAATTTTGATGGTATTTAGTTTTCTAATTTATAATATGGGTCATAAAATAGAACACATATATCATATGTGATATATGTGAAATATAGCATATAATACGTATACTTTGGGGACTTAGGTACAACAAAGGACAACTTGATTTATTCCTCCCTCTTCCTGCTCAACCTACTTTGGAGACATGTTCTTTGTCTTTTGATAAAATTCAAGGCAAATACCGTGACTTGTCTTTTGGTTCTCTGGTACTGAAAAGTATTCCCAGGAATTAAGGTCAACACACAGACTCATTTTAATAAAATGTCCAGTTCCTTGGAAGTTCAAAACTTTGAAAAGTTAAAGCTTCTCATTCTATACTGAACTATTTTAATATTAAAGAGCCTGTAGGGAAAGCATCTAAAATAAGTTTCTTTTCTATTTTCCCCACCATATTATTCTTCTCTTCTCTCACTGTGATTCCACTAGGACACAGTGGTGAGGTCAGAGAGGGTGATAAATGCATGGATATCATTAAGAGCATCCATAGAAGATGGCTTTATTCTGGTTGTAGCATTTCTGTATGGTCTTTGGACAATACCTGTCTTGTCACTGAGGGGTCCCTCACATGCAGTGACAGTCTTTGGTACATTCTTGTAGGTCACTTAGAAGTGTTCTTGCTCAACTTCTAGGGATTCAACTGTACTCCTCTTCCTCTATATTTGGAAGGATATGTTTTTTGTTTTGTTTTGTTTTGTTTTCCAGATGGTGTTTCTAACATGTTGGTTAAATAATTCAGGTTCATTACATCAATGGGAAGCATTAAACCTTAATCCATGACCATTGTGAGTGCAGCTACTTTTCAATCGATGTTAGTTTTGAATTTCACTGTGTCAAGACAGTCAAGCTAGTTTCTTAATCCTTTGAAACAATAGGGAGTGAATCACGTACCAAATACTGTTTTCTCCCAATTCCAGTGAACATATACAAACACTCTTTATTTTTCCCATGAGACTTGATATAAGAAGGAAGTTTCTCAATCCCTACACTAAAAGGACTTTGGAAAGACCCAAAGCTCACCAACAACTCCCTGTTAATTTCTAGGCTCTTTTATGATTGCTCAAGTCTTTCTTCAACTGAATTTGGGGGAGGATGTAGTTAGCTACAGATCACACAACAGATTGTCACATAGTACATTTGAAAATCTTGCTTAGATAGTCTCTTTCTCTTTTTGGAAATTTGTTATAACTTGTCACCTATGCTATTGCTTGGTAGTTTGTGTGTCACTGAACACCAGCTTGAAATTACTTTCATTGTGATGTCCTACTATATGTTCTTATATTTAAATACACAGAAGCAGTTATATAGAATAGAAATATTAAAGCATTGTTATTCTGAAAAATATAGATTGCATAGGGGAGAAGGGCTGATAAAGTATAGAAAATTATATTATTTGCAATTGATTTTATTCATTATGAGGAATAACAATGCATAGATTAGAAGAAAAAATAATGTGTTGCCTCAATTACGAAGCTTTAACTAATTTCCCCTTAGGTCAGTCCAAAAATTCCAAGAAGAAATCAGATAGCTGCCTAATACTGGGTGTTTGAATATCCTTGAAAATACATGTGGTCAGTAAGCCAAAAAGATAATTCCGTAAAAACTACAAAGCCATTAATTTCTACTATTATTTATCCTATTTTTTTCTCTCTCTTTCCCTACCTTGTCTCCTGTCTGGCTACTTATCTATTTTGCCTACTTATCTATTTATCTATCCATTATCTCTTCTATCCCTATGTTGCAAGCCATTCACAAAAATAGAACCCACCCACTGGGATAAAATACTCATGTTTATAGCATTATTTAAAGGCTTCTAGAGCTTTACACATATTACCTCATTAATTTTCACAATATCCTGCAAAGTGAGTAGGTGGAAACTATTTCTCATTTTATGGTTGGATAAAATAAGATGCTGTAAACTTACCAAAGAGACACACATAGGAATAAATACAGGAAATCAAATGATATGATTTTAAAAATTATAGATTAATTGCTTGCCTAATGTTATCTTAGAAGTTATTTTTCTGTGTTGTGATCTATTCAGAAGTTCTTGAACTATCGATAAAATTAAAGCTATTATTTCTATATTTTTATAATATGCTAATAAATGGAGAATCTTATCAAATGTAATAGATATAGTAATAAAATAGCCATTAGATGGGGTGCTTATTCTGTGGCAGGGCATTCTTGCAGTATCTAGTTTTACATTCACAGCAACCTTACCATTTTAATTCTCTATTGCAGTAAAAGAAATTATACTGGGATAATTTGTTATCCCAAAACTTTGCAGCTTAAAATAACCATTTACTCTCTCACACAATTTCTGAGTTCAGAACTCTGGGAGAATCTTAACTGGATGGTTTTACCTCAAGGTGCAAGGTTTACAAGGTTGCAGTAAACCTGTTGATTGAAGCTGCCGTTTCATTTGAAGGTTCAATTGAGGGAGGATCCATTTCTAAACTAACTCACATTATTAGCGTCATTCAGTTTCTGGAAGGTTGCTGGACTGAGGAAAACAGCTCCTTGCTGGCTGTTGGCCAGAGGCCTCTCTCAGTTCCTTGCTGTACCTTCATAGACAGCATATATTTCACCTTTCTGAGATCTTTACAAGTAATTTTACAGTTACCGTCAGCTTTATCTTTAGATCAAGGGTTTCTGGCATTGCTCTAAATTTGATTTTTTCTCAGAAACCATTTCTTATTACTTTTATTATCAGTTGCCCTCTGGAGAGGCTATTTTCAAAATCAGCGAGTTCTGGCTCCAACTTTTTCATCAGTCTTTCTTTTACTTTCTCTCTCTCTCTCTTTTTTTTTTTTCTTTTGAGATGGAGTTTGGCTCTTGTTGCCCAGGCTGGAGTGCAGTGGCATGATCTTGGCTCACTGTAACCTCTGCCTCCTGGGTTCAAGCAATTCTCTGGCCTCAGCCTCCCAAGTAGCTGTGATTATAGGCATGCACCACCCCTCCTGGCTAATTTTGTATTTTTAGCAGAGATGGGGTTTCTCCATGTTGCTAGGGCTGGTATCGGATTCCCGACCTCAGATTATCTGCCCGCCTTGGCCTCCCAAAGTGCTGCGATTACAGGCGTGAGCCACCATGCCCAGCCTACTTTCTCTCTTTAACCTTGCCTGTTGGTATAAGCAACAAGAAGGAAGTAGGTGTCACCTTCAATATTCTGGCTGAAAATCTACTTAGCAAATTATCCAGCATTTTAGGTACATTTTTTATTTTCTACGTGTACTAGATTTTAAGGCTGCCATAGCAAATTATAACAGATCTTTTGCCTTAAAACAATAGAAATTTATTTTTTCATAATCCTGAAGCCTAGAAGTCTGAGATCAAGGTGTTGGTAAGATTGATTTCTTGCAAGGCCCCTTTCCTTGGCCTGTAGATGGCTGTCTTCTTCTGTTGTTTCCACATAATCCTGCCTCTGTCTCTATCTTAATCTCTTCTTCTTATAAGACACAAGTAATATTGAATTAGGGGCCACCCATATTACCTATCCTAACCATAAGTACCACTTTAAAGGCCCCATCTCCAAATATGGTCATGTTCTGAGGTATTAGGGGTTAGGAGTTCAACTTCCATCTTTTGTAGGACAGAATTCAACCTCAAACACCACAAAATTGAAGCAGTAGTATTGATAAACTTCTGCTATTACATAACAAAAATCCTCTTTCCTCCAGTTTTAAATAAGAGTTACCTCATTCACCTGTAGGCATTACAAATAACCTTACGAAAGAACATTGGGATTCTATTAACGATTTACTTAACATACCTTAGGCATTTTTTGTTTGTTTGTTTTGTTTTTTCACATTCTCTCCTCCAAGTCCACTAAGGAATTCAAAGTTATTCCTACATTTTAGGGTGTTCTTTCAACAACATCTCGCTTATAGGTACTGAAATACATACTAAGCATTTATTGCAACATAATATATTGCTCTAACACTCATCAGCTTTAAACAATGCAAATTGATTATCTCACACAATTTCTGAGGGTCAAAAATCTAGGAGAAGTTTGTCTGGGTATTTCTGGTTCAGGATCTCTCACTGGGTTGCAACCAAGCCGTTGACCAGAGATGAACCTTGAAAAAACTTTGAGTTAGACTAGAAATTTCCCTTCCAAATTCAATCAAATGGTTGTTTGTAGATACCAGTTCGGGTAAAACTCATCAATGATAATAAATGTTTTAATAAAATAGCTGTAGGTAATATTGATTAAGTACATTTTCAAGAGCTTGTGCACTGCTTAATTTTACACTCACAATAAACTTACCATGTTAATATTATTCCATGCCCATGTTATAGCTAAAGTTATTAAACAAAGGAACTGTGCATGGTTACACAAGCAGAGACGGAAGAACTGAAACTTGAAATCAAATGGTTTTAAATATTGAAAGCCTCAAATGTACTTATATCACTTTCCTATCCAGAATGGCTTGATAGGCCTGGCGTGGTGGATCACGCCTGTAATCCCAGCACTTTGGGACGTCGAGGCAGGTGAATCACCTGAGTTCAGGAGTTTGAGCCCAGCCTTGAAGATGGCAAAACACGGTCTCTACAGGCATGATGGCTCACGCCTGTAGTTTCAGCTACTTGGGAGGCTGAGACACAAGAATCACTGGAACCCGGGAGGCGGTGGTTGCAGTCAGCTGTCATCATGCCACTGCACTCCAGCCTGGGTGACAGAGTGAGGCTTCATCGTGGAAAAAAAAAAATCCTTGATGGTTTCTACTTTGACAGAAAATAGGAAAAAAGACATAAAAATAAAAGCAGAAAAAAGGAACATTGCATAATCATGTATGCAATGAAATCACTCTAAACCTAATATTTTGTTAAAAAAAAGTGATTGTAAAGAAAACTATATGAAATAGAAGAAAATAAAGTTAATAATTTTTTCTACAAACTATCTCCACTGGATTATAATTCATTATTGTCTTTAATATAAAGTATGGTTGACTTTTTAAAAATAAATATGGCTGTATCCATGGGTTTGTTTTTATAAAAATGTGTGCATGTGTACTTTATTAGGTAACATCTGGCTTTGTCATTAAGAATTTTAGTTTCAAGAGGATTCAAAATATAGGAAATAAAAAAATTAAGTCCAAATTTAAAAGTTATAAACATGTTCTTTGTTGTTGTGTTTGTTTTGAGATGGAGTCTCACACTGTAACCCAGGCTGATGTGCAGTGGCACAATCTTGGCTCGCTGCAACCTCCGCCTCCCTAGATCAAGCGACTCTTCTGCCTCAGCCTCCAGAGTAGCTAGAATTACAGGCGCCCGCCACCACGCCAGGCTAATTTATTGTATTTTTAGTAGAGATAGGGTTTCACTGTGTTGGCCAGGTTGGTCTCCAACTCCTGACCTCGTGATCTGCCCACCTCCCAAAGTGCTGGGATTACAGGCATGAGCCATCACATACGGCCCTAAAAGTTACAAACATGTTCATAACTTTTTGTTATAAAGAAACAAAATTGATGAGATAGTGCTGGGGTAGAGGTGTATGTGTGAGTGTGTATATGATAAAATAAGAAATAGAAAAAAATAGAATATTAAAAATATAAGCAATATTGGCTCTATGCCAGTCCAAGTCTTAACCTAGAGAATGAATTTATAGGGAAGGAGAAAACAAAAACACATATTCTGCCCTTGACAACCCCTGGGAAAATTATTCTCCGTAATCATACTCCTTTAATGTTACTATTACTTTGATTCAAAATTCAGTCTCTTTTACATACATTATAAAGTTATCATTCCTTGCATATCTTTATTTTGATTTTTTTAAATACACTTGGCTTTAAAGAAGTATTGTATTAAGAATTGTTACAAGTATAGTGCAAAGATCCAGTCTATCTTCACACCCAATTTCTCCTATTACTAATATCTTAGTAGGACACAGTTTTCATAGTTAATAAATCAATTAGTACATTATTACTTCCTTAACTTTATTGAAGTATAACTAACAAATAAAAATTGTATATATTTAAGATGTACCATGTTTTGATACATTGAGGTGATGCCCAGAATCAAACTAATTAGTATATGTCACATATATGTGGAATAAAAAGAAGCTGTATTCATATAAATGAGAGTAGAAAGGCTGTTGCCAGAGGCTAGGGGAGTGAAGAAAATGGGGACATTTTGGTCAAAGGGTACAAACTTTAAGTTATAAGATGAATGAGCTCTGGAGATCTAATCTACAGCATGTTAACTATAATTTATAAATTATTAGAAATTAAATACTTTATTTCTTCCTCGAGTTTTCCAGTTACTTATCCAAGTTACCATATTACTTTTACTCAACATCTCTACAAAGGCTCAGCTTGGTTATGACAGTTTCTTAGACTTTCTTTGTTTTTTACGACCTTGATAAATTTGAAGATCATTGGTCAGGTATATTGGCATTTTGTATAACTTTTTGTCTGTTGTTTTTCTTATGATTAGATTTGAGTAATGTATCTTTAGGGCAAAGATCTTAGAGGTAAAGTGCTATTCTAAACATATCAGGTTATGTCAAATGTACATACTATCAATATGACTTGTAACTATTGATCTTTTTAAATATAAACTTTTATTTTAGGTTCAAGACTATATAACAGAGTTTGTTACATAGATAAACTGGTGGCATGGGGGTTTGTTGTACAGATTACTTCATCACCCAGGTATTAAGCCCAGCATACAATAATTATCTTTACTGCTCCTTTCCCTTCTCCAACCCTCCACATTCAATTAGACTACAGTGTCTGTTGTTTCCTTCTTTGGGTTTATATGTTTTCATCATGT
Organism: Homo sapiens; assembly: GCF_000001405.40. Taxonomy (NCBI): domain Eukaryota; kingdom Metazoa; phylum Chordata; class Mammalia; order Primates; family Hominidae; genus Homo; species Homo sapiens. The sequence goes on from NC_000007.14 coordinate 57,504,484, forward strand.
AGCTCCCACTTATCAGTGAGAATACACAGTATTTGGTTTTCTGCTCCTGTGTTAGTTTGCTAAGGATAATAGCCTGCAACTCCATACATGTTCTCATAAAAGACATGATTTCATTCTTTTTTATGGCTGCATAGTATTCCATTGTGCATATGTACCATATTTTTATAATCCAGTGTGCTATTGATGGGCATTTAGGTTGATTCTATGTCTTTGCTATTGTGAATAGTGCTACAATGAACATTCACATGCATGTGTCTATGGTAGAATGATGTACATTTCTGTCTTTATCATAGAGTGATATATGTATTTCTCTGGGTATATACTCACTAATGGGATTGCTGTGTTGAATGGTAGTTCTGCTTTTAGCTCTTTGAGAAATTGCCATACTGCTTTCCACAATGGTTGAACTTATTTACATTCACACCAACAGTGTACACGTTCCCTTTTATCTGCAACCTTATCAGTATCTGCTTTTTTTTGACTTTTTAATAATAGCCATTCTGATTGGTGTGATACGTGGTTTTGATTTGCATTTGTCTAATAGTCATATTGAGCTTTTTTTCATATACTTCTTGTCTACATGTATAGCTTTTGAAAAATCGTATGTTCATATCCTTTGTCCACTTTTTAATGGAGTTGTGATATGGTTTAGCTGTGTCCCCACCCAAATCTCATCTTTAATTGTAGCTCCAATAATTCCCAGATGTGGTGGGAGGGACCCAGTGAGAGGTAATTAAATCACGGGAGTGGTTCTTTCCCATGCTGTTCTCATGATAGTGATTAAGCCTCACAAGATCTGATGGTTTTATAAAGGGGAATTCCCCTACACAGCTCCCTTGCCTGTTGCCCTGTAAGATGTGACTTCACTCCTTATTCACCTTCAGCCATGATTGTAAGGCCTCCCCAGCCATGTGGAACACTGAGTCAATCACATTTCTTTCCTTTATAAATTACCCAGTCTCAAGTATGACTTCATTAGCAGCATGTGAACAGACTAACACAGTAAATTGGTAACTTACCTGTGGAAAGTACAAATAGACTTTTGTAGTCAAGGAAGACATGTTCCATGACAGAATTATACACAAATTATTTTGCAAACACATAGAAGCATCACTAAAGCCGGCTCAGAAATATAAAGATAGCATCTCAGAGGACATTATATCACAGCTGAATCAAGAAAAATTATAGGAAAACATAGAAGGCTTGAGTAAATGTTCCAGAGAAAACATCATGATCATGAACAAAGATTGGAGGGTAAGAGTGTGAGGAATTCAGAATAATACAAATACCTGAAGATGGCCAGAGTGCAAGAGGCCAGAAAGACAGGTGGTTGACGGAAGTATGAGTATAATCAATAACAAGGAAGTCAGCCTTATTAAAATGTTTTCTTATTAGTTTTTGTTACAATTTATAAACTTATGATTATATATGTTTTAACACATTTTACATGTGATTTTTAAATTTTTATAATAAGGATTAAATTACTCGTTAACTCAGTTAATCAATCAGGTATTTAAGGATGGCTTTATTTGACAGTGTGTGTGGCTTATTGAATTAATATGGACAAATAATCTCATCATCCAAATTACTTATATGTCTGAATACTTATATATACATATACATATATATATACTTATGTACGTCATAATTATGTGTACATGTCATTATATATGTGTATATCTTTAAAAATAAGGAAATATTATACTAGAATTAAGTGAAGATAAACACTGAAGGAACATTGCAAAATACTAATCTTATATTTGTTAAAATTGCATTTTCACTGCATTCAGAAAAATGTCAAGAATAATGCATTAAAATATTAAAATGGCACAGAATATTTACTGTAGCATCAAAAATGTTGTGTAATCTCAAACTAAACTGTGTAACACATTTCAAAAAATAACATTTAAATGTAGGTCTGAATGAATATGCAACTTTAGTGTTTTTGGTCTCAGAAGGAAAAAGTAAATGATAATACAGTATTCTATAATAATGTAACATAACTCACTTCTAATGAATATTGGAATAAAGACACAATCTCATTAAAATAATCATAATTTCAGTTAATATTGGCATCACACTGTTCCTGGACCAAACTGAGGGTGGGGCTGCTATTTCTCACTGCCTAATAATGAGATGCAGATGAAGTGAGGAGAAAGAGTGTTTTCATTTCTGCAACCAGTTACAGAGAGGCGGCTTGAAAATTATCTCCTGACCAACTCAAAATTGCAAAGTTTTCCAGAGCTTGTATAGCTTCTAAGCTATATTTCTATGCATAGGTGTGCATTCATCTAAAGACATAAGTGATTAACTTCTTTTAACCTATAACTAAGGTCTGAGTCCTGAAGACCTTCTTCTGGAGCTTCAGTAACTATACTTAATTTAAATGGGTCCAGGCACTGGGGTGATTACTCTTGTCTTGTCTCCTGCTAATTCACAAAGGTTTGGGGAGTTCCTGCAGACTCCCAATAAGCTTGTTTAATCATGCTTTAAGGTTCAGGAAAGGCCTAGGCAAAACTCGTGGTTGTCTCTTATGACATTCTAGCCTTTGTGTAAGGGCACTGGCTTTTAATATTTAACTTAACCACTCAGTCAGTGCTGAAACATTTGTTATGGAGGCCTGCCTTAGTGAGACCTGGCCTGCCACAAAACAAGAGAAAAAATAAGACAATTGAATCATAGTGTCAACCTAAAATATTCGAAAGGATCAGAATTCAGTTTTTTAACGTTTGGTCAAACAAAAAGCTGGAATTAGGCATTTGGTGAAAAGATTCCAGAGAAATGGAGCCAGTGCTGCTAAGTTTTTGCTTATATAGGCAGAAAATAAAATTTAATGGGCTTACAACATTGTGTGTACATGGCTGGTTTATGAGTTACAACAATTTAGTTACGGCTTGTTTTCTTTTTTCTTTTTTTTTTTGAGACGGAGTCTTGTTCTGTCACCCAGGCTAGAATGCAGCAGCACGATCTAAGTTCACTGCAAGCTCTGTCTCCCGGGTTCACGCCATTCTCCTGCCTCAACCTCCCGAGTAGCTGGGACTACAGGCGCCTGCGACCACGCCCAGCTATTTTTTTTTTTGCATTTTTAGTAGAGACGGGTTTCTCTGTGTTAGCTAGGATGGTCTTGATATCCTGACCTCGTGATCCGCCCGCCTCGGCTCCCAATCTTTTCTTTGTATCTAGTTTTTATTTTTTTTTCCAAGTTAGAAGAATGCACTTAACATTCCATTATAAGACCATGTGACAGCCATGAAGTCTTTGAGCAAAGCAGGAGGGCAGTTAATCTACCATGAAGGTGAACAATGAAGAAGGAAGGGATCTTCCATGGTGCCCTTTAGCCATTTACAACATTTTACAAAACAATGTAAGGAAGGAAGAAGACTAATCTATAATCAGGAAAACAAAGGGTATAGCTGCCTAGGTTCCAGCTAGCTACCTGCCGTATGACTCAGGCTCCATAATCACATTCCTTTAAGGCTCAAAGGAATTTAAAATTTCAACAACATAGATTTCAAATTATTCTCACAATATACATTAAAATGTATTAACATTGAGATTATTCAGTTTAAAATTTGTTATTAATAAGGCCAACATTTTGTATATATCATTGATTAAACAGAAGAGAGAAATAGCTCTGAGTGGCAAAAACAGTGTTTTTCCCCTGCTTTTCTACCACAACAATCAACACAGACATCTTTTAACAAATGTGTGGGGGATTTTTCCTACATACCAAGCAAGCAGTCAGTTATACAGTAGACACTAATGGGGTTTGTGATAGTATTGATCGGAAGACAGTGACAGATCCCATAGGTTGGAAGCTCAGTCCCACAAGACTGCCTCCTCTTCTATAACCAATCTCAATCCTCAGGTTGTTTTTCCTAGGCTTCTGACCGACTGAGTATAAATTCAGGTTCTCATGATCTTCTTCTTGGGTTCCATTAATTTGCGAGAGGGCCCTGCACAACTCAGGAAAAGATTTACTTACATTACTGGCTTATGATCAAGATGATTACAAAGGATGCAGATGAAAGAGTTGCATAGAGCAAGACTGTGGGAAATGGTGTGCATCTTCTATGCCCTCCATAGGCATATTCTGCTCTCCAGAAACCTTCATGTGTTCACCTATCCTGAAGCTCTCCAAAACCTGTCCTTTGGGGATTTCATGCGTGCCTTGTTATTAGATGTGATTGATTAAACTAGTGGCCATTAATAATCAACTTAACCTTCAGCCCTCGCTTCCCTCCCCAGAAGCTGGAGTGTGGGTCTCGAAGTCCCAACCCTGTATTCCTGCCTTTGTCTTTCAGGTGACTAGCCCTTCCTGAAGTTACCTAGAAGCTGCCAACCATCAGTAAGCTCATTAGCATACAAAAATACATAATTCTGGATATTCCAGATTGTATGCCAGGAAACAGAATCAAAGACCAAATATGTATTTTACAATATCAGTATAGCCCAGGCTGAAGGCAGCCATAAAATTAATGTAAAAAATAAAATATAATAAATACATACATTTTATAGAAAATAATGTTATAACACATTTTAATGGTGGTAATAAAGTGTAAAAAGTTGCTCAAATTTGAAATAGAAAAAACAATTATGATCAGATATTTTCTGATATCTCAATTATGTAATTAAAACTTTATATTCTCGCCGGGCGCGGTGGCTCACGCCTGTAATCCCAGCACTTTGGGAGGCCGAGGCGGGTGGATCATGAGGTCAGGAGATCGAGACCATCCTGGCTAACAAGGTGAAACCCCGTCTCTACTAAAAATACAAAAAATTAGCCGGGCGCGGTGGCGGGCGCCTGTAGTCCCAGCTACTCGGGAGGCTGAGGCAGGAGAATGGCGTGAACCCGGGAAGCGGAGCTTGCAGTGAGCCGAGATTGCGCCACTGCAGTCCGCAGTCCGACCTGGGCGACAGAGCGAGACTCCATCTCACAAAAAAAAAAAAAAAAAAAAAAAAAAAAAAAAAAAAAACTTTATATTCTCCAAGCCTTTAAGGCAATGTTTCCTAACCACCCTGTGTTTCAGAATTTGCTTGGGAGTCTTGAAAAAATACACATCTTGAGCTGTACTCCAACTTTCTGAATCAGGTTATCCTGGGCAGCTATCATGCATCTTTAATGTTCTAAAAGCCCATCATTTTTCATTTTCTAAAAGCCCATATTTATTGTTGTAGCATCAAAAATGTTGTGTAGTATCAAATTAAACTGTGTAACACATTTCAAAAAATAAAATTTCAATGTAGGGCTGAATGAATATGCAACTTTAGTGCTTTCGGTCTCAGAAGGAAAAAGTAAATGATAATACAGTATTCTGTAATAATGTAACATAACTCACTTCTAATGAATATTAGAATAAAGACACAATCTCATTTAAATAATCATAATTTCAGTTAATATTGGCATCAAACTGTTCCTGGACCAAACTGAGGGTCCGGCTGCTATTTCTCACTGCCCAATAACAAGATGCAGATGAACTGGGGAGAAAGAGTTATTTCTGTAACCAGTTACAGAGAGAAGGCCTGAAAATTACCTCCTGACCAACTCAAAATTATAAAGTTTTCCAGAGCTTATGTAGCTTCTAAGCTAAATTTCTGTGTGTAAGTGTGCATTTAGTACTTTAATGTTCTAAAGGCCCATCAATTTTCTGTTGATCAGAACTGAGTCAAGAACCATGTTTCTAAGGATACTTTTTCTTATTTCCCAGAGAAGGTACGAAGATTTCTAGTGGAAAAACTTCTTCTAGAGTTTCAAAGAAGATCTATATGATTGATTTGTTGGTGATAATATAGACAATGTTGATGGCTGAGATATTTGGATTACATTGTCTTTGTGTGCCTATATGATTCCTCAAGACTTAGCTAATTTTCCACTTACATAGTTACCTATTATAAACAATACAAATTAAGATCATTTAGATTGAAGAAAAATAAATTTCTATTTAATTAAATTCTCTACCTCTGGGTCAACATATATAGTTGTGTCTTCATCTTTTTGAACAATTACAGACGTGTTGTTTTAACAATGAGAATGTGTTCTGAGAAATGTGTCCTTAGACAATTTCATAACGGTGGGAACATCATAGGGTGTAGTTACACAAACCTAGATGGTATAGCCTACTACTTTTCTAGGCTATATGGTACAGCCTTTTGCTCCTAAGCTACAAACCTATATAGCATGTTACTCTACTGAATACTGTAGACAATTATAATACAAAGGTAAATATCTGTATATCTAAACATACAAAAGGTACACTAAAAATAAGGCATAAAAGACAAAAATGGTATGCTTGAAAGGGGCACTTACTGTGACAGGAGCTTGCAGGACTGGGAAGTTACTCTGGGTAAGTCAGCGAGTTAGTGGTGAGTGAATGTGCAGGCCTGAGACATTATTGTACACTATTGTAGACTTTATGGACACTCTACACTTAGGCTGCACTACTTTTCTTTAAAAAACATTTTTATTCAATAATAAATTAACCTTCACTAACTATAACTTTTTTACTTTACAGACTTATTTTGAGTATTCTCTATTAACACTTCAAACACAAACACATTATACAAATTTACAAAAATATTTTAAGATTCTTATTGTGTAAGCTTATATTCTATTTTTAATTTTCTTAAAGGTTTTGAATTTTTGCTAAAAATTAAGACACAAACACACATATTAGCTTAAGCCTTCAATGGGTCAGGATCATTAATATTATTCTTTCAAATTCCCTGTTTTGACCCACTGGAAGGTCTTCAGGGGCAATAACACCAATGGAGCTAGTCAGCTGTTATAATAACAATAGTTTCTTCTGGAATGTCTCCTGAAGGTAATGCCTGAAACTGTTTAATAGTTCACTTTTGAAATATTTTTGCAAGACTGGCAATGAATAGGTTTGTTTACACTAGCATCACATCAAAGATGTGAAAAAAATGTGTGTACTCTGACATGACAACCGCTATGAAGATACTAGCTGATAGAATTTTTTCAGCCCTATTATAGAACAATGGGACTACCATCATGTATGTGGTCCATTGTTGAATGAAATGTAATTATGTAGTGTATGTATGCATGCATATAATCAGAAATTCTTCCTAACTCTTTTCTGAACTCCAAAACTTTTATTAACACAGTCCACTATGCAACCATTAAGAATATATTGACATTAACACCTGAGATGAAAGCTATATACCATCCCAGCTTTATAACTTTTATTTTCACCAACATGAATTGTGGTGGTTGTGTATTAGTCTCTGAACTAAGCTGTCAAAGAAATATATAATATATATATATATATAAACTATAGCCACCATATCTTTGCTGTGCTTGCTTTAAATGTTTTACCATTTCTTCAATTAACCTTCATAACAATATTGTGAGCCATTTATTGTCATCATCACTTTAGAGATAGTAAAATTGAAGTTAAAAGGTATACACTAAACAGCTCAAGGTCACTCAATTAGTAACTGGCAGAAATGTGATCCAAAGCAGTCTTTTGTTAAAGCCAATGATATCTTTCATACAATCTTAACTGTGTGATACACTATAGATGGCAGCATGTAGTATCAGCATTTTTAAAGATGACTGTAAAAAATAAATCTCCAAGGAGCACTGAGGCAATCTCACAAAATGTAATTCTACAGAAGGAATGTCTTCCTGGGATAGGAAGAGACAGAGCATCTCAAACACCTAAGATAGATTGACAGCTTGTCAGTTACCATCACAAAATATCATATTCCTCTCTGTAGAATTTATAAAAGTGGTTTTTCATTGGTTGTGTGGGAAAAAATCATAGAGCTCTGGCCCTGTATTTGCCACGAGTTGCCTATAAACTGATAGATTGATTTTAATTTGGCCTTGGCAGGTTTTGTTACCCTCTGAGGTATTAGTCTTGCTCTGTTCCAGACCTTTTCCCTGAACTCTGTCTTTGGACACTACTCCTCTTCTAAAGATTTGTCCCTGGGGTCCTAGGCATGCTGTCAGTCATAAGTTTGTTGGCCATGAACAATATGGTGTGTCAAACCTTTAGTAAGTTTGTCAGTTCTATTTTGTAAGAAAACATACCACAGGTGTCTGGAATGATAATCTATATTTTAAGAATTTAGTTAGAAAAAATAGAACTCATTCAATGCAAGTTATGTTTTCAATAGTAGAAATAATAACTATATCATTAATAATATTGTTTTTATCTAAAAACACTAGGTTTTTGCACATGTGATTCCATATTCTGCTTCACCTACCTAAGCACTGTTAAATGCACATGTACTCAGAAATGGATAGGTACTTGAGAAATATTAACCATATTCAAACTAACCAATACATCTATGCATTAGTAAAGATATTCTCAATTTCACAAACTCTGGTGTCATAATAAATTTGCCTAATTTCTCTTACCATCATTTCTATTAATGGTAGCATTACATATTTGTATATCTGTATACTAAATTTGATTAGATATGATGAAGTTTCTCTTATTTTTTTGTGATATTTCTTCTGCTATTCTCTTGCTCATTCTATCACTTGCCTAATCATTTTAACAAATTCTGTTCACCTTTATGGTCCAATAAAACATGATTACTCTAAATAGATATATCAAGAAAAAAATTTGGGTTTTATAATTTCCAATTGAAAATATACCTACCATTGTATTGGGGCTGGTGTTTTGATACAGAATATTATTATGCACATTAGAAATCTTTAAAATTAAAATAATACAAGGTGTTTTTATTTCCTGCTGTAATTATCTCAAAGTGTTATAATTCTTGGCATTATTTGAGAACATTTATTTTAGCAAATAAGCAAGTTTCTTAAACAATTACTAAACATAATAATATAAAGGGAATGTTACATTTATCTTAAATGATTAATGGATACAATTGTCAAGAAAACTGTATGACTGTAGTAGTTGTTTTATTCTTTATATGTCATAAAAATGTAAAGACATTACCTTTAAATTATTTTCCCATAATTCCCAGCAATACAGAAAAAACCCTCAATCTCCATTTTATTTTGTTTATAATAGTCAAATTCTAGGAAAAGTGACATCACTCACAAGCATATGTTCTTAATAAATTAACAATTAGTATCAAAAATTATGCAGATACAATGATTTTTCCCAGTTCAGTATTAATACAGTAACCATTCCTAAAATTTAAGAACTTGAAGTACTATGAGAAATAGTATATTTCCACTTCATTTGACATATTTACTGTGTACATACTGTATTTAAATGTCACCATTCTATTTAAAGAATTGAAAATCTTTACGATATTTTATATCAAAGAAGGACATTGTAATATTTCTCTTTACAAGATATGACTATATACTTGGCTGGGAAATATGATGTTTTCTATATTTAGTCCTAGTGAATTGGACTTGAATTTCTAGCAAGCCTCAACATATCACAAGATGAAATAGTAAGTTCCTCTCAGAAAAGAACACAACACTGAAAAAGGGAGAAAGAGTGTTGAAACAGTAAGTATAGAAAATAGATCTTCTGTCAAGGATCTTGACAGTAAATGTTGAAGCAGTAGAAATCACAAATAATATTGGTTTTCATGTTATACATTCTGAGAATTTCTATAGAGCTCAACTGGATTATAATAAGATAACAATAAAACTCTTCCTAAGATACTATGTTGTAACTTTGCTTTTGTATGAGTAGTAAAACAAATCTCTCTTGCTCTCTCACTCTCTCTCCACAAACACACATGCAAGCACATTTTTGCAATACAGAAATATATTTTACCTATTTTCTTTCTAAATTTTGTCAACTCTAAAGTTTTGAAATATAGTGACCCATCTTTAAGATAGAGATGATCATAATGAGAGTATTAGATGACTTCATTGTCTTTAACTGTAGATAATCACAACAATGCAAAGGGTTTTACATTATGTGACAGTATAAAACTGTTTATATTCAAGTGCTTAAGCTACAGAACTGAAAATATAAAGAATATAAAATACAAACATAGAAATCTATTTTAATAAATTACTTTGCCTTTATAAAGTATGAAAAACACCTAGGCTTGACCAAAAAAATTTTCCCTTTAAACTCTGGAATCTTTTTTAGATAATGTTATCTTCTATTTCATGACATAGCTCAAAAAATCTAAAAATTGATTGATTTCATTGAAGATTAGGCTGTAGTGATACATATTTCACATATTTCATTTTTGTTCATTCACACAAACTTAAAAACATTTATTCAGTGGTTGATATGTGGAGTGTAAAAATATCTATTTAATTTAAATATTTCATGTAAACATTCTATTTTTACTTTAAATTACACAAAGCATTCAAATTAGAACCCCTTTATATAAAGATTCTCAGACTGTTCAATAACAAGAATCTTTAATCATTCAAAGAATATTCATGAATCATAAGCATTTTCCAAGCATTTTTCTATAGATTTTGACTTTATAAATGTGGGCAAAACAATATTTCTTTCTTCACAGAAGTTCTATGGTAGGCAGCAGCAGGAAAAAAGAACAGTAAATAATTAATCACCAATCTAAATGAGAAAATATAAGGCAAGTGATGATACTTGAAGAAATGGTGAAAAAAATGTGGAAGAAAGTATGGACAGTATAGATAACTTGATCCAGGAATACTTGTTCTGAAAATGTCCCATCTAAATACAAACAGAAGGAAACAAAGGAACCAACTACATGACTTTCTGGGAGTAGAGTGTTTTAGTTCATGGGAAGAACATGCATAAATGCTTTAAGGCAGGCCAAGGCATGCTTGGAGCCTTGGATCTATAATGAGACCAGTATGGTTGAAGAAAGAAGGGGAGTAATCACAGATGATATCAGAGAGGTAGTAAGGGACCGAGAATAGCATAGAAGCCTTCATGAACCTTGGGATTTTATTCTGCATGCTGTGGGAAGCCATGCAGGGCTTCAAACGGTGGGATAACATAATTGATTCATATTTTTAAAGAATCATTGTGGTTTATGGAAAGAAGAAAACCTGCAAGCGTAGAGGCAGGACACATGTTAGACTGTCTTTTTAAGACAAGGTTAGGAATTATTGTGGCTGTAATTGGATTTGGAGTAGTGGAGATTTTGAGAATGTTTGGATTCTGCATCCATTTGAAAAGTAATGCTGAAAGGATTTGGTAATGAATTGGTTAGCAGTGTGAGAGAAAAAAAGCAGTCAGGAATGACGTCAAGGTCAAAATGACCTAAACATTATTATCCTCCTGAAAGCAAGTTGATATTAATGTTGAGAATTACTTATCCTGACATGCTGAGATTTACTGACACATGGGCTGAGTATATTGTTGTATTTTTCACAGGTAATATCAAAGAGACAATTGATAGACTAATGGAAATACATGACACTTTCTATTTTTTTACCATTTCAGCATGTGTGCAAAAAATTTTAACACGAGTTAAACTGATTTTAGAAAACACAAACTGTTTCTGGAAGTATACCTCTACAATTTAAATGGTAAGTCATTCTAAAGATGCTTCTTGAGCTTAGGAAGTGTTTGATCAACAGGAACTCTGAGAACTTGAAAACTTTGAACAAGACTTTCTTTCTTTAAATGAATCTAATAGAGAAAAAAAATTCCTTTCAAGTAAAATGGTTTGTTTTTATAGAGTATAACAACTATCTGGACACCAGATTAACTTATAAATAGTTATATCCATGATGATATTTTTATGTATGCATTTCATGCCTGATGCTCACAAACACAGTATTTATTGATACTGTCTACTGCATGAAAATCTGTGATTAGTGGTGCCTCTCCAGTGGGGAGGGAAAAGGGAGATAATATTTGTACTGGAGATATATAACTTATGTAAATGTATAGAATACAAGATGGAGAATTTGAGAGAGTAAAGACACATGTTAATCAACAAATGGAATTGTAAAATTAGCAAATGTTACGGAAAGTACATATCTACTGAGAGCAGGAACTTTTTTCTCTCCACTGCCATTTTTTTGCAACTTCAAAGAGTACCTAACACTCTAAATCTCTCAATAATCATTTGTACAATTAACTAATTATGAAATAAAACTAGAAAATGGGAAACTTTATGTATCGTTTTAAGGCTTTCTTGAGTCAGGACAAATTGAAGAAATTTCTGCCCAGAGCCTTGCATTTATAGAATATGCCTTCATACTTAGGTGATCAAGTAGTAGTACAATATACTGAGCAAATTTTATTTGAAAGATTTATAAGGAATAATAGAAATGAAGAAGTGGAAGAAGGACATATATGATCTGTGACCTTTAGGAATTATAATCTAGTTGAGGAAAGACCCACGTAGCAGGGAAAACTTAGTTCATGGCATTCTAGTTTTCCTGTATCAAATCCCCAAATACAGCATTCATTTAACTGTGACTTTATTACTTTATAACTTCCTCTTTCACATGAATGAGCACTCCATAGAGTGATTAAGCAGAACTTCTTGTTGAAAATTTGATATATATGACCACTGAAAAAAAAGAGTCAAGAGAAGTGAAAATGAATTCTAGGGGAAAATATAAACAGATACACAATAATAAGAATGTGAAGATATACCCAGAAAACCATGAGTTATCTGTTTTGAGGGGAGTAAGATGTCTCTTCAAATATATGAAAAATAAGAATAGAAAGGGTCCTTCAGGCTAGACTTTAGAAAACTATCAATGTCTGAAAAAGAAGGTTGGGCCTTGGATCATAAGCAGGGTCACAAACTGAAGGGTTTTAAAAAGTGAGAGACATGATCAACGTTGTATTTCTAAAAGTGATTCTGAGGTGGATGGTTTTGATTGATTATAAAGGCAGATCTTCAAATGTTGAAATGGCAGGAGCCCATTGAGCAAATCTAGTAGTCAGTTCATAAAATCCTGAGTAGGCATAGAAATGGGAATAAAAGGAATTTTGGTGGCTCAAATTGAAGGGAAAGACAAATAAAGAAGTGTTAGAAGTTACATCAAGATTTAGAAGTGCTGGTTGGAAATAACATTAATAAAGATAAGAAAATTTGGAGTCCTGTGTGCATGTGTGTGTGCTTGTATCATCTCTCCATAGAGTGAAGCTGAAAATATAATTATCTTCAAAAACATTTAAGAGAGTATGTTTCCAAATGGTTATATAGATTAATGACAGATCTGCCCAATAGCCAACAGAACAATGGGACAATAATCAAACTGTATGGTAATTAACTCATTTTAAGAGTAGGTGACATTGGCTAAAAATCAAAATGCTGAAAGTCAGAGAAATGGAATAGGCATATAAGTCCGGAATAGAGAGAAACATGTTAAGCAAGGACTGCCCCATGTTAGATACTAACATGGGAGAAGTTGAGAATGTGCCGAGTTAAAAGGTGTGAAACTTTTACGTAGAAGGAAATAAAAGTAAAACCTAAAATAGCAAAAAAAAAAAAAAAAAAAAAAAAAAATCATAGGTGATATGGTTTGACTCCGTGTCCTCACCCAAAATCTTCTCTTGAATTGTAATAATCCCCGCAGGTCAAGGGTGGGACCAGGTGGAGATAATTGAATCATGGGGGTGGTTTCCCCCATGCTGTTCGCATGATAGTGAGTGAGTTCTCAAGAGATCTGATGGCTCTACAAGAGGCTTCCCTCTTTGTTCCGCACTCATTCTCTCTCCTGCCAAGCTGGGAAGAGGTGTCTTCTCCATGATTGTAAGTTTCCTGAGGCCTCCCCAGCCATGTAAAGCTGTGAGTCAATTAAATCTCTTTCTTTATAAATTACCCAGTCCTCAACAGTTGTATATAGCAGCATAATGGACTAATACGTTAGAATTTTTTATGAATTCTTTTTTATTGTGTTATAGTTACCCCAAGAAGAGAAAAATAATAAAAAATACACATTACTTGAAATCTTTGATTCACTGCTTGGGTCAAATGGCTCAACGCAGATGTTGTACAGCTTCATCTCATTATTGTTGTATTATTTTTCAATCTTCACTTCTCAAAACTATATTAAACATTTCCCACTTTCATGTGAAGTCTGGTTAGTTGTCTATAAGAACAATAGGATCCTCTATTATTAAAAAAGAATATGAATTTCTCTATATTTTTAATCTGATTTCTAAAATGGGTAGTGTATATTTAGAAGAGCCTTCTCAAGCCTTTGTCAGAGATAACTGTATGTTGTATTTTCCCTAGCAAAGGGCTAATTTATAGAGGGGAACAACAAGTGCTGGCGCCTTTTTGAGGGTGGAGGGTGGGAGGAGGGTGAGGATTATGAAAAATAACTAATGGATACTAATGGGTACAAGACTTATTAACTGCGTGGTAAAATAATCTGTGTAACAAACCCCATGATACGTTTACCTATTTAACAAACCTGCACTTGTACCCCTGAACTTAAATAAAAGTTATAAAAAAGGTAGTACTAAAATTTCTAAATATAATAAGATTCTGAGTGACATGTGACGAGGAAGGAGTACTATGATTTGATGAGGCAGGTCTTGAATGACAACATATTTAAGGTACAGATTTCTGAATTGATTGAGAGAAAAAAATGATTTGCATTTCAAATTCATTCCTCTTGCTAGAAGTGTCTTGGTCTAACTAAATTATATTGGTTTCCAAACCCAGTACAACTTTCTATCTACAAGTGACCCTTAGAAAATGGGTTTGAATTGTGTGTGTCCACTAATACATGGATTTTTTTCCAATAAAGGTTACAAGTGTGCCTGCTCTCCTGCCTCTTTCAGCGCCTCCACCTCTCCTGCCTCTGACACTCCTGAGACAGCAAGACCAACCCCTTCTCTTCCTCCTCCTCTTCAGTTTACAAAACATGAAGACAAAAAGGATGAAGACCTTTATGATGATCCACTTCTATTTATTAAGAAGTAGATATATTTTATCTTTCTTATGATTTTCTTTATAATGTTTTGCTTTAGCTTTATTTATTGTAAAAATAAAGTTTATAACACATTTAATATACAAAATATGTTAATTAACTGTTTAAGTTTTCAGTATGGCTTCCTGTCAACATTAGGCTATTATTAGTTATGTTTTCAAGGAGTCAAAAGTTATACTCACATTTTCAACTGTGCAGAGGGTTGGCACTCCTAATGCTTTGCATTATTCAAGGTCAACTATATTTCCTTTAAGGTAATTAACCATATTTCAACATGGTTAGTCTTATTAGCTATTCTTCTTTTTGATTTTTAGTACATTAATTGTAAAGATATTCACTTACACATCATAGTTGCTCAGTGAATGGCTGAATGACTCACGGAATGATTGCATGAATTAAAGACGGCCAATATATCTTCTTATGAACTTTGTTGGATCAAAGTTGAAGATTATAATTGCTCATGTTTAAACATTCTCAAAAATCTTGTGAGAATTAACACTGTTGTTATAAATTTTTATTTCAAATGCTCTTTTAACAAATGTGTTCCCTCTGATTCCTAAAACAGCCTTGCTGGGAACAAGAGTCTATTTTACTGTTCCTAGTTTATAGGTAAGGTAATTAAAGCTCCTTGGAAAAGTTCCTTGACAGTGCTAAAGGCTAAAACCTGGACAGACCTAACTATATACAGCATTCCTCACTTCCAGTTTTGCTATTATTCACCAAACCATGATTATTTCATGCAATGGAAACATTGAACTGGACAATACTCTTAAATTTCACTTATTCTGAAAGACATTTACTCATCCCAGCATTCCCTAAATTCAAAGGAGAACTTGAATAACAACCTGGAAGACTCAACTACCTGACAGTTCCAGAGCTGACAATGATTTGGCTGGCTTCCAGCAGACACTTCTCTTTAAGTGTTACTTCACTGAACAAGACACTATATGATAATGCTATTTCACTGACCTTCCCCTGCTTCCTGCCATAGGCTTAAATTATCTGCGATTTTTGTGAAAACAGTGCAAACCTCTGTGGATAAGAGCTGAAAAGGAGTATCATTTAATGAAAATCAGTGATAACTCGATGAAAATTGGTTAAGAAAAGTCCAATGTTTTCAACTTACTTAAATGGAATAATGAAAATGTTTTCAGATATCTTTTGTTTTGATGTGAATAAATAAATCATTTAAAATTTAAGTTTTAACAAGTAAATGGTTATACCATCCTATATCCTGTTTAATATGTTATTTTTATGCCAGAGTTCAGCTTAAGTATCATGTAGAGCTATCAATACTGATGATCTACAGTTTACCTTTCAGCCGGGTGCAGTAGCTCATGCTTGTCATCTCAGCACTTTGGGAGGCTGAGGCAGGAGGATCACTTAAGGCCAGGAGACTAGCCTGGGCCACATAGTGACACTCCATCTCTACAAAAACAGAACAAAACAAAATAAAATAAAAAACAGAACTCAGATCTACATTAAAAAGGAAGAGTATTTGAAAAGAAATGAAGGTAAAATAAAATTTATCTTTTACTGACTGATTTAGGAGAAGATTATAGTTCTTCATTAGCAATTGTAAGACAGAGGCAAGAGTCTATGTTGGTGAGGAAAACATAAAATTCTGTTTTTTACTCTGAAGATTATTATTGGATTCTCTCTCTCACCTTGCCTCATATTTTCTCTGCCTATCTGTCTCCAACTCTCTCTCTCTCTCAAATGCAGTATTCCTGTTAATTGTGAAGTACCTACAGATACATATTCTCTCTAGGCACACATCTGTAAATATAATTTATTTGTTGTATAAAGAAACATATCTCCAAACACATATAGTATTATAACATGTAATTTTAGATTCAAGTATGTAAAGCATTTTTCTTAATTTAAAATTGAAATCATTTTGAAAATTAGATTTTAAATATACAGATTGTCCAAATTCAAAGAAACAGCACTCATTCATTTAAAATAAATCTTATTTTTATACTTGGGATTTTTGCTAAGAATTCATTTGTTTATCAAAATATGTGCATTTAGCCTGATTATCTAATTACCCTCATAATGAAAAGAACATTTAAACTCAGTAAATATGAGGATATTTTCAAAACAACTCCAATTTTTTAATTACCTTGCATACATTTTTTTGTATGTGAGACGAAGTCACATGGCACATCCTACTTTTGTGACCACAGCATATTTTGTAAATACTTGTTACAGCAAATTGATGTCTTACTAGCACTGAAGTTAGTATTGAAATACTGATGACAGTTAATGCTAGTAATCAAGTCCTGATTAGTCACCCAGCACTTCCATACCTGGAGCACTATTATTGTTTATTGAGACATATTTTGGTTCAGTATTGGAACATTTTGGCCCTAGGTATGTTATGGAATACTTAGATTAAACCCAAAACAAATAGTTGATAAAATTTAAAAAAAATCATATGTCATTTTTTCTTATTAAAATAATTTAAAGGCTGCAAGATTGCTGTAAAATAAAACAATTATTTAATATTTTAAATACATTGAAAATAACAGAGGTCTACTTATAGCCTTTAGAATTTGCCGTTTTGTGGGGGAAAAAAAAACCGCACAAAACAGAATTTAGCTAATTTGTGCCTACCTCAAAACAGGTGAACTCTCAGCTTGGTTAAAATAATGTATAATTAATATTTCTTTGTCATTGCTTGTTAATTTAGGTTATTAAATATCTGCTATTCATTAAATTCTAGGTCATTCCAAACTGAAACCCCTTTAGAAACATCCTGCTTTTTATTTTCTTATAATTCTAACTTTTATTTTACATTCAGGGGATACATGTGTGCATTTGTTATATGGGCATATTATGTGATGCTGAGGTTTGGGGTACAATTGATCTTGTCACCCACATAGTGAGCATAGCACCAAATAAGTAGTTTTTCAGTCCTCCCTCCCCTTCCTTCCACCCCTCTTTTGGAGTTCCCAGTGTTTATCCTTCCCCTCTTTGTATTCCTGTGTACCTACTGATTAGCTTCCACTTATAAATGAGAACATGCAGTATTTGGTTTTCTGCTTGATTTTAATCTTAAGCTTTATAGTCAGTATGTCCCAACCTTACAAACCAGTACTTTACTTTAGTTCTTCAGTAAATATGAGAACCACTCATAATATGCAACAACAACAGAGAAAGGAAGCTTTAATATCATTTATGGATTTCTTATTTTTCTATCATTAATTTTGTCCTCTGATAGACTGATTTTCCTTTATCCTATTTTTTAAGTTAAATATATTCACATACTTTTAAAGCAGATAGATATATAATATATATATTAAGATTCATATTGTAACTTTCTCTGTTTACTTGTTAAACAAATTTATGTAATATTAAGTAGGTAACTACAAGTCTGCTTATACAAGTCATGTCTTTAAAGTAAGTCATTTTTCTTTAGTGTAATTTTATTAGTCAGTTAAATAAACATTATACTTTTACAAATATAATTGTAATTATGAAGCTCCTGTGTGTATATATAATGCCTTATCTTTATGTTGTATTTTATTTATAAGTAACTACCCTAAATATCTGATTTCTGTAAGCCATGTTTCTGAAATGCATCTCTCAGTTAAGTCACTCTACCAGACCTAAAAGATGATTGCTAAATAAAGATATTTAGAGAATTGCTTAGAAATTACAAACTTCCCCACTGCACTTTGCTACTTTTATACCACCTACCATATTCTATGCAACTCACCTGTTAAGATTTATTACTATAAAGGTATCTATTCATGGTTTTCCATTTCAAACACAATATATGTAGTAATTTTAATTCATTTCTGAGAATGATCTCATCCATTCTGCTCATGGGGAAAGTATTATATTAGTATGGTATATAAAGGGAAGTGTTGACAACGGTGGTGGAATTTTTCACAAGGAGGACAACAATATGGAAAACATAAGAATGGGGAAGAGGAACTAGTCTTACATCCACTTTAAAGAAAGATCATAGGTGTTTTAGGTAAAATGTAATCTTCTTAGTTTGACATCAATAGCCTTTGATAATCATTTCCCATATAACTTTTCAGCCATAACTATTTTTTCAAGGACCTTTCCTCAGTCCATTATATTCTTTTCATCACCAGCTAGTGCATTTCCATTCATCTTTCAATATCCAATTCAAATGCCAACTCTGTGACACCTTTTTGTATTCTGCCAGACAAAAATAATTGTGTTTCTTCTGACCTCTCCTTGTATATTTCATGGAATATGGCAAAGTACTTAATTCCACTGAACTGTAGCTACTGTCTTGCTGTCTTACCAACTAAAACAAGGACATTTTGGGGAATATGAGAATTTAAATTGAATAGTAACCACAAGATAAAAACTCTGGGCATTGCACGATCTTCCTTTTAACTAATTAGAGGCCAAGTATATTGATGAAAATCATTATATAGAATTTGATAAGACTTTCTTCTAATATTGTTTTATGATTTTTCATGTTTCATAAAATTTTGACAGAAATATATTTCTTATAATTTGTCTTCTTTGTAACTCCCCTCTTTTGTTCCTACAGCAACATGCTGTCCTGGCTAACGTGTTTATGAATGCAAGAAAACTTTCAAAAAGGGAGTTTGAAATTTAACTCCACAAACTACTATCTGGATTGGAATGCTACATTAAATGTATTATAACTTTGTATGGACTTATAGGGATGGGGAATGAAAAGGATCCAAGGCCCTATGTTGATATTCTTTTGATATGTTAAGAAATAATCTAGTGTTATTTTCTATTTCTTCTCAAATGTTTTTAGAGGTTACTTGGTACACTGGTCGACAAAACCTTGAAATATTGATGTTTAAGGGCTGCTGATTGCTGGCAGCAAAGAAGTCCAACTGTGCTGGCACCTGAGATAGCGTCTCCACATTTTCTTCCAGGATCATCACCTTTGTTCTAAATAGCTCCTACACAGTGTGAATATTAGTCATATGTTTTAGATTTTCTGCCTTGGCACCCAGGAAACCAGTATGATTGAGTAAACATATTAAACTTCCTCTGCATTTCCAGCCTGAACAGATGTTGAGTACGAGCTGATCCACCTATGTTCAACCCGAGAGAGTCCACATCCACAGATGGTTTCATTTCCCTTTTTCAATGTATGTAAAAGCATAGATTCTTGCTGGCATGTATAAATGTGCCATTTAAGGCAATCAAAAATGGTTCCACATCTCACTTGATTTCCACAATTGTTGCTGTAACGATGGACTATTGAGGAGAGAAACTTAATTTCTCTGGCAGATCTTCCCACATTTAAGCAACATGTTCATGGAGAGCCAATATTCAGTAATTACAGCACAATTCCTCACAATTTCACAATTCGCCAACAGTATGCATTTTCACAATGTAAAGCTGATTTTCCTTTAACCAAATGAAACATGAAAAGGTAGCTGCATGCAATGGGCAATCTAGGTCATTAGATGATTGATGTAAAATTAGAGGACATTGAGACTAGAATAGATTGCAAACATCGGGGAGCTCAGAAAACTTGTAAACTCTACATTTTGAGGAAATATGTTGTTGATGCTTTTGCAGCTCTATGCAGCAACCTAACAAATAAAGGCTTAAAATAACTTATCTATGAGTTACTTTGTCATTATTTGCAACTATTTCACATCATACAGCTTCTCTAGGAAGTCCTCAGCTTATTTACCAAAACAGAATTTCTAGTTATAATTCCATTCCTCTGTTGATACTATTTCTCTTGCCTATGAGACAAAGAATCAAAACCAAGTAATCAAAAATGTAGAATATTGTAGTGGTTATGTTTAACTTTCTAATGTTGTGAATGCTATCTCATCAAATGAATTATACAATTTAACAGTCACTATGAATAAGCATAAATTTACAGATTATGCCAAGTCTATATATTATAAGTAATCATATATTCCAAATATTATTTTTTATGGTAATGAAAGGCACTATGTATTGAGCACTTAAATATGCATAAGCATGATGCTAATCTCTTTAGCTATTTCAACAATAAACTGTGTAAATACTGTAACCTACATTCTTTTTGAAGCACAGGTAGTTATGACATGGGTAGTCACATTCCGTATTCTTTGTAGTAGGGGAAGGTTAAAGAATGAGGCAGAGAGAGACACACACACAGAGAGATATGGAATGTACATGAGAAATATTCAATCTGATAAATTATATAATAAATCTTCACCTAACATACAGTATTATGACAGCAACGGACTGGTGGATAAAAGGAGCATTTCTATTTAAGTACCACTGAAACACTTAATTTTAAAATGGTACAGGCTTGTTAGGTCAAAAAAGAGAAATCTAAGCTCAAGTAAGGAAACAGCATGTAGAATTTGACAAAGTTATAAAATGGATAATTTTTTTAAATTTTATTATTATTATACTTTAAGTTTTAGGGTACATGTGCACAACGTGCAGGATTTTTACATACGTATACATGTGCCATGTTGGTGTGCTGCACCCATTAACTCGTCATTTAGCATTAGGTGTATGTCCTAATGCTATCCCTCCCCGCTCCCCCCATACTATGTAGCCATAAAAAACGATGAGTTCATGTCCTTTGTAGGCACATGGATGAAGCTGGAAACCATCATTCTCAGCAAACTATCGCAAGGATAAAATGTATAACTTTATTTCATGTCAGGGAATACAAAAAAAAAAAGAAAAGAGAACCGGAAGATTCAAAAGTACAACAGACCAAAGCAACAGGCTTGTGGGTGGTTAAAAAAAATACTCCCCCTGGTTTGTGGGCACAGATCAGTGAAAAATTTTACCTGGATGATAGATGTGAGAGGATTAAGAACACTTGACAAATGCAACCTGCACTTTCCTGTTTCGCCTAGCCCTCCTGCAATTAACCAGGACCATGAAACAAGCTGTAGCCAAACAGCTGTGAGTAGAAATCATATGTGTCCCTTTGGGTTAGTAGAAAACCCTCCAGTATTCTGTTCCTCTGCCAGGGCAATGAGGAGACTTTGTGTTGAGACTGTGGAACCGGAAGACAAAAGCAACCTCAATGAATTCCTGTGTAGCAGCCAAATCCCCCGAAACTCACCCGGACTAGAGTGATTTTGTGAAAGCAAGAAGTAAAATGTTTGATTGCTGCATCTGCAATGCCAGTACTATCTTGATTAGTACAAATTATCAGAAAGTAGGAGAAACAAGAACATGAGCGTTCTGGCACCATCGTCATTGGTTGTGAAACAGAACATTATCTGTAACATTCCATCCTGTATGGTAGTGAGGGTTTGTTCTATTTGCCAATGTTTAGAGCCACAGTAGTGTATTTACATGGGTTCAGTTGGATTAACCAGTACATATTCATTTTCTTTAGATGGATTTAAGTAACAAACCTACCAGTGTCATTAAACAAATGGACAAAATGAGCAGTGGAACATTTTATGCTTATTGAAAAATGAACAAATATTATTCTAGTAATGAAAGCTCTGAGTGCAATACAATGTCGAGATTGAAGTGGTTCTCTCCTACCATTTAATGGATAAGTTCTAGAAAAGACAAGTGCTGTAAACAAAACACTATTTCCATGGCAACACATACTTCAGCTTTTAGCCTTTCATCGCACAAAAAGAATTTTAAAACATTTTTTATTTTCATAGTTTGTAATAACAATAGTGACCTCTACATCTGGTATTTTCTGGAAGCTAGTAATTGGCAATGCCTCAGGCCTTACACTTTTTGGCCAATCTTCTAGGAGAGCGTTACCCAGGTTTCTCATTACTTATAAAAATTCAGTTCATTTTCCAAGGGCAGATACTTAAAGACAAAATTAGCCCAGCCATATATTTTGAAATGCATATTTTAGAAATAAATATTTTAAGTGTCAGATACACTGCTCTCTGAGTCAAACAACTGTATATGCACATATGCTGTGTGTTTGTGTGGGCATGTGAAGACATATATATGATTGTGTATGTGTATATGTAAATTATTTCTTATTAAAATTTCTGGAAGTGACAGTATAAATAGCCAGTGATAAAGCATGATAAAGTATAGATGTAAGAAATATTGTGTCTCTATTGACACACAGCATTATTACTATGAAATCTGCAGATTAAACAAAGCAAGTGAATTATTTTATGGTTTGTGTTGGTTAGGAATTTAGCTGACTCTTCTGCTTCAGAGCCTTACAAGGCTGCAATCAAGGTAGCAGCCAAGACTATGGTCTTACCTGAATCTCAGCTGGGGAAGAATCCTCTTCCATATTCATATGGTTCCTTACAGTATTCATCAAGTACCTGGAAGGCTGTTACCCTGAGGGCCTCAGCTTCCTGCTAGCTGTTAGCTGATGGCCACACTCAACTCTGTAAGCTGTGATCCTCTCCATGTAGCAGCACAACACATGACAATTTATTTATTCAAAGCCAATGACAGAGAGTCTCCCAGCAAGACCAGTTACAATCTCATGTAATGTAATCATGTTCACATAATCCCATGGTCTCATATTTGCCATTTGCTACTGTTAGAGGTAACTCAGTTCCTTCCCACACTTAAGAGCACAAAGGTGTTATGGCCAGAAGGTAGGGATTATAGGAGCCACACTGGAGCCTTATAGCACAGAGATTTTCACCTAAGTCCACATGATTAGAAATTATAGGAAGACAATCTTGTGGATCTCAAAAAATAAATGTTTGCTTATTCAGCATCATAAAATGTAAGTAACTGTTATGTGGCAATTAGAGATTTTGTAAAATTGTGTTACAATTACTATTTATTCCCTTTCTCAAGGAAGTAATTTATAAAAATTTCACTAAATACCAAAAATAACTTTTTGTATTATTAATTTTTACCTGAGACTATACATTTTTAGAGGCATAAGAAAAGAAATATAGATACACCAATAACCAAAAAGTTCTAGATTCAGATCCTGGCATAATTATTTTTGAAGTTTGTAAAACCTTTTGCAAAGACATAATATGCCTGATTATTAGTTTTATTATCTATAAAATAAATATAACATGTGCTTGGTATGCTTATCATGGATTTCAAATATTATACGATTTGAAAAGGCCTGCTTTACAGTAGCATCTACTTAAATGACTGATAAATTATTGAAACAATACTTCATATATATATATATAAGAATATTTAAATTCACATATTAAATTTTCATATACTGATTTGGAAACTGTTTCCTGTTTGGTTAATAATTATTTGAATTTCTTATACTAGGTGAAAGCCATACCCCAACCTATTAGAAATTAATTAATTTCTGCTAGGGAAAGATACAAGGTAATAATATAATCAGAATTATATGTCTATATACTATGCTCAGAAGGAATACATCTCACAGAAATGGCAAAACAATTCTGCCACAGCTGTAAAATTATGTAGTTTATCTGATTTGACTTTCTTGTGCCATGAAGAACTTGCAGAAAATATAATATTAATTAAAATACACATAAAGAGTTTTGCTCATGAAAGAAGAAAGTTATATTTTGACATCATTCCAGCTCTGGTTAGGATGCTGGATTCCCTGGAGTAAATGTGGGAATCTGCTTCACTTGAAAAAATACCTGAGCCTGTCTATTTAAGGAATTACTAAATATAGAGTTTGGAAGTCAGGCTTTTCTGAACTATAGATCACTATGGCAGCTCTATAACTATATCATAGTTCCATAAGTCAGAGGAGTGTCATTTTCTACGTTCTCGTATCTCATCTTAGGGGGATGCTCTATGTTGACTACTGATAAAACTGCTGGTACATTCGTTCTTTTCTGCTTCTGTACACCAGGGATAGCAAATGCTCCTCCAGGTTCATCTTTACTAAGTTGGGAGTGGTTGTGAAGGATGGCTATGACAACCAACTGGAGGTCCGAAGGAGAGCACACCACCATCAACTCACTCTGCCTGCCGCAGGGAACGATGGCGGCCCATATGCTGCCAATCTAACAAATGGCCTCCAAGCATGGTGACAGCTGTTTGTGCAGACTCTGGAATAACAAATTACAACTTCCTCATGCTTTCTATTAATCTGGCATTTGAAATGTACTATGGACTGAATCGTGCCCACCTTCCCCAATTCATATGTTGAAGTCCTAACTCCCAACGTGACTGAGTTCATCAAAATGGATCTTGGTACAGAGAAGAGAATGCTGCTCTAACAGGTACTTAAAATGTGGAAGCAGTTTTGGCACTGGGTAATGAGAGGGCAGTAAGAGATTTGAGGTGCATGCTAGAAAAAAACCCACATTGCCAAGGAGGGACTGTTGATGGACATTGGCTATGAATGGTGACTCTGATGAGGGCTCAGAAAGAAAAGGAGATAGAAAGCCTCCAACTTCTTAATGAAAACATATATAATCACGAATATAATTTTGGTATAAACATGATATTAAAGGTCATTCTTGTGATGTCTCAGACAAAAATAGGTACAGATTATTGAAAATTGGAGAAAAGGTAATCCTTGTTATAAAGTGGCAAAGAGCTTGACTAAAATATGTTCCAGTGTTTTGCAAAAAATCAAAATTGTGAACAATGAAATTAGACAGGTAGTTGAGGAGATTTCAAAGCAAAATGTGATGGTGTGGCCTGAATACTCCTAACTGCTTATAGTTAAATGTTAGAACAGAGATTAATTGAGGAAGGTATTGTTAAGGGAAAAACAATCAAATGTAGAAAGATGTAGAAAATTCTCAATCTGAGTGTATTGCAAAAAAATGAGAAGAGCATGTTCTAAGAGAATACCAAAGGTATAGCTAGACTGTCACTTGATAAAGAGCTTATGGAATAATACAGGCAGAAACACTGCCGGCTTGAACTGATGGGGATGGAGATAAGATAAAGTGAAGGAAGCCTGAGGGTGTTCTCAGATTCTACAGGACAAGACAACAGAGTTATTTCACTGCAAACATACACTGTTTTTCAAGAGAAGGGAAAAATAACACTGCAGGCAATTCAGAATTATCAGGGTCACCGGCTTAGTTTCAACTGGCCAGATGGCCTCTGCCAGCAAGGCCTTGGGAAGAAGACCTGAGCCTGGCAACAACCCCACTTAGGGCTTTGGGGGCAGAGTCACCACCCCAATCAGTCCAGAAGATGAGTCATTGAGCCAGAGGGAATTAGTATTGAACCTTAAGATCTAATGAAATTTGCTTTGTCTGTTTTTGGACTTGCTTGGGAGCTGCTACTCCTTTCTCCATTTCTATTTATCCTTTTTGGAATGAGAATGTTTATCCTATGCCTGTCCCATCATACTATAAAAGTTAGGTGGTATTTTGGAACCACATAACTTTTCTAGTTTCACAGGTCTGCAGCTTGAGAGAAATTTTGTTTCATGATGAATCATACCTAAGGTCCCACTCATACCTGATTTAGATGACATTTAGATAAGACTTTACACTTTAGAGCTGATGCTGGAATGAATTAGGATGTGGAAGACTGTTGGAAAAGATGAATATGTTTTGCAAGTGAAAAGAATATGAATTTTGGGAGACCAAGAGTGAAATATCATATACTGGTTTGTCTCCACAATTCATAGATTGAATCCCTAATACTCAATGCGACTGCATTTGGAAATAAAGTCTTTAGGAGGCAATTAAAGTTAAATAGGTCGTAAGTGTGGAGCCCTAATTCAGAAGAATTGATGTCCTTATTAGAAGAGAGATCAGAGAAGCTCTCTTTTCCCATGCATGCACAAATAAGAGGTCATTTGAGCACACCAGCAAGATAATGGCTACTGAGAAGCTAAGAGAAGAGGCCATTTTACCTTCTCAGCCTTTGATCTTAAACTTCTCAGCCTCCAGAACTGTGTGAAACACATTTCTATGGCTTAAGCCATCCAGTTTATGCCATTTTTGTTATGACAACCTGATTTGTCCAAAAAATGCATCTTGCTAAGTTAAGAAGCCAATCTGACAAAGGTTATATACTCTGTGATTCCAACTCTATGATATTCTGGAAAAGGCCAAACTAGGAGATAACGGATACCGTGAATCCCTGTATTCCACCTATTGATCCCTCTTCCTCCCCTCCTATGTCCTTGGCAACCACTGATTGGCAGTCAAACTATTCTGTGCAATGTATAATGGCATGTATATAGTTAAATATAGTAAACACATGCCATTATACATTTTTCAAAACCCACAAAATATACAACCAGAAAGAGCAAACCAAATATATACCAAGGATTTCAGTTAATATTTCAATAATTTCTCATCAATTTGAACAAATATACCATATGTTAGTGGGGTAGATATATGGGAATTTTCTGAACTTTGCACTCAATTCTTCTATAAACCTACAGCTGTTCAAAAAATTAAGTTTGTTAATTTAAAAATAAAAAGTAACTAGATATTATAAATTCATTATTTTTTTTCATTTAAACAAGAAACAATTATTGAATCCTTACTGTGTTGCAGTCCCTGTGAATGGTGCAGGGAAACTAATTTACTTCATGAATAGTCATGAATTTGCCCAATGGTAAATAATAGCAAGATGTAATTCTAAAACAAAGTTATTTGCTCAAAATTCCAAATTTTAAGTCAAATAGTCAGTTTTCATTTTAGAACAAGGTCTGTTTTTGTTTTTGTTTGTTTTTCAAAGCTAAGCTTATGTTGTAAATTAGTCCCTGGTTAAGCTTTAACAAATATTATTTTGGTATTATATTTGAATAGTAGAAATTCCTTTAAAGGCAATATTTCCAAAATGTATTTTTCAATCTCTGTGCCTTTTTGCTCTGCAGATATTTAAAATTAAGTTATTATAATCTAAGAAAAGTAAATCAGAATTGTGCAAACTATTTATCCATTTATCTGTTGATGGACATTTGGATAGCTTCCACCTTTTGGTTGTTTTGAATAATGCTGCTATGAACATTGGTGTAAAAATTTCCATTTGAGTCCATGCTTCTAATTTTTTTAAATATATATTTGGAAGTGGAATTGTGGGATCCTATGTGTGCTATTAATTTTTAAGTGACTTTGTATCAAAAATAATGAATATAAATTCAATTAATAAGCACTTTCATAATAAATTGTTTTTAGTTTTTAAATAATTCTGCATAAATTAATCTTCTAAGGAAAATTACATGAAGCAGTTATAAATCTGACAGCAATGAAGATGGGAGGAATTATACATTCATAGAGGTGTAAGTGAACAAAGTTTAATTTGGGTTTCACAGAAACCCAATTTCTGTGAAAATTTCTATGAAATTTGGGTTTCATAGAAATAGAGTAGACTTGCCCCACATGCTTGCAAAATTGAACTGGTCTTAGTTATGCAAACATAGACTATTTTTAAAAATTTTGATAACAGTGTGCTATCACAGCATATTGTTACCCTGCTTTAAGTCACCATATATATGAAATAAAGTAAAATAAAAGCTCCTAAGACACATCTAATTATTCCTTGCAAAGCTTGATACTGTAAGATTTCCCTGGAATGGTGATATTCACGTGTATTAAACAATATCATAAGCTGGTGGGTTGATCTGGTACTTACTGAGCTAAATGCTCCCAAGAAGCAAATCACAGCAGTATTTAAAAGTTTTAGGGGCCAGGCACAGTGGCTCACACTTGTAATCTCAGCACTTTGGGAGGTGGAGGAGGGTGGATTATAAGGTCAGAAGTCCAAGACCAGCCTGGCCAATATGGTCTGTACTAAAAATACAAAAATTTTCCGGGCATGGTTGCAGGCACCTGTAGTCCCAGCTACTCAGGAGGCTGAGGCAAGAGAATCGCTTGAACCCAGGAGGTGGAGGTTGCAGTGAGCGGAGATTGCACTACTGCACTCCAGCCTGGACAACAGAACAAGACTCCTCCTCAAAAAGAAAAAAAAAAAGAAAAAAAAAAAAAAGCTTCAGTAACTCTTTTACACCCTCTAAGGCATTTTATAAAATAGCAGTAAATCCATAAAATTTGAAAGTGGGCATCATGTTAACCTTTGAACACATGTTTTACTTTAGGATTCTATTTAATATATGAAGTTTGAGGCTGTTTATTGTACAACTGTACAATTTTAGGTAATGACAGATGAGTTTGGAGAAGTAATGCTAGTAGATGCAGTCTTTGTCTACTTTCTCCTATGTAACTTGATTCTTACCTAGTACTTGCAATACCATCAATATACTGAACCCTCAATCAGTATTTCCAGTACTAAATCCTCAGTTGATATAGGTTCATGTATCAAATTGCTTTCTGAACAGCTCCACTTAAATGTCTAATGGGTGTTTTACATTTAACGTTCTCAGTACACTCCTTCCCTCTCCCAAATCTTGCCCCAGTAACCTTCAGTTTTAGGAAATGGCAAAACCATGAACTTCAGTGACACAAACAGTGGAATAAATTCTGAGTGGTATATTTCCCTGACAGAAAGTGCTTCATTAGCAACTCTGCTTCTAAAACTCATTACAAATCCATACACTTTTAGCTATTTATAGCTTTCTTAGTCTCGTCTATGTCACACTAGTCACATTCTCTCACTTGGACTTAGGAAGATAGTCTCCTAATTAGTTTCCTTTTTTTCTCTGATTCTCCTCTTCTTTTTCTCACCTACAATCCATTCACCACTCTCCTTAACTGCTATTTTTCCTCACTTATTTAAAAATCCAATATCTTTATTATGGTTCTTTGTATGAATGGATCCTGCCCTCTTCTCCAACGTGCATCTTAACTTGTATGCAGACTTCAGAGTAATTAGCATTTAAAAATTTGTAATGTGTTAGTGTTTTTTCTACCAGTATTTTTTACCATCTTCTTTAATGTTTAGGTGATTAATTTGTTTGAGTGACAGCATGCCTATGGAGTAAATCATAACATTAAAACTTGGTCAATTTCTTATCAATTTATTTTATATATGATGGGTTTCAGTGGGTAAATGATTCAATTTTAGCCAGAAGTGTGCTGAGCAACTTCTGGGTAAGATTTTGTTTTCCTGAAAAAAAAAAAAAAGAGAAATGAGAAATCGAAGTATCTTTTCTTCCTACCTTGAGTGCCATTATAACAAGAAATGGTGCTTTGAAAAGTATCAGTCATCTTGTAAGAAACACTGTCAGTGTAAAGAGAAAAAATAAAAACAAATGAAAAAACAAGCAAAAATATGCTGAAGCTGGCAGAACATCTGGGTCCTTGATGATACTGGTATACAGGGTGAGCCAATTTGAAATTTCTTATAATGTGAAATTAAAAATCTATTATTAAGATTGTATCAATTATCTATTGCTGATTAACAACCCTCCTTAAAATTCAGTCACTTAAAATAACAATTCCTTGTTGCTCCAAGATTCTATATGTTGGGTTTGCAGTTCTTTTGATCTTGATCAAGCTAGACTGATCTTGGCTGGACTTGATCATGCAACCATGGTCATCTAACAGATCAGATGCATTTCACTTTGGCTCTTCTTGGCTGGGCTTTCTCATATAAGTTTTGGGTCCATGGCTTGGACAAATGAGATAAATAAACTAAGTTCTGCATAATGTTTTATCTTCCAACAGGCTAGCTTGGACTTGTTCTCATGGAAATAGCAGGAGTCCCAACTACAAGAGTTGCAATGTCAAGGCCTCGTCTTATAACTGGCACATAGGTCACTTCCACCAATATTCCTTTTGCTAACGAAAGTCACAAAGTCAGCCCATGTTCAAGTAGAGGGGAAACTGACTCCACCACTTGATGTGAAGAGTTGGAATATCATAGTTATTGTTTCCTGTGACTTGCCATAGCGTATTTTCTCACACTAACAACTCTGTATTTCTTCCCAAATTCTGAAAAATTCTTTTGTTGGCTCTTCCTATACTTGATTCATTACATTAAGTTTTCCATTTAAATATTTCCTTAGAAAGACTTTATCATTTGTCAAGTAGCTCTATTCTCTTCATCAGTTACTCTATTTTCTCATTAGAATATGAACTTTGTAAAAATGGGAACTTTACTTTGTTTATGCCAGTAGTTTATATACATTTTCTGTTACGTGAAAAGTACAAAATGTTTTTTTCATGGTTAAAGAAATAAAAGAATAAATATGTAATCACTGCAATGAGAAGAGTGAATTTTTATTTTCCCAACTTGTTTTATGGGTTTATGAGAGTAGACTTATTATTAGTTTAGAATTGGGTAATGAGGGGAAAAAATGCTATAAATCTCAATCATTTTATCAGTCCTTTGCCATTTGTACACACACATACACTATATTTTTATATATATAGTCCCAACTACATGAGCTGCAGGAGTCCCAACTACATGAGTATATATATATATGTTATATATATGTGTGTATATATATAGTGTGTATATAGTGTATATGTATATATGGAAAATATATAATTATATATGCATGTATGTATAATTATTTTGACAATTAGAATATATTCACTATTCTAATTCTTGAAATTTTTTACATGTTTTTTCCTGCATAGAATGTATATCCACCATTTTTCTTTTTAGTATATAGGTTTTTCTTTTTTTATTTCCAAGCAAATATCAGCTTTTAAAAAAACTTTTGTGTTCCTACTAGATAAGTTGTTTTCCTCCACTGCATCCCTTTAATTATCTCTTTGTATGCCTAATGTGGAACTTGGCATACCTTGTTTTTTCAGTTATCCAAACATTGATTTATGTCCCTATAAGTTGAAGTGTAGTTTTCTGAAAATCTGAGTCTTACTCTCATTTATTTACTGTAATTTATTACATGTATATAGCAAGCTATCAAAAATAATTCGAGTTTAAGTATGTGATAGTCAGCCTGATAGCATAGATACCTGATTTAATTTTGAAACTAATTGTAAGATAAAATGCAGTTTCTATTTTTGCCGTATTGAATTTGATTCTGCTACTTAAAACTTAATGTCCCTGTGCAATCTCTCTAAAGGAGGTTCTTACTTTTTGTAATTTTGCAAGCTACAATAATATTGCATAGGCACATTGATACAATGGCCTAGTTTGCTTTCTCCTAGCAATTGTTTAAAGCTTGTTCTATGTTCCTACTTCTGTTGGCTTTATCTCCTTCATTGTATCTTATTTCCCATTATGCTGCCTTCCAATCACTGAATTCCATTCCCACTGGCTCAGTGCTTGGATCTCATCTTTCTCAAATTCCCATAACCTTCCCAGATAAACACCTTCAATTACAGTCACTCCTTTCCTCTTCCACAGAGGCCCCTAACAATAAACAACTTACTCAATAGGTAGCTGAAGAATGATTCTCAGACGAGCTTAGTGTAAGAAGGAACTGGGATGTAATGTCTTTTTTACTCTTTGAATTCCCATTAGTCTCCTCATTGTAGAGTAGACTGTTTGATATTGCCCATAAGCAGAACTTAGGCAGTGTGATGTCTAGTACAGAAATGTTCTGCAGTATTAAATATATCCCATCATGTACTAAGAAGCTACTTCAGCAGCATAATAAACTAAACACCACTATGGTGTCAACATAAATGAGTAAATAACAAATAGATATTTAACATATAAAAAGAAAATTTTAGATTTTGATTTATTTATAAGGTATTTATAAATGTGTCCTTTTAAATTTAAAGTAATTTTTGAGGATGAGAAACTGAAAAGTAGGTTCCAAATATACACAATTTCAAGAACAAGAGGATTTAGAAACTTCCATTTATAAATACCTCCAAACACAGACAAAAATATGAGCTTAAAGATGTCTACCAACTTCCCCCATTCTGTCTCTTGTCTTCCTTTTTTCTTTGAGAATATTAAACTTTACACCCACATACTATCCTCCATTCTGTTCCTGAAGAGTCTTGAACTCAGGACCTAACAGATTTAAAGTTATAATAAAAATCTTATTTTTTTACAAGGCCATGTGAGTATCAGTTGGTACAACTGACAGTCAAATAGATATCAAACATTCAAAAAAAAAAAAGAAAGAAAAAAATGACATACCATAAAATAATTGACAAAGGTTTCACTCTTTGGACAGAGAATGCTAACTTCCCTCTCCTTTAGACTTCTCTATGAAGGTCATTGTCAACTCAGCCAACCTATTAATTTAGCTGCATATCTCAAAGTTGTGTTTCCTTCTTTATTACAAAAAGCCATCTGTGTGTGTGTGTGCATGTGTGTGTGTTATGTGAAAGAGAGAGAGATGAATTGAAAGAGAGTTAAAAGAAAAAATAATAATTTTAACAAAATCTACACTGACACAGTAAAATTCAAATAATGCAAAAACTGTGATAGTATATACTATATTATGAAATTGTGAAAAAATATGAGTGTTTTAAAGTAACTATTCTGAGTCTCTCTCTCATGCATTCACATATACATACACACATACAATTATACACACATACTCACAAGCTTTCATTCTCAAAAGGTAGACTAGAATGCTCAGAGAAGACCAGGCCATTCTGAAATCTTACCTGAAGTCTTAATGTTTCATCAAAGTCCCTAACTATGCTCCCCAGCAGTAGTTCCCCTATCTCGTATTCTCCAAAACTCTTGACTACAACATTTGAGAGGTTACTCCTTTTCCTTTATCTTCCATTAAAATATCTGAAGAGGACTCTAGAAAATATGTCCTCCTTCTAGGGGAGCAAGGGAGACTGGAATACATTTTCTAACCTTTATTCTGTCTGTAAAATATTAGATGTTCCAAAGTCATTTTAAGTCTTAAATTGTCATAGTCCATTTGAATCCAGTACTGTGGCCCTGTTGGCAGAATGATTCTCTAAAACTGCAATGGAATTTTTTAAATTGTTTTTCTTTTTTTTTTTTTTGTTATTTTTTTAATTTTTTTATTATTATACTTTAAGTTTTAGGGTACATATGCACAATGTGCAAGGTTAGTTACATATGTATACATGTGCCATGCTGGTGCACTGCACTCACTAACTCGTCATCTGGCATTAGGTATATCTCCCAATGCTATCCCTCCCCCCTCCCGCCACCCCACAACAGTCCCCAGAGTGTGATGTTCCCCTTCCTGTGTCCATGTGTTCTCATTGTTCAATTCCCACCTACGAGTGAGAATATGCGGTGTTTGGTTTTTTGTTCTTGGGATAGTTTACTGAGAATGATGATTTCCAATTTCATCCATGTCCCTACAAAGGACATGAACTCATCATTTTTTATGGCTGCATAGCATTCCATGGTGTATATGTGCCACATTCTCTTAATCCAGTCTATCATTGTTGGACATTTGGGTTGGTTCCAAGTCTTTCCTATTGTGAATAGTGCCACAATAAACATACGTGTGTATGTGTTTTTATAGCAGCATGATTTATAGTCCTTTGGGTATATACCCAGTAATGGGATGGCTGGGTCAAATGGTATTTCTAGTTCTAGATCCCTGAGGAATCGCCACACTCACTTCCACAATGGTTGAACTAGTTTACAGTCCCACCAACAGTGTAAAAGTGTTGCTATTTCTCCACATCCTCTCCAGCACCTATTGTTTCCTGACTTTTTAATGATTGCCATTCTAACTGGTGTGAAATGGTATCTCATTGTGGTTTTGATTTGCATTTCTCTGACGGCCAGTGATGATGAGCATTTTTTCCTGTGTTTTTTGGCTGCATAAATGTCTTCTTTTGAGAAGTGTCTGTTCATGTCCTTTGCCCACTTTTTGATGGGGTTGTTTGTTTTTTTCTTGTAAATTTGTTTGAGTTCATTGTAGATTCTGGATATTAGCCCTTTGTCAGAGGAGTAGGTTGCAAAAATTTTCTCCCATTTTGTATGTTGCCTGTTCACTCTGATGGTAGTTTCTTTTGCTGTGCAGAAGCTCTTTAGTTTAATTAGATCCCATTCGTCAATTTTGTCTTTTGTTGCCATTGCTTTTGGTGTTTTAGACATGAAGTCCTTGCCCATGCCTATGTCCTGAATGGTAATGCCTAGGTTTTCTTCTAGGGCTTTTATGGTTTTAGGTCTAACATTTAAGTCTTTAATCCATCTTGAATTGATTTTTGTATAAGGTGTAAAGAAGGGATCCAATTTCAGCTTTCTACATATGGCTAGCCAGTTTTCCCAGCACCATTTATTAAATAGGGAATCCTTTCCCCATTGCTTGTTTTTCTCAGGTTTGTCAAAGATCAGATAGTTGTAGATATGTGGTGTTATTTCTGAGGGCTCTGTTCTATTCCATTAATCTATATCTCTGTTTTGGTACCAGTACCATGCTGTTTTGGTTACTGTAGCCTTGTAGTATAGTTTGAAGTCAGGTAGTGTGATGCCTCCAGCTTTGTTCTTTTGGCTCAGGATTGACTTGGTGATGCGGGCTCTTTTTTGGTTCCATATGAACTTTAAAGTAGTTTTTTCCAATTCTGTGAAGAAAGTCATTGGTAGCTTGATGGGGATGACATTGAGCCAAGATGGCTGAATAGGAACAGTTCTGGGTCTACAGCTCCCAGCCTCAGTGACGCAGAAGACGGGTGATTTCTGCATTTCCATCTGAGGTACTGGGTTCATCTCACTAGGGACTGCCAGACAGTGGGTGCAGGTCAGTGAGTGCATGCACCGTGCGTGAGCCGAAGCAGGGCAAGGCATTGCCTCACTCGGGAAGCGCAAGGGGTCAGGGAGTTCCCTTTCCTAGTCAAAGAAAGTGGTGACAGATGGCACCTGGAAAAATTGGGTCACTCCCACCCGAATACTGCGCTTTTCTGATGGGCTTAAAAAACGGCGCACCAGATTATATCCTGCACCTGGCTCAGAGGGTCCTACGCCCACGGAGTCTTGCTGATTGCTAGCACAGCAGTCTGAGATCAAACTGCAAGGCGGCAGCGAGGCTGTGGGAGGGGCGCCCGCCATTGCCCAGGCTTGCTGAGGTAAACAAAGCAGCAGGGAAGCTCGAACTGGGTGGAGCCCACCACACCTCAGGAGGCCTGCCTGCCTCTGTAGGCTCCACCTCTGGGGGCAGGGCACAGACAAACAAAAAGACAGCAGTAACCTCTGCAGATTTAAATGTCCCTGTCTGACAGCTTTGAAGAGAGCAGTGGTTCTCCCAGCTCGCAGCTGGAGATCTGAGAACGGGTAGACTACCTCCTCAAGTGGGTCCCTGACCCCTGACCCCCAAGCAGCCTAACTGGGAGGCACCCCCCAGCACTGACACCTCACACGGCTGGGTACTCCAACAGACCTGCAGCTGAGGGTCCTGTCTGTTAAAAGGAAAACTAACAAACAGAAAGGACATCCACACCAAAAACCCATCTGTACATCACCATCATCAAAGACCAAAAGTAGACAAAACCACAAAGATAGGGAAAAAACAGAGCAGAAAAACTGGAAACTCTAAAAAGCAGAGCGCCTCTCCTCCTCCAAAGGAACGCAGTTCCTCACCAGCAACGGAACAAAGCTGGACGGAGAATGACTTTGACGAGCTGAGAGAAGAAGGCTTCAGACGATCAAATTACTCCGAGCTAGGGGAGGACATTCAAACCAAAGGCAAAGAAGTTGAAAACTTTGAAAAAAATTTAGAAGAATGTATAACTAGTATAACCAATACAGAGAAGTGCTTAAAGGAGCTGATGGAGCTGAAAACCAAGGCTCCAGAACTACGTGAAGAATGCGGAAGCCTCAGGAGCAGATGCAATCAACTGGAAGAAAGGGTAAAATTGTTTTTCTTTTAGTCATCTTAGCATACCTGTAGTTACATCCATGATATTTTGCATATGAAAGCCTATCTCTAAATTAAAATATAGTTTTATTAAATTATCAGACTTTCATGTAAAAGTCCATCCTTAGTCTCTTCATGGAGCCCTTTTGTCGAGCTGAAAGGAATTTTGGCATGTTGCTTAATTAGTTGGTTTCAACGAGGATATGAAAGCTATTCTCTGGATTTTGTCTAAATCAAAGACTGAGTCCTAATTGGACTTGTCACTCAAAACATTTCTTATCTTTTACAAGTTGGACATGAAAAATACTTACATCTTAATCCTGCAAGTCCGATAATTTCTGTTTTTTTCTCTTTTAATTCTTCTAAACTGGCCAGTGCTTTTCTGAGCTCATCTTTTTCTTGTAGCACTTTTTGTCGCTCTAGTAAATGTAGCTAATTAGTGGTTGGGGGAGAGAGTGATATGTTAGTAACATCACCAGGAGCCTGTTTGCTTTATCAATTGCCTTTTAGGTACTTGCAGCAAATAGTTTTACCAAATGGTTTGTTACTGCATTTTATTCAACCATTAATAATAAATCCCTTGCTGCCTGGAGCCTGCCTCCAAAACCAAAGCCACATAATTTAATAAAAGCTTTCTATTTATAAGTAATGATTACTTTATTACTTAGCTCTTGCTGGGCTAAGTTGTGATATCAAGAGACATGAAAGTCTCTAAATCATAATGATGAAAACAAAAAGATTCTCTTGATTTTCTCCTTACATGGTGGTAACAAGTAGTCTACTGTTCTGTTCAATGTCCTGTTTAATCCAGAACCCACAGTAAAGAGGCAGCCTTGTTTGACTACACAGTGGCCTCATGGCAG
Source organism: Homo sapiens (assembly GCF_000001405.40). NCBI lineage: Eukaryota > Metazoa > Chordata > Mammalia > Primates > Hominidae > Homo > Homo sapiens. The sequence goes on from NC_000007.14 coordinate 57,541,703, forward strand.
AGGGAAGAGAGCTGTAGCAACCATTAAATGGATCTTTCATCTTTTACTCAGAATTTGCAAAAACTTTAAATCATGTTCCATTAGCCCAGGTGTTATGGACTAAATTTTGTCCTCCCAAAATTCACATGCTGAAGCATATAACAGCCCATGTGAGTGTATTCAAAGATACAGCCTTTAAGGAGGCAATTAAGGTGAAATGTGGTCATTAAGGTGGGGCCCTAATCCAATAGGACTAGTGTTCTTTGGTTGTTTTATTTTTTTTATTTTTTATTTTTTTGAGACAGAGTCTGGGTCTGTCGGTCCAGGCTGGAGTACAGTGGCGCGATCTCGGCTCACTGCAAGCTCCGCCTCTTAGGTTCACGCCATTCTCCTGCCTCAGCCCCCTGAGCAGCTGGGACTACAGGCACCTGCCACCACGACCGGCAAATTTTTTGTATTTTTAGTAGAGACGGGGTTTCACCCTGGTCTCGATCTCCTGACCTCATGATCCGCCCGCCTCAGCCTCCCAAAGTGCTGGGATTACAGGCATCAGCCACCACACCCAGCCAGGACTAGTGTCCTTTTAAGAAGAAAGCAAGAGACACCAGGGATGTGTGCACCCAGAAAAAAGGCCATGCAAGGACACAAAAAGAAGGTAACCATCTGCAAGCCAAGGACATAGGCCTTGGGAGAAAACAACCCTACAGGCACTTTGATCCCAGGCTTCCAACCTCCAGAACTGTGAGAAATCAATGTTGTTTTAGCCTCCTAGTCTACAGTAGTTTCTTATTACAGCACAAGCTGACAAATGCACCAACAAAGTCACATCCTCAACCCTGACAGTAGCGGTGTGAAGTATATTCCTCCCACAGAGAAGCAGTGGGTGTTACATGGTATTAGCAAGGAATATATGAGCTGCTTTGATGAGGACAGCAATAATTTTGAATAATAATCTCACCTAGCATGGATATTTTGCTGGCTAAGAGTGAAGAGATATAAAAATAATTTTAAACTTGGTTCCAGTTTTCACTTGACCTAGTATTTTAATTGTAATCAGCAATTATTATCTAGACTGGTATAACACACATCCAAATTCCTAAAATCTGTAAGCTTTTTGATGGAATAAAAAACACGAAAACAAAACAGACTCCAAAAACACCTGAAAATATAACTGTAATTATTCAAAAGCAAAATTATTAAAGATATACTTCAAGTGTATATTTTTTGACATGGGCCATTAGTTGTGAAAATGTTAAGTTGTATAATAGGTGTGTCTTTGGACTCATGCGTGAAGCCTCCAATATCAAAAAGTCTTGTATCGTACATTCATATTTTAACAATTAATACATTGTCCCATATAAGTTAACATAGATATATGAATATTCACCAATCATGAGCCCTGTTCTTCATAATGTTTAATCTTGAAGGAGAGACAGAGGTGGAAACATACTTCCAATTATGAACATTGACTAATAAAAACAGAGACTTAAGGTTAAGATAGTAGATCTCCAGAGATGGTAGAAATGGATATTTTAAGAAAAGGGTAATAAACCCTAAAATAAATCTCAAAACTTTTTTCATTAATTTAAGTAGAAGAAATAGGATATTGTTAGCTACTTACTCATCTTAGAAATTCTTGCATGGTTTAATTGGCCCTGCATATACATGGAGTGATAGGTGGTAGTTCCCTCCCTCCTGCTCCGAATTAGGGGGCCAGAATACCACTTCCCTTCTTTTCTTACAGCCTTACTGGCATTACATTGTGTTTTGATGATAGCTGGTTTAAGGCAAAAGACATAAAGGGAATACTAATGGTCTACACTTACGTGGTTTGAAGAAATCATATATTGCTGTATATTAAAGGTATCAATGTAAATATAATTATGTCCTTTTGCTACATCAAAACTTGACTGTAACATTGAGGGCTATGGTTTTAAAACTGGTTATGTGAGCCGAAATGCATGGTTCTTGAAATTATTTCCACATTCCCTGAGGTTTAGTAGAAGCTTCAAATTTCCTACTGTTTCTCCAACTGAACTTCAGTGCTTATCTAAGGTCCATGTTAAAGTAGCAAAACCTTTCTTTTGAAAAAAAAAAAAAAAAAAAAAGATATCCATAGCTAAAGTGTAGTTGGAAACCTCCATGAAATTCTTTACCTTCACATACCATATTTTTATGTTGTTTCCTCTTTATAAAAATTTAAAACAATCTTGAAGCATTTTGTTGACTTTATTATGTTTTCTTTGCCCAGATGCTTTCTTCAGTCTACAACTCCCACATTTTACATAACACTACTTATCACATTGTACATTTATTTTCTTAGCAGTATGTAGAACAAAATTTCACAACTGGCCAGGAAACAAGGGCACAGGGAGAACTGGGGCAAATATAATATTTCGGAGTGTACCTCGGTGAGATAGAAATGTATCTAATTGATATAGACAAGGTCTAGATAATAAGAAAGAAGCAGGTGTCTCTTTCATGCACAATCCTCCACTAAAATCACTGGAAAGGGTTAAATTTTGAGACAGAAGAGACAACCCTAAAACTTCAGGATCTCGGCTTACTCTTGGTCATTGCTCATGTTCTACCAGACATTGTCCCAAACAGCTAAAAGTGTAAGCCTTGATCTCTGTGGTATTTTGTAACTTCAAAGCAAAGGAGCTCAGAGATGGAAAACTGAGGCTCAAAGAAGCCAGGACAACATGGTATCAGAAAAGAGGAACCCTTAAAATACCAATTGATCTTTCCTCCTACCTTTAAGTTGAATGGCTCATAAATTATCTCATATGTCTCTACATCTTACAAGAAACAAAACTATATGGTTGCATGGTCCTCTGACTAAAATTCCCATTAGAAATCTACAGACAAAAATCTCTTCTTCATGTCTCTCATATTAAGTCTAAGCTACATGTGACTTCAGTGAAGATGGCAAATAGCTGTTCCTCTTCCTTAAGCTCACCGTATATTTAACAAAAACTCTATTAAATAGCCCTTCCTCTCTCTTCTTTAACCTGCAATCAAATTATATTTTATCATTATTTTAGGTTGGCATTTATCTTACACAACTAGCCTCTTTTTCTGTTGTGTGTCTTTTTACAAGGAGTTTTGTAGGTCATAATGTGAGTCACTGCAACATGAAGATAAATTGTTCGGAGTAGGGAAAAAATAGAAAAAAAACGGGATTGACGAAGAGGAAAGGAAATTGGTCAGGTTAGCTAATGACCCAAGAATGTGAGAACATATATTTACTGATTTTTTTTTCTTCTTTCTGCATCTATAAAGTATCTCCATTTAACAACCTCCTGGGCTTACATATGTGTAACAAGAAAAAAATATTTGAAGAATACTTTACTGTCCCTAATTATCAATTTTGCCCTGGCAACCATCTACTGAAACTAATAATAAAAAGAACCATGATTTGTTTCTCCTACAGTTAGCTGAATTTAGTTAAATTAAAAATAAAGTGTTATTGACATTAGCTTCAGAAGATAAAGATCCAAAGCTGACTTGAGCAGTGAGTTAACCAGAAAGTGATTAAATTCTGTGAATAATATGATGGACCTTATGTCTGAAGATTTTTATATTGACTCTTCTTATGGGCCTTGTTTTAAAAGATCCCAGAACAAATATCTAACAATAATCTAAGGCAATGGCTAATGGAAATGCTACTTTTACAGCTCGAGGGTAACATATTTGTTTAAGAAATAGGTGTGCTAGCCTTCCCTGAGACTCTTTCCATAATTGAGTTGATCAATTGTATTTGTACTATAAATGATGATGTCTGGATAATGATTACTGACCCATATGCAGCTCCCAAACCACAGCAAACTTTGAAAATTCAATTACAAGTCCAGATGCTGTATACTGCATATGTAAACTGTTTCAGGAAGGAAGATTGCATATTAATAACTTAGTCTATGTGGGTTATCTCTGCAAGCTAGTGGATATTTTGCAGAAATAGTTCTTGGGGAAAGCAAAAGGTATACAGACACTAGACTGTTTCAAGTTTATTTCAACCTACAGCTACATTACAAGTTTACTCTTACAATTAGTATTTGTTTCAATTATTAAAATCTCTCCATTTTAAAAAATTACTTATTTGATTAATATCTTTCAAAGATAAAAATAAATCTGAAGTATCAAGCTGTGTATTCTTGATACCACAGAATATTATGTCATTTTTATGTGCTCAAACTGACTTCCTTCTGATTGTATAGAGTACAGAATAGCAACTGATATTTTTTGGAAAAGTGTAAAAACCAACACTTTGGTAAAAGAAGACCACCACCAACCAAAATCTATATCTAGTAGTAGAAACGTACAATTTTTAAAAAAATATTAGCATTTATTAAGTTTTACTGCTTATTATAGTTATTAATTCAATTTAACTATTTACCAATCATGTATTTTCTAGGCACCTCCTAGGAACCAGGATCTGTACTTGGTGTCCCAGTGATAAAGTAAAACAGCCTGTCCTTCCTGCACTCAAGGAGACAGCTCCATAAGTGGGGAGCTTTTTGAAAATGCAGAATTTGGGGAACTATTCACAGATATTTCTATTAAGTTACATTGAAAAAAGCCTGGGACTAGCTATGATCTCCTGTCTGGTGATTTGGATGTGATAGTCTCAAACATATTTTGAAATATACTTGCCCAAAGAATGGAGAAAGACCCAGCCAGCCCTCCTCATGTGGCTGCTGAGGTAGATATATGTATAATAAAAAAACTGCCAAAAACAAAGTCTCCTGTTCTTCTTTTTCTCATTTATTTTTTTCTACCACTTCAGTTCACATCTTATTTTCTTCCATTTAATAGTTTTCTGCTGTTAGACAAGACAACAGGAAATTTGGATGCTTCATTCCACACCAAATGAATCAGGACCTCCAGGTGAAAAAAAAAAAAAGTGGAGATCTGCTTTTTCTTTCTTCTTTTCATTAATCTCTATTTGGAGAAACACTGGTCTTGGAAATGAATTGACAAGTAACATGACCTTAGACAAATCAATTAAGTTTCTTGACCCCTGACTTTTTTTCATCTGTATAATGCTATTTTTACTAAGAATTTATTAATGTCCTTCCAGCTCTGATATTTTCTTATTGATTCTAATTACATTTCAGCTTTGTTCATTGTCTTTTTGATACAAATTCCTTTGATGGGAATCTCTTTAAACAAAAATTTTGAGATTTTAAAAAATTTTAATCTTTGATAACTTCTACATTTTTCATCCTCCTTATTTTAAATTTATTTTCTCTTGTTTACCACTAGCTAATCTTCAAGTCTTGAAGTCAGCTCAGATTGGAAAATATATGAAAGCCCAGTTCTTGTTTCTTTCCTATTTGCATTTGCTTTTTATAGAAATCTGGAAAAATTAACAAATTATAAAATGGTTTGTAATAATTATTTCAAATATCTTTTCTAGGGTTTCTAATTGCTTTTCATTCATTGGAGATGACAGTTCCAAATATATTCACCTTTGTAAATGAAGAGGATAGAATTTTAATCAGACGAATGAGAAAATAAAAGTGCTATGATTAGAAAAACTTGAGGATTATTCTAACCAGCAAGCGAAGATCTCTTAAAATCTTCAGAGGAATTGCAGAATTAAAAAAAATATATGTGGCAAGAACTCGATTGGATAGATAAATACAGGTAATAGATATCTTTGAGGTAAAATAGAACCTCAATTTAAATAGATTAATGTAAGAATTTTAAAAATGCTGATGAACTTGATATATTACAATAATCCTTTCTGGGCTGAAGGAAATAGGAATAAATAGGAGCAAGCCACAGTGAAAAAAACATACAATCTGTCTCACTGGGTGAGAGGGTTGTCCTGAAAACATCCGACGTCTGGAATGCCCTTGTCTCCAAGTATGCAAGTCCTCCAAACACCCTGAGGCTAATATAATGCCAACAAGTAAATGGACTTTGTTTATATACATGGGAACTTTTTAAGAAATCAAAACATTAAAATTCTTGAAAGCAGTATGACTGATCAATAACTAAATCTATCCATAACTGAGAATTTGCACAACCTGGGCAACAAGCATTTTCCAGGAATAAATTGCTGTTCATCCATAGTGTGTAAATGACTCTTCCAAAACAGTTTTAAGAGATGTCACCATTTTATCTTATTTTTTTTCTTCCTGTTCCATCTTCCACTGTCTCAAACTCTCTTTACTTCGTTCCTCAGGAACAGCTTTCATCTGCTCTTATTTCCTTTAAATATGTGATAATCTTTGCTCTTTGACTCTATTTTCCTAAGGTATGGTTGTTCTAATTAATTTTACCTCAGCTGACATTAGGAGCATTGTAAAAATTAATAACAATCTTACACAAGAATCTTTCTTAATACTATGAAATGTAATCAGGTTTACCATTTTTATAAATGTCTTTGTTTAGAGTAAAACAGGTGATGATATGGCTTTATCATCAAAGGATTCATCTCAATGCTAACCTAAAAAGAGAGGAAATTAGTTCTGATATAGGATCCAAACACAATTAAGCATTTTAACTCATGCATATAACAATCTCTTTATCTCAGTCAACTGCTACTCTTCTGTTATACAATGAATTTCCTTCTTTCAATTATTTTCTAAGCAGCATTCTATTTTTGGCATAAAATATTGATTTCTGTAAACAAAAATTCATGAACGTACAACATAAGCATGAAGACTTTAGATTTATGTATGATTTCTGAGCAGGGGCTGTTAATTTTGGTTGACTTTGAGAGAACATTTGAATTGATAAGTATTAACTATTTTTAAATCAGTAGAGACTGAGTTATATACATATAGATGTGTATATGCATATGTATGTATGTATTTTTCTTCTTTTTTTTAAATAATAGGAGTAATGGGGCAAGATAAACTCGTATAGACTAAAGAAAATAAACTTGTATAGACTAAAGAAAATAAGTTGGCACATTTGAATTGTAGTATACAAAAGTACAACCTATTATAAATGTATATATGTATTAAGTATGATGAGTAATTACTCCTGTAATAACTATGTCTCCGAAAATCCTTCCTGGAAAATTGTTTCCTCCTAAATGTGCTGCTGCAATTAACTTGTATTTTCCTATTGAAACACACACTATTGCAATATGCTATGTTGCTTCCTTGCTTGAGTACACGTTATTTGAGTAAACTTTGTGACAGCAGGGAGGGACCACACCTCTCTTTTTCTCATTCTTTTTTCTCCAACACCTTGTCTAATATATGAACAGAGTTTTGGCTTCATAAATACCTATTGAAATAAATGAGAGGCATATTTTAGGCCCTTGTCTTTCCTGCGACGTCATGCTCAACCTCAATGCCAGTAATCTGGTTCATTATTTTTTGTTATCTTTTTTTCTAACAGTGGAATAAGTGTTGCAGTGATTTTATATTATTATGTCCTATGTTATTGACCCTGACACTTCCATTGGATACCTTAACACCATCTGTTCTATGCATCACTGCAGAGAAAGGTTGATAAAAGATTGATACCTGTCATCTTAGGAAGTCATCTGTGCACTAGTTAAAGCAATTATAGGTGGGATGACAGTCTCTGAAAAATGTCCATTTTCCTTTTGTAAAGTAATTCTGTTGTTTATGTCATGTCTCCATTGATGAGCCCATTGTCTCTCAAACTATTCACTTGCCACTTTCTAATTTTATAATCTCCACACCTTTGGAATTTGCCAATACAACAGAGCAGTAGACAATTTTCTTGGACTTCATGCTTGATCTGCTTCAATCTATACTATTTGTTATAAACCTTCATGACTGACAGATCAGACCTATCATCTTGGATCCTCTGTAGTGGCATAATTTTGTCTTTGACAGATTATAACTTAAAATTGCTGAGAATACTCTGTCAACTTTAAAATGTATCTGTAATATTTACAAGTATATCATTCGTCTTAAGTACTACAAAATACCTTCCCCTTATGAGAGTCAGTTAACTATTTTTAACTAGTTGCATTAAAAAGTGAAAACTATTTTTCATTTCTAAATATGCTATTCTCTTCTAAGTAAATTAGGATAAAGTACTTTCTATTGAAAATCAAACTTATAAATCTCTTATCTTCAAACTTACTATATACTTGTGAGTTTTTTATGTTAGGGAGTGCTTGAGTACAATGGGAGATCAATATAAAACCTCATTTAAGAAACATTTTTGCATCTAAAATCATGCCTAATAGAAAGCTGAGGCAGTAGAACTGGTGAGCGTTCCTGATAAAATTCTTCTTTATGAGTAAAAAAAGTTCAAGACAAATGTATTATGAATCTGATTTTTTTCATATTTGTACCAAAATAAAGAATGTTACATTATGAAGTCATGGGTGGTTTTTACTGAGAGTGTTAAATTGTGGAGAACTAGTTATTTTCTCATAAGCCTTTTTTGTCTGTGGTTACTCTTCAGTTGCAATTGATGTCCTTAATGGCAGAGGAAACATCCATATCCACCATATCAGTCACATTCCAAGTAGCTGACTGTTGAATGCCTGGTGCATTAAGTAAGAGCCATCGGCCAAGAATGTTGAGAAAATTAAAGGGTTGTTAGAATAGAAAGAAAAAAGCTGAAAAAATATGGTTAGTGAGAAATGCTGTACAGTATCATCCTTTAAATTTGACAGAAAAGTTGATTTCATCGAGAGCAGAAGAGAGGTTACAGTGTCATTTTTAACATAAGTTGAATATGTACTTAATTTTTAGTAGGAATGGTATATTTTCTGAATTTGTAGATAACGTTTTTATTTAATCAGTTTCTACAGCCTTTCACCTTTCTTATGATCTACTTTATTATGACTATCTATAAATATTTACCATTTATTATCTTGTATATCTTCTTTTAAATTTTCTTACATGGATCTCTTCGAGTGAAGCGACCAGACAGTAGACACTTTTTATGAGTAGCTGTGATATGGGAGTGCTGGGAAGTGAAGGGCATGGTCCCTTTAAATGATACGGAAGTGGGGAAGGGAAGTGCTGGGTAAAGGAGGGCATGGTCCCTGGCTAGGGTTTCACCTGCCTTCTGCCCAAATGTTGCATTTCCTAAGACCACCCTTGGCCGCTATGCCTGCATCCTGTGTCTATAAAAATCTCTGAGACCCTAGCAGGCAGACACACAAGCGGCTAGACATCGAGAGGATGTCAAGAGGAGCAAGCAGGTGGAAGATACTGGCAGGCCAGCAGGCCATCGGCCAGCAGAATGATGCAGAATTTGGCCAGAGCAGTTGGAGAAGCTCCACGGCCCCACATCAGGGTAAAACCATCTCCCTTCTGGCTCCCGCATCTGCTGAGAGACACTGCCACTAAATAAAACCTTGCACTCATTCTCCAACCCCAAGTGTGAGCCAATTCTTCCAGTACATCAAGGCAAGAACCTGGAGTACAGAAAGCCCTCTGTCCTTGCAGCAAGGTAGGGGGTGTAATTGAGGTGGTTAACACAAGCCTATAGATGGCAAAACTAAAAGAGCACCCTATAAACACTCACCCACTGGGGCTTCAGGAGCTGTAAACATTCACCCCTGGACACTGCCGTGGGGTCGGAGCCCCACAGCCTGCCCATCTGTATCCTCCTGGAGAGGTCTGAACAGCGGGGCACTGAAGAAGCAAGCCGCTTCCCCTGTCACATGCCCTGCAAGGGGGACAAGGAAACCTTTCTCCTTTCAGGTGCTATCACATTACCTGTATAAGTAGTCATTCCACAAATGTAACTTGAGCTAAATTTAATAGATTATGGAGATTAATTGGAATAAAAAAATGCTTCAAGTATAATCATTTCTTTTCCTCTGTTATCTGGGACATAACCAACAGTTAGAAGTTTAATACTAAAAAGATGATTCTCACACAAACCTAGGATAAACATATTTTAAGATTATATACAACTCATTAATGAGGGAACCAAAAAGAAGGTAAAACTGGTTTAAAATACATTTTGGGGAACAGGCATATAAAGATAATGTGGAGAGAACTGTTAAAATAAGACTGCTAGATAAAATACAGCACTTGTTAACAGCCTATAAAACAATATGTTAATCTTTCATGTTTTCTTTTCTACAAAGAGAAATCTACAAGTTGGCATGTAAATTCATACAGTCAAAGTTACATACATATAATAATAGTTCTGTTGGTGTGTTTGTAAGCCAATGTTCAAGCTTTAATGTTCAAGTTTCAATGTTCAGTGTTCAGCATTGAAAGTTACTTCCGCACTCTGCTTTTTTTTGAAGTTTTTAATGATTTTTTTAAACAGAGTCAATAAACTCTTAAATAGGGCCTAATAAATATGTCTGCTTTTTCCCCAACTGTTTATATGGAAGAACTCTTAACTCCTTTATCCAAAAGAAAACAACTGCTATCATGTTTGTCTCTCTAGGCTGTGAATGGTAGACTTGAATCCCAAAATCCAAGAGCCAACCATAAACTGCAATCAGAATTTAAGAGGACTTAATGAATTCATTTTCTCAAGAATTTTGCAGAAGAGTCTCGGTAGAGGAATTAATAAGAAATCAGTCACTATAATATACAGACATTGGTGAATAAAGAGTAATAGATTAAGACCTATATAAGGAGTCTGGAGAACAAAAACAAAAATTTCTTTACCAGAGCCTTGGGGTGGTGGGAGGGGAGAGGGACACAAGGAGAAGCATATGAATACACAGCCATACTTGGATTGTTTTAATCTCATTCCAGTAGAATTGAATGACTGGTTTGCAAGAACATTGCTAAAGGTCAAAAGTATAGGCTGCTCCAAAGTAACCTCTGACTATCTAAAAGATGCTGTGTAAATCAAGGCCTCCAACATGATTGTATTAATAAATATGTTTAAATGCATATGCACAGGCAAAGACATGTTGTCTCATTTGTTAATTACTTCAAGGCGTTAGGTCTTGGGTTCACTAAATTTTAAAACTTGATATTTTTATGTATTACTGAATCTAAAAAGAAAAGCAAAAAATAACAAAAAAGCAAAATCTAATATTTTATAATACAAAGTGAAAAAAGGGCGTTATATCAAATTTGATGTACTGTGATACTAACATGTCACATCTAGTTAATCAGATGTCCTGTTAGGCTTCATTGCCTACATGCTACCATAACTAGAGGTGACAGTTTAGAACATTCTATGTGTTAAAAGACATAAATAGAAGTACATTCTTTACAGTATCAGGCAGGGAATTCTAAGTCAATTGGTCTGGGCTATCAAATACAAGTGAAAAAATTTCTAAGTGCACAAGAAAAAGGAAAAGCTTAGCTTCAAAAGTTGTGCTAGTGGGGTACTTTAATTATGCTATCAAATTATATTTGAAAGAGGACTGATTATTTCAATGCTGAAACATATACACACAAGGGCAAAAGATCATTTTTAAACACAGCAGGCTCCTCTACGTCCTGCTACAGGATCCTACTTAAAATGGCAAATGCAGATTTCATTGTGATGTTGATACTCTGTTTCTTCCCCCAAGGCTTGCTTTTCAACTTTTCTTGCTTGCAAATTTTCATTCCCAAGGCTTGCTTTTCAACTTTTCTTGCTTGCAAATTTTCATCCTATAGCGTTAAGCAAGCATTTAGAGGATTTCACTTGGGATAATTCATTCTCACAGTCAGAATCAGTTATGTGTGCAACAATGGCCTGTCTATTCTGACATTATTGGAAATGAAGAAATGATTTTTTTTTCTTTCAGCAGACGATAAGCCTTGTAAAATCTTTGTTTCAAACACCTTAAGAGTCCCTATGTATTTTCTAGCAACTTTTAGCTTAAAGTCTTGTACTGTTTGGTGACATGTTCAGCGTAAAAAGTATTTACATCCTACAGATTCAAATAAAAAATTGCTATAAATCATAGGCAAAAATTAGTGGTTAGATCATCTGTTAGAATATCTGCCAATGACAAGGTTATTTCAATATCTAAATTGATTTTGTATGTTGAAAATAAAATGCTACAACCCTTTTCTCTGGAGGGCAAATTTAAAAATAAATTTAACCTATTTATAGGGCATTAATTTAAAAATCAGTTACTTGGTTTACAAATGAGATGTGGAAGAACTACAGAATGTTAGAATTTAAGTTTTTTTAAAAGTATTGAGTCTACTATACATCTTATTTATGTTTTTTTTGGGATGAATATACATTTAAACAGGGACAAGTAATTTTTCTAAAATATAAATTGAAAAAATAAAAGTGAGAATCTCCAATGGGTAGACATAATTTGAGCACATTGGTATCACAAGTTTTAATACCTAGCCTTACAATTTCTAAAGAATGTATTATTAAAGAAATAAAGAAAATCATTATTTAAAAGATGGAGTAAACTTTGCTCCCCCAGGCTCACTTCCGATGTCCTTGATTTTTTTTATACTTCCTATTTTAGATAATTTCATCTTCTTATTTTCTGTTCACAATATCTTATGCTTCTAACTATGTTGCTAGCCATATTTCATCTATGTTAATAAATATCTAAAGATATCCAGTGACCTTTAGATTACTTCATTTTCATTGATAAGATCCTAATTCCCAGCCCCAAGTTCTTCCTTCAGACAATGCTGGGTCTAATTTTAAGAATTTGAGAGAGTAGAAGAATAAGAAAAAGACTTGGTGTTCGGGACAAGGGATACATGTTATAGTGACACAGTTGAGAGTATCAGAAAGTGTATAGAACTAAATTGGCCCCACAATAGTGGATGGCCTTAATGCTTAACAGCAATGACCCCTACATAGGAGAATTTCAGGTGACAATTTTATTTTCAGATTAATTGATTAGTTGGCTTGCCTTTATTGGATAATTTTACTATTCTGGACTTGTATTACCTATAAAATATTGGCGAGTTCATTTTTAAAAAAGACAATAAGAGATGACTGGGATTCCATATGATATTTGGAGTAGCAGAAAAATCCCCAATTAAACAATGACTACAAACTATTGGAAGCAAATCTAATGAAGTTCACTGTATCTACCTGGAATACATGGATTTGGGAAGAAAAGCTTAATCAAGCCATATAGACCTAAAATAAACAAAAATAAAGGCATTTGCAACTTTTTCTTTCAATAAGTTTTTTTCTACTAATTTTTCATGTGTCCCCAGCTTCAGCTTATTACTTGCCGCTCTAGTCTTCCCCTTCTTTTTTCATTATTCAAACTTAGTCAATCACATGTTTTTGTCTAATCAACTTACTATTTATTGATCTCCTAAAGAAGACATTCTTCATACATTAGAGCCATGTTCTACTGTTTTTATCCTAGATTGATAGTACCTCTCACTTATTTTCATGTTCTAGGCAATGGGTAGCTTTCTTCTGCAGCTAAAATATTCTACGACGCTATGATCAAAAGTGCCATGAACAAAAGTGAATGGACTTTTAATGATGAGAACGTGGGGTTCACTAAGTGTGTTGCATTCTATATGTAAAATGTAAGTTTTGGAGTCAAGATTGGAATACAGATTTTAACACATATTACAATCTACTATTACAAACTAAAAGTAATCTGCCGTTGCTTTTAGTGGCAAAACCACAATTGCTTTTGCACCATCCTAATACTTTCCATATATGATCTTAAATAGAAAGATATAACTAGAGACTTACTCATATTTAAAATGAAGATAAATAATGTTAATTATGAAGTTGTCTTATTTTATCTAAAGAGATAATATGTAAAAGTTTTTAGCACAGTGTTTGAAATATAGTAAATTTTCAAGAAACATATTCTCATTACTAGTTAGTATTTTATACTGTATGTGTATATTTTTGGAAAGAGTATGCAATAAATGTTTAGCAGTTCCTTTCTCCAATTTTCTTTGATGGAATAATGTTTTTAAGTTTGAATCAATGAGGTGTAGGTGAACCTGATAAATCTGCAAATTCTAGAAGTTGTCCATGACCCAGTTCTGACTAGTGTATTCTAACTGGATGGCTGTAATTAATTTGTCCAGATGTGAACATGTGACCCAATCTAGATGTAAAATTAAATCTTAGCTATTCCCTAGATGAGAGAATTAAAATTCTGACCACATCATTTTATTTCCTGACTCTAAAACTAGCTATAATTCTAGACTTTTTAGTTATACACAATTGTGTTTGAGAGCTATCTCATATCAACTTATGAGATACAACTATGAAATTATTAGAAATATTTTGAGGTCATTTTTAGACACAGAAATTATTAAAAATAAACATTTTAATTTATAATTAAATTATATTAAAAATAAGGAAAATACATTTAAATTTAAATATAAAAATAAATTTAAATTTAAATTCATCACTTCCTAAGTATTTCGCTATATTTTGCTGTGATTTATGCTACCGAAAATATTTACATAGATGATGTTTGTATCATGGCAACACTAAATAATGGCAAGCTAAAGTGCATCTCTCCAACTTCCTATTAATGGTCTCAGGTTGTAGCTTGTAATTCAGTCATGAAGAGAGTATTTACAGCATGAAAATTAACACCGCATATCAGGGTTTGATTTAATATTTTGTTGATTGTGTAGAATAAAAGTAATTAATAAAAGTAAAAATAAAGAATAAAAGTATGTTAATAATGCAAATTATTTTTTAAATTATGTCTGTAACCATTACATTGTGAACTGCCCCAACATACACGGACATATTATCCTTGTATTAAAAAATTCTGATTCTCAGAAGAGTGTATCATTGGTGAACAAGTAATGCTTTTAATGCTACTTTTATCTTACCACTAATGTATATAAAAATAGTAACCAATATTCATATTGAAACTCTATTTATTTGCTAATTGCAGTCAGTTATCTATGGATTTAAGAGTTTGGCAAAAATTAACAAAAACTCCCCCTGAAAAAGGAACTAATATTTTATTACTTGTGCGTTATATGCTATGCATCTTCATATTAGTAAAACATAAAAAAAAGTTGCATATAAAACTTTTTTGAGAGATAATTCTTTTTTTTTTTTTTTTTTCTGAGACAGAGTCTCACTCTGTTGCCCAGGCTGGACTGCAGTGGCGCAGTCTAGGCTCACTGCTAGCTCCACCTCCCGGGTTCACGCCATTCTCCTGCCCCAGCCTTCTGAGAAGCTGGGACTGCAGGCGCCCGCCACCATGCCTGGCTAATTTTTTTGTGTGTTTTTAGTAGAGATGGGGTTTCACCATGTTAGCCAGGATGGTCTCGATCTCCTGACCTCGTGATGCACCTGCCTCGGCCTCCCAAAATGCTGGGATTAGAGGCATGAGTCATCACACCCGGCCAGATTCTGAAATTTTAGAGAAGCTACAAGCCTAGCCAAAAAAAGGCTATTATTGCTCAACCTCTAAGGCAAATTCTGTGATGTGAATCTCAAGTTGTTACTTACTGAAGTATGACATTTATCAGAAAGACAACTTTTCTCAATACCTTTCTAAAATATGATCAACCTTAAAAAAAAAACAAAACCAAGACCGATCTATCTGATGTCTTCAAGAGACCCATCTCACATGTAATGGCATCCATAAGCTCTAAGTAAAGGGTTGGAGAAAGATCTACCACACACATGGAAAATTTAAAGGTGAAGGAGTCACTATTCCTGCATCAGAAAAAACAGACTTCAAACCAGTAACAGTAAAAAAACAGCAAAGAAAGGCATTACATAATGATAAAGGGTTCAATTCAACAAGAAGACTAAGCTATCTTAATTATATTTGCACCCAATATTGGAGCACCCATATTCATAAAACACATACTTCTAGATCTACAAGGAGCCCCAGACAGCCCACACAGTAATTGTGGGGAACTTCAACAACTCACCAACAGTATTAGACAAATCATCAAGGCAGAAAACTAACAAAGAAATTCTGGACTTAAGATTGATATTTGGTCAGCTGGACCTAATAGACATCTACAGAATTTTCCATTCATCAACGACAAAATACACATTTTTCTCATATGTATATAGAACGTATTTCAAGATGGACCACATGCTCAGCCATAAAGCAAGTCTCAATAAATTAAAAAAAAAATAGAAGTCATACAAACCACATTCTCAGAACACAGAAGAAAAAATATAAATCAATGCCAAGAAGATATCTTAAAATCACAAAATTGCAAGGAAATTAAACAACTTACTCCTGAATAACTTTCAGGCAAACAACAAAATATAGGCAGAAGTGAAAAATATTCTTTGAAATAAGTGAAGAGAGACAAAACATATTAAAATTTCTGGGATATGGTGAAAGCAGTGTGAAGAGGAAAGTTTATAGCTAAACACCTACCTCAAAAATTTAGGAAGATTGCAAACTAATGATCTAACATCACATCTAGAGGAACTAGAAAAAGAATAACAAGCTAACTCCAAAGCTGGCAGAAGAGAAGTAGTAACTAAAATCATTGTGGAGCTGAATGAAATTGAGACCTCAAAACCCATACAAAGAATTAACAAAACCAAAAGTTTATTTTTTGAAAATATAAACAGGATTGTTAGACCACTAACAGAGGGAAGGTCTAATTATGCACAAACAGAAATGAGAGGTGACATTACAACCAATCACACAGAAATACAAAAGATCCTCAGAGACTATCATAAGCACCTCTATGCACACAAACTAGAAAATCTAGAAGAAATAAATTCCTGAGAACATGCAATCTTCCAAGATTGAATGGGAAAGATATTGAAACACTGAACAGACCAACATTGAGTTCTGAAATTGAATCAGTGATTAAAAAAAAAACCTACTAATCAAAACAAGTCTGGACCAACTGGATTCACAGCCAAATTCTACAAGATGTATGTAGAAGAGTTGTTACAAATTCTTCTGAAACTATTTCAAAAAATTAAGAAGAAAGGACTCCCCCACAAGTCATTTTACAAAGCCAGCGTCACCCTAATATCAATGCATGGCAAAGACACAACAACAAAGAAAACTACAGGCCAATATCTCTGATTAATAGAGATGCAAAAATCTTCAACAATTTACTAGGAAACCAAATTGAATAGCACATCAGTTAATTCACCAAGATCAAGTAGGCTTCATTCCTGGGATGCAAGGTTGGTTCAACATGTGGGATTTAATAAATGTGATTTACCACATAAACAGAATTTGAAACAAAAAAAATATGACCACCTCAAGAGATGCAGAAAAATATTTCAATAAAATCCAACATCTGTTCATGATAAAAATTCTCAAGACACTAGACATTAAAGGTACATGCTCCCTAATAACAGCCATCTATGACAAACCCATGGCTGACATCATACTGAAGAGGCAAAAGCTGGAAGCCTTCCCTTAAGAGCTGGAACAAAATATGGATGGCCACTCTCACCACTCCTATTCAACATAGTTCTGAAAGTGCTAGCCAGAGAAATCAACAAGAGAGAGAGAAAAAAAAGAGCATCCAAATAGAAAAAGAAATCAAACTATCTCTCTTCACCTGATATTATTCCGCACCTAAAGACTCCTACAAAAGGCTCCTGGAACTGATAAATTATTACAGGAAAGCTTCAGGATAAAAAAACCAATGTACACAAATTAGTCACATTTGTGTACCCCAATAACGTTCAAGCTAAGACTGAAAACAAGAACATAATCTCATTTAAAATAGTTACAAAAATTAAAATACCTGGAAATACATCTAACCAAGGAGGCAAAAGATCTCTAAGAAGAAAACTGTAAAACGCTGGTAAAAGAACTCATAGATGACACCAATGCAAAATTATTCCATGCTCATGAATTGGAAGAATCAATATTGTTAAAATGACCATACTGTCCAAAGCAATCTACAGATTCAATGCTATCCCTATGAAACTATGAATACCATTTTTCACAGAATTAGAAAAAAAAAACTATTCTAAAATTCATTTGGAGCCCCTAAAAGCCTGAGCAGTCAAAGCAGTTCTATGAAGAGAGAACAAAAGAGAAATATCTAATATCCAAATTGTAGTTGTAGGTAAGCCATGGCATTTTGCCTATGCCCTTTCCTTTTCACTCCGAAGTAGGTTTTACAATTCCAAATGTCTCACGTACGTGCATACATATCTGTGTATGTGTGTGCATGAGTGTGTGTAAACTAAGAAAGCCCTTTTAGTCCACATTACCTGGGAGCAATTAATAGTCATATGATACATAAAAATAAGTATAAAAAAATAAAAATTACCTTTACAGAAGCTAAAAATCAACAGAGTAAAAATCAACACTCTTAATATTCATAGAAATGTGGAGACACACCATCTATTTCCATAAGATGTTCAAACAATGTTTGAGTTAAGCTTCTCGAATTCTCAACAGTTTACACAGATGTCAGTTCATAAGCAGTACACATAGAACACGGAGACAAGTATAATTCCTGAAGGGTTAATTTACAAGTGGATGGATTAGGGTTGGGGTACAGATACCACAAAGGATAGTGAAGTAACCTGTCACTTCCTAGCAGCCATTTCCTTACCACAAGCACATCTGAAGGAGAAGGTGCATTACTCAAAATCAGAAGTAAAACATCTTGTACAGTCTGTGCTTTGTTTGAATCAGTGGTTAAAGATGTAGCTACTTACAGGGAAGAAGCAAGATGAATTAGTATGCTGGTCTAACTCTTTATCCTTCGCAGCTCCTGTTAAGGGTTCACCATGAGCTGAGGCCATTTAGAAGTCAGAGGACCCAGAAGACATAATGTATGTTAAAAAAGGTAATGGGAAAAAGTGGCACATGAATTTAAAGGAGCAAATAAGGTATCTTTCACAGTTTAGAAACATTAGCTTTCATAGGGATCTTTTTCAAACACATACATGAGATAGTGTCTCTAAAATGCTTAGGACAATGTCTGGCTTGCACGGAAGAGGTTCTAAAAAATTATTAGGTTCGGCCGGGTGCAGTGGCTCCCGCCTGTAATCCTAGCACTTTGGGAGGCCAAGGCTGGCGGATCACCTGAGTTCGGGAGCTTGAGACTAGCCTGACCAACATGGGGAAACCCCGTCTCTACTAAAAATACAAAATTAGTCGGGAGTGGTGGCGCATACCTATAATCCCAGCTACTCGGGAGGCTGAGGCAGGAGAATCGCTTGAACCCAGGAGGCAGAGGTTGCAGTGAGCCAATATCATGCCATTGCACTCCAGGCTGGGCAACAAGAGCAAAACTCCGTCAAAAAAAAAAAAAAAAAAAAAGGAAAATTACTAGATTCATTCTTCTTTCTATATTTGCAAAATTTTCCAGCAAGAATGAGTAAATAGAAGAATCAAGGCCCCTTTTCTCTCAGAAGAAAGCATTTACTGTGTTAAAGGAACACAAGCTGCATGTTGATGATACATCATTACATAAATATTTGACAATATTTGCTCCTTTATGAAGTAATTGGCATCAAGATTTAAGCTATCAAATACATTTACTATGTGCCATTTTGTATAAAACATATTTATATTGCTTTGAAATGAGCAGATATTTGCAATGATAGTGTCCTTGAGTGAAGATGTTGTGTTCACATTAATTTGGTCTGATAATTATGGGTAGCAAAATCTAATGGTTGTGGGACACAAACTCTGTTAACATTGCTAACTGAGGTATGCATTCAACTATTTTTGAATATACTTAATAGTTTTTGATGCTTCCTGGTGTACTTCTTGCTGTGGATTTCAAACCAGCATCAAATATCTTGTTTGTATATACATATATTGGGGAGATATAGCGAAGTAAATAGTTTCTACAAGAATCCATGTCATTGATTTCACACCCTGATAGGCAGCAGTTGTTCCAGGATCTCTGCTAAAACTCCTCATATCTAATAGCACTGCAAATAAGAGAATGGACTTTACTCATGCCAAAGTCAAACAGAATCCTCTAAAAATTTAAGGGAATAATGGTTTTAATGCAAATATTTCTTTTTTGATTTCTAAAATATAGCTTTAGAAATTTACTTGAAAAAATATATATGGTCTACTCTTGAAACCTTGAAGAAAAATCTGTCCTGAATTTTTGTACATTTTTTTCTCTAGACATAAATGAAAAAGCATTTTAGAAGACTACTTAACCAGAACTGTTAACGTCTAGCATCTTTCAGTTGTATGTGATTTGGGAAGAGAAGAGGAAAGAGGTAAGGTATTAGATACATTTTTGCCAATGACAGTTAGTAGACAAAATTAAAATAACATGGACATAACATGTCTAGCCAAGGACAATTTCATTAAAAATATCTGTTCAGCTCAAACCAATATAAATCTATTTTATACAAAATGTTATACAGCAAATATATTCAATAGCTTTGATCTTGATGACAATTACTTCATAAAGGAAAAATATTTCAAACATTTATGCAATGATATATTGTCAACATGCAACATGCCCATGCCAAATATGTACTTCATTGTTTTCATTATCAACAATAATTCTTTAAATCTCCTCTTGTTCTAGCTGCCACTTAATTTGTCAGCAGAATTTTCTAGAAAGGTGTTAGAGAACAAGAATGTTTTTTAAAATGCTGACAAAAGAGGAAAAGGACATTATTAGGAAAGAACAGAGAAACAGTGGTAATAACCAATTTTAACATTTTTTCAGAATACAAAAGTAAAAATTAAAAAATGATAGTAGATTCATGTTATGACATGTAAAAAAAGTATGCTTAAGAAGTGTTTCTATTTTTTGTTTTGTCTATCTACTAGCAAACTCCTCTGTCTGCTATAAAATGCTGCTAGAAAAAGATGTTATAGAGAACTTACAGATATTTGTATAATTTTATATCTCATTTTAAAAAGTATGCCAATGACCAATAGATGTATACTAATTAAGGTAATCTGCGTGGACCAAATTGAGCACCCCAGATTTCAAAAGGTATTCAAAATAATTTACCTATGTGTATCTTGATTCTGGTAGAGGCTGTCTGTAGACCTGGTGGTCAGTGAGTAATTACATCATAGTAAAAATCATGTGGGTTCAATTAAATAAAATATTATTTCCTTAAGAATATAACAGTATGCCTCAAATATGTACAAAATGTATTTCTACTCTGATATGTAAAAACCCACTTTTCTAATATATTGTGTACAAGAAGCATGACGGTTTGATGTTGCAAACCGTAGTTGGGTGGTCTGTTAGATTTTACAATAAACATACTGCTCTATAGGATCATAGAGGAATGTGTGGGAATCAGGTAAGAGTGATGAAGTGAATATATTGGCAACCTGGAGGTTTGAAAAAGACATCTGAGCAACTCTTGTAATTCTTTATATTTCCACACTATATAGCAAAGGCAGAACTAAACACAGAAAAAAAAAATGGTAATAAGGCAAAAAGGAGAAAACATGATATCCTTTCATTGTCTAGCATGATTTTTGCATGATACATGAAATAAAAATACAAAAAAACTTTCATAAGCAATATAATCTAACTTGCTTATAAGCAAAAAAAGCTGTCTTGATCATTAATATCATGTTTAATCTAAAATAATTTTCATTTAGGGAATTTTATAGATTCTTTGAAGTATCAAAATATATCTGTACATAATTATAGCACCAATTATATGAGTTGCAGAGGTAAATTCTGCTTGAGCAAACATAAGAAAAGAGCATATGTTTTCTTTTTTTTTTGCTTCAGACATTTTTTCTTTTTAGAATAAAACTCTCTTCAACCAGAAAAATATATTTCAATATGGTTTTTAATTTAAAAATAAGTCATGTGGTTTTTCATGATTAGTCCCTGATTTGAAAGCTTAGTCATTTGGGAAAAAATAAATATTGTTCAATCAACACAGTATTTTCTTCTTTAAACCTTTTATTCACATGGCTTTTAGTTTACCAGTACCAATCCTGAAATACCTAAGACTGAGGGTTTAAAAATTTCACATCTTTAATATTTTTTTAAATTAATATCCCTTTTAAGACCTAGAACTCATTGCCTAGTGAATTCCTTAATGTAGTCTCCAATGCATAATACATAGCTAAGCTTCCTTTGGACAGGTAATACCTCCTTTTTGATTGATTAAAAGGAAGTAATAAAGTATTAAGTAAAACACTAATTGAAATATAAATATTTTAGATTAGATAACCATCATAAAAATTATTCATACATGAAATTGAAACCATTTCACTGCACGTATTTTACTGATTACAGAATTTGTAATGCATGTTCTACCCTGTGAAGAATAAAAATACTATCTTTCCAGAGTATCAAATATGTCATTGAAAATTTTATAGAACATGCTGCCTGGGAAGAAGTAGGATCACTTGACATTGTTAAACATTAGCAAAGACAGAAATAACAGCTTGTGCCAATGCAAATTGCCTGGAAGTTTGTTGATATAGATGAACATGGACAGATGGTTTTCTGTAAGCAGTATCATCATTGGTTTTCTACTTAACAGAAATGAAGGACCTCATATTTATGATAACATATTAGAAATCATGAGAATGAAGTTGCTCATTTTTCTTCTAATACTTTTCTCTATCAAGTAGAGACACTACTAGGAGAGTGCCTAGTGAGTACTTACACACAGTGTAAAGTTATCCATTCTGTTTAGGTGATCTTGCCTATAATCATGGTCCAATATAGTATTCCACTCTTGCAGTAAAGAGTGGTTATCCATCCATTTTAAAAGTTCTAAGTCTATATCCTTATTGGAGGATGCAGACAGAAGAGGGAATTGTTTGAAGTTTATGAGTGTAGAGTAGGGAAAAGTAACACATGCTTGCATCTTACTTAAGGGTTTTCTGAGTGGTCATAAAATCAAACCACCTGTTTAGGGACGTACTTAGTGGTAACAGAAACCAATAAGACAGAACACATCTTCAACGTTCCCAGAAGGAGAAGATGCATAAAGAGCTATCACAAAAGGTTAAAACTAAAGGAGAGAAGAGGGATCAGTGAAACAGGAAGATATATGTACAGTGATAGTTCTGAGAAAGGTTCTTTTACCCTAAAATGGCTTTTGTTTTTATTTTTTTGAGACAGAGTCTGGTTCTGTCACCCAGGCTGGATTGCAAGCTCCGCCTCCCGGGTTCATGCCATTCTCCTGACTCAGCCTCCCGGGTAGCTGGGACAACAGGCACCCACCACTATGCCAGGCTAATTTTTTGTATTTTTAGTAGAGACGGAGTTTCACCGTGTTAGCCAGGATGGTCTTGATCTCCTGACCTCGTGATCCGCCTGCTTCGGCCTCCCAAGGTGCTGGGATTACAGGCGTGAGCCACCGTGCCCGGCCCCTAAAATGGCTTTTAAGTGTTTTCTTGAATGAAAACACCAGATATATTCAACAGCAATACTAACACAAAAAGACTTGGCAGCTGGGCGCAGTGGCACAAGCCTGTAATCCCAGCACTTTGGGAGGCTGAGGCAGATGGATTCATTGAGGTCAGGAGTTCAAGACTAGCCTGACCAACATAGTGAAACACCATCTCTACTAAAAATACAAAATTAGCTGGGCATGATGGCGGTTGCCTGTAATCCCAGCTACTCAGGAAACTGAGGCGGGATAATTGCTTGAACCTGGGAGGCGGAGGTTACGGTTAGCCGAGATAACACCACTGCACTCAAGTCTGGGTGACAGAGCAAGAGTCCGTCTCAAAAGAACAAAACAAAACAAAAAGACTTGGCAAACAAACCACTGTCGTTCTTTGGATAACAATGTTTTAACCATTTCCAATATAAGGTCCAAGTGTCCAGACCCCCACGTCTGTAAGAGATCATTGCTAGTCACAAACGTTCAGGAAAACAATCCTAGCTTGTACTTCCTAATAACTAATTAGAAGTGTCTCTTCTGCAATTTGATTGAATCATCTCCAAGGAAAACACTGTTGTAAAAAATATATGTATATAAGTATATATAATTATGTATATATGGGTACAATTTTAAATACATTTCATTACATTGATGTGCTCTCAAAAATAATAAACATGCAAACTAAACTCCTAACTGTTGCTTAGACAATACTATAGATACATGTAGTCAATAACCTTTCTCCTGAACTGTAATCTCAATGAAATAAACTGATCTTTAACCCAAAGAAATGTGAACATCATCAGTATGGGATTATGTTTCCTTTATAATGGCTTTAATCAAGTGTCACTATACTGCTGAGTTTTAACTACAATTGCATTAAATTGCAATTTACTTAAGAATATTCAAGAGTCCTTAAATTTTCAAAATATAAATACAACCTAACTTAAAACTGATTTTCAACAGAAAATGTTTTTACCTTGTATTAAAATTATTAGACACACTATGATTACCCAACTGAAACCTGGTTCCAGTTAGATATTTTTCTGAATCCAGATGCTAGTAACATATAATATCTCTGTACATAACATCTTTACAAGATATTTAAAATATGACATATTTACAATCACTTATTGTTTTTGCTACCAATTGACTAGTGAAAATTCATACAATATCCTCATTTTTCAAGTAATAAGCTATTTTATAGTAGTTAGCATTGAGATTGCTCCACAATCCATTTTCCTCAAACTATATTTTCTTCCTCTGAAATCCAAATTAATCATAGATGATAATATCTTTTGTGGAAGTAGAACTAAGGAGGAGATTTAATGGGCAATTAGTGGACAATTATGTTAGCTCTTTTTAAAAAATTAGAAGACTTAATTTTTAAAACAAATTCAAAATCTTTTTTAAATTTGAATATCTTATCAACTGCTTGGATATGAAAACTTATATTTTTTTATGTTTCTACACTCTAGTTTCGAGTTACCTTTGTACCATAATCTATTATGGACAAAAAATAAAAATACCTATAGAGCACAAAATTTGAGAAAGAATGAAACATAATCCTTACCCCTTCACCCTTTCTATAAAAATTATAATAACAAGAATGATTATAAAAATACATATGTAGCATAAAAACTATTTTCAAATCCTGATTCTATTGCTGATAATAAGGATATGGTATCTCTTTAAAAAGAAGATAACTGTGGCATTTTAAAAATATAGCCACGAATACTTTGAATGTCCTCACATCAAAGGGTAGACATCATGTTTCTTCCTCTGTTAGGCTGTGATTGCGTAAACCGACTCAGCATTAAAGTAATTCTATGTGACTTCTGAGGCAAGATTATTAAAGGCAATACATTGACCCATTAACTGAAACACTCAGGCAAGCTACCTGTATGATTCCATGCTGTGAGGAAGCTCAAGTTACATGAAGAAGCAATATTCAGACACTCTGGTTAAGAGATTATTTTGAGCCCAGCCTTTAAGTCATACCAATGCAGGAGCCAAACATGTAAATGAAGAGGCTTTCAGAAGATTTCATTGTCCAACGTTTAATTCATTCCTAGACATCTAGGACTTCTCAGAGGCCCCAAATACTGTAGACCACAGAAATATCACCCCACTTTGCATTTTCAACCCCGACCCCAGAATATATGATGACAAAATGATTATTGCATCACGCCACTGAATTTGAGTAGTTTGTTTTGCAGAAATAACTAGCAGAAGCAATCACAAATAGAAATGTTTTCTTTCTCCACAGTTTGGAAGACCATCACAAAAAGGAAAGAAGAGAAAATGTGACATAGTACAAACCTGAGTCTTCCATTTGATAGCTGTAAATTTTAGTAGTTGGTATGTAAATCATGAATGATATTCTGATATTCTGGGCATTTATGAGAAGTTAAATTAGATAGCATAATTAAAGTATCAGACACAATTGTGCTTTCAACCAAAAATGCATAGTTATTTTATCCCTCCCCTTAGTATTAAATAAATTTTAATAGGTCTTTTTATAGGTGAAACATTATTGTCAGAAAAGAATTTCAAACTATATAAATGAGAAAAAAATAATGTTTGGCTTCTTTGAAATTAAGGAAAATTTCATAGTGCAAGAGGTATTGGTAACGCAGTCTACAGACACAAAAATTTCATTCATTTTTATAATACATGACTGTCTCACAGGAAGAATACAAAGTTTGAGATACACAGGTAAATAAAAGGATTGCATTTCCAGTCCTCATGGAATTTAGAATCTAGCAGGTAAATAAATGGGAATCACAAACAATTTTTAGCCCGATGAGTTTTTAATAAAGACCACAATACTGTGGGAATATAGAGCAGCAAAATTTGCCCTTGTCTCCTCGAAAATAAACCATTAAACTGATTCAAAGTAATAGTGGCTAGTAAATATTAGAGAAGTATGCCTTGAAGAAGCAGCAATAGACATAAAAGCTGTGAGAAGAATGCAGAACATCTTAGTGAAATCGAGAGACAACTAGTGTGTTTGGGTCGTAGACACCAGTAAGGGCATGTGACTGGAGAGAGAAGTTAGCGCTATATGAAAAGGACCTTTAGTAGATTACCGAATTTCTCTTAAGGGAAATAGTACATTATTCAAAGGGGTTAAACAAGTGATTTCAGATATTTGTTTTAAAATGTTAGCTAAATAATGCACAATCTATATGACTCTCCAGAGTAAAACTCTTAGAGATTTTCATACTTTTTTTTCTGTTTTGATGCTCATGACATACCCTCATTCAAAAAAGGTTTGGGCATTATTCTTCTATAATTATACAATGGACATAAGAATACTTGATTTATGATTTGTACTGCCATGACCTGATTTAGGAATCAGAAATATAAAGCCTTTTTATCACATACATGATTCAATTGGCAAAACTATTTAAATTTATCACTATGTTGTTTCATGATTTAACAAAAAAAAAATCCCACAAAATGAGTTTACACTCTAAACTGTATTCCAAGTATAGCAGGAAATTTCATAGAAATATATTTAAAGAGGATTAGTTAAGTTTTGAAAAACTATATATAATTACTAAACTGAAGAAAATATTAAATTAGGATAAACCTCATTATTTTTGTCATAGTATCAAATGTCTATATATTTGCTTCACATTTAATATTGACACTTGTAGTTTGAAAGCCTCTTAGTCTTTCTTGCTGTCTAATGGATGTTTGCTTAATAGGCCTTGATACTATTGTAGGCTTGAATTTACATAAATCTTACCTCCAGGACACACAATATGATAACTACCTATCCTATACAGAGGGTCCAGATATTCTACCTATGTCTTTCTGGTCTCATTCATAGAACTTACTTCTACTACTAGTACACTCTTCTCATGAGAAAACAAATAAAAAACAAAAACAAAAAGAAGTCTACTTCCTCTTCACTCTCTTGCTTCTGCTCCCTGTCTCGTAAATTCAATGTGCTGGTTCTTTGCTCATGGAAACATTGCTTGGATCCAGAATGTGACTTTGCTTTCTGTGGTGTTGGCTCTTCTGCTAGCTTCTTTCCTTTTATCCTTTTATTAAAAATTATTCTAACATATTTTCAGCATATTTTCTACCAACATTCATCAGAATTAGTAAGGAATCTCTGATTAAAGTTAAGCATTATGGCTATGTAAGTTAAATGAAAGTTAAGTATATTCAACATATATAAATATTGGCATACAGCATAGCATCCAAGGACATAGTCTTGAAAGATAATTAAAACACTTATAACTTTGATATGTGAGCTTGGTATGAGAATGAAACTGCACACACACACAAACGTAACATTTACCAGAAAATTTTCAAGTTATTTTTTTCAAAGGAATGTCACCTACTATGATCACAAAAGTTGGATGTCAGGAGTAATTAATTATCTCATACTTTTAGCCACAATGCTTAGACAGTAGGAATTAAAGTTTAAAATTGGGACATAAATCTGGAAAAAAAGGTTAAGTTGGCTCTGTGGGATCTTATGTATAACTAAAAATGCTTATATTTTTCATCAAACTATTCTCTTTTAAAGGTTTGCTTTACAGCCAATTAGTTTTGCTGTATTATGAGTCATATGTTTAATAATGAGAAAAAAACACGTTTTCTATATGTTGTTTTAGAAGAGATGGAAAAGCACTTCAGAATTTTGTCAGAAAAAAAGAAATACCTATCAAAGTAATTTTTCACTGTTACAAATTCGAGTGTGTCAACATCTACTCTATATATTAAAGTCTATTCAACACATGCATAAATAATGGAATTAATAATATAAAATATAAATGACTGCAAATAAGTTGACAAATTGTTGAAAGTTATTTGCTAGAACATGAAAGTCAAATAATAAAAGTTGGGGAATACCAAAATATCATGTGCTTATCTGTCTAGGGAGATTGATTACTTAATCCACTTCTTTTTAAAGCTTCATGAGCACTCAAATATATTGTAATTCTTTCTGAATGAAAAGATAATATTCGTACAATGAATGTGAGGGTTTCATGTTGATCTTCCTATTGTCTTTTGTTTAACAACAAAACAACCTTTCAAACATAACAATATAAAACAAAAATTATTTGAGTACCTAGCAGACTTCTCATGGAGAAAGAAAGGCACTGAGACCCAATTTGCTGTAGAGTGAGATTCCAAAGTATATTTTAGAAGAAAGAAGAGAAATTAAAGAAAGCCTTAATTTCCTTGCATAAGAAATAAATGCAGAAGTTCCACCTCTAGAATGGCAATGTGAAGAGCTCCATGGATCTTTTAAAAAATTGTTGAAAATTATAAAACAACCATGACCTATGTCACTTGAAAAGTCATAATGGTACGTAGAA
Source organism: Homo sapiens (assembly GCF_000001405.40). Classification (NCBI taxonomy): domain Eukaryota; kingdom Metazoa; phylum Chordata; class Mammalia; order Primates; family Hominidae; genus Homo; species Homo sapiens. Next base: position 57,570,157 of record NC_000007.14, read on the forward strand.
AATGATGAAGTATTTATTCAAGAAAATCTACTGAAACTAAGAACAGTGAGAGTTTTTTTCCATTTGATCCACAATCCGTTCTTACCTCTCTTTCTCACAGCCTATCTTGATACAAACTCTACTCAAGGCAACGTAGCCAAGTGGGGTCTTTTTACTAGACCCCACTGGGGGGCTATAGTATCTTTCTGGGAGTAACAGTACATCAGAATTTTTCACTTCAACCCCCACCTGCTGCCACTACTTGTTCTTGAGATTAAGCTTTTGTTGAATGTGGCCAAGAAGTAGGATGTCACTTCCTCCTACCAGCTCTAATTCCTGAAATGAGGACTGTTTGGGTGCAACACACTGAGAACACTGAGCCCTGACTGCCTTCTTTCTGGTTTGTCTGTCAGGCAAAGTTCTCATTCCAGGAGTGGCAAACTGAGATTGCCAATGGCTACTTCTCATCCCAGTGACCCAGTCTCAAAGTAGGGCTGTCACTCCTAGAAGAGAATGCTGCTCTCTTTGCTGCAATCATCAGAGCCAAAGCTCAGAAGTTTTGCCCAAAGGAAGGGGCAGAACATACAGCACAGAGTGTAAAGCTTTTCCCAAAAGAAGAGTTTGGGGAAATTCAACCATAAGGGTACTTCAAAAAACAATGAACTGATGGTAAAAAGCAAATAAGAGAGACTGGCACTTTATTACAGACATATGCTTTGAAACAAAAGTCAGCTAGTTTACCAGGAATAACCCAGGAAAAAGACAGCTAAGAAGAGCCCTTCTGGTGTCAGGAAGAAGTTTCAAATGCTGAACAAATGAAAAGACCTGAAATAATAAATAAGACTGTTAATACAATAAAAGCTGTAAATACATAGTACGTTTCTTTTCCTCTCTTTTTTTAAGACATAAAATTATGTCGTGTGTTAGTCTGTTCATGCTGATATATATATATATACACCAGAGACTGAGAAATTTGTAAAGAAGAAATTTATTTCTCATAGTTCTGCAGGCTGGAAGTTTAAGATCAATTTGCTGGCAGGTTTGGTGTCTGCTGAGGTGCCCTGAATACTGCATTTTGCAGAGGGGGTGAATGCTGTATTTTCATATGGTGAAAAGGATGAAAAGGCAAAGGGTACTAATTCCCTCCAGCCCTTCCATAACACACTCATACCATCCATGAGGACAGAGCCCTAATAGCCTAATCATATCCTCAAGGTTCCAGCTCTTAATGCTGTCACATTGAAATTAAGTTTCAACATGAACTTTGGAGGGGACAAAACAACAAACCATATCATCAGGTAACAGTTATAACAATAAATTACTGGGTATATAGCATATATAGATGTAATGTGTACAGCCATAATAGCACAAAAAGAAGGACAGCCAAAGTATACAAAAGTGAACAAAAGTAAAATTTCTATATACATATGTCACTAGAATTGTTATGCATCTAAAATTGATTGTGATAAGATGCATACAGTAAACCCTAAAGTAACAGTTAGGGGAAACATTGAAAAATATAGATAAAATATTATTAAATTTAAATTAAATGTTTTATAAAAAATACCTAATTCAAAAGAAAGCAGTAGAGGAGGAATAGAGGAATGAAAAGACATAAGGTATACAGAAACTGAAGTAAAATAATGCATGTAAATCTAACTATACTAGTAACCTCAAGTGAAAATGAATTTAAATATTCAAATAAAAGACAGATTGTCAGACTGGAGGAAAAACAAATTAAATAAACAAGATCCATCTACATGTTGTCTGCAGGAGACACACTTCAGATCCAAAGATGAAAATTCATAGAAAAAAAAGGATGGAAATGTTATATGATGCAGGCAGTAACCACAAGAAAGCTGGAATTGTTACATTAATATCAGAAAAAATAGACTTTATAAAAAGGGTTACAGAGGTAAAGAGAGATATTTCATAAAAATAAAAGGGCCAATATCTCAAAAGTAAATAATTATAAGCATATATATGTGTGACAAAAAGACTTCAAAATCCATTGACATAGAAACCTCCAAAAATGAAGATTAGACAATTTAACATACTTCTTGCAGCCTTTAATACTCACTTTCACAAATGGATAAAATGACGAGGCAGAAGATCAACAAAGAAATAGAACACTTGAACAATACTATAAAATAACTAGACTGATTAGATATTTAAGAAACACTGTAACAACAGTAGATTCTCAAGTGCACACGCAACATTATCCAGGAATACCATATCCCAGGCTATAAAATAGACCTCAATGATTTAAACATTGGAATAACACAAAGTATATTTTCAGACAATAATTGAGTAAAATAATAAATCAGCAATAGGAAAATTTGGGCAACTCAGAATTATGTGGAAATTAAACAACATTCTATTAAATAACCGATGGGTCCAAGAAGAAATAATAAGATAAATTAGAAAATACTTTAAAAAAAGATAAAATACTTTATGAAGGCATAATATCTCTTATGTGATGCAGTAAAAGTAGTTCTCATACTCAGAAATGACATTCTCTAACCTGCCACCATAAGGCACTGAAAAAAGAAGAGCAAATTAAAACTACAGCAACCACAAGAAAGTATTAGGGATATACAAATTAGTGAAATACAAAATAGAAAAACAATTGAGAACGTCAACAAAGCCAAAAATTGTTTCTTTGAACACATCAACAGTGGCCACAATTTACATAGACTGACCAACAAGAAAGAGAAACTATTCAAGTATTAATGAAATTTTTAAAAGGACACTAAACTTAAAGATATAAAAATTATTATAAAATTACCTATGAACAATTATATCTAAAATTTAGATTTTTTTAAGAACTGGACAAATTCTAAGAAAGATTCAAATTAGCAAAAATGAGTCAAGGAGAAATATAAAATCTTAACAAGTAAAGAGATTTAGTAATCAAAACTACCACCTCAGGAAACAATGACAACAGCAACAAATCTTCTAGCCAAGAATGCCTCTACCAAACTTTCAAAGTTGAATTAATACAATTATTTACAATCTCTTGCAAAAAAAAAAAAAAGAGAATACACTTCCCAGTTTATTCTATGAAGCTAGTATTACCCTAATAACAAAACCAGACTATAGCGTCAAAAAAAAAAAAAAAAAAAAAGAAAACAAAAACACATAACAATATCTTTAACAAAAATCGATGGAAAAAATCCTCAGCAAAATGCTGATGATCAAAATCCAGCAATACATGAAACATATAATGTACTATAACCAGGCACGACTTATCTCAGGAATGCAAGAAAAATGTAAAATGCATGCATCGTTACATTAACTAGAGTCAATTATATTGAGTTTCATTTTCCCTATTGATTACCTACTAAGTTGCTTCCAGTTTTACAGTTATTTCGTACTGCCATTCCTAGACTCATATCTGGACTGTTTCACAGTATCGACTTTAGAGAATATAGAGGAATAATCTTGGAAACAGAGAAACAATATTGTTCATTGATTTTAAAATCATATATATACACACAAATAGTCAAAAAGTCATTTTAGCCAAAATGAATTCCATGTCAATGAAAATGAAATAACGAAATGATACCATCAATCAAAAAGAGATGAGAAAATGGAGGAAATGAATATTGGAAAATAGAGTCACTGACTTAATTGTTGTATTTCTAGTGAAGCAGGTAAACAAATTAAATTCTCTTCTGTAGAGTTATCCAATCTAGGGCCCCATGTCTTTAACCTGGCACCAACAAAGTACTAAAACCATATAACAAAACATTCTTTTATTAATTCCATATTCATCAAATGATTTTCTGGTATACATTTGGGTCCTCATGTAACTTTGTCTATCTAGAAAGAACACTTTTGTTAATTTAAAAGGAATATTTCAGTTCCTACAGCATTTCTTTACATTAACTGGTTTAAACACCAATCTCCGTTAGTTAGTATACCTCTAACAAAAACTGGATTAATAATCAGGTATCTGGGCAGGAAATGCTGTGCCTCAGGGTCTACTAGCAGTGAGTGAGTAAGGAAATGATTCTTTGTGTCTTTCTGTAGTAAGGCATTCATAGCTTCTGTTTTACAAAGCATAATTAAAGCTACCAATATTTTGGAGCCATAGATCATCAGTAAAAGGCTGTATTTGTGTGCAGAATATTTGATATAAAAAGTTAAGGCTTCCAGTCTTATTTTGTTATAACTTTTCTAATTATATGGTATTGTATTTTCAGATATCAGTACACACAATGAAAACAATTAAAAAAAAAATTACCATTCACAGTTTGCCTTCTTTCCATCAAATTGGTCTCATGTCATATAAACGTAGTTTATTTTAGAGATGCAGTGTTCCTTTGTATTCATAGCATCATCACTCAAGATGGTAATTATGGTGAACATTTGGGTCATTACACTGGCTTATCCTTTAACAAATTGCTATGAAACTGGATCTTACCCTTAAGCTCCAATGTCTGTATGGCCTTGATAATATAGAAAATGCAGTCCTCATTGGACCGAACCTCAGGAAATGAATAAATGGCTATTTGGAGTCCTGGCTCCCTTTGTGCTTTTATATTCCTGAGGGCATGGTTTTATAATACTTCACAGAATAAGACTAATTGTGAAATATTTGGATGTAAGTTGATTTGGATGTCCCTGATTACACAATATCTGCATTTAAGACAAGACACTATTTTCAATTATGATTTTGTCAGGTTTTTGAAATACAGGATTGACTTTTAACAGAAACTGTTTGTGTGCTGGCATAATACCATTTGTGCTTTTATATTTATTCTGTATATTAAAAAGGGATATTAATTAACTAAAAGGGTTTTTGTGCTTATTTTAGACAATAAAGAAATTTATTATGAAAGTTTACTCATAAATATGCTGGACAGTCATTTCATAATAAAGTATGACATTCTTTTATTTATGTCTCCCCAGGGGTAAAGATCATTCAAGCAGAACTATCTCCTGTATTAGTATTTATTCACCTAAATAGACTTTTGGTTAAAATTTTAATGAAAAGTCATGCTTATATTACTGCATAATTTTGTATATGCATGGATATTTATCTGTTCAAAGTAGAGATGTAGTTGACATGAAGGGATGTCTGCCTAGTTCACAAAAGTATGACCATGAAAATATCATTTCTATGATCCTCCCTCATTAGGGAGCTATCCCTTTGTCACTCCAACCTTGAAACTGTAATGTCAGAGATTATAGTATCTACTTCCCTGTGCAGTACTTTTTGATGCAAGCAATAGATCCATGATCTGAGAATAGTCAAAGTGCATCTCAGATTTTTCAAGAGTTGGAGACAGTGGAGGTTTTACTTCTGATGGTATATGTTGTAAGAATGAGTCTGTATCTGTCAGTGCCAAATTAAGTAAGATGGAATAAGAATAAAGCTGATGCTCAGAGAAGGGGGAATGAGAGTTAGAGGTATTACTGACTATTTAAAATCCGTCCTGAGGTCAGACCCACAAATGCATTTTGTTATTTTATTTCAATACTGATAAAACCTTCTTTTTATGGTTATAGTTAGTTCAAATTAGTTTTTTTCAATTTCAATTGAAATAACAGGTGTAAAAAACCACAAAAGTATCCCATTTCCCCTTGCAAATGTATTGTTCTGAAGCTAGACTGATGTTGAAATACTCGAGGTTAACCTAAAATGATACTGTTTTACTGATGCCTTCATTTTTAGTATATTTTCCTTAGATTTTACAAGAGGTAAAAACATCTACTATAGATGTGTTACCTTTTGAGGTTGCTTGTAGTCTTCCTATCTGGTGTGTGTGTGGCTGGGACAGTGGAACACGATGGAAAGACTGAAAATGATACAATTCCAAAAAGCTGTTTTTACAGTGTGAAGCCTAGCCTCCGAGTAAAATCCCAATACTATCACGCAAAAAATTACTAGGTTTGCACCATATATTAATAGGTTGGAAAACTAAAAAGGCCTATGAGGCCCTATAAGAACCACCTTATTAGTGTTTAATAAAGGTAAAGGTAAAGTACAACAGAAAGAAAATGCAGGAAATCATTGAAAGTCTGTCTTTCAGGAACAGAGCCTTTCTCCCTAAAGATCGTTCTCAGTCTCATGGACACATTTTATCTGTGTATCATGAACCTTCAAGATTTGAGCTTACTATAATAATTTAAGGGAAGTGCAGAAAAGTCTTTATAGCAGGCTCCCTCATACATTGTTGGTCATATACTTCTTAAGCCAAGTTGTGTAAACCATCAAACTCAACATTCTCAACGATGTAGACCAGTTGGCACTAAACTTAAATCAACATATTATGAATCACTAACTAGCACATGCCATTTTCATCTTGCTCACGAATCAGTGTTATGTTTCCAATTCATATCTAGATATAAATATCAAGCTGTTCCAGTCCAACTGTAAGAGAGCCCTCTCTTATGTAGCCATACATTAACATATGTGAGAATATAAGATGTGTTGAGGAAAAAGTATCAAAGGATTGAGAAATCAACATAAATTTTAAGAAGAATTAAGAGGAGACCAGGCTACATTTAATGTCATCAAAGATAATTCTAGTGCATTGGCATTATTTTTTCACGTGCCTTTTCTCTCTTTTCCCCTCGACAGATTCTCTAACTAGTTTTAATCAATTTTATAGAATAATTTGCGTATAAGGCACACATTTTAGTCCAGTTCAGTTTTACAAATTTATAAAGCTAGATAACCACCTACACAATCAAATATAGAATATTCCCTTCACCTACACGTTTATTGCATGACCTTTGCCAATGAATTCCCCACTTCAACCCCAGAAAGGTTTAATGCATTGTCTTTATATAATTTCAAATTTTATTTACATGGAAGCATACAATACTTATTATTTAGTATCTGCCTTCTTTCCTCTAGTATCTGATAAAAATTCACGTTTAATTTTTTTTTTTTTGTACAAAGGAATGACAATCCTTCAATTGTAAAAGCTAAAGAACATGCCACCCAACTAATCACATGCCTTAGGGTATATTTCTGAAAAATAAGATACATATTTTAAAACCAACTTTAATAAAACTCAGGGCTATTAAAGTATATATACAAATACAACACTAAAAAATAAAGTTGGCCAGGCGCGGTGGCTCACGCCTGTAATCCTAGCACTTTGGGAGGCCGAGACGGGCGGATCACGAGGTCAGGAGATCGAGACCATCTTGGCTAACACGGTGAAACCCCGTTTCTACTAAAAATACAAAAAATTAGCCGGGCGTGTTGGCGGGCGCCTGTAGTCTCAGCTACTTGGGAGGCTGAGGCAGGAGAATGGCATGAACCTGGGAGGCGGAGCTTGCTGTGAGCCGAGATTGCGCCACTGCACTCCAACCTGGGAGACACAGCGAGACTCCGTCTCAAAAAAAAAAAAAATAAATAAAGTTACGTTTCCAGGCCGGGCTCAGTGGCTCACGCCTGTAATCCCAGCACTTTTTGAGGCCGAGGCGGGCGGATCACGAGTTCAGGAGATTGAGACCATTCTGGCTAACAGGGTGAAACCCTGTCTCTACTAAAAATACAAAAAATTAGCCGGGCTTGGTAGCCTGCGCCTGCAGTCCCAGCTACTCGGGAGGCTGAGGCAGGAGAATGGCATGAACCCGGGAGTCGGAGCTTGCAGTGAGCTGAGACCATGCCACTGCATTCCAGCCTGGGCGACAGAGCGAGACTCTGTCTCAAAAAACAAAAAACAAAAAAAAAAGCTTCTGCAAAGCAGAGGAAGCAATCAGTAGAATGAAAAAACAGGCCAGGCGCGGTGGCTCATGCCTGCACTCCCAGCACTTTGGGAGGCTGAGGCGCGCCAATCATGAGGCCAGGAGATCAAGACCATCCTGGCTAACATGGTGAAACCTCGTCTCTACTAAAAATACAAAAAAAGTGTCCGGGCGTGGTGGCAGGCGCCTGTAGTCCCAGCTACTCGGGAGACCGAGGCAGGAAAATGGCGTGAACCCAAGAGGCAGAGCTTGCAGTGAGCGGAGATCGTGCCACTGCACTCCAACTTGGGCGACAGACCAAGACTCCGTCAAAAAAAAATTAAATTAAATTAAAATTTAACAAAAATGAAACAACCCAGATAATGGAAACAAGTATTTGCAAACCATGCATCAGGCAAGGGGTTCATACACAAAATATATAAAGAACTGAAACTACTCAAAAGCAAACACACAAATGATCTTATTTAAAAAATCTACCCCAAAACTTTGTCCCCCACCATTATTTCCCTACCTTCTTTTCCTGACGGACTTTGGCCCCCTCCCTCTCACCACCCTTTTTCTTTCACCATCTGCCCCCAAACTTCTTCATCATTTTTTGCCCACCCTCATTTCATAAAGCCTTCTCTACTCTCCTGCTCAACACCCTTTTCCGCATCCATCTACCCAAACCCTTTCCCCAGTTTCTTCCCACCGTCTTTTCCCCTATCCCTGGCCACCCTCTTTTTCCCCGTCCCGCTCTTATCACCCTCTTTTGCTCCTTTATCTAAGCAAAAACATTTTCCCCCGTCTTTTCCCAAAACCTTCTCTCCACTCCTGGTGCTCACTACCCTCTTTCCCCCCTTCATCCAACCAAAAACTGTTTTCTTCATCGTCTTTCCCCCGGTTCCCCATTTCCATTCTCCTTCCCTTCTCCATCTACCCAAAAACATTTCCCCCCATCTTTACACAAAGCCTTCTCCCCATGCCTATTCACCTCCCTGTTTCCCCCTCCATCTACACCCCAAAACTTTCCCCACAATCTTTTCAAAGTCTCCCCACTTTACCACTAGTGCTCTTCTTTCCCCCCATCCTGCTTGCCACCCTTTTTTCCCCTCCATCTACCCCAAACTATTTTTCCATTGTTTCCCCAACCCCCTATCCCTGCTCCCTCTTGCCACCCTCTTCCTTCCTCCTTGTCACCCTCTTTCCCCTCTCCATCTATAGAAACACTTTTCACCCACCGTCTTTTCTTTCTTCACTGTCTTTCTTTTCTGCCACTGTCTTTTCACAAAACCTTGTCTTCCTCCTGCTGGCTACCCTTTTTCCTTCTCCCACTTGCTACCCTCTTTTGCTCAACCCAAAAACTTTTCCCCCCTACTGTATTTTCTCCCCACTGTCTTTTCACAAAACCTTCTCTCCCTACCGCTCGCCCCGTTTTCCCCCATCACCTCCCTCTCTTTCCTCCGCCCACTTGCCACCCTCTTTTCCCCCTCCATCTACCCTTTAACTTTTTACCCACCGTCTTTCTGCAAAACCTTCCTTCCCTCCCGCTCCCCGTGATGTTTTTACCCCTCCATCTACCCAAAAACTTTTTTCCCCACCATCTTTTCACAACGCCTTCTCCTGCTAAGCTATCCTTTTTTCCCTTTGGCACTAACTACCCTCTTTACTCTCCTCTATCTATCCCAAAACTGTTTTCCTTCTCCTACCGCTCCAGTCGCGCTGCTATCTCTCCATCACTGCCAACAACCGCAGCAAGGCGAGCCGCGTTCACGTGGCTCCAGCCTCCAGCATACGGCCACTGACTCCTGATTCCTAGTCCTCTACGTTGGGCAGCGACCAACTCGACATGAAGATACAGGAACCTGAAAAAACGTTATCTCTCTTCAACATCATTTATATACTGCGGTAATGCCCACGGTGGTTCCTGGACTGCATGTCTTGATTGGATGAGAAAAAAACCTCCAGGCTTACTCTGATTGGACTTTATGATCATGTTCTGGTTGGATGAGAGCAAGTCTTAACACAACCAATCACAGCATGAAAATAAAGTCCAATCAGAATAGGCCTAGAGGTTTTTTTCTCGTCCAATCAGAACATGTAGTCCAGGAACTGCATTTGCATAACCTCATATATAAAGCATGCTGAGGTCGCATCAGGTCATTTCAGGCTCTTCGGTGTCGAGCAGAGGAGCAACTCTGTGCCCAGCTTAGAGGACTGAAAGAGGCCACAACCTTCCGCCTGCTGGAGGGTGGAGGATGGATGGAGCCTGGAGCCTGGGTCACTACCTTGTTGCGGTTTGTGGTGGCGATAGAGCAGTAGGATGGTGGCCGGCAGCAGGAGCTTCTGCTGATGGGCTGGGGGACTAGAAGGAAGAGGCACTGCCACGTGCTGGAGGCTGGAACCTGTGCCACCATGGCTCGCCTCGCTGTGGTTGGTGGTGACGTCGGAGACTGCAGCTCAGCCACAGTAGTAGAAATGTGATGGGGTAGGTGAGTTTTCCGGGCCTGCCCTTTATGTCTCTTGGGGCAAGGGTTGGGTGTCCTATTGGGGCTTACTGCTAGAGGCTACCCTGCCTGTGGCAGTGGTCTGGTTGGGGGCACTCTCCGGGGTTGCATTGCTGGTGGTGGGGCAGGTTGCCTGGCTATCTGGGGCTATACTGCCCGTGGTGGCAGGGGTGGTGGGGGGAGGCAGATTGTGTACACTAGCTTGTATTGCTGGTGGCTGGGGAAGGATTAGGGGCACTATCTTCTGCTGCACTGCCCGCAGCAGGGGGTGGGTTGGGTGGAGTTATGCGGGGCTACAATGTTGGCAGTGGGGGGTGATTTAGGGGCGTTGTTGGGTGCTGCATTGCCTGTGACTTGGGGGTGCATCATTAGGAGCTGAACTGCCCGTGGCTGGGTCAGATTGTGGGCACTATTGGGTGGTATGCTCCCTGAGGTGTGGGGGAAGTGCTTTTGGGGGGGGTATTGGGGTTACATTGCCTGAAACTGTAGGGTGTGTTGGATGTGCTATCTGGGGGCTACACTGCTAGTGGCAGGGGGCAGATTAGGGGTGCCATGGGGGCTACACTGCCAGTGGCATTGGCGAGCTGAGGAGGTGGCAGCAGCAGCGACAGCAGTGGCCTTCTTCTTCTCGTAGCTTCCAAGTAAGGGATCGTTTTCCTCTTCTCAGACTCCAGACTCCAGAAGGTGATTTTCTCCCCCTCGAGCTGGATTGCAGGACAGGGCCTCCACACCCACTGTGGTTTCCCGGCCTGCCCTCATGCTTTGTGTTGTGAAGACCGCCTGGGACTACCGGGCAGGGTGTAGTAGGCACCATGGGGGAAGTGGGAGACAGGACACTGTGGGTGGAGGTGTCAGGAATGGGAACCAGCCCTTGGGTGGGGAGGGCTGGCTGGGTCTGAGTTTCTCCTACTCAGGCTCCCCAAGGAGGGCAGCCTTGGGGGGCCCAGCAATTCCTGGCCAGCTGGACTTGGCCAGGGGCCGGTTTCAGTGAAGGCACTCACTCCCACCCCAGGCCCCAGGTCCTGGCCAGCTTTTGCCAGAAGGAGAGGCTGGACTTTGGAAGGTGGGTGTGAGTGCCTTCAATGAAACTGATCCTTGACACCCAGTCACCAGCATAACGAGGTGAGGCTCTAATGGTTCCAATCCCTGAGTCCTGTTCTGGGCTTTTCTGGCTTTGCCTGCCCAGCTGCTCCAAGCCAGGCTGAAGGAGGAGAAGGGGGAGTTGCCTGTGGTACGGTCAAGCAGATGATGTGGCTGTGCAGCTTGCCTCATGCAGTTGGTGGTGGAGATGGAGACCACAGCTCGACTGGAGTGGTAGGAGGGCACTCACGGGGGCCTGGTGGTAGGAGCCTGGTAGGGTGGGCTGGTACGTTGAGGGTGACTGGTTGTATTGGCATTGGCACAAGTGGTGGTAGCAGTAGGAAGTCTGGGGGCCAGGAAGGGGGAGTAGGAGCACTGCAGGGCCCATCCCATTCTGGGGTGGGGAGGAACCTGTGGGTGTTGTAACGAAGGTCTCGGTGGCAGTGGTGGTGGTACACCTAGGGCAAAGAGGAGTCCTCCCTCTTCTCCTGCAATCTCTGGAGTATGCCCTCCTCCTGCTTGTGCCTGAGCTAGGCGTGAGTGGCAGCATTATCTCATTCTTAACAAAATTTAGGGGGTGACTATTTGTGTATCCTTTTGCTTGTTCTCTGTTGTAATACTCTTGGAGTTACTCAAATTTTATGAATCGAGGAGGGGATAAAAGGTATCATAATAGGCCTTCCAATTCCCCACACCTGTTCTTTTTCCTTTCTTCCATTGTGTATTTTCTTCTCATTTTCTTGTTCCTCTTCATTTTCTTTTGCTACTGCTTCTATTTCATGTTTGTATTCTTGTTTCTCCTCCTGTTTTTGTTTTTTTATGCCAAGCAATGGCCTTAACAAACCAAAACTGAGTTAAAAATAAAATACTTGTCACTGTTGTATTTTTTAAATAACTGATCCCTTACTATGTTTTAGAGATGAGGGAAAAAAAAGTCAGTTGTATAATTAGTTACTTGAATAGCTATGCTTTCATAATTGTGTTAACCCACTTATGCCTAGTGTTCCACACTAAGCATGTGGGAATTACTTATATCTTACTGCTAAATGTCATTGACAAGGTCTGATTTTTCACTTACGCAAAAATTCAAAAAATTGTAACCTCTGGCATAAATAGGCTAATGCGTTGTAAATGTTATTCAAGGAATCAAAAAATGAAGCATCACATAAAATATTGGTAGCAAACAGCCATTTTATCTCTCTCACATATTTTTTCTGGAGCTATGCAAGAGTCACAGGGGTAATAAGTTCTAATTTATGAGATGATCAATTGAACTGTATTCCTTTCAATTTTTTTCTCTGTCCCCATTTTCAAGAGTATTGTCATCTGCATGAGCAAACCTGGTTCATCACCACAACTTTGCAAGAGGAAAAAGAAGGGGGGAGAGTCATATGTATAATGTTGTAAGGCAAAGATTCACAACCAAAAACAAGGTTTTATTAACTTTTGCCTTTAAGAACCTGCAATGTTTAGCCCTCTTTGATTCCTAGTGTTACTACCTTTGGTATGAACTCTTTTTTTAAACTGATCACTGTAGAAGTTTATGCATTTTGTATCATTTTTCAAGCCAACAGAAATGTGTAAGGCCTATAATTCTGACACTTTTTAGTTATTTTTAAGGCTATGAGCATGTAAGATACTGTTGATATATGGAAGAATATGTATAAATACCACTAGGCAGCTTATTTTGAAGAGATAGTATCTAAATTTTTGTCCAGAGTAGATTGGTTGCAGTTTCTTAGGTGTGTTTCTTAATACTTTGCCTCAGTGTTTTAAATCATGTAGAAATTTGAATACAGTTTAATTTCATATAGTCCTTTGTTTATAGGTTTAATATTTCTAAAGACTAAAGACATCACAGCTCCGTTTAAGATTCAGTAATATTAATAAAATTTTAGAAATACAGGGTTAGAATCCAACAAATTCAGAGGAAAATTGATAATTATATAGCTGTAGAGCAGGAATGAAACCCAGCTTCTAAGCTCTAAGGGGGCCATGAGGTACCATACAGGTGCATCAGTGACTGGGCAAAGATTCAGCAAAATTAAAGGATGGTTAAGAGAGTGAGCTGTGAAGCCCAACTCTAGGCAACATGAATTTTTAAACTGCATGGTGCCTCAGTTTATCCATCTTTACAGTGGGGACTGTAGTAAGTTTTTCTTTTTCTGCTCAGTTGTCTGTCTTGTTGCCACTGTTCCCTAGTCTGTCTTGTTGCCACTCAGTGCCCACATGAGAGGACCTAAGGTAATTTCTGACAGGCTGGGACTCCTTAAAGAAAAACAGAAGGTGCTACTAACCCCATTTTAGGAGAAACCTCTGTTGTCCTCATGGAACCCCAAGAACTTCAGGCAGACAGGTCTCTCTCAAAATCTAAGGCTCTCCTCTGTTTTGCTTTGCATTATCTGACCTTTTAGGTTTCGGTGGGCATCAGAAATCAGTCGGGGAGAGAGATCTAAAGAAAGTTGTGGATATGAAGATGTATTTATGGTAAGAAAAGTTATGAAGGAAAGAAATGTTATATGAGAGAGGATCTTGTATGGCAAATTTTTGTCCTAAAGTAGAATGACTAATTATCAAAGAGGGAAATACAGGAGAAGTCACAAAGTTCATGTCATAGATGGTCTGTGGAAGTTGTGTTAGGGTTCATAAAATGAGAAAGAAAAACTTACAACTGCTAGATCTTTTCCTGTCTAGAAGTGTTGTGTATGTGATGTATACATAAAGGAGCCCTAATTACTTGGCTTAGAAGAAAAGGAAGGGTCTTAACTATTTTGTCAGAAAAATAGAATCTCTAATGCCTTTTATTTCACATGACTTAGTAATCTTTGGGAAATAAAGACTGTGTTAAAATCATTTTTTAGTAGAGACAGGGTTTCTTCGTATTGGTCAGGCTGGTCTCGAACTCCCAACCTCAGGTGATCCGCCCATCTTGGCCTCCCAAAGTACTGGGATTACAGGCGTGAGCCACTGCACCTGGCCTACAAATAGGTTAAATTATTTTGTAAATTAGCTGTTGTTTGTTTTGCCTACTCTCAGACTTCTGGATTTTTTTTTAAGTATGAAGGATTTCAATTGTTATATTAATATAAAAGCTTAGATAAATAGCACAAACATGATTTTTTTTTTGAGAGCATCTTGCTGTGTTGCCCAGGCTGGAGTGCAGTGGCACAGTCTCAGCTCACTGCAACCTCCATTTGCCAGGTTCAAGCAATTCTCATGCTCAGCCTCCCAAGTAGCTGGGATTACAGGCATATGCCACCATACCTGGCTAATTTTTGTATTTTTAGTAGAGACAGAGTTTCGTCATGTTGGCCAGGCTGATCTCAAACTCCTGGCCTCAAGTGATCTGCCCACCTTGGTCTCCCAAAGTGTTGGGATTACAGGTGTGAGCCATCGCACTTGGCCAGCTGTATTCTTTATGGATTTTTTTTACATCAAAAAGCTCATTTGTAATATTCATTTTCTGTATGTATACATGCTCTAAAATTTGTTTTATTTTAATTTTTAAAAAATAGAGATGGGGTCTGATTGTTTTGTCCAGCCTGGTCTTGAATTCTGGGCTCAAGTAATCCTCCCACCATGGCCTCCCTAAGTGCTGGGATTACAGGCATGAGCCACCATACCCGGCCTATAAAATTTATTGTAAAGGAAAAGGCATATTTTTATTAAGCTGATAATCTTTACATAAATATTGAAGCGTGGCATATTTCTTTATTCTACTTGGGCTATTTTGTGTTGCATTAAGAAGAATTTTTTGTTTGTTTTTTTCTTGTTACTATGCTTGCTTCTGGAATACTCCTTTCCTCCCTTACTCTTCCAAACTCTACTAGGTCTAAATTTATCCTTTTTTTCAAGGGTTTGATCACATATTACATCATCCAGGAAGTGTCTCTCCTATTCCCTCTTCTCCAAAATGTATATTTTTTATTCTGGAAACTCTTGATCCTTTGCCTCTAGACCATAAGCCCTTTGTAGGCATGTCTGTATCTGAGTTTTTAAATTTTTTTCCTCTTTTCCCACTCCCAGAATAACACCCTGTGCTCAGGAGTAGTAGATAATTGTTGAATGCATAAAAGAGCTTAGCAGCTAGAGTTAGTGTGGATGCTGTAGAAGATGTCTGATACACATATGGCAATTTGATGCTGAATAGTTTTTGGAAATTAAAAAGGTAGAAATTCCACCAATGTCAGTGACTAACATAGCTGTAATTAGTAAATTATCAAAATATTTCTTTTTTTTTTCTTTTTTACAGAGAGGGTCTCTCTCTGTTGCCCAGGCTGGAGGGTAGTGGTGCAATCATAGTTCAATGCAGCCTCCGAGTCCTGGGCTCATGCAGTCCTCCCGAGTATCTGGGACTACAGGTGTGTGCCACCAGACCTGGTCAACTTCTTTTATTTTGTAGAAACAGGGTCTCATTATGTTGCCCAGGCTGACCTCAAATTGCTGGGCTCAAGTGATCCTACCCCCTTGGCCTCCTGAAGTGCTGGGATTATAGGTGCGGGCCACAGAGCCTAGTTAAAAGCATTTCTTTAAAAAAAAAAATTCTGTTTGTTGGGATTTGGGGGAGGAAGAGAGAGTAAATATGGGATTGGTTCATCCTAGATAGCACTCGTGGTTCTAGATAGTGTTAGAATGCAATAATGTTTTAATTTATATATGCAGGGAATTTTGGAGTAGTTTCAATCCTAGGAAAAAACTCTGAGTTACAAATATGGAAAGATTGGCCGGCACGGTGGCTCATGCCTGTAATCCCAGCACTTTGGGAGGCCAAGGCAGGTGGATCACGAGGTCCAGAGATTGAGACCATTTGGGCCAACATGGTGAAACCCCGTCTCTACTAAAAATAGAAAAAAACAAAACAAAATGAGCTGGGCATGGTGGCACGTGCCTGTAGTCCCAGCTACTTGGGAGGCTGAGGCAGGAGAATCGCTTAAACCTAGGAGGCAGAGGTTGCAGTGAACCAAGATTGCGCCACTGCACTCCAGCCTGGTGACAGAGCGAGACTCCATCTCAAGAAAAAAAAAAAAAAAAAAAAAGAAATATGGAACAGTTGGCAGTTGGTTGATAGGATTATAATAGAATTTAGGACTCCCTTTGAAAGAATAATATCGACTAGTTTTATATAAAAAATTAAATTCTTAAGTAGATTAGTCAGGAGTAAAGGAAAAGTCAAGATTCCCAACTTATTTGGATTTCTTTCCCCCATTACGGTGTACTCAAGGAACAAAATTTGGGCTGTTTGGCTGTTTTTATTCTTTGTTATACACAAATAAACTGATATAAAAACCAAATATATTGAGGTTACATTTTTCTTTCTTTTCTTTTTTTTTTTTGAGACGGAGTCTCGCTCTCACCAAGGCTGGAGTGCAGTGGCATGGTCTCGGCTCACTGCAAGCTCCACCTCCCAGGTTCACGCTGTTCTCCTGCCTCAGCCTCCAGAGTAGCTGGGACTACAGGTGACCACCACCACGCCTGGCTAATTTTTTCTATTTTTAGTAGAGACAGGGTTTCACCATGTTAGCCAGGATGGTCTCGATCTCCTGACCTCGTGATCTGCCTGCCTCGGCCTCCCAAAGTGCTGGGATTGATTACAGGAGTGAGCCACCGCGCCAGGCGAAGTTTACATTTTTCTAGGAAAATTTGACTCAGATTTATGATGAGAGTCACCTTTATGCTTATAGATTGCCCCTTTACCCCATACTTGGTTGAACTGACAGACATTCTTCTTGCCATTATCACTGTCATACACTGTTCACATTCAGAGTAATTTGTTTTAGGCAATTCACTTCCTTTGGCAATAACACAGAGATTTATGTAATTTTGAAAATGTTTAAGTAGTCATCATCATGACTTTGAGTTTCTGTTCAAAGATGTTTAACTTTGCATTACTTTTAAGATTTTTAAATTCATTTTTAATACAATAACTTTTATGTATTTGGAGGTATTTGGAATGAAATCAAAACTTGTGCTATCTAGGAGTTATAACCTAAAATATGCAGAATGTAAATATACCTGATGTAGGAGTATATACATTCTGTTGAGGGGGGAGAAAGAAGTTACTTTATATTCACACAAAATCATTTTAACGCATGAAGGAGGATATGCTATTTTAAAATCTTATCTTTCACTAATTATAAGTAATACATTATTTTTTATATATACTGAAATTGAAAGAACCACTTCCTGGATGTAATCTACTGAGTTTGTTGCATATTCTTGCAGTTTTTTTTTCTGTGTTTGTATAATTTTCTATAATATGGGATCATAATATACTATTCTTTTGTATACTACTGTTCCAAGTTTGTCTATTTATTTCAGAGTTAACTCTATCAATCATTAACAGCAACTTAATACCCCATTTCTTGTACATGAAAATACCATAATTTGCCAGGCACAGTGATTCGCGCCTGTTGTCCCAGTACTTTGGGAGGCCGAGGTGGCTGGATCACCGGAGGTCAGGAATTCAAGACCAGCCTGGCCAACATGGTGAAACCCCATCTCTACTAAAAATACAAAAATTAGCCAGGCATAGTGGCATGTGCCTGTAATCCCAGCTACTTGGGAGGCTGAGGCAGGAGAATCACTTGAAACTGGGAGGTGGAGGTTGCAGTGAGCCATGCCACTGGACTCCAGCCTGTGCGACAGAATGAGACTCTTTCAAACAACAAAAAAGAAAATACCATAATTTGCTTAATCAACTTATGGTCACTGGATTTTTATTTTTTTGCCAGAAAAACAAAGCTGTAAACAGTTGCGTGTGTGTATGAATATTTATGCACATGTACATATGTATATGTATTTTGTGTACTTGTACAAACAGCTTGGTAGGATAGATTCCTAGAAGTGGAGTTGCTGAAATCAAAAGATGTGAATAATGTAGATATGGATAGATATTTATACATTTTCTTTCCAAAAGGTTGTTGTACCAATTTGTAAAGCTACCAGTAGTATTCAGGTATGCCCCATACCCTGGCCAATACTAGATATTACAGTTTCAGACATTTTGACAATTTAGGAACTGAAAAAATGTGATTCTGATTGGTGTTTTATAAATCACTATTGAGGCTGAACATTTTTTAATATGGAGAGAGTTATATTTCTTTCTTTTTTTTTTTTTTTTTGAGACAGAGTGTTGCTCTTGTTGCCTGGGCTAGAGTGCAATGGCTTGATCTCAGCTCACCACAACCTCTGCGTCCTGGGTTCAAGCAATTCTCCTGCCTCATCCTCCCTAGTAGCTGGGATTATAGGCATGCACCACCACTCCCGGCTAGTTTTATAGTTTTAGTAGAGATGGGGTTTCTCCATGTTGGCCAGGCTGGTCTCAAACTCTCGACCTCAGGTGATCCACCCGCCTTGGCCTCCCAAAGTGCTGGGATTACAGACGTGAGACACCGCACCTGGTCTTTTTTTCTTTTTTTTTAGACAGAGACTCGCTCTTGTTGCCCAGGCTGGAGTGCAGTGGCATGATCTCGGCTCACTGCAAACCCTGCCTCCCATGTTCAAGCGATTCTCCTGCCTCAGCTTCCCAAGTAACTGGGATTACAGCCATCTGCCACCACGCCCAGCTAATTTATGTATTTAGTAGAGACGGGATTTCACCATGTTAGTCAGGCTGGTTTTGTACTCCTGACCTCAGGTGATCCACCCACCTCAGCCTCCCGAAGTGCTGGGATTACAGGTGTGCGTCACTGTGCCTGGCCTTATGTCTTTTATAAATTGCCTACTTTTGTTCTTTGTTTATTTTCTGATGGGGTTACTGGTTTTTAACAGGTTAAAAGTTCTCTACATATTCACTTTTTTATTTCTTTCTTTTTCTTTTCTTTTTTTTCTTTTTCTTTTTCTTTTTTTTTTTTTGAGACAGAGTTTTGCTCTTGTTGCCCGGGCTGGAGTGCAATGGTGTGATTTCAGCTCACCTCAACCTCTGCCTCCTGGGTTCAAGTGATTCTCCTGCCTCAGCCTCCTGAGTAGCTGGGGTAACAGGCCTGCACCACCATGCCTGGCTAATTTTGTATTTTTACTAGACATGGGGTTTCTCCATGTTGGTCAGGCTGGTCTGAAACTCCCGACTTCAGGTGATCCACCCGCCTGGGCCTCCCAAAGTGTTGGGATTACAGGCATGAGCCAGCACGCCTGGCCTTATTCACTTTTTTTTGTACGTGTGCACATATCCCCCTAGCTATTCTTTTGTAATGTTATGTAGTCAGATAAATCCAAACCCAGCACTGTGCTGCTGTGGGACTTTGGGCACATTATTTAACCTCTGTACACCTTCATTTCCTTATTTGTAAAATGAAGATAATGTAAATAGCATTAGGCATAGTGGCTGGCACAAAGTAAGTAAGTAATAAATGTTAGTTGTGACTCTTATTAATTTATTTATGTGACTTTTGTGTTTTGTGCTCTACTTAAGACTTTCCTTGCTCCAAAATGTAAAATATTCACCTATCTACTAAACTAGAAAAACAAAGTGAGGAACATTGTATGCCTCTATGTGTCTTTGCTTTAAAGATGAAAAACAATGTATACATTTTTGCTTGTGTATCACAGGATATATGATACTTACAAACATTGGTTGTCATAGTAAGAAGAATGAGTGAGAGGAGGACTTTTTAACTGCATGCCTTTGTGTATTTTTAAAACAAAGAAGTCCCCAGAGTGTATTTAATACTTCAATGGTTTCTTTTTTCCTTTTCCTTCTCTTTTTAAAACTTCTAATTCTTTGATCCATCTGGAATTTATTTCTTGTATAAGAAGTGAGACATATTTTGGGGGATAAAATTGTGTGTGAATTCTACCCCAACTAGCTAGTTGTGTCAGCACCATTTAGTGAATAATCTGTTTTTTGCCCCACTATTAGAATTGCAGCTTTTGTCATTTACTAAATGTGTTTGGGACTATTTCTGATTGGTCTTGTTATTTTGGTCTCTTGTGTATTACCATACACTTTAAATTACTATCATTTTATAATTTTAATACAGATGGGGTTAGTTACCTGTTCATTACTCTTTTTTTCAGACTTTGACAATTCTGGTCTATGTGTTCTTCTAGATGAACTTTAGAATCATTCTGTGACATTCAAAAAGAAATCATAGAGATTTTTATTGAATACTGAATATTGATTGGGAATACTGAAATTGTAGGTGAAGTTTGGGGAAATTGACATCTTTATGTACTTTCTGTCCTGTGTTCTAATAGATTTTTATCTCTCAATAGATTTTCAAACTTTGCTTTAAATGAGTCCTGTACAAATAAGTCTTGTATATTTCTTGTTTATTTATTTTAAAAAACATCAGACCCATGAATGGGAGTTTGTTTGTTTATTTTATTGAACAAATATTATAGAGAATCAAACAGGTAGTTTTTATTCTAGTGAGAGAAGACAGAATATACTCAAATAAAATGAAGTATGTAATCCATTTCAGATTATGATAAACCTATAAAGGAACCAAAAGGGTGATGAGATTGAGAGTAACTCGTGGGAGCTTACCTTTTATGTAAGGTGGTTGGAAAGACCCTTCTGAGATGACATTTGAACTGAGACCTTAAGTTTGAGGAGGAGCTAGCTACCTGAATGAGGCAGGAACAGCATTCCTGGCAGAGAGTAAAGAAGGACAAGGGCCCAGCTAGGAAGGACCTGGCAGAGAAGGGCTCCTGAAGAAACTGAAAGGAAACTCATGTTCCTGGGGCCTAGTGAGCAATCTGGAAAGTAAGCAGGCCAAATCAAGTAGGGCCTTGGGTCATCGTAAGTAGTTGAGACTTTATTTGCAGTGCGTAGGAAATCCTTGGGGAATCTGAAGCAGGAGAGTGACATGTTCTGATTTAAGGTTAAAAAAGAACACTTGGCTTTTGGAGTTGAGAAATTATTGAAGTGGGAAGCCCAGTTAGGAGTTTTTGCAGCAAGAGGTAAGGATGGTGGTAGTTACATGGAGAGGCCTGGGAAGTTTCAGAGTCTGTGTGTGTGTGTGTGTGTGTGTGTGTGTGTGTGTGTGTGTGTAAGGAACAGCTAAACAACTTGCTGTTGGAGTGGGTGCTACTGAGAGCTAAGTACTGCTAGCTGCTGCAGAGGCCGTGTAGAGCAGAACAGAGCTGATCTTTGCCTTCACAGGTGTTTGATAGTTCTATTTGTTTCTAAAGTGTGTACCAAAATAAAGTAGGCTAAGAGCATTTGACTTTAAGATTTATGGAGCTCTGGGGTGTTGAGAGGGGTGCAGCAAAAAACACAGTCTGTTAATAACCCTTGTTTTATATTGCTTAATAACCTGTAGTCTCTGTTAGTGGGTCAAAGGGGAGGCAGCAGCAGATGATCTTTAAGGTATCTGTCTTTGAGTTAGAAAAACGTAGCTTGAGGAAGTTATGTAGCCTCCCTACAGCCTTAGAGCTAATAGTGGAACCAGACTTTTAGGTGAGCTCATGCACACACTAAGTCTTAGCACACTGCCTAGTATATATCTAGAACTCAATAAATGGTAACTTTTAGTAATATCCACTTAGATATTGTTATATCTATTAATTCAGGCCAAATATCTACATTAAAATTTTTCTTATCTCAATTTCTTTGTTCTTCTTTTGTGTTAATCAAGGAGGGAATTGGCATGTAGTCATCCATTTTGCTTGTGAAATATGTTTGTTCTTTTTTGTTTGTTTGTTTTGAGATGAAGTCTTGCTCTGTCGTCCAGCCTGGAGTGCAGGGGTGCGATTTCGGCTCACTGCAACCTCTGCCTCCCAGGTTCAAGTGATTCTTGTGCCTCAGCTTCCTGAGTAGCTGTGATTACAGGTGTGCACCACCACGCCTGGCTAATTTTTTGTATTTTTTTTTTTTGAGATGGAGTCTCACCCTGTCACCCAGGCTGGAATGCGGTGGTGGGATCTCTGCTC
Organism: Homo sapiens; assembly: GCF_000001405.40. Lineage (NCBI taxonomy): Eukaryota > Metazoa > Chordata > Mammalia > Primates > Hominidae > Homo > Homo sapiens. The sequence continues at coordinate 57,592,290 of NC_000007.14, forward strand.
ACTGCAACCTCTGCCTCCCGGGTCCAAGCAAATCTCCTGCCTCAGCCTCCCAAGTAGCTGGGATTAGAGGCACATGCCACTACACCTGGCTAATTTTTGTATTTTTAGTAGAGAGGGGTTTCACATGTTGGTCAAGCTGGTCTTGAACTCTTGACCTCGTGATCCTCCTGCCTCAGCCTCCCAAAGTGCTGGGATGACAGGTGTGAGCCACCATGCCCAGCCATATTTTTTGTATTTTTAATAGAGACAAGGTTTCACCAGGTTGGCCAGACTGGTCTTGAACTCCTGACCTCAAGTGATCCACCTTCTTCTGCTTCGCAAAGTGCTGGGATTAGAGACGTGAGCCACTGCGCTTGGCTGGTTTTGAAATATATTTGTTCTTATAAGTTGAGTGAGTGAGTGTTATTCAGTTCAGAGAATTAGTTCAATGTAGTGCCGACATACTACAGAGTTCTCAGTTGGATATTGTTACATTGTACTGCTGTCTTGGGACACCACTTTATGTAGAGGTAAAGTAACATCATTTTTCTTTCATTTAAGAATTATGTATTTATTATTATTTTTTGAGATAGAGTCTTGTTCTGTTGCTCAGGCTGGAGTGCAGTGGCATGATCTTGTCTCACTGCAACCTCTACCTCCTCAGTTCAAGTGATTCTCATGCTCAGCCTCCTGAGTAGCTGGGATTACAGACATGTGCCACCATGCCCGGTTAGTTTTTGTATTTTTAGTGTAGACGGGGTTTCGCCTTTTTGGCCAGGCTGGTCTCAAACTCCTGGCTTCTAGTGATCCACTTGCCTCGGCCTCCCAAAGTGCTGGGATTACAGCCATAAGCCACTGTGCCTGGCCAGAATTACTTATTGAATATGTGTACCCATAGATTTATCAAATAATTATATCCTTATTAAAATTTTTCTTTCAGTATCATACTTTATAAGAGGTAGGATAGGTTAACTAAAAAGCTTTTTTCTTCAGCTTCCATTTGTTTCTCTGTCTTTAAGTAAGATGTCATGATGTCAAAAGAGGCTGCAAATAAAATACCTTGTCAATGGCAATCCCCCAGATTAGATCCTAACCAAAAGGCTGAGAAGCAGTAGCTTTTTTCCCCACAAAGGGAAGAAAGCTTTAGTTTATTTTACAGGAGAAAATTTATTCCAGTATAGCACCACTCTGGTCTTGTACAAATTACAGAATTCACTTAGATAATTTCTAGTCTCTCCTCTCCTGGATGCTGGACTCTGTAATAAGTTTAGGAGGTCGGCTTTCTTTAAATTATCCCCAGGTTGGAGGATTTTAGGTGTCGGGATGCCCGGGGTGGTGGTCCTTCTTAGCCTTGTCTTGCCTAACATACTTTTAGAATTGGTCTAGAGCTGGACAGCTTTGTGGGACCTGGTGTGACCTGATTTGCTTCAGTTTAATAACTAATATTTTAGCATTTGAATGTCATAGAGGCATTGCCCTATCCCATACTTTTGTATCAGGAGGTTTTATTATTTTATCAGTTAAAAATTGCATATTTTGTAGGATCCTTCTTCTGCTTTGGTGAAATGTGGGCTTCACCTGTATTGTGACGCTTGGTGGATTCGTTCTTGCTCATCTGAAGTGGCATCTGTGGTTCTGCCACAGTGAAGTATATTTTTAGCTTTTTTTTTTTTTGAGATGGAGTCTCGCTCTGTTGTCAAGCTGGAGTGCAGTGACACGATGCCAGCTCACTACAACCTTCACTTCCCAGCTTCAAGCGATTCCCCTGCCTCAGCCTCCCGAGTATCTGCGACTACAGGTGTGCGCCATCATGTCCGGCTAATTTTTTTTTGTGTTTTAGTAGAGATGGAGTTTCACCATGTTGGCCAGGATGGTCTTGATTTCCTGATCTTGTGATCCACCGGCCTTGGCCTCCCAAAGTGCTGGGATAACAGGTGTGAGCCACTGTGCCCGGCCATTTTTAGCTTTTTTTCCAAGATAGCTTAGGCCACCTTGAACTTTGCATAACACATTTTGGTTATGCAAAGGTTGTGGGCCAAAAGCCAGGAGTTCCTGCTGAGAGGAAAAATTGCTTCTTTTTTGGCAGGATAGTATTTGAAATTTTGTTGTTGCAAGATTTTCCTGTTGAGTAAATATGTGTGTGTTTATTTAGTATGAGAAGATTTAAAAAGGAACTTAAATAGATCAATTTCATTTTGCAATATTGTGTTACCTGTTTGCAATATGTAAGAGGCTAGTTCTGGGTTTATCTGTATAATTCAGTTAGAAGTGCTATTGTCTTTTATGACAGTGATGTATAATTATCACTATATTGTTCTCATCCTAAAACATTATATGTTGATATTTAAGAGATGAGGAAGTTGCTTATAAAATCTTGATCAGATTTCTTGAACAATTCATAGAATTTTTTTAGTTCATGAGTCAACCATGTAACTACCCTGAGTTAATGAGTTTTGGTGCTAAGAACTGAAATTATAATTTGATACTGCCACTTAAGGTGCTCCCTTCCCCTTCAGTCTGAACTTTAGATTCTTTCATTTCAGTAGGTTTCAAATGTAAAGTATTCTGCCAAGGTATCTTAGTGAGCCAGGACTGGAGTGAAGGGTGGAGGGAGGGATGGGGAAGGGCAGGGGGAGACTGAAAAGATGAATCCTAGGTCTTCCATTCTCACTAGATCAGAATGTTTCCCCATTGTACCTTTTGCACATTTAGCTTTCATTTAAGACTTTTGAGGAAAACATTCTGGTTAAAAAACAAGATCTGAGCACTGTTGCCATGTATCTCGTGGATAAGTTTTGAGGAAGGAGGTTGTAGTGGTCTCCAGGCTGCAGTTCATGTGAGGACAGGAAGGGCTTGCTTTGACCTGTAAATTTGTATGCTAGTAGGGGCTAATTTCCTGATTTTGCTAGTTTTTTTTTTTCCTTCTGTATTTGGCGAATAGTACTTTTAAATAAAACTGACTTTTTTGTTTTTTTTGAGATAATAAAGTTAAACTTCATTAAAGTCATACCACAAAACCAGGAAAACAGGAAGGATTACTGAGACGAGGGAAAAAATGGAGAAGTCACTTAACTTGTGACTTTGAGTGACATTGAGTGTAATTGTTGAACTCAGGACTTACCATAGTTGAAAGTTAAACAAAGTGCAATAAAAAATTGTACCTCATGGGTTTCTAATCATTTAGGCCACTGTTAGAAAAAAATGGGATGACCCTGGGTTAAAATCTTTTTTTTTTGCCTCTGCATTCCATTTATAGCTTTATTTATTTGGGATGTCTGAGTTGGGAGGAGAGTGCAGAGATAGATCACTTAAAGCATGTTTTAGGACAGCAGATCAGAATTAGTTGGAAAACTTTTACAAAATGCATGAACGTTCATATAGTGCAATACTCTTGTGTTTGGACAGAGTTTCATTCTTGTTGCCCAGGCTGGAATGCAATGGCACGATCTCGGCTCACCACAACCTCTGCCTCCCGGGTTCAAGCGATTCTCCTTCCTCAGCCTCTCGAGTAGCTGGGATTAGAGGCATGTGCCACCATGCCTGTCTAATTTTTGTATTTTCAGTAGAGACGGGGTTTCAGCATGTTGGTCAGGCTGGTCTCGAACTCTCGACCTCAGGTGATCCACCCGCCTCAGCCTCCCAGAGTGCTGGGATTACAGGCGTGAGCCACCGCGCCTGGCCCATATAGTGAAATACTCTTTAGCAATAGAAAGAACCATAGATGCATGAGAATAATTGCCAAGATGTATTTTTTTTTGGGGGGGAACGGAGTCTCGCTCTGTCGCCCAGGCTGGAGGTTGGTGATGTGATCTCGGCTCACTGCAAGCTCTGCCTCCTGGGTTCATGCCATTCTCCCCACCTCAGCCTCCTGAGTAGCTGGGACTACAGGCGCCCGCCACTATGCCTGGCTAACTTTTTTGTATTTTTAATAGAGACGGGGTTTCACCATGTTAGCCAGGATGATCTTGATCTCCTGACCTCGTGATCCACCTGCCTCAGCCTCCCAAAGTGCTGGGATTACAGGTGTGAGCCACCGTGCCAGGCCAACCAAGATGTATTAAGTAATAAAGGCAAGATACAGAACAGTGTGTTTCTAGTATGCCACCATTTACATAGGGGAAAAAGTGTGAGTGTATGTATGTGTAGGATATTTCTAAAGGACACTCTAGAAACTAGTAACTTCGGTTGCCTTCTGGGAGGGTAACTGGGTAGCAGCTGGAGGAGAAGGGTGAGGAGATTTTTCACTTTGTATTCTGTGGTACTTTTAAAAACTCTTAAGTCCTGCATATAATGTTTATTTCCAAAAAGATCAACCCTCCCCACAATGCCACATGTTGGCTTTTCCCCTTCCACCTGGAGCAGTTGCAGATGTATAGATGAGGAGAAAGTTCCTCAGGTGGTTTTAATGTGTGGTCTCATGGAACATCTCAGCTCCTCCTCAGTTCACTACTTGCTGAGAAAGCCGCAAAGCATTGCAAAAAACATTAGTTTTTCCCATTTTGCCACAGACAATTTTGTGATATTGGAGGAATTATTGACTTTCTCTGATCTTCACATTCCTCACCTGTCAAATCAGTGTTAGTTGGGTAATCTCAACCTTCCAATCCTTAAGATTTGCTGACCTCCATGCCTCGGGCCTTGGAAGGGAGCAGGGAGAAATCAAACTGAGGGACATCTGGTCAGTCTTCTGACTCTTCTCCTGGTCAGCTTTCACAACAGCAGGAAACGTGACATCAGGAGAAAGGATGATATATTTGTTTAAAATATTTATATATTACATGGTACCACATGCACTTTTTAAAGTTCTTTTTTTTTTTTTTTTTGAGAGGGAGTCTGGACCCCTCACCCAAGCTGGAGTGCAGTGGTGCCATCTCAGCTCACTGCAACCTCTGCCTCCCAGCTTCAAGTGATTCTCTTGCCTCAGCCTCCCAAGTAGCTGGGTTTACAGGCGTGTGCCACCATGCCTGGCTAATTTTTTGTATCTTTAGTAGAGACTGGGTTTCACCATGTTGGCCAGGCTGGCCTTGAACTCTGACCTCGTGATCTGCCCGCATTGGCCTCCTAAAGTGCGTGAGCCACCACGCCTGGCCGTAAAATTCTTTCTATACGTTTTTTCTTTTATTTTTTGAGTCAGAGTTTCATTGTGTCACCCAGGCTGGAGTGCAGTGGCACAATCACGGCTCACTGCAGTCTTGACCTCCTGGGCTCAAGTGATCCTCCTGCCTCAGCCTCCCAGGTAGCTGGGACCATGGGTGTGTACCGCCATGCCTAATTAATTTTTTCCTTTTTTTTTTTTGAGACAGAGTCTCGCTCTTTCACCGAGGCTGGAGTGCAGTGGCCCGATCTTGGCTCACTGCAAGCTCCACCTCCTGGGTTCATGCCATTCTCCTGCCTGTCTCCCGAGTAGCTGGGACTACAAGCACCCACGACCACACCCGGCTACTTTTTTGTATTTTTAATAGAGACGGGGTTTCACCGTGTTAGCCAGGATGGTCTCGATCTCCTGACCTCACGATCCGCCCGCCTCGGCCTCCCAAAGTGCTGGGATTATATGCGTGAGCCACCGCACCTGGCCGCCTAACTAATTATTATTATTATTATTTTAATTTTCTTGTAGAGATAGGTCTGGCTTCATTGCCCAGGCTGGTCTTGAATACTTGGCCTTAGGAGATCCTCCGATCTTAACTTCCCAAAGTGCTGGGATTACAGGTGTGAGCCACTGTGGCCAGCCTATAAGTTTTGTTTTAAAGTTAGATTGAATGACAATTCCCTAGAAAATTTTATTTTCTAAACCTAACTGGATAAAGAATATATTGATAAAAACTGGGAATTTGATCAATTTGTCATACTGAATTATTTTTTGAATTTGCCCTCTTCCCAAATACCTTGAAGTGATGGAAACAAAATTAAAACTTTACTAATAAAGTATTAAATGGGTGGAGATTTTATATATATAAAATTATATGTTATATTTTTATGTATACAATTATATAATTTTCATCTTATATTTAAATTCTATTTTTTAAAACCACCCAATTAGGTAATAATAGAACTCCGGTCTTAAAGTAAGAGTGTATGTACACACATGCACATGTGTATATGTGTATATAAAATTTTTGTCATGGGAGTTTTATATATAATTAAGATAGAAATTATATATTATGGCACACATTTCTATACATACGTAATATTCTCTACCGTATGTATGTAAAATACTCCCATATTAATTATGTGTAACATAAATATTTGTGTTATCCTGAAACATAAACATAGATAATCATGTTTTAGGATGGGAATACTCAGGAGTATAAGGGTACCTGTTCTCCCATTAGTCAGTCTGTGAATTCAATATTTATGTGTTCTCATCCAGAATTTCTCTGGGACCTGACAAGCTGACTCTGATGCTTGTGTGTAAGAGGAAATGTGCTAGAATAGCTGGGAAGGTGGTGAAAGTAGCAGCAACAACAAAGCACAGTGAGGTGAAACTTGCCCTGCTGGATATGAAACCTCGTAATACCAGAGTAATTTGAAAAGTGTGGCATTGGCACAAGAAAAGACAGACAAATCAAATTAGTCTAGAATTGTGGACAAATAGGAATATACTTTTTAATGAGGATGGCTTTTTCTTTCTTTCTTTTTTTTTTTGCCCCAGCTGGTGTGCAATGGTGTGATCTTGGCTCACTGCAACCTCCGCCTCCCAGGCTCAAGCAATTCTCCTGCCTCAGCCTCCCAAGTAGCTGGGATTACAGGCGCATGTCACCATGCCCGGCTAATTTTTGTATTTTTAGTAGAAAAGAAGTTTCACCACGTTGGCCAGGCTGGTCTCGAACTCCTGACCTCAAGTGATCCACCAGCCTCAGCCTCCCAGAGTGCTGGGATTACAGGAGGAGCCACCGCTCCTGGCCTTCTTTTTCTTTATTTGCTATTTCAGTTCCATAGAAGCATGCAAAGAATAACATAACAAATGTCCATCTACCTACCATCTGTGATTACAAAACTTAGTATTTGATCATCCTTGCTTCAGAATTATTTAATAAAGACAATACTTCCTCTGTACAAATGCTTACCTTAAAACTACTCTTGAATTCTTTTCACAATTGACTTATCAACTCCCAAATTTAAAACCATGTATTTTTGTCTTTATATTCCTCAGACGTTTATAGAAAGGTATTTACTGAGCAGTTACTATGTGCCAGATATTATGCTGTTTTTTATATACTGTTTTTACTTTATATAGCTAATTATATTATTTGTCACATATTAACCTATTTTAAATATGAAAAGAAGTGACGTATTAATGTTTTCAAACCTTGGTAACTTTTATTAAGTAAATACTTGAGAGGAAGCTTTTACTGGTAATTGTGGTTTTATTTATGTAGCTGTAGTTATAATTTATTAGAAGTACACTTGGTGTTTTAGTTCTTATTAATTCTATTTTTTTCCCATCCTGTTGAGATGGTTTCCTAGAAACATGATTGTTTATTGGCGTTGATCTTACAGTCTGGTGAGGACTTCTTTACTGATAATGTCAAGTTCAGGTTATCCTCCCAACCAAGGAGCATTCAGCACAGAATAAAGTTGTTATCCTCCTCACTCTGTAAAGTATACATTTCCCAGCACCTGCCACCAGCAGGTAAGGAACAAATACTATGCAAATTGCATGTTTTTTGTGTTTTTCTTTACTTTTCCTATTTAATACACATGTTGGTAGAAACCACCAAATTTACCTTTTTTTAAAGTGGCAAGAGCTATTTACAAAGACGAGGAACCAAAGGTTGGGAATTAATTATTTCTGTCTTCTTACTGTGGCTTTATGCCAATTTCAGGAGTTGAACTTGTCTTTGCTTTTGATGATAGGAGTTGATGATAAATAGAAAACTTATCAATTCTCTAGAATTTCTAGGGTAAGACCTATATTTATACTCCCAAGTTGTGGTTGAGTTTTAAGCTGGCCAGATAACTTGGCATGTCTTGAGTGATGGCCAGGATAAAGACCTCTGTCTTCTTGAGAGATTGATGGTAGGAAGATTTGCATAGTAGGTAGGAAGGAAGGAAGGGATGGTAGATAGGAAGGAAAACTTTATCATAGGAAGAGTTTGTAAGAGATTGATTTACCTTGTGAAAAATAAAGTATGAGGTGAAATAATCATCTCAGAGTAGACCAAGGATATAGGTGTAAGAGGTTTAAAGAAAAATAGGAAAGGATGGGATAAAACAGTCATCTCAGAGACTAAGAAAGCAGATTTGTCAACAAAATGTACTACGGGGTCCTACTGAGGACTCCTTTGAAGTGTAGGCATGATTACAGACTTAGAATGGACATTCCTATGTTGTTTCTGTGTAGGGAGGCATTTAGTCTTTTACCATTATGTGTAATGTTAGTTGCACGTTTTTTTTTGATGCCTTTTTTGGTTGAAGAGGTTGCTTTCTGTTCCAAGTTTGAGAATTTCTGTCATGACTGGGTGTTGAATTTTGCTTGTGTTGTCCCCCTACCCCAGTGTTATTCATCTGATTACCAATTTTCTGGATTATTGTTGCTGCTGGTTTTTTCATAAAATCAGGCCGGGTGCAGTGGCTCACGCCTGTAATCCCAGCACTTTGGGAGGCTGAGGCTGGTGGATCACTTGAGGTCAGGAGTTTGAGACCAGCCTGGCCAACATGGTGAAACCCCATCTCTACTAAAAATATGAAAAAATTAGCCAGGCATTGTGACAGGCACCTGTAATCCCAGCTACTTGGGAGGCTGAGGCAGGAGAATCGCTTGAACCCAGGAGGCAGAGGTTGCAGTGAGCCAAAATCATGCCGGTGCACTCCAGCCTGGGCAACAAGAGTGAAACCCCATCTTAAAAAAAACAAAATTAACTTTGCAGTTTAGTTTATATATATACGCACATATATCTATATTAGAATGCATTCATTATATGTGTACATTGTAACAAATTTTGACAAATTCATAAACTCATAGAACCGTCACCAAAATGAAGACGAACAACATTTCTAACACTCCAGCACGTTCCTTGGCACTCCATCCTCCTTGGCACCCTCCCGTGTCAGTCCTCCTCCCCCACTTTGTACTAACTTTATCTCCTAGGAAACCACTGATCTGCTTTCTATCATAAAACATTGTACACGTTCTGAGCTTCATGGGAACTCTTTCATCTATGACCTCTTTTGCTTCGCATAATACTTTTGTGATCTATCCATGTCTGGCATGTCTCAGTTCATTCCTTTTTATTGTTGAGTATGGGTATACCACAATTTGTTTATCCAGTCACCTATTCCAGTTTTTGATTATTATAGGTAAAATTACTTAGAAAACATATATCTATATATTTGTTGTATCTAAATTATTAAAAGAAGTATTGCCTCATTTTCTTAACAGTATCCTTTGGAGAGCGTACATTTTTTATTTTTATCAAGTCCGATGTAGTTTATTTTTTGAGACAGAGTCTTGCTCTGTCGCCTAGGCTGGAGTGCTTTGGTGCCATCTCAGCTCACTGCAACCTCTGCCTCCCAGGTTCAAGCAATTCTCCTGCCTCAGCCTCCTGAGTAGCTGGAATTACAGGCATGTGCCACCACGCCCAGGTAATTTTTGTATTTTTAGTAGAGATGGAGTTTCTCCATGTTAGCCAGGCTGGTCTCGAACTCCTGACCTCAGGTGATCCGCCCTCCTCAGCCTTCCAATGTGCTGGGATTACAGGTGTGAGCCACTGCACCCAGCCCCGATGTATTATTTTTATTGTTCATTTTTTGTGCTTTTTGTGTCAAACCTAAGACGTTTTTGCCAAATTCAAGGTCACTAAGATTTTCACTTACGTTTTCTGTTTTTCTATTTCTGTTTTGTTTTTGATTTTGTTTTTTTAAGACGAAGTCTTACTCTGTCGCCCAGACTGGAGTGTAGTGGTGCAATCTTGGCTCACTGCAAGCTCCGCCTCCTGGGTTCACACCATTCTCCTGCCTCAGCCTCCCGAGTAGCTGGGACTACAGGCGCCCACCACCATGCCCAGCTAATTTTTTTTGTATCTTTAGTAGAGATGAGAGGTTTCACCCTGTTAGCCAGGATGGTCTCAATCTCCTGTCCTTGTGATCCACCCGCCTTGTCCTCCCAAAGTGCTGGGATTACAGGTGTGAGCCATCGTGCCCGACCAATTTTCACTTACGTTTTCTTCTCTAAGTTTTATAATTATAGGTCTTTCATTTAGGTAAATTACCTATTTTGAATTAAAATTTTGTATGTGGTGTGGTAAGCATTGAGTTTCAGTCTTTCTGCATTAAGAATGATGTTAGCTTGGAGAGTGCTCTTTACTCCTGTGTTTTCTTAAGGGGTTGTGTACGATTGGTACTTTCCTTTGAGATGGAGTCTTGCTCTGTCATCTAGGCTGGAGTGCAGTGGTACGATCTCAGCTCACTGCAACCTCCATCTCCCAGGTTCAAGTGATTCTACTGCCTCAGCCTCCTGAGTAGTTGGGATTACAGGTGCGTGCCACCACACGTGGCTGATTTTTGTATTTTCAGTAGAGATGGGGTTTCACCGTGTTGGCCAGGCTGGTCTCAAACTTCTGAACTCAAGTGATCCGCCCGCCTCAGCCTCCCAAAGTGTTGGGATTATAGGCATGAGCCACTGCGCCTGGACTTTTCTTTCTTTCCCTCTTCTTTCTTTCTTTCTTTCTTTCTTTCTTTCTTTCTTTCTTTCTTTCTTTCTTTCTTTCTTTCTTTCTCTTTCTTTCTTTCTTTTCTTTCTTTCTTTCTTTCTTGTCTTTCTTTCTTTTCTTTCTTTCTCTTTCTTTCTTGTCTTTCTTTTTTTCTTTTTCTTCCTTCCTTTCTCTCTCTCTCTCTCTTTCTTTCTCTCTCTCTCCTCTTTCTCCTTTTTCTTTCTTTGAGTCTCGCTCTGTCACCCAGGTTAGAGTGGGCAATTGCGTGATCTCTGCTCACTGCAACCTCTTCTTCCTGGTTCAAGCAATTCTCCTGCTTCAGCCTCCCAAGTAGCTGGGATTACAAGCGCCCGCCACCATGCTTGGCTAATTTTTTGTATTTTTAGTAAGGTTTCGCCACGTTGGCCAGGCTGGTCTCAAACTCCTGACCTTAGGTTATCTACCCGCCTCAGCCTCCCAAAGTGCTGGGATTTCAGGTGTCAGCCCACTACGTGGTGGCCAGGATTGATACTTTTTCATCCTTAGAAATTTGATAGAATTTATCAGTGAAACTGTTGGGCCCAGAATTTTTTTTGTGGAAGAATTTAAATATGAATTCAATTGCTTTAATAGTTATAATTCAGATACTCAATTTTTTCTTGAGTCAGTTTGCATATATTTTGTTGTTTAAGGTATCAGATTTATTGACATAATTTGTCTCAATATTTCCTCATCATTTCAGTGCCTTTAAGATATGTTGCGATGTTGTTCCTCATGTCGATAATGTTTGTTTTTATTATTTTTTTAATCAATCTGCCTAGAGGTTTATCAGTTTAATAGATTTTTGAAGAACTAGCTTTGGTTTCAATCATTTTCACTATTTTTCTATTTCACTGATTTCTACTCTTTATTGTTTTTTTCCTTCTCTAATTGCCTGTGTATATTTCATCACTTCATTCTTTTTGTACATTCAAGTTTTCTTCTGATATTATTGTGTTTTTGCCTGAAGCACTTCATTTCTCTCAGTTTAGGTCTTTTGGCAATTAATTCTCTCAGATTTTATTTGCCTGAAAAAGGTTTTATTTCTGAAGACTATTTTCACTAGATATAGAATTCTAAGTTGACAGTTTCAGTATTTTAAGAGATGTCATATCATTGTATTCTGGCTTGTATGGTTTCTGACTAGAAGCCTGTGGTCATTCTTAATTTTTGTTCATTAATATATAAAACACATTTTCCCCCCTGTGGCTACTTGTTTTTTTTTTTTGAGGCATTCTTGCTCTGTCATTCAGGCTGGAGAGCACTGGTACAATCTCGGCCCACTGCAGCCTCCACCTGCTGGGTTCAAGCAATTCTCATGCCTCAGCCCCCTGAGTAGCTGGAGCTGCAGGCACGTGCTACCATGCCCAGCTACTTTTGTTTTTTTTTTTTTTGAGATGGAGTTTCACTCTTGTTGCCCAGGCTGCAGTGCAATGATGCGATCTTGGCTCACCACAACCTCCGCCTCCCGGGTTCAAGTGATTCTCCTGCCTCAGCCTCACAAGTAGCTGGGATTACAGGCATGCGCCACCATGCCCGGCTAATTTTGTATTTTTAGTAGAGATGGGGTTTTACCATGTTGGTCAGGCTGGTCTCGAACTCCTGACCTCAGGGGATCCATCAACCTCAGCCTCCCAAAGTGCTGAGATTACAGGCATGAGCCACTGTTTCCAGCCCCAGCTAATTTTTTGTATTTTTAGTAGGGACAAGTTTTTGCTATGTTGGCCAGGCTGGTCTTGAACTCCTGGCCTCAAGTGATCTGCCTGCCTAACGTATTCTAATATTTTTCCCAGAGTCTTTTTGTTTCAATTTTTCTTTTTTTTTTAAAGCATACTGAAGTTTAAAATGTTTTTACTGCCATCAAATCTTTTTTCTATAATGTTTATTAACCTTTATGCCTAATTGCCCTTTCTTCCCTGATTTCAGATAAATACCCACACATTTTCTTTGCGTTTTCATGCAATGAAGAGTAATTTAAAAGATAGTAAATGTATCTACAATTTATTTTCAAATAGTTCAGCCAAAATGAAGTTTTATACACATACATAGACACACACAGAAAGCAAATATGTTAAAATATTAACTACTGGTGAATCTAGATGAAGGATAAATGAGTGTCCATTATACTGTTCCTTCAACTTTTAAGTGAATTTGAAATTTTTCAAAATAGTAAGTTGGATGGGGAAAAATTCTTTGCCATAAGCTAGAAATTAGCTAAGCTTCTAGGTGTTTTGTGACCCACCTTATCATGTGAAACATCTCTATCATACAGTAGTCTGTGGGGTTTATAAGAAATGTTCTGCTGCATTAAAAAAAAGAAATATAAAAATATAGTGAATAAAGGTCATCTTCCATGGCTGAATACATTACCACAAATGTAATTTATAGAATTTCTTTTTTTAGCAGAAAAGTGTCTTAAAAACTCATTCATTAAATTGAGACATGTTGTGTTGTAGTGTGACCCATTTCCATGTTATAGTTGAGAAACTCGGTGTTCAGAAAAATTAAGTGACCTAGTTAGTACCTCCTGAGTTGGAATTAACCCAGGACCCCTGACTCTAGTCCTGCTTTTTTTCCTCTAAAGTGTGAACCATGACCACTACTACTAACTAATACTTCTCTTTCTGTCTCCCTCTCCCCATTCTCTCCCAACTGCCCACCTCCAGAAGTAAGGATTTAAAAAGAACTAACATCTGTTAGATTTTTTTTTAAATGTTAAGCCTAGGTATATCATTTATACAAGAATTAAATAAGCTTGAAAGAAAAAATTACCTACAGTTTTACCAGTTAAAAGTTATTAATATTTTATGTTGATTCTTCCCTAATTGTGTGTGTATTATTTTAATTTTAATTTAATTTAATTTAATTTTATGGGTTTTTTTTTGTTTTTTGTTTTTTGCTGCTGCTCCTTGTGGAACAGGGCTAACCCATAGGCAGTGTGTCCAGAGTCAGCCCGTATGAATATTTTAATGTGCTCCCTTTGTACATTCTGTTTAACTTTACTTTTGCTTAAGTAACGTGCTTAGCTTCTTTTTGTGCCAGTAAGTTTACAACTGTATTGTTAGTGGCTACTTAGTATTCCACATATGAATAAATAAAGTTATTTATTTAATCAATTGTCATACATTTAGGTTGCCTGTTTCTTCAGAAGTACGGTGTTGTGACGTGCATTGTTTTTTTTTGTTTTTTTTTTTTTTGAGACAGAGTCTTACTTTGTTGCCCAGGCTGGAGTGCAGTGGCACGATCTTGACTCACTGCAACCTATACCTCCCAGCGATTCTCCTGCCTCAGGCTCCTGAGTAGCTGGGACTACAGGCGCATGCCACCAAGTTCAGCTAATTTTTGTATTTTTAGTGGAGACAAGGTTTCACCATGTTGGCCAGGCTGGTCTCGAATTCCTGACCTCAGGTGATCTGCACACCTTGGCCTCCCAAAGTGCTGGGATTATAGGCATGAGCCACTGCAGCTGGCCCATACATTATTTAGGTTGTTTTTTTTTGTATGCATTCTTACTTACTTCCTTAAGGTAGATTTCTTTTAGTATAATTAGTTACAGACCAGGTTGATTTTTAAGGTTCCCGTGGGTATTTCCAGATTGTCCTGCAAAAGACTAGGGCCAGTTCTTAACTCCTGACAACAGTGTATAAAGGTACCCACTTCTTGACCGGGTGCAGTGGTTCACACATGTAATCCCAGCACTTTGGGAGGCTGAGGCAGGCAGATCACCAGAGGTCAGGAGTTCAAGACCAGCCTGGCCAACATGGTGAAACTCCGTCTCTACTAAAAATACAAAAATTAGCCGGGTGTGATGGCAGGCACCTGTAATCCCAGCTACTCAGGAGCCTGAGGCAAGAGAATCATTTGAACCTGGGAGGCAGAGGTTGCAGTGAGCTGAGATTGCGCCATTGCACTCCAGCCTGGGGGACAAGAGTGAGACTTTGTCTCAAAAAATAAAAAATAAAAATAAAAATATATAAAGGTACCCACTCCTCCTGTATCCTTGCTGACACCACGTTTATTGTTTAACAAAAAGATTAATTTGATGAATGATTGCTTTTAACTTATACTTATTATGTTAGTAAAATTTAACATTTTTTATTTGTTTATTAGTTATTTTTCCTGTTTTGTAAATTGTTTTTTCATATATGTTGCCCATTTTTCTGTTGGTTTATTTTATATTGAGTTGTTAGAGTGCATGTTTTGCAAATGGTTTCCCTATTTAATCATTTGCCTTTTTTATTTGTTATTACTGTTTTGATAAGCAGAAGATTGTGTTTTTGCATGTGTGGTTTTTTTTTTGTTTTTTTTTGTTTGAGAGGGAGTCTTCCTCTGTCACCCAGGTTGGAGTGCAGTGGTGCCATCTCTGCTCACCGTAACCTCAGCCTCCCAAGTAGCTGGGATTACAGGCTCGCACCATCACACCTGGCTGATTTTTGTATTTTTAGTAGAGATGGGGTTTTACCATGTTGGCCAGGCTGGTCTCGAACTCCTCAACTCCAGTGATCTGTCTGCCTCGGCCTCCCAAAATGCTGGGACTACAGGTGTGAGCCATCGTGCCCAGCAGAAGATTGTTTTTTATTTTATCCATCAATTTTTCTTTTTTAAAAACGAATGTCTTTTATATCTTTTGCTTTTGGCCTTCCTGAACGCAAGATAATGTGAATCTTTTTTTTTTTTTTTTAACGTGAGGCTTTTTGCGATTTGCTAATAAGCCTCTTATAAATGTTTGCTATTACTTGGCTTTTTTTGATGTAAGATATGAGGTAAGAATCTAATTCTTTTTCTTCAGGATTGGTATCTGGCTGTTTCAATCCAAGATTATAAGCTTCATGAAGGCAGATATCTGTCTATTTTGATCCACCACCCTATTCCTGTTATATAAGTAGGCACTTAAGGATTTGGTTTCTTATTAAATATTTAATATTTAGAAAGGAAGTCAGTGGAAAATATTTATTTCTAATATTAATTCTTTGAGCATGCATCAGAATCACCCGAGGAGCACTTTTGAAGTCTGCTGAATCAAAATGTAATCTCTTTTGCTATTATATATGTTTCTGTAACACAAACTTACTCATATGCATATAGTGGGAGAATGATATTAATGTATCATGAAAGTCCTGGTGGTTCACCAAAGATCTTTCTTTATGCATTAACATTTCTAAGTTCTCAGCAGTACGCTGTCTCATAATGAAAGAAAAAGGTTTCACAACACATGAAGATTTAAAAATATTTGAACATTCTGCCTTTAGTTTTCATTTAGTGCAAGTAGTAACTGGTTTAGTGAATTTAAGAACTATTGTGCTTTTCACAGTGTTAGTGAAGATTCGAGCATTGAAAAGACAATGTGAAGACAAATTTTCTTGTATGTTTTTAACGTTGATAAAGGAGGGAGGGGGAGAAAAAGAGGTTGATCAAGATGGTTGTATGCCAAATCTGACTTTTTTTTCTTTTTTTTTTGCGACAGAGTCTCGCTCTGTCACCCATGCTGGAGTGCAATAGTGCAATCTCAGCTCACTGCAACCTCTCCCTCCTGGGTTCAAGCCATTCTCCTGCCTCAGCCTCCCGAGTAGCTGGGACTACAGGTGCTTGCCACCACGCCCAGCTAATTTTTGTATTTTTTTAGTAGAGACGGGGTTTCACCATGTTGGTCAGGCTGGTCTCGAACTCCTGAACTTGTGATCTGCCCACCTTGGCATCCCAAAGTGCTGGGATTACAGGCATGAGCCACCATGCCTGGCCACTGATATTTTATTTAGATGAAACATACTGGTTTATTTTGGAAGCCAATGACCTCACGGATTTACATCTTCAGAGAGGAATCATAAACTGTAGGGCTTAAAGCTGCCAAACATTGACCGTATGCCAGATGCAAAGGATACTGGAGCTTTAACTCTATTAAGTCTATTAGAATTGTTATTGCTTTTATTGGTGCTTTCCTTACAGAATTGTACAGGTTTTAGGGTATAGCCATAATCTTATTTTCCCAGAAGGCCTCTTAGATTCAGTGCATACTATTACAAAGTATGAGGTTTTTCATCAATGTATATTAGCTGAAATATCTGTACTAAGGTGTTTTGAAGCAACTGTCCAGTTATCTCCTGTATGCGTTCTTGGCTCAGAATTATTGACTTTTCACAGTTC
Organism: Homo sapiens; assembly: GCF_000001405.40. Lineage (NCBI taxonomy): Eukaryota > Metazoa > Chordata > Mammalia > Primates > Hominidae > Homo > Homo sapiens. Next base: position 57,609,080 of record NC_000007.14, read on the forward strand.
CTTAATCATTATTTAATACATTTTAGGGTTCTGTAATCCTGTGAACTACCCTCATTGTAGGTTTCTCGTAGTCTAAGTAAAATTAGTACTCTAAAATTTATCTGTTTTATAATATTGCTTATATCTTTACAGCAGAGTGGAAATTAATAAGATATGTATGGATGTGTGTTGGAGGGTAGTGGATTTTGGGTGAAGGGGCTTTCATTCTGCTACAGCTCTGCTGATTTAGAGGTGCAATGGGATGTTTTTGGCTAAGGAAATGTTACGTATGCTGTAGTGTGGGCTTTATGAAAGTAGGCCCAGAGATAGTAGCAACTGAAGTTCCTAGGTCACTTCTCTGACTCGTGTATCTCAGTTTTGGTTTGGAAAGCCTGAAAACTTTTGATAGGGGCACTTGGCCATGTTATAGTTGTTAAGTTGGGTGGACACACAGGTTTTACCTGGAATAATACTATATCCCAGCCAGTTGTTCAGACCATTCGAAGAGCCATTGCAAAGAAATGGCTGAGAAGTTGGTATCTTCCTTTGTCATAATTGCATTATTTACCTATAAATTCTCTATAATTTCGGTATTGTTACACTAGAGGCTGATCAACACTAACCCACCTGACTTTGTATAGCTTTTAGGCTCTTCAAAATAGTACATGGTATATCTAAACTACAAAAGTGAGGTGAGAATTTGCATATATGTAAATATGAAAGTTACTACTAAACATTAGACACATAGTACACATGGCTCTGCTGTGGTTTAAAACTGACTTTTTCATTTAAGGCAATCTGGACTCTATTAGTGAGAAATAAATTGTTTTTCTTGGTTTTATTCTCTAAAGGATCCAGCATTTGGAGGCATACATGAAACTCCATCCTCTCCAATTTCAGGGCAACCATGTGGAGATGATCAAAATGCTTCACCTTCAAAACTTTCAAAGGAAGAGTTAATACAGAGTATGGATCGTGTAAATCGAGAAATTGCAAAAGTACAACACCAGATCCTTAAACTGAAAAAGAAACAAGTAAATGTCTTTGCTTAATATATTCTAAGAATGTGTGTTTTTCTCCCTACAGAAGATATTTTTGAGTTTTCCATATTTTGAAACTTTACATAAAAGGAATCATGCCTTATATATTCTGACTTGCTGTTTTTTGCTACTATTGTGGTTTTCTTACATTCATTCATTTTCCTTGCTGCACTGTCTGATTATATGATTTAGAGAGTGAAATTTTGTTGTCCATTCTATTTTTGATTTTTTTTTCTATTCCATACAATGGTGCTGGTTTTTGGTTCACATGTAGAGATTTTCTAGGGCATGTGCCCAGGAATGGCAGTGCTTGGCCCAAGATTATGCACAGTGAACTATTTAATAGATGATACCAAATTTGCTAAGAAGTAACACCGTTTTACATTCCCACTGGCAGCTTATGTAGGTGCTGGTTTGTGCACATTCTTGCCTTTATTTGATATCATTTTTTCATTTGGATATGAAATAGTCTTCTCTGTGGTTGGAAGGAGGCTGAGCTTATTTTCATTTGTTTATGGGTTATTTGGGTTCTTTATGTGCATTGTTCATGTCTTTTGTCTATAGTCTCCTATTTTGTCATTGAAATTTTTAGGATTCCCTGAAGTCCCTTGTCAGATATGTGTATAGAAGATTTGCCTAGTTTGTGGCCTGTAACTTCACTTTTAGCCCAGTATCCACTCTTAAGTGTACACTAAGTGCATTTTTTTTCCAGATTTCAAGTCTCACTCTGTCACCCAGGCTGGAGTGCAGTGGTGCGATCTTGGCTCACTGCAACCTCTGCCTCCCAAGTTGAAGTGATTCTCCTGCAACAGCCTCCTGAGCAGATGGGACTATAGACACTTTAAGTGCTTTTAATGTATTCATAAAGTTGTACAGCTATCACCACTCTCTAACTCTAGAACATTTTTATCATTTCAAAAAGAAACTCCATACTTACTAGCAGTTACTCCCCATTTCCCCCTTTCCCCAGCCCCTGGCAATCACTAGACTATTCTCTGTCTCTATGGACTAGCATATGCCAAATATCAGAAAAAACAGAATCATATGTGACCCTTTGTGTTTGGCTTCATTTATTTAGCATGTTGTCCTGATTCATCCATGTTGTATCTTGTGTCAGCCCTTCATTGCTTTATATGCCTGAATCCCACTGCATGAGTATACTATGGTTTGTTTATCCATTCATTAGTCGATGGATATTTGAGTTGTGTTCATTTTTTGACTATGATTAATAATGTACTGTGATGAGATTCATGTACTCGTTTTTGTGTGGACGTATTTTTACAATTTTCTTTATATATCTAGGAGTGGGCATATGGTAAATCTATGTTTAAATTTTTGAAAAACTTCAAAACTGTTTTCCAAAGTCTCTGTACCATTTTATATTATTACCAGCAGTGTATGGAGGTTCCAGTTTTTCCTACCTCCTTGACAACGTCCGTTATTTTCCTTTTTTAAAAAAATATAGCTATCCTTGTACATGTGAGGTGGTATCTAGTTGTAGTTTTCATTTGCATATCCTTAATGACTAATGATGTTGAGCATCTTTTTATGTGCTGATTGGCCATTTGTATATCCTTTTAGAGAAATGTTCATTTAGATTGTTTGCTCGTTTAATTGGGTTGTGTTTTTGTTATTCTAAGAATTCTTTATATATTCTGGACATTAGTTCCTCATCAGATGTATGACTTAATAGATATTTTCTCTCATCCTGTGGGTTCTTTTCAGTTTCCTGATGGTATCCTCTGATGTACAAAAGTTTTAAATTTTGTTAAAGTCCAGTTTGTTTTTTCCTTTTGTCACTCTTGCATTTGGTGTTGTATTTAAGACCCATTGCCTAATTCACGGTCACAGATTTATACCTATGTTTTCTTCTACAAATTTTATAGTTTTACCCCTTATATTTGGGTCTTTGATCCTGATAGTGTTTTTCTGGTGAACAGAATTTGTTTAGGTTTTATATGAAAACCCACTGGGGCTATTGAGGTAGTTTTACTATATTATCTTTAGAAGTTTTATGGTTTTGCTTCTCATCTTATTCTTAATCCACTGGAAACTACGTGTTGTATAGTCAGTGTTCATTTATATTTACTCACATATTTGTCTTCTTACGTACTCACCATTTCTTCTCGCAACTCAAGTCTTCCATCTAGGTGAACACCATTCTACTGAAGAACATCTCTTAGAACTTCCTTTAGTGAAGGTCTCTTAGTTAGCAAATTCAGCATTTGTTTGGTTTTTATGACTTAAATATTGTCTTATATTTGGCCTGTTTATTAAAAGATATATTAATTTCATATGTGATTATTTTTTCTCAGTACATTGTCTTCTTGCTTCCATTTTTAAGACATTAGCTCTTGGTCTAAATCCATATTCTTTCATGGATAATGTGAATTTTCTCTCTGGTTGTTTTCAATATATTCTTTTCTTCAAGGTTCCGTTATTTTTATGATGATACATTTAGGTATTTTTTTTTCCTTTTAAATCTGTCCAACTTGAGCTTCCTGAATATGAAGGGTGGAATTTTTCATCACTTTGGGAAAATTCCAAGCCGTTATCTTTTTTACAAAACCTTTCTAACAGTTTATTTTTCTACTTACGAAATCCTGTTAGTTGTAATATCTTATCATTCTTGTCTTCCATGTCTCTGGTTTCTCTCTCATTTTTTACTTCTTTGGGCTTTATTCTGAGCAATTTCTTCAGCCTGTCTTCCAGTTTACATTTTCCTTTTCAATTGTATGTAATCTGCTGTCAAATCTGTCTTCAATTTCAACAATTATGTTTTTATTTCTGGAATTTCTGTTTGGATCCTTCTCAAATCTGCCTGGTCATTTTTTAAAATGTTTTTTTGCTTTCATTGAGTTGTATTAAATTTTTACTATATGCCCAACAATTCTAATTAAGTCTTTATTGGTTTGATTTTGCTGAGTCTCTTTTCTTTTGTCTTTATTTTCTTTACTTGTACAATGGTAATAATCTAGTAATAACACCAACTAAATCACATGATTGTTTTATGAATTGAGATAATGAATATATTGCATAATATCTGGTACATAGTAAATGTACATGCAATCCATTATAATAATTAGAAATAATGAAATATAATGTATGATTATTAGGAAATGTACCAGAGCCACAAATTTTATTGAGCGATATAAAAGACAACTAGAGAAAACAAAGAAATATGACATAGCTGGATGGAAACAGTAATAATAATGTTGTGTGTTCATCTTGGACTAAATCATGTCTCATACAATTTCAATAAAATTCCAATTAAATTTATTTTTGAAACATGGCAAATACATTGTAAATTTAATGTAAAAGAACAAACAGGGCCAGGCTCAGTGGCTCAACCTGTAATCCCAGCACTTTGGGAGGCTGAGGCGGGCATATCACGAGGTCAGGAGATGGAGACCATCCTGGCTAACACGGTGAAACCTCATCTGTACTATAATACAAAAATTAGCCGGGCGTGGTTGCAGGCGCCTGTAGTCCCAGCTACTCGGGAGTCTGAGGCAGCAGAATGGCGTGAACCCAGGAGGAGGAACCTGTGGTGAGTGGAGATCATGCCACTGCACTCCAGCTTGGGCGACAGAGCGAGATTCCATCTCAAAAATAAAATAAAATGTAAAAAGAAAAAATTTGTGTCTTGTTTCCTCATTAATGTTGGTTGAAAGCATGTTTGCACTTGTCTTTGACTTGTGTTTTATTAACATCGATTGGCATATTAAAAGTCCCTCTGAGCTTACCTTGTCTAAAAAAAGATAAGAAAAAGGGACTGTGGGAAGGACTATGAGGCAGAGGGCTGGTGTGAGCACATGCTGGGCAGGAGGAAAGAGGTAATGACCAGGACCAGGGAAATCCCCAAAACCAGCAAGTCAGGGAGCCAAATGAAAGCCTTTCATTCCGTATCGGCCACCTAACCCCATTGACACTCCAAGTGAACATTCTCTTTTAGAGATACTCATTGTCCTGTTTTCTCTGTAATCTTGTAAAGGAATCTGATTTCTCCCATTAGCCTTTCACAGGACTAAAATTTCACATTAGAATGCTATTCTTTAGAAGGCATCTTCTTAGATTAGGCTGCAAGGAGATTGAGGAAGTTACTGTCTGTCACTTATACCCCACAGGGACATTAATTCACCAGAGCTTTGGTGGGGGAGTAGAGGAGCTCCTTTCAAGCAGGACTGGATGCTGCACAGAGTGTAAAGGGGGCAGAAGGATCCAGGACACCTAGGCCTGGAGATAACGCCAGTGCTGGGAGGTACCGTTATTATCCCCATTTTTTTACAATATGTGAGACAGGATGAGGGGATGGATGGGGAGGATATCTGGGGGCCCTGCTAGAACTCACCTCCAGAGCCCAGGCTTGGGAATCCCCAGAACCCCCATATTGTCCCTTACACCTGGGTGGCTGTGCTCAAGGGCTCAGGGAAGGGGGACTCTTGTGGTCCTGGACTCCCTAGCCCTTCCCCTTCTGTGGGCCCACCCTGGGCTGTCAGAGTGTTAGGTGCTGGAATGGTGTGAGCTGGTTTGTAGTCATTTCCAAGGCAGTTTATGGTAACCTCACCTCTGTCCCTGCCATGTCCTGAGCAGAGGTCCCGGGGAGAAGTCCTGGGGCCAGAGCCACCCATCTCACCACTAGCCATATGATGAAAAACAACATATGATTTCATCATATGAGGGGGCTGCACCCTGGGAGATGGCATCGGGTGGAACGGAGCATCTGTCTTCACCTCCTTGTTAAGCAGAGGTGGCTCTGGGACTGTGGGTGGAGATACTGGAGAGGCAGTGGGAAGCGAAGTGGAGGAGGAAATATTACTGGGTACTAATGAGTCACAGTTGATAGACTCATGTCTTCATGTGCTTTGGAGGCAGTGTGGTGGGGTGCAGATGGCATATGTTTTGGTGACCTACAGGCTTACATTCAAATAGCTGTTACCTCATGTTCCACGTCTGTGACCCTGGCAGGGGGAGCTCCTCAACCCCAAACTTGCACAGCTGAGTGGGAGAAACCAGAGGGATCTTGTGTTGTTAGGGACCTGGCATCATGCCTGGCACAGAGCACTTGCAAAATCTTCATTCTCAAGATTGGCATTTGTAGCTCTGGGAGATACACAGAGAGGTCTGTGTATGTATGGGTGGGTACATGTGGATAAGTGTGGGTCTGTTTATGTGTGTGGGAGTGCATGTTTCAGGGACACAGGCTATTCAAAACCAGCACAAGTTAACTCCAATAAGGGAAGGGAAGAAAGCTCATGGTAAACCAGGAAGACACTCTAGAGATGAGGCTTCCTGCACCCCACATGGTCTCTTGGTGCCTGTGCCATTGTAGCCTTCAGTGCTCATGCTTGTCCTACCCTCAGGGTCCTCCCCCGGATCTCAGTGCCTGGCCTGTGGAAAGCTTCAGTAAATGAGGAAACATAAATATAAGGGAATATAACTAGCTAATTAGGGTAATTAAGTGAGGAGTAGCCATTTCCAACATGCATTAAGCTGTCCCTGATTTTTAGGGGCTGGAGGTCTAGTGAGAGACACAATTTGCGGCAAGATGGGGACGAAGTAGGATGCACAGAGAAGGTGAGCGTGGTTTGTAGGTTAAGTAGAAATTCACCGGGCAGAGAAGATGTAGGAAGACCCTCCAGGCAGAGGAGCAACAGGATCAAAGCCATGTGGTGAAGGAACAAGGCAAGTGGGTCAGCAATGCTACTAGAGGGGGAGGGGAAGAAGTCAAGGTGGAAATGGAGGGGCCTCAGCTCCTCAGTGCCTGGGGTGTTATGCTAAGGAATTGCGGTCTTACCCTTTAGTCAAAGGGACAACGGAGGGACATGACCAGGTTTGCAGTTTGAGAAAATTATCAGGCTGATATCTGGAAAGAGGAAGGTCTGGGGCAGCGAGACCAATGGGAGGCTTCTCTGCTCAGGTGAGAGGCGGTGGTCATCTGGATTAGGGAGAATTTGAACTCAAGGCTACAGGAACTGAGAAGACAGTTCCAGTTTACCATATGAGCAGTACCTGCTGTGGCTGGCAGGGCACCAGCACTTCTACCCAGATTATCTCATTAAAATTCTAAAGTAGACCTGGTCAGCTCTGGAAGCCACCTGGGCCTCAGGCATGAGAGAGGAGGAGGAATTGGGGCAAATGTAGTGGGTGGGTGCAGTTGGAGATGCTGAGCGTATTAGCAAAGATGGGACAGAAAAGTGGGGAGCAGGGAAAGGAGTGGCAGGGAGAGTGAGGCCTTTCCCTGCCTGGCCACAGCCTTTACCCATGAGCCTCCCATTCCTCATTCCTGCCAGATTGGCTGGACCCAGGACCAGGACCCTGGTTTGTGTTGAAGGTTCTGTCTCCTCTGTGGGCCTCCCTCCCTCTACCTCTTCCTTCTGAGGATTGCTTAATGTTCTGCCTAAACACGAATCTGACTACATACTCTCCTGCTGATAAATCTTCAAGGATGCCTCTGATTCTGGGCAAAGCCTGAGCTTCTTAGTTTTATGTTCTGGGGGTCTCCATTGTTGGATATCCCCTCCCCAGCTTCAACTCTGCCTGTTCCTCCTCGTCGAAGTACCTGTATTTTAAAATGCTACCTCCTCTCCTTTTCCTCCAAGATTTTCAGAGGTGATGGTGATGATAAGGATGGTGATGGTAAGGTGATAATGATGGTGATGATGAGGAAGGTGATGGTGAAGGTGGTGATAATGATAGTGATAGTTATGCTGAGGATGATGATGAGAATGGTGAGAATGGTGAAGGTGAGCATGGTGATGGTGATGGTAAGGATGGTGATGATGAGGTGATAATGATGGTGATGGTCAGGATGGTGATGGTGAAAGTGGTGGTGGTGATAATGATGGAGATGGTGAGGGTGGTGATAGTGAAGTTGGTGATGATACTGATAGTTATGGTGAGGATGCTGCTGCTGATGCTGGTGAGAATGGTGAGGGTGAGACTGACGATAATGACGATGGTGATGGTGAGTATGGGGATGGTGATGGTGCACCCCTTGATCTGGCAATTCGACATCTAAGAAATGTTCATTTCTTCCAGGATTTTTTTTTTTGAGTCAAGACTTCCCTATGTTGCCCAGGCTGGCCACGAACTACTGGCCACGAGTGATCCTCCCACTTTGGCCTCCTGAGTAGCTGTGATTACAGGCATGAACCATGGTGCCTGGCTTTACCCTAGGAATTTATCCCGAGGAAATAATCAGACAAGTGTGCCAAGCGGTACTTAGAGAAGGGTATTTACTGTTGCATTGATGATAGTAAGTAAGATGTGGGAAGAATGTAAATGTCCAGCAATAAGAGATTGGCTAAATAATTGTGCTACAGCTAGGCAAGGGGCTGGTTTATGGCTATTCAGAACACAGACCCTCCTGATTGAGTCAAATCTCCTGTCACTTCTCTCACACACCACACACCTCCCTCCTTTTCAGCACAAATTACAATCGTAATTTTACATTTCTTTGTGAACCTCTTTGATGAATTTCTGTATCCCTCATTAGATCCTAAGCTCCATGGAGGCAAGGAGTATACTATGTTCATTGTTGTGTCCTCCATGCCAAGTTAAGTTCCTGGAACACAGTACACTCTCAATAATTTGTTGTTAAATGAATGACTGAATCTATATTTCTTAGTATGGAAAGATGTTTGAAATATGCAATTAAGAGAAAGAGCAGATCATAAAACAGCATGCGTGCTGTAGTACACACTGCAAATTCCCTCCTTTCTTGATCATCTTTGGGGGACCACATGCGCACTCTCAGTCAATAAATTATGACTGATCCAAAGTCAATCATGACAATGCTATTCTCTAGTGCTAGGGATGGCCATGAGATCAGGTTCTGGCCAATCTAAACACAGATTTCCACACCTAAAGAGAAATCCTCTGGGGGTCACCTCTGACGTTCTTGCTTTTCTAATAAGAATACGGAAGTGACTGCTTTTGCTGGCCTTGTAAACTCATGTAGTGGTTGGAGCTTCGGTAGCCGTCTTACAGCCATAAGCTAAATTCCAATAGACTCACAAAGATGCTGGGCCTAACATTGTTGAACCAGTGAACCATAGCCAGGAACCATAGATACTCTAACTATGTAAGAAAAATGAACCTGTCTTTGTTTAAGTGACTGAACTTTCAGATTAATGCACTCCCAACAGATACAGAGCATGATCCCATATATACCTGTATGTGCAAATATGAATAGAAAAATAAAGTGATTATCTCTGCGTGGTAGGATTCTCCTTCATTTTTTTTATTTTATAAAGTTTTCCCAAAGGGCATGTAAATAATAATCAGACAAATATTTCTGTACATTCAGAAAATAAACAATGGTACTAATTTTATTTTTAAAAAATAAACAAAATATTGGGGCCCCAGAAGATAGTTCACTACCATATGATAAGTTGTTTAGCCACGACCGAGATGAACACTTGTGGGTATCCTGGAGGACAGGTTCGGCAGCAGTGAGAGGTCCCCTCCAGAACAGTATGTGGTTCCAAACTCCTGAGGGAGCGGGGGCAGACCGCAAGGAAGTAGATGAGAACCTGAATGAGGCTCTGTGGGGAGAGAGGATGTTCCTCAGCCCTCACAAGGACATGTCAGTTTCACTTGAGATTAGGTCCTGGCCTTGGCTGGGCAGCCTGCCAGGCAGGTTCTCAGCAGCATGGGGTGATAACAGGAGTACGGGAAGCCTGGCAAGCTGGGGCAGCTCTGGGGTCTTCAGGTGGGGCCGTCTTGGGCAGCAACTGTGTTGGCTGTAAACACAGATTTCCAGGAAGCAGAGCGTTGCAATCTCTCCCACCACAAACCTGGACCATCTTAGTTTCCATAGCAGCATCCATGTCAGTGAGGAATCTGGACATGATCTGTGATCCCCTCTCCCACTTTTCCTTTTCTCTTAGAATGGGACAGAGCAGCCTGGAGTAGCTAGTGTCCTGTAGTGACTCCAGTTTGCTGCTCTCTTCCTTATCTTCTTCCTCCTGCTCTCTGTCTCCTCTGCATCCTTCACGTTCTACATGAGGAAGCTCAAGTCACCGGGCTGAGCCTGGGCTTCTCATCTAAATCACGGAGTGCCAGTCAATGCCTCCCTTCCTCTTCCCAGGGAGCAAGTTTAATCTTCCCTGCCTGCAGTGGAGAGCTAGACCCTGTTCCTTATTCCCTGTGGGACCATCCGCAGCCTGTTTCCTCACCCCTGTAATGGGACTGCAGTCCTCCCTGCCCACCTGGCAGTGCTAATTCCAGGCCGGGAGCCCTCCTGGGAAAATCACCAGCGTGGGTGATACGGTGGGTGTTTGTGTGTGTGGAAGGGTGGGGCTGCCACCTGGCCACTTACAGACCCCATCCTTCCTCTCTCCCTGGGCTTGTCGCATGTCAGGAATCCCTCTCCTTTGTGCCATGAAACATAAGGCATTTTCAGATCCATCATCTCATTGAGCCTGGCATCTCCTTGGTGAAGTTGGAGTTATTGTCACCATTTTACTGATGAGTAAAATGAGGCTCAGAAAGGGGAAAGTCGTTGCCAGGGTTCCGCTGTGGACTTATAGTGGAGCTGGGATTAGGATGCGTGTTCTGGATTCCTGGCGGGGTCCTGGCCCATCTGCAGCTAAGGCCTGTCTTTCTGCTCCCATGAGGTCCCTTTTCCATTCCTTTCCTCCCCATGACAGCCACTGTCACCACCACCCAGGGTCTGTGCTCACTGTCACACCACCCCTCGCTGACCCCTGTGTCTGGGCTGGAACCCACCATGTCCATCAGACAGATTTTCCTCAGTGGTGGTTGGGCTCCAAATCCACTCTCCCCAGACTGACACAAATTGCACTACAGGGGTCCGCAACTGTAGGCATTTCTGGTCTAGAGAGAGAGAGATGGCCCCATAGAAATGTCAACATCGCTTGGTGAAGAGGAGAGTGGAAACACAGGAGAAAGTTCAGGGAGTGACGTCAGGAGTAGGTGGTCCTTGAGTTGGGTCTTGCGGGATGTGTAAGAGTTACCAGGCAAGGAAAGCTGGGAAGGGCATTCCAGGAGGAAAGAGCAGCATTCTCCAAGGCTCAGACTGGTCTGGTGGCTACAAGGTAGAGGTGGGTGACCTGGACCCCTTGAGACAGTGCTCCCTTTTCAGGAGAAAATCTGCAGCTCCCATACTTTGGGCTGTCTCAGAGTCCCCCAGAGATCTTGGGAAATTCCTGGGTCCAGTTCCCAGGGATTCTGGTCCAGGCAGAGGAATCTGCACTTCTCACAGGCAGGGGCTGTGACCTCACCCCACTGTTCTGATGGAGTTGGTCCCTGGATAACTCTGGAAAAATACAAGCAAGACTGAGAGGCTTTGACCCAAGCACTGTGCAGGGGGTGGGATGGGGATAGATGTGGAATGGGCCAGAGGAATAGTGGTTGGAGCTATACCCTCCTGGACCACCCTGTCTAAAATGTGGCTCTCCCATCCCTCTTTCCCACTGATACATTCCATCCTCCTTCACTTTTCCTTTATTTTATTTTATTTTATTTTATTTTTTGTAGATACAGGGTCTCACTATGTTACCCAGACTGGTCTCAAATTCCTGACCTTAGCCATCCTCACATCTCGGCCTCCCAAAGCACTAGGATTACAGGCATGAAGCACCGTGCTGTCATCACCAACTCACATGCTGAACATTTGACTAGTTTATTTATTATCTGTTTCACTCTACTAGCATGAGGGCTACATGAGGAAAGGGACTTTGTTTATGTCATTCACTGCTGTAGCCAAGTGTCTACAATGTGTAAGGTCATGGAAGCTGTCTCTGTTTTGGTTTGTAATTTTAATTTTGGGAAGCAGAAGATATCTGAGTGGACTCAGTGGCTGACAGGAAAAGGGAGAACAGTCTTGGTGTGCACAAGAGTGACAAGGAGACCTAGACAGAGAGATGTCAGAGGACAGTTCCTGGAAGAGGCTGACGGAAAGGTGGGGCAACTGGGAAGGGTCTCTCTGGAAATCAATTCCTTTGAAGCTGGCAGGGAGGGAGGAAGTGCATGGGTGGAGAGGAATGCCTGAAGAAGACCTCCTTGGCTTCCATATTCTTCAGGAAGTGACAGGTGAGGGGCTTCCTGGGAAGAGAGGGCAGGAGGGGAGCAAATGTAGGCTGCTGATGGTGGGCCTGCAGCAGTGCCCCAGGGTGAAGGGGTGAGTGCATTACTGAGGCTGGACCCTGGTCATGACCCTTGCCTTGGCCTCGAGACTCATTAAAAACCAGCCTCCTCCAGTGAGCTTAGATCATGCCACTGCACTCCAGCCTGGAGACAGAGTGAGACTCCGTCTCAAAAACAAAAACAAAAAAACAGCCTCCAGTCCCAATGTGCCCAGCTGGACCATGCGCTGCTTCCTGGATGTGCCACCATCACAGCCGGAACACAAATCCTGAGTCATTGCCTCTACAAAGCCTGCCTGGACTCAGTGCCCATCGCACTGGGCTCCTGCAGCACCTGGTCTGCCACTACTATGTGACTTGCCTCTGCCTGCCTCTTATCACAGGTGCCTGTGTTTTTACCTGCCTCAGTGAGGGCTGTTGAGGACAAGGCCAGTCTGATCCATCTTAGGGGCTACAGCAGGTGGCAGCAATGGCTGGGCTGTGTGAGGGCTGGGCAATAGGCAGGCCAGGTTCTCACGCTGAGCACTGGGTGCCCTTTGTGGACTCAACTGGGCATGACCACTGCTTCTGAGTGGCCAGAAGATTCCTGGGAGAGGCCTGGTTATCTTGGGCTGACCCTCTCTCCCCAGTTCCTTCCTCCCTCCCTCCCTTGCTGAAACCCTTTTGCATGTCCTCAAAATCCTGCTCCAGCACCAGCAGCCCCCTGGTTTCCAGCAGCCTCAGGGAACTCTTCCTTTTCTTCCTTGCTGTGAGTAAGAGGCCCGATCCCCTGAGGTCACTGCTGCCTTGCTGTCCTCTGCTGCAGCCCTTCCCTGGGCCTGAGCAGCATAGGTCCTCCTTGCTTCTCATTGCCTCCCTCTTTCAGCTCATCATCTTTCTCTCCCATAAAAATACATTCATGTGCCACGAAATGATGTTTCTGTTAACCCAGACCGCATGTGCAGTGGTGGACCCATGAAATTATAATGGAGCCGAAAGACACCTACTGCCTAGCCCAGTGACATAACAATTGTAACGTTATGGCACAGTTACTTTAAAAATATATTTATTAAAAAAGATTTATAATTCTATAGAAAAAGAAATATATATCTCATAGTGTAGCCTAAGTGTCCAGTGTTTATAAAATCTACAGTAGTGCAGTCATGCCCTAGGACTTCACCTTCACTCACCACTCACTGACTCACCCAGAGAAGCTTCCAGCCCTACACGTTCCATTCATGGTAAGTGTCCTAGACCAGTGCACCATGTCTAGGTACCATACTATATTTTTATATAGTGCAATACTATGCTTTTACTGCACTTTTCATGATATGTTTAAATGCACAAGTACTGACCATTGTGCTACAACTGCCAACAGTATTCACTGCAATAACCTGTGCCCAGGTGTGCAGCCTGAGAGCAGTAGGCTGTGCCATAGAGCCTAGGTGTACGGTAGGTACAATATTGAGGTGTGTGTAAGCACACTTTGTGACGTTTGCACAAGAAAAATTACAATTACCCAAGGACACGGTGACACATGAAGGGAATCAATATTGAAGCTCTTGCCCTCAGATTGCACCCAGGGCCACATCCCTATGCATTGAAGCCTTGGCTCCCAGTTCATGGGCACTTTCTCCTGCTGAGGTGATGCCAACATGCACATAGAGAGTCCTCCTCATGCTCTGGCTCTTGGTCCCTCCGCCCCTGGAGACGTTGTCTCCACCCTCCCTGAGTCACCCACTCCTACCTGTATATTTTTGTCCTTGTCACTGCAGAAAATGTAGCCACTCCAGACGCTCAATTTCAAACACCCTTTTTTTGACCACCACTTTCTTTTTTCCAGCTGCCTCCCAAATCCAACACACTTCAATTACTCCAAATTTTCACTTATGTGTCTCACTCACTTTCTTGCAAATTTCCCCTCCTCCCAGCTGACACTATATGGTCCAGCCTGTCATCCACCCTCTCTAACACTCTCCACTCTCTTGCCCACAATTGATTGTACTCCCAGGGCAAAACTGCACTCTGCTGAAATCCAGCCACCCACTCCCTCTGCTCCTGCACTCAGGTGGCTGAGCAAAGCCAGAGAGAAACACACGTGCCTTCTGCTCTCATTTAATCATCAAGCCCAAACCTCCAGTGGGCCCTGGATGATGTCCTGCAAACTCACTCATTTCCTGAGTCCATAAGTCTGCCAGACTTCTTTATTTGTTATTTTAATAAAAATATATATAATCTAAGCATGTTATGAATACCAACTGATTTAATTATCATAAAACTCTATGAATCTGTTCTATAATAATCACCATTTCACAGCTGAGGAGATGCTGGCACAGGAAGAGATGAAGCGACTTGCCCTGGAGCCCAGGCACCCAGCCCTGGAAGTGCTGCCTTGTCCCCAGGCAACAGTATCGTGCCTTCTCCTTCCTCCTTAAACCTCTAAAACCTTCCCCAGTCTTCCTTACACCTGCTGCCTTGCTTCCTATTCAATTTGAAAATAGATAAAGAGAGACCCTTCCCTGGATCCCACCCCCACATCTCCCCAGCTGCTTGTCTCTGTGCTTCCTTCTCCACCTTCGCTTGTTATTGTAGCTGGAGTGTCTGCACTCATGTTAGGGGTGACTTTTCTCCATCATATCCACAGCTCAACCCTCAGGTTCTTTCCTAAGTGTCTGCTTTGCACACTGCCCCGTTCCACAATGCAGCTCTCCCACCCATCTCACACCCCACATGCTTACTTATTCATCATCTGTTCTGCTGTACTACAGTGAGGGCTACACAGGGGCAGGGATTCTGGGTATCTTATTCACTGCAGATTCCAGCATCTAGAGCAGTACCTGGCACCTAGAAGGTGTTGGTATTTAATGAAGTCAGTCATTTTGTATGTCAGTCTCTGGCCTGGTGCTGGGGACACTAGGGTGATTCAGACAGGTCCCTGCTTATACCAAGTTTACAGTCCCATAGGGGAGACAAACACATTACCTGACAAATTTGCAGGCAGCCATTTATATTTTTCATCTTACAAAGCAGCCCTTATTGTACTTGAGAGGAAATGCACTCAAGCCGTGAGGCGTAGCCCCACCTCCCCTACTTCAGGACAGAAAGCCCCAGGCTCCAGCCCTTACATTCCTGGGCCTCCAGGGCTCCCTGGACTTTAGGAAACAGCTAGTAAGGGAGTCCAATTCCACTTTGACTCAGAGCTGTGGGATGTCAACAAGGTGCTTCCCCTCTCCGGTCCTCAATGTCTTTGTCTATTACAAGAGAGGATGGTGCCAGCTCAGCAAGCTCCACGGGGCTGGGGCAAATGGGACAGGGAGGGTGAAAATGCTTTGTGGACAGAGAGGAGGAATTCTGAGTGGCTATCAGAAAGGCACCATGTTTATTTGACAATTTCAAACATGACAGAACTGCAGAACACAGACATCAAGACTCCCCTGTAATTCCATTTGGAGTCTAAAGCTTAGATTTTGTTTGGTTTAAGCAGTGGCAAACATTATGTATAGATATAGATGTGGGATCATAAAATGTGTTTAAAAGTTATTGATGTGGGACAACTTTGCATATCAATATACAAGCATTTATTTTATTTGTTTTAATAGCTGCGAAATATCCCATTGTATGAAGAGACTAAAATCTGTCCTTCTATTGTGGATATTTGGAATGATGAACCATTGGAACAAAACAGAGAGGGCAATCAAAGCATTTGACAGCCTGGCAGGTCAAAGTGAGAGGTTTATTACAGAAGACAGTAATGCTAAAAGGGGAGGAGAGCTAAGTGAATCCACCTGCTGCAATGAGAGCCCAGAATCCCACCACCCTAAGAGGCAGGAGACAACGTGGCCAAAAGGGCAGAGGCCCCCAGGGCTCCCAGCAGTGCCAGATGCAAACTTGTCATCCCACCCTGTGTGTGGGCTTCCTATGCCCTGGACAGTCTTTCCTGAGGCAGAGGCTGTTTTAAGAGCTTAGAGCACCCATTCTACAGCAGAATTTCTTATGAATGAGGTCCCTGTTCTGTGCTCCTCACCTATCCTGGGCGCTTTTCCCAACTTGACTTTGGGTAGTGGGTGGATACAGGCCCCAGGTAAACACGAGGCCCCAGGTGGACATCAGGGCTCAAGTGGACACACAGGCTCCAGGTGTATATCAGGCCCCAGGTATATACCATTTTCCTGGTACATATCAGTAACCAAGGGGACACTGGACTCCAGGTGTACATCAGGCTCACAGGTGGACACCCAGGCCCCATATGGACACCAGCCTACAGGTGAGCATCAGGCTGCAGGAGGATACCCAGGCCTTAGGTAGATATCAGGCCTTATAAGGACACCAGGCCTCAGGTGGACATCAGGGCCCAGCTGGGGACTCAGGTTCTAGGAAGACACCCAGGCTGCAAGTAGCATCAGGGCCAAGGCGGATGCTAGACTCCAGGTGGACATCAGGCCCTAGTTGGACACTAGGCCCTAGGTGGACACCTGGGACCCTGGTGACCATCAGGCCCCAGATTAACTCCAGGCCTTAGGTGAACATCTGATCCCAGTCGGATATCAGGCCCCAGGAGAACATCAGTCCCCCGGTGGATATCAGCTTCCAAGTTGACATCAGGCCACAAGTGGACACTGGACTTGAGGTGTACATCAGGCCTCAGATGGACATTTGGAGTCTAAAGGCCCCAGGTGTACAGCAGGCTCAGGTGCAAATCAAGGCACAGGTAACACCATGCCCTAGGTGGTTACCTAGGCTTCAGGTAGACATCAGACCCCAGGTGGACACCTGGACCTCAGGTGGTCATCAGGCCCTAGGTGGAAACTCAGGTCCCAGGTGCCCATCACGTTCCAAGTGGACACCCAGGCCCCATGGTGATACCCAGGTTCCAGGTGGGCACTGGGCCCCAGATGAACTCCAGGCTCCATGTGGATACCAGAACCTGGGTGGACACCCAGCTCTGAGGTGGATATCGGGCTCCAGGTGGACATCAAGCCTCAGGTAGGTATCTAGTCCCCAGGTGGACATAAGACCCCAGTTCAACACCGGACCCTGGGTAGATACCTAGGTCTCGGGTGGATGCATCTGCAGCTGAACATCAGGCTCCAGGTGGACACCCAGGCTGTAGGTGAACACTAGGTCTTAGGTAGACATTAGGTCCCAAGTGGACAACCAGGTCCCAGGTGGACACCCAACCTTAACATGGACATCAGGCCCTAGGTAGACAGCAGGTTCAAGGTGAATATGAGACTCCCGATAAACACCGGTCCCCAGGGAGACCCTTGTCCCCAGGTGAACACCAGCACCCAGGAAGACATCCATCTCCACCTGCACATCATTCCCCAGGTGTATACCTAGGCCCTGTCGGAGCACCAGGCCTCAAGTGAGTACATAGATCCCTGGTGGCCATTAGGCACCAGGTTGACACCCAGGGCTTAAGTGGACATGAGGCCCAAGATGAATGCTAGTCCCCACGTCAATAAATAGGCCCCAGGCATACATCAGGTCTGAGGTCTATACTCAGTCTTCAGGTGGACAGTAGGCCCCAGGCAGACACCAGACCCCAGGTAGATACCGGCCCTATGCAGACACCAGTCTGCAGGTGGACAGCAGGCCCCAAGAAGACATTATGCCCTGGGTGACACCTAGGCTTCAGGGGAACACTAGGCCACAAGTGGTTACCTATGCCCCAGGTGGACATCAAGCCTTAGTGGAATTCCTAGTCACCAACTGAACATCAGGCCACAGGTGGCTGCCCAGGCCCTAGGTGAATACCAGGTCTCGCAGGGACATTAGGCCCCAGGTGAACAGCAAGCCCCAAGTGAATACCTAGGTTCCTGGTGAACATCAGGACCCAGGTGGCACTCAGGCCCTACACTCAGGCCAAAAGTGGAAATCAGAACATATGTGGACACTCAGGGCCCAGGTGGCTATCAGGCCCCAGGTTTATATCACTTTCCTGGTAGACATCAGTACCCAGGTAGATACTGGACTTCAGGTATACATCAGGTTCCTAGGTGGACACCCAGGCCCCAGGTGGACACCAGCCTACAAGTGGACATCAGACCACAGGAGGACACCCAGGCCCCAGATAGATATCAGACTCCAGAGGAACACCCAGGCCTCAGGTGGACATCAGGTCCCAGGTTAATTGCAGGCCCCAGATGGAACTCAGGCCCCACCTGGACAAAAGTCCCTAGGTAGATACGTAGGCCCTGTAGGCCCTGGGGAACATCAGGCCTTAGGTGAAGTTCTAGGCTACAGGTGGACATCTTGCTCCAGTTGGACATCTGGTCCCAAGTGGACATCAGTCTCCAGGTGGACACAATGTCCCAAGTTGGACATCAGGCACCAGGAGGACTTTAGTCCTCTGGTGAACACCAGCTCCCAGGTTGACATCAGGCTACAAGTTGACATCTAGGGCCCAGATGGACATGTGGCCCCATATGAACACTAGTCCCCAGTCAGCTAGGGACTGGGTCCACCTGGAGCCTGATGCTTAGCTAGAGACTGGATATCCACCTGAGGCCTAGGTATCTACCCAGGGACTGGTGTCAAAGTGGGGCCTGATATCCACCTGGGGACTAGGTATCCACCTGGGGCTTGATGTCCACCTCAAGCCAGATGACCTTCTGGAGTCTGATGTCCACCACAGGCCTGCGTGTCCATCTTGGGCCTGGTGTTGATTTGGATTCCAATGTCTACCTGGAACGTGGGGCCATGCTGTCCATTTGGAGCCTGGACTTTTCACCTGGGGCCTCGTAGACATCTGGCCCCAGTAAACATCAGCTTGGGGCCTGGTTGTCCACTTAGAGCCTGGAGTTTTCACCTAGGGCCTGAAGATCACCTGGGACCCAGGTGTCCACCTGGGACATCATGCTCCAGGTGTACACCCAGGCTCCGGGGTACAACGGGCCCCAAGAGAACTCCAGACCATATTAAACATCAAGTCTCAGGTGGATGCCCAGGCCCCATGGGTACACCAGGCCCCAAGTAGACAGTGGACGCCAGCTGAACATCCGCCCCAAGGTTGACACCCATACTACAGGTGGATATCAGGCCCCAGGTGAATACCTATGCTTCAGGTGTGCATCAGTCCCCAGGTGAACACAAGGCCACAGATAGACATCAGGCCTCAGGTGCACATCTGGCTCCAAGTAAACATCAGGTCTTAGGTGGATACCCAATCCCCAGGTTGACATCAGAGACCAGGTTGAAACAAAAACATCCCAGTGGGTATCATGTCCCAGTGGACGTCCAGGCACCAGGTAACTGTAACCACTGTAACGAGAAATGGTAGGTCTGAGTACCATCATGCTCCTTGCTCACAAAAGGATGCTTAGCTATTTTATTCAAAATACAACTCCATCCATCACTCTGAACAGCGATGTGTAGAAAGGAAAAGAAAAACCAGGCCCCAAGGAATCCCTCAAAAATGAGGTAGATATTATAAGGGACAGAAATCCCCAAAGGAAATGTTATAGTTGACATAGAATAGTCTTTAAAACCCATTAATTTTCTCGCACATTTGATACAAAGCATTATTTCCAGAGACTGAACCTAGAAAGAATTGCTTAAGACTAGGAGTCTTGTCCCAGCCTGGATCCCACACTGTTGAACATCTATACTTAGTACACCACATTATACATAGCACTGACATGACCTGTGTGCATTTAATTTTCTAATCCTTGTTCATCTGTGGCGTATTTTACATATATATATATATATATATATATATATATAAAACATATATAACATACATACATACAAGTACACATGCACAAAAAGTATATAAGGGTAGGATAGTATAATTGTGCCGTAACTTTTCTTGTGAAAGTGGTGGAAAATGGATTGCGTTGGCGACATGCTGGAATGTGCTTCCATTGGCAGAAGTAAGGCTTTCAAAACTAGTCGTTTCATTTTTCTCTAGCAACTGGGAATATTAATAATTGAAGATGTGTTGGTATAAAAATAATCATAATAATCACAATGAAGTGGTGTTAATAATTCTATCACAAGATATAATAGACATTATAGATATTATAAGATGTCAAAAAAAAGAAGATGCCATAATATCTTTGAGATGATTGACACGTTAAATGCGGCCTCCTGTGCCGCCCTGGGGCGCCACTCTCACTGGGTTCTTGGCGGTGCTCACCCTACTCCACCTGCTCAGCCCAGGCTCCTGCGCCCCTGAAGTCACGCCATGGGAGCGAGGAGCTTGCCGAGGCCCTAGACAAGGACAATGAGGAGGGGGTGCACGTGGAGTCCCCGCGGATAGGCTGGACGCTGGGCAGGAGCCTTTGCGGGGGTGCACAGCCTCCTCTGGAAGCCCTGGTCGCTGCCCGGTGCCTGCTGCGCCCTGCGAGCTCCGCGGCGGTGGAGCCAGGCCTGGGCTGCCTGCTCTCGGCCCTGCCTGCGGACCCTCTGCCTTTTGTCTTGCCCGTGGGGCCCGGGGCCTCAGCTGGCCCGGGATTCCTGAAGTTAGCTGATGATGGGCTGGCCTCTGGGACTGGGTCGTGGGCCTTGTGCACTGGCCGCCACGTCACCAGCGCCTACCCGGGGTGCTGCTGGAGATGCGGGATGCCCGGGCTCGGGCTCTGCTGGGTCCCCTGGCGTTGCGAACCCCGTCACCTTCCATCGCGGCCACCATGCTGCCCGCTGGTCAGCCCTGGTCTGGAGCCTTCCTGGGACCCCTCCGGCCCCAAGGAGGCATCACTCACAGCCGCTTGCGACACCGGGACCGCCTGAACCTCCGCCAGGGCTGCGCCGCGCAAGTGGCTCCAGCCAGCCAGCCCTGGCCCATGAGCAGGACTTTCCGCTCCTCGAGATGATCACCCTCGGCAGGGATACACGGCTATGGAGGAGGCAGCGGATACCTTCCAAAGTTTGTGGACACTCTTCTGCCACACCAAAAGTTTCACCATCAGCTGCGATGCCGACTGGGGCGTAGAGACCACTCCGGGATGTGGACCAGGCAGTGCGTTTGCTGGGCATCCGCCGTGCTGACCACCCCAAGTGCAGACCCGCACTTCGTGTAACTCCTACTGCACGTTCCACATCCAAAGTTCTGTTACCATTTCTAAGCAGGAGAAATCAAAAGAAACTGAAATCAGAAAGAAAGAGAGACACAGAGAGAAAGCCATGAGCAAAAAAAAAAAAAAAAAAAAAAAAAAAGAGCAAAACCTTTCGGAAAGCATAAAACACCCCAAAGCCAAAAACCAATTCTTATCTCTTTTAAACCTTCTGCCTTCTCCAATGATGAATGATTTATTTTTTTTTACCACTGACAATTCGTAATTATTAACTTCTCCGGCATTAATGAATAGAAATTGAATCACATGTGGGAGTATAATTTGTATCATATGAAGTTTTTCATATTTTAAAAAATAATTGTTCAGTTTTTCTCCATGGATTAACAATTAATGGAAAATTTTCAACATTGCTGTGTTAATGTCTCCTGAGATAATTAGATGTGAATAATCTTTTATAAACATAATTTCCTGGGTGGAATTTCTCATCTTCAGGAGCTTCATAAATAACCATGTCCCAAGAGAACTGTGAATTTGGGAACTGCAAGAACTGAGTCCCAACTTGTCCAGCCTGGAAGCTTTTGGGTGATCACTCTTGCAGGTGACTTCACTGCCTTCTGTTGAAGGGCCAGTGAGAGCCTGGGGGTTTCAACCTGCAAGAGCCTTACCGTTTTAGGGTTAGCATTAACAATGAGGAAAAGGCATACTTTTTTGATATTCTCCATATGTAATAAAATAGTTACCAAAACAAAGCAAAGTGTGAGTGGTGACTGTTGAGAGGACCCTTTTTATCTTTGCTGGATTCCCAGAGATTTCTGGGTTTCTTTTGGAGTCAATAGTATTTCCATGTTAATTCTGAGCTCTTAAAACCCACAATATGAGTTGCAGCCAGTGACTAGAGTTGCAGCCAGTGACTAGTGTTGCAGCTTGTTAAACTGATCACTGGTGGTAGAGCTTTTTCATTCTGCTCACTTCTTAAAAGGTCAGCTTGGTCAGGGATTAGTGCTCCCTTGCCAGAAATAAGCAGTTAGGAATCAAGTAAAGGAGTCAGCTAAAAGCGTAATTACTAAGTAGTGAGGTCACAGCTAGATGGTTGTTGATCTCATTTTCTCTCTGCTGCTGATTTCAAGGCTTTATACCGTGTTTTGATGTAACATAGAATGTATACTATGAAGGACAAATAGTCTGTTAGCTTCTTGGAGCTATGCTCCATTACTGGAGCAGGGGACAACAATTTGAAGGACATTACTACTTAGACAGTTTAATCTGCCTTTGGCTAGAATAAACTTGAAGTTCCAAGGGCTGGGTTCAGTTGTTATGCAAATTTAGATTGTTGCGGTAAAATTTCCAAATAAAAAGATAGGACTCTTTAGATGAAATAAGAATTTAACTGTATTTGAACCCTGTTGAAGGCCAGACAAGTTTAGGCAAAATCCCATGACTGAACACTCTGTGATGAGTCCCTTTAAATTCCAACATATAATCTATGTTGGTAAATATGATACATGCACTGGAAAAGGATGTGTATTCAGTAGTTGTTGAGTGTCATGTTCTGTATATGTCAGTTTATGTCAAGTTTCTTCATTGTGTTCATCAAATTTCCCTTTCTCTTATGGTTTTTCTTCTGTTGGTTCCATCGGTAATTGAAAGGTATGTTAAAATCTATATTGTAGATTAGACCATTTATCTTTTAGTTATATCAGTTTCTGTAGTAAATAATTTGAAGGGATATTTTATATTTATACATATTTAAAATTGGCATACTTTTCTAGTGACCGACATTGTAAAATCTTTTTTATCTTAGCTATATTTCTTGGCGTAAGACTAAACTTTCAATAATAACAAAGCAACATGAGCTTTGTGCTGATTAGTGTTTGCAGGCATGTTTTCCATTGTTTTACTTCCAAATGTCTGGATTCTTGTATTCAGATAAATTAAATAAACATAAAAAATAAATATAATATAAAACATTAAAAACTAAATATTCTAAAAATCCAGCCAGAGATGTTTCACTTTTAATTGAAGGGTTTAGGACCATGGTGCTCACACTGTGTGCTAAGGTGCCCTGAGATGCTGTGTTTAACTGACCGGGGCACCAGCGGATAGTGTGTGAGTATGTGTATGTGTGTGTGTGTATTTGAGATGGGGGTCTCACTCTGTCCCCCTGGCTGGAGTGTGAGGTCTAGGCTCACTGCAGCCTCTGCCTCCCTGAGTAGCTGGGACAACAGGCATGCACCACCACGCCTGGCTAAGTTTTGTAATTTTAGTAGAGATGGGGTTTTGCCATGTTGCCCAGGCTGTAAATTTTTGAGGGAAACAAAGCAACATTTGCTGGAAACCTTAAGAACTACTAGCCTGAAGCAGTTCATAGTTTCAAAAGTAGTTAGTTAGAAGTGCATTTCTTTACCTTTAAGGTGGGTGTTGTTAATCACCGCGATGAAAGCAAGTATTGTGCTAAAGTCAGTGTGGAATAGGAATAAGGTCCAGTGGTTGAGATCCAGTCCGATTTTAAGATTTGAAAAGTTGTGCTGTGTGCCCAACAGGCACAAACATCCCATTAGTAAGTAAATTGTGCTTTTTTAAGAAAGAAACAAAAATACTGTTTCTACTTCCATCGCGTGTTATTTTTTATGTGTACTTGCAAATCCATCACCAAAATAAAAATAATGAACATATCTAGCACTCATAAAAGTTTCCCCTTGCCCTTTTATAATCCCAAACTTTCTGTATCTTCCTACCTTACCACTCTCCCTGGCAATCACCAATCTGTCACTATAAAATAGTTTGCCTTGTCTAGACATTTATATAAATGAAATGTAGTATGCACCCTTTTTTGGAGGGGTCTGGCATCTTTCACACAGCATAATTATTTTGAGATTCAGCTATATTGCAGGCATCAATAGGTCATTAATTTTATTACTAAGTAGTATTCTATTGTGCAGATCGGTCACAACTTACATATCCATTTGCCTGTTGATGGGTTTTTGCATTGCTTCCGGTTTTGGACTTATACAAATACATTTGCAATGAACATTCATGTACATAAGTTCCTATAACTTTGAGTAAATATTAGGAGTGCAATAGCTAATAGGTTTAGGTTTAGTTTTAAGAGACTGTCAAAATGTTTGCTAAAATGGTTGTACCATTTTATATTTTTATCAGCAGTATATAAGAATTCCACACTCTTGCCAACACTTTGTATGGGCCTTCTTTTAAAAGTTTAGACATTTTCATGTGTGTACAATAGTATTTTATTGTGGTTCCATAATGCCTAATAACATTTAGTATCTATGTACTTACATGCCATCTGTATATATTTGGTAAAGTGTATGTTCACTTTTTTTTTGGCTTCTTTTTTTGTTTTTTTTCTTTGCTTTTTTTCTCATTATTAAATTTTAATAGTTTCTTTATATACTCTGGATTCAAATCCCTTATTAGATATGAGACTTGCCAGTATTGTCCCCTTGACTTTTCTTTTTTGTTCTCATAACACTATCTTTCAATTAGCAGATGCTCTTAATTTTGATGGGGTCCAATTTATTAATTGTTCTCATGCATTTGGTTTCTGGGGCTTCATCTAAGATATTTTTGATTAATTGAATATTATGAAGTTTTTTTTTCTTTATTTTCATCTAAAAGTTCATAGCTTTTAATACTTTATTTTATATTTAAGTTAATGGTCCTATAAGTGACAGAGCTTTAACCCAAGTCACTGTCATGCATAGGTGGACCCAGGGGCTTATATAAGATCATCAAGAAATGTTCTCCTTCTTTCTCTTGACACTTTTCCTTTTGTTTTAGCCTCATTTTTTCCTTCTGAAGGTGACTCTCTTCTCTCTCTGTAGCAAGAGATAGTGCTACAAATAACCCACTTTACTTTGTCCTCGCAGACCACAGTGGTAGAAAAAGCAAGAGTCCTTCCTGATGATTCCAAAAAAAAAGTACTGAAACAGTTGCTATGATCCAAGGGTAGAGTCTTTTGCCAGAGCTGGGCATCATGATCACCTCTAGGGCTGGGGCTGGTAGGTTGGGTCAGGCCTAGTTGGTGCCCATTGAAATGGTCCTCAAAGAAAAGGGGGGCTCTCAAGAGGAGGGTTGCTGAACACCCCACCAAAAAATAGCCACTGTGTACATACCTACAATTCCTTGCCAGTTTATAAGCAACTGGTTGGGTGGAAAATGACTAGAAATTCAGTTGTCATTAATTTTCCTTTATAATGTCAGTAGGATGAGCCATACATTTCACATGTTGTGGGTTATGTCCATGATAGTCATTTCTGTGTATTAGGTATCAATTTGGAGTATCATCTGAAGAAATATACTATTTTGTGATGTTATCCTTAAATTAATATTTTTAGGATAAAGAATTATAGGATGAAAGAAAAGTGTAGGATAGAAATAAAAGAATAGAGAAAATGAGAGCATGGATATACTGCAGAAAATGGCCAAACAGGAAAAGTACTTGTGAGAGGTACTGAAGTACATAAGTGATATCACATAGACCTCCAGGAAATTACAACTACTGGCATAAGAACAAATTATCCGAATAGTCTTTGCTAATACTGAGTCTTTTCTGCTTGCAAAAGAAGTAAGAATGGTAAGGAATCGGGACATTGTTCAGATAGGCCTCAATGCATTTATTCATTTACCTGTTGATGGGGTTTGGGGGTATTAATGAAGGATGTTAAAAAATAATAATGGGCATGCTAGGTAATCATAATTGATTTGTCCATTTGGTGTGAAGAACATTTTGCCTACCTTCTTTTTTGTCGAGGGATTCATTTTTAATGTCATGTTGGATTCTATGGCTTACTAAATGTGTAATTGCCTATTTATGGATTCTGAAGAATTTTATAAAATGTATTTGCCAAACATTTTGAAAGCTTAGAACTTCTCCAAGGAAGAAGTTCTTTAGTGCTTTAGTGCTGCCCTGACAAATATGGTAGCCACAGCCATGTGAATATTGAGCATTTGAAATGTGGCTAGGCTGGATTGAGATGTGCTGTCAGGGGAAAACACACACCAGATTTTGAAGACTTAGTAGGAAATAAAATTAAACATATCTAATTAATAACTTTTATATTGGTTAGACATTGACATAATATTTTGTATGTATTTTACATATAAATATACATTCATGTGTATGTGTAATTAATATCTTCACATGAAATACTTCTCAATTACAATTGGAAGAATGATGACTTTGTGGTGGAGAAATCTGGCACAAACTTGATCATATGCCTCCTGCTGTGATGTCCTAGGAAGACCACAGCATTATTTCTGTGGTTTTCTTGTGAAAGATACATGACCTAAGTCTGGATATGGAAACCCATCAGATGGAAAAAGGTGAACACATCCTTCATAAATGCTTATGATCTTTAAAACTCTTAAGGTTATGAAAAATAGGGCAAAAGAGAGGAACTGTTTGAAGTTGAAGGAGCTTAAGAGACATGACAATTAATGCAATGGGAAATCCTGGATTGGATCCTGGATTACAAAGTTCAAAAAAAATGTATTTAGGGCGCCACTGAGAAAATTTGGATGAGATTATAACATCTGTTGATTGGACAGTAGTGTTGGGTGAATGCTGATATCCTGACATGGATGATTATGTTCTGGTTATGAGAACTTTTCCCAGATTCCTCATTGTTTGCCCATTGCGTTCATGGACAATGTGGTGATGGTAGCAGGAGAAGATGCTGCATGTTTCCAATAATATGAACTTCCCTGCAGCAGTGCTGCCTACTGCCCAGATGAGTGCCCTGACTGCCGACAATGAGCAATGCTGAGACCCTGGAAAGAGGAACTACCTTGCCTAGACCAGACAGATTTCTGGTAATGTTGTAATAATATTTTTTCCCTTCCTTCATGGAAGTGGTAAAGAATTGCCCTCACTGGAATAGATGCATATCGGAATATGGACTCCACTTCATATGCTTCTCATAGCATCAAATTATTTACATTTGCTGAGTTCTTATTCTCTGCTGTCATACAATATTACTACTGATGATGGAGCTTATTTTACAAAAAAAAGGAGTGATGCGATGGGCTTCAGCCCAGATTTATTGGTCTTGTGACATCCCACATCACCCAGAGGAACATGACCTCACAAGAATCAGTTACTTCACCAACTGTGAGACCCTGAGGGGCTGGGTTTCTATCCCCCAAGATGTGTTAGATGCCCTGACCCAAGAGCCCTCCTACCCAGAATGCATGGTTCCATGTAGCAAGGATCAATGTGATGGTGGTGATGATGATGGTGAGGATGGTGACGGTGAAGGTGGAGGTGGTGATAATGAAGTGATAGTTATGTTGAGGATGATGAAGGTGATGATGATGATGAGAATGGTAAAGGTGAACATGGTGATAGTGAGAATGGTGATGGTGGTGATTGTGATGGTGATCATAAGGATGGTGATGGTGAAGGTGGTGATGATAATAGTGATAGTTATGGTGAGGATAATGGTGATGATGATGAGGATGATGATGGTGAGAATGGTGATAGTGATGATGATAGTGATGGTAATGATGATAATGATGATGATTATGAGGATGGGGAGGGTGACAATCATTATTATGGTGAGGATGGTGATGGTGAAGGTGGTGATAACGATAGTGATAGTTATGGAGAAGATGCTGGTGTCGATGATGGTGAGAATGGCGGGGGTGAGAATGGCGGAGGTAAGAATGGTGATGGCGATGATGATAGTGTTGGTGATTGTAAGGATGGTGATGGCGATCATGGTGATGATGATGATGGTGCTGACTGGGCTATGAGGTAATGGAGGCAGAAAAGTGGAAGTTTCTAGGAAGTATAGAGCCAGCTGGGAACTGCAAGGCAACCTTAGTGGGGGTGGAAGATGTCGGGCCCCTGCCTCATTTCTAGACATCTGGGGAAAGCTCACCCCTCACAGTAGTTCCAGGAACCCCTCCATCCAGCATTTCCTTCTCGCAATCAGCATGGAGCTTTTGGGGTGCAGAGAAGTGTCTTCTATTCACTGCACTCTGTGGGAAGGGAAAATGGGGAGTGCTATTTATGAACCCAGTATAATACAGTAGGGTCTTATCTAATATATTCTGGGAGAATTTTCAGCTGAAGAGAGCAAGCCTCAGAGAAGTCAGATAACTTTATCTTCAATAGCATCCAGTTGTGATTTATTGAGCAGTTACTATGTGCCAGGCAACATGCTGGGTGGTTCCTTATATGTTATCTCATGAAATCCTACAGCAACACAAGGAGACAGGCATAACTACCCCATTTTAAAAATTGTGGTAAAATTAACTAAAATTTACTGTCTAACTATGTTTAAGTTTACATTTCGGTGGCATTAAATACATTCACAATGTTGTGCAACCAATTTCCAGAATGCTTTTCATCTTGTAACACTACCATTCTGTAACTCATTTAAAAACAACTCCCCAATCCCCACCCTCCCCAGGACCTGGTAGCCACCATTCTCCTGTCTGTCTCTATGGATTTGACTACTCTAGGTGCCTTGGAAAAGTGGAATAATACAGCATTTGTCTTTTTGGTCTGGCTTATTTTGCTCAGCCTAATGTCCTCAAGGTTCATTCTTGATGCAGCAGGTGTCAGAATCTCCTTCCTTTTCAAGGCTGAACACTATTCCACTGTATGCAGAGACAGCATTTTGTTGATCCGTCCGTCCATCCATGGACACTTGGGTTGTTTCCACCTTTTGGTTATTGTGGATGATGCTGCTCTGAACATGGTTGTGCAAGTGTCTCTTCCAGGCTAGCCCCATTATACAGAAGAGCATAGAGAGATTCTGGGAAGGGGCATGACCTGCCTGGGGCCTTTGGTGAGGTCCTGGTGGAGGATCTCCCAGACCTCAAAGGCAGAGCTCCTCTCCTCACCCCACTGCCTTTCTTAGGACCTGCCTCCTGCTCCACCACACAGTGCCCACTCCCTGGTACTAGACTTGCTAAGGTCTCTTGATCCTTGAAAGTTCAGGGACAGGAACTGGTGGGCACAACTACAGTCAATCACTGCTCTGTCACCTACTGCAGACTCTGTGCCAAACAATACATGACAATGACCTGCTTTCCACTGTTTCACCAGATGTGGATGAGGCATCTGCTGCATGCCAGGCATGTGTGGGCACTGGATGGAGACCCCTGGGAAATGAGAAGATGTGAGCTCCTCAAGACCAGGGGCATCCCTTTCCCTTGCTGCTACCCTGTGAGGGATGGAGGGGAACCCTGAAGCATTGGAGAAGTGCATGAGTGACCTAGCTCAGATGATGATATCATAGTAACCCTATTTATTATCACCTACCATGTGCCAGGCATTGTGCAAAGTACTTTGCACACATTACCTGCTGTAAAGCTCAGAGACAACTGTAGGAGTGAATCTGTTATACCTCCCACTTTACAGGGGAGGAAACTGATGCCCAGAGAGGTGAATCAGTCTTCCCCAGGCCTTGCAGCTAGTCTCTGGGATGTGGATCCAGGCAGTCTGACTTAGAGATCCCCTCATCCTCGTGGTTTTTGCCCCTGCAGCCCTCTGACCTGTCCCCAGGGCCCTGTACCCTTGGCCACCTCCAAGATGACCTGGACATGGGCTTCAGCAAAGGTAGCAACCCCAAAACACCTCCATTTGATAGGGAGGAAGCTCAGGCCCACCACAGGAGACCTGGGCTGCAGGTGGTGTAGGTGCTGGCTGAACCAAAATGCACCCATGTTGGAGGATGCACCCTAGGATGGGCAGCAGCGGGAGGTCTCCCTGCCCAACAACTGGTAGTGGTACCTGAGAACAAAGGAGGAGAAGGAGGCTTTGGACACAGGTGTGGAGAAGCCCAAGGAGGAAGAAGAAGACTCAGACTATGGGCTGCTGGATGGCCTCAAGGATCCCCTCCCAGAAAAGGAACTTTGAGACTTATACCCAGGGCTGAGATGAAAGTGCTCCCTATTTTCTATCCTGGAACTGCTGCAAACCTCGGCATGACATCACAGGGCCTCATTTCCCTATTTGTAAAATGGGATTTTATGGGGGTTCCAATGAGACACTGGACCCAGAGCATTTTGAGAATTGTAAAAAATGTACAGTGAGGGAATAATTATTATCAATGGACCATTGCTCTTCCAATAGTTAGTATTCTTTAGCAAATATTTGAAGGTAAAATATGATTTGTTGAGGAGGTTTGCAGCAGCTGAGGCCCTCAAGAGTCTTTTCTGTCTCTGTTCAAAGCTGGCCTCTGACAGGGACCTTCTTGGCACTACCCCTGGGCCTCTCATCCTTTGTGCAGGCTTCTCAGGGTTCTTATTTCTATTGCATCTTGTGGTTCCTTAGTGGATGGCATGCTCCATCTTCACTCAAAGCTAACTGCATCTTCTCCAGGTCCATGTCCCTTGTGCAGCACCCACTGCTCCCTCACCAGGATTCAAAACCTTCTGTGACTGACCTCTGCTGACCTCCCAACTTTATCCCCCCTCATTCTTTCTGCTCCTCCAGTTCCATGCCTGCACCCCTCAATCCTGTGACTCACACTCTCACCCAAGCTGTTCTCCATCAGGATTTCCTTGGCTCCCTTTTCTGCTAGGCAAATTTGTGTTCATCCTTCCAAGCCCTGCACAGATGTCCTCCTCTGAAAGCTCTCCCTGAGGTCACAGAGTCCTGGAACAAGGCAGTCTTTGCTCCTCTGCTGCCTCTGGGTTTTGTGCCTTTATCACTTTGGTGTGACTGCCTGCCTCCTGCTGAAGGGAGGCATTTTGGCTTTACTCACCTCAGTATCTCCTGGGTCCAGCTGGGTGTCTGGCCTGGCCCAGAATCGGTGCTCATCGAAGGTGTATAGAACTCACAAGGACCCAGGAATGTTTTGCAAATAACACCACCCTCCCACACTTCTCCAATGTTTACTTTCTAAGCTCCTTTACTCTTTGACATTCAAATTTCTAAATGGCGTGTATGTATTTACAAAGCCTGGGAAAACGCCTTCAGAGGACAAACACACCCCACTGGCAGAATGTATTTGCATTGACTAGCATTATGGATGAAATTCAGCTTTCTGGCAAATGAATCATTTGGCATTGACTGAGTATCTGCTCTGTGCCAGATACTAAACTGTGATCTCTAGAAAGAGATATGAACTACTGACACAGTCCTTGACACTGAAGAGCTCAGAATCCAGTGAGCTTGATTTCTTGTAAGTTAGAGACAGAGTTCAGAGCAGAAGCTCAGGAAGGAGAAGAGAAGTAAAATGGACACAAGAGAGGCAGTGACAGCCACACAGCTGTCTGGGGGGACACTGGGTGCAGCAAGAAATAGCTTAGGCTGCCTTGGCAGCCCACGAAGGTATCACAGTCTCCTATTGCAGCATCTCAGTAATGCTTTTGTTATTCTGATCTCTGCAAAGCCCCGCTGTGCCCCAGCCCAGGATGGTGGCAGCCATGCTGTGGAGAAAAGGGCAGTGACCAGGACCACAGGCTCAGAGCTTGCACCCTGGACCACCTGGGAATGGGAGCCCTTCACATGTTCTCTGCCTCTGTGTTCAGGTTGGGGGTCCTGGCCAAGGAAGGGAGATGACCCCCATGCTGGGTCAAAAGGACACACTCCCAGGAACAGACTATCTCTTCTTTCTGGGTAATTTCTGCCTCTGCAGTGAATGGTGAAACCAGACACATCCTCTGTGTTGATATGACACAAAGACAGGCATTCCTGCTCATGGGCTGAATCTTCAGATGAGGGGAGGTGTAGCACACTCCTGTGCTCTGCTGGCTAAGGCAGGGACACATGTCACCCCATCAGAATGAGTGCCAGACCAATGGCTACAATAAAATCATTTTCAATATTCAAAGGAGTCACCTTCATTCATCTACAAATACTTTTCCTTTTCTTTTGTTTTTTTTTTTTTGTTTGTTTTTGTTTTTGTTTTTTTTTTTTTTTGAGATGGAGTCTTGCTCTGTTGCCTAGGCTGGAGTGCAGTGGCATGATCTTGGCTCACCACAACCTCCGCCTCCTGGGTTCAAGCGATTCTCCTGCCTCAGCCTCCCGAGTAGCTGGGACTACAGGTGCCCACCACCACATCTGGCTAATTTTTGTATTTTTCATGCTGACAAGGTTTCACTATATTAGCCAGGCTTGTCTTGAGCTCCTGACCTTGTGATCCGCCCACCTTGGCCTCCTAAAGTGCTGGGATTACAGGTGTGAGCCACCGCGTCTGGCCCAAGTTTTTTTCTATAAAACCACCTATTGCACTCAGGGTAGGGTAAATGATGCATCATGCCTGCTGGCAACATGGGCCCTATCTGGAAAGTGAGTGCCACCACCATGGCACAGTGCTGTGCAGTGCCTGTGTGGTGCTGAATCTCAGGAGCAGCCCCCATCCTGTGAACCACAACTACAGGGACCTTAGACATAAGCAAAGACCTCTGGTGTCCAGGCCTGCCAGCAAGCAGATGCTTAACCCTGTCCTTGGGGTCTGCAGGGAGGTCAGGCCAGTGGAGAGGTTGCAAGACCCATGTGTGGTCTCCCACACTCCCTCCCATGCTATGCAATGGGGCCAACCACACACCCGATCTGCCTGGGAGGGTCCTGGTATGCCCACTGCCTCGCTGAGTTATGAGGAATGCTGCCTCTCACATCTCACCAGTATCGCATTTGAAGGACAGATTATGTCTTCCCTTCCCCACCCTGTGGACCTTCGCTTCCTCATGTGCAAGTGGGGGATGATATGCTTACATGGTTATGCAGTGGGGGTATCGATGAGATCCATCTATCAATACCCTGCATCCAGCAACCACCTGGAGCACACCTGCAGTTCACAAGCTGGGCTTCCTGCTGCAGTGAGGGGACCAAGCACTGCCTGGAGCCAGGGAGCTTCTCTGAAGGAGGTGTTGGAAAGTACTTGTTCCAGAACTTGGGCTTGTATTGGGAGTTTGGGGGAGGGTTGAAAGAAGCCTTTGCTCCAGATTGGATGCTGTCAGAGGCAGGGTACATTCTATCACCTGACATCTTCCCCAACCTTACCTAGAGGGAAGGAAGACAAGACCAAAGTTAATGCTGCAATTGACAAAGAGGTAGTGGTCATGAAATAGACACACGGGAGGGGATGTGAGGTCATTTTTGTCCATATTTTGCATGAGCTGAGCCATGATAGCTACCAAGTGACCTTGCTTTGTCTTGACCCATCATGGTCACAGAGCGACCTTGTCTGATGCTGACAACCTGTGCAGTTCAACAGGAGAACACCAATGGCTTGCCAGCAGTGGTTGCTGTCCTCCTGAGGACTCACTGCTCCTCCTCTGGGGCCGACTGCTGACCGTGGGAGGGGAATATGCCATGGGTTTTTTTTTTTTTTTTTTTTTTGCAGAGCAAGGGCAGGGGACTCTGATGCCTTCAGCTCTGGCCATCCTGAGTGCTGTGATCTGCTTCCCCTTCTTTCTACACCACTCGCAATCCCACCACGCTGCTGCAGTCACTGCCAACTCATAGAGCCTTCTAAGGGCCCCAGGGTCTCTGGGACACCCCCTCTCCCCTGGGAGGGAAGCAAGGTCCTCATGAAGGTCCCAGGTGCAGGTGCTGAAAGAGTGTGGAGGTGCCTCCTTGAGTGTCAAAGTCTGGGATTCCAGCTTTCAGCCTCAGGTTCCAGGTGTGTGTGCCGAAGTGGAATTTTCTGCTCTCATTCGCTCTCCTGTCTGGTAAGAGGAACTTGGGGAGTTTCCTCTCTAGGGGATGGAAAGGCCCTGGAGAGGCGGCCTTGCCCTGAACTGGGAAGGGGTGGGCATGGGAAAGCAGGGGCCTGGGCTCTACCTACTGCTTGCTGACAGCTTGGGCACAGCACTGCCCTCCCCGGGCTCCTGTCTCTTTTCTCTGTATGATTAGGTGGAGGTGGATGGGATTCTGCTTCTACTCCCAGTCCTTGGGCACCATGTACATTGCAGGTGCTCAAAGTGTTGGTCTTTCCTTCCCTTTCTAGGTCTCCATTTCCTCATCTATACAGTAGGGAGCAACACTGTCCTGATTATAAATAAGACAATAGGTGAATGCACTCAGCAAGCCTGGGGGCAGGGATGCATAGAGAAGCTTCTTGCAAAGGTGAAGAATGCGTGCTCTGAGCCCTGTGCTGAGAGGCAGGTGAGAGGACAGCAAGCCCAGCGACTGAGGCCTACAAAATGCCCCCTGCAGAGAGGGAGGAGGAGCAGTGTTCTAAAGTGGGTGGGAGGCAGCATCCCCAGTGCTTGCAGGAGGAGCAGGACTGCTTGTACTTGCTCAGGTGAGTGGTAGGTTAGGTTCTTAGGCATCTGCTGGGTATCAGATGCTGCACAAGCATCATCTCCATGAATTTAATCTTTCCATCATCCCTGAGAGTTGGGCATTACAGGGGCATAGTGGGATTGAAACACAGGTGTCCTGAGCCTGTGCATTTTCTACTAGGCAACTTGGTTCACATGTAATAATAGGACCCAAAAATACACCTGCTATGCTGTGCTCACCTGATTTCATAACATCCTTGTGACCTGCGAGGTTGGTGTACTGTCCTCATTTTATGGATGAGAAAACTGAGGCTCAGAGAGGCTGAATAATTTGCTCATCCTTCCAAAGAACTAAACGGAAGAGAGGTCCTATAGCTGTGGGGCCTTCTATTCCTGGCAGGAAGTGTGCAGTACCCCAGGCCATTCTGACCCTACTGCAGGCAGGAGAAAAGGCACATCAACAAATCCAGCAGCAAGCTTCCTCTGAGGGCCTCCCTGGCCTTTCTTTGCACTAGTGCTGATGAAGAAACAGCCTTGTTCCTTCACCTAACATGGCTTCCTGCCACCCCCAGGATAAAGGTCAGAGTCCTCAGTCTGTGTTTGAGACTCTTCATGGTCTGGTCCCACCTGCATTTCCAGCCAATTCCTCCACAACGGCCCCCAGTGCAGCAGCCCTGGCCACCTGTCCCATCCCACCATCCTGCCTTGGCTCAAGCTGTTCCCTCTGTCCCATGCTATTCACACATAGAACAAGGAGAAGCTTGATATAGGCTAACCTGAATTTTCCATTTGAGAGCATTTTCAGCTTCTGGAAACAGACATTTCACCCAAAATTCCAGATTCCCTGCTTCTCTGAAAATAAATAAATAAATACATACATACATACGTACATAAATCTGCTCTTACTCTGCACTATTCTGTTTTTTGAAACAGAGTTTCACTCTTGTTGCCCAGGCTGGAGTGCAGTGGTGCGATCTCTGTTCACCGCAACCTCCGCCACCTGGGTTCAAGTGAGTCTCCTGCCTCAGCCTCCTGAGTAGCTGGGATTTACAGGCATGAACGACCATAGCTGGCTAATTTTCATGTACTTTTTTTTAGTAGAGATGAAGTTTCACGATGTTGGTCAGGCTGGTCTCCAACTCCTGACCTCAGGTAATCCGCCAGCCTCAGCCTCCCAAAGGGCTGGGATTACAGGTGTCAGTCACCTCACTTGTCCAGTCTGCACTATTCCTTAGTGTCAGACAATTTGAGCCAAACAATGTCTTTCTCATTTGGACATGACCTTCAGGGTCTAATTTTTGTATTTTTAGTATAGATCAGGTTTTTTTTTTTTTTTTTGACAGAGTTTCACTCTTGTCGCCCAGGCCAGACATTGCAGTGGCATGATCTCAGCTCAATGCAACCTCCGCCTCCTGGGTTCAAGCGATTCTTCTGCCTCAGCCTCCCAAGTAGCTGGGATTACAGGTGCCTGCCACCACACCCGGCTAATTTTTTGTATTTTTAGTAAAAACAGGGTTTTGCCATGTTGGGTAGACTGGTCTCAAACTCCTGACCTTAGGTGATCCACCCTCCTCTGCCTCCCAAAGTGTGGAATTACAGGCATGAGCCAGAGCCTGGCCTCACCTGGTTAATTCTTTGTATATTTGAAGAGACAGGGTTTCACCGTGTTGTCCAGGATGGTCTTGATCTCCTGACTTCGTGATCCGCTGGCCTCAGCCTCCCAAAGAACTGGGATTAGAGGTGTGAGCCACTGCACCTGGCCTCAATGTAGCTTATTATCAAAGTATTTACATAGAAAAATTAATCAAAGGGCACAAGCATTTCAATACTTAGGTTAAGATGAAATCTGTGGCCGGAAGAGTGCCAGACACACATGAAATGTTTTGTGCATGAAGGAACCACAACTTAAAATGATTTTCTGTTATGCGTTTTGGTATGTTATTTTGGAAATGTGATTAATCACGTATGTCAAGGACGTTGGGAAGAATTTCCAGATACTCTGATATGCATGACATCTTAATCATACAATATAAAGCAAGGCTATCTTAGGAAATTAGGTATCACTGCCAAAGACCTTTACATGAGAAGATAAATTAAAATTACTATTAAATTTGTAACAGTCAGATGGGCTGGCAGGCAAGTTGTGTCATTTTTTTTCTTAGCATTTTTTCTTTTCCTTGATTCAATAAAACAAACTTAAATGCCAGCTATCTGCAGAACCCTCACTAGACTATGTTTAATGATATGTGAAACACAGCCTGCACACTCACAGATCCTTGCCACGTCCCATCCTCTCAAAACCTGTGTTACCCTGTGGCTAGATTTCTCAAGGAGATGAAAGAGAGAGACGAATGAGAACCATCTTCTTTCAGGGTGCTCTGCACTGTTCCTGCAGGTAGACAACGACCTCTCCGGTAAGGCTATTATCCTTGGCTGGGGGGTGGAGGCCTTAATCCTAGAAAAGAGGCCTTTCAGGGTGGGGAGGCGATTTAAATTCTTATGAGAGAGACGCAGCTCCCCACCTCATCTGGACCTTCACAAACCTAAACTGGAACCGCCGGAAAAATGACTGACAACCGGCCACACAAGCCAGGCAGAGACGCGGGGAGAGGCTGACCACAAGAAAGGAGGACGTAGAAAATACCACCCTCTGGCGCACAGGGCACATGTGTCCCAACACGCACACACAGACGGACACAGAGCAAAAGAGTGAGAAAGGGGAGAGAGAGAAACAAGAGAGAGATATACGTACACACACAAACGCACAAAGACATACAGCAGTGGCACGGTAACACCTACCCCCAGGTAGCCCCTGAATTTTCAGGGTTCTGCTCTCCACGACTACAACCCACTGGTGAGAGAGCAGCCCAGGGGCACACAAGAAAACCTCTCCTTTTTTGAAGAGACTCACTGGCACACTGTCCGTGCAGGCCTGAGGCTGGGATCCCGCACTGCTTCCCCGGCCCTCCGCCCGCAGCTTCTTCCTCCTGGACGACCCTCCGTGAATCCCGGCCTCCAGAGACTATCCTGTTGATGCCCTGGCCATGACTGGTCTTAGCCCCGGCCATGACTGGTCTTAGCCCCGACTCTGACTAATCCCTGTAGTCCCAGGTACTCGGGAGGCGGAGGCAAGAGAATCACTTGAACACAGGCGGCAGAGTTTGCAGTCAGCTGAGATCCCACCACTGCACTCGACTGAGCGACAGAGTGAGACTCTGACTATAAAAAAAAAAAAAAAAAAAGAAAGAAAAGAAAAATGACCGTGGAGCGGCGGCTGCGGGAGTAGGGCGGCGGCGGGTGAAGTGAAGATTGGGAGAGAGGCCTCGTCAACTCTCCCCGAATCCAGGCCTGAGGCTGGGATCTCGCGCTGCCGCCCAGGTGATCCGCCTGAGGTTTCTTCCTTGTGAGGTTTCTTCCTGGTGGTCGACCCTCCGAGAATCCCAGGCTCCGGAGACCATCCTGTTAATGCCCTGGCCAGGACTGCTCTCAGACTTGACCCTGACGCACTATCACACGGGGCTCCTACTTCGCAAAGTCTCAGAAACCCATCCCCGGGCAACAGTGTCAATCACTACGACCAAAGCGGAGGCTCAGGCCTTGCGCATGCGCACTGGCAAGGCCGACTCCCAGCTTGCTTCGGAGAGTCAGGCCTCAGATCCTTTAAAAAATGGCGGCGATGCGCGGCCGGGGGTCTGGGGCAGCGGTGGCGGTGGCAGCGCAGTCCGAGGCGGCGGGTGGGAAGAGGACTACAAGAGGGTACTGCGGGAGACCCAACGGTTGGACCCATAGAGGTCCTGTCATCAGGACCTTCTTAATCGGTCTTCTGCTTCGGTTCCCAGTGGAGGAGGAGCTTCAGGGTGCGGCTGGGCTCTCTGGACTCCTCTTCAGATCTGACTATGGATCCCACGGGGTGATCAGGAATGGGGTTACAATGCAGTGGGGCGGGAAGGGTCTCGCTGGGGCACAGAAAGATCCTAAGGGCTGCAAGGCGTACTGTCGCTGAAAATGCACTGACCCATGAGCCCACTGCCTCCCTCCTTCCTAGGTGGAGCAGTGGTCTGACTTCATCTCCAAGGTTCGGGGCTCTGTTATCCCGACACTGCTTTCCGTGGCATGTGCAAGGAGAGACAGAGGCGAGTCCGAGATGGAGCCAATGTGACCACACGTGGCACTAATGTTCCCCAAGAG
Organism: Homo sapiens; assembly: GCF_000001405.40. Classification (NCBI taxonomy): domain Eukaryota; kingdom Metazoa; phylum Chordata; class Mammalia; order Primates; family Hominidae; genus Homo; species Homo sapiens. The sequence goes on from NC_000007.14 coordinate 57,647,606, forward strand.
TAGATGGAGTCAGTGTGTGTCTTTGAGGCCGTATGGGGCGATGCTGAGACGGATGGTGACGTCCAGGTGTGTGCAGGTGGGTCACTGGGACCTCCCACACAAAGCCAAGGAAAAGCCAAGCACACTAGAAAACCTGTGAGACAGGGCCTGTGCCTGAGTCCAAGCCACATTCAGGGATGACTGCCAGAGGGGCCAAGAGGTTTTGATAAACGACACCACACCGACATCCCGCCACCGGTAGGTACCCCTGACGCCACGTCCCCTGCACCCAGAAAAACCCAGTCCCTTTGGCTCCCTGACATCTGTGGCAGCCAAAAGATTCAGTGCTTGGAGGCACTTTCCCCAGGAGCAGAGGAACCGGATGGCCCTCAGGAATGAGAGAGGAAGGGCAGGTGGGATGCAACACTAACTTTTCTAGAAGACAAAGGTCAGCCATGGTGGGGTTGCCTCCCGCTCTTCCTGGACTGACCACGAAGCCATCACTTGGGACATGCAGACAAAGGGAGCTTCCCTGTCCAGGACAGGTATGGAAGCCCAGAACTCCAAGATCATCATTCCCTATCATCCAGAAATAGGTTGGAGAGGGAAGCAATCATAAAAGAGACCCCAACGAAATTTCTCCCTAATAGACTGGGAAGTATTCTTTGTTGAAGACATTGAGCCAGACTAAGAAGCCTCTAGGCTTCACAGAAACTGGGCAGACAGAGCAAGAGGGAGGACAGCGCAGAGGCCAATGCCACAGCACAATGCCACTATCACGGGCATCCGGGAAAAAGTGCCAAATGGGTGACTTGGCCAGGAAGTGGCAGACATGCTTGCCCCATCTTGTAGCCAGCTTCCTTTTCTGTCCCAGTGTATAGCTGTGGGTAGATTTCTCAATGAGGCAAAGGGCGAGAGGAGTGAGAACCATCTTCTTGAAGGTCTGTGGGCACACTCGTGCGGGTGGACAATGAGCACCTGTGAGGCCTTTGTCCTTGGTTGGGGTGTGGTCGTCTTGATCCTAGCAAGGAGGCAGCACAGGATGGGAAGGGTATTAAAATTCCTGCAAGACAGGCTGGAGGCATGAAGCCCCTTCACTGAAGCACAGCCATGGACAACCCCTGTTATGCCAAAATTCAGGGACTGGATATTAAGACAACAGTGGAAATCACTGTGACAAGACAATCAGCTAGAGCCTCATGGAGGCACATTGTCTAGGCTGACTAAAGCTCCGGTGCTGGAAGTCAGGCAGCTGCCCCCTTAAACAATAGCCACTGCGCGGTAGCAGAGGGGCTCCTGTTGCAGCCTCGGCAGTGACTGGATCCGGGGTCCAGTTTGCGGCAGCCTGGGAGAGGGTGCCGCCGGTGTCCTGTCCCAGGGCCAAACCCCCAGGAGTCCTGTCATCAGGACCTCCTTGAGCCGACTCCCACCAAGGGAGGGGGAGCTTCAGGACGCCTGCTGGGTTCTCGGGACTCCCCTTCAGATGTGATTTTGGCCCCCTCCGAGTGAGATAGGATGGGCTCATCACATCTGGTGAGGCAGGCAGGGCCTCACTGCAGCACAGAATGATCCCATGGGTCTCAAGGCTTGGTGTCAGCTGAAAATTCACTGATCCGTCAGCCCTCTGCCTCCCTCCTCCTTTGAAAGAGCACTGGCCTGCTGGGCTTCTAAAAGCCCTGGGGCTCCGGAAGCTGACCGCAATTTACAGGACATGTGCAAGCAGGAACAGGGGCGAATCTCAGGTGGAGACCATGCGATGACGCGTGGCACTGACCCATCCCACAGCAGATGGCGTGAATGTGTGTAAACAGAGGAATGTGGGGCAAAGCTGAAACAAATGGTGGTGTCTAGGCATGTGTCCGGTGGAAGGGGGGAACAAGTGACATTTCCATCATAGCAATGAAAAATTAAAGAACACCTGGGAACCAGGAGGGAGTTTGTGACTGACCGGGGCCAAATTTTGAAATTCCTGCCAGAGGAGCAAAGAGGTTTCTGCAAAATTCACCCTACCACCAAAGCTCCATCGCCCAGGTAGCCCTCACACAACGTCCCTTGCACCAAGCCCCAGTCCCAGCACCAACCCAAGCCCAAGCCCCAGCCCCAGCCCCAGACCCAGCCCAGTCCCCTTGGTTCCCTGACATTCGTTATGGCCAAAAGATCCAGGGAGTCAGTCCACCCAGGAGCAGAGGAGAGGATGTCCCTCAAGAATGAGACAGGAAGTGCAGAGGAAATGCACCACCACCTGTGCTAGAAGAAAAGGCCAGTCACGATCGACTAGAGCTCATTCTAGGCATTCCACCCACCAATGAAGGGAAACACGGAGAACAAACAAGCTTTCCTGTCTGAGACACTTATGGGAGCAAACAGCTCCGTGGTAACGGGATCTGCCCAATCAAGCAGAAACAGGTTAGGAGAGAGAAACAGTCATAACAGGGATCTCCAGGAAATGTCTCCCTGACAGACTGGGAAGTTAAGGACTGGGAAGTCCCTGAAGGACAGGGAAGACATGTGGCCAGAGCGAGAGGCATCTAGGCCAGGGGAGGCAGAGCAAGAGGGAGGACAGAGCAGAAGAAGCAGGAGGGAGGACAGAGCAGAGGGAGGACAGAGCAAGAGGGAGGAGAGAGCAGAGGCCACAGCCAAGGCAGGATACAGCACCATGTCACCTCCACGTGCATAAAGGGAGAGGTTCCAAAAGGGCAGCTTGTCCAGAGAGGCCAGTGTTCCAGTGACAGGGATTGCTGCTATCTCTCATTCCTGGTTTCTTCTTACAGACTGTATCGTGGTGTGGCTTCATTTCTCAGAGAAGAGCCGTGAAAAGATACAAGCATCTTCTCTGACGTGGGTCCGCTGCTCTCCTGCAGGACAAAGAGCTCCTGTGGGGCTCTTGTCCTTGGCTGCAGTGTGTTCATCTTGATCCTAGAAAAGAGGCCGCTCAGGATGGGGATGAGATTTCAGTTGCTCCGGGACCGACGCATCTCCTCCCGTGGGCCAGGTCCTCATGCACACAAAGCGGATCCGTGGCGGCGAAAACAATTGACAACTGGCCTCATGACCCAGGCAGAGACGCAGAAAGAGGCTCACCAAAGACAGGCCGCCATGCCAGAAACCGTTTTGTGGTGTACAGGGCACATTCGGCCAAAGACACACACGCACAAGGGCACACACGCACAAACCCACAGAAAGAGGGAAAGAAACACACAGAGACTGAGAGACAGAGAGAGAAGAGAGAATGGGAGACACACACACACCCACACAGACACACACACGCACACGCACACACACAAACACACAGAGTCATACAGCAGAGGCATTGAAACACACTCCCCCAGGCAACCCCTGAGACTGCGGGGTTCTGCTCTCGATGAGAAAGACCCTCGGGTGAGAGAGCAGCCCAGGGGCACGCAGCCCGACCTGTCCTTGAGATCACGGCGGCACGACTTTTGGGGAGACTCACCCCAACCAACACCGTCCGGGCAGGCCTGAGGCTGGGATGCCGTGCTGCTTCCCCCGGACTCCGCCTGGGGTTTGCCCCGACACCCAAGCACCTCCATGGAGGGCTCCTGCTTTGCCAAGCCTCGGGGACTGGTTTCTAAGACAACGGTGGGAACCACTGTGATGGGAGAAGCCGCTGGCTCCTCGCGCATGCGCATTGGCTGGGCCGACTCCCGCTCCACTCCTGGCAGTCAGGCTGCGTCCCCTTTAAATAACGCCACCACTGCGTGGCGGCAGCGAGGCTCCTGCTGCAGCCGCGATGGTGGCTGGATCCGGGGTCCAGTTTGGGGCGGTGTGGGAGAGGGCCCGCGGGTGTCCTGTCAAAGGGCCAAACCCCCAGGAGTCCTGTCCTCAGGGCCTCCTTGAGCTGACTTCCACCGAGGGATGGGGAACATCAGGACGCCTGCATCTGTTCTCAGGACTCCACTTCAGATCTGATTTTGGCGCCCTCCGAGTGAGATAGGATGGACTCACCACATCTGGTGAGGCAGGCAGGGCCTCCCTGCAGCACAGAATGATCCCATAGGAATCAAGGCCTAGTGTCAGCTGCAAGTGCACTGATCCATCAGCCCTCTGCCTCCCTCGTCCTTTGAAAGAGCAGTGGCCTGCCCCGCTTCTAAAAGCCCTGGGGCTCCGGAAAGCAGACCACGCTTTATGGGACACGTGCAAACAGGAACAGGGGCGAATCCGAGGTGGAGACCATGTGACCACGCGTGGCACTGGCGTATCCCACAGCAGATGGTGTGAATGTGTTTCACAGGAGGCATACGGGGCGACGGCGAAACACACGGTGTTGTCCAGGTATGTGCCGGTGGAAGGGGGGAACGAGTGACCTGTCCATCAATGTCCAGGAAAATCGAAGAACACCGGGGACCTGGTGGGTTGGGGGGCCTGTGCCTGACCCAAGCCACATTTTCAAATGCCTACCAGAAGAGCAAAGAGATTTCTGCAAAATTCGCCCCACCCCCAACCCTCCACCGCCCTGGTAGCCCTGACGCATCTTCGACTGCACCCAGCCCCAGCCACAGCACCAACCCCAGCCCAGTCCCTTTGGTTCCCTGACATTCGTTTCGGACAGAAGTTCAAAGGAGTCAGTACACCCAGGAGCAGAGGAGAGGATGTCCCTGAAGAATGAGACAGGAAGTGCAGAGGAAATGGGATACCCTCTGTCCTAGAAGAAAAGGCCAGTCATGGTCGCTTAGCGCTCATCCTAGGCAATCCCCCCACCCATGAGGGGAAACGTGGAGAAGAAGGAAGCTTCCCTGCCTGAGACACGTAGGGAAGTCAAGAGCTCCAGGGTCATGAGACCTGCCCAATCAAGCAGAAACACGTTTGGAGAGAGAAACAATCATGACACGGATCTCCAGGAAGTGTCTCCCTGACAGACTGGGAAGTCATCTTTGTTGAAGACATTTGACCAGAGCGAGAGGCATCCAGGCCCCTGAGAAACAGGGTAGGGAGAGCAAGAGGGAGGACAGAGCAGAGGCCAGAGCCCAGAGCCCAGGCAGGATACAGCACCATGCCACCGCCACAGGCATAAGGGAAGGGGTTCCAAAAGGGTGGCTTGTCCAGAGAGGCCAGCGTTCCAATGACAGGGATTGTTGCCATCTCCCATTCCCGGCTTCCTCTTCCAGACTGTAACATGGTGTGGCTTCATTTCTCAGAGAAGAGCCGTGAAAAGATACAACCATCTTCTCTGACGTGTGTCCGGCCCTCTCCTGCAGGACAAAGAGCTCCTCTGGGGCTCTTGTCCTTGGCTGCAGTGTGTTCATCTTGATCCTAGAAAAGAGGCCCCTCAGGATGGGGATGAGATTTCAATTGCTCCGGGACTGACGCATCTCCTCACGTGGGCCAGGCCTTCACACACCCAAAGCGGATCCGCGGCAGTGAAAACCACTGACAACCGGCCTCATGACCCAGGCAGAAACACAGAAAGAGGCTCACCGAAGACAGGGCGACATGCGAGAAATCGCTTTGTGGCGCATAGGGCACATTCCGCCAAAGATACATACTCACACGGGCACACACACAGAAACCGACAGGGAGAGTGAAAGAGACACACAGAGACTGAGAGACACAGAGAGAAGAGAGAATGGGAGGCACACACACACTCACACACACACACACACACAGACACACACACAGAGTCATACAACAGAGGCATTGAAACACACAACCCCATGCAAGCCCTGAGGCTGCGGGGTTCTGCTCTCGACAAGAATGACCCTCAGGTGAGAGAGCAGCCCAGGGACACGCAGGCCAACCTGTCCTCGAGTTCACGGCTGCACGAATTTTGGGGAGGCTCACCCCAACATCATCCGGGCAGGCCTGAGGCTGAGATGCTGTGCTGCTACCCTCGGACTACGCCTGTGGTTTCCTCATCCTGGTCGGCTCCTGGCCGAACGGAGACGTTCCCATCGACCCCGTGGAGAGGTCAGGCCGGAGTCTCAGAGCCGGACACCCAAGCACTGCCACGGAGGGCTCCCGCTTTGCCAAGCCTCAGGGACTAGTTTCTAAGACAACCGTGGGAAGCACTGTGAGGTGAGAAACTGCTCGCGCCTCGCGCATGCACATTGGCTGGGCCAACTCGCGCTCCACTCCTGGCAGTCAGGCTGCCTCCACTTTAAATTAGACCGCGGTTGCATGGCGGCAGCGAGGCTTCTGCTGCAGCCGCGGAGGCTGCTGGATCCGGGGTCCAGTTTGGGGCTGCGTGAGAGAGGGGACCGCGGGTGTCCTGTCCCAGGGCCAAAACCCTGGGAGTCCTGTCCTCATGACCTCCTTAAGCCGACTTCCACCGAGGGAGGGGGAGCTTCAGGGCGCCTACTGGGTTCTCGGGACTCCCCTTCAGATCCAATTTTGGCCCCCTCGGAGTGAGACAGGATGGGCTCACCACATCTGAGGAGGCAGGCAGGGCGTCCCTGCAGCACAGATTGATCCCATGGGTCTCAAGGCGTGATGTCAGCTGAAAATTCACTGATCCATCAGCCGTCTGCCTCCCTACTCCTTTGAAAGAACAGTGGACTGCGCGGCTTCTAAAAGCTCTGGGCCTCCGGAAAGCCGACAGTGCTTTACAGGACACGTGTATACAGGAACAGGGGTGAATCCAAAGTGGAGACCATGGGGCCACGCGTGGTACTGGCGTATCCCACAGTAGATGGTGTGATTGTGTGTCACTGGAGGCATATGGGGCAATGGCAAAATAAACGGTGGTGTTCAGGCTTGTGCCTGGTGGAAGGGGGAACAAGTTACTTTTCATCAATGCCAAAGAATATCAAAGTACACCTGGGAACCAGGAGGGGGCCCGTGCCTGACCTAAGCCCCATTTTGAAATGCCTGCCCAAGGAGCAAAGAGTTTCTGCAAAATTCACCCCACCTCCAACCCTCCACCGCCCAGGTAGCCCTTAGTCCACCTCCCCTGCACCGAGCCCCAGTCCTGGAAACCAGCAGCCCTGGAAGCCGTGGAAACCGTGGAACAACTGGAAACCACCGCCAAGGGCATAAGCGGAGGTGTGCCAAACGGGTGACTTGTCCTGAGAGGCCTGCTTTCCATTGACAGGCATCCTTGTTGTGTCCCGTTTTTAGCTTCTTCTTGAAGATTGTTTCGTAGCGTGGCTTCATTTCTCAGAGAAGAGCCGTGAGGAGAAAAACCATCTCCTTTCACATTGGTCCCTCCCCTCTTGGAAAACAGTGAGCTCCTTGTTGCTTTTTTTTTTTTTTTTTTTTTTGGTTGGAGTGTGGTCATCTTGATTCTAGAAAAGAGGTAGCTCAGTATCGGGATGAAATTTCAGTTTCTCTGAGACCGACGCTTTTCACATTGTCGAGGTCTTCAGAAAGCCAAAGTGGAACCGCCGCTGAAATGATTGACAATCGCCCACATGACCCAGGCAGAGACGCAGACAGGGGTTCACTAAAGACACGCTGACATGCAAGAGATCGCTTTGTAGTGCACTGGGCACAGAAACACACACGCACACGGGCACGCACACACAGAGAGACAGAGAAAGTGAGAGAAACAGACAGAGAGTGAGTGACAGAGAGAGAAGAGAGAATGGGAGACACACGCACCAGACATACAGCAGAGGCAGAGGGACACCCCCCCCCCCCAGGCAATCACTGAGGCTGCGGGTTTCTGCTCTTTGGGAGAATGACCCTCGGGTCAGAGAGTAGTCCTTGGGCACACAAGCAGACCTGTCCTCGAGATCACGAGGGGCACGACTTTGGTGGACTCACGCAAACACCGTAATGGCAGCTCTGAGGCTGGGATGCCACACTGCTTTCCCCGGACTCCGTCTGCTGTTTCTGCATCCTGGTAGCCCCTCCGTGTAGCATAGTGTCCAGAATCTGTTTTGTCGACCCCCTGGATTGGTCAGGCTGGAGCCTCGACACCGACGCACTGCCACAGAGGGCTCCTGCTTTGTCAAGGCTCAGGGAATCGTCCTCAGCCAACCGTTGGAGTCAGCATCACAGGAGAATGGGCTCATGCCTCCTGCATGCACATTGCCCAGGCCGACTCCTGCTTTCCTCTTCAAACTCCGGCTGTGGCCCCTTTAAACAGGTTCGGCGACACGTGGCGGGGGTTCTGTGGCAGTAGCGGTGGTGGCCGGAGCGGGCATGTAGTAGAGGGCGTTATGGGAATGGGGGCTTCTGGTCCTCCAGGGCCGGAACCCCGGGAGTCCTGTTCTCAGAATCTCCTTGAGCTGACTTCTACCGGTGCAGGGGGACCCCCCCCTTCAAGGCACCAGGTCGGGTCTCTGGACTCACAGGCTGGCGTGCATTGTGGTGATCAGAGCTCACTGCAGCCTCAATCTCCCAGGCTGAAGCGATTTTCTTGCCTCAGCCTCCCACATACCTGAGACTACAGGCATGTGCCCCCACACTCAACTACTTTTCTCCAAAAACATTTTTGTACGAATGGGGACTTACTATGTTGCCTGGCTCATGTCAAACTCCTGGGCTCAAACTGTTCTCCTGTGTTGGCCTCCTCAAGTGCTGAGATTACAGGTGTGAGCTTGCTCCTGCAGCTAAATTCTTATATCTTAAATCCCTACCTCCCACAATAAGCAGATGTTAGGCCCACTTATTTTATAACTTTTTGCTGTTTATGTCTCTTTTTGTCCCTGGACACAGGGATTAGCAACCCACTCTCCACCAAATTTCAAATCATTAGGGGCATTATGTTGTGTCCCAGGAGTGTCTGAGGCATCAAGTACCTGCTGCTTTAACCTAGGCCTGCTGAGGAGTACAATTCACCTTGTGTTTCTGTGTTGTTTAACAACCTTCCTGAGCTCCTCTAAGTCATTCCATCCTGCCACAACTGGCAAGAATCAAGAAACTCTCCAAGAAAATGTTTCTCAGCCTGCCTGTTGTCAAGTAGAAGACAGGTCTGCTGACCATGGCAGGCATGGCAGTGCATGACAGTGAGCGCCACCCACCGTGTTTGCTATTCACTGCATGTTCCACCTGAACTTTCCCATCTACTCGGTGAGTCTTGACAGTGGGGTAAAGGGGACTCACTCTCAAAGACCAAGGCTGACCCTCTCTGAATACAATGCCTTGACCTAGTTACTGTCACTGTGGTTTTGTCTTCAGGGACTAAAAAAGATACAATAAGAATTTGTTCCTTTAATTGTCCTGTTGATGAACAAAATACTTAAATGCTTCTACATAGGTCTGCTCTTGTGCACCACAGAGCAATAAGGGAAAGTCCCCATAATAAATGTGCTTTTCACCTGAGCTGCTACGTGTGACAGTTAAGCAGCTGAAGGTTAAAAAAAATCAAAGCTCCCCAAATATGGGTATGACAGCTGATCCAACCTCACCATCTGTACTTTCCCTCTGTAACAGCATGGATAAATACAGAGATAACTAGCAACTGATACCCTAGTGTGCCAAGCAATCGAAGTATCTGTGTGATTAAAAACCAGCATTTAACCATACTCTAGATACACTAAATATCAACCCCACACTCATAGCCTGTAATTCCATTTTGCTTCCAGATGGCAGTTACAATTGGAAAGGAAATAGCTAGTTTACAGGAGGCATTAATACTTTATTGTTGCAGAAACTAAACCCTTAAAAGAATGTATCCTGGACTTTCTGACCTGGATACTAACAAACAGTGAAAAATACGTATCTAAGAATACACTTGGAACAGAAATGTGAAAAACCAAAAGTAAGAGATATTACAAAGGATCAAATATAAAACGACGCAGTGCTAAAGAGGCAACAAAGAAAATTGTAGAAGAAAATGACAAGAGGCATTATGCCTTAATGAATTTGTGCTACTGTATAAGAAAATACAATAGACTGGGTAATTTCTGAAGAACAGAAATGTATTTCTCACAGTTCCATAGGCTAGAAGTCCAAGATCAAGGTGCCAGCAGGATTGGTGTCTGCTGAGGGCCTGGTCTCTGCATCCAAGATGGTATCTTGTGCACTGTGTCTTCAGGAGGAAATGCACTGTGTCCTCACATGGCAGAAGGTGGAAGGGCAAAACAGGGGAAGCCCACTCCCTCCAGTCCTTGTGTAAGGACCCTAAACCCATTTGTGAAGGAACTCTCTTCATGAATGAATCATTACCTAAGGGCCCTACTTCCTAATCCTATAACATTGTGATTAATTTTAGGGGAACACATTCAGAACATAGCACTCTATATTCAATTTTTTAAAAATTATTTTTCTCTTTTGCTTTTCTGTTTTTCAAATGGCTTAAAGTGCACAAAATTTGATTAATCATATTCCTTGACTCATAGCATACCTTGGCTCCTATTTCATCCTTGTCTGTGCCTGGGCCTCTATGCAAATGTATCTGAATGTATTTGAATAATATGGTAATCACTTGTGAACCCACAACACAACCCAAGAACTAGGGTTCTGACCCTAACATCTGCTCCTCCTCTGTCTTTTTTCCTGATTTACACCCTTCAGCCCCAGGGTAACTACTACCCTGAATTTATGTTTAGGATTCCCTGCCTTTAAAAAAAATTGTTTTATTGCATATATATGACTGCCCTAAATGACATATTATTTAGTTTTTTAAGGGTATAATTTATTTACCCATTCTCCTATTAATGAACATCTGGCTTGTTTCCATATATTTGCTGTTATGAATGGCATTACATGAGCATTTATTTTTTTACTACTTCTGGTACATGCGGGCAAGAGTTTCTCCAGGGCCTATGGTAGAGAAATTAGTTTGCCATAACATATGAGAATGCTCAACTTTATAAGATAATCCAAATTGTTTTCCAAAGTGGTTGTTCTAATTTAAACTCTCACCTCCTGTATTAGTTCGAGATGATCTTGTTGATCCACAGTCTCTCCATATTTGGTGATATGGTTTGGCTGTGTCCCCACTCAAATCTCAGCTTGAATTCTATTTCCCAGAATACCCACATGTTGTGGCAGGGACCCAGGGTGAGGTAACTGAATGATGGAGGCCAGTGTTTCCTGTGCTATTCTCATGATAGTGAATAAGCCTCGTGAGATCTGATGGGTTTATCAGGGGTTTCTGCTTTGGCTTCCTCCTCATTTTCTCTTGCTGCTGCCATTTAAGAAGTCCCTTTCACTTCCTACCATGACTCTGAGGCCTCCCCCACCATGTGGGACTGTAAATCCGATTACAGTTCTTTTTCTTTACACCTCTTTTTCTTCTCAGACTTGGGTATGTCTTTATCAGCAGTGTGAAAATAGACTAATACAGTAAATTGATACGAGTGGTGTGGGGTGCTGCTGAAAAGATACCCAAAAATGTGGAAGCGACTTTGAAACTTGGTAACAGGCAGAAGTTGGAAGAGTTTGGAGGGCTCAGAAAAAGACTGGAAAAGATGGGAAATTTTGGAACCTCCTAGAGACTTGTTGAATGGCTTTGACAAAAATGCTGATAGTGTTTTGAACAATAAGGTCCAGGCTGAGGTGGTCTCAGATGGAGATGAGGGACTTGTTGGGACCTGGAGCAAAGGTGACTCTTGTTATGTTTTAGCAAAAAGAATGGCAGCATTTTGCCCCTGCCCTAGTGATTTGTGGAACTTTGAACTTCAGAGAGATGATTTATGTTATCTGCTGGAAGAAATTTCTAAGCAGTAAAGCATTCAAGAGGTGACTTGGGTGATGCTAAAGGAATTCGGTTTCATAAAGGAAGCAGAGCATACAAGTTTGGAAAATTTGCAGGCTGACAATGTGATAGAGAAGAAAATCCCACTTTCTGAGGATAAATTAGAGCAGTCTGCAGAAATTTGCATAAGTAACGAGAAGCTGAATGTTAATCCCCAAAACAATGGGGAAATTTCTACGGGACATGTCACAGGTTATCACAGCAGCCCCTCCCATCACAAGCCCAGAGGCCTAGGAGGAAAAAATGGTTTTCTGGGCTGGGCACAGGTTGACTGTTCTGGGTGCAGCCTAGGGCCTTGGTTCTCTGCGTTTCAGCCCTTCCAGCCATGGCTGAAAGGGGCCAACATAGAACTCAGGCCATGGCCTTGAGAGTGCAAACACCAAGCCTTGGCAGCTTCCTCGTGGTGTTGAGCCTGCACATGCATAGAAGTCAAGAATTGAGGTTTGGAGACCCCCACCTAGATTTCAGAGGATGTATTAAAATACCGGGATGTCCAAGCAGAAGCTTGCTGCAGGGGTGGGGCTCTGATGGAGAACCTCTGCTGGGGCTGTGCAGAAAGGAAATGTGGGGTTGGAGCCCCTACACAGAGTCCCTACTGGGGCACTTCCTAGTGGAGCTTTGAGGAGAGGGCCACTCTCCTCCAGGCCCCAGAATGGTAGATTCACTGATGGCTTGCACTGTGAGCCTGGAAAAGCTGCAGTCACTCAACATCAGCCCATGAAACCAGCCAGGAGGTGGGCTATACCCTGCAAAGCCACAGGGACAGAACTACCCAAGGCTGTGGGAGCCCACCTCTTGCATCAGCATGATCTTGATGTGAAACATGAAGTCAATGGAGATCATTTTGGAGCTTTAAAATTTGACTACCTTGCTGGATTTCAGACTTGCATGGGGCCTGTAACCCCTTTGTTTTGGCCAATTTCTCCCATTTGGAACAGCTGCATTTACTCAATTATCTGTACCCCCACTGTATCTAGGAAGTAACTAGCTTGATTTGGATTTTACAGGGTCATAGGCAGAAGAGACTTGCCTTGTCTCAGATGAGACTTTGGACAGTGGACATTTGGGTTAATGCTGAAATGAGTTAAGATTTTGGGGGACTGTTGGGAAGGCATAATACGTTTTGAAATGTGAGGACATGAGATTTGGAGAGGACATGAGATTTGGAGGGGCCAGAAGTGGAAAAATATGGTTTGACTGTGTCCCTACCCACACCACAACTTGAATTGTGTTGCTCAGAATTCCCACATGTTCGGGGAGGGAACCAGGGGGAGGTAGTTGAATCTTTGGGGCCGGTCTTTCCCATGCTATTCTTGTGATAGTGAATAAATCTCACAAGATCTGATGGGTTTATCAGTGGTTTCATCTTTTGCTTCTTTTGCCTCCTTCTCATATTCTCTTGCCACTGCCATGTAAGAAGTGCTGTTCACCCACCGCCATAACTCTGAGGCCTCCTCAACCATGTGGATCCCTAAATACAATTAACCCTCTTTTTCTTCCCTGTCTCAGGTATGTCTTTATCAGCAGTGTGAATGTGAACCAATACATTTGGTATTGTCAAACTTCTTAATAATTGTGGGGAGAATAGATGTGTAGTGTCTTGGGCATTTTCCTGATTACTAATGAGGTTGAGAAATTTTTTACATTTTGCGGGCTTTCTCTTTTGTGAAATCCCTATTGATGTATTTTCCCAATTTTCTGTTGGGTTGCTATTTTTAAAATTAATTCATTGCAGTTCCTTATACTTAGTTGATAAGATGTTAATATTTCATAGGTTTTAGGTACTGCAAATATCTTCTAATTTATAGTTTACTTTTCACTTTTTTACTTTCATTTTTTAATTTCTATTTTTTTTTTGAGACAGAGTCTAGCTCTGTTATTCAGGCTGGAGTGCAGTGGCTTATTGAAACCTCCACCTCCCGGGCTCAGATGATTCTTGTGCCTCAGCTTCCTAAGTAGCTGGGATTACAGGTGTCTGCCACTAATGCCAAGCTAATTTCTTGTATTTTTAGTAGAGACAGGGTTTCACCATGTTGGCCAGCCTGGTCTCAAACTCCTAACCTCAGGTGATGTACTGTTGGGATTACAGGCTTGAGACACTGTGCCCAGCCTATCTTTCCACTTTCTGATGTAAAAAGTTCTTAATTTTGTGAGCGTCAATATGTCTAATCTTTTTTAATGGTTAAATGGCTTTTTGTGTCTTATTCACTTACATTTTCTACTAAAAGTTTTAAAGTTTTGTTTCTGACATGTAAGTCTTTGGTCCTTTGGAATTTAATGTTTGTATATAGAATGAAGTAAGAATATAATTTCATTTTGTTTCCTATATCAATAACCATTATTTTTCTATTCTATTTATTGAAAAGTCCTTTCTTTCCTTGCTGATCTGCCATGTCAACTACATCACATATCAAAGATTAAATTTGTGGAGATTTGTTTGGGAACTCTCTGTTCTGTTTCATCAGTCAGTTTATCAGTGAAGACCACACTGTCTTAATTGCTGTAGCTTTATAAAATTCTGATATTTGCCAGCACAAATCTTTCCTCTTCTTCAATAAGGTCTTTGATATTCTTGGCACCTTCCCTTTTCCATATACATATACATATATATGATATATTTCATATATATGATATATATTATACATCATATATTTATATATGATGTATAATATATATCATTTATATTTATATATGATATATATTATATATCATTTATATTTATATATGATATATATTATATATCACTTATATTTATATATATGATATATATATTATATATCACTTATATTCATATATATGATATATATATTATGTATCATTTATATTTATTTATATGATACATATCATATATATATTTTATATATATATATAAATATTTATAGAGAGAGACAGGGTCTCACTTTGTTGCCCAGGCTTGAGGACTGGTGCAATCGTAGCTCACTGCAGACTTGAACTCCTGGGCTCAAGAACTCCTCCTACCTCAGCCTCCCAAGTAACTGGGACTCTAAGGCATGCATCACCTCATTCAGCTAATTTTTAAAAAATTATTATTTTTTGTAACGATGGGGATCTTGCTGTGCTGCCCAGGCTGGTCTCAAACTTTTGGCCTCAAGCAATCCTCCCACCTCAAGCTCCCGAAGTGCTGGGATCACAAGAGTGAGCCAGCACACCTGGCTCCATTTTCCATATTTTAAGACCATTTTTTAAAAGCTGCTCAAGACTGCTTTTTTCTCTTGGTGTTACTTGCAACCCCCTTACTTAGCCTTGGAAATACTGTTAGTGAAGAAAATCTAAAGAGTCAAAAAATAAAATATTATTTCTTTTCTTCCAATTGCAAAAGAGCAGACACCTTCCTGAATCATAAAGCTAGTTTTGATAAATTGGTGAACTGAGAGCATACACAGTATTATTAATTCTGTTCTAATTTCTGCTTCACTGTGGAGTGTCTTCACAGAGTCTTAAAAGATTATTGCTATGAAATATTCTTATACATGTAACACATAACCTCCATAATTCTGCAGTTGTACTTGGCTGTCTTACCTAATAATCAATTGCTTTGCTTCATAATATTTAAATTGGCATCTTTGTTTTCCAAAATGCATAAATACTAGAATAGATTTTTAGTTAAGCCAGAAGAAAGCAGACTTTATTTACTAACATAACTTATACGTAAAGGTTTAATAAGTCTCCCTGTTTCTTTTCTTTTGCATCATAACAACCACTGAAAATAATATTTCTATAGCAGTTGGGGGTAAATGGACAATGACTTTTGTGGCCAGAGGTGAATGGCCCAGAGGCTCCTCCTGCACTCCAGGTCCCACTGAGCCTGCCACACAGCTGAGGGCATCACTATTTCCACATACCTATAGTGCATGCTGTCCCAGAGCACAGATCAGATGCTCTCCTTTATTCAAATGGGGAGTTGAGAGTATTGTCATTCTAATTAAATTAATAAATACATATTTATACACTGTTAAAATCTGGTTGGATTTGTGTCCCTTCACAAAACAAATTGCTTAAATGAAACCACAGAGTTAACATAAATGAGAACATTTGCTTCTATGATATGCTCTTTTAAATGGAATTAGAATCTAATTTGAAATGTCAATTAAAAGTTTAAATATTCAACTCAATTACATTTAATTTTTGTTTCGTTTTGTTTTGAGACGGAGTTTAGCTCTTGTCACCCAGGCTGGAATGCAATGGCGCAATCTCAGCTCGCTGCAAGCACCTTCTCCTGGGTTCAAGAAATTCTCTTGCCTCAACCTCCTGAGTAGCTGGGATTACAGGTGCCTGCCACCACATCTGGCTAATTTGTGTATTTTCAGTAGAGATGGTGTTTCACCACGTTGGCCAGGCTGGTCTTGAACTCCTGACCTCACATGATCCACCCACCTCGGCCTCCCAAAGTGCTGGGATTACAGGTGTGAGCCACTGTGCTTGGCCTTTTTAGATTATTTTACTTTATTTTAGTTACTTATTTTATGACTTTATTGTTATAAAAATGCTAGCTTTCTAAAAAATCAATCAATATAACAAAGAACATAGAAGATGATCAACAAGCATTCCCATCTGCATGATCTGGAAATAACTGTCATCAATCCAAAAGCTGACACATGGTGGATCCCTTCACACCAGTTCCCAGTACATAGTAACCCCTTGCTTGTAGAAAACATTATTATTATCATTAGTATTTTTGAGACAGAATTTGAGTCTTGTAGCCCAGGCTGGAGTGCAATGGTCCAATCTCAGCTCACTGCAACCTCTGCCTCCCAGGATCAAAGTATTCTCCTGCCTCAGCCTCCCAAGCACCTGGGATTACAGGCATGCACCACCATGGCCTGCTAATTTTTTGTACTTTTAGTAGAGACAGGGTTTCACCATGTTGGCCAGGCTGGTCTTGAACTCCTGACCTCAGGTAATCCACTTGCCTCAACCTTCCAAACTGTTGGGATTACAGGCATGAACCGCCACACCTGGAATAGAAAACAGTTTTCAATAGCAAACAGTAGCAGTATGCTTGGGGGTTTTAGGATTGATTATTTTCAAATCTCTAGAAAAGTTCAATGCATTACCTTAGGCTATAATCCCAGGGCAGAGTCTCATCTGTTAATAGGGGGCTGGTCTAAGGGTCCTTCCAGCTCTCAGATTAATGGTTTCCCATGTTGAACTGCTCCCTTCCACCCATCCATCCTTGGTTTTGTTTGTTTGTTTGTTTTTACAGGACAAGATCGCACTATATTGCCCAGGCTGGTCTTGAACTCCTGGCCTTAAGTGATCCTCCTGCCTTGGCCTCCCAAAGTGCTGGAGTTACAGATGTGAGCCTCTGTGCTCAGCCCATCCTTGGCTGTTCAATTGTGGAGGTAAGTAGTAGATGCTAAGTTTACCTCCAGGTCAGAAGGGACAGATGCCCCAGGGCAGAATCATAACCATAACCAGGCCTCCCAATGCATGAAGACATTATGTTCTGAAGCTTAAACCTGGACAAAGTTCTGACCAGTAGCAGTGTGTTCATGAATATCGGGTCAAAAATTTAAAACTGGGACTATACAGAAGAACCTGGTAGATGCAGGTGCAGTCCACAGTCCAATGGTCAGCCATGAAAACAGGCTACCTGTTCTTTCTCTTTATCATGGAGTCGTTGATGTAAAAATCGATGACACTTTCTTCCTTCTGGTGTACTTCCCTTTCTTCTTCACTTTCCATAAGTAGTTTCCTCCATCCCACCTCCCAACAGGCCACAGTCAATTCAGGACATTTTAACCAGGAAAATGAGTCTCCATAACACGAATTTAGAGGCCAGGCAGGGTGGCTCATGTCTGTAATCCCAGCACTCTGGGAGGCTGAAGTGGGAGAATGGCTTGAGCTTAGGAATTTGAGACCAGCCTGGGCAACATGGTGAAACCCTGTCTCTAACCAAAAATAAATGAATAAAAAAAAATAAGCCATGTATGGTGGTGCATGCTACTAGTCCAGCTACTCAGGAGGCTGAGGTGGGAGGATTGCTTGAGTCAAGGAGGTGAAGTCTGAAGTGGGCCAAGATCATGCCACTGCAATCCATCCTGGGCAACAGAGTGAGACCTTATCTCAAGAAAAAAAAAAAGGTTTATAGGACAGACTGACTCTCTTATTACAAGCCAATGCTTATTTGCCATTCCATAAATCCTAGGGCACCTCTTAAGAATTATGCTAAATCTACTCTACCTGTGCTCTATAAATGGATTCACTATTGTAGATGCCACTAAGAACATTCATGATTCACCAGAGGAGGTAAAAATAGCAGCAGTCATAGGAGGTTGGAAGAATTTGATTCCAACCCTCATAAATGATTTTGAGGGGTTCAAGACTTTAGCAGAGGAAGTAACCACAGTTGTGGTGAAGATAGCAAGAGAACTAGAATTACAAGTGGAGCCTGAAGATGTGAGTGAATTGCTGCAATCTTTTTTTTTTTTTTTTTTGAGTTGAAGTTTTGCTCTTGTTGCCCAGGCTGGAGTGCAATAGTGAGATCTCAGCTCACTGCAACCTCCGCCTCCTGGTTTCAAGCGATTCTCCTGCCTCAGCCTCCCGAGTAGCTGGTACTGTAGGCATGTGCCACGACACCCAGCTAATTTTGTATCTTTAGTAGAGATGGAGTTTCACCATGTTGGTCAGCCTGGTCTCGAACTCCCAAAGTCAGATGATCCACTCGCCTCAGCCTACAAAAGTGCTGGGATTACAGGCATGAGCCACAGCACCTGCCCAAATTGCTGCAATCTTAATGGATGAAGAGTTCCTTATGATGAATGAGCAAAGACAGTGGTTTCTTGGGATGGAATCTACTCCTGGTGAAGATGCTGTGAACATTGTGGAAAGAACAACAAAGGACTTAGAATATTCCATAAACTTAGTTGATAGAGGAGTGGCAGGGTTTGAGAGGATTAGTTCCAGTTTTGATATAAATTCTACTGTGGGTAAAATGCTACCAAACTGTACAGCATGCTACAGTGAAATCTTTTGTGAAAGCAAGAGTCAGTCAATGCGGCAAACTTCATTGTCATGTTATTTTAAGAAATTGCCACACCCTCTCCAGTCCTCAGCAACCATCACCCTGATCAGTCAGTAGCTATCAACACTGAGGCAAGACCATCCACCAGTAAAATGATGATGACTTGCTGAAGGCCCAGATGATGGTTAGCATTTTTTGGCAGTCAAGTATTTTCAAAGTAAGGTATATACATTCTATTTTAGACATAATGCTATTGCACACTTAATTGACTACAGTAGTTTAAACATAACTTTTTTTTTTTTTTGAGATGGAGTCTCACTCTGTTGCCCAGGTTGGAGTGCAGTGGTTCGATCTTGGCTCACTGCAAACTCTGCCTCCCAGGTTCAAACAATTCTCCTGCCTCAGCCTCTTGATTAGCTAGGAATACAGGCGCTCACCACCATTTTTCTTTTTTCACAGGGTTTCCCCATGTTGGCCACGCAGGTCTCAAACTTCTGACCTCGGGTGATCCACCTGCCTCGGCCTCCCAATGTGCTGGGATTACAGGCGTGAGCCACCATGCCTGGCAACATAACTTTTATGTGCACCAGAAAGCAAAGAATTTCTTGTGACTTGCAAAAACTTTCGTGTGACTTGCTCTATTGTGATATTCACCTTATTGTGGTGACTTAGAACCAAACCTGCAATATCTCCAAGGTGTGCCTGTACCCCTGAAAACAGAGCTGAAGTAAAGACTTGGGTGTGGATGGTTTATTTGGGAAGTGATTCCAAGAAGCAAGAGTGAGATGTGAGAAGAGTGAACCAGGCAAGAAAAAAAAAGCCAAAATAACGGCATGCTATTGAGGCTGCTCCCATGCACTTTTTTTTATGCGGGACCTTCTGAGAAGCTCTGGAAAGTTATCCAGGACTGTCCACCTGAAACATGAGCCTCGAGCATTTGCCCACCTGTCACACACTGGTTGAGGTCCTCCCCTGAGGCTGTTAACCTGCAAGTGTTTCTGGGCTGTATTTGTGCTCAGGCAAAATCCTACAATAGTGGAGATGTCTCGGGGCGGAAAGTGTAGCTTGAGTTTGCTGGCAGCAAAAGGGAAGCCTGTGCTTCAGTGGAACTCCCCACGGTGGCTGAGAGTGAATGAAAGGTGTGCTGAGAAGACATGACACAGTCGTCATTTCACGGAGGAATCATAGCCATCGATCTTGGCAAGAGGACCCCTGCCCTGAATCCTGGGCTTGAGAAAGTGCCTCTCTGGCCCTCCACTGACTGTACCCTGGCCCACCCAGAGCTCTCACCCTCTCTTCTAGGACACACGCTGGGCACTCAGGCCCCTGGCTAAATGTGCCTGAGCCTGCATGGCCTCTTCCCTGGGTCCATTTCAAAGTGCAAACTGTGTTTGTCCAAATGGTGACCAAGGCTCTGCTCTCTGAAGGGGTGAGAATTGTGGATGGAGCTTGCATGGGGCCTAGGGAGTCCCACACACAGGGGTACGCAAGGCTTCTCAAGTAAGGACAGGGCTAGCTATGATGAAAGAAAAAAGTTTAGCCTGGGGCTGAGGATCAGCTCTCCCTTTACTACCACATTCCCGTGCAGAGCACCAAGAAATCAGAGAATTCTACACTCGACTTCGACCTTGTGGGTTATTATGGCGGTATATTTATTGAAGTAGAAGAATAGAATGTATTTAGCTATTTTTTAGCTTCATTTATAATTCATAATTATTTAGACATAATGCAAATATGGGCTGGAATTCATGTTCTGATTTTTGTGGCCTTGAGCTAAGGAAAAGGGACCCAGGAAATGGGCTTTATGTGCTTGGATGGCTTCATGGAATCCCCAACTTCATTAGCTTCTGTGATGACTCAAGATTGTTACTAAAATCCACTTTGTATTATCTTTAAAAACCAAGGGATATTATGTAGCTTAGCAGTTAGAAGGCACTTGACTCAAAATATCTATGAACCAAAGGATATAAATGACTAAGAGCAGGAGGATCATTACCTGAAGGGGTGGAGGGTTGATCTCAGGATATGACCTGTGAGATCCTTCCTGCTGGCTCAGTGCTGACTGAACGTGGGGCAGGAGAGCCCCAGGAGCAACACATGTCTGGGATAGGAGGGAATGCGGGGAGGAAGGAAAGAGAAATAGGCCCTTTTTGTTTTTATTGATACATGACAATTATAATTATTTCTGAGGTACATGTGATATTTTGATACATGCATACAATGTGCACTGATCAAATCAACATAATTTGCATTTCCATCACCTCAAACATTTATCATTTATTTGTGTTAGGAAAATTCCACATCTTTCCTCTAGCCATTTTGAAATGTATAATAAGTTATTGTTAACGATCATCACCCTACTGTGCTATTGAACACTAGAACTTCTTCTGTTCCTTCCATCTAACTGTATTTTTGTGCCCATTAACCAACTTCTGGGAAGGGTAAAAGAGTGGGTGGATGAAAAGGGCCCTTCTTAATGCAAAGAAAATCTTACGAGAAGGGAAGACATCTTAGGAGGAAAAATAAAAAGGTGGACCATGGGCTTAGAGTGGGGACTGCAGAAATTGAATGGCAAACAAAAAACCAACTTAGCAATGTGAAAATAAATCTCAATGTCATTCCTTTCACAAGCCCAATGTCTGATATTCTTTTGGCCAGCTGGATATGAAGTAGGAATCTTTCTTTGAGTCATACATTTTCATGATTTTGATTATTATTGAATAATAGCTGGCAATTATTGAGAGCAATTATTGAGGACAATTATTGAGCTTTGACAAGCTCTTTTCAAAGGCCTTTATATATGTTTTCTCCACTTCTAACTGTTAGATATTCTTATTATTCCCATTTTGTAGATGAGGGATGCACAGGCATAAAGCCTATGTGGAGGCAGAGAGCAGCTAAGTAACCTGACCATGGCCCAATAGCAAACAAATGATGGGGCCACATGCAAATCAAGGCAGAACCCTTCTATTATATAAAGCTCAATGTTTTCTAGTTTTCATCTTGTTATGAAAACACCTATTTGCAAAGGAGTTTTGAAGCTACATTAAAACATTTTGTGGTCATGCACGGTGGCTGATGCCTATAATCCCAGCATTTTGGGAGACCAAAGTGGGCAGATCACCTGAGCTCAGGAGTTTTAGACCAGCCTGGCCAACATGGTGAAACCCTGTGTCTACTAAAAATACAAAAAAATTAGCCGGGCATGTTAGTGTGCACCTGTAATCCCAGATACTCTGGAGGCTGAGGCAGGAGAATCGCTTGAACCCGGGAGAGGAATGTTGCAGCAAGCCGAGATCATGCCACCGCATTCCAGCCTGGGTGACACAGTGAGACTCTGTCTCTAAATAAATAAATAAATAAGATTGAATTTTGAGCTCCTGACCATGTCCCTAGATTGTACTCATATGTATTTTGATGTCTTCTAAGATTTATTCTTAGTGCATTTTTTAAGTTAAAGTATTTACTGAGCATCTACTGTATATCAAATGCTGAGATAGGCATCAGCGGTGCAGGGAACCTATGGCACAGTCTCTGCCCTCAAGTAACTTTCACTCACCACATATATTTATTAGGACACCAATACATGTGTGCATATAAGATAGTAAGATAGACATTGCAACAAATAATTATTTACTGTAAACCTATTTCATAGGATTTTAATCTTAAAGTACTTTCATCCTATTTCCAAAAAAAAAAATGTATTGCATAACGTTAAAGGGATTCTCAGTTTGAAATCATCATATGAACTGCAGTAGCATCTGCTGGTGAAATACTGCTTTGTATCTATTAGAATAGTCCAAACAATTCAGAGAGAACTGCATTATTAGAGCTGTAAAAGTTACTGTCTGGAAATCTCAGAAAAGAAGAAGAAGTTCTATGGTAGATGAATAAGATGACATCTAAAATGTTCTCTTAAGCTACTGAAGTTCTGTGGATATCTCACAGCACAAAGTTCAAGTATATGCCCACAACTCCTCATGCCACAAGATGTGACACCTTTCCAGTCTCTTTTTGCAAAAGTTTCCAATTATGTCTCTTATAAGAGTACTTTTAATACCCACATATTCCGGATTTTGTGGTGCACGCATCGACAAGATGGGAAGGGGGCTTCCAATTGTTGATGCCAGCTGCTCTATGGACCAGGCCCTGCCCATGCATCCATGTTGGTTCTTTTATCCCTACATCAGCCATAGCCCATAGGCATTAACCTCCATTGTACAGATGAAGAACTTGAAACTCTAAGAGAATATGCAATTTATCCAGAGTCATGGAGCTTGTGTATGTAAGAGTTGGAATGAAAATCCAATCTGAGTCTCAAGTCCCCTTCCACAATATGGTTTCCATTTCATTTTGCAATCACCTTAGCTGGGATATGTCTGCTCTAAAAGATAGTAAGTAGGAATACTTGTCTCTATACCATAACCTAACATCCATGGGCTTCGTTTTTGTATTTGGAAGTGCCATAACATTATAATAATCTGATTTTATTTGAATAGTGAGTATTATACTACTCAGTCCAGGGATCTGTGACATCCCAGTCTAAACTGGATGATAGCAATGAAGCTTCTTCAAGGAGACAAGTATGAGTAATAAAGTAGAAATAAGTTGAATTTCTACAGAGTTGCTACTTCTGAATTTAAAGCTAGCTGAGGTTAAGTAGATATTCAAAAAGATCGCGACAATCTTCACTTGAATAATATAAACATTTATTATTTTTTACATATTTATTTATTTATGGAACATAGATGTAATTTTAAAACAGAATATTTGCAAATTGTATTAAAATATATTAAAAACATAATACATTATGACCCAATAGAGTTTTTCACAGTAACTCAGTGTTAGTTTAAAATGTGAAATTCAATCAATATAATTCACCATAGAATATAGTGTGTAGGTCAGTATAATGTATATCAAAATTGGAAAGAAGTAAATTTATCTTTGTTTTTTAGTAAGATGAAATTAAAATTTTAATGAATTTCAACTTTCATTTTAGATTCCAGAGGGTACCTATGGAGGTTTATTACATGGGTGTATTGTGTGATGCTGAGATTTGGGGTATGAATGAAGGTGTGAGTGCCTGTCTTGAATTGCACCGAGAGCAATCTCCCCTGATCAGCAGAGGGTAAACTAACTTGAATTACACTTGAATTTCTTAGGAGAGCAGGTCACAAAGGGAAAATTGTGGTCCAGAGACAAAAGTGTCCAATGGTCTAAAATGAGCCTGCCATATCACTTAGGGTACAGGTCTTAACAGAAATACATTTCAGAAAGGGGTCAAACCCTTGTTTAAAGATAAATGTAAGCTGGGTGTGGAGGCACACGTCTATAGTTCCAGCTACTCAGGAGGCTGAGGCAGGCGGATCCTTTGAGTTCAGGAGTTTAAGACCAGCCTGGACAACATAGGAAGATCCCATCTCAATTTTTAAAAATGAGAAAAAATAGATAAACATAAGCATATTAACATTTTAAAGAGTTTATTTAAGCAAACAGAGATTCATGGATCAGCCAGCTCCAAACTGAAAGTGGTTGGAGGATCTACTGGAGGCGTTTGTAGGGAAGGCTTTTATAGGGTGAATGTAGAAGTAGAGTAAAGAAATTATTTGTTTGGCAAAAATTTGGGCAGTTGTATTATTTGAACTATCCTGGCGGTAGGTCTCTCATTACACAGCTAATACTCAGCAGGCCACTTGGTGGTGGGCTAAGCTTGTTTCATATTTTTCTATGTAGGAACCCAGGCCATGGGAGCTATCTCAGCCTAATGCTCTCCCATTACGTTATTTTACAGCTCTCTGTATCAGGGTAAGTGGGGATCTTCCCCCACAAGGCTTCTTACCACCCTGTTTCCCTCAGCAAAATGAAACTGTCCCTTTTGCCTCTGTAGGCAATCTTTTGAACAGGGCTTTCCTAATATTCTTATCTCATCTTATTTTATCTTATCCTCTTCTCTGTACCTTGTTTACATGCTTCTGGAACACTTGTGTGTCTTGCACCCATTCCCTGCATTATTTAGGCAATCCTAAAAGAAGACTCTTGGATGGATTGGTAGAGAACTGCTGGCATATTGAGCCCTCTCTCCTTGTATCTGGAACTTTCATAATTACCTTAGTTCTCCAAGCCAATTTTGCAATTGTCTTCGTTCTCCACTTCAAAATACATTTACCTCTGACAGAAGCTGAGCAAATAAAAGGGACTTTGTCCAGTGGTACATATGAGGCAGGAGACATGATATAGTTAAAATTATAAACTAAAAGCTTTCTGACACCAAAAGCATAAGTAACAAAAAAAAAATAAATAAATTGGACTTCACCAAAATTTAAAACTTTTGTGCAACCAGAAGACAACTGGCAGAATGGAAGAAAATATTTCAAATAATATCTTTGATAAGGGATCAGTATGCAGAATATAAAAAGAATTCCTACAACTCAACAATAAATAAACAACCTAATTAAAAAATCAGCAAAGGACTTACATAGAAAATTTCCCAAAAAAGATATACAACTGGCCATCAAGCACATCAAAGATGCTGAACATCACTGATTACTAAGGAAATACAAATCAAAACCATAGTAAGATACCACTTCATACACATTAAGATGGCAATCATCAAAAAAGCAGGGAATAACAAGTGTTGGTGAGGATGTAGCCAAGTCGAAACTCTTGTACATTGCCGGTGGACTCTACAGCAGTATAGTCATGGTGGAAAAGAGTACAGTGGTTCCTAAATTAAAAATAAATGGAACATAGGCTGGGCTCAGTGGCTCATGCCTGTTATCCCAGCACTTTAGGACACCGAGGTGGCCAGATCACGAGGTCAGGTGTTCAAGACCAGCCTGACCAACATGGTGAAACCCTGTCTCAACTAAAAATACAAAAATTAGCTGGGAGTGGTGCTGCATGCCTGTAATCCCAGCTACTCAGGAGGCTGAGGAAGCAGAATCACTTGAATCTGGGAGGTGGAGGTTGCAGTGAGCCAAGAGAGTCAGACTCCAGCTCAAAAATAAATAAATAAATAAATAAATAGAAATGAAACACAGAATTACTATATCAGTCAGCAAGTCCACTTCTGGGTTTAAACCCACAAAAATTGAAAGCAGGGACTTCAACAGATATTTGCAAATTCATGTGCACAGCAGCATTATTCATGATAGCCAAAAGGTGGAAGCATTCATTGACAGAGGAATGGATAAACAAAATGTGGTACAGATATACAGTGGAATATTACTTAGCCTTAAAAAGGGACATTCTGTGGAATGTGGTTTGAAAACCACTTCTGTTAGGTGTTGTGTAAATGTACAAAATCCAAACCAGGTTAATAACCCATATAAAATTTAACTTATAACATTAAGACCCTGATAAATTTCACTCTCTGCTTCATAGCAAATAATTTGTTTTGAATGCAGATATATATTTTTTAAGTAGAAGACTGTGCACTAAACTATAGTCCTTAAACCAAAATCCTATGTATAAAACCACATATTTTCTATTGATTTGCACTTTTAAATGTAAAAATGGATTCACATTTCTATTTGTAAAATGCCAGACTCAAAATACTTTTACTGCTATGATTCCATGTTTTATTTACTGAGGAGGCAAACCATACTAACGGAGAATCAGGGTTTTGTGACCATCCATTTTAAATATAATTGCCTCTACTATTTCTAAGTCCCTGTTCTGCAACGCTGTGGCTCTTTTAAATTTGAGAAACAGTTTTGATGGGCCCCGTATGGAGTGTTATTATTTCCCAGAGGTACTATTAATAGTTTATGGCCAGACCATCCCTCCCTGAGTTTCCATTAAAAGAAAGAGGGTCTAGGTCACTGCAACTTTTTCCCAACATTGACCATCTGCCCTTGCTCCTCAGGAGCTCCCCGTGCCTCTCTGTGTATGTCTATCCCTGCAAATGCCAAGGATATGGAATAAGTGAGCCTACTGCCCCTGTGGCACTGCAGGGGGACTTCTTGGTGAAGTGTCTACATCTATATGATGTCTCCTCACTTCTTCAATCTGTTCACTAATGTAGAATTAGGTCAGGCACAAGCTATCACAAAAAAAGAAACATAGAGTGTTTGATGTCCACAAATGTATTCACTGTAGGTAACTTAGAAATACATATGCACAAAATCCAAACCAAATATACACCCTAAATATCACCACTAGAAACAACTATTTTGGAATAATTATAGTACTCTCATTATTATTTTAATTAGTCACTTGTGATCTCTTTTACTTAAAACTTAAAAACTGGGTACTAAATGATTTTTTAAGATACACAACTGGTAGAAAAACCTAATCTACTATTTTCACAAAACTTCAACACAATAAACACTTATTGCAAAAGCAGAAGCATTCCCTTTGAAAACTGGCACAACACAAGGATGCCCTCTCTCACCACTCCTATTCAGCATAGGATTGGAAGTTCTGGCCAGGGCAATCAGGCAAGAGAAAGAAATAAAAGGTATCCAATAGGAAGAGAGGAAGTCAAATTGCCTCTGTTTGCAGATGACATGACTGTATATGTAGAAAACCCCATTGTCTCAGCCCCAAAACTCTTTAAGTTGCAAAGTATCAGGATGCAAAATCAATGTGAAAAAATCACAAGTATTCATATACACCAATAATAGACAAGCAGAGAGCCAAATAATGAGTCAATTCCCATTCACAATTGCTACAAAGAATAAACTACCAAGGAATAGAACTTACCAGGGACGTGAAGGACCTCTTCAAGGAGAACTACAAACCACTGCTCAAGAAAATAACACAGGACACAAACAAATGGGAAAAAAAAGTTCATACTCATGGATAGGAAGAATCAATATAATGAAAATGGCCATACTGCTCAATGTAATTTATAGATTCAATGCTATTCCTATCATGCTACTATTGACTTTCTTCACAGAGTTAGAAAAAAGCCACTTTAAATTCCATATGGAATCAAAAAAGAGTCCATATAGCCAAGATAATCCTAAGCAAAAAGAACAAAGTTGGAGGCATCACGCTACCTGACTTCAAACCATACTACAAGGCTATGGTAACCAAAACAGCATGGTTTTGGTACCTAACAAATATATAGACCAATGGAACAGAACAGATACCTCAAAAATAATACCACACATCTACAACCCTCTGGTCTTCGACAAACCTGACAAAAACAAGCAACAGGGACAGCATTCCCTATTTCATAAATGGTGCTGAGAAAACTGGCTAGCCATATGCAGAAAACAGAAACTGGGCCCCTTCCTTACACTTTATACAAAAATTAACTCGAGACAGATTAAAGACTTAAAACCACAAAAATCCTAGAAGAAAGCCTAGCCAATACCATTCAGGACGTAGGGATGAGCAGACTTCATGACTAAAACACCAAAAGCAATTGCAACAAAAGCCAAAATTGACTAATGGAATATAATTAAACTAAAAAGCTTCTGCATAGCAAAAGAAACTATCATCAGTGTGAACTGGCAACCTAAAGAATGGGAGAACATTTCTGTGATCTACCCATTGGACAAAGGTCTAATATCCAGAATCTACAAGGAACTTAAACAAATTTACAAGAAAAAAACAACCCCATCAAAAAGTGGGTGAAGGATATAAGCAGACACTTCTCAGAAGAAGACATTGAGGGCTGGGCATGGTTACTCACGCCTGTAATCCCAGCACTTTGGGAGGCCAGGGTGGGTGGATCACCTGAGGTCAGGAGTTCAAGACCAGCCTGGCTAACATGGTGAAACCCCGTTTCAACTAAAAATACAAAAAATTAGCTGGGCATGGTGATGCATGCCTGTAATCCCAGCTACTTGGGAGGCTGAGGCAGGAGAATCGCTTGAACCCAGGAGGAGGAGATTGCAGGGAGCTGAGATCATGCTGTTAACTACTCCAGCTTGGGCAACAAGAGCAAAAATACGACTCAAAAAAAAAAGGGGCATTTATGCAGCCAATAAGCATATGAAAAAACGCTCATCATCACTGGTCATTAGAGAAATACAAATCAAAACCACAGTGAGATACCTTCTCGTGCCAGTTAGAATGATGATTATTAAAATGTCAGGAAACAACAGATTCTGGCAAGGCTGTGGAGAAATAGGAATGCTTTTACACTGTTGGTGGGAGTGTAAATTAGTTCTACCATTGTGGAAGACAGTGTGGCAATTCCTCAAGGATCTAGAGACAGAAATACTATTTGACCCAGCCATCTCATTACGGGGTATATACCCAATAGATTATAAATCATTCTACTATAAAGACACATGCACACATATGTTTACTGCAGCACTATTTACAATAGCAAATACTTGGAACCAATCCAAATGCCCATCAATGATAGACTGGATAAAAAAATGTGGCATGTATACACCATAGAATACTATGCAGTCATAAAAAAGAATGAGTTCATGTCTTTTGAAGGGACATGGATGAAGTTGGAAGCCACCATTCTCAGCAAACTAACACAGGAACAGAAAACCAAACACTGCATTTTCTCATTCATAAATGGGAGTTGAACAATGAGAACACATGGACACACGGAGGGGAGCATCACACACCAGGGCCTGTCGGGGGGTGTGGAGCAAGAGGAGGGAGAGCATTAGAATAAATACCTAATGCATGTGCGGCTTCAAACCTAGATGATGGGTTGATAGGTGCAGCAAACCACCATGGCACATGTGTACCTATGTAACAAAGCTGCATGTTTTGTACATGTTCTGTCCCAGAACTTAAAGAAAAAAAAATAAAAGAGAGAAAATATCTTAAAACTTCATAGAATCTCTAACTTTATTAATATAATCAGCATACAATAAGGTAATCATAAAGGTATCATGAGAAATAAAATTTCATGAAAGCTTATGTTTGTAGAAATAGCTTGTTTCAGGAAAATCATAGTCTTATTTTTAAAAAATTGTCTCATAATACTTTATGGCATAAAATATCTTCTTTTCTGCCAGCCACGTGTATCTTTATAAAATACACATGGTAATCAACTAATAGCCAATCCTCATCAGGATCAATGAGAATCAATTGTTAAAGTAATATAAATTAATATACATTTATTAGGGAAATTCCATGAATTATCTTTTGGACCAAAAAACTATCTAGTCTGTAAATGGATCAGGTTTAGTGCATTTACAGGGTAGGTACTGAGGCCAGAAACATTCAATAGAGAGATTCCGACTTCAGAAAGACAAACTTGAGAGAGTTAGCTGCAGAGCAAAAGCACTAATTCAGGACTGGTGGAATAGGATAGCATACAAAAGACATGGGGAAGAAGAGAATATTTGTTTCCATGCATGCATGTATTGATACAAGCAAGCTTCCATCAAAAAATGACTTTCTTCTAAAGGTTCATATGGCATAAACATTAACACTTTTCCTTTACTGCCTCACAGATCAGCTTTTCCTCCAAAGATTCTCTTTCTGGAAAAGTAAAGTCCAGAAAGAGAAATATTTAATTGTTACAGTCATAAAAATTATACTTATTCACTAATGCTGCAGCCAGGGTAGAAGAGAGAGAAGTTCCAACTTTAGCCATATTTTCATCAACCAACTTTTCCTTCTACTTTTAAAGACAAGCATACAGGAATGAAAGTGAGTGTTGTTATTCTGGAGAAATTCTCTTAAATTTGTGAAAGAACAAATTACTCATAATTATGAGATTTTGTAATCAGTAATACATTTCTTATTATAGTTTTTATCAGTGTGCCTCAACTGAGAAGGTTGAGACTTTCTGCTCAACATGATACCATATTACAGTCATGCACCACATAACAATGTTTGGTCAACGACAGACTTGTATATACAATGGTAGACCCATAAGATTATCTTACTGTATTTTACTGTACCTTTTCTATGTTGATGTTTGTTTAGAAACACAAATATCTACCATTGTGTTACAATTGCCTTCAGTATTGAGTAAAGTAACATGCTATAAAGTTTTGTAGCCTAGGAGCAATAGGCTATACCATATTGCCTAGTTGTGTAGTAGTGGGCTGCAATTTAGGTTAGTGTAAGTTCACTCTATGATGTTTGCAGGAAAATGAAATTGCCCAACAATGTATTTTTCAGAAAGTATCTCTGTTATTAAGCAATGCATGATTTTATTCCCCCTCCCTTCTTACTCACCTGACTCCTCATTTTCTCATACCTTGCTTAACTCATCATTTGTCAATTCTTGCCAGTTCTTACTCCTCTGCAGTGTATTTAACATTCATCCTTTCACTATCATTTCCATTGTCATGTCTCATATTTCTATTCTCTGTCATCTGGAAAATTGCAAAGTTTCCATGATATGGCACATTGGGGCCTGAGAATATTCATATGTACATTTTCCACTTCTATTGCACTCTGTCATGAAATTCAGTGACCACAGTATTTCCTTGTTCAAAAGCCGCCAATGGCTTTAAAGCACTTATCTAAAAGTGTTCAAGTAGCCTGGTCAAATATCAACATAGCTTACAGTGATTTCACTCTTATTCCACATAAAGGTTACGATTTAATCTGGACATATCTTGTTCTTCCCTGATTCTTATCAGACCATTTCTTCTGTTCTCTAGAATATAGATTTCATGTGGCCGGAAAATTTTTCTGTTTTGTTCTCTGCTATACTCATGGTCCCTAATGATGTGTAGGCATTTAACAAATATTAACAGTGATAATTTTTAATGAATCAGTTCATAAATACATGAATATTTCAAATAGTTTCATCCACATTTTTTAACCTCTGGAAATCCCCCACTTTTTATTTTTGAATGCCATTGACCACAGTGAGTGGTTTGGTCTCATCATAAGGGAAGATGGATCAGAATGAGTAAGAATTCTTTGATGAGTTTTAGGAAAGTGGAAAGATGTCCTGGTATTGTTTATTCAACAAATGCTTACTGATTAACTCCTGTGTTCAAGGACCTGATTCCGTTGTTTCTATCTTCAAAGGCCTCAAAATCTAGAACTCGAGATAGAAAGACAACCTATTTAGGATATATTGTTTATTTCAATATTTTGATATTTAATCATAAAATAAAAAAACATAGAAGTCAGTTATTTTATTTACTTGGATACATTGGAGGATCTCTGAAAAGGTCACTCAGAAGCCAGATTTGAAGAATGAGTTGAAATTTACTGGAGACATAAATAGAGGAAGGGAACAGTTAGAAGATAGCCCATGAGTGGATTTAAGAATTTTCAGACCAGTTGTGGTGGCTCATGCCTATAATTTCAGTACTTTGGGAGGCTAAGGTGGGAAGATCACTTGAGGCCAGGAGGTCAAGACCAGCCTGGTCAACAGAGTGAGACCCCATCTCTACAAAAATGAAAAGCAAAAAATTAGCTGGGTGTGGCTGCACACCCTTGTAGTCCAAGCTATTCTAGAGTCTGAAGTGGGAGGATTGCTTGAACCCAGGAGTTCAAGGCTGCAGGGAACCATGATCACACCACTGCACTCCCCCAGGCTAGGTGATAGAACACAACCCTGTCTCTTAAGAAAAATATGACTTTGAAATATTATGATAAAGTCCTGAAAGGCTCTTAGTTGCCCATCCATTTGCACAATGGAATAGCATGTGCTGAGATAACAGAAGTGTAGGGTGCCATGAGAGAAAATTGGAAGATCATTGTACCTGGATTATAGGAAGAAATAAGGGAAAGTAACAAGGAAGATCAGGGAATGTAGAAGCTGACACATTGCAGGTGACTCAAACATAAGTGGGTGAAGAAAGAATAGGTAAAGGTCTACTTAAGAAAAAGAAAATAAACAGCATCAAATTTAAGAAGTTATAAAAATTTATTTAAAAAAGCAAGATATATGAGGGTAACAATAACAATAAAATCATAAATCATAAAAAATATAATTGCAAAATCCTGACTGGCTTGTTTAAAAAAGAAACAATAATAAAATAGATAAGTTTCAATAAAATTTAATCAAGATAAAGTACACATTAAAAATTAGAAATAAAGCATATAACAACAGATGTGAAGATATTTAAAGTTGATACTATAATATATTAATATTTTGTCTTAATAAAGTAGATAATTTAACTTTAATAGGTGAATATAGCAATAACAATGTAGTATGTACTAAAAAGGAGTAACTTTCCTCCAAAAAAACCTTTACAAGCAATGGACTTATAGATTTCCTTCAATAATCAAGAAATGTGAAATGTCAACAAAATGTTCAATGACATAGAAAAATGGGGGGGAAAGAAATTTTTAACAAAACTTTTGTAAATCTGATATATAATCTGATAATGACAACAGTGAAGAAAATTACAGAACTTCTTTCAGATAAACATATGGAAAATCTTAGAAAAACTTACCAATATATTAATAGAAAGTAATATAAAAATCAGAATAAATATCATAAAATTATTGAACAAAACTCAAGATTGATTTCTGATTAAAAAGAAAAATACAGTTACAGGGAAAAGTGGAATTACTAACATCTAACAAATATATTAAGGATGCCAATCTAAAATTTGCTAATAGCATCATATTTAAAAAATAATAACTATTAACATGAGAAGGAATGTAAGATTTAATAATTAGCATTATATTAAAATTCTGGGAATTCTGATCAATGCAATAAAATATCAAGCAGAAGTAACTAATTCAAAAGAGGTGATAACATATTATTTACAAATATTACAAGTATAAGGAACCTTAAAATGATCATTTTCTATAATTTATTATAGTAAATTGTGAAAGTCTACCTTAGGAAAATAACACTAAGAGAAAATGTTAACAAAAATATCCTTGGAGTTATTTATGTTAACAAAATTTGGAAAAGCCTAAATATTTAGCTAGAAGGAAACAGTACATTGATATAGACTGGCATTAAACTTAGTTTCTTGATTTGATTAAACTTAGTTTCTATGAGACATTTGTATCATTCAAAGTTGTATGTATAGACACTGACTGAAACACAAAGTGGGTTATAATATTGAATATGTGATATAATGGCAACCATGATGAAAATGTCAGAGAACCAAATAGAAGGAAAAGAGCGGAACCTGAATAAAGATTACCTTTGGACAGTGGGATCTTAGTTCCTTTTACTCTTCCTATTAATTTAAAATTTGCAAATTTATTACCTTGAGAATATGAGAATACATTATATTTATAATTAAAAAACATAAAATGAGTGCTAAATAAACAAATATACCAAATTCTGTTTAGAATTCATTTCCCCAAAGAAACTTTCCTTGATTAATCCCACTGGCATTGATTATTATTTCATATGGCACCCCCATACTTATGTATTCAGTTTCTACCATATTAGTTTGCACGTTTTAAAAAGTCAATTTATAAGCATAATTATGGCATTTCTACATTTATATAGTGTAGTCTCCAAACTGAATTATAAGCTTGAAGATATGAGGAACCACAATGTATTTCCAACTATATTTATGCAATAAATCATGTGGTACTTTTCACAGAGTGAATGTTGTTAACTTACTGAACACCTGATGAAACATGGGAAAGATGGCCATATCTGACAAGAGGAACAGATGTGAAATAAAATCCAACATTCTGTATAATTCTTATTGTCTCTTAACCCTACTTGTTGAATTACAAAAACTACATATACAAAAATTTGAGCATTATACTCTTTAGCTGTACATTATCATTTCAAAACAAACTTATACATGGCTCTCACTATTACAATAATCTTCCCACTGTAAAAACTTTTAAGCTGTAACTTTCTGCCATTACTACATTATCTTCATATTAGTTTATGCCATACTTCTTTCTGAGTTTCTGTCAATATTCATCTGAAGTATTTTTGTGTAAAAATTAGATAGTAACAGGAAAATAGATAACTGCTTCTAATAGGTAGAAGTCATTACTACAGCTTTGCCTATTAACACATACACATTATTTCTTCATGTCCCAGATGTTCAGGTATATGGGAATGAAAAAAATTAATGAGTTGGAACTGCTTGATTCAGTTATTCTGGTGACAAACAATCTGTATAGCTCATTGACGATTGTTTTACCCTTGACAAAGTGGCTGCAATTGTTACTTGCAGATGTAGCCACACTTAATTTCTTTTCTCCAGTCCCCACTGCATTGTATTTGTTATTCTTGATATGAGAAATGTGTTAAGAAACATGCCACTAACTGCATGTACTCCCTATACAATTAGCTACAGAAAGAGGTGATGACTCATATTATTTACAAATATTATGAGTATAAAGAACCTTAAAATAATCATTTTCTATAATTTGTTATCAATTGTTAAGTTTATTTTAACAATTATCAGTTAGCTACAGAACACGAGTAGTGTTTCTTACTTTAGCCAGATGTAAACATGTGATGCGGTAATATAGTGAAGAATATTACTCACTTCAGGGGATAGGGCCTTGGTCAAGAATTTTGAGAAACTCTTGAAAAAGGAAAAGAAAACCCCCATGATAGTAATACAATTCCAAAAGCAAAAGGAAAATATTGTAAATGTATTAAATTAAAAAATATTTTAAGGTAAGGCAAAAGTAGGTATAGAATGGTGAATCACATACAAATTGTGAAAGTGAGTAATGACCCAGAAATCAAAGGAGAGGGAAAAATATGGTAGGTGAATATGGTTGCAATGCTAATTAAAAAATGTTATTAGCAGCTAGCTCAATTCAAGCTTTGAATAAATAGAAATAGAGTGTTTATAACAGTACGCTTAATCTACCGGTGACAATATTAAGATAATTGTTGAAATATACTTAAAAGAAGTTAGTGAAGGCAGACAATGAAAGACTATTGAACTTTTCTGGTTTCTTTTGTAAAAATTTGCCTATGTCCAACATACAGGCACAAAAATAAAATAACAGAAATAGAGAGCAAATCTTGGCCATTCAAATGAGAGTCAGCTATTAATTATTTGGCCATAGGCTGTATTTGTACAAGAAAACTTTGGCTAAAATATGCCATTCAATAGAAATACTCATTTTTCAAGTGTTAACAACCTGTCTGAGTCCATTTGGACTGCTGTAACAAATTACGTGAGACTGGGTAATTTAAAAACCAAATTTATTATTCTCAGTTCTGGGGGTTGGGAAGTCCAGATCAAGGTGCCAGCAGAGTTGTTACCTGGTGAGGTTTGTTTCTCAAACTTACTGCTGCATCTTCACATGGCATAAGGGCAAAAGGGGCAAAGTAGCTCCCTATGGGTTCTTTTATAAGGGGACTAACCCATTCATGACTGCTCCCCAACCCCCTTAACCTACTCACATCCCAAATTCCTCCCTTCTTTCTTTTATTTATTTATTTATTTATTTATTTATTTATTTATTTATTTATTCTTTGAGATAGAGTCTTGCTCTGTTGCCCAGGCTGGAGTGCAGTGGCACAATCTCAGCTCACTGCAACCTCTGCTTCCCAGGTTCAAGCAATTCTCCTGCCTCAGCCTACTGAGTAGGTGGGATTACAGGCGTGTGCCACCACACCTGGCTAATTTTTGTATTTTTAGTAGAGATGGAGTTTTACCATGTTGGCCAGGCTGGTCTTGAACTCCTGACCTCATGATCTGTCCACTTCAGCCTCCCAAAGTGCTGGGATTACAGGTGTGAGCCACTGTGTCCAGCCTGGCCTCACATCTTAACACCAACATATTGGGAATTAGATTTCAATATATGAATTTTGGAGAGATATAATCTTTCAGCCCACAGCACAAACCAAGGATGAATGTTTGAGGCCCCTGTCAAAATACACATTTGAAAAGATTAGAACGTCTGCAATGCCAAATGAATTACATTAGTAGAGGCAAATTCTAACAATGAAATGAGAAGAACTGCAAACAGAAAGAATCACAGAGAGAACCATTTAATTTTAACATTGAGGAAAAACTTTGAATGTGGGTTCCATTCAATTGTACAATAACTCAATGTATACAGCATCAACACTTTTAAAATATTGAGATAAAATATTTTTGGATTTTATCAAATTTGATGTAATGCTAGAAGAAGAATTCATACTTTGAAGGGACTGTGATAAATTAAAGGATTTATTTAGTTCTCTTTGCACTTGCTACATGCTGTTTCCAATATGAATATTTTCACAAGATTTACATGTCTAATACATGAGTTGGCTCCTGAACTTGAAGCAACTGTTAGCAATAGATACACTGGTAAAAAAAATTATCTTCTGCTGTCCTGCATGACCATGGACATGGACATCTTAGTATTTATGCATAATAAAAACTTTCAGTTCAGCTTAGTAAATATTTATTGACAATGTGCTAATCATGAGGAGGACTGTGGATAAAGGTGGATGATAAAGATAAATTTAAGTTGGGGAAACTACCACCACTACATCTACAAGGGCTGAAAGAATATACAAGTCAGAAGCACATAGAAATCACTGAACCACAAAGTAAATGGCCGTGTCTAAGTGCTGCTATATACCCAAACCATGTCCTACTTATATAGTCCTTTAAATGGATAAATAATACATTAATTCTGACTGGGAAGGGAGAAAGTTTCTAGGAATAGTTCTTTAAAAGGTTGCATCAGTTTTGATTAATACATAGGAAGAGACTGTTACAGAAGAAGAGCTAGCTAACGGAAGACCTAGCATAATTTTATTCTTGCACAATATCAGGGAACCCAACAGTTTTGTCAGCAGTAGCTACTTTTAATTTCCTTGGATACTTGAGATCATCTGGGAAGATTGTGGTAAGTAAGGCTGCTGATGAACACTTTGATTAAGAAAGGATTTATCGAGCTGGGCACAGTCACTCATGCCTGTAATCCCAGCCATGTAGGAGGATGAGGCAGGAAGACTGCTTAAGTCCAGGAATTAGAGATTAACCTGGGCAATACAGCCAGACCACCATCTCTACAAAAAATAAAAAAACAATTAGATGGGCATCGTGGCACATGCCTGTGGCCCCAGCTACTGGGGAGACTGAGGTAAAAAATCACTTGGGCCCAGGAGTTTGAGGCTACAATAAGCTATGATTGTGATGGCAGCGGCTGCTGCCATCATGCCAGCTGCAGGGGAGAGATGTGGCCGGGGTTGTATGCTCCCTAGAGTTGGCAGGATGGGGACAAGTGGGAGCCCTGCCCCTTCCGAGTTGGAATGGGAGCTCCCTGGGTGCCGCTGCAGCTGCCCTAACTGCAGCTGTAGCTGTAGACCTGGACCTCCCACTCCATGGAGCAGACAGGAGTTTATCCAACTCCCCTACTCTGTCCCCACCCCAGCCCACCACCCAGCCACCCAAACCAATGCTGCAGACTCAGGCATCCCTGCACTCTTGAGGAGCCTGGGAATGTCCCCCTTGCCCCTTGCAGGCTTGGAGGCACCTCCTCCTGCTCCCTGGTCTCTCCCACCTCCTGGCTTTGTGCTCTGATCTCAGAGTGGGGTTGGGACCCAGCAGTGTGCTGTCACAGCCCAGCCAGTTGTGCACACATTGGAAGCAGTGCTGATATGCCAGTCCCCTGCCACCTCAGCCCCTCTGGACTTTGGAGACCAAGGAGCAGGAGCATGGGAGGGGAAGCTGAGGGGGTCCGAGGGTGGCTGAGCACTGGCCTGCAAGTGCCCCTTGATGCCAGCAGCCTGGGTGCCATGGATGGCTGTGGGAGGCAGACAGGCTCCTGAGTGGAAGGGGATGGGTCCCCAGTGAAACCCCACCTGCAGGCTAGGCTGCCAGTCCTGCAGACTGGAGGCAAAACTCATGGTGCTTTTTCCGGGGCCTGCTCATGGCTGCCCATGGACCAATGGGCATACACTTCCTCCCCTCTGACATCCATAAAAGCCCAGGACTCAGCCAGAACAGGTCAGAAGACAGAGGAGGGAAGACTAGAGGCAGGAAGGAGCTATCCTTTTTGCTGATAGCTGGAGACAATGGGAGGTCCAGCTACTTTCTCTGCTGAATGCTTCAGAGACCTGCAGAGATGTCTGGGAACTACCAGCTGCAGACAGGAGCAACCCTCTCCAGGGTTTCCCTTTCTGCTGAGAGCTGAACACTTGACAGAACAACCTATAGAGGAGCTACTCACTATGGGTCTCCTCTGAGCTGTTCTAACACTTAATAAAGCTCCTATCTTTTAACCCTTCACTTGTCTACCTACACCATTCTTCCTGGATGCAGGACAAGAACTCGGGCAAAGATGCCACCAACCACAGTTTTCCAACCAGAAAATCGACACCCCAAAGATTCCATAACAATTGCACCACTGCACTCCAGCCTAGGTGAGAGAGTGAGACCCTGACTCTTAAAAAAAGGAAAAAAAGGAATTATCCACAAGTTATTAGATAAGACTGCTAATAGCTTCTAATTGCGATACTTTCCCGTTTGAAATGGAAGGTATGGAAGTTAACACCAGGTCAGTTTTCCCAAAGTTATAACCCTGCTTTTGGCCTCTTTCAGCTCCAGTCAGACATTAGCAATGCTCAGTTACCTTCAATATTAAGCCAGTCCTGACATGAAACTGGCAGCATTTGAGAACACTGACCCAGACTTGAAGGTAGATCTGGAATTAGGATTGCTGCTTTAAGCCCAGTATCAAGGTATACAATGAATCATGAATTTCTCATAAACCAAATTTAGTGGATTTTTTCCTATAATTCTGATGATAACTTTGCCTTGATTATATATTAAAACAATTCATTTGCTGTATCTTCATTACTGTCCCAAATGTTTTGGGTTGACATACTGATGTTAGCTAGAGGTTTTGGTCTCAAGTTTCAGTAGCTGCTCCAATGTAAAATGATCACACATAAATCTTAGGTTTTTACTTATATGATACCTTGTCTGATACTATCTTCATCTATCAAATAAAGGGTGTAGTATTTTCTTAATCAATGTGG
Source organism: Homo sapiens (assembly GCF_000001405.40). Lineage (NCBI taxonomy): Eukaryota > Metazoa > Chordata > Mammalia > Primates > Hominidae > Homo > Homo sapiens. Next base: position 57,686,963 of record NC_000007.14, read on the forward strand.
GCTGCTATAACAGAAAACACAGATTGAGTGACTAAAACAATAAACATTTGTTTTTCACAGATCTGTAGGCTGTAAATCTGAAATCAGGGAGTCAGCATGGTTGGGTTCTTGGTGAAGTCTATCTTCCTGGTTTACAGATGGCTGTCTTATTTTATCCTCACATGGAGGAGAGAAAAATCTCTCTTGTATCTCTTCTTAGAAGGGCACTACTTTCCTTCGATGAGGGTTTCATCTTCATGACCTAATTACCTCCCAAAGGTTTACCTCCTAATACCAATACATTGAGAGTTAGGATTTCAACATATGAATTTGAGGGATTTGCAGTTCATAACAACTATCAATGTCAACTCAGTTCAAGCTTGAATTTGTTTTTCTTTGGATGACAAATCTCTAATTAATTTGAATTCATCTTTCCCCAGTCTGGTTCAGTGTTGTCTTCTTTCTCCTTCACCACCAACAGTTAGCAAGGTGTCAGTTTTACTTGAGGCTAAGTCTGTTTTAGTTATCACAATAGAGAACCCTGTAAGCTATATCTTAGTTTCCCCTTTCATAATATTTTTCATTATGGAAAAAATACATTATAAACATTGTTCCTATTCTAAGAAACTTGGCTGCATCTTTGCAACAAAAATAATGTGGACATTTGCCAAATACAGCTGTAGAGAAAGGTAAAATCATTGCTCTGAATTATTCATGAAATCACAGAAATTAGGGACAAACACTAAATAAGAATGAATTATTCAGTGACCTGAAACACATATTTTCTTTAGTTTCTCATGTAATTTGAAATGTACTGCAATTTACATCCTCAGTGTTATATGATGTTTCTCTTTTAGTGAAAAGCACCCAACAGAACTTGTTAAACAAATGAGTTTTTTTCTCTTCCCATCTCTAAAAGCATTTTTTATACCTACACATCTACAAATACGTTTTAATAGACCTAACGTCTCTATGATGTCATTTTCCCCTTGGGTACCAGAATATATATTTAGTCCTGTAGAATTATTTAGCTCTCAGGTGCTGAGTTACTATTTCCCAGGAGTTGCATTGCCCAAAGTAATGTGGACATTTTTCTCATTTTAAATTTCACCTCACATGGTCCTTTGGTTTTGTTGCATTTTGTACCTGTTTTGATTGTTTTTTTCCTCTCTATGGAAATTATTTGCCAAGTAAGGAGAAAAAGTGTTGATGTTTTTCCTTATTCAAAAATTATGGTAGATGAAAAAAATCTGATTAAATAACTCTATTACATTCTTTCTCAACTTTTTACTGAGATAAACATGAAGGCACTGAAAAGGTGAAATTTTCAGCTATTGAAAATTTGGAATGTAGGACATCATGCCGAGATTTAAGGAAACGTATCAATAATTTAGCAAGGGATGGTAGTAGATACACAAAAAGCAATTAGAAGCAAAAAGGCCTTGGATTCTTTTCATGTTAAAGAAAATATATTCTGAAAGTAAGTACAAAGACACTTTGTATTTCCTTTATAACCTGTTCCCTAACAGAATACCAAGGCCTATGCCAAGGGAAAAACTGTGTAGATATGTTTTTCTCTTCTGGTGCTGATATGGTCATAGGATGGGGAGCTTGCTCTTTGCTATTTCTCTAACCAATCTTATTACTATATCAATTAATATCAAAATATTTCAAGTCTAGTTACTGACAAGAGAGTAAACTAGAGTGGAATCCTGACTCATAACAAGGATTCAGATCTAGAGTTCTCATAAAGTGAAGAGATTATGTTTGCAACTGAGAAACGAATGTAAAAACTGTAAGGAATCCCTGGAAAGTCTGAAAGTCCCTGAGCCCTGATACAGAGAGCAAATGGCAGTTTAAAGCTGACCATCTCTCGTTCCCTCCACTATTTCTCACATAAGAATATTACAGTACACTGTTCACTGCTCTCTCTGCTTCAAGCTTTGCCCTTCCACCTCTCTATTCCACAGAGAAGGTAGAATGCTCCTCTTAAAATACAAGGTGGATTATTTTGCTCATCTGCTTAAAAACTTTTCAATGGCTTCTCATCTCATTCTGAATAAAATTCAAAGTCCTTTCCAGGCTTACAAGTCCCTGTACGATCCTGAGCCTTGACAATATCTCTGACAAAATCTCCAGCCTCCCATTGGTCACTCCTGCTCTGTCACACTAGTGTCCTTGCTGTTGTTTTGAAATATAGAAAGCATGATTTTACTCCAGTGTCTTTAATCCTTGTTATTTTCTCTGCCTGCCTTCTTCTGTCTCTTCGGCATTCCATATGACTCATCTCCTCATTCCCCTTAGTACTTTTTCCATGTGGCATTTGAATACAGAAATCTTCACTATCTAAAATTATACTCCCATATCCATAACTTCTTTTATTGCTCTAGATATCCTTACAACATTTATCATTACCACTTATTAGCTTATTTGTCTTTCCTTACTAAAATGTAAACTAAATACAGACAGAAATTTTTGTAATTAAAAAACACATAACAAAAAAATCTACCATCTTAACAAAATGTTAAGTTTGCAGAACATTTTGTTAATGATATACACATTGTTGTACAGCTGAAATCTAGAATGTTTTTATCTTGCTTGACTGAAACTCCACACCTGGTGAACAGCAACCCCAGATTTCCTGTTTCCTCCAGGCCCTGACAACTACCATTTTATCTTTTGTTTCCATGTGTTTGGCTACTTTCAATACCTCATATAAATGGAATCATGATATATTTGTCTTTGTGTCTGGCTTATTTCACTTAGCGCAATATCCTTAAGATTGATACATGTTGAAATATGACAGAATTTCCCTTTTGAAGGGTGAATAATATTCCATTGTGTGTGTGTGTGTATATATATATATATATATACACACACACATATATACCATATATATACACCATACATATATATACACCATACTATATATATACACCATATATATATACACCATACATATATATATATATATATACACATATATATACATACACCATATTTTCTTTATCTGTTCATTTGATGATGGACTTTTACATTGTTTCTACTTTTTGGCTATTGTGAATAATTCTGTAATGAATATGGGAATGCAAATATCACTTCAAGATCTTGTTTTCAATTATTTTGGAATTATTCAATTATTTTGGAAAAACGCCCACAAGTGGGATTGCTGCATCATATGGTAGGTCTATTTTTTAATGTTCTGAGGACCCTCCATACTGTTTTCCATAGTGGCTCTACCATTTTACATTCCTACTGACAGTACTTAAGGTTCTAACTCAATTTCTCCACATCTTCATCAACACTTGCAATTTTTTTTTTAAAATGGTCACACAGTTATGAGGTGATAAATTCTGTTGTGATTTTAATTAGCATTTCCCTGATGATTAATGATGTTGAGTATCTTTTTATATCCCTGTTGGTCATTTGCATGTCTTCCTGAAAAATATCAATTTAAGAATTTGGCCGTTTTAAAATTGGGTTATGTGTTTATCTGCTTTTGAGTTATAGGTGTTTCTTATATATTTTGGATATTAAGCCCTTAACACATATACAGTTTTCAAATATTTTCTCCAATTCTATAGGCTGCCTGTTCACTCTGTTGTTTCCTTTTTTGCACAGAAGCATTTTATCTTGATGTAATCACCCTAACCTATTTTTGATTTGATTGCCTGTGCTTTTGGTGTCAAATCCAAGGAATTATTGCCACGACCAATGTAATAAAGCCTTTCTTTATGTTTTCTTGTAGGAGTTTTACAGCTTTAGTTCTTACATTTAAGTCTTCAATCCATTTGGAGTTAACATTTGTGAACAGTGTAAGATAAGGGTTCACTTTCATTCTTTTGCATATGGATATCCAGTTTTCCCAACAATATTTGTTGAAGAAATTGTCCTTTCTCCATTGTATAGTTTTAGCACCCTCGTCAAAGATCATTTGACTATATGCATGTGGGTTTATTTCCGGGCTTTCTTTCTTTCTTTCTTTCTTTCTTTCTTTCTTTCTTTCTTTCTTTCTTTCTTTCTTTCTTTCTTTCTTTCTTTCATTCTTGCTTTTTGAGATGGAGTCTTGCTCTGTAACCAAGGTGGGAGTGCAGCGGTGTGGTCTTGGCTCACTGCAACCTCTTCCTCCTGGGTTCAAGTGATTCTCCTACCTCAGCCTCCCGAGCAGCTGGAATTACAGTTGCCCATAACCATGGCCAGCTAATTTTTGTATTTTTTCATAGAGACGGGGTTTCACCATGTTAGCCAGGCTGGTCTTGAACTCCCGACCTTAGGTGATCTGCCCGCCTTGGCCTCCCAGTGGGCTTTCTATTCTGTTCCACTAATCCATTCTGTTCCATTCATCTATATGATTAGTTTTACGTTAATATCACACTATTGGGATTGCTGTAGCTTTGTAATATATTTCAAAGTCAGAAAATGTGAGGCCTCTGTTTCTCTTTCTTAGGATTGTTTTGGATATTCAGGGTCCGTTGTGGTTCCATATGAATTTTAGAACTGTCCTTTCTATTTCTCTAAAATTATCATTGGAATTTATACAATTCCAAGGGATTACATCAAATCTGTAAATTGCTTTGGCTAGTATTAGAATTTAAAAATATTCTTTCAATTCATGAAAATGAGGTGGCTTTCCATTTACTTGTGTCTTCCTTAATTTCTTTCAGCAATATTTTGCAGTATTCAGTGTACAAGTCTTTCCCCCACTGGCTAACTTTATTCCAAAGTATTTTATTCATTTTGATGCCATTGCAAATGGATTGTTTTCTTAATTTCCTTTTCAGAATGTTTGCCATTTGTGTTTTTTTGAATCTTTACTTTGAATCCTGCAACTTTGCTGAATTCATTTTATTAGTTCTAAGAGCTTTTTGTTGAATCGTTAGGGTTTTTTTATATATAAGATGATGTTTTCTGTGAATAGAAAAAATTTTACTTCTTCCTTTCCATTTTGGATCCCTTTTGTATCTTTTTCTTGCTGAATTATTTTAGCTAGGACTTTATGTACTTCATAAAGGCATCCTTGCCTTGTTCCTGATCCTGATCTTAGAAGAAGGGATTTCAGTTTTTCTTCATTAATATGATGTGAGCTGTGGGTTTTTACATATGGCCTTTATTCTGTTGGAATAATTTCCTTCTATTCCTATTTTTTCAAGTGTTTTTCTAACGAGAGAATGTTGAATTTCATCAAATGCTCTTTCTCCATCTACGGAGATGAACACGTTATTTTAATTGTTTTGTTAATTAAGCATATTATATTGATTTTCACATGTTGAACCCTTCTTGCATTCCAGGAAAAAATCCATCATAATTATGGTGGATGATATTTTATAGTGCTGTTGAATTCAATTTGCTGTTATTTGTTGAGGATTTTGCATCTACATTCATTAGGAATATTTAATTTTTTTTCTTGTAGCGCCATTGTCTGGCTTTGATATTAGGGTTATGCTAGCTTCACAAAAAGAGTTTAGAATTGTTCTTTCTTCTTTAATTTTTTAGGAATGTTTGAGAAATATTGGCATTAATTCTTCCTTAAATGTTGGCAGAATTCTCTAGTAAAGTCACCTGCGCCTCAGATTTTCTTTGCTGGAAGATTTTTGATTACTAATTTAAACACCTTACTAGCTATAGATTTGTTCATATTTTGTATTTCTTCTTGATTCAGTGTTGTGGGTTGTATATTTCCAATAATTTGATTTTTTTCTAGGTTATCCAATTACTACCATAATCATTCACAGCAGTCTCTTATAATCTTTTTTTATTTCTGTGGAATCAATTGCAATGTCTACTTTTTCATTTTTAATTTTATTTGGTTGAGTCTTTTCTCCTTTTAATTGCCATATTCCATTGTATAGTAATACCACAGGTTTTTTTAAATCTATTCACTTGCATTGGTTCTACTTTCTGGTTATAATGAAAATATGTGTGTGAAAATATCCTTTATTTGCATTAATCTGTATTATTTCCTTCCTTTTGCTGGGTTTGGGCTTAGTTCTTCTGTTTTAGTTCCTTGAGTTGTAAAGGTAGGTTGTTTATTTGAGATCTTTCTTCTTTTTTAAGGTAGGCATTTATTGTTATAAATTTCCCTCTTTAGTACTGCCTTTGCTGCATTTCTAAGTTTTGCTATGTTGTGTTTTTTTATTTTTTTGTCAGCTTGTTTTCTAATATTCTTTTTGATTTCTTCTTTGACTCATTGGTTGTTCAATAGTATGTTGTTTAATTTCCATATATTTGTAAATGTTTCAGTTTTCCTTCTACTATTGAATTTTTGCTTCATCCTACTTTTGGTCAAAACAGGTTCTTGATTTCCTTTGTCTTAAGTTTGTTAAGACTTGTTTTGTGACCTAACATTTGATCTATCCTGGAGAATGTGTCAGCATATGTCACTTTGCCAGATAATTTATATACCTCCATTTTTGAAGGGTTGATATTTGGAAACTTATTTTCTTCCTTTTATTGGGCCATGTTTCCCTGTTTCCTTGTGTGCCTTTTAATTTTGTGTTGCGATTCTAGGATTTGAAAAAAATAACCACTTCTCCCTGTCTTTACAGACTGGTTTTGCACTGGTAAATCCTTTCACCAGTCAGCCCAATTAGAGATTCTGAAGTATGTCAAATCTTTCTGTGAATGTATTGTCTCTGGAATTGTGTGTAAATTCTTAGAAAAATTTGCAGGTCTTTCTTCAGGAGCATGTAATCTCTTGCTCTCTTTGTTATCTATCTGTAATACTGTAGGTTATCTGGAGTTACTATAACCCCCTAGCTCTCTTTTGTTCTCAGCAGTCCTCAGACATCAAGAGTATCCGGTCAGACAGAAAACAGTCCGTCAGGCTGACTTGGAAAAGTTGGAATTCTGGATGCACACTCCAGCTTTTTCCTTCTCCAAGGGGAAGCCAGGAGTTGAGGGTTTTCTCCCACTCATTGGATATTGATCCAGGGAAGGATGGTATGACAAGTGAATGTATGCTAACCCAAACTTCCTCAACTCATTTGTTCTTAATATCCCCAACCTGGAAAGCTTTCCTGTTAGCGCTTAAATTCAGGCAAGACAGAAAACAATCACTTGGCAACTCCCCTGAAGTCTGAACACTGAATGTGTGTTGCAGTATTCTCTTTCACTTCTGTGGGGGAATCAGGAATTGTATTCTCTCAATCTTGTTATACTGAGTCACAGGAGGAATGATGGTGATTGAGTGACAGTCCAAACTGTGGCTTTATCAGCAGGCATGCAATCTGGCATCCTTTCCTGTTAGCACTTAGATTCAGGGTAGATAGGTGCTAGTGCCCTCCCAAAAAGTCAAAATGTTGGACATATGGTCTAGACTTTTCTTTCTCCCCCTAGAGATGAGCTGGGAGTTTGGAGCTTTCTCTCCATTGCGTTCTGCTGCTGAGGGATGATGAGTGAGTGCAACAAATTTACCTGCTGGTTTAGATGTGCCTGGCTTGAAGCCTACCAGGGAATACAGAGTCTTTAAATTTGCCTCTGTAATTTTCACAAAGGGGATTTATCTGTGTATTATTGTGGAGCTGGTGTCTCCTTGGAGAGGAGGGTGGAGGGGCTTTGAGGCTTTCTATTTCATCATCTAGCTGGTGTCCTGACAGGAATTTTAAACTGGGCTCCTTTCCCCGCATTGTTGGAGAATGGATCCTGGCTGATTATAGGTACTCATGAAATACTGGATAAATTATTATTTATCATTTACTTACAAATATTTAAAATTTTTATTATGGGAAATAAGTTTTTAATCACTATTAAAGTTTGTTGAAGCACTAATTCATTACTGTGAAAAGTGGGGAGGGGAATAAAAATCAAGAATTTGTCTACTTTTCTTGCTCTTCCTGTCCAAACTGTGTTTTGGTGTAATCAATACACATTTGGGAGGAAATGTTCTTTTAGAAATTATTCCAGCTAATAAATGAAGAAAAAAATGAAAGAATGTAGTACCCTGTTATAACACCTAGTAAAATAATGGTTGAAACAAGTTTTCTAATGAATGAAAAAACTATTAGTTGAAAAGTTGATGCAAACCTTTACTGTGGAGGAATGTAGCTGACATTAATTTCTTATCTGAATTACATTTTTGAAACTTTATGACTCTTTGAATTTAAAAGGGATTTTGGTGTCATTATTTTTTCTTTTACAGTCTCTTTTTTCACATAAAAATCAACTATTAACTGATTGGTTTTATGGTCTTTTGGAAAGAGACTATATAAATTCTGCTTTTTGTATGAAGATCTCTTTTACACTGTCAGAGGAAATTTTATCTCTGGTAAGCTCTGATTTCATCTTTCAATTTTATTTTGAATTTCTTTCTTTGTCTTTTGTTTTATCAGCACCTTGTTTAATTTAAAATAGATTCAATGTCAACAGTCAAGGAGTTAACTCAGGAAACTAATTTATCCAGAAATACAAATATTTTTGCATATATTTTATCCTTTGTTTTAGATCTTTAATATGTAATTTCTAAAAATGAAATATGGACAGTTTGCTTGATTTCTGAGCATAGTCAATGAATAATTTTACCAAAATAAGCAAACATTTTTCGAGCTTTTTTTTTTCCTTGAGACTGAGTCTTACTCTATCACCCAGGCTGGAGAGGGGTGGTGTGATCTTGGCACACTGCAACCTCTGCCTTCCAAGTTCAAGCAATTCTCCTGCCTCAGCCTCCTGATTAGCTGAGATTACAGTTGCCCACTATCACACCCAGCTAATTTTTTGGTTTTTTATTAGAGACGGGGTTTCACCATGTTGGCCAGGCTGGTCTCCAACTCCTGACCTCAAGTGATCCGCCCACCTCGACCTCCCAAAGTGCTGGGATTACAGGCGTAAGCCACCACGCCTGGCCTGGAGCATTTTGATATAATGAATTACTGGGGAAACCTTTTAATATAATGTTAGACAGCCCATTTAAAAAGAATCTAGTATAATTATTATATTCTATATATGACTACATTTCACAGTGAAGTAACTTAGCACTCTGTATTTATAATGCTTTGAAAATACATGTTAGTTGCTGATTTTATATTCCAAACAGAAATTATAGGACACCATATTATATAAACACAAGAATTCAATATTAATTTTCACACTTTAAAACAATAATCTTGGCCTTGCGCGGTGGATTGCGCCTGTATTCCCAGTAATTTGGGAGGTCGAGGCAGGCGGATCACGAGGTCAGAAGATTGAGACGATCCTGGCTAACACAATGAAACCCCGTCTCTAATGAAAATACAAAAAAAAAAAAAAATTAGCCGGGCGCGGTGGCGGGTGCCTGTAGTCCCGCTACTCGAGAGGCTGAGGCAGGAGAATGGCATGAAGCCAGGAGGGTGAGCTCACAGTGAGCCGAGATGGCGCCACTGCACTCCAGCCTGGATGACACAGTGAGACTCCGTCTCAAAAAAAAAAAAAAACTTTCAATTTTTAAAATTTTTCTCAAACTACCCATCAGAGAAGTTTAACATGTCCATTTACATTTCTATGATGTTATACGGAAATATTTTATTTCTTTCCCCAGAATAATATAGGCAAAATCTCTCCCTCTGACTATACACACCTGGCATTGTTATTTTAATTGTTTAAGGGTTTCTATCTCTTCCTATTCTGAATAATTACTCTCTTTTTGAGCTTTCTTGCAGTAACCGTTTTAAATAGTCTCTAGACAACTTTCTAGATTCTAGGATCCACATTAATCTTCCTGCCGTTGCAGTTTCTGTCTTCTCCAAGAGGCTAGCTTTTATGAGAACAAAATAGTCATATCTTCTTTAAAGAAGAGTTTCCAGTGTAAAGACTAAAAGTTTAAGTTAATTGTAAAGGAAAGACTCCAGTTAGAGGAGAAAATATTTCATTTTAAGATGAATGTTTCAGAACACAATTACTATATTGAAGATGACTCTCACTATAGCCACATTAATTACGCCTATTTCAGTTTAAGGAGACACATTAACAAATCTTAAATCTCTGAAAAGAAATCAAATCTGATACATAGTGGAGAAGTATGAGTCCTGACCAAGAGATTTTCTTGGAAGACATAGATTGACTTATAGCAAATGTTACCTGAAGTAGTAAAATCTTACACTTTATTTTTATAGAAAACAGACAATAAAAATCTTTCTAAATTAATGCATAGGTACTTTTGTAAAAATAACATAAAAATATCTGATTAACTTAGATACATAAGTTATTTAAGTTCCAAAATAAAGAATGAGAGAAGTTTATAGTTTGTCTGACTTTTATTCTTTTCAGTCCATAATTAATTCCATAGATAGAATAATTTATAATGTAACTTTAGTCATTACATCCTTTGATCAAAAATATACAGATATTCTTAATTTTTTTCTCATATTTACTTAAATTATTTTTCATCGCTTTAATATTTCTTTATTCACTGGTCCCACAATAGTTCACTAAGTTTCATATTTCTTGGTTTTGTAAAAAATTTTCCAATTCAGCTCCTGAGCACAATTAGTACTCTTCTCTCCTCTTCCTTTGTATTCTTTTTAGGCTCAACCCCATGGCTTTCCTTTTGTACTCTCTAGGCCAAGAATGTTCTTTCTTCTTCCTACCATTTAACCATTATTCATTTTTCATGACTGTATTAGTCTGTTTTCACACTGTCATAAAAGACTTTCCTGAGACTGAGTAATTTATAAAGGAAAAAAGGTTTAATTGACTCACAGTTCTGCATGCTGGAGAAGCCTCAGGAAACTTACCATGATGGTGGGAGGAGAAGCAGACATATCTTCTATGGTGGCAGGCAAGGGAGAAAGTAAGCATGTGAAGGAGGAACTGTCAAACACTTATAAACCCATCAGATCTCTTGAGAACTTAACTCATTATCATGAGAACAGCATGGGGGAATCTGCTCCCATGATCCAATCACCTCCCACCAGGTTCCTTCCTTTACATGTGGGGATTAAAATTCAAGATGAGATTTGGTTGGGGACACAGAGCCAAACCATATCAATGGCCAAAATAACGTATATTTTTCTTTTCTCTTCTATTCCTGACTATGTCCTTTCTGAATTTCTTCCATACTTTCAACCTGCCCCACAAAAGGCAGAGCTTACTCATATTTCTTATCCTGTTGTTTAAAAATTAATTTTGCTTGAGTTTGAGAATAATAGTCAATAGGCAGGGGACAAGCAGGCCGTCAACAGCATCCTTTATTTTGGCAGAAATTATTCTGAATCAAACTTACCTTGTCATGGGTATAATTACATGATCTCAAAAAGAATTAAAAATCTCTATCACTTGAACCACAGTTTCCCTTAGCATATTTAATATACTTCATTTTTGTCAGCTAACAAATGTTAGCTAATATTTTTACCATCAAGATGAATATCCTTTGGCAAAAGTATCTCTGTTTCATTAGTACATATTGAGAGTTGGACCCTATGGCTTCCCAACTTGCTCAGGAATGGGGAAGCTAGGGTACCCAGATAGGTAATCTTCTGTTTTGATACTTATATCCTGACTGTACACAGTGTCAAATCTCGGTCTTGACCTAGCAGGCACACATTAACACAACATGAAGGAAGGAAAAAGTCATTTATGAAACTACAATGGCTGCAGTAGTTATTTGGTAGTCCTCTTTTTAAAAATTTCCTTTTAATTGAAATGAAAGTTTGTAAGTGATCATACTGTAAATGATATAACATTTTATAATGTTTTATTACAAAAACTCAAACACTCCAGGAGTGAATTAAATGTAAATTGAAATCTCCCTCTCTCTACAATCCCACTTGCCTCATCATTTCCTCTATTCTTTAGAAATCCACCGACAACAATTTAATTAGAACTCAAATACTCTCACTCATAAAATGCATATGTGTACTTTTTTAAAAATGAGATTTTGCTAATTATGATTTGTAGTGACCTGATATTTCATTCGAAAATACATTGGATATCTTGCTGTCATTTAAAATGACTGTAAAATGTTAATTTTTACCAGTATTTTTATAAAACATATATATTGAAAATTCAAGTCATTACCATCTTTGCAGTTTTTTATAAACTTGTATAATGAACAGCTTTGCACATATTAGTTAGCACACTTGTTCAATTATTTAATAGAGATCTAATCTGAGGAGTTGAGAATTTTCAACTCTTTCTCAGGACCATTCCTTTGGAGTGATTTTGGAAATGTAGGTTATTTTTGGTTGTATCAATGATGGAGACATGACAAGCACTTACAAGTAAAGGGTAGAGATCACATGCAGCATGCATTGGGCCAAACAGTGCATTGAGACAAACAGTTCTATATAAGGAAGAATTGCTTCGTGTGAAGGCCCAATAGCACCTCTTGGAGAAACATGGCAACACGAAGTATTTCACTGTCTACTTTAAGAAATGTTGCACTATTTGTGCATTTTACAATAAATATCTATTCATCTTATAATCTGTAAAACGATATACTATTATTTAAAGTTCTTTTTTGTTTTGTTTTGTTTTTGTTTGTTTGTTTGTTTTTTTGAGACATAGTCTTGCTCTGTCACCCAGGCTGGAGTGCAGTGGCACAATCTTGGCTCAATACAACCTCCACCTCCCGGGTTTGAGTGATTTCTTGTGCCTCAGTTTTGCAAGTAGCTGAGACTACAGGTACATGCCACCATGCCCGGCTAATTTTTGTGTTTTTAGTAGAGAAGGGGTTTCACCATATCGGCCAGGCTGGCCTTGAACCCCTGTCCTCAAGTGATCCACCCACCTTGGCCTCCCAAAGTTCTGGGATTACAGGTGTGAGCCACCATGCCTGGCCTATTATTTTAAGGATTTAATCTTCTCTCATCCCATCCAAAAATGGAATTTTTCAATAAATCCAAAAAATTGTTTCTTTGAAAAGACAAATAAATTAGATGACAAAAAGAGAGAGCCTATTAAAATATAACATGAAAAATGGAAAACTGGATAATTGAAAATTTCAAAAGAATGCAATATGTACCTTTTGGTCATTATATTTGAAAATATATATGAAGAGGTTAATTTTTAGGGAAAATTTAACTATAAAAATAAATCTAGAGAAATGAGAACATTTGAAGATATCAACAATAGAAAAAAATGAAACCGGTGTAAAGTTATAGCACCTTTAAAAGCTCAAGGTCCAGCTGTGTCTCAAGCAGGTCCTCTTAAACTTAATGGAAAAGTTAATTCCTATGTTGTTCAAACTATTCTTTTGGTTAATGGGAGCAAAGAAAGCATATCTCCCCCTCCATTTATTTCTTAAAACAACTGAAAACCAAAAGAAAAATCAATGTACGAAGAAAAAAACTCCACCAATTTTGTTAAAAATAAACACCATTAAAAATTATAAACCAAACTTTGAAGACTAGTTGTTAGTGCCATAACAATTAAGTCTTTCTTCAAAAAATGGTGAGAGTAGATGCAGACACCTGAGCAAATATGGCATGTTAAACCCATAGAGAGACTTATTTTCCCACCTGAAACTATAACATGATGGCAAATGGCTTATTCAAGTGATATAAAAAGAAAACAGCAACACTTGAAAATAGGAAGTCCATAAATGGCTGGTAACTGACTTAGCTTACCAAAATGTGCAAAATTGTAAGTAGCGGGGAAATCTGATTCTACAAAATGTTCATAAATTGGTTGCACGGGATACCTCTGAAAGTAGAAGTAAAGGTAGGGCTAAAACCCATGAAGATTGGTTGAAAGACTGTTTCCAATGCCCACTCCATCAAGCCTCGTGAATGCCTCTAGGTTCTGCTGGTGGAAAAGTAGACATTTGCTGTCTAGAGAGGTAACAGGGAATCTTAGTACTGGCAATATCATCTTCAACGGTCATACATAAATTAGGGGGGCAAAATGAACAGTAACTACTGAAAGCTAGATCTCCCCAATTTTCACCTCTATCTAGATTCAAAACATAACAGTCTATTAGTCTTATATCCTCAGAGAAGACTGGAAGACTCTAGTTGGAAGATCATGATCAGCCCAAAGGAATAGACCAGTGGATATGTCATGAGGAGCTTTTCTGGGAAAACTTCTCGACCTGATTGCCCTGTCTGGAAGCCACAGTTGACAATTATTACCTAAGAACCTGAAGCTTACTGGAAACGTTTATTGTATTGCTCTTGAACACAAACAGATAACCAACAATCACGAGATTCTAGGTACAGCCAATAACAAACACAGAAACAAAAAATAAACAAAACAACTGAAAGTAAACAGAGTCTATACAGTGTGGGAAAAAAGTAATTATTAATTTCCTCAGAGAGGGAAGATAATACAACAAGAACAAGGTGTGATATAAAATGGATATTCAAAAAAATAGAATTCTTAAAAATTAAGAAATTTATTGCAGAAATATATAACTTAATGGGAGATTTGGAAGGTAAAGCTGACTGCATCTCCAGACAAGTTAGTGTAAACAGAGTTGGGAATGAGAAAGGGAAAGTTTAATGAATTAAATAATTGGTCCTATACGGCCAGCAACAAAATACAGGCATTTGGGAAAAGAAAAAAGTACAATGAAGTATGATATATGTAAATAATTTTTTGAAATGGGTAAGAGTTAAAGTGTATGAATTTCAGATTGAATGTGTCCACCAGAATTCAAGCCAGTGGTGAAAATAGACCTAGACCAACACAAACACACACACACACACATCAGCACACTCCGGAAAAAAAAAAAAAGAAGACACTTCAAATTTCCAGAGAAGAGAAATCAAAATGGTCACTAGAAGACAAACAAAGCCTTATAAATTGCAAAACAAATTATTTCTAATGCAGAATAGTATCTCCAACCAAACTGTAAATCAGGTAGGAGGAAACAATAATAAGCATTTACAGCATGGCAAGATTCTAAAAGTCTACATCCAATACATCCTATCTCAGGAATTTACTGGAGAAGAGTTTCACTAAAATGAGGAAGTAAATGAAGAAAGAGTAGGGTATAAAGTACAGGGAATCTCCTGGTTGTTAGATGTACAGTATGTGTACACAGCAACGTGTGTAAATTAGAGCTATCTAGAAAAAAAATTCAAAAAGATAAATCTGATAAAATGTCTAATGCTTCTGAATGCATTATGAGACTCATTAGAAAACTGGGGTAGAGTTTGGAGTTGGTACTTTGATACATACATAGAAAAACAAACAAAAAAAAATTTTAAGAAATTGTCAGTTTAAAGGAAAAAATGTTGTGTAGAAATGAAATTCAATCATTTATGCTCCATGTTTCAGGTGTGAGTAACATTTACCTAATTATAACAGTACTAGTGTTACTGGAAAAAGGGGTCCCGATCCACACGTCAAGCGAGGGTTCTTGGGCCTCACAAAGGAAAGAATTCCAGGTGAGTCACAGAGTACAATGAGAAGGAGACATAGTTTGTTGAAAGCTACTGCCTTTTAGAGTAGGGCGTCCTCAGAAAGCAACCGAAGGAATGTACCCTCTTTGTTTTCAGTTTTTCTGTTATAGGAGTTTTGTCTATGTAAAGACTAAATTGAATTGTCTATGTAAAGACTAAATTGGAAACAAAATAACAAGAAGGAATTTATGCATTATCTTCAAATCATGAGGAGTAAAATTCATACAATACCTATCGCTTAAAGAGTTTCATAGTGGTTACCAGTGGTCATTTTGTGATGTTTATCAATGTGATTCTTGAATGTAAAAAGGACTACTTATAAGATTTCATATTCTGAGTTAATGTGCAGCATATTACATTAAATTGTTAACCAATTAAAAAAATTTTTGAGTTTAAATTAGAAATCTTATTGTTATATTTATAAATCTAGTGCATTAAAAATTATTTTTAAGGGGGACTTTGATTAATGTTTGGTCCGTTTACAACTTAGTTAATTAAACTCCCTTAAAGATTTTAAACTACATTTATAAATTTAATATGTTGAATTATCTTTGTGAACATTTTAATTATCGGACTAACAAATAAAGCCTTCAGAGTACTTAAACAACCCTTATAGAGCTAATAAATTAAACTCACAAAATCATGAATCTTAAATTATCTTCAATGTTAAACCACTACTGGCAACTTGGTAAAACCGCTTATAATTTCAACTAAAAAAAAAACCCAATATCTAAAATATTCTGTTACACATTTAAAATTGGAATGTAAAATGCTAATCTATATTTAAATAATAATACAATTATAAATAAATATCACATCTCTAAAGTATAAATATTATAGTTTTCATATATTTTGTCATCTCTAAACTTTTTTTCAGTGTTTTCTTGGGATAAAAAAAATCATAAAAACAATTACATTCTCTTAAGCAAATGGGGTTATCACCTCAGTGAGTTGTGGCTACTTTTTCAGGTTGTTTACCTATCAGAGATTTTGACTGGAAAATGAGATCTGGAGCTTCAGATACTCAGGGTAATTGTTTGTTTTTCCCTCATTAATATGGGAACAAATTCTAACGCTGTAAAAGTTATGTTAATAGAGATTCCAAGCCCATGAACTCTAGGTGAAATGGCCATGCAATCCTTGTTTTCTAGATCCATGTTGCCTACATCTTTAGCCTGATTTTAGTATCTAACCTCCCTACTCTGATTGTTTAGGTACTAGATTAAATTTAAAAATCTATTTACTGTATGATTCTTGACAAAGTTCTTTTTATATTCTTCATACCTGGTGAAGTCATAACTTTTCTAGATATTTAAATTACATACACATGTATTATTTAATCTCATGTGTATATCTGATTCTGTGGTCACATTTCCCAAGGCCAGATAAATGACTGTAGCCAGACAGACGTAGGGCTAGGTGTAAAAAGAGATATTCCCACAGATTATATAGTTGCTGTGTAGAGAAAACTCTCTATGTTTTTCCTCTAGTCTCACACCACAAAGATCAATCAGCAACACACAAGACCTCTGTGACCAAATGTGTGGGGTTTTTCCTCCATACATACACCAAGAAGCAGACACCAGCTGAGTGTCCTCTAATTCAGTTCTGACACTACACTGTCTACCTGGAGATAGTGTCAGATCTCACAGGTCAGTCCCCAAGACTTCCCACCCTCAACCTACCAGCCACAAGTCCAGGCCTCTGAACTTCTGACCTACTGGCTTCAAGTTGGGTTCTCATGACCCCCTCTTTGGGTTCGATTAATTTGTTGGAGTGGCTCACAGAACTCAGGGAAACACTTACATTTCCTGGTGTATTATAAAGGATATTGCAAAGGATATATGTGAAGAGACACTTAGAGCAATGCATGGGGGAAGGGAGCAGAGCTTCCATGCCATCCCTGGGTGGGCCACCCTCCATGGAACATCCATGTGTTCAACTACCCAGAAACTCACTGAACCCTGTCCTCCTGGATTTTCATGGAAGTTTCATGATATCAGCATTCCTCCCTCCAGGGTATAGGGTGGGACTCTCTCCTGAGATGGTCTTAAGATCCACAACCAGAAAGGCAGGAACATAAAAATGAAAAAAGGCCATGAGAAGGTGAGAGGCCTGCTCCTGAGGCCTAACACACCCAATATTATAACAAAAGACTGTAACAAGTGCTAGGGGAGTTATAAGCCAGGAACTGTGGATGAAAACCAATATATATCATAACACCACAGTTGCTGAGAAAATATTCGTGGAAAATAGACCTAAATTGATACTGCCTATTGACATAATTTACTTTACTGATCTTTTCCTTCACCATTTTAATAAATAGCTCAGACAATAATGAGTCCCATTCAAAGATAATAATAGAAAAGATACCAGCACTGTGCCTGTGTAACATATATTTCATGTTAGAGAAAAGCAACAAAGACAATATAATATTAAAAGACAGAAAAAAATTACATGCCACATTGACTATCATTGAATCACAAAGTGAATACAAATTTTTAATGCATTGTTTCATTAAATGAAACTCCCCTTCCCGCACCAACACATCTGCTCTGATGTAAGTGACCTAAAAAGACATAAATAGGTTTTAAAGCAGATATAAGATAAATGCAATATATGTAGTGTGAGCTTAGGGAAAGATAAAAGGGAAAATATCTTTTATCTGAGAATTATATACCACACTAGAAACAGGAAAAATGAAGAATAGATATTTTCAAAATTTACTCAAATAGATGGTGTATAAGAAAAAAATTGAGCAAAACAAAATGGAAAAGAATAAATAAATAACAAGGGTAGAACAATATTTATAGTTGTTTGAAGACAGACAAAGCTGACCTAACATGTTACCATGTATATTTTATCCAGTTCTCCAATTTTGTTTTTATTGCTGGAAGGTTAGTTTGGTCAGAGTTATTTCACCATATCAGCAAGTATAATTTTCCAAACTTACACCCCTTACTTTTTGTATCTTATTTTTTATCCTATTATTACATATTTTATAATATTATATATTCCATACTGAATTACACAGTAAATAAAAAATAAAATATGAACACAACAATTTCATAGAAATGGTGAGGATTTTTTTTTAATTGAAGCAGAAGTTCATGACTTGAAAATAGAATGATGCAGTAAAGAAATAAACTCAAGAACTCATTTTATGGAAAAAGTGAAAACAATTTGCAACATTAAAATAATTAATCAGAACCTCAATCCAGATTAAGAAGGAAGAGAGAACAAATACTAAAATTGGAAGGCAATGAAAATATAATCACAGATATTGATCAAGTAATTAGATAAGATCATTTTCTTAATTTTACACAAATATATTGGAAACCCTGGATTATATGATTTTTTCCATATGAAAATATAAGTGACCAAAATGACAAGAGTTATCAAATCTCAGTATCTTATTAATGCAGAAAAAGATGTTGAAGATATAAAATTCTGAATGTTCTCCTCTCAACAAACAGACAAATCAGCAGGCATGAACATTTTCAAGAAAAATGTATCAAGACATGAAAGTACTGGTAACTCAATGCTATTTAAAGTTTTCCTCTTCTAATTCTAGCTATGACAAGTTAATTTGTATCAGGCCATCCCACCTGGCAAGAACAATTATGAAACCAGGATAAAATTAATTAAAAATAAGTAGCTATTTAAGGGCTTCTGATAGCAATCAAAGCATCCAGAACTTGAGTGTGTAAGCTCCCAGAAAGAAGAGAAACACATTGAAGTGATTTCAACATTCTCCACAACCTTTCATTTGGATACATTTGCTGAGCAGATAGCTAAGAAGAAAATGGTAGCTCAGAGATGTTAGAAATCTGATAGGCCTGCATAGACAACAGTTGGAATTCATGACTATCATGGTGGCCAGGGCTTGATAAAGGGCCAGTAGAAACAAAGCAATTTCTTTTTGTTTTTCCTTCACAGCATTTTCTGATTCTTTAGTTGCAGAAGGTGAGCAACTAAGAAGCTTAGCATAAAATGGAGCTACCCGATTAAAAGGAAGTTAAGCAGACCTCTCAGCAAAAGGATAGACAAAGTTGGAGTTCAACAAGGAACAGAGGACCTAGAAATCTCCCTAGGCATTGAGACCCCTAAAACGCTAATCCCTAGCTGAAAAGGCAAACTAGAAATGCACCAGCTGCCACAAAAACTGAAATCTAGCCTCAAGGCATTTCAGTCTGATTGGACCAAGAGGGTCTACCTCTAAGCCAGCAGAAAACTACAACTTCTTTGGAGGAAGATCCCATCTAAATACTTTTTCTCTTAGGTCAATGTCTGGCTTTTGATCGTAAATAACCAGGCATATCAGTCAGCAGGGCTAAATGATGCATGCACACACATGCAGGTGCACACACAGAGTAAGAGTGACAGTGAGAGGGAGAGGAGAAATCTATAGCTTTAAATGTTTCCATGTACAGAAAATAAAAATACTTCCAAATATATTTATGAATAAATATTGTATTTATACTAAACTTGACCAAGCTGAACATACGTGTTCTCTGCCCATCCCTTTCCCTTCATCTCTCTCATATACACTACACACAATAAAATACAGGCCTATTCCACTAATAAATATTACTGCAAATATTCTAAAGCTGTACTTTACAATTAAAAGTTGCAATCCCATTAAAATCATACTTCATAATCAAGTAGTGTTCATGTTAGTAAGCAAGAATGGATGACTATTAGGAAATAGTTTACTATAATTTATCATGTTAATAGAAAAACAATAATCTCCAGAAACTTCAACATATATTACCAATTAAATAATATTAACAGAATAGTATTATAATGAGATAGATGTAATTTAACCCAAAATTCAGAATTTATGTGATGGTGTTTGGGTACAGGGCCTTTGGGAAGTAACAAGGTTTAGATGATGTCATGAGGGCAGGGTTCTCATGATGGAATTAGTTCCCTTATAACATAGACACCAGAGAGCTTGCTCTCTTTCCCTGCAATGTGAGGACAGAGTGAGAGAACTTGACTGTCTGCAAGAGAATGCTCACCAGACAGCAAACATTCACAGATCCTGATCTTGGACTTTCCAGCCTCCAGATGTGTAAGAAAATACATTTCTGTTTAAACCACTCAGTCTGTGGTATTTTGTGATGGCAGTTCGAGCAGACTAAGACAAATAATGACACCATTCATGATTGTTCCCATCTACCAGTCACCAAAACAAGTTCTAACAAGATTAAAAAATAAATTCCCCCAAAAGGTAAACTAAAGCCTAAAAATTAGAATAAATTGTAAATAAAGATTAAAAATATAACTGGAGGCAATCAAAAATACATATATCCTAAGGAGATTGTTAAAGCTATATGAAAAATGTATGCTAAAAATCTCATTGGAGCACTATTCATAAATCTAAATAATTGAAAACAATAACTGGGCTATGGTTATGTTGATTATGGTAAATTCATATATATTAACATAATGTAATTTGTAAATGTTTATAAAGCATTCTTGTATATTAGCAAAACAATTTGAAGTGTCAAATTAAAAATCTTGAATACAAAATTACATGTAAGTTATAATTCCAAGTATGTTTGAAAAATTACATACTGAAATAATGGAAGTAAATGCAACAAACTATTCATAGTAGAATTTTATTTTACAGCAACTCAAAATAATGAAACAAATCCTCTGGCTTACAACTTCAACTAGGTATTGTGATTTTCTTACTATTCCATTTAGTAGGATATAGGTAGCATGGTTGTATTCTCAGTTTGTCAGTGTTCTCCTGGCGTCATTATTAACAGTGTCCCTATCACTTTCACAAGTTTCCTAGTTTGCAGAATAAATTATATGGTTATCTGAGATATGGGAAACCTAATTTTCTTCCTTCTTCCCCAGTAATAATCTATACAATTCTGGACAGCTCACCTATCCATAAAACAATTTGATCTGTACCTTAAAATAGATATATCTCTGCTAGTTAACTTCATAGAAATATTGTAAGGATGAGTGAGGAGATGCTTGGAAAATACTTTGAGCTCATCAGAGAAAAGTGCTATGATATTGCCACTAATAAATTTATTTACTAGCTTGCTGAGTAGAAAGTCAAGGGAAATCAAGATTTTGTGGGTATCAGCGACAAAATCAAATCAATCATCCATGTTCTGGCAGCCCATTTTATATAAGTTCCCCAGAGTACAGTAGCTAGTGAACATAGAACTTCTCCAAAAAAAAATATATATATATGAACATAGAACTTCTCCATATATATATACAAAATTAGAAAAATTAGAGACACATAGGCTAAATTTTGACTCTATATAGGCTATTCAGTTAGCAGTTATGAGTAAATGTATTGAACTTCTCTTTCTTGGTGAAAATATTGTGTTCCATCAAGCACTAACCATATGGAATGTTTGGAAGTTGAACAAAGACTGTTCATTAAGCTTGAAAGGGACAGATCTGAGCCAGCCAGCACTTTGTAACCTGGCAGTCAGGCCTCAAAATCAAGCCTATTATTTTAGTAGGCCAATTAAGTTTTTTAGAAACTCAGTGGAAAGGTGGCATCTTCACACATTTTCAGCACCTTATAAATTAGGTACTTTTGCCTGGTACTAAAATATCCTTCTTGAACTTAAAAATCAAAATCAATAAATCAATCTACTTCTCAGGCAACAAAGAAGCAGATGAAAGGCAACAATGAGGCAGATTAAACTTCTAGCAATGAATCCGAAATATACAGGAGCCTTAGTTTGATTAAGATGACAAAAAAACACCTGGAGGAAGGGCACTCAAGTCTGGCTCATGGTCTATTTGTTCTTCCTAAAATCTACATCCCTTGCATCAACTACAGTACTATAGTCGATGATTTGAAGTTGAAGCATAATATCTTATTCTTTCTGACATTGCAAGTATATAACAGATCACAAAGTTTTTTTTTTTCTTTTTTTCTGAGACGGAGTCTCGCTCTGTCACCCAGGCTGGAATGCAGTGGCACGATCGTCACTGCAAGCTCCACCTCCCATCTTCACGCCATTCTCCTGCCTCAGCCTCCTGAGTAGCTGGGACTACGGGCGCCTGCCACCACGCCCGGCTAATTTTTTCTATTTTTCAGTACAGACGGGGTTTCACCGTGTTAGCCAGGATGGTCGCGATCTCCTGACCTCCATCACAAAGTTGATTATCTTTTCACTTGTCAAGTTCTTACACTGTCTATCTAAAATTCGTATCTTGATCTTTCATGTCTGTCTTCAATAACAAATCATCTCTCTTCCCACTCTCTTTCAATTTGATCTCTTTCTCTTTGCTTTATTCTCGAGGAGAAAAAGGTGTATCTGTATTATTTTCTTCTTTGTCCGAATTAAACATCTGTTCTTGGAGAGTGGTGAGCAGTTCTTTATGCAAAGGAGAACTAGTTACTTAGTTTTGTACCATTTACAAAAAAAGTAAGAAAATGCTGAAAACCAGTGTCTTAAAATATTCATTTTATTCAATTTTATTTTAATTGGGGCACAGATATAAGGGAATATTTTTAGTTGAATAAGGAATAAAAATATTTGGTTATAAATCCTCAAGAATATTTATATCTTAAAATTGTTTTTATATTTCTGTTTCTATGACATTCAGATGGGCAAAATTTTTTCTAGAATTTAGACAGATTTACAAATAATTGCATAAACATGTCTAGAAATTGAAAAATTAAAAGAAAAATACAACGAGAAAGTCAATTGAACTTGAAAAATACCCTAATTGTGAAAACCAAACTTTCATAATATTATTTTAATGTTTTCTGATTTGCATTTTGGGAATTCTTGCCTTCACTGTGTTTTTTTCCTTAGATTTTCTCTACATACTGTTCACAAAATTCAGTTAAAAACTATTTTAGAGATTGTCTAGGGAAAGGGCTGCATGCTCAGTCATTGACTGTTACTTACATTGGTACAATTACGGGTATTAAATTTGAGTTCATTGGATTTATGCTTCTCCCCACACAGGCTGACTATTGGTAGCTGTTGCTGCTTGGAATACATATTGGCTTAATTAATCAGTACTATTTGGAATTCTGTGACAATGCAAACTAATTATGAACTTTCCCTGATACGAGACAATTTTGGCTCCTGATTATTTGCTTTTCCCTACTTTTATATAACAGCAATCTCATGAAATCGAGCATTAGGCCAGCATGTTATTGATTTGCACATTAGGCAATTTGCACCTCTGAATTGCTTTCCTTTCTGATATCCTCAGATGCAAAATATTGAAAAAGAGCATGCAGTCAGACCTTTATTTGATTGTTTGATAATTGTTTTTCCTCTCTGTTTCCATTAGCATTATTTGTGGAAGACCATAGCAGTGGGAGTTCTTGTCACAGAAATCTTGTGACCTCTGTGTTTGGTAGCTATAGACTGCAATGAGTTTATCTCTTCATAGGGAAAATTGAGAAGAGATTATTGCTACCCACTACCCAAGCTCTGGTTTTCTTTACAAAGCTTCTGCATAAATCACAACTACATAGCTTCAATGACGGACCTAACTCTTGCTTGGAAGTGTGGCAGCAGAGTTGATGGTCGTGGATTTAAGCTACAGTCTCATCACTAGTTTATTTATAGTAAACACTCTGGGGGTGACTTTTAGTGCTAGATTCTGTGCTAGACTCTGGTGTTGAAATATGTGTCAGCTATGGCCTCAGCTCTCAAGGGATTAGTTGTGTTTGTGTGTATTGTGTGTTTTGAGGGAGGTGTTAGGTGTTGGTTGAAAGAATGAGGAAGGGGAGCAAGATTTGAGGAGAAAACAAACATGCACACGTACATGGTTTCATTGAATAATCTGCACTTCTGAATTGTCAATACATCCATCTGATTCAGTCATAATTGAATTAGAATCATCCAGAGCAGCAGTGGAAAACATTGAATATTTTTTTTCACACTGAAGCCAGAACTCTTGGGTACCATAACCCAGCAATATTGTTTGCTGGCTGTCACTTAAACTCACAAAACACCTCTGTTTTATCATCTATAATAAATACAGATACAATATTCTGTTTTATATATATGTATATATCTTGCAAAATTATTGTGATGATGAAAAATGAAATGTAATACACACTGAATAATGCATAGTAGATGGCAAGCACTAAATAAATGGCTATGTAAGCAGTGATTACTCTCTTTGTTATCTTCATTATTACAATTTCTACATAGGTTTTATTTCAGTGATTTTTATAGTAATGATTTTGCTTATTTTATAAAAATAATTCATGCCAAAGAGTACAAAGAAAACAAAATAAATCACCCCAAATTTTCAGAAACAACCAATGTTAACAGTTGGTAGAATTCATTTGGGTGGTTTTTTTTTTGTTTCTTCTTTGCACTTTTTGGTATTTTTCAAGTTTAAAAGGAATAAGCACATACAATTATTATAATAGCTGTAAAATAGTTATATGTGTTTCAAATTTCATACTCCAAAAAGTTTGGATATAGATGGAAGATACATAACTATATGTATAGTGAGAGAGGGAGAACTAGCAGAATAGATAAAAAATAATTTTATAATAAAATAATACTATATCTGCTTTTTTAATTGGAAGTATTAAATTTATCTATGTGACTGCATTATTTCCTAAAAGGTCACATTTTAAAAAAAAATTTAAAAACATTTGAACATTGAGTCATTCTAATTTATTTCTTAAATTTTAATATATGTATATCTATGAATAATTTATGCATAAACATATATATGTAATGTCAAATCCTAAGAAAATGTATACACCTTAAAGAATTATCACAAAACAAATACCTCCACAACTACCACTCAGAATAACATTTTTTTTTTGCAAAATAGATTACTACTCCTTCATTTGTCTTCAAAGATACCCACTATTTGGAGTTTACTTTTCTTAATGTTTTGATATTTATATACCTACTCTGTGGTAGCCCAATAATGCCTCTGAAAGGCATGTCCATGTCTTAATCCATGGAGCCTGACCTTATTTGAAGTAAGGCATTTGCAGATGTATTTAAGACATTTGAGGCCGGGCACAGTGGCTTATGTCTGTAATCCCAGCACTTTGAAAGGCCAAGGCAGGTGGATTCACCTGAGGTCAGGAGTTTGAGACCAGCCTGGCCAACATGGTGAAAAGCCCATATCTACCAAAAATACAAAAGTTAGCTGGGTGTGGTGGTGGTGGCGCCTGTAATCCCAGCTACTCGAGAGCCTGAGGCAGGGAGAATCACTTGAACACAGGAGGCAGAGTTGCAGTAAGCCAAGATCGCGCCATTGCACTCCAGCCTGGGTGGCAGAGCAAGACTCTGTACCAAGAAAAAAAAAAAAAAGAAAGAAAGAAAAAAGAAATTTGAGAATTCATCCTGAGTTATCCGAGTGAGCCCTAAATGCCATCACAAGTGTCCTTGTAGAAAGAGACAGAGGGAGCAGAAGGCAATGGGACAACAGAAATGGAGAAGTTTGAAGATGCTGTGATGCTGGCTTTGAAAATAGAGGAAAGCCCACAGGATGGAAGAGGCCATGAATGGATTATCTTTTTGAGTCTCCTTTGAGAATATAGCCCTTCTGCCATCTTGACTTTAGGTCAGTGAAACGAATGTTGTACTTCTGGTCTCTCTAACTGAGAGAGAATAAATTTATCTTGTTTAAAATCACTAAGTTTGTGATAAGTTGTTACAACAGCCCCAGGAAACAAATACACACTCATTTATTTTCTTTTATTGCTTAACATTATGCATTGTGAGATTGACCTATGTTGTTACATGTAGTTCTAATTTGTTCATTTTCATTGCTGAAGAATATTCAATATGCAATTTTAAAAATTTGTCTTTTTTTAAACAAATAATGCTGCTATGAACATCCTTGCTTGTATCTTGTGGTACAAATATGTAAGTGGGTAGCTGCATCCATTTACTTTTTCTCCAACAGTCTATGAGAATTCCCCTTGTTCTGTGTCTTCATTTGTAATCATTATTGTTAGTTTTTTAATGTTAGACAAACTAGTATGTGTAGAATGGTATGTCATTACAGTTTCAATTTAAATTTCTCTAAAAAATAATGAGCCATTTTCATCAGGACTGAGCCTAGGGTGAAGCAAGAGAGGCATCTAGGGTACACAATTTAAGGATGTGTTTATTCCCTTTCCTTTCTGTCCTTGTTTGTGATGAATTATTTCTACTTTGTCAAACAAAAAGTGTAATAGATATACAATTGATTTTTGCTTTTTGTGCATTTGTTATAAATCCAGTCACCTTACCAAACTGGCTTTTATTTCTAATTGTTTGTAGATAGTTTTTGACATTTGTACATAGCCATGCCATCTCCAAAATAGCATTTACCTTTCCTTTTCAATATTTACAAATTTAACTTCTTTTAATTGCCTTGTCACACTAGCTGGGGCCACTATAAATCTTTTATACTTGTTTTGATGTCTATAGAAACTGTAGTGATGTCCTCTCTTTTATTAATTTCTCACACTGGTAATTTCTGGTCTCTCTTTCTGTCTCACTGTTTATCTTTCTGTCACTCTCTTCCCCTCTTTCTCCGTGTGTATGTATGTGTGTGTGTGTGTCTGTATAAAAGAATTTAAATATACGGATAGTCCTTGACTTAATGATGGTTTGACTTACAATTTTTCGACTTTACAATATTGCAAAACAATCACAATTTCAACATAACGTACCATATTCAATACATTACATGACAGATTCAACACTTTCTGATAAAGTAGGCTTTCTGTTAGATAATTTTGCCCAACTGTAGGCTAATGTTAGTGCACTGAGCATGTTTAAGGTAGGCTAGGCTAAGCGATGATGCTTGGCAGGTTGGGTATATTAAATGCATTTTCTACTTATGATATTTTCAACTATATTGGGCTTATCAGGATGTAACCCTATCATAAGTTGAGGAACATCTGTACTATAATTATGCAATTATAAAGAGATTCATTATTTTTTCCAGGCAAAACTTTTTTTATTGTTGATTTTTCTCTTATATGTCTGCTGAATTAGTCAGTTTTCAAATTACTATAAAGATACTACCTGAGACTGGGTAATTTATAAATAAAAATGATTTACTTGATTCACAGTTCTGCATGGCTTGGGAGGCCTCAGGAAACATACAATCATGACAAAAGGTAAAGGAGAAGCAAGGCACATCTTACATGGCAGCAAGAGAGAGAGCAGGAAAAACTGCCACTTTTTTTTTTTTTGAGACAGAGTCTTGCTGTGTAGCCCAGACTGGAGTGCAATGGTGTGATCTTGGCTCACTGCAACCTCCACCTCCCAGGTTCAAGTGATTCCCCTGTCTCAGCCTCCTGAGTAGCTGAGATTACAGGCGTGTGCCACTATACCCAGCTATTTTTTTTGTCTTTTTAGTAGAGATGGGGTTTTGCCATGTTGGCCAGCTGGTTTTGAACTCCTGATCTGAAGTGATCCACCCACCTCAGCCTCCCTAAGTGCTGGGATTACAGGTGTGAACCATTGCACTGGACAAAACTGCCACTTTTAAAACCATCAGATCTCATGACATCTCCCTCACTATCATGGGAATAGCATGGAGGAAACCACCCCCATGATCCAATTACCTCCCACCAAGTCCCTCCTTCAACACGTGGAGATTACAATTAGAGATGAGATTTGGGCAGGGACACAGTGCCAAACCACATCATCCTCATTTTTTTCAATAATTTCTTCATCATATCTCATCATGTATTTATTTACATGTATTTTTAAATTAAGTACTAGGCATTATATATGAAAACTGAAAGTAATTTGAGGCCCTGGAAATGTTAACATTCTCTAGAGAGGAATTACATTTGCTCTTTGCAGTAAGCTAGGGACACTAGCAGGTTACTTTAATACATCCATAAGTGGACAGATAATCAGACACTAGTTTTATGTCCCTGAGTGGGCTGGTCTTTATTGAGTGTAGTCTTTGCCCCCAACTCAAAGCCTGGAGGGTACTGTGCTCCAATTCTCCCCACCACATTCCCTTGCACACTCACACAGTTACATGCATTTGGCTGCCAAAAGTATTCCTTAGTTTTGCAATCTATTTTTTAACTTCCTAGAATCAGTAAAAATCTTGAGCTGAAAAGTGATTCTCAATGCCAAGCTCATCTCTTGGATCTGGGCTTTGCAATTTTCCATTGCTTTGTTAACACTTAGTGTCTCGAAGAAAATTTTGTTGTTGTGTTCCATGGGAGAGTTGATATCAATTACAAATCTGCAGTTACTGGTAGAAGTTCCTGTGGTTTCTATTTTACCTTCAGATTTTACTTTTAGACTGCTCCAGTCTACATCTTTTTATAAGAGATCATGTGAGGACAGTTTTTTTTTTTTAATTCTCTTCTGCAACCTCTGGAGTTTTGTAACTTGCATTATTCTTGTTTTACCAAAATTTATGCCTTTTATTCTATAGTCTGCAAGAAGTTTTCTTTAGTTGCTTAATCTATGTGCTGTATTTATAGGACTTATTGTTCATCTGTCATTTCATAAAATGTCTCTTTTTACTTTCTCCTTATTTTGGCTCATTCTTTGGCTAGATTTTTGGGGTGATGTTATCTGAGATCTTTTATGTCTATTTGTTGCTTGAATGACCCTTTGGGTTTTACATAATTTTTTCAGCCATCCTTTTATTTTCATAAGAATGTCCTGGTAATATGTTTCCCCTAAAAATCTACATCCAAATCCTTCCTTAATTTAAGGAATCACTACATGATAGTGAACTTTTAGTTCTCTTTTATTCCAATTTGAGTTATCAATGTCAGTGCCAATTATTCTTATTCAAGATATCATTGCCTGCACTCTTCACATATTACCTTGTTTATAATGACTTGAATCATTTTTGTTTATTAACATACATAGCTACACTCCCCCCAGAGGAATAGGGAACTCACATATGCAAAAGAAAATCCATGGGAACACCCACAAGACAATTTATCCATCATCCAGTATTACTGAGTAAAGGCTCTTGGAATAAGAGTTTTCAACACATAGAATATGAAAAACTATAATATGCATACAAAATGTGAGAGGACTTGGACATTTAAAAAAGGACTTCTAGTTGAAAATTAATGTGTAGACAAACTAACAGAAAAGATATAGGTGGAATTGATGAGCATAAAATTATTAAATAACAACAAAAAATAGGAGTACATGATAAATATTTTCAAAGTATGATATCTGAAAAGGCTAATACAATACATTTTTGACAATTTCCAAGAAAAGTAGAAAGAAGGAAGAAAATTTTTAAAATAAAGATACTACACCTACAGATATGAAGAAATTTTAAAACCTCAAGCTGTAGTCATTAAATATGATTAATATCTGAATTTTAAATGCATGCACTCTTTGACTCACCCTTTGACTCTATTGTTACCATCTCTAGCAGATGCTCAGTGGTCTGATAGGATCAGTAACAACACAGCACCATTGCCAAGCCACATGGAAGCATGAAGCAAAAGAAAACCTCAGTAATATTGATTTTGTTTTTATTTAAAATGTTAATATATTGTTCATCATGGATTTCCTGCATTAATTTTGATTTAATAAAATATTACATTACCATTTACCTTGATTACTGAGTTTATTTGACATCCATTTAGGTTCCTCACCTGAGGCAGCAAGGGCTTCAGGTTCTTCACTCTGAGTCAGGACCTGCACAAGACCTAAAAATTTTACATTTATG
Organism: Homo sapiens; assembly: GCF_000001405.40. Lineage (NCBI taxonomy): Eukaryota > Metazoa > Chordata > Mammalia > Primates > Hominidae > Homo > Homo sapiens. Next base: position 57,716,923 of record NC_000007.14, read on the forward strand.
TCCACTTAGGCAGTTGAGGTCTTGCCTTCTAAGTTTCTCTATAGCTCACTACAAAGAAATGGTGTTGATGTAGGGAGAGGGCTACACTCTTGTAGTGCTAGTTCCAGGAAGATGCCCATGTGCCCCTGATAGCACTACAGAGTTTAGCAATTTCTGCCTTCACTGCTTATTTTACTTTTTCTCTTCCTCAGTTTGTTTCCCTTCCACAGAGCCAGGTCATGGGCACTGGAACTAGACGAATAAGGATTGAAAACCCACTTATGTAACCTTGAATGAGTTATTTTACTTGTCTGAGTCTCAATTTTCTTATATATTAAGTGAGGATAATTTTTAATTTATAAGATTCTTGTATAAATAAATATGTACAGAAAGTCCATCACACACCTAGTCCATGGCATGGACTTAATAAATGTCATTTATCTTTTCTACTCTATTTCTGCTTCCCATTCTTCAACTTACTACTGCAGAGCTAATCCATTAGCTAGTATATAGTAGAAACTGAAAAAAAATTGAAATGCATTTCTTTTATTGCTATAATCACAAATATGTTACACAGACCTACCTCAATGCTAGAGTTCATCCATTGAGTTGGCTCAGTTATGTTTAATATTAGTTTAATATTTCAAACATAGCAAAAATGGTTTATTAGTTACTTATAATAGGTGGAGGAAAGTAATCAATAGGCTTCTTAGAAACACTCTGATTACTGATCTAAACCCCATTCTTCAGTGAAATTGTTTTGATAATGTATACAATTTCAGAAATTTATATTTTTGCTCCTAAAATCACAATGTATTTAGTTAAGAGAAATAAAAATAACTTTAGCTGACTTTATAATATATAAAGTTTATTTTAAACCTTTGTCTTTAAATGAAAAAAATAATGTTATTAGAGGCTTTATACTTTTCTGTATATAACATCAGGCTAATTTTCACTAGACTGTAAATATTCTTATATGGACAGGCAAATCAGTACTGAATATACAATAAATTTTCTTTTCTATGGATTGTGCCTAAATTACATCAGTTTAGAACAAACACATTTAATTAAAGCCAATAAATTCAGGTGTTCTATGATTGTTATACTTTTTTCTTTTCAATGAAAAATAGCCAGACCTGTTCACTGAGGCTTGTTGTAATTATGGATTTTAATGTGAATCAGCTATCATTTGATGTTCCACCAAGAAAATGTTTTTACATTTTAAAGAGCTTTAAGATTTGTTATTTGAGTTAGTGTCCTTTGAATAATGGCTGAGAGAACAGTTTTTTTTCAATTACACAAGTATTTCTTCATCTATTTAGAAGCTCTGAGGTCAGACTAGATTAAAAACGCACACACGCATTTGTCTCAAGTAATGGTGGAAAGTTACCTCCTTGGTGGCTGCAGTATGCAAGATTGTGTGTGATTTGGTTTCTAATCTTTCATTTCTTTCCAGCAGGAAAAAATAACCTTCCTCAGGCAAGAAAAAAACATTGTACTTGGGGAGTTGCTTTTGATCAAAGAAAGGGGCAATAGTTATTTCCTGAAAATGGTGACAAGAATGAAAAATGGAAAGAAAGATCTATTTTAACTAGCAGTAATGATTTTGGGGGAGGAATAGGGAGAGTATATGTGAGGAAACAAGGAAGGAAACTGAGAGTAACAGTCACTGATGCCAGTTTGTGAAAGGGATGAGGCTGACCAACATGCCTTGAGGCCATATCAGAAGATTTTAGTTTTCATATAAAATATTTATATTTCCATCTTTTTTTCCTATATTATGAGGGCAATCAAAAGAAGAATTTTGGCTTTGTACAGAATTTTCCTACGTATTGATGAAGTAAAAATGCCAAGTATATTCACATTTTCAAGGTTTTACTGAGAATAAAGTTTATACCTAGAAATGATTTTAATACAAGCAATGGGCTATTCTAGGAAAACAAAACGGAGAGAGATGGTCTAACAGGAATGATGTAGCAGAATTAACATAAATGCTGCTATGCTTTGGTTCTGTGTCCCCACCCATTCCCACGTGTTGAGGGAGGGAAGTGATAGGATTATGGTGGGGGGGTGGTTTCTCCCATCCTGTTCTCGTGATAGCGAGTCTCACGAAATCTTTTGGTTTTAAAACAGGCAGTTTTTTCCTGTGCTCCTACTTCCCTCTCTTCTGCCACCTTGTGAAGAAAGTGCCTGCTTCCCCTTCACCTGCCGCCATGATTGTCAGCTTCCTGAGGCCTCCGCAGCCATGCTGAACTGTGAGTCAATTAAACCTCTTTCCGTTATAAACTACCCAGTCTCAGGCAGTTCTTGACAGCAGTGCAAAAATGGACTAATACAAATAGAAAAGATGTTATCAATTTCATCCTCCCCAGAACTTTCATGTTTTCACTAGATTTATGAGATATATTTTTCAATCTTCTTGAAAATCAACACAAGCCCTTCGTTATCTAGTCTCATTCTAAAATAAAGTATTTGTTTTATATTGGCACCATGACAATTTCAACTAAATTAATGGCTTCAGCAACATAAATTATTATCTCACACTTCTGTAGGTCTGAAGTCTGAGTGGGCTCAACCAGCTCCCCTGTTCAACATCCGACAAGGTCCAAACGAAGGTGACAATCAACAGGGATCTTATTGGGAAGCTCTGGTAAGAGTACATTTCCAGGTTTATTAAGGTTGTTGGCAGAATTTAGTTGTTTGCAGTTGTATCACCATTCCCAGTATCTTGTACAGTTGTACGTCATTGTTTTCTTGCCTGTGTCAACTGGTGGTTGCTGGTGTCAGCTCCTAGTAACCTGTCTCCAGACTTCCTATGTGAGCCTCCACATCGCAAAACCAGCAATGACGCCTCTGAACCTTCTCAGGCGGAATCTTTCTAATTTCTCCCTCTACCAAGCCTCTCTTTCTCCAGCTAAAGAATGTTCTCTACTTTTAAAGGTTCATATGATTAGATTGGGTTCACCTGGATACTTAAAGATGCTTGCCCTATCTTAAGGTTTGTAACCTTAGTTACAGCTACAAAGTCCATTTTGCCATATTCACAGATTCCAGGAATGACGATATGGACATCTTTGGGAGGCTACTGTTCATACCACAAATACTAATCTCACAATAATCTGTTTATGGCCTATATTTTGGCCATTACTTCACTGAAACTCATACTCTGCATTTTGTTAAGTATTCACTCTCTGAGCTGAAGCACAGTAATACAGAAAAACCTAGATGATTCAAAATGAAAAACATTGATAGAGTAAAAAGAATAGCAGAAATCATTGGTTTCTGAGACTAATATGCAAAAGTTTACTTTTCCATATTTTTTGATAGTATTTTTCCTTGTTTTTAATTGTGATATACTTTAGATAAGATGAAATGCACAATTTTTAAGTCATTATTCAATGACTTTTGATAAAAATGTATGATTGAGCCACCCACAGCCCATAGAACATTGACATTACCCCAGAAATTTCTCATGCCACTTAACAATCAATTCCCATCACCCTCCAGCCATTATTCTTGTTTCTATCACTACAGATAGATCTTGCACATTCTGCAACTTTATATAGATGTGATCATACAATACATACTTTTGGTGTCTTTTTTTGTAGTACTTTTGAGTCGTTTTCAATTATTTGACTATATCACAGCTGTTACAATCCATTCTCCAATTTTAGGGGCCTTTGAGTTCTCTTCAGTTTGGGGTTATCAAGAATAATTATACTGTTATCTTTATTTCTGTTAGGCTTGACAATATTTCATAATCATGTATTCTTAGAATAATGTGCAATTTATTTATTTACGCAGTCATATTGATTTTTAGGTAAATATATTTTTTATTTAAATTTTGGGGTACATGTGCACAATGGGCAGGTTTGTTACATATGTATACATGTGCGATGTTGGTGTGCTGCACCCATTAACTCATCATTTGCATTAGGTATACCTCCTAATGCTATCCCTGCCCCCTCCCCACTACCCCACGACAAGCCCCAGTGTGTGACGTTCCCGTTCCTGTGTCCAAGTGTTCTCATTGTTCAATTCCCACCTATGAGTGAGAAGATACGGTGTTTGGTTTTTTATCCTTGTGATAGTTTGCTGAGAATGATGGTTTCCAGCTTCATCCATGTCCCTACAAAGGACATGATTTTATCATTTTTTATGGCTGCATAGTATTCCATGGTGTATATGTGTCACATTTTCTTAATCCAGTCTATCATTGTTGGACATTTGGGTTGGTTCCAAGTCTTTGCTATTGTGAATAGTGCTGCAATAAACATACGTGTGCATGTGTCTTTATAGCAGCATGATTTATAATCCTTTGGGTATATACCCAGTAATGGGATGGCTGGGTCCAATGGTATTTCTAGTTCTAGATCCCTGAGGAATCACCACACTGACTTCCACAATGGTTGAACTAGTTTACAGTCCCACCAACAGTGTAAAAGTGTTCCTATTTCTCCATATCCTCTCCAGTACCTGTTGTTGCATGACTTTTTAATGATCACCATTCTAACTGGTGTGAGATTGTATCTCATTGTAGTTTTGATTTGAATTTATCTGATGGCCAGTGATGATGAGCATTTTTTCATGTGTCTTTTGGCTCCATAAATGTCTTCTTTTGAGAAGTGTCTGTTCATATCCTTTGCCCACGTGTTGATGGGGTTGTTAGTTTTTTTTTTTTTCTTGTAAATTTGTTTGAGTTCTTTGTAGATTCTGGATATTAGCCCTTTGACAGATGAGTAGGTTGCAAAAGTTTTTTCCCATTCTGTAGGTTGCCTGTTCACTCTGATGGTAGTTTCTTTTGCTGTGCAGAAGCTCTCTTTTGTTCAATTAGATGCCATTTGTCAATTTTGGCTTTTGTTGCCATTGCTTTTGGTGTTTTAGACATGAAGTTCTTGCCCATGCCTATGTCCTGAATGGTATTGCCTAGGTTTTCTTCTAGGGTTTTTATGGTTTTAGGTCTAACATTTAAGTCTTTAATCTATCTTGAATTAATTTTTGTATAAGGTGTAAGGAAGGGATCCAGTTTCAGCTTTCTACATATGGCTAGCCAGTTTTCCCAGCACCATTTATTAAATAGGGAATCCTTTCCCCATTTCTTGTTTTTGTCAGATTTGTCAAAGATCAGATAGTTGTAGATGTGTGGCATTATTTCTGAGGGCTCTGTTGTGTTCCATTGGTCTATATCTCTGTTTTGGTACCAGTGCCATGCTGTTTTGGTTACTGTAGCCTTGTAGTATAGTTTGAAGTCAGGTAGCTTGATACCTCCAGCTTTGTTCTTTTGGCTTAGGATTGACTTGGCAATGCGGGCTCTTTTTTCATTCCATATGAACTTTAAAGTAGTTTTTTCCAATTCTGTGAAGAAAGTCATTGGTAGCTTGATGGGGATGGCATTGAATCTATGAATTACCTTGGGCAGTATGGCCATTTTCATGATATTGATTCTTCCTACCCATGAGCATGGAATGTTCTTCCATTTGTTTGTATCCTCTTTTATTTCATTAAGCAGTGGTTTATAGTTCTCCTTGAAGGGTCCTTCATATCCCTTGTAAGTTGGATTCCTAGGTATTTTATTTTCTTTGAAGCAATTGTGACTGGGAGTTCACTCATGATTTGGCTCTCTGTCTGTTATTGGTGTATAAGAATACTTGTGATTTTTGCACATTGATTTTGTATCCCGAGACTTTGCTGAAGTTGCTTATCAACTTAAGGAGATTTTGGGCTGAGATGATGGGGTTTTCTAGATATACAATCATGTCATCTGCAAACAGGGACAATTTGACTTCCTCTTTTCCTAATTGAATACCCTTTATTTCCTTCTCCTGCCTAATTGCCCTGGCCAGAACTTCCAGCACTATGTTGAAAAGGAGAGGTGAGAGAGGGCATCCCTGTCTTGTGCCAGTTTTCAAAGGGAATGCTTCCAGTTTTTGCCCATTCAGTATGATATTGGGTGTGGGTTTGTCATAAATAGCTCTTATTATTTTGAGATATGTCCCATTAATACCTAATTTATTGAGAGTTTTTAGCATGAAGGGCTGTTGATTTTTAGGTAAATATTTTTTAAGATTACCTGCCCACAAACATAAACTACCTATTGAGCCCTGCTTGTATTTTGATGGGCATATGCACAGAGTTGAATATGGCTACTTTAAGTGACTTTTTCCATTCTCATAAAATAATTAGCAGATTATCCAGTTTATAAACTTGATGACATTGCTATATAAGATATTGGAAAACAAATTCCACTATATAATATTTGCAGAGATAAGTTTTTGAAATTGATAAGCCACTTTTCCAGGATTTTTTATGCTAAATACAATTGTTTGGATAAGGACATTCTTATAAATACCTGGCTTCATAACTAATACAAGCAATTTATCATAACATACCCACAGTTAATTTTTTTCTTCACTTTTGCCCTACAATCGGTGCTCTTAAATTCCTTTATAATATCTTTAAAGGCACAGAAGTAAGAAATGGAGAGAAAAATAAGCCTTAGAAGTCTTTGGGCTCCAAAAATCTTTTCTGTTGGTAACCATAGCAGCTCGTGACTCAATAAAATGATAAAAAGTCTTCATATTTTGGGGTTAAAAATCTTGAATATGTTAGTTTTTCTGACAAATATAATCAGATACGACAATTACTAAATCAGGATATTAAAACTATCATCTCAGGATAATAACAATTACGTATTTTCCTGTTGAAATTTTAGATTCTTTGATGTTGTCATTGTCCCTTAAGGAAAACCTATCTGTCCTTGTGCCCCAGTAGCACTCCACATCTTTGGTAGATGTGAGTTTACATTTTTTATCACTACTCTTGTGATTGAACAGCATGCTTTAACATTTCTTGTAGTGCTTTTCTGGTGGTAACAAATTCTTTCACCTATTATTTTAACCTTATTAAAGTGTTAATTTTGCCTTTTGAAGATTATTTTCACTGGATATATAATTCTGAAGTGACTTATTATTTATTCTCTATACTTTAAATAATTTTTAGATTTTCATTTGGCTTACGTTTGTTCTGATGAGAAGTCAGAAGTATTTTTTATCATTATACCCTTTTCTATTACATGCCTTTTCTCCTGCCTACAATTAAGAATTGTGAATTGTATTACTGTGTTGATATTCTACATCTCTCCACTGTCTTCCTTCTTTTCCTCTAAATCCTTGGACGTATTTTAATACCAGCTTAATAATGCTTGTTTTTATTCTTAACAACATCCTGGCTATCTTAGGTCTGTTTCTATTGCTTATTTTTCTCCTAATTTTCTCATAGGTTTCTGCTATTTTTGCATGTTTAATAATTGTTTTTATTTTATATTTGACATTCTTCATACTATATTATTTAGATTCTAGACTTCTGTCTTTGGTAGAAGTGTGTTGAATTTTATTTTGAGCAGACAGTTAATTTACTGGCACATTAATTTGATCCAGTTGGTGCCTATTTTTAAGGTTTTAAGGCTGATTTAAGAGTTTTTCTTCTGATAGGAGTAGATGAGCCCTACTTTGGAAGCTGACTTTCCTGAGTTCTTATTTAAACACTGGGAGATGCTCAGTGAGTCTTTTCACTTTGGCTAGTTCAAACTCTAATGGCTTTCAACATTGTTGAACCAGTGAAATCCTCATGCCGCTCATTGCCCCTTAGAAACTGTTCTCTGTGTGGCCTTGTGAAATCTTACTCTGCACATGCATAATATGTTGTTCACTCAAAAAATTCTAGAAGACTCATTTCTAGATTTTTAGATCTCTTTCTCAGTTCGACTCTTTCTTCTCTGGAATGTTCTTCATAAATTCCAGCCACCTCAGCTGCAACCTACAATCGGTTTCTCCATTCAGAAAAATTGCTGCGATCTATTTGGGCTCCTCTTTCCTTTCCTGCAGTTTTGGAAATATCCCTGTATAAAAGGCCAGCTTTAAATGTGGAGTTCACTTCAAGGATCACTACTCTATGCTGTGTGTTGTAAAATGCTTCAAAATAGGCACATGGTATATTTTGTCTAGTTTTATAGTTGTTTACAGCAGAAGATTCAGTCTGAAATCCATTATTTTATTATGGCCAGAACGAGAAGTCAAGCACTCTGTTTTTTTAAAAAAGCACATATTGTGTACCTGCTATCTTCCATGTACCATACCAAGTGTGTTCAAATACATAGTCAAGTCAGCTTTTACTATTAGTTGTTCCCCATGAAGGGCTTACATTTTATTTTATTTTTTTTCTGAGAGAGGGCTTAGGCAGATTTTTATTCAATATCTATGCATTTGCTCATGCTGACTATTTCTGGTATATTTTTACATACTTCTTAAACACTGTTTGTCTTACAAGATTTATGGCAATTCTTTTTTGCATGTTTTTCTAATTCATCTTCAAAATCAACCTTTCCCAACTTCATTTGTTCATAAGATAATTTTAAATTCACCTCTGTTAGAGCATTTACCCTGTTGAATTATAGCTATCTCTGTATGTGTCATAAAAACCTAGCAAAATTTTAGGCTGCAACTGCCACTTTCCTCTCTTTGTGACTCAGCTTGTCACAGTTACAAGTGCACATATTAGGCCATTTCTAAGGGTTCATTGTACTGAATACACGCTACCTAATTTAACTCACATAATAATCTTGTGAGGTATATAGTATAATTATCATTATGTTTAATAAATGAATTGAGTCTCATATAAGTTACTTATTTATTCTAGTTTACTAATGTCTGTGATAGAACTGAATTCTGAGTTCAAGCTCCGTGTTTCCAACTCGAAATCTACTAATCTTCACTATACCACATTTATCATGCATTGCCTTCACTCTTGTTAGCCTGACAAATAGGAAAGTAATACAATAATCCTTAAATATCAGTAGTATCTCATACAATTTCATATAACTCATTCAATTGTAATCCCAATTGAAAATGTCTATACAGCTTAATTAGTCTAACTCCCCATTCAATGGCCGTATATTCTCTACAGTATTCCTAACCATAAGACTTTGTTTTGACCCTGCTGTTTGTGTCCCCCATCCCTTAAAGCAATCCATGTATGATAGTAATTATTAATTCCTTAGAGTAGTTTACATATGCCATCCTAAAACTTGTACGCCATTCCGTTCTCCACCCTTCATGGCTGTATAAAATTTGTCCCCTTGGTCATTCATTGGCTAGCCCTCAAATATTTGAAAACAACTAATGTTGCCTTAAGTCCTCTTTCTTTCAAGGTAAGCATCTTTAGTTGCTTTTCTTTGCTCTTCTTCTTAGATTGGTTTCTAATCTTTACATCAAATATTTTCTGTTTGTGGACAAGATTTTTAAGGAATCTAAAACTATGAAACATACTGTCCTATATGATCACAGTAATCTGTGAGGCTATTATTATCTTAGGTGTTATTACAATCTCTTACTTTCCCTTCCCAAGATGAACAACATAGCAACATGAATAAAGAAAATTTTCCCTCTAGTAACTACAAGAGTTAGAGTAACTATGATTTACAGATGAAAACCTAGGGCCAGAGCCTTCCTGTAGGATATTAGGCTTCCTTTTCAAGAGGTGCCCCCCTATATAATATTTTTAAATTATCTGCCCTCTTCCTTCAATTCTGTCACTCTGTTATGCCCTTTGAAAAGAGACAGTGAAGGAGTTATATTTGGAAATACGCCCCATATTTTTTCTGATCACTGGAATGCAGAGGTGAATATGAATTTTATGAGTCTGTAGAGTTATTTTCAGTAATTAATTCTACAATCTTAAAAATAGCTCTCACCATAAATCAACAGCTGAATGGTGGGAGTTGGACATAATGGAGAAAATATGGACTAAAGAGATTATGAACAGGTATTGCAGAGAATCCATATTTTTTTTTTTTTTTTGAGACGGAGTCTCGCTCTGTCGCCCAGGCCGGACTGCGGACTGCAGTGGCGCAATCTCGGCTCACTGCAAGCTCCGCTTCCCGGGTTCACGCCATTCTCCTGCCTCAGCCTCCCGAGTAGCTGGGACTACAGGCGCCCGCCACCGCGCCCGGCTAATTTTTTGTATTTTTAGTAGAGACGGGGTTTCACCTTGTTAGCCAGGATGGTCTCGATCTCCTGACCTCATGATCCACCCGCCTCGGCCTCCCAAAGTGCTGGGATTACAGGCGTGAGCCACCGCGCCCGGCCGAGAATCCATATTTTAATTGGGTGAATTAAGTAAACTCTTGGATGGATTAAAAGGTTAGGTTCTGGTTGGATGTGGTTTTCCCTTATGTTTCAGAAATATGTCAACTCCCAATTTACAACAAAGGCCCAAATTCACAAAAAGAGAAAGACACCTCCTTCCCTACCTAGTAGAAGAAACTAATATTGCCTTCAGACCATCCATATGCCATTATTTTTTTATATTACTCAGACTATAATAGGCAGTGAACTTTCAATAATATATCACCTGATCTTTTGGTGTCTATACGAGAAACCTGTAATCTTTCTCTGATAAAGAGAATGAACCCATGAGCCAATATACCTGACAAATGTGTAAAGGCAGGGGCAGTGCCCAGGTGTCCCTGAGAAGTCTATATCTGCCACTACTCAGGGCCACAGAGGGTACATATCACATGCAAGCACACACTTGCACTCACATGCGTGCATGTTTACCCTCTGGATTAGCCCAATTCTCCATTCACCTTTAGTTTTGCCTCATATTTTGGGAGTTCAGATTAGAAAACTGATGTAATCCATCCACATTTCTGGCATCTCTAAGCTTATATGGTATCAATGACCTCATGATTCTTTAGATTTATTTTTAATATCTGAGTATTTACTTTCAAGGGTTAATTAACCTTGGTGAAATCTTAAAATCTTCAGCTAAAGATATACTACATGACAGGCATACAATTTTGGAACTGCTTTGTTATGAACCTATACAACGTAAATTGGCAGTGGTCACATATTAAAGTAGCTGCTTGAACAAACCTTAATGGCACGACTTCCATCTCAGGACTTATTAAGATCCAGTGCTTGCTTAAAGAGAAATTAGTTTGTTTGCTATAATTTGTTGAGGAAATCACCATACAATATGCCATTAGAGTGCATATATTTCTTATAGAATACCTGTGGTTAAGCCTTTCCTGTCATCCTAAACTGGAGAACGTACTGAAATTAGCTTGCATCATGAAAGCTTAGATGCAGCTGAAAATTCAGAGACAATTGTTTTATCTTAAAAGTTATTTTCACTTTTCCATTGCCACATTTAAAAGTTAAGGTTTATAGAGAAATATTCTCAAGTGATTATAGAACAAGTACAGGAATATAAAAGGATAAAAATATGTATTTCAAGTCATCAATTCTAATTCTGCTTCTAAAAATAGTCAGTGTGCAAAGCTGCAGTTGCTGGGGGATTACTTCAATGAAGCTGCATCGTCACCATCAACTACATTTTCAGGATCCACAATCTCCATATATATACTTTATTGTTTAATGTTATAGAGGAAGAAAGTGTAATAATTTGGTGGGAACTTCCTCCTATGTTTGATATACGATGGTAGACAAATTAGCATCTGCCCGTGCTATGATGATCACAGGAACAATCTTGCAGCTGACAATGCCAAGAAATTACTGTCCTTGAATAACGTCAAGCTTTAAATTTTTGATTACTGAAATTTCAGTAACAAATATTGCAATCAAAATTGAATTTCATAAAACTTTTGATTCATTCTATGATAGTAATATTCAGCTTCAGTCAATAATGACGTTGATACTCAGCCTTTCAGTGTTCGGCCAAATATTTATTTGGTGCATCTCTACTTTATATATATTTGCAGATTTTAAAATACTTTTTTCTGCTGTGTATCATCATAACTGATACATATACACAAACATACACACAAAATCTTATGGAAGGCAAATGCAAACATACACACAAAGAACATATTATAGGAAAATGTGAAAAAAAGAAAACATTCAAAGCAGAGAGCATTACATAAGATGACAAAACTCAAACTAAACATATCTTCACTGTTATATGTAATGAAATAAAATTAATAATTAAAGCAAAAGACTTATATTGGACAAGAAAAAATGTGTTGATGATTCTGTTAGCTCCACCCAAATCCTTTATCTGACTTTCAGTACTCTGTTCTGTGCTCCAGGAGATGAACCCCTAAGAATTTATCATTCAGGTTCCTCTGCCAGCTAGCTCCTAGTTGAATTGGATTAATGTAAGGCACTGGCAGTGGGTCAGATGGCAGAAGGAGAGAGAGAGAAATCCTGATATCTATTCCCTGCTTTCTTCCTAATTCTGCATGAATGTAGTTTCTACCAGATAACTCTTCTCCACAGCACCAGCTCGTCCTAGGCTTCAATAATGCAAATTATACACCTTGTCCCTTCAGGTCTAGGGACGGTAACAGCGTTTCGCTGTTTCTGGTGTCTGAGTATTACAGCAACCTTTGCTGGGGTTTTAAATCCTGCTCTAACTGAGGTAAGTAGTCCATTCACCAAAGTCTCTATTGTGGACCATTGAAGCAGATTTCTTTTCCTTTTCATTCTTTCTTTTTTAATAATAGTGATGGGGTTTCCTATGTTGCCCAGGATGGTCTCAAACTCCTAGGCTCAAGCGATCTCCCGCCTTGGCCTCCCAAAATGCCGGGATTACAGGTGTGAGGCACAATACCAAGCCTGAAGCAGATTTCTGTTTTATACAAGGGTCCTAATTAATGTAGAAGCTATTACAAAATGGGGTGTGTAAGAATATCTCTTTCTTAGGGAATAACAGGTAGCTATACCTTGTACTGCCTACCACACAGAAAGAGCAGAGTGACTGAGAGGCTTCTCTGGATTTTGGAAGTAACATGACTACAGCTGTGTGTATTCAAACCTATTACAGGCTAACTCACAAGTCTACCCATTTAGAAGAAAGAGCTCTTTGCAGCAGGTTCAGTCTGTGCTGTAGGCTCCTCTACTGCGCAGGTATTTTGACTCCGTAGATCTAAGTATCTGGCTTAGAGTAATGCTGTTTGAAGCTTCTAAGTAACCCCAAGAAGACAATCACAGTTCACCTAACTAATGATTTTGGAACAAAACTGTGTCCCCTTCTGCCAAATATTTTTTATCTATTTAAGAAGTCAGGCTTGTCACCATGTATCTATGTGATTTGAAGTGTTCACCATCAACTGGTTGCTATCCAAGTTATCAAATATTAAAACTGTGCTTGAAAATTAGCAGGTTATTATAAGATGGAATTGATATGGGTGACATTAAGGCTGAACAGGAAGGGGAGTCACAAGTATATTGAATGAGCAGGTGGTTCAGACCTTTATTAGCTATTCCTGCTTAGTTATCAAATTTTCCTCAATTCTCATTCATATTTAACAGGAGAACCCCCTAAAGAGAAGGTGCTCAACAATCAGGTAGATTAGGTGTCTGATCTTTCCTGTGGATGTCTATCAAGCTTTCTCCCAGTGATACTGGTGCTTACTTAGTGGAACCATGCAAAAAGTAATCATAGTTGCATGGATGGTAAATATGCTTGAACTCAACACAATGGACTACCCTTTAGCAACCCTGATCTGTCTACTATCACTGAGTGTCCAACTTGTCAATACCAAGGGCCAATGTGCTCCTGATATGGCACCATTTCATAGGGACACCGACCAGGCACCTGGTGCCAGGGTGATTACATTGAATCCTTTATATTGTGGAGTAAGCAACCATTTGTCCACATGAAACCAAATACACATTCTAGAAATGGGTTTCTCTTCTCTGCCCTCAATGCTTCTACCGGTGTCACCATATGTCACCTTATAGAATGCCTTATTCATTGCCATAACATCCCATACTACATTGCCTTTGACAAGGAAACTCATTTTATAGCAAAACAATTGTTACAAAAGATCCATGCCCGTGAAATTCATGTTTCCCCACATGTCCCATCACCAGTAAGCAGCTAGCTTGATAGAATGATGGAATGGCTTCCTAAAGGCTCAGTTTCAATGCCAGGTGTGACACAATATTGTTTGAAATTGTGGTGCTGGCCTAACAGATTAAACTATTAGCCAATACATAAGCCATATTTCCAAAAGCCAGAACACGTAGGATCAGGAACTAAGAAGTAGAATTATTTTACCTAATATTCTATTTACAGAATTTTATTTCCGTTCCTGGAAACTTGTATTTAGTAGCTTTGGAGGTTCTCTTTTCCAAGGAAGGAACATTTCTTTCAAGAAATATAGCTATGTTTCCATTAAATTTGGACCTGAAATTGCACCCTTGCTATTTTTAGCTCCTAATGCCATTGACCTAACTGGCAATAAAGAGTTTAACTATACTGAATGGATTGATTAATTCTGATTAACAAAGGAAAATTAGGCAAGTAGGCCTAGTTGGAATCCAGGAGATCTGCTGTGGAGACTTTTAGCACTTATGTTTCCCATAAAGAGCCACCAAATAAAGACAGTATCACTAGGGACTTTGATCCTATGAAATGAAGATTTGGGTCATCCCATGAGACAATAATTCATGTACTATGGAAGTAGTAAAGTTTGCTTGAAAATGGAATGGATAATAGAAAATGGAAATTATGATGATAAAATTTAGCCTCATGACCAAAAGTGAAAACAGTGGTAGCTAATTTACATATTTATGCTAACTGAATATTTCTTTCCCCTCACTCTCTTTGCTATCTCATATAAAGAGTACTGATAGTGGGTGACATTAACATTTATAATCCAGTTGGGAATAAGACTGAATTGCTGACACCCTGCCACAATTTAAATTATGCTAGGACTGTGGTCTTCCTGTACTGGAGATCCAATTTTCTTAATCTAAGCAAGAGGCAAGAATGAATGGTGAAGTCGGAGTAATGTTCTGGTAAGTTTCTATTGACTTCATGGATTTATTTTCTTCCCTTGTCTAACTTGCTCTGTGCTCATGGATGCAGAGTCATGCAGTCAACATCATCCAGATTCCTTTGTAGCCTGAATTTCAGCAGAAGGCACTCAGTGGGAGGCTCCTGTAGGGTTCAAGTTAGGTGGAGAGGAGAATGGGTTATTTTTCCCCCGATTCCCTCTGCTTTGGTTCTGTGCTTCTGCCAGGAGCTGAATCTCTCCATAACTAGAACTCCTGCTATGTGACCTTTCCTTGCAGCTCCAGAACTCACTTAGCTCTGGTAATGCTATCTTTTCTCTTGACCCTTTATGGCTTCCTGTGGTTGGTGTCTTTTTTCCTCTGCATCTCTCTTTCTCTCTTATTTTTTTAACCCTAGCTACATCTCCGTAAACAGACTCTTTAGGTTCTTGACAGTGGAAACTCTTAGAGGAACCATGATTCCTTCCAGGATTACATTCAGTAACAAAGCCAATGATTTATTGCATACAAGCAGCAACTCTAATAAAAATTAACTCAAATGCTTGAAAGTGAAGCTTTGGGCAAAAGAACAACAGGCAAATGGAAATTTAAAAAAAAAAGCAAAGATCACAATATTTAGAACCAATAAGTTTTATTCATGGTTGGTAAAAAATATGAATTAGGACAAAGGCACTTTTTATCAATAAAAAGATCACTATAAATAAGTAACTGTCATAAATATTTATTAAATATGTATGCAAAATTCAGAAAGCAAAAACTTCAGAAGCATTTTTTAAAATACAATTTATAATACTATTTTTTCAGCTGATGGAAGATCAAGTGAAAAAACATAAGTGAGATTTAGGAGGACATAAGCGATTAACGGAGGATAACTAATATGTGCATATTTATTCAAATACTCATGGAATAATAGTCAAAGTGGACAAAGTATTGGGCCTCAATGAAAACCTTAGCATATTCCAAAAAGTAAAAATAGTGTGTAATTTAGTCCATGATGACAATGTAATAAAACTGGAAATTATTTCTGGGAAGCGATATTGTCTGCAATTGTTAATTTCTACATTTTTAAAAATAATTATTCTATTATTTTGTTCAGTAAACATTGTACTTTTTTATAGGTAAAATATCAAAATACTCAAATATATACAAAAAGTTAGTAATATATAATTTTAAAAATACCGTACAAATATCAAACTTAGAAGAAGCATAAACAATTGTAGCTGTGCTAATAGCCCTCAATGAGTTCAGAATTTTATAATTAGATATTAAAAGGAGGATAAGAAGTGCATGTATAGTAACTGGACAGTGCACAGTCACAAGTTAGGTATAGCCCTATAAATTGTCTATTTTAAAGTACACATGTATAGCAATTTGCTATTCAGAAATGTTGAATCATTTAAACATAATTTTATTATTACAGAAACAGTATATGTGCATCAGAGAAAAGTTTTTAAATGCAGAGGAGCAAAATGTGTCGAAATAGTCCTATAAACAAGAAACCCCCATTGTTAGCACCTTTGCCTCTAGCCTTACATATTATTTTTCATCAAATATACGCTTTGTAACCTCTTTTTCAGTCAGTAATTTTCACATTTTTATTTTCATGCATTTTCATTATATATAATATCCATGCTGTATTTAGATGTCTTTAATTAATTAAACATTTTTCTTTAGGGCTGATTTCTTTAAACCAGTCTCAGTGCAGTCCTGCACATTATATCTAATTGTCCACCCTTTAATTTTTTTTTAAATCTAGAATTACCCCCCTTTTTAAATGGTACTGACTTGTTGAAGGAATGAGGCCAATTGCCCTGCAAAATGGCATACCTTAGGGTTTTGCTTGATTGCTTTCTGTGTCTAAATTTACACCTAAAGCCTTAATGGCTCTCAGTTAAACAATCTTGACTAGAATAAATCACAGGTGAAATTTTGTACCTCATGTTGTACTACATCAGAAAATTTGTAATGTCAGGTTGACCCACAGTTGAGACAGTAAGAGTGATCATTGGTTTGTGTGATATCTGATATCTGATACTGATATCATCCTTCAGTTAGATTGCCCCTTTTGCAAGTATGGGATGCTATGAAGGTCTACTTCCCCATAAGCCTTCACTTAATGAATTTTAGCAGGAATGTTTCTCTTTCATAAGCTTCCACTGAAATATAATATAATTGAATTGCCCAAATCATAATTGTATAGCTCAAGGAATTAGTTCAGAGTGAACACACCCATGAAACTACCAACCTGGGTCAAGAAACACTCAAAGGACACATAGGAGGCTCCTCATGCCCCAAGCACATTATTTCCCTCTCCCTTCTCCCAAAATGTAACCACTGTCCTGATGTCAAATGGTAAAGAATAATTTACCCCCTATAAATAGACTAATACAGAATGTGTTTGTATTTGTTCCTCTTGTTCAAAATTATGATCAAGATTCACAGATGTTATTGTGTGTATCTTTATCATATTCATTTTGATAGATGTAAAGTAGTACAATCTATTCATACACCACTATTTATTCTTACTTGTCTTGGTAGACATTGCTTTCCTTCTGTGGCTAAATAATCCATTTGTGAACATTGTTATAAGTTTCTATTACTGCATATGTGCATATAATTCTGTTGAATGCATACCCAGAAATGAAATTCTTGGATCATACAGGACGCATGTGTTCAAATGTTGTAGATAATATGAAACCTGTTTCCAAAGTGGTTGTTCGAAATTCATCCTGAGAGCATAAGAGATTTCCATTTGCTTCAAAACCACATCAACACTTTAAATTACTTTCTATCTTTTAACTTGTCTGGTGAATGTATAATATTTCTCCCGATGGACTTAATTATTATTTAAGGACGTCTTTTAATGAGGTTGGACGTCTTTTAAAACGTTTATTATATATTTGTATAATCTCTTTTGTAAACTGCTTTTTCAAAATATCGCCCATTTTCCTATTGGGTGGCCTCTCTTCTTATTGTTCGAATTTTTATGTATTCTGCATATAAGCCATTTGTCAATTATATAAACTGCAAATAATCTAGTTTCACTTGCTTTTGCTCTCTTATTGGTGACTTTTTAGAGAAGAAAACACTTTTTAATTTTAATACAGTTCAAATCATTAATGTTTTTCATATCCTGCTTAAGAAATCTTTGCTTTCCAAGCCCTGAAGATATTCTTTATTATCTTATACAATTATTGCTTTTCCATTCCTGTTTAGATCTACATGAATGAAATGGTTTTGTGAATGAAGTGAGGTAAAAATCTAGATTTCTTTTTCCATACTGATACAGGATTCTATACTGTTATATTGGTCTGTCTATGCTTGTGATATTTACCTTTCTTCATTACTATGGTTTATATTGTATCCTTGATATCTGGCACTGTAAGTACTTTGTTCTTTTTTGAGATGTTAGCTGTTCTTAGCCTTTTGCAATGTCATCTAAATTCTAGAATCCACATGTAAGTTTTTGAAGATAAAGAAGCCTCTTGGAACTATGATTGATATTGTAATCAACAGATGAACTTAGGAAAATGGACATCTTTATAAATTTGAGTTTTCAATTTATGAACACATTCTATCTCTTGATTTATTTAGGTTTCATTCAATATTACCCAATAAAGTTATATAGTTCTGTAGAGATTTTGCATATATTTGATTAAATTTATCTCAAGTATTTGATGTTTTGATGCTGTTCAAAGGGATATCTTTTTATATTTTAATCTATTTATTGTATAAAGAAATACACTTTTTAAAATATTGATCTTATATCAGAAACCACACAAAGCTGTGATATTAATTCTAATAATTAAGTAGAAAATTATCTTGGACATTTCATAAACACAAATGTATAGTGTGAAAATGGGAGTGGCATTTTACCTTTCTGGTCTTTAGTCTTTACTCCTTACCGTCTCGCTCTGGCTATGAATGAATTAGAATAAAGTGGGATGGAGTAACGAGAATAAGTAATCTATCCTCATATTTTATCTTGCAGACAAAATGTTTAACATTTCACATTATGAAGGATTTTGCTGCAGATTTTTTTCTTTTTTTGAAGATTATGTTTATCAATTAAAATGCTACAGTTTGCTGAGGTTTTCAATTCTAAAAAATACGATTATCAGAGATTTTAGACAATCGTCTGATTTTTCTTTTTATTCGTAGTACATTGCACTAATAGACTTTTAAATGTTTTTGGCAAATTTGAGCAGAAGGAGGATAACATTTCAAACACAAAAGTTGCAAGAAAAGTATAAGAAACCACAAAATATTTTACTGAGATTTTCAGATTCACCAGTTGTTTATGTTTTGCTCCATTTATTTATGATTTTTCCTCCTCTCTCATTCTTCTCTCTTTTTAATTATTTAAGACTAATATGTCAAATTTGCCCTTCTACCCTGTTAGGGTTTGGCTGTGTCCCCACCCAAATCTCATCGTGAATTCCCACGTGTGTGGGAGGGACCCAGTAGGAGGTAATTGAATCATGTGGGCACATCTTTCCTATGCTGTTCTCATGACAGCAAAGAAGTCTCAAAAGATCTGATGATTTTATACAGAGGAATTTCCCTGCAAAAGTTCTCTTCTCTTGTCTGCCACCATGCAAGACATGGCTTTCACCTTCTGCCATGATTGTGAGGCTTCCCCAGCCACATGGAACTGTGAGTCTATTAAACCTCTTTTATTTTGTAAATTGCCCAGTCTTGGGTTTATCGCTATCAGCAGCATGAAAACGGACTAATACATACCCCCAAATGAATCAATTTGACCTTCTAAAAAAAGGACATCTCCCTATAACCAAAGTATAATTATCAAAATCAAAAAAGTTTACGCATTGATTTTTTAATGTTAAAACATCCTTACATTTCTGGAATTAAAGGAAGTTTGTTAGTCTACATTAAACTTTTAAAATATGCTACTGAATTTGTTTAAAAAATATTTGCATAAGATTTTTACTTCAATTTGTATATGAAGCCTGGATTGTGTTTTTCTTTCATGTACTGCCCTGTAATATTTCTTATCAAGATAATGTGGCCATCATAAAATGTGTTGGAAAGGGTTTCCGCAATTACAGAAACTAAATGTTATAGAACTCTAAGTGTTATAAAAGAATTACTATTCCATTATTAAATCTTTAGAAGAATTTGCAGGCAAATCCTGGCATGGACTATTCCAAAATTGAATATGTTAAATATTTAATTTCATTAATGTAAATCAGATTACTCATATTTTTTTGCAGTGTCTGCTTCAGTAAGTAGTATTTTTCTTAGAATTTGTCAATTTTTTTCTAAATTTTCAAATTGTTGCCAAAATTTGTTCATATATCCTTAAATAAATTTTAAAAAATCACATGTATTGATGTATAATTTACATTCATTAGAATTTACTCTTCTTAGACATCCAGTTTGATTATTATTGATAAATTACATTCATTAGAATTTACCCTTCTTAGATATACAGTTTGATGATTATTGATTAATGTATATAATCATATAACTACCACTGCAATCAATATACAGAAAACTCCCATCACCCCCATAAATTCCCTCAATTTCCTTTGTATTAAGTCTCCAACCCCTACTTATATACCCTGGCAACCACTGATCTGATTTGTCTCTATACTTTTGCCTTTCCCAGAATATCACATAAATGGAATAAAACAATGTATTGCCTTTCATGTCTTTTGCAAAATTATGTTCTTTCATGGATTTTAAGTTTCTTCTTTTTAAATTGCTAATATTAACCTACTATCTCTATATAGAAAACTTTGTTTATCACTAGCTGATTGATGTACATTTGAGTTGTTTCTAGGTTTAAGGTATTGTGAATAATTTGCATATAGGGATTTACATGAACTTCCCTTGCTCCCTTTTTTGGGGGTAAATTCTTAAGAGAGGACTTTCTGAGTTGTATGTAAGAGAGTATTTAAAATGATAAGAAACTGTCAAACTGTTTTCCAAAGTTGCTGTATCATTTTGCATCCCCACTAACAAACTGAGAGTTTTGTGGTTCACATCCTCACTATCACTTGATACTTTCAGTTGTCTATAATTTTTAAATTTTAGCCAATTTAGTTATATGTATAGGGGCATCTCATTGTGGATTTAATTTACATTTTTCTAGTGAATAATAATGTTGATCATTTCATATGCTTACTGACCATTTGCATATCTTCTTTGGTGAAGTATTTGCTCAAATGTTTCCCTACTTTAAAATTTTAAAAATTTAAAATTATTTTATATTCTGCTAATATTTTACAACTGAAGTTCACAAAATACTGAAAGGGTTAATTCAGACACACTGGCAGAAACTGCAGTCTCTGATAATCTATATATATTACTTACCAATAATTGGTACAGAGTTGTGATTATTGATTAAGAAGCCTGAGAAAGAACTAGGACAAAACACTTCTGAGCCTTTAGATAACTTATTTTCTTGGACTGGATTTGCCGAAACCAAATTGATCTTTGGCTGTATGTTTTTGGTCATATGTCAAAGAATAATATCTTTAGGAGATAATTCCAAATATCCAGAAAAATGCTTATCTCGAAGTCTACTTCTGAACCTTTAAATTTGACCCAACCTCCCACATATCTATTCCAGGAAATTACTTTGGCTTTCTCTAATTCATTCTCTAGTCAGGATCTTAACCTTTATTTTTTTTTCTTTTCCCCAGCTTTCTTGAACTAATAGTATCTGTGAAACATATTCTTGGAAAGCAAAGCAAACAAAGAAACACACAGTTAACCAAAAGTTAACAATTTGATGAAAAATATCCTGGCAAATGTTAGAATACCATACCAGTAGTATGCTTCTGTTGTTTGTTTGCAAATCTAATGAAATCATAACATATGACTCTCAGAAAACAGCAAGGTAAAGATGGCTTCTTAAAGATGTCCTAGACTTAACAGCAATAAGGTTCTAGGTAGGAGACTGGGTCCAATTGCTTTTTAACTTTTAATCCAATAAGATTTTATCTTTATTAGAAGGAATGATATTTTTTAAATGGTAGTTAAAAACAGGTAAGAAATGAGTGATTATTACACAACAGTGCACTCTATAGTATGTGATAAACGTCTCTCTCTCTTTTCACTTAACAGTCAGAATTAAAATACTACTATTTCATTAATCAATATGATATTTAAATCACCAAGTTAAAAACGATCACTGTGTGTTAAAATTTTCTCTGATGACACTTCACTATGCAGAACATGGTAATTACTTTGAGAAATCAGCTATTCCAAGGTAACTGGGCAGTTACAATATTTTATCAGGTAAATTACCAGTCACCATCAACATTCATCACAGACTCATTTGGATTTTATTACAGATTGACATTTACTTATTTGCCCAACTTTTAAAATTACAACTGTTGCATGATTGCCCCAGAATGCAACTGTAGAAAATTAGCACACTAATTACATTAATTATCATAAATAAAAGGCTATCAAAGAGTAGCATGTAATAACATAGCATGTTTTAAAAGCAACTTAGGGCATCGCTATAATACCTTAAATTTAGGTATTACATTGAAATTTTCAAGACTGCTTTACCTCTACAGTTTTAATCTTTAACACCTCAGCTATAGGAATGTTATTATTAATGCCATTTCAGAAATGAAGAAGCTGCAGCCAAAACAGCTGTGTGATCGCCCTAAGATCATATACAGCTGGAACAGTTTAAGGTCAAGTCAAAAACCACATTTCCTAAACTTCCAACATTCCATTTTTTGCCCCTATATTTTTCTGCCTTTTAGGGATGAAAAGTAAAATATTTATCTTTTATGCTCCAATGTGTCAACACTTTAAGTGAACTAAAGATCAAAAAGTGAGTCTGATCTGCTTGCATTTTCCCAACTCTATTGCTACTGACCTAGTCAAGCAAACATCACCTTTCCTCTCAAGTACCTGTAACAACTCCCTTCCTTCTTGCCCCATAAAAATCCATATTATACAGAGAAGCCCAACTGACTATTAAAATATAAATGAGATCATGCCATTTTTTTTTGCTTAAAATGATCTGTGGATTCTCAACATACTAGAATAAAATCTAAATCACCAAGTCCTATAAAATTCATGTAATCTGAACCCCTCTCCCATTTCATCTCCTATCACTCTATCCCCTCATTATTCTGCTTTTTTTTTGGTCTGATTGTTGAGCCTATTGCCAAGATTGAGCCTGCCTCTGAGTCTTTGTTCTTCTATTTTACTCTGTTTGGAATATTCTACCCCCAGGTTTCTGCAGAACTGGTTTCAAATTCCTACTCCTCAAAGAGATTTTCTTAAATAACTGAACCTAAACTGACCTTTCCTCTTTCTCCTTCTTTCCTACAGCCTATCCTCTAGTCATTCCTTATCACATTCTGTTTTATTTTTATGCCATTTTTCTTTGCTTTCAGAAGTTATCAACTCCCACACCTTAGAAGTCCACAGAAGAGTTTGTGTATCTCGATTACTACCTGTAACAGAAGCTATGCATTCTTCACTCCTATCTCTAAAGGCTGCTCTGGAAATCACCTGCAACTTCAGTTGATGGTTCTCATATATTCTAAAGAGCTTTCTATCTCAACATCTCTCAGCCTGAGGCCATTCCCTGAGTATTCTTCCTAGCAGACAAGAAATGCCAGGAAGTTAATGGCTCAAGGTATTAGGATGGTGCAAAATTAACTGTGGGTTTTGCTATTAATGCAACCTTTAGTCCATAGATAAAATCAGGAAATTACTATGTACACGGCTCCTTCATTCCTCAGGTGGCCAATTATAAAGGTGTGTTCGACATCTTTTACAGTCTCCAGCATGACTGAACCCTAGTTGCACACAGTAGAAACCAGCTTATTCATGTGCACTTCATTGCCTTTCATTTCTCTGTCTATTTTGTTGTTAAATAAAACAAAATTATACCCACTTCCCTGTCCCCAGTGCCTGATTGGACTCATCATACATACTATTGTCCTCTTCCCTGCTCTTTGTTTCCACCATTTTCCTTCCCCACTGGCTTGTGTTGTCTCCACTAATAATCTTCTTTCTAGAACTTCCTTCTCTAAGCCATATGCTTTTATCTCTCACCAATGTCCTGGATCACTGTCTTGAAAGTGGTTATCTCCACATGGCCTTTTTGTCTCCAAGTTTTGATAACTAATACTGCCCTTCACCCCTTCAGGCCTAGAGAAGGTAACAATTGCAGGGTACATACAGAATTATCCCTTTTGGTTTATCTATACACTATCCACAGCTTTTAAATTGCTCTTTTATTATATTCTATTCAAGTTAAACAGCTTAAGTGTATTGTGCATTTTCCCTAGTACACTGATAGGTACCATTTGTACATTCAGGTTTTAGTGTATATTCAAAGAGCGATTTTCCTTTCTTTCCTCCTATGAGATTTTTCACTTATTTCTTGAAATTGGCTTAAAGAATACAGCATGTCCAGGTTTTAGGGGAAAAGAGACTCGGCACTAAAAACAACAATACTTTGCTATGCACTAAATTCACAAGAACAATTTTTCTTTATCTATTTCTGCTTCTTTTTTAATTCCTAGAGAAACCACTTTTTGTCTGATATCTCTTCTTTCTTCAGAAACCTTATTTTTGTTATAGCTCAAAACAAACCTCTCGGGCTTCTCTTTTGGAGGCAAACCTTCTCTTTGGAGTCACATAAAGACATTGTACTCTTATTTACTTCTCTTCAGTTTTATTTTATTTTATTTTATGAGGAATTAAATGTATAGAGTGAAATATACACATATTAAAGGTATAAACCCATGTGACACACATCTTAATCTGAACACAAAACATTTCTTTCACCTCATAAACTTCTCTCATGCCCCTTTCCAGTCAGTATTGCTGCAACATAAGGCAACTGATGATTTGGTTTCTATCACCATAAGTTAGTTCTGCCAGTTCTTGAACTTCATATAAATGAAACCATAGCACATGTAATCTTTGGGTCTAGCTTCTTTCACTCAGTATAAAGTTTTTGAAATTTGTCTGTTGCTGTGTGTCTTGATAGTTTGTTCTCTTTTGTTACTGGACAGTGTTGAGTAAAAGAGTCAAACTCAGTAAAATATTTGAAGAGATTTATTCTGAGCAAAATATGAGTGACCATGGCCTGTGACACAGCCCTCCTCAGGAGACCCTGAGAAAATGTTCCCAAGGTGGTTGGGGTTCAGGTTAATTTTATACATTTTAGAGTGTTAAAACACACTAAATATGGCCTGAGAAGGACTCCATACTTCTATATTTGAATCTTTGTGGACAAACTGCAACCTAACTTAATAGGTAGGCAAGATTGAAAAACCTAACTTAGGAGTATGCACCTGTAACAATAGCTGAGTGTTGGCCAATCCCAGCAGCCATACTTCAACCACTCTTACACTACTGAGTGTTCAAACTGTGTTCAACTAAGGCAAATGCTAAGCTGTAACCAATTCAGTTGTTTCTATACCTCACCTCCAATTTCTGTACCTCATTTCCCTTTTTATGTCTATAAATCTTTCACCATGTGGCTGTGCTGAAATCTCTCTGAATCTGCTGTGATTCCAGGGACTGCCCTATTCATGAATTGTTGATTGCTGAATTGAACTTCTTTAAATTTAATTCAGGTGAAGTTTTTCTTTTAACAGATGGTGTCAGAAGTGGGATCTGAAGTAGAGCCTTAACAATCCCCAGGAGTGCTGAGTGAACAAGCAAGGTACCTGCAAGGACCTACTTTTGTCCCTTGATCTCTCAAAGTGGCTGGGGATCATGGGTAAGTTCTCTCAGATTTCAGAACTCCATGGATTTGTGTTTGGAATTCTCTGAGTTTCTCTGAACAAATCTGTGATCCAAACAGTTTGAAAGTCAGGACAGAAACTGAACTAGGTCCAGGATCAGATTTGATCTGGTAATTAACTGACTTGGATCCAGCTGGAGGCCTCTCTCTCTCTCTTTATTTATTTATTTATTTATTTTTTTTGAGATGGAGTCTTGCTCTGTCACCCAGGCTGGAGTAGAGGGGTGTGATCTAGGCTCACTGCAACCTCTGCCTCCTGGGTTCAAGAAATTCTCCTGCCTCAGCCTCCTGAGGAGCTGGGATTACAGGTGCCCACCACCATACCCAGCTAATTTTTGTATTTTTAGTTGAGATGCGGTTTCACCATGTTGGCCAGGCTCATCTTGAACTCCTAACCTCAAGTGATCTACCCAGCTAGGCCTCCCGAATTGCTGGGATTACAGACATGAGCCACCATGCCTGTCCCAGTTAGAGACCTCTTACCTTTGGCTGAGACAGAAAGAAAATATTAGTAAATGGTAATATTGCAGTGGTTGTAAAATTTGGCTTTTAGAAATGCACAGGGATTCTTGAGCTCTACCCCTTCATTTCATTTTTCTTGTGTACTTAGGTAGAAAAAAAATTATTGGCTAAGTCAATCAAGGGAACCTAAGAGTAAAGCCAATATCTTAGGTAAAAATGGGATCCCTAATTTTTGAAAGTCTGAGT
This sequence comes from Homo sapiens, assembly GCF_000001405.40. Classification (NCBI taxonomy): domain Eukaryota; kingdom Metazoa; phylum Chordata; class Mammalia; order Primates; family Hominidae; genus Homo; species Homo sapiens. The sequence continues at coordinate 57,743,197 of NC_000007.14, forward strand.
TTCTTCCATCTTTTTATTTTTTATTTTATTTATTTATTCATTATTATTATTATTATTTTGAGACGGAGTCTCTCTCTGTCACCCAGGCTGGAGTGCAGTCGCGCAATCTCAGCTCACTGCAAGCTCCGCCTCCCGGGCTCAAGGGATTCTCCTGCCTCAGCCTCCCAAGTAGCTGTGATTATAGACGCGTGTCATCACACCCAGCTAATGTTTTGGATTTTTAGTAGAGACGGGTTTTCACCGTGTTAGCCACGATGGTCTCAATCTCCTGACCTTGTGATCCGCCTGCCTCGGCCTCCCAAAATGCTGGGATTACAGGTGTGAACCACTGCGCCCGGCCTAAAGAAACAGAATTGTATTAATTTATCAGCTGAGTTAGCATTACAGTGGCTTACGAAGCATTTACCATTGTTTGAGGATGCAGTGAGGACAACATGAAACACCTGATGAAAAACCTTCACAAAACCTGGTCTCTTTCCAACATCTTAGCTATGTGAGAATAGCTTTTATAACATGACAACTCTAAAAGTAAAACCATTTTAAAGTTAAAGCTGTCCTTCCAGTTGCTGTTTCAAACTTTATCCCAAGAACTGAGGTGTCGTTCAGTAAAAGGCAACTACAGGCTTCTCAGCAGTAAGGCTAAGTACTTGTTTTATGTTTTCTGGTGATGAATTTATTTCTTGTCTTTGAGTTTACAGTGACAGCTATAAAAGTGATTGCCAATAGTATTAGTATAATTTAATTTCTAATAGAATGTGTTTTCCATGTATGTTTTAGTCAGAGCTATGATATTCTTAATAATACCAGAACCTATTTTGTGCTCTATGATGATGATATTAGTGATCTGTATTCTCAGCAGTATTTTACAGTGCTTCAGACTATTAATACACTAATCTGTGTTTTTGGCTGGGTGCTGTGGCTCACACCTATAATTCCAGCACTTTTGGAGGCTGAGACGGGTGGATCACTCAGGCTCAGAAGTTCAAGACAAGCCTGAGCAACATTGTGAAACCCCCTCTTTACTAAAAATACAAAAATTAGTTGGGCGTGGTGGTGGGCACCTGTAATCTCATCTACTTGGGAGGCTGAGACAGGAGAATTGTTTGAACCCAGGAGGCGGAGGTTGCAGTGAGCTGAGATTGCACCATTGCACTGCAGCCTGGGCAAAAAGACAGAAACTCCATCTCAAAGGAAAAAAAAAGAGTAAATAGTAAGATCGAGCATGGTGGCTCATGCCTGTAATCCTAGCACTTTGGGAGGCTGAGGCGGGTGGATCACCTGAGGTCGGGAGTTCGAGACCAGCCTGACCAACATGGAGAAATGCCGTCTCTACTAAAAATACAAAATTAGCCAGGCTAGGTGGTGTATGCCTGTAATCCCAGCTACCGGGGAGGATGAGGTAGGAGAATCGCTTGAACCCGGGAGGTGGAGGTTGCGGTGAGCCATGATCATGCCATTGCACTCCAGCCTGGGCAACAAGAGTAAAACTACTACGTCTCAAAATAAAATAAAATAAATAAAATAAAGAGTGAATAGTATTCCTTTATGTGTGTGTGTGTGTGTGTGTGTGTGTGTGTGTGTGTATGTATATATATATATCACATTTTCTTTATCCATTCATCCAAGGCTGGCCCCCTAGGTTGCTTTCATATCTTAGCTATTATGGATAATGCTGCAGTGAATATGGTAGTGCAGTTATCTCTTCAATATGCTGATTTCAATTCCTTTAGCTATACACCCACAGGTGGGATTGCTGGAACATACAGTAATTCTGTTTTTAATTTCTGATGAATCTCCATGTTATTTTCCTTAATGACTCTATTCATTTACGTTGGGAAATGTAATTACTTTTTATTTTTTTGAGACGGAGTCTTGCTCTGTTGCCCAGGCTGGAGTGCAGTGGTGTGATCTAGGCTCACTGCAAGCTCCACCTCCTGGGTTCACACCATTCTCCTGCCTCAGCCTCCTGAGTAGCTGGGACTACAATGGGCCCGCCACCTGCCTGGCTAATGTTTTTTGCATTTTTAGTAGAATGATGTTGGGAATGGACTGATTTATTCAATAAATTGTGTTAGGTACATTGACTAACAGTGTGTAGGATTGAAGTTATATTTACTGAATTCTTTACATTAAGGTATAGTCACAACAGACTGAATAATTAAATGTAAAAATGATCTGGAGAAAACCTTCTTGTTTTGTTTTGTTTTGTTTTTTGAGATAGAGTCTCACTCTGTCATCCAGGCTGGAGTGTAGTGGGGTGATTTTGACTGACTGTAACCTCAGTTTCCCAGGTTCAAGTGATACTCCTGCCTCAGCCTCCCAACTAGCTGGGATTACAGGCATATGCCACCACACTGGAATAATTGTATATGTTTTAAAATAGGAATAGATTTTCTAAGCTAAACTGAAGATAAATGGTAAGGAAATAGTGAGATTTGACTTGATAATTATGTGTCTGAATGAATCAGCCAATCAATAAAATGAAAACAGGCCAGGGGCAGTGGTGCATGCCTGTAATCTGAGCACTTTGGGAGGCTGAGGCGGGTGGATCATTTGACGTCAGGAGTTCAAGACCAATCTGACAAACATGGTGAAAACCCATCTCTACTAAATACAAAAACGTGGCTTGTTGTGTGGCACATACCTCTAATCCCAGCTACTTGGGAGGCTGAGGCAGGAGAATCACTTGAACCTGGGAGGTGGAGGTTGCAATGAGCTGAGATCGAGCCATTGCACTCCAGCCTGGGCAACAAGAGCAAAACTCTGTCTCAAAAAAAAAAAAAATCACTGCCCTACCAACTTTTTCACATAGAATGATTAAGGATTCCAGAGCCCATGCTACCTCTAGGAGCTCCTACCCCTGCCACACCAAACATATATCTTGACAGGGCTAGTTAGAGAAGAAAAGGCCCAGTAAATTAATATCACAATCATTGTCACATACCCACCAAAAGACTCAAATTAAAATTTTGACAAAATTAAGTATCAACAAGAATGCGAAGATTCGGGAATTATCAGACATTGTAAGACTGTCAGTTGGTGTGTTAACATTGGGATGAAACCAATAATAGTTAGTAAAATGGAAGATATGTTTACCCTGTAACCTATGGTTTCACCTCCTGTTTTATACTGTTCACTATACACACTATACACACTAATGGTAACCAAATAGAAATACACAAATGTCACAACAGCATCATTTGTAACTGACAAAAATGAACACAACCCACATGTCCACCAACAATGAAGGGATACACACTGGTGTACTGTATTTTTATTTTTATTTTTTTTTTGAGATGGAGTCTTGCTCAGGTTCCCAGGTTGGAGTGCAGGGCGCGATCTCAGCTCACTGCAATCTCTGCCTCCCAGGTTCAAGCAATTCTCCTGTCTCAGCCTCCTGAGTAGCTGGTCTTACTGATGGGTGCCGCCACTACCAGCAAATTTTTGTATTATTGGTAGAGACAGGGTTTCACCTTGTTGGTAAGGCTGGTCTCAAACTCCTGACCTGAGGTAATCCACCTGTCTCAGCCTCCCAAAGTGCTGGGATTACAGGTGGGAGCCACCACGCCCGGCCTTTTTTTTTTTTTTTTTTGAGACTGAGTCTCACTCTGTTGTCCAGGTTGGAGTACAGGGTGCAATCTTGGCTCACTGCAACCTCCACCACTCCCCAAGTTCAACTGATTCTCCTGCCTCAGCCTCCCGAGTAATTGGGATTACAAGCACCCACAACCACACCCAGCCATTTTTTTTTTAACAGAGTCTAGTTCCGTTGCCCAGGCTGGAGTGCAGTGGTGCAAACTCGGCTCAGTGCAACCTCCACCTCCCAGATTCAAGTGATTCTTCAGCCTCAGCCTCCCGAGTAGCTGGGACTACAGGCACGTGCCATCACACCCAACTAATTTTTTGTATTTTTAGTAGAGATTTGGTTTCACCGTTTTCGCCAGGATGGTCTCGATCTCCGGACCTCATGATCTGCCTGCCTTTGCCTCTCAAAGTGCTGAGATGACAGGCATTAGCCACTGCATGGCCTAATTTTTGTAGTTTTAGTAGAGATGGGGTTTCACCATGTTGGTTACGGTGGTCTGGAACTCCTGAACTCAAGTGATCTGCCTGCTTCAGCCTCCCAAAGTGCTGAGATTATAGACGTGAGCCATCGTGCCTGGCTGGTGTACTATTTTAGTAGAATGCAGAAACAATGCTAAGTGTGAATATTAAATACTTAACATTGAGTAAAAGGAGCCAGATGCAGCAGGATACAGACTTTTACTCCAATTATGTAAGAGAAAAACCAGGCAAAACCAGACTTTACTTTAGGCTTTTAAAAAATGAATAATAAGGCCAGGCACTGAGGTCAGGAGTTCGAGACTAGCCTGACCAACATTTAAAACCCCGTCTCTACTAAAAATACAAAAATTAGCCGGGCGTGGTGGCACATAGCCCATGCCTGTAATCCCAGCTATTTGGGAGGTTGAGGCATGAGAATCACTTGAATCCGGGAGTTGGAGGTTGCAATGAGTCAAGATCATGCCACTACACTCCAGCCTGGGTGACAGAGCAAGGCTCCATCTCTTAAAAAAAAAAAAAGAAGAAGAAGAAGAAAGAAAAAAATACATAATAAAATTATAAAGAGAACCAAGGAGAGAAACGCACATATCCACAGGTAATGTGGGTATCTGTTATATCTGTTACTAATAAGGGAAGGAAGACTTTAGGATCAGTTAGGGGCATACAGAGGACTTCTCGGTGGTGATAGTGCTCTATTTCTTCACCTGGATAAGTATCACACAGATGTTTATTTAATAACTGATGTATCCATATGTTTGTTTGTGTATTTCACAAAAAGAATGAAATAGAGGAAAGGAAGGTGAATGGAAAGAGATTTCTCCATTCATCAAAATGTTAAAGTCATGTTTTTCCTGAGGTTCTTCCCCAAGTTCAGTCTGAAATGGTGAAAGCAGCCAAGTGCGGTGGCTCACGCCTATAATCTCAGCAGTTTTGGGAGGTAACAGAGTGAGACTCTGCCTAAAAAAAAAATAGAGAACAACACAGTGGTTATCAGGTAGAGAGGAAGGGAGGAAATAAGGACATGTGGGTCAGAGATACACAGTAGCAGATATGTAGGATGAACAATCCTATACATCTATATACAACATGAGGACTATAGGTAATAAAATCGTACCGTATATGGGATTCATGCTAAATAAGATTTTACCTTCCCTTGTCACACCAAAAAATGTGGGTATCTGTGATAGATATGGTAATTTGCTTTACTATAGTAAACTTTTTACTATGTATATGTATTCTATAACATCATATGAGTACCTTAAATATACACAATACAATTTATTTTAAAGAGAAAAAAATGGCCAGGTGTGGTAGTTCACGCTGGTAATCCCAAAACTTTGGGAGGCCGAGGCGGGCGGATCATGAGGTCAGGAGTTTGAGACCAGCCTGGCCAACATGGTGAAACCCCGTCTCCACTAAAAACACACACAAAAAATTAGCCGGGTGTGGTGGCACACACCTGCAATCTTAGCTACTCAGGCAGTTGAATTGCTTGAACATAGGAGGCAGATGTTGCAGTGAGATGAGATCTCACCATTGCACTCCAGCCTGGGTGACAGGCCAACCCTCCACCTCAAAAAAAAAAAAAAAAAAAAAAAATATATATATATATATATAAAAATATATATATATATAAATATATATATATAAAAATATATATATATAAATATATATATATATAAATATATGTATAAATATATATATAAATATATATATAAATATATATATATATATAAATATATATATATAGAGAGAGAGAGAGACAGAAAATTTATGAAAGTATGCACAACAAAATTAACATGTTGACCCTAAAGTGAGCTACTGAGTGACTGGGGTGCGTGAGAGAAAAGGTTACTTAACATTTTTATACCTGTTGAATTGTATCCTATGTATGCATTATAAATTTAAATGTGCAATAATGCAGATAACTGAAATGTGGGTATGCTTTGATTAGGACTTTGCATTTCCCATTTGCTCAAATTCCTTATGATTCTAGATGCATATGAATAGAAATACAAAATGTAAGGAGACACGGGACTTCTGATAGCCCTTTCCTCTTTCCACATTTTGTGTCTCTGGCTGTAGTTTGCCATATGAGTCCATATGGCTAATGAGCAAAATATTTTTCAGATGGATACACGAGACTAAGCATTGCAAGTTAAAGATATTTCTGAATCTTGGACCTCTTATTTACAGTGAAGCCCCTTCATGCATAGTAAAGCAGAGAGGAATGTAAAAGGTTGCTGCATCAATAATCAATTTCTGGTGAGCAATAATTATAGGTAATGTAAAATGAGACAATTATTGCTTTTCATCATTTCTTGAAAGAACTCTTACAGCCCATGATTTTGAAAAAAAAATCTAAGTTCACTCTTTTCTTTTCTATAACAAAAAGACATTATCCAGTAGAAGTTCAAGAGTAAAATCTGAAGGCAGCTTACCTGACCTGGCCACATGGTCTTGCCACCTGTTAAATATAACTTTCTAACACTAACTTCTCCAGACCTCAGATCTTCAACTCTCTAAAATGGAAACCTAGTAGTATTTGTCTCTAGAACTGCAGCTTAACTGAGCATTTTAGGGAAGGAACAAACATACACACATTATATATATAGTCAGATTATGAACCCAGTGTAGCCCAGAATGCAAAAATTTCTCAGTAACAGAGATCCCCAAGAGAAAAATGTGATTTAGCCTATCTCAGTGGCCTTTCATGTGGCAAATGAAAAGTTAAAGTCCATAATGAGAAATATATGGGCAGCCAGTGACACCATCCGTTCAATGTTGACTCTCAACACCTCTGACATTCATTCCCTGTTGTACCCCAACGTGCTTATATATCGGGGTGATATCACCTTTTGATCATAACATACATAAACCTCAAGCCTCAAGAAATATTTATGAACAGCCAGATATTCTGTTTTTCCAGTCAAAACTCAGGTAGATCACATTTTATGTGACAGGAGAAGGCACAGTCGATGCCCAGTTAACCCTGAGATCATCTCTGCCTGCAGCTTCCTATCATCATAGCAAGCTCTTTCCCTGCAGTTCACCATCTGTATCTGCCCTTTGCTATATAGATAGCAAAAATAAGCATCTGAAAAGATGCTCAACACCATATGTCACTAGGGAGTTCAAATTAAAACAACGATGAGATACCACTACACATCCATTAGACTGGCTCAAATCCAAACGCTGACACCACCAAATGCTGATGAGGATATGGAGCAAAAGGAAATCTCATTGATTGCTGCTGGGAATGCAAAATGGTAAAGCCACTGTGGAAGGCAGTTTTGCAAATTCCTGCAAAACTAAACATACGCTTACCATATGATCTGGCAATTGCATTCTTTGGTATATACTCAAATGACTTGAAAACTCATGTCCACTCAAATTCTGCACATGAATGTTTACAGCAGCTTATACATAACCAACAAAGATTGGAAGTAACCAAGATATCCTACAATAGGGAAATGAATAAACTAACTGTGAAACATTCATACAATGGAATATTCTTCAGGAATAAAAAGAAGTGAACTACCAAGGCATGACAAGACATGGAGGAATCTTAAACACGTATTTCTAAGTGAAAGAAGCCAATGCAAGAAGGCCACATAGTGTAGAGTTCCAATTATATGGAATACTAGAAAAGGCAAAACTAGGCAGATGGTGTTATAAAAAGTTCAGTTGTTGCCAGGGGCTTGAGCAGAGGGAAGGATGAATAGGTGGAACACAGAAGATTTTTAGGGCAGTGAAACTTTTCTGTGTGACCTTATAATGGTGGATATGTGTGCTTAAGTATTTGTCAAAGCCCATAAATGGTAGAACACAAAGAGTGAATCTTAATATAAGCCAGGAACTTAATAATATCAATATTGGCTCATCAAGCATAACAAATGTACCACACTAACAAGATGATAATAGAGAAAGTGTATGTACTGTGGTGTGAGGCAGATATTAGAGCTCAATATGCCTTCTGCTCTATTTTTCTGTACACCTACAACTGTTCTAAAAATTAAGTCAATTATTTATTTGTTAATTATTATTTTTTAATTTATTTTTTGAGATGGAGTCTCACTCTGTTGCCCAGGCTGGAGTGCAACAGCACGATCTTGGCTTACTGCAACCTCTGCCTCCCAGGTTCAAGCGATTCTGCTGCCTCAGCTTCCCGAGTAGCTGGAATTACAGGCACCAGCCACCATGCCCGGCTAATTTTTTGTATTTTTAGTAGAGACGGGGTTTCACCGTGTTAGCCAGGATAGTCTTAATCTGCTGACCTCGTGATCCACCCACCTTTCCCTCCCAAAGTGCTTGGATTACTGGCATGAGCCATCGCACCAGGTCTTATTTATCTTTTTGAGACAGGTTTTAGCTCTGTCACTCAGGCTGGAGTGCAGTGGTGCAATCATGGCTCAATGCAGCCCCAACCTCCAGGGCTCAAGTAATCCTCCCACCTCAGCTTCCTGAGTAGCTGCGACCACAAGCGTGTGCCACCATACCTCGCACATTTCTTAGACCTCTGAAAAGATGCTCAACACCATATGTCACTAGGAATATTCAGTATTCAACTAGAGGCTTCAATGGGCTCTGAAATATCCCCTCCTGAACGCTATAAAAAGCGTATTTCCAACCGGCTGAATGAAAACAAAGGTTTACATCTGTAAGATGAATTCACACATCAGAAAGCATTTTCACCAAGAACTTTTCTAGTTTTATGGCAGGATGTTCATTTTTTCAATATTGGTCTCAATGGGCTCCAAAATGTCACTTTGTACAGTCTACAAAAATTTTTGCCAATGTACTGAATCAAAACAAATGTTTAACACTGTGAGATGAATTTTCACATCACCAAATGTTTTTACAGATAGTTTGTATCTAGTTTTTGATCACAAAACTTTGAATTTTTCACTATAAGCCTCAAAGTGCTCTAAATTGTCCCCTCTTAGCTTCTACTAAAAGAGAGTTTTGAACCTATTGTGTAGAAACAAAAGTTTAACTCTGTGAAATAAATCCCCACATTGCAAAGCTATTTCACAGATAGCTTGCTTCTAGTTTTTATCATGAATTATTCGGCTTTTCACTATAGGCCTCAATGGGCTCCGAAATGTCCTTTCATACCTTCTACAAAAAGAATGTTTCCAACTTAGCTGAATCAAAAGAAAGTTTAAACTGTATGTGATGAAACCGCAAATTGCAAAGCATTTTCACATATAGCTTCCATAGTTTCTATCATATAATATTCAATTTTTCACTGTAGGCCTCCGTGGGCTATGAAATGTCCCCTCATAGGTTCTACAAAAAGGTCTTTCCAACATGCTGAATGAAAACAAAGATTTAACTTTGTGAGATGAACCCACACATCACAAAGCATTTTTATAGATAGATTTTCTTTAGTTTTTATTGCGGAATATTCGATTTCATGCTATAGGCCTCAATTTGCTCCAAAATTTCCCTTTGTAGATTCTACAAAAAGAATATTTCCAACCTGCTGAATCAAAACAAATGTTCAATTCTGTGAGATGATATGCAAAGCTTTTCCACAGATATCCTGTTTCTAGTTTTTATCCTGGGGTATTTAGTTTTTCACTATAAGCATCAGTGGGCTCTGAAATGTCCCTTTGTAGATTCTACAAAAAGAGTGTTTCCAACCTGTTGAATCAAAACAAAGTTTTAACTTTGTGAGGTGAACCCACACATCACAAAGCATTTTCACCCATAGCTTGTTTCTAATTTTTACCATGGGTTATTGGCTTTTCACTAAATGCCTCAATGGACTGTGAATTGTTGCCTTGTAGATTGTACAACCAAAGAGTTTCCAACCTGCTGAAGCAAAACACAGGTTTAACTTTGTAAGATGAACCTGCACATTGCAAAGCATTTTTACAGATAAGTTGCTTTGAGTTTTTATCAAGAGATATTTGATTTTTCATTGTATCCTTCAATGGGTTATGAAATCTCCCCTTGGAGATTCTACAAAAAAAAGCTTCCAAACTGATGAATCAAAAGAAAAGTTCAATTTTTGAGATGAAATCACACATCACAAAGTATTTTCAGAAATAGCTTCTTTATAGTATTTATTGCAGGATATTAGATTTTCCAATATTAGCCTCAACGAGCTCTGAAATGTCCCTTTGTAGATTGTACAAAATGGTGTTTCCAACCTATGGAATAAAAAGGAAGGTTTAACTCTGTGAGATAAATCCATGCATCACAAAGCATCTTCACACATGACTTGTTTCTAATTTTTATTGTGGGATATTTGGTTTTTCACTAAAGGCCTCAAGCGCTCTGAAATGTCCCTTTGTAGATTCTATAACAAGAGTGTTTTAAAACTGCTGAATCAAAACAAACGTGTAACTCTTTGAGAGAAATCCACACATCACAAAGCATATTTTCAGATCACTTGTTTCTAGTTTTTAAAGCATGATATTCAGTTTTTCACTGTATGCCCCATCGGGCTCAGAAATGTCTCATAGTAGATTTTACAAAAATAGTGTTTCCTACCTGCTGAATCAAAACAACAGTTTAAATCTGTGAGATGACTCCAAACCTCACAAAGCATTTTCACAGATAGTTTTTTCCTAGTTTTTATCGCAGGATATTCAGTTTTTCAGTATAGGCCTCAATGAACTCTGAAATGTCCATTCATAGGTTCTATAAAAGTGTGTTCCCAACTTCCTGTATAAAAGCAAAGGTTTAACTCTGTGAAATGAATCTGCACATTGGAAAGCACACAAATATCTTGTTTCTAGCTTTTATGATGAGACATTTGATTTTTTACTATTGGCCTCAATGTGCTCAGAAATGTCTCTTTGCAGATTCTACAAAAAAAAGTTTTTCATTTTTCTGAACAAAAATAAAGGTTTAACTCTTTGATATGAAATAACACATCACAAAGAATTTTCACAGATAGCTTGTTTCTAGGGTTCATCACTGGATATTGAGTTTTTCACTATAGGCTTCAATGGAGTCTTAATTGTAACTCAATTCTACAAAAAGAGTGTCCCCCAACCTGCCGTATGTAAATAAAGGTTTACCTCTGTGAGATAAATCTTCACATTGCAAAGCATTTTCCCCGATAGCTTGTTTCTAGTTTTTATCTCGGGATATTGATTTTTCACTATAGGCCTCAATGGGCTTTGAAAGATTCCTCTGTAGATTCTACGAAAAGAGTGTTTTAACCTGCTGAATCAAAACAACGTTTAACTTTTTGAGATAAATCCACACATTACAAAGTATTTTCACAGACCTGTTTTTTTTGTTGTTTTTTATTTGTTTTTTTTTTTGTTTTAGATGGAGTCTCACTCAGTCGCCCAGGCTGGAGTGCAGTGGCGCGATCTCAGCTTCCCGGGTTCATGCCATTCTCCTGCCTCAGCCTCCCAAGTAGCTGGGACTACAGGCGCCCGCCACAAGGCCAGGCTAATTTTTTGTGTTTTTAGTAGAGACGGGGTTTCACTGTGTTATCCAGGATAGTCTCCATCTCCTGACCTCGTGATCCACCCGCCTCAGCCTCCCAAAGTGCTGGGACTACAGGCGTGAGCCCCCGCACCTGGCCAATAGCTTTTTTTACTTTTATTGTGGGATATTGGTTTTTCACTACAGGCTGATATTGGCTTCAAATTATACCCTTATAGATTCTACAAACAGTGAGTTTTCAAGCATCTGAAGCAAAATAAAGGTTTAATTTTGTAAGATGAATCTACACATTATTGCTGGATATTCGGTTTTTCACTGTAGGCATCAATTTGCTCTGAAATGTCCTATTGAAGATTTTACCAAAAGAGTGTTTCCATCCTGCTGAATCAAAAGAATGGTTTAATTCTGTGAGATGAAATCACCCATCATAAATCATTTTCAGAGACAGCTTCATATAGTTTTTATCTCAGAATATTCAGTTTTTCACTATAAGCCTCAATGGGCTTTGAAATGCCTCCTCATAAATTGTACAAAAAAAAAAGGAGTTTCCAACCTGTTGAATCAACACAAATATTTAATGTTGTGAGATAAATTGAAATATCACAAAGCATTTTCACAGATATTTTTTCTAATTTTTATCACAGAATATTCGGTTTTTCACTATAGTCTTCAGTGGGCTCAGAAATGCCCTTTGTAGATTCTACAAAAAGAATGTTTCTAACCTGCTGAATCGAAACAATACTTTAACTCTTTGAGGTGAATCCACACATTGCAAACGTTTTCACAGATAGCTTGTTTCTAGTTTTGATCACGGAATATTGGATATTTTACAATAGGCCTCAACGGGCTCAGAATTATCCCCTCTTAGATTCTACTAAAAGAGTGTTTCCAAAATGATGTATAAAAATAAAGGCTTAACACTGTGAGATGAATCGACACATCACAAAGCATTTTCACGAGTAGCTTGTTTTTACTTTTTGTCGTGAGATATTCAGTTTTTCAATATATTCCTCCATGGGCTCTGAAATGTCCCTTCATAGATTCTATGAAAAGACTGTATCCAACTGACTGAATCAAGACAAAGGTATAACTCTGTGCAATAAATCCACACATAACAAAACATTTTCACTGATAGCTTGTTTCTAGTTTTTATCACGGGATAATTGGTTTTTGGCTATAGGCCTCAATGGGCTTCAAAATTGTCCCTTCATAGATTCTACAAAAAGAGTGCTTCAATCCTGCTCAATCAAAGCAAATGTTTAATTCTCTGAAATGAATCCACACATCACAAATCATTTTCCAATATAGCTTGTTTCTAGTTTTTATTGTGGGATATTTGATTTTTTACTTTAGACCTCAATGGGCTCTGAAATGTGCCTCCTTAGATTCTACAAAGAGTGTTTCTCACCTGCTAAATCAAAACAGTGGTTTAACTTTGTGAGATAAGTCCACACATTGCAAAGCATTTTTACCAATAGCTTGTTTCTAATTTTTATCATGGGATATTCAGTTTTTTCAGTGTAGGCCTCAATGGTCTCTGAAATGTCCCCTTGTAGATTCTACAAATAGAGTTGTTGCAACCTGATAAATCAAACATTTAATTCTGTGAGATAAATCCATAAATCTACACATCTCAAAGCATTTTCACAGATAGCTTGTTTCTGGTTTTTATCATGGGATATTTGATTTTTCACTATAGACCTCAATAGGCTCTGAAATGTCCCCTCATAGAGTCTACAAAAAGAGTGTTTTCAATCTGCTGAATAAAAACAAAGATTTAACTCTGTGACATAAAATAATAAATCATAAAATATTTTCACAGTTGGCTTGTTTCTAGTTTTTATCACACAATACTCAGTTTTTCATGACAGGGCACAATGGGCTCCAAAATGTCCCTTTGTACATTCTACAAAAAGAGTGATTTTGGCCTGCTGAATAAAAAAAAAGGTTTTATACTGTGAGAGGAATCCACACATAGGAAGGAATTTTCACAGATAGCTTGTGTCTAGTTTTCATGGCAGGATGTTCAGTTTTTTCATATACTTCTTGAAGGGCTCTGAAATGTCCCTTCATAGACTCTACAAAGAGAGCATTTACAACCTGCTGAATAAAAACAAAGGTTTAACTCTGTGATTTGAATCCAGACATTGCAAAGCGTTCTCATATATAGCTTGTTTCTAGTTTTTATCTTGAGATATAACGTTTTTAACTTTAGGCCTTAATGTTCTCCGAAATGTGCCATTTTAGTTTCTACAAAAAGAATGTTTCAACCTGCTGAATTAAAACAAGGTTTAACTCTGTGATATGAATTGACACATCACAAAGTATTTTCACAGATAGCTTTTTACTAGTTTTTGTCATGGGATTTTCAGTTTTTCACTAATGGCTTTCATGTGCTCTGAAATGTCCCTATGTAGATTTTACAAAAAGAGTGTTTCCAACCTACTGAATCAAAACAAGGGTTTAAATCTGTGAGATATATCCATACATTGCAAAGCACTTTCACAGATTGCTAGTTTCTAGCTTTTATCATGAGATACTTGGTTTTTCACTATAGACCTCGATAGGCTCCCAAATGACTCTCATAGATTGTACAAAAAGAGGGTTTTCAAAGTGCTGAATCAAAATAAAGATTTAACTCAGGTGAATCCACACATTGCAAAATACTTTCACAGATAGCTTGGATTTGTTTGTTTGTTTGTTTTGTTTTTATCGTGGATATTTCGTTTTTCACTATAGGCTTCAATGGGCACCAAAATGTCTTCTTCTAGATTCTACAAACTGACTGTTTCCAACTTGCTTAATCAAAACAAAGGCTTAACTCTGTGATATGAATACACACATCCCAAAGGATTTTCACAGATAGCTTGTTTCTAGCTTATATCTCCTCGTATTTTGTTTTTCACTGTAGGTTTCAATGGGCTTTGAAATGTTTCTTCGTAGATTGTGCAAAAAGAGTTTTTCAAATCTGCCAAATTAAAACGGATGTTTAACTCTTTGAGATGAATCCACACACTGCAAAGCATTTTCACAGATAGCTTGTTTCTAGTTTTTATCATGGGATATTCGGTCTTTCACTGTAGTAGTCCTGAACGGACTCTGAAATGGCCCTTAGTAGATTCTACAAAAAGAGTGTTTCCAACCTGCTGAATCAATACAAATGTTTAACTCTGTGAAAGGAATCCACACAATGCAAAGCGTTTTCACAGATAGCTTGTTTGTAGTTTTTATTGCAGGATATACAGTGTTTTAATGTACTTGTCCATGGGCTCCGAAATGTCCCTTCATATATTCTACAAAAATAGTGCTTTCAACCTGCTGAAAAAATAACATATGTTTAACTCTGAGAGATGATTCCCCAAATCACAAGAACTTTTCACAGATAGCTTGTTTCTAGTTTTCATTGTGGGATATTTAACTTTTCACTATAGGTCTCAATGAGCTTTGTAATGTCCTTTTGTACAATCTGCAAAAAGAGGGTTTCCAGCCTGCTGAATCAAAACAAAGGTTTAACTCTGTGAGATAGATCCACACATTGCAAAAAATTTTCACAGATATCTTGTTTCTGCTTTTCATCGTAGGATACTCGCTTTTTCCAAATACTTCTCCAGGGGCTCCATATTGTCCCTTCGTAGATTCCACAAAAAGAGTGTTTCCAACCAGCTAAATCAAAACAAAGGTTTAAATCTATGAGTTAAATCTACACATTGCAAAGCATTTTCGCAGATAGCCTGTTTCTCATTTTTATCACAGGATATTCAGTTTTTCACCATAGGCCTCAATGGGCACTAAAATGTCTTCTCATAGGTTCTAAAAACAGACTGCTTTCAACCTGCTTAATCAAAAGAAAGCTTTAACTCCATGATATGAATCCACACATTGGAAAGCATTTTCACAGATAGCTTGTTCGTAGTTTTTTTCTCCACATATTTTGTTTTTCACTATAGGCTTCAATAGGCTTTGAAATATTTCTTTGTAGATTCTGCAAAAAGAGTTTTTCCAACCTGCATATTTAAAACACCAGTTTAACTCTGTGGCATGAATCCACAATGGCAAAGCATTTTCACAGATAGCTTTTTTCTTTTTTTTTTTTTTTCTGTGGGATATTTGGTCTTTCACTGTAGGTCTCAATGGGCTCTGAAATGGCCCTTCATAGATTCTACATAAAGAGTGTTTCCAACCTGCTGAATCAAAATAAATATTTAACTCTGAAAGATGAATCCACACATCACAAAGCATTTTCAGATATAGACTTTTATTGTTTTTATTGTGAAATATTCTGTTTTTTACTATAGGCATCAATGGGTGTGAAATATCCCTTCATGTATTCTATAAAATAGTGTTTTCATCCTGCTGAATAAATGCAAAGGTTTAAATCTGTGAGATGCACCCACACATTGCAAAGCATTTTCAAAGACAGCTTGTTTCTACTTTTATCATGAGATATTTCGTATTTCACTATGGGCCTCAATGGGCTTCAAGCTGTCCCTTTGTAGATTCTACACAAAGAGTGTTTCCAATCTGCTTAATCAAAAAATGATTAACTCTCTGAGATGAATCCACACATCACAAAGAATTTTTACTGATAGCTTGCTTCTGGATGTTATCGTGGGATAATCTGTTTTTCATCAACCTGCTGAATCACAAGAAAGATTTAACTCTGTGAGATGAAATCACACATAGCATATAACTTTCAGACACAGTTTTTTTGTAGTTTTTATCACAGGACATTAAGTTTTTCACTACAGGCTTCAATGGGCTTTGAAATGTCCTTGTGTAGATTGTACAAAGAGAGTGTGTTCAACCTGCTGAATGAAAACAATGTTTAATTCTTTGAGATGAATCCACACATCCCAAAGCATTTTTACAGATAGGTTGTTTCTGTTTTTTATCATGAGATATTAGGGTTTTCACTATAGGTTTCAATGGGCTCTGAAATGTTTCTTCGTACATTCTAGAAAAGGAGTGTTTCAATTCTGATTGAATTGAGTGTTCTGATTCTGCCGAATCAGAGGAAAGTTTTAACTCTGTGAGTTGGATCCACACGTTGCAAAGCTTTTTCACAGATAGCTTGCTTCTAGTTTCTTTCATGGGATATTTGGTTTTTCACTATAGGCCTCAATGGGCTCCGAAATGTTTTTATGTAGAATCTACAAAAAGAGTGTTTCCAAATTGCTGAATTAAAACAAAGGTTTAAATATGTGACATTATTTCACAGATCACAAAGCATTTTCACAGATAGCTTGTTTCTAGTTTTTATCGCAGGATATTTGGTTTTAAACTCCAGGCCTCGATGTGCTTCAAAATGTCTCATCTTAGATTCTACAAAAAAACATGTTTCCAACGTGCTGAATCAAAACAAAAAGTTGGCTCTGTGAGATAATTCCATGCCTCACAAAGCGTTTTGACAGATAGCTTGCATCAAGTTTTCATCACGGGATATTCCATTTTTCTCTATAGGCATCCGTGGGCTCCAAAATGTCCCTTTGTAGATTCTACAGTGAAAGTGTTTCTAAACTGCTGAATTAAAACAAAGATTTAGCTTTGTGAGATAAATCCAGACAACACAAAGCATTTCACTGATAGTTTGTTTCTAGTTTTTATCACAGGATAGTCAGTTTCTTACTATAGGCCTCAATTTGCTCTGTAATATCCCCTCTTAGATTCCAGAAAAGGAGAGTTTCCAGCCTACTGAATCACAAGAAATGTTTAACTCTGTGAGACAAAATCACACATTGGAAAGCATTTTCAGACATAGCTTCTTTGTAGTTTTTAATTGTGGGATATTTGGTGTTTCACTATAGGCCTCAATGGATTTTGAAATTTTCCTTCATAGAGACACAGAAAAAGTGTCTTTATCCTTCTGAATCAAAACAAAGTTTTAACTGTGAAAAGAAAATCCACACATAGCAAAGCATTTTTACCATATCTGCTAACAAGGAAACTCTTGTTCTCCCACTTTTATCAGAGGGCTGCATGATTCCTATAGGATGAGAAGAAGGCAGTGGTATCTGGATTTGCCTGGTCATCTAGGCTCTGTTACAATCATCTGCATGTTATTTTTCATTGTGGAAGGGATCTTTTATTGATCTGTTGCTAGGGGGGACTGCCCCTCTCTACAGATCTTTTGGCTGCCAGAGATTTCAGGGAGCAAAAAGTCCTTCGGGTAGGCTGGCTGCACTCCAGGTTGTGAGTAGTGGTCTCACCGTGGGGGATTGGGGTGTTTGCAGGAGGCTTTTGGGTCCTCTGGCAGGAATCCTTGAACATGGCTTGGACTCTAGCACAGGCCCTCTTATTTGCCAAGGCAAGCATTGATTTTCCATTGTTTTCATAAGGAGTCCATACTACTCTTCATCAGCGCTCCTAAACACACTTTTTTGGCTTGCAATTGCCTCAGACAGCCACTGAGACACTCTCTGAACTGCATCTGCACCCGTGAGGTCAGTTCGAAGTGTGAGACTCTTCTTCACCTTGAACTTGCCTTTGTCATGGTTCCTGCCTTTCCCAGAGAGCCATGTTGAGAAGCAGGAGCCCCTGTGAGGCCCAGGATGAAGGGAGGCAGTGAGCTCAAGGGCCCTGCCATTTTCAGCTGACATCTGCCTCTGGGGTCTTGGGTATGATTTCATCACCTGGACACCCCTTAACATCTCAGCAGACTGTATTCCCTTCCCCCATGGGACCCAATTCTTGCACACAGCCTCTTTGGGGAATGGAATCAGAGGAACAGTTTCCAGCACCCACATCACAGTCTCCAAGTGCCTCCCCCTCCAGCGGGACCTGACCATGAAGATGGCCAAAGAGGCCTGCCTAGAGGGTGCAGGGTGAGTCTTTTTGAAATTTGCCCCCCTCCGTGATGTCTAGGTACAGCCCGCCTGTGTTCCCCAGGCTGCTCTCTCCCAAGAGGAGCTTCCTGCAGAAACACACAGACTCTGAAACTGCTAGGATGTGTGTTTCTGTGGGAATGTTTCAAGTTGTGGATATCTGCGTGTGAGTGTGGTCATGTGAGTGTGTGTGTGTGTGTGTGTGTGTGTGTCTGTGTGTGGGAGTAAGTGGAGTCTGCTGAAAGAAATGTGGCTAACACACTGCAGCAATGTTTTTTGTCACCCCACATTTCAGTGGCCTGTCTCTGTGGCTCTGCTGGGGCTGAGGGTCTCCATGTTCTTCATTTTTCCATGGCTCCTGAATCCACAGTGAATTGGAAGAATGGCTGACAACCGCCGGGGTCAAAATCACCTCCCCTTGCCAAAAAGCCACATTTCTACAAAGAAGAGAAGCACACCACACCCCAAAAACAGACAACTCCCCATGCTTTATTGTTCTGTGGCCAACCCAGGGTCAGACCCCAGCAGTCCTGTCACAGGGCTTCTTGAATTTACCTTGATTTTGGTTTGTAGCTGAGCAGGTGCTTCAGGTCATCAGGGAGGCACTCCTCCATTGTCTCGGAATTTTATTCTGGGACACAGAGTGTGAGCAACAATAAGGTCAGATAGGGGTGAGGATAGAATCTGTTGAGGTGTGGATGGGATCTCGCACCTTCACCTGCAAAAAAGGTGCAGATAGATGACACAGAAGTTGCTTCCAACTGCATCCCCTAATTCCCTTCATTGCACAGTCAACAGCATGGCCTGGTGCCCAGGTGGGATGACTCAATCGTGCAGGGAAAAGTTGGATTGCAAACTGGAGCCCTTCTGGCCAGCTCCAGAATTGAGCTTTCATTCCTGGAGCCACATGGGAGTGAGATGGATTGATGCTGGGTTGGATGTGGCCTCCACACTGGCCTCCTCTTTTCCTGACTTCCATGTTCCTTGTGGGCCTAGAGTTTCCTAGGTCTGGCTCAGTCTGACTTCCATGTTCCTCATGAACCTGGGGTTTTTCTGGGTCTGGCTCAAAGTCTTCCACACTAAAAGTTTCCCAGTTCGTGGAGGACGATTCTCATGGGAATCCATTGCATGAGTGTTTTCTTATAAACACTGTCACATTTTAATGACTGGGCAGTTGTGATACTTTTGGGTTCATAAATTTCGATTATATCCACCATCAAGATAACTCTTGTTCTCCCACTTCTAAAGGACAGCTGCATGACTCCTGTAGGATGAGAAACAGGCAGCTGTGTCTGGCTTTTACCTGGAAATCTAGACTCTGTTTCATGTCGTCTGCACTTCCTTTCTCATTGTGGATGGGGTATTTCATTGGGCTGTTGGTGGGTGGGACTGACTTTCATTGTGGATATTTTGGTTGCCAGGAATATCAGAGAGCAAAAGGTATTTTGGGTAGGCTGGTTGCACACCAGGTTGTGGGTAGTGGTCTCATAGTGGTGGCTGGCATTGTTTGCACTTTGCAGGAGGCTTTTAAGTCCTCTGGCAGGAATCCTTGAACATGGCTTGGATTCCGGCACAAGTCTGCTCATTCTCCCAGGAGAGACTTGATTTTTCTTTGCTTTCATTGGGGGTCCACAGTGCCCATCAACAGCACTCCTGGACTTTATTTTCAGGTTTCAAATTGCCCCAGACAGCCTCTGAGACACTCTCTCAACCTCAAGTGCACTTGTGAGAGGCCTGTTTTAGGTGTGAGAACACTGTTCCACCTTGGACTTGCCTTTGTCATGGTTCCTGCCTTTCCCAGAGAGCCGTGCTGAGAAGCAGGAGCCCCTGTGAGGCCCAGGATGAAGGAAGGCAGGGGGTTCAATGGCCTGGCCATCTTCCACTGACACCTGCCTCTTGGATCTCAGATATTATTCCATCACCTGGAGACCTCTTAACAACTCACCAGACTTTATTCCCATCCCCAGGAGACCCAATTCATGCACACAGCCTCTTTTGGGAATGGAGTCAGAAGAGCAGTCTCCAGAGCCCACCTCACAGTCTTGAAACTCCTCCTTCTCCTGTGAGACCCTACCACGGAGATGGCTCATGAAGGCTCTATGTTCGAGACTATTAGCATGCTGCAGTGGGTTGCTGCAGGCAGCCTTTTTCTGGAGACTAGGCCAGCTCTGGCTGTACCATTTTCCTGAGCTTTGCCAGGCTTACAGCCCTGACAGCCAGGTGCCTGAGCCTGCTTGGTGAATGCGCATGTGACAGCCAGGTCACCAGGCACCAGTGGTGAACAGCGGCTCACGTCACAGTGAAGCCACCATTGTCTGGTGACAAGTCCCTTCATCTTGGCGGAGAAGGAGTCCTCTGTGGATGTGTGTCAGCATTGAACTCTCACCTGTCTACTCTGAGGGCTCTATGGGATATTCCCACAATCCTAGGAGCGGACAGTGGCGAGCCAGCCTGAAGAAACATCAAGTGGAGCCCCAGGAATAAACCATGAAATCCCTGAGGATCCAAAAGGATACCCACGATGAGTCAGGCCCGCCTAGATGGTGTGGGAGTGAGTCTTTTTGAAAATTCCCTCCCTGTGATTTCTAGATACAGCCTGCCTCTGTTTTCCAGGGCTGCTGTCTCTCAGAAGGGGCTTTCTGCAGAACCGTGCATCCTCAGGAGCTGCCAGGCTGTGTGTTTCTCTGGGAGGGTTGTGAGTGTTTGAATGTCTGCGTTTGTGTGTGTGGCTGTATGTGAGTGTGTTTGTGTGTATGTGTGTGTGTGAGGGGCATCTGCTAAAAGGAATGTGTTTAATGCACTGCAGCACTTTTTTTTCTGAGTCCCTTCACCTTCTGGTGCACCTGTCTGTGTGGCTCTGCTTGGCCTATGGGGCTGCATGTTCTTTGTTTTTCCATGGTTCCTGAGTCCACGGTGAGTTGGGGGGATGGTTGAGACTCACAGGTGTACAAATCACCCCCCCATACGAAGGAACCACTCTTCTAGAAAGAAGAGGAGCACACCGCTCTCAGGAGCAGACACCTGTCAGGGCCTCATTGTCCTGTGGCCAACCCAAGGCGGTACCCTAGCAGTCCTGTCCGCAGGCCACTTGAATCCAATTCGAATTCGGTTTGCAGCCGAGCATGTGCTTCACATCATGAAGGGAGCACTCCTCCAACATCTTGGGATTTCATTCCAGAACTAGGAGTGTGAGCAGCAATTAGGTCAGATACAGGTGAGCATACAGTCTGCTGAGGTGTGGATGGGGTCCTGCACCTTCATCTGCCAAAAAAGGTGCAGATGACACAGGAAGTGCTTCCAACTCCATCCTTGCATTCCCTTCATTGCACAAGCTGTCCACAACACGGCCCCATGGTCAGGTGGGAGGACTCCAACTTGCGGGGAATAAAAAAAAGGTTTAACTGATACAAAAAGGCTTATCTCTGTAAGATGAATCCACACATCACAAATCATTTTGCTTCTTTCTAGTTTTTATGCTGGGATATTAGGTTTTTCAGTTTAGTTCACAATAGGCTCCGAAATGTCCCTTCATAGATTCTACAAAAAAGGTGTTTTCATCCTGTTGAATCAAAACAAAGGTTTAACTCTGAGATAAATCCACTCTTCACAAAGCATTTTCACAGATAGACAGTTTTTAGTTTTTACCGTGAAATATTTGGTGTTTTACTTTAGTCCTCAATGTTCACAAAAATGTCTTTTTTTTTGTATATGCTACATAAAGAGTGATCTCAACCTACTGAATGATAATAAAGGTTTAACTTTGTGAGATGAATCTGCACATCACAAAGCATTTTCACTAATAGGTTGTTGCTAGTATGTATCGTGGCATACTCAGTTTTTCAATATTCTTGTCATTGGGCTCCAAAATGTCCTTTTGTGGATTCTTTAAAAAGAGTGTTTCCAACGTGCTGAATCAATATAAAGGTTTACCTCTGTGAGATGAATCCACGCACCACCAAGCATTTTCAAATATTGCTTGTTTCTAGTTTTTATCTTGAAATATTCATTTTTTCACTATAGGCCTCAGTGAGCTCCAAAATGTCCCTTCACAGCTTGTACAAAAAGAGTGTTGCCAACCTGCTGAATCAAAACAAAGGTTTAAGTTTGTGAGACAAATCCACATATCAGAAAGCATTTTCACAGATAGCTTGCTGCTAGTTTTAATCACTGGTATTAGGTTTTTCAGTATGGCCTTCAGTGTACTTTGAAACGTCCCTTTGTAGATTCTATTAAAAGACTGTTTTCAGCCTGCTGAATCCAAACAAAGGTTTAACTCTGTAAAATGAACCCACACATGGCAAAGCATTTACACAGATAGCTTGTTTCTAGTTTTTATTGCAGAATATTCAGTTTTCCACAGTAGGCCTCAATGGGCTCTGAAATATCCCTTTATAGATTCTACAAAGAGTTTTTCCAACCTGATGAATCAAAAAAAAGTTTTATCTCTGATAAATGAATTCACACATCATAAAACATTTTCACAGATATTTTGTTTCTAGTTTTTGTCACAGGATATTAGGTTTTTCTCTATAGGCCTCAATGGGCTCCGAAATGTTCCTTCCTAGATTCTACAAAAAGAGTGTTTCCAACCTGCTGAATCAAAATAAAGGTTTATCTCTGTCAGATGAATGAACACATCACAAAGCATTTTCACAGATAACTTGTTTCAAGTTTTTATGATAAGATATTTCGTTTTCCACTGCAGGCCTCAATTGGCTTCAAAATATTCCTTTGAATGTTCTTCAAAAAAAGTGTTTTTGACTTGCTGCCACAAAACAAAGGTTTAACTTTGTGAGATAAATCCACGCATTGGAAAGTATTTTCACAGATAGCTTGTTTCCTGTTTTTATAGCAGAATTAAATAAGGTTTTACAAATATAGGCCTCTATGGGCTATGAAATGTCGCTTCATAGATTCTAAAAAAGAGTTTTTCCAAGCCGCTGAATCAAAACAATTTTAACTCTCAGTTGAATCCACACAACGCAAAGGATTTTCACTGATAGATTTTTCTAGTTTTTATCAAGGAATATTTGTTTTTTTATTATAGTTCTCAATGGGCCCTGAAATGTCTTTTAATACATTCCAGAATTAGACTGTCTGCAACCTGCTGAATAAAAACAAAGGTTTAACTCTGGGAGATGCATCCATACATCACAAAGCATTTTCACAGACAACTTATTTCTAGTTTTCATTGTGGGACATTTGATTTCTTAAAAGAGGCCTCAATGGGCTCCAAAATGTCCCTTCGTAGATTCTCCATAAATAGTGCTTCCAATCTGCTAAATCAAAACACAGCTTTAAACTTGTGAGATGAATCCACTCATTGCAAAGCATTTTCACATAAAACTTTTTCTAGTTTTCATCATGGGACATTTGTATTTTTACTACAGGCCTCAATGGGCTCCAAAGTGTCTCTTCATAGGTTCTACAAAAAAGAAGTGTTCCCAACCTGCCTTCCATAGATTTTCCAGAAACAGTGTTTTCAACCTCCTGAATCAAAACAAAGATTTAACTGTGTGATGAATCCAGACATCAGAAAGCATTTTCACAGGTAGCTTTTTTCTAGTTTTTATCGTGGGATATTGGTTTTTCACTACCTGCCAAAATGGGCTCCAAATTGACCTCTCATAGATTCTACAAGCACAGAGTTTCCAACCTTCTGATGCAATACAAAGGTTTAACTTCGTATGATAAATCTACACATCACAAAGCATTTTTACAGATACCTTGTTTCTAGCTTTTATCACAGTATATTCTGTTTTTCACTACAGGCCTCAATTTGCTCTGAAATGTCCTGTCATATATTCTACAATAAGAATGTTTCCAACCTGCTGAATAAAGAGAAAGATTTAACTCTATGAGATGAAATCACACATCTTAAAGCATTTTCAGAGATAGCTTCTTTATAGTTTTTTTTAGGATTTTAGATTTTTCACTATAAGCCTGAATCAATGGGCTTTGAGATATCTCCTCATCAATTGTACAAAAAGAGAGTTTCCAACCTGCGGAATCAAAACAAAGGTTTAACATTGTGAGACAAATCCACAAATTGCAAAGCATTTTTACAGATAACTTGTTTCTAGTTTTTATCACAGGATATTTGGTTTTTCACTATAGGCCTCAGGGGGCTAAGAAAAGTCCTCTCTTTGATTCTACAAAATGAATGTTTCCAACCTGCTAAGTTTACAACCTGCTGAATCAAAACTAACATTCAACTCTGTTAGATGAATCCACACATCGCAAAGTATTTTCACAGATAGCTAGTTTCTAATTTTCATCGTGGGATATTCAGTTTTTTACTGCAGGCCTCATTGGGCTTGAAATGTCCCCTTGCAGATTCTAGAAAAATAGTGTTTCCAACCTGCTAAGTCAAAATAAAGGTTAAACTCTGTGAGATGAAACCACACATTGCAAAACATTTTTACAGATAGCTTGTTCTAGTTTTTATCATGGCATATGTGGTTTTTCACTATAGGCCTCAATGAGCTCCAAAATGTCCCTTCCTTTATTCTACAAAAAGAATGTTTCTAACCTGCCCAATCAAAACAAGGTTTAACTCTGTGAGATGATTCTACACATTGCAAAACATTTTCACACATAGCTTGTTTCTAGTTTTTATCCTGGGATATTTGGTTTTTAGTATAGGCCTCTATGGGCTCCAAAATATTCCTTCATAGATATTACAAAAAGAGGGTTTTCAACTTTCTGAACCAAAGCAAGGGTTTACCTCTGCGAGATAAATCCACACATCTCAAAGCATTTTCACAGGTAATTTGTTGTCAGTTTTTATCAGGGATATTCGTTTTTTTATAATAGGCCTCAAGAACTCAGAAATTTCTTATTTTAGATTCTACTAAAAGAGAGTTTCCAACCTGCTGTATATAAACATAGGTATAACTCCATGAGATAAATCCACACATCACAAACATTTTCACAGATAGCTCGTTTCTAGCTTTTATCACAAGATATTCAGTTTTCACTATAGGCCTCAGTGGACTCTGAAATGTTCCTTTGTAGATTCTACAAAAGAGTGTTTGAAACCTGAAGAATAGAAACAAAATTTAACTCTGTGAGATGAATCCACACATCACAGAGCATTTTCACTAATAATTTGTTGCTAGTTTCTATGGTGGGATATATAGTTTATCAATATACTCATCCATGGGCTTCAAAATATCCCTTCATTGATTCTTAAAAAAGAGTGTTTCCAAACTGCTAAGTCAAAACAAATGTTTAACTCTGAGGGCTAACCCACGCATCACAAAGCACTTTCACAGATAGTCACTGGAACGCTGGCCTTTCTGGAAAAGCCACCTTTTTGGCACCCATCCCCTCATGCCTGTGGCAGTGGCACAGTGCTCTATCCTGCCTGGGCTTTGGCCTCTGCTTTGTCCTTCCTCTTGCTCTGTCTCCCCTGTTTCTGAGTGGCCTAGATGCCTCTCGCTCTGGCTGAATATCTTCAACAATGATCACATCCCAGTCCATCAGGGAGACACCTTCTGGAGATCCCTGTTGTGATTGTTTCTCTCTTTCAACCTGTTTCTGCTTGATAGGGCAGGATTGACGACCCTGGAGCTCTTGGCTTCCATACTTGTCTCAGACAGGGAAGCTTCCTTCCTCTCTGTGTTTCACCTTATGGGTGGGTGGATTGCCTGGAATGAGCACTAGGCGACCATGACAGGCTTGTCTTCTAGGACAGGTGGTGTCGCATTTCCCCTGCACTTCATGTCTCATTCATGAGAGACATCTCTCTTCTGCTCCTGGGTGGACTGACTCCCTGGATCTTTTGACCATAATGAATATCGGGGAAAGGAACCAAAGGGACTGGGCTGGGGCTGGGGCTGGGGCTGGTTGCAGGGAAGGTTGGGTCAGGGCTACCTTGGCCGTGGAGGGTTGGGGGTGGGGTGAATTTTGCAGAAACCTCTTTAGTCCTCCGGCAGGCATTTCAAAATGTGGCTTGGACTCAGGCACAGGCCCCCTCCTGGTTCCCAGATGTTCTTTGATTTTCCTTAGCATTGATGGAAAGGTCACTTGATCTGCCCTTCCACCAGACACATGCCTGGACACCATTGTTGGTTTTGCCATCGCCCCATATGCCTCCGGTGACACACATTCACACCATCTGCTCTGGGATACGCCAGTGCCACGCTTGATCGCATTGGCCTCACCTCGGAATCGCCTCTGTCTTTGTTTGCACATGTCCTGGAAAGCAGTGTTGGCTTGGAGGAGCCCCAGGGCTTTTAGAAGCGGGGCAGGCCGCTGCTCTTTCAAAGGGGGAGGGAGGCAGAGGGCTCAGGGATCAGTGAATTTTCAGCTGACACCACGCGTTGAGGCCCATTCTGTGCTGCAGGGAGGCCCTGCCTGCCTCACCAGATGTGGTGAACCCATCCTATCTCACTCGGAGGGGTCCAAAATCAGATCTGAAGGGGAGTCCTGAGAACCTAGCAGGCGCCCTGAAGCTCCCCGTCCATCGGTGGAAGTCGCTCAAGGAGGTCCTGAAGACTGGACTCCTGGGGGTTTGGCCCTGGGCCAGGACACCTGCGGCCACCTCTCCCACGCGGCCCCAAACGGGACCCCAGATCCAGCCACTGCCAAGGCTGCAGGAGTAGCCCCCCTGCCGCTGCACAGCCGCGGCCTTATTTAAAGGGGACTGAGCCCCACTGCCAGGAGCAGAGCGTTAGTCCGCCCAGCCAATGCGCATGCGCGAGGCGCGAGCGGATTCTCCCGTCACAGTGCTTCCCATGGTTGTCTTAGAAACCAGTCCCTGAGGCTTGGCAAAGCAGGAGTCCTCCTTGGCAGCGCTTGGGTGTCGGGATTCCGAGGTTTCAGTCTGACCTCTCCACGGGGTCGACAGGAATGTCTCCAGATGCCAGGAGTCGCAAAGCGCCGACCAGGATGACGAGACCACTGGCGGAGTCCAGGGGAAGCAGCAAGGCATCCCAGCCTCAGGCCTGCCTGCACGGTGTTTGGGTGAGTCTCCCCAAAAGTCGTGCCCCCGGGATCTCAAGGACAGATCGGCCTGCGTGCCCCTGGGCTGCTCTCTCAGCCTAGGGTCGTTCTCATCCAGATCAGAACCCTGCAGCCTCAGGGGTTGCCTGGCGGGGTGTGTTTCTGTGCCACTGCTGTATGATTGTGTGTGTGTGTGTGTGTGTGTGTGTGTCTCCCATTCTCTCTTCTCTCTCTGTCTCTCACTCACTGTGTGCTTCTTTCCCTCTCTCTGTCGGTTTCTGTGTGTGCCCGTGTGCAAGTGTGTCTTTGGACGAATGTGCCCTGTGCGCCACAAAGCGATTTCTTGCATGGTGGCCTGTCTTTGGTGAGCCTCTTTCTGCATCTCTGCCTGGGTCATGAGGCTGGTTGTCAATTGTTTTTGCCGCTGCAAAGCCGCTTTGGGTGTGTGAAGACCTGGTCCATGTGAGGAGACGCGTCGGTCCCGGAGCAATTGAAATCTCATCCCCATCCTGAGCGGCCTCTTTTTTAGGATCAAGATGACCACACTGCAGCCAAGGACAAAAGCCCCACAGGAGCTCATTGTACTGCAGGAGAGGAGTGGACCCACGTCAGAAATGAGGTTGTACCTTTTCCCGGCTTTTCTGTGAGCAATGAAGCCACATCACGATAGAGTCTTGAAGAGGAATCCGGGAATGGGAGTTGGCAACAATCCCTGTCACTGGAACGCTGGCCTCTCTGGACAAGCCACACTTCTGGCCCCCCTCCCCTTGTGCTCGTGGAGGTGGCACGGTGCTGTATCCTCCCTGAACTCTGGCCTCTGCCCTGCCTTCCCTCTCGCTCTGTCTCCCCTGTTTCTTAGGCACCTAGATGCCTCTCGCTCTGGCTGAATGTCTTCAACAAAGATCACTTCCCAGTCTCTCAGGGAGACACTTCCTGGAGATCCGTGTCATGATTGTTTCTCTCTCCAAACCTGTTTCTGCTTGATTGGGCAGGTTTGATGTCCCTGGAGCTCTTGGCTTCCATGCGTGCCTCAGACAGGGAAGCTACCTTGGTCTCCATTTTTCACCTCATGTGTAGGTGGATTGCCTAGAAGCAACGGTAAGCCACCGTGACTGGCCTTGTCTTCTAGGACAGGCACGGTGTTGCATGTCCTCTGCATCTCCTGTCTCATTCTTGAGGGACATCCTCTCCTCTGCTCCTGGGCGGACTGACTCCCTGAATCTTTTGGACCCCTCCTGGATCCCAGGTGTTCTTTGATTTTGGTTGGCATTGATGGAAAGGTCACTTGTGCCCCTCTTCAGCCGGGCACATGCCTGGACACCATTGCTTGTTTCGCCATCGCCCCATATGCCCTCGGTGACACACATCCATTCCATCTGCTCTGGTATACGCCAGTGCCACACGTGGTCGCCTTGGCTCCACCTGGGAATCGCCTCTGTCCCTGTTTGCACTTGTCCTGGAAAGCGGTATCAGCTTGCAGAAGCCCCAGGACTTTTAGAACCGGGGCAGGCCACTGCTCTTTCAATGGAGGAGGGAGGCAGACAGCTCATGGGTCAGTGAATTTTCAGCTGACACTATGCTTTGAGGCTCCTGGGAACATTCTGTGTTGCAGTGAGTCCCGGCCTGCCTTAGCAGATGTGGTGATCCCATCCTTTCTCACCCTGAGGGGTCCAAGATGTGATTCAAAGAGGAGTCCTGAGACCCCAGCAGGCACCCTCGAGCTCTCCCTCCATCGGTGGAAGTCGGCTCAAGCAGGTCCTGAAGACGGGACTCCTGAGGGTTTGGCCTTAGGTCGCCCGTGGACCTCTCTCCTACGCCGCCCCCTACTGGGTCCTGGATCCAGAGGCCACGGAGGCTGTGGCAGGAGCCCCCCTGCCGCCGTGCAGCTGCCATTGTTTCAAGGGGACTCGCCTGACTGCCAGGAGCGGAGCGCGAGTCGGTCCAGCCAATGCGCATGCGCGAGGTGAGATCCGCTTCTCCCATCACAGTGATTCCCATGGTTGTCTTAGAAACCAGTCCAGGAGGCTTGGCAAAGCAGGAGCCCTCCGTGGCAGTACTTGGGCATCGGGGCTCCGAGGCTCTGGCCTGACCTCTCCACGGGGTCGACAGGAACGTCTCTGGATGCCAAGAGTCGCAAAGGGCCGACCAGGATGAAGAAACCCCCGGCGGAGTCCGTAGGAAGCACCACAGCAGCCTAGCCTCAGGCCTGCCCAGAAGGTGTTCGGGTGAGTCTCCCCAAATTCGTGCCCCCGTGATCTCTAGGACAGGCCTGCCTGTGTGCCCTTGGGCTGCTCTGTCACCCGAGGGTCATTCTCGTCGACAGCAGAACCCCCCAGCCTCAGGGGTGGCATTCGGGCTGAGGAGGGTGTGTTTCCATGCCACTGCCGTGTGACGGTGTGTGTATGTGTATGTGTGTGTGTCTCCCATTCTCTCCTCTCTCGCTGTCTCTCACTCTGTTTCTTTCCCTCTCTCTGTCGGTGTGTGTGTGGGTGTGTGTTTGTGTATGCGTGCCCTGGTGTGTTTGTGCGTTTGGACGTATGTGCCTGTGAGCCAGAAAGCTATTTCTTGCATGTCGGCTGGTCTTTGGTGAGCCTCTTTCTGCATCTCTGCCTGGTTCATGTGGCCGGCTGTCAGTCGTTTTCCTGGCCGTTCCACTTTGGGTTTGTGAAGGCCTTGACCACGTGAGGAGACGCGTTGGTCCGGAGCAATTGAACTATCATCCCCATCCTGAGCAGCCTCTTTTCTAGGATCAAAATGACCACACTCCACCCAAAGACAAAAGCCCCACAGGAGCTCACTGTCCTGCAGGAGAGGAGCAGACCCACGTCCAAGAAGATGATTGTATCTTTTCGTGGCTCTTCTCTGAGAAATGAAGCCACACCACGATACAGTCTTGAAGAGGAAGCTGGGAATGGGAGATGGCAACAATCCCTGTCACGGGAACGCTGGCCTCTCTGGACAAGCCACCGGTTCAGCACCCCTCCCCTTGTGCCCGTGGAGGTGGCAAAGTGCTGTATCCTACCTGGGCTCTGGCCCCTGCTCTGTCCTCCCTCTTGCTCTGTCTCCCGTTTCTGAGGGGCCTAGATGCATCTAGGTCTGGCTGAATGTCTTCAACAAAGATCACTTTCCAGTCCATCAGGGAGACACTTGGCGGACATGCGCATCACGATTTTTTCTCTCTCCCAACCTGTTTCTGCTTGATTGGGCTGGTTGGATGACCCTGGAGAGCTTGACTTCCATAGGTTTCTCAGACAGGCAAGCTACCTTCGTCTCCATGTTTCACCTCATTGGTTGGTGGATTGCCTAGAATGAGCAGCAGGCCACTGTGACCAGCCTAGTCTAAAACAGGCAGTGTCACATTTCATCTGCACTTCCAGTCTCATTATTGAGAAACATTCCCTCCTCTGCTTCTGGGTGGACTGACTCCCTGAATCTTTTGGCCTCCTGGATCCAGGTGTTCTTCAATATTCCTTGGCATTGATGCAAAGGTCACTTGTGCCCCCCTTCCACCTGGCACATGCCTGAACACCATCTTGTGTTTCGCCATCACCCCATATGCCTTCAGTGACACACATTCACACCATCTGCTCTGGGATACGCCAGTGCCACGCATGTTGGAATTGACTCCACTTTGGAATTGCCCTTGTCCCTGTTTGCATGTGCCCTGGAAAGAGGTATCAGCTTGCAAGCGCCCCAGAGCTTTTACAAGTGGGGCAGGCGACTGCTCTTTCAAAGGAGGAGGGAGGCAGAGGGCTCATGGGTCAGTGATTTTTCTGCTGACACCACACCTTGAGGCCCATGTGATCATTCTGCCCTGCAATGAGGCCCTTCCTTTCTCAGCAGATGTGGTGAGTCCATCCTTCTTCACCCGGAGGGGTCCAAAATCAGATCTTAAGAGGGGTCTTGAGATGCCAGCAGGTGCCCTGAAGCTCTCCCTCCACCGGTGGAAGTCAGCTCAAGGAAGTCTTTAAGACAGGACTCCTCGGGATTTGGCCCTGGGACCACCGCGGCCCTCTCTCCCCTGCCGCCCCCTACTGGAACCTGCATCCTGCCATCGCCGCGGCTGCAACAGGATTCTCCCTGCCACTGTGCAGTCGCCATTGTTTAAAGGGGCCACAGCCTGTCTTCCAGGAGCACAACGTGAGTAGGCCCAGCAAATGCCTATCCGCGAGGCTCTAGCTGATTCTCTCATCACATTGATTTCCATGGTTCTTAGAATCCAGCCCCTGAGGCTTGGCAAAGCAGGAGTTCTCTGTGGCCCTGCTTCCTTGTTGGGGCTCTGAGCCTCCAGCCTGACTCGCAAGGGTTTTAACACCCTTCCCATCCTCAGCTGCCTCTTTGCTAGGATCAAGACGACCACAACCCAACCAAGGACAAAGGCCTCACAGGTGCTCATTGTCCACCCCCAGGAGGGTGCCCACAGACCTTGAAGAAGACGGTTTTCACTCCTCTTGCACTTTGCCCTCATTCAGAAATCCAGGAACAGTTCGACACGGCGACAGAAAAGGAAGCCAGCAACGGGATGCAGCAAGCATTTCTGTCACCCAAACGCTGGCCTTCCTGGCCAAGTCACCCGCTTGACACTTTTTCCCGGATGCCCATGATGGTGGCTTTGTGCCGTATCCTGCCTGGGCGCTGGCCTCTACTCTGTCCTCCCTCTTGCTCTGTCTGCCCAGGCTCTGGGAATCCTAGAGCCTTCTTAGTCTGGCTCAACATCTTCAACAAAGAACACTTCCCAGTCCATCAGGGAGAAATTTCTTTGGGGTCCGTTTCATGATTGCTTCCCTCTGCAAAACCTATTTCTGGATGATTGGGCAGGTGTGATGATCCTGGAGCTCTGGGCTTCCATACCTGTCTTGGACAGCAAAGCTCCCTTGGTCTCCATGTCCAAAGTGATGGCTGTGTAGTCGGTCCAGGAAGAGCAGGAGGTGACCTGACCGTGGCTGACCTTTGTTTTCTAGGAAAGGCGGTGTTGCATCCCACCTGTACTTCTCTCTCATTCCTGAGGGCCATCTGGTTGCTCTGCTCCTGGGGAGAGTGCCTTCAAGCACTGAATCTTTTGGCTGCCACGAATGTCAGGGAACCGAGAGGACTGGGTTTTGCTGGGTGCAGGGGAGTTGGCATCAGAGGTACCTACCCACTGGCAGGATTGGGGTGGGATGTACTTTGTGGAAATCTCTGGGCCCCTCAGGCAGGCATCCCTGAATGTGGCTTGGACTCGGGCACAGGCCCTGTCTCGCAGGTTTTTAGGTGTGCTTGGCTTTTCCTCAGCTTTATGTGGGAGGTCCTAGTGGCCCACAGGCACACACTTGGACGTCACTGTCTGTCTCGGCATCACCCCATATGGCCTCAGAGACACACGCTCATTCCGTCTGCTCTTGGGTGACATCAGTGCCACTCGTGGTCACATTGGCTCCATCTCGGACTTGCCTCTTTCTCTCTTTGCACATGTGGCAGAAAGAAGTTTCGGGATGCCAGAGCCCCGGGCCTTGGAGATAAAGGCAGGCCACTGCTCCACCCAGGAAGGAGGGAGGCAGTGGGCTCATAGGTCATTGCATTTTCAGCCTACAGTACGCCTTACGGCCCTTGGGATCTTTCTGTGCCCCAGCGAGACCCTTCCCGCCTCACTACATTGTAACCCCATTTCTGATCCCCCTTTCGGATCCATAATCAGATCAGAAGAGGAGTCCGGAGAGCCCAGCGGCACCCTGAAGCTCCTCCTCCACCAGGAACTGAAGCAGAAGACGGATCGAGAAGGTCCTGACGACAGGACTCCTATGGGTCCAACCCTGGGTCTCCTGCAGGCCCCCTCCTAGTACCCTTCCCACCCGCCGCCTCGGACTGTACCACCGCCCCAGTCCCCGCAGTCAGCTGTGTTGCAGCCATGTTTTAAAGGGTCCGCAGCCTGACTCTCCAGAGCAAGGGCAGAGTCGGCCTCGCCAGCGCGCATGCGCGAGGTCCGAGCCACAGCTTTGGTAACAGTGTCCAGCACTGCTGCCCAGAAATAGGTTCCTGAGACTTGGCAAAGTAGGAGCCTTGTGTGATAGTGCGTCAGAGTCGAGACTGAGAGCAGTCCTGGCCAGGGTGTTAACAGGATGGTCTCCAGTGACCGGTATTCTCGGAGGGTCGACAACCAGGGAGAAACCTCAGGAGCAAGAAACCTCAGGCAGATCGCAGGGGAGGCAGCGCGAGATCCCAGCCTCAGGCCAGGATTTGCGGAGGGTTGATGAGGCCCCTCTCCCAATCTTCACTTCACCAGCCACCGCCCGAGTCCCCGCAGCCGCCGCTCCGCCATCATTTATTTTATCATTTTTTTAATAGTCGGAATCTCACCCTGTCACCCAGTCTGGAGTGCAGTGGCGGGATCTCAGCTCACTGCAAACTCTGCCGCCTGGGTTCAAATGATTCTCTTGCCTCCGCCTCGCGAGTACCTGGGATTAGAGGGATTAATCAGAGTCGAGGCTAAGACCAGTCCTGGCCAGGGCATCAACAGGATGATCTCTGGAGGCCGGGATTCACGGAGGGTCGTCCAAGAGGAAGAAACCGCTGGCGGAGGGCAGGAGAAGCAGGGCGGGATCCCAGCCTCAGGACTGCATGGACGGTGTGCCAGTGAGTATCTTCAAAAAAGGAGAGGTTTGCTTGTGTGCCCATGAGCTGCTCTCTCATTGGTGGGTCGTAGTTGCAGAGAGCAGAACACAGCAGCTTCAGGGGCTGCCTGGGGGTGGGTGTTACCGTGCCACTGCCCTATGTCTTTGTGCGTTTGTGTGTGTGCGTAAGTCTCTCTCTTATTTCTCTCTCTCTCCTTTCTCGCTCTTTCACTCTGTGCCCGTCTGTGTGTGCGTGTGTGTGTTGGGACACATGTGCCCTGTGTGCCAGAGGGCGGTATCTTGTACGTCGGCCTTTCTTCTGGTCACCCTCTCCCCGCGTCTCTGCCTGGGTCTTGAGGCCATTTGTCAGTCGTTTTTCCGGTGGTTCCAGTTTGGGTTTGTGAAGGTCTGGAAGAGGTGGGGAGCTGCGTCTATCTCATAAGGATTTAAATCACCTCCCCACCCTGAGAGGCCTCTTTTCTAGGATTAAGGCCTCCACCCCCGAGCCAAGGATAAAAGCCTCACCGGAGAGTTCATTGTCTACCTGCAGGAGCTGTGTAGAGTGACCTCAAAAAATATAGTTCTCATTTGTCTCTGTCTTTCATCTCCTTAAGAAATCTAGCCACAGGGTAACACAGGTTTTGAGAGGATGGGAACGGGACATGGCAAGGATCTGTGAGTGTGCAGACTGTGTTTCACATATCATTAAACATAGTCTAGTGAGGGTTCTGCAGATAGCTGGCATTTAGGTTTGTTTTATTGAATCAAGGAAAAGAAAAAATGCCAAGAAAAAATGATACAACTTGCCTGCCAGCCCATCTGATTGTTACCAATTTAATAGTAATTTTAATTTATCTTCTCATGTAAAGGTCCTTGGCAGTGATACCTAATTTCCTAAGATAGCCTTCTTTTATTTCATATGATTAAGATATCATGCATATCAGAGAATCTGGAAATTCTTCCCAATGCCGTCGACATACATGATTAATCACATTACCAAAATAACATACCAAAACAAACAACAGAAAATTATTTGTTACTTAGTTCCTTCAACTTTGTTTATCTAATTTGTGGTTCCTTCATGCACAAAACATTTCATGTGTGTCTGGCACTCTTCTGGTCACAAATTTCATCTTAAATAACCTAAGTATTGAAACGGTTGTGCCCTTTGATTGATTTTTCCTACATAAATACTTGGATAAAAAGCTACATTGAGGCTGGGCATAGTGGCTCACACCTCTAATCCCAGCTCTCTGGGAGGCTGAGGCCAGTGGATCACGAGATCAGGAGATCAAGACCATCCTGGCCAACATGGTGAAACCTCATCTCTTCAAAAACACAAATAATTAGCCAGGAGAGGCCAGGTGCTGGCTCACGCCTGTAACCCCACATTTTGGGAGGCTGAGGTTGGCAGATCACCTAAGGTCAGGAATTCGAGACCAGTCTGCCCAACATGGCAAAACCCTGTTTCTACTAAAAATACAAAAAATTAGCCGGGTGTGGTGGCAGACGCCTGTAATCCCAGCTACCCAGGAAGCTGAGGCAGGAGAATCGCTTGAACACAGGATGCAGAGGTTGCAGTGAGCTGAGATCATGCCGCTGCACTCCAGCCTGGGTGACAAGAGTGAAACTCTGTCTCAAAAACAACAAAAAAAAAAAAAGAAAGAAAGAAAGAAAGAAAGAAAAGAAACCTTGTCTATACTAAAAATACAAAAGTCAGACCCTGAAGGTCACATCTGAATGAGAAAGACATTGTTTGCCTCAAATTGTCTGACTCTAAGGAATAGTGCAGACTGGACAAGTGAGGTGACTCACACCTATAATTCCAGCACTTTGGGAGGCCGAGGAGGGTGGATCTCCTGAGGTCAGGAGCTCAAGACCAGCCTAGCCAAAATGGCAAAACTCTGTCTCTACTAAGAGAACAAAAATTAGCCAGATGTGGTGGTGCACATCTGTAATCCCAGCTTCTCAGGAGGCTGAGGCAGGAGAATCACTTGAACCTGGAAGGCAGAGGTTGTAGTGAGCTGAGATCGCACCACTGCACTCCAGCCTGGGTGACAGAACAAGACTCCATCTCAGAAAAAAAAAAAGTATGTAAGTCACTAATGTATCAAAAAAACAACCATTCATGTATTGCAAATAAATACTCAACCAAGACAAAAAGGCATGTCACATGTTATGGGAAAAGACTGTAATGATGGTGAGAGGAAAACTGTGACCCTTGAATATAGGACAGAAAAAAATCAGGGGACGATGTTAAGGAATTGGAAATAATTCTCCATATTAAAGGAACACAAGAAACAGAAAGAGAGGAGAGAGAGACACGATAGTCGCAGACTGCAGAGGTTTGGGGTAGACGGGAATCAAGGAGGCAGAGAGAGCAGTGGGAATGTACATAAAATCACCCTCCGGAGCTGTGCTGTTCAATAAGGCTGCTGAACACTTGAAAGATGGCTAGTCCAACCTGAGAAATGCTGTAAGTGGAAAACACATTTCAAACAATTTCTGAATACTCAGTATAAAAGAAAGAATGGGCCAGTGTGGTGGCTCACACCTGTAATCCCAGCATTTTGGAAGGCCAAGACGGGAGGATTGCTTGAGCCAGGAGTTTGAGACCAGTCTGGGCAACACAGCAAGACCTCATCTCTTCGGAAAAAAAAAAACAAAAATTAGGTCAAGTGCAGTGGCTCACACCTGTAATCCCAGCACTTTGGGAGGCCAAGGTAGGTGGATCACTTGAGCTCCAGAGTTCGAGACCAGCCTGGACAACCTGCTGAAACCCTGTCTTAACAGGTTTTTTTGTATTTTAAAAATACAAAAATTAGTCAGGTGTGGTGGCACATATTTGTGGTCACAGCTACCTGGGCGGCTGAAGTGGGAGGATCATTTGATCTCTGGAGGTCGAGGCTGCAGTGAGCTGACATTGTGCCACTGCACTCCAGCCTGGGTAACAGAGTGAGACCCTGTCTTAAAAAAAAATTAGCTGGACATGGTGGTGGTCAGGACCAGCCTGACCAACATGGAAGAGCACTGTTTCTACTAAAAATACAGAAGTAGCCAGGTGTGGTAGCACATGCCTGTAATCCCAATTACTCAGAAGGCTGAGGCAGGATAGTCATTTGAACCAGGGAGGCAGAGGTTACAGTGAGCCGAGATCACACCACTGCACTCCAGCCTGGCAACACAGCCAGACTCTGTCTCAAAACAAACAAACAAACAAAAAATATATATATACATATACACACACAATTTTGGAGTGAAGTTTCAAAATCAATCAGTAAGCCCACCTACCAGGTTTATCCCTATGCAAAGTGCCCCCTCCGCACATTCAGGATTAAATGAACCTTGAAAATATTATGCTAAGTGGAAGAAGCCAGTCACGAAATATCACATGTTATGTAATTCCATTTAAATAAAATGTCCAACATACATGAATGCATAGAGACAGAAAGTAGACTAGTGGTGGCCCAGGGTTAGGGGAGTTGGGGGAAATGGAGGGATATGGGGTTTACTTTGGGGCAATGAAAATGATCTAAAATTTATTGTGGTGATGTTTGCACAACTGTGCAAATATACTGAAATCATTGAATTTTACACTTTAAATGGGTGCCTTCTGTGACATGTTAATATTTCTCAATAAAACTTCAAAGAGTACCTGTGTGCCTCCAGAGTCCACATTTTTACACTTGATAAAGAAATCAAGATATTGTTTCTTCTTCCTCTTTATTTTTATTTTATTTATTTTATGTTTTGAGACAGAGTCTCCCTCTGTTGCCCAGGCTGGAGTGCAGTGGCACGATTTCATCTCACTGAAACCTCCCAGCTAATTTTTGTATTCCTAGTAGAGATGGTGTTTCACCATGTTGGCTAGGCTGGTCTCGAACTTCTGACCTCAAATAAGTCCACCACCTTGGCCTCCAAAAGTGCTGGGATTGCAGGCATGAGCCACCACGCCTGGCTCAAGATTTAGTTTCCATTGTTTCAGATGCCCTAGGTCAATTTTATTCTACTTTAATTTCTGATGCATCATCTCAGTGGAAATTTTACATTACTTCCTGAAGTATTTTACTCTTTTTAAGATTTTATCAGCTGAGTGCAGTGGCTCACACCTCTAACTGCAACACTTTGGGAGGCCAAGGTGGGAGGATTAGTTAAGCCCAGGAATTCAAGACCAATCTCTGCAACATAGTGAGATGCCTATCTCTACAAAAAAAAATTGTTTAATTAGGTGGGTATATTGTTGTATGCCTGTGGTCTCAGCCAGTAGGTAAGCTGAGGTGGGAGGATCACTTGAGCCCAGGAGGTTGAGGCTGCAGTGGCCATGATTATACGACTGCATTCCAGCAAAAATATTTTTAATTACATTTTTTAAGAAAACAAAATATACAATTACTGACTTGATACAAATGAATGACTTTTATAATCTACAGAAACCAAAAAAATAACAATAATAAAAACCCACAGCCATTCTTCTTATGTGAGTCTCTGGTGTCTCTGAGTTGTAAGAATTGTGAATTATGATTAATAACAAATATGCATGACAAGGACCCAATAAGAGATAGGCATTGATAAATTGCAAATCACACTTACTGGAGTAAGGTCTTTAAAGTTGTACAAGAAAAAGAAAGAAAAAGAAACGGCATTGAAAAACTGCATTGGCTACCAAAATGCTAAAGTTTACCTAAGTCCATTAATCAGCGCACACAAACACACAAACGCAATGGATGTGAAAAATGGTCAACACGGTATTCCATGAACGTATCCTCTTATAAATAGGTCTGTGGGGGTAAGAGATGAGGTTCTATAGATCCTGGAGTCAGGGATGGGGAATCTGTGGGGTCCCTGGGGTGAGAGGTGAGGATCTGTAGATTAGTGATGGGTGGTTTTTTGGACAGTGATGAGATCCATGGAATCAATTCTCGTGGGTATGTAGGGTCAGTGATGAGGGAATCTGGTGTCAGTGATGGGATGTGTGTGGAATCAATGAGAGAGTGTGGAATCAATCTGTGAAGGCCAGATTTGTGGTGTCATCTCTCAGGCTGACACATCCTGATCTGTGTCAGTGGTGGAAATTCTATGGGGTCAGAGTGTGATAGTCAGGTCCCTGCCACTGGGTGTTCTGGGTCCAGCCAAGGGCACAGATTCCCTTACCTGATCCTGGCTGGAGAGGCCCTTCTCACGGACTCCTCATGTGAAAGGTGGGTTGTCGGCGGTTTTTGTTTTTGTTTTGTTTTGTGATAGGGGTGGGTGGGTTGGCTTTTTCTTTTGGGTTTGGTTTTGCCTCTTAGAGACCACAGACACATCCAGTTTTAGGAAGACATTTTTGTCTGGGCAATCGCTAGTCCTTTGGGCCAAGCCATCTAATGGGAACGAAGCTGACCATTCCCTCAGCGCAGTTCAGATCTAGATGGTCGCTTTAAGGGGTCCACTCGGGGGCATGAAAGTGGGTTGTGGCTTTGAGTGGCAGGTGGGCGGGAAGAAACAACTAAGAAAGACACATGAGAGGTCCTCAGGCTTGATCTGTCACAGCTAGAAGAACAGCCTCCTCAACCCATCAGCCGCCAATGGGAGGTGACTCTGGGCTGCAAGAGGCTGGCGGAGGGGGACTTCCAGACCCAGAAAGTCTGGGCACAGAAGCCTATTACTGCCAGACGCTGAGGAGTTGCCGTGGGAACCAAGGGCCTTTCGGGTCAGACAGACAAGGGCCTTTCTCAGACAATTCTTTGGGTAACTGGCAAGCTCCTGTCCAGCGCACGCCCCTATGAATGCTTAGTGTGCCATCTCGGGCAGAGTCTTCTTTGGTCTGAGAGCCACTTGTTTCTTAAATCCCTGCACTAATCTCGCCGTCTGCTCCTACGTAGCCCAGGCATTTGCCGCATGCTGGTCCTTTCTTTCCTGACAGGCGGACAATCTCTCTCCAGCTTCTGGGAGGACAGTTCAAATTATGGAGGAGGGGGCAGATGCAGGGCAGCAGTGCGGAGGGGAGTACGGGGGAGTTGGGGGAGCAGGGGCTCATTTTTCTTTGTAGCTCAGATTCCCAAGCCTGTGACTTTGAGAATCTTTGTCTCCTTTGCAACGTTTCAATCTGAGGCTCTTGGGAGAGGGCAGAGTTAGAGCCAGAT
Organism: Homo sapiens; assembly: GCF_000001405.40. NCBI lineage: Eukaryota > Metazoa > Chordata > Mammalia > Primates > Hominidae > Homo > Homo sapiens. Next base: position 57,783,157 of record NC_000007.14, read on the forward strand.
GGAAGAGTTGTGGGGAGAGGAGTGGGTGGAGGGAACATGGAGAAAGTTTCAGGCGGTGTCTTTATTCCTGGCACCTTACTTTGCCTACTGGAGTTTCCCAGTCTGTTCCAGACGCACTCTCTAGACCCTGAGGGGGCTTGAGGAAGCATGTTAGTTGGCAGTGTGGTGGAGATGGAGTGCTGGGAGGTGGAGGTTGCAGTGAGCCAAGATGGTGCCACTGCACTCCAGGCTGGGTGACACAGCGAGACTCTGTCTCAATAAATAAATAAATAAACAAACAAATGGAAGGGAAAAAACACAATATAAAAACCAAGTGATTCTAAAAGTAGCAATATATCATAATGCCTAAATATGTGTAATTGGTGGGACATGGTGGCTCCGATGTATCATAATGCCTAAATTTGTGGGATTGGTGGGGTGTGATGGCTCCCACCTGTAATCCCAGCACTTTGAGAGGCCAAGGCCAGTGGATCACCTGAAGTCAGGAGTTTGAGACCAGCCTGACCAACATTGTGAAACCCTGTCCCTACTAAAAATAGAAAAAAATTAGTGAGGTGTTGTGGTGGACACCTGAGGTCCGAGCTACTAGGGAGGTTGAGGCAGGGGAATCGCTTGAACCCAGGAGGCAGAGGTTGCAGTGAGCCAAGATTAACCCATTGCACTCCACCCTGGGTGACAGTGTGAGACTCCCTCAAAAAAAAAACGTTTGTGGGACCAATTCCAATCAAGTCCAGGGGTCTCGATTGGCCAAGGCAGTCTCAAACTTCTGACCCCAAGTGATCTGCCTGCCTGGCCTCCCAAAATGCTGGGATTATAGGCGTCAGCCACAGTGCCTGGCCTCCCCTCCTTTTCATTCATTTTAAATGTTTTATTTGCTCCGTTATGTATGATTGCCTTGATGATTTCAGCTTGAATTAAAATTACATATTTTTGCCTGTGTTTATTAATATTTAAACATATTAAAGTAATACATGTTCATAATGAAAATGAAACATTATGAATAAATACACAGGAAAGGCAGTATTCCCCTTCCAGTTCCACTCTTGAAATAACCAGTTAACAAGATGATGAACATCTTTCCATGATGTTCTCCAAGATTCATATAATTATTTGCAATCATACAATGGCATATACAGCTCAGGTGCCATAGGCTCACACATGTAATCCCAGCACTTTGGGAGACTGAACCAGGTGGATCATTTGAGGTCAGGAGTTCAATACTAGCCTGGCCAACATAGTGAAACCCCATCACTACAAAAAACACAAAAATTATTTGGGCGTGGTGTTGGGCGCCTGTATTCCCAGCTACTTGGGAGGTGGGGGCACGAGAATCACTTGAACCTGGGAGATGAAGGTTACAGTGAGCCGATATCACATTACTTCACTCCCACCTGGGTGAAGAGTGAGATTCCATCTCAATAAATAAATAAATAAAGAGAAAGAAAGAAAGAAAAAAAGAAAGATGAAAGAAACAAAGAAAAAAGGAAGAAAGAGAGAGAAAGAGACAGAGAAAGGAAGCAAGAAAGCAAGGAAGCAAGCAAGCAACCAAGAAAGAAAGAAAGAAAGAAATAGAAAGAAAAAGAAGTCATGTACTCAGGTTGCTAAGATCGATGGTAAGAACAAATCCTCTAGTGGAGAAAATGTAAGAAGGAAAAAGAAATTTCTGTTAGTCTTGTTTGTTGTACCCCATGCTCTAAAAAGTACAGCCACATGTGTGATAAGTACTTAGTTAAGATGAAAAAGGCATTAAATTTGTGCATGGAAATCATAAACAGAAATGCACTCTGATTGACAGCAATTGGGTCAATGCTATCCAAGGTTCAGGCATCCACTGCTCTGCGGGTCTTAGATCACATCTCCTGCAGATAAGGGAGGGCTACTATATAACGTTTCTTTCTTTTTTTCTTTAATTATAAAGCATTCTCCTTTTTTATACAACAATTTGCCATTGATATCACTTTAGGTATAAAGATATTAGGATATCTTTATAGTATATAAAAAGCTAACTCATTATTTGTAAGAGTTAAAGTATCTTCCATTATATGAGCATTTAAAATGTTAAAGTACTTTTGCCATCAAAAATAGTGCTTCTGTAAATATTCTTTTACTTATACCTTTATTAATTTTTACTTCTGCTGAAACAAATTGCATGAGGAAACAAATGTATGTGTATAAAATATAATATATGTATATATATTTAACGTGTATATACAACTTAATATATACACATACATACAATAACATACCCAATTTTTTTGGTTGTTTTTGAGATGGAGTTTTGCTCTGTCACCCAGGTTGTAGTGCAGTGGTGTGATCTCAGCTCACTGCAACCTCCACATCTTGGATTCAAGTGATTCTCCTGCCTCAGCCTCCTGAGTAGCTGGGAATACAGGCATCTGCCACCAAGTCCAGCTATCTTTGTCTTTTTAGTGGAGATGGGTTTTCACCATGTTGGCCAGCCTGCTCTCGAACTCCTGACCTCAAGTGGTCCACCGACCTTGCCCTCCCAAGGTGATGGAATTACACTTGTGAGCCACCGTGCCTGGCCTAACTTATACAATTTAATGTATATACAAATATAGGTTGGGTGCAGCGGCTCACTCCTGTAATCCTAGCACACTGGGGAGCTGAGGTAGGGGAGTTTTTGAACTCAGGAGTTTGAAACCAGCCTGGGCATCATGGTGAAACCCTGTCTGTACAAAAAACACAAAAATTAGCTGGGTGTACTTGCAGGTGCCTGTGGTCCCAGCTACTCAGGAGACTGAGGTGGGAGGATAGCTGGAGCCCAGGTGGTCGAGGCTGCAGTGAGTTGTGATCATGCCACTGCACTCCAGCATGGGTGACAGAGTGAGACCCTGTCTTAGACAAAAACAAATCAAACCAAATATAATGTTTATGCACTACACACTTGATTTCTTTCCAAAGGGTTATATAACGCTGTACTTTCACCAGCAATATATGCGACTACTCATTTCCTACATACTCACTATCACTTGTGTGCAGTCAAGGAAACTTAGTAGGCCTGAATTGCCCAAACCTGGCATACTCCAAAGAATGGTGTGACTCTAGCCCAGCTCCTAAAGTTTGATTGAATAATGATAGCATTGGTACACATTCACCTTGGCCTGTCTTAAGATTCAGAAACTTTCCAAGACTCTAGAGAAATCTTTCCAGACTCTAGACCCAAGTTAAAGATTAGATGTTGATTGAATGAAACAGTCCTGCTTGTAGGTGCAATCTCACATGGAGCTTAAGATGTATATAAGCACTAGAAAAAAAAACTTGTAACTTTGAGTTGATCTGGTGAGTTACCTGGTGCTTCTCCCTGTAAATGGCTGCAGAAATAAACTTCCTTCTTTCCCAGTCTGTCTGTGTCTTGTTATTGAACAATTGCGATGGACCTGCCCAGCAAAGTCCTCTTTTGTGTGGTTATCTGAGACTCCTTTTGGAGGGAACATTTTAAATTTTCCATTTCAAAGCATTCTGTTGGCACTCTTACACTGTTTTTCTCTGCCTACCTGGGACCTGAGTTCTCCCAGATGTGAATCTCCAGCCACAGAGCCTAGAAGCCCATTCCTCTACATTCTGTGACTGTTCCCCAAACACAGGGAGAATTTGCAGAAAATAAGCCCAAAAATCTTGCCATTCTTTGCAATAAAACCCCACATTACAAACTGCTGAAAACAGGATTTTAGCCTGAATAGGTTTTTCCTCTATTTGAAACCCTTTACAATTTTGGAGGGAAGTTTCCAAATCAATCAGTAAGTACCCCCCACCCCAGGTTTACCCTTATGTAAAGTGCCCCCTTTGCACATGCAAGATTGAAAAAACCTTGAAAATATTATGCTAAGTGAAAGAAGCCAGTCACAAAGGACCACATGTTATGTAATTCCATTTAAATAAAATGTCCAAAATAGACCAATACATAGAAACAGAAAGGAGATTTGTTGTGGCCCAGGGTTAGGGGAGTTGGGGGGAAATGGAGGGATATGGTGTTTACTTCAGGGTAATGAAAATGATCTAAAATTTATTGTGGTGATGTTTGCATAACAGTGCAAATATACTGAAAACCATTGAATTTTACACTTTAAATCAGTGGCTTGTGTGGTATGTTATCAATATTTCTCAATAAAACTTCAAAAAAAATAGTGCCTATGTGTCTTTTTGTGTATTATTCCTCCATAGTCCAGTCCATAGTTTTTACATTTGATGAAGAAATTAAGATTTTGTTTCTTCTTCTATTTTTTTTTGAGACAGTATCTCCCTCTGTTGCCCAGACTGGAGTGCATTGGCACAGTCTTGGCTCATTGAAACCTCCAGGCTAATTTTTGTATTTTTAGTAGAGACAGTGTTTCACCATGGTGGCTAGACTGGCCTCAAACTACTGACCTCAAGAGAGTCCCCCACCTTGGTTTCCAAAATTGCTGGGATTACAGGCATGAGCCACCGCACCCAGCCCAAGATTTAGTTTCCATTGTTTTGATGCCCTAGGGCCATCTTATTCCACCTTAATTTCTGACGCATCATCTCAGTGGAAATTTTACGTTAGGTCCCAAAGTATTTTCCTCTTTTTAAGATTTTATCAGTTGAGTACAGTGGCTCACACCTGTAATCTCAACACTTTGGGAGGCCAAGGTGGGAGGATCAGTTGAGCCCAGGAGTTCAAGACCAGTCTCTGCAACATAGTGAGACACACATATCTACAAAAAAAAAATTTAATTAGGTGAGCATATTGGTGCATGCCTGTGGTCTCAGCTTACTATGTAGGCTGAGAAGGGAGGATCACTTGAGCCCAGGAGGTTGAGGCTACAGTGGCCATGATTATACCACTGCACTTCAGCCTGGGTGACAGAGCAATAGCCTGTCTTAAAAAAAAAATTAATTGCAATTTTTTTTTAGAAAACAAAGTATACACTTAGTGACTTGATACAAATGAATGAATTTGATAATCTACAGAAACCAAAACAAATACATAAATAAAAACCCAAAGCCATTCTTCTTATGTGAATCTCTAGTGTCTCTGAATTATAAGAATTGTGAATTATGATTAATAACAAATATGCATGACAAAGACTCAATAAGGGATAGGCATTAATAAACTGCAATGCACACTTACTGGAGTAAGGCCTTTAAAGATGTACAAGAAAAAGAAAGAAAAGACATTGAAAAATTGCATTGCCTACCAAAACACTAAAGTTTACCTAAGTCCATTAATCATCACACACACACACACACACACAATGGGTGTGTAAAATGGTCAACACAGTCTCCTATGAATGTATGCTTTTATTAATAGGTCTGTGGGGGTAAGAGATGAGGTTCTATAGATCCTGGAATCAGGGATGGGGAATCTGTGGGGCCCCTGGGGTGAGAGATGATGATCTGTAGATTAGTGATGGGTGGTCTTTGGGATAGTGATGAGGTCCATGGAATCAATGATTGTGGGTATGTAGGGTCAGTGATGAGGGAATCTGGTGTCAGTGATGGGATGTGTGTGGAATCAATCTGTGAAAGCCAGATTTGTGATGTCATCTCTCAGGCTGACACATCCTGATCTGTGTGTCAGTGGTGGAAATTCTATGGGGTCAGAGTGTGACTGTCAGGTCCCTGACACTGTGTGTTCTGGGTCTGGCCAAGTGCACAGATTCCCTTGCCTTGTCCTGGCTGGAGAGGCCCTTCTCAAGGACTCCTCACATGAAAGGTGGGTTGGCGGTAGGTTTTGTTTTTGTTTTGTGGTGGAGGTAGGGGTGGGTTGGCTTTTTCTTTAGGGTTTAGTTTTGCCTCTTAGAGACCACAGACACATGCAGCTTTTAGGAAGAAATTTTTGTCTAGGTAGTCGCTAGGTCCTTTGGGCCAAACCATCTAATGGGAGTAAAGCTGACCATTCCCTTAGTGCGATCAGATCTAGACGGTCGTTTTAAGGTGTTCTCAAGGTGGCGGGCAAGTGGGTTGTGGCTTTGAGTGTCAGGTGTGCGGGAAGAAACAACTAAGACCCAGGAGCGCTCCTAGGCTGGATCTGTCACAGCTGGAAGAACAGCCTCCCTAACACATCAGGCGCCAATGGGAGGCACCTCTGGGCTGTGAGAGGCTGGTGGAGGCGGGACCTCCAGACCTAGAGATTCTGGGCACAGAAGCCTATTACTGCCAGACGCTGAGGCGTTGCCATGGGATCCAAGGGCATTTCGGGTCAGATCAGAGCTTTTCTCAGATAATTGTTTCGGTAACTGGGGAGCTCCTGTCCAGCGCATGCCCCTATGAAGGCTTAATGTGCTGTCTCCCGCAGAGTCTTCTTAGGTCTGAGAGCCACTTGTTTCTTACAACCCTGTGCTAATCTCACCATCTGCTCCTACATACCCCAGGCATTTGCCACATGCTGGTCCTCTCTTTCCTGACAGGTGGGCCGTCTCTCCAGCTTCTGTGAGGACAGTTCAAATTATGGAGGAGGGGGCAGGTGCAGGGCAGCAGTGCTGAGGGGAGTACCAGGCAGTTGGGGGAGCAGGGGCTCATTTTTCTTTGTAGCTCAGATTCCTAAGCCTGTGACTTTGAGTATCGGTGTCTTCCTTGCAATGTTTCAGTCTCAGGTTCTTGGGGAGAGTGCAGAATTGGAGCCCGATGGAAGACTGGTGGGGAGAGGGGTGGGTGGAGGGAACATGGAGTGTGTCAGGTGTTGTCTATTCCTGGCACCTTACTTTGCCTGCTGGAGTTTCCCAGTCTGTTCCAGATGCACTCTCTCGACCCTGAAGCAACCCGAGGGGGGATGTTGGTCTCCAGTGTGTGCTCCCCTGGACTCGATTGGAATTTGTCCCAAAGTGTTTGTTTGTTTGTTTGTTTGGAGGGAGTCTCACTCTGTCACCCAGGCTGGAGTGCAGTGGGGCAATCTCAGCTCACTGCAACCTCTGATTCCCAGGTTCAAGTGATTCTCCTGTTTCAGCCTCCCTAGTAGCTGGGACTACAGGTGTCCGCCACCACACGTTGCTAAATTTTTTATTTTTAGTAGAGGCAGGGTTTCACAATGTTGGTCAGGCTGGTGTCTAACTCCTGACCAGGTGATCGACCCACCTTGGCCTCTTAAAGTGCTGGGATTACAGGTGGGAGCCATCACACCCCGCCAATCCCACAAATTTAGGCATTATGGTACATTGCTACTTTTGAATCCCTTATTTTTTTAGCTGCATTTTTCCCCCTCCTTTTATTGATTGATTGACACAGAGTCTCGCTGTGTCACCCAGACTGAACTGCAGTGGCACAATCTCAGTTCATTGCAACCTCTCCCTCCCGGGTTCAAGCGATTCTCCCACCTCAACCTTCCAAGTAGCTAGGATTACAGGTGCATGCCATCATGCCTGCCTAATTTTTGTATTTTCAGTAGAGACAGGGTTTCACCATGTTGGCTAAACTGGTCTCGAACTTCTGACCCCAAGTGATCTGCCTGCCTTGGCCTCCCAAATTGCTGACATAGGCATGAGACTCCTTGCCTGGACTTCCCTCCTTTTCCTTCAGGGATTTTAAATGTTTTCTTTCCTCCATCTATTTAATTATATGTGATTGCCTTGAGGATTTCAGCTTGAATTAAAATTACATATATTTACCTGTCTTTATTAATATTTAAACATATTAAAATAATACATGTTCATAATGAAAATGAAACATTACAAATAAATACACAGGAAAGGCACGATTCCTCCTCCAGTTCCACTCTTGAAATAACCAGTTAACAAGATGATGAGCATCTTTCCATGATGTTCTCCAAGATTCATATAAGTATTGCCCAGCAAACAACAGAATATACAGGCCAGGCATGGTGGCTCATGCCTGTAATCCCAGCACTTTGGGAGACTGAAGCTGGTGGATCTTTTGAGATTAGGAATTCGAGACTAACCTGGCCAACATGGTGAAACCCCATTGCTACAAAAAATACAAAAATTATTTGGGCACGGTGGAGAGCGCCTTAATCCCAGCTACTTGGGGGGCAGAGGCACGAGAATCTCTCGAACCTGGGAGGAGAAGGTTGCAGTGAGCCAATATCGCATTACTGCACTCCAACCTGGATGACAGACTGAGCTTCCATCTCAATAAATAAGTAAATACATAAAATAAAGAGAAAAAAGAAAGAAAGAAGAAAGAAAAAGAAAGAAAGAAGAAAGGAAAAGAAAGAAAGAAGAAAGAAAAAGAAAGAAAGAGAAAGAAAAAAGAGAAAGGAAGAAAGAAAGAAAAAGAGAGAAGTAGTGTGCTCAGGTTGCTAAGATCGATAGTAAGAAATCCTCTAGTGGTGAAAATGTTAAGAAGGGAAAAGAAATTTCTGTTAGTCTAGTTTGTTGCACCCCAAGCTCTAAAAAGTACAGCCACGTGTGTGATAAGTGCTTAGTTAAGATGAAAAAGGCATTAAATTTGTGCGTGGAAATCATAAACAGAAATGTGTTCTGATTGACAGCAATTGGGTCAATGCTACCCAAGTTTCAGGCATCCACTGTGGGTCTTAGAACACGTCTCCTGCAGATAAGGGAGGGCTACTATATAACGTTTCTTTCTTTTTTCTTTAATTATAAAGCATTCTCCTTTTTTAGTATAACAGTTGGCCACATATATCACTTTAGGTATAAAGATATTAGGATACCTTTATAGTAGATAAAAAGCTAACTCATTCTTTGTAAGAGTTAAAGTATCTTTCATTATATGAGCATTTAAGATATTAAAGTACTTTTGCCACAAAAAATAGTGCTTCTATAAATATTCTTTTACTTATATGTTTATTAATTTTTACTTCTGCTGAAACAAATTGCATGAGGAAACAAGTGTATGTGTATAAAGTGTAATATATGTATATATATTTAACATGTGTCTATACAACTTCATATATACACATACATACAATAACATATACAATTTTTTTGTTTTGTTTTTTGAGATGGAGTTTTGGTCTCTCATCCTGTCTGGAGTGCGGTGGCATGATCTTGGCTCACTGCAACTTCCACTGCTTGTTTCAAGTGATTCTCCTGCCTCAGCCTCCTGAATAGCTGGGAATACAGGCATCTGCCACCATGTCCAGCTAACTTTGTTTTTTTAGTGGAGATGGGTTTTCACCATGTAGGCCAGGCTGCTCTCAAACTCATGACTTCAAGTGATCCGCCCACCTTGACCTCCCAAAATGCTGGAATTACAGGTGTGAGCCACCATGCCCGGCCTAACATATACAATTTAATGTATATACAAATATAGGTTGGGTGCAGTGGCTCACTCCTGTAGTCCTAGCACTTTGGGGAGCTGAGGTAGGGGATTGTTTGAACCCAGGAGTTTGAAATCAGCCTGGGCAACATGGTGAAACCCTATCTGTACAAAAAACACAAAAATTAGCTGGGTGTACTTGCAGGTGCCTGTGGTCCCAGCTACTCAGGAGACTGAGGTGGGAGGATAGCTGGAGCCTGGGAGGTCGAGGCTGCAGTGAGTTATGATCATGCCACTGCACCCCAGTGTGGGTGACAGAGTGAGACCCTATCTCAGACAAAAACAAAAACAAACCAAATATAATCTTTATGTGAGACACACTTGATTTCTTTCCAAACGGTTATATAACACTGTACTTTCACCAGCAATATATGTGACTACTCATTTCCTACATATTATCACTTGTGTGCAATCAAGGAAACTTAGTAGGCCTGAATTGCCCAAACCTGGCATACTCCAAAGAAAAGTTTGACTCTATCCTAGTTCCCAGGAAATAACCTCTAAGTCCTTGGAATCTCCTGCCTATCTGGGAGTTAACAACGTGATTTATTATGGGGACCTTGGACCATGCAGTGTCAGCTTGACCTTGGGAAGGGTGGAGACAGAGAAACTAAGGTCAACCAAATGGGTGCTCTTGTCCATGTGACCAAACTCCAGTAAAATGCTCAACACCAAGGCTCAGGTAAGGTTTTTGTTGGGGAGTATATTCTGTACTTTTCGTCACATATCTCTGGGTGAATTAAGCACTGTCCACACGATGTCACTGGGAGAGGACAACCAGAAGCTTGTGCTTTGTCTCTCCTGGACTCTGCCCTATGCACCTTTTTCTGCTGCTGATTTTAGTCTATATCTTTTTGTTGTAATAAACTATGAGTATAACAGCTTCACTCAGTTTTGTGAGTCTTTCTAATTAATCACTAAACTTTGGGACCTCAGAACACAATGTTGTTTCTTCTTTAATTGAATTTTCCATGTTATGTAAGAAACCTATGTGCATAATTGAAAATTCACAAACTAAGAAAGAGCTTTCCATGCAGTCTACTCCCCCACCCTGTTTCTCCAATGCTCCCAGGTATACTTCCTGAATAATCAAATGTTTAAATTTTCTAAACCATTTCTAATCTATATATCTGAGTGCTTATCTCTATATTATATAATAGGTAGATCCTGCTCCTTCTCAATATATCAACTTGATATATTACCTGATGGCTTCCTGTTCTGATAGCTGATGACTTGGCTGACACTCACCCCTTACCCCAGTGCCTGGACCACTTTTCAAACATGGTGCTCTCACCATTTTCTTTTTCTTTTCTTTTTTTTTTTTTTTTGAGACAGAATATTGCTCTGTCACCCAGTCTAGAGTGCAGTGGCATGATCTGGGCTCACTGCAACCTCCATCTCCCAGATTCAAGTGATTCTCCTGCCTCAGCCTCCAGAGTAGCTGGGATCACAGGGGCACACCACCATGCCCGGCTAATTTTTGTATTTTTAGTAGAGATGGGGTTTCACCCTCTCAGCCAGGTTGGTCTCGAATGCCAGACCCCATGATCCACCCATCTCGGCCTCCCAAAGTGCTGGGACCGCACCCAGCCACTCTCACTATTTTCAATGGCTCTCTTGGTCACCTTTCACTTGGGAGAGTAGCTGAGGCAGGAGAATCACTTGAACCCGGGAGGTGGAGGTTGCAATGAGCTGAGACGGTGCCATTGCATTGCAGCCTGGGCAACAAGAGTGAAACTCTGTCTAAATAAATAAATAAATAATAAATAAATAAATAAATAAATAAATAAATAAAACAGAAAAGGAAAGAAAAGAAGCTCTCCCTCCATATACCTGTAAGGATCATTGTCTTAATTTTCTTCATGTCTTAACATGATTCTTGCCTTGTCAGAGATCATCCTATCTGAAATTGAATCTATTTACCACTTCCCTTTTTTTTCCATAGCACTTAAAACTTTTTTTTTTTTTTTTTGAGATGGAGTCTCACTCTGTGACCCAGGCTGGAGTGCATTGGTGTGATCTCGGCTCACTGCAACCTCCTCCTCCCATGTTCTAGTGGTTCCCCTGCCTCAGCCTCCCAAGTAGCTGGGATTACAGGCATCTGCCACCACACCTGGCTAACATTTTTTTTTTTTTGTATTTTAGTAGAAATGGGGTTTCACCATGTTGGCCAGGCTGGTCTTGAACTCCTTATCTCCGGTGACCCAAACCACCTCAGACTCCCAAAGTGTTGGGATTACAGGGGTGAGCCACCACACCCAGCCTTGGCTAATTTTTGTATTTTTAGTGGAAACAGGGTTTCACCATATTGGCCAGGCTGATCTCGAACCCCTGACCTCAAATGATCTCCCTGCCTCGGCCTCCCAAATTGTTGGGCTTACAGGCATGAGCCACTGTGCCCGGACTGCTTTTTGACAAATCATCTCTGTTCTTTTATTATGTCCCCTAGAATGTAAACTTGATGAGAGCAGGAGAATTGTCAATTTTGTTCAATGCTATTTATCCCTAGAGCCTAGAACTGTACCATGCACACGGTAAGGAGACAAATATTTGTTGAATGAATATATTGAGCAGCTGTTCTCAGACTTTTTGGTCTCAGAAATTCTTTACTCTCTGTTTCTTTACTCCTGACCTCAGGTGATCTGCCCACCTTGGCCTCCCAAAGTGCTAGGATTATAGGAGTGAGCCAAAACAACCAGCCACCCAACTAATTTTTGTATGGCAGTAGGCACGGGGTTTTGCCATGTTGGCCAGGCTGATCTTGAACTCCTGACCTCAAGTGATCCCCCACCTCAGCCTCCAAAAGTGCTGAGATTACAGGCGTGAGCCACTGCACCCGACTAAATATACCAAAAACTTTAGATAAGTGAATTTGGAGGAAATATTTATAACAGATAAAATGGACAAACAGATAATTCTAACTTACTGTCTCTCTGGCTTAATAAAATATTAGTCAATACGCTAAGAAGAAAGGAACGAAATCTAAAAATTAAGCATTCACAAACACAAATAGTCGGAAAACAAAGTCAAAACCTAAGGACTTGTTGACCACTTATCTCTCCTCTGAAATCAGCTCTTGAATGTGTTGAACTAGGTTTGACCTCGGATTAGGAAATTTTTTAAATATTTTTTAAATTTTCACTTTTTGGAATTTAAAATTAATCCAAATTATGTAATATACAACACTTGGAATTTACCAATCAATACTCTATCATTTTATTTTTCACTCTTCAAATAATTTCTTGTTCAAGAGTTTAAAACGCTTGTCCAAGAGTTTAAAATTAATAGATTCTGCATGCTATGGTCTGTAGAGACTGTCTCTACAAAAAATAACAATATATATACTTTAAAAATATATATAAAATATGTATTTATTTAAATGTATATGTTTTAAGTATATAAAATATGTTTTTAAAATTTCATTTTTTCACCGGATCGTATGGTAAGCGTATGTTTAGTCTGGCAGGAACTTGCAAAACTGCCTTCCACAGTGGCTGTCCCACTTTGCATTCTCAGCAGAAATAGAGATGAGTTCCTGTCGCTCCATGTCTTCACCAGCATTTGGTATTGGTGTTTGCATTCAAGCCAGTCTAAGGGATGTGTAATGGTATCACATCATTGTTTTAATTTGAATCCCCTAGTGACATATGGTGTTGGGCATCGTTTCAGAGGTCTAAGAAATGTGCTGGGCATGGTGGCACATGCCTGTGGTCCCAGCTACTCAGGAGGCTGAGGCGGGAGAGTTACTTGAGCCCTGGAGGTTGGGGCTGCATTGAGCCATGATTGCACCACTGCACTCCAGCCTGAGTGACAGAGCTAAACCCTGTCTCAAAAAGATAAATAAGGTCAGGCGCGGTGGCTCATGCATGTAATCCAAGCACTTTGGAAGGTCAAGGCGGTTGGATCACGAGGTCAGCAGATCAAGACCATCCTGGGTGACACAGTGAATACCCGTCTCAACTAAAAATACAAAAAATTAGCCAGGCATGGTGGCTGGTGCCTGTAATCCCAACTACTCAGGAGGCTGAGGCAGGAGAATCACTTGAACCTGGGAGGCGGAGGTTGCCATGAGCCGAGATCGGGCCATTGTGCTCCAGCCTGGGTGACAGAATGAGACTCCATCTCAAAAAATAAAAAAAAAGTAAATAAATAAATATCTGACCTAATTTTTAGAACAGTTGTAGGTGTACAGAAAAATAGAGCAGAAGGCATATTGAGCTCTAATATCCACCTCACACCATAGTACACACACTTCCTCTATTATCATCTTGTTAGTGTGGTAATTTGTTATGCTCGATGAGCCAATATTGATATTATTAAGTTCATGGCTAATATTAAGATTCACTCTCTGTGTTCTACCATTTATGGGCTTTGACAAATGCTTAAGGACATATATCCACCATTATAGGGTCACACAGAAAAGTTTCACTGCCCTAAAAATCTTCTGTGCTCCACCTATTCATCTTTCCCTCTGCTCAAGCCTCTGGCAACCACTGAACTTTTTATAATACCATCTGCCTAGTTTTGTCTTTTCTAGTATTCCATATAATTGGAACTCTATATTATGTGGCCTTTTTGTATTGGCTTCTTTCACTTAGAAATGCATGTTTAAGATTCCTCCATGTCTTTTCATGCCTTGTAGTTCATTTCTTTTTATTCCTGAAGAATATTCCATTGCATGAATGTTTCAGAGTTAGTTTATCCATTTCTCTATTGTAGGATATCTTGGTTACTTCCAATCTTTGTCAGTTGTGTATAAGCTGCTGTAAATATTCATGTGCAGGATTTGAGTGGATATAAGTTTTCAAATATTTGGGTATATACCAAAGAATGCAATTGCCAGATCGTATTTAAACATACAAGGATGCAGATGCCATACACACAAATATGTATGTATATGTCATGCTCATATACAATTTTAAATACATATATGTATTCTATGGATATGTAAGTATTTCTCTATTTTCACAGAAATGTCACTCTAAATCAGTACCTAAGAAGGATCATCATTTTCTTAATCTACAAATCAAGACACAGTATGAGTGGCTGCACCCTAGTTTAGTAAATCCTCTATTATTGAGGATGTTTTCCTGTTTCCTTTGTCATTGTTGTTGTTGTTTTGTTTTGAGACAGAGTTTCACTCTTTTGAGTCAAGTGGTGTGATCTCATCTCACTGTAGCCTCCCGAGTAGCTGGGATTATAGAGTAGCTGGGATTATAGGTGCCCACCATCATGCCCAGCTAATTTTTGTATTTTTAGTAGAGATGGGGTTTTACCATGTTGACCAGCTCCTGACCGCAGGTGATCCGTCCACATCAGCCTCCCAAAATGCTGAGATTACAGGCGTGAGCCACAATGCTTGGCTGCTTTCATCATTTCAGACTGAGCTTGGAGAAGAATCTGAGGAAAAACATGACTTTAAAATTTTGATGAATGGAGAAATCTCTTTCCATTCACCTTCCTTTCCTCTATTTCATTCTTATTTTAAAATATACAAACAAAGATATGGATACATCAGTTATTAAATAAACATCTGTGTGATACCTATCCATGTGAAGAAATAGAGCACTATCACCACCGAGAAGTCATCTGTATGCCCCTAACTGATCCTAAAGTCTTCCTTCCCCTTATTAGTAACAGATATAACAGATATCCACATTACCTGTGGATATCTGCCATCCTCTCCTTGGTTATCTTTATAATTTTATTATGTATTTTATATCTTTTTTTTTTGGGGGGGGGAATGGAGCCTCACTCTGTCACCCAGGCTGGAGTGTAGTGGCATGATCTTGACTCACTGCAACCTCCGCCTCCCAGATTCAAGCGATTCTCATGTTTCAACTTCCCAAGTAGCTGGGATTACAGGCATGGGCCATGTGCCACCATGCCTGGATAATTTTTGTATTTGTACTAGAGATGGGGTTTTGCATGTTGGTCAGGCTGGTTTAGAACTCCTGACCTCAGTGCCTGGCCTTATTATGCATTTTTTATATGCCTAAAGTAAAGTCTGATTTTGCCTGGTTTTTCTCTTACATAATTGGAGTAAAAGTCTGTATCCTGGTGCATCTGGCCCCTTTTACTCAATATTAAGTATCTAAGAGTCACACTTAGCATTGTTTCTGCATTCTATTAAAACAGTACACCAGCCAGGCAGGATGGCTCATGCCTATAATCCCAGCACTTTGGGAGGCCGAGGCAGGCAGATCACTTGAGATCAGGAGTTCCAGACTACCCTAGCCAACATGGTGAAACTCCATCTCTATTAAAACTACAAAAATTAGGCCATGTGGTGGCTAATGACTGTAATCTCAGCACTTTGGGAGGCCAAGGCAGGTGGACCACGAGGTCAGGAGATGGAGACAATCCTGGCGAACATGGTGAAACCACATCTCTACTAAAAATACAAAAAATTAACCAGGCATGGTGACACATGCCTCTAGTCTCAGCTGTTCAGGAGACTGAGGCTGGAGAATCACTTGAATCTGGGAGGCAGAAGTTGCAGTGAGCCGAGTTTGCACCACTGCACTCCAGCCTGGGTGACAGAACTAGACTCTGTTTAAAAAAAAAAAATTAGCCAGCTGTGGTGGTGTGTGCCTGTAATCCCAATTATTTGAGAGGCTAAGGCAGGAGAATCAGTTGAACCTGGGAGGTGGTGGAGGTTGCAGTGAGCCAAGATCGCGCCCTTGTACTCCAACCTGGGCAATAGAGTGACAGTCTCAAAAAAAAAAAAAAAAAAAAAAAAAGCCCAGGCGCAGTGCCTGCCACCTGTAATCCCAGCACTTGGGGAGTCCGAGATAGGTGGATCACCTCAGGACAGGAGTTTGAGACTGGCCTTACCAACAAGGTGAAACCCCATCTCTGCTAGAAATACAAAAATTTACCAGGAGTGGCAGCACGCACCTGTAATCCCAGCTAGTGGGGAGGCTGAGACAGGCGAATTGCTTGAACCCGGGAGGCGGAGGTTGCAGTGAGCCGAGATCGCACCACTGCACTGCACTCCAACCTGGGCGACTAAGCAAGACTCTGTCTCAAAAAATATATATAAATTTATATTTATATACATAAAAGAAGTATAAAAAAATAAAAATAAATAAAAATTGGACCAGTGTGTATCCCTTCATTGTTGGTGGACATGTGGGTTGTGTTCATTTTTGTCAGTTACAAATGATGTTGTTGTGAACATGTTTGTATTTCCATTTGGTTACCATTAGTGTGTATTTATGTATAGTATAAAGCAAGAGGTGAAACCATAGGTTACAGGGTAAACATATCTTCAGTTTTACTAGGTATTATTGGTTTCATCCCAATGTTAACACACCAACTGACAGTCTTACAATGTCTGATAATTCCCTAATCTTTGCATTCTTCTTGACACTTAATTTCGTCAAAATTTTAATTTGAGTCTTTTGGTGGGTATGTGGCAATGATTGTGATATTAATTTACTGTGCCTTTTCTTCTCTGTAACAGGCCCTGTCAAGATATATGTGTGGTGTGGCAGTGGTAGGAGCCCCTAGAGGTAGCATGGGCTTTGTAATCCTTAATCATCCTATGTGAAAAAGTTGGTGGCACAGTTAATTTTTTTTTTTTTTTTTTGAGAGAGAGTTTCACTCTTGTTGCCCAGGCTGGAGTGCAATGGCACTATCTCAGTTCACTGCAACCTCTGCCTCCCAAGTTCAAGTGATTCTCCTGCCTCAGTCTCTCAAGTAGCTGGGATTAGAAGCATGTGACACCACACCCAGCTAATTTTTTGTATTTAGTAGAGATGCGGTTTCACCATGTTTGTCAGGCTGGTCTTGAACTCCTGACCTCAGGTGATCCACCTGCCTCAGCCTCCTAAAGTGCTGGGATTACAGGCATGCACCACTGCACCCTAATATTTCCTGTGTACAATGGTGTAGCCAGGGTGCAAAGCCAGTTCTTAATGATTCTGTCATCCAAATATTATATCTTCTCAATTCCCCTTGAGATATGCTCATTCCTCCATACAATTAAACAATCTCAATTACTCTTGAAGGAGCATAAAATCCTCCCTGTCTAATCATGGGTACTTCCAAATTATTTGTTGACTTTTGTTTAAAATATAAAAAAGAGAACATAGATTTTGTTTTCTTCTTTCTGCTTAACCTGAACAAAATGTCATAGGTACCTCCTAGCCTGTTGCTAAACCAAGGAGAGTCACTTGAGTAATGAACAAGACTGGAGGGAAACTACATGGATAATTTATCATTACACTATCATCACATACATGGAACTCATTAATGAAGCTTATGAAAAAAATTGAGTCATTTGTGGAAAAGTGTAAAGAGAATATACGAGATGTCTCAAGTGAAGAGAAAAAAGCTGCAGAAAATAATTACAAAAAAAGAGTGTGAAGATGTAAACACAAATTCAGAGATTCTGGAGCATGAAGGGCTAAGTTAAGAGAAAAAAGAGTTATCAATATTTTCTTATTCATTATGGAGAGCAGGATGAATTCTTAAAAGGTCAGATAATTGTGAGTCTGATATATCTGATGATAATTTGTATTTTTTATTTCTAATGTTGTAAATGGTTGTTAATTCAAAGTCATTATTCCTATTTCCTTTAGACTAGTGACCATGAGTTTGACTGACAAAAATCCACTGGGTTAGTATTGTTATCTATGTGTGTTCATCACGTTATGTGTTAAAATAAATCCATCAATTTTTATCTTGTGTTCGTTTTCATTTTAGTTTAGTTTCTTTGGGACAGGGTCTCACTCTGTCACCCAGGCTGGAAGTGCGGTGGCATGATCACAGCTCACTGCAGCCTCTACATCTCCAGGCTCAGGTGATCCTCCTACCTCAGCCTCCCAAGTAGCAGGGACTACAGGCATGAGCCACCACACCTGGCTAATTTTTGTATTTTTTGTAGAGACGGGGTTTTGATATGTTGCTCAGGCTGGTCTCAAACTCTTGGACTCAAGTGATCTGCCCACCTCAGCCTCCCAAATTGCTGGGATGACTGGCATGCACCACTGTCCCAGCCTGTTTTCATTTTATTAATTGGCTGATTCATTCAGACACATAATTATCAAGTCAAATCTCACTCTTTCCTTAGCATTTCCCTACAGTTTAGCTGAGAAAATCTATTCCTATTTTAAAACATATACGATTATTCTAGTGTGGTGGCACATGCCTGTAATCCCAGCTACTCAGGAGGCTGAGGCAGGAGTATCATTTGAACCCGGGAGTGATATAGTGATTATATATAGTATATAACTATATAGTGATTATAGTTTATAATTTTAACTATATCATGTCTCCTGCCTCATAAGTACCACTGGACAAGGTCCCTTTTATGTACTCAGCTTCTGTTAGAGGTAAATGTATTTTGAAGTGGAGAACAAAGATAAGTGCAAAATTGGAATGGAGAACTAAGGTAATTATGAAAGTTCCAGATATGAAGAGAGAGGGCTCAATATGCCAGCAGTTCTCTACCAATCCATCCTAGTGGTCTTTTTTTAGGATTGCCTAAATAATGCAGGAGATGGGTGCAAGACACACAAGTGTTCCAGAAGCATGTAAACAAGGTACAGAGAAGAGGATAAGATAAAATAAGATGAGATAAGAATATTAGGAATGCCTTGTTCAGAAGATTGCCTACAGAGGCAAAAGGGACAGTTTCATTTTGCTGAGGGAAACAGGGTGGTAAGAACCCTCCTGGGGAAGACCCCCACTTACCCTGATACAGAAAGAAGGTGTAAAATATCATAATGGGAGAGCATTAGGCTGAGATAGCTCCCATGGCCAGGGTTCCTACATAGACAAAATGAAACAAGCTTAGCCCATCAGCAAGTGGCCCGCTGAGTATTAGCTGTGTAATGAGAGACCTACCACCAGGATAGTTCAAATAATGCAACTGCCCAAATTTTTGCCAACCAAATAATTTCTCTACTCTACTTCTATATTCACCCTATAAAAGCCTTCCTTACAAACACCTCCAGTAGATCCTTCAACCACTTTCAGTTTGGAGCTGCCTGATCCATGAATCTCTGTTTGCTCAAATAAACTCTTTAAAAATTTAATATGCTTAAGTTTATCTATTTTTTTCTCATTTTTAAAAATTGAGATGGATCTTCCTATGTTGTCCAGGCTGGTCTTAAACTCCTGAACCCAAGGGATCCTCCTGCCTCAGCCTCCTGAGTAGCTGGAATTATAGACATGTGCCTCCACACCCAGCTTACATTTATCTTTAAACAAGGTTTTGACCCCTTTCTGAAATATATTTCTGTGAAGACCTGTACCCTCAGTGATATGGCAGGCTCATTTTAGACCATTGAGCACTTTTGTCTCTGGACCACAATTTGCCCTTTGTGACCTGCTCTCCTAAGAAATTCAAGTGTAACTCAAGTTAGTTTACCCTCTGCTGATCAGGGGAGATTGCTCTCGGTGCAAGTTCAAGACAGGCACTCACACCTTCATTCATACCCCAAATCTCAGCATCACACAATACACCCATGTAATAAACCTGCACAGGTACCCTCCGGAATCTAAAATGAAAGTTGAAATTCATTAAAATTTTAATTTCATCTTATTACAAAACAAAGATAAATTTACTTCTTTCCAATTTTGATATATATATTATACTGACATACACACTGTATTCTATGGTGAATTATACTGATTGAATTTCACATTTTAAACTAACACTGAATTACTGTGAAAAACTCTATTGGGTCATAATGTATTATGTTTTTAATATATTTTAATACAATTTGCAAAAATTTTGTTTTAAAATTACATCTATGTTCCATAAATAAATAAATATGTAAAAATAATAAGTGTATTATTCAAGTGAAGATTATAGCGATCTTTTTGAATATCTACTTAACCTCAACTAGTTTTAATTCAGAAGTAGCAACTCCATAGAAATTCAACTTATTACTACCTTATTACTCATACTTGTCTCCTTGAAGAAGCTTCATTGCTATCACACAGTTTAGACTGGGATGTCATAAATCTCTAGACTGAGTAGTATAATATTCATGGTTCAAATAAGATCAAATTATTATTACAATGTTATGACACATCCAAATACAAAAAGCAAGCCCATGGATGTCAGGTTAAGGTATAGAGACAAATATTTCTACTTACTATCTTTTAGGGCAGACATATCCCAGCCAAGCTGATTGCAAAATGAAATGGAAACCATATGGTGGAAGGGGACTTAGGACTCACACAGATTGTATTTTCATTCCAACCCTTACATACACAAGCTGCATGACTCTGGGTAGATTGCATATTCTCTTAGAGTTTCAATTTCCTCATCTGTGCAATGGCAGTTAATGCCTATGGGCTATGGTTGATGTGGGGATAAAAGAACCAACACGGATGCATGGGCAGGGCCTGGTCCATAGAGCAACTGGCATCAATAAATGGAAGCCCCTTCCCATCTTGTCTTTGTGTGCACTACAAAATCCAGAATATGTGGGTATAAAAAGTACTCTTAAAAGAGACATAATTGGAAACTTTTGCAAAAAGAGATTGGAAAGTTGTCACATCTTGTGGCATGAGGAGTTGTGGGCATACATTTGAACTTTGTGCTGTGAGATATCCACAGAACTTCAGTAGCTTAAGAGAACAGTTTAGATGTCATCTTATTCATCTACCATAGAACTTCCTCTTCTTCTCTGAGATTTCTAGACAGTAACTTTTACAGCTCTAATAATGCAGTTCTCTCCCAATTGTTTGGACTATTCTAATAGATACAAAGCAGTATTTCACCAGAAGATGCTACTGCAGTTTGTATGATGATTTCAAACTGAGAATCCATTTAAAGTTATGCAATACTTTTTTTGGAAATAGGGTGAAAGTAGTTTAAGTTCAAAATCCTATAAAATAGGTTTACAGTAAAAAATTACTTGTTGCAATATCTATCATACTATCTTATATTCACATATGTATTGGTGTCCTAATACATATGTATGAGAGTGAAAAATTACCTGAGGTCAGAGACTGTGCCATATGTTCCCTGCACCACTGGTGCCTATCTCAGCACATGGTATACAGTAGATGCTCAATAAATACTTTCACTTAAAAAACACACTAAGAATAAATATTATTAGACATCAAAATACATATGAGTACAATCTAGGGACATGGTCAGGAGCTCAAAATTCAATCTTATTTATTTTTTATTTGGAGACAGAATCTCACCTGTTGCCCAGGCTGGAGTTCAGTGGCATGATCTCAGCTTACTGCAACCTTCCTCTACTGGGTTCAAGTGATTCTCCTGCCTCAGCCTCCAGAGTAGCTGGGATTACAGGTGCACACCAACATGCCTGGCTAATTTTTTTGTATTTTTAGTAGGGTTTCACCATGTTGGTCAGGCTGGTCTCAAACTCCTGAGCTCAGGCAATCTGCCCACCTTGGTCTCCCAAAATGCTGGGATTACAGGTGTCAGCCACCACTCACAGCCACAAAATGTTTTAAAGTAGCTTCAAAGCCCATTTGCAAATAGATGTATTCATAACAAGATGCAAACAAGAAAACATTGAGCTTTATATAATAGAAGGGTTCTGCCTGGATTTGCATGTGGCCCCATCATTTGTTTGCTGTTGGGCCATGGTCAGGTTACTTAGCTGCTCTCTGCCTCCACATAGGCTTTATGCCTGTGCATCCCTCATCTACAAAATGGGAATAATAAGAATATCTCACAATTAGAAGTGGAGAAAATGTATGTAAAGGCCTTTGAAAAGAGCTTGTGAAAGCTCAATAATTGTCCTCAATAATTGCTCTCAATAATTGTCAGCTATCATTCAATAATAATCATAATCATAAAAATGTATGACTCAAAGAAAGATTCTGACTTCATATCCAGCTTCCCAAAATAGTCAGACACTGGACCTGTGAAAGGAATGACATTGAGATGTATTTTCACATTGCTAAGTTGGTTTTTTCTTTGCCATTCAATTTCTGCAGTCCCTACTCTAAGCCCATGGTCCACATTTTTATCTTTCCTCCTAAGATGTCTTCCCTTCTTGTAAGATTTACTTTTCCTTAAAAAGGGCCCTTTTCATCCACCCACTCTTTTGCCCTTCCCAGAAGTTGGTTAATGGGCACAAAAATACAGTTAGATGGAAGGAACAGAAGAATTTCTAGTGCTCAATAACACAGTAGGGTGACGATCATTAACAATAACATATATTTCAAAATGACTACAGGAAAGATGTGGAATGTCCTCAACACAAATAAATGATAAATGTTTGAGGTGATGGATATGCAAATTATCCTGATTTGATCACTACACAGTGTATGCACGTATGAAAATATCACACGTACCCTAGAAATATGTATAATTGCCATGTATCAATAAAAATAAAAGGGCCTATTTCTCTTTCCTTCCTCCCTGCATTCCCTCCTGTCCCAGATATGTGTTGTTCCTGGTGCTCTCCTGTCCCTCTTTCAGCCAGCACTGAGCCAGCAGGAAGGATCTCACAGGTCATATCCTGAGATCAACCCTCCACCTCTTCAGGTAATAATAGTCCTCTTGCTTTTAGTCATTTATATCCTTTGGTTCATAGATATTTTGAGTCAAGTGCCTTCTAACCACTGATCTACATAATATTCCTTGGTTTTTAAAGATAATACAAAGTGAATTTTAGTAACAATCTTGAGTCATCACAGAAGCTAATGAAGTTGGGGATTCCACGAAGCCATCCAAGCATATAGAGCCCATTTCCCTGGGTCCCTTTTCCTTAGCTCAAGGCCACAAAAAATCAGAACTTGAATTCCAGCCCACATTTGCATTATGTCTAAATGATTATGAGTTATAAATGAAGCTAACAAATAATTAAATATGTTCTATTCTCCTACTTCGATAAATGTACTGCCATAATAACCCACAAGGTCAAAGTCAAGTGTAGAATTCTCTGATTTCTTGGTGCTCTGCACAGGAATGTCGTAGTAAAGGGAGAGCCGATCCTCAGCCCCAGGCTAAACTTTTTTCTTTCATCGTAGGTAACCCTGTCCGCACTTGAGAAGCTTTGCGTACCCCTGTGTGGGGGACTCCCTAGGCCCCATGCAAGCTCCATCCACAATTCTCACCCCTTCAGACAGCAGAGCCTTGGGCACCATTTGGACAAGCACAGTTTGCGCTTTGAAATGGACCCAGGGAAGAGGCCATGCAGGCTCAGGCACATTTCGCCAGGGCCCTGAGTGCCCAGCGTGTGCCCTAGAAGAGAGGGTGAGAGCTCTGGGTGGGCCAGGGTACAGTCAGTGGAGGGCCAGAGAGGCACCTTCTAAAGTGCAGGATTCAGGGTAGGGTTCCTCTTGCCCAGATTGATGGCTACGATTGCTTAGTGCAATGGCGTCTGTGTCATGTCTTCTCAGCTCACCTTTCATTCAGTCTCAGCCACTGTGGGAAGTTCCATGGAAGCGCAGGCTTCCCTTGTGCTGCCAGCAAACTCAAGCTACACTTTCTGCCCTAGGGCATCTCCATTATTGTAGGATTTTGCCTGAGCACAAATACAGCCCAGAAGCACTTGCAGGTTAACAGCCTCAGGGGAAGACCTCAACCAGTGTGGGACAGGTGGACAAATGCTGCAGGCTCATGTTTCAGGTGGACAGTTCTGGATAACTTTCCGGAGCCTCTCGGAAGGTCCTGCAGAAAAAACTGCATGGCAGGAGCCTCAATAGCATGTCATTTTGGCTTTTCTTTCTTGCCTGGCTCACTCTTCCCACTTCTGACTCTTGCTTCTTGGAATCACTTCCCAAATAAACCACCCACACCCAAGTCCTTACTCCAGCTCTGCTTCTAGGGATACAGGCACACCTTGGAGATATTGCAGGTTTGGTTCTAGGTAACCACAATAAGGTGAATATCACAACAGCGCAAGTCACACGAAATTTTCTGCAAGTCACACAAAATTTTTTGCTTTCTGGTGCATATAAAAGTTATGTTGCCAGGCATGGTGGCTCATGCCTGTAATCCCAGCACATTGGGAGGCCGAGGCGGGTGCATCACCTGAGGTCAGAAGTTCGAGACCAGCCTGGCCAACATGGTGAAACCCTGTGTCTACCAGAAATACAGAAATGGTGGTGTGCACCTGTAGTCCCAGCTCCTCAGGAGGCTGGGGCAGGAGAATTTTTTGTACCTGGGAGGCAGAGTTTGCAGTGAGCCAAGATCACACCATTGCACTCCAACCTGGGCAACAGAGCCAGACTCCAACTCAAAAAAAAAAAAAAATAGTTATGTTTAAGCTACTGTAGTCAATTAAGTGTGCAATAGCATTATGTCTAAAATATTATGTATATACCTTACTTTGAAAATACGTGATTGCCAAAAAATGCTAACCATCATCTGGGCCTTCAGCAAGTCATCATCATTTTGCTGCTGGGTGGTCTTGTCTCAATGTTGATAGCTACTGACTGATCAGGGTGGTGGTTGCTGAGGGCTGGAGAGGGAGTGGCAATTTCTTAAAATAAGATGACAATGAATTTTATCGCATTAACTGACTCTTCCTTTCACAAAAGATTTCACTGTAGTGTGCTACGCAGTTTGGCAGCATTTTACCCACTGTAGAATTTATATCAAAATTGGAACCAATCCTCTCAAACCCTGCCATTCCTCTATCAACTAAGTTTATAGGATATTCTAAGTCCTTTGTTGTTCTTTCCACAATGTTCACAGCATTTTCACCAGGAGTAGATTCCATCCCAAGAAACCACTTTCTTTCCTCATTCATAATAAGCAACAATAATATATTATTTTATATATATTATATATGTATTATATAATCTAAATTATATATACCATATAACATCATATAATAATATATAATGTAATATATATTATATTATGTATTATTATAATGTAATATATATTATATTATGTATTATTATAATATAATATGTATTATAATATTATGTATTATATAAGCAAAAGTGATATCCCTTGGTTTTTAAAGATAATACAAAGTGGATTTTAGTAACAATCTTGAGTTGTCACAGAAGCTAAAGAAGTTGGGGATTCCATGAAGCCATCCAAGCATATAAATTCCATCTCCCTGGGTCCCTTTTCCTTAGCTCAAGGCCACAAAAAATCAGAACATGAATTCCAGCCCACATTTGCATTATGTCTAAATAATTATGAGTTATAAATGAAGCTAACAAATAGTTAAATGTGTTCTATTCTCCTACTTTGATAAATATACTGCCATAATCACCCACAAGGTCAAAGTCGAGTGTAGAATTCTCTGATTCCTTGGTGCCCTGCAGAGGAATGTCGTAGTAAAGGGAGAGCCGATCCTGAGCCCCAGGCTAAACTTTTTCCATCTAATTCCATTTATTTCCATTAAGATTGCAGCAATTTGGCTGGGTGTGGTGGTTCATGCCTGTAATCCCAGCACTTTGGGAGGCTGAGGCAGACGGATTATCTGCAGTTGGGAGTTTGAGACCACCCTAACCAACATGGTGAAACACCTTGTCTACTAAAAATACAAAATTAGCTGGATGCGGTGACACATGCCTATAATGCCAGCTACTCAAGAGGCTGAGGCAGGAGAATCACTTGAACCCAGGAGGCAGAGGTTGTGGTGAGCCGAGATCACGCCATTGCACTCCAGCCTGGGCAATAAAGCAAAACTCCATCTCAAAAAAAAAAAAAGATTGCAGCAATTCACTCACATCTTCAGGCTCCACTTGTAATTCTAGTTCTCTTGCTATCTTCACCACAACTGTGGTTACTTCCTCTGCTAAGGTCTTGAACCCCTCAAAGTCATTTATGAGGGTTGGAATCAACTTCTTCCAAACTCCTATTAATGCTGCTATTTTCACCTCCTCTGGTGAATCATGAATGTTCATAGTGGCATCTATCATAGTGAATCCTTTCCAGAAGGTTTCCAATTGACTTTGCCCAGATCCATCAAAGGAATCATGACCTATGGCAGTAACAGCCTTATAAAATATATTTCTCATATAATAAGGCTTGAAAGTCAAAATGATGCCTCAATCCATGGACTACAGAATAGATGTTGTGTTGGCAGGCATGAAACCAGCATGCGTTTCCCTGTACATCTCCATTAGACCTCTTTAGTCACCAGGTACATTGTCAAAAAGCTGAAGTATTTGAAATGAATCTTTTTTTCTGAGCTGTAGGTCTCAACAGTGGGATTAAAATACTCAGTAACCCATGCGGTAAACAGCTCTGATATCATCCAAGTGTTGTTGTTCCATTTATAGAGCATGGGTAGAGTAGATTTAGCATAATTCTTAAGAGGTGCCCTAGGATTTATGGAATAGCAAATGAGCATTGGCTTGTAACAAGAAAGTCAGCCTGTCCTTTAAATCTTTTTTTTTTTTTTCTTGATATAAGGTCTCAATCCATTGCACAGGCTGGATTGCAGTGGCATGATCTTGGCCCACTCCATACTTGACCTCCTTGGCCCCATAATCCTCCCACCTCAGCCTCCTGAGTAGCTGGGACTAGTAGCATGCACCACCATACATGGCTTATTTTTTTTTATTTAATTATTTTTTGTTAGAGACAGGGTTTCACCATGTTGCCCAGGCTGGTCTGAAGCTCCCAAGCTCAAGCCATTCTCCCACTTCAGCCTCATAGAGTGCTGGGATTACAGGCATGATCCACCCTGTCTGGCCTCTAAATTCATGTTATGGACACTCATTTTCATGGTTAAAATGTCCTGAATTGACTGTGGCCTGTTGGGAGGTGGGATGGAGGAAACTACTTATGGAAAATGAAGAAGAAAGGGAAGCACATCAGAAGGAAGAAAGTGTCATCAATTTTTACATCAAGAACTCCATGATAAAGAGAAAGTACAGGTGGCCTGTTATCATGGCTGACCATTGGACTGTAGACTGCACCTGCATCTACCAGGTTCTTCTGGAT
Organism: Homo sapiens; assembly: GCF_000001405.40. NCBI lineage: Eukaryota > Metazoa > Chordata > Mammalia > Primates > Hominidae > Homo > Homo sapiens. Next base: position 57,810,248 of record NC_000007.14, read on the forward strand.
AGTCCCAGTTTTAAATTTTTGACCCGATATTCATGAACACAGTGCTACTGGTCAGAACTTTGTCCAGGTTTAAGCTTCAGAACATAATGTCTTCATGCATTGGGAGGCCTGGTTATGGTTATGATTCTGCCCTGGGGCATCTGCCCCTTCTGACCTGGAGGTAAACTTGGCATCTACTACTTACCTCCACAATTGAACAGCCAAGGATGGGCTGAGCACAGAGGCTCACATCTGTAACTCCAGCACTTTGGGAGGCCAAGGCAGGAGGATCACTTAAGGCCAGGAGTTCAAGACCAGCCTGGGCAATATAGTGAGATCTCGTCTCTGTAAAAACAAACAAACAAAACTGAGGATGGGTGGGTGACAGGGAGCAGTTCAACATGGGAAACCATTAATCTGAGAGGTGGAAGGACCCTTAGACCAGCCCCCCATTAACAGATGAGACTCTGCCCTGAGATTATAGCCTAAGGTAATGCATTGAGCTTTTCTAGAGATTTGAAAATAATCAATCCTAAAACCCCCAAGCATACTGCTACTGTTTGCTATTGAATAATGTTTTCTAGTCTGGGTGTGGTGGCTCCTGCCTGTAATCTCAACACTTTGGAAGGTTGAGGCAAGTGGATCACCTGAGGTCAGGAGTTCAAGACCAGCCTGGCCAACATGGTGAATCCCCATCTCTACAAAAATACAAAAAATTAGCAGGCCATCTTGGTGCATGCCGGTAATCCCAGCTGCTTGGGAGGCTGAGGCAGGAGAATCCTTTGAACCTGGGAGGCAGAGGTTGCAGTGAGCTGAGATCACACCATCACACTCCAGCCTGGGCTACAAGAGTCAAATTCCATCTCAAAAATAATAATGATAATAATAATGTTTTCTACAAGAAAGGAGTTACTTTGTACTGTGAACTGATGTGAAGGGACCCGCCATGTGTAAGCTTTTGGATTGATGACAGTTATTTCTAGATTACAGAGGTGGGAATGCTTGTTGATCATCTTCTATGTTCTTTGTTATATTGATTGATTTTTTAAAATTAGCATTTTTATAACAATAAAGTCATAAAAATAAGTAACTAAAATAAAGTAGTCTAAAAGGCCGAGCATGGTGGCTCATGCATATAATCCCAGCACTTTGGGAGGCCGAGGTGGGTGGATCCCCTGAGGTCAGGAGTTCGAGAGCAGCCTGGCCAACATGGTGAAACCCCATCTCTACTGAAAATACAAAAATTAGCCGGGTGTGGTGGCAGGCACCTGTAATCCCAGCTACTTGGGACATTGAGGCAGGAGAATCACTTGAACCCAGGAGAAGGTGCTTGCAGTAAGCTGAGATTGTGCCATTGCACTCCAGCCTGGGTGACAAGAGCTAAACTCCATCTCAAAACAAAACAAAACAAAAATCTAAATGTAATTGAGTTGAATATTTAAACTTTTAATTGACATTTCAAATTAGATTATAATTCCATTTAAAAGAGCATCTCATAGAAGCAAATGTACTCAATTATATTAACTCTGTGGTATCATTTAAGCAATTCATTTTGTGAAGGGACACAAATCCAACCAGATTTTAACAGTGTATAAATATGTATTTATTAATTTAAGTACAACGACAATACTCTCAACTCCCCATTTGAATAAAGGAGAGCATCTGATCTGTGTTCTGGGACAGCGTGCACTATAGGTGTGTGGAAATACCGATGCCCTCAGCTGTGTGGCAGGCTCAGTGGGACCTGGAGTGCAGAAGCCCCTGGGCCATTCACCTCTGGCCACAAAAGTCATTGTCCATTTACCCCCAACTGCTATAGAAATACTATTTTCAGTGGTTGTTATGATGCAAAAGAAAAGAAGCAGGGAGATTTATTAAACTTTTACATATAAGATATGTTAGTAAATAAAGGCTACTTTCTTCTGGCTTAACTAAAAATCTATACTAGTATTTATGCCTTTTGGAAATTAGAGATGCCAATTTAAATATCATGAAGCAAAGCAACTGAGTATTAGGTAAGACAGACAAGTACAATTGCAGAATTGTAGAGCTTATGTGTTACATGTATAAGAATATTTCACAGCAATAATCTTTTAAGACTCTGTGAAGACACTCCACAGTGAAGCAGAAATTAGAACAGAATTAATAATACTGTGTATGCTCTTAGTTCACCAATTTATCAAAACTAGCTTTATGATTCAGGAGGGTGTCTGGCTCTTTTGCAATGGGAAGAAAAGAAATAATATTTTATTTTTTGACTCTTTAGATTTTCTTCACTAACAGTATTTCCAAGGCTAAGTAAGGGGGTTGCAAGTAACACCAAGAGAAAAAAGAAGTCTTGAGCAGCTTTTTAAAAATGGTCTTAAAATATGGAAAATGAAGCCAGGTGTGTTGGCTCACTCTTGTGATCCCAGCACTTTGGGAGCCTGAGATGGGAGGATTGCTTGAGGCCAAAAGTTTGAGACCAGCCTGGGCATCATAGCAAGATCCCCATCATTGCAAAAAATAATAATTTTTTAAAAAAATTAGCTGGATGTGGTGATGCATGCCTTAGAGTCCCAGTTATGTGGGAGGCTGAGGTAGGAGGAGCTCTTGAGCCCAGGAGTTCAAGTCTGAAGTGAGCTATGATTGCACCACTGTCCTCAAGCCTGGGCAACAAAGTGAGACCTCTCTCTCTCTCTCTCTCTCTCTCTCTCTATATATATATACATATATATATATATATATATATATGTGTGTGTGTGTGTGTGTGTGTGTGTGTGTGTGTGTGTGTGTGTGTATGAAAAGGGAAGGGGCCAAGTATATCAAAGACATTGAAGAAGAGGAAAGATTTGTCCTGCCAAATATCAGAACTTTTATAAAGCTACTGCAATTAAGACAGTGTGGTTCTCACTGATAAATTGACTAATGAAACAGGATAGAGAGTTCCCAAGCAAATCTCCACAAATTTAATCTTTGATATGTGATGTAGGTGAAATGGCAGATCAGCAAGGAAAGAAAGGGCTTTTCAATAAATAGAATAGAAAAATAATGGTTATCGATATAAGAAACAAAATGAAATTATATTCCTACTTCACTCTATATACAAACATTAAATTCCAGACGGACAAAAGACTTACATGTCAGAAACAAAACTTTAAACTTTTCGTAGAAAATGTAAGTGAATGAGACACAAAAAGCCATTTAACCATTAAAAAAGATTAGACATTTTGACTATCACAAAATCAAGAACTTTTTACATCAAAAAGTGGAAAGATAGGCTGGGCACAGTGTCTCAAGCCCGTCATCCCAACAGTACATCACCTGAGGTCAGGAGTTTGAGACCAGGCTGGCCAACGTGGTGAAACCCCATCTCTACTAAAAATACAAGAAATTAGCGGGGTATTAGTGGCAGACACCTGTAATCCCAACTACTTGGGAAGCTGAGGCACGAGAATGGTCTGAACCCGGGAAGTGGAGGTTGCAGTGAGCCACTGCACTCCAGCTTGAATGACAGAGTGAGACTCTGTCTCAAAAACAAAAAATAGAAATTAAAAAATAAAGTAAAATAGTGAAAAGATAAACTATGAATTAGAGAAGATATTTGCAGTAACTGAAACCTATGAAAGAGTTAATATCGTATCAACTAAGTATAAGGAGCTCCTATGAATTAATTTTAAAAATAGCAACCCAACAGAAAGTTGGGAAAAGACATTAATAGGGATTTCACAAAAGAGAAAGCCTGCAAAACATAAAAATTTTCTCAAGCTCATTAGTAATCAGGGAAATGCACAAGATACTACACATCTATTCTCTCCACAAATATTAAGAAGTTTGACAATACGAAATGTATTAGCCCATATTCACACTGCTGATAAAGACATAACCGAGACAGGGAAGAAAAAGAGGCTTAATTGGAGTAAGGGTTCCACATGGCTGAGGAGGCCTCAGAGTTATGGCGGTGGATGAACAACACTTCTTACATGTCAGTGGCAAGAGAATATGAGAAGGAGGAAAAAGAAGCAAAAGACGAAACCACTGATAAACCCATCAGATCTTGTGAGATTTACTCACTATCACAAGAATAGCATGGGAAAGACCGGCCCCAAAGATCCAACTACTTCCCCTGCTTCCCTCCCTGAACACATGGGAATCCTGAGCAATACAATTCAAGTTGAGATGTGGGTAGGGACATAGTCAAACCATATTATTCTGCTCCTGGCCCCTCCAAATCTCATGTCCTCACACTTCAAAACAGATCATGCCTTCCCAACAGTCCCTCAAAGTCTTAACTCATTTCAGCATTAACCCAAATGTCTGCTGTCCAAAGTCTCATCTGAGACAAGGCAAGTCTCTTCTGCCTATGACCCTGTAAAATCCAAATCAAGCTAGTTACTTCCTAGATACAATGGGGGTACAGGTAATTGAGTAAATACAGCTGTCCCAAATGGGAGAAATTTGCCAAAACAAAGGGGTTATAGGCCTCATGCAAGTCCAAAATCCAGCAAGGTAGTCAAATTTTAAAGCTCAAAATGATCTCCTTTGACTCCATGTTTCACATCAAGGTCATGCTGATGCAAGAGGCAGCCTCTCACAGCCTTGGGTAGTTCTGTCCCTGTGGCTTTGCAGGGTATAGCCCACCTCGTGGCTGTTTTCATGGGCTGATGTTGAGTTGGGCTGATGTTGAGTGTCCGCAGCTTTTCCAGGCTCATGGTGCAAGATGTTAGTGAATCTACCATTCTGGGGTCTGGAGGAGAGTGGCCCTCTCCTCACAGCTCCACTAGGAAGTGCCCCAGTAGGGACTCTGTGTAGGGGCTCCAACCCCACATTTCCCTTCTGCACAGCCCTAGCAGAGGTTCTCCATCAAAGCACCACCCCTGCAGTAAACTTCTGCTTGGACATCCAGGTGTATTCAAACATCCTCTGAAATCTAGGTGGAGGTTTCCAAACCTCAATTCTTGACTTCTATGCATGTGCAGGCTGAACACAACGTGGAAGGTGCCAAGGCTTGGTGCTTGCACTCTCAAGGCCATGGCCTGAGTTCTATGTTTTCCCCTTTCAGCCATGGCTGGAGGGGCTGAAACGCAGAGAAACAAGGCCCTAGGGTACACACCACACAGTGAACCTGGCCCAACCCAGAAATCCATTTTATCCTCCTAGGCCCCAGGCTTGTGATGGGAGGGGCTGCTGTGATGACCTATGACATGTCCTGTAGACATTTTCCCCATTGTTTTGGGGATTAACATTCAGCTTCTTGTTACTTATGCAAATTTCTGCAGAGAGCTTGAATTTATCCTCAGAAAATGGGATTTTCTTCTCTATCACATTGTCAGGCTGCAAATTTTCCAAAACCGTATGCTCTGCTTCCTTTACAAAACTGAAGGTCTTTAACGTCACCCAAGTCACCTCTTTAATGCTTTACTGCTTAGAAATTTCTTCCAGTAGATACTCTAAATTATCATTCTCAAGTTCAAAGTTCCACAAATCTCTAGGACAGGGGCAAAATGCTGCCATTCTCTTTGCTAAAACATAACGAGAGTCACCTTTGCTCCAGTTCAAAATAAGTCCCTCATCTCCATCTGAGACCACCTCGGCCTGGACCTTATTGTTCAAAACACTATCAGCATTTTTGTCAAAGCCATTCAGCAAGTCTCTAGGAGGTTCCAAATTTTCCCACATTTTCCAGTGTTCTTCTGAGCCCTACAAACTGTTCCAACCTCTGCCTGTTACCAAGTTTCAAAGTCGCTTGCACATTTTTGGGTATCTTTTCAGGAGCACCCCACTCCACTGGTATCAATTTACTGTATTAGTCTGTTTTCACACTGCTGATAAAGACATACCCAAGTCTGAGAAGAAAAAGAGGTGTAAAGAAAAAGAACTGTAATTGGATTTACAGTCCCACATGGTGGGGGAGGCCTCAGAGTCATGGCAGGAGGTAAAAGTCACTTCTTACATGGCAGCAGCAAGAGAAAATGAGGAGGAAGCCAAAGCAGAAACTCCTGATAAACCCATCAGATCTCATGAGACTTATTCACTATCATGAGAATAGCACAGGAAAGACTGGCCTCCGTGATCCAATTACCTCACCCTGGGTCCCTCCCATAACATGTGGGAATTCTGGGAGATAGAATTCAAGCTGGGATTTGGATGTGGACACAGCCAAACCATATCACCAAATATGGAGAGACTGTGGATCAACAAGATCATCTCGAACTAATACAGGAGGTGAGAGTTTAAATTAGAACAACCACTTTGGAAAGCAATTTGGATTCTTATAAACTTGAGCATTCTCATATGTTATGGCAAAGTAATTCCTCTACCATAGGCCCTGGAGAAACTCTTGCCCATATGTACAAGAAGTAGTAAAAAAAAAAAAAATGCTCATGTAATGCCATTCATAATAGCAAAAATCTGGAAATAAGCCAAATGTTCATTAATAGGAGAATGGGTAAATTAATAGGAGAATGGGTAAATAAATTATACCCTTAAAAACTAAATAATATGTCATTTAGGGTAATCATATGTATGCAATAAAACAATTTTTTTTTTAAAGGAAGAGAATCCTAAACATAAATTCAGGGTAGTAGTTACCCTCGGGCTGAAGGGTGAAAATCGGGAAAAAGGACAGAGGAGGAGATGTTAGGGTCAGAACCCTAGTTCTTTGGTTGTGTTGTAAGTTCACAAGTAATTACCATGTTGTTCAAATACATTTACACAGAGGCCCAGGCACAGACAAGGATGAAATGGAGCCAAGGTATGCTATGAGCCAAGGATTATGATTAATCCAATTTTGTGCACTTTAAGCCATTTGAAAAACAGAAAAGCAAAACAACAAAATAATTTTTAAGAAATTGAATATAGGGTGCTATGCTCTGAATGTGTCCCCCTAAAATTAATCACCAATGTCATAGGATTAGGAAGTAGGGCTTTTAGCTAGTGATTCAGTCATGAAGGGAGAGTCTTCACGAATGAGTTTAGGATCCTTACACAAGGACTGGAGGGAGTGGGCTTCCCCTGTTTTGCCCTTCCACCTTCTACCATGTGAGGACACAGTGCATTTCCTCCTGAAGACACAGTGCTCAAGATAGCATCTTGGATGCAGAGACCAGACCCTCACCAGACACCAATCCTGCTGGCACCTTGATCTTGGACTTCCAGCCTATGGAACTGTGAGAAATACATTTCTGTTCTTCAGAAATTACCCAACCTAGTGTATTTTCTTATATAGTAGCACAAACTCATTAAGGCACAATGCCTCTTGTCATTTTCTTCTACAATTTTCTTTGTTGCCTCTTTAGCACTGGGTCATTTTATATTTGATCCTTCATAATATGTCTTACTTTTGGTTTTTCACATTTCTGTTCCAAGTGTATTCTTAGATACATATTTTCCACTATTATTTAGCCTCAGGGGTTGCCTGGGAGTGTGTGTTTCTGTGCCACTGCAGTGGGACTCTGTGTGTGTGTGTGTCTCCCATTATCTCTTCTCTGTCTCTCACCCTCTGTGTGTTTCTTTCCCTCTCTCTATCGGTCTGCGTGTGTGTGTATGTGTTTGTGTGTGTATGCCCGTGTGCGTGTGTGTCTTTGGAAGAATGTGCTCTGTTCGCCAAAATGTGATTTTTTGCATGTCTCCCAGTCTTTGGTTAGCCTCTTTCTGTGTCTCTGCCTGGGTCCTGTGGCCGGTTGCCCATCATTTTCACGGTGGTTCCACTTTGGGTTTGTGAAGGCCTCGATCATGTGAGGAGATGCGTCGGTCCCAGAGCAATCAAAGTCTCATCCCCATCCTGAGCGGCCTCTTTTCTAGGATCAAGAGGACCACACTCCAGCCCAGGACAAAACCCCACAGCAGCACATTGTCCGGCAGGAGAGGAGCAGACCCACCTTCAAGAAGATGGTTGTACCCCTGCACGGCTCTTCTCTGAGCAATGAAGCCAAACCACGATACAATTCTGAAGAGGAAGCCGGGAATGGGAGACAGCAACAATCCCTGTCCCTGGAACACTGGCCTCTCTGGACAAGTCACATGTTTCGCACTCCTCCCCTTATGCCCGTGGCGATGGCAAGGTTCTGTAACCTGCCTGGGCTCTGGCCTCTGCTCTGTCCTCCCTCTTGCTCTGTCTCCCCTGTTTCTGAGGGGTCTAGTTGCCTCTTGGTCTGGCTGAATAACTTATACGAAGATCGCTTCCCAGTCCATCAGGGAGACACTTCCTGGAGATCCGTGTCATGACTCTTTCTCTCTCCAAACCTGTTTCTGCTGGATTAGGCAGGTCTGATGAGCCTGGAACACTTGGCTTCCATACGTGTCTCAGACAGGGAAGCTTCCTTGGTCTCCTTGTTTCACCTCATGGGTGGGTGGATTCCCTAGAATGAGCGCTAGGTGACCGTGACTGGCCTTGTCTTTTAGGACAGATGGTGTCCCATTACCTCTGCACGTCCAGTCTCACAAATGAGGGATATCCTCTCCTCTGCGCATAGGTGGACTGACTCCCTGAATCTTTTGGCTGTAACGAATGTCAGGAAACCAAAGGAACTGGGCTGGCCCTGGGGAAGGGGTTGGGGCTGGGTGCAGGGAAGGTTGTGTCAGGGCTACCTGGGCAGGGGAGGCTTCGGGGTGGGGTGAATGTTGCAGAAAACTCCTTGCTCCTCTGGCAGGCATTTCAAAATGCGGCTTGGACTGAGGCCCAGGCCTCCTCCTTATTCCCAGGTGTCCTTTGATTTTCCTTCGAGCTCAGGGAAAGGCCACTTGTTCCGCCTTTCCACTGGGCACATGCCTGGACACCAGTGTTGGTTTCGCCATCACAACATATGCCTCCGGTGACACACATTCACACCATCTGCTGTGAAATACGCGAGTGCCATGCGTGATCGCATTGTCTCCACCTCGGATTTGCACCGTCCCTGTTTGCACCTATCCTGGAAAGCCATGTCTGCTTGCAAGAGCCTAACAGCTTTTAGAAGCGGAGCAGGTCACTGCTCTTTCAACGGAGGAGGGAGGCAGAGGGCTCACTGATTAGTGAACTTTCAGCTGACACCACGGCTTCAGGGCCATGTGAACATTCTGTGCTGCAGCGACGCCCTGCCTGAATAACCAGATGTGCTGAGCTTATCCTTTCTAACAAGGAGGGGTCCAAACTAGGATCTGAAGAGGAGTCCTGAGAACCCAGTAGGTGCCCTGAAGTTCCCCCTCCATCGGTGGAAGTCTGATCAAGGAGGTCCTGAAGCCTGGACTCCTGGCGGTTTGGCCCTGGGACACGATACTCAAGGCCCAATCTCCCACGCCGCCCCAAACTGGACCCCGGATCCAGCCACCACCTCAGCTGCATCAGGAGCCTTGCCGCTGCCAAGTAGCGGTGGCGTTATTTAAAGGGGATGCAGCCTGACTGCCATGAGGGGAGCGCAAGTCGGACCAGCCAATACGCATGCGCGAGGCGCCAGCGGCTTCTCCCATCACAGTGCTTCCCACTGTTGTCGTAGAAACCAGTCCTCGAGGCTTGGCAAAGTGGGAGCCTACTGTGGCAGTGCTTGGGTGTCGGGGCTCTGAGGCTCCAGCCTGACCTCTCCACGGGGTCGACGGGAACCTCTCCGGATGCCAGGAGTCACAAAGGGCCGACCAGGATGAGGAAACACCAGGCGGAGTCCGGAGGAAGCAGCACCGCATCCCAGCCCCAGGCCTTCCCGGACGGTGTTGGTTGGGGTGAGTCTCCCCAAAAGTCGTGCCGCCGTGATCTCGAGGACAGGTCGGCCTGCGTGCCCCTGGGCTGCTCTCACACCCAGGGGTCGTTCTCGTTGAGAGCAGAACTCCGCAGGCTCAGGGCTTGGCTGGCGGTGTGTGTTTCAATGCTTCTGCTGTATGACTCTGTGTGTGTGTCTGGGTGTGTCTGTGTGTGTGTGTCTCTGTGTGTGTCACCCATTCGCTCTTCTGTCTCTGTCCCTCGGTCTCTGTGTGTTTCTTTCCCTCTCTCTGTGGGTTTGTGTGTATGTGCCCGTGTGCGTGTGTGTCTTTGGCCGAATGTGCCCTGTGCGCCACAAAGCGGCTTCTGGCATGGCGGCCGGTCTTTGGTGAGCCTCTTTCTGCGCCTCTGCCTGGGTCATGAGGGCCGGTTGTCAATCGTTTTCACCGCCCCGGATCCGCTTTGTGTGTGTGAAGACCTGGCCCACGTGAGGAGATGCGTCGGTCCCGGAGCAACTGAAATCTCATCCCCATCCTGAGCGGCCTCTTTTCTAGGATCAAGATGAACACACTGCAGCTGAGGACAAGAGCCCCACAGGGGCTCTTTGTCCGGCAGGAGAGCAGTGGACCCATGTCAGAGAAGATGCTTGTATCTTTTCACGGCTCTTCTCTGAGAAATGAAGCCACACCATGATACAGTCTGCAAGAGGAAGCCAGGAATGAGTGATGGCAACAATCCCTGTCACTGGAACGCTGGCCTCTCCGGACAAGCCACCCTTTGGGACCACCTCCCCTTATGACCGCGGCGGTGGCACGGTGCAGTATCCTGCCTGGGCTCCGGCCTCTGCCCTGTCCTCCCTCTTACTCTGCGTCCCCTGTTTCTCAGGGGCCTGGATGCCTCTCGCTCTGGCCAAATGTCTTCAAGAAAGACGACTTCACAGTCCGTCAGGGAGACACTTCCTGGAGATCCGTGTCACACGATTGTTTCTCTCTCCAAACGTGTTTCTGCTGGATTGGGCAGGTCTCATGACCCTGGAGCTCTTGGTTTCCATTCCTGTCTCAGGCAGGGAAGCTTCCTTCTTCTCCACGTTTCCCCTCATGGGTGGGTGGATTGCCTACAATGAGCGCTGGGCGACCGTGACTGGCCTTGTCTTACAGGACAGGTGGTGTCGCATTTCCTCAGCACTTCCTGTCTCATTCTTGTGGGACATCCTCTCCTCCGCTCCAGGGTGCACTGACTCCCTTGATCTTCTGGCCGAAACGAATATCAGGGAACCAAAGGGACTGGGCTGGGGCTGGGTGCAGCCGAAGTTGCGTCAGGGCTACCGGGGCGGTGGAGGGTTGGGGGTGGGGCGAATTTTGCAGAAACCTCTTTGCTCCCTGGTAGGCACTGGAAAACGTGGCTTGGGTCAGGAACAGGACTCCTACCCCCCAGGTCCCAGGTGTTCTTTGATTTTCCTTGGCATTGAGGGAAAGTTCCCTCGATCCCCCCTTCCACCGGCACATGCCTGGACACCACCGTTTGTTTCACGGTGGCCCTGTATGCCTCCGGTGACACACGTTCACACCATCCGCTGTGGGATATGCCAGTGCCGCGTGTGGTCACATGGTCTCCCCCTCGGATTCGCCCCTGTTCCTGTTTGCTCGAGTCCTGTAAAGAGCCGTCAGCTTTCCGGAGCCCCAGGGCTTTTAGAAGCGGGGCAGGCCACTGCTCTTTCCAAGGACGAGGGGCGCAGAGGGCTGATGGATCAGTGAAGTTACAGCTGACACTAGGCCTTGAGACCTATGGCATCATTCTGTGCTGCAGCGAGGCCCTGCCTGCCTCACCAGATGTGGTGAGCCCATCCTATCCCCCTCGTAGGGGGCCAAAATCGGATCTTCAGGGGAGTCCTGAGAACACAGCAGGCGTCCTGAAGCTCCCCCTCCCTCGGCGGAAGTCGGCTCCAGGAGGTCCTGAGGGCAGGACTCCTGGGGGTTTGGCCCTGGGACAGGACAAGACACCCACAGCCCCCTCTCCCACGCCACCCCAAACTGGACTCCGGATCCAGACGCCGCCGCCGCCGCGGCGTTCTTTAAAGGGGACGCGGCCTGACTGCCAGGAGCGGAGCGCCAGTTGGCCCAGCCAATGCGCACGCGCGAGGCGTGAGCGCCTTCTCCCCTCACAGTGGTTCCCACGGTTGTCTTAGAAACCAGTCCCCAAGGCTTGGCTAACAGGAGCCCTCCGTGGCAGTGCTTGGGTGTCGGGGCTCTGAGACTCCGGCCTGACCTCTCCACGGGGTCGACCGGGACGTCTCCGGATGCCAGGAGTCGCAAAGGGCCGACCAGGATGAGGAAGCCCCAGGCAGAGTCTGGGGGAGGCAGCACGGCATCCCAGCCTCAGGCCTGCCCAGACGGTGTTGGTTGGGGTGAGTCTCCCCAAAAGTCGTGCCGCCGTCATCTCGAGGACAGGTCTGCCTGCATGCCCCTGGGCTGCTCTCTCACCCGAGTGTCGTTCTCCTCGAGAGCAGAACCCCGCAGCCTCAGGGCTTGCCTGGGGGTGTGTGTTTCAATGCCTCTGCTGTATGACTCTGTGTGTGTGTCTGTGTGTGTCTGTGTTTGTGTGTGTGTGTGTGTGTGTCTGTGTGTGTGTCCGGTTCTCTTTTCTCTCTCTGTCTCTCAGTCTCTGTGTGTTTCTTTCCCTCTCTCTGTCGGTTTGTGTGTGTGTGTCCATGTGTGTGTGTGTCTTTGTCCGAATGTGCCCTTTGCACCACAAAGCGATTTCTCTCATGGCGGCCTGTCTTTGGTGAGCCTCTTTCTGCATCTCTGCCTGGGTCATGAGACTGGTTGTCAATTGTTTTTGCCGCTGCGAAGCCGCTTTGGGTGTGTGAAGACCTGGTCCATGTGAGGAGATGCGTCGGTCCCGGAGCAATTGAAATCTCATCCCCATCCTGAGCGGCCTCTTTTCTAGGATCAAGATGAACACACTGCAGCCGAGGACAAGAGCCCTACAGGAGCTCTTTGTCCCGCAAGAGAGGAGCGGACCCACATCAGAGAAGATGATTTTATCTTTTCACGGCTCTTCTCTGAGAAATGAAGCCACACTACAATACAGTCTGCAGGAGGAAGCTGGGAATCGGAGATGGCAACAATCCCTGTCATTGGAACGCTGGCCTCTCTGGACAAGCCACCCTTTTGGAACCCCTCCCCTTATACCCGTGGCGGTGGCACGATACTGTATCCTGCCTGGGCGCCGGCCTCTGCTCTGTCCTCCTTCTTGCTCTGTCCTCCCTCTGCGCTGTCTTCCCTCTTGCTCCTTCTGCTCTTTCCTCCCTCTTGCTCTGCCTCCCCTGTCCTAGATGCCTCTTGCTCTGGCCACATGTCTTCCCTGTCCGTGAGGGACTTCCCAGTCCTTGACTTCCCACTCTGTCAGGAAGACATTTCCTGGAGATCCCTGTTATGATTGTTTCTCTCTCCAAACATGTTTCTGCTTGATTGGGCAGATCTAGTGACCGTGGAGCTCTTTGCTCCCATAAGTGTCTCAGACAGAAAAGCTTGCTTGTTCTCCATGTTTCCCTTCATGGGTGGGTGGATTGCCTAGAATGAGCTCTAGCCGACTTGGCCTTGCCTTGTCTTCTAGCACAGGTTGTGTCACATTTCCTCTGCACTTCCTGTCTCATTCTTGAGGGACATCCTCTCCTCTGCTCCTGGGTGGACTGACTCCCTGGATCTTTTGGCTTTAACGAATGTCAGGGAACCAAGGGGACTGGGCTGGGTCTGGGGCTGGGGCTGGGACTGGGGCTTGTTGCAGCGGACGTTGTGTGAGGGCTACCTGGGCGATGGAGCTTTGGCAGTAGGGTGAATTTTGCAGAAACCTCTTTGCTCCTCTGGCAGGAATTTCAAAATTTGGCTCTGGTCAGTTACAAGCCCCCTCCTGGTTCCCAGCTTTTCTTTAATTTTTCATTGCTGTGATGGAAATGTCACTTGTTCCCCCCTTCCACCGGGCACAGGCCTAGGCACCACCACTTTTTTCGGCTTTCCCTGTAGTTGTGGTTCACAGGATGGGGGCTGCTCCTGAGATTCAGCACCACACAGGCACTGCACAGCACTGTGCCATGGTGGTGGCACTCACTTTCCAGATAGGGCCCATGTTGCCAGCAGGCATGATGCGTCATTTACCCTACCCTGAGTGCAATAGGTGGTTTTATAGAAAAAAACTTGGGCCAGGCACGGTGGCTCACACCTGTAATCTCAGCACTTTAGGAGGCCAAGGTGGGCGGATCACAAGGTCAGGAGCTCAAGACAAGCCTGGCTAATATAGCGAAACCTTGTCTCTATGAAAAATACAAAAATTAGCCAGATGTGGTGTTGGGTGCCTGTAGTCCCAGCTACCTGGGAGGCTGAGGCAGGAGAATCGCTTGAACCCAGGAGGCGGAGGTTGCGGTGAGCCAAGATCATGCTACCGCACTCCAGCCTAGGCGACAGAGCAAGACTCCATCTCAAAAAAAAAAAAAAAAAAAAGAAAAGAAAAGAAAAGGAAAAGTATTTGTAGATGAATGAAGGTGACTCCTTTGAATATTGGAAATGATTTTATTGTAGCCATTGGTCTGGCACTCATTCTGATGGGGTGACATGTGTCCCTGCCTTAGTCAGCAGAGCACAGGAGTGTGTTACACCTCCCCTCATCTGAAGATTCAGCCCATGAGCAGGAATGCCTGTCTTTGTGTCATACCAACACAGAGGATGTGTCTGGTTTCACCATTCACTGCAGAGGCAGAAATTACCCAGAAAGAAGAGATAGTCTGTTCCTGGGAGTGTGTCCTTTTGACCCAGCATGGGGGTCATCTCCCTTCCTTGACAAAGACCCCCCCAACCTGAACACAGAGGCAGAGAACATGTGAAGGGCTCCCATTCCCAGGTTGTCCAGGGTGCAAGCTCTGAGCCTGTGGTCCTGGTCACTGCCCTTTTCTCTACAGCATGGCTGCCACCATCCTGGGCTGGGGCACAGCGGGGCTTTGCAGAGATCAGCATAACAAAAGCATTACTGAGATGCTGCAATAGGAGACTGTGATACCTTCGTGGGCTGCCAAGGCAGCCTAAGCTATTTCTTGCTGCACTCAGTGTCCCCAGACAGCTGTGTGTCTGTCACTGCCTCTGGTGTGTCCACCTTACTTCTCTTCTCCTGCCTGAGCTCTGCTCTGAACTCTGTCTCTAACTTACAAGAAATCAAGCTCACTGGATTCTGAGCTCTTCGGGGTCAAGGACCGCGTCACTAGTTCACGTCTCTTTCTAGAGATCACAGCTGAGTATCCCGCACAGAGCAGATACTCAGTCAATGCCAAATGATTCATTTGCCAGAAAGCTGAATTTCATCCATAATGCTAGTCAATGCAAATACATTCTGCCAGTGGGGTGTGTTTGTCCTCTGAGGGCGTTTTCCCAGGCTTTGTAAATACATACAGGCCATTTAGAAATTTGAATGTCAAAGAGTAAAGGAGCTTAGAAAGTAAACATTGGAGAAGTGTGGGAGGGTGGTGTTATTTGCAAAACATTCCTGGGTCCTTGTGAGTTCTATACACCTTCGATGAGCACCGATTCTGGGCCAGGCCAGACACCCAGCTGGACCCAGGAGATACTGAGGTGAGTAAAGCCAAAATGCCTCCCTTCAGCAGGAGGCAGGCAGTCACACCAAAGTGATAAAGGCACAAAACCCAGAGGCAGCAGAGGAGCAAAGACTGCCTTGTTCCAGGACTCTGTGACCTCAGGGAGAGCTTTCAGAGGAGGACATCTGTGCAGGGCTTGGAAGGATGAACACAAATTTGCCTAGCAGAAAAGGGAGCCAAGGAAATCCTGATGGAGAACAGCTTGGGTGAGAGTGTGAGTCACAGGATTGAGGGGTGCAGGCATGGAACTGGAGGAGCAGAAAGAATGAGGGGGGATAAATTTGGGAGGTCAGCAGAAGTCAGTCACAGAAGGTTTTGAATCCTGGTGAGGGAGCAGTGGGTGCTGCACGAGGGACATGGACCTGGAGGAGATGCAGTTAGCTCTGAGTGAAGACGGAGCATGCCATCCACTAGGGAACCACAAGATGCAATAGAAATAAGAACCCTGAGAAGCCTGCACAAAGGATGAGGGGCCCAGGGGTAACCCCAAGAAGGTCCCTGTCAGAGGCCAGATTTGAACGGAGACAGAAAAGACTCTTGAGGGCCTCAGCTGCTGCAAACCTCCTCAACAAATCATATTTTACCTTCAAATATTTGCTAAAGAATACTAACTATTGGAAGAGCAATGGTCCATTGATAATAATTATTCCCTCACTGTACATTTTTTACAATTCCCAAAATGCTCTGGGTCCACTGTCTCATTGGAACCCCCATAAAATCCGATTTTACAAATAGGGAAATGAGGCCCTGTGATGTCACACTGAGGTTTGCAGCAGTTCCAGGATAGAAAATAGGGAGCACTTTCATCTCAGCCCTGGGTATAAGTCTCAAAGTTCCTTTTCTGGGAGGGGGTCCTTGAGGCCATCCAGCAGCCCATAGTCCAAATCTTCTTCCTCTTGGGCTTCTCCATACCTGTGTCCAAAGTCTCATCCTCCTTTGTTCTCAGGTACCACTACCAGTTGTTGGGCAGGGAGACCTCCTGCTGCTGCCCATCCTAGGGTGCATCCTCCAACATGGGTGCACCGTGGTTCAGCCAGCACCTACACCACCTGCAGCCCAGGGCTCCTGTGGTGGGCCTGAGGTTCCTCCCTATCAAAAGGAGATGTGCTCGGGTTGCTGCCTTTGCTGAAGCCCATGTCCAGGTCATCTTGGGGATGGCCAAGGGTACGGGGCCCTGGAGACAAGCCAGAGGGCTGCAGGGACAAAAACCAAGAGGATGAGGGGATCTCTGAGTCAGACCACCTGGATCCACATCCCAGAGACTAGCTGCAAGGCCTGGGGAAGACTGGTTCACCTCTCTGGGGGTCAGTTTCCTCCCCTGTAAAGTGGGAGGTATAACAGATTCACTCCTACAGTTGTCTCTGAGCTTTACAGCAGGTAATGTGTGCAAAGTACTTTGCACAATGCCTGGCACATGGTAGCTCATAATAAACAGGGTTACTATGATATCATCATCTGAGCTAGGTCACTCATGTACTTCTCCAATGCTTCAGGGTTCCCCTCCATCCCTCACAGGGTAGCAGCAAGTGAAAGGGATGCCCCTGGTCTTGAGGAGCTCACATCTCATTTCCCAGGGGTCTCCATCCAGTGCCCACACATGCCTGGCATGCAGTAAGAGCCTCATCCACATCTGGTGAAAGAGTAGAAAGCAGGTCATTGTCATGTATTTTTTGGCACAGAATCTGAAGTAGGGGACAGAGAAGTGAGTGACTGTAGTTGTGCCCACCAGTTCCTGTCCCTGAACTTTCAGGTATCAAGAGGCCTTATACATATGTAACCAACCTGCACATTGTGCACATGTACCCTAAAACTTAAAGTATAATAATAATAAATAAATAAATAAATAAATAAATAAATAAATAAATAAAAGAGGCCTTAGCAAGTCTAGTACCAGGGAGTGGGCACTGTGTGGTGGAGCAGGAGGCAGGTCCTAAGAAAGGCAGTGGGGTGAGGAGAGGAGCTCTGCCTTTGAGGTCTGGGAGATCCTCCACCAGGACCTCACCAAAGGCCCCAGGCAGGTCATGCCCCTTCCCAGAATCTCTCTATGCTCTTCTGTATAATGGGGCTAGCCTGGAAGAGACACTTGCACAACCATGTTCAGAGCAGCATCATCCACAATAACCAAAAGGTGGAAACAACCCAAGTGTCCATGGATGGACGGACGGATCAACAAAATGCTGTCTCTGCATACAGTGGAATAGTGTTCAGCCTTGAAAAGGAAGGAGATTCTGACACCTGCTGCATCAAGAATGAACCTTGAGGACATTAGGCTGAGCAAAATAAGCCAGACCAAAAAGACAAATGCTGTATTATTCCACTTTTCCAAGGCACCTAGAGTAGTCAAATCCATAGAGACAGACAGGAGAATGGTGGCTACCAGGTCCTGGGGAGGGTGGGGATTGGGGAGTTGTTTTTAAATGAGTTACAGAATGGTAGTGTTACAAGATGAAAAGCATTCTGGAAATTGATTGCACAACATTGTGAATGTATTTAATGCCACCGAAATGTAAACTTAAACATAGTTAGACAGTAAATTTTAGTTAATTTTACCACAATTTTTAAAATGGGGTAGTTATGCCTGTCTCCTTGTGTTGCTGTAGGATTTCATGAGATAACATATAAGGAACCACCCAGCATGTTGCCTGGCACATAGTAACTGCTCAATAAATCACAACTGGATGCTATTGAAGATAAAGTTACCTGACTTCTCTGAGGCTTGCTCTCTTCAGCTGAAAATTCTCCCAGAATATATTAGATAAGACCCTACTGTATTATACTGGGTTCATAAATAGCACTCCCCATTTTCCCTTCCCACAGAGTGCAGTGAATAGAAGACACTTCTCTGCACCCCAAAAGCTCCATGCTGATTGCGAGAAGGAAATGCTGGATGGAGGGGTTCCTGGAACTACTGTGAGGGGTGAGCTTTCCCCAGATGTCTAGAAATGAGGCAGGGGCCCGACATCTTCCACCCCCACTAAGGTTGCCTTGCAGTTCCCAGCTGGCTCTATACTTCCTAGAAACTTCCACTTTTCTGCCTCCATTACCTCATAGCCCAGTCAGCACCATCATCATCATCACCATGATCGCCATCACCATCCTTACAATCACCAACACTATCATCATCGCCATCACCATTCTTACCTCCGCCATTCTCACCCCCGCCATTCTCACCATCATCGACACCAGCATCTTCTCCATAACTATCACTATCATTATCACCACCTTCACCATCACCATCCTCACCATAATAATGATTGTCACCCTCCCCATCCTCATAATCATCATCATTATCATCATTACCATCACTATCATCATCACTATCACCATTCTCACCATCATCATCCTCATCATCATCACCATTATCCTCACCATAACTATCACTATTATCATCACCACCTTCACCATCACCATCCTTATGATCACCATCACAATCACCACCATCACCATTCTCACTATCACCATGTTCACCTTTACCATTCTCATCATCATCATCACCTTCATCATCCTCAACATAACTATCACTTCATTATCACCACCTCCACCTTCACCGTCACCATCCTCACCATCATCATCACCACCATCACATTGATCCTTGCTACATGGAACCATGCATTCTGGGTAGGAGGGCTCTTGGGTCAGGGCATCTAACACATCTTGGGGGATAGAAACCCAGCCCCTCAGGGTCTCACAGTTGGTGAAGTAACTGATTCTTTTGAGGTCATGTTCCTCTGGGTGATGTGGGATGTCACAAGACCAATAAATCTGGGCTGAAGCCCATCGCATCACTCCTTTTTTTTGTAAAATAAGCTCCATCATCAGTAGTAATTGTATGACAGCAGAGAATAAGAACTCAGCAAATGTAAATAATTTGATGCTATGAGAAGCATATGAAGTGGAGTCCATATTCCGATATGCATCTATTCCAGTGAGGGCAATTCTTTACCACTTCCATGAAGGAAGGGAAAAAATATTATTACAACATTACCAGAAATCTGTCTGGTCTAGGCAAGGTAGTTCCTCTTTCCAGGGTCTCAGCATTGCTTATTGTCGGCAGTCAGGGCACTCATCTGGGCAGTAGGCAGCACTGCTGCAGGGAAGTTCATATTATTGGAAACATGCAGCATCTTCTCCTGCTACCATCACCACATTGTCCATGAACGCAATGGGCAAACAATGAGGAATCTGGGAAAAGTTCTCATAACCAGAACATAATCATCCATGTCAGGATATCAGCATTCACCCAACACTACTGTCCAATCAACAGATGTTATAATCTCATCCAAATTTTCTCAGTGGCGCCCTAAATACATTTTTTTTGAACTTTGTAATCCAGGATCCAATCCAGGATTTCCCATTGCATTAATTGTCATGTCTCTTAAGCTCCTTCAACTTCAAACAGTTCCTCTCTTTTGCCCTATTTTTCATAACCTTAAGAGTTTTAAAGATCATAAGCATTTATGAAGGATGTGTTCACCTTTTTCCATCTGATGGGTTTCCATATCCAGACTTAGGTCATGTATCTTTCACAAGAAAACCACAGAAATAATGCTGTGGTCTTCCTAGGACATCACAGCAGGAGGCATATGATCAAGTTTGTGCCAGATTTCTCCACCACAAAGTCATCATTCTTCCAATTGTAATTGAGAAGTATTTCATGTGAAGATATTAATTACACATACACATGAATGTATATTTATATGTAAAATACATACAAAATATTATGTCAATGTCTAACCAATATAAAAGTTATTAATTAGATATGTTTAATTTTATTTCCTACTAAGTCTTCAAAATCTGGTGTGTGTTTTCCCCTGACAGCACATCTCAATCCAGCCTAGCCACATTTCAAATGCTCAATATTCACATGGCTGTGGCTACCATATTTGTCAGGGCAGCACTAAAGCACTAAAGAACTTCTTCCTTGGAGAAGTTCTAAGCTTTCAAAATGTTTGGCAAATACATTTTATAAAATTCTTCAGAATCCATAAATAGGCAATTACACATTTAGTAAGCCATAGAATCCAACATGACATTAAAAATGAATCCCTCGACAAAAAAGAAGGTAGGCAAAATGTTCTTCACACCAAATGGACAAATCAATTATGATTACCTAGCATGCCCATTATTATTTTTTAACATCCTTCATTAATACCCCCAAACCCCATCAACAGGTAAATGAATAAATGCATTGAGGCCTATCTGAACAATGTCCCGATTCCTTACCATTCTTACTTCTTTTGCAAGCAGAAAAGACTCAGTATTAGCAAAGACTATTCGGATAATTTGTTCTTATGCCAGTAGTTGTAATTTCCTGGAGGTCTATGTGATATCACTTATGTACTTCAGTACCTCTCACAAGTACTTTTCCTGTTTGGCCATTTTCTGCAGTATATCCATGCTCTCATTTTCTCTATTCTTTTATTTCTATCCTACACTTTTCTTTCATCCTATAATTCTTTATCCTAAAAATATTAATTTAAGGATAACATCACAAAATAGTATATTTCTTCAGATGATACTCCAAATTGATACCTAATACACAGAAATGACTATCATGGACATAACCCACAACATGTGAAATGTATGGCTCATCCTACTGACATTATAAAGGAAAGTTAATGACAACTGAATTTCTAGTCATTTTCCACCCAACCAGTTGCTTATAAACTGGCAAGGAATTGTAGGTATGTACACAGTGGCTATTTTTTGGTGGGGTGTTCAGCAACCCTCCTCTTGAGAGCCCCCCTTTTCTTTGAGGACCATTTCAATGGGCACCAACTAGGCCTGACCCAACCTACCAGCCCCAGCCCTAGAGGTGATCATGATGCCCAGCTCTGGCAAAAGACTCTACCCTTGGATCATAGCAACTGTTTCAGTACTTTTTTTTTGGAATCATCAGGAAGGACTCTTGCTTTTTCTACCACTGTGGTCTGCGAGGACAAAGTAAAGTGGGTTATTTGTAGCACTATCTCTTGCTACAGAGAGAGAAGAGAGTCACCTTCAGAAGGAAAAAATGAGGCTAAAACAAAAGGAAAAGTGTCAAGAGAAAGAAGGAGAACATTTCTTGATGATCTTATATAAGCCCCTGGGTCCACCTATGCATGACAGTGACTTGGGTTAAAGCTCTGTCACTTATAGGACCATTAACTTAAATATAAAATAAAGTATTAAAAGCTATGAACTTTTAGATGAAAATAAAGAAAAAAAAACTTCATAATATTCAATTAATCAAAAATATCTTAGATGAAGCCCCAGAAACCAAATGCATGAGAACAATTAATAAATTGGACCCCATCAAAATTAAGAGCATCTGCTAATTGAAAGATAGTGTTATGAGAACAAAAAAGAAAAGTCAAGGGGACAATACTGGCAAGTCTCATATCTAATAAGGGATTTGAATCCAGAGTATATAAAGAAACTATTAAAATTTAATAATGAGAAAAAAAGCAAAGAAAAAAAACAAAAAAAGAAGCCAAAAAAAAAGTGAACATACACTTTACCAAATATATACAGATGGCATGTAAGTACATAGATACTAAATGTTATTAGGCATTATGGAACCACAATAAAATACTATTGTACACACATGAAAATGTCTAAACTTTTAAAAGAAGGCCCATACAAAGTGTTGGCAAGAGTGTGGAATTCTTATATACTGCTGATAAAAATATAAAATGGTACAACCATTTTAGCAAACATTTTGACAGTCTCTTAAAACTAAACCTAAACCTATTAGCTATTGCACTCCTAATATTTACTCAAAGTTATAGGAACTTATGTACATGAATGTTCATTGCAAATGTATTTGTATAAGTCCAAAACCGGAAGCAATGCAAAAACCCATCAACAGGCAAATGGATATGTAAGTTGTGACCGATCTGCACAATAGAATACTACTTAGTAATAAAATTAATGACTTATTGATGCCTGCAATATAGCTGAATCTCAAAATAATTATGCTGTGTGAAAGATGCCAGACCCCTCCAAAAAAGGGTGCATACTACATTTCAATTATATAAATGTCTAGACAAGGCAAACTATTTTATAGTGACAGATTGGTGATTGCCAGGGAGAGTGGTAAGGTAGGAAGATACAGAAAGTTTGGGATTATAAAAGGGCAAGGGGAAACTTTTATGAGTGCTAGATATGTTCATTATTTTTATTTTGGTGATGGATTTGCAAGTACACATAAAAAATAACACGCGATGGAAGTAGAAACAGTATTTTTGTTTCTTTCTTAAAAAAGCACAATTTACTTACTAATGGGATGTTTGTGCCTGTTGGGCACACAGCACAACTTTTCAAATCTTAAAATCGGACTGGATCTCAACCACTGGACCTTATTCCTATTCCACACTGACTTTAGCACAATACTTGCTTTCATCGCGGTGATTAACAACACCCACCTTAAAGGTAAAGAAATGCACTTCTAACTAACTACTTTTGAAACTATGAACTGCTTCAGGCTAGTAGTTCTTAAGGTTTCCAGCAAATGTTGCTTTGTTTCCCTCAAAAATTTACAGCCTGGGCAACATGGCAAAACCCCATCTCTACTAAAATTACAAAACTTAGCCAGGCGTGGTGGTGCATGCCTGTTGTCCCAGCTACTCAGGGAGGCAGAG
The DNA here is from genome assembly GCF_000001405.40 of Homo sapiens. Classification (NCBI taxonomy): domain Eukaryota; kingdom Metazoa; phylum Chordata; class Mammalia; order Primates; family Hominidae; genus Homo; species Homo sapiens. The sequence goes on from NC_000007.14 coordinate 57,833,136, forward strand.
GCTGCAGTGAGCCTAGACCTCACACTCCAGCCAGGGGGACAGAGTGAGACCCCCATCTCAAATACACACACACACATACACATACTCACACACTATCCGCTGGTGCCCCGGTCAGTTAAACACAGCATCTCAGGGCACCTTAGCACACAGTGTGAGCACCATGGTCCTAAACCCTTCAATTAAAAGTGAAACATCTCTGGCTGGATTTTTAGAATATTTAGTTTTTAATGTTTTATATTATATTTATTTTTTATGTTTATTTAATTTATCTGAATACAAGAATCCAGACATTTGGAAGTAAAACAATGGAAAACATGCCTGCAAACACTAATCAGCACAAAGCTCATGTTGCTTTGTTATTATTGAAAGTTTAGTCTTACGCCAAGAAATATAGCTAAGATAAAAAAGATTTTACAATGTCGGTCACTAGAAAAGTATGCCAATTTTAAATATGTATAAATATAAAATATCCCTTCAAATTATTTACTACAGAAACTGATATAACTAAAAGATAAATGGTCTAATCTACAATATAGATTTTAACATACCTTTCAATTACCGATGGAACCAACAGAAGAAAAACCATAAGAGAAAGGGAAATTTGATGAACACAATGAAGAAACTTGACATAAACTGACATATACAGAACATGACACTCAACAACTACTGAATACACATCCTTTTCCAGTGCATGTATCATATTTACCAACATAGATTATATGTTGGAATTTAAAGGGACTCATCACAGAGTGTTCAGTCATGGGATTTTGCCTAAACTTGTCTGGCCTTCAACAGGGTTCAAATACAGTTAAATTCTTATTTCATCTAAAGAGTCCTATCTTTTTATTTGGAAATTTTACCGCAACAATCTAAATTTGCATAACAACTGAACCCAGCCCTTGGAACTTGAAGTTTATTCTAGCCAAAGGCAGATTAAACTGTCTAAGTAGTAATGTCCTTCAAATTGTTGTCCCCTGCTCCAGTAATGGAGCATAGCTCCAAGAAGCTAACAGACTATTTGTCCTTCATAGTATACATTCTATGTTACATCAAAACACGGTATAAAGCCTTGAAATCAGCAGCAGAGAGAAAATGAGATCAACAACCATCTAGCTGTGACCTCGCTACTTAGTAATTACGCTTTTAGCTGACTCCTTTACTTGATTCCTAACTGCTTATTTCTGGCAAGGGAGCACTAATCCCTGACCAAGCTGACCTTTTAAGAAGTGAGCAGAATGAAAAAGCTCTACCACCAGTGATCAGTTTAACAAGCTGCAACACTAGTCACTGGCTGCAACTCTAGTCACTGGCTGCAACTCATATTGTGGGTTTTAAGAGCTCAGAATTAACATGGAAATACTATTGACTCCAAAAGAAACCCAGAAATCTCTGGGAATCCAGCAAAGATAAAAAGGGTCCTCTCAACAGTCACCACTCACACTTTGCTTTGTTTTGGTAACTATTTTATTACATATGGAGAATATCAAAAAAGTATGCCTTTTCCTCATTGTTAATGCTAACCCTAAAACGGTAAGGCTCTTGCAGGTTGAAACCCCCAGGCTCTCACTGGCCCTTCAACAGAAGGCAGTGAAGTCACCTGCAAGAGTGATCACCCAAAAGCTTCCAGGCTGGACAAGTTGGGACTCAGTTCTTGCAGTTCCCAAATTCACAGTTCTCTTGGGACATGGTTATTTATGAAGCTCCTGAAGATGAGAAATTCCACCCAGGAAATTATGTTTATAAAAGATTATTCACATCTAATTATCTCAGGAGACATTAACACAGCAATGTTGAAAATTTTCCATTAATTGTTAATCCATGGAGAAAAACTGAACAATTATTTTTTAAAATATGAAAAACTTCATATGATACAAATTATACTCCCACATGTGATTCAATTTCTATTCATTAATGCCGGAGAAGTTAATAATTACGAATTGTCAGTGGTAAAAAAAAATAAATCATTCATCATTGGAGAAGGCAGAAGGTTTAAAAGAGATAAGAATTGGTTTTTGGCTTTGGGGTGTTTTATGCTTTCCGAAAGGTTTTGCTCTTTTTTTTTTTTTTTTTTTTTTTTTGCTCATGGCTTTCTCTCTGTGTCTCTCTTTCTTTCTGATTTCAGTTTCTTTTGATTTCTCCTGCTTAGAAATGGTAACAGAACTTTGGATGTGGAACGTGCAGTAGGAGTTACACGAAGTGCGGGTCTGCACTTGGGGTGGTCAGCACGGCGGATGCCCAGCAAAGGCACTGCCTGGTCCACATCCCGGAGTGGTCTCTACGCCCCAGTCGGCATCGCAGCTGATGGTGAAACTTTTGGTGTGGCAGAAGAGTGTCCACAAACTTTGGAAGGTATCCGCTGCCTCCTCCATAGCCGTGTATCCCTGCCGAGGGTGATCATCTCGAGGAGCGGAAAGTCCTGCTCATGGGCCAGGGCTGGCTGGCTGGAGCCACTTGCGCGGCGCAGCCCTGGCGGAGGTTCAGGCGGTCCCGGTGTCGCAAGCGGCTGTGAGTGATGCCTCCTTGGGGCCGGAGGGGTCCCAGGAAGGCTCCAGACCAGGGCTGACCAGCGGGCAGCATGGTGGCCGCGATGGAAGGTGACGGGGTTCGCAACGCCAGGGGACCCAGCAGAGCCCGAGCCCGGGCATCCCGCATCTCCAGCAGCACCCCGGGTAGGCGCTGGTGACGTGGCGGCCAGTGCACAAGGCCCACGACCCAGTCCCAGAGGCCAGCCCATCATCAGCTAACTTCAGGAATCCCGGGCCAGCTGAGGCCCCGGGCCCCACGGGCAAGACAAAAGGCAGAGGGTCCGCAGGCAGGGCCGAGAGCAGGCAGCCCAGGCCTGGCTCCACCGCCGCGGAGCTCGCAGGGCGCAGCAGGCACCGGGCAGCGACCAGGGCTTCCAGAGGAGGCTGTGCACCCCCGCAAAGGCTCCTGCCCAGCGTCCAGCCTATCCGCGGGGACTCCACGTGCACCCCCTCCTCATTGTCCTTGTCTAGGGCCTCGGCAAGCTCCTCGCTCCCATGGCGTGACTTCAGGGGCGCAGGAGCCTGGGCTGAGCAGGTGGAGTAGGGTGAGCACCGCCAAGAACCCAGTGAGAGTGGCGCCCCAGGGCGGCACAGGAGGCCGCATTTAACGTGTCAATCATCTCAAAGATATTATGGCATCTTCTTTTTTTTGACATCTTATAATATCTATAATGTCTATTATATCTTGTGATAGAATTATTAACACCACTTCATTGTGATTATTATGATTATTTTTATACCAACACATCTTCAATTATTAATATTCCCAGTTGCTAGAGAAAAATGAAACGACTAGTTTTGAAAGCCTTACTTCTGCCAATGGAAGCACATTCCAGCATGTCGCCAACGCAATCCATTTTCCACCACTTTCACAAGAAAAGTTACGGCACAATTATACTATCCTACCCTTATATACTTTTTGTGCATGTGTACTTGTATGTATGTATGTTATATATGTTATATATATATATATATATATATATGTAAAATACGCCACAGATGAACAAGGATTAGAAAATTAAATGCACACAGGTCATGTCAGTGCTATGTATAATGTGGTGTACTAAGTATAGATGTTCAACAGTGTGGGATCCAGGCTGGGACAAGACTCCTAGTCTTAAGCAATTCTTTCTAGGTTCAGTCTCTGGAAATAATGCTTTGTATCAAATGTGCGAGAAAATTAATGGGTTTTAAAGACTATTCTATGTCAACTATAACATTTCCTTTGGGGATTTCTGTCCCTTATAATATCTACCTCATTTTTGATGGATTCCTTGGGGCCTGGTTTTTCTTTTCCTTTCTACACATCGCTGTTCAGAGTGATGGATGGAGTTGTATTTTGAATAAAATAGCTAAGCATCCTTTTGTGAGCAAGGAGCATGATGGTACTCAGACCTACCATTTCTCGTTACAGTGGTTACAGTTACCTGGTGCCTGGACGTCCACTGGGACATGATACCCACTGGGATGTTTTTGTTTCAACCTGGTCTCTGATGTCAACCTGGGGATTGGGTATCCACCTAAGACCTGATGTTTACTTGGAGCCAGATGTGCACCTGAGGCCTGATGTCTATCTGTGGCCTTGTGTTCACCTGGGGACTGATGCACACCTGAAGCATAGGTATTCACCTGGGGCCTGATATCCACCTGTAGTATGGGTGTCAACCTTGGGGCGGATGTTCAGCTGGCGTCCACTGTCTACTTGGGGCCTGGTGTACCCATGGGGCCTGGGCATCCACCTGAGACTTGATGTTTAATATGGTCTGGAGTTCTCTTGGGGCCCGTTGTACCCCGGAGCCTGGGTGTACACCTGGAGCATGATGTCCCAGGTGGACACCTGGGTCCCAGGTGATCTTCAGGCCCTAGGTGAAAACTCCAGGCTCTAAGTGGACAACCAGGCCCCAAGCTGATGTTTACTGGGGCCAGATGTCTACGAGGCCCCAGGTGAAAAGTCCAGGCTCCAAATGGACAGCATGGCCCCACGTTCCAGGTAGACATTGGAATCCAAATCAACACCAGGCCCAAGATGGACACGCAGGCCTGTGGTGGACATCAGACTCCAGAAGGTCATCTGGCTTGAGGTGGACATCAAGCCCCAGGTGGATACCTAGTCCCCAGGTGGATATCAGGCCCCACTTTGACACCAGTCCCTGGGTAGATACCTAGGCCTCAGGTGGATATCCAGTCTCTAGCTAAGCATCAGGCTCCAGGTGGACCCAGTCCCTAGCTGACTGGGGACTAGTGTTCATATGGGGCCACATGTCCATCTGGGCCCTAGATGTCAACTTGTAGCCTGATGTCAACCTGGGAGCTGGTGTTCACCAGAGGACTAAAGTCCTCCTGGTGCCTGATGTCCAACTTGGGACATTGTGTCCACCTGGAGACTGATGTCCACTTGGGACCAGATGTCCAACTGGAGCAAGATGTCCACCTGTAGCCTAGAACTTCACCTAAGGCCTGATGTTCCCCAGGGCCTACAGGGCCTACGTGTCTACCTAGGGACTTTTGTCCAGGTGGGGCCTGAGTTCCATCTGGGGCCTGCAATTAACCTGGGACCTGATGTCCACCTGAGGCCTGGGTGTTCCTCTGGAGTCTGATATCTATCTGGGGCCTGGGTGTCCTCCTGTGGTCTGATGTCCACTTGTAGGCTGGTGTCCACCTGGGGCCTGGGTGTCCACCTAGGAACCTGATGTATACCTGAAGTCCAGTATCTACCTGGGTACTGATGTCTACCAGGAAAGTGATATAAACCTGGGGCCTGATAGCCACCTGGGCCCTGAGTGTCCACATATGTTCTGATTTCCACTTTTGGCCTGAGTGTAGGGCCTGAGTGCCACCTGGGTCCTGATGTTCACCAGGAACCTAGGTATTCACTTGGGGCTTGCTGTTCACCTGGGGCCTAATGTCCCTGCGAGACCTGGTATTCACCTAGGGCCTGGGCAGCCACCTGTGGCCTGATGTTCAGTTGGTGACTAGGAATTCCACTAAGGCTTGATGTCCACCTGGGGCATAGGTAACCACTTGTGGCCTAGTGTTCCCCTGAAGCCTAGGTGTCACCCAGGGCATAATGTCTTCTTGGGGCCTGCTGTCCACCTGCAGACTGGTGTCTGCATAGGGCCGGTATCTACCTGGGGTCTGGTGTCTGCCTGGGGCCTACTGTCCACCTGAAGACTGAGTATAGACCTCAGACCTGATGTATGCCTGGGGCCTATTTATTGACGTGGGGACTAGCATTCATCTTGGGCCTCATGTCCACTTAAGCCCTGGGTGTCAACCTGGTGCCTAATGGCCACCAGGGATCTATGTACTCACTTGAGGCCTGGTGCTCCGACAGGGCCTAGGTATACACCTGGGGAATGATGTGCAGGTGGAGATGGATGTCTTCCTGGGTGCTGGTGTTCACCTGGGGACAAGGGTCTCCCTGGGGACCGGTGTTTATCGGGAGTCTCATATTCACCTTGAACCTGCTGTCTACCTAGGGCCTGATGTCCATGTTAAGGTTGGGTGTCCACCTGGGACCTGGTTGTCCACTTGGGACCTAATGTCTACCTAAGACCTAGTGTTCACCTACAGCCTGGGTGTCCACCTGGAGCCTGATGTTCAGCTGCAGATGCATCCACCCGAGACCTAGGTATCCACCCAGGGTCCGGTGTTGAACTGGGGTCTTATGTCCACCTGGGGACTAGATACCTACCTGAGGCTTGATGTCCACCTGGAGCCCGATATCCACCTCAGAGCTGGGTGTCCACCCAGGTTCTGGTATCCACATGGAGCCTGGTGTTCATCTGGGGCCCAGTGCCCACCTGGAACCTGGGTATCACCATGGGGCCTGGGTGTCCACTTGGAACGTGATGGGCACCTGGGACCTGAGTTTCCACCTAGGGCCTGATGACCACCTGAGGTCCAGGTGTCCACCTGGGGTCTGATGTCTACCTGAAGCCTAGGTAACCACCTAGGGCATGGTGTTACCTGTGCCTTGATTTGCACCTGAGCCTGCTGTACACCTGGGGCCTTTAGACTCCAAATGTCCATCTGAGGCCTGATGTACACCTCAAGTCCAGTGTCCACTTGTGGCCTGATGTCAACTTGGAAGCTGATATCCACCGGGGGACTGATGTTCTCCTGGGGCCTGATATCCGACTGGGATCAGATGTTCACCTAAGGCCTGGAGTTAATCTGGGGCCTGATGGTCACCAGGGTCCCAGGTGTCCACCTAGGGCCTAGTGTCCAACTAGGGCCTGATGTCCACCTGGAGTCTAGCATCCGCCTTGGCCCTGATGCTACTTGCAGCCTGGGTGTCTTCCTAGAACCTGAGTCCCCAGCTGGGCCCTGATGTCCACCTGAGGCCTGGTGTCCTTATAAGGCCTGATATCTACCTAAGGCCTGGGTATCCTCCTGCAGCCTGATGCTCACCTGTAGGCTGGTGTCCATATGGGGCCTGGGTGTCCACCTGTGAGCCTGATGTACACCTGGAGTCCAGTGTCCCCTTGGTTACTGATATGTACCAGGAAAATGGTATATACCTGGGGCCTGATATACACCTGGAGCCTGTGTGTCCACTTGAGCCCTGATGTCCACCTGGGGCCTCGTGTTTACCTGGGGCCTGTATCCACCCACTACCCAAAGTCAAGTTGGGAAAAGCGCCCAGGATAGGTGAGGAGCACAGAACAGGGACCTCATTCATAAGAAATTCTGCTGTAGAATGGGTGCTCTAAGCTCTTAAAACAGCCTCTGCCTCAGGAAAGACTGTCCAGGGCATAGGAAGCCCACACACAGGGTGGGATGACAAGTTTGCATCTGGCACTGCTGGGAGCCCTGGGGGCCTCTGCCCTTTTGGCCACGTTGTCTCCTGCCTCTTAGGGTGGTGGGATTCTGGGCTCTCATTGCAGCAGGTGGATTCACTTAGCTCTCCTCCCCTTTTAGCATTACTGTCTTCTGTAATAAACCTCTCACTTTGACCTGCCAGGCTGTCAAATGCTTTGATTGCCCTCTCTGTTTTGTTCCAATGGTTCATCATTCCAAATATCCACAATAGAAGGACAGATTTTAGTCTCTTCATACAATGGGATATTTCGCAGCTATTAAAACAAATAAAATAAATGCTTGTATATTGATATGCAAAGTTGTCCCACATCAATAACTTTTAAACACATTTTATGATCCCACATCTATATCTATACATAATGTTTGCCACTGCTTAAACCAAACAAAATCTAAGCTTTAGACTCCAAATGGAATTACAGGGGAGTCTTGATGTCTGTGTTCTGCAGTTCTGTCATGTTTGAAATTGTCAAATAAACATGGTGCCTTTCTGATAGCCACTCAGAATTCCTCCTCTCTGTCCACAAAGCATTTTCACCCTCCCTGTCCCATTTGCCCCAGCCCCGTGGAGCTTGCTGAGCTGGCACCATCCTCTCTTGTAATAGACAAAGACATTGAGGACCGGAGAGGGGAAGCACCTTGTTGACATCCCACAGCTCTGAGTCAAAGTGGAATTGGACTCCCTTACTAGCTGTTTCCTAAAGTCCAGGGAGCCCTGGAGGCCCAGGAATGTAAGGGCTGGAGCCTGGGGCTTTCTGTCCTGAAGTAGGGGAGGTGGGGCTACGCCTCACGGCTTGAGTGCATTTCCTCTCAAGTACAATAAGGGCTGCTTTGTAAGATGAAAAATATAAATGGCTGCCTGCAAATTTGTCAGGTAATGTGTTTGTCTCCCCTATGGGACTGTAAACTTGGTATAAGCAGGGACCTGTCTGAATCACCCTAGTGTCCCCAGCACCAGGCCAGAGACTGACATACAAAATGACTGACTTCATTAAATACCAACACCTTCTAGGTGCCAGGTACTGCTCTAGATGCTGGAATCTGCAGTGAATAAGATACCCAGAATCCCTGCCCCTGTGTAGCCCTCACTGTAGTACAGCAGAACAGATGATGAATAAGTAAGCATGTGGGGTGTGAGATGGGTGGGAGAGCTGCATTGTGGAACGGGGCAGTGTGCAAAGCAGACACTTAGGAAAGAACCTGAGGGTTGAGCTGTGGATATGATGGAGAAAAGTCACCCCTAACATGAGTGCAGACACTCCAGCTACAATAACAAGCGAAGGTGGAGAAGGAAGCACAGAGGCAAGCAGCTGGGGAGATGTGGGGGTGGGATCCAGGGAAGGGTCTCTCTTTATCTATTTTCAAATTGAATAGGAAGCAAGGCAGCAGGTGTAAGGAAGACTGGGGAAGGTTTTAGAGGTTTAAGGAGGAAGGAGAAGGCACGATACTGTTGCCTGGGGACAAGGCAGCACTTCCAGGGCTGGGTGCCTGGGCTCCAGGGCAAGTCGCTTCATCTCTTCCTGTGCCAGCATCTCCTCAGCTGTGAAATGGTGATTATTATAGAACAGATTCATAGAGTTTTATGATAATTAAATCAGTTGGTATTCATAACATGCTTAGATTATATATATTTTTATTAAAATAACAAATAAAGAAGTCTGGCAGACTTATGGACTCAGGAAATGAGTGAGTTTGCAGGACATCATCCAGGGCCCACTGGAGGTTTGGGCTTGATGATTAAATGAGAGCAGAAGGCACGTGTGTTTCTCTCTGGCTTTGCTCAGCCACCTGAGTGCAGGAGCAGAGGGAGTGGGTGGCTGGATTTCAGCAGAGTGCAGTTTTGCCCTGGGAGTACAATCAATTGTGGGCAAGAGAGTGGAGAGTGTTAGAGAGGGTGGATGACAGGCTGGACCATATAGTGTCAGCTGGGAGGAGGGGAAATTTGCAAGAAAGTGAGTGAGACACATAAGTGAAAATTTGGAGTAATTGAAGTGTGTTGGATTTGGGAGGCAGCTGGAAAAAAGAAAGTGGTGGTCAAAAAAAGGGTGTTTGAAATTGAGGGTCTGGAGTGGCTACATTTTCTGCAGTGACAAGGACAAAAATATACAGGTAGGAGTGGGTGACTCAGGGAGGGTGGAGACAACGTCTCCAGGGGCGGAGGGACCAAGAGCCAGAGCATGAGGAGGACTCTCTATGTGCATGTTGGCATCACCTCAGCAGGAGAAAGTGCCCATGAACTGGGAGCCAAGGCTTCAATGCATAGGGATGTGGCCCTGGGTGCAATCTGAGGGCAAGAGCTTCAATATTGATTCCCTTCATGTGTCACCGTGTCCTTGGGTAATTTTTCTTGTGCAAACGTCACAAAGTGTGCTTACACACACCTCAATATTGTACCTACCGTACACCTAGGCTCTATGGCACAGCCTACTGCTCTCAGGCTGCACACCTGGGCACAGGTTATTGCAGTGAATACTGTTGGCAGTTGTAGCACAATGGTCAGTACTTGTGCATTTAAACATATCATGAAAAGTGCAGTAAAAGCATAGTATTGCACTATATAAAAATATAGTATGGTACCTAGACATGGTGCACTGGTCTAGGACACTTACCATGAATGGAACGTGTAGGGCTGGAAGCTTCTCTGGGTGAGTCAGTGAGTGGTGAGTGAAGGTGAAGTCCTAGGGCATGACTGCACTACTGTAGATTTTATAAACACTGGACACTTAGGCTACACTATGAGATATATATTTCTTTTTCTATAGAATTATAAATCTTTTTTAATAAATATATTTTTAAAGTAACTGTGCCATAACGTTACAATTGTTATGTCACTGGGCTAGGCAGTAGGTGTCTTTCGGCTCCATTATAATTTCATGGGTCCACCACTGCACATGCGGTCTGGGTTAACAGAAACATCATTTCGTGGCACATGAATGTATTTTTATGGGAGAGAAAGATGATGAGCTGAAAGAGGGAGGCAATGAGAAGCAAGGAGGACCTATGCTGCTCAGGCCCAGGGAAGGGCTGCAGCAGAGGACAGCAAGGCAGCAGTGACCTCAGGGGATCGGGCCTCTTACTCACAGCAAGGAAGAAAAGGAAGAGTTCCCTGAGGCTGCTGGAAACCAGGGGGCTGCTGGTGCTGGAGCAGGATTTTGAGGACATGCAAAAGGGTTTCAGCAAGGGAGGGAGGGAGGAAGGAACTGGGGAGAGAGGGTCAGCCCAAGATAACCAGGCCTCTCCCAGGAATCTTCTGGCCACTCAGAAGCAGTGGTCATGCCCAGTTGAGTCCACAAAGGGCACCCAGTGCTCAGCGTGAGAACCTGGCCTGCCTATTGCCCAGCCCTCACACAGCCCAGCCATTGCTGCCACCTGCTGTAGCCCCTAAGATGGATCAGACTGGCCTTGTCCTCAACAGCCCTCACTGAGGCAGGTAAAAACACAGGCACCTGTGATAAGAGGCAGGCAGAGGCAAGTCACATAGTAGTGGCAGACCAGGTGCTGCAGGAGCCCAGTGCGATGGGCACTGAGTCCAGGCAGGCTTTGTAGAGGCAATGACTCAGGATTTGTGTTCCGGCTGTGATGGTGGCACATCCAGGAAGCAGCGCATGGTCCAGCTGGGCACATTGGGACTGGAGGCTGTTTTTTTGTTTTTGTTTTTGAGACGGAGTCTCACTCTGTCTCCAGGCTGGAGTGCAGTGGCATGATCTAAGCTCACTGGAGGAGGCTGGTTTTTAATGAGTCTCGAGGCCAAGGCAAGGGTCATGACCAGGGTCCAGCCTCAGTAATGCACTCACCCCTTCACCCTGGGGCACTGCTGCAGGCCCACCATCAGCAGCCTACATTTGCTCCCCTCCTGCCCTCTCTTCCCAGGAAGCCCCTCACCTGTCACTTCCTGAAGAATATGGAAGCCAAGGAGGTCTTCTTCAGGCATTCCTCTCCACCCATGCACTTCCTCCCTCCCTGCCAGCTTCAAAGGAATTGATTTCCAGAGAGACCCTTCCCAGTTGCCCCACCTTTCCGTCAGCCTCTTCCAGGAACTGTCCTCTGACATCTCTCTGTCTAGGTCTCCTTGTCACTCTTGTGCACACCAAGACTGTTCTCCCTTTTCCTGTCAGCCACTGAGTCCACTCAGATATCTTCTGCTTCCCAAAATTAAAATTACAAACCAAAACAGAGACAGCTTCCATGACCTTACACATTGTAGACACTTGGCTACAGCAGTGAATGACATAAACAAAGTCCCTTTCCTCATGTAGCCCTCATGCTAGTAGAGTGAAACAGATAATAAATAAACTAGTCAAATGTTCAGCATGTGAGTTGGTGATGACAGCACGGTGCTTCATGCCTGTAATCCTAGTGCTTTGGGAGGCCGAGATGTGAGGATGGCTAAGGTCAGGAATTTGAGACCAGTCTGGGTAACATAGTGAGACCCTGTATCTACAAAAAATAAAATAAAATAAAATAAAATAAAGGAAAAGTGAAGGAGGATGGAATGTATCAGTGGGAAAGGGGGATGGGAGAGCCACATTTTAGACAGGGTGGTCCAGGAGGGTATAGCTCCAACCACTATTCCTCTGGCCCATTCCACATCTATCCCCATCCCACCCCCTGCACAGTGCTTGGGTCAAAGCCTCTCAGTCTTGCTTGTATTTTTCCAGAGTGATCCAGGGACCAACTCCATCAGAACAGTGGGGTGAGGTCACAGCCCCTGCCTGTGAGAAGTGCAGATTCCTCTGCCTGGACTAGAATCCCTGGGAACTGGACCCAGGAATTTCCCAAGATCTCTGGGGGACTCTGAGACAGCCCAAAGTATGGGAGCTGCAGATTTTCTCCTGAAAAGGGAGCACTGTCTCAAGGGGTCCAGGTCACCCACCTCTACCTTGTAGCCACCAGACCAGTCTGAGCCTTGGAGAATGCTGCTCTTTCCTCCTGGAATGCCCTTCCCAGCTTTCCTTGCCTGGTAACTCTTACACATCCCGCAAGACCCAACTCAAGGACCACCTACTCCTGACGTCACTCCCTGAACTTTCTCCTGTGTTTCCACTCTCCTCTTCACCAAGCGATGTTGACATTTCTATGGGGCCATCTCTCTCTCTCTAGACCAGAAATGCCTACAGTTGCGGACCCCTGTAGTGCAATTTGTGTCAGTCTGGGGAGAGTGGATTTGGAGCCCAACCACCACTGAGGAAAATCTGTCTGATGGACATGGTGGGTTCCAGCCCAGACACAGGGGTCAGCGAGGGGTGGTGTGACAGTGAGCACAGACCCTGGGTGGTGGTGACAGTGGCTGTCATGGGGAGGAAAGGAATGGAAAAGGGACCTCATGGGAGCAGAAAGACAGGCCTTAGCTGCAGATGGGCCAGGACCCCGCCAGGAATCCAGAACACGCATCCTAATCCCAGCTCCACTATAAGTCCACAGCGGAACCCTGGCAACGACTTTCCCCTTTCTGAGCCTCATTTTACTCATCAGTAAAATGGTGACAATAACTCCAACTTCACCAAGGAGATGCCAGGCTCAATGAGATGATGGATCTGAAAATGCCTTATGTTTCATGGCACAAAGGAGAGGGATTCCTGACATGCGACAAGCACAGGGAGAGAGGAAGGATGGGGTCTGTAAGTGGCCAGGTGGCAGCCCCACCCTTCCACACACACAAACACCCACCGTATCACCCACGCTGGTGATTTTCCCAGGAGGGCTCCCGGCCTGGAATTAGCACTGCCAGGTGGGCAGGGAGGACTGCAGTCCCATTACAGGGGTGAGGAAACAGGCTGCGGATGGTCCCACAGGGAATAAGGAACAGGGTCTAGCTCTCCACTGCAGGCAGGGAAGATTAAACTTGCTCCCTGGGAAGAGGAAGGGAGGCATTGACTGGCACTCCGTGATTTAGATGAGAAGCCCAGGCTCAGCCCGGTGACTTGAGCTTCCTCATGTAGAACGTGAAGGATGCAGAGGAGACAGAGAGCAGGAGGAAGAAGATAAGGAAGAGAGCAGCAAACTGGAGTCACTACAGGACACTAGCTACTCCAGGCTGCTCTGTCCCATTCTAAGAGAAAAGGAAAAGTGGGAGAGGGGATCACAGATCATGTCCAGATTCCTCACTGACATGGATGCTGCTATGGAAACTAAGATGGTCCAGGTTTGTGGTGGGAGAGATTGCAACGCTCTGCTTCCTGGAAATCTGTGTTTACAGCCAACACAGTTGCTGCCCAAGACGGCCCCACCTGAAGACCCCAGAGCTGCCCCAGCTTGCCAGGCTTCCCGTACTCCTGTTATCACCCCATGCTGCTGAGAACCTGCCTGGCAGGCTGCCCAGCCAAGGCCAGGACCTAATCTCAAGTGAAACTGACATGTCCTTGTGAGGGCTGAGGAACATCCTCTCTCCCCACAGAGCCTCATTCAGGTTCTCATCTACTTCCTTGCGGTCTGCCCCCGCTCCCTCAGGAGTTTGGAACCACATACTGTTCTGGAGGGGACCTCTCACTGCTGCCGAACCTGTCCTCCAGGATACCCACAAGTGTTCATCTCGTTCGTGGCTAAACAACTTATCATATGGTAGTGAACTATCTTCTGGGGCCCCAATATTTTGTTTATTTTTTAAAAATAAAATTAGTACCATTGTTTATTTTCTGAATGTACAGAAATATTTGTCTGATTATTATTTACATGCCCTTTGGGAAAACTTTATAAAATAAAAAAAATGAAGGAGAATCCTACCACGCAGAGATAATCACTTTATTTTTCTATTCATATTTGCACATACAGGTATATATGGGATCATGCTCTGTATCTGTTGGGAGTGCATTAATCTGAAAGTTCAGTCACTTAAACAAAGACAGGTTCATTTTTCTTACATAGTTAGAGTATCTATGGTTCCTGGCTATGGTTCACTGGTTCAACAATGTTAGGCCCAGCATCTTTGTGAGTCTATTGGAATTTAGCTTATGGCTGTAAGACGGCTACCGAAGCTCCAACCACTACATGAGTTTACAAGGCCAGCAAAAGCAGTCACTTCCGTATTCTTATTAGAAAAGCAAGAACGTCAGAGGTGACCCCCAGAGGATTTCTCTTTAGGTGTGGAAATCTGTGTTTAGATTGGCCAGAACCTGATCTCATGGCCATCCCTAGCACTAGAGAATAGCATTGTCATGATTGACTTTGGATCAGTCATAATTTATTGACTGAGAGTGCGCATGTGGTCCCCCAAAGATGATCAAGAAAGGAGGGAATTTGCAGTGTGTACTACAGCACGCATGCTGTTTTATGATCTGCTCTTTCTCTTAATTGCATATTTCAAACATCTTTCCATACTAAGAATATAGATTCAGTCATTCATTTAACAACAAATTATTGAGAGTGTACTGTGTTCCAGGAACTTAACTTGGCATGGAGGACACAACAATGAACATAGTATACTCCTTGCCTCCATGGAGCTTAGGATCTAATGAGGGATACAGAAATTCATCAAAGAGGTTCACAAAGAAATGTAAAATTACGATTGTAATTTGTGCTGAAAAGGAGGGAGGTGTGTGGTGTGTGAGAGAAGTGACAGGAGATTTGACTCAATCAGGAGGGTCTGTGTTCTGAATAGCCATAAACCAGCCCCTTGCCTAGCTGTAGCACAATTATTTAGCCAATCTCTTATTGCTGGACATTTACATTCTTCCCACATCTTACTTACTATCATCAATGCAACAGTAAATACCCTTCTCTAAGTACCGCTTGGCACACTTGTCTGATTATTTCCTCGGGATAAATTCCTAGGGTAAAGCCAGGCACCATGGTTCATGCCTGTAATCACAGCTACTCAGGAGGCCAAAGTGGGAGGATCACTCGTGGCCAGTAGTTTGTGGCCAGCCTGGGCAACATAGGGAAGTCTTGACTCAAAAAAAAAAATCCTGGAAGAAATGAACATTTCTTAGATGTCGAATTGCCAGATCAAGGGGTGCACCATCACCATCCCCATACTCACCATCACCATCGTCATTATCGTCAGTCTCACCCTCACCATTCTCACCAGCATCAGCAGCAGCATCCTCACCATAACTATCAGTATCATCACCAACTTCACTATCACCACCCTCACCATCTCCATCATTATCACCACCACCACTTTCACCATCACCATCCTGACCATCACCATCATTATCACCTCATCATCACCATCCTTACCATCACCATCACCATGCTCACCTTCACCATTCTCACCATTCTCATCATCATCCTCAGCATAACTATCACTATCATTATCACCACCTTCACCATCACCTTCCTCATCATCACCATCATTATCACCTTACCATCACCATCCTTATCATCACCATCACCTCTGAAAATCTTGGAGGAAAAGGAGAGGAGGTAGCATTTTAAAATACAGGTACTTCGACGAGGAGGAACAGGCAGAGTTGAAGCTGGGGAGGGGATATCCAACAATGGAGACCCCCAGAACATAAAACTAAGAAGCTCAGGCTTTGCCCAGAATCAGAGGCATCCTTGAAGATTTATCAGCAGGAGAGTATGTAGTCAGATTCGTGTTTAGGCAGAACATTAAGCAATCCTCAGAAGGAAGAGGTAGAGGGAGGGAGGCCCACAGAGGAGACAGAACCTTCAACACAAACCAGGGTCCTGGTCCTGGGTCCAGCCAATCTGGCAGGAATGAGGAATGGGAGGCTCATGGGTAAAGGCTGTGGCCAGGCAGGGAAAGGCCTCACTCTCCCTGCCACTCCTTTCCCTGCTCCCCACTTTTCTGTCCCATCTTTGCTAATACGCTCAGCATCTCCAACTGCACCCACCCACTACATTTGCCCCAATTCCTCCTCCTCTCTCATGCCTGAGGCCCAGGTGGCTTCCAGAGCTGACCAGGTCTACTTTAGAATTTTAATGAGATAATCTGGGTAGAAGTGCTGGTGCCCTGCCAGCCACAGCAGGTACTGCTCATATGGTAAACTGGAACTGTCTTCTCAGTTCCTGTAGCCTTGAGTTCAAATTCTCCCTAATCCAGATGACCACCGCCTCTCACCTGAGCAGAGAAGCCTCCCATTGGTCTCGCTGCCCCAGACCTTCCTCTTTCCAGATATCAGCCTGATAATTTTCTCAAACTGCAAACCTGGTCATGTCCCTCCGTTGTCCCTTTGACTAAAGGGTAAGACCGCAATTCCTTAGCATAACACCCCAGGCACTGAGGAGCTGAGGCCCCTCCATTTCCACCTTGACTTCTTCCCCTCCCCCTCTAGTAGCATTGCTGACCCACTTGCCTTGTTCCTTCACCACATGGCTTTGATCCTGTTGCTCCTCTGCCTGGAGGGTCTTCCTACATCTTCTCTGCCCGGTGAATTTCTACTTAACCTACAAACCACGCTCACCTTCTCTGTGCATCCTACTTCGTCCCCATCTTGCCGCAAATTGTGTCTCTCACTAGACCTCCAGCCCCTAAAAATCAGGGACAGCTTAATGCATGTTGGAAATGGCTACTCCTCACTTAATTACCCTAATTAGCTAGTTATATTCCCTTATATTTATGTTTCCTCATTTACTGAAGCTTTCCACAGGCCAGGCACTGAGATCCGGGGGAGGACCCTGAGGGTAGGACAAGCATGAGCACTGAAGGCTACAATGGCACAGGCACCAAGAGACCATGTGGGGTGCAGGAAGCCTCATCTCTAGAGTGTCTTCCTGGTTTACCATGAGCTTTCTTCCCTTCCCTTATTGGAGTTAACTTGTGCTGGTTTTGAATAGCCTGTGTCCCTGAAACATGCACTCCCACACACATAAACAGACCCACACTTATCCACATGTACCCACCCATACATACACAGACCTCTCTGTGTATCTCCCAGAGCTACAAATGCCAATCTTGAGAATGAAGATTTTGCAAGTGCTCTGTGCCAGGCATGATGCCAGGTCCCTAACAACACAAGATCCCTCTGGTTTCTCCCACTCAGCTGTGCAAGTTTGGGGTTGAGGAGCTCCCCCTGCCAGGGTCACAGACGTGGAACATGAGGTAACAGCTATTTGAATGTAAGCCTGTAGGTCACCAAAACATATGCCATCTGCACCCCACCACACTGCCTCCAAAGCACATGAAGACATGAGTCTATCAACTGTGACTCATTAGTACCCAGTAATATTTCCTCCTCCACTTCGCTTCCCACTGCCTCTCCAGTATCTCCACCCACAGTCCCAGAGCCACCTCTGCTTAACAAGGAGGTGAAGACAGATGCTCCGTTCCACCCGATGCCATCTCCCAGGGTGCAGCCCCCTCATATGATGAAATCATATGTTGTTTTTCATCATATGGCTAGTGGTGAGATGGGTGGCTCTGGCCCCAGGACTTCTCCCCGGGACCTCTGCTCAGGACATGGCAGGGACAGAGGTGAGGTTACCATAAACTGCCTTGGAAATGACTACAAACCAGCTCACACCATTCCAGCACCTAACACTCTGACAGCCCAGGGTGGGCCCACAGAAGGGGAAGGGCTAGGGAGTCCAGGACCACAAGAGTCCCCCTTCCCTGAGCCCTTGAGCACAGCCACCCAGGTGTAAGGGACAATATGGGGGTTCTGGGGATTCCCAAGCCTGGGCTCTGGAGGTGAGTTCTAGCAGGGCCCCCAGATATCCTCCCCATCCATCCCCTCATCCTGTCTCACATATTGTAAAAAAATGGGGATAATAACGGTACCTCCCAGCATTGGCGTTATCTCCAGGCCTAGGTGTCCTGGATCCTTCTGCCCCCTTTACACTCTGTGCAGCATCCAGTCCTGCTTGAAAGGAGCTCCTCTACTCCCCCACCAAAGCTCTGGTGAATTAATGTCCCTGTGGGGCATAAGTGACAGACAGTAACTTCCTCAATCTCCTTGCAGCCTAATCTAAGAAGATGCCTTCTAAAGAATAGCATTCTAATGTGAAATTTTAGTCCTGTGAAAGGCTAATGGGAGAAATCAGATTCCTTTACAAGATTACAGAGAAAACAGGACAATGAGTATCTCTAAAAGAGAATGTTCACTTGGAGTGTCAATGGGGTTAGGTGGCCGATACGGAATGAAAGGCTTTCATTTGGCTCCCTGACTTGCTGGTTTTGGGGATTTCCCTGGTCCTGGTCATTACCTCTTTCCTCCTGCCCAGCATGTGCTCACACCAGCCCTCTGCCTCATAGTCCTTCCCACAGTCCCTTTTTCTTATCTTTTTTTAGACAAGGTAAGCTCAGAGGGACTTTTAATATGCCAATCGATGTTAATAAAACACAAGTCAAAGACAAGTGCAAACATGCTTTCAACCAACATTAATGAGGAAACAAGACACAAATTTTTTCTTTTTACATTTTATTTTATTTTTGAGATGGAATCTCGCTCTGTCGCCCAAGCTGGAGTGCAGTGGCATGATCTCCACTCACCACAGGTTCCTCCTCCTGGGTTCACGCCATTCTGCTGCCTCAGACTCCCGAGTAGCTGGGACTACAGGCGCCTGCAACCACGCCCGGCTAATTTTTGTATTATAGTACAGATGAGGTTTCACCGTGTTAGCCAGGATGGTCTCCATCTCCTGACCTCGTGATATGCCCGCCTCAGCCTCCCAAAGTGCTGGGATTACAGGTTGAGCCACTGAGCCTGGCCCTGTTTGTTCTTTTACATTAAATTTACAATGTATTTGCCATGTTTCAAAAATAAATTTAATTGGAATTTTATTGAAATTGTATGAGACATGATTTAGTCCAAGATGAACACACAACATTATTATTACTGTTTCCATCCAGCTATGTCATATTTCTTTGTTTTCTCTAGTTGTCTTTTATATCGCTCAATAAAATTTGTGGCTCTGGTACATTTCCTAATAATCATACATTATATTTCATTATTTCTAATTATTATAATGGATTGCATGTACATTTACTATGTACCAGATATTATGCAATATATTCATTATCTCAATTCATAAAACAATCATGTGATTTAGTTGGTGTTATTACTAGATTATTACCATTGTACAAGTAAAGAAAATAAAGACAAAAGAAAAGAGACTCAGCAAAATCAAACCAATAAAGACTTAATTAGAATTGTTGGGCATATAGTAAAAATTTAATACAACTCAATGAAAGCAAAAAAACATTTTAAAAAATGACCAGGCAGATTTGAGAAGGATCCAAACAGAAATTCCAGAAATAAAAACATAATTGTTGAAATTGAAGACAGATTTGACAGCAGATTACATACAATTGAAAAGGAAAATGTAAACTGGAAGACAGGCTGAAGAAATTGCTCAGAATAAAGCCCAAAGAAGTAAAAAATAAGAGAGAAACCAGAGACATGGAAGACAAGAATGATAAGATATTACAACTAACAGGATTTCGTAAGTAGAAAAATAAACTGTTAGAAAGGTTTTGTAAAAAAGATAACGGCTTGGAATTTTCCCAAAGTGATGAAAAATTCCACCCTTCATATTCAGGAAGCTCAAGTTGGACAGATTTAAAAGGAAAAAAAAATACCTAAATGTATCATCATAAAAATAACGGAACCTTGAAGAAAAGAATATATTGAAAACAACCAGAGAGAAAATTCACATTATCCATGAAAGAATATGGATTTAGACCAAGAGCTAATGTCTTAAAAATGGAAGCAAGAAGACAATGTACTGAGAAAAAATAATCACATATGAAATTAATATATCTTTTAATAAACAGGCCAAATATAAGACAATATTTAAGTCATAAAAACCAAACAAATGCTGAATTTGCTAACTAAGAGACCTTCACTAAAGGAAGTTCTAAGAGATGTTCTTCAGTAGAATGGTGTTCACCTAGATGGAAGACTTGAGTTGCGAGAAGAAATGGTGAGTACGTAAGAAGACAAATATGTGAGTAAATATAAATGAACACTGACTATACAACACGTAGTTTCCAGTGGATTAAGAATAAGATGAGAAGCAAAACCATAAAACTTCTAAAGATAATATAGTAAAACTACCTCAATAGCCCCAGTGGGTTTTCATATAAAACCTAAACAAATTCTGTTCACCAGAAAAACACTATCAGGATCAAAGACCCAAATATAAGGGGTAAAACTATAAAATTTGTAGAAGAAAACATAGGTATAAATCTGTGACCGTGAATTAGGCAATGGGTCTTAAATACAACACCAAATGCAAGAGTGACAAAAGGAAAAAACAAACTGGACTTTAACAAAATTTAAAACTTTTGTACATCAGAGGATACCATCAGGAAACTGAAAAGAACCCACAGGATGAGAGAAAATATCTATTAAGTCATACATCTGATGAGGAACTAATGTCCAGAATATATAAAGAATTCTTAGAATAACAAAAACACAACCCAATTAAACGAGCAAACAATCTAAATGAACATTTCTCTAAAAGGATATACAAATGGCCAATCAGCACATAAAAAGATGCTCAACATCATTAGTCATTAAGGATATGCAAATGAAAACTACAACTAGATACCACCTCACATGTACAAGGATAGCTATATTTTTTTAAAAAAGGAAAATAACGGATGTTGTCAAGGAGGTAGGAAAAACTGGAACCTCCATACACTGCTGGTAATAATATAAAATGGTACAGAGACTTTGGAAAACAGTTTTGAAGTTTTTCAAAAATTTAAACATAGATTTACCATATGCCCACTCCTAGATATATAAAGAAAATTGTAAAAATACGTCCACACAAAAACGAGTACATGAATCTCATCACAGTACATTATTAATCATAGTCAAAAAATGAACACAACTCAAATATCCATCGACTAATGAATGGATAAACAAACCATAGTATACTCATGCAGTGGGATTCAGGCATATAAAGCAATGAAGGGCTGACACAAGATACAACATGGATGAATCAGGACAACATGCTAAATAAATGAAGCCAAACACAAAGGGTCACATATGATTCTGTTTTTTCTGATATTTGGCATATGCTAGTCCATAGAGACAGAGAATAGTCTAGTGGTTGCCAGGGGCTGGGGAAAGGGGGAAATGGGGAGTAACTGCTAGTAAGTATGGAGTTTCTTTTTGAAATGATAAAAATGTTCTAGAGTTAGAGAGTGGTGATAGCTGTACAACTTTATGAATACATTAAAAGCACTTAAAGTGTCTATAGTCCCATCTGCTCAGGAGGCTGTTGCAGGAGAATCACTTCAACTTGGGAGGCAGAGGTTGCAGTGAGCCAAGATCACATCGACATATTTCCTTTGTCAATTTTTCATTCTGTATTGGAAGTAATTGATAGGTATTTCTGAAGGGATGAAGGTGTTTCTGTGTTCATTGTGATCCAAACTATTTTTAGACCTAGTGGTGTTTGTAAAACAATTTGTGCCAGCTGACCAATGGCCACTGTGGCAGAAAGCAGCAAACTTGCATAAGATGTTGCTGCCTCATAAGTTGACTTTGAAAACTAGGGGCTTACTCTATATTCTTATGAATCAAAGACATTGATAGATGTAGTATAAGATTACAATCATATTTTCCTTTTGACAGTCACATTATAAAGCATGATGTATTGCAATTAATCTCAATTAGCTGATCACAATTACAATTAATAATGTTTATTATTGCTGATAAACAATCATGACTCTCCTGTTCTCAAATGTGCAAGTAATTCTTGTAATTTTAATTCAAATTTGCATATTATTACTAATTGATTTAATCTCATTGGATTTGGTTCATGGATCCAATTTATTAAAATATTGATAATGGGATAATGATTTGTCTCCCCATTTCATTTACACTAAAAGCCACAATTCTTACAATGATCTGCAAGCCCATCATGATCTGCCGCATGTTAACCGCCAAAATTCTTTTATATCTTCACCCTTAATATTACCAGTGGTCCTGGCCACCTCACTCTCCTCTGGACCTGCCAATATGCTGCTGTCTTATGACCAAACTCTAGTTAATTTCTTGGCTTGGAAAGATAGCCCTCCATATATACACTGATCAGCTCATTCAACTTCCTCTAGTCTTTACTGAAACCTCACATTCTCGATGAGACCTATTCAGTATTTCAAACTGCCTGCCTGCTGCAACATTCCAAAACTCCTTACTCTTCTGTGTATTTTTGAAAGGATTTATTGAGATATAATATTCATAGTGTAGAGTGCACACGTTAATGTCTATAAGTCAATGGCTTTTAGTATATGCACTGATAAGTGGAGCCATCATCACAATGAATTTTAGAGCATTTTCATCACTCAAAAAGAAACCCCACCTTCTTTAGCTGTTAACCTCCTATGCACCCATCCCCTACTCAATCCTAAGCAACCACAAATCTGTTTTCTGTCTCTATAGATTTTGCTATTCTATTTTCATCTAAATAGAATCATACAATAGGTGGCCTTTTGTGCCTGACTTCTTTCAGTTGGCATAATGCTATCAAGGTTTATGTACGTATTGGTACTTTATTTCTTTTTATAACTGTATAACATTCAATTTCATGGATATAACATTTTGTTTATCCAATAATATTTTTATTGACATTTGAGTTGTGTTCAGCCTTTGGCTATTGTAAATACTGCTGCTAAAAATACTTGTGTACAATTTGTGTTTGAACACCTCTTTCCAATACTCTGGGTGTATACCTGGGAATAAATTTCTGGGTCATATGACAATTCTATGTTTAATATATTTAGAAGCCATCAAACTATTTTCCAAAGTGGTCAGTTCTAGCCATAGAGTATCTAACTGTGGTTTTGATTTGTAGTTGCCTGATGAGTGATGCTATTGAGTATCTTTTTATGGGATTATTGACCGTTCGTGTATCTTCTTGGGAAACACATCTATTCCTATCATTTATCAGTTTTGAGTTGGGGTATTTGTTACTGAGTTAAAACAATTTTTCTATATTCAAGTTACATATATATACAGACATACAGATATGTGTTTTTCAAATATCTTCTCACAATTTTTGAGCTGCCTTTTGACTTGCTTGTTTGTCCTTTGAAACACCAATGTCTAATTTTTAAGGAATTTTAAATATCTATTTTTTATTTTGTTGCTCATGTTTTTGGTGTTACAGCTATATCTTTTCTAGATCCAAAATCCTGAAGATTTTCCCATATGCTTTATTCTAGCTCTGCATGTATGTCTTTAATTCATTTGAGTTAATATTGTTGTATGCTTTGGGGTAAGGGTTCGAATTTATTATTTTGTAAGTGGTGATCCACGTGTACATTGTTGACCCAGTTTGTTCAAAGACTGTCTCTTCCTCATTGAATTGCACATGGCACCATTGTAAGAATCCATTGACTATAGATACACAGTTTTATCTATGGACTCTCAATTCTCTTCAATCAATATATATATTTTTCCTTCATCAGTATTGTGTTGTCTTGATTACTGATGCTTTGCCGTAAGGTTTGGAGCACGGGGGTGTAATATGTTTTCTTTTTTCAAGACTATTTTGGCTATTTTGAGTCCCTTACAATTCCATGTGTATTTTAGAATCAGCTTGTCAGTTTCTAGACAGAAGTCTGTTGGGATACTTGCAGGGATTTCGTCAAATCTGTAGTTCAAATTGTAAAGTACTACAATATTAAATCTTCCAATTCATGGCTGTAAGATGTTTGCTAATTATCTAGATCTTCTTTAAACAATAATTTTTAATTTTCAGAGTAAAATCTTGTACCACATTTTCCAAATTAATTATTATTTCTTTTTTTGATGCTATTGTAAATTGTTTTCTTAATTTCATTTTGGGGTTTTCATTGTAGATGTGTGCAACTGATTTTTGTATATTTATCTTGTATGCTGTAATATTGCTGAAATAATTTACTAGTTCTATCGTTCAGTGGATTCCTTAAAATTTTCTATATACAAGAATGTTATTTGCACATAAAGTTTTATTTCTTCCTGTTCAATATGGGTGACTCTTATTTCTTTACTTGCCAATTTGCCCTGCATAAAATCTTTAGTACAGTGTTGACTAGAAGAGGTCAAAGTATATATCTTATTCTTATCTCTGACCATAGCGGGAAAGTATCCTTTCTTTCACCACTAAGTTGAATGTTTGCTGTTGGTTTTTCACAGGTACCATGTTTCTGGTGTAGAAAGTTCTCTATTCCTGGTTCATTGAGTTTTTATTTTTATTTTTAATCATTAAAGCATTTGGATTTTGTTAAATGTCTTTTCTGAATCTATCGAGATGATCATGCAATTCTTGTTTCTTATTCTATGGATAAGATGTATTACCTTAATGGATTTTGGGCTGTTAAACCAACCTGGGATTACTAGTATAAATTTCACTTTGTTATAGTGTATAATTCTTTTATATGTTGCTAGATTTGATTTGTTAGTATTTTTTAAGGAATTTTGCATTTATACTTATAGTAGTTTTATTTTTCTATGCTATTTGCACTAACTTTTGTATCAAGGTAACACTGGCCCCACAGAATAAATTGGGAAGTGAATATTTCTCTTTTTTTTTAAAAGTTAGTCAAGAGTTAATATCAATTAGTCAATACTAACAAATATGATTAATATTATAAATTATTATTTTCTCTAATTTTTATTTTCTTCCTTCTGCTGGCTTTAGGTTTAGTTTGCTATTTTTTTTCCAGTGCCTTAATGTGGAAGGTCATCTTATCTCATCCTTTCCTTTGCCTTTTCATTTTCAAAATAGTGTCTTTTTAGCATCAGGTGAGCTCCCCAGGTTGGTAGTACTCCATGTTTATTCCTGTACAATAATGACAGGTAATATGTCCTGAAGACAATGGAAACTTAACATTCAAAATCCTCCTAGATTCCACTTTATGTGATATGTCTCTTCCTTTGATTGGTCCTAATTTCTACCCTTTCTCTATTATAAACGATGAGTACAATGGCATTCAATGAGTTCTGTGAGTCATTCTAGTAAATTCTTGAAACTGAGTGTGTTCTGGGGAAACCCCTGAACTGGCAGTTGGTGTCAAAAGCGAGAATCGTCTTATATGGCCTCTTCCTTTGAACTTTGCAGCTGGACCTAAAGTCTGCACAATTTGGGCCAGAAGTCTCGTGTTGACTTTGCAGCCTGAAGTATCTTGTAGTTTGTCTAACCCTCAATAAATTTGCTTTCATCAAATATTGTATTTGTTACCCCAAAATTACCATCATGTTTTTTTCTCCAAATAACTAACATTGGGAGAAATAGCCAGCTGAATCTGTAACTCAACAGAAACAAGTGATCCATATACCATATAAGTGGCCATTTCATTTTGCCTCATTTCCACCAAATCTTAGCAACCTCAACCATTGCCATGAGCCACTGTAGGCCTACGGGCTACAAACAAACAAGTATCTTTTAAAAACATTTCACACTCCCATTTGGTAAATTTCTCAGCAAATAGATGCCTACTTTAACTCTATGCAAGTAGCTCATATTCGCGAAGTCTGGAGATAATATTCATGTAGTGTGAGAAAATCATCCCAGCGATGCCAGCACTTTCTCCTTCCCATGATCTGCTAGGTTTGCAAACATATTCAGGCCATGGGTGAGAGATTTGTATTTCACAGTTACAACAATTTTATGGAGGGCACTGAAACTTAGATTGAGCATTTTAGTACAGTCACACATCACTGAATGATAGGGATACGTTCTAACAGATGCATCCATAGGCAATTTCATGGTTTTGTAAACATCACAGAGAATATTACAAACACCTAGTTTGTACAGCCTACCACGTCTAGGTTATATGGTATAGCCTCTCTCTCCTTGGCTACAAACCTGTGTACTACATTACTATACTGAATACTGCAGGCAATAAGAACACAGTGGTAAGTTTCTGTATCTAAACATACTTAAACATAGAAAAGTATGTAAAAATATGTATTATAATCTCATGGGACCACTTTTGTATATGTAATCCATCTCTGACTGAAATGTTATTATGCATGACATGACTCTATGACAAAAATAAAATAATACATTGTAAAAAATGTACACATGTATCAAACATAAAAATAAAAATATTTATTCAGTGTTAAGAATTTGTAACGATCACAAAATGTTCACAGCTTCTATTTTAGTACAATTTCAAATGCCTAGTGCAATTACTATTTATTTCTTTGTGTATTTTAAACATGTATATAATAAATATTTTTCAGGTTCAACAATATATATCAATCCAACTGGCTCTTATAAATATTAGTTAAAATCAATTAGTGAATTCATGCATATATATACACACATGTATCAGTGAGTGTGTGTGCATGTATGGGTGTAAATGTAATTGTATGTGTGTGTAAATGCAATTGGATGCATCCTAATATTTACCCTTACCTACAAGATTTCCAAGATTCATTTATTATCTTTAGTTGATATACATTTAAAGATTTACCAAATAAAACTCTAATCGTGGAAAATATCAACATTATTAAATTCATCTTGTGCACATAATTATTTCTTTAAATTGATGTTTCTTGCAAAACTTGCAGTAATGCTTATGCATAAAATAATTTTCTAAATAAAAAATAAAAACATCGTCTGTCATTAATTCTTAATAATTATTTCTCCCCAATAATCAATGTGAATTCTTAATTCTTAATTATAGAATAATGTTGCTCTTCAGAGTTCTGAATCTTTTGCATGTAGTATACATTTCACTAACTAGAACAACTTCTGAAATATTGACATTAATGTCACTCAGCAATTATTGGTTTCAAAGAAATTAAATACCATTCATATTCTGAATCACAAGGGTACTTTGGCATCTAATTTAATCAAGGTCTTTGTATCATCATCTACACTTTAAATACTTAACAAACATTTGTCTGTGTGAGAAAGATTGAGCAGGTTATTGTGCCTTTTTAAGATGCAACTTTTGCTTAATCTAGAGATAGGCAATGCTCCCTATAAGGGACAAAGAGAAAAATGAGTGAGCAATAGAGATGTGACAGGCATGGAAAAAGACATTTATAAAACAAATAGGGCCACAGATGATGATATTGGGGATCAAATCTTGAGATACTGACTCAGTTTATAACCACACTATATAATAGAGCAAATCATTTGTTAATTTTTTGACAAATGGAATTTAATTTAATTAAGATGAATACAGTGTTTTAAACAAGGCAGGTCATCTTAAAATAAAATAGTGGAATAAAGGATACAACCAGTGTAAAAATCATAAACATTTTATAAATAACTTTTTGTCATGTAATTTAATATTTTTGTTTATTTAAAATCACCCAAATCAAAATAATTATAACTTAATTAACAAATAGTCATCAGAAGTTAACCAATTTTTACTTTATAATACTAGGTTTAAAAATTCTTATATTTTTAATCATATATGCTTATATATAAAATAGACATAGGATATATATTTACATGTTCACAATATTATATTGTAATTGTTCCTATGGATGTGGTTTTTCAATAGAATAAGTACTTTTAAAAATTTTCAATTTCAATGATATATATGTTTGATTTTTCTTTGACAAAGCATACATATATTGATAGGTAATAATATGAAAATCTTCTAAAAACATTACAGGAACATGAAAATGTAATTAAATCCTCTCTAATTTGTAATGTTTTATGTAAGTGGAACACATTTAACTGAAAACTGCTTTTATATAATCCTCAAACGAGACTAAAAACATATTAACCAGTGGAGTAAGTCTTCAAATTGATAATCTGAACTATATGAGGAGAAACTTCAGGCACTCAAATGTTTGAAATGCTACAAAATATTTCTTTAAACTATTATTTAACAATTTCTGTTTGTAGAGTGCTATACAGTAATCAATATAAATGGCACCTCAAGTGTTTTGGTAGCTTTAACCACATTTACCTCCTATTTTAATTATTAATATGTTGGAGCAGTGCATACAACTAGATTCCAATCTTCCTTTTTAATGGGTAAAAATATGTCCTTTGAGACAGCATTAAAGAGCACCTTGTATAAATTCAATGCCAAGAGACAAGATATTCTTGATTCTGAAGTCTTGTTCTTTGATACAGCAATGTAATTAATAAGAAGAAAAGCACGACATAGATGTGGAGTCTATTTTAATCAAAAATTGTCTACAGATTTTGATGATAAAATTTAAAAATCTACTATATTTAGTTAGTTACAAAAAACTAGGTTGTGGGAACATATTTGGTCAATAAAACACCCCTACCAAATGCTGACAAGAAAAATTTAGGTACCACCTTTCTTCTCTGCAGATGGCCTGAGATGGGTTAATTTGAAAGAATGCTTCCAAACCTGAGGTGACCCCTGAGAACAGCATAATCCACTGCTGTCTCCTACATTCAGTTTCTAAGTTTGTGCTCTTTTAATTTTGGGGGGAGGGAAGCCAGTCCTTTAAACCGATCTTCAGCATGATGGCAGAGCCAAGGAGTGTGGACAGGTGGCACGGTGTCTGACTTTGATCCAGCAGCCACTTGGGCTTTCTCTGGGTCTTCTCTGCCCTAGGGACAACACCACTATTGAAAACATGTCTTTGTGACATTCTCTATGGCAGGAATCCCCAACACATTTTCCTTGAAACTGATGAAATGAATAAAAATAAACCAAAAGGTGTGCTGTTTCTGTTTCCTCCTTTCTGCAGCCCTTCTTGATCATCTAATATTTTTAAATACATTGTCGATCACCAAAAGGAGCATAAGGGCTTTATTGATTTGTAGCAGATGTATTAATAGCCCAGCCCCTATTCCTTACCTGTAGCTGCTGTGAAGAAAACCATTCTTAACATTCTACAAGATCTCATCTCCAGAATTTGCACCTGTTTCTAGCTGAGGACTTTCTCTAGCAGAACGGGAGCTTGTTACTGGGCATGAAGTGGGAAGAAAAGGTGAGGGTAACTAAGAAGAATCTCCCCGGATTCAGTGATGTAATTCTGAGGCATGTTCCACATAGCTTCCCATAGAATTAAGCCCAGATATATACACAGGAACTTGCCTCTTAACACGTGTGGTATTGGCTTTTCTATCTTTCCTGTTTTATTTTGTTCTCTCTTCCTTGTCTCACTTTTGCTGTGTCCTCACTCCTGCTTTAAGAATACCCAAACAAATACATTCATTTATTTTTTTAGACTCTCAGAACACAGTTGATAGTTGAACTTGTAATCTATGATAATCAGCTTGGATGCTATACTGACAGGAAGATGGTGAACTCACAATGTCTAATTAAGATAAAATTAAAAAATATACTGATTCATGTCCAAAGATTTAAACAACCTAAGCGGCAGTGTCACAATTTCTTCTTTTTAGTTTACATGGTTTTTTAAATGCCTACAGTTATTTTAAAGGAAGCCTTGTGTCTAGGAAAAATAGAGACATATGGAATAAATTACTAACCCATTTCTCCTTGAAATCCATTAGATGCTTGATGATTTTTCACATATATTTCTGAATTCAAAAGCTAGTTGCAAATTATTTTTATAAGCATATCCTTATGTAATATTTTGTTTTTAACAGTGAATTGAAGGTTTAAAGATTAAATTATTCTATCCAGAGAATAAAAAGCAATTATTTTACAAGGAGAACATGTGTATGTTGACACAACATTTTAAAATCTAGATTTTAAAATAGGTCCCATATACTTTTGAGTCAATTAGAATATGTTTGCATCAGTCTGTCTACAGTTTTCCACCTGTCAAAATGTACTTGAACTACAAGTACCTTGAACAATTTTGAAATTTATTATTCCTCTGAAACTGATTAAAAGAATTATGGTAGAGTGAAATTCTGATTGGCATAATTTGGGAGAGAAATTATTCCTTGGACATCAACCTCTGCCAAGATAGTTTATAATGACATTGAGACTTTTTGATTTACAAAATTTGTTATATAAAAAATACTAAGACAATGACAGATAATACACAGACTTTAATTAAAATTGTACTAAAATTAAATGTCTAAATAAATTAGAAGGGTACATGGTACATATAATTGTATGCTTATATATTTTATTTGTGCATTTTATTCCTAGGGTTGCTTTTGCTTTAGTTTGTAAAACGTTCTTATTTTTATGATAATGTAGTATATACTAAATAAAGAAAAATCAGGAAGTAGAAAATGAAGAAGAAAACATTAGCTGTTGTCAACCAAATAAAAATTGTGCAATCTCTAAGCACATGAACTATGTATTATTTGTACAGCATGTACAATGTTTATGCTTCACAAGGTGAGGTAGAGACTGCAAAACATTGAACCTGGGACAAATAAGAAAGTAAGGAAATTTTCACAACATATTAATATTATAGAAAATGTTGAACTTAACAGTTAAGATACAAGTAGTGAAAAATGATAGTATTTAAGGAGATCTAGAAAATTTATATCTGTAATGTGAGAAGTATTAGAATAATGCTTGTATTTCTGGATTGGCTCGATTTCTATTGAGACTGGAAACATAGTAGAAGTGAGGGAAAAAGAATTTAAATTGTGGATACTTGAGTTTTATACCTAGCAGTTCGAGAAATACATTTTGTTACTATCAAAGCAGTTGGCACAAGAGTGTACAAAATTCCCCAATTGTGTCTATGTGGAGAAGACATAGACAAACAGAGAATAGCAAAACAGAAATAGCAAAAAAGCACAAATAAATTTTACCTGTATTTTTATGTAAAGGCCAATTAGAGTAGGAAAACATGAAATTTGTGTTTTATCAAAATTTTTCTCTTTCTCATAATATAGTTGATTACTAAAAAAAACTGAAGCATTGGTATGTTCACAAAAAAAAGTAAAATGTTCACAAATAGTGATATTTGTGAAAAAAGTGATATGTTCACACAAAAAAGGTCAAAACCATGGGAATGCAGGCATCAGACAAAATATTCCTAAACACCGAAACTGATTTTGCCCTACGGACATGTACCAAAATGAATGAGTGCAGATTCCTACTGTCATACATCACATAGGACAGTAAAGAAATACATAGTTTTTCCCAATATACGGCATCACACAGGAGCTCCTCCCTAAAGCTAGGACCAAAATTTCTATCCTCAGTATAAAGAAGAATCAGAGGTAAATTAGTCCCATTTCACATTCCCTGGAAATGGCAAATAAAAATGACTTGAGATTGGACAGATTTAAAGAAACTCAATCGTTAATGATTTACAGCAATTAATTTAAAAATTGTTTAAATGTGCAGTCCAAACATACATCCAAACACCTTTAGGTCAAGAATTAACATAATGTGGTCCCAGAATGGTGGTGCCCTTAGTAGACTTACAAAAAAATTCAAATTCTCTTTGGCAAATTTTCTTCTTACTAATCATCAGAAGTGCACAAAAATAATTTTCAGAGAAAAATAAATATTTGTCATTCAAAGACATCTAAGTACGCAAGGAAATGATATTCCACCATTTGAAAGGAAACAGAAAAAGAGTACAAACAGATACACAAAGATTCATTAGTAGAAATATCACCGTTAAATTATAAAGCACATTTGCTTTAAAAAAAATTTTAAAAAAGAATACATTTTTAGGAGACTAAAAAATTGATGTAGCAAATTTGAAAAGTAGTTTGTATAAAAAAATAGTATTTTAAATTAAAAACTCAAAAATGAACTCATCAGATTAGACGTGGCCATGGTGGGAGTTAATAAATATTTCAGAATGCATTACAGAAAATTTTGAAAAATGCAAAATGTAGACTGAATCATGAAGAGACATGGAAGATACAGTGAGAAAGTGTAGCATGTGTTTAGTGAGTGTTCTTATAGAAGAAGGGAACTGGGAAGGGACAATATGTGATGGTAATTTGGCTGAAAGTTCTCTAGACTTTTGTAAGACACTAATCTGCATATTCAAAAATTCCATGCATGCTAAGCAAGCTACAATGGAGATAAACCTACAACTATGTATCTCCTAGAGAAATAGTAAAGAATCAGTAAGGGAAAAATATTTCAATTAGCACTAGAAAAATCAAATTATCTTTAATCATATTGAAATAGGAAAGAATGAAAGGTAAAATAAACAATATTATTTGTTAAGAATAATAATGTCATTCTGAAATTCTCAACCAAGAAAAATATTCATCAACCTATGGCTAAATAACATATTTAGAGACAAAAAACAAAATGCCACCAGCAGAATTCCACTAAAGAAACTAAAGAGAAACTGAAAACATGCTTCAGAAAGGTTGAAGTTCTGAAATCAAAGAATGAACACAGAACAAAATATACTGTAAACATACAGATAGATCTAAATAAAAAATCAGGTGTTGAAACAAAAAGATATTTAAAATTAGATAAGCACTGCAATGTGTACCTTAGGAAGAAAATTATTAGGGCTGAAGTATTCAAAGACCCCTTAATTGTCTGACAAGAGCAGAAAGTTGAGTATGACTTAGCAACTCTTTTTTTTTTTTCTTTTTTTGAGAAGGAGTCTCACTCTTTCGCCCAGGCTGGAGTGCCGTGGCGCCATCTCGGCTCACTGCAACCTCTGCCTCCCAGGTTCAAGCAATTCTCCTGCCTCAGCCTCCTGAGTAGCGAGGATTACAGCCACGTGCCACCATGCCTGGCTAATTTTTGTATTTTTAGTAGAGACGGGGTTTCACCATGTTGGTCAGGCTAGTCTCCAGCTCCTGACCTCGTGATCCACACGCCTCGGCCTCCCGAAGTGTTGAGATTACAGGCGTGAGCCACTGCGCGCGACCGACTTTGGAACTTTAATAAATTCACTGGACATTATGCATTTCTCTGTTGTATCTATGAAAACAATAAAAATAAAAGTCATAATTTAAAAACAAGAAGACAGAAACTGATAGGAGAAAATGAGGCATTTTATATATATATACAACAAATTAATAAAACAAATTAAGTATAAATGATCAAAGATTAACTTAAACCTAAGTAGACAATGTTTCTGTTAAAATACAAAGATTGGCAAAATTAAAAAAATCCGTCTCTATCATAGTTACAAGAGAGGCAACTAATATATAAATTTACAGAAACTTTGAAATTCAAACAATACAGATACTGTGTATATATGATATACATACATACTACATGAATATAATTTTTTAAAAAGTTGCTATGTAGACAAAATAGAATGTAAGTTAGAAACATTTATTAAAATAAGTTAGTCTAACCAGTGTGATAAAAGTTTTAAGTTATTAAGATGTGATGACTTAAATGTGCATTAGCCTGATACATATATACATATATACACACACACCACACACTCTCTCTCTCACACACACACACGTATTTCGAGAGTCAAATTATATAAAGCAAAAATATCAGAAAGTAGAAATGGATAAGCCCCCAAATCATTACAGACATTTCAAACACACATCTTTCAGTAATAGATAAAAGAAAAAATTAAAAGAGTAAGTTTTAAAAGAAGCTAGTGGATTTTAAAAAGGGCAAATGTTATATAAGGAACATGAATATTATAATTCATGTTATTTTCATGTTCATACAGAATACTTACAAAAATTAACATTTTCTAGACCATACCACAAATTCAAACAATTTTCACGCAAATAACGTGACATAGAATATATCTCCTAAACAAACAGCAATGAAGGTAGATATCAATACAAAAAAGATAGAAACATAAGCCTAATAATATTGGTTGGAAGCTATTTTAATGAATATTGAAATATTTTAAAGGTGAATAGTCAATACAAATGAACCAAACACTTTTGTAAGGCCACTAAGATGCATGTGTAATGTGTAATGCCTCCTTTTATAAGGAGTAAATCTGTAACATCACCTGGGCTATTTGACAACTGCAAAGTGAATGTGAGAAGGAGAGAAACAGTGAGAGAGAGAGAGAGAGATAAAACCAGTAAAATAAACATAAAGAATGAAGGAGATAGCCAGGCGCCATGGTTCATGCCTGTAATCCCAGCATTTTGGGAGGCCGAGGCAGGTGGATCACCTGAGGTCAGGAGTTCGAGACCAGCCTGGTCCAACATGGTGAAACCCACTCTCTACTAAATATACAAAAATTAGCCTGGCATGGCGGCATGCACCTGGAATCCCAGCTACTCGGGAGGCTGAGGTAGGAGAATTGCTTGAACGTTGGGGGTGGAAGTTGCAGTGAGTAGAGATCACGGGACTGCACCCAGCTTGGGCGACAGAGCAAGACTCCGTGTCAAAAAAAAAAAAAAAAAAAGGAGGAAATAGTACATGAAATAGCAGAATTAAAGCAACTGAGTATATATTTAAAAATGCAAAAGCTCACTTTTTCAGAAAAATATTAAAATATTAAATCTAACAAATATCTAGGTAGACTGATGGAGAAAAATACAGAAAATGCACAAAAAACCAATTACCTGGAATGCGAAGGTTACAAAACGTCAGCAGTTGTAGATTTTAAACAAGCAATGACTTTGAGTTCAATCATGATGGGGTATATTGAAAAGAATCAGAAAAAAAGAAAAAGAAAACTGTTATAAAACTATGTACAAAATGTTATGCACTATTAAAGTCTTCCAATTCTACCAGTTATGGAGTTATTGGTCTTGGACTAACTCTCCTGAAAAGAAAAAAACAAAACAAAACAAAATAAAACATAAAAACGTGGATAAAATGGCCTACCGTGGGCACTGGCAATGCAACCAAGCAGGTAGGACATGGGAGCTACAGTCTCTTTGTCAGAACACAAAGCATTCATACACTCCCGAGCAGGGAGAGCTGGACCAGGAGCGCCCCTCCGCGCTGCCCTTGCCAGAACGCCAGTGGAGCTGGCAGCCGAGTGTGCCGCTCCCGCCCTCAGAGCCGCGGCGGCGGGGGCAAAAATCCTCGGCGGCGGGGGTAAAAAGCCGCGGCGGCAAAAAGCGGCGGCGGCGGGGCAAAAAGCCGCGGCGGCAAAAAAAAACAAACCCACAAAAAGCCGCGGCGGCGGGGGGAAAAAGCCACGGCGGGGAAAAAGCCTCGGCGTAGGGGGCAAAAAACCGCCGAGGCCGGGGCAAAAAGCCACGGCGTCGGGGGAAAAAGCTACGGTGGAGGGGCAAAAAGCCGCGGTGGCGAGGTCAAAAAGCCGCAAAAAGCCGCGGCGGCGGGGGGAAAAAGCCGCAAAAAGCAGCGGCGGCGGGGGCAAAAAGCCGCAGCGGCAAAAAGCCTCAGCGGCGGGGGCAAAAAGCCACGACCGGGGGAAAAAGCCGCAGCGGCAGGGGCAAAAAGCCACGGCGGCAGGGAGCAAAAACCCGCGGGGGTAGGCGCAAAAAGCCGCGGCGGGGGGTTAAAAAGCCGCGTCAGCAAAACCCGCGGCGGCGGGCGCAAAAAGCCGCGGCGGGGGCAAAAAGCCGCAAAAAACCGCGGCTGCGGGGGAAAAAGCCGCGGCAGCAGGGGCAGAAAGCAGCAAAAACCCAAGGCGGCAAAAAGCCTCGGCGGCGGGGGGTGGGGGGGTGCAAAAAACCGCGGAGAGGGGGGCAAAAAACCGCGGTGTCGGGGGAAAAAGCCATGGCCGCGGCGGCAAAAACCCGCGGCGGCAAAAAGCCCCGGAGGCGCGGACAAAAAGCCCCGGCGGTGGGGGTCGAAAGCCGCGTCGGCAAAACCCATGGTGGAGGGGGGCAAAAAGCCGTGGCGGCGGGCGCAAAAAATGCAAAAAGCAGCGGAGGGGGCAAAAAGCTGCAAAAAGCAGCGGCGGCGGAGGCAAAATGCCACAACGGAAAAAAGCCTCGGCGGCGGGGGCAAAAATCCGCGGAAGCGGGGGGAAAAAGCCGCGGAAGCGGGGGGGAAAAGCCGCGGCGGCGGGGGCAAAAGGCAGCGGGACAGGGGCAAAAAACCACAAAAATCTGCGGCGGCGGGGGCAAAAAGCTGCAAAAAGCAGCGGTGGCGGGGGCAAAAAGCTGCAAAAAGAAGCGGCGGCGGGGACAAAAAGCTGCAAAAAGCAGCGGCGGCGGGAGCAAAAAGCCCTAGCGGCAAAAAGCAGCGGCTGTGGGGGCAAAAAGCCATGGTGGCAAAAAGCCTAGGAGGCGGAGGCAAAAAACCGCGGAGGCGGGAGCAAAAGGGAGCAGGGGCAAAAAACCAAAAAAACCTGCGGCAGCGGAGGGAAAAAGCCGCGGCGGCGGGGGCAAAATAGTGGAAATGGGGTAGAAGGCCTGCACAGCTTGGCATTGCTGCTGTGTGATGTGATAGGAAAAGTGCAGCCGAAAACCAAAAAAGATGTAAGTAGGCTTCACTGAGTGCAGCTAAGAACCCAGATGTTATCTTGAGGGTATTAACTAATAAGCAGTTTAAATCAGAATGGCACATTCTGATTTGTTTTTTGTATGTTCACATTTGGCAGGCATAGATACTGTTTGAAGAGAGGAAAGTCAGTAGATAGAGGTAACAAATATGTGCCAAGTCTAGAAACAAGAGACTAGGGGGATAAGGACCTTTCGAAATAAAATGCAAGATTTGAAAACTGATTGGCTGGGGGATGAGGAAAAGGCAGGTCTCTACGGTCAATCTCTGTTTTGCTTTAAGTTGTTAGGGGGTGGTTTTGTCACATATTGTAGAATATGTCATTTCAGTTTTGAACATCTTGAGTTAAATTGTCCTAACATATCTTATGAATTTGATTTTCTTCCCTGGGAAGCTAATATTTCAAAAACTTAAAAAGTATAGATTTCCAACTTGTATCCAATTTATACAATTATCTTTAGGCTGCTGGTTTCAGGAGGAGGCTCATGAATATTCTATTTGCAGAGAATATATCAGGAGTTAACAACAGCGTCAATATTTGTGGACGACCAGTTAACTAAGCCACCTCTTAGTGTATTTAGATGGGAAATCTTAGCAGAAGGTATTCAATAATGAACCAACAGTGACTAAAAAATTCAATATTTAAGTATATTTCATTGTAATTAATTTGAGTTTAAGTAGCCATATACAGCTAGTATTTACTACATTGAACAAAGCAAATAAGAGGAAAAAATAAGTATCTCTAATACTACATGCCAAAATCCTCATCAATTTATTCTAGCTAAAGGAGTTTATCAGAAGCAGCGATTGAAAGCACCAACTAAATCAGCTGGGGTTAATTCACTGTCATTCTCTCAGAACCATCTCTTCTCTGAACAAAATGAGTAGAAGAATTAATTGTGAATCTGCATTTTCCTTGCCTATTTTAAGGTTTCGATGTTGACACTAATTTGTGAAATCCCTCCTGTGGTGTGATATTTCATTTTCCTTGCTTTTTGTTAGGACAACAATGCTTCAGCTCTTAATTTAAAATTATGTTTCTCCCTCCTAGTTTGAGTGAACTTAGAATGCATTCTCTGACATATCCAAGTTTTATGAATTTGGGGGGACAAGCATACTTAATTAGCTAAGACTTCTTATTCTAGGCTTGACCCTGTGTTCGACATCTTTTGAATTTGTAGTTGCATGGGTTGCTCTTTGACGCTGGTTAGTGATCTGGAAACTATATTAACGTTAGGAGAGGTGGTGTATGAGCATTAGAGGTATCCTTGCAAGGAAAGACTTGTCTTATCTCAATACGTCTTTTTTTTGCACACAAGAAAGTCAATCTTTGAGTCTTCTAAAATCTTCCTATTTCCAAGTTGCAGAGTACCATTGGTTCCTAAACAAAGATCTAATTTTTGACTCAGAGACGTGGCAAGGTAGTGAATCACCATTATAATTTAACAAACTTCAAGATAAAATTATCTCTCTGATATTTACATTTTGCCCAATTATTAAGATATTTGGGTGTTTCATTAAGAATAGAAGACTCTAGTCTCTTGAGCAGAGACTATAAATGCCTCAGATGATCATTTATAATTTTATGGTCTTTTCTTTAACACCATCAACGCAGTTGGAAGCAGCCAATATTCCCCAGAGTTGTTGTGTTTTTTAAACCAAGTGCATGGTTCAGTGGTAGAAAACTGGGCTGATCCAAGCTGTTTTCAGTAAACATTTCATTTCAGGTGACCTATTTCATATTAAATAATCTCTAAATCCTGTCTTCAAAACTAACTAGATCAGATAACCTACCCTGGATTTTCCCCTATTAGGGTCTGTTAGCTGCAGTCACTTTTGTGAAAATGATTGCAGTGAAAAGATAGAGTTGTAGATGGGGAAAATGTTTTGACTAATTTAAGCATAGTGGTATTTAATATGAGAATTTAAGTTACACACATTTGAAAATTATAATGGGGTCTCTTGGCCGAGCTTTAAAAAAAATAGCGCTTAGGCTAAAAAGGGAACTGCTACCTCTCCTAAAATCAGAAAGATGTTACAGTAATTCTCCATTCTCTAGAATTATCAGGAAGCATCTTTGTGATGATTTACTTTTGCTCTTGGGAGTGTGAGCCTGTGTAGTTGTGGAACCATCAATTAGAATGATGGCTTTCTGATCCCAAAGTCATTCGTTCTGAAAACAATATTTTTCATAAATTTGAAAGTGAGAAGTTTTGATCTTGCCATTCCCAAGTAACTCTCTTAATAAGAGGCATCAGCATGCTTCAGTGACAGCTGTCACCTTCCAGTGCTGAGAGTCATCTTTGAGTTCTCCATTTCACTCCCTACACTCCAATTTAGCTGCAGTTCTCTTGGCCAGTCCTATGAAATACATCCATGGCCTAAAGACTACTCACAACTAATACCACTCATACTAACAGCATTCTTACCTAAGTCACTACCTTTTTTCTCTGGATTACAATAGCCTCCCAATTTATTTGCTCACATAACCTATTTATTCTACACAGTGCAACAGATACACCCCTTTGAAATGCAAACACAATCATGTTATTCTCTGGTGAAATTATCTCATATATTCCTATCGCATTTAAAATTAATTCAGAATAATTCCATGATTATCAAAACCCTACATGTTCTTCCACAACATGGTTTACTTTCAAGATATCTCAACTTTTTTTTCACTATACTGAATTGTTGAGTAATAGTCATATTTTTGTTTTTGCTCAAAAAGTCTTGACTTGTAAATTTTTCAGTTTCTCCTTTATCCACAGGTAACTCTTTCCTCATAAGGCGAATTGCTTTCTTCCTTGAGTTCTGCTCTCAAAGATACCTTTCATTTTCTACCTGATATTAATAATTTTAATCATTCATTATTCTATTACTATGCTCTATAGTGTATACAATTTCTGTTCTTTGTCATGTTATTATCTAAATTATTCATTTGTTCCAGTAACGTATTCCATAAATATTGTACACATAAAAATTATGTTATTTTTATTGCTGTATGCCCAATAACAGTTTAAGGATTAACATATTTGTTAAATGCCCAAATACATTCTTTCAAAAATGTTAGTTTAGTAATTTTAAACTCCCTATATACTTACAATATGAATTAGATAATTCAGAATAAACATTCCATTGGAAAAAACGAAACAATTTGTTATCAAACATCCTTAAAAGCATCAGAAAGTTAATACAGCAATGAGGAATGACAGGACCAAATTAAGAATGGTATGGAAGCCTGTTTGTGAGGCTTATGTTTGGGTTATCTCTTTACTTAGAGTGACTATAAATCTCAAAAGAGAACTAAAGGGAGAAATAACCATATCTACCCACATGGTAAGGGTATTTAAACATCTCTTAGTAATTGAGAAAATTGAAAGAAAAGAAAAAAGAGAAAGGGAGAAAGAGAAACAGAGCAAAAGGGATAATGAAGAAGAGAAAGAAGAAGAGAAAGGAAGAGGAAGAAAAGTAAAAAGGAGGAGGAGGGGGAGGGAGGAAGAAAGAAAGGTGAAAAGAAAGAATGGTAAAGTTTTTAACAACATAATTTATCCTTCTAGAATATGAATGTTGGTCTATTTGATGATGTCCCACAGATTCCTTAGTCTCTGCTCATTTTTTATCTGTTTCTCAGAGCCAATATTTTCCATTTTCTTATCTTCAAGCTCATGACTTCTGTGTGTGCAAATATACTCTTAAATCCCTCTGGTGATTTTTTAATTTTTATCATTTTAGTTTTCCACTCCAGAATTTCTTTTATCTCTTTGTTGATATTCCTACTTTTAAATATTTTTTCTGATTCCTTTATTTCTTTGTTTATGTTTTCCTTTTGACATTTGAGTATAATTAAGAGAGTTGTTTTAAAGTCTTTGTCTAGTAAGTTTGATGTCTGGGCTTCCTTAGAGATATTTTCTGTCAATTTATTTTGTTCCTTTGAATGAGCCATACTTTTCCTTTCTTTTATGCCTTGTAACTTTTTTTGAAAACTGGACATTATAATAATTATAATTACTATGTGGTTACTCTGTAAATCAGACCACCCCCTACAAACACACTAATGTTTTGTGGTTTTAAATTTTATTTACTTATTATATTGTTAAGGATTTTTTTTTTTTTAGTGAAATTTTCCAAAGTGATTTACAAAACTGTTTGCTTTATAAGGTGTGGCCACCGAAGTCTTTTTGTTTCCTTAACAAATGTTAAGCTAATGTTTTGACAGTGATTTTCTTGTATGTCAGGAACTAAGCAAACAGGCAAATACAACAAAAACAAAAAGAAAAACAAGTAATAATTAGCCAGCAAAATATGTCTCTAGGCCATGCAGACTGGCTTTGTGCTGGGTTCTTTAAAGCCGGCACAAAATGTGTGTTCACTCTTGCACTGAGTGAAGTTCAAGTTCACTCTTGCACAGAGCTTGCACTGAGGGGAGGGATCGCCAAGGTAAAAGTGTAGGGTCTTCTTATGACATTTGTCAGCATGTGGCTTAACCTATGCATACATGTGACTTTCTAGACTCTTCCATGTACGTGAATGATTTTGAATGTCTTAGTTTTCCAAATACTCTTCTCCAACTTTTCTTCCTGTGCTGAAGGTGATCTACTATATGTGTAAACTCTAATTTTTGCCCTAAGCATCTGTGGTTTGTTAGGTCTCCTTGCAGAGTTTCTTAATTATGTCCATTCCTTATCTGTTCTGTATTCTAGCAACACAGAAAAAACAAAAGCCTTTCATGAGTCCTTTAGGTATCCTCCAGACCAGTCAGAACAGACACATAATAATTTGCGGGTAAGATCTTCTCTTGTTCCTTTGGACGATGGACCAGGCTTCCTCACTGGGAACGTGGGCTTCTGACACTTCAGAACTGCCAATTTGCTGAGGCAAAGGCAAGCTAAAAATGTCGTAAAGTTTTCCAGTTGTCTTTTCCTTGAGTCTGCTTTCACTTGGTTGTTGTAATCTTTTGACCATTTTCCAGAGTTTTGGCAAAGTTTATTCGGACAGTTTCTCTTAGTTGTGTGATGTTTCTGTGGGGAAATGGAAGATTGCAGCTGTCTCCACTGCCATTTTCCTGATGCTCCTCTTTTGTCAATTTTTGCTTCATGTTCTTATGCTTTGTTATTAGTTCATGTATTAGTTTTCTAGGGCTGCCATAACCAAGTAACACAAACTGGGTGACTTGAACAACATACATTTATAGTCTTATAGTCCTGGAAGCTAAAAGTCTGATATTGAGGTGTCAGCAGAGATGGTCCCTTCAAGGGCTATGAGAGAAAGTCTGTTCTGTGCCTTGTTTCTACCTTCTGGTGGTTTTGTGGCAGTCTTTGGCATTCCTTGGCTAACCTCTGCCCTCATAATCACATGGAACTCTCCCTGTGTGTATATCTCCCTCTACTCAAATTTCTTCTTTTTATAAGGACATCAGTCATACTGAATTCAGGCTCATCTGATTTTATCTTAATTTAATCACCTGCAAATAACCTGTTTCCTAATGAGTTCATATTCAGTGGTTAGGATTTCAGCATCTGTATAGAGGAAACAATTTAGCTCATATCTGTGCATACATGATTGTAATAGCTATGTCTTCTGAAAGCGTTGACCCCTTATTACTACAATATAAATTTTTAAAATCCTATTCACATTTTTAATAGTCTATATCGT
The DNA here is from genome assembly GCF_000001405.40 of Homo sapiens. Lineage (NCBI taxonomy): Eukaryota > Metazoa > Chordata > Mammalia > Primates > Hominidae > Homo > Homo sapiens. The sequence continues at coordinate 57,875,217 of NC_000007.14, forward strand.
GTGTTATGAGTATAATGAGTTCAGTGTTCTTATGATTGCTCTTTGCATGATATTTTTTGTCATCTTTTTACTTTCAATCCATTAGTATCCTTACATCTTAGCGTATATTGGGATCACTTGTTTTAATCCAGTCTGACAATCTCTGCCTCTTGAATGGAATTTAATCTGCTCACATTTAATATTATAATTAGTATAATTCTATTTATGTCTGCCATTTTACCCTTTGTTTTGTATATTTCTCAAATATTTTTCTTTATTGCTTTATTTTGCAATGAATGAATATTTTCTAAAATAAGGAACTTTAGATTACTAATGAATTATTTTACTATATATTTTTGAGAATTTTTGTTGTTGTTGTAAGTTTGCCATATAGGTATATGGAAAATTAATTATTCAAATCATCTTCCAATTTATACTAGTAAACTTTTAGTAATACATAGAAACATCATTCTTATACAAATCTCTCTTATTTCCTCCATTTTAAAGTATTATCACTTTACACATTACATCTATTAAAGTTACAAAGCCAACAATACATTTTAGTAATTATTACTTTACCATCTAGAGTGATTACCTTATCACAATACATTTTTTTCCAACTACCTCCTTTTTGATGTTACTGGAAAATATGTTATAAACATATTACATTTCTACATGTCAAATACTCAGCAATACATTATGCACATATTATTATTATTAGCATTGAGATGGAGTCTCTCTCTGTCACCCAGGCTGGAGTGCCGTGGCACAATCTCTGCTCACTGCAAGCTCTATCTCCTGGCTTCATGCCATTCTTCTGCTTCAGCCTCCCGAGTAGCTGGGACTACAGGCGCCTGCCATCACGCCCAGCTAATTTTTTGTATTTTTAGTAGAGACAGGGTTTCACTGTGTTAGCCAGGATGGTCTCGATCTCCTGGACTCATAATACGCCCACCTCGGCCTCCCAACGTGCTGAGATTACAGGCGTGAGCCATCGTGCCTGGCCGTTATACACATATTATTTTATAAACAATTTATGATAAAGAGAAAACATGCATTTCTACTGTCTTTTATAATGTTAATATTACCTATACTAGTGCTTTTTTAAAAATGTGGATTCAAGTGACTGGCTTGTGTAACTTGCTTTTAGCCTTAGGAATTTATTTTAGTGTTTTTTTTTTGTTTGGTAGGTCTGCCAGCAACAACTTCAGTTAATATTTCTGTTTATCTGGGTAAGTCTTTGTGTTATCTTCATTTTTGAAAAATAATTGCTTGATAAGGAATTGGTGGCTGACAGTTTTTTTTCTTTGCATCTTTGAATACATTATTCTACTGCCTCTTGCCTTCCATTGTTTCTGTTAAGTCAGCTGTTAATCTTACAAAACATAGGTGCTCAAAAAATAAACATGTGCATGAATATTTACAGCAGTAATATTCATACAGTCAAAAAGTGTAAACAATCCATATGCTTGTTGACTCATAAATGGACACCCAATTTTCAGCTATAACAAAGAATGAAGTACTTATACATGGTATAAAGTGGGTGAAATTTGAAAGCATTATGTTTAGTGCACAAAAGGACAAATATTACTTGATTTTATTCACATGAAACTTCAGGAATTGGCAAATCAATTGGGATATAAATCAGATTAGTGGTCATTAGGGCTCAGGGAAGCAGAATAGGGTATAACAACTTTATGGATAATGGGTTTTTAGAAGGGACATGATGAAATTGTCCTGGAACACTGTGAATATACTAAAAGCAAGTGCATTGTATGCTTTAAAATGGTTAAGTTATTAATTTTATATTATGTGATTTTTACCTTAAAAAACAAAAAAGAGAAAATAGCCTTACTCTATATACAATAAACTCAAGATGTGTTACAAATTTATATGTGAAATCCAAAATACTATAATATTTAAGGAATAGCTGAGTAGAATAACATTAAAATTTAACATAATGAAATATTTCCTTAAAAAAGAAAAAAGCACAGTAATTAAAAAGGGAAATATAGTTAATATTTTTTCTCTCCATTAAGCATACCATTAACTGATTAAAAAATCAAGCTACAATATGTAAACTACATTTTCTAAAACCATAAAGAAAATAAGAAATGAAAAAGGATTTGGGAAAAAAATCCAAGGGTACAGTCAACTACACAAAAAAAGCTTAGTCTCATTACTCATTATGAAAATGCAAATTGTAACTGAAATAAGATAAAAGTACAATTCAAAGAGAAAGCCTAAAATTTCAACCCCCCAAAATTTCTGGGTTTTGGAGAGCTGGGATGGAATAGGGGTCCTAACCTTACAACAATGAAAGAACCAAACTAACTTCAAAGTCATGACTTTACTTTATGGCAACCAGGTTGCCAAGAACTGAGTCAAAATGTGAGGGAAAACAAGCACCAGCAAGGAGAAGGAGGACAGATGCACTTACATAGGACAGATGCAAATAGACATCACTATGACAAGTAAAGCTGGAATAATCAATAAATTCCTAAAGACAAAGTGGGGCTGGTGAGATTGGGAGACCGCTGACAGCTGCAGAAGTTGGGAAAGATCCATCATCTTGAAAACTTTTTCCCCACAAACCCACTGTGATCTCTCAAGCAATTGGTAAGGAATCCAAGAGAGTCTGTATATGATACAGATCAGGGAGAGCAGAACACTTGGGAGGCAACCAAGTCTTGGGGGCTGAGCCCTTAGGAATGGGATTAGTGCCTTTATAAAAGAAGCTCAATGGAGTTCTTTTGTGCCTTCCACTATGTGAGGACATTGAATGAAGACACCATCTATGAACCATGAAATGGGCTCTCATCAACACTGAATTTGTGAGCATCTTGACCTGAGATCTTACAGCCTCAAGAAGTGTGAAAAAAGAAATATCTGTTGTTTTTTAGTCACCCAGTTCATGTTATTTTGTTATAAGAGTCCAAATAGACCAAGATATTCCACTTAATATGTAGGGGAAGGCAACAAAAACTGCCACACTTAGAATACTCCTGATGCTGGGAGTATGAAAACAGGAAAAACAAAACAAAACTGCTCTTGAAGGTGAAGGAGGAATATCACTGATCTCACCAAAACAGCCAGGAAAAGAACAGAAGTGTGAGAAGGCTACATGCCTGAGACCCTGAGAAAAAGTACCTGCATAAGTCTGAGATGAAATTACCTACCCTAGTTATAATTGAAATCCCAAAAAGAAAAGAGGAAAAAATAATAGAGCAAAAGAAATATTTTTCAAAATAACTGCCAAAAATATTCTAAAAGAAGTGACAGAAAATCAAACTTCAGATATAGGAAACTCAGAGAACGTCAAATAGAACAAAAATAAATAAGAATTACATCTTGAAAAATCTTTAAAAAATCAACTCTAAATTTTATATCTTGCTCCAAATACATAGAGATATAAATAGGTTATCATCAAGATATGGAGAAAGCCATATCATGGAAACACTAAAATAAAGCTGTGGAAGGACTACATTGATATTAGACACAACAGAGTTCAGAACAAGAAATAGTATCAGAGATGAGAGATAATAGATAATATAATAATCAATTCTCAAGAAGATGTAAACATCCTATTAATTAGGGTATGCAGCTAACAACAGAACCTCCAAATACATGAGGTAAAACAGGAAAGAAATCAAAGGTGAACTAGAAAAATCCAAAATTATATTTGCAGACTTCAACACTTTTGTCTTAGGAATGGACAGACTAGACACAAACTCAGTAATCATCTGGAAGACAAGAACAACAATATCACCAACAAGACATCCAATCTTCAGTGGCAGATACTCTTTCCTTTCAAGTGAAAAAAAAAACAGTATGGCATATTCTCTAACAAAACCCAGAATTTATAATATTTGCGGTCTTCCTTCCTTCTTTCCATCTTCCGTTCTCTTCTCTTCCCTTCCCTTGCCTTCTTCCTTCCTTTCTTCTTTTCCTCTTTCTTTTCTTTTTTGCTTTTCCTTTCTTTTCTTTCTTTTTTCTCCTTCCTCCCCTCTTTCCTTCCTCTCTTTCCTCTTATTCTTCCTCCCCTCCTCCCTCCCTTCCTTTCTCCCCCTTCGTTTCTTCCTTCCTTTCTTTTATTCTTTCTTTCTCACTTTCTTGCTTTTTTTCCTTTTAACTCCCTTCCACCCTCCCTCCTTTTCTTCCTTCCTCCCTCCCTTCGTTTCCTCGTTTTTCCTTCCTTCCTTCCTTCCCACTCTTCATTTTCTTTGTTTCTTTGCCTTCCTCCCTTTTACCATTCTCTCTTCCTCCTTTCCTTCCTCCCTTATTCCTACCTTTCTTTCTTTCTTTCTCACTTTCTCTCTCTCTTTCTTTCTTTCTTTCTTTCTTTCTTTCTTTCTTTCTTTCTTTCTTCTGTTCTTGCTTTATTTTTTCTCCCTTCCTGCCTTTCTCTGTGAATTTCAACTCTGTGAGATGAATGCACACATCACAAAGAACTTTTTCAGAATGCTTCAATCTATTTTCTACGTGAAGATATTTCCATTTCCACCATAGGCCTCAAAGCGCTCCAAATGTCCAATTGCAGAATCTACAAAAAAAAGATTTCAAACTGCTCAATCAAAAGAAAGGGTTAACTCTGTGAGATGAATGCACACATCACAAAGAAGTTTCTCAGACTGCTTCTGTCTAGATTTTATATGAAGATATTTCCCTTTCTACCATAGGCCGCAAAGCTCTCCTAATCTCCACTTGCAGATTATACAAAAAGAATGTTTCGAAACTGCTCAATCAAAAGAAAGGTTCAATTCTGTGAGATCAACGCACACATCACGAAGAAGTTTCTCAGAATTCTTCTGTCTAGTTTTTAAGTGAAGATATTACCTTTTCCACCATAGGCCTCAAAGCGCTCCAAATGTCCACTTGCAGATGCTACTAAAAGAGAGTTTCAAGACTGCTCTATCAAAAGAAAGTTTTAACTCCGTGAGATGAATGCACACATCACAAAGAAGTTTCTCAGATTGCTTCTGTCTAGATACTATGTGAAGATATTTCTTTTCTACCATAGGCCACAAAGTGCTTCAAATGTCCACTTGCAGATTCTACAAAAAGAGTGTTTCCAAACTGCTCAATCAAGAGAAAGGTTCAACTCTGTGAGATAAACGCACACATCACAAAGAAGTTTCTCAGAATTATTCTGTCTAGTTTATCTGTGAAGATAATACCTTTTCCTCCATAGGCCTCAAAGCGTTGTAAATGTCCACTTGCAGATTCTACAAAAAGAGTGTTTCCAAACTGCTCAATCAAAAGAAAGGTTCATCTCTGTGAGATGAACACATGCATCACAAAGAAGTTTCGCAGAATTCTTCTGTCTAGTTTTTATGTGAAGATATTTCCTTTTCCTCCCTAGGCCTCAAAGCGCACCAAATGTCCACTTACACATTCTACAAAAAGAGAGTTTCAAAACTGCTCAATCAAAAGAAAGGTTTAACTCTGTGAGATGAATGCACACATCACAAAGCTGTTTCTCAGATTGCTTCTTTCTAGATTATATGTGAAGATATTTCCTTTTCTACCATAGGCCACAAAGCTCTCAAAATGTCCACTTGCAGATTCTACAAAAAGAGTGTTACCAAATTGATCTACCAAAAGAAAAGTTCAACTGTGTGAGATGAATGCACGCATCACAAATAAGTTTCTCAGAATTCTTCTGTCTAGTTTTTATGTGAAGATATTTCATTTACCACCGTAGGCCCCAAAGCGCTCCAAATGTCCACTTGCAGATTCTACAAAAAGAGTGTTTCCAAACTGCTCCATCAAAAGAAAGGTTCAAATCTGTGACATGAATGCACACATAACATAGAAGTTTCTCAGATTGCTTCTGTCTGGATTTTATGTAAAGATATTTCCTTTTCTACCATAGGCTGCAAAGCGCTCCAAATGGCCACTTGCAGATCCTACAAAAAGAGAGTTTCAAAACTGCTGAATCAAAAGAAAGGTTTAACTCTGTGAGATGAATGCACACGTCACAAAGTAGTTTCTTAGATTGCTTCATGTCTAGATTTTATGTGAAGACATTTCCTCTTCTAACATAGGCCTCAAAGTGCTCCAAATGTCCACATTCAGATTCTACAAAAAGAGGGTTTTCAAAGTTCTCAATCAAAAGAAAGGTTCAACTCTGTGAGATGATCACACACATCACTAAGAAGTTTCTCAGAATTCTTCTGTCTGGTTTTTATGGGAAGATATTTGCTTTTTCACCATAGGGCTCAAAGCGCTCCAAATGCCCACTTGCAGATTCCACAAAAAGAGAGTTTCAAAACTGCTCAATCAAAAGAAATCTTTACCTCTTTGAGGTGAATGCACACATCGCAAAGAAGTTTCTCAGATTGCTTCTCTCTTGATTTTTTGTGAAGCTATTTCCTTTTCTGCCTTAGGCCGCAAAGCGCTCCAAATGTCCACTTGCATGTTCTACAAAAAGAGTGTTTCCAAACTGCTCAACCTAAAGAAAGGTTCAACTCAGTGAGATGAATGCACACATCACGAGGAAGTTTTTCAAATTTCTTCTGTCTAGTTTGTATGTGAAGATATTTCCTTTTCCACCATAGGTCTCAAAGTGCTGCAAATGTCCACTTGTAGATTCTACAAAAAGAGTTTCAAAACTGCTCTATTAAAAGAAAGGTTTAACTCTGTAAGATGAATGCACACATCACAATGAAGTTTCTCAGATTGCTTCTGTCAATATTTTATGTGAAGATATTTCCTTTTCTACCATAGGCCGCAAAGTGCTCCAAATGTCCAGTTGCAGATTCTACAAAAATAGTGCTTCCAAATTGCTCAGTCAAAAGAAAATTTCAACTCTGTGAGTTGAATGCACACAACACAAAGAAGTTTGTCAGAATTCTTTTATCCAGTTTTTATGTGAAGATATTTCCTTTTTCACCAGAGGCCTCAATGCACTCGTAATGTCCACTTGCAGGTTCTACAAAAAGAGTATTTCAAAACTGGTCCATAAAATGAAAGGTGCACCTCAGGGAGATGAATGCACACATCACAGAGAAGTTCCTCAGAATGCTTCTATCTAGTTTTTATGTGAAGGTATTTCCTTTTCCACCATAGGCATCAAAGTGCTCCAAATCTCCACTTGCAGATTCTACAAAAAGAGAGTTTCAAAACTACTCAATCAAAAGAAAGTTTAAACTCTGTGAGATGAATGTGCACATCACAAAGAAGTTTCTCAGATTGCTTCTGTCTAGATTTTATGTGAAGATATTTCCTTTTCTGCCATAGGCCGCAAAGTGCTCCAAATGTCCCCTTCCAGATTCTACAAACAGAATGATTCCAAACTGCTCAATCAAAAGAAATGTTCAACTCTGTGAGATGAATGCACACATCAAAAATAAATTTCTCAGAATTCATCTGTCTCATTTTTATGTGAAGATATTTCCTTTTCCACCATAGGCCTCAAAGCGCTCCAAATGTCCAGTTGCAGATTCTACAAAAAGAGCGTTTCAAAACTCCTCAATTAAAAGAAAGGTTTAACTCTGTTAGATGAATGCACACATCACAAAGGAGTTTCTCAGATTTCTTCTGTCTAGATTTTATGTGAAGATTTTACGTTTTCTACCATAGGCCACACAGCGCTCCAAATGTCCACTTGCAGATTCTACAAAAAGAGTGTTTCCAAACTGCTCAATCAAAAGAAAGCTTCAACTCTGTGAGATGAACACACACATCACTAAGAAGTTTCTCAGAATTCTTCTGTGTAGTTTTTATGTGAAGATATATCCTTTTCCACCTTAGGCTTCAAAGCGCCCCAAATGTCCACTTGCAGATTCTACAAAAAGAGAGTTCAAAACTGCTCAATCAAAGGAAAGTTTTACCTCTGTGAGATGAATGAACCCATCACAAAAAGGTTTCTCAGAATGCTTTTTTGTAGTTTTTTTGTGAAGATATTTCTTTTTCCACCATAGGCCTCAAAGCACTAAAATTGTCCACTTGCAGATTCTACAGAAGGAAAGTTTCAACACTGTTCAATCAAAGGAAAGTTTTAACTCTGTGAGATGAATGCACACATCACAAAGAGGTTTCTCAGATTGCTTCTTTCTAGATTTTATGTGAAGTTATTTCCTTTTCTACATAGGCCGCAAAGCTCTCCAAATATCCAATTGCAGATTCTACGAACAGAGTGTTTCCAAACTGTTCAATCAAAAGAAAGGTTCAACTCTGTGAAATGAGCGCACATATCACGAAGAAGTTTCTCCTAATTCTTCTGTTTAGTTTTTATGTGAAGATATTTCCTTTTCCACCATAGTCCTCTAGGCGCTTGAAATGTCCACTTGCAGATTCTATGAAAATAGTATTTCAAAACTGGACCTTCAAAAGAAAATTTCAACTCTGGGAGATGAATGCACACATCACAAAGTAGTTTCTCAGAATGCTTCTATCTACTTTTTTTTTGAAGATATTTCCTTTTCTACCATAGGCTCAAAGCACTAAAAATCTCCAATTGCAGATTCCACAAAAAGAGAGTTTCAAAACTGGCGAATGAAAGGAATGGTTTAACTCTGTGAGGTGAATGCATACATAACAAAGAAGTTTCTCAGATTGCTTCTGTCTAGATTTTATGTGAAGATATTTCCTTACTACCATAGGCTGCAAAGCGCTCCAAATGTCCACTTGCATATCCTAAAAAAAGTGTTTCCAAGCTGTTCAATCAAAAGAACGGTGCAACTCTGTGAGATGAATGCACACATCACAAAGAAATTTATCAGAATTTTTCTGTCTAGTTTTTATGTGAAGATATTTCCTTTTCCACCATAGGCCTCAAAGCCCTCCAAATGTCCACTTGCAGACTGTACAAAAAGAGAGTTTCAAAACCGCTCAATCAAAAGAAAATTTTATCTCTGTGAGATAAATGGACACATCACAAAGAAGCTTCTCAGATTTCTTCTGTCTAGATTTTATGTGAAGATATTTCCTTTTCTACTATAGGCTGCAAAGCTCTCCAAATATCCACTTGCCGATTCTAAAAAAAGAGTGTTTCAAAACAGTTCAATCAAAAGAAAATTTCATCTCCATGAGATAAATGCACATATCACAAAGAAGTTTCTCAGAATTCTTCTGTCTAGTTTTTATGTGAAGATATTTCATTTTCCACCATAGGCCTCAAGACGCTTGAAATGTCTGCTTGCAGATTCTACAAAAAGAGGATTTCAAGACTCGTCCATCAAAAGAAAGTTCAACTCTGGGAGATGAATGTACACATCATAAAGAAGTTTCTCAGGTTGCTTTTATCTAGTTTTTATGGGAAGATACTTCCTTTTCCACCATGGGCCTCAATGCGCTCCAAATGTCCACTTGCAGATTCTACAAAAAGAGTGTTTCCCAACTGCTCAAGCAAAAGAAAGTTTCAACTCTGTGAGATGAAGGCACATATCACAAAGATGTTTCTCAGAATTCTTCTGTATAGTTTTTAGTTGAAAATATTTCCTTTTCCACCATTGGCCTGAAAGCGCTCCAAATGTCCACTTGTGGATTCTACAAAAGCAGAGTTTCAGAACAGCTCAATCAAAGAAAATCTTTAACTTCTGAGATGAATGCACACATCGCAAAGAAGTTTTTCAGATAGCTTCTGTCAAGATATTATGTGAAGATATTTCCTTTTCTACCACAGGCCGCAAAGTGCTCCAAATGACCACTTCCAGATTCTACAAAAAGAGGGTTTCAAAACTGCTCAATCAAAGGAAAGGTTTAACTCTGTGAGATGAATGCACACATCACACAGAAGTTTCTCAGATTGCTACTGTCTAGATTTTATGTGAAGATATTTCCTTTTCTACCATAGGCCACTAAGCGCTCCAAATGTCCTCTTGCAGATTCTACAAAAAGAGTGTTTCCAAAATGCTCAATCCGAAGAAAGATTCTACTCTGTGAAATGAATGCACTCATCACGAAGTAGTTTGTCAGAATTCTTCTGTCTAGTTTTTATGTGAAGATATTTCCTTTTCCACCGTAGCCCTCAAAGCGCTCCAAATGTCAACTTGCAGATTCTACAAAAATAGTTTCAAAATTGCTCAATCAAAAGAAACATTCAACTCTGTGAGATGAACGCACACATCACAAAGTAGTTTCTCAGAATTCTTCTGTCTTGTTTTTATGTGAAGATATTTCCTTTTCCACCATAGGCTGTGAAGTGCTCCCAATGTCCACTTACAGATTCTACAAAAAGAGAGTTTCAAAACTGCTCAGTCAAAAGAAAGCTTTAACTCTGTGAGATGAATGCACACATCACAAAGAAGTTTCTGAGATTGCTTCTGTCTAGATTTTATGTGAAGATATTTTCTTTTCTACCATAGGCCCCAAAGTGCTCCAAATGTCCACTTACAGATTTAAGAAAAGGATTGTTTCCAAACTGCTCGATCAAAATAAAGCTTCCACTCTGTGAGATGGATGCAGGCATCACTAAGAAGTTTCACAGAATTCTTCTGTCTAAGTTTTATGTGAAGATATTCCCTTTTCCACCATAGGCCTCAAAGAGCTCCATATGTCCTCTTTCAGATTGTACAAAAAGAGACTTTCAAAACTACTCAATCAAAAGAAAGGTTTAACTTTGTGAGATGAACGCACACATCACAAAGAAGTTTCTCAGATTGCTTTTGTGTAGATTTTTTGTGAAGATATTTCCTTTACTACCATAGGCTGCAAAGTGCTCCAAAATGTCCACTTGAAGATTATACAAAAAGAGTGTTTCCAAACTGCTCATTCAAAAGAAAGGTTCAACTCTGTGAGAAGAACGCACACATCACAAAGAAGTTTCTCAGAATTCTTTGGTCTAGTTTTTATGTAAAGATATTTCCTTTTCCACCATAGTCCTCAAAGCACTCCGAATGTCCACTTGCAGATTCTACAAAAAGAGAGTTTCAAAACTGCCCAATCAAAAGAAAGGCTTAACTCTGTGAGATGAACGCACACATTACAAAGAAGTTTCTCAGATTGCTTCTGTCTAGATTATATGTGTAGATATTTCCTTTTCTAAAATAGGCTGCAAAGCGCTGCAAATGTCCACTTGCATATTCTACAAAAAGAGTGTTTCCAAACTGCACAATCAAAAGGAAGATTCAACTCTGAGAGTTGAATGCACACATCACAAGGTAGTTTCTCAGTATTCTTCTGTCTAGTTTTTATGTGAAGATATTTCCTTTTCCACCACAGGCCTCAAAGCACTCCAAATGTCCACTTGCAGATCCTACCTGAAGAGAGTTTCAATACTGCTCAATCAAAAGAAAGGTTTACCTCCGTGAGGTGAATGCACACATCTCAAAGAAGATTCTCAGATTTCTTCTGACTAGATTTTATGTGAAGATATATCCTTTTCTTCCATAGGCCGAAAAGTGCTCCAAATGTCCACTTGCCGTTTCTAAAAAAAGAATGTTTCCAACATGCCCAATGTAAAGAAAGTTTCAACTCTGTGAGATGAATGCACACATCAGAAAGACCTTTCTCAGAATTCTTCTGTCTATTTTTTATGTGAAGATATTTCCTTTTCCACCATTGGCCTCAAAGCACTCCAACTGTGCACTTGCATATTCTACAAAAACAGTTTCAAAACTGCTCAATCAAAGAAAGTTTTAAGTCTGTGGGATGAATGCACACATCACAAAGAAGTTTCTCAGTTTAATTCTGTCTAGATTTATTGAGAAGATATTTCTTTTTCTACCATAGGCCACAAAGCGCTCCAAATGTCCACTTGCAGATTCCAGAAAAAGTGTGTTTCCAAACTACTCCATCAAAAGAAAGTTTCAACTGTGTGAGATGAATGCAACCATCACAATGAAGTTTCCCAGAATTCTTCTGTTTAGTTTTTATGTGAAGATATTCCCTTTTCCACCTTAGGCCTCAAAGCACTCCAAAGGTCCACTTGCAGATTCTACAAAAAGAGAGTTTCAAAACAGCTCAATCAAGAGAAAGTTTAATTCTATGAGATGAATGCACACATCCCAAAGAAGTTTCTCAGATTGATTCTGTCTAGATTTTTTGTGAAGATATATCCTTTTCTACCATAGGCCTCAAAGTGCTCCAAATGTCCACTTACATATTCTACAAAAAGAGTGTTTCCAAGCTGCTAAATCAAAGGAAAGGTTCAACTCTGTGAGATGAACGCACACATAACAAAGAAACTTCTGAGAATATTTCTGTCTAGTTTTTATGTGAAGATATTTCATTTTCCACTATAGGCCTCAAGGCACTTGAAATGTCCAGTTGGAGATACTACATAAAGAGCATTTCAAAACTGGTCCATCAAAAGAAACGTTCAACTCTGGGAGATGAATGCACACATCACAAGAAGTTTCTCAGAATTCTCTGTCTAGTTTTTATGTGAAGATATTACCTTTTGCACCACAGGCCTCAAAGCACTCCAAACGTCCACTTGCAGACTCCACAAAAAGAGAGTTTAAAAACTGCTCAGTCAAAGGATAGGTTTAACTATATGAGATGAATGCACACATCACAAAGAAGATTCTCAGATTGCTTCTGTCTAGATTTCATGTGAAGATATTTCCTTTTCAACCATAGGTTGCAAAGTGCTCTAAATGTCCACTTGTAGATTCTACAAAAAAACTATTTCCAAACTGCTCAATCAAAATAAAGGTTCAATTCTGTAAGATGAACGTACACATCACAAAGAAGTTTCTCAGAATTCTTCTGTCTAGTTTTTATGTGAAGATATTTCCTTTTCCACCAGAGGCCTCAAAGTGCTCCAAATGTCCACTTGCAGATTCTACAAAAAGAGTGTTTCCAAACTGCTCAATCAAAAGAAAGGTTCAACTCTGTGAGATGAACGCACACATCACAAAGAAGTTTCTCAGAATTATTTGGTCTAGTTTTTATCTGAAGATATTTCATTTTCCACCATAGTCCTCAAAGCGCTCCAAATGTCCACTTGCAGTTTCTACAAAAAGAGAGTTTCAAAACTGCTCAATCAATAGAAAGGCTTAATTCTGTGAGATGAATGCACACATTACAAAAAGGTTTCTCAGATTGCTTCTGTCTAGATTTTATGTGAAGATATTTCCTTTTCTACCATAGGCCGCAAAGCGCTCCAAATGTCCACGTGCACATTCTACAAAAAGAGTGTTTCCAAACTGCACAATCAAAAGAAAGGTTGAACTCTGAGAGATGAATGCACACATCACAAAGAAGTTTCTCAGAATTCTTCTGTCTAATTTTTATGTGAAGATATTGCCTTTTCCACCATTGGCTTCAAAGTGCTCCAAATGTCCACTTGCAGATCTTACCTGAAGATAGATTCAATACTGCTCAATCAAAAGAAAGGTTTAACTCCTTGAGATGAATGCACACATCACAAAGAAGTTTATCAGAATTCTTCTGTCTAGTTTTTATGTGAAGATATTTCCTTTTCTACCATAGGCCGCAAAGCGCTCCACATGTCCACGTGCATATTCTTCAAAAAGAGTGTTTCCAAACTGCTCAATCAAAAGAAAGGTTCAACTTGTGAGATAAACGCGGATATCACAAAGAAGTTTCCTAGAATTCTTCTGTCTAGTTTTTATGTGAAGATATTTTCTTTTCTACCATAGGCCTCAAAGCCCTCCAAATGTCCACTTGCAGATTCTACAAAAAGAGAGTTTCAAAACTGTTCAATCAAAAGAAAGGTTTAACTCTGTGAGTTGAATGCACACTTCACAGAGGAGTTTCTTAGATTGCTTCTGTCTAGACTTTATGTGGAGATAATTCTTTTTCTACCCTAGGCCACAAAGTGCTCCAAATATCCACTTGCAGATTCTACAAAAAGAACGTTTCCAAACGGCTTAATGAAAAGAAAGGTTCAACTGTGTGAGATGAACACACACATCAGAAAGAAGTTTCTCAGAATTCTTCTGTGTAGTTTTTATGTGAAGATATTTCCTTTTCTACCATAGGCCTCAAGGCCCTCGAAATGCCCACTTGCAAATTCTACGAAAAAAGTATTCAAAACAGGTCCTTCAAAAGAAAGGTTCAACTCTGTGAGATGAATGCACGCATCACAATGTAGTTTCTCAGATTGCTTCTGTCTTGATTTTATGTGAAGATATTTCCTTTTCTAACATAGGTCTGAAAGCACACAAAATGTCCACTTGCAGATTCTACAAAAAGAGCATTTCCAAACTGCTCTGTCAAAAGAAAGGTTGAACTCTCTGAGACGAAGGCACGCATCACAAAGAAGTTTAGCAGAATTCCTCTGTCTAGTTTTTATGTGAAGATATTTCCTTTTCTACCATTGGCCCCAAAGCGCTCCAAATCTCCACTTGCAGATTCTACAAAAGAGTGTTTTCAAACTGCTCAATAAAAAGAAAGGTTCAACACTGTGAGATAAACGCACACATCACAAAGATCTTTCTCAGAATTCTTCTGTCTAGTTTTTACGTGATGATATTTCATTTTCCACCATAGGCCTCAAGGTGCTCAAAATGCCCACTAGCAGATTCTCCAAAAAGGGTATTTAAAAACTGGTCCATCAAAAGAAAGTTTCAACTCTGTGAGATGAATGCACACATCACAAAGAAGTTTCTCAGAATTCTTCTGTCTAGTTTTTATGTGAAGATATTTCCTTTTCCACCATAGGCCTCAAGGCGCTTGAAATGTCCATTTGCAGATCCTACAAAAAGAGTATTTCAAAACTGGTTCTTCAAAAGAAAGCTTCAACGCTGGGAGATGAATGAAAACATACCAAAGAAGTTTCTCAGAATGATTCTGTCTAGATTCTATGTGAAGATATTTCCTTTTCTACCGTGGGGCGCTAACTGCTCCAAATGTCGGTTTGCAGATTCTAGATAAACACTGTTTCCAAATGGCACAATCAAAAGAAAGGTTGAACTCTGTGAGATGAATGCACACATCACAAAGAAGTTTCTAAGAATTCTTCTGTCTAGTTTTTATGTGAACATATTTCCTTTTCCACTATAGGCTTCAAAGGGCTCCAAATGTCCACTTGCAGATTCCACAAAAAGAGAGTTTCAAAACTGCTCACTCAAAGGAAAGGTTTAACTCTGTGAGATGAATGCACACATGACAAAGAGGTTTCTCGGATTGCTTCGGTCTAGATTTTATGTGAAGATAATTCATTTTCTACCATAGGTCTCAAAGCCCTCAGAATGTCTACTTGCAGAGTCTACAAAAAGAGTGTTTCCAAACTGCTCAATGAAAAGAAAGGTTCTAAACTGTGGGATGAACGCACACATCACAAAGAAGTTTCTCAGAATTCTTCTCTCTAGTTTTTATTTGAAGATATTTCATTTTCCACCATAGGTCTCAAAGCACTCCAAGCATCCACTTTCAGAATCTACAAAGAGAGAGTTTCAAAACTGCTCAATGAAAACAAAGGTTTAACTCTGTGAGATGAATGCACACCGTACAAAGCAGTTTCTCAGATTGCTTCTGTCTAGATTTTATTTGAAGATTTTTTTTCCTACCATGACCACAACGCGCTCCAAATGTCCACATGCAGATTCTATAAAAAGAGTGTTTCCACACTGCTCAATCAAAAGAAAGGTTCAACTGTGTGAGATGAACGCACATATCACAAAGAAGTTTCTCAGAATTATTCTATCTAGTTTTTATGTGAAGATATTTCCATTTCCAAAATAGGCCTCAAGGTGCTCGAAATGTCCACTTGCAGATTCTACAAAAAGAGTATTTCAAAACTGTCCTTCAGAACAACGGTTCAACTCTCAGAGATGAATGCACACATCACAAAGTAGTTTCTCAGAATTATTCTGTCTAGTTTTTATGTGAAGATGTTTCCTTTACCCCTTAGGCCTCAAGGCACTCCGAATGTCCAATTGCATATTCTATAAAAGGAGTTTCAAATCCGCTCAATCAAAAGAAACGTTTCATCTTTGAGATAAATGCATACATCTCAAAGATGTTTCTCAGATTGCTTATTTCTAGATTTTATCTGAAGATATTTCCTTTTCTACCATAGGGCACAAAGCGCAGCAAATATCCACTTGTAGATACTACAAAAGGAGTGTTTCCAAACTGCTCAATGAAAAGAAAGGTTCAACTCTGTGTGATGAACGCGCATATCACAAAGAGGTTTTTCAGAATTCTTCTGTCTAGTTTTAATGTGAAGATATTTCCTTTTCCACCATGGGCATCAAAGCACTCCAAATGTCCACTTGCAGATTCTACAAAAAGAGTTTCAAAACTGCTCAATCAAAAGAAAGGTTTACCTCCGTGAGATGAATGCACACATTACAAAGAAGTTTCTCAGATTGTTTCTGTCTAGATTTTATGTGAAGATATTTCCTTTTCCACCATAGACCACAAAGCGCTAAAAATGTCCACTTGCAGATTGTACAAAAAGAGAGTTTCCAGACTGCTCAATCAAAAAAAATGTTGAACTCTGTGAGATGAAAGCATGCATCACAAAGAAGATTCTCAGAATTCTTCTGCCTAGTTTTTATGTGAAGATATTTTCCACCATAGGCCTCAAAACACTGCAAATGTCCAACTACAGATTCTACGAAAAGAGAGTTTCAAAACTCCTCAATCAACAGAAAGTTTTAATTCTGTGAGTTGAATGCACACATCACAAAGAAGTTTCTCAGATTGCTTCTTTGTAGATTTTATGTGAAGATATTTCCCTTTCTACCATAGGCCGCAAAGCACTCCAAATATCCGCTTGCAGATTCTACATAAAGATAGTTTCCAAACTGTTCAATAAAAAGAAAGGTTCAACTCTGTGAGAGGAATGCACACATCACAAAGAAGTTTCTCAGAACTATTCTGTCATGTGAAGATATTTCCTTTTCCACCATAGGCCTCAAGGCGCTCCAAATGTCCACTTGCAGATTCTACAAAAAGAGAGTTTTAAAACTGCTCAACCAGAAGAAAGGTTTAACTCTGAGGTGAATGCACACATCACAAAGACGTCTCAGAATGCCTCTGTCCAGATTTTATGTGAAGATATTTCCTTTTCTACCGTTGGCCTCTAACCGCTCCAAATGTCCATTTGCAGATTCTACAAAAAGACTGTTTCCAAACTGCTCAATCAAAAGAAAGGTTCAACTCTGTGAGACGAATGCACACATCACAAATAAGTTTCTAAGAATTCTTCTGTCTCGTTTTTATGTGAACATATTTCTTTTTCAACCATAGGCCTCAAAGTGCTCCAAATGTCCATTTGTAGATTCCACACAAACAGAGTTTCAAAACTGCTCACTCAAAGGAAAGGTTTAACTCTGTGAGATGAATGCACACATCACAAAGAAGTTTCTCAGATTGCTTCAATCTAGATTTTATGTGAAGATATTTCATTTTCTACCATAGGTCTCAAAGCGCTGAGAATGTCCACTTGCAGATTCTACAAAAAGAGTGTTTCCAAACTGCTCAACCAACAGAAAGGTTCAACTCTGTGATATGAACGCACACATCACAAAGAAGTTTCTCAGAATTCTTCTGTCTAGTTTTTATGTGAAGATATTTCCTTTTCCACCATAGGCCTCAAAGCACTCCAAACGTCCACTTGCAGACTCCACAAAAAGAGAGTTTAAAAACTGCTCAGTCAAAGGATAGGTTTAACTATATGAGATGAATGCACACATCACAAAGAAGATTCTCAGATTGCTTCTGTCTAGATTTCATGTGAAGATATTTCCTTTTCTACCATAGGCTGCAAAGCCCTCTGAATGTCCACTTGCAGATTCTACAAAAAGACTGTTTTCAAACTGCTCAATCAAAAGAAAGTTTCAACTCAGTGAGGTGAATGCACACATCACAATGAAGTTTCTCAGAATGCTTCGGTCTAGTTTTAAGTGAAGATATTTCCTTTTCCACCGTAGACCTCAAAGTGCTCCAAGTGTCCACTTGCAGACCCTACAAAGAGAAAGTTTCCAAACTACTCAATCAAAAGAAAGGTCCAACTCTGTGAGATGAATGCACGTATCACAAAGAATTTTCTCGGAATGATTCTGTATAGTTTTTATGTGAAGATATTTCCTTTTCCACCATAGGCTTCAAAGAGCTCCAAATGTCCACTTGCAGATTCTACAAAATGAGATTTTCAAATTACCCAATCAAAAGAAGGGTTCAACTCTGTGAGTTAAATGCACACATCACAAAGGAGTTTTTCAGAATGCTTCTATCTACTTTTTATTTGAAGAGATTTCCTTTTGCACCATAGGCCTCAAATCACTCCAAATGTTCACTTGCAGACAGTACAAAAATGGTTTTTCAAAACTGCCCAAAGGAAAGGTTCAACTCTGAGAGATGAATGTACACATCACAAATAAATTTGTCAGAATGCTTCTTTCTAGTTTTTATTTGAAGATATTTCCTTTTCCACCATAGGCCTCGAAGCACTCCAAATAACCACTTGCAGATAATTCAAAAATGGTGTTTCAAAACTGCTCAATCAAAAGTAAGTTTCAACTCTGTGAGATGAATGCACATATCACAAAGTAGTTTGTCATAATGCTTCTAATTTTTATGTGAAGATATTTCCTTTTCTACCATAGCCTCAAAGCGCTCCAAATGTCCACTTTCAGATTCTACAAAAAGAGTGTTTCCAAACTTCTCAATAAAAAGAAAGTTTCAACTCTGTGAGATGAATGCACACAACACAAAGAAGCTTCTCAGAATGTTTCTGTCTCGCTTTTATGTGAAGATATTTCCTTTTCCACCATGGGCCTCAAAGCTCTCCAAATGTCCACTTGCAGATTCTACAAAAAGAGTGTTTCAAAACTGCTCAATCAAAGGAAAGTTTCAAACCTGTGAGATGAATGCATGCATCAAAAAGAATTTTTTCCGAATGATTCTGTATAGTTTTTATGTGAAGATATTTCCTTTTCCATTGTAGGCCTCAAAGCCCTCCAGATGTCCACTTGCATGTTATACAAAAAGAGTGTTTCAAAACTGCTCAATGAAAAGAAACGTTCAACTCTGTGAGATGAATGCACACATCACAAAGAAGTTTCTCAGAATGTTTCTGTATAGTTTTTATGTGAAGATATTTCCTTTTCCAAAGCAGACCTCAAAGCACTCCAAATGTCCACTTGCAGATACTACAAAAAGAGTGTTTCAAATCTGCTCAATCAAAAGAAAGTTTCAACTCTGTGAGATGAATGCACACATTGTAAGGAAATTTGTCAGAATGCTTCTGTCTAGTTTTTATGTGAAGATATTTCCTTTTCCACCGTAGGCCTCTAAGCACTCCTAAAGTCCACTTGCAGATAGTACAGAAAGGGTGTTTCAAAACTGGACAGAAACATTATGATAAACTTCTTTGTGATATGTGCCTTCATCTCACAGAGTTGAACATTTCTTTTGATTGAGCAGTTTTAAACACTGTTTTTGTAGAATCTACAAGTGTACATTAGGAGGGCTTTGAGGCCCATGGTGGAAAAGGAAATATCTTCACATTAAAACTAGACTGAAGCATTCTGACAAATTACTTTGTGATGTGTGCGTTTATCTCACAGAGTTGAACCTTTCATTTGATTGAGTAATTTGGAAACCCTCTTTTTGTAGAATCAGCAAGTGGACATTTGAGCGCTTTGAGGCCTATGGTGGAAAATGAAATATCTTCACTTAAAAACTAGACAGAAGCATTCTGAGAAATTTCTTTGTGATGTGTGCATTCATGTCACAGAGTTGAGATTTTCTTGTGATTGAGAAGTTTTGAAACACTCTTTTTGTAAAATCTGCAAGTGGACATTTGGAGCGCTTTGTGGCCTATGGCGGAAAAGGAAATATCTTCACATAAAAACTAGACAGAAGCATAGTGAGAAACTTCTTTGTGATGTGTGCATTCATCTCAGGGAGTTGAACTTTTCTTTTGATTGAGCAAGTTTGAAGCACTCTTTTTGTAGTATCTGCAAGCGAACATTTGGAGGGCTTAAAGGCCTATGGCGGAAAAGGAAATATCAACACATAAAAACTATACAGAAACATTTTGACAAACCTCGTTGTGATGGGTGCATTCATCTCATGGATTTGAACCTCAGTTTTGATTGAGGAATTTTGAAACACTCTTTTTGTAGAATCTGCAAGTGGACAATTGAAGCACTTTGAGGCCTATGTTGGAAAACGAAATATCTCCACATAAAAACTAGACAGAATCATTCTAACAAAATTTGTGATGTGTGCATTTATCTCACAGATTTGTACCCTTCTTTTGATTGAGAAGTTTTGAAACATTGTTTTCGTATAATCTGCAAGGGGACATTTGGTGCGCTTTGAGACCTACGGTGGAAAAGGAAATATCTTCACATAAAAACTAGACCAAAGCATTCTGAGAAATTTCTTTCTTATGTGTGCATTCATCTCACAGAGTTGAACCTTCCTCTTGATAGAGCAGTTTTGAAACACTTTTTTTGTAGAATCTGCATGTGGACATTTGGAGCGTTTTGAGGCCTATGTTGGAAACGGAAATATCTTCACATAAAAACTAGACAGATGCAATCTGACAAACTTCTTCATGATGTGTGCATTCGTCTCACAGCATTGAACGTTTCTATTGATTGAGCAGCTTTGAAACACTCTTTTTGTAGAATCTGCAAGTGGATTTTGGAGCGCTTTGAGTCCTATGGTGGATAACAAAATACCGTTTTATATTAATTAGACAAGCATTATGAGAAACTTTTTGGCATGAGTGCATTCATCTCGCAAACAGTTGAACCTTACTTTTGATTGAGCACTTTGAAACACTCTTTTTGTAGAATCTATAAGTGGATATTTGCAGCGCTTTGAGGCCAATGGTGGAAAAGAAAAAATCTTCACATAAAAACAAGACAGAAATATTCTGAGAAACTACTTTGTGATGTGTGCATTTATCTCACAGAATTGAACCTTTGTTTTGATTGACCAGACTTGAAACACTCTTTTTGTAGAACCTGGGAGAGGACATTTGGAGCCCTCTGAGGTCTATGGTGGAAAGGGAAATATCTTCACATAAAAACTAGTCAGTAGCATTCTGAGAAACTTCTTTGTGATGTGTGCATTCAACTCACAGATATGAAAGTTTCTTTCGATTAAGCAGTTTGGAAACACTCTTTTTGGAGAATCTGCAAGTGGACATTTAGAGCGCTTTGAGGCCTATGGTAGAAAAGGTAATATCTTCACATAAAATCTAGAAAGAAGCAATCTGAGAAACGTGTTTGTGATACGTGTATTCATCTCATAGAGTAAAACCTTTCTTTTGATTCAACAGTTTTGAAACTCTCTTTTTGTAGAATCTGCAAGTGGGCATTTGGAGTACTTTGATGCCTATGGCTTAAAAGGTAGTATCTTCACATAAAAACTAGATAGAAGCATTCTGAGAAACTTCTTTGTGATGTGGGCATTCATCTCCCAGAGTTGAAACTTTCGTTTGAAGGACGAGTTTTGAAATACTCTTTTTGTAGACTCTGCAAGTGGACATTTCGAGCGCCTCGAGGCCTATGGTGGAAAAAGAAATATCTTCCCATAAAAACTAGACAGAAGAATTCTGAGAAACTTCTTTGTTATATGTGCGTTCATCTCACAGAGTTGACCTTTTCTTTTGATTGGACAGTTTGTAAACACTCTTTTTGTAGAATCTGCAAGTGGATATTTGGAGCACTTTGCAGCATATGGTAGAAAAGGAAATATATTCACATAAAATCTAGACAGAAGCAATCTGAGAAACGACTTTGTGATGTCAGAATTCATCTCACAGAGTTTAAGCTTTCTTTTGATTGAGCAGTTTTGAAACTCTCTTTTTCTAGAATCTGCAAGTGGACATTTGGAGCACTTTGCTGCCTATGGTAGAAAAGGAAATAATTTTACATAAAATCTAGACAGAAGCAATCTCAGAAACTTCTTTGTGATATGTGCATTCATCTCACAGTGTTAAAGCTTTCTTTTGATTGAGTAGTTTTGAAACTCTATTTTTCTAGAATCTGCAAGTGCACATTTGGATCGCTTAGAGGCCTATGGTGAAAAAGTAAATATCTTCACATAAAAACTAGACCGAAGTATTCTGAGAAACTTTTTCATGATGTGTGCTTTCATCTCACATAGTTGAACATTGCTTTTGATTGAGCAGTTTGAAAACACTCTTTTTGTAGAATCTGCAAGTGGACATTTTGAGCGCTTTGTGGTCTATGGTAGAAAAAGAAAACTCTTCACATAAAATATAGACAGAAGCAATCTGAGAAACTTATTTGTGATGTGTGCATTCATCTAACAGAGGTAAACTTTTCCTTTGATTGAGCAGTTTTGAAACTCTCTTATTTTGGAATCTGCAAGAGGACATTTGGAGCGCTTTGAGGCCTATGGTAGAATAGGAAATATATTCACATAAAATCTAGAGACAAGAAATCTGAGAAACTTCTTTGTGATGTGTGCATTTCTCTCACAGAGTTGACCCTTTCTTTTGATTGTGCCATTTGGAAATACTCTTTTTGTAGAATCTGTAAGTGGAAATTTGGAGGGCTTTGCAGCCTATGGTAGAAAAGGAAAAATCTTCACATAAAATCTAGACTGAAGCAATCTGAGAAACTTCTTTGTGATGTGTGCATTCATCTCACAGACTTAAGCCTTTTTTTTGATTGAGCAGTTTTGAAATTCTCTTTTTGTAGTATCTGCAAGTGGACATTTGGAGTGCTTTGAGGTCTATGGTCGAAAAAGAAATATCTTCACCAAAAACCTAGATAGAATCATTCTGAGAAACTTCTTTATGATGTGCTCATTCATCTCCCAGAGTTGAACTTTTCTTTTGATGGACTAGTATTGAAATACTCTTTTTTGTGGAATCTGCAAGTGGACATTTCAAGCGCTTGAGGCCTATGGTGGAAAATGAAATCTCTTCATATAAAAACTAGACAGAAGAATTCTGAGAAACTTCTTTGTGATGCTTGCATTCATCTCACAGAGTTAACTTTTTTTCTTTGAGAAGTTTGGAAACACTCTTTTTGTAGAATTTGCAAGTGGACATTTGGAGCGCTTTGAGTCCTATGGTGGAAAAGGAAATATCTTCATAAGAAAACAAGACAAGAACTCTCGGAAACTTCTTTGTGATGTGTGCGTTCAACTCACAGAGTTCAACCTTTCTTATGATTGAGCAGTATGGAAACACTCTTTTTGTAGAATCTGCAAGTGGACATTAGGAGTGCTTTGTGGCCTATGGTAGAAAAGGAAATATCTTCACATAAAATCTATACAGAAGCAATCTGAGAAACATCTTTTTGATGTGTGCATTCATCTCACAGAGTAAAACTTTTCTTTTGATTTAGCATATTTGAAACTCTCTTTTTGTAGAATCTGAAAGTGGACATTTGGAGCGCTTTGGGGCCTATGGTAGAAAAGGAAATATCTTCACATAAAATCTAGACAGAAGCAATCTGAGAAACTTTGTGTTGCATGCATTCATTTCACAGAATTAAACGCTTCTTTTGATTGAGCCGTTTTCAAACTCTGTTTTTGTAGAATATGCAAGTGGATATTTGGAGCACTTTGAGGCCTATGGTGAAAAAGAAATATCTTCACATAAAAACTAGACAGAAGAATTCTGAGAAACTTCTTTGTGATGTGTGCGTTCATCTCCCAGAATTGAACCTTTCTTTTGATTGAGTAGTTTGGAAACATTCTTTTTGTAGTATCTGCAAGTGGACATTTGGAGCGCTTTGCGGCCTATGGCAGAAAAGGAAATATCTTCACATAAAATCTAGACAGAAGTAATCTGAGAAACTTCTTTGTGATGTGTGCATTCATCTTACAGAGTTAAACCTTTTTTCGATT
The DNA here is from genome assembly GCF_000001405.40 of Homo sapiens. NCBI lineage: Eukaryota > Metazoa > Chordata > Mammalia > Primates > Hominidae > Homo > Homo sapiens. The sequence goes on from NC_000007.14 coordinate 57,898,911, forward strand.
GAGCAGTTTTGAAACTCTCTTGTAGAATCTGCAAGTGGACATTTGGAGTGCATTGAGGCCTTTGGTGGAAAAGGAAATTTCTTCACATAAAAACTAGACAGAAGAGTCTTGGAAACTTCTTTGTGATGTGTGCGTTCTTCTCACAGAGTTGAACATTTCTTTTGATTGAGCAGTATGGAAATTCTCTTTTTGTAGAATCTGCAAGTGGACATTTGGAGAGCTTTGAGGCCTATGGTGGAAAAGGAAATACCTTCACATAAAAACTAGATAGAAGCATTCTGAGAAACTTGTTTGTGATATGCGAATTTATCTCCCAGAGTTGAACCTTTCTTTTGATGGACCAGTTTTGAAATACTGTTTTTTGTAGAATCTGCAAGTGGACATTTTGAGCGCTTGAGGCCTATGGTGGAAAATGAAATATCTCCACATAAAAACCAGACAGAAGAATTCTGCGAAAATTCTTTGTGGTGCTTGCATTCATCTCACAGAGTTGAACCTTTTCTTTGAGCAGTTTGGAAACACTCTTTTTGTAGGATCTGCAAGTGAACATTTGGAGTGCTTTGGGGCTTATGATAGAAAAGGAAATATCTTCACATAAAATCTAGACAGAAGCAATCTGAGAAACTTCTTTGTGATGCATGCATTCATCTCACAGAGTTAAAACTTTCTTTTGATTAAGCAGTTTTGAAATTCTCTCTTTGTAAAATCTGCAATTGGACATTTGGAGCGCTTTGAGGCCTGTGGTGGAAAAGGAAATATCTTCACAAAAAAACAAGACAGAAGAATTCTGTGAAACTTCTTTGTGATTTCTGTGTTCATCTCACAGAATTGAACCTTTCTTATGATTGAGCAGTATGGAAATCTCTTTTTGTAGAATCTGCAAGTGGACATTTGGAGTGCCTTGAGGCCTATGGTGGAAAAAGATATATCGTCACATAAAAACTACACAGAAGAATTCTGGAAAACTAGTTTGTGATGTTTGCATTCGTCTCATAGAGTTGAACCTTTCTTTTGATTAAGCAGTTTGGCAACCCTCGTTTTGTAGAATATGCAAGGGGTCATTTGGAGCGCTTTGCGTCCTGTGGTAGAAAAGGAAATATCTTCACATAAAATCTAGACAGAAGCAATCTGAGAAACTTCTTTGTGATGTGTGCATTCATCTCACAGAGTTAAAGCTTTCTTTTTATTGAGCAGTTTTGAAACTCTCTTTTTGTAGAATCTGCAAGTGGACATTTGGATCACCTTGAGGCCTATCGTGGAAAAGGAAACCCTTAATATAAAAACTAGATAGAAGGATTCTGAGAAATTTATTTGTGATGTGTGCATTCATCTCCCATAGTTGAACCTTTCTTTTGATGGGCCAGTTTTGAAACTCTCTTTTTGTAAAATCTGCAAGTGGACATTTTAAGTGCCTTGAGGCCTATGGTGGAAATGAAATATCTTCACATTAAAACTAGACAGAAGAATTCTGAAAAACTTCCTTGTCTGTGTGCTTTCATCTCACAGAGTTGAATGTTTGTTTTGACTGAGCACTTTGGAAACAGTCTTTTTGTAGAATCCGCAAGTGGACATTTGGAGCGCTTTGCGAACTATGGTAGAAAAGGAAATATATTCACATAAAATCTAGACAGAAGCAATCTGAGAAACTTCTTTGTGAGGTTTGCATTCACCTCACACAGTTAAACCTTTCTTTTGATTGAGCAGTTTTGGAGCTCTCTTTTTGTACAATCTGGAAATTGACATTTGGAGTGCTTTGAGGATTATGGTGGAAAAGGAAATATCTTCAAATAATATCTACACAAAAGCAATCTGAGAAATTTCTTTGTGATCTGTGCATTCTTCTCACAGAGTGGAATTTCATTTTGTTTGAGCAGCTTTGAAACAACCTATTTGAACTATCTGCATGTGGACATTTGGAGTGCTTTGAGGCCTATGTTGGAAAAGGAAATATCCTCATGTAACAACTATACAGAAGCATTCTGAGAAATTTCTTTGTGATGTGTGCATTCATCTCATAGAGTCGAAGCTTTCTTTTGATTGAGCAGCTTTAAAACACTCTTTTTGTAGAATCTGCAAGTGGACATTTGGAGCGCTTTGAGGCCTATGGTGGAAAAGGAAACATCTTCACATAAAAACTAGACAGAAGCATTCTGACAAACTTCTTTGTGATGTGTACATTCATCTCACAGAGTTGAGACTTTCTATTTATTCAGCAGTTTTGAAACACTCTTTTTGTAGAATCTGCATGTGGGCTTTTGGAGCACTTTGAGTCCTATGGTGGAAAAGGAAATACCTTCACATAAAAACTAGACAGAAGCATTCTGACAACCTTCTTTGTGATACGTGCATTCATCTCACAAAGTTGAACCTTACTTTTGATTGAACAGTTTTGAAACAGTCTTTTTGTAGAATCTGCAAAGGGACATTTAGAGCGCTTTGAGTCCTATGATGGAAAAAGAAATATCTTCACATAAAAAATAGACAGAAGCATTCTGAGAAATTTCTTTGTGATGTGTGCATTCATCTCAGAGAGTTGAAGCTTTCTTTTGATTGAGCAGCTTTGAAACACTCTTCTTGTAGCATCTGCAAGCGGACATTTGGAGAGCTTTGTGACATATGGTAGAAAAGGAAATTTCTTCACCTAAAAACTAGACAGAAGCATTCTGACAAATGTCTTTCTGATGTGTGCATTCATCTCACAGAGTTGAAATTTACTTTTCATTGAGCAGTGTGAAACACTCTTTTTGTAGAATCTGGAATTGCACATTTGGAGGGATTTGAATCCTGTGGTGGAAAAGGAAATATCTTGACATAAAAACTGGAAGAAGCATTCTGAGAAACTTCTTTGTGAAGTGTGCATTCGTCTTGCAGAGTTTACCCTTTCTTTTGATTGAGCAGTTTGGAAATACTCTTTTTCTAGAATCTGCAAGTAGAAATTTGGAGTGCTTTTTGGCCTATGTTGGAAAACGAAATATCTTCACATAAAAACCAGACAGAAGCATTCTGACAATCTTCTTTGTGATATGTGCATTCATCTCACAAAGTTGGACCTTACTTTTGACTGAGCAGTTTTGAAGCATCCTTTTTGTGCTATCTGCAAGTGGACATTTGGAGTTCTTTGAGGCCTATGGAGGAAAAGGAAATATCTTCACATAAAAACTAGACAGAAGCATTCTGAGAAATTTCTTTGTGATGTGTGCATTCATCTCAGAGAGTAGAAGCTTTATTTGATTGAACAGCTTTGAAACACACTTTTTGTAGAATCTGCAGGTGGACATTTGGAGTGCTTTGAGGCCTATGGTGGAAAAGGAAATATCTTCACATAAAAACCAGACAGAAGCATTCAGACAAACTTCTTTGTGATGTGTGCATTCATCTCAGAGAGTTGAAGCTTTCTTTTGATTGAGCAGCTTTGAAGCACTCTTTTTGTAGAATCTGCAAGTGGATATTTGGAGCGCATTGAGGCCTATGGTGGAAAAGGAAATATCTTCACATAAAAATTAGAAGCATTCTGACAAACTTCTTTTTGATGTGTGCATTCATCTCACAGAGTTGAGACTTTCTATTTATTTGGCAGTTTTGAAAAACTCTTTTTGTAGAATCTGCAAGTGGACATTTGGAGCACTTTGAGTCCTATGGTGGAAAAGGAAATATCTTCACATAAAAATTAGACAGAAACATTCTGACAACCTCCTTTGCAATATGTGCATTCGTCTCACAAAGTTGAGGTTTACTTTTGACTGAGCAGTTTTGAAACGCCCTTTTTGTACTATCTGCAAGTGGACATTTGGAGTGCTTTGAGGCCTATGGTTGAAAAGGGAATATCTTCATATAAAAAATAGACAGAGGCATTCTGACAAACTGCTTTGTGATGTGTGCATTCATCTCAGAGAGTTTACACTTTCTTTTGATTGTGCAGCTCTGACACACTCTTTTTGTGGAATCTGCAAGTGGACATTTGGAGTGCTTTGCAGCCTATGGTAGAAAAGGAAATATCTTCACATCAGAAAGAGAGAGTTTCAAAACTGCTCAATAAAAAGAAAGGTTTAAGTCTGTGAGATGAATGCACACATCACAAAGAAGTTTTTCATATTGCTTCTGTCTAGATTTTATGTGAAGATATTCCTTTTTCCACCATAGGCCTCAAAGCACTCCAAATGTCCACTTGGTGATTCTACAAAAAGAGAGTTTCAAATCTGCTCAATCAAAAGAAAGTTTTAACTCTGTGACATGAATGCACCCATCACAAAAAATTTCTCAGATTGCTTCTGTCTAGATTTTATGTGAAGATATTTCCTTTTCTACCATAGGCTGTAAAGCGCTCCGAATATCCACTTGCAGAATCTACAAAAAGAGTGTTTCCAAACTACTCAATCAAAAAGAAGGTTCAACTCTGTGAGATTAAGGCATGCATCACAAGGAAGTTTCTCAGAATTCTTCTGTCTAGTTTTTATGTGAAGATATTTCCTTTTCCACCATAGGCCTCAAAGAGCTCCAAATGTCCACTTGCAGATTCTTCAAAAAGAGAGTTTTGAAAGTGCTCAATCAAAAGAAGGGTTCAACTCTGTGAGATGAATGCAAACATCACAAAGAAGTTTCTCAGATTGCTTCTGTCTAGGTTTTATGTGAAGATATTTCCTTTCCTACCATAGGCAGCAAAGTGCTCCAAATTTCCACTTGCAGATTCTACAGAGTATTTCCAAACTGCTCAATCAAAAGAAAGATTCAACTCTGTGAGATGAACGCACACATGGCAGAGAAGTTTCTCAGAATTCTTCTGTCTAGTTTTTATGTGAAAATAATTCCTTTTCCATCATAGCCCTCAAAGCACTCCAAATATCCACTTGCAGATTCTAGAAAAAGAGTGTTTCAAAACTGCTCTATCAAAAGAAAGGTTGAACTCCGTGAGTTGAGTGCACACATCACAAAGAAGTTTTGGAGAATGCTTCTGTCTAGTTTTTATGTGAAGATATTTCCTTTTCCACCGTAGGCCTCAAAGCGCTCCAAATATCCACTTGCAGATTCTAGAAAAAGAGTGTTTCAAAACTGCTCAATCAAAAGAAAGTTTCAACTCTGTGAGATGAATGAACACATCAGAAGAAATTTCTCAGAATGCTTCCGTGTAGTTTTATGCGAAGATACTTCCTTTTCCACAATGGTCCTCAAAGCGCTTTAAACATCCACTTGCAGATTCTACAAAAAGAGTGTTTTGCAACTGCTCAATCAAAGGAAATTTTCAACACTGTGAGATGAATACACACATCACAAAGGAGTATCTCTGAATAGTTCTGTGTAGTTTTTATGTGAAGATATTTACTTTTCCACCTTAGACCCCCAAGGGCTCCAAATATCCACTTGCAGATTATACAAAAAGAGAGTTTGAAAACTCCTCTATCAACAGATAGTTTCAACTCTGTGAGTTGAATGTGCACATCACAAAGACGTTTCTGAGAATGTTTCTGTCTAGTTTTTATGTGAAGATATTTCCTTTTCCATTATAGGCCTCAAAGAGCTCCAAATATCCACTTGCGGATTCTACAAAAAGAGTCTTTCCAAACTGGTAATTCAAAAGAAAGGTTCAACTCTGGGGGATGAAATCACACATCACAAAGAAGTTTCTCAGAATGCATCTGCGTGGTATTTATGTGAAGATATTTCCTTTTCCAGCATAGTCCTCAAAGCGCTCCAAATATCCACTGGTAGATTCTACAGAAAGAGTGTTTCCAAACTGCTCAATCAAAAGTAAGGTTCAACTCTGTGAGATGAATGCACAGATCACAAAGAAGTTTCTCAGAGTGCTTCTGTGTAGTTTCTATGTAAAGATATTTCCCTTTCCGCAATAGGCCTCAAAGCACTTCAAATACCCAATTGCAGATTCTATAAAAAGAGTGTTTCCTAACTGCTCAATCGAAAGAAAGTTTGAACTGTGTGAGATGAATGCACACATCACAAAGAAGTTTCTCAGAATGGTTCTGTGTAGTTTTTAAGTGAAGATATTTCCTTTTCTACAATAGGCCGCAATGAGCTACAAATATACACTTGTGGATTCTACAAAAATAGAGTTTCAAAACTCCTCTATCAAAAGATAGGTTCAATATTGTCAGTTGAATGCACACATCACAAAGTAGCTTCTCAGAATGCTTCTGTGTAGTTTTTATTTGAAGATATTTCCTTTTACACTATAGGCCACAAAGCGTTCCAAATATTCACTTGCATATTCTACAAAGGAATTTTTCAAAAGTGTTCAATCAAATGAAAGGCTCAACTATGTGAGATGATGCACACATCTGAAAGAAGTTTCCCAGAATGCTTCTGTGTACTTTTTATGTGAAGATATTTCCTTTTCCACCATAGGCTGCTAAGGTCTCCAAATATCCGCATGCAGATTCTACATAAAGAGAGTTTCAAAACTGCTCTATCAAAAGATAGTTTCAACTCTGTGAGTTGAATGCTCGTTTCGTAAAGAAGTTTCACAGAATGCTTCTGTGTAGTTTTTATGTGAAGATATTTCCTTTTCCACCATAGGCCTCAAAGTGCACCTAATATCCACCTGCAGATTCCGCAAAAAGTGTGTTTCAAAACTGCTCAGTCAAAAGAAAGGTTCAGCTCTATGAGAGGAATGGAATCATCACAAAGAAGTTTCTCAGAATGCTTCTGTGTAGATTTTATATGAAGATGTTTCCTTGCCAACCGTAGGCCACAAAGGGCTCCAAATATTCACTTGCAGATACTACAAAAAGAGAGTTTCAAAACTGCTCCTTCAAAAGATATGTTCAACTCTGTGAGTTGAATGCACACATCATAAAGAAGTTTCTCAGAATGCTTCTGTGTAGTTTTTATGTGAAGATATTTCCTTTTCCACAATACTCCTCAAAGCGCTCCAAATATCCACTTGCAGATTCTACAAAAACAGTGTTTCAAAACTGCTCGATCAAAAGAAAGGTTGAATTCTGTGAGATGAATGCACACATCACAAAAAGATTTCTCATTAATCTTCGTTTTAGTTTCTATGTGAAGATATTTCCTTTTCCACAATAGACCTCAAAGGACCCCAAATATGCACTTGCACATTCAACAAAGATAGAGTTTAAAATCTGCTCAATCAAAAGAAAGGTTCAACTCTGCGAGATGAATGCACGCATCACAAAGAAGTTTCTGAGAATGCTTCTGTGTAGTTTTTATGTGAAGATATTTCCTTTTTCACCATAGGGGGCAAAGGACTCCAAAGATCCACTTGCAGATTCTACAAAAAGAGAGATTCAAAACTGTTCAATGAGAAGATGAGTTCAACTCTGTGAGTTGAATGCACAACTCACAAAGAAGTTTCTCAGAATGCTTCTGTGTAGTTTTTATGTGAAGATATTTCCTTTTCCACCATAGGCCTCAAAGCGCTCCAAATATCCTCATGCAGATTCTACAAAAAGAGTGTCTCCATACTACTCATTCAAAAGAAAGGTTCAGCTCTGTCTGATGAATCCCCACATCACAAAGAAGTTTCTCAGAATTTTTCTGTATAGTTTTTATGTGAAGATATTTCATTTTCCACAATAGGATAAAAGTGCTCCAAACATACACTTGCAGAATCTACAAAAAGAGTGTTTCAAAACTGCTCGATCTAAAGAAAGGTTGAACTCTGTTAGATGTATGCACACATCACAAAAAGGTTTCTCAGAATGCTTCCTTGTAGTTTTTATGTGAAGATATTTCCTTTTCAACAATAGGCCTGAAAGCGCTCCAATTATGAACTTGTAGATTCTACAAGCAGATTGGTTCAAATCTGTGCAATCAAAAGAAAGTTTCAACTCTGTGTGATGAATGCATACATGACAAAGAAGTTTCTCAGAATGCTTCTGTGTAGGTTTAATGTGAAGATATTTCCTTTTCCACCAGAGGCCTCAAAGTGCTCAAAATATACTGTTGCAGATTCTACAAAAAGAGTGTTTCAAAATTGCTGAATCAAAAGGAAGGTTCAACTCTGTGAAATGAATTCACACATCATAAGAAATTTATCAGAATGCTTCTACGTAGTTTTTATGTAAACATACTTCGTTTTCCACAACAGGCCTCACAGTGCTCCAAATATCCACTTGCAGATATCTAAAAAAAGTGTGTTTCAAAACTGCTCAATCAAAAGAGAGCTTCAACCCTGTGAGATGAACGCATACATCACAAAGAAGTTTCTTAGAATGTTTCTGTGTAGTTTTTATGTGAAGATATTTCCTTTTCCACCATAGGCCTCAAAGCGCTCCAAATATCTGCTTGCAGATATTACAAAGAGTGTTTCAAAACTGCTCAATCAAAATAAAGGTTCAACTCTGTGAGATGAATGCATACATCACAAAGAAGTTTCTCACAATGCTACTGTGTAGTTTTTATGTGAAGATATTTCCTTTTCTCATTAGGCCTCAAAGCTCTCCAAGTATACACTTGCAGATTCTAATAAAAGAGTGTTTCCAAACTGCTCAATCAAAAGAGAGGATCAATTCTGTGAGATGAATGCACAAATCACAAAGAAGTTTCTCAGAATGCTTCTGTTTACTTTTTAATGTGAAATTATTTCCTTTTCTACCATAGGCCGCAACGGGCTCCAAATATCCACTTGCAGTTTCTACAAAAAGGAGTTTCAAAGCTGTTTTATCAAAAGATCGGTTTAAATCTGTGAGTTGAGTGCACATATCACAAAGAAGTTTCTCAGAATGCTTCTGTGAAATTTTTATGTGAAGATATTTCCATTTCCATCATAGGCCTCAAAGTGCTCCAAATACCCACTTGCAGATTCTACAAAAAGAGGCTTTCAAAACTGCTCAATCAAAAGAAAGGTTTAACTCTGTGACATGAATGCACACATTACAAAGAAGTTTCTCAGATTGCTTCTGTCTAGATTTTATGTGAAGATATTTCCTTTTCTATCATCAGCCACAAAGGGCTCCAAATATCCACTTGCAGATTCTACAAAAAGAGAGTTTCAAAATTGGTCTATCAAAAGATAGGTTCAAATCTGCGAGTTGAATGTACAAATAACAAAGAAGTTTCTCAGAATGCTTCTGTGTAGTTTTTATGTGCAGATATTTCCTTTTATACCATAGGCCTCAAAGTGCTCCAAATATTCCCTTGCAGATTCTACAAAAAGAGTGTTTCAAAACTGCTCAATCAAAAGAAAGGTTCAACTCTGTGAGACGAATGCACACAAAACAATGTATTTTTTGAGTATGTTTCTGTGGATTTTTATGTGAAGATATTTCTTTTTCCACAATAGGCCTCAAAGGGCTCCAAATATCCAACTGCAGATTCTAAAAAAAGAGTGTTTCAAAACTGCTGAGACAAATGAAAGGTTCAACTCTGTCCAATGAATGCACACATCACAAAGAAGCTTCTCAGGATGCTTCTGTGTAGTTTTTATGGGAAGATATTTCCTTTTCCACCATCGGCCACAAAGGGCTCCAAATAAACACTTGCATATCCTACAAAAAGTGAGTTTCAAAACTGCTCTATCAAAAAATAGGTTCAACTCTGTGAGTTGAATGCACACATCACAAAGTAGTTTCTCAGAATGCTTCTGCATAGTTTTTCTGTGAAGATATTTCCTTTTCCACAAGAGTCCTCAAAGGGCTCCAAATATCCGCTTGCAGATTTTACAAAAAGAGTGATTCAAAACTGTTCAATCAAAAGAAAGGTTCAACTCTGTGAGATGAATGCACACATCACAAAGAAGTTTCTCAGATTGCTTCTGTCTAGATTTTATGTGAAGATATTTTCTTTTCTACGATAGACCCCAAAGCGCTCCAAATGTTCTCTTGCAGACTCTACAAAAAGAGTGCTTCCAAACTGCTCAATCATAAAAAAAGGTTCAACTCAGTGAGATGAACGCATGGATCTGGAGGAAGTTCCTCAGAATTCCTCTGTCTATTTTTTATGTGAAGATATTTCATTTTCCACCATAGGCCTCAAGGGGCTCGAAATGTCCACTTGCAGGTTCTACAAAAAGAGTATTTCAAAACTGCTCTATCAAAAGAAAGATTTAACTCTGTGAGATGAATGCACACATCACAAAGTAGTTTCTCAGTTTGCTTCTGTCTAGATTTTATGTGAAGATATTTCCTTTTCCACCATAGGCCTCAAAGCACACGAAATGTACACTTGCAGATTCTAAAAAAAGAGTGTTTCCAAAATGCTCAATCAAAAGAATGGTTCAACTCTGTGAGATGAACACACACATCACAAAGAAGTTTCTCAGAATTCTTCTGTCTAGTTTTTAGGTAAAGATATTCCCTTTTCCACCATAGGCCTCAAAGCGATCCAAATGTCCACTTGCAGATTCTACAAAAAGAGAGTTTCAAAACCACTCAATGCAAAGAAAGGTTTAACTCTGTGAAATGAATGGACACGTCTCAAAGTAGTTTCTCAGATTGCTTCTGTCTAGATTTTATTTGAAGATATTTCCTTTTCTACCATAGGCCGCAAAGTGCTCCAAATGTCGACGTGCAGATTCTACAAAAAGAGTGTTTCCAAACTACCCAATCAAAAGAAAGTTCAACTATGTGAGACGAATGCACTCATCACAAAGAGGTTTCTCATAATTCTTATGTTAAATTTTTATGAGAAGATATATCTTTTTCCACCTTAGGTCTCAAGGCGCTCCAATTGTCCACTTGCAGATTCTAGAAAAAGAGAGTTTCCAAACTGCTCAATCAAAAGAAACGTTCAACTCTGTGAGATGAATGCACACATCACAAAGAAGTTTCTCAGATTGCTTCTGTCTAGATTTTATGTAAAGGTATTTCCTTTTCTAACGTAGGCCGCAAAGTGCTCCAAATGTCCACTTGCAGATTCTACAAAAAGAGTGTTTTCAAACTGTTCAATCAAAAGAAAGTTTCAAATCCGTGAGATGAACGCACATATCACAAAGAAGTTCCTCAGAATTTTCTTTCTAGTTCTTATGTGAAGATATTTCTTTTTCCACCTTAGGCTTCAAGACACTCAAAATGTCCATTGGCAGAATCTACCAAAAGAGTATTTCAAAACTGGTCCATCAAAAGAAATGTTCAACTCTGGGAGATAAATGCACACATCACAAAGAAGTTTCTCAGAGTACTTCTATCTAGTTTTTATGTGAAGATATTTCCTTTTCCACCATAGGTCTCAAAGAGCTCCAAATGTCCATTTGTAGATTCCATTAAAAGAGAGTTTCAAGACCACTGAATCAAAGAAAGGTTTAACTCTGTGAGATGAATGCACATATCACAGAGATGTTTCTCAGATTGCTTCTGTCTAGATTGTATGTGAAGATATTTCCTTTTCAACCATAGGCTGCAAAGCGCTCCAAATGTCCACTTGCAGATTCTACAAAAAGAGTGTTTCCCAACTGCTCAATCAAAAGAAAGGTTTAACTCCGTCAGATGAATGCACACATCACAAAGAAGTTTCTCAGATTGCTTTTGTCTAGATTTTATGTGAAGATATTTCCCTTTCTACCGTAGGCCGCAAAGCGCTCCAAATGTCCACTTGCAGATTCCACATAAACCGAGTTTCCAAACTTCTCAAACAAAAGGAAGGTTCAACTCTGCGAGGTGAAGGCACACATCAGATAGAAGTTTCTCAGAATTCTTCTGTCTAGTTTTTAAGTGAAGATGTTTCCCTTTCCAGCATAGGCCTCAAAGCATTCCAAATGTCCACTTTCAGATGCTACAAAAAGAGAGTTTCAAAATTGCTCCATCAAAAGAAATGTTTAACTCTCTGTGATGAATGCACACATCATGAAGAAGTTTCTCAGATTGCTTATGCGTAGATTTTATGTGAAGATATTTCCTTTTCTACCATAGACTGAAAAGCACTCCAAATGTCCACTTGCAGATCCTACAAAGAGACTGTTTCCAAACTGCTCAATCAAAAGAAAGGTTAAACTCTGTGAGATGAATAAACATGCCACAAAGAAGTTTATCAGAATTTTTCTGTCTAGTTTTTATGTGAAGATATTTCCTTTTCTAACATAGGCCATAAAGCGCTCAAAATAACCACTTGCAGATTCTACAAAAAGAGTATTTCCAAACTGTTCAATCAAAAGAAAGGTTCAACTCTGTGAGATGAACGCACACATCACAAAGAAGTTTCTCAGAATACTTCTGTATAGTTTTTAGGTGGAGATATTTCCTTTTCCACCATAGGCCTCAAAGCGCTCCAAATGTCCAACTGCAGATACTACAAAAAGAGACTTTCAAAACTGCTCAATCCAAAGAAAGGTTTAACTCTGTGAGACAAATGCACACATGCCAAAGAAGTTTCTCAGATTGCTTCTGTCTAGATTTTATATGAAAATATTTCCTTTTCTACCATAGATGGCAAAGCACTCGAAATGTCCACTTGCAGATTCCACAAAAAGAGAGTTTCCAAACTGCTCAATCAAAAGAAAGTTTCAATTCTGTGAGATGAACGCACACATCACAAAGAAGTTTCTCAGAATTCTTCTGCCTAGTTTTTATGCAAAGATATTTCCTTTTCTACCATAGGACGCAAAGCGCTCCAAATGTCCACTTGCAGATTCCAGAAAAAGAGAGTTTCAAAACTGTTCTATCAAAAGAAAGGTTTAACTCAGAGAGATGAATGCAAACATCACAAAGAAGTTTCTCAGGTTACTTCTGTCTAGATTTTATGTGAAGGTATTTCCTTTTCTACCATAGGCTGCAAAGCGCTCCAAATGTCCACTTGCCGTTCCTAAAAAAAGAATGTTTCCAAACTGCTCAATCAAAAGAAAGTTTCAACTCTGTGAGGTGAATGCACATATCACAAAGAAGTTTCTCAGAATTCTTCTCTCTAGTTTTTATGCGAAGATATTTCCTTTTCTACCATAGGCCTCAAAGCACTCCAAATGGCCACTTGAAGATTCTACAAAAAGAGAGTTTCAAATCTGCGCAATCCAAAGAAAGGTTTAACTCTGTGAGATGAATGCACACATCACGAAGAAGTTTCTCAGATTGCTTCTGTCTAGATTTTATATGAAAATATTTCCTTTTCTACAATAGGTGGCAAAGCGTTCCAAATGTCCACTTGCAGGTTCCACAAAAACAGTGTTTCCAAACTGCTCAGTCAAAAGAAAGTTTGAACTCTGTGAGATTAACGCACACATCACAAAGAAGTTTCTCAGAATTCTGTCTAGTTTTTATGTGAAGATGTTTCCTTTTCTACCATAGGACGCAAAGCGCTCCAAATGTCCACTTGCAGACTCTACAAAAAGAGACTTTCAAAACTGCTCTATCAAAAGAAATGTTTAACTGAGTGAGATGAATGCATACATCACAAAGAAGTTTCTCAGGTTGCTTCTGTCTAGATTTTATGTGAAGATATTTCCTTTTCTACCTTAGGCTGCAAAGTGCTTCAAATGTCCACTTGCAGATTCGACAAAAAGAGAGTTTCAAAGCTGCTCAATCAAAAGAAAGGTTTAACTCTGTGAGATGAATGCACACATCACAAAGGAGTTTCTCAGATTGCTTCTGTCTAGATTTTTTGTGAAGATATTTTCTTTTATTCCGTAGGCCATAAATCACTGCAAATGTCCACTTGCAGATTCTACAAAAAGACTATTTTCAAACTGCTCAATCAAAAGAAAGGTTCAACTCTGTGAGATGAACGCACACATCACAAAGAAGTTTCTGAGAATTCTTCTGTCTAGTTTTTATGTGAAGATATTTCCTTTTCTACCATAGGCCTCAAAACTCTCCAAATATACACTCACAGATTCTACAAAAAGGTTGTTTCAGAGCTGCTCAATAAACAGAAATTTTCAATGCTTTGAGATGAATGCACACATCACAAAGGAGATTGTCAGAATGCTTCTGTCTACTTTTTATATGAACATATTTCCTTTTCCACCATAGGCCTCAATGTGCTCCAAATGTCCACTTGCAGATTCTACAAAAAGAGAATTTCAAAACTGCTCAATCAAAAGAAGTTTTAACTCTGTGGGATCAATGCACACATCAGAAAGAAGTTTCTCAGATTGCTTCTTTCCGGATTTCATGTGAAGATATTTCTTTTTCTAACATAGGCTGCAAAATGCCCAAAATGTCCACTTGCAGATTCTACAAAAAGAGTGTTTCCAAACTGCTCAATCAAAGGAAAGTTTCAACCTTGTGAGATGAACGCACGCATCCCAAAAACTATCTCAGAATTCTTCTGTCTAGTTTTCATGTGAAGATATTTCACTTTCCACCATAGGCCTCAAAGTGCTCCAAATATCCACTTGCAGATCCTACAAAAAGAGTGTTTCAAAACTGCTCAATCAAAAGAAAGTTTTGACTCTGTGAGATGAATGCGCACATCACAAAGAGGTTTCTCAGATTGCTTCTGTCTAGATTTTATTTGAAGATATTTCCTTTTGTACCATAGGCTGCAAAGGGCTCTAAATGTCCACTTGCAGATTCTACAAAAAGAGTGTTTCCAAACTGCTCTATTGAAAGAAATGTTCCACTCTGTGAGATGAACGCACACATCACAAAGATGTTTCTCAGAATTCTTCTGTCTAGTTTTTATGTGAAGATATAACCTTTTCCACCGTAGGCCTCAAAGCGCTCCAAATGTCCACTTGCAGGTTTTACAAAAAGAGTGTTTTGAAACAGCTCTATCAAAAGAAAGGTTTAACCCTGTGAGATGAGTGCACCCTTCACAAAGAAGGTGATCAGATTGCTTCTGTCTAGATTTTATGTGAAGATATTTCCTTGTCCTCCGTTGGCCTCAATGTGCTCCTAATGTCCAATTGCAGATTCTACAAAAAGAGTGCTGGAAAACTCCTCAATGAAAAGTAAGTTTCCACTCTGTGAGATGAATGCACGCATCACAAAGATGTTTGTCAGAATGCTTCTGTCTAGTTTTTATGTGAAGATATTTCGTTTTCCACCATAGTCCTCAAAGCGCTCCAAATGTCCACTTGCAGATTGTACAAAAAGTGTGTTTCAAAGCTGCTCAAACAAAAGGAAGGTTCAACTCTGTGACATAAATGCAAACATCACAGAGAAGTTTCTCAGAATGCATTTGTCTAGTTTTTATGTGAAGATATTTCTTTTCTCACCATAGGCTTCAAAGCGCTCCAAATGTCCCCTTGCAGATGCCACAAAAAGAGTTTTTCAAAGCTGCTCAATCAAAAGAAAACTTAAACCCTCTGAGATGAATGCACACATCACAAAGCAGCTTGTCAGAATGATTCTGTCTAGTTTTTATGTGAAGATATTTCCTTTTCCACCATATGCCTCAAAGCACTCCAAATGTCCACTTGCAGATAGTACAAAAAGGGTGTTTCAAAACTGCTCAGTCAAGTTAAGGTTCAACTTGGTGAGACAAATGCACATATCACAAAGAAGGTTGTCAGAATGCTTCTGTGTAGTTTTAATGTGAAGATATTTCCTTTTCCATCATAGGCCTCAAAGCACTCTAAATGTCCACTTAATGATTCTACAAAAAGAGTGTTTCCCCCTGCTCAATGAAAAGTAAGTTTCAACTCTGTGAGATGAATGCACACATTACAAAGACGTTTGTCAGAATGCTTCTGTCTAGTTTTTATGTGAAGATATTTCCTTTTCCACCATATGCCACAAAGCTCTCCAAATGTCCTCTGGCAGATGCTCCAGGAAGAGTATTTAAAGCTGCTCAATCCAAAGAAAAGTTCAACTCTGTGAGATGACGGCACACATCACGAAGTAACTTCTCAGAATGCTTCTGTTTGCTTTTTATGTGGAGATATTTCTTTTTTACCATAGGCCTCAAATCACTCCAAAAGTCCAATTGCAGGTTCTACAAAAAGACTGTATCAAACCTGCTAAATCGAAAGTAAGGTTCAACTCTGTGAGATGAATGCACTGATTACCAAGAAATTTCTCAGAATGCTTCTGTCTACTTGTTACATGAAGATATTTCCTTTTCCACCATAGGCCTCAAAGTACTCCAAATGTCCACATGCAGATAGTACAAATAGGGTGTTTCAAAGCTGCTCAAACAAAATGAAGTTTCCCTCTGTGATATGATTTACAGATCACAAAGTAATTTCTCAGATTGCTTCTGTCTAGATTTTATGTGAAGATATTTCCTTTTCCACCATAATCCTCAAAGAACTCCAAATGTCGATTTCCAGATCCTACAAAAAGAGAGCTTCAAAACTGCTCAATCAAAAGAAAGATTTAACTCTGTGAGATGAATGCACACATCACAAAGAGGTTTCTCAGATTGCTTCTGTCTAGTTTTTATGTGAAGATATTTCCTTTTCCACCACAGGCCTCAAAGCACTCCAAATATCCAAATGCAAATTCTACAAAAAGAGAGTTTCAAAACTGCTCAATCAAAAGAAAGATTTAACTCCGTGAGATGAATGAACACATCATAAAGAAGTTTCTCAGATTGATTCTGTCTAGATTTTATGTGAAGGTATTTACTTTTCTACCATAGGCTGCAAAGCCCTCCAAATGTCCACATGCAGATTCCACAAAAAGAGGGTTTCCAAACTGCTCAATAAAAAGAACGTTTCAACTCTGTGAGATGAATGCACACATCAGAAAGAAATTTCTCAGAATTCTTCTGTCTAGTTTTTATGTGAAGATATTACATGTGAAGAAAACTAGACAGAAGAATTCTCAGAAACTTCTTTGTGATGTGTGCATTCAACTCACAGAGTTGAACCTTTCTTTTGATAGAGCAGTTTTGAAACCCTCTTTTTGTAGAATCTACAAGTGGACATTTGGAGGGCTTTGAGGCCTATGGTAGAAAAGGAAATATTTTCACATAAAAACTAGACGGAATCATTCAGAGAAAATACTTCGTGATGTTTGCATTCATCTCACAGACTTGAAATTTTGTTCAGATTGAACAGTTTGGAAGCAATCTTTTTGCAGGATCTGCAAGTGGACAAGTGAAGTGCTTTGAGACCTACGATGGAAAAGGATATATCAACACATAAAACCTAGACAGAAGCATCCTGAAAAACCTCTTTGTCATGAGTGCATTCATCTCATAGCGTTGAACCTTTCTTTTGATTGAGCAGTTTTGCAACAGCCTTTTTGTACTATCTGCCAGTGGACATTTGGAGTGCTTTGTGGCCTATGGTGGAAAAGGAAGTAGCTTCTCATAAAAAGTAGACAGAAGAATTGTGCAAATTACTTTGTGATGTGTCCGTTCATCTCACAGAGTTGAACATTTCTTTTGCTTGAATTGTTTGGAAACTCTCTTTTTGTAGAATCTGCAAGTGAACGTTTGGAGCGCTTTGAGGCCGATCGTGGAAAAGGTAATATCTTCAAATAAAAACTGTAGAGAAACATTCTGACAAACTACTTCGTGATGTGTACATTCATCTCACAGAGTTGAAACTTTCTTTTCATTGAGCAGTTTTGAAACACTCTATTTGTATTATCTGCAAGTGTATATTTGGAGCACTTTGAGGCCTAAGGTGGAAAAAGAAATATTTTCAGATATATACTACACAGAATCATTCTGAGAAAATTATTAGTGATATGTGCATTCATGTGACAGAGTTGAACGTTACTTTTGATTAAGCAGTTTTGAAACACACTTTTTGTACTATCTGAAAGCAGACATTTGGAGTACTTGGAGTCCTTTTGTGGAAAAGGAAATATCTTCATATAAAAACTAGACAGAAGCATTCTGACACACTTCTTTGTGACGTGTGCATTCATCTCACAGAGTTGAACCTTTCCTTTCGTTGAGCAGCTTTGAAACACTCTTTTTGTAGAATCTGCAATTGGATATTTGGACCGCTTTGAGGCCTTCGTTGGAAACCAGAATATCTTCACATAAAAACTAGGCAGAAGCATTCTCAGAAACTTCTTTGTGGTGTGTGCATTCAACTCACAGAATTGAACCTTTCTTTTCATAAAGCAGTTTTGAAACACTCTTTTTGTAGAATCTGCAAGTGGACATTTGGAGCGCTTTGAGGCCTGTGGTGGAAAAGGAAATATCTTCACATAAAAACTAGGCAGAAGCATTCTGAAAAACTCCTTTGTGATATGTGCATTCATCTCACAGCGTTGAACATTTCTGTTGATTGAGCAGCTCTGAAGCACCCTTTTTGTAGAATGTGTGAGTGGATATTTGGAGCGCTTTGAGGTCTATGGTGGAAAAGCAAATATCTTCACATAAAAACTAGACGGAAGAATTCTGATCAACATCTTTGTGATGTGTGCATTCATCTCACAGAGTTGAACTTTTCTTTTCATTGAGCAGTTTCGAAACAGTCTTTTTGTAGAATCTGCAACAGGACATTTGGAGCGCTTTTGGGCCTATGGTGGAAAAGAAAATATCTTCATATAAAAACTAGACAGAAGCATTCCGACAAAGTTCTCTATGATGTGTGCATTCATGTCACAGAGTTGAACCTTACTTCTCATTGAGTAGTTTTGAAAACCTCTTTTTTTAAAATCTGCAAGTGGACATTTGGAGCCCTTTGAGTCCTATGTTGGAAAAGGAAATATATTCACATAAAAAATAGACAGAAGCATTCTGAAAACTTCTTTGTGATGTGTGCATTCATCTCACAGAGTTCAACCTTTCTTTTGATCGAGCAGTTTTGAAACTCTCTTTTTGTAGAATGTGTAAGTGGACATTTGGTGCGCTTTGAGGCCTAGGGAGGAAAAGGAAATATCTTCACATAAAAACTAGAAAGAAGCATTCTGACAAAGTTCTTTGTGATGTGTTCATTCATCCACAGAGTTGAAATGTACCTGTCATTGAGCAGCTTTGGAACACTCTTTTTGTAGGGTCTGCAAGTGGACATTTGGAGCACTTTGAGGCCAATGGTGGAAAAGGAAATATCTTCACATAAAAATGAGACAAGCATTCGGACAAACTTCTTTGTGATATGTGCATTCATTTCAAAGAGTTGAAGCTACCTTTGATTGAAGAGTTTTGAAACACTCTTTTTGTAGAATCTACAGGTGGACATTTGGAGCGCTTTGAGGCCTATGGTGGAAAAGGAAGTATCTTCAAATAAAAGCTAGACAGAAGCTTTGTGACAAATGCCTTTGGATGTGTGCATTCATCTCACAGAGCTGAACCTTACTTTTGATTGAGCAGTTTTGAAACACCGTTTTTGTACTATCTGCAAGTGGACATTTGGCGTGCTTTGAGGCCTATGGTGGATAATGAAATATCTTCATATAAGAACTAGACAGAAGCATTCTGAGAAATTCCTTTGTGATGTGCGCATTCATCTCACAGAGGTGAACCTTACTTTCAATTGAGCACTTTTGAAAGACTCTTTTTCTAGAATCTGCAAGTGGATATTTGGAGCGCTTTGAGTCCTATGGCGGATAATGAAATAACTTCCTATATTAAATAGACAGAAGCATTATGAGAAACTTTTTGGGATGAGTGCATTCATCTCACACAGAGTTGAACCTTTATTTTGATTGAGCAGCGTTGAAACACTCTTTTTGTGGAATCTGTAAGTGGACATTTGTAGCGCTTTGAGGCCAATGGTGGAAAAGGAAAAATCTTCACATAAAAACAAGACAGAGTTATTCTGAGAAACTATTTTGTGATGTGTGCATTCATCCCACAGAGTTGAACCTTTCTTTTGATTGACCAGCTTTGAAACAGTCTTTGTAGAATCTGGAAGAGGACATTTGGAGCCCTTTGAGGTCTATGGTGGAAAGGGAAATATCTTCATGTAAAAACAAGACAGAAGCATTCTGAGAAACTTCTTTGTGATGTGTGCATTCATCTCACAGAGTTGAACCTTACTTTTTATTGGGCAGCTTTGAAACACTCTTTTTGTAGAATCTGCAAGGGGATATTTTGTTCCCTTTGAGGCCTATGTTGCAAAATGAAATATCTTCACATAATAACTAGACAGAAGCATTCTCAGAAACTTCTTTGTGATGTGTGCATTCAAGTCACAGAGGTGAAAATTTCTTTTGATAGAGCAGTTTTGAAACTCTCTTTTTGTAGAATCTGCAAGTGGATATTTGGAGAGCTTTGAGGCCTATGGTGGAAAAGGAAATATCTTCACATAAAAACTAGACAGAAGCATTCTGTCAAACTTCTTTGTGATGTGTGAATTCATCTCACAGAGTTGAACCTTACTTTTCATTGAGGAGTTTTTAAACACTATTTTTGTAGAATCTGTAAGTGGACATTTGGAGTGCTTTGAAGTCTATTGTGGATAACGTAATATTTTCATATAATAACTAGACAGAGGCATTATGAGAAACTTCTTTTTGACGTGTGCACTCATCTCCCGGAGTTGAAACTTTCTTTTGATAGAGCAGTTTTCATACACACTTTTTGTAGAATTTACAAGTGGACATTTTGAGCTGTTTGAAGGGTTTGGTGGAAAAGGAAATATCTTCAAATAAAAACTAGAATGAAGCATTCTGAGAAACTTCTTTGTGATGTGTGCATTCGTCTCACAGAGTTGAAACTTTTCTTTGATGGAGCAGATTGGAAACACTCTTTTGTAGAATCTGCAAGTGGACATTTGGAGCGCTTTGAGGCCTATGGTGGAAAAGGAAATATCTTCACATAAACACTAGACAGAAGCAATCTGACAAACATCTTGGTGATGTTAGTATTCATCACACAGAGTTGAACCTTTCTTTTGATAGAACAGTTTTGAAACACTCTTTTTGTAGAATCTGCATGAGGACATTTGGAGCACTTTGAGGCTTAGGGTGGAAAAGGAAGTATCTTCAAATAAAAACTAGTCAGAAGCATTCTGACAAACTTCTTGGTGATGTGTGCTGTCATCTCACAGAGTTGAACATTTCTTTTGATTGAACAGCTTTGAAACACTCTTTTTGTAGAATCTGCATGAGGACATTTGGAGCGCTTTGAGACCTATGGTGGAAAAGAAAATAACTTCACATAAAAAGTAGACAGAAGCATTCTGACAAACTTCTTTGTGATGTGTGCATTCATCTCACAGAGTTCAACCTTACTTTTCATTGAGCAGCTTTCAAACACTCTTTTTATAAAATCCACTAGTGGACATTTTGAGCTCTTTGAGGACTAGGTGGAAATGGAAATTTCTTTACATAAAAACTAGAAAGAAGCATTCTGAGAAACTTCTTTGTGATGTGTGCATTCATCTCACAGAGTGGAAACTTCCTTTTGATTGAGCATTTTGGAAACGCTCTTTTTGTAGAATCTGCAAGCTGACATTTGGAGCTCTTTGTGGCCTATTGTAGAAAAGGAAATATCTTCAAATAAAATCTAGACAGAAGCAATCTGAGAAACTTCTTTGTGATGTGTGCATTCATCTCAAAGACTTAAACCTTTCTTTTTATTGAGGAGTTTTGAAACTCTCCTTTTGTAGAAACTGCAAGTGGATATTTGGAGCCCTTTGAGGCCTATGGTGGAAAAGGAAATGTCTTCACATAAAAACCTGGCAGAAGAATTCTGAGAAACTTCTTTGTGATGTGCGCGTTCATCTCACAGAGTTCAACCTTTCTTTTGATTGAGCAGTTTTGAAACAGTCTTTTTGTAGAATATGCAAGTGGACATTTGGAGTGTTTTGCTGCTTATAGTAGAAAAGGAAATATCTTCACATAAAATCTAGACAGAAACATTCTGAGAAACTTCTTTGTGATAGGTACATTCATCTCACAGAGTTAAACCTTTCTTTTGATTGAGTAGTTTTGAAACTTTCTTTTTGTAGAATCTGCAATTGGACATTCGGAGCGCTTTGAGGACTAACGTGGAAAAGTAAATATCTTCACATAAAGCCTAGATAGAAGCATTCTCAGAAACTTCTTTGTGATGTGTGCCTTCATCTCCCAGAGTTATGGTCCAGTTTTGAAATACTCTTTTTGTAGAATCTGCAAGTGGACATTTCGAGCACCTTGAGGCCTGTGGTGGAAAATGAAATATCTTCATATAAAAAATAGACAGAAGAATTCTGAGAAACTTCTTTGTGATGGGTGTGTTTATCTCACAGAGTTGAACATTTGTTTAGATTCAGCAGTTTGGAAACACTCTTTTTGTAGTATCTGCAAGTGGACATGTGGAGCGCTTTGAGTCCTATGTTAGAAAAGGAAATATCTTCTCATGAAAACTAGACAGAAGAATTCTGAGAAGTTACTTTGTGATGTGTGCATTCATCTCACAGAGTTGAACTTTTCTTTTGATTGAGCAGTTTGGAAACACTCTATTTGTAGAGTCTGCAAGTGGACATTTCGAGTGCTTTGTGGCCTATGGTAGAAAAGGAAATATCTTCACCTAAAATCTAGACAGAAGCAATCTGAGAAAATGCTTTGTGATGTGTGCATTCATCTCAGAGTTAAACCTTTCTTTCGATTGAGCAGTTTTGAATCTCTCTTTTTGTAGAATCTGCAAGTAGACATTTGGAGAGCTTTGAGACCTATGGTTTAAAAGGACATATCTTCACATAAAAACTAGATAGAAGCATTCTGAGAAACTTCTTTGTGATGTGTGCATTCATCTCCCAGAGTTGAACATTTCTTTTGAAGGACGAGTTTTGCATTACTCTTTTTGTAGAATCTGCAAGTGGACATTTTGAGCACTTTGAGGCCTATGGTGAAAAAAGAAATATCTTCACATAAAAATGAGACTGAAGAATTCTGAGAAACAACTTTGTGATGTGTGCGTTCATCTCACAGAGTTGAATCTTTCTTTTGATTGAGCAGTTTGGAAAAACTCTTTTTGTAGAATCTGCAAGTGTATATTTGGAGCGCTATGTGACCTACAGTAGAAAAGGAAATATCTTCACATCAAATCTACACAGAAGCCATTTGAGAATGTACTTTGTGATGTATGCATTCATCTCACAGTGTTAAACCTTTCTTTCGTTGAGCAGTTTGTAAACACTCTTTTTGTAGAATCTGCAAGTGGACACTTGGAGTACTTTGCGGCCTATGCTAGAAAAGGAAGTATCTTCACATAAAATCTAGACAGAAGCAGTCTGAGAAACTTATTTGTGATGTGTGCATTCATTCACAGAGTTAAACCTTTCTTTGGATTGAGCAGTTTTGAAACTCTCTTCTTGTAGAATCTGCAATGGACATTTGGAGTGCTTTGAGGCCTATGGTGGAAAAGGAAATATCTTCACATAAAAACAAGATAGAAGAATTCTGAAGAACTTCTTTGTGATGCGTGCGTTCATCTCACAGAGTTGAACCTTTCTTTTGACTGAGCAGTTTGGAAGCACTATTTTTGAAGAATCTCCAAGTGGACATTTGGAGTGCTTTGCGGCCTAGGGTCGAAAACGAAATATCGTCACATAAAATCTAGACAGAAGCAATCTGAGAAACTACTTTATGATGTGTGTATTCATCTCACAGAGTTAACCCTTTCTTTTGAATGAGTAGTTTTGAAACTCTCTTTTTGTAGAATCTGCAATTGGACATTTGGAGCGCTTTGAGGCCTATTGTGGAAAACTTAATCTCTTCACATAAAAACTAGGTAGAAGAATTCTGACAAACTTCTTTCTGATATGTGCATTCATCTCATGGAGTTGAAACTTTTCTTTTGATTGAGTAGTTTGGAAACACTCTTTTTGTCGAATCTGCAGATAGACATTTTGAGCGTTTTGCGGCCGATAGTAGAAAAGGAAATATCTTCAAATAAAATCTTCACAGAAGCAGTCTGAGAAACTTCCTCTTGATGTTTGCATTCATCTCAAAGAGTTAACCGTTTCTTTTGATTGAACAGTTTTGAAACTCTCTTTTTGTAGAATATGCAAGTGGACATTTGGAGCGCTTTGAAGAATATGGTGGAAAAGGAAATATCTTCACATAAAAACTAGAGAGAAGAATTCTGAGAAACTTCTTTTCTGATGCTTGCATTCATCTCAAAGAGTTGAAATTTTCTTTTGATTGAGCATTTTGGAAACACACTTTTCGTATAATCTGCAAGTGGACATTAGGAGCGCTTTGCTGCTAATGTTAGAAAAGGAAATATCTTCACATAATATCTAGACAGAGGCAATCTGAGAAACTGCTTTGTGATGTGTACATTCATATCACAGAGTTAAAACTTCCTTTTGATTAAGAGTTTTGAAACACTCTTTTTGTAGATTCTGCAATTGGACATTTGGAGCTCCTTGAGGCCTATAGTGGAAAAGAAATATCTTCACATAAAAACTAGACAGAAGAATTCTGACAAACTTCTTTTGATATGTGCATTCATCTCACAGAGTTGAAGGTTTCTTTTGATTGAGTAGTTTGGAAACACTCTTTTTCTAGAATTTGCAAGTGGACATTGGAGCGCTTTGAAGTCTATGGTCGAAACGGAAATATCTTCACATAAAATCTAGACAGAAGCAATCTGAGAAACTTCTTTGTGATGTGTGCATTCATCTCACGGAGTTAAACCTTTCTTTTGAGCAGTTTTGAAACTCTCTTTTTGTAGAATCTGCAAGTGGACATTTGGAGCGCTTTGAGGCCTATGGTGGAAAAGGAAATATCTTCACATAAATACCAGACAGAAGCAATCTGAGAAACTTCCTTGTATTGTGTGCATTCATCTCACACAGTTAACCCTTTCTTTTGATTGAGCAGTTTTGAAACTCTCTTTTTGTAGAATCTGCAAGTGGACATTTGGAGGGCTTTGAGGAATATGATGGAAAAGGAAATATCTTCACATAAAAACTACACAGAAGAATTCTGAGAAACTTCTTTGTGATAAGTGCATTCCTCTCACAGAGTTAAAACTTTCTTTTGATTTTGAAGTTTTGAAATTCTCTTTTTATAGATTCTACAAGTGGACATTTGGAGCCCTTTGAAACCTGTGGAGGAAAAGGAAATATCTTCACATAAAAACTAGACAGAAGAATTCTGAGAAACCTCTTTGTTTTGTGTGCATTCATCTCACAGAGTTGAATCATTCTTTTGATTGAGCATTTTGGAAACACTGTTTTTGTAGAATCTGCAAGTGGACCGTTGGGGCGATTTGCGGCCTAAGGTAAAAAAGGAAATATCTTCATATAAAATCTAGACAGAAGCAATCTGTGAAACTTCTTTGTGGTGTGTGCGTTCATCCCACGGAATTGAAACTTTCTTTTGATTGAGCAGTTGGAAACCCTCTTTTTGTAGACTCTGCAAGTGGACATTTGGAGTGCTTTGCGGCCTGTGGTAGAAAAGTAAATATCTTCACAGAATATCTAGACAGAAGCAATCAGAGAAACTTCTTTGTGATGTGTGCATTCATCTCACAGAGTTATCCCTTTCTTTTGATTGAGCAGTTTTGAAACTCTCTTTTTGTAGAATCTGCCAGTGGACATTTGGAGCGCCTTGTAACCTATGGTGGAAAAGGAAATATCTTCACATAAAAACTAGACAGAAGAATTCTGAGAAACTTCTTTTTGATGTGTGCATTCATCTCATGGAGTCGAACCTTTCTTTTGATTGAGCAGTTTGGAAACACTCTTTTTGTGGAATCTGCAAGTGGACATTTGGAGCACTTTGCACCTATAGTAGAAAAGGAAATATCTTCACATAAAAACTACACAGAATCAATCTGAGAAACTACTTTGTGACGTGTGCATTCATCTCACAGAGTTAAACCATTCTTTTGATTGAGCAGTTTTGAAACCCTCTTTTGTAGAATATGTAAGTGGACACTTGGAGCACTTTGAGGCCTATGGTGGAAAAGGAAATATCTTCACATAAAAACTAGGCAGAAGAATTCTCAGAAACTTCTTTGTGATGTGTGGTTTCATCTCACAGAGTTGAGCCTTTCTTTTGATTGAGCAGTTTTGAAACCCTCTTTTTGGAGAATCTGCAAGGGGACATTTGGAGCGCTTTGAGGCCTATGGTGGATAACGAAATATTTTCCCATAATAACTAGACAAAAGCATTCTGAGAAATATCTTCGTGATGTGTGTGTTTATCTCACAGGGTTAAAATTTTCTTTTGTTTGAGCAGTTTTGAATCTCTTTTTTTGTAAAATCTTCACGCGGTCATTTGGAGAGCTTTGAGGCCTTTGTTGGAAATGGAAATATCTTCACATAAAAACTAGACAGAAGAATTCTGAGAAACTTCTTTGCGATGCATGTGTTCATCTCATGGAGGTGAACCTTTCTTTTGATTGAGGAGTTCAGAAACACTCTTTTTGTAGAATCTGCAAGTGGTCATTAGAAGCGCTTTGCGGCCTATGTTAGAAAAGGAAATATCTTCACGTAAAATCTAGACAGAAGCAATCTGAGAAACTTCTTTGTGATGTGTGCATTCATCTCACAAAGTTAAACCTTTCTTCTGATTCAGCAGTTTTGAAACTCTCTATTTGTAGAATTTGCAAGTGAAAATTTGGAGTGCTCTGAGGCCTACAGTGGAAAAGGAAATATCCTCACATAAACACTAGATAGAAGCATTCTGAGAAACTACTTTGTGATGTGTGCATTCGTCTCCAAGAGTCAAAACTTTCTTTTGAAGGACCAGTTTTGAAATACTCTTTTTGTGGAATCTGCAAGTGGACATTTCGAGCGCCTTGAGGACTATTTTGGAAATCGAAATATCTTCACATAAAACTAGACAGAATAATTCTGAGAAACTTCTTTGTGATGTGTGCTTTCATATCACGGAATTGAACGTTTCTTTTGATTGAGCAGTTTGGAAACACTCTTTTTGTAGAATATGCAAGTGGACACTTGCAGTGTTTTGCAGCCTATGGTAGAAAAGGAAATATCTTCATGTAATATGTAGACAGAAGCAATCTGAGAAATTGCCTTGTGATGTGTGCATTCATCTCACAGAGTTAAACCTTTTGATTGAGAATTTTGAAACACTCTTTTTGTAGAATTTTCAAGTGGACATTTGTAGCACTTTGAGGCCTATGGTGGAAAAGGAAATATATTCACATAAAAACTACTCAGAACAATTCTGAGAAACTTCTTTGTGATGAGTGAGTTCATCTCACACAGCAGAACCTTTCTTTTGATTGAGCAGTTTTGAAACACTCTTTTTGTAGAATCTGCAAGTGGACATTTGGAGCGCTCTGCGGCCTATGGTAGAAAAGGAAATACCTACACATAAAATCTAGAAAAAAGCAACCTGGGAAACATCTTTGTGATTTGTGCATTCAAATAACAGAGTTAACTCTTTCTTTTGATTGAGCAGTTTTGAAACTCTCTCTTTGTAGAATCTATAAGTGGACATTTGTAGCGCCTTGCGGCCTATGGTAGAAAAGGAAATATCTACACATAAAATCTAGCCAGAAGCTATCCAAGAAACATCTTTGTGATGTGTTCATTCAGCTCACAGAGTTAAACCTTTCTTTTGATTGAGCAGTTTTGAAACTCTCTTTTTGTAGAATCTGCAAGTGGACATTGGGAGCACTTTGCGGCCTATGTTAGAAAAGGAAATCTCTTCACATAAAACCTAGACAGAAGCAATCTGAGAAACATCTTTGTGATGTGTGCATTCATCTCACAGAGTTAAACCTTTCTTTTCGTTGAGCAGTTTTGAACCTCTCTTTTTGTACAATCTGGATGTGGACATTTGGAGTGATTTGAGGCCTATGGTGGAAAGGGAAATATCTTCACATAAAAACTAGACAGAATTCTGAGAAACTTCTTTGTGATGTGTACGTTCATCTCACAGAGTTGAACCTTTCTTTTGATTGAGCAGTTTGGAAACACTACTTTGTATAATCTGCAAGTGGACATTTGGAGTGCGTTGTGGCCTATGGTAGAAAAGAAAATATGTTCACATAAAACCTAGACAGAAGCAATCTGAGAAACTTTTTTGTGACGTGTGTTTTCTTTTTTTTTAAAGTGTGTTTCTTTTTTTTTAGTTTATTATTATTATACTTTAAGTTTTAGGGTACATGTGAACAATCTGCAGGTTAGTTACATATGTATACATGTGCCATGCTGGTGTGCTGCACCCACTAACTAGTCATCTAGCATTAGGTATATCTCCCAATGCTATCCCGCCCCCCTCACCCCCACTCTACAACAGTCCCCAGAGTGTGATGTTCCCCTTCCTGTGTCCATTGTGTTCTCATTGTTCAATTCCCACCTATGACAGAGTTAAGCCTTTCTTTTCATTGAGCAGTTTTGAAAGTCTCTTTTTGTAGAATCTGGAAGTGGACATTTGCAGCGCTTTGAGGCCTACGGTGGAAAAGGAAATATCTTCACATAAAATCTACACAGAAGAAATCTGAATAACTTTTTTGTGATGTGTGCATTCGTCTCGCAGAGTTAAAGCTTTCTTTTTAAGGACCAGTTTTGAAATAGTCTTTTTGTAGAATCTGCAAGTGGACATTCTGAGAGCCTTGAGGCCTATTTTGGAAAAGGAAATATCTTCACATAAAAACTGGACAGAATAATTCTGAGAATCTCCTTTGTGATGCATGCGTTCATATCACAGAGTTGAACGTTTCTTTTGATTGAGCAGTTTGGAAACACTGTTTTTGCAGAATCTGCCAGTGGATATTTGGAGTGCTTTGCAGCCTATGGTAGAAAAGGAAATATCTTCACATAAAATCTAGACAGAAGCAATCTGAGAAACTTCTTTCTGATGTGTGCATTCATCTCACAGTGTTAAACCTTTCTTTTGATTGAGCAGTTTTAAATATCTCTTTGCAGAATAAGCAAGTTGGCATCGGAAGCGCTTTGAGGCATATGGAAGAAAAGGAAATATCTTCACATAAAAATTAGACAGAAGAATTCTGAGAAACTTCTTTGTGATATGTGCATTCATCTCACAGAGTTGAACTTGTCTTTTTGTTGAGAAGTTTGGAGACACTCTTTTTGTAGAATCTGCAAGTGGTCATTTGGAGCACTTTGTGGCCTATGTTAGAAAAGGGAATATCTTCACATAAAATCTATACCGAAGCCAACTGAGAAACTTCTTTGTGATGTGTGCATTCGTCTCCCAGACTTCAAATTTCTTTTGAAGGACCTGTTTTGAAATACTCTTTTTTAGAATCTGCAAGTGGACATTTTGAGCGTCTTGAGGACTATTTTGGAAATGGAAATATCTTCACATAAAAACTAGACAGAATAATTCTGAGAAACTTCTTTGTGATGTGTGCGTTTATATCACAGAGTTGTACGTTTCTTTTGATTGAGCGGTTTGGAAACACTCTTTTTGTAGAATATGCAAGTGGACATTTGCAGTGTTTTGCGACCTATGGTAGAAAAGGAAATATCTTCACATAATATTTAGACAGAAGCAATCTGAGAAACTTCCTTGTGATGTGTGCATTCATCTCACAGAGTTAAACCTTTTGATTGAGCAGTTTCGAAACTCCTCTTTTTGTAGAATTTTCAAGTGGACATTTGTAGCGCTTTGAGGCCTATGGTGGAAAAGGAAATATATTCACATAAAAACTACTCAGAACAATTCTGAGAAACTTCTTTGTGATGAGCGCGTTCATCTCACACAGCAGAACCTTTCTTTTGATTGAGTAGTTTTGAAGCTCTCTCTTTGTAGAATCTATAAGTGGACATTTGGAGCACCTTGCGGCCTATAGTAGAAAAGGAAATATCTACATATAAAATCTAGCCAGAAGCAATCCAAGGAACATCTTTGTGATGTGTGCATTCATCTCACAGAGTTAAACCTTTCTTTTGATTGAGCAGTTTTGAAACTCTCTTTTTGTAGAATCTACAAGTGGACATTGGGAGCTCTTTGAGGCCTATGTTAGAAAAGGAAATATCTTCACATAAAACCTAGATAGAGGCAATCTGAGAAACATCTTTGTGATGTGTGCATTCATCTCACGGAGTTAAACCTTTCTTTTCGTTGAGCAGTTTTTAAACTGTCTTTTTGTAGAATGTGCAAGTGGACATTTGGAGCGCTTTTTGTCCTATGGTGGGAAAGGAAGTATCTTCACATAAAAACTAGACCGAAGAATTCTGAGAAACTTCTTTGTGACGTGTACGTTCATCTCACTGAGTTGAACCTTTCTTTTGATTGAGCAGTTTGGAAACACTCTTTTTGTAGAATCTGCAAGTAGACATTTGGAGCGCTTTTCAGCCTACGGTAGAAAAGGAAATATCTTCACATCACAAAGAGAGAGTTTCAAAACTGCTCTATCAAAAGAAAGGTTTAACCCTGTGCGATGAATGCACATATCACAAAGAAGTTTCTCAGATTGCTTCTGTCTAGATTTTATGTGAAGATATTCCTTTTTCCACCATAGGCCTCAAAGCGCTCCAAATGTCCACTTGCAGATTCTACAAAAAGAGTGCTTCCAAACTGCTCGATGAAAAAAATGGTTCAACTCTGTGAGATGAATGCACGCATCACAAAGAAGTTTCTCAGAATTTTTCTATCTAGTATTTATTTGAAGATATTTCATTTTCCACCATAGTCCTTAAGGTGCACCAAATGTCCACTTGCAGATTCTACAAAAGGAGTATTTCAATACAGGTCCATCAAAAGAAAGTTTCAACTCTGTGACATGAATGCACACATCAAAAAGAAGTTTCTCCGAATGCTTCTATCTAGTTTTTATGTGAAGATATTTCCTTTTCCACCATAGGCCTAAAAGCGCTCCAACTGTACACTTGCACATTCTACAAAAAGAGAGATTCAAACTGCTCAATCAAAAGAAAGGTTTAACTCTGTGAGATGAATGCACACATCACTAAGAAATTTCTCAAATTGCTTCCGTTTAGATTTCATGTGAAGATATTTCCTTTTCATCCAAAGGGTGCAAAGCGCTCCAAATGTCCACTTGCAGATTTTACAAAAAGAGTGCTTCCAAACTGCTCAATCAAAAGAAAGGTTCAACTCTGTGAGATGAACGCACACATCACAAAGAAGTTTGTCTGAATTATTCTGTTTAGTTTTTATGTGAAGATATCTCCTTTGCCACCATAGGCCTCAAAGTGCTCCAAATGTCCACTTGCAGATTTTACAAAAACAGAGTTTCAAATCTGCTCAATCAAAAGAAAGGCTTAACTCTGTGAGATGAATGTACACATCACAAAGTAGTTTCTCAGATTGCTTATGTCTAGATTTTATGTGAAGATACTTCCTTTTCTACAGTAGGCCCCTAAGCGCTCCAAATATTCATTTGCAGATTGCAAAAAAAGAGTTTCATAATTGCTGAATCAAAAAAAAAGTTTCAACTCTGTGAGATGAACACAATTAGTTTATCAGAATTCTTTGGTCTAGTTTTTATGTGAAGATATTTCCTTTTCCACCATAGACCTCAAAAGGCTCCAAATGTCCCCTTGCAGATTTTACATAAAGAGAGTTTCAAAACTATTAAATCAAAAGAAAGGTTTAATCCTGTGTAGAATTTATGTGAAGATATTTCCTTTTCTACCACAGGCGCCAAAGTGCTCCAAATGTCCACTTGCAGATCCTACAAAAAGAGAGTTTCAAAACTGCACAATCAAAAGAAACGTTAAACACTATGTCATGAATGCACACATCTCAAAGAAGTTTCTCAGATTATTTCTGTCTAGATTTTCTGTGAAGATATTTCCTTTTCTACTATAGGCCGCAAAGCACTCCAAATGTCCACTTGCAGATTCTACAAAGGAGTGTTTCCAAATTGCTCAATCAAAAGAAAGGTTCAACTCTGTGCAATGAACGCACATATCACAAAGAAGTTTCTCAAAATTCTTCTGTCTAATTTTTATATGAGGATATTTCCTTTTCCACCCTAGGCCTCAAAAGGCTCCCAATGTCCACTTGCAGATTTTATGCAAAGAGAGTTTCAAAACTGCTCAATCAAAAGGAAATTTTAATTCTGTGAGTTAAATGCACATATCACAAAGAAGTTTCCCCGATTGCCTCTGTCTCGATTTTATGTGAAGATATTTCCTTTTCTACCATAGTCTGCAAAACGCTCCATATGTCCACTTGCAGATTCTACAAAAAGCGTGTTTCCAAACTGCTCAATCAAAAGAAAGTTTCAACTCTGTGAGATGAACTCATACATCACAAAGAAGTTTCTCAGAATTCTTCTGTCTAGTTTTTATGTGAACATATTTCCTTTTCCACCATAGGCCTCAAAGTACTCCAAATGTCCACTTGCAGATTCTACAAAAAGAGAGTTTCAAAACTGCTCAATCAAAAGAAAGGTTCAACTCTGTGATCTGAATGCACACATCACAAAGAAGTTTCTCAGCTTGCTTCTGTGTAGTTTTTATGTGAAGATATTTCCCTTTCTACCATAGGCCTCAAACTGCTCCAAATGTCCACTTGTAAATTCTACAAAAAGGGAGTTCAAAACTGCTCAATAAGAGAAAGTTTCAACTCTGTGAGATGAATGCACACGTCAAAAAGAAGTTTCTCAGATTGATTCTGTCTGGATTTATGTGAAGACATTTTCTTTTTTGCAATAGACAGTAAAGCACTCCAAATGTCCACTTGCAGATTCTAAAAAAAGGAGAATTTCAAAACTGCTCAATCGAAAGACAGGTTCAACTCTGTTAGATAAATGCGCACATCACAAAGAAGTTTCTCAGAATGCTTCTGTGTAGTTTTTATGTGAAGATATTTCCTTTTCCACAATACGCTTCAAAGCACTCCTTATATCCACTTGCAAATTCTGCAAAAAGAGTGCTTCAAAACTGCTCAACCATAAGATAGGTGCACACCTGTCAGATCAATGCACGCATCACAAAGAAATTTGTCAGAATGCTTCTGTGTAGTTTTTATGTGAACATATTTGCTTTTCCACAGTAGGCCTCAAGTCGCTCCAAATATCCACTTGCATATTCAACAAAAACAGTGTTTCAAAACTGCTCAATAAAAAAAGGGATCAATTCTGTGAGATGAACGCACACATCACAAAGAAGTTTCTCAGAATGCTTCTATGAAGTTTTTATGTGAATTTATTTCATTTCCTACAGTAGGCTTCAAAGCTCTCCAAATATACACTTGCAGATTCTGCAAAAAGAGAGATTCAAAACTGCTCAATCAAAAGATAGGTTGAACCCTATGAGATGAATGCGCACATCACAAAGAAGTATCTCAGAATGCTTCTGTGTAGTTTTTACTTGAATATATTTTCTTTTCCGCCACAGACCGAAAATGTCTCCAAATATCCACTTGCAGATTCTTTAAAAGGAGACATACAAAACTGTTCAATCAAAAGATAGGTTCAACTCTGTGAGTTGAATGCACATATCACAAAGAAATTTCTCAGAATGCTTCTGTGTAGTTTTAATGTGATGATATTTTCTTGTCCACAATAGACCTCAAAGCTCTCCAAATATCCACTTGTAGATTCTGCCTAAAGAGAGATTTAAAACTGCTCAATCAAAAGATTGCTTCGACTCTGTGTGTTGAATACACACCTCACAAAGAAGTTTCTCAGAATGCTTCTGTGTAGTTTTTATGTGCACATATTTACCTTTCCATAGTAGGTCTAAAAGCGCTCCAAAAATCCACATAGAGATTCTGCAAAAAGGGAGACTTGAGACTGCTAAATCAAAAGATAGGTTCAACTCTGTCAGTTGAATGGACACATCACAAAGAAGTTTCCAAGAATGTTTCTGTGTAGTTTTTATGTGAAGATATTTCCTCTTCCAAAATAGGCCTCAAAGCCCTTAAAATATCCACTTCCAGATTCTACAAAAAGAGTGTTTCAAAACTACTCAATCAAAAGAAAGTTTCAACTCTGTGTGATGAATGCACTCATCACAAAGAAGCTTCTCAGAATGCTTCTGTGTAGTTTTTATTTGAAGATATTTCCTTTTCCACCATAGGGCGCAAAGGGCTCCTAATATCCACTAGCAGATTTTACAAAAAGAGAGATTCAAAACTGCTAAGTCAAAAGATAGGTTCAACTCTGTGAGTTGAATGCACAGGTAACAAAGAAGTTTCGAAAAATGTTTCTGTGTAGTATTTATGAGAAGATATATGCTTTTCCAAAACAGGCCTCAAATCGCTCCAAATATCCACTGGCAGATTCTACAAAAAGAGTGTTTCCAAACTCCTCAATCAAAAGAAGGGTTAAAATCTGTGAGATGAATGCACACATCACAAAGAAGTTTCTCAGAATGCTTCTGTGTAGTTTTTATGTGAAGATATTTGCTTTTCTGCAGTAGGCCTCAAAGTGCTCCAAATATCCACTTGCAGATACTACAAAAACAGTGTTTCAAAACTGCTCAATCAAAAGAATGGATCAACTCTTTGAGATGAATGCACACATCACAGAGAAGTTTCTCAGAATGCTTCTGTGTAGTTTTTATGTGAAGATATCTCCTTTTCCAAAGTAGGCCTCAAAGCACTGCAAATATCCATTTGCAGATTCTGCAAAAAGAGAGATTCAAAAGTGCTCAATCAAAAGATAGGTTCAACTCTGTGAGTTGAATGCACACATAACAAAGAAGTTTCTCAGAATGCTTCTGTGTAGTTTTTATGTGAAGATATTTGCTTTTCCACAGTAGGCCTCAAAGTGCTCAAAATATCCACTTGCAGATTCAACAAAAGCAGTGTTTCAAAACTGCTCAATAAAACAAGAGATCAACTCTGAGAGATGAATGCATGCATCACAAACAAGTTTCTCAGAACGCTTCAGGGAAGTTTTTATGTGAATTTATTTCCTTTCCCACAGTAGGCCTCAAGACTCTCCAAATATCCACTTGCAGATTCTGTAAAAAGAGAGATTCAAAACTGCTCAATCAAAAGATAGGTTCAACCTTATGAGATGAATGAAAACATCACGAAGAAGTTTCTGAGAATGCTTCTGTGTAGTTTTATTTGAAGTTATTTCCTCTTCCACCATGGACTGCAAACGGCTCCAAATATCCACTTGCAGATTCTACAAAAAGAGAGATACAAAACTCCTCAATCAAAAGATAAGTTCAACTCTGTAAGTTGAATGCACACATCACAAAGAAGTTTCTCAGAATGCTTCTGTGTAGTTTTTATGTGAAGATATTTGCTTTTCCACAGTAGACCTCAAAGCTCCCCAAATATCCACTTGCAGATTCTGCAAAAAGAGACATTCAAAACTGCTCAATCAAAAGATAGCATCGACACTGTGAGTTGAATGCACACCTTACAAAGAAGTTTCTCAGAATGCTTCTGTGTATATTTTATGTGAAGATATTTCCTTTTCCACAATAGGCCTCAAAACGCTACAAATATCCACCAGCAGATTCTACAAAAAGAGTGTTTCAAAACTGCTCAATCATAAGATAGGTTTAACCCTGTGAGATGAATGCACACATCACAATGTAATTTCTCAGAATCCTTCTGTGTAGTTTTTATTTAAAGATATGTCCTTTGCCACCATAGAATGCAAAGGGCTCCCAATATCCACTTGCAGATTCTACAAAAACAGAGATTCAAAACTGCTCAAGCAAAAGATACGTACAACTCTGTGAGTTGAATACATACATCAGAAAGTAGTTTCTCAGAATGCTTCTGTGTATTTTTTCTCGGAAGATATTTCCTTTTCCACAATAGGCCTCAAAGCCCTCCAAATATCCACTTGCAGATTCTGCAAAAAGAGAGATTCAAAACTGCTCAATCAAATGATAGGTTCGACTCTCTGAGTTCAATGCACACCTCACAAAGAAGTTTCTTAGAATGCTTCCGTGTCGTTATTATGTGAAGGTATTCGCTTCTCCACTGTAGGCCTCAAAGCGCTCCAAATATCCTCTTGCAGATTATTCAAAAAGAGATTCAAAACTGCTCAATGAAAAGATAGGTTCAACTCTGTGAGTTGAATGCACACATCACAGAGAAGTTTCTCAGAATGCTTCTGTGTAGTTTTTATGTGAAGATATTTCCTTTCCCATAATAGGCCTCAAAGCCCTCCAAATATCCACTTCCAGATACTGCAAAAAGAGTGTTTCAAAGCTGCTCAATCAAAAGAAATGTTCAATTCTGTGTGATGAATGCACTTATCACAAAGAAGTTTCTCTGAATTCTTCTGTGTAGTTTTTATGTGAAGATATTTCCTTTTCCACAATAGACCTCAAAGCTTTCCAGTTATCCACCTGCAGATTCTGCAAAAAGAGAGATTCAAACTGCTCAATCAAAATAATGGTTCAACTCGGTGAGATGAATGCACACATCACAAAAAAGTTTCTAAGAATCCTTCTGTGTGGTTTTTATGTGAAGATATTCACTTTTCCACAGTAGGCTTCAAGGCGCTCCAAATATCCACTTGCAGAGACTGCAAAAACAGTGTTTCAAAACTGTTCAATCAAAAGAAAGGATCAACTCTGTGAGATGAATGCACATATGACAAAGATTTTTCTCAGAATGCTTCTGTGTAGTTTTTATGTGAAGATATTACCTTTTCCACCATAGGCCACAAAGGGCTCCAAATATCCACTTGCAGATTCCACAAAAAGAGAGTTTCAAAACTGCTCAATGAGAAGATAAGTTCAACTCTGTGAGTTGAATGCACACCTCACAAAGAAGGTTCTCAGAATGCCACTGTGTAGTTTTAATGTGAAGATATTTCCTTTCCACAATAGGCCTCAAAGCTCTCCAAACATCCACTTGCAGATTCTGCAAAAAGAGAGATTCAAAACTGCTCAATCAGAAGATAGGTTCAACTCTGTGAGTTGAATGCACACATCATGAAGAAGTTTCTCACAATGCTTCTGTGTAGTTTTTATGTGAACATACTTGATTTTCCACAGTAGGCCTCACAGTGCTCCAAATATCCACTTGCGGATTCTAAAAAAAGAGAAATTCAAAAATGCTCAGTCAAATGACAGGTTCAACTCTGTGAGTTCAAAGTACACATCACAAAATAGTTTCTCAGAAGGCTTCTGAGTAGTTTTTATGTGAAGATATTTCTTTTTCCACAATAGGCCTCAAAGGGCTCCAATTATCCACTTTCAGATTCTACAAAAAGAGTGTTTCAAAACTGCTCAATCAAAAGAAAGGTTCAACTCTGTGAGATGAATGCACACATCACAAAGAAGTTTCTCAGAATGCTTCTTTGTAGTTTTTATCTGAAGATATTTACTTTTCCACGGTAGGCCTCAAAGCGCTGCAAATATCCACTTGCAGATTCTACAAAAAGAGTGTTTCAAAACTGCTCAATCAGAATATAGGTTCAACCCTGTGGGATGAATGCGCACATCACAAAGAGGTTTCTCAGAATGTTTCTGTGTAGTTTTTATTTGAAGATATTTCCTTTTCCACCATAGGCCACAAAGGATTCCAAATATCCACTTGCGGATTCTGCAAAATGAGAGATTCAAAACTCCTCAATCAAAAGATAGGTTCAACTCTGGAAGTTGAATGCACACATCCCAAATAAGTTTCTCAGAATGCTTCTGTGTAGTTTGTATGTGAAGATATTTGCTTTTCCACAGTAGGCCCCAAAGAGCTCCAAATATCCACCTGCAGGTTCTGCAAAAAGAGAGATTCAAAACTGCTCAATCAAAAGATTGGTTCTACTCTGTGAGTTGAATGTACCCATCACGAAGAAGTTTTGAGAATGCTAGTTTTTATTTGAAGATATTTCCTTTTCCACCATAGGGCACAAAGGGCCCCAAATATCCACTGGCAGATTCTACAGAAAGAGAGATTCTAAACTGCTCAATCAAAAGACAGGTTCAACTCTCTGAGTTGAATGCACACATCACAAAGAAGTTTCTCAGAGTGCTTCTGAGTGGCTTTTATGTGAAGATATTTGTTTTTCCAAAATAGGCCTAAAAGTGCTCCAATTATCCACTTGGAGATCTACAAAAAGAGTGTTTCAAACCTACTCAATCATAAGATAGGTTCAACCCTGTGAGATGAATGCGCACATCACAAAGAAATTTCTCAGAATGTTTTTGTGTAGTTTTTACTTGAAGACATTTCCCTTTCCACCATAGACCGCAACGGGCTCCAATTATGCACCTACAGATCCCAGAAAAAGAGAGTTTCGAAACTTCTCAATCAAAAGAAAGGTTCAACTCTGTGAGATGAATGCACACATCACAAGGAAGTTTCTCAGAATGCTTCTGTGTAGTTTTCATGTGAAGGTATTTCCTTTTCCACAATTGGCCTCAAAGCTCTCCAAATATCCACTTGCAGATCCTACAAGAAGAGTGTTTCAAAACTGCTCAATTATAAGATAGGTTCAACCCTGTGAGATGAATGCACACGTCACAAAGAAGTTTCTCAGAATGCTTCTGTTTAGTTTTTATTTGAAGATATTTCCTTTCCACCATAGGCCACAAAGGGCTCCAAATATCCACTTGCAGATTCTGCAAAAACAGTGTTTCAAAACTGCTCAATCAAAAGAAAATTTCAACTCTGTGAGATGAATACACACATCAAAAAGCAGTTTCTCAGAATGATTCTGTGTAGTTTTATCTGAAGATATTTGCTTTTGCACGGTAAGCCTCAAAGCACTCCAAATATCCACTTGCAGATTCTATAAAAAGAGTGTTTCAAAACTGCTCAATCATAAGATAGGTTCAACTCTGTGAGTTGAATGCACACATCGCGAAGAAGTTTCTCAGAATGCTTCTGTGTAGTTTTAATGTGAAGATATTTTCTTTTCCATCATAGGGTGCAAAGTGCTCCAAATATCCACTTGCAGATTCTACAAGAAGAGAGATTCTAAACTGCTCAAAAAAATGAATAGGTTCAACTCTGTGAGTTGAATGCACACATCACAAAGAAGTTTCTCAGAATTCTTCTGAGTTGTTTTCATGTGAAGATATTTCCTTTTCCACAATAGGCCTCCAAGGGCTCCAATTATCCACTTGCTGATTCCACAAAAAAAGTGTTTCAAAACTGCTCAATCAAAAGAAAGTTTCAACTCTGTGAGATGAATGCACACATCACAAAGAAGTTTCTCAGAATGCTTCTGTGTAGTTTTTATGTGAAGATATTTCCTTTTCCACAATAGGCCTCAAAGGGCTCCAATTATCCACTTACAGATTCTACAAATGAGAGTTTTAAAACTGCTCAATCAAAAGAAAGGTTCAACTCTAAGAGATGGATGCACACATCACAAAGAAGTTTCTCAGAATGCTTCTGTGTAGTTTTTATCTGAAGATATTTGCTTTTCCGCCATAGGCCTCAAAGAGCTCCAAATATCCACTTGCAGATTCTAGAAAAAGAGTGTTTCAAAACTGCTCAATCATAAGATAGGTTCAACCCTGTCAGTTGAATGCACACATCACAAAGAAGTTTATCAGAATGTTTCTGTGTAGTTTTATTTGAAGATATTTTCTTTTCCACCATAGGCCGGAAAGGGCTCCAAATATCCACTTGCAGATTCTGCAAAAAGAGAGATTCAAAACTGGTGAATCAAAAGATAGGCTCAACTTTGTGAGTTGAATGCACACATCACAAAGAAGTTTCTGAGAATGCTTCTGTCTAGTTTTTATGTGAACATATTTCCTTTTCAACCATAGGCCTCAAAGAGCTCCAAATATCCACTTGCAGATTCTAGAAAGAGAAAGTTTCAAAACAGCTCAATCGCAAGAAATGTTCAACTCTTTCACATAAATGAACACATCACAAAGAAGTTTCTCAGAATGCTTCTGTGTAGTTTTTGTGTGAAGATATTTGTTTTTCCACAGTTGACTTCAAAGGCCTCCAATTATGCATTTGCATATTCTACAAAAAGATAGATTCAAAACTGCTCAATGAGAAGATAAGTTCAAGTCTCTGTGTTGAATGCACACCTCACAAAGAAGTTTCTCAGAATGCTTCGTGTCGTTTTTATGTGAAGATATTTCCTTTTCCACAGTAGACCTCAAAGCTCTCCAAATATAACTTGCAGATTTTACAAAAAGAGAGATTCTAAATCGCTCAATCAAAAGATAGGTTCAACTCTGTGAGTTGAATGCACACATCACAAAAAAGTTTCTCGGAATGCTTTTGATTAGTTTTTATGTGAAGATATTACCTTTTACACAACAGGCCTCAAAGGGCTCCAATTACCCACTTGGAGATTCTACAAAAAGAGTGTTTCAAAACTGCTCAATCAAAAGCAAATTTCAAATCTTTCAGATGAATGCACACATCAAAAAGAAGTTTCTCAGAATGCTTCTCTCTAGTTTTTATGTGAAGATATTTCCTTTTCCACAATAGGCTTAAAAGGGCTCCAAATATCTACCTGCAGATTTTGTAAAAAGCGAGATTCAAAATAGGTTCAACTCTGCAAGAAGAATGCATACATCACAAAGTAGTTTCTCTGAATGCTTCTGTGTAGTTTTTATTTGAAGACATTTCCTTTTCCACCACAGGGTGCAAAGGGCTCCAAATATCCACTTGCAGACTCTACAAAAAGAGTGTTTCAAAACTGCTTTATCAAAAGAAAGGTTCCACTGTGTGAGTTGAATGCACACATCACAAAGAAGCTTCTGAGAATGCTTCTGTCTAGTTTTTATGTGAAGATGTTTCCGTTTCCACCATAGGCCCCAAAGCGCTCCAAATATCCACTTGCAGATTCTACAAAAGGAGTGTTTCAAAACTGCTCTATCAAAGAAAAGTTTCAACTCTGTGAGTTCAATGCACACATCACAAAGTAGTTTCATAGAATGCTTCTGTCTAGTTTTTATGTGAAGATATTTCGGTTTCCAACATAGGCCTCCAAAGGAACAAAATATCCACTTGCAGATACTAGAAAAAGAGTATTTCAAAACTGCTCTATCAAAAGAAAGGTTCAAATCTGTTACTTGAATACACACATTACAAAGAAGTTCCTGAGAATGCTTCTGTCTAGTTTTTATGTGAAAATATTTCCTTTTCCACCATAGGCCTCAAATCGCTCCAAGTATCCACTTGCAGATTCCACAAAAAGAGTGCCTCAAAACTGCTCTATCAAAAGAAAGGTTCAACACTGTTATTTGAATGCACACATCACAAAGAAGTTTCTGAGAATGTTTCTGTCTAGTTTTAATGGGAACAGAGTTCCTTTTCCACTATAATCCTCGAAGTGCTTCAAATATTCACTTGCAGATGCTACAAAAAGAGTGTTTCAAAACTGCTCTATGAAAAGAAAGGTTCAAATCTGTGAGTGGAATGCACACATCACAAAGAAGTTTCTGAGAACCTTTCTATGTAGCTTTTATGTGAAGATATTTCCTTTTCCACCATAGGCCTGAAAGCGCTCAAAATATCCGCTTGCAGATTCTACAAAAAGAGTGTTTTAAAACTGCTCTATCAAAAGAAAGGTTCAACACTGTGAGTTGAATACACACACCACAAAGCAGTTTCTGAGAATGCTTCTGTCTAGTTTTTATGTGAAGATATTTCGTCTTCCAAAAGAGGCCTTCAAGGGAAAAAAAATCCACGTGCAGATTCTACAAAAAGAGTGTTTCAAAGCTGCTCTATCCAAAGAAAAGTTCAACTCTGTGAGTTGAGTGCACAC
Source organism: Homo sapiens (assembly GCF_000001405.40). NCBI lineage: Eukaryota > Metazoa > Chordata > Mammalia > Primates > Hominidae > Homo > Homo sapiens. Next base: position 57,940,125 of record NC_000007.14, read on the forward strand.
CTCACAAAGAAGTTTCGGGGAATTCTTCTGTCTAATTTTTATGTGAAGATATATCCTTTTCCACTTTAGGTCTCAAAGCCCTCAAAATATCCACTGGTAGATTCTACAAAAAGAGTGTTTCAAAACTGCTCTATCAAAAGAAAGGTACAACTCTGTGAGTTGAATGCACAATTCACAAAGAAGTTTCGGAGAATGCTTCTGTCTAGTTTTTATGTGAAGATATTTCGTTTTCCAATATAGGCCTCAAAGGGAACAAAATATCCACTTGCAGATTCTACAAAAAGAGTTTTTCAAAACTGCTCTATCAAAAGAAAGGTTCAACTCCGTGAGTTGAATGCACACATCACAAAGAAGTTTTGGAGAATGCTTCTGTCTAGTTTTTATGTGAAGATATTTTGCTTTCCAACATAGGTCTCCAAGGGAAACAATTATCCACTTGCAGATACTACAAAAAGTATGTTTCAAAACTGCTCTATCAAAGGAAACGTTCAAATGTGTGAGTTGAAGACACGCATCACAAAGAAGTTTCCGAGAATGCTTCTGTGTAGTTTTTATGTGAAGATATTTCCTTTTCCACCATAGGCCTCAAAGCGCTCCAAATATGCACTTGTAGATTCTACAAAAAGAGTTTTCAAAAGTGCTCTATCAAAAGAAAGGCTCAACTCTGTGAGTTGAATGCACGCATCGCAAAGTAGTTTCTGAGAATGCTTCTGTCTAGTTTTTATGTGAAGATATTTCATTTTCCAAGATAGGACTCAAAGCGCTCTTTATATACACTTGCAGATTCTACAAAAAGAGTGTTTCAAAACTGCTCTATCAAAAGGAAGGTTCAAAACTGTGAGTTAAATGCACACATCACAAAGTAGGTTCTGAGAATGATTCTGTCTAGTTTTAATGTAAAGATATATAGTTTTCCAACATAGGCCCCAAAGAGAACTAAATATCACCTTGCAGATTATACAAAAAGAGTGTTTCAGAATTCCTCTCTCAAAAGAAAGTTTCAACTCTGTTGGGTGAATGGACGCATCACAAAGAAGTTTCGGAGAATGCTTCTGTCTAGTTTTTATGTGAAGATATTTCCCTTTCCACCGTAGGCCTCAAAGTGCTCCATATCTCCACTTGCAGATTTTAGAAAAAGAGTGTTTCAAAACTGCTCTATCAAAAGAAAGGTTCAACACTGTGAGTTGAATGCATACATTGCAAAGAACTTCCTGAGAATGCTTCTGTCCAGTTTTAATATGAAGATATTTCCTTTTCCACCATAGTGCTAAAAGCGCTCCAAATATTCACTTGCAGATTCTACAAAAAGAGTGTTTCAAAACTGCTCTATCAAAGAAAAGGTTCAACACTGTGAGTTGAATGCAGAGATCACAAATAAGTTTCTGAGAATGCTTCTGTCTTGTTTTTATGTGAAGATATTACTTTTTCCAACATTGGCCACCAGTGGAAACAAATATCCACTTGTAGATTCTAGAAAAAGAGTGTTTCAAAACTGCTGTATCAAAAGAAAGGTTCAAATGTGTGAGTTGAATGCACACATCAGAAAGAAGTTTCTAAGAATGCTTCTGTGTAGTTTCTATGTGAAGATATTTCCTTTTCCACCACAGGTCGCAAAGGGCTACAAATATCCACTTGCATATTCTACAAAAAGAGTGCTTCAAAACTCCTCTATCAAAAGAAAGGATCAACACTGTGATTTTAATGCACACATAACAAAGCAGTTTCTCAGAATGCTTCTGTCTAGTTTTATATGAAGATAATTCATTTTCCAACAGAGGCCTAAAAGGAAAAAAAAATCCACTTGCAGATTCTCCAAAAAGAGTGTTTCAAAACTGCTGTATCCAAAGAAAAGTTCAAATCTGTGAGTTGAGTGCACATATCACAAAGAAATTTCGGAGAATTCTTCTGTCTAATTTTTATGTGAAGATATTTCCTTTTCCACCTAAGGTCTCAAAACCCTCAAAATATCCACTTGCAGATTCTGCAAAAAGAGTGTTTCAAAACTGTTCTATCAAAAAAAAAAATTACTGTAGCCTTGTAGTATAGTTTGAAGTCAGGTAGTGTGATGCCTCCAGCTTTGTTCTTTTGGCTTAGGATTGACTTGGCGATGCGGGCTCTTTTTGGTTCCATATGAACTTTAAAGTAGTTTTTTCCAATTCAGTGAAGAAAGTCATTGGTAGCTTGATGGGGATGGCATTGAATCTGTAAATTACCTTGGGCAGTATGGCCATTTTCACGATATTGATTCTTCCTACCCATGAGCATGGAATGTTCTTCCATTTGTTTGTATCCTCTTTTATTTCCTTAAGCAGTGGTTTGTAGTTCTCCTTGAAGAGGTCCTTCACATCCCTTGTAAGTTGGATTCCTAGGTATTTTATTCTCTTTGAAGCAATTGTGAATGGGAGTTCACTCATGATTTGGCTCTCCGTTTGTCTGTTGTTGGTGTATAAGAATGCTTGTGATTTTTGTACATTGATTTTGTATCCTGAGACTTTGCTGAAGTTGCTTATCAGCTTAAGGAGATTTTGGGCTGAGAAAATGGGGTTTTCTAGATATACAATCATGTCGTCTGCAAACAGGGACAATTTGACTTCCTCTTTTCCAAATTGAATACCCTTTATTTCCTTCTCCTGCTTAATTGCCCTAGCCAGAACTTCCAACACTATGTTGAATAGGAGTGGTGAGAGAGGGCATCCCTGTCTTGTGCCAGTTTTCAAAGGGAATGCTTCCAGTTTTTGCCCATTCAGTATGATCTTGGCTGTGGGTTTGTCATAGATAGCTCTTATTATTTTGAAATACATCCCATCAATACCTAATTTATTGAGAGTTTTTAGCATGAAGGGTTGTTGAATTTTGTCAAAGGCTTTTTCTGCATCTATTGAGATAATCATGTGGTTTTTGTCTTTGGCTCTGTTTATATGCTGGGTTACATTTATTGATTTGCGTATATTGAAGCAGCCTTGCATCCCAGGGATGAAGCCCACTTGATCATGGTGGATAAGCTTTTGGATGTGCTGCTGGATTCATTTTGCCAGTATTTTATTGAATATTTTTGCATCAATGTTCATCAAGGATATTGGTCTAAAATTCTCTTTTTTTGTTGTGTCTCTGCCTGGCTTTGGTATCAGAATGATGCTGGCCTCATAAAATGAGTTAGGGAGGATTCCCTCTTTTTCTATTGATTGGAATAGTTTCAGAAGGAATGGTACCAGTTCCTCCTTGTACCTCTGGTAGAATTCGGCTGGGAATCCATCTGGTCCTGGACTCTTTTTGGTTCGTAAGCTATTGATTATTGCCACAATTTCAGCTCCTGTAATTGGTCTATTCAGAGATTCAACTTCTTCCTGGTTTAGTCTTGGGAGAGTGTATGTGTCGAATTTATCCATTTCTTCTAGATTTTCTAGTTTATTTGCGTAGAGGTGTTTGTAGTATTCTCTGATGGTAGTTTGTATTTCTGTGGGATCGGTGGTGATATCCCCTTTATCATTTTTTATTGCATCTATTTGATTCTTCTCTCTTTTTTTCTTCATTAGTCTTGCTAGCCGTCTACCAATTTTGTTGATCCTTTCAAAAAACCAGCTCTTCGATTCATTAATTTTTTGAAGGTTTTTTTGTGTCTCTATTTCCTTCAGTTCTGCTCTGATTTTAGATATTTCTTGCCTTCTGCTAGCTTTTGAATGTGTTTGCTCTTGCTTTTCTAGTTCTTTTAATTGTGATGTTAGGTTTTCAATTCTGGATCTTTCCTGCTTTCTCTTGTGGGCATTTAGTGCTATAAATTTCCCTCTACACACTACTTTGAATGTGTCCCAGAGATTCTGGTATGTTGTGTCTTTGTTCTCGTTGGTTTCAAAGAACATCTTTATTTCTGCCTTCATTTCGTTATGTACCCAGTAGTCATTCAGGAGCAGATTGTTCAGTTTCCATGTAGTTGAGCGGTTTTGAGTGAGATTCTTAATCCTGAGTTCTAGTTTGATTGCACTGTGGTCTGAGAGACAGTTATAATTTCTGTTCTTTTACATTTGCTGAGGAGAGCTTTACTTCCCAGTATGTGGTCAATTTTGGAATAGGTGTGGTGTGGTGCTGAAAAAAATGTATATTCTGTTGATTTGGGATGGAGAGTTCTGTAGATGTCTATTAGGTCCACTTGGTGCAGAGCTGAGTTCAATTCCTGGGTATCCTTGTTGACTTTCTGTCTCATTGATCTGTCTAATGTTGACAGTAGGGTGTTAAAGTCTCCCATTGTTAATGTGTGGGAGACTAAGTCTCTTTGTAGGTCTCTCAGGACTTGCTTTATGAATCTGGGTGCTCCTGTATTGGGTGCATATATATTTAGGATAGTTAGCTCTTCTTGTTGAATTGATCCCTTTACCATTATGTAATGGCCTTCTTTGTCTCTTTTCATCTTTGTTGGTTAAAAGTCTGTTTTATCAGAGACTAGGATTGCGACCCCTGCCCTTTTTTGTTTTCCATTGGCTTGGTAGATCTTCCTCCATCCTTTTATTTTGAGCCTATGTGTGTCTCTGCACGTGAGATGGGTTTCCTGAATACAGCACACTGATGGGTCTTGACTCTTTATCCAATTTGCCAGTCTGTGTCTTTTAATTGGAACATTTAGTCCATTGACATTTAAAGTTAATATGGTTATGTGTGAATTTGATCCTGTCATTATGATGTTAGCTGGTTATTTTGTTAGTTAGTTGATGCCGTTTCTTCCTAGTCCTGATGGTCTTTACATTTTGGCATGATTTTGCAGTGGCTGGTACTGGTTGTTCCTTTCCATGTTTAGTGTTTCCTTCAGGAGCTCTTGTAAGGCAGGCCTGGTGGTGACAAAATCTCTCAGCATTTGCTTGTCTGTAAAGTATTTTATTTCTCCTTCACTTATGAAGCTTAGTTTGGCTGGATATGAAATTCTGGGTTGAAAATTCTTGTCTTTAAGAGATATAGATCAATGGAACAGAACAGAGCCCTCAGAAATAATGCCACATATCTACAACTATCTGATCTTTGACAAACCTGAGAAAAACAAGCAATGGGGAAAGGATTCCCTATTTAGTAAATGGTGCTGGGAAAACTGGCTAGCCATATGTAGAAAGCTGAAACTGGATCCCTTCCTTATACAAAAATCAATTCAAGATGGATTAAAGACTTCAACGTTAGACCTAAAACCATAAAAACCCTAGAAGAAAACCTAGGCATTACCATTTAGGACATAGGCATGGCCAAGGACTTCATGTCTAAAACACCAAAAGCAATGACAACAAAAGACAAAATTGACAAATGGGATCTCATTAAACTAAAGAGCTTCTGCACAGCAAAAGAAACTACCATCAGAGTGAACAGGCAACCTACAAAATGGGAGAAAATTTTCGCAACCTACTCATCTGACAAAGGGCTAATATCCAGAATCTACAATGAACTCAAACAAATTTACAAGAAAAAAACAAACAACCCCATCAAAAAAGTGGGCGAAGGACATGAACAGACACTTCTCAAAAGAAGACATTTATGCAGCCAAAAAACACATGAAAAAATGCTCATCATCACTGGCCATCAGAGAAATGCAAATCAAAACCACAGTGAGATACCATCTCACACCAGTTAGAATGGCAATCATTAAAAAGTCAGGAAACAACAGGTGCTGGAGAGGATGTGGAGAAATAGGAACACTTTTACACTGTTGGTGGGACTGTAAACTAGTTCAACCATTGTGGAAGTCAGTGTGGCGATTCCTCAGGGATCTAGAACTAGAAATACCATTTGACCCAGCCATCCCATTACTGGGTATATACCCAAAGGACTATAAATCATGCTGCTATAACGACACATGCACACGTATGTTTATTGTGGCATTATTCACAATAGCAAAGACTTGGAACCAACCCAAATGTCCAACAATGATAGACTGGATTAAGAAAATGTGGCACATATGCACCATGGAATACTATGCAGCCATAAAAAATGATGAGTTCATGTCCTTTATAGGGACATGGATGAAATTGGAAATCATCATTCTCAGTAAACTATCGCAAGAACAAAAAACCAAACACCGCATAATCTCACTCACAGGTGGGAATTGAACAATGAGATCACATGGACACAGGAAGGGGAATATCACACTCTGGGGACTGTTGGGGGGTGGGGGGAGGGGGGAGGGATAGCATATGGAGATATACCTAATGCTAGATGACGAGTTAGTGGGTGCAGTGCACCAACATGTCACATGTATACATATGTAACTAACCTGCACAATGTGCACATGTACCCTATAACTTAAAGTATATATATAAAAAAAAGATACAACTCTGTGGGTTGAATTCTCAAATCACAAAGAAGTTTCTGAGAATGCTTCTGTCTAGTTTTTATGTGAAGATATTTCGGTTTCCAACATAGGCTTCCCAGAGAAAAAAAATCCACTCACAGCTTCTACAAAGAGTGTTTGAAAACTGCTCCATCAAAGAAAGTTCAACTGTGTGAGTTGAAAGCCACATAACAAAGAAGTTTCAGAGAATGCTTCTCTCTAGTTTTTATGTGAAGATATGTTGTTTTCCAACATAGGTCTCCAAGGGAAACAAATATCCACTTGCAGAAACTACAAAAAGAGTGTTTCAAAGATGTTCTATCAAGAGAAACGTTCAAATGTGTGAGTTGAAAGCACACATCACAAAGATGTTTCTGAGAATGCTTCTGTGTAGTTTTTATGTGAAGATATTTCCTTTTCTACCATAGGCCTCAAAGAGCTCCAAATATGCACTTGTAGATTCTACAAAAATTGTGTTTCAAAACTGCTCTATCAAAAGAAAGGTACAGCTCTGTGTGTTGAATGCACACAGCACAAAGAAGTTTCTGAGAATGCTCTTATCTAATTTTTCTGTGAAGATATTTCATTTTCTAACATAGGCATCAAACCGCTCCAAATATACACTTGCAGATTCTACAAAAAAAGTGTTTCAAAACTGCTCTATGAAAAGAAAGGTTCAACTCTGTGAGTTGAATGCATGCATCACAAAGAAGTTTCTGAGAATGCTTCTGTCTAGTTTTTATGTGAAGATATCTCCTTTTCCACAATAGGCCTCAAAGCGCTCCAAATACCCACTTGCAGATTCTACAAAAAGAGTGTTTCAATAGTGCTCTATCAAAAGAATGTTTCAACTCTGTGAGATGAATGTGCACATCACAAAGTAGTTTCTGAGAATGCCTCTGTCTAGTTTTTATGTGAAGATATTACTTTTTCCATCATATGCCTCAAAGCGCTCCAATTATCCATTTTGAGATTCCAGAAAAATTGGGTTTCCAAACTGGTCCATCAAAAGAACGGTTGAAATCCGTGAGTTGAATGCAGACATCACAAAGAAGTTTATGGGAATACTTTAGTATAGTTTCTATGTGACGATATTTCCTTTTCTACCATAGGCTTCAAAGCGCTCCAAATATCCTCTTGCAGATTCTACAAAAAGAGAGTTTTAAAACTGCTCTATCAAAAGAAAGGTTCAACTCTGTGAGTTGAAGGCCCACACCACAAAGAAATTTCTGAGAATGCTTCTGTCTAGTTTTCATATGAAGATATTTCCATTTCCACCATAGGCCTAAAAGCGCTCCAAATATCCACTTGCAGATTCTACAAAAAGAGAGTTTCAAAACTTCTCTATCTAAAGAATGGTTCAACTCTGTGAGTTGAATGCACACATCACAAACAAGTTTCTGAGAATGCGTCTTTCTAGTTTTTATATGAAGATACTTCCTTTTCCAACATAGGCCTCAAAGCGCCCCCAATATCCACTTGCAGATTGTACAAAAAGGGTTTAAAAACTGCTCTATCAAAAGAAAGGTTCAACTCTGTGCATTGAATGCACACATCAAAAAGAAATTACTGATAATGCTTCTGTCTAGTTTTTAAATGAAGATATTTCATTTTCCAACGTATTCCTCAAACGGAACCAAACATCCCTTTGACGATTCTCCAAAAAGAGTGGTCAAATCTGCTCTATCAAAAGAAAGTTTCAACTCTGTGAGTTGAATGCACTCATATCAAAGAAGTTGCTGAGAATGCTTCTGTCTGCTTTTTGTGTGAAGATATTTCCTTTTCCACCACAGGCCTCAAAGCGCTACAAATATCCACTTGCAGATTCTACAAAAAGAGTGTTTCAAAACTGCTGTATCAAAAGAAATGTTCAACTCTGTGAGTTTAATGCACACATCACAAAGTACTTTCGGAGAATGCTTCTGACTAGTTTTTATGTGAAGATATTTCCTTTTCCACCATAGGAATAAAAGAGAACAAAATATCCACTTGCAGGTACTACAAAAAGAGTGTTTCAAAACTGCTTTATCAAAAGAAAGATTCAACTCTGTGAGTTGAATTCACAAATCAAAACAAAGTTTCGGAGAATGCTTCTTTCTATGTTTTATATGAAGATATTTCGTTTTCCACCACAGGCCTCAAAGTGCTCCAAATATCCACTTGCAGATTCTACAAAAAGAGTGTTTCAAAACTTCTTTATCTATGAAAGGTTCAACTCTGTGCATTGAATAGACACATCACAAAGAAGTTACTGGTAATGTTTCTGTCTAGTTTTTACATAAAGATATTTCATTTTCCAACGAAGGCCTCAAAGGGAATGAAATATTCCTTTGCGGATTCTAGAAAAGGAGTGTTTCAAAACTGCTTTATCAAAAGAAATTTAAAACTCTGTGAGTTGAAAGCACACATAACAAAGAAGTTGCTGAGAATGCTTCTGTCTGCTTTTTGTGTTAACATATTTCCTTTTCTACCACCGGCCTAAAAGCGCTACTAATATCCACTTGCAGATTCCAGAAAAAGAGTGTTTCAAAACTGCTCTATCAAAAGAAAAGTTCAACTCTGTGAGCTGAATGCACACATCACAAAGAAGATTCTGAGAATTCTTGTGTCCAGTTTTAATGTGAAGATATTTCCTTTTCAAACATAGGCCTCAAGGGGAACAAAATACCCACTTGCCGATACTACAAAAAGAGTGTTTCAAAATTGCTGTATTGAAAGAAAGGTTCAATTCTGTGAGATGAATGTACGCATCACAAAGAAGCTTCTGAGAATGCTTCTGTCTAGATTTTATGTGAAGGTATTTCCTTTTCCACCATAGGCCTAAAAGCGCTCCAAATATACACTTGCAGATCCCACAAAAAGAGTATTTCAAAACTACTCTATCAACAGAAAGGTTCAACACTGTGAGCTGAATGGACACATCACAACGAAGTTACTGAGAATGCTTCTGTCTAGTTTTTATGTGAAGATATTTACTTTTCCACCATACGACTCATAGCACTACAAATATCCACTTGCGGATTCTACAAAAACAGTGTTTCAAAACTGCTCTATTAAAAGAAAGATTCAACAAACACTCTCAGTTGAATGCTCACATCACAAAGAAGTTTCTGAGAATGCTTTTCTCTACTTTTCATGTGAAGACATTTCCTTTTCCACCATAGGCCTCAAAGCGCTCCAAATATCCACTTGCATTTTCTTCAAAAAGCCAGTTTCAAAACTGCTCTATCAAAAGAATGGCTCAAACCTGTGAGTTAAATGCACACATCACTAAGAAGTTTCTGAGAATGCTTCTGTCTGGTTTTTATGGGAAGATATTTCCTTTTCCACCATAGGCCTCAGAGGGAACAAAATATCTGCTTGCAGATTCTACAAAAAGAGTGCTTCAAAAGTGCTCTATCAAAAGAAAAGTTCTACTCTGTGAGTTGAATCGACACATCACAAAGAAGTTTCAGAGAATGCTTCTGTCTAGTTTTTATGTGAAGATATTTCCTTTTCCAACATTGCCCTCAAAGCGCTCCAAATATCCACTTGCATTTTTCTCAGAAAGAGAGTTTCAAAACTGCTATGTCAAAAGAATTGTTCAAATATGTGAGTTGAATGCTCACATCCTAAGAAGTTTCTGAGAATGCTTCTGTCTAATTTTTATGTGAAGATATTTCCTTTTCCACCATAGGCCTCAAAGTGCTCCAAATATCCACTTTCAGATCCTACAAAAAGAGTTTTTCAAAACTGCTCTATCAAAAGAAAGGTTCAACTCTGTGAGTTGAATGCCCACATCACAGAGAATTTTCTGAGGCTGTTTCTGTCTTGTTTTTATGTGAAGATATTTCCTTTTCCAAAATAGGGCTCGAAGCGCTCCAAATATCCACTTGCAGACACTACAGAAAGAGTGTTTCAGAAGGCTCTATCAAAAGAAAAGTTCAACTCTGTGAGTTGAAAGCACACATCACAAAGAAGTTTCTGAGAATGTTTCTGTCTAATTTTCATGTGAAGATATTTCATTTTCCACCATAGGCCTCCAAGGGAACAAAATATCCACTTGCAGGTTCTACAAAAAGAGAGTTTCAAGACGGCTCTATCTAAAGATTGGTTCAACTCTGTGAGTTGAACACATACATCACAAAGAAGTTTCCGATAATGCTTCTGCCTAGTTTTTATGTGAAGAAATTTCCTTTTCTACCATAGGCCTCAAACCGCTCAAATTATCCACATGCCGATTCTACGAAAATAGTGTTTCAAAACTGCTCTATCAGAAGAGTGGTTCAACTCTGTGATTTGAATGCACACATCACAAAGAAGTTTCTGAGAATGCTCTTGTCTAGTTTTTCTGTGAAGATATTTCGTTTTCTAACATAGGTGTCAAACTGCTCCAAATATACACTTGCAGATTCTACAAAGAAAGTGTTTCAAAACTGCTCTATGAAAAGAAAAGTTCAACTCTGTGAGTTGAATGTATGCATCACAAAGAAGTTTCTGAGAATGCTTCTGTCTAGTTTTTATGTGAAGATATTTCCTTTTCCACAATAGGCCTCAAAGCACTCCAAATATACAGTTGCAGATTGTACAAATAGAGAGTTTCAAAAATACTCTATCTAAACAATGGTTCAACCCTGTGAGATGAATGCACACATCACAAAGAAGTTTCTGAGAATGCTTCTGTCTAGTTTTTATGTGAAGATATTTCGTTTTCCAACATAGGCCTCCAAGAGAACAAAATATCCACTTGCAGATTCTACAAAAAAAGTGTTTCAAAACTGCTCCATCAAAACAAAGGTTCAACTCTGTGAGTTGAGTGCACTCATCAGCAAGAAGTTTCAGAGAATGCCTCTGTCTAGTTTTTATGTGAAGATATTTCCTTTTCAACCATAGTGCCCAAAGTGCTTCGAATATACACTTGCAGATTCTACAAAAAGAGTGTTTCAAAACTACTCTATCAAAAGAAAGATTCAACTCTGTGAATTGAATGCACACATCACAAAGAAGTTTCTGAGAAAGCTTCTGTCTAGTTTTTATGTGAAGATATTTTGTTTTCCAATGAAGACCTCCAAGGGAATCAAATATCCACTTGCAGATACTACAAAAAGAGTGTTTCAAAAGTGCTCTATCAAAAGAAAGGTTCAACTCTGTGATTTGAATACACACATCACAAAGAAGTTTTGGAGAATGCTTCTGTCTGGTTTTAATGTGAATATATTTCCTTTTCCAAGATAGGCCTCAAAGTGCTCAAATTATCCACTTGCAGATTATACAAAAAGAGTGTTTCAAAACTGCTCTAATAAAAGAAAGTTTCAAATCTGTGAGTTGAATGCACACATCACAAAGAAATTTCTGAGAATGTTGATGTGTATTTTTTATTGGAAGATATTTCCTTTTCCACCATAGGTCTCAAAGGGCTCCAAATATCCACATGCAGATTCTACAAAAAGAGTGTTTCAAAACTGCTCTATCAAAAGAAAGGTTCAACACTGTGAGTTGAATGCACACATCACAAAGAAGTTTCGGAGAAGACTTATGTATAGTTTTCTGTGAAGATATTTCGTTTTCCAACATTCCTCCAATGGAAAAAAAAATCCACTTGCAGATACTACAAAAAGAGTGTTTCAAAACTGCTCTATCAAAAAAAGGTTCAACACTGTGAGCTGAATGCACTCATGATAAAGAAGTTTCGCAGAATGCTTGTCTAGATTTTATGTGAAGATATTTCCTTTTCCACAATAGTGCTCAAAGCGATCAGAATATTCACTTGCAGATTCTACAAAAGAGTATTTGAAAACTGCTCTATCAAAGGAAAGGGTCAACTCTGTGATTTGAATGCACACATCACAAAGAAGTTTCTGAGAATGCTTCTTTCTAGTTTTTATGTGAAGATATTTCAGTTTCCAACATAGACCACAAAGGGCACCAAATATCCACTTGCAGATTCTGGAAAAGAGTGTTTCAAAACTGCTGTATCAATAGAAAGTTGGAACTCTGTGAGGTGAGTGCACACATTATAAAGGAATTTCGGAGACGGCTTCCGTCCAGTTTTTATGTGAAGATATTTTCTTTTCCAGCTTATGTCTCAAAGCGCTCCAAATATCCACTTGCAGATTCTATAAAAAGAGTGTTTCAAAACTGCTCTATCAAAAGAAAGATTCAACTCTGTGATTTGAATGCCCATATCACAAAGAAGTTTCTCAGAATGCTTCTGTCTGGTTTTTATGTGAAGATATTTCTTTTTACAACATAGGCCTACAAGGGAACTAAATATCCACTTGCAGATTCTAGAAAAAGCTTGTTTCAAAACTGCTCTATCAAAAGAAAGGTTCAACTCTTTGAGTTGAGTGCACACATAACAAAGAAGTTTCGGAGAATGCTTCTGTCTAATTTTTATGTGAAGATATTTCCTTTTCCACCTTAGGTCTCAAAGCGCTGCAAATATCCACTTCCAGATCCTATAAAAACAGTGTTTCAAAACTGCTCTATTAAAAGAAAGGTTCAACTCTGTGAGTTGAATGCACACATCACAAAGAAGTTTCATAAAATGCTTCTGTCTCGTTTTTATTTGAAGATATTCCCTTTTCCACCCTAGGCCTAAAAGCGCTCTAAATATTCACTTGCATTTTATTCACAAAGAGAGTTTCAAAACTGCTTTATCAATAGAAAGGTTCAATTCTGTGAGTTGAATGCCCACATCACAAAGAAGTTTCTGAGAATGCTCTTGTCTAGTTCTCATTTGAAGATATTTCCTTTTCCACCATAGGCCTCATCGCACTCCAAATATACACTTGCAGATGGTACAAAAAGGGAGTTTCAAAACAGCTCTGTCAAAAAAATGGTTCAGCTCTGTCAGTTGAATGCACACATCCAAACAAGTTTCTGAGAATGCTTCTGTGTAGTTTTTATGTGAAGATGTTTCCTTTTCAACAATAGGAATCAATGTGCTCCAAATATCCAGTTTCAGATTCTACAAAAAGAGTGTTTCTAAACTGCTCTATCAAAAGAAAGTTTCAACTCTGTGAGTTGAATGCACACATCACAAAGAAGTTTCTGAGAAATTTTCTCTGTAGTTTTTATGTGAAGATATATCGATTTCCAACATAGGCTTCCAAAGAAACAAAATATCCAATTGCAGATTCTAGAAAAAGAGTGTTTCAAAGCTGCCTTATCAAAAGAAAGGTTCAACTCCATGAGTTGAATGCAGTCATCACAAAGAAGTTTCTGAGAAAGCTTCTGTCTAGTTTTTATGAGGAGATACTTCGTTTAACACCATTGGTCTGAAAGTGCTCCAAATATCCACTTGCAGATTCTACAAAAAGAGAGATTTGAAACTGCTCAGTCTAAAAATAGGTTCCACTCTGTGAGTTGAATGCACACAACACGAATACGTTTCTCAGAATTCTTCTGTGTTGTTTTTATGTGAACATTTCTTCTTTTCCACAGTAGGCCTCAGCCAGTTTGTTTAATGCACACATAATAAAGAAGTTTCTCAGTATATTTCTGTGTAGTTTTTATGAGAAGATATTTCCTTTTCCAAAATAGACCACAAAGCCCTCCAATAACCACTTCCAGATTCTACAAAAAGAGTGTTTCAAAACTGCTCAGTCAAAAGAAAGCTTCAACTCTGTTTGATGAATGCAGTTATCACAAAGAAGTTTCTGTGAATACTTCTGTGTTGTATTTACTTGAAGATATTTCCTTTTCCACCATAGGGCACAAAAGGCTCCAAATATCCAGTTGCAGATTCTACAAAAAGAGAGATTCGAAACTGCTCAATCAAAAGGTAGGTTCAACTGTGTGAGTTGAATGCACACATCACAAAGAAGTTTCTCAGAATGCTTCTGCATAGTTTTTATGTGAGGATACTTCCTTTTCCACTGTAGGCATCAAATCACTCCAAATATCCACTTGAAGATTCTACAAAAAGAGTGTTTCAAAACTGCTGAATCAAAAGAAAGGTTCAACTCTGTGAGATAAATGCACACATCACAAAAGTGTTTCTGAGACTGCTTCTGTTTAGTTACTATGTTCAAATATTTGCTTTTCCACTGTAGGCATCATGGTGCTCCAAATATCCACTTGCAGATTCTACAAAAAGAGTGTTTCAAAAGTGCTAAAGCAAAAGAAAAGTTCAACTCTGTGAAATAAATGCACACATCACAAAGGAGCCTCAAGGAATGTTTCTGTATAGTTCTTATGTGAAGATATTTGCTTTTCCACTGTAGGTCTCAATGTGCTCCAAATATCCACTTGCAGATTCTACAAAATGAGTGTTTCAAAACTCCTCAAACAAAAGAAAGGTTCAACTGTTTGAGATGAATGCACACTTAAAAAGAAGTTTCTCAGAATGCTTCTGTGTAGCTTTTATGTGAAGATATTTCCTTTTCAACATTAGGCCTCCAAAGGCTCCAAATATCCACTTGCAGATTCTGCAGAAAGAGTGTTTCAAAACTGCTCAATACAAAGAAAGGTTCAACTCTGTGACATAAACACACACATCATAAAGAAGTTTCTCAGAATGCTTCTGTGTAGTTTTTATGTGAAGATATTTGCTTTTCCACGGTAGGCCTCAAAGCGCTCCAAATATCCCCTTGCAGATTCTACAAAAAGAGTGTTTCAAAACTGCTCTATCATAAGATAGGTTTATCACTGTGAGATGAATGCACACATGTCAAAGAAGTTTCTCAGAATGCTTCTGTGTAGTTTTTATTTGAAGACATTTTCTCTTTCACCATAGGCCGTAAAGGGTTCCAAATATCCACTTGCAGTTTCTACAAAAAGAGAGATTCAAAACTGCTCAATCAAAAGATAGGTTCAATTCTGTGAGTTGAATACACACATCACTAAGAAGTTTCTCAGAATACTTCTGTGTAGTTTTTATTTGGAGATATTTCCTTTTCCCCAATAGGCCTAAAAGCTCTCCAAATATCCACTTGCAGATTCTGTAAAAAGAGTTTCTCAAAACTACTCAATAAAAAGAAAGGTTCAACTCTGTGAGATGAGTGCAGTCATCACAAAATAGTTTCCCTGAATGATTCTGTGTAGTTTTTATTTGAAGATGTTACCTTTTACAACATAGGGCCCAAAAGTCTCCAAATATCCACATGCAGATACTACAAAAAGAGAGATTCAAAACTGCTCAATCAAAGGATAGGTTCAACTCTGTGAGTTGATTGCACACCTCACAAAGAAGTTTCTCAGAATGCTTCTGTTTAGTTTTTCTGTGAAGAAATTTCCTTTTCCACAATAGGCCTCAAATCTCTCCAAATATCCACTTGCAGATTCTACAAAAAGAGAGTTTCAAATCTGCTCTATCAAAAGAAAGGTTGAACTCTGTGAGTTGAATGCACACATCACAAAGAAGTTTCTCAGAATGCTTCTGTGTAGTTTTTATTTGCAGTTATTTCCTTTTGCACAACAGGCCTGGAAGCTCTCCAAATATCCACTTGCAGATTCTGCAAAAAGAGTGTTTCAAAACTGCTCAATAAAAAGTAAGTTTTAACTCTGTGAGACGAATGCACACATCACAAAGAACTTTCTCAGATTACTTCTGTCTAGATTTCAGTTGAAGATATTTCCTTTTCTACCTTAGGCCTAAAAGCACTCCAAATGTCCACTTGCAAATTCTACAAAAACAGTGTTTCCAAACCGCTCAATCAACAGAAAGGTTCAACTTTGTGAGATGAACGCACACATCACAAAGAAGTTTCTCAGAATTATTCTGTCTAGTTTTTCTGTGAAGAAATTTCCTTTTCTGCCGTAGGCCTCAAGGGGCTCGAAATGTCTATTTGCTGATTCTACAAAAAGCGTATTTCAAAACTGGTCCTTCAAAAGAAAGGTTCAACCCCGGGAGATGAATGCACACTTCAGAAAGAAGTTTCTCAGAATGTTTCTATCTAGTTTTGATGTGAAGACATTACCTTTTCCACCGTAAGCATCAAAGCACTCCAAATGTCCACTTGCAGATTCTACAAAAAGAGAGTTTCAAAACTGCTAAATCCAAAGGAAGGTTTAACTCTGTGAAATGAATGTACACATCTCAAAGAGGTTTCTCAGGTTGCTTCTGTCTAGATTTTATGTGAAGATAATTTTTTTCTACCATAGGCCTCAAAGCGCTCCAAATGTCCACTTGCAGATCCTACAAAAATAGAGTTTCAAAATTGCTAAATCAAAAGGAAGGTTTAACTCTGTGAGGTGAACACACACATCACAAAGCAGTTTCTCAGAATTCTTCTGTCTAGTTTTTATGTGAAGATATTTCCTTTTCCACCATAGACCTCAAGGTGCTCAAAATGTCCACATGCATATTCTAGAAAAAGTGTATTTCAAAACTGGTCCTTCAAAAGAAAGGCTCAACCCTGGTAGATGAATTAACACATCCCAAAGAAGTTTCTCAGAATGCTTCCATCGAGTTTTTATGTGAAGATATTTCCTTTTCCACCATAGGCCTCAAGGAGCTCCAAATGTCCACTTGCAGATTCTACAAAAAGAGAGTTTCAAAACTGCACAATCAAAAGAAAGGGTTAACTCTGTGAGATGAACACACACACATCACAAAGAAGTTTCTCAGAATTCTTCTGCCTAGTTTTTATGTGAAGATATTTCCTTTTCCACCATAGGCATAAAGGTGCTCTTAATGTCCACCTGCAGATTCTACAAACAGAGTATTTCAAAACTCTTCCTTCAAAAGAAAGGCTGAAATCTGGGAGATCAATGTACACATCACAAAGAAGTTTCTCAGAATGCTTCTATCTAGATTTTATGTGAAGATATTTCCTTTTCTAAAATAGGCTGCAAAGCGCTCCACATGTCCACTTGCAGATTCCACAAAAACAGTGTTTCCAATCTGCTCAATCCAAAGAAAGGTTCAACTCTGTAAGACAAAGGCATGCATCACAAAGAAGTTTCTCAGAATTCTTCTGTCTAGTTTTTATGTGAAGATATTTCCTTTTACATTATAGGCCTCAAAGCACTCCAAATGTCCACCTGCAGATTCTACAAAAAGAGAGTTTCAAAACTGCTAAATGAACAGAGTTGCTTAACTCTGTGAGGTGAATGCACACATCACAAAGAAGTTTCTCAGATTGCTTCTGTCTATATTTTATATGAAGACTTTTCCTTTTCTACCATGGACAGCAAAGCGCTCCAAATGTCCACTTGCAGAATCTACCAAAAAGGGTTTCAAAACTACTCAATCAAAAGAAAGTTTTAACTATGTGAGATGAATGCACAAATCACAAAGAAGTTTCTCACATTGCTTCTGTCTAGATTTTATGTGAAGATATTCCCTTTTCCACCATAGGCCTCAAGGCACTCGAAGTGTCCACATGCAGATTCTACAAAAGGAGTATTTCAAAACTGGTCTCTCAAAAGAAAGGTTCAACCATGGGAGATGAAAGTACACATCACAAAGAAGTTTCTCAGAATGCTTCTATCTAGTTTTCATATGAAGATATTTTCTTTTCCACCATAGGCCTCAAGGAGCTCCAAATGTGCACTTGCACACTACAAAAAGAGTATTTCAAAACTTGTCCATCAAAAGAAAGGTTTAACTCTGTTAGAAGAATGCACACATCACAAAGAAGTTTCTCAGAATGCTTCTTTTTAGTTTTTATGTGAAGATATTTCCTTTTCCACTATAGGCCTCAAAGCGCTCCAAATGTCCAATTTCAGATTCTGCAAAAAGAGAGTTTCAAAACTGCTCAATGAAAAGAAAGGGTTAACTCTGTGAGATGAATGCACACATCACAAACAAGTTTCTCAGATTGCTTATGTCTATATTTTATGTGACGTTATTTCCTTTTCTACCATAGGAAGCAAAGTGCTCTAAATGTCCACTTGCATATTCTACAAAAACAGTGTTTTAAACTGCTCAATCAAAAGAAAGTTTCAACTCTGTGAGATGAACGCACACATCACACAGAAGTTTCTCAGAATTCTTCTGCCTAGTTTTTATGTGAAGATATTTCCTTTTCCACCATAGGCTTCAAAGCACTCCAAATGTCCACTTTTAGATTCTACAAAAAAAGAGTTTCAAAACTGCTAAATCAAAAGGAAGGTGTAACTCTGTGAAATGAATGCACACATCACAAAAAAGTTTCTCATATTGCTTCTGTCTAGATTTTATGTGAAGATAATTCCTTTTCTACCATAGGCTTCAAAGCGCTTCAAATGTCCACTTGCAGATTCTACAAAAAGAGTTTCAAATCTGCTCTATCAAAAGAAAGGTTGAACTCTGTGAGTTGAATGCACACATCACAAAGAAGTTTCTCAGAATGCTTCTGTGTAGTTTTTATTTGCAGTTATTTCCTTTTCCACAACAGGCCTCGAAGCTCTCCAAATATCCACTTGCAGATTCTGCAAAAGGAGTGTTTCAAAACTGCTCAATAAAAAGTAAGTTTTAACTGTGAGACGAATGCACACATCACAAAGAACTTTCTCAGATTACTTCTGTCTAGATTTCAGTTGAAGATATTTCCTTTTCTACCTTAGGCCTAAAAGCGCTCCAAATGTCCACTTGCAAATTCTACAAAAACAGTGTTTCCAAACCGCTCAATCAACTGAAAGGTTCAACTTTGTGAGATGAACGCACACATCACAAAGAAGTTTCTCAGAATTCTTCTGTCTAGTTTTTCTGCGAAGATATTTCCTTTTCCACCATAGGACTCAAGGTGCTCGAAATGTCCATTGCAGATTCTACAAAAAGAGTATTTCAAAACTGGTCCTCAAAAGAAAGGTTCAACTCAAGGAGATGAATTAACACATCACAAAGAAGTTTCTCAGAATGCTTCCATCGAGTTTTTATGTGAAGATATTTCCTTTTCCACCATAGGCCTCAAGGCGCTCCAAAATATCCACTTGCAGATTCTACAAAAAGAGAGTTTCAAAACAGTGCAATCAAAAGAAAGGGTCAACTCTGTGAGATGAATGCACACATCGCAAAGAAGGTTCTCAGATTGCTTCTGTCTTGATTTTATGTGACTATATTTCCTTTTCAACCATAGGACTCAAAGCGCTCCAAGTATCCACTTGCACATTCTACAAAAATAGTGCTTTACACTGCTCAATCAAAAAAAAACTTTCAACCCTGAGATGAACGCACACATCACAAAGAAGTTTCTCAGAATTCTTCTGCCTAGTTTTTATGTGAAGATATTTCTTTTTCCACCATAGGCCTCAAAGCACACCAAATGTCCACATGCAGTGTATACAAAATGCAACTTTCAAAACTGCTCAATCGAAAGAAATTTTAACTCTGTGAGATGAAAGCACACATCACACAGAAGTTTCTCAGAATGCTTCCATCAAGTATTTATGTGCAGCTATTTCCTTTTCTGCCATAGGCTGCAAAGGGCTCCAAATCCACCCATGCAGATTCTACAAAAATGGTGTTTTAAAATGCTCAATCAAAAGAACGTTTCAACTCTGTGGGATGAACGCACACATCACAAAGAAGTTTCTCAGAATTCTTCTGCCTAGTTTTTATGTGAAGATATTTCCTTTTCCACCATAGGACTCAAAGAGCACCAAATGTCAACATGCAGAGTCTACAAAAAGAGACTTTCAAAACTGCTCAATCAAAAGAAATTTTAACTCTGTGAGATGAAAGCACACATCACAAAGAAAATTCTCAGATTGCTTCTGTCTAGATTTTATGTGAAGATATTTCCTTTTCTACCATAGGCCGCAAAGCGCTCCAAATGTCTACTTGCAGATTCTACAAAAAGAGTGTTTCCAAACTGCTTAATCAAAAGGAAGTTTCAACTCTTTGAGATGAACGCACACATCACAAAGAAGTTTCTCAGAATTCTTCTGTCTAGTTTTTATGTGATGATATTTCCTTTTCCACCACTGGCCTTAAGACGCTCGAAACGTCCACTTGTAATTATAAAAAAAGAGTATTTAAAAATTGGTCCTTCAAAAGAAAGGTTCAACTCTGGGAGATGAAGGAACACATCACAAAGAAGGTTTTCAGAATTCTTATGTCCAGTTTTTATGTGACGATATTTCCTTTTACAACATAGGCCTCAAAGCACTCCAAATGTCCACTTGTAGATTCTACAAAAATAGTGTTTCAAAACTGCTCAATCAAGAGAATGTTTTAACTCTGTGAGATGAATGCACACATCACAAAGATATTTCTCAGATTGATTCTGTCTAGATTTTATGTGAAGATATTTTATTTTCTACCATAAGCCGCAAAGCCCTGCAAATGTCCACTTGCAGATTCTACAAATAGAGTGTTTCCAAACTGCTCAATCAAAAGTAAGGTTCAACTCTGTGGCATGAATGCATGCATCACAAAGAAGTTTCTCAGAATACTTCTGTCTAGTTTTTACATGAAGATATTTCCTTTTCCACCACAGAACTCAAAGTGCTCCAAATGTCCACTTGCAGATTCCACAAAAAGAGAGTTTCAAAACTGCTCATTCAAAAGAAATGTTTTTCTCTGTCAGAAGAATGCACACATCACATAGCAGTTTCTCTGATTGCTTCTGTCTAGATTTTATGTGAAGATATTTCCTCTTCTACCATAGGCCGCAAAGCACTCCAAATGTCCACTTGCAGATTCTACAAATAGAGTGTTGGTAAACTGCTCAATCAAAAGAAAGTTTCAGCTCTGTGAGATGAACGCACACATCACAAAGAAGTTTCACAGAATTCTTCTGTCTAGTTTTTATGTGAAGTTATTTCCTTTCCCACCATAGGCCTCAAAGCGCTCCATATATCCACTTGCAGATTCTACAAAAAGAGAGTTTCTAAACTGCTCAATCAAAAGAAAGGTTTAACTCTGTGAGATAAATGCACACATCACAAAGACATTTCTCAGATTGCTTCTGTCTAGATTTTATGTGAAGATATTTCCTTTTCTACCATAGGCTGGAAAACTCTCCAAATGTCCACTTGCAGATTCTACAAAAAGAGTGTTTCAAAACTGCTCAATCAAAAGAAAGGTCCAACTGTGTGAGATGAACGCACACATCACAAAGAAGTTTCTCAGAATTTTTCTATCTAGTTTTTACGTGAAGATATTTCCTTTTCCACTGTTGGCCTCAAAGTGCTCAGAATGTCCACTTGCATATTCTACAAAAAGATAGTTTCAAAACTGCTCAATCAAATAAAAGGGTTAACTCTGTGAGATGAATGCATACATCACAAAGAAGTTTCTCAAATTGCTTCTGTCTAGATTTCATGTGAAGATATTTCTTTTTCTACCATAGGCTGTAAAGCGCTCCAAATGTACACCAGCAGATTCTACAAAAAGAGTATTTCCATACTGCTCAATCAAAAGAAAGGTTCAACTCTGTGAGATGAAGGCACACATGACAAAGGAGTTTCTCAGAATTCTTCTGTCTAGTTTTTATATGAAGATATTTCCCTTTCCACCACAGGCCTCAAGGCGCTCGAAATGTCCACTTGCAGATTCTACAAAAAGAGTGTTTCAAAACTGGTCCTTCAAAAGAAAGGTTCAACTCTGGGAGGTGAATTCACACATCACAAAGAAGTTTTTCAGAATGCTTCTATCTAGTTTTTATGTGAAGATATTTCCTTTTCCACCATTGGCCTCAAAGTTCTCCAAATGTCCACTTGCAGATTCTACAGAAAGGGAGTTTCAAAACTGCTCAATCAAAAGAAAGTTTTAACTCTGTGAGATGAATGCACACAACACAAAGAAGTTTCTCAGATTGCTTCTGTCTAGATTTTATGTGAAGATATTTCCTTCTCTACCATAGGCTCCTAAGCACTCCAAATATCCACTTGCAGATTCTGCAAAAAGAGTGTTTCCAAACTGCTGAATCATAAGAAAGTTTCAACTCTGTGAGATGAATGCACACATCACAAAGAAGTTTATGAGAATGCTTCTGTCTAGTTTTTATGTGAAGATATTTTGTTTTCTTTTTTTATTATTATACTTTAAGTTTTAGGGTACTTGTTTACAGAGTGCAGGTTAGTTACTTATATATACAAGTGCCATGCTGGTGCGGTGCACCTACTAACTCGTCATCTAGCATTAGGTGTATCTCCCAATGCTATCCCTCCCACCTCCCGTCACCCCAGATCAGTCCCTAGAGTGTGATGTTCCCCTTCCTGTGTCCATTCGTTCTCATTGTTCAATTCCCACCTATGAGTGAGAATATGCGGTGTTTGGTTTTTTGTTCTTGTGATAGTTTACTGGGAATGATGGTTTCCAGCTTCATCCATGTCCCTACAAAGGACATGAACTCATCATTTTTTATGTCTGCATAGTATTCCATGGTGTATATATGCCACATTTTCTTAATCCAGTCTATCATTGTTTGACATTTGGGTTGGTTCCAAGTCGTTAATATTGTGAATAGTGCCAAATAAACATACATGTGCATGTGTTTTTATAGCAGTAAGACTTATAGTCCTTTGGGTACATACCCAGTAATGGGATGGCTGGGTCAAATGGTATTTCTAGTTCTTGATCCCTGAGGAATCGCCACACTGACTTCCACAATGGTTGAACTAGTTTACAGTCCCACCAACATTGTAAAAGTGTTCCTATTTCTCCACATCCTCTCCAGCACCTGTTGTTTCCTGACTTTTTAATGATTGCCATTTTAACTGGTGTGAGATAGTATCTCATTCTGGTTTTGATTTGCATTTCTCTGATGGCCAGTGATGGTGAGCATTTTTTCATGTGTTTTTTTGGCTGCATAAATGTCTTCTTTTGAGAAGTGTCTGTTCATGTCCTTCACCCACTTTTTGATGGGGTTGTTTGTTTTTTTCTTGTAAATTTGTTTGAGTTCATTGTAGATTCTGGATATTAGCCCTTTGTCAGATGAGCAGGTTGCAAAAATTTTCTCCCATTTTGTAGGTTGTCTGTTCACTCTGATGGTAGTTTCTTTTGCTGTGCAGAAGCTCTTTAGTTTAATGAGATCCCATTTGTCAATTTTGGCTTTTGTTGCCATTGCTTTTGGTGTTTTAGACATGAATTCCTTGCCCATGCCTACGTCCTGAATAGTAATGCCTAGGTTTTCTTCTAGGGTTTTTATAGTTTTAGGTCTAATGTTTAAGTCTTTAATCCATCTTGAATTGATTTTTGTATAAGGTGTAAGGAAGGGATCCACTTTCAGCTTTCTAACATATCGCTAGCCAGGTTTCCCAGCACCGTTTATTAAATAGGGAATCCTTTCCCCATTGCTTGTTTTTCTCAGGTTTGTCAAAGATCAGATAGTTGTAGATATGCAGCATTATTTCTGAGGGCTCTGTTCTGTTCCATTGGTCTATATCTCTTTTTTGGTAACAGTACCATGCTGTTTTGGTTACTGTGGCCTTGCAGTATAGTTTGAAGTCAGGTAGCCTGATGCCTCCAGCTTTGTTCTTTTGGCTTAGGATTGACTTAGTGATGGGGGCTCTTTTTTGGTTCCATATGAAATTTAAAGTCGTTTTTTCCAATTCTGTGAAGAAAGTCATTGGTAGCTTGATGGGGATGGCATTGAATCTATAATTACCTTGGCCAATATGGCCATTTTCACGATATTGATTCTTCCTACCCATGATCATGGAATGTTCTTCCATTTCTTCGTATCCTCTTTTATTTCATTGAGCAGTGGTTTGTAGTTCTCCTTGAAGAGGTCCTTCATGTCCATTGTAAGTTGGATTCCTAGGTATTGTATTCTCTTTGAAGCAATTGTGAATGGGAGTTCACTTATAGTTTGTCTATCTGTTTGTCTGTTGTTGGTGTATAAGAATGCTTGTGATTTTTGTTCATTGATTTTGTATCCTGAGACTTTGCTGAAGTTGCTTATCAGCTTAAGGAGATTTTGGGCTGAGACAATGGGGTTTTCCAGATATACAATCAAGTCATCTGCAAACAAGGACAATTTGACTTCCTCTTTTTCTAATTGAATACCCTTTATTTCCTTCTCCTGCCTGATTGCCCTGGTCAGAACTTCCAACACTATGTTGAATAGGAGTGGTGAGAGAGGGCATCCCTGTCTTCTTCCAGTTTTCAAAGGGGATGCTTCCAGTTTTTGCCCATTCAGTATGATATTGGCTGTGGGTTTGTCATACATAGCTCTTATTATTTTGAGATACATCCCATCAATTCCTAATTTATTGAGGGTTTTTAGAATGAAGGCTGTTGAATTTTGTCAAAGGCCTTTTCTGCATCTATTGAGATAATCATGTGGTTTTTGTCTTTGGTTCTGTTTATATGCTGGATTACATTTATTGATTTGCGTATATTGAACCAGCCTTGCATCCCAGGGATGAAGCCCTCTTGAGCATGGTGGATAAGCTTTTGGATGTGCTGCTGGATTCGTTTTGCCAGTATTTTATTGAGGATTTTTGCATCAATGTTCATCAAGGATATTGGTCTAAAATTCTCTTTTTTTGTTGTGTCTCTGCCTGGCTTTGGTATCAGAATGATGCTGGCCTCATAAAATGAGTTAGGGAGGATTCCCTCTTTTTCTATTGATTGGAATAGTTTCAGAAGGAATGGTACCAGTTCCTCCTTGTACCTCTGGTAGAATTCGGCTGTGAATCCATCTGGTCCTAGACTCTTTTTGGTTCGTAAGCTATTGATTATTGCCACAATTTCAGCTCCTGTTATTGGTCTATTCAGAGATTCAACTTCTTCCTGGTTTAGACTTGGGAGAGTGTATGTGTCAAGGAATTTATCCATTTCTTCTGGATTTTCCAGTTTATGTGCGTAGAGGTGTTTGTAGTATTCTCTGATGGTAGTTTGTATTTCTGTGGGATCGGTGGTGATATCCTCTTTATCATTTTTTATTGTGTCTATTTGATTCTTCTCTCTTTTTTTCTTTATTAGTCTTGCTAGCGGTCTATCAATTTTGTTGATCCTTTCAAAAAACCTGCTCCTGGATTCATTAATTTTTGAAGGGTTTTTTGTGTCTCTATTTCCTTCAGTTCTGCTCTGATTTTAGTTATTTCTTTCCTTCTGCTAGCTTTTGAATGTGATTGCTCTTGCTTTTCTAGTTCTTTTAATTGTGATGTTAGGTTTTCAATTCTGGATCTTTCCTGCTTTCTCTTGTGGGCATTTAGTGCTATAAATTTCCCTCTACACACTGCTTTGCATGTGTCCCAGAGATTCTGGTATGTTATATCTTTGTTCTCATTGGTTTCAAAGAATATCTTTATTTCTGCCTTCATTTCATTATGTACCCAGTAGTCATTCAGGAGCAGGTTGTTCAGTTTTCATGTAGTTGAGCGGTTTTGAGTGAGTTTTTTAATCCTGAGTTCTAGTTTGATTGCACTGTGGTCTGAGAGATAGTTTGTTGTAATTTCTGTTCTTTTACATTTGCTGAGGACCACATAGTTGGTCAATTTTGGAATAGGTGTGGTGCGGTGCTGAAAAAAATGTATATTCTGTTGATTTGGGGTGGAGAGTTCTGTAGATGTCTATTAGATCTGCTTGGTGCAGAGCTGAGTTCAATTCCTGGGTATTCTTGTTAACTTTCTGTTTCATTGATCTGTCTAATGTTGACAGTGGGGTATTAAAGTCTCCCATTATTAATGTGTGGGAGACTAAGTCTCTTTGTAGGTCACTCAGGACTTGCTTTATGAATCTTGGTGCTCCTGTATTGGGTGCATATATATTTAAGATACTTATCTCTTCTTGTTGAATTGATCCCTTTACCATTATGTAATGACCTTGTTTGTCTCTTTTGATCTTTGTTGGTTTAAAGTCTGTTTTATCAGAGACTAGGATTGCAACCCCTGCCTTTTTTTTTGTTTTCCATTTGCTTGGTAGGTCTTCCTCCATCCTTTTATTTTGAGCCTATCTGTGTCTGCATGTGAGATGGGTTTCCTGAATACAGCACACTGATGGGTCTTGACTCTTTATCCAATTTACCAGTCTGTGTCTTTTATTTGGAGCATTTAGTGCATTTACATTTAAGTAAATATTGTTATGTGTGACTTTGATCCTGTCATTATGATGTTAGCTGGTTATTTTGTTAGTTAGTTGATGCCGTTTCTTCCTAGTCCTGATGGTCTTTACATTTTGGCATGATTTTGCAGTGGCTGGTACCGGTTGTTCCTTTCCATGTTTAGTGCTTCCTTCAGGAGCTCTTGTAAGGCAGGCCTGGTGGTGACAAAATCTCTCAGCATTTGCTTGTCTGTAAAGTATTTTATTTCTCTTTCACTTATGAAGCTTAGTTTGGCTGGATATGAAATTCTGGGTTGAAAATTCTTTTCTTTAAGAATGTTGAATATTGGCACCCAATCTCTTCTGGCTTCTAGAGTTTCTGCCAAGAGATCCACTGTTCTAACATAGGCTGCAAAGTGCTCAAAATGTCCAGTTGCAGATTCTACAAAAAGAGTGTTTCAACACTACTCTATCAAAAGAAAGGTTTAACTCTGTGAGATCAATGCACACATCATGAAGAAGTTTCCCAGATTGCTTCTGTCTAGATTTTATGTGAAGATATATCCTTTTTTTCCATAGGCCGCAAAGTGGTACAAATATCCACTTGCAGATTCTACAAAAAGATTGTTTCCTCACTGCTCAGTCAAAAGTAAGTTTCAACTCTGAGATGAACACACACATTACAAAGAAATTTCTCAGAATTCTTCTGTCTAGTTTTTATTTAAAGATATTCCCTTTTACACCATAGGCCTCAAATCGCTCCAAATGTCCACTTGTAGATTCTACAAAAAGAGAGTTTCCAAACTGCTCAATAAAAAGGAAAGTTCAACTCTGTGAGATGTATGCACACATCACAAAGAAGTTTCTCAGATTGCTTCTGTCTTGATTTTATGTGAAGATATTTCCTTTTCTACCATAGGCCTCAAAGCACTCCAAAAGTCCACTTGAAGATTCTACAAAAAGAGGGGATAGAGATGAATTTACACATTTGCAAAGATGTTTTTCAGATTGCTTCTGTCTAGATTTTATGTGAAGATATTTCGTTTTCTACAAAAGGCCGCAGAGCACTCCAATGTCCACTTGCAGATTCTGCAAAAAGAGTGTTTCCAGACTGCTCAATCAAAAGAAAGTTTCAGCTCTGGGAGATGAAAGCACACATCACAAAGAAGTTTCTCTTAATTCTTCTGTCCAGTTCTTGTGTGAAGATATTTCCTTTTCCACTATAGGCCTCAAAGCGCTCCAAATGTCTGCTTGCAGATTCTACAAGAAGAGATTTTAAAAACTGCTCAATCAAAAGAGAGCTTTAAATCTGTGAAATGAATGCACACAACACAAAGAAGTTTCTCAGACTGCTTCTGTCTAGGTTTTGTGTGAAGATATTTCCTTTTGTACCATAGGCCGCAAAGCGCTCCAAATGTCCACATGCAGGTTCTACAAAAAGAGTGTTTCCAAACTGCTCAATAAAAATAAAGTTTCAACCCTGTGAGATGAGCACACACATCACAAATAAGATTCTCAGAATTCTTCTGTCTAGTCTTTATGTGAAGATATTTCTTTTTCCATTTTAGGCCTCAAAGCGCTCTAATTGTCCACTTGCAGATTCTAGAAAAAGAGAGTTTCAACACTGCTCAATCAAAAGAAAGATTTAACTCTGTGAGATGAATGCACAATCACAAATAGGTTTCTCAGTTTGTTTCCGTCTAGATTTTATGTGAAGTTATTTCCTTTTCTACCATAGGCCACAAAGTGGTCCAAATGTACACTTGCAGATTCTACAGAAAGAGATTTTAAAAACTGCTCAATCAAAAGAAAGCTTTAAATCTGTGAAATGAATGCACGCAACACAAGGAAATTTCTCAGATTGCTTCTGTCTAGGTTTTGTGTGAAGATATTTCCTTTTCTACCATAGGACGCAAAGCGCTCCAAATGTCCACTTGCAGATTCTACAAAAAGAGTGTTTCCAAACTGCTAAACCAAAAGAAAGTTTCAACCCTGCGAGATGAACGCACACATCTCAAATAATATTCTCAGAATTCTTCTGTCTGGTCTTTATGTGAAGATATTTCCGCTTCCACCTTAGGTCTCAAAGAGCTCCAATTGTCCACTTGCAGATTCTACAAAAAGAGAGTTTCAACACTGCTCAATCAAAACAAAGTTTTAACTCTGTGAGATAAATGCACAATCACAAATAAGTCTCTCAGTTTGTTTCTGTCTACATTTTACGTGAAGGTATTTCCTTTTCTACCATACGCCATAAAGTGGTCCAAATGTCCACTTGCAGATTCTACAAAAAGAGTGTTTCCAAACTGCTCAATCAAAAGGAAGGTTCAACTCTGGGAGATAAACTCAAGCATCACAAAGAAATTTGTCAGAATTCTTCTGTCTAGTTTTTATGTGAAGATAGTGCAGTTTCCACCATAGGCCTCAAGGTGCTCGAAACGTCCACTTGCAGATTCTGCAAAAAGAGTGTTCCAAAACTGGTCCATAAAAAGAAATTTTCAACTATGGGAGATGAATGCACACATCACAGAGAAGTTTCTCAGAATGCTTCTATCTAGTTTTTATGTGAAGATATTATCTTTTCCACCATAGGCCTCAAAGTGCTCCAAATGTTCACTTGCAGATTCTCCAAAAAGAGAGTTTCAAAACTGCTCCATCAAAAGAAAGGTTTAAGTCTGTGAGACGAATGCACATATCAGAAAGACGTTTCTCAGATTGCTTCTGTCTACATTTTATGTGAAGATATTTCCTTTTCTACCATAGGCTGCAGAGTGCTCCAAATGTCCACTTGTCGATTCTAAAAAAAGAGTGTTTCCAAACTGCCCAATCAAAATAAATGTTGAACTCGGTGAGATGAACGCACACATCACAAAGAAGTTTCTCGGAATTATTCTGTCTAGTTGTTATGTGAAGATATTTCCTTTTCCACCATAGGTCTCAAAGTGCTCCAGATGTCCACCTGCAGATACTACAAAAAGAGAGTTTCAAAACTGCTCAATCAAAAGAAAAGTTTAATTCTGTGAGTTGAATGCACACGTCACAAATAAGTTTCCCAGATTGCTTCTGTATAGGTTTTATGTGAAGATATTTCCTTTTCTACCATAGGCCAGAAAGCGCTCCAAATGTCCACGTGCAGATTCTACAAAAAGATTTTTTCTACACTGCTCAATCAAAGGAAAGGTTCAAATCTGGGAGATGAACGCACACATAAAAAAGAAGTTTCTCAGAATTCTTTTGTCTAGTTTTCATGGAAAGATATTTTCTTTTCCATTGTAGGCCTCAAAGTACTCCAAATGTCCACTTGTATATTCTACAAAAATACAGTTTCAAAACTGCTCAATCAAAGAATGTTTTAACTCTGTGTGATGAATGCACACATCACAAAGAAGTTTCTCGGAATGCTTCTATCTAGTTTTTATGTGAAGATATTTCTTTTTCCACCACAGGCCTCAAAGCACTCCAAATGTCCACTTGCAGATCCTACAAAAAGAGAGTTTCAACACTGCTCAATCAAAAGAAAGGTTTAACTCTGTGAGATGAATGCACACATCACAAAGAAGTTTCTCAGGTTGCTTCTGTCTAGATTTTATGTGAAGATATTTCCTTTTCTACCATAGGCTGTTGAGTACTCCAAATGTCCACTTGTCGATTCTAAAAAAAGAGTGTTTCCAAACTGCCCAATCAAAATAAATGTTCAACTCAGTGAGATGAACGCACACATCACAAAGAAGTTTCTCAGAATTATTCTGTCTAGTTTTTATGTGAAGCTATTTCCTTTTCCACCATACGCCTCAAAGCGCTCCAGATGTCCAATTGCAGGTACTACAAAAAGAGAGTTTCAAAACTGCTCAATCAGAAGAAAAGTTTAATTCTGTGCGTTGAATGCACGCATCACAAAGAAGTTTCTCCGATTGTTTCTGTATAGATTTTATGTGAAGATATTTCCTTTTCTACCGTAGTCCAGACAGTGCTCAAGAAGTCCACTTGCAGATATCACAAAAAGAGTTTTTCTACACTGCTCAATCAAAAGAAAGGTTCAAGTCTGTGAGATGAATGCACACATCACAAAGAAGTTTCTCAGAATTCTTTTGTCTAGTCTTTATGTGAAGATATTTCCTTTTCCGTCGGAGGCCTCAAAGTGCTCCAAATGTCCACCTGCAGGTCCTACAAAAAGAGAGTTTCAAAACTGCTCAATGAAAAGAAAGGTTTAACTCTGTGAGATGAATGCACACATCACAAAGTAGTTACTCAGATGGCTTCTGTCTAGATTTTATGTGACAATATTAACTTTTCAAACTTAGGATGCAAAGCGCTCCAAATGTCCACTTGCAGATTCTACAAAAAGAGAGTTTCAAACCTGCTCAATCAAAAGAAAGGTTTAAATCTGTGAGATGAATGCACACATCACAAAGAAGTTTCTCAGATTGCTTCTGTCTAGGTTTTATGTGAAGATATTTCCTTTACTACCATAGGTTGCAAAGCGCTCCAAATGACCACTTCCAGATTCTACAAAAAGAGGGTTTCAAAACTGCTCAATAAAAAGAAAGTTTCAAATCTGGGCGATAAACGCACACATCACAGAGAAATTTCTCAGAATTCTTCTGTCTAGTTTTTATGTGAAGATATTTCCTTTTCCACCATAGGCCTCAAGGCTTTCGAAATGTTCACTTGCAGATTCTTCAAAAAGAGTATCTCAAAACTGGTCCTTCAAAAGAAAGGATCAACTCTGTGAGATGAATGTACACATCACAAAGAAGTTTCTCAGAATGCTCCTATTAAGATTTTATGTGAAGATATTTCTTTTTTCACAATAGGCCTCAAAGCGCTCCAAACGTCCACTAGCAGATTTTACAAAAAGAGAGTTTCTAAACTGCTCAATCAAAAGAAAGCTTTAATTCTGTGAGATGAATGCACATATCACAAAGAAGTTTCTCATATTGCTTCTCTCTAGATTTTATGTGATGATATTTCCTTTTCTACCATAGACCTCAAAGCGCTCTGAATGTCCACTTGCAGATTCTACAAAAAGAGAGTTTCCAAACTGCTCAATGAAAAGAAAGTTTCAACCCTGTGAGATGAACGCACACATCACAAACAAGATTCTCAGAATTCTTCTTTCTAGTATTTATGTGAAGATATTTCTTTTTCCACCTTAGGCCTCAAAGTGCTCCAGTTGACCACTTGCAGATTCTACAAAAAGAGAGTTTCAACACTGCTCAATCAAAAGAAAGTTTTAACTCTGTGAGATGAATGCACAATCACAAATAAGTTTCTCAGTTTGTTTCTGTCTGGACTTTAGGTGAAGTTATTTCCTTTTCTACCATAGGCCGCAATGTGGTCCAAATGTACACTTGCAGATTGTAGAAGAAGAGATTTTAAAAACTGCTTAATCAAAAGAAAGCTTTAAATCTGTGAAATGAATGCACACAATACAAGGAAATTTCTCAGATTGCTTCTGTCTAGGTTTTGTGTGAAGATATTTCCTTTTCTACCATAGGACGGAAAGCCCTCCAAATGTCCACTTGCAGATTCTACAAAAAGAGTGTTTCCAAACTGCTCAATCAAAAGAAAGTTTCAACCCTGTGAGATGAACGCACACATCACAAGTAAGATTCTCAGAATTCTTCTGTCTTTTCTTTATGTGAAGATATTTCTCTTTCCACCTTAGGCCTCAAAGTGCTCCAATTGTCCACTTGTAGATTCTACAAAAAGAGAGGTTCAACACTGCTCCATCAAAAGAAAGTTTTAACACTGTGAGATGAATGCACAATCACAAATAAGTCTCTCAGTTTGTTTCTGTCTAGATTTTATTTGAAGGTATTTCCTTTTCTACCATAGGCCGCAAAGTGGTCCAAATGTCCACTTGCAGATTCTACAAAAAGAGTGTTCCAAACTGCTCAATCAAAAGGAAGGTTCAACTCTGGGAGATTAACTCAAGCATCACAAAGAAATTTGTCAGAATTCTTCTGTCTAGTTTTTATGTGAAGATATTCCATTTTCCACCATAGGCCACAAGGCGCTCGAAAAGTCCACTTGCAGATTCCGCAAAAAGAGTATTCCAAAACTGGTCCATGAAAAGAAATTTTCAACTATGGGAGATGAATGCACACATCACAAAGAACTTTCTCAGAAAGCTTCTATCTAGTTTTTATGTGAAGACATTTCCTTTTCCACCATAGACCTCAAAGCTCTCCAAATGTTTACTTGCAGATTCTCCAAAAAGAGAGTTTTGAAACTGGTCAATCAAAAGAAAGGTTTAACTCTGTGAGATGAATGCACACATCAGAAAGAGGTTTCTCAGATTGCTTCTGTCTAGATTTTATGTGAAGATATTTCCTTTTCTACCGCAGGCCAGAAAGTGCTCCAAATGTCCACTTGCAGATTCTACAAAAAGAGCTTTTCTACACTGCTCAATCAAAGGAAAGGTTCAACTCTGGGAAATGAACACACACATAAAAAAGAAGTTTCTCAGAATTCTTTTGTCGAGTTTTCATGGAAAGATATTTCCTTTTCCACTGTAGGCCTCAAAGGGCTCCAAATGTCCACTTGCATATTCTACAAAAATACAGTTTCAAAACTGCTCAATGAAAGAAAGTTTTAACTCTGTGAGATGAATGCACACATCACAAAGAAGTTTCACGGAATGCTTCTATCTAGTTTTTATGTGAAGATATTTCTTTTTCCACCACAGGCCTCAAAGCGCTCCAAATTTCCATCTGCAGATCCTACAAAAAGAGAGTTTCAAAACTCCTCAATCAAAAGAAAGGTTTAACTCTGTGAGATGAATGCACACATTCCAAAGAAGTTTCTCAGATTGCTTCTTTCTAGATTTCATGTGAAGACATTTCCTTTTCTAACATAGGCTGCAAAGCGTTCCAAATATCCACTTGCAGATTCTCAAAAAGAGTGTTTCCAAACTGCTCAATAAAAAGAAAGTTTCAGTTCCGTGAGATGAATGCACACACACAAAGAAGTTTCTCAGAATTATTCTGTCTACTTTTTATGTGAAGATATATCCTTTTCCACCAAAAGCCTCAAAGCCCTCCAAATGTCCACTTGCAAATTATACAAAAAGAGAGTTTCAAAAGGGCTCACTGAAAAGAATGATTTAACTCTGTGCGATGAATGCATACATCACAAAGTAGTTACTCAGATGGCTTCTGTCTAGATTTTATGTGACGATATTAACTTTTCAAACTTAGGATGCAAAGTGCTCCAAATGTCCACTTGCAGATTCTACAAAAAGAGAGTTTCAAACCTGCTCAATCAAAAGAAAGGTTTAAATCTGTGAGATGAATGCACACATCACAAAGAAGTTTCTCAGATTGCTTCTGTCTAAATTTTATGGAAGATATTTCCTTTTCTACCATAGGTTGCAAAGCAGTCCAAATGTCCATTTGCAGATTCTACAAAAAGAGTGTTTCCAAACTGCTCAATAAAAAGAAAGTTTCAAATCTGGGCGATAAATGCACACATCACAGAGAAGTTTCTCAGAATTCTTCTGTCTAGTTTTTATGTGAAGATATTTCCTTTTCCACCATAGGCCTCAAGGCTTTCGAAATGTCCACTTGCAGATTCTTCAAAAAGAGTAATTCAAAACTGGTCCTTCAAAAGAAAGGATCAACTCTGTGAGATGAATGTACACATCACAAAGAAGTTTCTTAGAATGCTCCTATCTAGATTTTATGTGAAGATATTTCTTTTTCCACAATAGACCTCAAAGCGCTCCAAATGTCCACTTGCAGATTCTACAAAAAGAGAGTTTCAAAACTGCTCAATCAAAAGAAAGTTTCAACTCTGAGAGATGAATCACACATCACAAGAATTTTCTCAGAATGCTTCTTTCAAGTATTTATGTGAAGATATTTCCTTTTCCACCATAGGCCTCAAAGCGCTCCAAATGTCCACTTCCAGATCCTACAAAAAGAGAGTTTCAAAACTGCTCAATCAAAAGAAAGATTTAACTCTGTGAGATGAATACACATATCACATAAAAGTTTCTCAGATTGCTTCTGTCTAGATCTTATATGAAGATATTTCCTTTCTACCATAGGACACAAAGTGCTCCAAATGTCCACTTGCAGATTCTACAAACATAGTGTTTCCAAACTGTTCAATCAAAAGAAAGGTTCAACTCTGTGAGATGAAGGCACGCCTCACAAAATAGTTTCTCAGAATTCTTCTGTCTAGTTTTTATGTGAACATATTTCATTTTCCACCATAGGCCTCAAAGTGCTCCAATGTCACCTTGCAGATTCTACAAAAAGAGAGTTTCAAAACAACTCTATCAAAAGAAAGTTTTGACTCTGTGGGTTGAATGCACACATCACAAAGAAGTTTCTCAGATTTCTTCTGTCTAGATTTTATGTGAAGATATTTCCTTTTCAACCGTAATTCTCTAAGTGCTCCAAATGTCCACTTGCAGATTTTACAAAAGGAGTGTTTCCAAACTGCTCAATCAAACGAAAGGTTCAACTATGTGAGATGAATGTGCACATCACAAATAAGTTTCTCAGAATTTTTCTGTCTAGTTTTTATGTGAAGATATTTCCTTTTCCACCATATGCCTCAAAGCGCTCCAAAAGTCCACTTGCAGATCCTACAAAAAGAGAGTTTCAAAACAGCTCTATGAAAAGGAAGGTTTATATCTGTGTGATTAATTCACATACCACAAAGAAGTTTCTCAGGTTGCTTCTGTCTAGATTTTATGTGAAGATATTTCCTTTTCGACCATAGGCTGCAAAGCGTTCCAAATGTCCACTTGCAGATCCTACAAAAAGAGTGTTTCCAAACTGCTCAATGAAAAGAAAGGTTCAACGCTGTGAGATGAACGCACACATCACAAAGAAGTTTCTCAGAAAACTTCTGTCTACTTTTTATGTGAAGATATTTCCTTTTCCACAATAAGCCTCAAAGCGTTCCAAATGTCCACTTGCAGATTCTACAAAAACAGAGTTGCAAAACTGCTCAATCAAAAGAAAGGTTTAACTCTGTGAGATGTAGCCACACATCACAAAGAAGTTGTGAGAATTCTTCCGAAAACATTTTATGTGAATATATCTCTTTTTTCTACCACTCGCCGCAAAGCGCTCCATATGTCCACTTGCAGATTCTACAAAAAGAGTGTTTCCAAACTGCTCAATCAAAAGAAAGTTTCATCTCTCTGAGATGAATGCACACATCACAAAGAATTTTCTCAGAATTCTTCTGTCTAGTTTTTATGTGAAGATATTTCCTTTTCCGCCATAGGCCTCAAAGTGCTCCAAATGTCCACTTGCAGATTTTACAAAAGGAGAGTTTCAAAACTGCTCAATCAAAAGAAAGGGTTAACTCTGTGAGATTAATGCACACATCAGAAAGAAGTTTCTCAAAATTCGTCTGAGTTGTTTTTATGTGAAGATATTTCCTTTTCTACCATAGGCCGCAAAGTGCTCCAAATGGCCACTTGCAGATTCAACAAAAAGAGTATTTCCAAACTGCTTAATCAAAAGAAAGGTTCAACTATGTGAGATGAGCCCACATATCAGAAAGAAGTTTCTCAGAATTCTTCTGTCTGGTTTTTATGTGAAGATATTTCCTTTTCCACCATAGGCCTCAAAGCACTCCAAAAGTCCACTTGCATATTCTACAAAAATAGAGTTTCAAAACTGCTCAATGAAAAGAAAGGTTTAATTCTGTGAGATGAATGCACACATCACAAGGAAGTTTCTCAGATTGCTTCTGTGTAGATTTTATGTGAAGATATTTCCTTTTCTACCATAGTCTGTGATGTCCTCCAAATGTCCACTTACAGATTCTAAAAAAAGAGTGTTCCCAAACTTCTCAATCAAAAGTAAGGTTCAACTCTTTTAGATGAACGCACACGTCACAAAAGAATTTTCTCAGTATACTTCTGTCTGGTTTTTATTTGAAGATTTTTCCTTTTCTATCCTAGGCCTCAAAGCGCTCCAAATATCCGCTTGCAGATTCTACAAAAACATATTTTCAAAACTGCTCAATCCAACGGAAGCTTTAACTCTTTGAAATGAATGTACACATGACAAAGAAGTTTCCCAGATTGCTTCTGTCTAGATTTTATGTGGAGATATTTCCTTTTCTACCATAGGCTGCAATGTTCTCCAAATGTCGACTTCCAGATTATACAAAAGGAACTTTTCCAAGCTGCTCAATCAAAAGCAAGTTACAACTCTGCCAGATGAACGCACACATCACAAAGAAGTTTCTCAGAATTCTTCTTTCTGGTTTTTATGGGAAGGTATTTCCTTTTCCACCATAGGCCTCAAAGTTCTCCAAATGTCCAGTTGCCCATTCTACCAAAACAGAGGTTCAAAACTCCTCAATCAAAAAAAGGTTTAACACTGTGAGATGAATACACACATCACAAAGAAGTTTCTCAGATTGCTCCTGTCTAGATTTTATGTGAAGATATTTCCTTCTCTACCATAGTCCGTAAAGCGCTCCAAATGTCCACTTGCAGATTCTAAAAAAGAGTGTTTCCAAACGGCTCAATGAAAGACATATTCAACTCTGTGAGATGAAAGCACACATCACAAATAAGTTTCTCAGAATTCTGTCTAGTTTTTATGTGATGATATTTCCATTTCCACCATACACCTGTAGGTGCTCGAAATGTCCACTTGCAGATTCTACAAAAAGAGTATTTCAGAACTCGTCCTTCAAAAGAAAGGTTCAACTCTGGGAAATTAATGCACACATCACAAATATGTTTCTCAGAATGTTTCTATCTAGTGTTTATGTGAAGGTGTTTCCTTTTCCACCATAGGCCTCAATGCACTCCAAATGTCCACTTGCAGATACTACAAAAAGAGAGTTTCTGAACTTCTAAATCAAAAGAAAGGTTTAACTCTGTGAGATGAATGCACACATCACAAAGAAGTTTCTCTAATTGCTTCTGTCTACATTTTATGTGAAGATATTTCCTTTTCTACCATAGGCTGCAAAGCACTCCAAATGTCCACTTGCAGATTCTACAAAAAGAGTGTTTCAAAACTGTTCAATCAAAAGAAAGGTTCAACTCTGTGAGATGAACGCAAACATCACAAAGGAGTTTCTAAGAATCCTTCTGTCTAGTTTTTATGTGGTGATATTTCCTTCTTCACCATAGACCCCAAGGCGTTCTAAATGTCCACTAGCTGATTCTATAAAAAGAGTATTTCAAAACTGGTCCTACAAAAGAAAGGTTCAACTCTGGGAGATGAACACACACATCACAGGTAAGTTTCCCAGAATTCTTCTGTCTAGTTTTTATGTGAAGATATTTCCTTTCCCACCGTATGCCTCAAAGCACACAGAATGTCCACTTGCAGATTTTAGAAAAAGAGAATTTCAAAACTGTTCAATCAAAAGAAAGTTTGAACTCCTTGAAATGAATGCACACATCACAGAGAATTCTCTCAGATTGCTTCTGTCTAGATTGTATGTGAAGATATTTCTCTTTCTACCATAGGCCGCTAAGCCCGCCAAATGTCCACTTGCAGATTATACAAAAAGAGTGTTTCCAAACTGCTCAATCAAAAGTCTGATTCAACTCTATGAGATGAAAACACACATCACACAGAAGTTTCTCAGAATTCTTCTGTCTAATTTTTATGTGAAGATATTTCCTTTTTCACCATAGGCCTCAAAACGCTCCAAATGTCCACATGCAGATTCTATAAAAAGAGAGTTTCAAAACTGCTCAATCAAAGGAAAGGTTGAACTCTGTGAGATGAATGCACACATCACAAAGAAGTTTCTCAGATTGCTTATGTCTAGATTTTATGTGAAGATATTTCCTTTTCTACCATAGGCCACAAAG
Source organism: Homo sapiens (assembly GCF_000001405.40). NCBI lineage: Eukaryota > Metazoa > Chordata > Mammalia > Primates > Hominidae > Homo > Homo sapiens. The sequence goes on from NC_000007.14 coordinate 57,978,084, forward strand.
CGCTCCAAATGTCCACTGGCAGATTCTACAAAAAGAGTGTTTCCAAAATGCTTAATCAAAAGAAATGTGCAACACTGTGACATGAACGCACACATCACAAAGGAGTTTCTCAGAATTCTTCTGTCTAGTTTTTATGTGAAGATATTACCTTTTCCACCATAGGCCTCTAAGCACTCCAAATGTCCACTTGAAGATTCTACAAAAAGAGAGTTTCAAAACTGTTCCATCAAAAGAAAGGTTTAACTCTGTGAGATGAATGCACACATCACAATTACGTCTCTCAGATTGCTTCTGTCTTGATTTTATGTAAAGATATTTCATTTTCTACCATAGGCTGTGATGTGCTCCAAATGTCCACTTACAGATTCTACATAAAGAGTGTTTTCAAACTGCTCAATCAAAAGTAAATTTCAAAACTGTGAGATGAACGCACACATCACAAAGAAGTTTCTCAGTATACTTCTGTCTATTTTTTACTTGAAGATATTTCCTTTTCCACCATAGGCCTCAAAGTGCTCCAAATGTCCACTTGCAGGTTCTACAAAAAGACTGTTTCAAAACTTTTCCATCAAAAGAAAAGTTCAACTCTGGGAGATGAATGTACACATCACAAAGAAGTTTCTCAGATTGCTTCTGTCTAGATTTTATATGAAGATATTTCCTTTTCTACCATAGGACTCAATGCGCTCCAAATGTCCATTTCCAGATTCTACAAAAGGAGCATTTCCAAACTGCTCAATCAAAAGAAAGGTACAACTCTGTCACATGAATGCACACATCACAAAGAAGTTTCTCAGAATTCTTCTGTCTAGTTTTCATGGGAAGGTGTTTCCTTTTCCAGCATAGACCTCAAAGCGCTCCAAATGTCCACTTGCCAATTCTACAAAAACAGAGATTCAAAACTCCTCAATCGAAAGAAAGGTTTAACTCTGTGAGATGAATTCATACATCACAAAGAACTTTCTCAGATTGCTTCTGTCTAGATTTTATGTGAATATATTTCCTTTTCTACCATAAGCTTCAAAGCGCTCAAATCGTCCACTTGCACATTCTAAAAAAGAGTGTTCCCAAACCGGTCAGTGAAAAGAAATGTTCAACTCTGTGAGATGAAAGCACACATCACAAACAAATTTCTCAGAATTCTTCTGCCTAATTTTTATGTGAAGATATTTCCTTTTCCACCATAGGCCTCAAGGTGCTCGAAATGTCCACTTGCAGATTCTGCAAAAAGAGTACTTCAAAACTGGTCCTCCAAAAGAAGGTTCAACTCTGGGAGATGAATGCACCCATCACAAAGATGTTTCTCAGAATGTTTCTATCTAGTGTTTATGTGAGGATATTTCCTTTTCCACCATAGTCCTCAATGTGCTCCAAATGTCCACTTGCAGATCCTACAAAAAGATAGTTTCTAAACTGCTAAATCAAAAGAAAGGTTTAACTCTGTGAGATGAATGCACACATAACAAAGAAGTTTATCTAATTTCTTCTGTCTAGATTTCATGTGAAGATATTTCCTTTGCTACCATAGGCCGCAAAGCACTCCAAATGTCCACTTGCAGATTCTACAAAAAGAGTGTTTCCAAACTGCTCAATCAAAAGAAAGGTTCAACTCTGTGAAATGAACGCACACATCAGAAAGAAGACTCTAAGAATTCTTCTTTCTGGTTTTTATGTGAAGATATATCATTTTCCATCATAGTCCTCATGGCACTCGAAATGCCTACTTGCATATTCTACAAAAAGTGTATTTTAATACTGGTCCATCAAAAGAAATGTTCAACTCTGGGAGATGAATGCACACATCACAAACAAGTTTTTCAGAATGCTTCAATCTATTTTTTTGTGAATATATTTCCTTTTCCACCATACGCCTGAAAGGGCTTTAAGTATCCACTTGCAGATTCTGCAAAAAGAGAGTTTCAAAACTCCTCAATCAAAGGAAAGTTTTCACTCTGTGAGATGAACACACACATCACAAAGAAGTTTCTCAGATTCCTTCTGTCTAGATTTTCTGTGAAGATATTTCCTTTTCTCCCATATGCCACAAAGTGCTCCAAATGTTCCCTTGCAGATTCTACAAAAAGAGTGTTTCCAAACTGCTCAATCAAAAGAAAGGTTCAAATATGTGAGATGAATGCACACATCACAAAGAAGTTTGTCAGAATTCTGCTGTCTAGTTTTTATGCGAAGATATTAACTTTTCCACCATAGTCCTCAAAGCGCTCCAAATGTCCACTTGCACATTCTACAAAAAGAGAGTTTCAAAATTGCTCTACAAAAAGGAATGTTTCTCTCTGTTAGGTGAATTTACAAATCACAAAGAAGTTCCTCAGATTGCTTCTGTCTAGATTTTATGTGAAGATATTTCCTTTTCTACAATAGGCCACAATGCGCTCCAAATCTCCACTTGCAGATTCTACAAAAAGAGTGTTTCCAAACTGCTCAATCAAAAGAAAGGTTCAACTCTGTGAGATGAACGCACACACCACAAAGAAGTTTCGCAGAATTCTTCTGTCTAGTATTTTTGTGAATATATTTCCTTTTCTATCATAGACCTAAAATCGCTGCAAATGTCCACTTGCAGATTCTACAAAAAGAGAGTTTCAAAACTGCTCAATCAAAAGAAAGGTTTAACTCTAAGAGATGAATGCTCACATAACAAAGAAGTTTCTCAGATTGTTTCTGTCTAGATTTTATGTGAAGATATTTCCTTTTCTAGCATTGGCCTCAAAGCGCTCCAAATGTCCACTTGCGGATTCTACAAAAAGAGAGTTGTAAAACTGCCCTAGCAAAAGAAAGGTTTAACTAGGCGAGATGAATGTACACATCTCAAAAATGTTTCTCAGGTTGTTTCTGTCTAGATTTTATGTGAAGATATTTCCTTGTCTACCATAGGCCGCAAAGCGCTCCAAATGTCCACTTGCAGATTCTACAAAATGAGTGTTTCCCAACTGCTCAATCAAAAGAAAGGTTCAACTCTGTGAGGTGAAGGCACACAGACACAAAGAAGTTTCTAAGAATTCTTCCGTCTAGTTTTTATGTGAAGGGATTTCCTTTTCCACAATAGGCCTCAAAGAGCTCCAAATATCCACTTGCAGATTCTACAAAAAGAGAGTTTCAATACTGCTCAATCAAAAGAAAAGTTTAACTCTGTGAGATGAATGCACACATCACAAAGAACTTTATCAGATTTCTTCTGTCTAGATTTTATGTGAAGGTATTACCTTTTCTACCATGGGCCACAAAGCTTTCCAAATTTCCACTTGCAGATTCTACAAAAAGAGTGTTTCCAAACTGCTCAATCAAAAGAAATGTTCAATTCTGTGAGAAGAACGCAAACATCACAAAGAAATTTCTCAGAAGTCTTCTGTCTAGTTTTTATGTGAAGATATTTCCTTTTCCACAATAGGCCTGAAAGTGATCTAAAAGTCCACTTGCAGATTCTACAAAGAGAGAGTTTCAAAACTGCTTAATCAATAGAAAGGTTTGACTCTGTGAGATAAATGCACACATCACAAAGAAGTTTCTCAGCGTCTTCTGTCTAGTTTTTATGTGAAGATATTACATTTTCCACCATAGGCCTCAAAGCACTCCAAATGTCCAATTGCAGATTCTACAAAAAGAGTGGTTGCGGACTGCTCAATCAAAAGAAAGGTTCAACTCGGTGAGAATGCAAACATCACAAAGAAGCTTCTCAGAATTCTTCTGTCTATTTTTTATGTGAAGATATGTCCTTTTCCAACATAGGCATCAAAGTGCTCCAAATGACCACTTGCAGATTCTACAAAAAGAGAGCTTCAAAACTGCCCTATCAAAAAGTCCACTTGCAGACGCTACAAAAAGAGAGTTTCAAAGCTGCTTAATCAATAGAAAGGTTTGACTCTGTGAGATAAATGCACACATCACAAAGAAGTTTCTCAGAGTCTTCTGTCTAGTTTTTATGTGAAAATATTACCTTTTCCACCATAGGCCTCAAAGCACTCCAAATGTCCAATTGCAGATTCTACAAAAAGAGTGGTTGCAGACTGCTTAATCAAAAGAAAGGTTCAACTCTGTGAGAAGAACACAAACATCACAAAGAAGCTTCTCAGAATTCTTCTATTTTTTATGTGACGATATTTCCTTTTCCACCATCGTCCTCAAAGCGCTCCAAATGTCCACTTGCAGATTCTACAAAAAGACAGTTTCATTACTGCTCAATCAAACGAAAGGTTTCACACTTTAAGTTGAAGGTACAGTTCACAAAGAAGTTTCTCAGAATACTACTGTCTAGTTTTTATGTAAAGATATTTCCTTTTCCACCATAGGCCTCAAGGCGATCGAAATGTCCTCTTGCATATTCTACAAAAGGAGTATTTCAAAACTGGTCCTTCAGAAGAAAGGTTCAACTCTGGGAGATCAATTCCTATATCACAAAGATGTTTCTCAGAGTGCTTCTATCTAGTTTTTAAGTGAAGATATTTCCATTTCCACCATTGTCCTCAAAGTGCTCCAAATGGGCACTTCCAGATTCCATAAAAAGAGAGTTTCATAGCTTCTCAAACAAAAGAAAGGTTTAACTCTGTGAGATGAATGCACCCATCACAAAGAAGATTCTCAGATTGCTTCTGTCTAGATTTTATATGATGATATTTCCTTTTCTACCATAGGCCGCAAGGCGAACCAAACATCCACCTGGAGATTCTACAAAAAGAGTGTTTCCAAACTCCTTAATCAAAAGAAACTTTCAACTCTGTGAGATGAACGCACACATCACAAAGAGGTTTCTGAGAATTCTTCTGTCTAGTTTTTATGTGAAGATATTTCTTTTTCCACCATAGGCCTCAAAGCGCTCCAAAGGTCAAATTTGAAATTCTACAAAAAGAGAGTTTCAAAACTGCTCAATCAAAAGAAAGGTTTAACTCTGTGGAGTGAATGCACACATCACAAAGAAGTTTCTCAGATTGCTTCTCTCTAGATTTTATGTGAAGATATTTCCTTTTCTACCATAGACAACAAAGCACTCCAAATGTCAACTTGCAGATTCTACAAAAAGAGTGTTTCCAAACTGCTCAATCAACAGAAAGGTTCAACTCTGTGAGATGAACACACACATCACAAATAAGTTTCTCAGAATGCTTCTGACTAGGTTTTATGTGAAGATATTTCTATTTCCACCATTGGCCTCAAAGCTCTCCAAATGTCCACTTGCAGATTCTACAACAAAACATTCTCAAAACTGTTCAATCAAATGTAAAGTTTAACTCTGTGAGATGAATGGACACATCACAAAGAAGTTTCTGACGTTGCTTCTTTTTAGATTTTATGTGAAGGTATTTCCTTTTCTGTCATAGGCTGCATAGCGCTCCAAATGTCCACTTCTAGATTCTACAAAAAGAGTGTTTCCAAACTGCACAATCAAAATAAAAGTTCAACTCTGTGAGATGAATGCACACGTCACAAAGAAGTTTCTGAGAATTCTTCTGTCTAGTTTTTATGTGAAGATATTTCCTTTTCCACCATAGGCCTCAAAGCGCTCCAAATATCCACTTGCAGTTTCTACAAAAAGAGAGTTTGAAAACTGTTCAATTAAAAGAAAGGCTTAACTCTTTGAGATGAATGCACAAATCACAAAGAAGTTTCACAGATTGCTTCTGTCTAAATTTTATGGAAATATATTCCCTTTTCGACCATAGGCCACAAAATGCTGCAAATGTCCACTTGCAGATTCTACGAAAAGAGAGTTTCCAAACTGCTCAAACAAAAGAAACATACAAGTCTGTGACATGAACACACACATCACAAATAAGTTTCTCAGAATGCTTCTGACTAGGTTTTATGTGAAGATATTTCTATTTCCACCATTGGCCTCAAAGCTCTCCAAATGTCCACTTGCAGATTCTACAACAAAACATTCTCAAAACTGTTCAATCAAATGTAAAGTTTAACTCTGTGAGATGAATGGACACATCACAAAGAAGTTTCTGACGTTGCTTCTTTTTAGATTTTATGTGAAGGTATTTCCTTTTCTATCATAGGCTGCATAGCGCTCCAAATGTCCACTTCTAGATTCTACAAAAAGAGTGTTTCCAAACTGCACAATCAAAATAAAAGTTCAACTCTGTGAGATGAATGCACACGTCACAAAGAAGTTTCTGAGAATTCTTCTGTCTAGTTTTTATGTGAAGATATTTCCTTTTCCACCATAGGCCTCAAAGCGCTCCAAATATCCACTTGCAGTTTCTACAAAAAGAGAGTTTGAAAACTGTTCAATTAAAAGAAAGGCTTAACTCTTTGAGATGAATGCACAAATCACAAAGAAGTTTCACAGATTGCTTCTGTCTAAATTTTATGGAAATATATTCCCTTTTCGACCATAGGCCACAAAATGCTGCAAATGTCCACTTGCAGATTCTACGAAAAGAGAGTTTCCAAACTGCTCAAACAAAAGAAACATTCAAGTCTGTGACATGAACACACACATCACAAATAAGTTTCTCAGAATGCTTCTGACTAGGTTTTATGTGAAGATATTTCTATTTCCACCATTGGCCTCAAAGCTCTCCAAATGTCCACTTGCAGATTCTACAACAAAACATTCTCAAAACTGTTCAATCAAATGTAAAGTTTAACTCTGTGAGATGAATGGACACATCACAAAGAAGTTTCTGACGTTGCTTCTTTTTAGATTTTATGTGAAGGTATTTCCTTTTCTGTCATAGGCTGCATAGCGCTCCAAATGTCCACTTCTAGATTCTACAAAAAGAGTGTTTCCAAACTGCACAATCAAAATAAAAGTTCAACTCTGTGAGATGAATGCACACGTCACAAAGAAGTTTCTGAGAATTCTTCTGTCTAGTTTTTATGTGAAGATATTTCCTTTTCCACCATAGGCCTCAAAGCGCTCCAAATATCCACTTGCAGTTTCTACAAAAAGAGAGTTTGAAAACTGTTCAATTAAAAGAAAGGCTTAACTCTTTGAGATGAATGCACAAATCACAAAGAAGTTTCACAGATTGCTTCTGTCTAAATTTTATGGAAATATATTCCCTTTTCGACCATAGGCCACAAAATGCTGCAAATGTCCACTTGCAGATTCTACGAAAAGAGAGTTTCCAAACTGCTCAAACAAAAGAAACATACAAGTCTGTGACATGAACACACACATCACAAAGAAGTTTCTCAGAATTCTTCTGTCTAGTTTTTATGTGAAAATATTTCATTTTCCACCTTAGGCCTCAAGGCAGTCGAAATGTCCTCTTGCAGATTCTACAAAAAGAGTATTTGAAAAGTGGTCCTTCAAAAGAAAGGTTCATGTCTGGGAAGTGAATGCACACATCACTAAGAAGTTTCTCAGAATGCTTCTATCTAGTTTTTATGTGAAGATATTCCCTTTTCCACCATATGCCTCAAAGCGCTCCAAATGTCCACTTGCAGATTCTACAAAAACAGATTTTCAAAACTGCTCAATCAAAAGAAAGGTTTCACTCTTTGAGATGAATGAGCACATCAAAACTGCTCAATCAAAAGAAAGGTTTCACTCTTTGAGATGAATGAGCACATCAAAAAGAAGTTTCTCAGATTGCTTCTGTCTAGATTTTAAGTGAAGATATTTGTTTTTCTACCACAGGCCACAAAGTGCTCCAAAAGTCCACTTGCAGATTCCACAAAAAGGGTGTTTCCAAACTGCTCAATCAAAAGAAAGCTTCAACCCTGTGAGATGAATGCACAGATCACAAAGAAGTTTCTCCGAATTCTTCTGTCTAGTTTTTATGTGAAGATATTTCCTTTTCCATCATAGTCCTCAAGACACTCGAAATGTCCACTTGCAGGTTCTACAAAAACAGTATTTCAAAGCTGTCCTTCAGAAGAACGGTTCAACTTTGGGAGGTGAATGCACACATCACAAAGTAGTTTCTCAGAACTCTTCTGTCTAGTTTTTATGGGAAGATATTTCCTTTCCACCATAGGCCTTAAGGCACTCCAAATGTCCCCTTGCAGATTCTATAGAAAGAGAGTTTCAAATCTGCTCAATCAACAGAAAGGTTTCATCCTTTGAGAAAAATGCATACTTGTCAAAGGAGTTTGTCAGATTGCTTCTTTCTAGATTTTATGTGAAGATATTGCCTTTTCTACCATATGCCGCAAATTGCACCAAACCTCCACTTGCAGATTATGCAAAAAGAGTGTTCACAAACTGCTCAATCAAAAGAAAGTTTCAACTCTGTGAGATGAACGCACACATCACCAAGAAGTTTTTCAGAATTCTTCTGCCTGATTTTTATATGAAGATATTTCCTTTTCCACCATAGGCTGCAAAGCGCTCCAAGTGTCCACTTGCAGATTCTACAAAAGCAGGGTTTCCAAACTACTCAATCAAAAGAAAGGTTCACCTCTGTGGGATGAATGCAAACGTCACAAAGAAGTTTGTCAGAATTCTTCTGTCTAGTTTTTATGTGAAGATATTACCTTTTCGACCATAGGCCTCAAAGCGCTCCAGATGTCCACTTGCAGATTCTACAAAAAGAGAGTTTTGAAACTGCTGTATCAAAAGAAAGGTTTAATTCTGTGAGAGGAATGCACACATCACAAGTAAGTTTCTCAGATTGCTTCTGTCGAGGTTTTATGTGAGGATATTTCCTTTCTACCATAGGCCGTAAAGCGCTCCAAATGTCCACTTGCAGATTCTACAGAAAGAGTGTTTCCAAAGTGCTCAATCAAAAGTAAGGTTCAACTCTGTGAGATCAATGCACACATAACAAAGAAGTTCCTGAAAATTCTTCTGTCTAGTTTTGATGTGAAGATATTTCCTTTTGCACCACAGGCCTCAAAGCGCTCCAAATTACCACTTGCAGATTCTAAAAAAAGAGTTTCAAAACTGCTCAATCAAAGGAAAGGTTTAACTCTGTGACATGAATGCACACATCACAAAGAAGTTTCTTAGATTTCTTCTGTCTAGATATTATGTGAAGATATTTCCTTTTCTACCATAGGCCGCAAATGGCTCCAAATGTCCACTTGCAGATTCTAGAAAAAGACTTTTTCAAAACGTCTCAATCAAAAGAAAGATTCAACTCTGTGAGATGAACGCACACATCACAAAGAAGTTTCTCAGAATGCTTCTGTCTAGTTCTTAAATTAATATATTTCCTTTTCCACGATAGGCCTCCAAGTGCTGAAAATATCTACTTGCAGATTCTGCAAAATGTGAGTTTCGAAATTAATCAAAAGAAAGGTTCAACTCTGTGAGATGAATGCACATATCACAAAGGATTTCGTCAGAATGCTTCTGTCTAGTTTTTATTTGAAGATATTTCCTTTTCCACCATAGGCCTCAAAGCACTCCAAATGTCCATATTTAGATAGTGCAAAAAGAGTGTTTCACAACTGCTCAATCAAAAGTAAAGTTCAACTCTGTGACATGAATGCACATATCACAAAGGAGTTTGTAAGAATACTTCTGTAGCGTTTTTATGTGAAGATATTTCCTTTTCCACCATGGGCCTCATAGAGCTGCGAATGTCCACATGCAAATTCTACAAAAAGAGTGTTTCCAAACTGCTCAATCAATAGAAAGTTTAAACTCTGTGAGATGCATGCACACTTCACAAATAAGTTTCTCAGAATGCTTCTGTCTCGCTTTTATGTGAAGATATGTTTTTATCCACAATAGGACGCAAAGCTCTCAAAATGTCCACTTGCAGATTCTACAAAAAGAGTGTTTCAAAACTGCCCAATGAAAAGAAAATTTCAACACTGTGAGATGAATACACACATCACAAAGAAGTTTGTCAGAATGCATCTGTCTAGTGTTTTTGTGACAATATTTCCTTTTCCAACATAGGCCTCAAAGCGCTCCAAATGTCCACTTGCAGATTCTACAAAAAGAATGTTTCAAAGCTGCTCAATCAAAAGAAAGGTTCAACTCCATTGTATGAAGGCACAAATCCCAAAGAAGTTTCTCAGAATGCTTCTGTCTAGTTCTTAAGAGAAGATATTTCCGTTTTCACCATAGGCATCAAAGCACTCCAAATGTCCACTTGCAGATTCTACAAAAAGAGTGATTCAAAACTACTCAATCAAAAGAAAGGTTCCACTCTATGAGAGGAATGTACACATGACAAAGAAATTTGTCAGAATGCTTCTGTCTAGTTTTTGTGCGAAGATATTTCGTTTTCCACCATAGGCTTCAAAGCATTCAAACTGCCCACTTACAGATAGTTCAAAAAGGATGTTTCAAAACTGCTCAATAGAAAGTAAGGTTCAACTGTGTTAGATAAATGCACATATCATAAAGAAATTTTTCAGAATTCTTCTGTCTAGTTTTTATGTGAAGATACTTCCTCTTCCACCGTAGGCCTCAAATAGCTCCAAATGTACCCTTGCAGATTCTACAAAAAGAGTGTTTTCAAACTGCTCAATCAAAAGAAAGTTTCAACTCAGTGAGATGAATGCACACATCACAAAGAAGTTTCTCAGAATACTTCCGTCTAGTTCTTAAGTGAAGATAATTCCTTTTCCACCATAGGCCTCAAAACGCTCCAAATGGTCTCTTGCAGATCCTACAAAAACATAGTTTCCATACTACTCAATCAAAAGAAAGGTTCAACTCTGTGAGACGAATACACACATCACAAGGAAATTTGTCACAATGCTTCTGTCTAGTTTTTATGTGAAGATATTTCCTTTTCCACCATAGGCTTCAAAGAACTCCAAATGTACACTTGCGGATTCTACAAAAAGAGTTTTTGAAAAGTACTCAATGAAAAGAAAGGTTTAACTCTGTGAGATGAATGCACACATTACAATGAAGTTTTTCAGAATGTTTCTGTATAGTTTTAATGTGAAGATATTTCCTTTTCCACCTTAGACCTCAAAGCGCTATAAATGTCCACTTGCAGATTCTGCAAAAAGAGTGTTTCAAAGCTGCTCAATCAAAAGAAAGTTTCAACTCCGTGAGGTGAATGCACATATCTAAGAAATTTCTCAGAATGCTTCTTTCTAGTTATTATGTGAAGATATTTCCTTTTCCACCATAGGCCACAAAGCGCTCCAATAGTCCGCTTGGAGATTCCACAAAAAGAGTGTTTCAAAACTGCTCAATCAAAAGAAAGATTCAACTCTGTGAGATGAATGCACACATCACAAAGAAGTTTCTCAGAATGCTTCTTTCTACTTCTTAAATGAATATATTTCCTTTTCCACCATAGGCCTCAAAGCACTTCAAATGTCCACTTACAGATCCTACAAAAAGATATTTTCAAATTACTCAATCAAAAGAAAATCTCAACTCTGTGAGATAAATGCACACATCACAAAGGAGTTTGTCAGAACGCTTCTGTCTAGTATTTACTTGAAGACAATTCCCTTTCCACCATAGGCCTCAAAGCACTCCAAATGTTCACTTCCAGATAATACAAAAGGGTGTTTCAAAACTGCCCAATTAGAAGTAAGGTTCAACTCTGTGAGATGAACGCACATATTACAAAGACGTTTGTCAAAATCCTCTGTCCAGTTTTTATGTGAAGATATTTCCTTTTCAACAAAGACCTCAAAGCGCTCCAAATGTACACTTGCAGATTCTACAAAAAGAGTGCTTCCAAACCGCTCAATTGAAAGTAAGGTTCAACTCTGTGAAACGAATGTACATTTCACAAAGAAGTTATTCAGAATGCTTCTGTCTAATTATTATGTGAAGATATTTCCTTTTCCACCGCAGGCCTAAAGCGCTCCAAATATCCCCTTGCAGATCCTACAAAAACAGTATTTCAAAGCTGCTCAAACAAAAGAAAGGTTAAATTCTGTGAGATGAATGCACACATCACAAAGAAGTTTGTCAGAATGCTTCTGTCTAGTTTTTACGTGAAGCTATTTCCTTTTCGACCGTAGTCAGCAAAGCGCTCCAAATGTCCACTTGCAGATTCTACGAAAAGAGGGTTTCCAAACTACTCATCAAAAGAAAGGTCCAACTCTGTGAGATGAATGCATACATCACAAAAAATTTGACAGAATGCCTCTGTCTAGTTTTTATGTGAAGATATTTCCTTTCCACCATAGGCCTCAAAGCACTCCAATTGACCACTTGCAGATAGTTCAAAAAGGGAGTTTCAAAACTGCTCAATCAAAAGTAAATTTCAACTCGGTGAGATGAATGCACATATCAGAAATTAGTTTGTCATAATGCTTCTGTCTAATTTTTATGTGAACATATCTCCTTTTCTACCATAGACTCAAAGCACTCCAAATGTCCACTTGCAGATTCTACAAAAAGAGTGTTTCCAAACTGCTCAATAAAAAGATAGGTTCAACTCTGTGAGATGAATGCACACAACACAAAGAAGCTTCTCAGAATTCTTCTGTCTCGCTTTTATGTGAGATATTTCTTTTTCCACCATGGACCTCAAAGCGCTCCAAATGTTCACTTGCAGATTCTACAAAAAGAGCATTTCAAAAGTGCTCAATCAAAAGAAAATTTCAAACCTGTGAGATGGATGCACGCATCAAAAAGAATTTTCTCAGTATGATTCTGTCTAGTTTTTATGTGAAGATATTGCCTTTTCCACCGTAGGCCTCAAAGCCCTCCAAATGCCCACTTGCATATTATACAAAAAGAGTGTTTCAAAACTGCTCAATGAAAAGAAACGTTCAAATCTGTGAGATGAATGCGCACATCACAAAGAAGTTTCTCAGAATATTTTGGTATAGTTTTTATGTGAAGATATTTGCTTTTCCAAAACAGGTCTCAAAGCGCTCCAAATATCCCCTTGCAGATACTACAAAAAGAGTGTTTCACATCTGCTCAATCAAAAGGAAGTTTCAACTCTATGAGATGAATGCACACATCACAAGGAAATTGTCAGAATGCTTCTGTCTAGTTTTTATGTGAAGATATTTCCTTTTCTACCTTAGTCCTCAGAGCACTCCAATCGTCCACTTACAGACTCTACAAAAGGGAGTTTCCAAACTACTCATTAAAAGAAAGGTTCAACTCTGTGAGACGAATACACACATCACAAGGAAATTTGTCACAATGCTTCTGTCTAGTTTTTATGTGAAGATATTTCCTTTCCACCATATGCCTCAAAGGCCTCCAAATGTCCACTTGCAGACAGTTCAAAAAGGGTGTTTCAAAACTGCTTTATCAAAAGTAAGTTTCAAATCTGTGAGATGAATGCACATATCACAAAGAAGTTTGTCATAATGCTTCTGTGCAGTTTTTACCTGAAGATATTTTCTTTTCTCAATAGACCGCAAAGCTCTCAAAATGTCCAATTGCAGATTCTACAAAAAGAGTGTTTCCAAACTGCTCAATGAAAAGAAAGCTTCAACTCTGTGAGATGAATGCACACGTCACAATGAAGTATGTCAGAATGCTTCTGTATAGTTTTTACGTGAAGATATTTCGTTTTCCACCATAAGCCACCAACCGCTCCAAATGTCCACTTGCAGATTCTACAAAAAGAGTGTTTCAAAGCTGCTCAATCGAAAGAAAAGTTCAACTATGTGAGATGAATGCACACATCACAAAAAAGTTTCTCAGAATGCTTCTCTCTAGTTTTTATGTGAAGATATTTCGTTTTCCACCATAGGCCTCTGAGCGCTCCAAATGTCCACTTTCAGATTCTACAAAAAGAGTGTTTAAAATCTGCTCAATCGAAAGTAAGTTTCAACTCTGTGAGATCAATGCACACATCACAAAGAAGTTTGTGAGAATGCTTCCATCTAGTTTTTATGTGAAGATACTTCCTTTTCCACCAGAGGCCAGAAAGCGCTCCAAATGTCCACTTGCAGATTCTACAAAAAGTGTGTTTCAAAACTGCTCAATTAAAAGAAAGGCTCAACTTTGTGAGAAGAATGCTCACATCAGAAATAAGTTTCTCAGAATGCTGCTGTCTAGTTCTTGAGGGAAGATATTTCCTTTTCCACCATAGGCCTCAAAGCGCTCCAAATGTTCACAGGCAGATTCTACAAAAACAGAGTTTCCAAACTACTCAATCACAGGAAAGGTTCAAGTCTGTGAGATGAATCCTCAGGTCACAAAGAAATTTGTCAGAATGCTTGTGTCTCGTTTTTATGTGAAGATATTTTGTTTTCCACCATGGGCCTCAAAGCACTCCAAATGCTCACTTAACAATTGTACAAAGAGAGTGTTTCAAAACTGCTCAATGAAAAGTAAGGTTCACCTCTGTGAGATGGATGCACATATCACAAAGAAGTTTGTTAAAATCCTTCTGTCCAGTTTTTATGTGATGATATTTCCTTTTCCACCATAGGCCTCAAATCGCTACAAATGTCCACATGCAGATTCTACAAAAAGAATGTTTCCAAACTGCACAATCAATAGAAAGAGTCAACACTGTGAGGTGAATGCCCACGTCACAAAGAAGTTTCTCAGAATGCTTCAGACTAGGTTTTATGTGAAGATATTTCCATTTCCACCGTAGGCCTCAAAGCGCTCCAAATGTCCACTTGTAGACTCTACAAAAAGAGTGTTTCAAAACTGTTCAATCAAAAGAAAGTTGCAACTGTGTGAGATGAATGCACACATCACAAAGAATTTTCTCAGAATGATTCTGTCTAGTTTTTATGTGAAGATATTTCCTTTTCCACCATAGGCCTCAAAGCGCTACTAATGTCCACTTGCAGATTCTACAAAAAGAGGGTTTCAAACTGCTCAATCAAAAGAAAGGTTAAATTCTGTGAGATGAATGCACACATCACAAAGAAGTTTGTGAGAATGTTTCTGTCTAGGTTTTATGTGAAGCTATTTCCTTATCCATCATAGTCCACAAAGCGCTCCAAATATCCACTTGCAGATTCTACGAAATGAGGGTTTCCAAACTACTCAATCAAAAGAAAGGTCCAACTCTGTGAGATGAATGCACACATCACAAAGAAATTTGACAGAATGACTCTGTCTAGTTTTTATGTGAAGATATTTCCTTTCCACCATAGGCCTCAAAGCACTCCAAATGACCACTTGCAGATAGTTCAAAAAGGGTGTTTCAAAACTGCTCAATCAAAAGTATGTTTCAACTCTGTGAGATGAATGCACGTATCACAAAGTAGTTTGTCATAATGCTTCTGTCTAATTTTTATGTGAAGATATTTCCCTTTCTACCATCGCCTCAAAGCGCTCCAAATGTCCACTTGCAGATTCTACAAAAAGATTGTTTCCAAACTGCTCAATAAAAAGGAAGGTTCAACTCTTTGAGATGAATGCACACAACACAAGGAAGCTTCTCAGAATGTTTCTCTCTCTCTCTTATGTGAAGATATTTCCTTTTCCACCATGGGCCTCAAAGCCCTCCAAATGTCCCCTTGCAGATTCTTCAAAAAGAGTGTTTCAAAACTGCTCAATTGAAAGCAAGTTTCAAACCTATGAGATGAATGCGTGCATCAAAAGGAAGTTTCTCAGAATGCTTCTGTCTAGTTTTTATGTGAAGCTATTTCCTTTTCCACCGTAGGCCTCAAAGCCCTCCAAATGTCCACTTGCATATTATACAAAAAGAGTTTTTCAAAACTGTTCAATAAAAAGAAATATTCAACTCCGTGAGATGAATGCCCACATCACAAAGAAGTTTCTCAGAATGTTTCTGTATAGTTTTTATGTGAAGATATTTCCTTTTCCAAAACAGGCCTCAAAGCACTCCAAATGTCCACTTGCAGATACTACAAAAAGTGTGTTTCAGATCTGCTCAATCAAAAGAAAGTTTCAACTGTATGAGATGCTTGCACACTTCGTAAGGAAATTTGTCAGAATGCTTCTGTCTAGTTTTTATGTGAAAATATTTCCTTTTCCACCATTGGCCTCTAAGCACTCTGAAAGTCCACTTGCAGATAGTAGAAAAAGGGTGTTTCAAAACTGGACAGAAACATTATGACAAACTTCTTTGTGATATGTGCCTTCATCTCACAGAGTTGAACATTTCTTTTGATTGAGCAGTTTTACAACACTATTTTTCTAGAATCTGCAGTGTACATTAGGAGTGCTTTGAGGCCTATGGTGGAAAAGGATATATCTTCACATGAAAACTTGACAGAAGCATTCTGACAAACTTCTTGTGATGTGTGCATTCATCTCACGGCATTGATCTTTTCTGTTGATTGAGCACCTTTCAAACAATCTTTTTGAAGAATCTGTCTGTGGACATTTGGAGCACTTTGGGGTCTATGGTGGAAAAGAATTTATCTTCACATAAAAACAAGACAGAAGAATTCTGACAAACTTCTTTATGATGTGTGCATTCACCTCACAGAGTTGAACCTAACTTTTCATTGAGCAGATTTGAAACACTCTTTTTGTAGTATCTGCAAGTGGACATTTGGAGCACTTTGAGGCCTATGGTGGAAAAGGAAATATCTTCACATAAAAACTACACAGAAGCATTCTGACAAACTCCTTTGTGACGTGGGCATTCCTCTCACAGAGTTGAACGTTTCTTTTAATTGGGAAGTTCTCAAACACCCTTTTTGTAGAATCTGTGAGTGGATATTTGGAGCGCTTTGAGGCCTATGGTGGAAAAGGAAATATCTTCACATAAAAATTAGACCGAAGAATTCTGACAAAGTACATTGTGATGCGTGCATTCATCTCAGAGAGTTGAACCTTACTTTTCATTGAGCAGTTTTGAAACACTCTTTTTGTAGAATCTGCAAGTGGACATTTGGTGCGCTTTGAGGCCTATGGTGGAAAGGGAAATATCTTCACATAAAAACTAGACAGAAGCATTATGACAAACTTCTTTGTGATGTGTGCATTCATCTCACAGAGTTGAGTCTTTCTTTTGTTTGAGAAGCTTTGAAACACTCTTTTTGTAGAATCTGCATTTGGACATTTGTTGTGCTTTGAGGCCTTTGGTGGAAAAGGAAATAACTTCACATAAAAACTACACAGAAGCATTCTGACAAACTTCTTTGTGATATGTGCATTTATCTCAAACAGTTGAACCTTACTTTTGATTGAGCAGTTTTGAAAGATCCTTTATGTACTATCCGGAAGTGGACATTTTGAGTGATTTGAGGCCTAAGGTAGAAAAGAAAATACCTTCACATAAGAACTAGACTGAAGCATTCTGAGAAATTTCTTGGTGATGTGTGCATTCATGTCACAGACTTGAAATTTTCTTTAGATTGAGGAGATTTGAAACACTCTATTTGTAGGATCTGCAAGTGGACATTTGGAGCACATTGAGGCCTATGATGGAAAAGGAAATATCTTCAGATAAAAACTAGAGAGAAGCATTCTGCAAACTTCTTTGTGGTGTGTGCATTCATCACACAGATTGGAACATTTCCTTTCATTGAGCAGCTTTGAAATCCTCTTTTTGTAGCATCTGCAAGTGGACATTTGGAGCGCTTTGTGGCCTATGGTGGAAAAGGAATATCTTCACATAAAAATTAGACTGAAGCATTCTGACAAACTTCTTTTTGATGTGTGCATTCATCTCACAGAGTTGAACCTTACTTTTCATTGAGCAGTTTTGAAACACTGTTTTTGTGGGACGTGCAAGTGGACATTTGGAGCGCTTTGAGGCCTATGATGGAAAAGGAAATATCTTCGCAGAAAAAACTAGACAGAAGCATTGTGACAAAGTTCTTTGTGATGTGTGCATTCATCTCACAGAGTTGAATGCTTCTATTGATTGAGCAGCTTTGAAACACTCCTTTGTAGAATCTGCAAGTGGACATTTGGAGCGCTTTGAAGCCTATGGTGGAAAAGGAAATACCTTCACATGAAAACTAGACAGAAGCATTCTCACAATCTTCTTTGTGATGTGGGCATTTATCTCACAGAGTTGAAGCTTACTATTCATTGATTAGTTTTGAAACACTTTTTTTGCAGAATCTGCAAGTGGACATTTAGAGCGCTTTGAGGCCTATGATGGAAAAGGAAATATCTTCACAAAAAAACTAGACAGAAGCATTCAAACAAACTTCTTTGAGACGTGTGCCTTCATCTCACAGAGTTGAAACTTTCTTTTGATGGAGGAGCTTTGAAACATCCATTTTGTAGTATCTGCAAGTGGACATTTGGAGCGTTTTGAGGCTTATGTTGGAAAAGCAAATACTTTCATATAAAAACTAGACGGAAGCATTCTGACAAACTTCTTTGTGATGTGTGCATTCATCTCACAGAGTTGAACCTTACTTTTCATTGAGCAGTTTTGAAACACTCTTTTTGTAGAATCTGCAAGTGGACTTTTGGAGCCCTTTGGGGCCTATGGTGGAAAAGGAAATATCTTCACTTAAAAACTAGATGGAAATATTCTGACAAACTTCTTTGTGATGTGTGCATTCATCTCACCGAGTAGAAACTTTATTTTGATTGGGCAGATTTGAAACACTCTTTTTGTAGAATCTGCAAGTGGACATTTGGAATGCTTGAAGACTATGGTGGAAAAGGAAATATCATCACATATAAACAAGACAGAAGCATTCGGACAAACTTCTTTGTGAAGAGGACACTCATCTCACAGAGTCGAACCTTTCTTTTGATTGAGCATCTTTGAAACACTCTTTTTGTAGAATCTTCAAGTGGACATTATGAGCGCTTTGAGACCTATGGTGGAAAAGGAAGTATCTTCACATAATAACTAGACAGAAGCATCTGACACACTTCTTTGTGATGTGTGCATTCACTTTGAGGCCTATGGTTACAAAGGAATTATCTTCACATAAAAACCAGACAGAAGCATTCTCACAATCTTCTTTGTGATGTGTGCATTCATCTCACAGAGTTCAACATTTCTTTTGATTGAGCAGCTTTGAAACACTCTTTTTGTAGAATCTGCAAGCAGACATTTGGAGCGCTTTTAGGCCTATGGTGGAAAAGGAAGTATCTTCACATAATAACTAGAAAAAAGCATTCTGACACACTTCTTTGTGATGTGTGCATTCATTTCACAGAGTTGACCCTTACTTTTCATTGAGCGGTTTTGAAACACTCTTTTTGTAGAATCTGCAATTGGACATTTGGAGTGCTTTGAGGCCTATGGGGGAAAAGAAAATATCTTCACATAAATACTAGAGAGAAGCATTCTGACATTCTTCTCTGTGATGTGTGCATTCATCTCACAGAATCCAACCTTTCTTTTGGTTGAGCAGCTTTGAAACACTCTTTCTGTAGAATCTGCAAGTGCACATTTGGAGTGCTTTGAGGCCTATGGTGGAAAAGGAAATATCTTCAGATAAAAACTAGACAGAAGCATTCTGACAAACTTCTTTGTGATGTGTACACTCATCTCACAGAGTTGGACCTTAATTTTCATTGAGCAGTTTTGAAACCCTCTTTTTGTAGAATCTCCGAGTGGACATTTGGAGCGCTTTGAGTACTATGTTGGAAAAGGGAATATATTGACATAAAAACTAGACAGAAGCATTCTTACAAACTTCTTTGTTATGTGTGCACTGATCTCACAGAGTTTAACCATTCTTTGATTGAGCAGCTTTGATACACTCTTTTTGTAGAATCTGCAAGTGGACATTTGTACTGCTTTTAGGTCTACGGTGAAAAAGGAAATATCATAACATAAAAATTAGCAGAAGCATTCTGACAAACTTCTTTGTAATGTGTGCATTCATCTCACAAAGTTCAACATTTCTTTTGATTGAGCTGCTTTGAAACACACTTTTTGTAGAATCTGAGACTGGACATTTGGAGTGCTTTGAGGCCTATGGTGGAAAAAGAAATATTTTCATATAAAAACTAGACAGAAGAATTCTGAGAAACATCTTTGTGATTTGTGCCTTCATCTCATACAGCAGAAAATTACTTTTCATTGAGCACTTTTGAAACATTCTTTTTGTAGAATCTGCAAGTGGACATTTTTAGCGCTCTGAAGCCTATGGTGGAAAAGGAAATATCTTCACATGAATACTGGACAGAAGCATTCTGACAAACTTCTGTGTGATGTGTGCATTCATCTCACAGATTTGAACATTTCTTTTGATTGAGCAGCTTTGAAACACTCTTTTTGTAGGATATGCAAGTGGACATTTTTTTCGCTTTGAGACTTATGGTGGAAAAGGAAATATCTTCACATAAAACTAGACAGAAGCATTCTCAGAAACTACTTTGTGATGTATGCATTCAACTCAGAGAGCTGAACATTTCTATTGATAGAATAGTTTTGAAACTCCCTTTCTGAAGAAAATGTAAGTGGATATTTGGGGCGCTTTGAGCTCTATAGTGGAAATGAAATATTTTCACATAAAAACCAGACAGGAGGATTTTCTGAAACTTCTTTGTGATGTGTGCATTCAACTCACAGAGTTGAACCTTTCTTTTGATAGAGCAGTTTTTAAACACTCTTTTTGTAGAATCTGCAAGTGGATATTTGAAGCACTTTGAGGCCCATGGTGGAAAAAGAAATATTTTCACATAAAAACTAGATGGAAGCATTCTGGGAAACTTCTTTGTGATGTGTACATTCAACTCACAGAGTTGAATCTATGTTTTGATAGAACAGTTTTTAAACACTCTTTTTGGAGAATATGTAAGTGGATATTTGATTCCCTTTGAAGCCAATGTTGGAAAACGAAATATCTTCACATAAAACCTAGATAGAAGCATTCTGAGGAACTTCTTTGTGATGTGTGCATTCATCTCCCAGAAGTGAACATTTCTTTTGATGGACCAAATTTGAAATACACTTTTTGTAGAACGTGCAAGCGGACATTTCGAGCGCCTTGAGGCCTATGGTGGAAAAGGAAATATCTTCATATAAAAGCTAGACAGAAGAATTCTGACAAACTTCTTTGTGATGTGTGCATTCAACAAACAGAGTTGAAATTTTCTTTGATTTAGCAGTTTGGAAACACTATTTTTGTAGAATCTGAAAGTGGACATTTGGAGCGCTTTGTGGCCTATGGTAGAAAAGGAAATATCTTCACATAAAATCTAGACAGAAGTAATATGAGAAAATTCTTAGTGATCTGTGCATTCATCTCACAGAGTTCAAACTTCTTTTGATTGAGCAACTTTGAAACTCTATTTTTGTAGAATCTGCAAGTGGAAATTTGGAGCGTTTTGAGGCCTATGGTGGAAAAGAAAATGTCTTCACATAAAAACTAGAGAGAAGAATTCTGAGAAACTACTTTGTGACTTAGGCATTCATATCCCAGAGTTGAAACTTCCTTTTGTTTGAGAAGTTTGGAAACCCCTTTTTTTAGAATCTGCTAGTGGACATTTGAAGCGCTTTGTGGCCTATGGTAGAAAAGGAAATATCTTCACATAAAAATTCTCAGAAGAATTCTGAGAAACTTCTTTGTGATGTGTGCATTCAACTCACAGAGTTGAACTTATCTTTTGATTGAGCAGCTTTGAAACACTCTTTTTGCAGAATCTGAAAGTGGATATTGGGAGTGCTATGAGCACTATGGTGGAAAAGGAAATATCTTCACATAAAAACTAGACAGAAGCATTCTCAGAAACTACTTTGTGATGTGTGCATTCAACTCACAGAGTTGAACAATTCTTTTGATAGAGCAGTGTTGAAACTATCTTTTTCTAGAATCTGCAAGTGGATATTTGGAGCGTTTTGAGGCCTGTGGTGGAAAAGGAAGTATCTTCACATAAAAACTAGACAGAAGAATTCTCAGAAACTTCTTTGTGATGTGTGCATTCAACTCACAGTGTTGAACCTTTCCTTTAATAGAGCAGTTTGGAAACATTCTTTTTGTAGAATCTGCAAGTAGATATTTGGAGCGCTTTGAGAACTATGGTGGAAAAGGAAATATCTTCACATAAAAACTAGACAGAAGCATTCTTATAAACTTCTTTGCGAACTGTGCATTCAATTCACAGAGTCAGACTTTCTTTTGATAGAGCAGTTTTGAAACTCTCTTTTTGTAGAATCTGCTATTGGATATTTGGAGCACTTTGAGGCCTATGGTGGAAAAGGAAATATCTTCACAAAAAAAAACTAGACAGAAGCATTCTCAGAAACATCGTTCTGATGTGTGAATTCATCTCATAGAGTTGAACCTCTCTTTTTTTTTTTTTTTTTGAGATGGAGTCTCGCTCTGTCGCCCAGGTCGGACTGCGGACTGCAGTGGCTCAATCTCAGCTCACTGCAAGCTCCGCTTCCCGGGTTCATGCCATTCTCCTGCCTCAGCCTCCCGAGTAGCTGGGACTACAGGTGCCCGCCACCGCGCCCAGCTAATTTTATGTATTTTTAGTAGAGACGGGGTTTCACCTTGTTAGCCAGGATGGTCTCGATCTCCTGACCTCGTGATCCGCCCGCCTCGGCCTCCCAAAGTGCTGGGATTACAGGCGTGAGCCACCGCGCCCAGCTGAACCTCTCTTTTGAAAGAGCAGTTTTGAAGCTCTCTTTTTTAGAGCCTGCAAGTGGATATTTCGAGCGCTTTCAGGCCTGTGGTGGAAGAGGAAATATCTTCACATAAAAACTAGACAGAAGCATTCTCATTAACTTCTTTGTGATGCATCCATTCAACTTACAGAGTTGAACCATTCTTTTGATAGAGGAGTTTTGTAATTCTCTTTTGAAGAAAATGCAAGTGGATATTTGGAGAGCTTTGAGGTCTACTGTGGAAAAGGAAATATCTTCACATAAAAACTAGACAGAAGCATTCTCCGAAACTTCTCTGTGATGTGTGCATTCAACTCACAGAGATGATCCATTCATTTGATAGTGCACTTTTGAAACACTTTTGTGTAGAATCTGCAAGTGGATATTTGCAGCGCTTTGAGAACTATCGGGGAAAAGGAAATCTCTTCACATAAAAACTACACAGAAACATTCTCAGAAACTACTTTGTGATGCGGGCATTCAACTCACAGAGTTGAACCATTCTTTTGATAGAGCAGTTTAGAAACTCTCTTTTTGAAGAAAATGCAAGTGGATATTTGGAGCGTTTTGAGGCATATGGTGGAAAAGGAAATACCTTCACATAAAAACTAGACAGAAGCATTCTCAGAAACTTCTTTGTGATGTGTGCATTCAACTCACAGAGTTGATCCATTCTTTTGATAGAGCAGTTTTGAAACACTCTTTTTGTAGAATCTGCAAGTGGATATTTGGGGGGCTTTGAGAACTATGGGGAAAAGGAAATATCTACAAATAAAAGTAGACAGAAGCATTCTCAGAAACCTCTTTGTGATGTGTTCATTCAACTCACAGAGTTGAACCTTCCTTTTGATGGAGCAGTTTTGAAACACTCTTTTTGTAGAATCTGCAAGTGGATATTTGGAGCGCTTCGAGGCCTATGGCGGAAAAGGAAACAACTTCACATAAAAATTAGGCAGAAGCCCTCTCCGGAACTTCTTTGTGATGAGTGCATTCAACACACAGAGTTGAACGTTTCTTTTCATAGAGCAGCTTTGAAACACTCCTTTTGTAGAATATGCAAGTGGATATTTAGTTCCCCTTGAGGCCTATGTTGGAAAACGAAATATCTTCACATAAAAACTGGACAGAAGCATTCTAAGAAACTTCTTTTTGACGTGTGCATTCAACTCACAGAATTGAAGCTTTCTTTGGATAGAGCAGTTTTGAAACACTCTATTCTAGAATCTGATAGTGGATAAAATAGCGCTTAGAGGCCCATTGTGGGAAAGGAAATATCTTCACATAAAACTAGACAGAAGCATTCTTTGAATCTTTGTGATGTGTGTGTTCAACTCACAGTGTTGAACCTTTCTTTTGATAGAGCAGTTTTGAAAATCTCTTTTTGTAGAATCTGCAATTGGATATTTGGAGCACTTTGAGGCTATGGCAGAAAAGGAAATATCTTCACAAAAAAACTAGACAGAAGCATTCTCAGAAACTACTTTGTGATGTGTACATTCAACTCAGAATGTTGAAGCTTTCGATTTATAGAATAGTTTTGAAACACCCTTTTTGTAGAATCTGCCAAGGGATACTTTGATCCCTTTGAGGCTTATGTTGGAAAACGCAATATCTTCACATAAAAACTAGACAGAAGCATTCTCAGAAACTTCTTTGTGATGTGTGCATTCAACTCAGAGACTTGAACATTTCTTTTTTTTATTATACTTTAAGTTTTAGGGTACATGTGCACATTGTGCAGGTTAGTTACATATGTATACATGTGCCATGCTGGTGCGCTGCACCCACTAACTCGTCATCTAGCATTAGGTATATCTCCCAATGCTATCCCTACCCCCTCCCCCGACCCCACCACAGTCCCCAGAGTGTGATATTCCCCTTCCTGTGTCCATGTGATCTCATTGTTCAATTCCCACCTATGAGTGAGAATATGTGGTGTTTGGTTTTTTGTTCTTGTGATAGTTTACTGAGAATGATGATTTCCAATTTCATCCTTGTCCCTACAAAGGACATGAACTCATCATTTTTTATGGCTGCATAGTATTCCATGGTGTATATGTGCCACATTTTCTTAATCCAGTCTATCATTGTTGGACATTTGGGTTGGTTCCAAGTCTTTGCTATTGTGAATAATGTCACAATAAACATACGTGTGCATGTGTCTTTATAGCAGCATGATTTATAGTCCTTTGGGTATATACCCAGTAATGGGATGGCTGGGTCAAATGGCATTTCTAGTTCTAGATCCCTGAGGAATCGCCACACTGGCTCATCATCACTGGCCATCAGAGAAATGCAAATCAAAACCACTATGAGATACCATCTCACACCAGTTAGAATGGCAATCATTAAAAAGTCAGGAAACAACAGGTGCTGGAGAGGATGTGGAGAAATAGGAACACTTTTACACTGTTGGTGGGACTGTAAACTAGTTCAACCATTGTGGAAGTCAGTGTGGCGATTCCTCAGGGATCTAGAACTAGAACATTTGTTTTTATAGAGCAGTTTTGAAAATCTCTTTTTGTGGAGTCTGGAAGTGGATATTTGGTTCCCCATGAGGCCTATGTTGGAAAAGGAAATATCTTCACATAAAAACTAGACCGAAGCATTCTGTGAAACTTCTTTGTGATGTGTGCATTTAACTAACAGAGTTGATCCATTCTTCTGATAGAGCACATTTGAAACACTCCTTTTTTAGAATCTGCAAGTGGATATTGGGAACGATTTGAGCACCATGGGGTAAAAGAAATATCTTCACATAAAAACTAGACAGGAACATTCTCAGAAACTACTTTGTGATGCGGGAATTCAACACTCAGAGCTGAACCATTGTTTGGATAGAGCAGTTTTGAAACTCTCCTTTTGAGGAAAATGCAAGTGGATATTTGGAGCACTTTGAGGCCTATGGTGGAAAAGGAAATATCTTCTCATAAACAATAGAAGGAAGTACTCTGAGAAACTTCTTTGTGATGTGTTCATTCAACTTACAGGGATGATCCATTCTTAGGATGGAGCAGTTTTGAAACACTCTTTTTGTAGAATCTACAAGTGGATGTTTGGACTGCTTTGAGACCTTCGTTGGAAACAGGAACAGCTTCCCATAAAAACTAGACAGAAGCATTCTCAGAAACTTCTTTTTGATGTCTGCATTCAACTCAAAGAGTAGAACCTTTCTTTTCATAAAGCAGTTTTGAAACACTCTTTTCGTAGAATCTTCAAGTGGACATTTGGAGCACTTTGAGACCTGTAGTGGAAAAGAAAATATCTTTACATAAAAACTAGACAGAAGCATCCTTAGAAACTTCTTTGTGATGTGTGGATTCAACTCACAGAGTTGAACCTTCCTTTTGATAGAGCAGTTTTGAAACACTCTTTGTAGAATCTGCAAGGGGATATTTGGATCGCTTTGAGGACTGTGGTGGAAAAGGAAATATCTTCACATAAAAACTAGACAGAAGCATTCTCAGAGACTTCTTTGTGATGTGTCCATTCAACTCACAGAGTTGAAACTTCCCTTTGATAAAGCAGTTTTGAAACACACTTTTTGTAGAATCTGCAAGGGGATATTTGGAGTGCTTCCAGGCCTACAATGGAAACGGAAATATCTTCACATGAAAACTAGACAGAAGCGTTCTCATAAACTTCTTTGTGATGTGTGAAATCAACTCACAGAGTTGACATTCCTTTTGATACAGCAGTTTTGAAACACTCTTTTGTAGAATCTGCAAGTGGACATTTGGAGCGCTTTGATTCCTGTGGTGGAAAACAAAATAACTTTACATAAAAACTAGACAGAAACATTCTCAGAAACTTCTTTGTGATGTGTGCATTCAACTCACAGAGTTGAAGCTTCCTTTTGATAGAGCAGTTTTGAAACACTCTTTTTGTTGAATCTGCAAGTGGATATTTGGAGGGCTTTGTGGCCTACGGTGGAAACGGGAATATCTTCACATAAAAACTAGACAGAAGCATTCTCAGAAACTACTCTGTGAAGTGTGCATTCAACTAAGAGAGTTGAAACTACCTTTTGATAGAGCAGTTTTGAAACACTCTTTCTGTAGAATCTGCAAGGGGATATTTGGAGCGCTTTGAGCCCTATGGTAGGAAAGAAAATGTCTTCATATAAAAACTAGACAGAAGCATTCTCAGAAACAAATTTGCGTGTTTTCATTCAACTCACAGAATTGAACATTCCTTTTGATAGAGTAGTTTTGAAACACTCTTTTTCTAGAATCTACAAGTGGATATTTGGAGCATTTAGAGGCCTTCGTTGGAAACGGGAATATCTTCACATAAAAACTATACAGAAGCATTCTCAAAACTTCTTTGTGGTGTGTGCATTCAAGTCACAGAGTCGAACTTTCTTTTGATAGAGCAGTTTTGAAACACTCTTTTTGTAGAATCTGCAAATGGACATTTGGAGCGCTTTGAGGCCTCTGGTGGAAAAGGAAATATCTTCACATAAAAACTAGATAGAAGGATCCTTAGAAACTTCTTTGTGATGTGTGCATTCAACTCACAGAGTTGAACCTTCCTTTTGATAGAGCAGTTTGAAACACTCTTTTGTGGAATCTGCAAGTGGATATTTGGAGGGCTTTGATGCCTATGGTGGAAACGGGAATATCTTCACATAGAAACTAGACAGAAGCATTGTCATAAACTTCTCTCTGATGTGTGCATTCACCTCAGAGAGTTGAAAATTCCTATTGATAGAACAGATTTGAAACACATTTTTTGTAGAATCTGCAAGGGGCATTTGGAGTGCTTTGAGGCCTGTGGTGGAAAAGGAAATATCTTCATATAAAAACTAGACAGAAGCATTCTCAGAACTACTCTGCGATGTGTGCATTCAACTCATGGGGTTGAACATTCCTTTTGGTAGAGCAGTGTTGAAACGTTGTTTTTGTAGAACATGCAAGTGGATATTTGGACCGCTTTGAGGCCTACTGTGGAAAATGGAATATCTTCACATAAAAACTAGACAGAAGCATCTCAGAAACTTCCTTGTGATGTGTGCATTTAACTCACGGAGTAGAACGTTCCTTTTGACAGAGCAGTTTTGGAACACTATTTTTGTAGAATCTACAAGTGGATATTTGGAGCGCTTTGTGGCCTACCATGGAAACGGGAATATCTTCACATAAAAACTAGACAGAAGCATTCTCAGAAACTTCTTTGTGATGTGTGCATTCCATTCACAGAGTTGAAACTTCCTTTTAATAGAGCAGTTTTGAAACACTCTTTCTGTAGTATCTGCAAGTGGATATTTGGAGCGCTTTGAGGCCTATTGTAGAAAAGGAAATATTTTAATATAAAAACTAGACAGAAGCATTCTCAGCAACTTCTTTGTGATGTTTGCATTAAACTCACAGAGTTGAACATTCCTTTTGATAGAGCAGTTTTGATACACTCTTTTTGTAGAATCTTCAAGTGAACATTTAGAGCACTTTGAGGCCTGCAGTGGAAAAGGAAATATCTTCACAGAAAAACTAGACAGAAGCATCCTTAGAAACTTCTTTGTGATGTGTGCATTCAACTCATAGCTTTGAACCTTGCTTTTGATAGAGCAGTGTTGAAACACTGTATTTTTAGAATCTACACGGGGATATTTTGCATGCTTTGAGGCCTACTGAGGAAACGGGAATATCTTCACATAAAAACTAGGCAGAAGCATTGTCATAAACTACATTGTGATGTGTGCATTCAACTCAGAGAGTTGAAACTTCCTATTGATAGAGTAGTTTTGAAACACTCTTTTTGTAGAATCTGCAAGTGGATATTTGGAGCGAATTGAGGCCTATGGTAGAAAATGAAATATCTTCACATAAAAACTAGAGAGAAGCATTCTCAGAAACTACTTTGTGATGTTTGCATTCAACTCACAGAGTTGAACTTTCGCTTTGATAGAGCAGTTTTGAAACCCTCTTTTTGTAGAATATGCAAGTGGATATGTGGAGCGCTTTGAGCCCTATGGTAGAAAAGAAAATATTTTCATATAAAAACTAGACAGAAGCATTCTCAGAAACTATTTTGTGATTTTTGCATTCAACTCACAGAGTTGAATATTGCTTATGATAGAGGAGTTTTGAAACACTCTTTTTGTAGGATCTGCAATTGGATGTTTGGACCACTTTGAGGCTTTCATTGGAAATGGGAATATCTTCACATAAAATCTAGACGGAAGCATTCTCATAAACTTCTTTGTGATGTGTGCATTCAACTCAGAGAGTTGAAACTTCCTATTGAGAGAGCAGTTTTGAGACACTCTTTTTGTAGAACCTGCAAGTGGATATTTGGAGAGCTTTGTGGCCTATGGTGGAAACGGGAATATCTTCACATAAAAACTAGACAGAAGCTTTCTTAGAAACTACTTTGTGATGTTTGCATTCAACTCACAATGTTGAACCTTCCCTTTGATAGAGCAGTTTTCAAACACTCTTTTTGTAGATTCTGAGAGGGGACATTTGGAGTGCATTGAGGGCTAAGGTGGAAACGAGAATATCTTAACATAAAAACTAGACAGAAGCATTCTCATAAACTTCTTTGCGATGTGTGCAGTCAACTCAGAGAGTTGAAACTTCCGATTGATACAGCAGTTGTGAAACACTCTTTTTGTAGGATCTGCAAGTGGAGATTTGGATTGCTTTGAGCCCTATGGTAGAAAAGGAAATATATTCATATAAAAACCAGACAGAAGCATTATCAGAAACTACTTTGTGATGTTTGCATTCGTCTCACAGAGTTGAACATTCCTTTTGATAGAGCAGTTTTGAAACCCTCTTTTTGTAGAATCTGAAAGTGGATATTTGGAGGGATTTGAGGACTTCATTGGAATCGGTAATATCTTCACATAAAAACTAGACATAAGCATTCTCAGAAACTTCTTTGTGATGTGTGCATTCAAATCACAGAATTGAAACTTTCTTTTGATACAGCAGTTTTGAAAAACTCTTTTTTTGAATCTGCAAGTGGACATTTGGAGCGCTTTGAGGAATGTGGTGGAAAAGAAAGTAACTTCACATAAAAACTAGACAGAAGCATTCTCAGGAACTACTTTGTGAAGTGTGTATTCAACTAAGAGAGTTGAAACTTCCTTTTGATAGAGCAGTTTTGAACCACTCTTTTTGTAGGATGTGCAAGTGGATATTTGGAGCACTTTGAGGCCTTCGGTGGAAACGGGAATATCTTCACATAAAAACTAGACAGAACCATTCTCAGAAACTTCTTTGTGAAGTGAGCATTCAACTCAGAGAGTTGAAACTTCCTATTGAGAGAACAGCTTCGAAACATACTTTTTGTAGAATCTTCAAGTGGATATATGGAGCGCTTTGAGGATTTCTTTGGAAACGGGAATATCTTCACATAAAAACTAGAGAGAAGCATTCTCAGAAACTACTTTGTGATGTGTGCATTCAAATCATAGAATTGAACCTTTCTTTTGATAGAATAGTTTTGAAACACTCTTTTTGTAGAATCTGCAAATGGCCATTTGGAGTGCTTTGAGGCCTTTGGTGGAAAAGGAAATGACTTCACATAAAAACTAGACAGAAGCATTCTCAGAAACTTCTTTGTGATGTATGCATTCAACTCACAGAGTTGAACCTTCCTTTTGATAGAGCAGTTTTGAAGCCCTCTTTTTGTAGAATCTGCAAGTGGAAATTTGGAGGGCTTTGTGGCCTACGGTGGAAACAGGAATATCTTCACATAAAAAGCATTCTCGGAAACTACTTTTTGAAGTATGCATTCAACTCAGCGAGTTGAACATTTCTTTTATTAGAGCAGTTTTGAAACACTCTTTCTGTAGAATCTGAAAGTTGATATTTGGAGCTCTTTGAGGCCTATCGTAGAAATGTAAATATCTTCATATAAAAACTAGACAGCAGCATTCTCAGAAACTCTTTCGTGATGTTGCATTCAGCTCACAGAGTTGAACATTCCTATTGATAGAACAGTTTTGAAACACTCTTTTTGTACAATCTGCAAGTGGATATTTGGACTGCTTTGAGGCCTTCGTTGGAAACGGGAATATCTTCACATAAAAACCAGACAGAAGCATTCTCAGAAACTTCTTTGTGATGTGTGCATTCAACTCACACAGTTGAACCTTTCTGTGGATAGAGCAGTTTTGAAACACTCTATTTGTGGAATCTACAAGTGGACATTTGGAGGGCTTTGAGGTCTGTGGTGGAAAATGAAATATGTTCACATAAAAACTAGACAGAATCATCCTTAGAAACTTCTTTGTGATGTGTGCATTCAACTCACAGGGTTGAGCCTTCCTTTTGAAAGAGCAGTTTTGAAACTGTTTTTTTGTGCAATCTGCAATTGGATATTTGGAGCGCTTTGTGGCCTACGGTGGAAACTGCAATATCTTCAAATAAAAACTACACAGCAGCATTCTCATAAGCTTCTTTGT
This sequence comes from Homo sapiens, assembly GCF_000001405.40. Taxonomy (NCBI): domain Eukaryota; kingdom Metazoa; phylum Chordata; class Mammalia; order Primates; family Hominidae; genus Homo; species Homo sapiens. The sequence goes on from NC_000007.14 coordinate 58,008,792, forward strand.
GATTCGTGCATTCAACTCATAGAGGTGCAACTTCCTACTGATACAGCAGTTTTGAAAAACTCTTTCTGTAGAACTGCAAGTGTATATTTGGAGTCCTATGAGGCCTATGGTAGAAAAGGAAATATCTTCATATAAAAACTAGACAAAAGCATCCTCAGAAACTACTTTGTGATGTTTGCATTCAACTCACAGACTTGAGGATTACTTTTGAAACACTCTTTTTGTAGAATCTGCAAGTGGATATTTTGACCGCTTTGAGGCCTTCGTTGGAAACAGGTATATCTTCACATAAAAACTAGAAAGAAGGATTCTCAGAAATTTATTTGTTGTGTGTGCATTCAACTCAGAGAATAGAACCTTTATTTTCACAGAGCAGTTTTGAAACACTTTTTTTGTAGAATCTGCAAGTGGATATTTGTCTGTGGTGGAAAAGGAAATATCTTCACATAAAAACTAGACAGAAGCATTCTTAGAGACTTCTTTCTTATGAGTGCATTCAACTCACAGAGTTGAACCTTCCCTTTGATCGAGCAGTTTTGAAACACTCTTTTTGTAGAATCTGCAAGGGGATATTTGGAATGCTTTGAGGCCTGTGGTGGAAACGGGTATATCTTCACAGAAAAACTAGACAGAATCATTCTCATAAACTTCTTTGTGATGTGTGCTTTCAACTCAGAGAGTTGAAACTTCCTATTCATACAGCAGTTTTGAGAAACTCCTTTTGTAAAATCTTCAAGTGGATATTTGGAGTGCTTTGAGGCCTTCGTTGGAAATGGGTATATCTTCACATAAAAACTAGACAGAAGCATTGTCAGAGACTTCTTTGTGAGGTGTGCATTCAACTCACAGAATTGAACTTTTATTTTGATAGAGCCGTTTTGAATCACTCTTTTTGCAGAATCTGCAAGTGGCTATTTGGACCGTTTTGAGGTCTTCGTTGGAAACGGGAATATCTTCACATAAAAACGAGACAGAAGCATTCTCAGAAACTTCTTTGTGATGTGTGCATTCAACTCACAGAGCTGAACCTTTCCTTTGATAGAGCAGTTTTGAAACAATCTTTTATAGATTCTACAAGTGGACAATTGGAGCGCTTTCAGACCTGTGGTGGAAAAGGAAATATCTTCATATAAAAACTATACAGACGCATCCTTAGAAACTTCTTTGTGATGTGTGCATTCGACTCACAGAGTTGAACATTTCTTTTGATGGAGCAGTTCTGAAACACTCTTTTTGTAGAATCTGCAAGTGGATATTTGGAGTGCTTTGTGTCCTACAGTTGAAACGGGAATATCTTCACATAAAAACTAGACAGAAGCATTCTCATAAACTTGTTTATGATGCGTGCTTTCAACTCACAGAGTTGAAACTTCCTATTGATAAAGCAGTTTTGAAACACTCTTTTTGTAGAATTTGCAAGTGGATATTTGGAGCACGTTGAGGCCTGTGGTAGCAAAGGAAACATCTTCATAAAAAAACTAGACAGAAGCATTCTCAGAAACTACTTTGTGATGTTTGCATTCAACTCACAGAGTTGAACTTTGCTTTTGATAGAGCAGTTTTCAAACTCTCCTTTTGTAGAATCTGCAAGTGGATATCTGGACTGCTTTGAGGCCTTTGTTGGAAACGGGAATAGCTTCACATAAAAACTAGACAGAAGCGTTCTCAGAAACTTCTTCGTGATGTGTGCATTCAACTCAATAGTTGAAGTTTTCTTTTGATAGAGCAGTTTTAAAACACTGTTTTTGTAGAATCTGCCAGTGGATATTTGGATCGCTTTGAGGCCTGTGGTGGAAAAGAAAATATCGTCATATAAAAACTAGACACTATCATCCTCAGAGACTTCTTTCTGATGTTTTCATTCAACTCACAGAGTTGAACTTTCCCTTAGATAGAGCAGTTTTGAAACACTCTTTTTGCAGAATGTTCAAGGAGATATTTGGAGTGCTTTGAGGTCTACGGTGGAAACGGGAATGTCTTCAAATAAAAACTAGACAGAAGCATTCTCATAAACTTCTTTGTGATGTGTGCATTCAACTCAGAGAGTTGAAACTTCCTATTCATACCGCAGTTTTGAGAAACTCCTTTCGTAAAATCTTCAAGTGGATATTTGGAGCGCTTTGAGGCCTTCGTTGGAAACAGATATATCTTCACAAAAAAACTAGACAGAAGCATTGTCAGAGACTTCTTTGTGAGGTGTGCATTCAACTCACAGAATTGAACCTTTCTTTTGATATAGCCATTTTGAAACACTCTTTTTTGCAGAATCTGTAAGTTGATATTTGGACCGTTTTGAGGTCTTCATTTGAAACGGGTATATCTTCACATAAAAATGAGACAGAAGCATTCTCAGGAACTCCTTTGTGATGTGCGTATTCAACTCACAGAGTTGAACCTTTGTTTTGTTATAGCAGTTTTGAAACAATCTTTTATAGAATCTAGAAGTGGACAATTGGAGCGATTTCAGGCCTGTGGTGGAAAAGGAAATATCTTCATATAAAAACTATACAGACGCATCCTTAGAAACTTCTTTGTGAAGTGTGCATTCGACTCACAGAGTTGAGCATTTCTTTTGATAGAGCAGTTCTGAAACACTCTTTCTGTAGAATCTGCAAGTGGATATTTGGAGTGCTTTGTGGCCTAAGGTTGAAACGGGAATATCTTCACTTAAAAGCTAGACAGAAGCATTCTCATAAACTTGTTTGTGATGCGTGCTTTCAACTCACAGAGTTGAAACTTCCTATTGATACAGCAGTTTTGAAACATTCTTTTTGTAGAATTTGCAAGTGGATATTGGAGCCTGCTGAGGCCTGTGGTAGCAAAGGAAATATCTTCATGAAAAAACTAGACAGAAGCATTCTCAGAAACTTCCTTTTGAGGTGTGCATTCAACTCAGAGAATTGAACCTTTCTTTTGATAGAGCCATTTTGAAACACTCTTTTTGTAGAATCTGCAAGTGGATATTTGGTGCGTTTTGTTACCTACGGTGGAAACTGCAATATCTTGAAATAAAAACTACAAGGAAGCATTCTCAGAAACTTCTTTGTGAGGTGTGCATTCAACTCAGAGGGTTGAAACTTCCTTTTTGTACAGCATTTTTGAGACACTCTTTTCGTAGTATCTACAAGTGGACACATAGAGTGCTTTGAGGCCTATGGTGGAAACGGGAATATCTTCACGTAAAAATGTGATTGAAGCATACTCAGAAACTATTTTGTGAAGTGTGCATCCAACTCAGAATTGAAATTTCCTTGTGTTGTTGCAGTTTTGCAACACTCTTTTTGTAGAATTTGCAAGTGGATATTTGGTGCGCTTTGAGGCCTATTGTATTAAATGAAATATCTTCATATAAAAACTAGATAGAAGCATTCTCTGAAACTACTTTGTGATGTTTGCATGCAACTCACAGAGTTGAGCATTACTTTTGATAGAGCAGTTTTCAAACACTCTTTTTGTAGAATCTGCATGTGGACATTTGGAGCGCTTAGAGGACAGTGGTGGAAAGGGAATTATCTTCACATAAACCTAGACAGAAGCATTCTCAGAAACTTCTTCAGAATGTGTGCATTCAACTCACAGAATTGAATCTTTCTTTTGATAGAGCTGTTTTGAAACACTCTTTTTGCAGAATCTGCAAGAGGAGATTTGGAGTGCTTTGAGGCCTCTGGTGGAAAAGGAAATAACTCCACATAAAAACTAGACAGAAGCATTCTCAGAAACTTCTTTGTGATATGTGCATTCAACTCACAGAGTTGAACCTTCCTTTTGATAGAGCAGTACTAAAACATTCTTTTTGTGGAATCTGCAAGTGGGTATTTGGAGGGCTTTATGGCCGACGGTGGAAAGGGGAATATCTTCACATAAAAACTAGACAGAAGCTTTCTCAGAAACTTCTTTGTGAAGTTTGCATTCAACTGAGAGTAGAACCTTCCTTTTGATAGAGCAGGTTTCAAACACTCTTTCTGTAGAATCTGCAAGTGGACATTTGGAGTGCTTCGAGGACTGTGTTGGAGAAGGAAATATCTTCACATAAAAACCAGACGGAAGCATTCTCATAAACTTCCTTGTGATGTGTGCATTCATGTCACAGAGTGGAAACTTACTATTGATAGAGCAGTTTTGAAACACTCTTTTTGTAGAATCTGCAAGTGGATATTTGAACAGCTTTGAGGCCTTCATTGTAAAAGGGAATATTTTCACATAAAAACTAGACAGAAACATTCTCAGAAACTTCTTTGGGATGTGTGCATTCACCTCACAGAATTGAACCTTTCTTTTGATAGAGTAGTTTTGAAACACTCTTTCTGTAAAATCTGCAAGTTGATGTCTGGAGCACTTTGAGTCCTATGGTAGAAATGGAATTATCTTCATATAAAAACTATGCAGCAGCATTCTCAGAAACTGCTTTGTGATGTTGCATTCAACTCACAGAGTTGAACCTTCCTTTTGATAGAGCAGTTTTGGTTCACTCTTTTTATAGCATCTGCAATTGGATATTTGGAGCGCTTTGTGGCCTACAGTGGAAACTGCAATATCTTCAAATAAAAACTACATAGAAGCATTCTCATAAACTTCTTTCTGATGCGTGCATTCAACTCAGAGGTTTGAACCGTCCTTTTGATTGAGCAGTTTTGAAACACTCTTTATGTAGAATCTGCAAGTGGATATATGGAGTGATTTGAGGCCTTCATTGGGAACCGTAGTATCTTCACATATAAACTAGAAAGAAGCATCCTTAGAAACTTCTTCATTGTGTGTGCATTCAACTCAGAGGTTTGAAACTTCCTTTTGATAGAGCAGTTTTGAAACCCTCTTTCTGTGGAATCTGCAAGTGGATAATTGGAGAACTTTGAAGCCTAGGGTAGAAAAAGAAATATGGTCATATAAAAACTAGACAGAAGCATTCTCAGAAACTACTTTGTGACGTGTGCATTCAACTCAGAGATTTGAACCTTCCTTTTGATTGAGCAGTTTTGAAACACTCTTTATGTAGCATGTGCAAGTGGATATATGGAGCGCTTTGAGGCCTTCGTTGGAAACGGGATTATCTTCACATAAAAACTAAACAGAAGCATTCTTAGAAACTTCTTTGTGATGTGTGCATTCAACTCACAGAGTTGAACCTTCCTTTTGATAGAGCAGTTTTGAGACACTCTTTTTGTAGAATCTGCAATTGGATATTTGGAGCGCTTTGTGGCCTATGGTGGAAGCTGCAATATCTTCAAATAAAAACTACACAGAAGCATTCTCATAAACCTCTTTGTGATGCGTGAATTCAACTCAGAGAGTTGAAGCTTCCTTCTGATTGAGCAGTTTTGAAACACTCTTTATGTAGAATCTGCAAGCAGATATATGGAGTGCTTTGAGGCCTTCGTTGGAAACGGGAATATCTTCACATAAAAACTAGATAGAAGCATTCACAGAAACTTTTTTTTGATGTGTGCATTCAACTCACAGAACTGAACCTTTCTTTTGCTAGAGCAGTTTTGAAACACTCCTTTTGTAGAATCTGCAAGTGGACATTTGGAGTGCTTTGAGGCCTGTGGTGGAAAAGGAAATAACTTCACATAAAAACTAGACAGAAGCATTCTCAGAAACTTCTTTGTGGTCTGTGCATTCAACTCACAGAGTTGAACCTTCCTTTTGATAGAGCAGTTGTGAAACACTCTTTTTGTTGAATCTGCAAGTGGCTATTTGGAGGGCGTTGTGGCCTATAGTGGAAACTGCAATATCATCATATAAAAACTACACTGAAGCATTCTCATAAACTTCTCTGTGATGCGTGCATTCAACTCAGAGAGTTGAAACTTCCTTTTGATACAGCAGTTTTGAAACACTCTTTTTGTAGAATCTGCAAGTGGACATTTGGACTGCTTTGAGGCCTATGGTAGAAGATGAAATATCTTCACATAAAAACTAGACAGAAGCATTCTCAGAATCTTCTTTGTGATGTTTGCATTCAACTCACAGAATTGAACCTTCCTTTTGATAGAACAATTTTGAAACACTGTTTTTGTAGTATCTGCAAGTGGACATTTGGAGCGCTTTGAGGCCTGTGGTGGAAAAGGAAATAACTCCACATAAAAACTAGATAGAAGCATTCTCAGAAACTTCTTTGTGACATGTGCATTCAGCTCACAAATTTGAGCCTTCCTTTTGATAGAGCAGTTTTGAAACACTCTTTTTGTAGAATCTGCAAGTTGATATTTGGAGGGCTTTGTGGTCTACGGTGGAAACGGGAATCTGTTCACACAAAAACTAGATAGAAGCATTCTCGCAAACTCCTTTTGAGGTGTGCATTCAACCTAGAAGTTTGAACCTTCCTTTTGATAGAGCAGTTTTGAAACACTCTTACTGTAGAATCTTGAAGTGGATATTTGGAGTACTTTGAGGCCTATTGTAGAAAAGGAAATATCTTCATATAAAAACTAGACAGAAGCATTCTCAGAAACAACTTTCTGATGTTTGCATTCAACTCATAGAGTTGAACATTCCTTTTGATAATGCAGTTTTTAAACAGTTTTTTGTAGAATCTGCAGATGGATATTTTGACCCCTTTGAGGCCTTCATTGGAAACGGGAATACCTTCACATAAAAACTAGATAGAAGCGTTCTCAGAATCTTCTTTGCTATGTGTGCATTCAACTCACAGAGCTGAACCTTCCTTTTGATAGAGCAGTTTTGAAACGCTCTTTTTGTAGAATCTGCAAGTGGACATTTGGAGCGCTTTGAGGACTGTGGTGGAAAAGGAAATATCTTCACATAAAAACCAGACAGAAGCATTCTCAGAGACTTCTTTGTGATGTGTGCATTCATCTCACAGAGTTGAACCTTCCCTTTCATAGAGCAGTTTTGACACAATCTTTTTGTAGAATCTGCAAGTGAATATTTTGAGTGCTTTGGGGCCTTGGGTGGAAACGGGTGTACCTTCACATAAAAACTAGACAGAAGCGTTCTCATAAATTTCCTTGTGATGTGTGCATTCAACTCAGAGAGTTTTAACTTCCTATTGAGAGAGCAGTTTTGAAACACTCTTTTTGTAGGATCTGCAAGTGGATATTTGGAGCACTTTGTGGTTTACGGTGGAAACTGCAATATCTTCAAATGAAAACTACACGGAAGCATTCTCATAAACTTCTTTGTGGTGCATGCATTCAACTCAGAGAGTTGAAACTTCCTATTGATACAGCAGTTTTGAAATACTCTTTTAATAATATTTGCAAGTGGATATTTGGAGCGCTTTGAGGACTTTTAAAAAAGGTAATATCTTCACATAAAAACTAGACAGAAGCATTCTCAGAAACTTCTTTGTGATGTGTGCATTCAACTGACAGAATTGAAACTTCTTTTGGATGGAGCAGTTTTGAAACACTGTTTTTGTAGAATCTGCAAGTGGATGTTTGGAGCACTTTGTGGCCTACAATGGAAATGGCAATATCTTCATATAAAAACTAGACAGAAGCATTCTCAGAAACTATTTCGTGACGTGTGCATACAACTAAGAAGGTTGAAACTTCCTTTGATTGAGCAGTTTTGAAACACTCTTTATATAGAATCTGCAAGTGGGTATATGGAGCGCTTTGAGGTCTTCGTTGGAAACCAGAATATCTTCACATAAAAACTAGACAGAAGGATTCTCAAAACTTCTTTGGGATGTGTGCATTCTACTCACAGAGTTGCAACTTTCTTTGGATAGAGCAGTTTTGAAACACTCTTTTTGTAGAATCTGCAAGTGGATATTTGAACCACTTTGAGGCCTTTGTTGGAAACGGGAATATCTTTGCATAAAAACTAGACAGAAGCATTCTCAGAATCTTCATTGTGATGTGTGCATTGAACTCCCAGAATTGAACCTTTCTCTTGATAGAGCCCTTATGAAACATGCTTTTTGTAGAATCTGCAAGTGGACATGTGGCATGCTTTGAGGCCTGGGGTGGAAAAGGAGATAACTTCATATAAAAACCAGATAGAAGCTTTCTCAGAAACTTCTCTGTGATGAGTGCGTTCAACACACAGAGTTGAACCTTTCTTTTGATAAAGCAGTTTTGAAAAACTCTTTTTGTAGAATCTGCAAGTGAATATATAGAGGGCTTTGTGGCCTATGGTGGAAAAGGGATTAACTTCACATAAAAACTAGACAGAAGCATTTTCAGAAACTTTTTTGTAAAGTGTGCATTCAACACAGAGAATAGAACCTTTCTTTTGATAGAGCAGTTTTGAAAGACTCTTTCTGTAGAATCTGCAAGTGGTTATTTGGAGTGCTTTGTGGCGTATGGTAGAAATGGAAATATGTTCATATAAAAACTGGACAGCAGCATTGTCAGAAACTCCTTTGTGATGTTGCATTCAGCTCACAGAGTTGAACATTCCTTTTGATAGAGCAGTTTTGAAACACTCATTTTGTAGAATCTGCAAGTGGATATTTTGACCACTTTGAGGCCTTCATTGGAAACAGGAATATCTTCACATAAAAACTAGACAGACACATTCTCAGAAACCTCTTTGTGATGTGTGCATTCAACTCACGGAATTGTACCTTCCTTTTGGTAGAGCAGTTTTGAAACACTCTTTCTTTAGAATCTGCAAGTTGATATTTGGAGGGCTTTGAGGCCTGTGGTAGAAATGGAAATATCTTCATATAAAAACTAGACAGCAGCATTCTCAGAAACTGCTTTGTGATGTTTGCATTCAACACACAGAGTTTAACATTCCTTTTGTTAGAGCAGTTTTGAAACACTCTTTTTGTATGATCTGCAAGTGGATATTTGGACCACTTTGAGGCCTTCATTGGAAAGGGGAATGTCTTCACATAATAACTAGACAGAAGCATTCTCAAGACTTCTTTGTGCTGTGTGCACTCACCTCACAGAGTTGAACCTTTCTTTGGATAGAGCAGTTTGAAACACTCTTTTGGTAGAATCTGCAAATGGACACTTGGAGTGCTTTGAGGTCTGTGGTGGAAAAGGAAATACCTTCACATAAAAACCAGACAGAAGCATCCTTAGAAACTGTTTTGTGATGTGGGCATTCAACTCACAGAGTTGAAACTTCCCTTTGATTGAGCAGTTTTGAAACACCCTTTTGTAGAATCTGCAAGTGGATATATGGAGTGCTTTGAGGCCTTCGTTGGAAACGGGAATATCTTCACATAAAAACTAGACAGAAGCATTCTCAGAAACTACTCTGTGAAATACGCATTCAACTCAGAGAGGTGAACTTTCCTTTTGATAGAGCAGTTTTGAAACACTCTTACTGTAGAATCTGCAAGTGGATATTTTGAGCGCTTTAGGCCTATGGTAGAAAAGGAACTATCTTCATATAAAAACTAGACAGAAACTTTCTCAGAAACTACTTTGTGATGTTTGTATTCAACTCAAAGAGTTGAACATTCCTTTTGATAGTGCAGTTTTGAAACACTTTTTTTGTAGAGTCTGCAAGTGGATATTTGGACCGCTTTGAGGTCTTCGTTGGAAACGGGAATATCTTCACATTAAAACTCGAGAGAAGCATTCTCAGAAACTTCTTTGTGATGTGTGCATTCAATTCACAGAGTTGAACCTTCGTTTTGATAGGGCAGTTTTGTAACACTCTTTTTGTAGAATCTGCAAGTGGACATTTGGAGCGCTTTGAGGACTTTGGTGGAAAAGGAAATATCTTCATATAAAAAGCAGACAGAAGTATTCTCAGAGACTTCTTTAGGATGTGTGCTTTCAACTCACAGAGTTGAACTTGCCCTTTGATAGAGCAGTTTTGAAACACTCTTTTTGATAGAATCTGCAAGTCGATATTTTGAGTGCTTTGAGGCCTACAGTGGAAACGGGAATACTTTCACATAAAAACTAGACAGAAGCATTCTCATAAACTTCCTTGTGATGTGTGCATTCAACTCAGAAAGTTGAAACTTCCTTTTTAGAGTACAGTTCTGAAACACCCTTTTTATGGAATCTGCAAGTGGTATTTGTACCACTTTGAAGCCTTCATTGGAAAAGGGGATATTTTCACATAAAAACTAGACAGAAACATTCTCAGAAACTTCTAAGTGTTGTGTACATTCTACTCACAGAATTGAACCTTTCTTTTGACAGAACAGTATTGAAACACTGTTTTTGTAGAATTTGCAAGTGGACATTTGGAGCACTTTGAGGCCTGTGGTGGAAAAGGAAATAACTTCACATATAAACTAGACAGAAGCATTCTCAGAAACTTCTTTGTGATGTGTGCATTCAACTCATAGAGTTGAACCTTCCTTTTGATAGAGCAGTTTAGAAACACTCTTTTTGTAGAATCTGCTAGTGGATATTTTGAGGGCTTTGTGGCCTACGTTGGAAACGGGAATATCTTCACATAAAAACTAGACAGAAGCATTCTCAGAAACTACTTTGTGAAGTATGCATTCAACTCAGAGAGTTGAATCTTCCTTTTCATTGAGCAGTTTTGAAACAGTCTTTATGTAGAATCTGCAAGTGGATATTTGGAGTGCTTAAGGCCTATGGTAGAAAAGTAAATATCTTCATATAAACACTAGACAGAAGCATTCTCAGAAACTACTTTGTGGTGTTTTCCTTCAACTCAAAGAGTTGAACATTCCTTTTGATAGAGTAGTTTTGACACACTTTTTTTTGTAGATTCTGCAACTGGACATTTGGACTGCTTTGAGGCCTTCGTTGGAAACGGGAATATCTTCACATAAAAACTAGAGAGAAGCATTCTCAGAAACTACTTTGTGAAGTGTGCATCCAACTCAGAGAGTTCAACCTTCCTTTTCATTGAGCAGTTTCTAAACACTGTTGATGTAGAATCTGAAAGTGGATATATGGAGATCATTGAGGCCTTCATTGGAAACGGGAAGATCTTCATATAAAAACTAGACAGAAACATTCACAGAAGCTTCTTTTTGATGTGTGTCTTCAATTAACAGAATTAAACGTTTCTTTTGATAGAGCAGTTTTGAAACACTCTTTTTGTAGAATCTGCAAGTGTATATTTGGAGCGCTTTGTGACCTGTGGTGCAAACTGTAATATCTTCAAATAAAAACTACACAGAAGCTTTCTCATAAAATTCTTTGTGATGCGTGCATTCAACTCAGAGGGTTGAAACTTTCTATTGATACAGCAGTTTTGAAACACTCTTTTAATGGAATCTGCAAGTTGATATTTGCAGCGCTTTGAGGTCTATGGTAGAAAAGGAAATATCCTCACATAAAAACTAGATAGAAGAATTCTCAGAAACTTCTTCATGATGTGTGCATTCAACTCACAGAATTGAAACTTTCTTTTGACAGAACAGTTTTGAAACACTCTTTTTGTAGAATCTGCAAGTGGACATTTGGAGCGCTTTGAGGAATGTGGTGGAAAAGGAAATACCTTCACATAAAAACTAGACAGAAGCATTCTTAGAATCTTCTTTGTGATGTGTGCATTCAACTCACAGAGTTGAACCTTCATTATGATAGAGCAGTTTTGAAACACTCTTTTTGTAGAATCTGCAATTAGATATTTGGAGCGCTTTCTGGCCTTTGGTGGAAACTCCAATATCTTCAAATAAAAACTACACAGAAGCATTCTCATAAACTTCTTTGTGATGCGTGCTTTCAACTCATAGAGTTGAAACTTTCTATTGATACAGCAGTTTTGAAACACTCTTTTTATAGAATCTACAAGTGGTTATTTGGAGTACTTTGAGTCCTTTGGTAGAAAAGGAAATATCTTCACATAAAAAATAGACAGAAGCATTCTCAGAAACTCCTTTGTGATGTGTGCATTCAACTCACAGAATTGAACCTTCCTTTTGATAGAGCAGTTTAGAAACACTGTTTTTGTAGAATCTGCAAGTGGAAGTTTGGATCGCTTTGTGACCTGAAATGGAAATGGCAATATCTTCATATAATAACTAGACAGAAGCATTCTCAGAAACAAATTTGTGAAGTGTGCATTCAACTCAGAGAGTTGAACCTTCTTTTTGATTGAGCAGTTTTGAAACACTCTTACTGTAGAATCTGGAAATGGATATTTGGAGTACTTTGAGGCCTATGGTAGAAAAGGAAATATCTTCATAAAAAAAATAGACAGAAGCATTCTCAGAAACTACTTTTTGATGTGTGCATTCAACTCACAGAGTTGAAACTGTCTTTGGATAGAACATTTTTGAAGCACTCTTTTTGAAGAATCTGCAAGTGGACATTTGGAGGGCTTTGAGATCTGTGATGGAAAAGGAAATACGTTCACATAAAAGCTAGAGAGAAGCATTCTTAGAAACTTCTTTGTGATGTGTGCATTCAACTCACACAGTTGAACCTTTCTTATGATAGAGCAGTTTTGAAACACTCTTTTTGTAGAATCTGCAATTGGATATTTGGAGCGCTTTGTGGCCTTTGGTGGAAACTGCAATATCTTCAAATAAAAACTACACAGAAGCATTCTCATAAACTACTTTGTGATGCATGCTTTCAACTCAGAGAGTTGAAACTTCCTATTGATACAGCAGTTGTGAAACACTCTTTTTATAGATTTTGCAAGTGGTTATTTGGAGAGCTTCTAGGCCTTTTGTAGAAAAGGAAGTATCTTCACATAAAAACTAGACAGAACATTCTCAGAAACTTTTTTGTGATGTGTGCATTCAACTCAGGGAGTTGAACCTCCCTTTGGAGAGAGCAGTTTTGAAACACTTTTTCTGTAGAATCTGTAAGTTGATATTTAGAGCACTTTGAGGCCTATGGTAGAAATGGAAATACCTTCATATAAAAACTAGACAGCAGCATTCTCAGAAACTACTTTGTGATGTTGCATTCAACTCACAAAGTTGAACATTTCTTTTGATAGAGCAGTTTTGGAACACTCTTTTTGTAGAATCTGTAAGTGGACATTTGTAGCGCTTTGAGGCCTGTGGTGGAAAAGGAAATAACTTCACATAAAAAGTAGACAGAAGCATTCTCAGAAACTTCTTTGTGATGGTTGCATTCAACTCACAGAGTTGAAACTTCCTTTTGATTGAGCAGTTTTGAAACACTCTTTTGTAGAATCTGCAAGTGCATATTTGGAGGGCTTTGTGGCCTACTGTGGAAACGAGAATATCTTCACATAAAAATTAGACAGAAGTTTTCTCAGAAACTAGTTTGTGAAATATGCATTCAATTCAGAAGGTTGAACCTTCCCTTTGATAGAGCAGTTTTTAAATACTGTTTCTGTAGAATCTGCAAGTTTATATTTAGAGCGCTTCGAGGCCTATGGGAGAAATTTAAATGTCTTCATATAAAACTAGGCAGCAGCTTTCTCAGAAACTCCTTTGTGATGTTGCATTCAACTCACAGAGTTGAACATTCCTTTTGATAGAGCAGTTTTGAAAGACACTTTTTGTAGAATCTGCAAGTGGATATTTGGACCACTTTGAGGCATTCGTTGGAAACGAGAATATTTTCACATAAAAACTAGACAGAGTGTGATGTTCCCCTTCCTGTGTCCATGTGATCTCACTGTTCAATTCCCACCTATGAGTGAGAATATGCGGTGTTTGGCTTTTTGTTCTTGCGATAGTTTACTGAGAATGATGATTTCCAATTTCATCCATGTCCCGTACTGTTGTGGGGTGGGGGAGGGGGGAGGGATAGCATTGGGAAATATACCTAATGCCAGATGACGAGTTAGTGGGTGCAGCGCACCAGCATAGCACATGCATACATATGTAACTAACCTGCACAATGTGCACATGTACCCTAAAACTTAAAGTATAACAATAAAAGAAAAAAAAACCGGAACAAAAAAAAACTAGACAGAAGAATTTTTAAAACTTCTCTGTGATGTGTACATTCAACTCAGAGAGTTGAACTTTTCTTCAGATAGAGCAGTTTTGAAACACTCTTTTTGTAGAATCTGCAAGTGGACATTTGGAGCACTTTGAGGTCTGTGGTGGAAAATGAAATATCTTCACATAAAAACTAGACAGAAGCATTCTCAGAAACTTCTTTTTGATGAGTGCATTGAACTCAAAGAGTTGATCCTTTCTTTTGATAGAGCAGTTTTCAAACACACGTTTAGTAGAATCTGCAAGTGGATATTTGGAGGGCTTTGTGGCCTATGGTGGAAAAGGCAATATCTACACATAGATACTAGACAGAAGCATTCTCAGAAACTACTTTGTGAAGTGTGTATTCAACTCAGAGAGTTGAACCTCCCTTTTGATTGAGCAGTTTTGAAACACTCTTACTGTAGAATCTGGAAGTGGATATTTGGAGCACTTTGAGGACTGTGGTAGAAAAGGAAATATCTACACATAAAAAACAGACAGAAGCATTCTCAGAGACTACTTTGTGATGTGTGCGTTCCACTCACAGAGTTGAATCTTCCCTTTGATACAGCAGATTTGAAACACTCTTTTTGTAGGATCTGCAAGTGGATATTTGGACCGCTTTGAGGCCTTCGTTGGAAACGGGAATATCTTCACATAAAAACTAGACAGAAGCATCTTCAGAAACTTCTTTCTGATGTGTGCATTCAATTCACAGAGTTGAACCTTTCTTTGGATAGAGCAGTTTTGAAACACTCTTTTTGTAGAATCTGCAAGTGGACATTTGGAGCACTTTGAGGTCTCTGATGGAAGAGAAAATACGTTCATATAAAAACTACACAGAAGCATCCTCAGAAACTTCTTTGTGATGTGTGCATTCAAATCGCAGAGTTGAACATTCCTTTTGATAGAGCAGTTTTGAAACACTCTTTTTGTAGGATCTGCAATTGAATATTTGGAGTGCTTTCTGGCCTACCGTGGAAACTGCAATATCTTCAAATAAAAACTATACAGAAGCATTCTCATAAACTTCTTTGTGATGTCTGCTTTTAACTCAGAGAGTTGTAACTTCCTATTGATACAGCAGTTTTGATACACTCTTTTTATAGATTCTGCAAGTGGATATTTGGAGTGTTTTGAGGCGTTTGGTAGAAAAGGAAATTTCTTCACATAAAAACTAGACAGAAGCATATTCAGAAAGTTCTTTGTGATGTATGCATTCAACTCACAGAATTTAACCTTTCTTTTGATATAGCAGTTTAGAAACACTGTTTTTGTAGAATCTACAAGTTGATACTTGGAGCGCTTTGTGGCCTACAAAGGAAATGGCAATATCTTCATATAAAAACGAGACATAAGGATTCTCAGAAACTACTTTGTGAAGTGTGCATTAAATTCAGAGAGTTAAAGCTTCCTTTTGATAGAGCAGTTTTGAAACATTCTTTTTGTAGAATCTACAAGTGGATATTTGGAGCTCTTTGAGGCCTTCGTTGGAAACGGGAATATCTTCACATAAAAAATAGACATAAGCATTCTCAGAAAATTCTTGGTGATGTGTGCATTCAACTCACATAGTTGATCCTTCGTTTTGTTAGAGCAGTTTGGAACACTGTTTTTGTAGAATCTGCAAGTGGATATTTTGAGTGCTTTGAGGCCCACGGTGGAAATGGGAATACCTTCACATGAAAACTAGACAGAAGCATTCTCATAAACTTCCTTGGATATGTTCATTCAACTCAGAGAGTTGAAACTTCCTATTGAGAGAGCAGTTTTGAAACACTCTTTTTGTAGAATCTGCAAGTAGATATTTTCAGCCCTTTGAGGCCTTCATTGGAAAAAGGAATATTTTGACATAAAACCTATACAGCAACATTCTCAGAAACTTCTTTGTGATGTGTGCATTCAACTCACAGAATTGAACATTTCTTTTGATAGAGCAGTTTTGAAACACTCCTTTTTTGGAATCTGCTTGTTATTATTTGGAGCTCTTTGAGGCCTTCGAAGGAAACGGGATATCTTCACATTAAAAACTAGACAGAAGCATTCTCAGAAACTGATTTGTGATGTGTGCATGCAACTCACAGAGTTGAACCTTTCTTTTGATAGAGTAGTTTTGAAACACTCTTTTCGTAGAGTCTGCAAGTGTTCATTTGTAGCGCTTTGAGGCCTATGGAGGAAAGGGAAATATCTTCACATAAAAACAAGACAGAAGCATTCTCAGAAACTTTTTTGTGAGGTGTACATTCAACTCACAGAGTTGAAACTTCCTTTTAATAGAGTAGTTTTGAAAGACTCCTTTTGAAGAATCTGCTGGTGGATATTTGGAGATTTTGGAGGCCTTCGTTGGAAACGGGAATATCTTCACATAAAAATTAGTCAGAAGCATTCTCAGAAACTGCTATGTGATAAGTGCATTAAATTCGCAAAGCTGAACTTTATTTTGATACAGGAGTTTTGAAACACTCTTTTTATATAAACTGAAAGTGTTTGTTTAGGGCGCTTTGAGGCCTGTGGTGGAAAAGGAAATATCTTCACACAAAAACTAGACAGAAGCATTCTCAGAAACTTCTTTGAGATGTGTGCATTCAACTCACAGATTTGAACCTTCCTTTTGACAGAGCAGTTTTGAAACCGTCTTTTTGTAGAATCTGCAAGTGGATATTTGGAGCGATTTGAGGCCTATGGTGGAAAAGAAAATATCTTCACATAAAAACTAGACAGAAGCATTCTCAGAAACCCCTTTGTGAGGTGTGCATTCAACTCACAGAGTTGAACCTTTCTATTGATAGAGTAGTTTTGAAACACTCTTTTTGTAGAATCTGCAAATGTTCATTTGGAGCGCTTTGAGGCCTATGGTGGAAAAGGAAATATCTTCACATAAAAACTAGACAGAAGCATTCGCAGAAACTTCTTTGTGATGTGTGCATTCAACTCAAAGAGCTGAACATTTCTTTTGATCGAGCTGGACTGAAACTCTCCTTTTGTAGAATCTGCTTGTGGATATTTGGAGCTCTTTGAGGCCCCCATTGGAAACGGGATATCTTCAAATAAAAACTAGGCAGAAGCATTCTCAGAAACTGCTTTTTGATGTGTGCATGCAACTCACAGAGTGGAACATATCTTTTGATTGGGCAGTTCTGAAACACACTTTTTGTAGAATCTACAAGTGTTCATTTGGAGCGATTTGAAACCTATGGTGGAAAAGAAAATATCTTCACATAAAAACTAGAGAGAATCTTTCTCAGAAACTGCTTTGTGATGTGTGCATTCAACTGAAAGAGTTGAAACTTTCTTTTGATAGAGCAGTTTTGAAACACTCTTTTTGTAGAATCTGCAAGTGTTCATTTGGAGTGCTTTGAGGCCTAAGGTGGAAAAGGAAATATCTTCACATAAAAACTAGACAGAACCATTCTCAGAAACTTCATTGTGAGGTGTGCATTCAACTCACATAGTTGAAACTTCCTTTTGATAGAGGAGTTTTGAAAGACTCCTTTTGTAGAATATGCTAGTGGATGTTTGGAGATTTTGGAGGCCTTGTTGGAAACGGGAATATCTTCACATAAAAACTAGTCAGAAGCATTCTCAGAAACTGCTTAGTGATGTGTGCATTAAACTCACAGAGTTGAATTTTACTTTTGATAGAGGAGTTTGAAACACTAATTTTGGAGAAACTGCAAGTGTTCATTTACAGCCCTTTGAGTCCTATGGTGGAAAAGGAAATATATTCAGACAAAAGAAGACAGAAGCATTCTCAGAAATTTCTTCGTGATGTGTGCCTTCAAATCACAGTGTTGAACCTTCCTTTTGACAGAGCAGTTTTGAAACAGTCTTTTTGTAGAATCTACAAGTGGATATTTGGAGTGATTTGAGGCCTACGGTGGAAAGAAAATATCTTCACATAAAAAATAGACAGAAGCATTCCCAGAAACTTCTTTGTGATGTGTGCATTCAACTCACAGAGTTGAACCTTTCTATTGATAGAGCAGTTATGAAAGTCTTTTTGTAGAATCTGCAAGTGTTCATTGGGAGCGCCTTGAGGCCTATGGTGGAAAAGGAAATATCTTCACATAAAAACTAGACAGAAGCATTCCCAGAAACTCCCTTGTGATGTGTGCATTGAACTCTCAGAGTCGAACCTTCCTTTCGAGAGAGCCGTTTTGAAACACTCTTTTGGCAGATTCTGCAAGTGGATATTTGGAGCGATTTGAGACCTATGGTGGAAAAGGAAATATCTTCACATAAAAACTTGACAGAAGCATTCTCAGAGACTTCTTTGTGATGTGTTCATTCAAGAAACAGAGTTGAACTTTTCTTTTGATAGAGCAGGTTTGAAACACCTCTTTTGTGGAATGTGCTTGTAATTATTTGGAGCTCTTTGAGGCCTTCATTGGAAAAAGGATGTCCTCTCAAAAAACTAGACAGAAGCATTCTCAGAAACTGCTTTATGATGTCTACATTCAACTCACAGAGTTGAACCTTTCTTTTGATAGATCAGTTTTGTAACACACTTTTTGTAGAATCTGCAAGTGTTCATTTGGAGCGCTTTGAGGTCTATGGTGGAAAAGAAAATATCTTCATATAAAAAATAGACAGAAGCATTCTCAGAAACTTCTTTGTGAGGTGTGCATTCAACTCACATAGTTGAAACCTCCTTTTGATAGAGCAGTTTTGAAAGACTCCTTTTGTAGGATCTGCTAGTGGATAGTTGGAGATTTGAAAGGCCTTCATTGGAAATGGGAATATCTTCATATAAAAACTAGTCAGAAGCATTCTCAGAAACTTCTTTGTGATGTGTGCATTAAATTTGCACAGTTGGACTTTTCTTTTGATAGAGGAGTTTTGAAACACTCTTTGTGTAGAAGCTGCAAGTTTTCATTTAGGGCACTTTGAGGCCTATAGTGGAAAAGAAAATATCTTCACATAAAAACTAGACAGAAACATTCTCAAAAACTTCTTTGTGATGTGTACATTGAACTCAGAGAGTCGAACCTTTCTATTGATAGAGGCATTTTGAAAAACTCTTTTTGTAGAATCTGCGAGTGTTCATTTGGATTGTTTTGAGGCCTATGGTGCAAAAGGAAATATGTTCACATAAAAAGTAGACAGAAGCATTCTCAGAAATTCCTTTGTGATGTGTGCACTCCACTCACAGAGTTGAAACTGTCGTTTCATCGAGCAGTATTGAAACTCTCCTTTTGCAGAATCTGCTTGTGAATATTTGGAGCTCCTTAAGGCCTTTGTTGGAAACGGGATAGCTTGAAAATAAACTAGACGGAAGGATTCTCAGAAACTGCTTCGTGATGTGTGCATTCAACTTAAAAATTCAACCTTTCTTTTGATAGAGCAGTTTTGAAAAACTCTTTTTTATAATCTGCAAGTGTTCACTTGGAATGCTTAGAGGCTATGGTGGAAAATCAAATATCTTTACATAAAAACTAGACAGAAGCATTGTCAGAAACTTCTTTGTGAGGTGTGCATTCAACTCATAGAGTTGAACCTTCCTTTTGATAGAGCAGTTTGGAAAGACACCTTTTGTAGAATCTGCCAGTGGATATTTGGAGATTTTGGAGGCTTTCGATGGAAACGGGAATATCTTCACATAAAAACTAGTCAGAAGCATTCTAAGAAACTG
This sequence comes from Homo sapiens, assembly GCF_000001405.40. NCBI lineage: Eukaryota > Metazoa > Chordata > Mammalia > Primates > Hominidae > Homo > Homo sapiens. The sequence goes on from NC_000007.14 coordinate 58,028,204, forward strand.
CTTTGTGATGTGTGCATTAAACTCGCACAGTTGAACATTTCTTTTGATAGAGGAGTTTTGAAACACTCTTTTTTCTAGAAACTGCAAATGTTCATTCAGTGAGCTTTCAGGCTTATGTTGGAAAAGGAAATATCTTCACATAAAAACTAGACAGAAGCATTCTCAGAAACTTCTTTGAGATGTGGGCCTTCAACTCACAGAGTTGAACTTTTCTTCTGAGAGAGCAGTATTTAAATTCTCCTTTGTAGAATCTGCTAGTGGATATTTGGAAGTCTTTGAGGCCTTCGTTGGAAACGGGATATCTTCAAATAAAAACTAGACAGAAACATTCTCAGAAACTGCTTTGTGATGTGTGCATTCAACTCACGGAGTTTAACCTTTATTTTTAAAGAGCAGTTTTGAAACACTCTTTTGTAGAATCTACAAGTCTTCATTTGGAGTGCTTTGACGCCTTAGGTGGAAAAGGAAATATTCTCACATAAAAAGTGGACAGAAGAATTCTCAGAAAATTCCTTGTGATGTGTGCATTCAACTATCAGATTTGAACCTTCCTTTTGACAGAGCAGTTTTGAAACAGTCTTCTTGCAGAATCTGCAGGTGGATAGTTGGAGCTCTTTGAGGGTTTCGTCATAAACGTGATATCTTTAATTAAAAACTAGACAGAAGCATTCTCAGAAACCGTTTGGTGATGTGTGCCTTCAGCTCACAGAGTTGAACCTTCCTTTTGTCAGAGCAGTTTTGAAACAGTCTTTTTGTAGTATCTGCAAGTGGATATTTGGAGCGATTTGTGGCCAATGGTGGAAATGAAAATATCTTCACATAAAAACTAGACAGAAGCATTCTAAAAAACATCTTTGTGATGTGTGCATTCAACTCACAGAGTTGAACCTTTCTTTTGAGAGAGCAGTATTGAAATTCTCCTTTTGTAGAATCTGCTTGTGGATATTTATAGCTCTTTGAGGCCTTCATTGGAAACGGGATATATTCACATAAAAACTAGACAGAAGAATTCTCAGAAACGGCTTTGTGATTTGTGCATTCAACTCACAGAGTTGAAAATTTCTTCTGATAGAGCAGTTTTGAAACACTCTTTTTGTAGAATCTGCAAGTGGATATTTGCATAGCTTTCAGAATTTCGTTGGAAATGGGAATATCTTCATATAAAAAGTAGACAGAAGCATTCTCAGAAACTTCTTTGTGATGTTTGTATTCAAGTCACAGAGTTGAACATTGCCTTTCATAGAGCAGGTTTGAAACAGTTTTTTGCAGTATCTGGAAGTGGACATTTGGAAATATTTGAGGCCTATGGTGAAAAAGGAAATCTCTTCGCTTGAAAACTACACAGAATCATTCTCAGAAACTTGTTTGTGATGTGTGTGCTCAACTGAGTTGAACCTTTCTTTTGATAGAGCAGTTTTGAAACACTCTTGTTGTAGAATCTGTAAGTGGTTATTTGTATAGCTTTGAGCATTTCGTTGGAAACGGGAATATCTTCATATAAAATCTCGACAGAAATATTCTCAGAAACTTCTTTGTGACGTTTGCATTGAAGTCACAGAGTTGAAGATTCCCTTTCATAGAGCAGGTTTGAAACACTCTTTTTGTAATAACTGGAAGTGGACATTTGGAGCGCTTTGAGGCCTATGGTGAAAAAGGAAATCTCTTCCCATAAAAACTAGGCAGAAACATTCTCGGAAACTTGTTTGTGATGTGTGTACTCAACTAACGGAGTTGAACTTTTCTTTTGGTATAGCAGATCTGAAGCACTCTTTTTGTAGAAACTGCAAGTGGATATTTGGATAGCTTTAAGGATTTCGTTGGAAACAGGAATATCTTCATATAAAAATTAGACAGAAGCCTTCACAGAAACTTCTTTGTGATGTTTGCATTCAAGTCACAGAGTTGAACATTCGCTTTCATTTAGCAGGTTTGAAACAGTCTTTTTGTAGTATCTGGAAGTGGACATTTGGAGCGCTTTGAGGCCTATGGTGAAAAAGGAAATCTCTTCCCATGAAAACTACACAGAATCATTCTCAGAAACTTGTTTGTGATGTGTGTGTTCAACTAACAGAGTTGAACCTTTCTTTTGATAGAGCAGTTTTGAAACACTGTTTTTGTAGAATCTGCAAGTGGATATTTGGATAGCTTTGAGGATTTCATTGGAAACGGGAATATCTTCATATAAAAAGTAGACAGAAGCATTCTCAGAAACTTTTTTGTCATGTTTGCATTCAAGTCCCAGAGTTGAACGTTCCCTTTCAAGAGCAGGTTTGAAACAGTCTTTTTGTAGTATGTGGAAGTGGACATTTGGAGGGCTTTGTGGCCTATGGTGAAAAAGGAAACCTCTTCCCATAAAAACTAGGCAGAAACATTCTCAGAAACTTGTTTGTGATGTGTGTACTCAACTAACAGAGTTCAACCGTTCTTTTGAGAGAGGATTTTTGAAACAGTCGTCTTGTAGAATCTGCAAGTGGATATTTGGATAGCTTTGAGGATTTCGTTGGAAACGGGAATACCTTCAAATAAAATCCGGACAGAAGCACTCTCAGAAACACCTTTGTGATGTTTGCATTCAAGTCACAGAGTTGAAAATTCCCTTTCATAGAGCAGGTTTGAAACAGTCTTTTTGTAGTATCTGGAAGTGGTCATTTGGAGCGATTTGAGGCCTATGGTGAAAAAAAAAATATTCCCATGAAAACTAGACAGAAGCATTCTCAGAAACTTGTTTATGATGTGTGTACTCAACTAACAGGGTTGAAACTTTCTTTTGATAGAGCAGTTTTTTAACATACTTTTTGCAGAATCTGCAAGTGGATATTTGGATAGCTTTGTTTATTTCACTGGAAACGGGAATATCTTCATATAAAAAGTACACAGAAGCCTTCTCAGAAACTTCTTTGTGATGTTTGCTGTCAAGTCAGAGAGTTGAAAATTCTCTTTCACAGAGCAGATTTGAAAAACTCTTTTTCTAGTATCTGGAAGTGGACATTTGGAGCTCTTTGAGGCCTTGGGTGAAAAAGGAAATATCTTCCCATAAAAACTAGAAAGAAGCATTCTGAGAAACTTGTTTGTGATGTGTCTACTCAACTAACAGAGTTGATCCTCTCTTTTGATAGAGTGGTTTTGAAACACTCTTTGTGTAGAATCCGCAAGTGGATATTAGGAAATCTTTAAGGATTTCGTTGGAAATGTGAACATCTTCATATAAAATCTAGACAGAAGCATTCTGAGAAACACTTTGTGATGTTTGCATTCAAGTCACGGAGTTGAAAATTCCCTTTCATAGAGCAGGTTTGAACCACTCTTTTTGTAGTATCTGGAAGTGGACATTTGGAGCGTTTTGAGACCTGTGGTGAAAAAGGAACTCTCTTCCCATAAAAACTAAATAGAAGCAGTCTGAGAAACTTTTTTTGTGATGTGTGTACTCAACTAACAGAGTTGATCCTTTCTTTTGATAGAGTAGTTTTGAAACACTCTTTTTGTAGAATCTGCAAGTGGATATTTGGAAAGTTTTGAGGATTTCTTTGGAAATGGGAATATCTTCATATAAAATCTAGACAGAAGCATTCTTAGAAACATCTTTGTGAAGTTTGCTTTCAAGTCACAAATTTGAACATTCCCATTCATAGAGCAGGTTTGAGACACACTTTTTGTAGTATCTGGAAGTGCACTTTTGGAGCCCTTTTAAGCCTATTGTGAAAAAGGATATATCTTCTCATAAAAACCAGACAGAAGCATTCTCAGAAACTTGTTTATGATGTGTCTACTTAACTAACAGAGTTGAACCTTTCATTTGATAGAGCAATTTTGAAACACTCTTTTTGTGCAATCTGGAAGTGGATATTTGGATAGCTTTGAAGATTTCGTTGGTAACGGGAATATGTTCATATAAAATCTGGACGGAAGCATTCTGAGATACATCTTTGTGATGTTTGCATCCAAGTCACAGAGTTGAACATTCTTTTTCTTAGAGCAGTTTTGAAACACTCTTTTTGTAGTATCTGTAAGCGGACATTTGGAGTGCTTTGAGGCTGGTGTTGAAAAAGGAAATATCTTCCCATAAAAACTAGACAGAAGCATTCTCAGAAACATGTTTGTGAAGTGTGTACTCAACTAACGGAGTTGAACCTTTGTTTTGATAGAGTAGTTTTGAAACACTATTTTTGTAGAATCTGCAATTGGATATTTGGATAGCTTTGAGGGTTTCGTTGGAAACGGGAATATCGTCATATAAAAAGTAGACAGAAGCCTTCTCAGAACTTCTTTGTGTTGTTTGCATTCAAGACACAGAGTTGAATGGACTCGAATAGAATCATCAAATGAATCAAATGGAATCATCATCAAATGGAATCCTAAAGAATCATCATCAAATGGATTCCAAAGGAATCATCAATGAATGGAATTTAATGCAATTATTGAATGGAATCTAGCAGAATCATCATTGAATGGAACTGAATGGAATCATCCTCAAATGGAAACTAAAGGTGTCATCATTGAATGGATTTGAATGGAATCATCATCGAATGGCATCGAATGGAATCATCACCAAATGGAATAGAATGGAATCATCATCAAATGGAATCAAATGGAATCATTGAATGGAAATGAATGGAATCATCGAATAGACTTGAATGGAATCATCGAATGTACACGAATGGAATCATCATTGAGTGGACTCAAATGGAATGATTGAATGGACTCGAATAGAATCATCGATTGGACCCAAATGGAATTATTGAATGGACTCGAATGGAATCATTATCAAATGGAATCAAATGGATTCATCGAAAGGAATCAAACAGAATCATCGAATGGAATCGATCAGAGTCATCATCGAATGGAATCAAATGGAATCATCGAATGGAAACTAATGCAGTCATCATCAAATGGAATCGAATGGAATCATCATCAAATAGAATGAAAAGGAATTATCGAATGGATTCGAATGGAATCATCATCGAATGGAATCGAATGGAATCATCATCGAATAGAATAGAATGGAATCATCGAATGGAATCAAATGGAATCATCATCAAATGGAATAGAAAGGAATCATCGAATGGAATCCAATGGAATCATCATCAAATGGAATCAAATGGAATCATTATCAAATAGAATCGAATGGAATCATTGAATGATATCATCATCAAATGGAGTCCAATGGAATCATCAAATTGAATTGAATGGAATAATCATTGAATGGAATCAAATAGAATCATTGAATGGAATCGAATGGAATCATCATCAAACGGAATCGAATGATATCATTGAATGCACTTGAATGGAATCATCAACGAATGGAATTGAATGGTATCATCTAATGGATTCGAATGGAATCATCTTCGAGTGGAATCTAAAGGATTCACTAAGTGGACTCCAATGGAATAATCATCAAATAGAATCAAGTGGAATCATCAAATGTACTCGAATGGTATCATCAAATGGAATCAAATGGAGTCATCAAATGGATTTGAATGGAATAGTCATCGAATGGAATCAAGTGGAACGATCAAAAGGACTCGAATGGAATCATCACTGAATGGATTTGAATGGAATCGTCGAATACACTAGAATGGAATCATCATCAAATGGAAATGAATGGAATCATCAAATGGAAACGAATAGAATCATTGTCAAATGGAATCATATGGAATCATTGAATGGACTCGAATGCAATCATTGAATGCACTCGAATGGAATCATCATCGAATGGAATCAAATAGAATCATCGAATGGACTCGAATGGAGAGATCAAAAGGACTTGAAAGGAATTATCAAGTGGACTCTAATGGAATCATCGAATGGACCCTAATGGAATCATCATCGAATGGAAAAGAATGGAATACTCAAATGGACTCGAATGGAATCATCGAATGGACTCGAATGGAATCTTCGAATGGAGTCTAAAGGAATCACCATTGAATGGAATCGAATGGAATCATCGAATAAAATCGAATGTAATCATCTAATGGAATCTAACGGAAAAATCATCAAATGGAAACAAATGGAACCACTGAATGGAATCAATATCAATAATCATAGAATGGAATCAAATGGAATCATCATTGAATGGAATTGAGTGGAATCTTCGAATAGACACGAATGGAATCATCATCGAATGGAAAGGAATGGAATCATCAAATGCACTCGAATATAATCATCATTGAAGGGAATCGAATGGAATCATCAATTGGAATCGAATGGAATCATCATCAAATGAAATTGAATGGAGTTATCGAATGTCATCGAATTGAATCATCACCAAATTGAGTTGGATGGAATCATCTAATGGACTCGAATGGAGTCATCATCGAATGGAATTGAATGGATTCATTGAATGGACTCAAATGGAATCGTCATAGAAGGGAATTGAATGGAATCATCGAATCGACTCGAATGGAGTCATCATCAAATGTAATTGAATGGAATCAACAAATGGACTCGAGTGGAATCATCGTCAAATGAAATCGAATGGAATCATCGAATGGACATGAATGGAATCATCATCGAATGGAATCAAATGGAATGATCGATTGTACTCCAATGTAATCATCAAATGGACTCGAATGGAATCATCATCAAAAGGAATCAAATGAAATCATCACCAGATGGAATCGAATGGAAACATCACTGAATGGAATCGAATGGAATCATCGAAGGGAAAGAGATGGAATCATCATTGAATGGAATCAAATAGAAGCATTGAATGAAATCGAATTGAATCATAGTTGAACGGAATCGAATGGAAACATCATTGAATGGACTCAAATGGAAACATCATGGAATGGAATCGAGTGGAATCATCATCGAATGGAATTGAATGGAAACATCATTGAATTGAATCAGATGGAATCATCATGGAATTGAATCGAATGGCTCATCATCAAATGGAATAGAATGGAATCGTCAAATGGAATCATCGAATGGAATCGAATGGATTAATCATCTAATGGAATCGAATGGAATCATCTTCGAATGGAGTCGAATGGAATTATCATCAAATGGAATCTAATGGAATCATCAACAAAGGGAATTGAAAGGAATCATCATCGAATGGAATCTAATGGAATCATCAACTAATGCTATCGAATAGAATCATCATAGAAAGGAATCATAGGGAATCATTGAAAGGAATTGAACAGAATTATCAAATGGAATCAAAAGTAATCATCATTAATTGGAATCGAATGGAGTCATCAAATGGACACGAATGTAATAATTAAATGGACGCAAATGGAATCATTGAATGGAACCGAATGGAATCATCGATTGGACTCCAACGGAATCATCATCAAATGGAATCGGATGGAATCAATGAAGGGAGTTGAATGGAATAATCGAATGGATTTGAATGGAATCAGCATCAAACGTAATCAAATTGAATCATTCAATGGACTCGAGTGGAATCATCATTGAATGGAATCAAATGAAATCATCATCAGATGGAATCGAATGGAATCATCATTGAACGGAATTGAATGGAATCATTGAATGGACTCGAACGGAATAATTGAATGGACTCGAATGGAATCATAGAATGGAATCAAATGGAATCATTGAATGGACTCGAATGGAATCATCGAATGGACTCGAATGGAATCATCATCAAATGGAATCAAATGGAATTAACGAATGGAATTGATTGGAATCATCATCGAATGAAATCGAATAGAAGCATCAAATGGAATTGAATGGAATCATAGAATGGAATCAGACGGAATCATCATTGAATGGAATTGAATAGAAGCATCGAATGAAATCGAATGGACTCATCATCGAATGGACTCGTATGGAATCATCATCAAATGGACACGAATGGAATCATCATCGAATGGAATAGAATGGAAACATCATCTAATTGAATCAAATAGAATCATCATGGAATTGAATCGAATTGCTCACCATCGAATGGAATCGAATGTAATCATCAAATGGAATCGAATGGAATCATCATTGAATGGAATCGAAAGGAGTCATCATGGAATGGAATAAAATGGAATCATCCAATGGAAGAGAACTGAATCATCATCGAATGGAATCAAATAGAATCTTCAAATGAAAACGAATGGAACCATAATCCAATAGAATCAAATGGAATCAACATCGAATGGAATTGAATGGAATCATCATCGAATGGAATCGAATGGAATCATCATCGAATGGAATCGAATGGAATCATCATCGAATGGAATCGAATGGAATCATCTAATATAATAGAACTGAATCATCATCGAATGGAATCTGATAGAATCATCAAATGAAATCAAATGGAATCATCATCGAATGGAATCGAATCATCAATGAACAGAATCGAATGGAATCATATAATGGAATCCAATGTAATCATCATCAAATTGAACCCAATGTAATCATTAAATTGACTCAAATGGAATCATTGAATGGACGCGAATGGAATCATCATCGAATGGAATAGAATGGAATCATCGAATGGAATCGAATGGGATCATCATCGAATGAAATCAAATGGAATCATCGAATGGACTCGAATGGAATCATCATCGAATGGAATTGAATGGAATCATCGAATGGACTCGAATGGAATCATCATCAAATGGAATTGAAAGGAATCATCAAATGGACTTGAATGGAATCATTGAATGGACTCGAATGGAATCATCATCGAATGGAATCGAATGGAATCACCAAATGGACATGAATGGAATCATCATCTAATAGCATTGAATGGAATCATCGAATGGACTCGAATGGAATATCAGCAAATGGAATAGAAAGCAATCATCGAATGGACTCCAATGGAATTATCGAATGGACTCGAATGGAATCACTATCGAATGGACTCAAATGGAATGATTGAATGGTCTCGAATGGAATCATCATTTGGACTCAAATGGAATTATTGAATATCCTCGAATGGAATCATTGAATGGACTCGAATGGAATCATTATTGAATGGAATCAAATGGAATCATCAAATGGAATCGAATGGAATCATCGAATGCAATTGATCAGAATCATCATCGAATGGAATCAAATAGAATCATCAAATGGAATCAAATGCAGTCATCATCGAATGGAATCGAGTGGAATCATCATTGAATAGAATCGAATGGAATCATCGAATGGAAGCAAATGGAATCATCATCGAATGTAATCGAATGGAATCATCAAATGGAATTGAAAGGAATCAGCATCAAATGAAATCAAATGGAATCATCATAGAATAGAATCAAATGGAATCATAGAATGGAATCATCATCAAATGGAGTCCCATGGAATCATCAAATGGACTCGAATGGAATCATCATAGAATGGAATTGAATGGAATCATCGAATGGAATCGAATGGAATCATCATCAAATGGAACCGAATGGTATGGTCGAATGCACTCTAATGGAATCATCAATGAGTGGTATCGAATGGTAACATTGAATGGAATCGAATAGAATAATCTTCAATTGGCATCGAAAGGAATCACTGAATGGATACGAATGGAATAATCATAGAAAGGAATCGAATGGAATCATCCCATGGAATCGAATGGAATCATCACTGAATGGACTAGAATGGAATCATCGAATGGACTAGAATGGAATCATCATTGTATGGAATCAAATGGAATCATCGAATGGAATCGAATGGAATCATCATTGAATGTAATCAAATGGAATCATCATCGAATGGAATCAAATGGAATCATCATCGAATGGAATTGAAATGAATTAACGTCAAATGGAGTGGAATGGAATCATGATTGAATGGAATCCAAAGAAATCATCATCAAATGGAACCAAATGGAATCGTCATCGAATGGAACCAAAAGGGGTCATTATCAAATGGAATTGCATGGAATCATCATCGAATGAAATCGAATGGAATCATCATCGAATGGAATCTTCATCAAATGGAATCTAATGGAATCATTGAACGGAATTGAATGGAATCATCATCGAATGAATTGAAAGGAATCATCCATTGGTCTCGAATAGAATTATTATCAAATGGAAATGAAAGTATTCACCGAATATAATCGAATGGAATAATCATCGAATGGACTCAAATGGAATCATCATCAAATGGAATCGAAAGGAATTATTGAGTGGAATCGAGTAGAATCATCGAATGGACTCATATGGAATCATCCAATGGAATGGAATGGAATAATCAATGAACACGAGAGGAATCATCATTGAATGGAATCGAATGGAATCATCAAATGGAATCGAATTGAATCATCATCGAATGGAATCGAAAAGAATCATCATCAAATGGAATCGAATGGAAGCATCATCGAATAGAATCCAAAGGAATCATCACCGAATGGAACCAAATGGAATCATCATCGAATGGAACCGAAAGGAGTCATCATCAAATGGATTCTGATGGAATCATCATCAAATGGAATCGAATGGGATCATCATCTAATGGAATCTATTGGAATCATCGAATGGAATCATCATCACATGAATTGAATGGAATCACTGAATGGTCTCGAATGGAATACTCATCAAATGGAATCAAATGGAATCATTGAATGGAATAGAATGGAATAATGATCGAATGGACTTGAATGGAATCAACATCAAAAGGAATCAAATGGAATTATCAAATGGAATCAAATAGAATCATCGAATGGACTCGAATGGAATCATCGAATCGTCTCGAATGGAACACTCATCAAATGGAATCAAATGGAATCATCGAATAGAATCGAATGGAATAATGATCGAATGGACTCGAATAGAATCAACATCAAATGGAATCAAATGTAATTATCAAATGGAATCGAATAGAATCATCAAATGGACTCGAATGGAATCATCAAATCGTCTCGAATGGAATACTCAGCAAATGGAATCAAATGGAATCATCGAATAGAATCGAATGGAATAATGATCGAATGGACTCGAATGGAATCAACATCAAATGGAATTGAATGGAATTATCAAATGGAATCGAATAGAATCATCGAATGGACTCGAATGGAATCATCGAATGGAATTGATTTGAATAATCTGCAGATGCGAATGGAATCATCATGGAATGGAATCGAATGGAATCATCGAATGGACTCGAATGGAATCATCATCGAAAATAATAGAATGGAATCATCATCGAATGGAATTGAACGGAATCATCATGAAATGGAATCGAATGGAATCATTGAATGGAGTAGAAAGGAATCATCCTCGAATGCAATCAAATGGAATCATCGAATGGATTAGAATGTAATCATCATCGAATGAAATCGAATGGAATCATTAAATTCAACCAAAAGGAATCATTGAATGGACTCAAATGGAATCATCATCGAATGGAATCTAATGGAATCATTGAAGGTACTCGAAGGGAATCATCGAATTGGCTCAAAAGGAATCATCATCAAGTGGAATTGAATGGAATCATCAAATGGACTAGAAAAGAATCTTTAAATGTACTCCAATGGAATCATCATTGAATGGAATCTAATGGAATCATCTAATGGACTCGCCTGGAGTCCTCATCGAATGGAATCAAAGGGAATCACCTAATGGACTCGAATGGAATCATCGAATGGCCACGAATTGAATCATCATTAAATGGAATTGAATGGAATCATCTCATGGACTCGAATGTAATCATCAAATGGACACAAAAGGAATCATCATCGAGTGGATTCAAATGAAATCATTGAATGGACTTGAATTCAATCATCAAATGGTCTCGAATGGAATCATCATCAAATAGAATCGAATGGAATCATCACATGGATTTGAATGGAATCATCATCGAATGGAATGGAATGGAAACATTGAATGGAATCCAATAGAATCATCATCAAATGGAATCGAAAGGAATAATCAAATGGAATAGAATGGAATCATCAAATGGACTCGAATGCAATCATCACAGAATGGAATTGAATGGGGTCAAAGAATGGACTCAAATGGAATCTTTGAATGGACTCGAATGGAATCATCGAATGGAATCCAATGGGATCATCATCGAATGGAATCGAATGGACTCAACAATGAATGGAATCAAATGGAGTCATTGAATGAAATCCAATGGAATCATCATCAAATAGAAACGAATGGAATCATTGAATGGATTTGAAAGGAATCATAATCGAATGGAATCTTATGGAATCATTGAATGGACACACATCGATTCATCATCGAATGAAATCGAATGTAATCATAGAATGGAATCGAATGGAATCATCATTGAATGGAATAGAATAGAATCATCGAATGGAATCAAAAGGAATCATCAATGAATGGAATCGAATGGAATCATTTAAAGGACTCGAATGGAATCATCATCAAATGGAATCAGATGGAATCAACGAAGGGAGTATAATGGAATCATCAAATGGATTCGAATGGAATCATAATCAAATGGAATCGAAAGGAATCATGGAATGGAGTCAAATGGAAACATCATTGCATGGAATCAAATGGAATCCTCAAATGGAATAATCGAATGGAACTGAAGGCAGTCATCCTCTAATGGAATCGAATGGAATCATCGAACGGACTAGAACGGAAACATCATCGAATGGACACGAAAGGAATCATTATCGAATGGAATAGAATGGAATCATCGAATGGACTCGAATGGAATTATCATTGAATGGAATTGAATGGAATCATCGAACGAACTCGAATGGAATCGTCATCGAATGCAATTGTAAAGAATCATCGAATGGACTCGAATGCAATCATCGAATGGACACGAATGGAATCATCATCAAATGGAATAGAATGCAATAATCGAATGGACTCGAATGGAATTATCATGGAATGGAATCGAATGGAATCATTGAATGAACTCGAATGGAATCATCATCGAATGGAATCGAATGGAGTCATCGAATGGGTTCGAATGGAATCATCATCAAATGGAATCATGTGGAATCGTTGAACAAACTCGAAATGAATCATAATCGAATGGCATCAAAAGGAATCATCATCGAATGGAATCACATGTAATCATCATCGAATGAAATCATATGGAATCATCATAGACTGGAATCGAATGGAATCATCAGATGGACTCGAATGGAATCATCAAATGGACTCAAAGGGAAGCATCGAATTGACTCAAACTGAGTCATCAACAAATGGAATCGAATGGAATAATCGAAAGGACTCGAATCGAGCCATCAAATGGACTCTAATGGAATCATTATAGAATGGAATCGAATAGAATCATCAGATGGACTTGAATGGAATCATCATTGAATGGAACCGATTGGAATCATCGAATGAACTTGAATGGAATCATCATCGAATGGAATTGAATGGCATTAGTGAATAGTCTCGAATGGAATCATCATCAAATAAAATCCATTGGAATCATTGGATGGAATCGAATGGAATTATAGAATGGAATTGAATGGAATCATCTTTGAATGGAATGGAATGGAATGATCGAATGGAATCAAATGCAATCATCATTGAATGGAATTGAATGGAATCATTGAATGGCATCGAATTTAATCACCATTGAATGGACTCAAATGGAATCATAATTGAATAGAATCAGGAGGAATCATCGAATGGACTCGAATGGAATCATCATTGAATACAATCGAATGGAATCATAGAATGGAATTGAATGGAATCACCCTCAAATGTAATTAAATAGAATCATCAAATGGAATTGAATGGAATCATCATCAAATGGAATCAAATAGAATAAGAGAATGAAATCGAATGGAATCACCCTCGAATGGAATTGAATGAAATCACAGAATGATATCAAATGTAATCATCATCGAATGGAATCAAAAGGAATCATAGCGAATGGACTTGAAAAAAATCATTGAATGTACTCGAATAGAAACATCGAATGGACATGAATGGAATCTTCATGGTATGGAGTAGAATGGAATCATCGAATGGACCCAATTGGAATCATCATCGAATGGAATAGAATGGAATCATCTAATTTACATGAATGGAATCATCATTTAATGGAATAGAGTGGTAAGCATCATCGAATGGAATCAAATGGAATCATCTAATGGACCCGAATGGAATCATCATTGAATGGAATAAAATGGAATCATCATCGAATGGAATGTAACGGAATCATCATCGAATGGAATCCAAAGGAATCATCAAATGGATCCGAATAGAATCATCATAGAATACAACAGAGTGGAATCATCATTGAATGGAATGGAATGGAATCATCTAATGGACAGGAATATAATCATCATCGAATTGAAACATCTATTGTACCCAAATAGAATCATCATAGAATGCAATAGAAATCAGCATCGAATGGAATCACATGGAATCACCAAATGGACTCGAATGGAATCATCATTGAATGGAATCGAATGTAATCATCAAATGGACTCGAATGGAATCATCATTGAATGGAATCAAATGGAATCACTGAATGGACTCGAATGGAATCATCATCAAATGGAATCAAAGGGAATCATCGAATGGACTCGAATGGAATCATCATCAAATGGAATTGGATGGAATCAAAGAAGGGACTCAAAAGGAATCATCGAATGGACACAAATGGAATCATCACTGAATGGAATCGAATGGGATCATCGAATGGACTCGACTGGAATCATCATCGAATGGAATCGCATAGGATCATCATCAAATGGAATAGAATGGGATCATCATCAAAAGAAATCCAATGGAATCACTGAATGGACTCAAGGTAATGATCAAATGGACGCGAATGGAATCATCAAATGGAATCGAATGGAATCACCAAATGGAATCGAATGGAGTTATTGAACAGACTCTAATGGAATCATCATGAGATGGAATTGAATGGAATCATTAAATGGACTCGAATGGAATCATTGAATGGACTCGAATGAAATCATCGAATGGACTCGAATAGAATCATCATTGAATGGAATCATACGGACTCCTCGAATAGAATAAAATGGAATCATCAAATGGAATCAAATGGTATCATCATCGAATGGAATTGAATGGAATTATCAAAAGGAATTGAAGGCAATCATCATCTAATGGAATCAAGTGGCATCATCGAATGGAATTGAAGGGAATTATCATCAAGTGGAATCGAGTGGAATCTTCGAATGGAATCGAATGGAATCATTGTCGAATGGAATCGAATAGAATCAGTGGATTGAACTAAATGGAATCACCAATGAATGGGCACGAATAGAATCATCATCGAATGGAATCGAATGAAATCATCTAATGTACTCGAATGGAATCATCATTGAATGGAATAGAATGGAACCATAGAATGGAATCAAAGAGAATCATCATCGTATGGAATCGAGTAGAACCATTGAATGGTCTCGAATGTAACCATTGGATCAAATGGAATCGAGTGGACTAGAATGAAATCATCATCAAATGGAATCAAATGGGATCATCGAATGTAATCAAATGGAATCATAATCAAATGGAATCGAATGGAATCACTGAATGGACTCGAATGGAATCATTATCAAATGGAATCGAATGGAATCATCTAATGGAATTGAAAGGAATCATCATTGAATGAAATCGAATGGAATCACCAAAGGGACACGAGTGGAATCATCATCGAATAGAATCAAAAGGAATCATCGAATGGACTGGAATGGAATATTAACGAATGGAATTGAAAGCAATTATCGAATGGACTCAGATGGAATTATCAAATGGACTCAAATGAAATCATCTAATGGACTCGAATGGAATCATCATCAAATGGACTCAAATGGACTGATCGAATGGACTCAAATGGAATCATGAATTGGACTCACATGGAATTATTGAATGGGCTCGACTGGAATCATCAAATGGATTTGAATGGAATCATTACCGAATTGAATCAAATGGAATTATCAAATGGAATCGAATGGAATCATCGAATGGAATCAATCGGAGTCATCACTGAATGGAATCAAATGGAATCATTGAACTGAATCGAATGCAGTCATCAGCGAATGGAATTGAATGGAATCATCATCAAATGGAATCAAATGAATCATCAAATGGCATCAAATGGAATCATCATTGAATGGAATCTAATGTAATAATCGTATGGACTCGAATGGAATCATCATCGAATGAAATCGAATAGAATCATTGAATAGCATCGAATGGAATCATCATCGACTGGAGTTGAATGGAGTCATCGAATCACTCTAACGGAATCGTCATGGAATGTAATCGAATGGCATCTTTGAATGGACACAAATGGAATCATCATCAAATGCAATCGAATGGAATCACCACCGAATGGAATCATGTGGAATCATCATTGAATGGAATCCTCTTCACATGGAATCAAATTGAATCATCATCAAATTGAATCAAATGGAATCATCTTCAAATGGAATCAAAAGGAATCATCATCGAATGGAATTGAATGCAGTAATCATTGAATGGCATCGAGTGGAATCATCATTGATTGGAATCTAATGGAATCAACGAATGAAATAGAATGGCATCATCATCGAGTGGATTTGAATGGAATCACCCAATGGAATTGAATGGCATCATCATTGAGTGCAATCCAATAGAATCATCGAATGAAATTGAATGGAATCATCATCGAATGGAATCGAGTGGAATCATCATTGAATGGAATCGAATAGAATCGTCATCTAATGGAAACGAACGGAATCGTCATCTAATGGAATGTAGTGGAATCATCATCGAATGGAATCGAATGGAACAATGAACGACTGGAATTGAATGGAATCATTGAATGGAATGGAATGGAATCCTCAAATGGAATCGAACGGAATAATCATCAAATGGAATCAAAAGGAATCATCGTATGGAAACAAATGAAATCATCATCAAATGGAATCGAAGGGAATCACGAATGGAAATGAATGGAATCACCACTGAATGGAATCGAATGGAATCATCATCGAATGGAATCGAATGGAATCATCGAATGGACACGAGTGGTATCATCATGGAATGGAATTGAGTGGAATCATCATCGAGTGGACTCGAGTGGAATCACCATCGAACCTAACTGAATGGAATCATCTAATGGACTCGACTGGAATCATCATCGAATGGAATCGAATGGAATCATTCAATGGACTCGAATTGAATCATCATCCAATGGACATTAAAGGAATCAACATCGAATGGACTCTAATGGAATCATCATCGAGTGGAAATGAATGGAATCATCATTGAATGAAATCAAATGGAATCATCATCAAATGCAATCAAATGGAATAATCATCGAAAGGAATCGAATGGAATCATGGTATGGAATCGAATGAACTCATCATTGAATGGAATCGAATGGAATCATCGACTGGAATTGAATGGAATCACCATTGAATGGAATCGAATGGAAAAATCATCGAATGGAATTGAGAGAAATCATCGAATGGACTCGAATGGAAACATCATCGAACGGAATCAAATGAAATCATCAAATGGACCCTAATGGAATAATCACCAAATGGAATAGAAGGGAATCATTGAATGGACTCGAATGGAATCATCATCAAATGGAACCAAATGAAATCATGAACAAATGTAATCAAATGGAATCATCATCAAATGGAATCAAATGGTAACAACGAATGGAAACGAATGGAATCATCATCAAATGTCATCGAATGGAATCATCAAATGGACTCAAATGGAATCATAGAATGCACTTTAATGGAATCATCCTCGAATGGAATCGAATATTATTGTAATTGAAAGGAATCGAATGGAATCATCGTTGAGTGGACCCAAACTTAATCAGCATCAAACGGAATGGAAGGAAATCATTTAAAGGACTTGAATGGAATCATCATCGAATGGAATCGAATGGAATCATCTAATGGACGTGAATGGAATCATCATCGAATGGACTCTAATGGAATCAACCTCGAATGAAATCAAAAGGAATAGAATGGAATCGTCGAATGGAATTGTATGGAATCATCATTCAATGGAATTGAATGGAATCAATGAATGGAAGTGAACAGACTCATCTTCAAATGGAATCGAATGGAATCATCGTATGGAATCATCATCGAATGGAATCGAATGGAATTGAATCATCATGGAATGGAATCGAATGGAATCATCATCGAATTGACTTGAAAGGAATCCTCATTGAATGGAATTGATTGGAATCATCATTGAATGGAATCCTCTTCACATGGAATCAAATTGAATCATCATCAAATTGAATCGAATGGAATCATCGTATGGAATTGAATGAAATCATCATCGAATGGAATAGAATGGAATCGTCGAATGGAATTGTATGGAATCACCATTGAATGGAATCGAATGGAATCATCATTGAATGGAATTGAATGGAATCATCGAATGGATTCGAATTGAATCATCATTGAATAGAATCCCATGGAATCATTGAAAAGTGTTGAATGGAATCATCTTCGAATGGAATAGAATGGAATCATTCAATGGACACGAATGGAATCATCATTGAATGGAATCAAAAGGAATCATTGAATTGACCCGATTGGAATCACCATCAAATGGAATTGAATGGAATCGAAGGGAATCATTGAATGGACCCGATTGGAATCATCATCGAATGGAATTGAATGGAATCATCATGGAATGGAATCGAATGGAATCATCATTGAATTGAATTGAAAGGAATCCTCATTGAATGGAATTGATTGGAATCATCATTGAATGGAATCCTCTTCACATGGAATCAAATTGAATCATCATCAAATTGAATCAAAAGGAATCATCAACAAATGGAATTGAAAGGAATCATCATCGAATGGAATCGAATGCAGTAATCATTGAATGGCATCAAATGGCATCATCATCAAGTGGAATCAAATGGAAACATCCAATGGAATCGAATGGCATCATCAACGAGTGGAATCCAATAGAATCATCAAATAAAATTGAATGGAATCATCATCGAATGGATTCGAATGTAATCATCATTGAATGGAATCGAATGGAACCATCAACGACTGGAATTGAATGGAATCACTGAAAGGAATCATTGAATGGAATCGAATGGAATCATCAAATGGAATCGAACGGAATAATCATCAAATGGAATCAAAAGGAATCATCGTATGGAAACAAATGAAATCATCATCAAATGGAATCGAAGGGAAACACGAATGGAAATGAGTGGAATCACCATTGAATGGAATGGAATGGAATCATCATCAAATGGAAACAAATGGAAACATCAAATGGATTCGAGTGGTATCGTCATTGAATGGACTTGAGTGGAATAATCATCGAATGGACTCGAGTGGAATCATCATCAAATCGAACTGAATGGAATCATCGAATGTACTCGACCAGAGTCATCATAGAATGGAATCGAAGGGAATCATTGAATGGACTCGAATGGAATCATCATCGAATGGACTGTAAGGGAATCATCATCGAATGGATTCTAATGGAATCATCATCGAATGGATTCTAATGGAATCATCATAGATTAGAATCAAATGGAATCATCATCAAATGCAATCGAATGGAATCATCATCAAATGGAATCAAATGCAATCATCGTATGGAATCAAATGAAATCATCATTGAATGGAATCGAATGGAATCATCGAATGGAATTCAATGGAATCACCATTGAATGGAATCAAATGGAATCATCATTGAATGAAATTGAATGGAATCATCACAAGGACTCAAATGGAATCATGTTCGAATGGAATTGAGTGGAATCATCAAACGGACTCAAATGGAAATATCATCGAATGGAATCAAATGGAATCATGGAATGAACTCAAATGGAATCATCATCGAATGGAATCAAATGGAATCATCGAATTGACTCGAATGGAATCAACATCGAATGGAATCGAATGCAATCATCATATGGACTTGAATGAAATCATCATCTAGTGGACTCAGATGGAATCATCATCGAATGGACTCGAATGGAATCATCATTGAATGGAATCAAATGGAATCATCATCAAATGCAATCGAATGGAATTATCATCGAATGAAGACAAAATGACTCATCATCGAACGGAATCAAATGGAATAATCATCAAATGGGATGGAATGGAATCATCCAGTGGAATTGAATGGAATCAACATCGAAAGGAATAAAAAAATCATCGAAAGTTATTGAATAGAATCATCATCGAATGGAATCCTCATCGAATGGAAACTAATAGAATCATCATCAAATGGAATCGAATGGAATCATCATGGAATGGGATCTAAAGGAATCATCATCAAATGAAATTGAATGGAGTAATCATCTAATGGAATTGAATGGAATCACGGAATGGACTCAAAAGTAATCATCATCTAATGGAATAGAATGGAATAAGCGAATGGACTTGAATGGAATCATCATCGAATGGAATTGAATGGAATTATAGAATGGAATGGAATGCAATCATCGAATGGATTTGAATGGAATCATCAAAAGGAATCGAATGGAATTATCGAATGGAATCGAATGAAATCATCGAATGGAATTGAATGAAATCATCGAATGGAATCGAATGGAATAACCATCTAATGGAATCGAATTGAATCACCATCGAATGGAATTGAATAGAATCATCCACAAATGGAATCGAATTGAATCATGGGATGAACTCGAATGGAATCATCCTTGAATGGACTCGAATGGAATCAACACTGAATGAAATCGAATGAATTCATTGAATGGACTCAAATGGAATTATCATCGAATGGAATAGAAGGGAATCATTGAATGGAATTGAATTCAATCATCAAATGGAATCGAATGGAATCATCAAATGGACTCCAATGGAATCCTCATCGAATAGAATCAAATGGAATCACAGAAAGGTATGGAATGCCATCATCATCAAATGAAATCAAATGGAATCATCATCGAATGCAGTCCAATGGAATTGTCAAAGAATGGAATCGAATGGATTCATCATAGAATGCAGTCCAATGGAATCGTCAAAGAATGGAATCGAATGGAATCATCAAATGGGATCGAATGGAATAATCATCAAATGGAATTGATGGGAATCATCTAAAGGAATCGAACTGAATCATCAAATGGACTCGAATGGAATCATCATCGAATGAAATCGAATGGACACTTCCAGTGGGCTCGAATGGAATTATCATAGAATGGAATCGAAAGGAATCATTGAATGGACTCGAATAGATACATCATTGAATGAAATCGAATTTAATCATTGAAAGGAATCAAATGGAATCATCATCTAATGGAATCATCTAAAGGACAGGAATAGAATAATCTTTGAAAGGAATCGAATGGAATCATTGAATGGACTTGAATAGAAACATCATCGAATGGAATCGAATGGAATCATCAAATGGAATTGAATGGAATCTTCAAAAGTCCCTGAATGGAATCATCATCCAATGGAATCGAATGGAATCATTGAATGGACTCGAATGGAATCATGATCAAATGGAATCAAATGGAATCATCTAATGGAATCGAATGGAATCATAATTAAATGAAAACGAATGGAGTCATTGAATGACATCGAATGGAATCATCATTGAATGGAATCGAATGGAATCATCCAATAGACTCAAATGGAATCATCAGTGAATGGAATTATGGAATGGGCTCAAATGGAATCATCATCAAATGGAATCGAATAGAATCATCGAATGGAATCAAATAGGATCATCTAATGAAATTGAATGGAATCATCTTCGAATGGAATCAAGTGGAATCATCATCAAATGGAATCATCATCGAATGGAATCGAATGGGATCATCATCGAATGGTATTGAATGGAATCATCAACAAATGGAATCGAATGGAATCATCGAATGGAATCAAATGGAATCATCAACAAATGGAACCGAATGGAATCATCATCAAATGGAACCTAATAGAGTCATCATCGAATGGAATCGAAAGGAATCATCATCGAATGGAATCAGCATCAAATGTACACTAATGGAATCATCATTGAATGGAATTGATAGGAATCTTCGAATGGTCTCGAATGGAATCAACATTGAATGGAATCGAATGGAATAATCAAATAGAAACATCATCGAATGAAATCGAATGGAATCATTGAAAGGAATCGAATGGAATCCTCATCAAATAGAATCATCGAATGGAATGGAATGGAATCATCATTGAAAGTAATCGAATGGAATCATGGAATGAAATCGAGTGGAATCATCATCGAATGGAATCGAATTGAATCATCAAATGAAATCAAAAGGAATCAACATCGAATGGAATCGAATAGAATCATCAAATGGAATCAAATGGAATCATCACCGAATGGTATCGAATGGAATCATAGAATGGTTTTGAATGCAATCATCATCAAATGGAATCGAATGGAATCACCATCGAATGGCATCAAAAGCAATCATCGAATGGATTTGAATAGAATCATTGAATGGACACGAATTTAATCATCATTGAATGGAATCTGATCAAATCAACACATGGAATCGAATGGCATCATAATCGAAATGAATCAAATGGAATCATCTAATGGACTGGAATGAAACCCTCATCTAATGGAATCGAATGGAATCATCGAATGGACTCGAATGGAATCATCATCGAATAGAATCGAATGGAATCATCCTCGAATGGACTCGAATGGAAGCATTAAATGGACACGAATGGAATCATTGAATGGAATCTTATGCAATCATTATCAGTGGAATCGAATGGAATAATCACCAAATGGAATGGAATAGAATCATCTAATGAAATCAAATGGAATTATCATCAAGTGGAATCGAATGGAATCATCATCGAATGGAATCATCATCGAATGGAATCAAATGAAATCATCATCGAATGGAATCATCAACGAATGGAATAGAATGGAATCATCGAATGGAATGGAATGGAGTCTTCATCCAATGGAACCGAATGGAATCATCATCAAATGAAACCTAATGGAATCATCATCGAATGGAATCACATGGAATCATCATCTAATGGAATCGATTGGAATCATCATCGAATAGAATCGAATGGAATCATCATCTAATGGACTCGAATTGATTCATCAAATGGACACGAATGGAATCATTGAGTGGACTCCCATTCAATCATCATCAATGGAATCAAATTGAATCATCGAATGAAATTGAAAGGAATCATCATCGAATGGAATCGAATAGCATGGGATAATTCTATTCGATTGGAATGGACGATCGGAAGGAAACGAATGGAATCATCATAGAATGGACTCGAATGGAATCATTGTATGGAGTCGAATGGAATCATCATCGAATGGAATCGAATGGAATCACTGAATGGACTCAAATGAAATCATCATCAAATGGAATCGAATGGAATCATCTAATAGACTCGAAAGGAATCATCATCGAATGAATTCAAATGGAATCACCGAATGGACACGAATGGAATCATCATCATATAGAATCGAATGGAATCACTGAATGGAGTCGAATGGAATATCATTGAATGGAATCAAAAGCAATCATCGAATGGACTCAAATGGAACTATCAAATGGAATCATCGAATGGACTCAAAAGGAATCATCATCAAATGGATTCATATGGAATGATTGAATGGACTCGAATGGAATCATGGATTCCATGGATTCCATGGAAACATCATCGAATGAACTCCGATGGAATCATCATTGAATGGACTCGAATGGAATCAACGAATGGAATAGAAAGGCATTATCATTGAATGGAATCGAATAGAATTACAGAATGAAATCCAATTGAATCATAATCAAATGGAATCGAATGGAATCATCACCAAATGGAATCCAATGGAAACATCATCAAATGGAACACAATGGAATCATCATCATATGGAACCTAATGGAGTCATCATCCTATGGAATCGAATGAAATCATCATCGAATGGAATTGAATGGAATCATAATCAAATGGAATCCAATGGAATGATCATCGAATGGAATCAAAGGGAATCATCGAATGGGATCGAATGGAATCAACGAAAGGAATCGAATGGAATCATCATATGGATTCGAATGGAATCATCATCGACTGCAATCGAACGGAATCGTCATTGACTGGAATCGAATGGAATCATCATCAAATGTTATCGCATGGAATCATCAGTGAATGGAATCGAAGGAATCATCAAATGGAATCGAATGGAATGATCATCGAATAGAATCGAATGGAATCATGGAATGGAATCGAAAGGGATCATCCAATGGAATCGAATGGAATAATTGAAGGGACTCGAGTGGAATCATCATCGAATTCAATCTAATGGAATCATTGAATGGACTCGTATGGAATCATCATCAAATGGAATCGAATGGAATCATCGAATGGCATAGAATGGAACCATCATCAGGTGGAATGGAATGTAATCATCGAATTGACATGAATGGAATCATCATCAAATTGAAACATCAAATAGAAACATCGAATGGAGCCAAATGCAATCATCATCGAATGGAATCAAATGGAATCATCAACGAATGGAATCGAATGGAATTATTGAATGGAATACAATGGAATCATCATCAAATGGAACCGAATATAATCATCAAATGGACTCGAATTGAATCATGATAGAATGGAATCAAATGGAATCATGATTGAATGGAATCGAATGGTGTCATCAAATGGATTCAAATGGAATCATCGAATGGACTCGAATGGAATCATTGAATGGAATCAAATGAAATCATCACCGAATGGAATCAAATGGAATCATTGAATGGACTCGAATGGAATAATCATTGAATGGAATGTAATGGAATCATGAAAGAAGGGAATCGAATGGAAATATCATCAAATGGAATCGAATGGTATCATCAAAGAATGGAACAGAATAGAATCATCGAATGGAATCCAATGGATTCACCATCAAATTGAACTGAATGGAATCATCATCGAATGGACTTGAATGGAATCATCATTGAATGGAATCGAATGGTGTCATCGAATGGAATCAAGCGGAAACATTGAATGGACTCTAATGGAATCATCAAATGGAATCGAATGCAATCATCATCAAATGAAATCAAATGGAATGATTGAATGGATTCGAATGGAATCATCATCGAATGGAATTGAACGGAATCATCGAATGGACACCAATGGAATCATCATTGAATGGAATCAAAAGGAATCATGGAATGGACTTGAATGGAATCATTGAACGGACTCGAATTAAATCATCATCGAATGGAATCAAATAGAATAATCGAATGGACATGAATGTAATCATCATCGAATGGAATCACATGGAATCATCGAATGGAATCTAATGGAATCATCATTGAATGGAATCTAATGGAATTATCATCTAATGGAATCAAATGGAAACATCAATGAATGGAATCAAATGGAGAAATCGAATGGAATCCGTTGGAACCATCATAGAATGGAACCGAATGCAGTCATCATCAAATGGAATCGAATGCAAACATCATTGAGTGGAATAGAAAGGAATCATCATTAAATGGAATTGAAAGGAATCATCATCGAATGGAATTGAAAGGAATCATCATCAATCGAATATGGAATCAAATGGACTCCATTCGATGACACTCTTCGATTCCTTTTGGTGATGATTCCATTCGATTTCATTCATTGATTCCTTTCATTTTTACTCGATGATGATTCCATTTGATTCCGTTTGATGATGCATCAATTATATTCCATTGGATGATTACATTCGATTCCATTCGATGATGACTTCATTCAATTCAATTCGATGATAATTCCATTTGATTGCATTTGATGATGATTCCATTCGGGTCCATTCGAAGTTTCCATTCAATTACATTACATGATGATTCCATTCCAGTCCATTCGATGATTCCATTCGACTGCATTCGACGATGATTCCATTTGATGCTATTCGATGATTCCATTAGATTATATTCAATGATGATTCCATTCGACTCCATTCTATGATTCCATTCGAGTCCATACCATTATCCCATTAGATTCCATTCAATGATGTTTCCATTTGATGCCATTCAATGATGTTTCCATTCGAGTCCATTCGATGATGACTGCATTGGATTCCATTCTATGATTCCATTTGATTCCATTTGATGGTGATTCCGATCAATTCCATTTGATGATTCCATTCGATTCCATTTGATGATTCCATTTGATTCAATTCAATAATGATTCCATTCGAGTCCATTCGATGATTATATTCTAGCCCATTGGATAATTCCATTTGAGTCTGATCCATGATTCCATACCATTATCCCATTAGATTCCATTCGATGATGTTTCCATTCGATGCCATTCGATGATGATTCTATTCAATTCCATTCGATGATTATTCCATTTGAGTGTATTCAATGATTCCATTCAATACCATTTGATGATGATTCCATTCGAGTCCATTCAATGATTCTATTCGATTCCATTGGATAATTCCGTTCAATTCCATATGATGATTATTCCATTTGAGTCCATTCAATGATTATTACATTCGATTCTATTCGGTGATTCCTTTCGATTCCATTTGATAGTGATTCCATTCGAGACCATTCGATGATTCCATTCAATTCATTTGATGATGATTCCATTCAATTCCATTCGATGATTCCATTAGATAATGATAATGATTCCATTTGATTCCATTAGATGATCATTCCACGCGATTCCATTTGATGACGACTCCTTTCGCTTCCATTCGATGATGATTCCATTCGGTTCAATTCCATGATTATTCCTTTGGATTCCATTCGATGATGTTTCCATTCGACTCCATTTGATGTTGATTCTTTTTGATTCCATTCGATGATTATTCCATTTGATTCCATTCGATGATGATTCCATTCATTGATTCCATTCAATTCCGTACGATGATGATTCCATTCCAGTCCATTCCATGATTCCATTCAATTCCATACGATGATGATTCCATTCGATTCCATTCGAAGATTCCATTCAATTCCTTTCGAACATTATTCTATTCGAGTCCATTCAGTGATCCCTTTCTATGCCAATGGAAAATGATTCCATTCGAGTCCATTCGATGACACCATTCAATACCATTCATTGATGATTCCATTCGAGTGCATTCGATGATACCATTCGATTCCATTTGATGAAGATTCCATTTGAGTCCATTTGATGATTCCATTGGACTCCATTTGATGATGATTCCATTCAATGATTCCATTTGATTCTATTCGATATTGATTCCATTTGATTTCATTCGATGCTGATTCTATTGAATTCCATTCGATGATTCAATTTGATTCCATTTGATGATTCCATTTGATTACTTTCGACAATGATTCCATTCAATTCCATTCGATGATTCCATTTGATTCTATTCAATGATGATTCCATTCGATTCCATTCGATGATGACAGCATTCTATTCCATTTGATGATTCCATTTGGTTCTACTCGATGATGATTCTGATCGATTCCATTCGATGATTCCTTTAGATTCCATTCGATGATTCCATTTGATTCCATTCAATAATGATTCCATTCGACTACATTTGATGATTCCATTCGAGCAAATTCAATAATTCCATTTGAGTCCAATCAATTATTCCAATCGAGTCCATTTGATGATTCCAATCGAGTCCATTTGAAAATTTCATTTGAGTCCATTTGATGAATGCTTTTGATCACATTCGTTGATATTCCATTCGAGTCCATTCGATGATTCCATTCGATTCTATTTGATGATGATTCCATTCGTGTCCATTCAGTGATTCCATTCGATTTCATTTGATGATGATTCCTTTTGAGTGCATTAGATGATTCCATTCAATTCTATTTGATGATGATTCCATTCAAGTCCATTCAGTGATTCCATTCGATTCCATTCGATGATGATTCCATTCGATTCCATTCGATGATTCTATTCGATTTCATTCGATGATTATTTCATCTGAGTCCATTCGATGATTCCATTTGATTCCATTCGATGATTCCATTTGATTCCATTCTTTGATGATTCCATTCGAATCCACTCGATGATTCTATTCGAATCCATTTGATGATTGCTTTTGATATTTGATGACTATTCCATTCGAGTCCATTTGATGATTCCATTCGATTGCATTCATTGATGATTCCATTCGAGTCCATTTGATGATTCCGTTTGCTTCCATTCTCCAATGATAGCATTCAAGTCCATTCGATGATTCCACTCGATTCCATATGATGTTGATTCCATTCGATTCCATTGGATGATTCCATTCTATTCCATTCAATGACGATTCCATTGGAGTACATTAGATGATTCCACTCGATTCCATTCTATGATGATTATATTCGTGCCCATTAGATGATTTCACATGATTCCATTCGATAATGATTCCATTCGAGTGCATTCAATGATTCCATTTGATTCCATTTGATGGTGATTCCATTCCATTCAATTCCTTGGTGATTCCATTCAATTCCATTCATTGATTCCATTCCATGCCATTTGACAATGATTCCATTTGATTCAATTCAATGATTCCACTCGATTCCACTTGACAATGATTCCCTTTGATTCCATTCGATGAAGATTGCCTTAAATTCCATTTGATGATTCCATTCGATTCCATTCGATGATGATTCTGTTCAATTCCATTTGATTGTTCCATTCGATTCCATTCGATGATGATTCTGTTCAATTCCATTTGATGATTCCATTTGATTACATTCGAGGATTCCATTCAATATCATTCGATGATCATTCCTTTCAATTCCATTCAACGATTTCATTCGATTCCAAAGATGATGATTCCATTCAAGGCCATTCAATGATTCCATTCGATTCCATTCGATGATGCCTCTATGTGATGCCATTAGATGTTTCCATTCGATTCCATTTGATGATGATTCCATTCGAGTCCATTCGAGGATTCTATTTGATTCCACTCGCTGATAATTCCTTTCGATTCCATTCGATGTTTCCTTTTTATTCCATTCAATGATGGTTCAATTCGAGTACATTCATTGATTGCTTTCGAGTCTATTTGATGATTGCATTCGATTCCATTCAATGATGATTCCATTCGAGTCCATTTGATAATTCCATCTGATTCCATTCGATGATGACTGCATTTGGTTCCATTCGATGATGATTCGAACGGACTCCATTCGATGACTCCATTCGATTACATTCATTGATGATTCCATTCGATTCCATTCAATGATGATTCCATTCGATTCCATTCGATGATTCCACTTGATTCCATTTGATGATGATTCCAATCCTGTCAATTCGATGATTCCATTCAATTCCATTCGATGATGATTCCATTCGAGTCCATTTGATGATTCCATTCAAGTCCATTTGATGTTTCCTTTCGATTCCACTCGACGTTGATTCCATTTGAGTCCATTCGATGATTAAATTTGAGTGTGTTCCATGATTTCATTCGATTCCATTCGATGATCATTCTATTCGAGTCCATTCGATTATTCCATTTTATTTCATTTGATGATGATTCCATTCGATTCCAATCAATGATTCCATTCGAGTCCATTCGATGATTTCATAACATTCCATTCAATGGTGATTCCATTTGATTCCATTCGATGATGATTCCATTCGATTCCCTTCATTGATTATTCAATTAGATTCCATTTGATGATGATTCCATTCGACTCCATTCAATGATGATTCCATTCGATTCCATTCGATGATGATTCCATTCGACTCCATTCGATGATGATTCCATCGATGGTTCAACTCAATTCCATTCGATGGTTCCTTTCGATTCCATTTGATGATGATTCCATTCGATTCCATTCCGTGATGATTGCATTCTATTCCATTCGATGTCTCCATTCGATTCCTTTTGATAATGATTCCATTCGTGTCCATTGGATGATTCTGTTTGATTCTTTTCGATGATGATTCCATTTGATGCCTTTTGATGATTCCATGCCATTCCATTTGATGATGATTCCTTTCAATTCCATTCCATGATTCCTTTCGATTCCATTTGATGATGATTCCATTCAAGTCCATACAATGATTCCATTCAATTCCATTTGATGATGATTCCATTCGGGTCCATTCAATGATTCCATTCAATTTGGCTCGATGATGATTCCATTTGAGTCCATTCAATGATTCCGTTCAAGTCCATTCGATTTTTCCTTTTGATTCCATTTGATGAGGATTCCATTCGATTCCATTCAATGATTCCATTCAATTCCATTCGATGATGATTCCATTCGTGTCCATTTGATGATTTCATTCGATTCTATTTGATGATGATTCCATTCGAGGCCATTCAATGATTGCATTTGAGTCCGTTTGATGGTTTCATTCGATTCCACTCGATGATGATTCCTTCTGAGTCCACTCAATGATTCAATTTGTGTCCATTCGATGATTCCATTCGATTCCATTCGATGAGGACTCCATTCGATTCCATTCAATGATTCCATTAGATTCCATTCGATGATGATTCCATTCGAGTTCATTCAAAAATTCAATTCGAGTCCATTCAATGATTCCATTCAATTCCACATGATGATGATTCCTTTCGAATCCATTCAATGTTTCCTTTCGAGTGCATTCAATGATTCCTTTTGATTCCATTCGATGATGATAACATTCTATTCCACTGGATGATGATTCCATTCGATTGTATTCGATGACTCCATTCGATTGCATTCGATAGTGATTCCATTCTTGTCCATTAGGTGATACCATTTGATTCTTATCAATGATGATTCCGTTTGATGCCATTTGATGATTTCATGCGATTCCATTCGATGATGATTCCATTCGATTCCATTCAATGAATCCATTCGGTTCCATTTGATGATGATTCCATTCGAGTCCATTCGATGATTACATTCAATTCCATTAGATGATGATTCCATTCGGGTCCATTCAATGATTCCATTTGATTGAGTTCGATGATGATTCCGTTTGAGTCCATTCGATTATTCCTTTCAATTCCATATGATGATGATTCCTTTCGAGTCCATATAATGATTCCATTCAATTCTATTCGAAGATGATTCCATTCGGGTCCATTTAATGATTCCATTCAATTCGGTTCGATGATGATTCCATTTGAGTCCATTCAATGATTCCGTTCAAGTCCATTCGATTATTCCTTTTGATTCCATTCAATGATGATTCCATTCGATTCCATTTGATGATTCCATTCAATTCAATTCGATGATGATTCCATTCGTGTCCATTTGATGATTTCATTCGATTCTATTTGATGATGATTCCATTTGAGGCCATTCGATGATTGCATTCGAGTTTGTTTGATGATTTCATTCGATTCCACTCGATGATGATTCCTTTTGAGTCCATTTGATGATTCGATTTGTGTCAATTTGATGATTCCATTAGATTCCATTCGATGACTCTATTTGAGTCCATTCAATGATTCCATTAGATTCCATTCGATGATGATTCCATTCGAGTTCATTCAAAGTTTCAATTCGAGTCCATTCGATGATTCCATTCGATTCCACATGATGATGATTCCTTTTGAATCCATTCGATGTTTCCTTTCAAGTGCAATGATTCCTTTCGATTCCATTCAATGATGATTACATTCTCTTCCATTCGATGATGATTGCATTCGATTGTATTCGATGACTCCATTCGATTCCATTCGATAGTGATTCCATTCTTGTCCATTAGGTGATTCCATTTGATTCTTATCAATGATGATTCCGTTTGATGCCATTTGATGATTTCATGCGATTCCATTCGATGATGATTCCATTCGATTCCATTCAATGATTCCATTCGATGATGATTCCATTTGAGTCCATTCGATGATTACATTCAATTCCATTAGATGATGATTCCATTTGGGTCCATTCAATGATTCCATTCGATTCAATTTGATGATGATTCCATTTGAGTCCATTCGATGATTCCGTTCGAGTCCATTCAATTATTCCATTCGATTCCATATGATGATGATTCCATTCGATTCCATTCGATGATTCCATTCAATTCCATTCGATGATGATTCCATTCGAGTCCATTTGATGATTCCATTCCATTCTATTCAATGATGATTCCATTCGAGGCCATTCGATGATTGCATTCGAGTCCATTTGATGATTTCACTTGATTCCACTCGATGACGATTCCTTTTGAGTACATTCGATGATTCCATTCGAGTCCATTCGATGATTCCATTCGATTGCATTTGATGGTGATTTAATTCGAGACCAATCGATGATTCCATTGGAGTCCATTTGGTGACTCCTTTCTATTCCATTCGATGAGGACTCCATTTGAGGCCATTCGATGATTGCATTAGCTTCGATTCAATGATGATTCCATTCGAGTCCATTCAAAGATTCAATTTGAGTCCATTGAATGATTCCATTCTATTCCACTTGATGATGATTCCTTTCGAGTCCATTCAATGATTCCTTTCGAGTGCCTTCAATGATTCCAATCAATTCCATTCGAAGATAATTCCATTCTAGTCTATTCAATGATTCCATTCAGTTGCATTCGATGATTCCATATGATTCCTTTCGATGATGATTCCATTCGAGTCCATTTGATGATTCCATTTGATCCCTTTCGAGCATGATTCCATTCGTCCATTCGATGATTCCATTCGATTCCATTCCATGATGATTCCATTCGATTCCATTCAATGATTATTCCATTCGAGTCCATTCGATGATTTCTTTCGATTCCATTCGATGATTCCATTCGATTCCATTCGATGATGATTGCATTCGAGTCCATTCGATGATGATTCCATTTGACTAAATTCGATGATTCCAATCGAATTCATCCGATGATTGGAGTCCTTTAGGTGATTCCTTTAGATTCCACTCAAAGATGATTCCATTCAATTCCATTCCATGATACCATTCCATTCCATTCATTGATGATTCCATTCGATTCCATTTGATGATTCCATTTTATTCCAGTCGATGATGATTCCATTAGATTCTATTTGATGATTCCATTCCATTCCATTCGATGATGATTCCAGTCATGTCCATTTGATGCTTCCATTCTTTTCCATTCAATGATGATTCCATTCGATTATATTTGATGATTCCATTCGAATCCATTCTATGATGATTATATTCGATTCCATTGGATGATTCCATTCGATTCCATTCGATGATTCCACTCGAGTACATTCGATAATTCCACTCAATTCCATTCGATGATTATTCCATTGGAGTCCATTTGGTGATTCCTTTAGATTCCACTCAAAGATGATTCCATTCAATTCCATTCGATGATACCATTCGATTCCATTCATTGATGATTCCATTCAAGTGCATTTGATGATATCATTCGATTCCATTTGATGATGATTCCATTCGTTTCCATTCAATGATTCCATTCGATTCCATTCAATGATGATGCCATTTGAGTCAATTCGATGATTCTATTGGAATACATTTGATGATGATTCCATTCAGTGATTCCATTCAATTCTATATGATAATGATTCCAATCGATTCCATTCGATGATGATTCCATTGGGTTCCATTCTATGATTCCATTTGATTCCATTAGACAATGATTCCATTCGATTCCATTCGATGATTCCATTCGATTCTATTTGATGATGATTCCATTCGATTCCATTCGATGATGATTGCATTCGATTCCATTCGATGATTCCGATCGATTCCATTCGATGATTAGATTCAATTCCATTTGATGATTCCATTTGATTCCATTCAATAATGATTCCTTTTGAGTCCATTCAATGATTCCATTCGAGCCCATTCGATAATTCCATTTGAGGCCAATCGATGATTCCATTCGAGTCCATTCGATTTCTCCATTTGATTTCAGTCATTGATGATTGCATTCGTTTCCATTAGATGATGATTCCTTTCGATTCCATTCGATGATGATTCCATTTGATAACATTCAATGATTATTTCATTTGATTCCTTTCATTGATTCCAATCAATTCCATTTGATGATGATACCATTTGTGTCGATTCTATTATTTCATTTGATTCCATTCGATGATGATTCCATTTGACTCCATTCAATGATTCCATTCAAGTCCATTCGATTATTTCATTAGATTCCATTTGATGATGATTCCATTTGATGCCATTCGATGATTCCATTTGATTCCATTCAATGATGATTCCATCTGAGTTTATTTGATAATGACTGCATTCGATTCCATTTGATGATTCCATTTGATTCCATTCAATGATGACTCTGATCGATTCCATTCGATGATTCCATTTGGTTCCATTTGATGATTCCATTTGATTCCATTCAAAAATGATTCCATTCGAGTCCATTCGATGATACCATTTGAGCCCATTTGATAATTCTATTTGAGTCCAATCCATGATTCCATTGGAGTCCATTAGATCATTCCATTTGAGTCCATTCGATGATGATTCCATTCGAGTCCATTGGATGATTCCATTTGAGTCCATTCCATAATTCCATTTGAGTCCATTTGATGATGCTTTTGATTCCGTTTGATGATATTCCATTCAAGTCCGTTTGATGATTCCATTCGATTCTATTCGAAGATGATTCCATTTGTGTCCAGTCGGTGATTCCATTCGATTTCATTCGATGTTGATTCCTTTCGAGTTCATTCGATGATTCCACTCGAGTCCATGCAATGATTAAATTCAAGTCCATTTGATGATTCCTTTCAATTCCACTTGATGTTTCCATTCGAGTAAATTCGATGATTCCATTTGATTCCATTCGATGATGATTCCATTCGAGTCCATTCGATGATTCCATTTGATTTCATTCAACGGTGATTTCATTCGAGTCCATTCAATGATTCCATTCGATGATGATTCCATTCGAGTCCATTTGATGATTCTATTCGAATCCATTTGATGATTGCTTTTGATCATACTTGATGAAGATTCCATTCGATTCCATTCGATGATGATTCCATTTGAATCCCTTTGATGATTCCATTTGATTCCATTCTCTGATGATTACATTCGAGTCCAATCGATGATTCCTCTCAAATCCATATGATGATGATTCCATTCGATTGCATTCGATGATTCCAGTCTATTGCATTCAATAATGATTCCCTTCGAGTAAATTAGATGATTCCATTCGATTCCATTTGATGATGATTCTATTCGTGCCCATTAGATGATTCCACACGATTCCATTCGATGATGATTCTATTCGAGTCCATTCGATGATTCCATTCGATTCCATTCGAGGATGATTCCATTCAATTCCATTCATTGGTGATTGCATTCAATTCCATTCATTGATTCCATTCCATTCCATTCGCCAATGATTCCATTCGATTCCATTCTATGATTCCACTTGATTCCACTTGACGATGATTCCATTTGATTCCATTCGATGATTCCATTTGATTCCATTCGATGATGATTGCTTCGATTCCATTTGATGATTCCATTCGATTCCATTGGATGATGATTCCATTCTATTTCATTTGATGACTCCATTCAATTCCATTGGACGATGATTCCGTTCAATTTCATTTGATGATTCCATTTGATTCTATTCGAGGATTCCATTCGATTCCATTCGATGATGATTTCATTTGAGTCCATTCGATGATTTCATTCGAGTCCATTAAATGATTCGAGTCCATTTGATGATTCCATTCGATTCCATTTGATGATGATTCCATTAGAGTCAGTTCGATGACTCCATTTGAGTCCATTTGATAATTCCATTCGAGTCCATTAGATGATTCCATTCGATTCCATTTGATGATTCCATTCGTGTCCGTTTGATCGTTACTTTCGTGTCCATTCGGTGATTCCATTGGATTACTTTTGATGATGTTCCCATTCGATTCCATTTGACGATGATCTCATTTGATTCCATTTGATGATGATTCCATTCGAGTCCATTCAGTGATTCCATTTGATTCCATTCAATGATGATTCCATTCGTGTCCTTTTGATGATTCCTTTCGAGTCCCTTCATTAATTCCATCCGATTCCATTTGATGATGATTCCATTCCAGTCCATTCGATGATTGCATTCGATTTCATTTGTTGATTCAATTGGAGTCTATTCGATTATTCCATTCGAGTCCATTCGATGATTCCATTCGATTCCATTCGATGATGATTCCATTCGAGTCCATTCAATGATTCCATTTGATTCCATTCGATAATGATTCTGCTCGAGTCCTTCGATGATTTCATTTGAGTCGATTCAATTATTCCATTCGATTCCATTCGATGATGATTCCATTCGATGCCATTCAATGATTCTACGATGATTCCATTCGTGTCTATTCGGTGATTCCATTCAATTCCATTTGATGATGATTCCATTCGAATCCCTTCAATGATTCCACTGGATTCCATTTGATGATGATTCCATTCGAATCCATTCGATGATTCTCCTCGATTCCATTCGATGACTCCGTTCAATCCCATTTGATGATTCCCTTCAATTCCATTCGATGATCATTCCATTTGATTCAATTCAGTGATTCCATTCGATTCCATTTGATGATGATTCTATTCGAGTCCATTTGAAGATTCCATTCAATTCCATTCAATGATTATTCCATTCAAATACATTTGATGATTCCTTTCGACCCCTTTCGATGATTCCGTTCGATTCCATTAGATGGTTCTCTTTGATTCCATTCGATGATCATTCCATTCTATTCAGTTCGGTGATTCCATTCGATTCCATTCAATGATGATTCCATTCGATTCGATTCGATTATGATTCCATTCAATTCCATTCGCTGATGACTCCTTTGGGTTCCATTTGATGATGATTCATTCGGTTCCATTTGATGATGATTCCATTTGGTTCCATTCGATGATTCCATTCGATTACATTTGTTGACAATTCCATTTGATTCCACTCAATGATGATTCCATTCAATTCCATTCGATGATGATTCCATTTGATTCCATTTGATGATGATTCCATTTGATTTCATTCGATGATTCTATTTGATTCCATTCGATGATGATTCCCTTCTATTCCATTCGATGACTCCATTTGATTCCATTTGATGATGATTCTGTTCGATTCCACTTGATGATGATTCTATTCAATTCCATTCGATGATGATTCCATTCGAGTCCATTCGATGATTCCATTTGATTTCATTCGATGATGATTCTATTCAATTCCATTCGATGATTCCATTCTATTCCATTTGATGGTGATTCCATTTGAGTCGAATCGATGATTCCATTCGAGTCCATTTAATGATTCAGTTGGGTTCAATTCGATGATGATTACATTTTATTCCATTCAATGATTCCATTTGTTTCCATTAGTTGATGATTCCGTTCGATTCCTTTCAGTGATGATTCCTTACTATTTCATTCGTTGAGGATTCTATTGGCTTCCATTTGATGATGATTCCGTTTGATTCCATTTGATGATGATTCATCCGATTCCATTCAATGATGATTCTATTCCATTTCATTTGATGATTCTATTCGATTCCATACGATGATGATTCCTTTCAATTCCATTTGATGCTGATTCCATTCGATTGCAATCAATGATGATTGCATTTGAGTCCATTTGAAGATTCCATTCGATTCCATTCGATGATGTTTCCATTGGTGTCCATTCGATGATTCCATTGCATTCCATTTGATGATGATTCTATTCAATTCCATTCGATGATGATTCCAATCGTTTCCATTCAATGATGATTCCTTTTGGTTGCATTCGATGATTCTATTTTATTCCATTCGAAGATGAATCCATTCTATTCCATTCGATGATTCCATTTGATTCCATTCAATGATGATTCTGTTTGATTATATTTTATGATGAATCCATTCGAATCCATTTGATGATGATTCCATTCACATCCATTCGATGTTTCCATTTGATTCCATTCAACGACAATTCCATTCAAGTCCATTAGATCATTCCATTCGATTCCATTCAATGATGATTCCATTTGATGCCATATGATGATTCCATTCCATTCCATTCGATGATGATTCCATTCGAGTCCATTCGATGATTCCATTCAATTCCATTTGATGATGATTCCATTTGAGTCCATTCGATGATTCCATTTGATTCCATTTGATGATGATTCCATTTGGGTCCATTAGATGATTCCATTTGATTCCATTCGATGATGATTCCATTCGAGTGCATTCAATGATTCCATTTGATTCCATTCTCCGATTATTACATTTGAGTCCATTCGATGATTGCACTGGATTCCATATGATGAAGATTCCATTCAATTCCATTTGATGGTTCCATTCTATTCCATTCAGTGATGATTCCATTCTGGTACATTAGATGATTCCATTTGATTCCATTCGATGATGATTCTATTCGTGTCCATTACATGATTCCATTCGATTCCATTCGATGATGATTCAATTCTATTCCATTCAAAGATGATTCCATTCAGGTCCATTAGAGGATTCCATTTGATTCCATTCGATGATGATTCTGTTCTATTCCATTCAATGATGACTCCATTCGTGTCCATTAGATGATTCCATTCGATTCCATTCGATGACAATTCCGTTCTATTCCATTCAATGATGATTGCATTTGGGTCCATTAGAGGATTCCATTCGATTCCATTCGATCATGATTCCATTCGTGTCCATTCGATGATTCCATTCTACTCCATTCGGTGATTATTCCATTCAAGTCCATTCAATGATTCTATTAGAGTCCATTGAATGATTGCTTTTGATTCCATTCGATGATGATTTCATTCCATTCTATTCGATGATGATTCCACTCGATACCATTCTATGCTTCCTTTCAATTCCATTTGATGTTGATTCCATTCTATTTCATTCGATGATTCTATTCGAATCTATTCAATTATGATTCCATTCGAATCCATTCGATGATTCCATTTGATTACATTTGATGATGATTCCATTTGATTACATTTGATGATTCCTTTCGAGTCCATTCGATGATGATTCCATTCAAGTCCATTGCATGATGATGCCTTTCCATTCTATTTGATGATGACTCCATTCGATTCCATTCGATGATGACTCCGTTTGATTCCATTAGATGATAATTCCATTCTATTCCATTTGATGATGATTCCATTCCATTCCATTCGATGATGATTCCATTTGATACCATTCTATGATTCATTTCTATTCCATTTGATGTTGATTCCATTCTATTTCATTCGATGATTCTATTCGAATCTATCAATTATGATTCCATTCGATTCCATTCGATGATTGTATTTGATTACATTTGATGATGATTCCATTTGATTACATTTGATGATTCCAAATGATTCCATTCTATGATGATTCCTTTCGAGTCCATTCGATGATGATTCCATTCAAGTCCATTGCATGATGATTCCTTTCGAATCCATTCGATGATGACTCCATTCGATTCCATTCGATGATGATTCCGTTTGATTCCATTCGATGATAATTCCATTCTATTCCATTCGATTATGATTCCATTCCATTCCTTTCCATTCCATTCCACTACATTCCATTACATCCGATTCCATTCCACTCCATTCCACTCCTCTCCTCTCCACTCCACTCCACTCCACTGCATTCCATTCCATTCTATTCCACTGCTTTCCATTCCATTCCTTTCTTTCAAGAGTGTCTCACTCTGTCACCCATCATGTAGCACAATGGCACAATCTCATCTCCCATTCCATTCCATTCCTCTCCATTCAATTCCATTGGATTCAATTCCATTCAATTCCTTTCCATTTCATTCTATTCCATTCCATTCCATTCCATTCGAAAAAGAAAGAGTTGCAAAGTCATACTCATTTTTCTGCTCTTGTCAGACAATTAAGTGTTCTTTGAATACTTCAGCCCTAATAATTTTCTTTTTATCATACATATTGCAGTGCTTATCTAATTTTAAATATATTTTTGTTTCAAAACCCAGTTTCTTATTTGTTCTATCTGTATGTTTGCAATATATTATACTCTCTGTTCATTCTTTGATTTCAGAACTTCGACCTTTCTGAAGAATATTTTCAGAGTTTCTCTGTAGTTTCTTTAGTGGAATTCTGCTGGTGACGTTTTGTTTTTTATCTCTAAATATGTTATTTAGCCATAGGTTGATGAATATTTTTCTTCGTTTAGAAATTCAGAATGGCATTATTATTCTTAACAAATAATATTGTTTATTTAACCTTTCATTTTTTTCAGATTTCAATATGATTAAAAGTAATTTCATTTTTCTAGTGCTAATTGAAATATTTTTCCCTTCCTCATTGTTTACTATTTCTCTAGGAGATACATAGGTGTAGGTTTATCTCCATCATAGCTTGCTTAGCAAGCATGGAATTTTTGAATACGCAGATTAGTGTCTTACAAAAGTCTAGGGAACTTTCAGCCAAAATACCATCACATATTGTTCCTTTCCAGTTCCCTTCTTCTATGAGAACACTCTCTAAACACATGCTACACTTTCTCACTGTATCTTCCATGTCTCTTCATCATTCTGTCCACATTTTACATTTTTTAAAATTTTCTGTAATGCATTCTGAAATATTTATGAACTCTCACCTTGGCTATGTCTAATCTGATGAGTACATTTTTGAGTTTTTAATTTAAAATAACTATATTTTTATACAAACTACTTTCCAAATTTGCTACATGAATTTTTTAGTCTCCTAACAATATATTCATTTTTTAAAAAAATTTTGAAAGCAAATGTGCTTTATAATCTAACAGTGATATTT
This sequence comes from Homo sapiens, assembly GCF_000001405.40. Classification (NCBI taxonomy): domain Eukaryota; kingdom Metazoa; phylum Chordata; class Mammalia; order Primates; family Hominidae; genus Homo; species Homo sapiens. The sequence continues at coordinate 58,068,721 of NC_000007.14, forward strand.
CTACTAATGAACCTTTGTGGATCTGTTTGTACTCTTTTTCTGCTTTCCTTTCAAAGGGCGGAATATCATTTCGTTGCATACTCAGATGCCTTTGAATGACAAATACTTATTTTTCTCTGAAAATTATTTTTGTGCACTTTTGCAGATTAGTAAATAGAAAATTTGTCAAAGATAATTTGAATTCTTTTGTGATTCTACTAAAGGCACCACCATTCTGGGACCACATTATGTTAATTCCTGGCCTAAAGGTGTTCGGACGTATGTTTGGACTGCACATTTAAACAATTTTTAAATTAATTGCTGTAAATCATTAACGATTGAGTTTCTTTAAATCTGTCCAATCTCAAGTCATTTTTATTTGCCATTTCCAGGGAATGTGAAATGGGACTAATTTACCTCTGATTCTTCTTTATACTGAGGATAGAAATTTTTGTCCTAGCTTTAGGGAAGAGCTCCTGTGTGATGCCCTATCTTGGGAAACACTATGTATTTCTTTACTGTCCTATGTGATGTATGACAGTAGGAATCTGCACGCATTCATTTTGCTACATGTCCGTAGGGCAAAATCAGTTTTGGTGTTTAGTTATATTTTGTCTGCTCCCTGCATTCCCATGGTTTTGAACTTATATTTTAATTTTATTTGTGAACATACCAGTGCTTCAAATTTTTTCCAGTAATATATTCAACTATATTATGAGAAAGAGAAAAATTTTGATAAAACACAAATTTCATGTTTTCCTTCTCTAATTGGCTTTTACTTAAAAATATAGGTAAAATTTATTTGTGTCTTTTGCTATTTCTGTTTAGCTATTCTCTGTTTGTCTATGTCTTCTCCACATAGACACAATTAGGAAATTTTGTACACTCTTGTGCCAACTGCTTTGATAGTAACAAAATGTATTTCTCGAACTCCTAGGTATAAAACTAAAGTATCCACAATTTAAATTCTTTTTCCCTCACTTCTACTATGTTTCCAGTCTCAATAGAAATCGATGCCAATCCAGAAACACAAGCATTATTCTAATACTTCTCACACATTACAGGTAAAGATTAAATTTTCTAGATCTCCTTAAATACTATAATTTTCACTACTTGTATCTTAATTGTTAAGTTCAGCATTTTCTATAATATTAATAAGTTGTGAAAATTTCCTTACTTTCTTATTTGTCCCAAGTTCAAGGTTCTGCAGTCTCTACCTCACCCTGTGAAGCATAAACATTGTACTATGCTGTACAAATATTACATAGTTCATGTGCTTAGAGATTGCACAATTTTTATTTGGTTGACAATAGCTAATGTTTTCTTCTTCATTTTCTATTTCCTGATTTTTCTTTATTTTGTATATGCTACTTTATCATAAAAATAAGAACTTTTTACAAACTAAAGCAAAAGAAACCCTAGGAAAAAAATGCACAAATAAAATATATAAACATACATTTATATGTACCATGTACACTTCTAATTTATTTAGACTTTTAATTGTAGTACAATTTTAATTAAAGTCTGTGTATTATCTGTCATCGTCTTAGTATTTTTTATATAACAAATTGTGTAAATCAAAAAGCCTCAATGTCATTATAAACTATCTTGGCAGAGGTTGATGTCCAAGGAATAATTTCTCTCCCAAATTATGTCAATCAGAATTTCACTCTACCGTAATTCTTTTAATCAGTTTCAGAGGAATCATAAATTTCAAAATTGTTCAAGGTAGTTGTTGTAGTTCAAGTACATTTAGACAGGTGTAAAACTGTAGACAGACTGATACAAATATATTCTAATTGACACAAAAGTATATGGGACCTATTTTAAAATCTAGACTTTAAAATGTCGTGTCAACATATGCATGTTCTCCTTGTAAAATAATTGCTTTTTATTCTCTGGATAGAATAATTTAGTCTTTAAACATTCAATTCATTGTTAAAAACAAAATATTACATAAGGATACGCTTATAAAAATAATTCACAACTAGCTTTTCAATTCAGAAATATATGTGAAAAATCATCAAGCATCTAATGGATTTCAAGGAGAAATGGGTTAGTAATTTATTCCATATGTCTCTATTTTTCCTAGATTCAAGGCTTCCTTTAAAACATTTGTAGGCATTTAAGAAACCATGTAAACTAAAAAGAAGAAATTGTGACACTGCCGCTTAGGTTTTTTAAATCTTTGGACATGAATCAATACACTTTTTAATTTTATCTTAATTAGACATTGTGAGTTCACTATCTTCCTGTCAGTGTAGCATCCAAGCTGATTATCATAGATTACAAGTTCAACTATCAACTGTGTTCTGAGAGTCTAAAAAAATAAATGAATGTATTTGTTTGGGTATTCTTAAAGCAGGAGTGAGGACACAGCAAAAGTGAGACAAGGAAGAGAGAACAAAATAAAACAGGAAAGATAGAAAAGCCAATACCACACGTGTTAAGAGGCAAGTTCCTGTGTATATATCTGGGCTTAATTCTATGGGAAGCTATGTGGAACATGCCTCAGAATTACATCACTGAATCCGGGGAGATTCTTCTTAGTTATCCTCACCTTTTCTTCCCACTTCATGTCCAGTAACAAGCTCCCGTTCTGCTAGAGAAAGTCCTCAGCTAGAAACAGGTGCAAATTCTGGAGATGAGACCTTGTAGAGTGTTAAGAATGGTTTTCTTCCCAGCAGCTACAGGTAAGGAATAGGGGCTGGGCTATTAATACATCTGCTACAAATCAATATAAACCTTATGCTCCTTTTGGTGATCGACAATGTATTTAAAATATTAGATGATTAAGAAGGGCTGCAGAAAGGAGGAAAAAGAAACAAACAGCACACCTCTTGGTTTATTTTTTTTATTTTTTTTATTTTTTGGTTTGATAGAACTATGATGTATTTCTTTTTTTTTTATCATACTTTAAGTTTTAGGGTACATGTGCACATTGTGCAGGTTAGTTATATATGTATACATGTGCCATGCTGGTGCGCTCATTTCATCTGTTTCAAGGAAAATGTGTTGGGAGTTCCTGGCATAGAGAATGTCACAAAGATATGTTTTCAATATCGGTGCTATCCCTAGGGCAGAGAAGATCCAGAGAAAGCCCAAGTGGCTGCTGGAACAAAGTCAGACACCGTGCCACCTGTCCACACTCCTTGGCTCTGCCATCATGCTGAAGATTGGTTTAAAGGCCTGGCTTCCCTCCCCGCAAAATTAAAAGAGCACAAACTGAGAAACTGAATGTGGGAGACAGCAGTGGATTATGCTGTTCTCAGGGGTCACCTCAGGTTTGGAAGCATTCTTTCAAATTAACCCATCTCAGGCCATCTGCAGAGAAGAAATGTGGTACCTAACTTTTTTTCTTGTCAGCACTTGGTAGGGGTGTTTTATTGACCAAATATGTTCCCACAACCTAGTTTTTTGTAACTAACTAAATATAGTAGATTTTTTAATTTTATCATCAAAATCTATAGACAATTTTTTATTAAAATAGGCTCCACATCTATGTCCTGCTTTTCTTCTTATTAATTACATTGCTGTATAAAAGAACAAGATTTCAGAATCAAGAATATCTTGTCTCTTGGCATTGAATTTATACAAGGTGCTCTTTCTTTAATGCTGTCTCAAAGGACATATTTTTACTCATTAAAAAGGAAGATCGGAATCTAGTTGTATGCACTGCTCCAACATATTAATAATTAAAATTAGGATGTAAATGTCGTCAAAGCTGTAGAAAGACTTGAGATGTCATTTATATCGATTACTCTATAGCACTCTACAAACAGAAATTGTGAAATAATAGTTTATATAAATATTCTGTAGCATTTCAAATATTGGAGTGCCTGAAGTTTCTCCTCTTATATAGTTCAGATTATCAATTTGAAGACTTGCTCCGCTGGTTAAAAAGTTTTTAGTCTCGTTTGAGTATTATATAAAAGCAATTTTCAGTTAAATGTGTTCCGCTTACATAAAACATTAGAAATTAGTGAGTATTTAATTACATTTTCGTGTTCCTGTAATGCCTTTAGAAGATTTTCATATTATTACCTATCAATACATGTATGCTTTGTCTAAGAAAAATCAATCATATACATCATTGAAATGGAAACTTTTTAAAAGTACTTATTAATTCTATTGAAAAACCACATCCATTGGAGCAATTACAATATAATATTGTAAACATGTAAATATATATCCTATGTCTATTTTATATATAAGCATATATGATTAAAAATATAGTTAAGAATTTTTAAACCTAGTATTATAAAGTAAAAATTAATTAAACTTCTGATGATTATTTGTTAATTAAGATAAAATTATTTTGATTTGGGTGATTTTAAATGAACAAAAATATTAAATTACATGACAAAAATTCTTTATAAAATGTTTACGATTTTTACATTGGTTTTATCACTTTTTCCACTATTTTAAGATGATCTGCCTTGTTTAAAACACTGTATTCATCTTAATAAAATTAAATTCCATTTGTAAAAATATTAACAAATGATTTGCTCTATTATGCAGTGCGGTTGTAAACTGAGTCAGTATCTCAAGATTTGATCCCCCTTATCGTCATCTGTGGCCCTATTTGTTTGATAAATATAGTGTCTTTTTCCATGCCTGTCACATCTCTATTGCTCATTTATTTTTGTCCTTGTCCCTTATAGGGAGCATTGCCTATCTCTAGATTAAGCAAAAGTTGCATCTTAAAAAAGCACAATAACCTGCTCAAACTTTCTCACACAGAGAAATGTTTGTTAAGTAATTAAAGTGTAGATGATGATACAAAGAGCTTGATTAAATAAGATGCCAAAGTACCCTCATGATTCAGAATATGAATGGTATTTAATGCCTTTGAAATCAATAATTGCTGAGTGACAGTAATTAATGCCAATATTTCAGAAGTTGTTCTGGTTAGTGAAATGTGTACAACATGTAAAAATTTCCAAACTCTGAAGGGCAACATTATTCTATAATTAAGAATTAAGAATTAATTCACATTAATTAGTGGGGAGAAATAATTTTAAGAATTAATGACTGAGAAAACGTTTTTATTTTTTATTTAGAAAATTATTTTGTGCATGAGCATTAGTGCAAGCTTTGCAAGAAACATAAATTTATAGAAACAATTATGTGCACAAGATGAATTTAATGATATCTTGATATTTTCCACTACTACAGTTGTATTTGGTAAATCTTCAAATGCCCATTATCTAAAGATCATAAATGAATCTTGGAAATCTTGTAGGTAAGGGTAAATATAAGGATGCATCCAATTACATTTACACACACATACAATTACATTTACACAAACATACATGCACACACGCTCACTGATACAGGCATGCATATATATACATGAATTTACCAATTGATTTTAACTAATATTTATAAGAGCCTGTAGGATTGATATATATTGTTGAACCTGAAAAATATTTATTATATACATGTTTAAAATACACAAAGAAATAAATACTAATTGCACTAGGCATTTGAAACTGTACTTAAATATAAGCTGTGATCATTACAAATTCTTACACTGAATAAATATTTTTATTTTTATAATAATATGTCTGATACACGTGTACATTTTTTAAAATGTATTATTTTTGTCATAGAGTCATGTCATGCATAATAATATTTCAGTCAAAAATGGATTACATATACAAAAGTGGTCCCATGAGATAATACATATTTTTACATACTTTTCTATCTATGTTTAATTATGTTTACATACATAAACTCTTACCACTGTGTTCTTATTGCCTGCAGTATTCAGTATAGTAATGTAGTACACAGGTTTGTAGCCTAGGAGAGAGAGGTTATACCATATAACCTAAACGTGGTAGGCTGTACAAACTAGGTGTTTGTAATATTCTCTCTGACGTTTGCAAAATGATGAAATTGCCTATGGATGCATCTGTTAGAACGTATCCCTGTCATTCAGTGATGCGTGACTGTGCTAAAATGCTAAATCTAAGTTTCAATGACCTCCATAAAATTGTTGTACTGTGAAATACAAATCTCTCACCTACGGCCTGAATATGCTTGCAAACTAAGCAGATCATGGGAAGGAGAATGTGCTGGCATCGCTGGGATGATTTTCTCACACTACATGAATAATATCTCCAGACTTTGCGAATATGAGCCACTTGCATAGAGTTAAATTAAGCATCTCTTTGCTGGGAAATTTATCAAATGGGAGTATGAAGTGTTTTTAAAAGATACTTGTTTGTTTGTAGACGGTAGGCTTACAGTGGCTCATGGCAATGGTTGAGGTTGCTAAGATTTGGTGGAAGAAGGCAAAATGAAATGGCCACTTATATGGTATAAGGATCACTTGTTTCTTTTGAGTTACAGATTCAGCTGGCTATTTCTCCGAATGTTAGTTATTTGGAGAAAAGAAACATGATAGTAATTTTGGGGTAACAAATACAATATTTGATGAAAGCAAATTTATTGAGGGTTAGACAAACTACAAGATAATTTAGGCTGCGAAGTCAACACGAGACTTCTGGCCCAAATTGTGCAGAGTTTGCGTCCAGATGCAAAGTTCAAAGGAAGAGGCCATATAAGATGATTCGCACTTTTGTCACCAACTGCCAGTTCAAAGGTTTCCCCAGAACACCCTCAGTTTCAAGAATTTACTAAAAAGACTCACAGAACTCATTGAATGCCATTGTACTCAAGGTTTATAATAGAGAAAGGGTAGAAATTAGGACCAATCAAAGGAAGAGACGTATCACATAAGTTGGAGTCTAGGAGGATTTTGAATGTTAAGTTTCCATTGTCTTCAGCACATATTACCTGTCATTGTTGTACAGCAATAAACATGGAGTACTACCAACCTGGGGAGCTCACCTGATGCTAAAAAGACACTATTTTGAAAATGAAAAGACAAAGGAAAGGAGGAGATAAGATGACCTTCCACATTAAGGCATTGGAAAGAATAGCAAACTAAACCTAAAGCCAGCAGAAGGAAGAAAATAAAAATTAGAGAAATTAATAATTTATAATATTAATCATATTTGTTAGTATTGACTAATTGATATTAATTCCTGACTGACTTTTTTTAAAAAGAGAAATATTCACTTCCCAATTTATTCTGTGGGGCCAGTGTTACCTTGATACAAAAATTAGTCCAAATAGTGTAGAAAAATAAAATAACTATAAGTATAAATGCAAAATTCCTTAAAAAATACTAAAAAATCAGATCTAGCAACATATAAAAGAATTATACACTATGACAAAGTGAAATTTATACTAGTAATCTCAGGTTGGTTTAACAGCCCAAAATCCATTAAGGTAATACATCTTATCCATAGAATAAGACACGAGAATTGCATGATCATCTCGATAGATTCAGAAAAGACATTTACCAAAATCCAAATGCTTTAATGATTAAAAATAAAAATAAAAACTCAATGAACCAGGAATAGAGAACTTTCTACACCAGATACATGGCACCTGCGAAAAGCCAACAGCAAGCATGCAACTTAATGGTAAAGGATGCTTTCCCGCTATGGTCAGAGATAAGAATAGGATATATAATTGGACCTCTTCTAGTGAACACTGTACTAAAGATTTTAAGCAGGGCAAATCGGCAACTAAAAAAAAAAGAGTCACCCATATTGAACAGGAAGAAATAAAACTTTATTTCAAAATAACATTCTTGTATATAGAAAATTTTAAGGAATCCATTGAACGATAGAACTCGTAAATTATTTCAGCAATATTACAGAATACAAGATAAATGTACAAAAATCAACTGCACACATCTACAATGAAAACCCCAAAATGAAATTAAGAAAACACTTCAATTTAAAATAGCATCAAAAAAAGAAATAATAATTAATTTGGAAAATGTGATACAAGATTTTACTCTGAAAATTAAAAATTATTGTTTAAAGAATATCTAAATAATTAGCAAACATCTTCCATCCATGAATTGGAAGATTTAATATTGTAGTACTTTACAAGTTGAACTACAGATTTGACGTAATGCCTGCAAATATCCTAACAGACTTCTGTCTAGAAACTGACAAGCTGATTCTAAAATACACATGGGATTGTAAGGGACTCAAAATAGCCAAAATAGTCTTGATAAAAGAAAACATATTAGGATAATTCACACCCCCGTGCTCCAAACCTTACGGCAAAGTATCAGTAATCAAGACAACAAAATACTGATGAAGGAAAATTATATAGATTGATGGAAGAGAATTGAGAGTCCATATATAAAACTATGTATCTATAGTCAATGGATTCTGAAAGTGGTGCCATGTGCAATTCAATGAGGAAGAGACAGTCTTTGACCACACTGAGTCAACAACGTACACGTGGATCGCCACTTGCAAAATAGTAAATTGGAACCCTTACCCCAAAGCATACAAAAATATTAACTCAAATGAATTAAAGACATACATGCAAGAGCTAGAATAAAGCATATGTGAAAATCTTCAGGATTTTGGATCTAGCAAAAAAATAGCTGTAACACCAAAAACATGAGCAGCAAAATAAAAATTAGATATTTAAAATTTCTTAAAAAATAAAGACATTGGTGTTTCAAAGGACAACCAAGCAAGTCAAAAGGCAGCTCAAAAATTGTGAGAAAATATTTGAGAAACACATGTCTATATGTCTGCTTATATATGTACCTTGAATATAGAAAAATTGTTTTAACTCAGTAACAAAAATCCCAACTCAAAACTGATAAATGATAGGAATAGTTGTGTATCCCAAGAAGATACACGAACGGTCAATAATCCCATAAAAAATACTCAACAGCATCACTCATCAGGCAACTACAAATCAAAACCACAGTTAAATACTCTATGGCTAGAACTGGCCACTTTGGAAAATAGGTTGATGGCTTCTAAATATATGAAACATAGAATTGTCATATGACCCAGAAATTTATTCCCAGGTATACCCCCAGAGTATTGGAAAGAGGTGTTCAAACACAAATTGTACACAAGTATTTTAACAGCAGCATTTAAAATAGCCAAAGGCTGAACACAACTCAAATGTCAACAAAATAGTATTGGATAAACAAAATGTTATATCCATGAAATTGAATGTTATACAGTTATAAAAAGAAATAAAGTACTAATACGGATATGAACCTTGATAGCATTATGCCAATTGAAAGAAGCCAGGCACAAAAGGCCACCTATTGTATGATTCTATTTAGATGAAAATAGAATAGGAAGACCTACAGAGACAGAAAACAGATTTGTTGTTGCTTAGGATTGAGTAGGGGATGAGTGCATAGGAGGTTAACAGCTAGAGACGGTGGGGTTTCTTTTTGAAGGGATGAAAATGCTCTAAAATTCATTGTGATGATGGCTCCACTTAACTGTGTATATACTAAAAGCCACTGACTTGTAGACATTAATATGTGCACTCTACAGTGTGTAAATTATATCTCAATAAATCCTTTCAAAAATACACAGAAGACTAAGGGGTTTTGGACTGTTGCAGCTGGGAGACAGTTTGAAATACTGAATAGGTCTCATCGAGAATGTGAGGTTTCAGTAAAGACTTGAGGAAGTTGAATGAGCTGATCAGTGTATATATGGAGGGCTATCTTTCCAAGCCAAGAAATTAACTAGAGTCTTGGTCATAAGGCAGCAGCATGTTGGCATGTCCAGAGAACAGTGAGGTGGCCAGGACCACTGGTAAGATCAAGGGTGAAGACATAAAAGAATTTTGGCTGTTAACATGCGGCAGATCATGATGGGCTTGCAGACCATTGTAAGAATTGTGACTTTTAGTGTAAATGAAATGGGGAGATAAATAATTATCCCATTATCAATATTTTAATAAGTTGGATCCATGAACCAAATCCAATAAGATTAAATCAATTAGTAATAATATACAAATTTTTATTAAAATTACAAGAATTCCTTGCACATTTGAGAACAAGAGAGTCATGACTGTTTATCAGCAATAATAAACTATTAATTTTAATTGTCACCAGCTAATTGAGATTAATTGCAACACATCATGCTTTACAATGTGACTGTCAAAAGGAAAATATGATTGTAATCTTATACTACATCTATCAATGTCTTTGATTCATAGGACTATAGAATAAGCCCCTAGTTTTCAAAGCCAACTGATGAGGCAGCGACATCTTATGCAAGTTTGCTGCTTTCTGCCACAGTGGTCCTTGGTCAGCTGGCACAAATTGTTTTACCAACACCACTAGGTCTAAAAAACGTTTGGATCACAATGAACACAGAAACACCTTCATCCCTTCAGAAATACCTATCAATTAGTTCCAATACAGAATGAAAAATTGACAACGGAAGTATGTTGATTGTAAAAATGCCAGATAGCTTGCATCTACATGAAAGAAAAATGCCATTTTTATTACAATAGATCATTGTTTTACATGAGTTTTGGTATAGCACAATGTTGAACCAAGGGCAAAGAGAGATGAATTAATGAAGTCTTAAGATATCAAGAATTTGAAAGAAAAGGCAGGTCATCTTTGAAGGTTAGTGACATAGCATTCATCTTCTGTTGTCACCTTTTCCGTCATTCCCTGTATGCCTGATGGACAGCTTTCACTCAAGTTCAGAGAACAGCATGCAAAGATTAGCTACCAACTAATTTTTATGAAGTGAGCTAAATTTCTAGCCAGACTGAGCTTATGTTTTAGCAGGAAGCATTTTTGGGAAATGTTTATGTTAGAGTTTGCCCTTCTTGACAAGGTGAGACATAAATGTCTACTTTATAGACATGAATTAAGATGGGAAGATATTTGGGGGACACATTTTCTCAAATGCTAAATAACAAAGGTACACAAAGGGGAAGTTATACTAGATTTATTTCCCACTTGTTTTCTATGTCTCATCCAATTCATCTTGATTCCCTTCAGTTTCTGTTTAATGTAGAAAATGGCATTTTCATTATTTTAAGCTTCTAGCACAATGAATTTCTCTTTTTCATGAACTGCATTATAAATGAAAGGGAGGAAGAGTGTCCAATATCATATTTATTGTTCAACAAAACACTGCTCCACTGCTTAAATTCAGTTTAAAAAAGAGAATTTATTGAACATCTAACACATACATGAAAGGCAGTAAAGACAAATGAGAAGAGGGCAGGATATTGAAGTATACAGATTTGAATGCTGAGTTTTGTATCTTAGTAAGTTACTGCACCTTACAGAGACTCATTTTCCCCTGATTTAGGAAGGCGATGCTAATGGGTATTGCATAGGTGTAAGTATAAAAATGTTGTACTTAAGAGAATCCCACAAGCTTGGTATAAGGCAGAAAATAAATAGATGTGACATTAATGAGTAGTTTATTACATTTGTATGCTACCTGCAGACTAGAGAAAGCAAGAAACATAGCCACTATGCTTGATTAGCATTATATTCTAATTTGGAATATAAATAGAAAAGAGAAAAATAGAAAGCTATGCATAAACACATGCCTTAAAATGAATATTATGTGGACTCTTTCAGGAAAATGTTCCTAAGGTATTTTAACTTTTTATTGTGGTAAAATACACATAACATAAAATGTACTCTGTTAACCATTTTAAGTGTACAGTTCAGTGATACTAAATAGAGTCATAACATTGTGCAGCCATCCCTACCATCCATCTCCATAACTCGTTTCATCTTGTGAAACTGAAACTCTATGCCCATTAAACAGTACTTCCCCATGTCTTCCTCCCCCCAGCTTCTGGCAGTCATCATTGTACTATCTCTGTGATTCTGTCCACTTTAAGTCTCTTATACAAATGGAATTATACTGTATTTGTCCTTCACTGATTAACTTATTTCACTTGACATAATATCCTCAAGTTTCATCCAAGTTGCAACATATGTCAGAATATTTCCCTCATGTTTAAGGCTGAATAATTTTCCATTGTATGTATACTTCATGTTTTGCTTATCCATTCATCTGTTGTTGGGCACTTCAATTGCTTCTACGTTTTAGCTATTGCCAATAATGCTGCTGCAAACATGGATGTGCAAATATTTTTTCAAGACTCTGCTTTCAATTCTTATGCTATCTTGAGATGTGGGGCTGCTGAATCATAAGGCAATACCATTTTGATGTTTTGAGGAACTACCATAATCTTTTCCACAGCAAACATAGGGTTTGGCATTCCCTCCAATATTGCAAAAGGAATCGCCACATCCTTGCCTGTGGATTTTATTCACAAGTCCTGTGGCTCTCTCTACATCCCGGCCACCATGTGTTATTTCCTGTTTATATATATGACATCAAAGGTGCAGGAAGTAATGAACTAAATTGGAAGGATAAACATGTAGAAAAATAGAGGTAAATACTGACTACATAAAACCACAAGAATAAGAATTTTGGATGATCTATCTATTGTATATCTATTTATCTAACATCTATCTGTTCCTCCATCTGTAATTAAAATATATTACAGTTAGAGAACAGAGAAAAAAGTAGGAATACATGAATTTAAATTTTAATTCTTCTTAGATTGTCTCACAGCATCATTATATGACAGAAAATTTATAGGTCAGTATCTGTTAACTATAAATGTAACATTTTTAAAGTATTGAAATACCTTGAATTGCAGCATGAATAACATATTATGATCCATTCAAGTTTATTTTATTCCAGGAACACAAAAATAAAAATTTCATTTGCAATTCAAGAAAAACAAAAATCGATACATATGATTGATGTATATACACATTTAATGTATTTTTAAATATACATTTTTAAAAAATAAAATTTTTCTAGGACAACTACTTAAAATATCACTGAAAATAGTGTTATTAGATAATACCTTCCTAATAACTCTGGTATTACATAAGAAAAAAATTAAAATTTCAGATAAGCTTAGAAACTAAAAATTTTAAAAATATTATTCTGTTCTCCATATGTTCATATTTAACATTATTTCTTGTTTTCATTCTTCTTCAGTGTTGCTCTACTAAAATATAACATACAATAGTTACTTTTGATTTCTGTTCTTATTACTCAAAATTGTATACATTTTCTCATGCTCTTCATTTAGCTATGCTACTTTTCTTTACTCCTGGAATTTTCACATTTTTGTTCACTCTCTTTTGAGTTCCCATAGTATCAAATAAGCTTTTTGCCCTCTTTCTGATTTGAAGGTTCATCTTCTCATAATTATTTTGTCCACTCAGTTTCTTTTCATTCTCAGTTAAGTGCCTCTCATCTGGCTTCTTTTCATTTGTAAGGTTTCCTTTCATCTTAAGCCAGTCTTTTATTTATATTTTGATTCTGTTTTTTGGAGGACATGCTTCCCTGAATTTTAAGGAAGAGGCCAAAAGGTTGGTTCAAGTTTTTACCGGATACATTGGATTAAATTATCTAATGTACACACCCTTAATTTAAGTCTAGGGGCGACTGTCTACTCTCGATTTTGTATAGTATTATTTTTCTTAACATCCAAGTCCATCTTCATCTATTTGTATATGATCAATAAAAATATGTTTGTCCACAACCCTGCTTTGGTGGAGTTATTTCTTTCTAAGTAGGAGAGGTAGCAGTTGAGACATGAGCTGGGTTCTGGGTCAGTTTAGAGGGCTGGGCGACATTCCTCCTTTTGGTCTGTATGACTGAATGAATGCGGTTCTTGCCGTCTCGCTCCTCTCCTTAACACATTAAGCCATTGCAGCAGATGAGAAGGAATAATCCTGATCTGCCATTCAGGTGGAACAGTTGTTCTCTCCAACCACATCCATAGGTTGTACTCACACTCGGCCAGAATGTATCCTGTCAATCATATGGAGATGTATCTAGCTATCTAGATAGATATCTACTTTGGTTTATGCTCTCTGGTTGCCCGTAAATTATCTCCTTAAAGTGAATATCAAAAGAGAGCTTGGTGATGGCAGTGTTATAAAATCCTCAAAATGCAGCACCCACACGCAGAGGAATTTGTAGATTCTGGGATTCTAATTCAGATACCAAACTATATAAAAGGGGCATTTGTCATTGAGGGTTGCTAGGCTCTTTGTGGAGCATATTTGCTCTTTTCATGACTTTGAAATTATTTTACAAATCTAACCTTTTTCTCGGTGTGCTGCAAGATGATTTGATTTTAATGCACAAGCACTAACTCTCCCCTAAGATTTGTACAATATATTTGCTCTGACAAGCCATAGCCAGCAACTCACTTCACAGCAATTTATAGCATTTCCACGACAATTTGAATTATTTTTAACTAGACTCTCTTTGCCTTAATAAAAATATGAAGAAGCAATTTACTTGTTCTAGTTAGGTTCAAAAGTTGGCAGTCTCTCTCCTGGAAAGAATAATAAAACTTTTCAGCGGCCTAATATGCATCTATAGACACACACACATGTAAGCACTATTCATAATATTTAAAGCACATTCTGTTCTATGACTTCATTTGTCTAGCACAAAATAAAACGATCTCAGTATATGTCAAGTACCAATTTTTTCGTATGGCCAATTATAGGTATTTTAATTTTTAAAGATTAGAGTGTTCTTGAAGCTCTTTCTATTTCTTTGTCAATGAACTAAACATTGGCAAATATGTAGGGTTTCCCACCTAAGAACATTATTAACATCAAAATAGAAAGCTGGTGGTAGAAATAATGATTGGGAACACAGAGTCTCTACTCAGCGTTCTATTTCTGCCATACCATAACTTTGTGATCTCACGAAATATCTCTCCATGTTCTCATCCCTATGTATAGTTCTGTCATTTTTCAATAAGAGCTTTTTGCTTAATTATGAAGTACTAGTTACTATAACCATTATTTTGAGCTTCATGTAAATCAAGAACACATGGACCCCACTTGCAAAACATTGAAAATGTAGTTAGGGATTGAGGGCACAAAGCAACATTTTAAAATGTGTAAAGACAATGAGTAAGCAACAAAGTGTCCAATTTTTTAGGCGAAAGTTGCATACGTCAGGAAAAGGCAGGATTAAGTAACAGAGAATTTGAATGATAACTGGCCAATTGGTGTCGTTTACAATTGCAAGTCATACAAATGAAGTTTGCTTTTTTAAAGAGAAATGGAGTTAGTTAGAATGGGTCAACCTATTGGGGAAGCAAGGTAGTTAGAGACAATGCCCAAAACCATGTGAGCAAATGCTCTGTAGAGCGCACCCCTGCAATGCTGCCATTGTGAGGCCAAGTCTCTCCTTGTCTTGGTACTGAGACCTCCATTCTGCCTCCATCATTGCCACTGTAGCTGCCACAAAATGATCCCTCAACCACCGCTGCCCAGGAACAAAGAAAGAATTCTGTCCTTCTGCGCTCTCAGATCAATTTCCAACATCAGGTGAGACTTTGATGGGCACTATTCAGTTCCCATATCCCTGAAATAGATTCAGTAAAAACATAGAAACTGCCTATGTGTTTCCCAATAAGACACATATGGAAGCCTGTTTTCCCACAACAGGAAGGGGTTTCCACGATGGGTGCTCAAAGGAACAATATTCCCTGTAAACCATACTTTGCCCATATGAAGAAGAGCAATAAAGATTATTTAGTAAATAGACATGGAAACTCATCCAGGGTTGGCTGATGAGAAGCTGGTTAGCAAGGGGGTCTGCCTTCAGTTAGCACAAGGTCTGTACTTCCCACGGGTTCTCTCCACAGCAGGAGGGATGAAAACTTCCCTTTCCTCCCCTGCACATACCCTCAAATGGCCCAGAGGTCTTCAGGTGCTAGAATTTCTCAATTAATGCTGCACAAAATAACAGACAGCCTTGACTGTCACTGTCTGTTCTCATGAAGCTAGTCTCTGCTTACTACATAAAACAGAAGAGTAAGAACAAGGGTGTTAAACACTACCCTAGCTCAAACAAGTTTCTCTCTGTAGGATGCCAAGAACCTGGGAACCAGTGCATCTGCTGCTTTCCCTTCTCGGATTCTAGCCCAGACACAAGAGGCAAGGGGCATTTCTTCAGAGGCCTTGAGCTTCACTACACAATGCCCCAGGCTCTACATGCACCCTCTTTATATATTTCTACCTTGAAAAAAATTTTTATATAATATTAATAATATATATTTTTATATAAGGAACACATATGTTTATTTTATAGATAGATATAGATATACATAGATAAAGATCTCTAGTCTGCCTTTTTTAAGGCTGGGCTGATCGCGGTGCCCCAAAACTATAATCCCAGCACTTTGGGAGGCCAAGGTGGCCAGATCTCTTGAGTCCAGGAGATGGAGATCAGCCAGGGCAACATGGTGAAACCCTATCTTTACAAAAATTAGCTAGTATGGTGTCATGCACTTGCAGTCCCTGCTACTCAGGAGACTGAGGTGGGAGAATCGCTTGAGCACAGTATGTGAAGACTTCAGTGAGCTCTGATCACATGACTGCACTCCATCTTGGGTGACAAAGTGAGACCCTCTCTCAAAATAAAATAAAATAAAAAGGCTACCACCATACTCACAGATAAGTGTGTCAGGTATATTTGCAGCTATCTTTCCTATATTCTATTTGGTAAAAAAAAAAATTGCAAAGAACTCTTCTCATTCTAGATTTTTGTATTAATTAGACATTTGAAGTTTATAGCAGAAGAGCTATAATCATGTTTGTTATGTGTACTCTATAGACCAGATAGTGCAAACATATATCAATGCTTTTTAAAAGTATATAAGGTTATTAGAAATATTTTAAACTACCTATAGGTATATATGTATCTAATTGAACTATCAAATGCAAGTAAGATCATTTCCTCAGCGTGTGAAATGCACTCAATTTATTAAAATATTTTCTAATGTCTATTACAATAATATTTCTTAATTAGCTAGCATAAGAGGAGTTTTAAGACATTTATTTATATGTACTTACTAGATTCAAACTCGATTCCACTATTTTCAGAAATCATGCTCCGAGACAAGTCCTTTTTTTATCTAACTATGTTTCTACCTATATTAAAAGACAGATATGTCAATTTTGCTGATCATGCTGTTCCAGACCTCTCCATCCTATTTTTCGGTTTGTTCTATCAGTCATTCAGAGACTTACTTATATTCAAATTTCTCTCTAGGTTTAACATTTGTGTATGTCTTCTTGTGTTTTTGTCTATTTTTGCTGTATATAATTTAAGACATTTATTGACATATATCATACATGCAGAAAAGTACAATGATTAAATATGGATAGCTTCATTAATGAAACACATGTAGTTGCTTATAACCATGTATGAAAATAGAACATTACTAAAAATAGAGATACTTCTCCTGCCCCTTTCCAAACACTAACCCTCATCCTCAATAGAAACAGATTTTTTTTTATCATAATTTGGTCTATTTTCAAATGTTTATTAAATAAATCAGAGTATCTACTCTAAGTCTATGTTTCTTTCACTGTTGTTATTTTGCTTATAGTATTTATCTGCTAATGGACATGGTAGATTAAAGACGGCTACATACACATTTTTTAATTAATAGATTTTTTGAGCACTCTGTGGCTCATGCCTCTAATCCCACCACTTTGGGAGGCTGAGGTGCGTGGATCATGGGGTCAGGAGATCGAGACCATCCTGGCCAATGTGGTAAAACCCCTTCTCTACTAAAATACAAAAAATTAGCTGATAGATAACAGCATGATAACATGTGGGTTCTTAGCTGCACTGAGTCAAGCCTACTTACATCTTTGTTTGTCTTCCTCTGCACTTTTCCTTCCACATCACACTCCAGGAATGCCAAGCTGTGCTGGCCTTCTACCCCATTTCCACTATTTTGCCCCCGCCGACGTGGCTTTTTGCCGCCGTGGATTTTTGACCATGCCGCTGCGGGTTTTTGCGGCTTTCTGCCCCCGCCGCCGCGGCTTTCTGACCCTGGCCTCGCCGAATTTAGCCCCTGCCGTCACGGCTTTTTGGGGCTCTTTGCCCTCGCCGCCGCGGCTTTTTGCCGCCGCAGCTTTTTGCATCTTTCTCCCCCTGCCTCCGTGGCTTTTTGCCCCTGAAGCCACAGCTTTTTGCCCTCGCCGCCGCGGCTTTTTGCGACCTTTTCCCCCCTGCTGCCGCAGCTTTTTGCCCCCACCACCGCGAATTTTTCTGCCGCGGCTTTTTGTCACCGCCGCCGTGGCTTTTTATGGCTTTTGGCCCCCGGTGCCGTGGCTTTTTACTGCTTATTGCCCCCGCCGCCGCAGGTTTTTCCCGCCGCGGCTTCCTGCCCCGCAGCCCCGGCTTTTTGCGGCTTTTTGCCGCCGTGGCTTTTGGCCCCCGCCACTGTGGCTTTTTACGCCTTTTCGCCCCCGCCGCCGCAGGTTTTTCCAGCCGCGGCTTCTTGCCCCCACTGCCCGGGCTTTTTGTGTCGTTTTGCCCCCGCCGCCGCGGCTTTTTGCTGCTATTTGTCCCTGCCACCACAGCTTTTTGCCCCCGCCGCCGCGGCTCCTTGCCCCCTACGTGGCTTCCTGTCCCCGCCTCCGCGGCTTTTTATCACCCCAGCCGCTTTTTGCCCCCGCCGCCACGGGTTTTTGCTCCTGCCGCCGAGGGTTTTTGCGCCTTCATGTCCCCACCGTCGTGGCTTTTTGCCGCCCCTGCTTTTTGCCCCCTCTGACGCGGCTTTTTGCGGCTTTTTACCACCTCCACCGTGGCTTTTTGCGGCTTTTGGCACCGGACGCCATGGCTTTTTCAGGCTTTTTGCCCCCGCCGCCACGGCTTTTTGCTGCCGCCACACCGTTTAGCCCCCACCGCGCCTTTTTGCACCCGCAGCCGCATCTTTTTGCCGCCGCGACTTCTTACCCCGCCACCGCGGTTTTTGCCTCCGCTGTCGTGGCTTTCTGCCCCCGATGCTGCGGCTTTTTACAGCTTTTTGCCCCCGTCACCGCAGCTTTTTGCCCCCACCACCGCGGCTTTTTGCCCCCGCCACCACAGCTTTTTGTCACCGCGGCTGTTTGCCTCGACTGTCATGGCTTGTTGCCCCCGCCGCCGTGGCTTGTTGCCCCTGTAGCCCCAGCTTTTTCCCCCACCGCCCCGGCTTTTTGACCCCACCGTTGCGGCTTTTTACGCCCGCCGCCGTGGCTTTTTGCGGCTTTTTGCTCCCACCGCCGCGGCTTTTTGTCCCCATCACCGAGGCTTTTTCCCCGCCGCTGCGGCTTTTTGCCAACGCGGCTTTTTATTCCCGCCTCCACAGGTTTTTACCGCTGAGGCTTTTTCACCCCGCCGTCGCGGGTTTTTGCCCCCACCGCCGTGGCTTTTTGCCCCCACCGCCGCGGGTCTGAGGGCGGGATTGGCAGACTCGGCTGCTAGATCTACCGGCGTCCTGGCTAAGGCAGCGCCGACGGTCACTCCTGGTCCAGCTCTCCTGGTTCGGGGGTTCCTTGCCTAGACACCCGCACCCCAGGCTCTGTTCCTGGGCTGCTGCAGGCTGCATAGAGCAGCGCCAAGCTCGGCCCCGATGGGAGAGAAGAAGGAGAGCGGTGGAGGGGGTGACGCGGCTATTGCGGAGGGAGGCGCAGGGGCCGCAGCCAGCCGGGTGCTGCAGCAGTGCGGGCAGCTCCAGAAGCTCATTGGCATCTCCTTTGGCAGCCTGCGTTGGCTGCGCACCAAGTGCGCTGAGTCCAAAGACCTCACCCAGCAGGAGATACGGACCGTGCAGGTAAGGGGGTCGGGGACCAGGGCTGGGCTCCAGCACCGGACTGGACATCTCCCTTGGGGCCCCAGTTCACTCCTGGCCGAGTTGCATTCTTGAGCCTGCTTCACCCCCTTGGAGGCTTCTCCTCCCTCCTGCACTCGCTGATGCGGCAGCCAGAGGACCCGGGACCAGCCCTCACCTTGGGCAGGATTTGTGGGGCGGGTGCGTGTTGGGAAATGTGATGGTGGCTCGAGGGTCCAGTGGGCGGGGTGGGCTGCGTGCGGACATCCCCTTACGCCCCGAATTTCCATCTGGTGCAGCCTTCTCATCTTGTAGGTGAGGAAACCGAAGGCCTGAGGGAAAAATGACTTGCCAGGAACCCTGTTAAGGAAAATTAACAAAGTGTGGTTATCAAAGGAGAACTGAGTTCGGATTCATACCTGGAGTCCCACACCTTTGGTTAAGACATTATACCACCTTGAGTCTGGCCTGTTGACTGAGGGTGAGCCACTCCATCCTCGTCTGATTGTGGGGTCTTGACCTCAAGGGGTTTCCTTCAGGAAGAAGCAAATGGGTTTGCTATCCTAGCTCTGTCCAGTACCTTAGGGACCCTGAGAACTGGAGAGATTCTTGGAGAGCCATCTGGTGTATGTCATGGGTGGGTCTTGTTTGAAGGTCAGTGTGCCCAGTGTGCTGGCTCAGCCCGAATGAACTGTCTTGAATCTTTGTAGATGTCTGTGTACTTTTAAGGGTTTCTCATCCTTGGACCAAAAGATCCCCTGGAAATTAGGTGGGAAAACCTTAATTTTGTGGAGCCTTGTATTTGTCTTAAAAGTTCATGCGCATAGCCAGGTGTGGTGGCTCACGCCTGTTATCCTGTCCTGGATCCCTTGAGTCAAGGAGTTTGAGACCAACCTGGACAATATAATGAGACCCCATCTCTACAAAAAATAAAATATTAGCCAGGAGTGGTTGTGCTCATCTGTTGTCCCAGCTACTACTGTGGCTGAGGTGGGAGGAGCACTTGAGCCTGCACTGAGCTGTGATCTCACCAGTGTATTTCAGCCTGGGCCACAGAGCAACACCTTGACTCAAAAAAAAAAAAAAAAAAAAAAAACAAGAAAAATTCTTGAAGATTTTGCATTCTGTCCCACTCTCCATTGGTTTTCATGTCAAGATAATGACAGAAATTCTTTACAATTGCTTACAGAAGGAGTGGCCTTTTGACCTAGTGCACAGGTGTCCAGTCTTTTGGCTTCTCAGGGCCACATTGGAAGAAGAATGCTCCTGGGCCACAGATAAAATACACTACTGCTAATGATAGCTGATGAGCTTAAAAAAAAAAGGTTTGTGCATAATTTTCATGATACCCACCACCACAGATAGGCGGAAAAGTCCTCGTAATCAAAGGGTTGGACACAGGTGATCTAGTGTCTTTTCTTCCGTTTTGGCTTTCTCCCTGACTCCAGAATTCAGGTGGAGATGTAGAGAAATGCTCTCAGGACAGCTGTTAAGATAATACAAATTCGTTGTCATTTATTCCCAAGGACAGCTGTTTGCCATTTGCATTGAAAAAGTCTCCATCCAAACTGCTGTCACATATAAAATCTATTTATATGTCTGTATTTTTCTGTTGTCTTGGCCTTTGTGGGCAGTAGTGTGTTTTAACCGAGCAAACTGTCCTTCCAAATAATGAAGCTGAAGTCAGCCTACCTGCTTGCCATTTTTCTTCCCCTTCCATTTTTCTAACCTCAGGATAATTGTAAGAATGAATTAAGATTTGTGTTTAAGGCTGGGCACAGTGTCTCAGGCCTGTAATCTCAGCACTTTGGGAGGCGGAGATGGATGTATCGTTTGATCTCAGGAGTTGAAGACCAGCCTGGGCAACATACTGAGACTCCGTCTTGTATAATTAAATTAAAAATTAAAAAAAAGGAGAGAAAAGGACCTGTGTTTAAAATTTTAAAAAAGGAGGGAAGGTGTAATGCAAAATGTGGACTATGCTAGCTATGATTGGGAAAAATAATTTTTCATACAGCATTATCTGTTGACTTGTATTAGCAGCATACTGGTCATAAGCGTTTTACTTTCCTCAAATATGATGAGGTAAGCTACTTTAAAGTGTGGTGGGGCTTTCT
Organism: Homo sapiens; assembly: GCF_000001405.40. Taxonomy (NCBI): domain Eukaryota; kingdom Metazoa; phylum Chordata; class Mammalia; order Primates; family Hominidae; genus Homo; species Homo sapiens. Next base: position 58,090,395 of record NC_000007.14, read on the forward strand.
TCTGCATGGCTCCTGGAGGTGTTGAGTCCCAATTTAGACAATTAATTTGGGTTTAGTTTTAATATGGATGAGGGAGACTGGCTTCATTCATGATGCACACACAGTTTGGCCAGTAAGGAAAAAAAAGCCACCTGAATGTTCCTACTCATGAGATGCTATCTGGAGAGCTCCTACCCCACCACTACAAAGGCCCTGGCCCTTAAAAAGACTCAATGCAGCCTTTCTGCATCTTATACTGTATTCTGCAAGATGCTCCTGTGAAAGAAAGTTGTGCTGCATCAGCCATCTCCCTCCTGAAGATCCCTGCGGATGTGGATTTGTGTTTTAAAGGTTCTCAGAAGTCCTGCAACAACAGTTCTCAAACTTATTTGTCCAGGGGATCTTTTCTTCCACTGAACATAGTTGGGGAGACACGGCCTTAAACCTTGAGCAGAGAAAGAGACAAGAAACTTTTGGCTCACTTACAACCAAGTGTTGTGTTTATGTTTTATGTTTTTATGAAACTGAGGTGCTGTTTGAGGTTCTGAATCAAATTGGGTGGTTGAAGAGAGGCTGGTATCCCTGTAGACTTAGCCAGCCATGAGAGATTGAATTTTGTTGAAGGAGGTGTTTTACAAAGGGAAATAGGGTGTCTCCTGGGCATCACATCAGCACTTAAATACATGTATCACTGAAATGAAATGAAATGATGAAATGATGACATGAAATGAAATGTTGAAACGAAATGAGGAAATGATGAAATGAAATGAAATGATAAAATGATGAAATGAAATGAAATGATGAGATGAAATGAAACAGTGAAATGATGAAATGAAATGCTGAAATGAAATGAAATGATGAAATGAGATGATGAGATGAAATGAAATGATGAAATGATGAAATGGAATGATGAAATGAAATGGTGCAATGAAATGAGGAAATGAAATGCTGAAATGAAATGATGAAGTGAAATGGTGAAATGAAATGAAATGATGAAATGATGAAATGAAGAAATGGTATGAAATGATGAAATGAAATGATGAAATGAAGTGAAATGATGAAATGATGAAATAATGAAATGAGGGGTGGAGCCAAGATGGCCGAATAGGAACAGCTCCGGTCTACAGCTCCCAGCATGAGCGACGCAGAAGACGGGTGATTTCTGCATTTCCATCAGAGGTACCAGGTTCATCTCACTAAGGGAGTGCCAAACAGTGGGTGCAGGACAGTGGGTGCAGCCCACCATGTGGGAGCCGAAGCAGGGTGAGGCATTGCCTCACTCAGGAAGCACAAGGGGTCAGGAAGTTCCCTTTTCTTGTCAAAGAACGGGGTGACAGACGGCACCTGGAAAATCGGGTCACTCTCACCCTAATACTGCACTTTTCCAACAGGCTTGGAAAACGGCACACAAGGAGATTGTGTCCTGCACATGGCTCGGAGTGTCTTATGCCACTGGAGTCTTGCTGATTGCTAGCATGGCACTCTGAGATCAAACTGCAAGGTGGCAGCGAGGCTGGGGGAGTGGGGCCCGCCATTGCCCTGGCTTTCTTAGGTAAACAAAGCAGCCAGGCAGCTGGAACTGGGTGGAACCCACAACAGCTCCAGGAGGCCTGCCTGCCTCTGTAGGCTCCACCTCTGGGGGCAGGGCATAGACACACAAAAAGTTAGCAGTAACCTCTGCAGACTTAAATGTCCCTGTCTGACAGCTTTGAAGAGAGTAGTGGTTCTCCCAGCATGCAACTGGAGATCTGAGACTGGGCAGACTGCCTCCTAAAGTGGGTCACTGAACTCCGAGCAGCCTAACAGGGAGGCACCCCCCTGTAGGGACAGACTGACACCTCACTCGGCTGGGTAGTCCTCTGAGACCAAACTTCCAGAGGAATGATCAGACAGCTGAATTTGTGGTTCACGAAAATCCGCTGTTCTGCAGACACTGCTGCTGATACCCAGGCAAACAGGGTCTGGCGTGGACCTCTAGTAAACTCCAACAGACCTGCGGCTGAGGGTCCTGTCTGTTAGAAGGAAAACTAACAAACAGAAAGGACACCCACACCAAAAACCCATCTGTACATCACCATCATCAAAGACCAAAAGTCGATAAAACCACAAAGATGGGGAGAAAACAGAGCAGAAAAACTGGAAACTCTAAAAAGCAGAGTGCCTCTCCTTCTCCAAAGGAATGCAGTTCCTCACCAGCAACGGAACAAAACTGGACAGAGAATAACTTTGACGATTTGAGAGAAGAAGGCTTCAGATGATCAAACTACTGTGAGCTACAGGAGGAAATTCAAACCAATAGCAAAGAAGTTGAAAACTTTGAAAAACAATTAGACGAATGTATAACTGGAAAAACCAATGCAGAGAAATGCTTAAAGGATCTGATGGAGCTGAAAGCCAAGTTTTGAGAACTACGTGAAGAAGGCAGAAGCCTCAGGAGCCGATGCAATCAACTGGAAGAGAGGGTATCAGTGATAGAAGATGAAATGAATGAAACGAAGGGAGAAGGGAAGTTTAGAGAAAAAAGAATAAAAAGAAACGAATAAAGACTCCAGGAATTATGGGACTCTGTGAAAAGACCAAACCTACGTTTGATTGGTGTACCTGAAAGTGACAGGGAGAATGGAACTAAGTTGGAAAGCACTCTGCAAGATATTATCCAGGAGGACTTCCCCAATCTAGCAAGGCAGGCCAACATTCAGATTCAGGAAACACAGAGAACGCCACAAAGATACTCCTCAAGAAGAGAAACTCCAAGACACATAATTGTCAAATTCAACAAAGTTGAAATGAAGGAAAAAATGTTAAGGGCAGCCAGAGAGAAAGGTCGGGTTACCCACAAAGGGAAGCCCATCAGACTAACAGCTGATTTCTCGGCAGAAACTCTTCAAGCCAGAAGAGAGTGGGGGCCAATATTCAACATTCTTAAAGAAAATAATTTTCAACCCAGAATTTCATATCCAGCCAAACTAAGCTTCATAAGTGAAGGAGAAATAAAATCCTTTACAGACAAGCAAATGCTGATAGATTTACTTGCCCTAAAAGAGCTCCTGAAGGAAGCACTAAATATGGAAAGGAACAACTGGTACCAGCCACTGCAAAAACATGCCAAATTGTAAAGACCATTGAGACTAGGAAGAAACTGCATCAACTAACGAGCAAAATAACCAGCTAACATCATAATGACAGGATCAAATTCACACATAACAATATTAACTTTAAATGTAAATGGGCTAAATGCTCCAATTAAAAGACACAGACTGGCAAATTGGATAAGGAGACAAGACCCATCAGTGTGCTGTATTCAGGAAACCCATCTCACGTGCAGAGACACACATAGACTCAACATAAATAAAATATATTAGTTTCCTTCATACAGCTATAAAACATACAGGAATATTTTTGTCAATGTCTACTACAAATCCAATATAGCAGTAATCATAAAACCCACCAGATATTGAAGAAAAAATATGTAGAGTACCTCAATTACAAATGTTGATACTAAAATGCCAAATAAAATAAAAATAATATCCAACAATATTTGAAACAGTAAGACAAGAAATTGGCAAAAAAAATAAAACAAATATCCACATTGGGGATGAAAGTGTGTTTCCAAATTTGGTAATCCAATAATATTAATAATCATATTGATTAGCCCAAATTAAAAATAAATAGGGGATTCTCAGTACATGCTAAAATATATTTGTTAAAAGGCAATATTCATGTCTTTAAAGATTTTAAGTGCTATAAAGAGTCTGATATTCTATATGCAAACGTGTATGTCCATTAGAAGAGAGGCTTGATTTTCATATGTTACTACATAGAGATAGAGAAGTGGATAGAGTAATTTGCATATGCATAGAGAAAGCATAAAATAGAAATTGACTATCATATTAAAGGAATTTTAATTCAACAATAAAATAATTCAAAGGTAAAATTTTAAATATTTTTAACAGGTACATTATTAATATTAGATAATATTTATAATAATTGTGAAAATATTCAATACTAAAGTAAGATACAATGTCTAAACATCAGCATTAAAACTAGTATAAATATTTGCTTATTTATACAAGGAAAATGCAAGCTCAACCAAAATTATATAGGAAATAAAAGAAAAATTTTAAGGGAGCTCTTTAATATCATTAACATATATATATACACACACGCATATAACATGTATATATGTTATATGGGATATATATAGATTTAACATGTTATATCTATATTTGTATCTATAACTACAGCTGTATGTAACTACATTTCTATATATTTACTCAGTTATATAAATACAGACTGGAATAAATATGAAGACACATATGATTCTTGGATAAAAAGGATTTAGTATCATAAAGACAAATTATTTCCAAATTCACTTATGAATTCACAACAATATACAGTTTCATTAGTATAATTTAAAATTTTTAAATAAATTCCAAGATTCATTTAAAGGAATATACATGTATACAAGCAGTCAAGAAAGAAGCAAGAGTGCACTAAACTAACTTGCTATTAAAATACATTTTTAAACTTAGTCACTAAAACTGAGCAGTACTGATTTGGAGTACTGGAATTTAGGTATATGGGATCTCAAAAGCACAGAGCTCAAAGGAGACCCCTGTATGCACGAGAGCTTAGGATGTGCTTTAGAAGGCATTACCATACCACGGGCAAAGTTCCTTTAGTGTCTTAGTCTTACTAGGTTTGAAAAGCCAGAGAAAAGACTCAAGACCACCATATAAGAGCAAAACAAAAGGACAGGGAGAGAATGTGAAGATAGTGAAACATTTTACGTAAAGTTTTATAAAACATCCTTTAAAGAAAATGTAAAGTTTAGGATATACATCAAAATCAGCAGAGCCACTAAATAAATAAATAGGCATTGTAAAATAGCAAGAGAAAATTTGAATGGATTTCTAAAAAATATTGACACCTATGATTTTTAAAACATGTTTAAGAAATCCTGTATTTCACAGGGCAGCCTTTCACAACACAGATATGTTAGGACATAAAGGTAATTCTGTTTTTAATTTACTAGTGGGTATAGGGTTACAAATGTCTTCTACCCTTGTCTTTTGTCTGATGGTGCAAAAGATTTTCATAAGCATGTATTTCTGAATGCCTGATGGATTGATATATATAATACGCCGCTAGTATTAAAATATGTGTGGAAAACGCATTCAATCTTCTCACTGTTTACATAAATTCTAGGTTTCTCCTATTTACCTCAAGCACGTATGGAGCAAATTCTTACCTTTTAATATTGCCGTGGCATTCACATTGAACATAAGTTAAACTCTCTCATATGGTAGCTGGGTTCAGATTCCCTTGACAATTTCCAGTTCTAACCCTCACAGATCCTCAGTGTGGCTGGCCCAGATATTGACCCTGCACAGTTGCCTCCTCCTGGTGACTACCAGCTATGGAACCGTTGGATACAACCTACCTGACTCACCCCACAGACCTCACAGCGCACATGGACAGCCCCCACATGCCAGAGTGACCTGCTTGGTTGCAGCAGGAGTCAAGAAAGGTGCCTTCTGGCACTCACCCCACTGACTAGTGCCCCGTGGAAAACTTATTTGGGTAATGTTCTGGGCCCAATAAAGGCTGGACTCCCACAGACCCCTTTTCTCTCTCCTGCTCCCCACTCATCTTCCCCATTTTCTTCAGCCCTGTGAGGTGTGCTACTGTATTAGTCCATTTTCACACCACCGGTAAAGACATGCCCAAGACTGGGTAATTTCCAGAAGAAAGAGGTTTAATAGACAAATAGTTCCACATGGCTGGGTAGGCCTCACAATCATGGTGCAAGGTGAAAGGCACGTCTCACATGGCAGCAGACAAGACAAGAGAGCTTGTGCAGGGAAACTCCCCTTTATAAAACCATCAGATCTTGTGAGACTTATTCACTATCAGAAGAACAGCATGGGAAAGACCTGCCCTCGTGATTCAATTACCTCCCACCTGTTCCCTCCCACAACATGTGGGAATTCTAGATGAGATTTGGCTGGGGACACAGCTAAACCCTCTTCTCAGCTACCCTCTTCTCTCTGGATCTGTGAGTAATAAACCTACTTCTGTGATTTCCCATGTTTGATTCTGTGACCTCCATGGGTCTGAGCTGACCTACACTGGAACCTAACTCTCCTCCTGGCCAGGGTCTCTGAGAGTGGCTCTTATCAGAAAAACACAGGACACAGGTCAGGCAACAGTCACCAGGCATATCCCAGTCTCAACAGATATTCTGTGAGAGGGAGGCCTGGTCGTGGGATGTACACCTGGCCACTGCTGCGGTAAGGAAGTGTCCTGTGAAAGGCACATGTTAAGCATCCACAACCCCCTGACCAGAACCCCAGAAAGGCAGGGCTCCAATTGACAGTCACTCTCCAGAGACAAACCTCAAGCCCTAACTGGAGGAAAAGAAAACAATGTAAAAAGTTGAATTTATCTTACTATTTCAATGATCCAGTAAAGACATTCTATGCCTGTACACCACATATTTTCTTCGATTGTGGATTTATTTTAGATAGAATTTTAGGTCTGGCTTTCACTTTAGCCTGGTCCCTACCTCAAGCATAAGGTAAAGATTTTCCATGCGTTCTTTTCTGGTACTACTACCTGCCAGTGTGGGGTCATGTCCTAGTCTATCTTGAGGGAATCCCCCTGTTCATTATTGTCAGAGTGAGACTGTTAAGTCTTGATTTCCCTGGACAACTTCACTGCATGACTTTTAATATGATTTTTTAATATACCCTTTACTGGACAATAAATTATATAGTTATCTGAGTAAGAGATATGATCAGGAAGAGGCATTGCCTCATTCAGCTTTTCTCTTTGGTGAACTCGCATATGTTCTCCTCACCCGCTAGTCACCTCTAAACCGTGTTGTTCCAAGACAACAAACAGAACTCGAGTGTGTATCTTTCACCACTGGATTTGTGTTTGTTCCATAAAGCTTCATGCTTAATAGGGTTTCTGTTAGCATTTTCTCTATTTAGTTTCCCATAAAATATCACAAGGCTTCTTCATATGGAATTATGGGTGATTTCCTTCAATCTGCATCATATCAAGTTGAGGTGCATGTTGACGAAAAGTAAAACATACGTTGACAATATCAGGATGTTTTCCCCTCCTTTTTAGCACCTGTGCTTGTGATACAAGCAGATTTTAATACAATTGTAGTCTCATGCTTTGATCATTCCTATGATGAAAATAACATTTTTAGATAAAATATCTGAGTTTTATGAGGCCTTTAGTGTGTGATGTGATAGAATATCAGAAGACCATACTTTTTTCTAGTTTTCCGTGCAATTCTATCATTGTTACATCTTTACACCTACCAGAGTAATTTTCCAAAACAGATGTCTTGTCATTCTTCCTGTTGTTATCAGTAAATAAGTGAAATGAAAAGCTAGATTATATAATTTATCTAGAACAAGAAAGTAGAATTGAATCTATATTCATTAACGAGACTAACCAGTCAATTACACAGATAGGCATTTTACATTTTGAAGATGATAGGGACCCATTGTCAGAAACATTATTATTTATGTCTATATGGACATCACCTGTGCATATTTACATAGAAATCAATGAGAGCTGATTTTTATTTTTATTATATATATTTTTTGAGATAGGGTCTTGCTTTGTTGCCCAGGCTGGAGTGCAGTGGTGCAATCAATGTTCCCTGCAGCCTCAGCCTCCCAAGCTCAAGCAATCCTTCCACCTTGGCCTCCCAAATAGCTAGGACAACAGGTGCACATCACCATGCCCACTTTTTTTTTTTTACCATTTGATAGAGACTGGGTCTTGCTATGTTGCCCAGGTTGCTTGTGAACTCCTGGGCTCAAGGAATCCTCTCATTTCAGCCTCTTCAACTGCTGGTATTGCAAGCATGAACCACCATATGGGCTGGAAGCTGATTTTTAAAATACTGAGATCATATAGATGACAGCACCTGAAAAATAGACAACACCAAGCTTTATGTTAAAAGGTGTGAGGGTAGCAATATTGTTTTGGCTATTTGGGGAGGAAAACATTACTAAAACCAGTAAGTTAAAGCTCTTGCTTTAAACTTTGGCTTTAATTTAACAAATGTTCTATGGAATGACAGTATGTATGTAACCATGCTATGCCCATTCAGAGATGCAGTAGAGGGAAGAATTTCTCAAAGACAACTCTTCTAAGACTCAAATTAAACCGTACTGGGTTTGAAAAGAGAAAGTCCAGGAATTACCAAGTATTTTAGATATCAGATACAAGAGAATGCCAGGTATGCGATGATAATCAGCAATGATTGTTCACACAATACATCAGCTCATTATTTGAATTAGCTTTTGAATTACAAAGACAAATGGATCAAGTCTAGACTCTTTAGTATATAAATCTTATTAGGCTGAGATGTGTTTTCCCCTGGTTTTCCACAAGGATATTACAAATTTGCAAACCTCAGCTGCTCTCATTTTATGCTCTCACCAAACCAAAAGCTGAAGTTCATCAATCAGTGTGTCTAAGTGTTCACTGGTTATATACCATTTTGTAGTTTCAGCTGTCTTTCCAACTTCCTAAATCATCACCTTCATTTGATCTTGTTTTTTTCCACTATCACTTCTTTTTTGACCATATAAATAATATAAGTAAGTTCTTATTTTGTTATTGTTCATTTTAGTCTAATTTCATCAAAAGATCACAATCTTTTAATTTCATTTTAATTTCAAAGATTAAATGAAACCTACATAGAAATGAGTGTAATATTTGCATTTGCATTATTTTGGCATCAATTTGCTGTCCTCCCTCATGCACATAGAGATCATTTCCATATACGTGATTTCAAACATCCAAGTGCAGTATTAAAAGCAGTTGTAAATTATGGTTCTCATTTTCATGATACAATTACAATATAAACTTCCTCTTGCTGCTGTAACCAATTACCACAAACTTCATATCTTACAATAAAATGACCTTTAATCCTACTGTTCTGTAGTTCAGAAGCCTTAAATGAAACTCACAGGGCTAACATCAAGGTTTGGGCAGGGCTGCAGTCTTTCTGAGGGCTATGTGGCAGAATCTATTACTTGATTTTTTTCAGCATCCAGAGGCCACCTTTATTCCTTGGAACATGACCTCATTCTTACATCCTATTTTTCTTTTTTTTTTTTTGATGGAGTCTCCTTCTGTCACCCAGGCTGGAGTGCAGTGGCATGATCTCAGCTCACTGCAACCTCTGCCTCCCGGCTTCAAGTGATTCTTCTGCCTCAGCTTCCTGAGTAGCTTGGACTACAGACACTTGCCACTATGCCCAGTTAATTTTTTGTATTTTTAGTAGGGATGGGTTTTCACCATGTTAGCCAGGATGGTCTCGATCTCCTGACCTCGTGATAAACCCAGCCCAGCTTCCCAAAGTGCTGGGATTAGGCGTGAGCCACTGTACTGGGTCGTCATTCTTGTATGTTAAAAGTCAGTGATGTTGAGTAATTTATCATGCCACCACCACCAAGGTTGCCTTTCTTCTGCCTTCTTCTTTCACTTATAAGGAAATTTGTGCTTTCACTGATCCCACCCATTTAAGACAATCTCTCTATCATTTTTCCACAAACTTAATTTCACTTGAAATCTAATTTCACACTGCTGTGCAACCTAACATATTTGTACGTTAGACTCTGGGAATTAGGACATGAAAATTTTGGGGAGGCCATTCTTTGGCCTACAGCAGTCATAATCTATTTTACCTGCAGATTAAAGCGTTCTTTATTTTTCTGTCTCCCTCTCTTAATTTTTTTAAAATAATATGAATTTTAGTAAAGAGAAAGAAAGAAAAGGAAACAAAGAAAGAAAAAGAAGGAAGGAAAGAAGGAAGGAAGGAAATAAAGAAAGAAAGAAGAAAGAAAAGAAGGAGGAAATGAGGGAAGGAAGGGAAGGAGGGAGGAAGGGAGAAAGGCAGGAAGGGAGAAAAAAAGCATGAACACAAGAAGGAAAGAAGGAAATAAAGAAAGAGGAAGAAAGAGAGAAAGAAAGAAAGAAAGGAGGAAGGGAGGAAGGAAAGGAGGAACAGAGAATGGTAAAAGGCAGAAAGACAAAGAAACAAAGAAAATAAAGAGGCGAAGGAAGGAAGGAAAAAGAGGAAAGGAAGGGAGGGAGGAAGGAAGAAAATGAGGGTGGGAGGAAGGGAGAAAAAAGGAAAGAAAGCAAGATCATGAGAAAGAAAGAAAAAATATGAGAAAAGAAGGCAGAAAAGGGAGGGAGAAAGGAAGGGAGGGCAGAAGGAAGGAAGAATAAGGGGAAAGAAAGAAGGAAAGAAGGAAGGAAGGAGAAAAAAGAAAGAAAAAGGAAAAGAAAAGAAAAGGAAGAGGAAAAGAAGCAAGGAAGGAAGAAGGCAAGGGAAGGGAAGAGAAGAGACGGGAAGTTGGAAAGAAGGAAGGAAGAACGCATATATTAGAAATTCTGGGTTTGTTAGAGAATATGCCATACTGTTTTTTTTTCACTTGAAAGGAAAGAGTATCTGCCATTGAAGATTGGATGTCTTGTTGATGATATTGTTGTTCTTATCTTCCATATGATTATTGAGTTAGTGCCTAGTCTTTCCATTACTAAGACAAAAGTGTTGAAGTCTGCAAATATAATTTTGGATTTTTCTAGTTCACCTTTGATTTCCTTCCTGTTTTACCTCATGTATTTGGAGGTTCTGTTGTTAGCTGCATATCCTAATTAGTAGGATGTTTACATCTTGAGAATTGATTATTCTATTATTTATTATCTCTCATCTCTGATACTATTTCTTGTTCTGAACTCTGTTGTGTCTAAGATCAATGTAGTCCTTCCACAGCTTTATTTTAGTGTTTCCATGATATGGCTTTCTCCATATCTTGATGATAACCTATTTATATCTCTATATATTTGGAGCAAGATATAAAATTTAGACTTGACTTTTTAAAGATTTTTCAAGATGTAATTCTTATTTCTTTTTGTTCTATTTGACATTCTCTCAGTTTCCTATATCTGAAGTTTGATTTTCCGTCACTTATTTTAGAATATTTTTGGCAGTTATTTTGAAATATATTTCTTTTGCTCAATTATTTTTTCCTCTTTTCTTTTTGGGATTTCAGTTATAACTACGGTAGGTAATTTCATCTCAGTCTTATGCAGGTACTTTTTCTCAGGGTCTCAGGAATGTAGCCTTCTCACACTTCTGTTCTTTTGCTGGCTGTGTTGGTGAGCTCAGTGATATTCCTCCTTCACCTTCAAAAGCAATTTTGTTTTGTTTTTCCTGTTTTCATACTCCCAGCATCAGGAGTATTCTAAGTGTGGCAGTTTTTGTTGCCTTCCCCTACATATTAAGTGGAATATCTTGCTCTATTTGGACTCTTATAACCAAATAACATAAACTGGGTGAATAAAAAACAACAGATATTTCTTTTTTCACACTTCTTGAGGCTGTAAGATCTCAGGTCAAGATGCTCACAAATTCAGTGTTGATGAGAGCCCATTTCATGGTTCATAGATGGTGCTTTCTTTCTATGTCCTCACATAGTGGAAGGCACAAAAGAACTCCATTGAGCTTCTTTTATAAAGGCACTAATCCCATTCATAAGGGCTCGGCCCCCAAGACCTGGTCACCTCCCAAGTGGTCTGCTCTCCCTGATCTGTGTCATATACAGACTCTCTTGGATTCCTTACTAATTGCTTGAGAGATCGCAGTGGGTTTGTGGGGAAAAAGTTTTCAAGATGATGGATCTTTCCCAACTTCTGCAGCTGTCAGCGGTCTCCCAATCTCACCAGCCCCACTTTGCCTTTAGGAATTTATTGATTATTCCAGCTTCACTTGTCATAGTGGTGTCTATTTGCATCTGTCCTATGTAAGTGCATCTGTCCTTATTCTCCTTGCAGGTGCAAGTACTCAGGAATACACTGTTGTTACTAATTCCTCAGTATTGGTTGGTACATTGTCAGAGATCAAAAAACATTTTTAATGATAAAAAAATTCTTGGAGGTTGTGTAATGGAGGGTTAACTCTGCAGACATGGCTTTCCAAAACCTTGCGCATTCCAAAGGTCTTCAGGACTGGCCCTTGACAACCTCCTGGGAGATGATAACCTATGAGCCCTTGGTGTATGCTGCCTGATGAGTGTCTTTGTATACCTGAAAACGTAGGTCGCATCAAATAGCTGATGTTTACAACGTGATTTCTTGTGAGCACCTGTTTCTGTATGCCTATGACTTTGTGTAATGCCATATTAACATGACCTCTCTTAGGGCATAGGGAGTTTGGGAACTAAGTAGCTAAGTTCAGTCACAGGATGCTTGATTCATGTGTGGCGGAATCCTAATAAAAACCCTGGACTCAAGACTGACTGAGCTTCCCTAGTTGGCAACAAGTTCACACATGTTGTCTCACACCATTGTAAAGAAAATCAGTCAGTGTGAAGTCCCCACTATGAAAAGACACCTGTAAGCTCACATCTGGTTTGTCCTGGACTCAACTTTATGTGCTTTTATGCTTCTGATTATTTTAATCTGGTTTCTTTCACTGTTAGAAACTATCACCACAGTAAAAATCAGCTTTCTTGAGTTATGTGAATCATTAAACCAAAGAGGGACTTGGGCACCCCCAATAGAAAGTATATATATTCTTAAAACGAAAAAGAATACTGGCTGTAGCAGATATTGCTGATGACTTGTCTTCTATGTCCTGGACTCAATGTGTTCACCTAAAATTCACCTGTTTCCAGCTAACTGAGAGCTCCCCACATCATGCCTGTCTTTCTGATTTTGGGCCTGCCTGCAAGCTTCTTGAGGCTAACCAGTGCCTCTCAACCACACATAGGAACAAAGAAAGAGTTAGGGGTAGAGAGTTAATGATTCTAAGGCAATCCTTAAGCAATAAGAGATGGGGATTCCAGCATCCCCATCTCTTTGTAAAGTTATTTTGACACAATCTCCATACCTCCATCATTACTGAGCACATAGCATTAACTACTCATTCACACTGGCTTCGTGCTCTGTTTCATTTTCTCCACTTCTGTGCTTTCTCACTCAATTTCTGATTAAAGTATCTGACCCCAGATATTTGTTTCATAGTCTATTTTTGAGGGAATCCAGAACCAAGACAATAACAATGGGAGCTTTGCAATGAGGGTGGGTGAGTATAATCATCAGAAGGTTACCTACCTCACTGGGAACATGAAGGCCTGGAAAGCTTGCTGTTTCAATGAGAGAAACATGTTGAATCTCAGTTCAATACCTATATATATATGTGCAATAAGACGTGCCCTTTACTTATATCAAAGGAAAGTGCTCTTTACCTCTCTTTGTTGCTGTGTTTTTATCACTATTGCCTACACAAGCAGAATATCATACCCAGGATTTAAAACCCTCTCTGCAGGATTTTCAAGCTCATATTTTTATCATAAGTCACTCTGCTTCCATGGGTTTTCAATCTAATCCTCATTCCTCTGCTTTTACACCAGAGAATTCATCACTGACTTATTTTTGACTGACCTCCTTTTAGAGCTGTCAAGTATACAATTTCTGCTGTGACCTTTCTCTTATTAGAGTTCAGTCATATAGCCTCTCACTAGATATCATTTCCTCTTATCTTTCCTAATAATGAATTGTCAGTTAAAACTCAATATTTTTAACATTGAGCTTACCATCTGCACACACACACACACACACCATTATTGGTGTATTCTCATAGCCTTGAAACACTAATGTCACGTTGATGTCTGCATTTTCTTTCTCTGCTACCTCATTCCTCATCCTTAGATTATTCTAAAAGATTCAATTAGAACAAGTTGGCTAATTATATTTATAAGATCCTTTCTACCCTTACCAACTTTTCGTTTAACAAAATTTAAAAATTTCTGGCAGGAGACTGTTGAAATCCCCATGGATGACTGTGGTTTTACTATTTTACCTTTCAGTTTTAATAGCTTTTATATTATGTATTTTGAAGTGATGCTATTGTGTGCATACATATTTCTTATTTTCATGACTTCTTGGTGTATTTTCCCCTTTGTCATTTTGAAATGTTATTCTTCATCCCCAGTGATATTTCCTGTTCTGATGTCTACTTTGCTCATCACAGTTTTAGGGGGTTTTGGTTTGTTTGTTTTTCTATTTTTTGGTTCAAGTAAGTTTCTTACAAATCTGTTCAATTCTATTTGAAGATTCCATTTGATTCCATTCGAGAGTTACACTCGATTCCATTCGATGATGATTCCATTAGAGTCTATTCAATGATTCCATTCGATTCCATTCGATGATGATTCCATTAGAGTCCATTCGAGCATTCCATTCGATTCCATATGATGATGTTTCCATTCGAGTCCACTCGATGATTCCATTCGAGTCCATTCGATGATTCCATCAGATTCCATTCAATGACACAATTCGAGTCCCTTCGTTGATTCCATTCGATTCCATTCTTTGATGACTGCATTCGTTTCCATTCGATGATGATTGCAACGGATTCCGTTTGATTTCTCCATTGGATTCCATTCCTTGCTGAATCCATTCAATTCCAATAGATGATGACTCCACTAGATTCCATTCAATGATGATTTCATTAGATTAAATTAGATGATGATCCAATTTGATTGTATTCAATGAAGATTCTATTAGATTCCATTCAATAATTTCATTCGATTCCATTTGAAGATTCCATTTGATTCCATTCCATGGTGATTCCTTTCGTGTCTAATCAATGATTCCATTTGATTCCATTCGATGATGATTCCATTTGGGTCCTTTCGATGATTCCATTCGATTCCATGCGATGATGATTCCATCGAGTCCATTCAATGATTCCATTTGATTCAATTAGATGATGACTGCATTCGGTTCCATTCGATGATGATTCTAACGGACTCCATACGATGACTCCATTCGATTCCATTAATTGATGATTCCATTCGATTCCATTGGTTGATGATTCCATTCAATTCCATTCGATGATGATTCCATTTGATTCCATTCGATGATGATTCCATTTGATTCCATTCAATGATGATTCCATTGGATTCCATTTGATGATTCCATTTGATTACATTTGATGATGATTCCTTTCGGGTCCATTTGATGATTCCATTCCATTCCATTCCATTTGATGATGATTTCATTCGATTATTCCATTCAACTCCATTTCATGTTTTCTTTCGATTCCACTCAATGTTGATTCCATTTGAGTCCATTCAATGATTCCGTTCGAGTGCATTCCATGATTTCATTAAAATCCATTCAATGATGATTCCATTCGATTCCATTCGATGATTCCATTTGATTTCATTCGATGATGATTACATTAGATTCCATTAGATGATTCCATTCGAGTCCATTCAGTGATTGCATTCGAGTCCATTAAAGGATTCCATTTGATTCCATTCGATGATGACTCCATTCGAGTCCATTCAATGATGATTCCATTTGATTCCATTCGATGATTCCATTGGATTCCATTCTTTGTTTTATTTTGATTCGTTTTGATGATGATTCCATTCAGTTTCATTTGATGATCCCATTTGATTCTATTCGATGATGTTTGCATTCGAATCCATTTGAAGAAAATTCCATTCGATTCCATTGATGATGATTCCATTCGATTCTATTCAATGCCGATTCTATTCGATTCCATTCGATGATGATTCCATTTGATTCCACTTGATGATTAAATTCGATTCCATTCGATGATGATTCCATTCGTGACCATTCGATGATTCCATTGAATTCCATTCAATAATGATTCCATTTGAGTCCATTGAATGATTCCATTGAAGCCCATTCAATGATTCCATCTGATTCCATTCAATGAATCCATTCGATTCCATTCTATGATGATTCCATTCATTTCCATTCAATGATGATTCCATTCGATTCCATTCAATGATTCCATTCGATTCCATTTGATGGTGATTCCACTCAATTCCATTCGATGATTCCATTCGAATCCATTCTATGATGAGTCCATCCATTTCAATTTCATGATAATTCCATTCGTTTCAATTCGATTCTATTCGATATTGATTCCATTAGTTTCCATTGGATGATGATTCCATTCGAGTCCATTCGATGATAATCACATTCGATTTCATTCCATAATTCTATTCGATTCAATTCAATGATGATTCCATCTGATTCCATTTGATGATTCCATTCGATTCCATTCGATGATGATTCCATTCGTTGCCATCCGATGATGGATTCCATTTGATTCCATTCGATGATTATTCCATTCGAGTCCATTCGGTGATTCCTTTTGATTCCAATTGAAGATGACTTCATTCGATTCCATTCGATGATACCATTCGATACCATTCTTTGATGATTCCATTTGAGTGCATTCCATGATGATTCCTTTCAACTCCATTTGATGTTTATTCTTTTCTATTCCATTCGATGATGACTCCATTTGATGCCATTCAATGATGATTCCATTTGATTCCATTCGATGATTCCATTAGATTCCATACGATGATGATTCCATTCGAGTCCATTCGATTATTCCATTCAATTCCATTCGATGATGATTCCATTCAATTCCATTCAATGATTCCATTTGATTCCTTTTGATGATTATTCCATTCGAGTCCATTCAGTGATTCCTTTTGATTCCAATTGAAGATGATTCCATTCGATTACATTCGATGATACCATTAGATACCATTCGTTGATGATTCCATTTGAGTGCATTCCATGATACCATTCGATCCCATTCAGTGTTGAATCCACTCAATTTCACTCGATGATTCCATTCAATTCCATTCTATGATGATTCCATTCGAGTCCATTTGATGATTCCAATTGACTCCATTTGACGATGATTCCATTCAATGATTGTATTCAATGATGATTCCATTCGTTATCGTTCAATGCTGATTCCATTCAATTCCATTCGATTATTCCATTTGATTCCATTCGATGATTCCATTCGATTACATTTGAGGATGATTCCATTCAATTCCATTTGATGATTCCATTCAATTCTATTCAATGATGATTCCATTCGATTCCATTCGATGATGACTGCATTCAATTCCATTTGATGATTACATTTGATTCCATTCGATGATGATTGTGATCGATTACGTTCGATGATTCCATTTGAGTCCATTCGATGATTCCATTTGAGCCCATTCGATAATTCCATTTGAGTCCAATCCATGATTCCATTCGAGTCCTTTCGATCATTCCATTTGAGTCCATTCGATGATGATTCCATTCGAGTCCATTTGATAATTCTTTTTGAGTCCATTCGATGATTATTCCATTCGAATCCATTCGATGATTCCATTTGATTCTGTTCGATGATGATTCCATTTGAGTCCATTCGATGATTCCATGTGATTTCATTCGATGATGATTCCATTCGATTCCATTGAATGATTCCATTCTATTCCATTTGATGATGATTCCATTACATTACATTCAATGATTCCATTCGAGTCCATTTAATGATTCCATTGAGTTCAATACGATGATGATTACATTGGATTCCATTCTGAGATTCCATTAGATTCCTTTCATTGATGATTCCATTCGATTTCATTCGATGATGATTCCATATGATTTCATTCGATAATTATATTTGATTCGATTCGATGGAGATTCAATTCTATTACATTGGATGATTCCATTCAATTCCATTCGATGATGATTCCATTAAATTACATTGGATGATGAATCCATTTGATTCCATTTGATGACGATTCCATTGTATTCCATTTGATGATGATTCCATTCGATTCCATTCGATGATGATTCCATTCACTTGCATTCCATGATGATTTAAATTGAGTCCATTCGAAGATTCCATTCGATTCCAATTGATCATGACTAAATTCGGGTCCATTCAATGATTCCATTCCATTCCATTCCATGATGATTCCATTCGATGCCTTTCGATGATTCCATTCAATTCCATTCGTTGATGATTCCATTCGAGTCCATTCTCTGATTCCATTAGATTCCATTTGAAGATGATTCCATTCAAGTCCATTCGATGATTCCATTCAATTCCATTCGATGATGATTCCATTTGAGTCCATTTGATGATTCCATTCGATTCCATTCGATGATGATTCCATTCGTGTCCATTAGAAGATTCCATTCAAGTCCATTTGATTATTCCCTTAGATACCATTCATTGATGTTTCTATTCGATGTCATTCGATGATTCCATTTGGTTCCATTTGATGATATTTCCATTTGAGTCCATTCGATGATTCCATTGGATTCCATTCAATGATGATTCCATTGGTGTCCATTCAATGATTCCATTTGATTCCATTCAATGATGATTCCACTCAAGTCCATTCGATGATTCCATTCGATTCCATTCGATGTTGATTCCATTCGAATCCATTCGATGATTCCATTTGATTCCATTCAATGATTCCTTTTGATCCCATTTGATGATTCCCTTTGATTCCATTCGATGATCACTCCATTCAATTCAGTGATCCCATTGGATTCCATTTGATGATGATTCCATTAGATTCCACTCCATGATGGTTCCATTCAGTTCCATGTGATGCTGATTCAATTAGATTCCATTTGATGATTCCATGCGATTCCATTTGTTGATGATTGCATTCGATTCCATTTGATGATGATTCCATTCAATTCCGTTCAATCGTGATTCCATTTGATTCCAATCGATGATGATTCCATTTGATTTCATTTGATGATTCTATTTGATTTCATTCGATGATGATTCCATTCTCTTCCATTAGATGATTCCATTTGATTCCTTTCTATGATGATTCTATTCGACTCCATTTGATGATGATTCCATTTGATGACGATTCCATTCGTGTCCATTCGATGATTCCACTCAATTCTATTCGATGATGATTCCAAACGAGTCCGTTAGATGATTCCATTTGATTCCATTAGATGATGATTCCTTTCGATGCCATTCAATGATTCCCTTCAATTTCATTTGATGATGATTCCATTCAATTCCATTTGATGATTCCATTCGATGATGATACCATTCAATGCCATTCGATGATTCCATTCGATTCCATTCGATGATTCCATTCAATTTCATTCAATGATGATTCCATTCTAGTCCATTCAATGTTTGCATTCGATTCCATTCAATGATGATTGCATTCCAGTTCATTCAATGATTCCATTCGATTTCAATCGATGATGATTACATTCGATTCCATTCAATTGTGATTCCATTCAAGTCCATTCGATGATTCCATTCGATTCCATTTGATGATGATTCCATGCGATGCCATTCAATGATTCTATTCGATTGCATTCAATGATGATTCCATTCGAGTCCACTCAATGATTCCATTCAAGTCCATTTGATGATTCCTTTCTATTCCATTCGATGATGATTCCATTTGAGTCCATTTGATGATTCCATTCGATTCCATTCAATGATGGTTCCATTCGAGTCCATTCGATACTTCCATTTGATTTCATTCGATGATGATTCCATTCAATTGCTTTCAATGGTTTCATTCTATTCCAATCGATGATGATTCCATTCGATGACTCCATTCGCGTCCATTTAAAGATTCCATTGGGTTCAATTCTATGATGATTACATTGCATTCCATTCTATGATTCCATTCAATTCCATTCGTTGATGATTCCATTTGACTCCACTCGATGAAGATTCCATTCGATTTCATTCAGTGATTCTGTTCGATTCCATTTGATGATGATTCCATTCTATTCAATTCGATGATTACATTACATCCCACTCAATGATGATTCCATTCGATTTTATTCAATGATTCTATTTCATTCTATTCGATGATGATCCCATTCTATTCAATTCTATGATTCCATTCGATTCCATTCGATGATGATTGCATTTGATTCTATTCGATGATTATTCCACTTGATTCGATTCAATGATGATTCCATCTGATTGCATTCGATGACGATTCCTTTTGGGTCCATTAGAAGATTCCATTCAATTACATTCCATGACGATTCCGCTCGTGTCCATTCGATGATTCCATTAGACTCCATTCGACGATGATTCCATTCGATGCTATTCTATGATTCCGTTTGATTTCATTCAATGATGATTCCATTCTTGTCCATTCGTTGATTCCATTCGACTCCATTCGATGATGATTCCATTCGATGTTATTCTATGATTCCATTCGATTTCATTCGATGATGATTCCATTCAAATCCATGGGATGATTCCATTCCAGTTCATTTGATTATTCCATTAGATTCCATTCGATGATGATTCCATTCAAATCCATTTGATGATTCCATTCTATTCCATTCTATGATGATACTATTTGAGTCCATTCGACGATGACTGTATTTGATTCCATTCGATGATTCCATCTTATTCCATTCGATGAAGATTCCAATCGATTCCATTCGATGATTCCATTCAATTCCATTTGATTATTCCATTTCATTCCATTCCATAATGATTCCATTCGATTCCATTTGATGATTACATTCGTGCCCATTCGATAATTCCATTTGAGTCCAATCCATGATTCCATTCGAGTCCATTCAATCATTCCATTTGAGTCCATTCGATGATGATTCCATTCGAGTCCATTCAGTGATTCCATTTGAGATCATTCGATAATTTCATTTCAGTCCATTCAATGGTGGATTTGATTCCATTCAATGATATTCCTTTTGAGTCCATTCAATGTTTCCATTCGATTCTATTCGACTATGATTCCTTTCGTCTCCATTCGGAGATTCCATTCAATTTCATTTGATGATGATTCCTTTCGAGTCCATTAGATAATTCCTTTCGAGTCCATTAGATGATTCCTATCAATTCCATTAGATGAGGATTCCATTTGAGTACATACAGTGATTCCATTCAATTCCATTCAATGACGATTCCATTCGATTCCATTCAATGATTCCATTTGATTCCATTCGATAATGATTTCATTGGAGTCCATTCGATGATTCCATTTGATTCCATTCGATGATATTTCCATTCGATTCCATTTGATGATTCCATTCGATTCCATTCGATGATGATTTCATTCGAGTCCATTCGATGATTCCATTTGATGCCATTCAATGATGATTCCATTCGAGTCCATTTGATGATTCTATTCAAATCCATTTGATAATTGCTTTTGATTATATTTGATGATAATTCCATTCGAGTCCATTCAATGATTCCATTCGATTCCATTCAATGATGATTCCATTCGAGTCCATTTGATGGTTCTATTTGATTCCATTCTCCAATGATTACATTTGAGTCCATTCGATGATTTCACTCGATTCCATATGATGATGATTCTGTTTGATTCCATTCGATGATTCCATTTTATTCCATTCAATGATGATTCCATTCAAGTACATTAGATGATTCCGTTTGAATCCATTCAAAGATGATTCTATTCGTGCCCATTAGATGATGCCAACCGATTCCATTTGATGATGATACTATTCGAGTCCATTCGATGATTCCATTCAATTCCATTCAATGATGATTCCAGTCGATTCCATTCATTGGTAATTCCATTCATTTCCATTCATTGATTCCTTTCCATTCCATTCCACAATGATTCCCTTCGATTCCATTTGATGATTCCACTCGATTCCACTTGGTGATGATTCCATTCGATTCCATTCTATGATTCCATTTGATTCCATTTGATGATGACTGCCTTCGTTTCCATTATGTGATTCCATTCAATTCCATTCGATGTTGATTCCTTTCGATTCCATTTGATGATTGCATCTGATTCTATTCGAGGATTCCATTCGATTCCATTGGATAATAATTCCATTCGAGTCCATTCGATGACTTCATTCAAGTCCATTCAATGATTACATTCGAGTCCATTTGATGATTCCATAAGATTCCATTTTATGATGATTACATTAGAGTCCATTCGATGACTCCATTCTATGATTCCATTCAATTCCATTTGATGATTCCATTCGAGTCCATTTGATCATTACATTCAAGTCCATTCAGTAAATCTGTTGGATTTCTTTTGATGATGATCCCATTCGATTTCATATCAAGATGATCCCATTCGATTCCATTTGATGATGATTCCATTTGTGTCCATTCGAGGATTTCATTCGATTCCATTCAATGATGATTCCATTCAAGTACATTCGATGATTCCATTTGAGTCCCTTCATTGATTCCATCCAATTTCATTTGATGATGATTCCATTCGAGTCCATTCGATGATTCCATTCGATTCCATTTGATGATTCCATCGGAGTCCATCTGATTATTCCATTAGAGTCCATTCGATTATTCCATTCGATTCCTTTCAATGAGAATTCCATTTGAGTCCATTCAATGATCATTCCCTTCGATTCCATTCAATGATTCTGTTCGATTCTCTTTGATGATCTCCTTCGATTCCTTTCCATGATGATTTCATTCCATTCCATTTGATGATTCCATTTGATTCTATTCCATGATGATTCCTTTCGATTCCATTCGCTGATGATTCCATTCAATTCGATTCGATGACGACTGCATTCGGTTCCATTCGATGATGATTCCAAAGTATTCCATTCGATTTTTCCATTTGATTCCATTCGTTGATGATTCCATTCGATTCCATAACGTGATGATTCCATTAGATTCCATTCGATGATGATTCCATTGGATTCCATTTGAAGATGATTCCATTCGATTCAATTCAATGATTATTCCATTTGATTCCATTAGATGATTCCATTCGGTTCCATTTGATGATTATTCCATTTGAGTAAATTCAATGATTCCATTCGATACGATTCGATGATGATTCCATTCGAGTCCATTCAATGATTCCATTCAAGTCCATTTGATGATTCCCTTCAATTCCATTCAATGATGATTCTATTTGAGTCCATTCCATGATTCCATTCGATTCCATTCGATGATGATTCCATTCAAATCCATTCGATCATTCCATTTGTTTACATTCAATGATTCCATTCTATTTCATTTGATGATGATTCCCTTTGAGTCCATTCGATGATTCCATTCGATTCCATTCGATGATGATTCCATTCAAATCCATTCGATCATTCCATTTGTTTACATTCAATGATTCCATTCTATTTCATTTGATGATGATTCCCTTTGAGTCCATTCGATGATTCCATTCGAGTCCATTTAATGATTCCGTTGGGTTCAATTCGAAGATAACTACATTGGATTCCATTCTATGATTCCATTCGATTCCATTCCTTGATGATTCTGTTTGATTCCATTCGATGATTCCATCCAAGTCCAGTCAATGATTCCATTTGAATCTATTTGATGATGATTCCTTTGGATTCCATTTGATGATAATTCTATTTGACTCCTATTGGTGTTGATTCTTTTCAATTCCATTCGATGATGATTCACTTTGATTCCCTTCGATGATGATTCCATTTGAGTCCGTCCATTCGATTCGATTCGATGATTCCATTTGATTCCTTTTTGTGATTATTCTTTCAAGACAATTCGGTGATTTATTTTGATGCAAATTGAAGATTATTCCACTTGATTCCATTCGATGAAACCATTCATTGATGATTCCATTCGAGTGCATTTGATGATACTATTCAATTCCATTCGATGATGATTCCATTCGATTCCATTCGATGATTCCATTCAATTCCATTCTATGATGATTCCATTCAAGTCCATTTGATGATTTCATTGGACTCCATTTGATGATGATTCCATTCAATGATTCCATTCGATTCTATTTGATGATGATTCCATTTGGGTCCATTCGATTATTCCATTTGATTGCACTTGATGATGATTCCATTTGATTCCATTCAATGGTGATACCATTGGGGTCCATTGGATGATTCCATTCGATTGCATTCAATGATCATTCCATTTGACTACATTCAGTGATTCCATTCAAGTCCATTGGATGATTTCTTTCTATTCCATTCAATGATGATTTCATTCGAGTACATTCAATGATTCCATTCAATTCCACTCGATGATAATTCCATTCAAGTCCATTTGATGATTTGTTCTGATTCCATTCGATGATGATTCCATCGAGTCCATTCGATTATTCCATTTGAATCCAGTCGATGTTTTCTGCATTCGGTTCAATTCTATGATAATTCCAATGGACTCCATTCCATGACTCCATTCGATTCCATTCATTGATGTTTCCAAACAATTCCATTCTATGATGATTCCATTCAATTCCATTGGACGATGATTCCATTCGCTTCCATTCAATGATGATTAAATTCGATTCCATTATATGATTCCATTTGATTCCATTCGATGATGATTACAATTGGGTCCATTCAATGATTCCATTCAATTTCATTCGATGATGTTTCCATTCGTGTCCATTCGATATTTCCTTTCAATTCCATCTGACTTTGATTCCATTTGAGTCCATTTGATGATTCCATTCGATTGTGTTCCATGATTACATACGATTCCATTCGATGATGATGCCATTCGAGTACATTCGATGATTCCATTAAAGTCCATTATATGATTCCATTCGATTCCATTCAATGATTATTCCTTTCGAGTCCTTTCAATGATGATTCCATTCAATTCCATTCAATGAGTATGTTGTATTCCATTTCTGGTTTTAATTCGATTGTTTTTTATGAAGACTCCACTCGATTTATTCAATGATCCCATTTGATTCTATTCAATGATGATTCCATTCGATTCCATTTGATGAAAACTCCATTCGATTCCATTCGATGATGATTCCATTCTATTCTATTCGATGGTGATTCTTTTCGATTCCTTTCGATGATGATTCCATTTGATTCCATTTGATGATTCCATTTGATTCCATTCGATAATGATTCCATTTGAGACCTTTCGATGATTCCATTCAATTCCATTCAATGATGATTCCATTCGAGTCCATTCGATGATTCCATTCAAGTCCCTTCTATTATTCCATCTGTTTCCATTCGATGATGATTCCATTCGAGCCCATTCGATGATTCCATTCTATTCCTTTCCATGATGATTCCATTCAAGCACAGTCGATGATTGCATTCGTTTCCATTTGATGATTCCATTCGATTCCATTTGATTATGACTCCATTCAATTCCATTTGATGATGACTCTGTTCGGTTCCATTTGACGATGAATCCATTCGATTCCTTTAAATGATGATTCCATTCAATTACATTCGATGATGATTCCATTCAATTACAATCGATGATGATTCCATTTGATTCAATTCGGTGATGATTCCATTTGAATTCATTCGATGATTCTATTTGATTCCATTAGATGATGATTCCATTCTCTTCCGTGCGATGATTCCATTTGATTCCATTCAATGATGATTCTATTCAATTCTATTTCATGATGATTCCATTCAATTCCATTCGGTGATGCTTCCTTTTGTGTCCATTCAATGTTTCCATTCGATTCCATTTGATGATTATTCCATTCGCTTCCATTAGATGATTCCATTTGATTCCATTCTGTGATGATTCCATGTTGTTCCATTCAATTATTCCATTTGATTTCATTTGATGATGATTCCATTGATTTCGTTTTATGATTCCTTTCCATTCCATTTGATGATTATTCCATATGAGTCAATTCGATGATTCCATTTGATTCCATTCGATGATGAGTCCATACGTGTCCATTCCATGATTTAATGCAATTTCATTTGATGATTATTACATTCGATTGTATTCGATGATTCCATTCAACTCCATTTGGTGATGATTCCATTTGAGTCCATTCGATGATTCAATTCGAGTACATTTGATTATTCCGTTCAGTTGCATTTGATGATAATTCCATTAAAGTCGATACGATGATATCATTCGATTCCATTCGATGGTGATTCCATTCGTGTCCATTCGATGATTCCATATGATTCCATTTGATGATGATTCCTTTCGAGTCCATTCAGTGATTCCATTCAAGTCCATTGAATAATTCCTTTTGATTCCATTCGATGATGATTCTAATCGAGACCATTCGATGATTCCATTTTATTTCATTCGATGATGATTCCATTTGATTCTGTTCGATGATTCCATTCTATTCCATTTAATGATGATTCCTTTTGAGTCCATTCAATGATTCCATTTGACTCCATGTAATGATTCCATTGGGTTCAATTCGATGATGATTACATTGGATTCCATTCAATGATTGCATTCGATTCCATTCGTTGATTATTCCATTCGATTCCTGTCAATGATGATTCCATTTGATTCCATTCTTTGATGATTCAATTTGATTCCATTCGATGATGATTCAATTTGATTCCATTCGATGATGATTCCATTCAATTCCATTCGACGAAGATTCCATTCGATTTCATTTGATGATTCTATTCGATTTCGTTTGATGTTGATTCAATTCTATTCCATTCGAGGATTGCATTCGATTCTATTCGATGATGATTCCATTCGATTGCATTCGAAGATTACATTCGATTCCATTCGACCATGATTCCATTCGAGTCCATTCGAAGATTAGATTCGATTCCATTCAATGATGATTCCATTCGAGTCCATTTGATGATTCCATTCCATTCCATTTGATGATGATTCTGTTCGATTCCATTTGATGATGATTCCATTCGATTCCATTCAATGATGATTCCATTTTATTTCATTCAATGATTCCATTTGATTCCATTCGGAGATAATTCTATTCCATTTGATGATACCATTCAATTTCATTTGATGAGGATTCTAAACGATTCCATTTGATGATGACTCCATTCGATTCCATTCCATAATGATTCAATTCGTGTCTATTCAATGTTTCCTTTTGATTCCATTTGACAATGATTCCATTCGAGTCTGTTAGATCATTCCATTCGATTCCCTTCAATGATGATTCCATTAGATGATTCCTTTCAATTTCATTCGATGATGATTCCATTCAAGTCCATTTGATGATTCCATTCCATTTGATGATTATTTCATTCGAGTCCATTCGATGATTCCATTCAATTCCATTCGACGATGATTCCATTCGAGTCCATTCGATAATTCAATGTGATTTCATTCGATGATGATTACATTTGATTGTATTCGGTGATTCCATTCAGTTCCATTTGATGATGACTCCATTTGAGTCCATTTGATGATTCCATTCAATTCTATACAAAGATGATTCCATTGGATTCCATTCCATGATTCCATTCAATTCCATTCAATGACCATTCCATTCGAGTCCATTCAATGATTCCATTTGATTTCATTCGATGATGATTCCATTTGAGTCCATTCGATGTTTCCATTCGAATCCATTTAATGATTGTTTCAATTATATTCGATGATGATTCCATTCGAGTCCATTTGTTGTTTCCATTCAATTCCATTCAATGATGATTCCATTCGGGTCCATTTGATGATTCCATTTGATTCCATTCGATGATGATGCCATTCGAGACCATTCGATGATCCAATTTGATTCCATTTTATGATGATTCCATTCGGGTACAATAGCTGATTCCATTCGATGATGTTTCTATTGCAGTCCATTAGATGATTCCATTCAATTCCATCCAATGATGATTCCATTCGTGTCCAATAGATGATTCCATTTGATTCCATTCGATGATGATTTCATTCTATTCCGTTCAATGATGATTCCATTCATGTAAATTAGATGATTCCATTATATTACATTTGATGATGATTCCATTCGATACCATTCTGTGATTACATTCGATTCCATTTGATGTTGATTCCATTCGATTTCATTCACTGATTCTATTCGATTCCATTCGATCATGATTCCATTCGATTCCATTTGATGATTCCATTTAATTACATTTGATGATGATTCCATTCGATTCTATTCTATGATTCCATTTGATTCTATTCAATGATGAGTCCATTCAAGTCCATTCGATTATTACTTCTGATTCTAATCAATGATGATTCCTTTTGAGTCCATTAAATGGTGATTAAGTTCGATTCAATTCGATGATTCCATTCGATTCCATCCGATGATTCCAATGGATTCCACTTGATGATGACTCCTTTCGAGTCCATACAATGATGCCATTCAATTCCATTCAATGATGATTCCATTCGTGTGCATTCGATGATTCCAATCGATTCCATTCAATGATGATTGCATTCAAGTCCATCCAATGACTCTTTTCAATTCCATTCTATAATTATTCTGTTCGAGTCCATTTGATGATTCAATTCGACTCCTTTCAATGATTCTATTCCATTCCATTCGAAGCTGATTCAGTTCGAGTCCATTTGACGCTTCCCTTTTGGTCCATTTGATGAATTCTTTCGAGTCCAACTGATGA
Organism: Homo sapiens; assembly: GCF_000001405.40. Taxonomy (NCBI): domain Eukaryota; kingdom Metazoa; phylum Chordata; class Mammalia; order Primates; family Hominidae; genus Homo; species Homo sapiens. The sequence goes on from NC_000007.14 coordinate 58,118,613, forward strand.
TTCCATTCAATTCCATTCTATGATGATTGTGTATGATTCCATTCGATGATGATTCCATGTGATTCCATTCGATGATGATTCTTTCAGGAACATTTGATTTTGATTCATTTTGAGATCATTCGACGATTCCAAATGATTCCATTCAATGATGATTCCATTCGAATCCATTTGATGATTCCATTCGATTCCATACAATGATGATTCCATTAGAGTTCGTCCGATGACTCCTTTCGATTCCATTCAATGATAATTCCATTCTTGTCCAATCGATGATTCCATTCTATTCCAATAAATGATGATTCCATTCAAGTCCATTCAATGATTGCATTCGAGTCCATTCAATGATTCCATTCGATTCCATTCAATGATGATTCCATTCGAGTTCGTTCAATGATTGCATTCGATTCCATTCGAGGATGACTGCATTCGGTGCCATTCAATGATTCCATTCAATTCCATAGGCTGATTCCATTTGATTCCATGTGATGATGATTCCATTCAATTCCATTCCATGATTCCATTCGATTCCATTCGATAATGATTCCATTCAAGACCATTCGATGATTCCATTCTAGTACCATCGCTGATTGCATCCGTTTCCATTTGATGATGATTCCATTCGAGGCCTTTCGATGATTCCATTCAATTACAATTGATGAAGATTCCATTCGGGTCCATTAAATGATTCCATTCAATTCCATACAATGATGATTCCATTTGATTCCATTGGATGATTGTATTCTATTCCATTCAATGATGATTCCATTCGATTCCATTTTATGATTACATTCGATTTCATTCGATGATGAATCCATACGAGTCCATTTGATGATTCCATAAGATTCCATTTGATGATTCATTCAATTCCATTTGAATCCATTCCTTTCCATTCCATTTGAGCCCAATCCATTCCTTTCCATTCAATACCAATCCATTCCATTCCACCCCTTCCATTCGTGGCCATTCCATTCAATTCCATTTGAGTCAATTCCGTTGCATTCCATTCGATTCCATTCCATTCCTTTCGAGTCCATTGAATTC